>NC_000008.11:80795743-85664222 GCF_000001405.40 Homo sapiens | reverse complement strand
GAATTCATGTTGCTCTGATGGGAGTCCTTTTCAGAGGATGTCTCATCCTTCTTAGTGCCTCAAACTAGATCTAGTTCAGAAAGGTTATCAGAAGTTAGGACAAGTTTATTTTAGTGCAAACCAGTGGAAATCCATGCATAGTTTCTTCACCATGTGCATTTTCTATGAACCTTTGGAAGACCACCTGTGTTGAACATTGCCCAAGTCCTGGGAGAGAAGTGGGTGCGGTCCGCTTCCTTTCCTCAATTTGCCCGCAGCGGCGGAGTGCACAGAGCAGGGAAAGGCAGCCCCAGAGGGATCCCGCCCTCCAGCATGCAGCAGACTGCTGGCCCAGTCCTGGCTCCAAGGGGTGCTGTGTGGGCCCAAGCAAGTTGACCAACCTCCCTGAACCTTAATTTAATCCTAGGTAGCCCAATTCCAGTAGCCATTATAGGACTGCCCTGCAGGGACAGTTACTTAACTCAGGAAAAGCAACCTAGCTCCAAGTTTAGCAACCGGGAGTTCCAGTTGATTCCATTAGCGCACCCCCTGAGGCATTCCCAAGCTGGAGTCTGGTGGAAGATGAGGCTCAGTGTGATTGGACTGAAGCACCAACCTATCAAGGAGAAGTCCCACCCAGTCTGCCCTGTGCCTATATAAAGGCGACAAGTGGCGGCCGCAGCACTCATTGAAGCCGCCAGTTGGGAGAGGAGCAGAGCCAGGTCGGTGCTCCCGAAGGCAGCAAGATGTTGCGAGCCACAGCTCCCTGCTGGTTCCCCCCTGGATACCCAGAAGCTAAGAAGGTGGCCGAGGAGGCGGCCCTGGAGGCAAGCCGCCATTTGGGAGGGGAGCAGAGCCAGGCCGGTGCTCCCGAAGGCAGCAAGATGTTGCGAGCCACAGCTCCCTGCTGGTTCCGCCCTGGATACCCAGAAGCTAAGAAGGTGGCCAAGGAGGCGGCCCCGGAGGCAAGCCGCCATTTGGGAGCGGAGCAGAGCCCGGCCGGTGCTCCCGAAGGCAGCAAGATGTTGCGAGCCACAGCTCCCTGCTGGTTCCCACCTGGATACCCAGAAGCTAAGAAGGTGGCCGAGGAGGCGGCCCTCGAGGCTCCAGAATTCCCACTGCCCTCTCATCAGCCTGCCCAGAGCTTCGGGCTCTGGGTGCCCCAGATGCACAAGCAGGCCTCAGCATTTGTGGACATCCAGGCGGAGCCCCAAAACAGGGGTCCGGCGGTGCCCCCAGCGTGGCCCAAGATGGTGACGGAGTCGTGCTACTTCCCTGCGCAGAGGGGATCGGCCTGCCGCTTGCCAGCCGCCCCAAGGCTGACAGAGAGGCCCTCGGGAGTCCGCATCTCAGCCCCCAGGAAGAGGAAGACGATCGCCCACTCTTCCAGCCCTTGCTTGGTCACAGGTTACACAGATGCCAAGAGAACCCGGGTGGCCAGCAGCAGCCAACGCTCCCGTGGCTCCAAGGTCGGCAGACAGCCAGGGAAGACGCGCAACAGGTCAGGGATGGCATGCAAGACCACCGCCACCACCAGCTCTAAGCGAATCGTCCGTCGTGCATCCTTACCGAGTTTGAGTTTGAAGAAACCCATTATCCTCCGAAGCTCTGGGTGCCAAGTCCCCACCGTCCTCCGCCGAGGCTATCTCCAACTGTTCACCGAAGAGTGTCTCAAGTTCTGCGCCTCCAAGCAGGAGGCCGAGGAGAAGGCGCTGAACGAGGAGAAGGTGGCCTACGACTGCAGCCCCAACAAGAACAGGTACCTGAACGTGGTCCTGAACACCCTCAAGAGACTGAAGGGCCTGACCCCCAGCTCCATGCCCGGCCTCAGCAGGGCCGCCCTGTACAGCCGCCTCCAGGAGTTCCTGCTCACCCAGGACCAGCTCAAGGAGAACGGCTACCCCTTCCCGCACCCCGAGCGGCCCGGAGGCGCCGTCCTCTTCACTGGCCAGGGGAAGGGGCCCGGCGACTCCTCCTGTAGGGTCTGCTGCCGTTGTGGCACCGAGTACCTGGTGTCCTCCTCGGGCCGCTGTGTACGCGACCAGTTGTGTTATTATCACTGGGGGCGGGTCCGCTCGAGCCAGGTGGCTGGAGGCCGGGTTAGCCAGTACACCTGCTGTGCAGCTGCTCCTGGCTCTGTGGGCTGCCAGGTGGCAAAGCAGCACGTGCGGGACGGCCGCAAGGAGAGCCTCGATGGCTTCGTGGAGACCTTCAAGAAAGAGTTGTCCAGAGACGCTTATCCAGGAATCTACGCCTTGGACTGTGAGATGTGCTACACCACGCATGGCCTAGAGCTGACCCGCGTCACCGTGGTGGACGCCGACATGCGAGTGGTGTACGACACCTTCGTCAAGCCCGACAACGAGATCGTGGACTACAACACCAGGTTTTCCGGAGTCACCGAGGCCGACGTCGCCAAGACGAGCATCACGTTGCCCCAAGTCCAAGCCATCCTGCTGAGCTTTTTCAGCGCCCAAACCATCCTCATCGGGCACAGCCTGGAGAGCGACCTGCTGGCCCTGAAGCTCATCCACAGCACCGTGGTGGACACGGCCGTGCTCTTCCCGCACTACCTGGGTTTCCCCTACAAGCGCTCCCTCAGGAATCTCGCGGCCGACTACCTGGCACAGATCATCCAGGACAGCCAGGACGGCCACAACTCCAGCGAGGACGCAAGCGCCTGCCTGCAGCTGGTGATGTGGAAGGTCCGACAGCGCGCCCAGATCCAGCCACGCCACCGGTCCGCCTCTCCCGCCGCCCTGGCCTGTCCTTAGCCCCAGGCCTCTTCCAAAACCGCCATCAGTCCCGAGAGCTCACCCTGCCCACCTCGCCGCAAAGCGAAAGAAACTGGAGCAGCCGGCGGCAGGAGAGGGCAAAAAGCCAAGAGTAACCCCAACCCCCCACTCCCGGTCCCCCGGAATCCCTGCCGCGGCCCCTCGGGCCTGTCCACATCCCTCTGCCCCTCCCAGACCTCTGTCCTTCCACCAATCGCCTCCCGCAGCCCCGAGCCGCCACTCCCAGTCCCCCGAGTCCCTGCCGCGCGCCCTCGCGCCTGTTCACATCCCTCTGCCCATCCGAGACCTCTGTCTTTACACCACTAGCCACCCCACGTGGGACTTCCATGGCTTCTGAGTACAAGGCCAGCCCCCCGGCCCACCAGCTTTCGGAATGCCTGCTTACCTCTTTTTCTGTAGAGGCACCACAGGGAGGTGGGTGAAGCACTTCGGCTCTGGAGTTACAGATCTGGGTTCAAGGCCAAATTCCACCACTTACTAGGTTTGTAATATTGGACAGATAACGTCTTTGCGCTTCTACCTTTTGGTCTTTAAAGTGTGATCAAAAGAGACTTAGACTCCCACATAGTAATAATAATAATAATGGCAAACTTAACACCCCACTGTCAACATTAGACACACCAACGAGACAGAAAGTTAAAAAAGGATATCCGGGAATTGAACTCAGCTCTGCACCAAGCGGACCTAGGAGACATGTACAGAACGCTCCACCCCAAATCAACAGAATATACATTCTTCTCAGCACCACATCACACTTATTTCCACATTGACCACATAGTTGGAAGTAAAGCACTCCTCAGTAAAAGTAAAATAACAGAAATTATTACAAACGGTCTCTCAGACCACATTGCAATCAAACTAGACCTCAGGATTGAGAAACTCACTCAAAACCGCTCAACTGCATGGAAACCGTACAAGCTGCTCCTGAATGAGTACAGGGTACATAACGAAATGAAGGCAGAAATAAAGATATTCTCTGAAAGCAATGAGAACAAAGACACAACATACCAGAATCTCTGGGACACATTTAAAGCAGTGTGTAGAGGGAAATTTATAGCACTAAATGCCCACAAGGGAAAGCAGGAAAGATCAAAAATGCATACCCTAACATCACCATTAAAAGAATGAGAGAAGCAAGGGCAAACACATTCAAAAGCTAGCAGAAGGCAAGAAATAACTAAGATCTGAGCAGGACTGAAGGAGATAGAGACACAAAAAACGTGGGATGGTTTTTTAGTATGTGGAAAAATTCTTTGATGGTTTTTCCTTGAAAAAGTGAAACCTAAATCCACTCCGTTTGGATGTGGGACGATTTGCGGTTGTTGCTTCCTAAACATAAACTACGTTTAGGCTGATATTTCAGACAATGAAACCTTTGAGTGCCCGTAGCGGGAAGATCTCGGTTGCTGAGTGCAGGGAAGGAGGATGTAATTCCATCATATACTCTCTCTGTGCCTACCGCATTTGGAACCATGCGAGTGATACCTATTTATAAAATAAAATAAACCAAGCACAAGTACGAACTTAGCAACACTATATTGAGTTAATAGAACGGTATCTTGTATTTCTTCTGTCCAGGTATACTTATAAATGCCTGCAGGGATTTCACCACCTCAGGGTGGAGAGACTGAATGCTTGTGAGGGAATTAGGATGGTGGAATATTGGTGTTACCAGGGAAGGGGGCGGGATGTTTGAAAATGCTATGTTTACTCGTTCTTGGGTTCCAATAAAGGAGAAACAGGGCACAGGAGTCGGAAGGACTAGTGGCAATAGTGATGAAAGGACCTCCTTATCATGCTGGCAATGTTAATTACCCAGGTGTAGGAAGCCATACACTGAGGCGGAAGATCGCAAGTCAGAGTGGCCGGCAGGCACAACCTCCTGGCACACCAGAGGCAGGTCTTCAATACCCACTGGTTTCCCCAACAGGCTGCGTAAGGGACCCTGAGCCACAGTGAGTTGGTCAAATGCTCCTGACAGTGTGGAGAAACCAACAGACAAAACGTGGGTGCAAAAGTGATGAGACCCCACACTTTACACTCGTGGTGACAATGAAGCTATTAAGTAACAGCTTCTCAACCTATGCTGTTTCCTGTTGGATGCACATAATCCATTTGCACTGCAGACAATTTTAGGATGTGGTTTACAGTAAGGTGGATGGTACCTTATGGCAAAAATCTCTCAGAAATTTATGTGTGGTTTTAAAGTCATTCCAGTCCTAGCACGTTGTGCTTTTCAGAGACGCCATAGCTGTTTTTCCCTTTGTAATATCAAAGCAGTAATATGTTCTCTGGAGGCCTGTTGGGTGAATTTAATGGAATCAAGTTAAGTAGGTGCCAGAACCATTGCTGTTTTCCCTCCATAGCCCTGCCACCCACTGTAAAAAGGTTGATGAGATTACTTAATGATTTCCAATTAAGTTGTATTTCCAAATATCATGATTTCCATTTTAATGTAGTTGGTATGGAGCTCTGTGAGTGTGTGCTTCTTTTATTATGGATCACGTTCAGCTTCTTTTTATTTGCCTCCTAGTCATAATAGTAAAACTCTACTCCTCTACTCCGAGGAGTCCCTACCACCCATCTCATCACTTTCCAGCCCAGCACTCTTCATGCTCATTCATTTAAAGCATTCAACATTGTGTAAATGAATCTTGGAAGGCCAAAGCTACTGAATTTAGCGAATTTGTGGAGGCATTGCCACAAATCAGCCAGGTGAAGTTTCACACAATCGAAGACTGCACAACTCCTAGAAGGCAGCACTATGCTGCAAACCCAGACGGCCACTCTTCTCACCCCTCGTCCGTTTGCTGTTCTGGATAATGAGGTTCAAAAGTCACCTAGGCAACTGCCAAAATAGCTGAAATGGAGAAAGGGCTTCAGGCTGGTGACTAGCAGAGGTCCACCTGACCCCCGTAAGCTGCTGAACAAGTAGGGCTGCCAGAAATGTCCCACTAGGGAATTTGGTAGAGACGAAGACATGCTCACCGGACAAGGGTTCCTCCCAGGATACGCCCGAGCGGAAGAAGCGGGCTCTGAGCCACGCCCTTTCACCCTCCTCTACCCCGCCCTGGGCTGGTGAAGGTGCGCGCCAGGATGTGGACTACTGAGCCCTGAAGAAATAAGTCCTTCCACTTTGACCCCATGGAGGATTGCCTGTGAGGAACTTAAACGAGTCTACCAGTGTCTAGACACGGGGGCAGGTCTGTCCGGCACAGCAGCTCCCTCAAGGAGGAGAAGAGTGAGGAGAAAGGAAACTCAAGTCTCACCATTCTGTCCTGGGAGAGAAGAGGAGGATCTCATCTCTCATCTGTCCAAACAAGGCAAGGAGACTTTCTCTCATCTTTCCAAGCAAGGCAAGGAGACTTTTTATCATTAGGAAACAAAAAGAATTTAGAAGGAATGAAAGCAGCCCGTAAGGTGAATTCCTAAGGACTGCCCATTGAAACTGACAAAATTGCCCTTGTTTGATGAGAGGAATGAGCAGAGCATTGATGTGGTGAACAAGGATCTAGTGAGACTTTCCCAGCATGTTTCTACCAAAGCTTTATCTAAGCTTCTCAGAACACTCTCCTAATAAGCAGATGTTTGGCCTTTCAGAAAGTCAACAAGCAAAATGCCTTGAGTGTCCCAAAACACTGATGCCATGATGTGGGCTCCTGACTGGCCTCCTTTTCCTTTGACTGGACCGCTGCCACCTCTTGGTAGCCATCGCTTTCATGATGCTTTGCCTTGGAGATCATATTGGTGAAGCCATGTTCCAACTGCCGCTTACAATTTGTCAGAGGGATGCGTCAGGATCGTGATCCCTCCTGTTTAAAATTTCCACTGATAGCTCTCGTCGTAAATGCAGCTGATCTGGGCACAGTGGTTTTCACAGCCACTGCAGGATTCATCTTCCACATCTTCTCACCTCTTCTTGAAACAAGCTATACATTCGTAAAGAGTTCATTTCTTTGGGGTAGTGTCCTTACAAGCTTTTCTTAAAACGTCAATGATGTCTTCAATCTTCCACCCAAGCTTCACCATAAATTTGATGTTTCCTCTTGCTGCAATTTTCGTGGAATTCATGTTGCTCTGACGGGAGTCCTTTTCAGTGGATGTCTCATCCTTCTTAGTGCCTCAAACTAGATCTAGTTCAGAAAGGTTATCAGAAGTTAGGACAAGTTTATTTTAGTGCAAACCAGTGGAAATCCATGCATAGTTTCTTCACCATGTGCATTTTCTATGAACCTTTGGAAGACCACCTGTGTTGAACATTGCCCAAGTCCTGGGAGAGAAGTGGGTGCGGTCCGCTTCCTGTCCTCAATTTGCCCGCAGCGGCGGAGTGCACAGAGCAGGGAAAGGCAGCCCCAGAGGGATCCCGCCCTCCAGCATGCAGCAGACTGCTGGCCCAGTCCTGGCTCCAAGGGGTGCTGTGTGGGCCCAAGCAAGTTGACCAACCTCCCTGAACCTTAATTTAATCCTAGGTAGCCCAATTCCAGTAGCCATTATAGGACTGCCCTGCCGGGACAGTTACTTAACTCAGGAAAAGCAACCTAGCTCCAAGTTTAGCAACCGGGAGTTCCAGTTGATTCCATTAGCGCACCCCCTGAGGCATTCCCAAGCTGGAGTCTGGTGGAAGATGAGGCTCAGTGTGATTGGACTGAAGCACCAACCTATCAAGGAGAAGTCCCACCCAGTCTGCCCTGTGCCTATATAAAGGCGACAAGTGGCGGCCGCAGCACTCATTGAAGCCGCCAGTTGGGAGAGGAGCAGAGCCAGGCCGGTGCTCCCGAAGGCAGCAAGATGTTGCGAGCCACAGCTCCCTGCTGGTTCCCCCCTGGATACCCAGAAGCTAAGAAGGTGGCCGAGGAGGCGGCCCTGGAGGCAAGCCGCCATTTGGGAGGGGAGCAGAGCCAGGCCGGTGCTCCCGAAGGCAGCAAGATGTTGCGAGCCACAGCTCCCTGCTGGTTCCGCCCTGGATACCCAGAAGCTAAGAAGGTGGCCAAGGAGGCGGCCCCGGAGGCAAGCCGCCATTTGGGAGCGGAGCAGAGCCCGGCCGGTGCTCCCGAAGGCAGCAAGATGTTGCGAGCCACAGCTCCCTGCTGGTTCCCACCTGGATACCCAGAAGCTAAGAAGGTGGCCGAGGAGGCGGCCCTCGAGGCTCCAGAATTCCCACTGCCCTCTCATCAGCCTGCCCAGAGCTTCGGGCTCTGGGTGCCCCAGATGCACAAGCAGGCCTCAGCATTTGTGGACATCCAGGCGGAGCCCCAGAACAGGGGTCCGGCGGTGCCCCCAGCGTGGCCCAAGATGGTGACGGAGTCGTGCTACTTCCCTGCGCAGAGGGGATCGGCCTGCCGCTTGCCAGCCGCCCCAAGGCTGACAGAGAGGCCCTCGGGAGTCCGCATCTCAGCCCCCAGGAAGAGGAAGACGATCGCCCACTCTTCCAGCCCTTGCTTGGTCACAGGTTACACAGATGCCAAGAGAACCCGGGTGGCCAGCAGCAGCCAACGCTCCCGTGGCTCCAAGGTCGGCAGACAGCCAGGGAAGACTCGCAACAGGTCAGGGATGGCATGCAAGACCACCGCCACCACCAGCTCTAAGCGAATCGTCCGTCGTCCATCCTTACCGAGTTTGAGTTTGAAGAAACCCATTATCCTCCGAAGCTCTGGGTGCCAAGTCCCCACCGTCCTCCGCCGAGGCTATCTCCAACTGTTCACCGAAGAGTGTCTCAAGTTCTGCGCCTCCAAGCAGGAGGCCGAGGAGAAGGCGCTGAACGAGGAGAAGGTGGCCTACGACTGCAGCCCCAACAAGAACAGGTACCTGAACGTGGTCCTGAACACCCTCAAGAGACTGAAGGGCCTGACCCCCAGCTCCATGCCCGGCCTCAGCAGGGCCGCCCTGTACAGCCGCCTCCAGGAGTTCCTGCTCACCCAGGACCAGCTCAAGGAGAACGGCTACCCCTTCCCGCACCCCGAGCGGCCCGGAGGCGCCGTCCTCTTCACTGGCCAGGGGAAGGGGCCCGGCGACTCCTCCTGCAGGGTCTGCTGCCGTTGTGGCACCGAGTACCTGGTGTCCTCCTCGGGCCGCTGTGTACGCGACCAGTTGTGTTATTATCACTGGGGGCGGGTCCGCTCGAGCCAGGTGGCTGGAGGCCGGGTTAGCCAGTACACCTGCTGTGCAGCTGCTCCTGGCTCTGTGGGCTGCCAGGTGGCAAAGCAGCACGTGCGGGACGGCCGCAAGGAGAGCCTCGATGGCTTCGTGGAGACCTTCAAGAAAGAGTTGTCCAGAGACGCTTATCCAGGAATCTACGCCTTGGACTGTGAGATGTGCTACACCACGCATGGCCTGGAGCTGACCCGCGTCACCGTGGTGGACGCCGACATGCGAGTGGTGTACGACACCTTCGTCAAGCCCGACAACGAGATCGTGGACTACAACACCAGGTTTTCCGGAGTCACCGAGGCCGACGTCGCCAAGACGAGCATCACGTTGCCCCAAGTCCAAGCCATCCTGCTGAGCTTTTTCAGCGCCCAAACCATCCTCATCGGGCACAGCCTGGAGAGCGACCTGCTGGCCCTGAAGCTCATCCACAACACCGTGGTGGACACGGCCGTGCTCTTCCCGCACTACCTGGGTTTCCCCTACAAGCGCTCCCTCAGGAATCTCGCGGCCGACTACCTGGCACAGATCATCCAGGACAGCCAGGACGGCCACAACTCCAGCGAGGACGCAAACGCCTGCCTGCAGCTGGTGATGTGGAAGGTCCGACAGCGCGCCCAGATCCAGCCACGCCACCGGTCCGCCTCTCCCGCCGCCCTGGCCTGTCCTTAGCCCCAGGCCTCTTCCAAAACCGCCATCAGTCCCGAGAGCTCACCCTGCCCACCTCGCCGCAAAGCGAAAGAAACTGGAGCAGCCGGCGGCAGGAGAGGGCAAAAAGCCAAGAGTAACCCCAACCCCCCACTCCCGGTCCCCCGGAATCCCTGCCGCGGCCCCTCGGGCCTGTCCACATCCCTCTGCCCCTCCCAGACCTCTGTCCTTCCACCAATCGCCTCCCGCAGCCCCGAGCCGCCACTCCCAGTCCCCCGAGTCCCTGCCGCGCGCCCTCGCGCCTGTCCACATCCCTCTGCCCATCCGAGACCTCTGTCCTTACACCACTAGCCACCCCACGTGGGACTTCCATGGCTTCTGAGTACAAGGCCAGCCCCCCGGCCCACCAGCTTTCGGAATGCCTGCTTACCTCTTTTTCTGTAGAGGCACCACAGGGAGGTGGGTGAAGCACTTCGGCTCTGGAGTTACAGATCTGGGTTCAAGGCCAAATTCCACCACTTACTAGGTTTGTAATATTGGACAGATAACGTCTTTGCGCTTCTACCTTTTGGTCTTTAAAGTGTGATCAAAAGAGACTTAGACTCCCACATAATAATAATAATAATAATGGCAAACTTAACACCCCACTGTCAACATTAGACACACCAACGAGACAGAAAGTTAAAAAAGGATATCCGGGAATTGAACTCAGCTCTGCACCAAGCGGACCTAGGAGACATGTACAGAACGCTCCACCCCAAATCAACAGAATATACATTCTTCTCAGCACCACATCACACTTATTTCCACATTGACCACATAGTTGGAAGTAAAGCACTCCTCAGTAAAAGTAAAATAACAGAAATTATTACAAACGGTCTCTCAGACCACATTGCAATCACACTAGACCTCAGGATTGAGAAACTCACTCAAAACCGCTCAACCGCATGGAAACCGGACAAGCTGCTCCTGAATGAGTACTGGGTACATAACGAAATGAAGGCAGAAATAAAGATATTCTCTGAAAGCAATGAGAACAAAGACACAACATACCAGAATCTCTGGGACACATTTAAAGCAGTGTGTAGAGGGAAATTTATAGCACTAAATGCCCACAAGGGAAAGCAGGAAAGATCAAAAATGCATACCCTAACATCACCATTAAAAGGATGAGAGAAGCAAGAGCAAACACATTCAAAAGCTAGCAGAAGGCAAGAAATAACTAAGATCCGAGCAGAACTGAAGGAGATAGAGACCCAAAAAACCCTTCAAAAAATCAATGAATCCAGGAGCGGGTTTTTTGAAACCATCAACAAAATTGATACACCACTAGCAAGACTATTAAAGAATGAAAGAAAGAAGAATCAAGCAGATGCAATAAAAAATGATAAAGGGGATATCACCACTGATCCCACAGAAGTACAAACTACCATGAGAGAATACTGTCAACACCTCTAGGCAAACAAACTCGGAAATCTAGAAGAAATGAATAAATTCCTGGACACATGCAACCTCCCCAGAGTAAACCAGGAAGAAGTTGAATGCCTGAATAGACCAATAACAGGCTCTGAAATTGAGGCATTAATTAATAGCCTATCAAGCAATAAAACTCCAGGACCAGACGGATTCACAGCCGAATTCTACCAGAAGTACAAGGAGGAGCTGGTACCATTCCTTCGGAAACTATTCCAATCAACAGAAAAAGAGGGAATCCTCCCTATCTCATTTTATGAGGCCAGCATCATCCTGATCCCAAAGGCTGAGAGAGACACAACCAACAAAGAGAATTTTCGGCCCATATCCCTGAGGAACACCGATGGAAAAATCCTCCATAAAATGCTGGCAAACCGAATCCAGCAGCACATCAAAGAGCTTATCCATTATGATCAAGTGGGCTTCATCCCTGACATGCAAGGCTGGTCCAACATATGCAAATCAATAAACATAATCCAGCATATAATCGGAACCAAAGACAGAAACCGCGTGATTATCTCAACAGATGCAGAAAAGGCCTTTGACAAAATTCAACAGCCTTTCATGCCAAAAACTCTCAATAAATTAGGTACTGATGGGACATACCTCAAAATAATAAGGGCTATTTAGGGCAAACCCACAGCCAATATCATACTGAATGGGCAAAAAGTGGAAGCATTCCCTTTGCAAACTGCCACAAGACAGGGGTGCCCTCTCTCACCACTCCTATTCAACATAGTGTTGGAACTTCTGGCCAGGGCAATCAGGCAGGAGAAAGAAATAAAGAGTAATCAATTAGGAAAAGAGGAAGTCAAATTGTCCCTGTTTGTAGATGACATGATTGAATATTTAGAAAACCCCATCGTCTCAGCCCAAAATCTCCTTAAGCTGATAAGCAACTTCAGCAAAGTCTCAGGATACAAAATCGATGTGCAAAAATCACAAGCATTCTTATACACCAATAACAGGCAAACAGAGAGCCAAATCATGACTGAGCTCCCATTCACAATTGCTTCAAAGAGAATAAAATACTGAGGAATCCAACTAACAAGGGATGCGATGTGCGAAGGACCTCTTCAAGGAGAACTACAAACCACTGCTCCACGAAATAAAAGAGGACACAAACCAATGGAAGAATATTCCATGCTCACGGTTAGGAAGAATCAGTATCGTGAAAATGGCCATACTGCCCAAGGTATATTATAGATCCAATGCCATCCCCATCAAGCTACCAAGGACTTTCTTCACAGAATTGGAAAAAACTACTTGAAAGTTTATATGGAACCACAAAAGGGCCCCCACTGCCAAGATAATCCTAAGCCAAAAGAACAAAGGTGGAGGCATCAAGCTACCCGACTTCAAACTACACTACAAGCCTACAGTAACCAAACAGCATGCTGTTGGTTGCCTTTTTGGTTACTGTAGACCAATGGAACAGAATAGAGCCCTCAGAAATAATACGACACATCTACAACCATCGGATCTTTGACAAACCTGACAAAAACAAGAAATGGGGAAAGGATTCCCTATTTAATAAATGGTGCTGGGAAAACTGGCTAGCCATATGTCCGAAGGTGAAATTGGATCCCTTCCTTACACCTTATACAAAAGTTTATTCAAGACGGATGAAAGACTTAAATGTTACATCTTAAGCCATACAAACCCTAGGAGAAAACCTAGGCAATACCATTCAGGACATAGGCATGGGCAAGGACCTCATGTCTAAAACGCCAAAAGCAAAGGCAACAAAAGCCAATATTGACAAACGGCATCTAATTACACTAAAGAGTTTCTGCACAGCTAAAGAAACTCCCATCAGAGTGAACAGGCATGCTACAGAAAGGGAGAACATTTTTGCAATCTACTCATCTGACAAAGGGCTAATATCCAGAATCTACTAAGAACTCAAACAGAGTTACAAGAAAAACCAAACAACCCCATCAACAAGTGCGGGAAGGATATGAAGAGACACTTCTAAAAAGAAGACATTTATGCAGCCAACAGACACATGAAAAAATGCTCATCAACACTGGTCATCAGAGAAATGCAAATCAAATCCGCAAAGTGATATCGTCTCACACCAGTTACAATAGCGATCAATAAAAAAGTCAGGAAACAACAGGTGCTGGAGAGGTAGTGGAGAAATAGGAACACTTTTACACTGCTGGTGGGACTGTAAACCAGTTCAGCGGTTGTGGAAGATAGTGTGGCGAATCCTCAAGGATCTAGAATTAGAAATACCATTTGACCCAGCCGTCCCATTACTGGGTATACACCCATAGGACTATAAATCATGCTGCTAAAAGGACACACGCAGACGTATGTTTATTGCGGCACCGTTCACAGTAGCAAAGACTTGGAACCAGCCCAGATGTCCATCAATGATAGACTGGATTAAGGAAACGTGGCACAAATACACCGTGGAATACTATGCAGCCATAAAAAAGCATGTGTTCATGCCCTTCGGAGGGACACGGATGAAGCTGGAAACCATCATTCTTAGCAAACTATCGCAAGGACAAAAAAACCAAACACCGCGTGATCCCACTCATAGGTGGGAATTGAACTAGGAGAACACTTGGACGCAGAAAGGGGAACATCACACACCGGGGCCTGTCATGGGCGGGGGGAGGGGGAGGGATAACATTAAGAGATATACCTAATGTAAATGACTAGTGAATGGGTGCAGCACACCAACATGGCACGTGCTTACATACGTAATAAACCTGCACGTTGTGCACATGTACCCTAGTAATTAAAGTATAATTTTAAAAAAAATGGAAAACGAAAGTGTGATCCTAATGTCATGGTGCGGACTGAATGAAGCAGCACATGGCAAGCCTTAAAACGATCGCACATAGTAGGTGTTCAATTAATGTTAACTATATTTCTTTTCTATAATAGTTTATAAAGGGAATTCATGAACACTATGTGATTAATCCTTGGAACAACCCAACAGGTAGGTAAATAAAGCCTAATTTTATACCTAAAGAAACCGTGCGGCTTAACTTGCCCAAAATAATAATGATTGTAATGAGCACTGGCTGTTGGTTTCTTATGTACTTGGTACTTTGCACGTATTAACCCAGTCAGTCCTCCTAATAGTTGTGAGAGAGATAGCATTCTTATCCCCATTTTACAGATGAGGAACCTGAAGCCCAGGTGATAAGTAGTTTATCCAAGGTATCATAGCTAGAAGTCGGGTGCAGGCAGTCTGGCTCCAGAGCCCCTGCTCTTTCCGCTGACCTAGCTGACTTCCCAAGAGTCAAAGTGGATTCTTCCCCAAGACCAACCAATTACAATGACTGAATCAGTCAGTCAACTTCGAACTGGGCTCCAAGAGAGAACGAACCATCATGCCTCTCTAAATCCTCATTTCTAGTTTGAATCTTCAAGGAGAGATAGACACTAAGTAGCTAGTTTTGCTGGAATGGCTGATTTTATCAATGTTTTCGGTGTGTGAGTGTGTGTGTGTGTATATGTATAGAACTAAATTAAACTGATAATTTGAATGCTTACACTTCCATTAGTTCAATTTGTGTATGTGAGCCCTCACACACATACATACACACACACAAACTGTTCCAGAACAGTGACTTAGTGAAAAACTGGATTTCCACTCTGTCAGACAAATTTCGGAAAGCACTGAAGTAGGGCATTTCTGATTGATTTTACCGTTCCCGGAATTTTATTTTCCTTTATCACTTAGACCCCTTCTGTGGGGATTTAATAAATAAACGTCTTTTGTAGTGTATGTTATTTCATTTTATTTTTATAATTTATATGAATTTTAATTTTAACTTGACAAATAAAAATTATATATATTTATGGCATACAACATGATGTTTCATACGTGTATACATTGTGGAATGACAAAATCAAGCTAATTAACACACTCGTTTCCTCACATACTGATTTTAATGTGATGAGGACATGTCTAAAATCTACTCTTATAGCAATTTTCAAGTATACAATACATACTTATACACTGTAGATGCCAGGCTGTTCAATAGATCTCTAGAACCATTCCTCTCTGAAATTTTGTATCATGAGACTATCATCTCTCCAGTCCCTCCCTGACCCCTGCCTCGGGTAACCACCGTTCTGCTCTCTACAGCTATGAGTTGCATTGTTTGAGATTGCACATATAAGTGAGATCATGCAGTATTTGTCTTTTTGTGCTTGCTTTTTAAATCTTTATTATGTAATTATTTATTTTTTGAGACAGGGTCTCAGTCTGTCACCCAGGCTGGAGTACAGTGACACAAACACGGCTCACTCACCACGGCCTCCACCTCCCGGGGTCGAGAGTTCCTCCCGCTTCAGCCTCCTGAATAGCTAGGACTACAGGCGTCCAACGCCACACTTGGCTAATTTTTGTGTTTCTTTTAGAGATGGGGTTTCACCATGTTGCCCAGGTTCATCTCCAACTCCTGGGCTCAACGCTTCCACCTGCCTTGGCCTCCCAAAGTACTGGGATTACAGGCATGAGCCACCGTGCCTGGCCTTTGCTTTCTTTCACTCAGTGTACCATCCTCTAGGCTCATTCGTGTTGCCAATGAGATGATTTCTTTCTTTTTTAAGGCTGAATTGTGTTCTATTGGGTATATGTACCGCTTTTCTTTTTATGTTTAATTTTTTTTGGTTTTTTGAGACAGAGTTTCGCTCGCGTCGCCCAGGCTGGAGTGCAGTGGCGTGATTTCGAGTCACTACAACCTCTGCCTCCCAGGTTGAAGTGATTCTCCTGCCTCACCTGAGATTAGAGGCATGTACCGGCATGTCCGGCTAATTTTGTGTTTCTAGTAGAGATGGGGTTTCACCATGTTGGCCAGGCTGGTCTTGAACTCCAACAATTCTAATTCAACTAATTTATTTTATAGAAATATTTATGTGTGAGAAACAATATTTTCAAGAGTCAAAGATTTAAAACTGCTTAATTGTACATCACTAAGTGGCTGGCTAATAAATTATAGTACGTTCATCCTTACGGAAGAATACTTTGCAGCTAAAACAGAACGAAAGAGAGGAAACTCTTCAAAATGTTAACTGGGAATGACGTTCAAGACTTATTGTTAAATAAAACAAATTGAGAAGAAGAGTCGTTTATTGGTACTAAATTTGTGTCAGTAAAAATGGATTCTATACGTGGGATGGTTTATAAGTATGTGGAAAAATTCTTTGATGGTTTTTCCTTGAAAAAGTGAAACCTAAATCCACTCCGTTTGGATGTGGGACTATTTACGGTTGTTGCTTCCTAAACATGAACTACGTTTAGGCTGATATTTCAGACAATGAAACCTTTGAGTGCCCGTAGCGGGAAGATCTCGGTTGCTGAGTGCAGGGAAGGAGGATGTAATTCCATCATATATACTCTCTGTGCCTACCGCATTTGGAACCATGCGAGTGATACCTATTTATAAAATAAAATAAACCAAGCAAAAGTACGAACTTAGCAACACTATATTGAGTTAATAGAACGGTATCTTGTATTTCTTCTGTCCAGGTATACTTATAAATGCCTGCAGGGATTTCACCACCTCAGGGTGGAGGGACTGAATGCTTGTGAGGGAATTAGGATGGTGGAATATTGGTGTTACCAGGGAAGGGGGCGGGATGTTTGAAAATGCTATGTTTACTCGTTCTTGGGTTCCAATAAAGGAGAAACAGGGCACAGGAGTCGGAAGGACTAGTGGCAATAGTGATGAAAGGACCTCCTTATCATGCTGGCAATGTTAATTACCCAGGTGTAGGAAGCCATACACTGAGGCGGAAGATCGCAAGTCAGAGTGGCCGGCAGGCACAACCTCCTGGCACACCAGAGGCAGGTCTTCAATACCCACTGGTTTCCCCAACAGGCTGCGTAAGGGACCCTGAGCCACAGTGAGTTGGTCAAATGCTCCTGACAGTGTGGAGAAACCAACAGACAAAACGTGGGTGCAAAAGTGATGAGACCCCACACTTTACACTCGTGGTGACAATGAAGCTATTAAGTAACAGCTTCTCAACCTATGCTGTTTCCTGTTGGATGCACATAATCCATTTGCACTGCAGACAATTTTAGGATGTGGTTTACAGTAAGGTGGATGGTACCTTATGGCAAAAATCTCTCAGAAATTTATGTGTGGTTTTAAAGTCATTCCAGTCCTAGCACGTTGTGCTTTTCAGAGACGCCATAGCTGTTTTTCCCTTTGTAATATCAAAGCAGTAATATGTTCTCTGGAGGCCTGTTGGGTGAATTTAATGGAATCAAGTTAAGTAGGTGCCAGAACCATTGCTGTTTTCCCTCCATAGCCCTGCCACCCACTGTAAAAAGGTTGATGAGATTACTTAATGATTTCCAATTAAGTTGTATTTCCAAATATCATGATTTCCATTTTAATGTAGTTGGTATGGAGCTCTGTGAGTGTGTGCTTCTTTTATTATGGATCACGTTCAGCTTCTTTTTATTTGCCTCCTAGTCATAATAGTAAAACTCTACTCCTCTACTCCGAGGAGTCCCTACCACCCATCTCATCACTTTCCAGCCCAGCACTCTTCATGCTCATTCATTTAAAGCATTCAACATTGTGTAAATGAATCTTGGAAGGCAAAAGCTACTGAATTTAGCGAATTTGTGGAGGCATTGCCACAAATCAGCCAGGTGAAGTTTCACACAATCGAAGACTGCACAACTCCTAGAAGGCAGCACTATGCTGCAAACCCAGACGGCCACTCTTCTCACCCCTCGTCCGTTTGCTGTTCTGGATAATGAGGTTCAAAAGTCACCTAGGCAACTGCCAAAATAGCTGAAATGGAGAAAGGGCTTCAGGCTGGTGACTAGCAGAGGTCCACCTGACCCCCGTAAGCTGCTGAACAAGTAGGGCTGCCAGAAATGTCCCACTAGGGAATTTGGTAGAGACGAAGACATGCTCACCGGACAAGGGTTCCTCCCAGGATACGCCCGAGCGGAAGAAGCGGGCTCTGAGCCACGCCCTTTCACCCTCCTCTACCCCGCCCTGGGCTGGTGAAGGTGCGCGCCAGGATGTGGACTACCGAGCCCTGAAGAAATAAGTCCTTCCACTTTGACCCCATGGAGGATTGCCTGTGAGGAACTTAAACGAGTCTACCAGTGTCTAGACACGGGGGCAGGTCTGTCCGGCACAGCAGCTCCCTCAAGGAGGAGAAGAGTGAGGAGAAAGGAAACTCAAGTCTCACCATTCTGTCCTGGGAGAGAAGAGGAGGATCTCATCTCTCATCTGTCCAAACAAGTCAAGGAGACTTTCTCTCATCTTTCCAAGCAAGGCAAGGAGACTTTTTATCATTAGGAAACAAAAAGAATTTAGAAGGAATGAAAGCAGCCCGTAAGGTGAATTCCTAAGGACTGCCCATTGAAACTGACAAAATTGCCCTTGTTTGATGAGAGGAATGAGCAGAGCATTGATGTGGTGAACAAGGATCTAGTGAGACTTTCCCAGCATGTTTCTACCAAAGCTTTATCTAAGCTTCTCAGAACACTCTCCTAATAAGCAGATGTTTGGCCTTTCAGAAAGTCAACAAGCAAAATGCCTTGAGTGTCCCAAAACACTGATGCCATGATGTGGGCTCCTGACTGGCCTCCTTTTCCTTTGACTGGACCGCTGCCACCTCTTGGTAGCCATCGCTTTCATGATGCTTTGCCTTGGAGATCATATTGGTGAAGCCATGTTCCAACTGCCGCTTACAATTTGTCAGAGGGATGCGTCAGGATCGTGATCCCTCCTGTTTAAAATTTCCACTGATAGCTCTCGTCGTAACTGCAGCTGATCTGGGCACAGTGGTTTTCACAGCCACTGCAGGATTCATCTTCCACATCTTCTCACCTCTTCTTGAAACAAGCTATACATTCGTAAAGAGTTCATTTCCTTGGGGTAGTGTCCTTATAAGCTTTTCTTAATACATCAATGATTTCTTCATTCTTCCACCCAAGCTTCACCATAAATTTGATGTTTCCTCTTGCTGCAATTTTCGTGGAATTCATATTGCTCTGACGGGAGTCCTTTTCAGTGGATGTCTCATCCTTCTTAGTGCCTCAAACTAGATCTAGTTCAGAAAGTTTATAAGAAGTTAGGACAAGTTTATTTTAGTGCAAACCAGTGGAAATCCATGCATAGTTTCTTCACCATGTGCATTTTCTATGAACCTTTGGAAGACCCCCTGTGTTGAACATTGCCCAACTCCTGGGAGAGAAGTGGGTGCGGTCCACTTCCTGTCCTCAATTTGTCCGCAGCGGAGGAGTGCACAGAGCAAGGAAAGGCAACCCCAGAGAGATCCTGCCCTCCAGCATGCAGCAGACTGCTGGCCCAGTCCTGGCTCCATTGGGTGCTGTGTGGGCCCAAGCAAGTTGACCAACCTCCCTGAACCTTAATTTAATCCTAGGTAGCCCAATTCCAGTAGCCATTATAGGACTGCCCTGCAGGGACAGTTACTTAACTCAGGAAAAGCAACCTAGCTCCAAGTTTAGCAACCGGGAGCTCCAGTTGATTCCATTAGCGCACCCCCTGAGGCATTCCCAAGCTGGAGTCTGGTGGAAGATGAGGCTCAGGGTGATTGGACTGAAGCACCAACCTATCAAGGAGAAGTCCCACCCAGTCTGCCCTGTGCGTATATAAAGGCGACGCGTGGCGGCCGCAGCACTCATTGAAGCCGCCAGTTGGGAGAGGAGCAGAGCCAGGCCGGTGCTCCCGAAGGCAGCAAGATGTTGCGAGCCACAGCTCCCTGCTGGTTCCCACCTGGATACCCAGAAACTAAGAAGGTGGCCGAGGAGGCGGCCCTCGAGGCTCCAGAATTCCCACTGCCCTCTCATCAGCCTGCCCAGAGCTTCGGGCTCTGGGTGCCCCAGATGCACAAGCAGGCCTCAGCATTTGTGGACATCCAGGCAGAGCCCCAGAACAGGGGTCCGGCGGTGCCCCCAGCGTGGCCCAAGATGGTGACGGAGTCGTGCTACTTCCCTGCGCAGAGGGGATCGGCCTGCCGCTTGCCAGCCGCCCCAAGGCTGACAGAGAGGCCCTCGGGAGTCCGCATCTCAGCCCCCAGGAAGAGGAAGACGATCGCCCACTCTTCCAGCCCTTGCTTGGTCACAGGTTACACAGATGCCAAGAGAACCCGGGTGGCCAGCAGTAGCCAACGCTCCAGTGGCTCCAAGGTCGGCAGACAGCCAGGGAAGACGCGCAACAGGTCAGGGATGGCATGCAAGACCACCGCCACCATCAGCTCTAAGCGAATCGTCCGTCGTCCATCCTTACCGAGTTTGAAGAAACCCATTATCCTCCGAAGCTCTGGGTGCCAAGTCCCCACCGTCCTCCGCCGAGGCTATCTCCAACTGTTCACCGAAGAGTGTCTCAAGTTCTGCGCCTCCAAGCAGGAGGCCGAGGAGAAGGCGCTGAACGAGGAGAAGGTGGCCTACGACTGCAGCCCCAACAAGAACAGGTACCTGAACGTGGTCCTGAACACCCTCAAGAGACTGAAGGGCCTGACCCCCAGCTCCATGCCCGGCCTCAGCAGGGCCGCCCTGTACAGCCGCCTCCAGGAGTTCCTGCTCACCCAGGACCAGCTCAAGGAGAACGGCTACCCCTTCCCGCACCCCGAGCGGCCCGGAGGCGCCGTCCTCTTCACTGGCCAGGGGAAGGGGCCCGGCGACTCCTCCTGCAGGGTCTGCTGCCGTTGTGGCACCGAGTACCTGGTGTCCTCCTCGGGCCGCTGTGTACGCGACCAGTTGTGTTATTATCACTGGGGGCGGGTCCGCTCGAGCCAGGTGGCTGGAGGCCGGGTTAGCCAGTACACCTGCTGTGCAGCTGCTCCTGGCTCTGTGGGCTGCCAGGTGGCAAAGCAGCACGTGCGGGACGGCCGCAAGGAGAGCCTCGATGGCTTCGTGGAGACCTTCAAGAAAGAGTTGTCCAGAGACGCTTATCCAGGAATCTACGCCTTGGACTGTGAGATGTGCTACACCACGCATGGCCTAGAGCTGACCCGCGTCACCGTGGTGGACGCCGACATGCGAGTGGTGTACGACACCTTCGTCAAGCCCGACAACGAGATCGTGGACTACAACACCAGGTTTTCCGGAGTCACCGAGGCCGACGTCGCCAAGACGAGCATCACGTTGCCCCAAGTCCAAGCCATCCTGCTGAGCTTTTTCAGCGCCCAAACCATCCTCATCGGGCACAGCCTGGAGAGCGACCTGCTGGCCCTGAAGCTCATCCACAGCACCGTGGTGGACACGGCCGTGCTCTTCCCGCACTACCTGGGTTTCCCCTACAAGCGCTCCCTCAGGAATCTCGCGGCCGACTACCTGGCACAGATCATCCAGAACAGCCAGGACGGCCACAACTCCAGCGAGGACGCAAACGCCTGCCTGCAGCTGGTGATGTGGAAGGTCCGACAGCGCGCCCAGATCCAGCCACGCCACCGGTCCGCCTCTCCCGCCGCCCTGGCCTGTCCTTAGCCCCAGGCCTCTTCCAAAACTGCCATTCGTCCCGAGAGCTCACCCTGCCCACCTCGCCGCAAAGCGAAAGAAACTGGAGCAGCAGGCGGCAGGAGAGGGCAAAAAGCCAAGACTATCCCCGACCCCCGACTCCCAGTGCCCCGGAGTCCCTGCAGCGGGCCGCCGTCCATGTCCCCATCGCTCTGCCCCTCCCAGACCTCTGTCCTTCAACCAATCGCCTCCCCGAGGCCCGAGCCCCAACTCCCATTCCCCCGGGTCGCTGCCAAGGCCCCTCGCGCCTGTCCCCATCCCTCTGCCTGTCGAAGACCTCTGTCGTTACACCACTAACCTCACTCAGCCCACCTGCACTTCCCTGGCCTCTGAGAACAAGGCCAGCCCCCAGGCCCACCAGCTTCCTGACAGTCTTCTCTCCTGGGCCTCTTCTCCTTCTGTGGGGCTTTCTGAACCTCCCCTACCGCACCCGATTTTTTCCCCACCCCCGGCGCAGGCGCAGAATAAATGGTTATATGAATTTTAAAATTTAAAATAAAAAAAATTAAGAACAACTCAGAGGCATTTGCTTCTTAATGTGCACTTACCTGTTTTTCTCTAGAGCCACCACAGTGAGATGGGTGAAGCACTTAGGCTCTGGAGTTAGATATCTGGGTTCAAATTCAAATTCCACCACTTACTAGCTTTGTAATATTGGACAAATAACTTTTTTGCGCTTCTACTTTTTTATCTTTAAAGTGTGATCATAAGGTAATGGTGAGGAAGGAATGAAGCAACACATGGCAAGCCTTAAAACAATGGCACATAGTAGGTGTTCAATTAAGAGTCAAAGTGGATTCTTTCACCCAGACCAATCAATTATAATGTCTGAATCAGTCAGTCAACTTCCAACTGGGCTCCAAGAGAGGATGAACCATCATGCCTCCCTAAATCCACGTTTCTGTTTTGAATCTTCAGTGAGAGATGAGACTCTAAGTAGCTAGTTTTGGTGGAATGGCTGATTTTATAAATGTGTGTGGGGGGTGTGTGTTTGTGTATGTGTACATAACTAAATGAAACTGATATTTTGAATGCTTACATTACCATGAATTTAATTTGTGTATATGAGCCCACACAAACATATATACACACTCACTAACTGTTCCAAAACAATGACTTAGTGAAGAACTGGATTTCCACTCTGTCAGACAAATTTCGGAATGCACTGAAGTAGGGCATTTCTGATTGATTTTACTGTTCCTGGAATTTTATTTTCCTTCATAACTTAGACTTCTTGTGGAGATTTAATAAATAAAAGTCTTTTTTAGTGTATGTTATTTCATTTTATTTTTATAATTTACTTAAATTTTAATTTTAAATTGACAAGTAAAAATTATATATGTTTATGGGGTACAACATGAGGTTTCCTATATGTATGCATTGTGGAATGACAAAATCAAGCTAATTAACACACTCATTTCCTCACATACTGATTTTATTGTTGTGAGAACAAGTTTTAAATCTACTCTTATAGCAAGTTTCAAGTACACAATACATAGTTATTCACTGCAGTTGCATGCTGTTCAATAGATTTCTATCAGTATTCCTATCTGAAATTTTGTATCATTTGACTAACATCTCCCCAATCCCTCCCCAGCCCCTACCTCGGGCAACCACCCGTCTGCTCTCTACAACTATGAGTTCAATGTTTTCAGATTCCATATATAAGTGAGATCATGCAGTATTTGTCTTTCTGTGCTTGCTTTTTAAAACTTTATTATGTATTTATTTATTTTATGAGACAGGGTCTCAGTCTGTCATGCAGGCTGTAGTACACTGAGAGAAACACGGGTCACTCACCATGGTCTCCACCTCCCCTGGTCAAGAGATCCTCCCACTTCAGCCTCCTGAGTAGCTAGGACTACAGGCGTCCAATATCACATCTGGCTAATGTTTGTATTTTTTGTAGAGATGGGATTTCACCATGCTGCCCAGATTGATCTCGAACTCCTGGGCTAAAGTTCTCCACCTGCCTTTGCCTCCCAAAGTACTGGGATTACAGGCATGAGCCACCATGCCTGGCCTTTGCTTTATTTCACTCACTATAACATCCTCTAGGCTCATTCATGTTGCAAATGACGTGATTTCTTTCTTTTCTAAGGCTGAATAGTATTCTGTTGGGTATATACACCACTTTTTTTTTTTTTTTTTTTTTTTTGAGACTGCTTTTTGCTCTTGTCGCCCAGGCTGGAGTGCAGTGGCGTGATTTCGGCTCACAACAACATCTGCCTCCCAGGTTCAAGTGATTCTCCTGCCTCAGCTGAGATTAGAGGCATGTACCAGCATGTCCGGCTAATTTTGAGTTTCTAGTAGAGATGGGGTTTCACCATGTTGGCCAGGCTGGTCTTCAACTCCTGCCTCAATTATCTGCCAGGCTTGGCCTCCCGATGTACTGGAATTACAGGTGTGAGCCACCGTGCTGGGCCACATTGTGGTTTTAATTTGCAGCACTGCAGTTTAATAAGAGACTTTACAAATTAGTTGGATTGAAAGCCTTAATAGAGAATTGGGTAAACATCATGAAAAAAATGATATACTCAGAAGAGAATAATTTTACAGCACCCAAGAGAAGTCAAACATCTGTAGTAATCATAGAAATGTAATTAAAATGTAAATGAGGCACTATTTTTAATCACTAGGTTTTTAAAAAACACTATACCCAATTCTGACAAAAGTGTGTTATTTTGAGGCAGCATTAAATTGATAAAGTATGTATTTGAAATAGGTATTGATATATATATATCAATTATCATTGAAACCTTCATATCCTTTGATTGAGGAATCTCAGGGTTGTATAATTTGTATCAGGAAACTGTTCAAAACAACCTGAATCAAATATACAAAAAACGTTATTGCTGCATTTTTTTTTATTTTTTATTATACTTTAAATTCTAGGGTACGTGTGCACAGTGTGCAGGCTTGTTCCATAGGTATACACGTGCCATGCTGGCCTGCTGCACCCATTATCTCTTCATTTACATTAGGTATTTCCCCCAATGCTATCCCTTCCCCCGCCCTCCACCCCATGACAGGCCCCAGTGTGTGATGTTCCCCACCCTGTGTCCAAGTGTTCTCATTGTTCAATTCCCACCTATGAGGGAGAACATGGGGTGTTTGGTTTTCGTTCCTTGTGATAGTTTCTCAAAATGATGGTTTGTACCTTCATCCATGTCCCTGCAAAGGACATGAACTTATCCTTTTTTATGGCTGCATAGTATTCCATGGTGTATATGTGCCACATTTTCTTAATGCAATCTATCGTCGATGGACATTTGGGTTCGTTCCAAGTCTTTGCTTTGTGAATCGTGCCACAATAAACATACGTGTGCATGTGTCTTTATAGTAGCATGATTTATAATCCTTTGGGTATATACCCAGTAATGGGATGGCTGGGTCAAACGGTATTTCTAGCTCTAGATCCTTGAGCAATCGCCACACTGTCTTCCACAATGGTTGAACTAGTTTACACTCCCACCAACCTAGGCAAACAGGGTGTGGAGTGGACGGACTTCCAGCAAACTCCAACAGATCTGCAGCTGAGGTACCTGACTGTTAGAAGGAAAACTAACAAACAGAAAAATATCATCAACATCAACAAAAGGGAGATCCACACCAAACCCCATCTGTAGGTCACCAACATCAAAGACCAAAGGCAGATAAAACCACAAAGGTGGGGAGAAACCAGAGCAGAAAAGCTGAAAATTCTAAAAACCAGAGTGCCTCTTCTCCTTCAAAGGATCGCAACTCCTCGCCAGCAACGGAAGAAAGGTTGTCAGAGAATGACGAGCTGACAGAATTAGGCTTCAGAAGGTAGGTCATAAAAGTCTTTCTACTATGAGTCTGCAGTTATTACTTCAATCTAAACTTGTAACAAACTTTTAGAGAACACATTTTAGGCTAAGAGATGCTGTCCATGGCAGTTGTTTAAACATCTGAATAACTTTAAAATTATTTTACAGCTGGGCGCGGTGGCTGAGGCCTGTAATCTCAGCATTTTGGGAGGTAGAGACAAGCGGATCATCCAAGATCCCACCACTGCACTGCAGCCTGAGTGACAGTGTGAGACTTCGTCTCAAAAAAACAAAAACAAACAAAAATTATTTTACATGTAAAAAGCTGAACTAAGATTCCAAAGGATAAATTAATAATTCAATAGTCTAAACGACCAGTTTAAAGGTAAATTAATCATGCAAATTTCCAGCTTGATGGTAATTTAATCATTCAAATGACCAATTTATTTTAGTTATGCACACACAGACATATATATAAAATATCCAACATAGACATAAAATTTCCAACAATATCAGCCAATCCAACATTTCTTTTCTGCCTTTTGTAGGTATCAAGCACAGGAGTTGGCAGGGCACACACTTTCAACTGATTCAAGCACAGTACTTCACACTCCTGTGTGTGAGCACACACATACACACACACACACCGTAATTGTTCTAAGTGGTGAGCCTGTGATGCAAGCTGGCCAATCGGAATTTTCCCTAGGGCTTTTCAAACTAATGGTAGGAGGAAGAAGCCTCTTCTACTATTTGCTAATGGAACTTATTAGTGTATGAACTCAGAAGTGTGTCTCATTTCTTAAAAACTGGGAAGAGGGGCTCATGGAGGAGCCCACTGAGCTAATGCAGCTGACATGCAGAAAGGTATGGAAAAGGAGCACCATTGCACTCTGGTGACCTTGAAGTTCCTGGTGATAGAGTTCTTCTCTAAGGCCACTGCTGCACCTTTCCCTCTCAAACTGGCTCAATCAATTTCCCCTTTCTGTTTATTTTAGTTCCTGTTAAGATCTGGGAACTTTCTTCCTGTAAATACAAAGGAGTAGTACAAACACCATCCTCGATGGCACTCGGTGTTAGAGAGAGCTCTTGCATTCACTGTTGCTGGGCTGTAGACTGACACATTCTTTTCTTTGCTTTTTTGATGGCAATTTGGTAGAACATACCAAATTTTACAACCAAAATTTACACAGGCAAAAACACTTTGACCTAGAAATTCCACACTTAGGAACCTCCGCTATAGAAATATTAACACACTTGATAAAGGACATAAAAGAAAGATATACAGTGACATGTTTTTGTACTAGCCAAAAATAGTGGAAAGCAAACTATCAATAGAGAAATGCTGAAAATAACTATGGCTCACCTACCATGGAGTGCTTTGCACATAAATAATAAGCTGTCTACATATGGAAGGAAGAGCATGACATGTTATTGGAGAAAAAAATCAAATTGCAAAAGTAGAATCCAATTTTGGTGACAACAAACTAGAATTAAATAAGTATACACGTATTGTATATTTTTTTTTTTCTTCAAAGAGAGTCTCACTCTGTCACCCAGGCTGTAGTGCAGTGGCGCGATCTAGGCTCATTGAAACTTCCACCTCCTGAGTTCAAGCAATTCTCCTGTCTCAGCCTCCCGAGTAGCTGTGACTACAGGTGCCTGCCACCATGCCCAGATAATTTTTGTATTTTTAGTAGAGATGGGGTTTCACCATGTTGGCCAGGCTGGTCTGGAACTCCTGACCTCAAATGATCCACCCACTTCGGCCTCCCAAAGTGGTGGGATTACAGTCGTGAGCCACTGTGCCCAGCCTGTATATGTTTTGTATGCGCATGAGAACTCTGCAAGAATACACACAAATTTGTTAAAGTGGTAAGGCCTAGGGGGTGTCACCAAGAGTGAGCAAAGGGAATAATTTTACTTTTAATTTAAATTTACTTCATAGATATCTGCATTGTTTGTATTCAAGTTGTATGTATTACCTTGTTAGTTTTTAAAAGCAATTTTGCAAAGAATATAGTTCTATCTACTGTCACACCTTAGAAGAGAAACTCCTTAGAAAAGGGAGAAGTGTATAAATAGGCAGATATTGTAAGATTTGGCTTCAGCTCCAACTCTAACATGTTTTATCACTTGGAATAAATAGATCCATCTCTCTGTCTTTGTTCATCCATCTGAAGAATGAAAGATTTGAATTATGTGGGCATTAGGTCCATATGTGGCCCACATTAGGTACACATGCCCAATTTATGAACACAGGTCTTTTTTATGTTTTATGATATATACAAACACAATTCTGAATTTGGAATGACATTTGGATATTAAACAAAATGCATGAGCATTAAACATGTCTTAATTATAACATAGTGACTACACTTTAACCCAAAGAGATTTATTTATATTTATCTTTTTTCTCCAAATTAAAGTTGCCATTGTTGCTGCTGAAATTATTACTGTGCTACCTTTTATTACTGTGCCACCTTTTTATCACTATTTTACATAAGTAAAATCCAAGCCCATACCACCTCCACTTGCCTTATATTTTGATTCTCCCTGTATGGGTGAAGGTTGTATAGTGGAATTTCTATAAAGGAAGGAGGTTAATGGTCAAGTCCCTGATGAAGCAGGGAAGTGAACAGCACCTTTCTTTCTATTTACCGATGAGCTTCTAGATCTACCAGGAGATCCAGTCCACTGAAGGTGAAACCCTAGTTTATGGAATTTCCTTGTTTTAATCAGGGCTAATAAGAAGGCCAGAGGCAAGCTGAATCATGTCTACAGGTCTTCCTTTGGTCTGTACCTTCTTTTCCCCTGAGGCAATGTGAATACCCTTAGGTGGAGCACATACTCTGTCCCTCTGTACCCTCAGGTTGAGCTCAGTTCTCACCTACAGCTAAACACTTCACAGGTTACTGTGTCTGTCAGGTTTCAGAGGTCCTGTGCATTTCGTAACTCCGTAGTAAGTGTTAAAACCACGTGTAGAGTAACATTAACAAAGCGGGGTCTCCACCCTGGGGAGGAGATACATTGTCAGTTTCTTCATGCTTAGTCATAAGAACAAGTAAATGCAATGAACTTGGGTCTTATTCAAACACACAGTCACTTTGAAACAGATGTAACAATCTTAGATCAGGTTATATAAGTCTGTAAATTCACCTTTCCACTTAACTCACTTTCCCTTTTCATGTATTGTGACTATAAAGTAAGTACTTTTCTAAATAGAACCCTGTGTTAGAACAAATATTAATTTTATCAGATAAACAACTGTTTCTTAGAAGTCACTTACTACTTTGTATAAAGAGGTATCTCTTTGCAAGGGGGTATCACATGCTAAACAACAAAATTTCTAGGACAGAGTCTCACCATCACAGCTAACTCAATGGCCAGGCATTTGGAGTAGTCCAGAAAGCCTGGTCGAATAGCCTAATGAAAAATTATAATGTCTGGCTAATTCTAAATTCAAACTGTGAAAGAAAAAAACAGTGACTGACACGTAATTTAAACGAGTCATTTTTGTTCACAATTTGAGGTTGATTGAAATTGCCAGAATGTAAACCCCACAAATGCAAAGGTTTTCCTCCCGTTTGTCTGCTGATGGGTCCTAAGTGTCTGAGAATGGGAACTACCGATCCCCATCTGCACTGCCACATGCAACTTACTGGAAGTATTAACATGACTTGACTAGTCCACTGTCTTCATTAGCATAACTTTCTCACTCCAAGAGACTCTTGCCCAGGCACATAACTTGATTATTCGTTATATTAGATCCAGAAAGATCTATCAACTCTTCAATAGAAAACAGAGGGGGATTATTAACTAAGGAGGATTCTTTGACTCTTTTGCCTAAAAAATCCCCACCTTGCTCTTTTCATCAATTCTAAACTGTTATATCATGATACTAGTCTAATTCTAATCTAGTCTTCTCCTCTCCCTGACATTGAAAGACCCTCTTTCAACCAGACTTTTAATTCTCAACAAATCTGACCTTGCCTATGCGATCAGAGACATAACTGCTATTTGGTAGAGCTGGCATTGTCCCTTACCAATAAACTCAAGAAACTCAGCTTGGTCTCATTCACGGGTTGTGTCAGTAATATTTTGGGAGCAAGCATTAAACATGTCTAGAACAGAATTGGGCACAGAGTAGGCACTTGATAAATACCTGATGAATAAGTGAGTGGATGCTATGTAATCAGATGTGAAGGGATTTTAAAAGCCCTATTAAATCTATATCAGAAGGGAGTCAGCCCATGTAAATGCCCACTGGTAGCACAGTTGACTCTGGGAGGAGAGACACGTTACACTATAAGTGTTAATATGCTACTGGTGACTCCATAGCCAGAATTGTCATGTTTACCATATTTTTTAACTTAAATTACTCTTTTTGAGTTTGAGCCAAGGAGTATAAGTCAAAGGTTCATGAAAGAGCAGGAGGTGAGTGTTTTTTGACCTACCCCTGTTAGAAAATGGCTGAGGTGACATGAAGGAATAATTGTTTAGACATCAATGAAAAATGTCTGTCTGCTCATTTACCTCAGGTTTCCACAAGTGACATTTTGGTACCCTTTACTATTCTTTTCCAGATAAAACACATTTTCCTGGAGGGTTTTCTAAGCTTCCGTACAGCCTTCCTTGTTTTATCTGTTAAGACAGTGAGAAGACATCTTATCTGATTTTACAGCTCTCATTCTCAGTGGTAATTTAACTCATAGCTGTAAGCAGCCGGCCAGTAAAACTCCCAGCTGAATGTATTATTTAATAGAGGGGAAACAAAATAAGGCTAAAGCCATTTTATAATAAATAATTTAAATATGGAAAAGGTCCACCGCTCACTGACCTGGAATATCAATAGGGAGCAATATGTAAGAATTATTTCAGAAAGACTCACTTTATGTGCTAAATTAGAATTTAACATTAACCTCAAAATATAAGAGCAAGCCCTTTCACTTTTCCAATATTCCAAGGTAAGACAGTCAGACAGGTCTGTTTCAGGTTTTGGGTATTTTTTGTTTTTCTTTTTTCTTTTGAGATGGAGTGTCACTCCTGTCAACCATGCTGGAGTGCAATGGTGCGATCTCGGCTCACTGCAACCTCCATCTCCCGGCTTCAAGCGATTCTCCTGCCTCAGCCTCCCAAATAGCTGGGACTACAGGTGCCAGCCACCATGCCCAGCTAATTTTTGAATTTTAATAGAGACAGAGTTTCACCACGTTGGCCAGGCTGGTGTCAAACTCCTGACCTCAGCTGATCTGCCTGCCTCGGCCTCCCAAAGTGCTGGGATTACAGGCGTGAGCCACTGCGTCCAGCCTTTTTTGTTTTTCTTTTAGATTTTACTGGCAGAATATATGAAGTTCAAAGAGTTTAATCCAAATAATCCAGATTTCTGTATTGCATTCATTCTCCCAAACCATTCAGACTGAAAAACAAAATAATAGCTGTGAAACAATTGTCTTTTTCTTTCCTTCAAAGAAACTTTGCTTTGGCATTTATGAGGATTCTGAAAAACACCTTAAATATAAGAAAAATGTTTGGGAGGTGGTGACACAAAGGAGATGACTTTAGGCCAAGACAGTTCACTGAAGCTCTTGAAAATTGTATTGTTTTTTGGGCAGTAGGCAGGGTCACTGATTGGTTACAACTTCATTACTATATTGGTAAAAGACCTTTGTTGTCTCTGAAAGAGTCTGCATTTGGGACATTGTCACAAAGCAAGATAGACAAATTTCCAAGAGGCCAAGCCTCAAGGGAGACTGCCGAAGCTGCTCCTGCTTCCCAGCCTCCAGAGAAACCCAAGAAGCAAGTGATGATGCTAGACCTTATAAAAAATTAGATCTAAATAATCTCATCTGTACTTGCTCAAACAGTACTGTTTGAAAAATAAATCTCTGGCGTGAGTTCTAAACCTAGCATATCTTTCAGCAATCGATTTATCTTTCTTTTTCATTCCATTTTTTCTCAGTCTCCATAACCAAATGTCCCTTTTTTCTATTCCTATGTTTATAAAGCTATCTCTTAAAAAACTTCTTTTACTACTTTCTTTCTTGTTCTCTTGTTATGTTAAACTTTCTTTCTTTTTTTTGCTACGGAGTCTCGCTCTATCGCCCTAGGCTGGAGTGCAGTGGCTTGATCTCGGCTCCCTGCAATTTCCGCCTCCCAGGTTTAAGCGATTCTCCTGCCTCAACCTCCCGAGTATCTGAGATTACAAGCATGCACCACCACGCCCCGCTAATTTTTCTGTATTTTTAGTAGAGACAGGGTTTTGCCACATTGCCCAGGCTGGTCTTAAACTCCTGACCTCAGGTGATTCACCTGCCTCGGCCTTCTAACGTGCTAGGATTATAGGCGTGAGTCACCGCACCCGGCCATAAATTCTTGTGAATTTTTCTAACTTCTATTGCTAATTAACATGGAGGTGCCCGTGGGAGTTTTTTTTGTTGTTTTTTTTTTTTTTTTTTGGAAGTAGTTTCACTTTTGTTGCCCTGGCTAGAGAGCAGTGGGGTGATCTCGGCTCACCGCAACCTCTGTCTCCCTGATTCAAGCGATTCTCCTGCCTCAGCCGTCCAAGTAGCTGGTATTACAGGCATGTGCCACGATGCCCGGCTAATTTTGTATTTTTAGTAGAGATGGGGTTTCTCCATGTTGATCAGGCTGGTCTCCGACCCTCGACCTCAGGTGATCCACCCGCCTCAGCCTCCCAAAGTGCCGGGATTACAGGCGTGAGCCACCACACCTGGCCCTAAACTTTCTGTTTTTCTGTTTATTCAGTCTTTTCCATTCTCTCCCTCTCTCTGCCTTTAGAGGCCATATCCTATGACATAATAAAAATGGCGAATGTGTCTGTATTGCTAATTAGCTGTTGAAATTGTACTTGGCATTAACTAACCTAGCCTTATTTAATCTGCATAGCAACAGCATGCAGGAACTATTTACAAGCCTAATTTATAGTTCACAGTTTGAGGGCAGTCAAGTGACCTGCCCAAGATTGAACAGGGGCTGGTGAAACAATGATAACTCAGATGTGCCTGACAGCAACTCCTAACCATGATGCTAAACTGCGGACTTCACAGTTACTTTTGCCTCTGAGACTTCCTGCATAAAGCATGGCAGATAGAACCCACATCTTAAAAAATACTTTATACAAATCATTACTGTAATTATAACTTGGAAGAAAACTACAGGGGACAAGCAAACACATTCAGTAAACTTGTGGCTGCAAGAAAATTAAGCCCACAGATCATAGTTGCAAAACAAAACAACATTATTAAATTATTACTGCTTTGGAACTGCCTGTTTGTGGCAAAAGATTAAGCTGCTTCAAAATTTCCCATGGCAGTCTCGTAGCTGTTACCATTTAAATATCCTTAGAATTTACAAGAGTTTGATACGGGAACAGTGAAACCTCAAAGTTGGTTTCTATTACCGTTAAAGAAAAATCTACCAAAAGAAGCAAATTATTCTATCCCATTACCATGTTGAAGCACAAAAAGGCCACATGTCACCTTGAAAAGCTGATTTCAAACAGAATTGACTGACTAGCTCTCTGCTTTCATTTGTAAACATTTAGAGAGTACAACCAGAATGGATATTTCTTTTCTGTCCAGAAGGACAATTTTTTGCTAGTTGGCAGGTTACAGTTGGCCTTTAATATGTGAGAATGAGAGATGAAGAAGAGAAGAAATATGCCATTATCCCTATAGGATGTATTTTAAAGTGGAAGGAAGGAAAGAAAGAAGAAAGGAAGGAAGGAAGGCAGACTGGAGGCAGGAAGGAAGGAAGGGAGGGAGGGAGGGAGGGAGGGAGGAAGGCAGGAAGGGAGGGAGGGAGGGAAAGAGGGAGGGAGGGAGGAAGGGCAGAGAGGGAGAAAAAAACAGGAAAGACCTAAATAGCACTAGATAGTGAAGGAATAGAGCAATGAGACATTTGTAGAAGACATTTTGTGAAGAAAATGCAGATTCTAGGTTGAACAATTCTCTAAAGAGACCTACAAAATATGACAAATATCCTTAAGTTGTATACTTTGTTTACAACTAGAAAATAGTAACATGTCTCTATTTATAGATCTTATAAGGTCCAGCTAAAAGGGACAATGGTAAGATGAGAGTCACAATAAGATTGATGGAATTACAATTTAATGAATGAATGTTTCATAATGATCACAATGTTTTGTTATTTTATTTCTACTATATTTACAAGGGATTGTAAGACAGAAAGATAATTGTGAGAATCTCTGGAATATTTATATTTAAAAGTTCACCTTCAGATAAAAATTTGGAGAAGGAATAAATACTCCATTAGGTATTCCCGCTTTGTCACTAACGGACTGTGACCTTAGGAAAGACATTCAACACTTCTGGGTCCCTTTTCAACCACCATGACCCTGTGCTACAAACCCCGCTTTTTTTTTTTTTTTTTTTTGAGATGGGGTCCTCTGTCACCCCAGGCTGCAGTGGCACCATCTTGGCCCACTGCAACCTCCACCTACCAGGCTCAAGCCGTCCTCCCACCTGAGCCTCTGGAGTAGCTGGGACCACAAGTGCGCACTACCATGCCTGGCTATTTTTTTGTATTTTTAGTAGAGACAGGGTCACACTATATTGCCCAGGCTAGTCTCAAACTCCTGAGCTCAAGTGATCTGCCTGCCTCCGCCTCCCAAAGTTCTGGGATTGCAGGTAAACCACCAGGCCCGGCCTACAATCCCCACTTTTCACCAGGTAGGATGCTCAGTGCTTCACATCAGCATCACACAGTCGTCTCCTGGAGAAGGCTCATGCATCCAGCTTAACCACAGCCTCCCAGCTGGGCTCTACCTTCAGGCTGAAAGAATAGACTGTGTGGCTAATTTTAGTGGCTAAAAACATTGCCATTTTCTTCATAGACAATCTTCTATATCAATTCTCAAACTTGTTGGTTTTAGAAACTTGTTTACTAAAAAAATTACTAAGAATCCCACAGATTTTTATTTATGTGGGTTATAGTTGTCAAGATTTATCTTACTGGAAATTACTCTGAGAAAAACTGAAAATACATATTTACTTGTTTGCTTAAAAACAGTAACAAACCATTATATTTATAATGTATCTTTATGAAAAATAAATATATGTTATAAATAAAAAACAATCTAGTAAGAAAATGTAAAGGAAATTTTGACAAATTCTTTAATGTCCAGCTGAATAGGTCTGTTGCAACATCACATATGTAGCCTTTGGAAAACTCCACTGTAAATTCATGAAAGAATGAGAGTGAAAAAATAATGCAACTTCTTAGTATCATTACAAAAATGCTTTAGACCTGCCGGAGCTTTTGAAAGAGTTTCAGAAAACCCAAGGAATTCCAGACTCCACCTTATAACTGCTGTTCTATATGATGCAGTTAGTCTAAATTGTAAGGAGATTTTATATATAATTATAAAGGGTTATATAGTTATATCCATTATGAAAATAACTTAGTAAACATTTTTTGTAACTGATCCTGAGAATAATAATAAAACAATATTTAATACTTATAAAGTACTCCCTTATATCAAGCTCTGTAGGAAGAGCTTTACAAATGTTATTTAACTTAATCCTCAAAAGATTGTGCCATTAATGAATTACTGTACCATTTAACACGTGAAGAGACCGGGCCTTGCAAAGTGTAAGTAACTTGCCCAAGGTCCCGTCATTAGCAGACTTGATACTTAGCCTTTGAGCTTAGGTAGTCTGACTTCAGGCCACACAAGATCCTAATGAAGACAACTTATTGTCCCTTCAGAAAAGGTTGCTCAGCACTGAAAATAATTATCTCACTTAATCCTTGCAAAAACTCTGTGAGAATCACTTTATAATCCTGTTTTTACTGATGGGCAAATAGAGCCAAGCTGCACAGTTGGCTTCCAGTAGTAACAGATGTTGTTGGCCTGTACACATCCTATGCCACTAGTCTTTGGTCTCCAACGTGGATTGGTCTAATCTAGAGAATGTTCAAGGCAGGCCCCAGGTTGTGGGGAGAAAACAGCACTTATTTTTATCTTTATCTTAGAAATGGAACGAAATTGGCTTTAAAAGTATCTAATACATAGATTGATGCTTGTCCTTCATTGGACTGTTAAGTGAGCACTTAAGATGTGAGAAGCATCCTGAGGACAGAGTGGGTGGCTCTTGACAGAGGGTCGTTACTCTAATGGCAGATGATGAGTGTCCAGTCAGGGAGCTTTATGGATTTACTATTTTTTGTTTTAGATAAAATAATACTTATAGAATGGACATGTGGTTTAAACAGATTTCTGATAAAAAACAGAACAAAATAAAAATCAGAATGAAGCAAATACTACTAATTCAGATTCAAATAAGAAAGAAAACAGTAGACTTGACCCTTTCCTTAAACTTATTGCCATCTTTTTATCAGCAATACTACAGGATTTTTTCAAAAGTCAGTTTAACCAGTACTAGAAATGAATTGGCCCAAATATTTGAAATGATCAAGAGACTACCTGGACTTTGGATTTTCATCCACCATAATTAGTTACGAATCTCAGGAAGTAAATGTTGTGCAAATGAAAACATGAAACCATCATGATTAGGAAGATATTATATCATCTATCTCATCTTTAAATTTTTTTGAAATTTCTTTTCTTGATGTACATTTATAATATAGACAGTATACTGGTAGGATAGTAGAGGAATATAATTTATTAGTAATATATGTACGTATTCATTAAGTTCCTATTCATCATGCCTGTAATTCCAGCACTTTGGGAGGCCAAGGCGGGCGGAACACGAGGTCAGGAGATCAAGACCATCCTGGCTAACCCGGTGAAACCCTGTCTCTACTAAAAATAAAAAATAAATAAATAAATAAAATAGCCAGCTGTGGTGGTGGGCGCCTGTAGTCCCAGCTACTCTGGAGGTTGAGGCAGGAGAATGGCATGAATCCGGGAGGCGGAGCTTGCAGTGAGCCAAGATCCTGCCACTGCACTCCAGCCTGGGCGACTGAGCAAGACTTCGTCTCAAAAAAAAAAAAAAAAAAAAACAGTTCCTATTCATAGAAGACCTTGATGAAAATGTTTTGGCAAATCTGGCCCTATGTTAAATTAAATGGTACCTAGCTCCATAATGAAGCTCCAGATTCTTTCCAGCTCTAATATTCTGTGATTCTGATTTTTTTGTCAAAGGTCTGAAGGGTGGAAGGAAGAAACCAAAATTCTATTTCACACTATTTGTTATCGTAACACATGGAAATATGGGAAATTATTTTCTGTTGAGAGCCAATATACTAATAGAGCATTACATGTCCAACAGTTAAGTGCCTCCCTCATATAATGCACGTTTACTGATTGTTAAATGACTTCCTAGCACTTTTAATAGAATGTATTTGCTGTATTCTAAGTGCCTACTATCCCATTTCTCATTTTGTGCTTGTTAAGAACACTCTAAATTACCCATAGAAACCATCCTTCCCCAATATTTCAGTCCTAAGGCTTGGGGAAAGGCATGTTTTTTATGCCTAAGTCAAGTGGCACCTAAGAACATAACTCAACTCAGGTCAATGAGGAGACTGAAATGCTACTGCCTTTGTATGTGGGTGGATAGAGGGCTGCAGCTGCTGTCAGATGTCTTATTGCTGCATGGATTCTTAAGATTGAAGCCTGGAGAGGAAAGCAGGGCAAGGGGATGGAAAAAGATCCCAACCAATGCAGCTTCTACAAAATTATTACTTTGTGACTTTTTAATTCAGTGTTACTTAAGCTTACCAACATGTTCTCAAGGCTGCTCTTCATAAATGATCCAAAACTGACTAACGTTAAAATCTTTAAGAAAGTATTAATAAAGTATTTTCTTCCCTGAGGTTCAGGCTTTTATTCCCAGTAGGAATACATTTCTGGCAAGATGTTTCTGGGACATAAAATCTTCATACTGGTCTCTTATGGAGACGGGAGTTTCTGTGTGATTTTCTTGGATTTCTTTTTTGTCACTCACATGGACGGCAACTATATAAACTGTTGCATTCTTCTCTAAGGGTAAAGAAAGCGTAAGAAAAATATATTGCAAACCAAATCTAAACTGAAAAATAGCAAGAAAGTTAAGTAACAAGCAGAACCATAGAAAAACCAAGCATAGTCTTTTATATTTTCAGATGGTCAATTCCATTAACTAGAACTTTCTACTAATCAGCACATTCACAGAACAAAGTGCAGTCATTGTCACTTTATCTAATGATAACTCTGAGCCATCACTGCAAGCCCCCTCCATGTGTCGGGCTTACTTGGGCTCTGATGGCTTTGGTTTAAACCTTTCTGACTTACATTTCAATCTCCCCAACAATATACTCATACAAAGTAGGAATCTGCTCTTTGATCTTTCTCAGCATAGTCATAGGGGCAAAAAAATACAATGAACAAAAGGAACAAAGTAGACAGATGAAGTTGATGAGTGTAAAGAAATGGCACAAACTCTTGGGTACATGCAACCTATTTAGACACAGCCTAGACAATAACCATGATTTCCCCTGGAGTACAAAAATACACAAAGAATTACCAGGGGCTGGTAGAAGACGTATGAAGCAAGCTGTGAAAATAGCATAGTTACTTGGCGGGGGGCTGTTGTGATTTGCATTGTTAATTAAGCATATTTTCTGTTCTTATGAAGCAAGAGCTGGATTCACTGTTATTAGCACAGTTGAACAATCTTTTAGGAAACTTAGAATAAATGAAATGTAGCTAAGTCATTAATGATCAAAACAAAAATGTCCCACTAAGAAAATGCTTATTTTCTCTAGAGGGGTTTCCCCTTCTTCGTCAATATTTGTTATTCCAATCAGGTAATTAAGTGCTTATAGTCTACCCAGTAAATATATTTGGTTAACTATCAATTAGGTGATAATTTCCCTGAAGCGCCACATAAAGGAGTCTGTCTTATACTCTCATTAAGCATAGGCCCATCAGCCCTGACCACTGTATGTTGTAATTATTTGTTACATGTCTCATTTTCTCCCTCCTATGAGACTATGAGCACTTTGAGGGTATGCATTTTTTTTTCATTATAAGAAGGGCTAATATTTACTGAGTGATACTTATATGCCCGATTCTATTTTAAGTGTACGATCAGTTATTGGAGTTAAAACTCACAAAACTTTATGACATGGGAACTATTAGTATTCTCATTTTAGGGAGGAGGAAATTTAAACTCAGAGGCATTAATTTGTTTGAGTTCACAAAGGAAGTTAGGAAGTGGTAGACCTATAATGTGCATCCAGGCAATTTTACCCCAGGGTTGTTGCTCTCAATCATTATGATGTTCCCACTTTGAAGACTGTTGATTACAGCCAAGAATCTTGTAAAAGCTAATGTTCATCATATGCTCTCTGTGTTTTGGGAATGTATACCAAGCCTTTTATGTATTTATTTATTTATTGAGACAGAGTTTCTCTCTTGTTGCCCAGGCTGGAGTGCAATGGCACTATCTTGGCTCACTGCAACCTCCACCTCCCAGATTTAAGCGATTCTCCTGTCTCAGCCTCCTGAGTAGCTGGGATTACAAACACATGCCACCACACCTGGCTAATTTTTGTATTTTTAGTAGAGATGGGTTTTCATCACATTGGTCAGGCTGGTCTCAAACTCCTGACCTCAGGTGGTCCACCCACCTCGGCCTCCCAAAGTGCTGGGATTACAGACATGAGTCACCGTGCCGGATCTACCAAGCCTTTTTTATCTATTTAACTTATTTTTTATTTGTTTACCAAGACTTTTATATCTATTAACTTATTTTTTACAGTGCTCTGAGGCAAATAGTAATATTATAGCTATTTTATAGGTAAGAAAATAAGCAGATAAATATTAATTGACGCTCAAATTTACATAAAAATGGACAAAGTCAGGGTTAAAGTCCTGGCAGTCTGGTTTCGGAGTTCCCAGCCACTTATTATTGCTGGATGCTAGGATCCAAAACAAGTTGGTCCTATCTGAAGACACCAGGAGTATAAAGAGTTCCTGGAATATATGGAGCAGCTATATGCATTGAGCTCTTCCTGTGTAACTGGACCTGTGTAGTTCTCATGTTTTAAGTTATCACACTTTGTCTTAACTGTACGCTGATGAGAGAAATCATAGCACCTGCATTTATAGTTGAGGCTTAGCTGGACTTGAGAGTTGAACACTATTCAGCTGAGTTTCCTAGCAAATAAGTAAAAAAGAGATTTTAATTGCCTAATCAAAGGAAGTGCAACTGAAAAGATACATTTTTTTTGCCTTAGATTCAAGAAATATGTCTCTGAAATAAATATGTTTTCTAAGTTTTCTTTTTCATTACTTGCTGGGCTTGGGGATAGTTCAGAGATGGGTAACAGTCCAATTTCTAGCCATTTTATAACCCCATTTAAAAACTTTCAGTTATTCCCTTGTTTTTACTAAGTTAAGAGCAAACTCCTCAGTCTTTCATGAAGACAGTCCAGTCTGGCCCAAACCACCTTCCTATGTTTGCCGCCTGTGTTTTATTTTCTTTGTGATGATCTTATACTGCAGTCAAACAGGGAGATTCCTACCCTCAGGGTTTCATCTACCTAGAACATTGAGTTGAAACTCAACTCTCAACTGGTTTTATCATTCCAACTCCAAGGCTTCCAAGTTTCCTCTCCTTATGCATTTTCTTTTCCTTCTTATTTTTTTGTTTTTTTTGAGACAAGGCCTTGCTCTGTGTGTCACCCAGGCTGGAGTGCAGTAGGTGGCATGAGCACTGCTTATTGCTGCCTTGACCTCACAGGCTCAAACAATCCTCAAACCTCAGCCTCTCTAATAGCTGGGACTACAGAAATGCACCACCACTGCTGGCTAATTTTTAAATTTTTTGTAAAAATGAGGTCTCTCTATGTTTCCCAGGCTAGTCTTGAACTCCTGGGCTCAAGTGATTTTCCCTCCTTAGCCTCCCAAAGTGCTGGGATTGCAGGCATGAGCCATTATGCTCAGCCTCTTCAAGGATCTTGGGCAGTTCAATAATTTTGTCTTCTGCTACTATTCTAAAGTAGTATACTGTCTTATTGTTTGTTCTCATTCATTCATTCATTCAAAAATTACTCGTAAACATCAGCCATATAACCAGGATATGTGCCAAGCACTGGAGATTAAAAAGTGAACAACACACATGACCCCTGCGCTCTTGGAGCTTATAGGATGTCAGTGTCCAGTAACTGGGCTGACAGACATTTGAGTGACATGTCTTGCCCCACACTCAAGAGTGTTACTTAGATTTAATGCTCAAATTCAAGCCTTGCTTGCTTATATTTCAATAAGTGGAAATAAGGAGAAAACTGTCTTTACCTCCCCAGCATCTAGCACAGTGCCTGGCACACTGTAGACACTCAATTATGTTTGCTGAGGAAATGAGTGGATAGGTAGGAAGGGACAGAGGATCAGAAGGGAGGAAAGGAGGGAGAAAGGGAAGGATGGAGGGGAAACATAAGACAGACTGAAAGGAAAAAGAAAGATGATAATAAAGACAGGCCCTGGAACATTCTGGGTAGGTGAAAACCTGAAGGTAGGAATCTCCCAGTTTCACTGGAGTATAAGATCAAGCCAAAGAAAATAAAACACAGGAGGCAAACATGGGAAGGAAGTTTGGGCCAGATCGTGTCTTAATGAAAGACTAAGGAGCTTGTTTTTAACTTAGCATAAACCGGGGAACAACTGAAAGATTTTGTTTGTTTGTTTGTTTGTTTGTTTTTGAGACAGAGTTTTGCTCTTCCTGCCCAGGCTGGAGTGCAATGGCACGATCTTGGCTCACTGCAACCTCCGCCTCCTGGGTTCAAGTGATTCTCCTGCCTCAGACTCCCAAGTAACAGGGATTACAGGCATGCACCACCACACCTGACTAATTTTGTATTTTTAGTAGAGATGGGGTTTCTCCATGTTTGTCAGGCTGGTCTTGAACTCCTGACCTCAGGTGATCTGCCCGCCTTGGCCTCCCAAAGTGCTGGGATTACAGGTATGAGCCACTTCACCCAGCCTACTGAAAGTTTTTAAATGGAGTTATAAAGTGACTAGAACTTTGCATTGGGAAAATTAATCTCAAATTCCATGAGGAGAGAAATCTGTTTCATCAGTGATGCATCCCAAACACTTAGCACAGTGTCTGTCATATAGTAGGCACTCCATACATTTTTTGCCAAATAAATAGAAGACACACATGTTCTAGAAAATAGCCAGGGAATTAGAAGGATTCACAATTTATCCTACAAACATGTTTTTATGAAATCTTTGCGTAGACATAGTATTAATTTTACTTCCATACTTCTGCATTGGGTAGGTAAAATAATCATAGTCTTTCTTCATTCAAAAACAGCACCTAGAAATATATATATGTATATATATATATATACATATATAAAAATATCTATCATATATAAATATATATATAATGCTTAGGAATGAAACAATGGAAACATTTATTTAAGAAATATAATTATGTTTAATTTACGTCATCCTGAAAGATTCTGACGCTGCTTAGAAATTTGCTATCTGAAGTTTTAGAAAGATCCCTGTAAAACAAAACATTTCTCAACTTAAAGGGCAGAGTTTATTTTTTAGAAATAACTCTTTTGCAACCGTGGAATAGGTTCTAATGGATTCACACAAAGAAACGGATGCAAGTGCCAACAGACCTTGTGGTACAGTTTGTATATTTGTCTCCGCCCTAATCTTATGTTGAAAAGTAATCCCCATTGCTGGAGGTGGAGCCTGGTGGGAGGTTTTTGGATGATGGGGGTGGATCCCTCATGAATAAATGGTTTGAGCCATTTCCTTGGTGATAAGTGAGCTCTTCCCCTGAGTTCACATGATATCTGGTTGTTTAAAAGTGTGTAGCACTCCCCACCTCCCCACCAGCACCACTATGTCTCTCTTGCTCTTGGTTTCACCGTGTGAACTGCCTGCTCTTGCTTCACCTTCTGCCATAGTTAAAGCTTCCTGAGGCCGCCCCAGAAGCAGATGACACTATGCTTCCTATAAAGCCTGCATAACCATGAGCCAACTCAACCTCTCTTCTTATAAATTACCCAGTCTTAGGTGTTTCTTTATAGCAATGCAAGAATGGCCTAATGCACATTGACTCTTGGTTTATTTCAACCCTTTTATCATGTTCTTGATCATTTTTCTGTGATTTTATTCCATGTAACTTTTGGACAAATATTCATGTTCTAATATAGAGACTTTTATTAGCTGAGCTACTTAAATGATTCTTAGCTTTTTTTTTCCCCCTTACTTCTATCAAGCATGCCAAGTGATATTCAAATTTGAGACATTCTCATGGGGATATCTACGGTTATATACAACCCACAAAGTACACCTTATGGTGTCATTCTTTTCTTCTCTTTCAGAAAAGCATGTACTAATGGAATTTGGTGAGAATAACATTGTAGGAATAAACTTGAATAAGCTCTAATTATTAAAATGTCATTTAAAATTTTGGTAATTTTTTTATTAGTAACAAATTACAACACACTGATATGAGGAATATGTGGTTGTGAACTTTACATAAAATTTAAATTACCTGAAAATTTTAAAACTCAAATGTGAAAATGGTATCACAATGTTTTCAATGTTATCAGTCTTTTCAAAAATTATTTTTAAGACTTTGTTAACTTGTCCGTTTACTATTTCATTGATTTCTACTTTCATCTTTCTTGTTTCTATTTTCTTACATATTTTGGCTTTAATTTGTTCTTGATTTTTTTCTGATTCTTAAGATGGAAGCATAGATTACTGATTTTAGAATTTTTTCCCTAATATAAGCATTTAAAGCTATAAATGTTCCCTAACCACTGCTTTAGCTGTATCTCACATGTTTTTGATATGCTTTATTTTCATCATCACTTAGTTCAAAAAATTTTCTAACTTTATTGTGATTTCTTGTTAGACCCATAGATTGTTTGATTTCCATATATTTGGTATTTTTCGAGTATCTTTTTGTTATTAATTTATAATTGAATTCTGTTATGGTAAAATAATATACTGTGTATAATTTTCATATTTTAATTTTATTGGGATTTGTTTTATGCCTTAATATATTACCTTCTTAGTGATTGTTTCACATGCCCTTGAATAGGATGGGTATTCTGTATTGTTGAGCATATTTTCTACAAATGTTAATGAGTCAAATTGATTGACAGTGTTGCTCAAATCTTTCTTTTTTTAAATTATACTTTAAGCTCTAGGGTACATGTGCACAACTTGCAGGTTTGTTACATATGTATACATGTGCCATGTTGGTGTGCTGCACCCATTAACTCGTCATTTATATTAGGTATATCTCCTAATGCTTTCCCTTCCCCCACCCCCCACCCCACAACAGGCCCTGGTGTGTGATGTTCCCCTTCCCGTGTCCGTGTGTTCTCATTGTTCAATTCCCACCTATAAGTGAGAACATGTGGTGTTTGGTTTTTTGTCCTCGTGGTAGTTTGCTAAGGATAATGGTTTCCAGCTTCATCCCTGTCCCTACAAAGGACATGAACTTATCATTTTTTAAGGCTGCATAGCATTCCATGGTGTATATGTGCCACATTTTCTTAATCCAGTCTATCATTGATGGACATTTGGGTTGGTTCCAAGTCTTTGCTATTGTGAATAGTGCCGCAATAAACCTACGTGTGCATGTGTCTTTCTAGCAGCATGATTTATAATCCTTTGGGTATATACCCAGTAATGGGATGGCTGGGTCAAATGGTATTTCTAGTTCTAGATCCTTGAGGAATCGCCACACTGTCTTCCACAATGGTTGAACTAGTTTACAGTCCCACCAACAGTGTAAAAGTGTTCCTATTTCTCCACATCCTCTCCAGCACCTGTTGTTTCCTGACTTTTTAATGATCCCCATTCTAACTGGTGTGAGATGGTATCTCATTGTGGTTTTGATTTGCATTTCTCTGATGGCCAGTGATAATGAATGTTGCTCAAATCTTTCATACCCTTACCCATTTTTGGTCACCATTTTCTATTAATTATTGAAAAAGTAAGGTTGAAAAGTAAATTTTTCCACTGTAATTGTGAATTTGTCTATCTCTGTCTTCCATTTTGTAAGATTTTGCTTCATACATTTTGAAATATTTTTAAGAAAAATCTTCAGTCTGAAAGAAAATGAAACCATTTACACACCCAGATCTATACAACAGAATGAATAATGCAAGAAATGGTAAATATGCAGGCAATATAGATTTTTTCCTATGTCTTAATTAATTTAAAATATAATTGATTATTTATAGTGAAGATAATAACAATGTATTGTGAGACTTATTACAGAATGGAAGCAAATATCACAAAATATGAGAAACAGTAAGTGGAAATATATGGTTGTAAAGTTCTTACATTTAATATTAAATCATATAGTACCAATATATAATAGACCATAATACATAAAGGATACATTTTATAATTCCTAGTGTAAACACATAAAAGAAAAACTGAAAAGCCAATAAATGAACTAAAATAGAAGTGTAAAAAATAATCCCAAAAAGGAAAGAAAAAAAAACAATAAATGAAAACAGATGGAACAAATAGAAAACAAATGGCAAGACCATAGCCTTAACCCTAATTGTGCCAATAATACTAAACTCTCTAATCAAAAGGTAGAAATTGTCACACTACATTAAAAACCAAGACCCAATCCCATGCTGTTTACAAAAGATATATATTGACAGCTTAAAAGCAAAATAATAGCAAATGTATATATTATGTAAACACCAATTAAAAGAAGGCTGAGTGGCTGTAATATCTAACAAACTAGACTTCAAGATTAGAAGTATTGCCAGAGATGAAAGGAAACATTTACTAACAATAACACAAAAATCTGGCAATGTCCACCCACATCTCGGTAGATTTTTCAACGGCCATTAATACTGATGGCTATTGAGATACTGATAGAATGTCTTAATATGGACTACAAGCACTTACATGGTTTTACCTCTACTTCTCTCTTCACCTTTATCTAGCCATCTTTCTATTAACTCCTCCTCCTTCAGCTCCCATTTCATGCTTCCCTTCTTCTGAGGGTCTTCTCTGTCATCCTGTTGAGTTAAATTCCTTCCTTACACAGACCCATTACCACTGTTAATACCTATTTCTCCTTTGTAAAACACTTTTTCAATGATCAAGGCTGTTTGATTTAGGTCTATCGCTACATAAATGAAAGTAGAGACCAGGTCTATTTTCCCCTTCATAATGCCAAGTACAATGAAAGCACACAACATATACTCAATAAATATCCCACTGGATGGACAGATGGATAGATAGATAGATGATACATTGATTGATCCTGGATCTTTAAAAGGACGCAGAGACCTCTTAACCATTTGAGAATAATGCTTATGCTCCAGTCTTAATCCACCTTGGGCACACTTTATAACTAAATGCTCAACCCAGAATACTGAAAGAGTGTCATCAATATCTAAACAACTAGAAAAAGTTATCAACATACAATCAACACACTTTGAACGTTCTTCTCTCCAAACTCAGCCCATAGCATGTATTTATTTGACAACCAGTGTGCAAGACCTATGCTGATGTAAAACTGTCAGAGTGTTAAATGTACTTATCTCAAACTCATCACCACAGGTAAATACAAAAATGTGATAAATAACAGATGGAAGTCTGGACTACCTTATTTTAAAATTTCAGGTGTTCTGAATGAGAACACTTGGACACAGGAAGGGGAACATCACACCCCAGGGCCTGTTGTGGGGTGGGTGGAGTGGGGAGGCATAGCATTAGGAGATATACCTAATGTAAGTGATGATTTAATGGGTGCAGCACACCAACATGGCACATGTATACATATGTAGCAAACCTGCATGTTGTACACATGTACCCTAAAACTTAAAGTATAATAAAAAAAAAAAAAAGAAAGAAAACAGATATTCGGCTGGGTGTGGTGGCTCACACCTGTAATTCCGCATTTTGAGAGGCTGAAGCAGGCAGATTGCTTGAGCCCAGGAGTTCAAGACCACCCTGGGCCACATAGTGAAACATCATCTCTACAAAAAATATAGAAATTAATGGGGCATGGTGGTGCACGCCTGTGGTCTTTGCTACTCAGAAGTCTGAGGTGGGAGGATTGCTTGAGCCCAGGAGCCAGAGATTGCAGTGAGCCATTATCACACCACTGCATTCCATCCGGGGCCACAAGTGAGACCCTGCCTCAAAAAAGAAAATGAGTATTGTTTACAGCAAGAACTGAAAATTGTTTTTAATCCTGTTAGTAGCATTAGAGAGATTAAGATACATTAACATATTTTGTCATTGGAATTCAGTGAAATACTGAAATGTTTTAAGAAAAATATATTTTGATTAATTCTTTTTAAAGTAGAAGCATGTTAATTGCTAAATACTTTCATTGTGAAATTGTGGATTATTTACTATAGCTTTATTTTTAAAGCTTTGCAAAAAACTGGGTGGCTCATGTGTTACAGCCCTGGATGGTTATTATGTGGAGTCCATTATTTGTGTTTTCATTGGATTTGGTTGGTGGTTCTTTCTTGGTCCAAAATTTAAAAAGTTACAGGATGAAGGATCATCTTCATGGAAATGCAAAAGGAGCAATTAATATATACAGTACTTGACATTCTAGGAAAGTAATTGTAGTTTAGTTTTAATTTGGAGAGCAATGATAATCTGTGCACAGGAGTATAAAATATTATTTTAAACAGTGAAATTAATAATATAAAATGCCATATGGTTGAAAAAATAGAAACCTTTCTGTATATTTGATCATGTTTTTTTTTTGCCTTGTCGATGTATTTAAAGTTTACTTAAGGTCAAGAAATTCTAAAACAACTTTCCTGGCCTTGTTATTTGATTTATATCTTTTAAATTTACTGACCAAAGCATGTTTTAAGCTGCAATGCAGTAGTCATGGGTGGTAACCATGTAGTCAAGTATTGTTATTAGTACCTATCACTGCTAAGCTGTATTTAAAATTTTAGTACAATATATAAAATGGAGAAGAGCTTGGTATTCAGGTACTAACCACAACTAGTCTGACATCCTTGGCAGTTAAAATCTTATTTTGAATAGTAAATTAGTTAAATTTTATGTGGAATTTGCCAAGAATAGAATATAGACTACTGAAATGTCATTTTAGTTATTTTTCTTATGGCCACATTGTACAAATGAATCTGTGTTAAAAAGACTATTTTAAATGTATTTCCTGCTTTTGTAAGCATTAAAGATTTATAAGAAAATTATTCAAACTATTTTTTATAAAATGAAAGTTATGATTTTTAAACTTATTGATTCCTCTTGCCTCTACCCCCTCTTTTGGGAAGATATTTTGATTCCTTATAAACTTTTACCCTAAGCTTACATATGTTTTCTGTCACAAGTGCTTCATGGCACACAGCCAGCCAATGGAGGGGATAAAATTCAGTGTTGTATGTATGTTTATGGCAATGTTTTGAAAATAAAAATTAAATGTTAAAAAAAAATTTCAGGTGTTCTGATAAAGATGATCATGGAAAGAAAGGGGTAACTGCATAAAATAATAATGAATTCAAAGAAATACATTCAATTACAGTAAAGGGCTATTTTCATTATCCCTCTGGTGTTTGAAGGTACTTACCTCTAAAGTTGAATTAGATTCTTCTGCTAATCTGCTACTGTTTATTTTTCTCTCAGTTGGCTAGTGCAGTTGGGGTTTTTAAATCTTGTTTTGTTTTGTTTTTTTAAATTTTCTCCTAAGGACTATTGTTAATTTAATTCATGAGAATTTTTGGACAGCAGCTGGGGAAAACCATTGTTTACTGAGTAAGTGTCATAAGACATCTTGTGGATTCTATTTGTTCCTAAAATAACTCAATAATAATTGATTAGACCCAACAGGTGTCTGGCCCCTAATTGAGTCAATCCCACATAGTACATAGATGGAGGAAAAGAGCATCCTGAGGGTTTTATGAGCTAGTTCAATGATTTTTTACTCCCTACATTACATATGTTGACTTTGGTTGTTACCATAGTGGAAATTAGCTTCCAAATAGAACCACTGGCTGGGTTTCATTGATAGCTTGAAAATGATGTAAACCCTGTACCCAGTTTGTATCTGCTCACACCTCTCATCCCTACCCGTCTTATTATGCCATTGGACACAGTTACTTAAAAAGTGCTTTCTGAATAATTGCCTGAAGTAATTATTCATAGGATCTTTAAAAAATGCAAGATATAACCAGAATAACTTTCAATATCTTTGAAACTCTTTTAAGTTTCAAGCAAAGTGGGCTTTGTTACTCATTTCATAAAGGAGACATCTGATTGCATTAATAGATGGTTTAGCATGTCTGGCAAATGTATCCATTATGGAATGAGGACTTAAAAAATAGCTCAATTGTTTTAAAATATTGGGCAAAGTTCATATTCAACAGAAATGCTAAACCACTTATTAATGTGATCATTCTCTTTGATTGCACCTACACTCATTTTGAATATCACTATGGAAACCAGAGAAACTGTCCTTAGTGAAACATAATGGGGCTTTAAAAAATACATTTTAAAATCACCTGCAAACAATAGCCTCCAAATCAAAGGCTCTAGACTAGTTTTTAGTTTTCCTCTTTTTTAGAATCCTAAACATAATTCAGTTACCTAACAAAGAAAAGTGAGCTGCTTTTGAATAAAGAAATTTAGCCTTAATATTTCCTTAGAAATATTAAAAATTTGGAACGAATGTGAATAGGCATGATTTTTTGTTTGTCTTTCTGATTATTCTGAACTAGACAGACAAAAAGAGAATATATTGGGATACAAGGGTCATCAGAGTTCAAGTTATTCCAAACTCAGCTGACACAGGAAATGCTGGAAATCTCATGAAAAATTAGTTGTATTTCTTGAAGAAAAAAGCACTTAGGAATAAACTTTATGTCAATGGATTTTATTTTTTATAGAGCTGATGAGGTCTGAGAGACATGAATGGGCATGCAGTTCCATCTAGCATGGAGGTAGGTGGAAGAAACCTCCTGGGTTCCTGGAGAGCTACAGACTATATTTTGTTTGTCACTCTATTTGAAGCATCTAGTTAGGAAGTAGGACTAGCATTCATGTTGTTTATAGAATGTTGAACAAAAGAATAAATGAATATAAGCATAACTGAAAGAAGCTAAATTCTTAGTACAAATTCATTGACAAAATCCACATTTTAGCACCTGAGAAGGATTTGAGGCTTGTAGAGAAAGACAAGGAAAGAAAGCACATGATATGGTTTTAATTTGTGATTATTTAACCCAGTTGTTTTTAACCTTGGAAGCATTTTGAAAAGATAATGAGTTTTCATCTATGCCTTTCGAAGACTGGACTTAAGTGGTCTAGAGTATGACTCAGGCATCTCTTTTGAGGAATACATTTCTCTTCCCAAAGTGCTTACTTAGGTCAAAGGACCCAAAAGTTTCAAAGGACAAGAAACAAGGAAATATGATCAGTCCATTAGCCAAGGTCTGCTTCTTATGTTGCAATACTTTTTCAGAGTACACAGAGATCTTCTATCCCCAGTGGAACAATTGAACTGTGATATTCTGTGCCAAAGTGGGTTGATATTCCCAACTGGGATTGCTTTTAGTGCTCAGCTCCTGAATTCCAAACAGGGTCATTTTATTCAAGGCAAGCTGAGTCCAGCACAGCTACACTGCCCTTCCAGTCCTTTTCTCTGACACCCAGGGCCTTGGCATTGGAGCCAGGTTATCAGCCCAGAAAAGACTCTTTCTTGTGGTGAGTTTCTTCTTTTGGTAATTATAAAATCCATTGTCAATATTCTGTTCTGCTTAAACCAGCTAGTGTGAATTCAGTTCTCTGCAACTGAACACTGATAGACACATTCATTCAATATTTATATCTGGCTGATACAGAGCTTATCACTAATATTCCAGACTATTGGCTCTTTGATTGCACAGACTAGATTCATTTTTTTACAACTCTATTTCCATAGAATAGATGTAGCACAATATTTAACACCTAATAGGTGCTCAATAAACAAAGCTTTCTCCATACAGCAGAAAAGATTGCTGCCAGCAGCCCCAGATGCATTTCTTACAGCTTAAAGTTCTGGAAAGACAATGAATGTCTTTTCTTATTGTTTTGGCAGAAAAGTGGCTAGGAGGGGTCAACTTAGCATAGTTTTGGTTAAATCCAATCTCTGAATGTCTCTGGATTATGGGACACTTTAAGTGGCTAGGTCAAGTCACATACTCATTTCTGAGGCTGGGAAACTGTGGGCCATCTCCACCTGAAACATCTGAAATAGATACCTGTAAAGGATGTGTAATTGTTCAGGTGTTAGTTTCAAACGGAAGATCTGCTTCATAAATTGTTAATATAAGTCATTTACTAATCTATAGAGGTATAGTAAAATCAGAATACCTGAAGAAGACTCAGAAACTCCTGCCACATCATAGCTTATGCCTTTTTCAGTTGTGTCAGAAATAGTTCATATTTACCACTTAAATTTATTTATCTGTAGTGTTAAACAAATGTTTTTATAGAGGTCATGATCTAGACAAATATTCTGTGGTAAAAGCCCACTAATTCTATTACAGCTCCTCAAGGAAGATATTATATTATCAACAGAAATGAGAATGGGTACTGGGCAGGTAGAAATAACAGATGTCGACTACATTCTAACTCTTAGCTGTATGGCGTTTATATATATATATATCTTTTTCTCAATGCATGCAATTTCAGAAATTCCTGCATTTGACCAGTATGAAACTGAAAGGGCATTCATCCATTCTGCAAGTTGAAACAACCCGAAGTCCATCTAGTTACTGCACCCAATTCCAAGATATCTGAATGATATACATTTTATTTTGGTTAGTCCAAATGAATATTTAACAACTTTAGCTTACTGATAAGCCCATCCAGCAAAACTCTTAACAAAAGTTCCCATTTAGAAAAGGGGAGAAGGCTAAACAACATGTAGAGGTCTCCGTCTGTGGCATGTACCGTATCCCATTGGATGGGGAAAGCAGAGACTCCCTGCCCTGGCAAAGGAATGAGTTTCTTGGCCAGCTAATCTGGTTGCTTCCAGTTTCACTCCCTGAGAGGATTTCCTTTTCCTATTACCTGTCACAGTTTCTTATGTGAGGTGCATTTGAGAGCTTCCTCTTCTGGGGAACATTCTGTTTTAACAATTCCTATCATTGTAGGTTCAGGAACTTGGAGATGGCCTCAGGTTTGAACAGCCTGGTTACCAGCCTTGGGTTTCCTTGGATCTCCCAACTTCCTTAATGTCTCATCTTAGTGATGACTAAATTGAATTCTTGAGACTGTGTGGGTTAGAAACCAAGGCCAGGATGTGACACTTGAATCTGGACTCTACCTTGTATCTGTCAATTCTCAACTGGCCGCTATACTTACCTTTAGCCTAACATTCACCTTGGCCTGCTAATACAAACCCATGGGTTACACTAATGAGGCTGGGCTCTGCTACATCCTATACCCAGGCTTCATTCCATGGGATAGTGCCTTATATTGGAGATAATTATTCTTTTGTGGGAGCCAAGAATATTCAGCAAAGTGTTTGGCGGCCCTCAGTAAACAGAACTCAGCTAATTCTTTGGTCCTTCCTGTGTCCAAAACTTATTTTCCTCTGTGCTTCCTGCTTCCCTGTCTTTGCTAATACTAACTTTAAACAACGTGGGCCAGAAAATTCAGCTTCTTAAATCCCCCAGGGTCCATGATTATCTGGCTCTCCGAGATTTTGAAGTCTGGCCTGTAAGCAACAAGGACTTCCTTAGCATGGCTGCATGCTGGTTCTATTTCCAGATGTGTCTGTTTTTAGATACTTACCTTTTTTAGAACTTTACTAATAGCTGTAAAAAATGATTAACACACTCCAACATCCTGATATTGTTCCTGTCTCCTAATGCTCTAACCTCAGTGATAATATGACCTATGTTACAAGATACAAGTAACTGTTAAATTAGTTTGTTGACTAAATTAAAAAAAAATCGAGCTCTCAAAAAATTAGTTTCATGCAGAAGTCTTGCTGAGGACTGTTGACTGAAGACTAGAGCCCAGGAGGAATTCTTCAGAGAGGTTTTGTCAGACTCCTCCAAAATGGTGCTTTAGCTCACAGCTTATACACAGGTAGTAGGGGTTCAGTATGTTCAAAATCATAGCAAAGTTTGGGTGTAAGAGTACATCTGGTTATGGAGGCATAGTCACTATGCCTGACAGATGCTATCTTATGTATAGGAAAAGGCAAGAACTAGGGTCATTTATCTTTTAAAGAGTATAGTGACTCAGGCAAGAGACGTGGGGGCCATATGCTCTATCCTGTTTTGTCTTCAAAGCATCCCTCTGAAGAGCTGCAGGTTGTCAGAGTCAGGGGCTTTATGAAACTACGTTGGCAAGCAGAAACAAGCAAACATGATTTACTACATTTGCTACTTTGGCTCACAGTCAGCTGACATAAACACACCCTAATAAGACTTGCCATCTTCCAAAATGATGGTAAAAGTTCTTCTTTGTGCTTCATTGCAATTGCAACTCAGTTGAGTTTATTTCATGTTTTGGTGTTTGTCACCTATGACATTCCACTCTGAATATCAATTTTGTGTCAACCAAGACTCTTTTGGGATAAAGTAACAGAATCCACTTCATACCTATTTAAAAAGAAAAGAGAACATGGACATATGTAATAGGGCATATGTGGTTTTGGGCACAGTTAAATCCACGGAATCAAATGATATTTTCAGGTTGCTAACTCTGTATTTCCAGATAAGCCCCTTCCTGTGGTGGGAAAGATAGCCACCAGCATCTCTAGACGCATATCCTATTCACAGAAAGAAATGGTCTTTCCCAGTAGTTTTTATAAAACATCCTAGGAAGGATCTAATTGGCTCAGCTTGTTTCAGATGTCATTGCAGAACCAATTACTGTGACCAGAAATAAGAGATAATTTGACTGGTCATGTCTGGCTAAATCCAGACCCTGTAACTTGGGATTGGATGCAGGATTGGCCCTAATTAAATAGCCTGGAATGGATTTTCTCAGGAAAGATTCTATGTATTATCCTAAAAGGTAAAAAGATTTATTGTGATGTTGTTATGTACTCAATTTATATTCTATAATTTTCAACTGAAAGCGTCTTCATTGATAGAAATATGTGTTAATTACAGACAATCTGGACTTACAATGGTTCCACATGATTTTTTCAACTTTATGGTGGTACAAAAGCAACATGCATTTAGTAGAAATCATACTTCAGGTATCCATATAACCATTCTGTTTTTCACTTTCAGTATAGTATTCAATAAATTCCATAAGATATTGAATACTGTTGTTTTTTTTTAATTTTTTTGAGACAGGGTCTCACTCTGTCACCCAGGCTAGAATGCAGTGGTGCCATCATAGCTCTCTGTAGCCTGGAATGCTTGGGATTAAGAAATTATCCTCAGATTCCAGTATAGGTGTACACCAGCACACTTGGCTAATTTTTTACTTTTTGTAGAGATGGGATCTCACTATGTTGCCTAGGCTGGCCTCGAACTCCTGGTTTCAAGTGATCCTCCTCCCGCAGTCTCTTAAAGTGCTGAGATTACAGGTGTGAGCCACAGTGCCTGGCCAGCACTTTATTATTAAATAGGTTTGGTGTTAGATGATTTTGCCCATCTGCAGGCTAATGTAAATGTTCTGAGCATAATTAAGGTAGGTTGGGCTAAGCTATGGTGTTCAGTAGGTTAGGTGTATTAAATGCATTTTTGACTTAAAATATTTTCAATTTATGATGGGTTTTTTGGGGTATAATCCCATCTTAAGTCTAGGGGCATCTGTATATTCTAATCTAGAAATCAGAGAAGCTAAATTAGACTGAATATATTTTGCTTCTCCTTTCTTTTCCCTTTTTAAAATGTTACTCTGATAAGATTGTTTCCCTAAGTGGTTGGGACTAAGGGGGAAGGCAGGGAGATTTTGAATGAGTTTAGCCAGATACCTGTGTCTCTTCAGAGTGTAGATAATGACACCCTCAGAAGTCAAGGGGCATAGAGAGAGTGTTGGAGATAAGCAGGAGGGCGGTATCAATAAACATTTTTCTGGAATAAAAACAATTTTGGTGAATCTGGGATTTAATGACAATAATTTGCAATGTCTCTTTGGCATTGAAAAGGAGATGGGATAGTGTTTTGCTTTGAGCCTTCAGCTCCCGTCCTACTCAACCCATCTGTACCAACTGATTTTAAAAGGCAATAAAATGCTCATTAACTATCTCCCAATACATTTGACAACTGTGGAAATAATATAAAACAGAAAGCGAGAATTGGCCCTTGTTTGAAAGCACTTAAATTCTATTCAGGCAGCAATGAAATTCTGTAGTAGCCAAAAGCCTTTCAAGCACTCAGCAAGTTACAAATCCTCTGATTCGAGTCTTCAGGGAGAAAGACATTGCTAGTGAATCCAATAAAAGTTTTCTGCAGCTAGGTAATGACCACACATGTAGCTTTACAGTCTTTAAGAAAAAAAATGAGACCGGGCACATTGATTCACGCCTGTAATCCCAGCACTTTGGAAGGCTGAGGCAGGCAGATCACTTGAGGCCAGGAGTTCCAGACCAGCCTGGCCAAAAAGGCAAAAAACCCCGTCTCTACTAAAAATACAAAAATTAGCTGAGTCTGGTGGTGTGTCCTGTAGTCCTAGCTACTTGGGAGGCTGAGTTAGGAGAATCACTTGAACCCAGGAAGCGGAGGTTACAGTGAGCTGAGATCACACCTGTACTCCAGCCTGGGTGACAGAGCAAAAGTCTGTCTTAAAAAAAAAAAAGAGTAAAAGCAAAATAAATAAAAGGTAACATGAGATATACTGAGTAAGAAATTTACACCATTTTCCAAAGCTGTGCTGCCCGGTAGAAATACAACGTAACCCACAAATGTGAGACACATAGGTAATTTCAAATTTTCCAATAGCCACATTTTAAAAAGGGAAAAAGAAATAAGGAAAATTCATTTAATAACATACTTAATCCAATATATTCAAAATATTATTTCAAATATTTATTCAAGATATTTTCAACTATTTCAACATATGGTCAACATAAAAATAATTTATGTGATATTTTACATTCCTTTTTTTTGGTATTAAGTCTTCCAAATCCAGCGTGTGTTTTAGTCTCGATTTGACCTGGCCACATTTCTAGTCAATAGGCATGTGTGGCTAGTCACTACCCCGCTGGACACTGCAGTGCTATCACTTCATGGTGAAAGTACAGGGCTGCAACAATGGACAGGGCATTGGGTTTGTGTTAAGCAGATGTGAGAATGGATAACTGGCTTGACTGTGTTGCTTCACCTTGTCAAATTACTTATCCTCCGAGTCTCAGTTTTCATATCCATAAAATAATAATAATATTTCCTTTGTAGAATTTCATGCAGGTTAAAAATAACATTCACAAAGCATTAGCTATATAGTTGGCTCTCAATAACTGTAGCTATATTTAATCATATTCTGATATATGAAGCACAGGTGATTTTTTTCTTTCTTTCTTTTTTTTTTTTTTTTTTGAGACAGAGTCTCACTCTGTCACCCAGGCTGGAGTGCAGTGGCGCAATCTTGGCTTACTGCAACCTCCGCCTCCTGGGTTCAAGCAATTATCTTGCCTCAATCTTCCAAGTAGCTGGGACTACAGGCAAGTGCCACCATGGCCAGCTAATTATTTGTATTTTTAGTAGAGACGGGGTTTCACCGTGTTAGCCAGGATGGTGTCGATCTCCTGACCTCGTGATCCGCCTGCCTCAGCCTGTGAAAGTGGTAGGATTACAGGCATGAGCCATTGTGCCCAGCCAGGTGATTTCCTTTGAAGGCAAAAATTTTATGATTTTCACTCAAATGTAGAAGGGGATCTTTAAAATCGACCAAACTTCTGAAATATGATTTTAAAGATAAACAACCAGGACTTTGTTTCACATTTGCTTTTCTAGTAGATTCTGTTTATGTGTTCTTTCTTTGTATTTCAAGATAATATGAGGCTTTCTCCACTACTACATTGTCTTACTTACTAATGATGAATGTATCTATTAGACAATATTTGGAAGAGAGGTTCACACAAATCTAGAAGTGTTAGGCAATATGTAAGTTTTGTGAAAATTAATGTGAGAGCAGGGAGCATGGCTTTGTAATCCTGGTTTCTCATCACAGAGACTATGGAAGGATTTTTGTATAAAGAAAATGATCAAGAATTCTCATGGAATTGAGCAGAATTTGAAAATATCTTTTAAACAAAGGAGTGAAATTTAATACAAAGTCAATGGACTTTGTAGTCCCAGCTACTCGGGAGGCTGAAGTGAGACAATCACTTGAACCCAGGAGGTGGAGGTAGCAGTGAGCTGAGATCCCATCTGTACTCCAGCCTGGATGACAGAGCAAGAGTCTGTCTCAAAAAAAAAAAAAAAAAAAAAAAAAAAGAAAGAAAGGAAGAAAAGGAAAGAAAAAGAAATATGAGTAAGGGCAAAATAAATAAAAGGTAACATGAGACATATTGAGTAAGAAATTTACACCACTTTCCAAAGCTGTGCTGTCTAGTAGAAATGCAATGCAAGACACAAATGTGAGACACACAGGTAATTTCAAATTACAAATTGAACAGAGTCAATGTCCAATTTTTTGTACAATATATAGATTTGGTCTTGTTTTTTATTGCAAGGTACAATTTTAGCAATAAAAACCAATAAAATTACACGAATGCCTTTTCTTTTTTTCTTTTCTTTTTTTGACACAGAATCTCGCTGTGTCACCCAGGCCTGAATGCAATGGCACGATTTTGGCTCACTGCAACCTCTGCCTCCCAGGTTCAAGCAATTCTCCTGCCTCAGCCTCCGAGTAGCTGGGATTACAGGTATGTGCCACCATGCATGGCTAATTTTGTATTTTTAGTAGAGATGAGGTTTTACCATGTTGGCTAGGGGACATACATTTTCTATGACAACTTAAAACCAAGTGCTATATAAATTAAGAGTACGGATGCATATTTAACAAATGTGTTTAAGACCTAAGATGATTTCCTACTTTTCAGATCCTAAATTTAGTGTGGTTTATCAGCCCCACTTTAGACAGGCACTGTTGAAGGAGACTGAGAAATAGAACCCAGTAGGAATAAGTCATGATAAAAGTATCTACTGGGATAAGTGACGGGAGGAAATCTAGAATTATTATGCAACATATAAGTTCTGTGAAAATAAATGCAGAAAACTAAGCTTGCTTGTTTAAAACATAATGTTCTTTTTTTTTTCTTTTTTTTTTGAGACAGAGTCTCGCTCTGTCGCCCAGGCTGGAGTGCAGTGGCGCGATCTCGGCTCACTGCAACCTCCGCTTCCCAGGTTCAAGCAATTCTCCTGCCTCAGCCTCCTGAGTAGCTGGGATTACAGGCGCCCACCACCATGCCCAGCTAATTTTTGTATTTTTAGTAGAGCCGGGGTTTCACCATGTTGGTCAGGCTGGTCTCGAACCCCTGACCTCGTGATCCACTGGCCTCAGCCTCCCAAAGTGCTGGGATTACAGGCATGAGCCACTGCACCCGGCCAAAACATATCTGTTCTTTACTCCAGAAAGAAAAAGAAGACCCACTAAAAAATCTTGCTTTTGTAAAGATAAAATATTTTCAGTATTTTGTATCAAATTTGAGAAAAGAAAGTCTTAATGTAGAAGGCCAAATATGAGAGAATGTTGAGTTATTCTTGGTAATGAGGGGAGGCAGACAAGAATCATGCCAGCACTGAATACCAAATTACACAAGAAAATTTGACTATAAAAACATGAACAGAGCAGCCACCTGAATTATAATTTTTGCAGCATTTGGCATTTTTGAGACATTCATGGTGGCTTACATGGAAACACATCATGAAATACTTCTAATAAGATTTTAAGCCTACTTTACCTGAAGTTAGGATTAAACATTACCTTGTCAGTTTAATATTAACCAAATTTGCCTGGTGTGGTGGCTCACACCTGTAATCCCAGCACTTTGGGAGGCTGAGACAGGTGGATCACTGAAGGTCAGGAGTTTGAGACCAACCTGGGAAACATGGTAAAACTTTGTCTCTACTAATAATACAAAAAATTAGCTAGGCATAGTGGTGGGCACCTGTAATCTCAGCTACTCAGGAGGCTGAGGCAGAAGAATCACTTGAACCTGGGAGGCAGAGGTTGCAGTGAGCTGAGATCACACCACTGCACTCCAGCTTGGACAACAGAACAAGAATCTGTCTAAAAATATATATACGTATTGAAGTTATCTATTTTTCCCTGGTTCATTAAATAAACAACTAATTTTACTCTTAAAAATCAAGTCTTCTTATGACTGTGACATGTTTTCAGAAAAAAAAATTAAGTCTTAAGTCTTCACTCGTGAAAGACTATTTTGGGGGAATCTTTATTTAGAAATTATTGTCTTCTCATTGTTAAAATATTTACAGAATGTCTAATCGAGACTTTCACATAGTGGGTGCCTCCTAAATTTTGATGACTGAATGAATCAGGGATAATTTGAATATTAAAACCAATTAAATTACAATAATAACAGAAAAAGATTAGTATGCAAAGGTTGAAGTTCAGTTTCATTCTAGAGATAAGAAAACATTTTGTGAGAGATTCTTCAAATGCACTCTAAATTTCAGTGGCCATTTATTTATTTATTTATTTATTTTTGAGATAAGAGTTTTGCTCTTGTCACCTGGGCTAGAGTGCAGTGGTGCAATCTAGGCTCACTGCAACCTCTGCCTCCCGGGTTCAAGTGATTCTCCTGCCTCAGCCTCCCAAGTAGCTGGGATTATAGGCACCCACCACCACCGCCAGCTAATTTTTTTTTTTTTTGTATTTTTAGTAGAGATGAGGTTTCACCATGTTGGCCAGTCTGGTCTCGAACTCCTGACCTCAGGTGATCTGCCTGCCTCAGTCTCCCAAAGTGCAAGGATTACAGGTGTGAGCTACTGTGCCTGGCCATTTATTAATACACTCCCACACTTTAGATATTCTGTGCTCTTCACTCCAAGTAGAATCTGAAAATAACAGAAATATGAGATTTTTGAAATATTATACATAAAAAACTCCCTCTCCAATTATTGTTATGCTGTATGTTTTTATTTTTGGCTGGGTCAACCTATGTAAGACAAATTATCTGGCGAAACAGGTTCTTATCTATTTGATCCTAGTTGCTTCTAACAACTGATAGCACAAAACTGAAAGTGGGTGAGCCACATCTGTTGTTATTTTTTGAACCAATTTCATCTATATTTTGGCTTCGTTGTAAACTTTGTGCTCAAAATTCATAGGATCTCTCTAAACTCCATGTTCAGTATACATATTTGTGATGGTTAATACTGAGTGTCAACTTGATTTGATTGAAGGATGCAAAGTATTGACCCTGGGTGTGTCTATGAAGAGATTAACATTCCAGTCAGTGGGCTGGGAAAGGCAGACCCACCCTTAATCTGGGTGGGCGCCATCTAATCAGCTGCCAGTGCAGCCAGAATAAAAAGCAGGCAGAAGAACGTGAAAAGACTAGACTGGCTTAGCCTCCCAGCCTACATCTTTCCCCCATGCTGGCTGCTTCCTGCCCTTGAACATCAAACTCCAAGTTCTTCAGCTTTGGGACTCTGACTGGCTTCCTTGCTCCTCTGCTTGCAGACAGACTATTGTGGGACCTTATGATCACATGAGTTAATACTTCTTAATAAACTCCCCTTTATATATATATTTATCCTATTAGTTCTGTCCTTCTAGAGAACCCTGACTGATATAGTATGTATGTAATTTCTTAAATTGCGATTGCCAGTAGAAAAAAAAATAAAAATAAAATCAATGAATTAAAATACTGGTTGATCACAACAACAAACTGAAGTTTCAAGTAAACACTGAGGACTGTTTTATGGATACTATTATCTTCAGTTCTAATTCTAATTGTTCACCAACTGTGGTCCATTAAATTCAGGTTCTGGATGTGCATAGTGAACTAAGGGTCTTGCTGTATATTGTATACTCTGCTTCTGTAATATAATTGCAATTGCAACAGAAACATCTCTCCCTAGGTTTATTATGTAGTAAATGTACCCATGCAAAAGCATGATGGAAAAAGAGTGGGTTAAATGTAAAATCGAGGTCTTAATGGTGCAATTGAAGACAAGGTCCTGCCATTGTTTTCCTGAAATATTTTGTGCACTTCTTTTGTTTTCTTTATTTCAATTTTTCTGTTTGTTAAGGGGCAGTTATATTCAAACACTTTCTAGTTAATACATTAGTTGTAAGGATTAATGGACCCTCATAAGTTGCAAAGAGAAAGACATATCTATTGGCAAAAAGAACTGATGGAATCAAATAGATAAGAAGCCAAGTATGTTTCTGAGTGAGTGATTATGTTGATAAAACCCAGCAGGGACTAAAAGAGACTGTGGCTTCTTGAGGCTTGGGCCCCTAAACTTTCCTGAGTGAAAAGCAGCCTGGGACTGCACCTTGGCTCCCAATGAGACCATGATCTCCAACATTCTTTTCAGATGTAGCCAAAGAGGATAATGGAAAAGGAAGGCTTCTCAGAGGGCAAAGCTAAGCCCTATGGAGAAGAACGAACTGTACAGGCATTGCTGGGGGTGAGTTCAGAGAATTATCAAGGAACATCCCCCAGCCTCAGGGAAACAGTGGCCTCTTACAACTTCCCAGTGGGATTTCAAACTTTTACAGGCCATGACTATTGTATGTCCTGGTCTTCCCTCTTCCAAATGCAAATACTTACTGCATTTATCCTGAGCCTGCTCAGTCACTGTATATTGGATGTGCATGGAGTTAATAACGGATATAGTTTGGATATGTGTCCCCACCGAAATCTCATGTTGAATTGTAATCCTCAGTGTTAGACGTGGGGCCTGGTTGGAGGTGATTGGATCATGGGAGTGGATTTATCACGAATGGCTTAACGCCATCTCCTTGGTGCTGTTCTCATGATAGGGAGTGAGTTCTTGTGAGATCTGGCTGTTTAAAAGTGTGTGGCACCTTCCCTGTCTTTCTTGCTCCCACTTTTGCCAGGTGATGTGACTGCTCCCCCTTTGCCTTCTGCCGTGACTGGAAGCTTCCTGAGGCCTCCCTGAAGTAGATGCCACTATGCTTCCTGTACAGCCTGCAGAACCGGGAACAAACTAAACATCTTTTCTTACAAATTACCCAGTCTCAGGTATTTTTTAATAGCAATGCAAGAACAGTCTAACACTAAAATTTATTCACAGGTCTCTAGACCAATGTAAAGACCATCACAAAACCCCACTCTTCATTGAGCTTGGTGCCATGAATAATAGGGTTATCTCCTAATGGGGGTAGGTAAGTGTGTTCTGTATGTGGGCACTGAAGAGAAGTATTTGTAATATGTGCTATCCTTCCCTGGAAGCAGATTATACTTTCCCAACCTATTGATGTCAGGCTTATACATGTGACTTGCTCTGGCCAATGAAAGAAGTGACATGAAGAGAACCACAGCTGAAGCTGACCCTGAAGGGCATAAAGCACAAGCAAGAAATAAACACTTGAGTCACTTGCTATAGCAGTATAGTTGGCTATCCTGAAAATATATACTAATTATGGTATTTAGTAAACATGTATTGAATTATTGCCATACGCCAGACACTTGAGGTGCAAAGTGGTCCAAGGAAAGAACAATTGCAGCAGAGCAAAAGGGCAACCAGTTATTCCCTGCCTAAGTGCAAAATATGTGCTGAGAGTTCAGGATATGGAACTAGAAAAATAAATGCATTTATATTGTTAAGTATCAATCATATATACAATTGTGTGTGCGTGTATTTCATATATAGAATATCTGCTTAGCTGTATCAGAAGTTCACTCTTTAGACTTGTAATAAAGCTTCATTGCACCATTTAAAAAACAAGAAAAAGACATGCAAAAGCATCCCTAGAGCAGCAGGCAAGCCTGGCTGCTTTTGTTGCTGCTATTTTCAGCTTGCCCTGCTTCTGTCAGACTGGGTCAGCGCTGAATGCCAGGGGCAAGATGGCGTCCTTGGCAGGAGCAAGGCCATGTGGTAGAGAGGTTTAAAAAAGAATCCATGCCTGAAGGACTAAGAGGATGTGTAATGAAGTAATTCTTACTTCGGAAGCAATTGTGTTGTGAATTTTAAAATGTCAAAAGTCTTTGAATTGAGGAGATACCACAAATGCCCTTGATCAACTGAAATAAGAACAATCGGCCGCCTCGGCCCTTCTTTCAAAGCATTTTAGCCTGGGCACCGTAGTGCTGATGGTGCATACTCCATAAAGGTCAGTGCTCACTAGATCTTTATTTGGAAAGATTATCTAAGCATCAAAATGTCTTACATTTCAATTTAAGTGACAAGGTCAGAAGGAAATCCTGAACTACAGATTAAAGGAATGCCTCAGAAGGATAAAACATAATAATTTTGATTCTTGGGTTAGCAGAATCATTTCCAGAATTCATTAATTCACATTTCCAGAATTGTGAATTAATGGTGATACATTCTTCTAAAAAAGCATTGCTTTTTGTTTGTTTGTTTGTTCCTTAAGGTTTTGCTAAGGAATCGGGAGGATTATTATATAGTTTCTTGAATCTAGGTGAAGGGTGAAAGATGTAATCTGATATCCTCAAACAGAGTCTTCCTAGATTTAGTACTGGCCAGGGTCTGCTGATAAAGTTCCAAGGGCAATTCCAGATGGTGGAAGTTAGACTCAATTATTGCCCGTACTCCTAGTTTGTACACCGACTTCTCCAGAATTGGTCATCACCATATCATATATATGCCTAATCAGCTTTTTTAAAAATTATTATTTTCAATGCTCTTTTACAGTATTGTCCTGGAACAGGTTATATTTCATGTACCTCCAAAGATAGGCCTCAGATCACCTGGCAGGTCTTAACACGTAAGTCTGAAGTCTGAATTTTGCATGTCCAAACTGCATAAACACCAGGCAATTGTTTATTTCTTGCCTCTGGTTCTGGAAAAGCCAAGTCTTTTTTAATAGGCCTCCATTTGAGAGCCCAAGCTGCAGACTCCAATTGTGATCTCTCTGTGTACTGGAACATTGAAGTGCTTCTCCCACAAAAAGGTCATAACCAGCCCCTCTTCAAATTGTCCCCTTCTTTTGATCAGTTTTCGCAGAAGGTCCCTCCCCTTGTAATTATAATCCCATTCATTCATGTGTTTGTTTGTTAATTCACTGGGAACAAATCAGTTTATACCAAACTGGTTTCCTTCAAGCAAGTTTTCTTCTTTCCACGCTGCTTTTGCTCTGCTTTCTGTCTCTGTCTCTTGAGGTTTGTCCCAGCCCACCAATGCTGTTTATCATGCTACTGAAACTTCCTAGGACTCTGGGGCTTTTCCTAGCTTGATCCATACTTTTTAGTCTCAGGTAACTATTCATTTTTTTCATTCATCTTTCTTAATAATTTGACTGGGACATCCTAAGAAGACAGGAGTCTTTCATTTGTTCTTCATTTTAAATCAAGGCTCTTTTCCTTTTTAATGGATTTTAAAAGGAATCTTCCCTTGATTCATCCTGGGTTTCTTCTAGCTTTGGCTTCTGCTTCCAGTGTTTATCTGGCTAATTGTCCTAGCCTTTCAATTCATTTTGATTTCGTTCTGTCTGAAACTATAAAAATTGGTTGAAGGAGTCATGTAATTTTACTTTAATTTCCTTGTGGACAGGGTGAGGTGGCTCGCACCACCTATAATCCCAGTACTTTGGGAAGCCAAGGCAGGGGCATCCTTTGAGTCTAGGAGATCAAAGATACAATGAGCCATGATTGCACCACTACACTCCAGCCAGGGCAACAGAGTGAGAACCCATGTAAAAAAAATAAAAAATAAAAAATGTCTTTGTGCATGAATTGACTATCTGCTTGTGCATGAAGCTTTTATTTTCTCCAGTGGACCACACACCATACCTTGGTTACATACAATTCATATTTTATCATATTTTTAGTAATTATATTATTGTTGTTCCCCTTTCTTGAGCACATAATCACATGCCAGACCTATGCCGAGTACTTTGTAAATATTTATCTGTGTTTTCCTTGGAATACAATAAATAAGCCATGAAGATACCTGTTACAAATTGAGATCAATGTACAAATACATTTCAAGGGTTTTCCTTATTATATTCATTTCTTAGCTACTTAAGTACGCTGAAAAATTCCAATTTTCTAACCTACTTAACCAGAATTTCCCCCAAATTAATACGTATTGACATTTCACAAAACCAGTTTTTTTGTGGTATACACTTTGTCAATGGCAACCTTGTGTCCATTTTTTATTATAGGAAACCAGGAAGGTAGATGCCAGCATCCTCATTTATAGATATATGGATAATTTCAAAATGATTAAGATCCTTGTTCAGTTGTTCAAGTAGTGAAATACACAGTTAGGAATCAAATGTTGAGCTGTCTGACCCCAAGGCCCATGTTCTTAATTCCTCTGTTATTTTTACTTCAACATTTCTAATGTTACAGAAAACTTATTTTCAGCCAGTGATATTTTTCTGCCATTTAGCTTTCTGAATTCCCACAAACTGATCAATTTGGCATGCACTATTTGGATTTGAAGGAAGATAAGATTTGCAATGCTTTGTGATCTCCTTAGCCAGATTTTCCTTTCACCAGCACACTTTTGTGACATTTATCCATTTTGATAACTCAATTCAGTGGTGTTCTGGAGCAATCTCATCCTGGCTCCTGAGAACCAGTTGTAAAATTTCCAGGAATTTTCTGAGCCAGTTGATAAACACAGCCTTAACTCAAAATTAAGCTATATAAACCTACAATTAAATGTTATATTAAAAACAAACAATAAATGCTTCAAACTCATCAATTCCTAATTATTTTACTTGTTCCTATGTGCTTGAGTGTTTTTTACGTCCATTGTGGCTGTTTGGTAGAAATGCTATGTAATTGGTAGAAATGCTATATAAAAATGTGCTCAGCACATCTCTTTCCATAATACTGACAACTTGAAATTGACCATGGTGGGAGTATTTATACCACAAAAAAAAAAAAATGCAAACTTCACAGATCACAGCTTGATTTATTGTTTTGTTGATTGTCTAAACCTGTACCTTCCTAGATGGTAGCACCTAGGCACATGTGGCTATCAAGCACTTGAAATATGACTAATACAAATTAAGATGTGTTAGAAGTATAAAATACGCATCAGATTTTGAAGACACTATGGAGAAAGACAGTAAAATATCTCTAATAATTTGTATATCTACTACAGCTTGAAATTATACTATTTTGAATATATTTGTTCAAATAAGATATATTATCAAGATTAATTTTAATCTGTTTATTTTTTAAGTAGTTACCAGAAATTTATACATATATGGCTCACATTATATTTCTGTTGGACAGTGGCCTAGACTTTAAAAAGTGATGATGGAGAAAAATGTTAGCAATACAGATTAAACTTAAAAGTATGTTTTCCTTTACTCATTACATTGTGAATACTGCTCGCACGCGCGCGCGCGCGCACACACACACACACACACACACACACACACACACACACAGAGAAATAATCTTCCAGTATTTAAAGACTGTTATCTGGTTTAGCAAAGAAGTAGCAAAAACTACACTTATGTATAAATTGCAAATGTAGATTTACTATGTATGGATGTATTTTGGCAAATATCAGTGAAAGCATCTGGTGAGGGTCAATTGGCTACATGTAATTTATAGTAAAAAGAACTTTGTAGTTTATTATTGTTTGTAAATTTTGTTTGATACATCCTTTATATCAGTAACATTTATAATGTACATATATATAGACATGTACATTTTTTTCTGAAAGCAAGTTATTAAACATTTACCAGCACACCACTGGCTCAACTCCAGCCCTTTTATCAGCTGCGTTTGTCCATCAACTCTTCATTCCTGTAAAATTAGCATCTTACAACACATCTTTGCATATCACATTGGCAAAATAACTATGGTCAGAAATTGAAGAACATACAATTAAAACATATAAAAATAAGAAAATAAAGTTGATCCATATCGAAATGCAGAAAAAAGACTGATTAGAGCTTTAAAATCTCAAGTTAATTTTTATGGTAAGTCAACTGTGTTCAATATAGAAAAGTAAGAAATCAAAGTTAATAAAATCTCTTCTCTGACTATTTAAATTCAACAAATGTCTTTCCAAAAATAGAATTTAAACAACTTAAATTTACTTAGGTGATATTTGACACTTGCTGTTTTTTGACAAGGGCTGTGGTTGTTGTTTAGTTTTAGCTCAGAATCAGGTCTTTCTCTATGTTTACCTAAGCCCGCTTCATTAAGTTTGAGACAGCCCATCTGTGAGAGATTGTAGTCACTCTCAGAGTGCTTCATTAATTAAATTATTGCACAAAAAGTGTAGAACCACCACTGTTACAAGTGCTGTGATGAGTGGCCTACCCTCCAAAGTAAGAGAAGCCTGCTCTGAGGCTGTGGAAGTGTGAGGTGTGAAGCCCTAGGGAGAAGGAGGAAAGGATGTTAAGATGCCTTCTGGGTGCAGAAAGCAGCAGGGGAACATGCCCTGTCGGGGGAGGGAGCACTGCAAATAAAAGGGACTGAAAGAGGCTTTTGAGCATAGAACAAAGAAAATGAGAAGGAAGTTGCTTCAAGATAAGGCCAGAGAGGTAAGACGGCTCAGATCTACATGTAAACATGCTAACAGTATTCTATTTTACCTTGGGAGGTGTTAAAAGCGAACTAAATATGACCTGAGAAGGACTCTGTACTTCTATATTGGAGTCCTTGTGGACAAACTGCAACCTAGCTTAATAGGTAGACAAGATTGAAAACCTAACTTAGGAGTATGCGCCTGTGACAATAGCTGGGTCTTGGCAAATCCCAGCGCTGTACTTCAACCAGTCATACACTGCTGAGTGTTCAAACCGTGTTCAAATAAGGCAAACGCCAGCCTGTAACCAATCCAGCTGCTCTGTACCTCACTTCCCAATTTCTGTACGTTATTTACCTTTTTTGTCTATAAATATTCTTCCACCATGTGGCTGCACTGGAGTCTCTGAATCTGCTGTTTCTGGGGGCTGCCCAATTTGTGAACTGTTCGTTGCTCAGTTAAGCTCCTTTAAGTTTAATTCGGCTGAAGTTTTTCTTTCATCAGAGAGATGGGAAGCCATTGAGGTGGTAGTGGTAGACGGGAGGGCAGCAGCGTTGATGGACATGGATGAGAGCAGGTGTGCATTCTACAAGGTCAATGCTAGCTACGGAAAAAACAATTGGGCGGGAGGAATACAGTATGGAGAGAGGAGGATCCATTCTAGGAAGCTATTCTCAGGTAGGTGAGAGAATACAGTACTTTGGAATGGAGAAATAGTAATGGAGAAGGAAAAAGTGGGTAAGTGTGAGAAACTTACAGAATGCAAAATCGCCAGGATTTTATGTAATCTCTACTGAAGACAAACACCGTGCTTCTCACAGAATAAAAAAGAAGCCATTGGCCAGGCCTTGCTAGGGCATGTGCAGTCAGCTATTTTTTCTCGCAGTTGGAGGGAATTTGTGCTGATCAAAAAAATATTTGTTGTGTTTCCATCTAGATCTAGAAGAAAGGATCTGAGTGACAGGCTTAGGTGCGTTGTCTGCGTCCCAGGAACAGAGCAAAGCACACTGGCTCAGGCATGAGGAAGCCACACCCCAATCCTGCCTTTCAGGTGCCAATGGAGAACAACCCCTTCAGCGGAACCATGGTGCTTTACATCTCTCTCTGAACTCTCAGATCTCCTAAGTGGAGATGGCTGATTAAGGCTCTTATCTTTCACGTTCTAAAATCAATTTAGTGTTGTTCGGAGCCAGCAATGTTAAAATATATTTGTATTTTGAAACAAAGTTAACATAGAGAAATGAAAAATAAAATGTTGAGAATTTTACATTTAATTGCAGATATAATTCTGTGTTCTGTATGTTACTTAGTTTTCTATCTTAAATAGTTTGAAGGTAAACACTTCTTTTACTTTTTTTTTTTTTTTTTTTTTTTTTTTTTTTTTTTTTTTTTTTTTTTTTTTTGAGACGGAGTTTTGCTCTGTTGCCAGGCTGGAGTGCAGTGGCGCGATCTCAGCTCACTGCAACCTTGGCCTCCCGGGTCAAGTGATTCTCCTGCCTCAGTCTGCCGAGTAGCTGGGACTGCAGGCGCGCGCCAGCACGCCCCGCAATTTTTTTGTATTTTAGTAGAGACAGGGTTTCACCATGTTGACCAGGATGGTCTCCATCTCCTGACCTCATGCTCCGCCAGTCTCGACCTCCCAAAGTGCTGGGATTACAGGCCTGAACCACCGTGCCCGGCGTACTTTTTTTTTTTTAATTGGGAATATTCTCAACTAAAAAAAATTAACAGCATTCACCATTTTCCTCATTCTTGGATGTCTGTTAAATCTCTCTCTCTCTCCTGGTGAAATAGATTTTCCGATATTTCTATCTGCTGTAAAAATTCAAAAAAACCAGATTGGGCAACAGAGTGAGACCTTGACTCTTAACACAAAAATGTTAAAAATTGGCCAGGCGTGGTGGTGCATGCCTATAGTCCCAGCTACTCAGGAGGCTGAGGAGAGAGGATTGCTTGAGCCCAGGAGTTCGAGGCTGCAGTGAGCTATGATTGCACCACTATACCCTAGCCTGGGCAGCAGAACAAGCACCTATCTCAAAAAAAATTCTTCAGAAAAAATATGTAAGGCCGGGCACGGTGGCTCACGCCTGTAATCCCAGCACTTTGGGAGGCTGAGGCTGGCGGATCACGAGGTCAGGAGATCAAGACCATCCTGGCTAACACGGTGAAACCCCGTCTCTACTAAAAAAATACAAAAAATTAGCCGGACGTGGTGGCGGGCGCCTGTAGTCTCAGCTACTCAGGAGGCTGAGGCAGGAGAATGGCGTGAACCCGGGAGGCGGAGCTTGCAGTGAGCCGAGATGCTGCCACTGTACTACAGCCTGGGTGACAGAGCAAGACTCTGTCTCACATAAAAAAAAAAAAAAAAAAAAAATGTATACATGTGTTTGCATAGAGACTACCAAGATATGACAAGTTACTCAATTTTAAAGCCTTCAAAAATCAATCGTGCAACAGAACTCTATAGGTTTCCATTAAAGTGATATCTAATACTGTCAAACAAAGAGAAATATTGATGACATTTTTTTAGTTTACTTAAATCTGATTTTTCCCCACATTGAAAGTCATCCATTTTGTTCTATTTAATTAGAACGTGATGGGCAAAAGTGTTAACCTATATGTTGTAGGAAGGCAAGGCCCAGCTGTGCTGTTGTATGTCAGGGAGCTTATAGAGCAGCTCTAAAGAGGGCAGTCATTTGGGCACTAATGGAACAGGAAACAGGAAATAGAGCCTTCGCTATCTCAGTGGACATAGATAATGATACCTGTATTTTATCTTTTTACAACAAGGCAAGAAACAAGATGGTCAATAATCACTGCAACAGAATATAATTATAGAATAGTTTTACTTGTAATGCATATTGTCAAAAATCTCATTCTAGAGGCCTTCTACAGATAATTAAGGTCATAGCAGCTATTGACAAAGAGGTCATAGCAGCTATTTTACTATGATGTAATGGATGCCTTAGAAACCTGGATGAAATAAGGGTCTCTGGAACCAAGAAGGTACATTTCCACACTCATTATTAAAGGTGATGTGATTACTTTGGTAAGTTTCCAGACTTTTTCTAAGGTAATAATGATATTGAGAGAGGTGACATTTTTGATTAGTTGCTAAATGCCATGTCTTCTTCTTAAGACTTTGCACGCTTTATCTTATTCAGTCTTCACAACAAGTTTGTGAGATGAGTCACATTACTAACCTCCTTTTAGGTAAGAAAATGGGGTACAGAAACAGTAAGTTGCAGAGTTAGCATCAGATCCCAAAGATAAGGGAAGTAAATGGCATGTTTTCTATTAGTTGAACCAATTGCTTATAAATATGTTGTGAAGTTGCGAAATACACACAAGTTGTGAAAAAGACATCATGCAAATTTCAGCATTTTGTAAAAAGATGTCCTTTTGTTGGCAATTATATAAATCTATTCACGCATGTTTCATCATTGTTGTGCATCTTGTGTGTGTGTGGCTCTTGCTGAATTGCTGGACTCTGAGGAACTGCTCACTCTTATATAACTTCACTATATAGGATTACACTTCAGACTACAGGCTTTGCAGTTTATATCATCCCAGTATTCAGTGAGGAAAATATTCAAAAGAAACACATAGAAATGCATCCTTTAATTTGCCCCTGTTCATTCACAAAGGAAAGTAAATTGTCTTCCAAAACCTGGATGACAGACAACAGTTAAGAGGCAATAACACAGATCCAGGAAGGTTAGAGAGCACTGAGTCACAAGTTTAAACAACTCAGCATCATTCTTAGAAAGCGTGATTGTGACCAACCTAGAAACCTGTATAAATAATCCTTTGCTCACTTTACTAAGAGGTGTAACTGAAGTCAGAAGCTCTGTAAATAAGAGCGCTTTTTTGTTCTGTGCCATGCACTGCCTATTGTGGATAGAGTTGTATAAAACCTCATGTGTTGTTTCCCACTTATCCTGTTAACAGATAGTTCCATTTATTCTCATTAAGAAAAAAAAATCTATAGCTAAATTCAGATGAACAAGTTGAACAAGTTAAAACTAAATTTTAACCATTGATATATCCTAACTGAATCCTAACCATTGATATATCTCCTAAAGAAGATGGATTGCCCTCTTATGTAAAGGGACTGGTTATATAATCTGTCTTAACCTCTTGAGTGAAGTGAAGGCCCTGCTCTCTTAATCTCACACTCTGCCTGTAGCATATTTCTTCCGTTTCTTTTGTGCTCCTTTGCTAAGCAATGCCAATTTAATAAAACCCATCTTAGTCGATACGCTAACACTTGATAGCATTTCAAGAGATTTTTAAAAGCTTTCATTGTATGATCACTTATCTACCAATAAGGTGCACACACATGCACACTCGCGTGCTCTGTGAACATACAAGTTCCATAACATCCCCATGAGAAACAGTATGGTGGAGTGATTAAGAAAAGGGCTCTGGAGGAAAACTTTCTGGGTGTGAATACTGCGACTCACTTTGTAACCTTGGTCAAGCCTTTTAAACCCTTTGAGTCTCAGTTTTCTTATATTTAAAGTTTTGCAAAACCAGTAAAGACAATACTAGATGATTTTAACCAGCATGTTTCAAGCATTTAAAATATGCCAGGCATTGTTCTAATCACATACATTAAATCATTAAGCCCTCACTACAACCCTAAGGAGCAGGTATTATTATTATTATTATCCCGTTTTAAATAAAGCAGAGGCACAAAGAAGTTATTTACTCAAGGTTACCCAAGATAACTGCCCTGCCTTTAATTAAAATGTAGATATTTTGTTTATTGTAGATTTATTTGGATTCCTTTTGATTTTTAAATACAATTCTAAAATGTTATTTATTTAATAACTGAGTTTTTGGTGCCCTGTTAAATTTTGTACCAGAAACAAATGCCTCCTTTGCCTCACCCTAGTCCCAGCTTTGAGTTGCTTATCAATAACAGTTATTGAGGGAATTAAATGAGGTAATGCATGTGGAATACTTTGCACTGCCAGGGCTCTATTAAATGGTAGCTGTCATTATTATTTTTTCATGTAAAGAAAAACAAAGTAATTTTTCTAAATAAACACATAATGAAAGTTTGAAGAACAATTTACAACTCTTGCCTCTCTCTTCATATAATAGTATAAACTTTAAAAGTCTGCTTTTGTATCTAAAATTAACAAAACTTTTATAATACTTCCTCCTTTTCCAAAACACATTTATATATAATATATTATATATGTGCTATATTATATTTATGTGTGCTATATTATACACACACAAAGTTTCAGCTTTACAACAAGATTAGGAAGATAGGGAAATTATTTATTATCTTCGTCTTAAACGATGGAAAACAACAAACTCAGTGGGATTAAGTTGTTTGCTCACCCAGATAACAAGTCATAAAAAGCTTTACATTGTCTTTTCTACACGTTTAAGGGGAATTCTTAGTAATTGCATGAGGCAGACACTTTCCTGCCTCAAAATCTACATAATGTCACGTCAGGAGTCTGATGTGCACAATTTCTGCCATTTCGATCTTCTGTTCTTCTGCAGACAAAGTGATGAAGTGGATAGGAAAGCCAGGGAAAACGCTACTCATTTCTGAATCTCTCCAACCCTTTGTTGTTTTCTCCCTGAATGAGCCATAAACACTTGCTGCTTCTCTTGGGAGCCAGGGTGGGGGAGGGGCGGGGGAGGGGCAGGGAGTTGTGGTTAGCAACGAAATGAAGAATTTAAAATTCTTCTTTCTTCTTTGTTGCTTTTATGTTTTCAAAGTTGTCTAAAAGAAACATGTATTTTCAGACAGTAGTGAAGCCTGAGTTAATCAAAAAATTAAAAGAAACATGCAAGTGTTTTATAACTCATGAAATGACATTTTAAAAAAAACCCTCTGAGTCTTTAGTTTGTGAGTATTCAAACTGCATTATCCTTTATGACTGTACCTAGAATACTTAGAAAAATTATGATGATGACTTCATTTCCTAAAATAATTTAATTTTAAGGATTTTTGTTTTCAGTCTGTGCTTTATGATTAATATTATCTTGTCCTTTCTCATTTCAAATTTTGATTATAGTTTCCTCATTACAGAATGTCACTTAATCACAGTGTGAAAGGTAATGTCCCTCATTTTCCAGAAATAATACATAAGCTTATGACTTCTGAAATTATCTGCTCACACTTGTGCTCCTGCAGGGGAAGGACAGCTTTGGTACAAATATCTTTTGCAAGGAAAATGGAAACAGCAAAGATACAATGTACAGCATCAATAAATGAGTCATGGTAAAAATATTTTTCTCTTAATCTTTCATCTGAAAAATAATTTTAATTCTAAACATACTCACCTTTTTTATTGTTCTAATGCTACAGAATAAACCCAGCCACTTCAGTATTTTAAATTGTGTTTTTTAATCTCATTTTTTATTAGTGTTTCACATGTTAAAGTCAAATCAGAACATCATGCTCATGAAATACAGAATTACAATCAACAACTATGTAAAAATCAATGACTTTTTTTATGTTGATATAGCAAAAATTCATTAAATTGGTTAGCTTTCATAGTTTAACACTATCTAGTATTTGTTGAACATCTCTTTGGTTAGAAGTATCAACCAAAGGCTAACAAGGTTAACACTGGAAACAGACTGCCTGGATTTGGGTCTGGCAAGCTCTGTGACATTGGGTGAGCTATTTAACCTCTAAGCCTCAGTTTCAGCCTTTATAAAATGGGATTAGTAATAATACATATCTCATAGGATCTCTGAGTATCACAGAAGTTCATGAATTAAAAAGCAAACAAAACAATGCCTGGCACATAGTAAGTATTTGGTAAATGTTAGCTATTATTATGGAGTGGTCCTGTTACCAGCAGCAAATCCATACAGGTCTGCAGCAACCTCAACTCTTGCCACCTCAGAAGAAAGAATAAGACCGAGGGGCATATGGCAGAAGGAGAGACTGAGGCAAGTTTTAGAGCAGGAGTGAAAGTTTATTAAAAAGTTTCAGAGTAGGAACAAAAGGAAGGAAAGTACACTTGGAAGAGGGCCAAGTGGGTATTTGAAAGACAAGAGCATGGTTTGACCTTTTGAATTGGGGTTTTATATGTTGGCATGCTTCTGGGGTCTTGTGTTCCCTCTCTCCAGAATCTTCCCTTGGGGTGGGCTGTCTGCATGCAGAGTGGCCTGCTAGCACTTGGGAGGGCAGCATGTGCAGTGTGTTTACTGGAGTTGTATGCATGCTCACTTGAGGCTTTCTTTCCCTTACCAGTCAAATGTCCCTAGGAGGTCAAATACCAGCTAAACTCTGCCATTTTGCCTTTTAATGCACATACTTGAGCCCACTTGCCCAACTCCTGAGATCTTATCAGGAAGCTGCTCATTACCAGTTTTATGTGTTTCTGTTTATTGGAGACTACCTTTCCCTTGTACTGGCTGTGACTAATTATATTTTAGAGAAACAGTTAACAACTGCCTGACCATCACCTGATGGTGGCCTGACATTCCTGGTGTGTGTGTGGTGGGTGGGGAGGAGAGGGCTCCTCATGCCTGACTAGCTACCTGCTATAACAGTCAGAACTAGATAAAATGCTTTGTGGTTACCACTATGAAGCCATAAGATAAACAGTGGTGCCCAATTTTGCCCACAAGGAGAACTCACACTCTCTGAAGTTTGTCTGTAATAGGGAATAATAAACAAAGGTATGACTTAGCTTGTGATATGACCATCTATCATATCCTATAGACAAAGGCAATCAATATATGCTCATTTGCTCATTCATTTACATGTGCTTAATTCTGTATATTCTTATCTCTATGAAAAATAAAAGAAATAGCACGTACATGCATACACACACAGGAAAATATTGAAGGTAATTCTTATGTACTTTGGAAATATTAGCTTGGACAAGACAGATAAAGCTTGAGGTAGGCCTCATGTGAAGGGTAGGTCTTGAATTGCAGAAGAAATAAAAAGTCCTATAAGTAGGAAAATAGCATTCATAAAGCAAGGTGAGAGGATCATCTTACTACATTTCTAGTTTAATATGGGTCTTCATCAAACTTTATGAGGATAAGGACCAGCCCATTCTTTTTAAACAAGATATCTTCTGCATTTAATATGGCGATTAGCATGGCAGGTATTCAACAAATATTTATTAAATGAATAAGGGAGAATGAGAAGTGTGTACAAACCGGTGGCAGTACAGACAGAAAAGTCACCTTTGTAAGTCAAACCCTGGGCAGGATGGAATAGAGCTAGGGAAGGGGGGTGTATAGTTGGGGCTCTCCAGAGAAACAGAATCAATAGCATACATGCATATATGAAACGATAAAATGAGAATATTGCAACAAATTTGATTAAAAAATGTTTAGATGAAATGAACAATTTCCTAGCAAGGACTTATCAAAACCAACATGAAGCATTGTATAATTATAAATTAGTTCATCATTTTTAAAATTCCCACAAATCAGGGACAAAACTAGCTTTGTGGGCTCTTGTACACACCTTTGAAGATACTGTGTAAGAAAAAATATATATATAAGTACAAATACAATATTACACATGAAAATGAGTATTTCTTTGAATGAGAAAATAAGTCATAGTAGAATATTGAATGAATATGTTAGTAGTGGCAAACATCCAAGTATCACGACATGAAATATATTACTGGTGGAAGGTATCTGAATTACCGCAGTGAATTCATATGGGTCTGCAGCAACCTCAATCCTTGCCTCTTCAGAAGAAAGAATTTGACTGAGGGGCATAAGACAGAAAAGGAGATGAAGGCAAGTTTCAGATCAGGAGTGGAAGTTTACTTAAAAGGCTTTAGAGCAGGAAAGAAAGGAAAGGAAAGTATGGTTGGAAGAGACCCAAGCGGGCACTGAGGTCAAGTGCAGTGTTTAACCATGATCCTAGGAATTTATAGGTTGGCCCTTTCCACATGATTCCTCCCTTAGCACGAGCTGCCCATATGTGCAGTGCCCTCCTTATCCTTGGGAGGTAAGTAGGTGCAGTGTCTTTAATAAATCCCATTTATGCCTAGTGTTCCACTACCGGAACGCTAAGCATGTGGGAATTATTTATATCCTACTGCTCAAGGTCACTGCCAAGGTCTGATTGCAAAAATTCAAAAAATTGCAACCTCAGGCATAAAAGGGTTAGGAAGTTGTATGCATGCCCATCTGAGGCTATTCCCCTCTTCCGGTGGGTGCCTTTGGAAGATCATACTCCGCCATTTTGTCTCTTAAGGTGCATGCCCAGGAAGTTTCTTCTCCCTGGTGCCTACATTCAATTAACACTTTTGCAACAGGTGTGGAGCATCAGGAAACGGCCTCTCCCTGGCACCAGCTGCCAATTTATCACTTTTAGAGAGGCAATGTGGCAATTGCCAAAACAGCACCTGATACTCCTGGTGGATGGGAAAAAGCCCTCTCCTACCCTGTTCATGCCTAACTACTTGTAACAAATATATATATTTGTTATGTGTGTGTGTGTATATATATATATATTTGTTATGTGTATATATATATTTATGTGTATATATATTTTTTTTGTTACAGGTAGTTAGACAGGGATGAGCAGGACAGGATATAGGTAATGAGTGATACAGGTAATAAGTCTTTGGGGGAGTCATTTCTGGTTTGGCACAAATTCAAGTGTGGCTTTGAAAAGATATCAGCATACATGTGAAATGAAAACATTAAAAGAAGTTTCCCAGGATGATGGGGATGGCTCTAGAGTGTTTGGGAAGAATAATGCTTTCATTTCTTGAGTGTTGCCTTGTGTTAGGTACTGACATGTATATAATCACTGATTTTCCCAGTGGCCCCCGAACAGGCTTTATCCTTGTGAATTATCCATTTCACAGCTGATGAAACTGGCAATGACAGTGGGTATATAATTTGCCCATAAGCATGAAGCTAGCAAGTCGAAAGTTATTGATTAAAGCTGGGTTGCATCTGCCTTCAGAATTCATGTTTTCTCTTTCTGGCCCATCACTTCCGGCCGTGTGAGTTTTGGCAAGCCACTTACCACCATTGTTGGTTTGTTCTTCAGTTAAAAAACAAAACAAAAAAAAACCGTGTAGATATATTTTCAGGCCGGGTGCTGTGGCCCATGCCTGTAATCCCAGCACTTTGGGAGGCCGAGGTGGGTGGATCACCTGAGGTCAGGAATTCAAGACCAGCCTGGCCAACATAGTGAAACCCCTTCTCTACTAAAAATACAAAAATTAGCCAGGCGTGGTGGTGCACACATTTGTAATCCCAGCTACTCCAGAGGCTGAGACAGGAGAATCGCTTGAACCCAGGAAGTGGAGGTTACAGTGAGTTGAGATTCATAAGTCATTATTGAAATGTTACATAAATTAAGATTTTCAAATTTGAGAGATACCTCTATCAAGTTTCTTTCATATGTAAACTATAAAATGTCAGGGTATTATCAAGTGTATTCCTGACAGGAGAGGAGATTTATTTTGACTACTCACTGAGAAGAACCAAATCCTCTGCTTACAATCTACTCATCTATATAATGGAAGAATTTTCCACATATTAATTTTGAACTCTGTATTTTGTCACCATTTGATGCTGGGTGCAATAGGATAAGACGGCAATGCAAGACAACCTCTGGTCCTATACCTTTGTGTGAGGACACTAGGTAAAACAGCATGCTATCAGCTTTATAATAAATTTACTTCTGTCAAAAAGAATATTCTAGGTCATGAACGCTTCATCAGTAAATTTTTGCAAACAAGGAAGAAGTATTGTCAATCTCTCACAAATTTTAATACTGAAACCTAACAAGGACATTACAAGAAAGAAAAATCACAAGAAATCGCTCATAATCATAAATGTAACAATATTAAACCAAGTATTAGCAAACCAAATCTAGTTATATATAAAAGGAATAATACTTCATGACCAAGTTGGGTTTATTCCAGGATTTCTAGGTCTCAAACTTACCTTTGAACTCAATCAATGTCACTTAATATATTAACAGAATAGAGGAAAATAATCACATGATTATCTCGATAGATGTATAACTGCTTTTGTTAAAATGTAACACTTATTCATAATAAAGAATGATTAGCTGAGAAACCTAAGAAATCAGAAGACTTCCTTAACTTGGTAAAGATATCTATAAAAGGCCGGGCGCGGTGGCTCAAGTCTGTAATCCCAGCACTTGGGAGGCCAAGACGGGAGGATCACGAGGTCAGGAGATCATCCTGGCTAACACGGTGAAACTCCGTCTCTACTAAAAATTAAAAAAAAATTAAAAAAATAAAAAATTAGCCAGGCGTAGTGGCCAGCGCCTGTAGTCCCAGGTACTCGGGAGGCTGAGGCAGGAGAATGGCGTGAACCCGGGAGGCAGAGCTTGTGGTGAGCCGAGATTGCGCCACAGCGCTCCAGCCTGGGCGACTGAGCAAGACTCCGTCTCAAAAAAAAAAAAAGATATCTAGATATCTATAAAAATCTTTCAGTAAACTAAATGGTGAGAAGAGGAATGAGATGAGAATGCCCAGTAGTAGTCAGCATTCCAAGGTCCTAGCCCGTGTAATAAGGCAAGACGAAGAAATAAAGGATATGAAATTAAAAAAGAATAAAATTTTTTTATCAAAATGACGCATTTGTGTACAGAGAAAACACAAGCACATCTACCTACAGATCATAGAATTAATAAAGGAATACAGCAAGTTTGCTGGATATAAGCTCTTTCTATAAAAGCAACTGTATTTTTACATAACAGCAATTAGACATTAAACATTTAAAAATTACGAATGCAAAAATAAAATCCCATAAATACCTATGCATTAAAGATGTGTGAAGCTTCTACAGAGAAAAATATAAAACATGATTAAGAAGTTAAAGAAGTCAGAATAAATAAAGAAACGTACCACATTCATGGATTAGAAGACTCAATATTATGAAGGTTTGATTCCTCTCAAATTAATCTGTAAACTCAATGCAATCTCATTAACAAATCTCAGCATGTCCTTTTTAGTAGTAATTGACATGTGGACTCTAAAATGTATAGAAATACACTTGGTCTCAAAAAAGAAAAATAAAAGTAAAAGGCAAGACATAAAAGCTTCTGGGAAATAATATAAGAGAATATCTCAATGACCTTGCAGTAGCCAAAAACTCTCTAAATGAGGCCTCAAAAAACACTACACATAAAGTGGAATCAGGGCCAGTTTCATTGCCATGTGACTCATATGGCTGCACAGGGCCCTGAGAGTAAAAGGGCTTCATGCTTGGTTTAATATTCTATGTCCTCATCTTGAAATTTTTAATAATTTTTGAATATAGGATCCTTCATTTTGATTTTGTTCTAAGCCCGGTAAATTATGTAGCTGGTCCTGTAAAGAATAGATAATTGTCCTACATTAAAATTAGGAACTTACATTCATCAAACAACCTTATTAAAAGAGTAAAAAGACACAGAAAGTAGGAGAATAAATTTATAATACATCTAACCTCAAGACTAGTATCCAGAATAAAGAATTTTTACAAATCATTAAGAAAAAGTACAATCCAATTAAAAATGGGGAAAAGGATGAAATAATTCTATTATAAAAGAAGATAGCTACATGTCTAATAAAGAAATAGAAAAGTGCACAATTTCATTAGCCACCAAAAAATGCAGATTAAAACAACTGTAGGATATATCCATAGAAATGCCTTCCAGAATGATTAAAAATTTTAAATGACGACATCAAGTGTTGACAATAATGTAGAACAGTACGAACTGTCATGCTTCTGATACTATAACAGACACTTCTCATCATTTTGAGAGGTGATTTAGACCCTGGCAGAGTTGTGGTTAAATTTGTGATAGTTATACAAAATGACAAGCAAATGAATAAACTACACAATTCCAGTGGAAATTAAAAGTTGTGGAGGAAAGAAAAATTATTCTAGATGGTAGATGGCTCAGTTGTGAGTAGCATTTGCATGTTTGTAACAAAATACTTTTAATAATTTAAATACTAATATTGACCTAATTAAATTAAGACAAACATTTTATCACAAAAGAGGTAGAACAGGGTGAAGGCATAAAAGAAAAGTATATCCTTATCTTCCTAGTGGGAGGCGAATAGAAAATCCCAAAACTGAAAAAATAGTAAGTAGCAATATAAGCAAATTATTTAGTCATATGGAGATAAAGAACAAAATAACTAAAAAATGGAGTTGAAAGTTATTTCCTCAAGTAGAAGAATGGGGACTGCCTATTTTGGTAAACACATTATAAAATCAACCTTTTAAATTAAATGCCAGAAGATCTTAGGTATAAAGGAAGGAAAATAAAAAAAGAACTAAATAAATTTTTTTTTTATACTTAGTTTCACTTTTGTTGCCCAGCCTGGAGTGCAATGACGTGATCTTGGCTCACTGCAGCCTCCACCTCCTGGGTTCAAGTGATTCTCCTGCCTCAGCCTCCAGTGTAGCTGGGATTACAGGCATGTGCCACCACGCCAAGCTAATTTTGTATTTTTAATAGGAAGGTGTTTCTCCATGTTGGTCAGGCTGGTCAATAAATGAAGTTTTAAAAGAAAGAAAATAGTTAAGAAAAATGAGAGAGAAAATGAAAGAAGGAAGCTGAGAACTAATTTTCAAGCCTCCAGTAAAGGGATTTCTAATATTAATGGATATCTGGACCATTCCAGTAAAGTCAGAGTCTCACCGTGACCCTCCTCCTGCTCTTGTAACCATTGCCTGACTAGCTGGGTAAAGATGGGTAAGTTAACCCCTGTGTCTCGGTTTTCTCATTAGTTAAATGGGCCAATAGTAGAATCTATCTCATCGACTGAAAAGAAGTTATCACAAAGCTGACACGGTGGCTTTCAAGTTTTGTAAATTTGCAAAGGTAAGATTTTTAAAGCACCATTGACAAAAAAAGTCACACCAAAGCATAAACCTTACAATGCTTGGCTGGGCCCAGTGGCTCATACCTGTAATACCAGCACTTTGGGAGGCTGAGGCAGGAAGATAGTTTGAGCCCAGGAGTTTGAGACTAGCCTGGGCAACAAGTAAGACATCACCTCTATTAAAAAATATTAAAAATTAGCTGAGCATGGTGGTGCTTGCCTGTAGTCTCGGTTACTTGAAGGCTGAGATGGGAGGATCCCTTGTGCCCAGGAGTTTGAGGTTGCAGTGAGCTGAGCTTGTTCCACTGCATTCCAGCCTGGGTGACAGAGTGAGACTGTCTCTCAAAAACAAAAACAGGCCTGGCACGGTGGCTTACGCCTGTAATCCCAGCACTTTGGGAGGCCAAGCCGGGTGGATCACAAGGTCAGGAGTTCGAGACCACCCTGGCTAACACGATGAAACCCCATCTCTACTAAAAATGCAAAAAATTAGCCGGGCGTGGTGGCAGGCTCCTGTAGTCCCAGCTACTCAGGAGGCTGAGGTGGGAGAATGGCGTGAACCCAGGAGGCGGAGCTTTCAGTGAGCTGAGATGACGCCACTGCACTCCAGCCTGGGTGACAGAGCGAGATTCTGTCCCAAAAAGAAAAAAAAGAACCCATATACAATGCATGTATACTTATCTGATTCTAGCTTGTTGTCACCAAAATTGGATTCTACGTTTGCAATTTGATTTTTTTCTCCAATAACACGTCATGCTCATCCTTCCATATGTAGACAGCTTATTATTTATGTGCAGAGAACTCCATGGTAGGTGAGTCATAAGTTATTTTCAGCGTTTGTCTATTGATAGTTTGGTTGCCACTGATTTTTGGCTAGTACAAAAATATGTCAGTGTACATCTTTCCTGTATGTCCTTTATCAAGTGTGTTAACATTTCTATAGCAGAGGTTCCTAAGTGTGGAATGTCTAGGCCAAAGTGTTTTTGCCTATGTAAATTTTGGTTGTAAAATTTGGTATGTTCTACCAAATTGCCATAAAAAATCAAAGAAAAGAATGTGTCAGTCTACAGCCCAGCAACAGTGAATGCAAGAGCTCTCTAAAACTGAGTGCCATCGAGGATGGAGGATGGCGTTTGTACTACTCCTTTGTATTTACAGGAAGCAAGTTCCCTGATCTTAACAGGAACTAAAATAAACAGAAAGGGGAAATTGATTGAGCCAGTTTGAGAGGGAAAGGTAGAGCAGTGGCCTTAGAGAACTCTATCAACAGGAACTTCAAGGTCACCAGAGTGCAGTCATGCTCCTTTCCACACGTTTCTGCATGTCAGCTGCATTAGCTCAGTGGGCTTCTCCATGAGCCCCTCTTCCCAGTTTCTAAGAAGTGAGACACACCACTGAGTTCATATGCTAATAAGTTCCATTAGCAAATAGTATGAGGCTTCTTCGTCCTATCATCAGTTTGAAAAGCCCTAGGGAAAATTCTGACTGGCCAGCTTGCATCACAGACTCACCACTTAAAACAATTATGGTGTGTGTGTGTGTGTGTATGTGTGTGCTCACACACACGAGTGTGAAATACTGTGCTTGAATCAGTTGAAAGTGTGTGCCCTGCCAACTCCTGTGCTTGATACCTATAAAAGGCAGAAAATAAATGTTGGATTGTCTGATATTGTTGGATATTTTATATCTATGTTGGATATTGTATATATATAAGTGTCTGTGTGTGCATAACTGAAATAAACTGGTCATTTGAATGATTGAATTACCATCAAGCTGGAAATTTGCATGATTAATTTACCTTTCAACTGCTCGTTTAGATGATTGAATTATTAATTTATCCTTTGGAATCGTAGTTCAGCTTTTTACATGTAAAATAATTTTTGTTTGTTTGTTTTTGTTTTTTTGAGATGAAGTTTCACACTGTCACTCAGGCTGGAGTGCAGTGGTGTGATCTTGGATGATCCGCTCGCCTCTGTCACCCAAAGTGCTGGGATTACAGTCCTCAGCCACTGCGCCCAGCTGTAAAATAATTTTAAAGTTATTCAGATGTTTAAACAACTACTGTGGACAGCATCTCTTAGCCTAAAATGTGTTCTCTAAAGGTTTGTTACAAGTTTAGATTGAAGAAATCACTGCAGACTCATAGTAGAAGGACTTTTATGACTGATCTTCTGAAGCCTACATCTGTCAGCTCATCATTCTCCATCCAGCTTTGTTCCCTTGCTGGTGAGGAGCTGCGATCCTCTGGAAGAGAAGAGGCACTCTGGTTTTTAGAATTTTCAGCTTTTCTGCTCTGGTTTCTCCCCATCTTTGTGGTTTTATCTACCTTTGGTCTTTGATATTGGTGACCTACAGATGGGGTTTTGGAGTATATGTGCTTTTTATTGATGTTGATGCTATTCCTTTCTGTTTGTTAGTTTTCCTTAAAACAGTCAGGTCCCTCAGCTGCAGATCTGTTGGAGTTTGCTGGAGGTCCACTCCACACCATGTTTGCCTAGGTTGGCGGGAGTGTGAACAAGTTCAACCATTGTGGAAGACAGTGTGGTGATTCTTCAAGGATCTAGAGCTAGAAACACCATTTTACCCAGTGATCCCATTACTGGGTATATACCAAAAGGATTATAAATCATGCTACTATAAAGACACATGCACACATATGTTTATTGCCACACAATTCACAAAGCAAAGACTTGGAACCAACGCAAATGTCCATCAATGATAGACTGGATTAAGAAAATGTGGCAAATATAAAAAGGTAAGTTCATGTCCTTTGCAGGGACATGGATGAAGCTGGAAACCATCATTCTGAGCAAACTATCACAAGAACAGAAAACCAAACACCTCATGTTCTCACTCATAGGTAGAAATTGAACAATGAGAACATTTGGACACAGGGTGGGGAACATCACACACTGGGGCCTGTCATGGGGTGGAGGGTGGGGGAAAGGATAGCATTGGGAGAAATACCTAATGTAAATGATGAGATGATGGGTGCAACGGGCCAGCATGGCACAGGTATACCTATGGAACAAGCCTGCACATTGTGCACACGTACCCTAAAACTTAAAAATATAATAAAAAATAAAAAATAATAATGGAGCAATAAGTTTTTGGATATTTGATTCAGGTTCTTTTGGACAGTTTCCTGAGACAAATTATACAACCTCGAGATGCCTCAATCAAAGGATATGAAGGTTTCAATGATAATTGATGTATATCAATACCTATTTCAAATACATATTTTATCAATTTAATGCTGCCTCAAAATACCACACTTTTGTCTGAATTAGGTATAGTGTTTTTTTAAAAAACTAGTGATTAAAAATTGTGACTCATTTACATTTTAATTACATTTCTATGATTACTACAGATGTTTGACTTCTCTTGGTTGCTGTAAAAGTTTTCTCTTCTGAGTATATTGTTGTTTTCATGATGTTTACCTCATTCTCTATTAAGGCCTTCAATCCAACTAGTTTGTAAAGTCTCTTATTAAAGTGCAGTGTTGCAAATTAAAACCACAATGAGGCCCAGAGTGGTGGCTCACACCTGTAATCCCAGTACTTTGGAAGGCCAAGCCTGGTGGATCACTTGAAGTCAGGAGTTCAAGACCAGCCTGGCCAACATGGTGAAACCCCATCTCTACCAGAAACACAAAATTAGCCGGGCATGGTGTTACATGCCTCTAATCTCAGCTGAGGCAGGAGAATCACTTGAACCTGAGAGGCAGAGATTGTAATGAGCCGAAATCACGCCACTGCACTCCAGCCTGGGCGACATGAGCGAAACGCTGTCTCAAAAAAAAAAAAAAAAAAAAAAAAAAAGTGGTATATATACCCAATAGAATACTATTCAGCCTTAAAAAAGAAAGAAATCATGTCATTTGCAACATGAATGAGCCTAAAGTGTGTTACAGTGAGTGAAATAAAGCAAACGCCAGGCACGGTGGCTCATGCCTGTAATCCTAGTACTTTGGGAGGCCAAGGCAGGTGGAAGAGTTGAGCCCAGGAGTTGGAGATCAACCTGGGCAACATGGTGAAACCCCATCTCTACAAAAAATACAAAAATTAGCCAGGTGTGGTATTGGACACCTGTAGTTCTAGCTACTCAGGAGGCTGAAGTGGGAGGATCTCTTGACCCCAGAGATGGAGGCCATGGTGAGCCATGTTTGTGTCACTGTACTCCAGCCTGGGTGACAGAGTGAGACCCTGTCTCAAAAAATAAATAAATACATAATAAAGTTTTAAAAAGCAAGCACAGAAAGACAAATACTGCATGATCTCACTTATATGTGCAATCTAAAACAATGGAACTCATAGTTGTAGAGAGCAGAATGGTGGTTACCTGAGGCAGGGGCCCGGGAGGGATTGGGGAGATGTCAGTCAAATCATACAAAATTTCAGATGGGAATAGTTCTAGAGATCTATTGAACAGCATGGCAACCACAGTGAATAACTATGTATTGTATACTTGAAAATTGCTGTAAGAGTAGATTTTAAACATGTTCTCATCACAATAAAATTAGTATGTGAGGAAACGAGTGTGTTTATTAGCTTGATTTTGTCATTCCACAATGTATACATACATGAAACATCACATTGTACACCACAAATATATATGATCTTTATTTGTCAATTTAAAATTAAAATGTAAATAAATTATAAAAATAAAATGAAATAACATACACTAAAAAAAGACTTTTATTTATTAAATCTCCACAGAAGGAGTCTAAGTTATAAAGGAAAATAACATTCCAGGAAAGGTAAAATCAATCAGAAATGCCCAACTTCAGTGCTTTCCAAAATTTGTCTGACAGAGTGGAAATCCAGTTCTTCACTAAGTCATTGCTCTGGAACAGTTAGCGTGTGTGTATATATGTGTGCGTGGGCTCACATACAAAAACTAAATTAATGGTAATGTAAGCATTCAAATTATCAGTTTAATTTAGTTATGTACACATACACACACTCCAGCCTGGGCGACAAAGCGAGACTCCATCTCAAAAATAAAAATAAAAAGGACACACACAGACACATACGCACACACAGAAACATCTATATATGTATAGACTCTCTCTGGGATGGTGCACAAGAAATGGATAACAATGGTTGTCTCTGAAGAGACAATCTTAAAGAAGATCCTTAAAGAAGGTCCCTTAAAGAAGACCAGGGTCTTTAAGGGACAAGGTGAGAGGTGGGTTTGCTTTTCACCGTCTAGTTGTTTTATGTTTTATTTCAATATTTCTATGCATTTTCCATACAAAATAAATATTTTAAACATTTCAAAAATTTTAAAAATGTGATACCAAGAGATGCAATCAATACCATGGTAAACCCAAACCCAATATCAAAATAAAATATCAAAATAGCTTACATCTTACTTTAGTCACTCTTCAAAGAATGGTGAGTTAGACAGAGTCTCATATTTGACTTTCTTGGACATTGTTGGTGAATAAAAACATATTTTCTTTATTTCTAGCTTATGTCTGCTAAACCAAATGAAAGTAATAAAATCAGAAAATCTAGTGAGATCACTTAATTATTTTTATAACATTTAATTTTGCTACCTTGTTTTAAAATTAATTAATTATTTCAGTTAACCTCTATTGTACACGTGTGGGGCAGACTGCTAGAGGATAAAAGAGATTGAACTACAGTGCTTGTCACACAAAGAATTTCTCAAGTCATATAGGAAAAATAAATTTATGTGCCTATGGTAGTGTTTATTACATTGTGCATTTGGTCTCTTTGGTTCATATTCTGCTTAAGGTTAATTCTCACTTACTTGAATAACAAAATCAGTGACAACAGTAATAAATTATAACCTAAAGAATACAATAAAAATATATAAATCTACACTAATAGAAATGAATAATTGTCTAAATAATGGAAAAGGGTTGACCCTTTCTCATAATTGTATTCCCATTAAGAAATATAGATAGAATGATGGAACTAGAAAATCCCCATTTGGCAAACACCACAGTAGAATTATTGCAGACAAAAGTGAAGAATGGATAGTAAAATTAGTGAGTGACCCTATGGTCAGAGACAGGACATTTGCATAATCTCAAAGTATCTCTCAAGAACATATTTAATAATTACAAAGGGCAACATAGTAACTTTACATTGGCAGACAGCTCCATAACCAAATGATTAACTTTAATGCCAGCAGTAAGAAGACCTATCCATATTATGTAAGTACCCTTTTACAATTTCGTTTCTGTGATAATACTGCCAAAAATGCATAACCTTAATCTAGTTATAACAAGCATCAGACAAACCAAAATTCTACAAAATAATTGGCAAGTATCCTTTAAAAAAAGTCAATGTCATGAAAGAAAAAGAAAGACAGCAACTGTCACAGATTGGAAGCAACTAAAGAGACATGACAACTAAATGCAATGTGGGGATTTTAGTTTAGTTCTTGGAATAGAAATAGGACATTAGTGTGAAAACAGGAATCTCTAGTAAAGTCTATAGATTAGTCAGTCGTGTATTTAGTTAATAATATTAATTCCCTGGTTTCAGTGATTATATTATGATTATGTAAGATGTTACCATTTGGTGAAACTGAGTGAAAGGTATACAAGAACTCTCTGTACTATTTTTTTTTTTTTTGAGACGGAGTTTTGCTCTTGTTGCCCAGGCTGGAGTGCAACAGCGCGATCTCAGCTCACTGCAGCCTCTGCCTCCCGGGTTCAAGAGATTCTCCTGCCTCAGCCCCCAGAATAGCTGGGATTACAGGTATGCACCACCATGCCCGGCTAATTTTGTATTTTCAGTAGAGACGGGGTTTCTCCATGTTGCTCAGGCTGGTCTCCAACTCCCGACCTCAGGTGATCTGCCCACCTCGGCCTCCCAAAGTGCTGAGATTACAGGCGTGAGCAATGGCGCCCAGCCCTTTGTACTATTTTTGAAACTTCAGTGTAAGCCTAAAGTTTCAAACTTAATTAAAAAAAAAAATAACAGGGAACGCAAATCCTTAACAGAAGTTTTGATTAACTCAAAGGACTTTAATAAATGTCACAGCAACTTGGTTGCTGCTAGTGTGGGAGGAAATCTAGCTTCAGTTACTTGTGGCAAATAGGCCAAGCTCAATTTAAAGAAAAATTAAAGCCTTTCGTGACTAATTTTTTCTGTAATATTTGATATATCAGAGTGTTTTACGAAATAACCACCTAAACCTTGAGATCTACCCATAAGCAAACGCTCTCAAGTAAAGAGAAAGGACTAATTTTGACACCAAAAAAAGTTTACTTTTTCCATATCTCCAGATTTGTGTATCTCCCTTTGGTCTACATGTGGCTAAAATCTCATTACAATTCCATGTCAGTTTACAATGGCATGAAAGAGCTGGTCTAGGAAAACAAGGGATAAGATTCACAAGTAGTGTGAAACAATGACTTCTCAGTAGTTCTCATCCAGGATAAAATACAATATTAAGAGTTGACTCATTCTTTTTGTATGGTACTGTGAGCCCTCCTAGGATCCAGGAGCTTTGGGAGAATAGGACAGAAAATAAAGCCTATTTGCAACTATGGATTGTTTATTATCTAATTTGGAAAAAAAGAAAACCCAAGTAAAATGACTTAAGAATTAAATACAAAACAACATGTTTTGGTTCCACTTCAATTGAATGAAATCCAGCTAGCCTAGCCAAAACCCTTAATTAACTTTGTTTTCTTTCCAGTTTCCCCTTAAATTGAGGGGAGGTGAGCAAGGAGGCTGCCATGCATAGTCCAAAGTATTCAGGCCCTGCTGGATCTGCCCCTGCCTGCTCCAGCCTTCTGATCTCTCCTTTCGCTCCCCTCCCAGCTGGCCCTAATCAGCCCCACTGGCCTCCTTGGTCTTCTTCAGGGAGCACCAAGAAGCTCCAGAAGTTCTGAGAAGCCTGCATCCGCACCTCTTCCGGGATTGCTCCTCCCGCCCTTATTCATATGCTTACTTCTACTTACTTCAAGTTTCTGCTCGAAGGTCACCAGGATGTTCTCTGAGAATCCAATGCCAATCAGCTGGCTGCCCCTCACCCCACAGTCCCTATTCTCTTTACTCAGCTTTATTTTTCTCCATAGCTGTTACCACCATTTAGTACACTGTACATTTAGGTGCATTCATTTATTGTCTGTCCTCTACCTCTCATGAAAGTGAATCCCATGAAAGCAGGAACACCATCTCTTTGTTTTTTCACTGCTGTATCCCAGGGCCTAGAAAGTCCTGGCATATTAATAAGTGTCATGATTTGTTGAATGACACTTGCTTCATCATCTGTTTATCCCAATGTCTTACAATCTCTATAATTCCCGGTATCTGTGAAAATAATCTGTTCCTCCACTAAGGCACTTAATGCATTCTGCCCCCCTTAGCATTATTCTAAATGAGTATTGTATTCCCCTGTTGGATTCTAAGGTTTCCTAAGGCTAAGCCTATTCATCATTAAGGGCCTAGGACATAGTAAACATTGAAAGAATGAATACATTTGCCCTTAATGATCTAGTCCCTTAAAGCATGGCAGGAACCCATCCCAAAATAAGAGTCAATCCCTTTATTATATTTTGTTTTCTAGGGCTATAAAATATGTTATATCTTAGAAATGTTTCAACAAGGGAACAACTGAAAGGATGTTTTGTTGAGCTCTCATTTCATATAAAATCCAATTAGCCGGTACAATGCTTTTTTTGAACATTCTAACTTCGCTGAGATAAAGGCTCATTGGAAAGAAAGAAATGAATCTTACTTTCATTAAGCCAGGGAAATGAAACAAAACATACAAATGAGTGCCAAAAACATTAAAGATATTCAATAGACATTAGAAATCAACTTTTCTGGGTACAGAAGGAAAAATTACTTCATCTGACATACTAATGTTTGTGCCCTCTGACTTTTAGCCTCCTGTAAAATTTGTGGCCACATTTGCCCTGATTTATGTTAGTCCTGGTCTCCAAAAATTCAGTAGGAGTGTAATAGTTGCAACCATTGGCGGCTTGAACCACGCCTTTGTGGGCCCAAAATGAATGGAGCCAGTAGAGTGAGACCAGAGCTTAGAGAGGCCCAGGAGAGAAAAGTCAGGATAGGCAGATGATGTTTAGTGGAATCTGACCAAAGGAAATAGGACAGGACTTGGGGAATGTCACATCAGAAGTCCAGATGAAGGTGGCTGTCTCAGCATTTACTATTGAGCTGGGCAGAGCACAGATGCAAGGAGTACAGATTTAACATTCAAGAACAGGACTCTTGTCCTTGGGAGGATTGTTTCAAACTTTAAACTATAGCAAGGTAATCCTCAATCAGAGAGAAAATTACTCCATGTCTTGGTAATTCACCTAATGCCCCAAGGATAGAGGAACAGAGCAGTTGGAAATTTGGTCATAAACAGTAGCAAAGCAAGAGCCAATTCCCTAGTAATTGCACCTAAGATCACATTTGACTTGCTGACTCAAGGTCTGTAACTAAGAAGAATAATTGGTCTCAGTAGGTAGAAGCATGTTAATCCAGAGGACAAGATGGATGGCCCACCTGGGGAGGTGGAAATCTGTCCTTCCAGCAGAGAGCAGAGGTGCACCAGACTGCAATGGAGGTCTTCCCACCTCATCCCCATGGACTGCCAGCTTTCTCACCGAAGGAATTAGTTTCAGGCTTAGAGGCATTTCATTTACTTTGTATACTAAAAACCTTTGTGATTACCTCTGGGAGAAATAAAACAGGACAGAAGGCTGAATATTGGAATTCTCTCTCCTAGCATTTCGTGATTTGTTTTTAATGGGCAGGCATTGGAATCAACATGGAGAAGCCACTAATTAAGGAAATGAAAGATTTTGGGTGGAATTACTTCAATAGACTGTGCATTCAGGTAATTACACAAGGCTCTGCTTTCTTTAAGCATTGTCCACACGGACTATGTAAAGTCACCCGCTATGAGAAAAGTGCCCCTTCTCCCACAGAAGGTTGATTAGCGAGGTCTGGAAACAATCTGTATCAATGTGAGAGTAGAGGAAGAAAAAGAAAAACAGAGTTATTGAGATAGAAAAAATATACAAGATTTTAGGTATGTAATTTTTACGGTAAAGGAACTATTATGAGAAAATATAGCTATCTCAAAATGTGAACATAGCTAGAATTCTGCCCTGGATTCAGGAGCAATTAAAGTATGAGTGCTAGAGTATGTTGAGACTAAAAATTCAAGAATAGAGGACCAAAGGGGTAAAGGTGAAGGAAAACTTTAGGGGGGGGAGAAAAGAAAAAGAAAAAAAGGAAGCCAGGAAAAAATAAAGGTGATCCCAGGAGACTGGATTGAAGAGCCAAGACCAAATGCAGCCTAATGATGAGACCATTGAAACAGCCAGGGTGATTTTAAGCCAGAGAGTGAGCAGATCACCCTTAAGCAAGGCTGTTTGGTAGCCTGAGCTCAACTCCCAGAGCAACACGATGAGGCACCTTTTGCATGATCCAATGCAAGGGTTAGTGACAGCCCCTCACAGTGCAGTATCCGTAAGTATTTGGGTGCTGATTTACAGTGAACCAAAGTAGAATATAGATAATATACACCCTTGTAAAGAGAGAAAGACTAAATAGTACGTGTTTTCTGCTTAAAATTGTAAGCAAGAATTTTCTTGTTTCCTCTTGTCTGTGTTTCTTTCTGTCTTTTTCAAAGTGCCTTTGAAATAAGACATAAGTAATTATTCATAGAAAATTCTGTCATAAAAGCAAATTCCTTGGGGCAGAAACTGAATGTTTTACTTATTTCTTTTATATTCCCATGTCTGCTTCAGTGCTGGACAACATAGGGGGACTTAAAAAATTGCTAATTGACCTTTATTGAGGAAACTGAAGTTATGTGTGTCCAAGCTCTGGTGATCTCGGAGTTAGTTATGAGAACCACTTTGTATCTCCTACCTGAACTCAAATTACCAGACCCATAATCTTCTTGGATTCTTGCACTATTACAATTTGAAATTAAAATAATTCCTTTTATGGTTTTAAATGAACAGATTAGTTTTATTCATGTGAGTTCAATGTGAGTTCTTATGCAATGAAAGTTCTTTTTAGCTTATTATGACAGTATTAAGAAAAAGAATTAGACCTTAGTGTTTAAACAATTTTAAAAATGTACTTCCAAACCATAAAACATTTATTTTTTAAGTTTTCAATGCTTTAATCTCATTTTCTCCTCTCATCATACACAGAATATTCTGATGATTTTGTTAGTCCTGTTCTCTGTACCACCAACTCCCCAAATATTTGGTTCACCTCTTTCATTTAAATATTCCTTCTTTTCTAATGTTTTCCGTTAATTTAACTAAGAATATTTAGTTAAATATTCCTTCTTTTCTAATCTTTTCTGTTAATTTAACTAAGAATATTTACTAATTTAGTTAAGAATATTTACTGCAAGGTGATTAGCAAATCGCCAGGTGATTTTTTTTTTTTTCTCTTTGCTATGCCATCCTTTTTCACCCTCAAAATTAGTTTTTGGTGCATCAATTGGTCACTATTATTATCTATTACTTTACAAAAACAAGTCCTGCTTTTCTCTAAAGATCTGACATCCTAAAAGGATGACCATTAATTTCCTGATTCATGGAGCCATGTTTTATGTCCTGTTTCTTTACAAGCATGAACATGTTTTGAAATAGTGGCTGCATGGAATCTCTCATTATAAGGTGTTATGAACCACTTGTATTTTCTTTGACTGGTATCTGACTCATTAAGATTACTGGTTTCTTTACTTGTAAAAATCCCTCTATTAATCAAGTTAGTACCATTCTAACTCTAAAACCATATGTTGCCATTTCAAAATAAATTTATTTTAGGAAAAAAGTAAGTAGATATAATTCTTAAATTTATTTATGTAAATGGATGCAAAAATGTGAGAAAAAGAAATGATGAATCATGGTCTGCTTGTTCTCACTAAATCATTTCCCTGAACCACAAAAATATTGGTCTCTCAGTCCAGTGAATTTTCACCATTCTGAGATTGGTCTCATTTCATATTTTAAAGCAGGTGCTCCATTGTTATTATAACAGACATTATTTTGTACATATTTAGCATGCGTTAGCTTCCAAACCCTTAGACATTATTCCATAATTTTTGTTTGAAATTTTGAGTAAATTATGTGTGTGTGTGTGTGTCTGTGTCTGTGCATGTGTGTGTGAATTGAATGATAAATTTAAATACTTGGAATAAATTAATATTTGATTTTTGATATAGACTAAAATAGCACATTTGATACAATTAAGAATTTTTATAAGATTAGCTGTAAACAGTTATAAATAAGTAATTATCCTCTTCATCAAATATACAGTATAATTACTTAAATTTTTCCAATTTTGAGACAGTTCTACTACTAATAGGCGGAATTCAAGCCATTTGCTGGTGAAAACTTTGTACAAATTTTAATAATATAATAAAAGACAGGAGCTTTTTCTGACTTTATGTTACAGCTGTCTCAAGGTGGTTTACTGCAGTGCTTTGGAGTCCTGTCTAAATCTTTTCTCCCATCTTGTAAGTTGTATAACCTTAAACATGTTGCTTAATCCCTTTGTGATTCAGTTTTTACCTTTTTAAAGCAGTATGACAATAGCTCTACCTCATAGGGTCATTGAGGGTATTGTATGAGTCAGTAATGATCCTCTACGTGTGATACTCAACAAAGACTCAGTAAGTGTTTGCTGGGTGGCACGTTCTCTTCCAAACCAGAACTTATATTTCCTAACAAACTTTTAACCAACAAAAATATCCCTAAATTTTTTATTTTGTTTTTTTTTTTATGAGACTGCCTCAACTCTGTTGCCCAGGCTGGAGGGCAGTGGTGCGATCAATTAAGCTCACTTAATTGAGCTTAATGAGCTCAGTTAAGCTCACTGCAGTCTCTCGACTTTTGGGCTCAGGTGATCCTCCCACCTCAGCCTCCAGAGTAGTGGAGCCTGGAGATGTGTACCACCAAACCGGCTAATTTTTCTATACTTTTGTAGAGATGGGGTTTCACATGTTTCCCAGGCTAGTCTCAAACTCCTAGGCTCAAACAATCCTCCCACCTGGGCCTCCCAAAATGCTGGGATTACAGGCTCAAGGCACCGTCCCCAGGCTAAATTTTTACACTTTTGTAAAACCATCAGGACCTCATTACAGAACTTCAATGTCATATTCACCTTTGTTCTTTTAAACCAACCCTTGCTACTCACCATATTTTCAAATGCATGTTATTATTTTTTACTTTAAAAGCTTATTTACGGCCAGTCACGGTGGCTCACGTCTGTAATCCCAGCACTTTGGGAGGCCGAGGTGGGCAGATCACCTGTGGTCAGAAGTTCGAGACCAGCCTGGTCAACATTGTGAAACCCCCATCTCTACTAAAATTACAAAAATTAGCATGATGTGGCAGCAGGCACCAGTAATCCCAGCTACTCAGGAGGCTGAGGCAGGAGAATCGCTTGAACCTGGGAGGCGGAGGTTGCAGTGATCTGAGATCGCTGCCACTGCACTCCAGCCTTCGTGTTACAAAGCAAGACTCTGTCTCAAAAAAACAAAGCAAAACAAAACAAAAACTTATTTACTTGTAAAACAAAAAAGTTTATTTACTTGTGAGCACAAGGCTCACCCTCTCCTATGAATCATGAAGTTATTCCCATAAAGCAATTTCTGCAACAATATTGATTGTCAGAGGAAGGGTTGGACCTGAGAATACTGGGGTTTAAAGGCAGACTGTAATTCTGTAATATTAAGAAACAGGGTTGAGTGGTCCCCAACTCTTGACTAGTGAGCATTCTCCGGTTTCCCTCCTGAAATATTGTTCTCATAAATGGCAACATATTGATTTTTAAAAATTTAAGTCTGTAATCTTTTTTCCTTCCCACAACTTTGGCTGCAAAAGCAAATCATCAGAATTTTTAATAAAAGATTTTCTTAACTTAGGACATTATGAAAATTTAATAAAATCCTTTTCTGAAATAAAAAAAAAAAGCTGCATATATACATTATATGGTTTTTTTCCAGGTTATTCATTCTTCATTTCTGTAATTAAATGGGACAGAGAGGAGATTTATTTAGCTCTGAACTTGAATTTTCCCTTTCTTTAAGGGAAGTGGGTTCAGTTAGAAGCCAAATAATTAGGTTTTACATTGGGAAGAAAGATTCACAGAACACAAAATACCTGGAGTACAACTTTTATTTCTCCCTCAGATAACAAGGAAAGAAATAATTCATAGCACCAACTTCAGTGAAAATAATCCCTCTTGGAAGCCAGCTGCTGCCAGTGTCATGTGTCTGTTCAAAACGGCAGAAACAGGAAGAAGAGATTCTTCTTTTTTTTTCCTCAAAGAAATGCTCGAACTCTCTGGGCCTAGAGCTCAGAGTAGTACACAGAAAATCTCCACAGTGGAGTCTACAGTCTGGAAAACAACCATCTCACACAAATGTAGACTTTGGAGCCCTGGGTCCAAGGGTCCTTTGAGTCTCAATTAACATTAACTAATGGAAGAAAAGTCTTAAAGTCCTCAATACCTAAACCTTTAATAGATATCAAGACATCTCAAATGCCATCTGAAATGCTTAAAAAAAGACACTTTAGATTTATAGACAGGCTTTTTCTGAAAATAAAATTGCACCAATATGTATTTCTGACCTTACTACACCATCTGGAGAATAAGCATTATTTTATTATTAGACCAGTCCTCCGGCCCCCCTTGGCCATGGGAAAAAGTAAACAAAGAAGGAATTCATACATGCAGTTATAGCCTGTCAGTTATGGTAAGAATTGGAATAAACAAAATTCATATTTAGCAAACCATGTGTATTTCTAACCTCACCCTCAGAATCACTAACCAGACACAAACAATAAACTGTTATTCCTAAATCCAGAAATATAACAACATCCGTAGATTTTTGCTTGATCTGTGCTTCTTAGGTCACTCATGGTGGCTTAATAAGTGTCTTCCAAATTTTTCCTGACCTCATTAACCTGTGGACTCAAATGAGATCAGTGTGTTATTTAGACTCCCCTTTAGCTCAATGACACTCACTACTTTGACAAATTCTGAGGGTCCCTCTCCCTCTCTCTTTCTTCTGAGCGTCCCCAGGGACTGTCTCTGCCAGCTTCTGGATGGATCTGGACCCATCATCTCCCTGGTGTACCCTAGACCAGGGCTTGTGAAGTTCTACTTCAGCAGATGCCAGTTATTCCCTTGCAGCATCCTCAGAACTATTGTTCTGTTGTGTGCTGCTGCTCACTGCAAACGGCCGCTTAGGTGGTCTACTCAGAAACTTTCTCCTTTGGGAAATTAGGAGGAAGCCCCTTCCTCCTCTGGATCAGCAAACTTGTGTGTGACCCAAGCTGCAAGAGCCCACTACATTTAAATACAAATCTTCCTCCCTATGGTATTAGGAAACTTCCAGTTTGTCTGGTATCAGGGTGGGTTCCGGTTCCAGCCCTACACCAGTTCCAGATGCAGACCCTTCTCCGAGTCTCCCCACTTTGAGTAAATTCTTTCAAGGGGCCCACAATTCCTTCTTATAATTTGCTTTCTGTCATTTTTCCCTCTTCTAATTAATTGGGCACATATATATATTTGAATTCCTATCATAGACCATGTTCTGGTTCTTCTCACAGGTGGTTCCTCTGCCATTATAAAGTTGGCCAATGAAATTAGATAACAGATAGGAGGTGTTACCTAACCCTATATCCCAAGTGTATATATATATATGTGTGTGTATATATATATATATGTGTGTGTGTTTGTGTGTGTGTATATATGTGTGTGTGTATATATATATATGGTATATGTACATCCAATTAGATGTGTGTGTGTGTATATATATGTATACACACACATACATATATATCTCCAATTAGAAATAATTGCTATGTGTATCTCTAATTGGATATGCATATATATATAAAATATATATTAGAAATACATATTAAATACATCCTGCCTTTGCCACCCTAACAAATATAGAGAGTAAACATACATATATATATACACAACTAGTTTTCCCAGATCTCACCACCTATGATGCAAATGAAGTTATCTTAATAGATATTCAAACTCTACTAGCTTTTATATCTGTCATTCAAACTATCTATCATTTTACATATATATAATGGGATATAGGGTTTAGAATCAAATCCCTGGATTTGATTCTAAAATTTTGGGTTCTGATCTTAGGACTGCCACTTACTAGAGGTACAACCTTGGCAAGTTACTTAACCTCATTGCAGTTCAGTTTTCTCATCCCCAAATTTAGAACAATTATACTTAGTAAACACTTCTGCTTTGATATTTGAAAGAGATAATACAATGGGAACTTTGTAAAAAGTTCTTAGTATAAAGGATTTCATATGTGGCAAGAGTCCTCACTTGACCTGTAGCCAGGGTTCAAGAGCACGTGAATGTGTCTGGGGAACTTGCCTGCCTGGGCCAGCTAAAATCTTTTTGCAAGAGGGCTGAAGAAACTTCCGAGAGAGACTCCAATCTTACCAAAGGATTCAGATACAAGGGACTTGACTCAGTAAGGAGATTTTGGTCTTCAAAAAAAAGGGTTTATTTTCAGTTTAAGATGATAATATACCTCTCTTTAAGCTCAATCCCCAACTATGCTCAGGTCTCCCTAAACACCTATTGAGGAAGCTAAGCTTATTTTTGATCAGGGCAAGCTTTTAAAAGCTAGTAGAGTTTGAATGATATCTATTAAAATGACTCCATTTGTATCATAGGTGGTGAGATCTGGGAAAATTAATTTTGTGTGTGTGTATATATATATATATGCTTACTTTCTATATTTGTTAGAGTGGCAAAGACAGAATGTACTTCATGTGTATCTCTAATATATATTTTATATATATATACACATATCCAATTACAGATACACATAGCAATTATTTCTAATTGGAGATATATGTGTATATATATACATCTAATTGGAGATATATATATGTGTGTATATATGTATACACATATATATATTAGAAATACAAATTCCAATTAGAAATACACATTAAATACATTCTGCCTTTGCCACCCTAACAAATATAGAAAGTAAGCATTTCCTAAAAAATTATCCTGTTTACTTCATTACTTTATACAATTTTTTCTGATACTACTGAAAGTTATAGTTTCCATTTCTTTATCTTTGATCTACAAAAGTACAGAAAAGTACAAGGTTTAGTTGGTCACCAGAAAATGGTTTGGGCAATTACAATTAACAATGAATTACTACTTTAAAGGAAATTGTATATAATGGAAATGCTCTTTCCTGTTTTGGAAGGTAGTTATCAACTAAGATGAATCACTGGTAATGTTTACTTCTTTGTGACTTGGCAAGAAAACAACAAACAAATCTCAAAGGAAATTGATGAATAAAGTCTCAAGGATAATATCATTCTTGCTTGAAACCGTAACCAACTGAAAGACTAAAGGTACAAAATTCAGAATTTCAATGTTCTTCAAATTGCTAGTGGACAAATGGGGAAAAAACCAGGATATTAATTTAACTGTTCACAAAACAACTGAAGGCAGTTACAATAAGTCAGTCATGGCCGGGCACGGTGGCTCACGCCTGTAATCCCAGCACTTTGGGAGGCCGAGGTGGGCGGATCACGAGGTCAGGAGATCGAGACCATCCTGGCTAACATGGTGAAACTCCATCTCTCCTAAAAATACCAAAAAAAAAATTAGCCAGGCATGGTGGCAGGCGCCTGTAGTCCCAGCTACTCAGGAGGCTGAGGCAGGAGAATGGCGTGAACCTGGGAGGCGGAGCTTGCAGTGAGCCATATAACAAAATCTTGAAAGCAAAATTACTGTCTCAAAAAGTAAGGTGACAACCCTCTTAATGTGCTGAGTCATGCCTCCTCAAAATTCATATGTCAAGTCCTAACCTCTAGCACTTCAGAAGGTGACTGTATTTAGAGACAGGGCCCTTAAAGGGGTAATTAAGGTCAAATGAGGTCATATGCATAGGCTCCAATCCAATAAGACTGGAGTCCTTATAGGAACAAAGACAGGATTAGAGGGAAGGTCACATGAAGACAAGGGAGAAGACAAGGCAAGAGAGTCCTCAGAATGAAACCAGCACTGCAACACTTTGGTCTTGAACTTCTAGCCATCATCAATGTGAGGACATACATTTCTGTTTGTTTAAGCCACTTAGTCTGTGGTATTTGTTATGGCAGCCCTACCAAACGAATATAGTCCCCTACACCAAAAGCCTTCCCTAAATTTCACACAAAGGAGGGAGGGCCATAACTCTTTTTCTTGAATCATGAGGTTGTAATCATCTCTTATGTTTGGATCTTGCTCATAATTTTGCTTCGTATCTGTTATCTCCTGTGTGCCCCATGACAGCCCCATTTAATGGATGGCAAGATGGAGGCTGAGAAGAGAACAATGATTTTCCTTGCTCAGTGCCAGACTAAATACCACAACAAAACCTTCTGGTTCACTTGTACGGTGGCAGCTAAGGTTTAATGAGGACAGCTATACCATCCCTCCATGTTTACTGTTGGGGAGACTGAGGCACCATGTGACTAGGTGACCTACCCAAGGTCCGCCCAGCAGGAAGACTACTGCCGGGGCCCAAAGCCAGGTCTTCAGATGTTGGGTCCCATAAGGTTTCCACTGTTCTATGAGAAAAAGGCATGCACGGCTGAGTGTGGTGGCTCTCGCCTATAACCCCAGCACTGTGGGCGGCAAGCCAGCAGAATCACTTGAGCCCAGGAATTCAAGACCAGTATAGGCAATATACTGAGACGTCATCTCTACAAAAAAAAAAAAAAAATTTTTTTTTAATTAGCCAGGCGTAGTGGTGCAAGGCTGTAGTCCCAGCTACTTCAGAGGCTGAGGTGGGAGGATCATTTGAACCTGGGAAGTGGAGGCTACAGTGAGCTATAATGTCACCACTGCACTCCAGCCTGGGTGACACAGTGAGACCCTGTAAGGAAAGAAAGAAAAGAAAGAAGGAAAGAAGCAAAAAAAGAAAGAAAGAAAGAAAGAAAGAAAGAAAGAAAGAAAGAAAGAAAGAAAGAAAGAAAGAAAGAGAGGGAGGGAGGGAGGGAGGGAGGGAGGGGGGAGAGGGAGAAGAAAGAAAGGAAGGAAAGAAAGAAAGAAAGAAAGAAAGAAAGAAAGAAAGAAAGAGAAAGAAAGAAAGAAAGAAGAAAGAAAAGAAAGAGCAGACATGCATTTTCTCTGCAGTCCCAGGACAATTCCTGGCATCCTTCCTTTCCTTCCTGCTCCTTTCTTTGCCAAGGAGATGCCAGCCCTCAGGCCTAAAGAGAGAATAACCGGTTAGGTTAGGCGTATACTTATAGCTTTTGAAAGAAATCTTTACTACAAAGGCGAATTTGTATTTTTCTGACTTTAACTTTCGTTTCTAATAAGAAAAAATTCAATCTCTACATGACAAAAACAAACATATTAAACATATAAGTAACTACAATCATACATACATGTTATTGTACCCTTTTAGGGAGGGAATAGATTGTTTTACATAAAGAAAATCATTTAAAGAGACAGACTGGGGACTAGGTTTGGGGGTTTGTAGAGATTTATATAACCACAGAACATTTGTGGGAAAGGAAAGATGTCTAATAGAGGTTTTTAGGAAACTTAATTTGTAATGTATTGTGTGAACCCTGCTGTATCCCAGCCTCCTTGGATGTCTTCAAGGACTGTTCAGTAGAGGCCTACATTACTTTTCAATGATTTTTGGAGCCAGAATTGTATTTCTTTCTTTGAATGTCATACAGACAAATATAATCCCCTAGGACTGGTCTTAAAGAAGGACAATTTTGTTTAGATACAATTATTTCCCATTAATTTCACTGAGGAATAGAAAGCAGCTTCTGCTGCAGAATGAGATAGTGTGAATTCAAGGGAGCGGGCAGCTGGTAACCAGCCAGAAGAACCTGGAACTCTCTAGACACCAAAATGTGACTACCGTACAGAGTCTCCCAGATTACCCAATACCTCTTAGCAAAAGTCACTGAAGACTGAAAAGGAGCAGTATCTATTTATCTTTCTACATTTATGTCTATATATTCTACTAAGTAGTTTCTGTATACAGATTTTTGGTTCACAAAATTATCCCATATGAAAGTTCCAAAAAAGAAAAACTATCCATGACTAAAATAACTGTAAAATCAGAGCTCCTGTTTATAGCTCAATTTTCCCCAGTTGTTGACAATCGACTTCCTGTCTCTCACCTTCATGAAATACAGCGCCAAACGGTGAAGGAGTAAGGATAACACAGTCTTTAATCAAAAAGGGGAAAAAACCTCTAAAAAATGGTTCCCAATTCTCTTAAGTGTTCTATCAGAATCTTCTCTTAGTCTTTTAACATTGTTAGTTCACATTTATCAAACAAAATCATCTGGAAGGCAATCAAATCCAGCCAGGGATTGCCAGAGGGGCTGGGCAGGGTCTTGGAATGAAGACATGCATCTGAGCACTCTTTTAGCATGTCCCTGGTTACTCGTGTTAGCATCTCTTGGAGAATTGGTGGTTGTTTGCATGAGAGTCATTGAGATTCCAAGTGATCTCTAGAGACTTCCAACTGATATCCACCAGTTAAGGAATTTAGCAAGAAGGCCATTGCCAAGAGTTAAAATGCACCCCGCATGTTAATGCTCAGGCTGCAATGGAACTGCGTCCATGATGTCAGACACAGTCAGCAACTCCTATAAAGCAAGAAGAAATGGACTTTGGCTGAAAAGCCCCGAAAGAGAGGCCAGAATTTCCCAGACACAATCTTAGATTCAGCCTTTCCTGGTGTTGTTGTGGCAGAGAAAGCTAATGCTCTGGCCGTAAGGAGGGAGGCTCACCTTTTCTGGAAGGTCACTCCCTCCAGCAGCCCAAGAGCTTTGGGCACCTATTCATTCTTTATTTAGTAATAGTCTACTCTGCAATCTGCTATTCCCAACTGTCTCCTCTATTTTTATCCATGTCAGAGCTGGCTCTACCTAGCTTATATGCTGTCTGTATCCTGACCCTCTCATCCACCCAACTCCATCCCTAAGGTGCTCCCATCAATAAATACACATAGTTCAGCAGAATGTCTGGCTGTTCTTGGCTGAGTTCTCCTTCTCTTGCCTTAGCTATGTGCTCACCCTTCAACCCCTCCCTTCTTGACTCATTGTGTGGAGGGCTTTCTAGAGCACTTTCCTCAGACATACCCCTCCTAGGAGAAGGTTAGTCTTAAAATAGTTCCCAGTTTGGCAAGGCACCGTGGCTCACACCTATAATCCCAGAACTTTGGGAGGCTGAGGCGGGAGGATTGCCTGAGGTCAGGAGTTTAAGACTAGCCTGGCCAACATGGTGAAACCCCGTCTCTACTAAAAATACAAAAATTAACCGGGCTTGGTGGCATGCACCTGTAATCCCAGCTACTCGGGAGGCTGAGGCAGGAGAATGACTTGAACCCGGGACATGGAGGTTGCAGTGAGCTGAGATCATGCCATTGTACTCCAGCCTGAGTGACAGAGCGAGACTCTGTCTCAAAGAAAAAAAAAAAATTCCTAGTTCATTGCCCATCTTCTCACCTACATGGTTTCTATTTTAAGTCTCTAAGGGTTTTCTTTCTTTTTTTTTTTTTTTGGTCAAAAGATTATCACATGGAAATCCAAATACTCCTGGAAATTATAAAGCCTTATTAGCAAATGAGCAAATATTTTAATCAGAAAACAGTTGAAACAAGACCCTATAAATGCTTGATGCCAAATAATGGGTTAATGATACTCACATTGGATTTTCAGCTCCTATTTTTCTCCTGTGCTTTACACTTATATATTCAGCCATAAGCTAGGTATTTCCTCCTGGATATTGTCCATATCCTTCACTCTCTACATGTCCCATGTAGATATGTCTACATGTACATATGTACATATATATGTATATATGCATATATATATATTTGTCTGTATATATATATGTATTTGTGTGATGATGATAAAGCTAAACATAAGATAGCTTTATTTGCATTTATGCAAAAAGGCTTAAATACTATATTCTTTGAAAGGGATAACAAACATGTAAATCAATCCCAAAGTAATTTAAACTATTTGATATAGCACTCTCCCATAGAAATAAAATGCCAACTACATTGTAATTTTAAAGCTTTTACTAGCCACATCAGAAAAAGTAAAAAGAAACAGGTAGGATTAAGTTTAATATATTTAACCTACAATAACTGTAATAGTCATTCTGACATGTAATCAATGCAAAAGTTATTAATGAGATATTTCGCATTCTTCTTTTTGTACTGTTTGGTAATAGGTATATAATTTACATTTACAACACATTTCAACTTGCACTAGCTACACCTATGACTAGTGGCTACCAAATCAAATAGTGCAGAACAAAAATAATCTCAATTACGCCAGGTATGATGGCTCATGCCTGTAATCCCAGCACTTTGGGAGGCCGAGGCGGGTGGATCACTTGAGGCCAGGAGTTTGAGACCAGCCTGGTCAACAAAATGAAGCCCATCTCTACTAAAAATACAAAAATTAGCTTGGTGTGGTGCCACATCCCTGTAGTCTCAGCTACTCGGGTGGCTGAGGTGGGAGAATCGCTTGAACCAGGGTGGTGGAGGTTTCAGTGAGCCGAGATCACACCACTGCACTACAGCCTGGGTGACAGAGAGAGACGCTGTCTCAAAAAAAAAAAAAAAAAAAAAAAAAAACTCAATTAAAATATAATTTGAAAAAAACTTCTGACATTATTCTAAAATTTATCAACTTTAAATTTCAGAAAAAAATCTGAAAAAGAAGAAAAATAAAGTATTAGACAAGTAGAAATATAGAAACTTAGATTAACGGGGGCAGCAAACATTATAGATTCAGTTATAAATAAGAATGTAGTTAACTCCAAACAAAGGAGAAAGGGAGAAACATTTAATAAACAGTTTTAAGATCATTATTCAAGGAGGTGAGAAAATAATATTTTTAAGACTCCCACACCTTTTTTACCATATATAGAAATAAATTGCAGAGCATATAAAGTATTACGTTTAAAAGGAAGAAAGATAAATTAATCAAAAATAGAAAAATTATTATATCTTCAGAGAACTACTAATTTTCCAATAGATGATATGATAAAATAAATTACAAAGGAGAGGACTCACAGATACAATGACAAAACAATTTAACACATGTGTAGAAAAAGAATGTAGACAATAAAAATATGTGAAAAATTTGAAGGAAATGTTCTTTAGATTTACAAGAAATGATTAAGATACCAATTAGAAAAGAATACAAATAGATCATTATATTTAAAAATCAGTAGCAAGTATATAGAATCACCATTAGTCAAATAAATGAAAACAACTGCAAGTAATACTTTATATAGCTTAAATTTACTAAGTCAATATTTATAGAGCATGTAATGCATGTAAGAAATTCTTTAAGGTTCTATGGATGTGCAATTGAACGAAACAAGCAAATACTACTGCTGTCATGGAGTTTATATAGTCTATTTTTTATATTCCATTGTGGAGAGAGAAAATGAATTTATAAAGATGTAAATACATTCTGTAGGTGACAAAGACCAAGGAAGGCAAGTACCCAAGAGTATGGGTCAGGGAGCAGGAAAGAGGGGTGCTGTCCGGGAAAGCCTTGCTGCTAAGTGCATGTGAGCAGAGAACTGAGGGCTGTGAGTGAGTCAGTGGCTGATGAAAAAGAGGACATTCTATGCAGAGTGAAAAGCAAGTGTCAATGCCCTGAGTAACAGGGTAGAAGCTAAGGAAAGTAGGGCGGTTGGAGATCCATTTTGTGGGTGTTTCAGGCTATCATAACAACTTTGGCTTTTACACTAAATAAGATGAAAAGCCATTTGAAGTTTTTAATCAGGGGAGTGATTGATCGGACTTTGTATTAAAAGCAGTGCTTTTGCATGTGGAGGGTAGCATATGGAATGAGGGTAGCATATGGAATGCAAGGGTGAAGAATAGACTGTGGGACCAGAAGTAGAAGCAGGAAAAGACCTGTTTCAATACTTCAACAGAGAGGCCACGGTGCCAGGATGAAGACGGTGGAGACGGCAAGAAGTAATCAATTCTGGGGATGTTTTGAATTTAAAGTTCTGTCGATAGATCATGTATGAGTTGTGAAAGAGAAAATTCAAAGATGAATGGAGATTTACGTCCAAGAAAGGGGAAGAACTGTTCTGTTCCCATTTCCAAGAGGGGAAAGATACATGTGAATAGAACATGTTTCAAGAATGGAGGTGGGGCGATGACATTAAGAAAGTTAGAAAAAAAATCAGCAATTTCTTTTTGGATATGCTATTTTTGTGCTACATAATTGATATCCAAATGGAAAAAGGTTAAGTAGGCAGTACATTATTAGAAAATGTATCAAACAATTTAGTAGAATAAAGAACAAAAGAAGAAAATCATTTTAGAATCTCAACAGGTGTAGAAGAAGCATTTCTTACAGCACTTAGCTATGAAAAAAATGTGAGTTTTTTTTTTTTTTAGAAAGTCAAGTATGGGAGAGTACTTTATTAACTTGCAAATAATATATTCCAAAAACCTATTGTGAATATAATACTTAGGTTAGTTTCTTTAAATTTCATAATTGTCATAAATGTCTGCTTTCTTAGATGTTTTTGCATTCTAATGGAATCTAATGGAAATCATGGCCAACAAAATAAGAAAAGAAAAGGGAACGAATGGTGTAAGAATTAAAAAGTAAGAGATAAGCCATTAGTGCTGACAACTCTTCAGAATGACCACATAATACAAGATCAATAGAATGCCTCCACTCCATGTGCTTGCACACTTTTTCTGTAAAAAACAAGTTAGTAAATATTTTCACCCTTGCAAGCCATAAGTCTCCATCACAACTATTCAACTCTGCCATTGTGGTGTAAAAGAAAGCAGCCATAGACAATCTGTAAGTGACTGGATGTAATTGAGTTTTAATAAAACTGTGCTTACTTACGAAAACAGGTTGGTGGGCCAGATTTGGCCCCTCAGTCATAGTTTTCCAATGTTACGTCTTCTCTATGCCAATGTTACCAACCAGAAAAGGGAATCAAAAATGATATACCTTTCTTGATAGCAGCAAAAACTGTGAGGCTTTTAGGAATTAATTTAAACAATATGGCACAATACTTTTATAGAGAACATTTTAAAATACTCTCAAGGATATTGAAAAAGACTTGAATAAGTGGAGAAATATACTGTGTTCACAGATGGGAAGTCTCATTGTGAAGGTATCACTATTTCCCAGATTAATCTCTAAATTAATTTAATCAAATAGAAATTTTAGCCACATTTTTCAAAAATATGAAAACACTTATTCTAGAATTTATGTGGAATATAAAAACCACAAATAACTAACTCAATAAGGCAAAAATAAGAGCAAAGCAGGTTGCATCTTCTACTATATTTTAAAGCTATAAAGGCTTAGTAATAGAAACAAAATTATATTGGTGGAGAACAAACTAATGAAACTTAGTAGAGACAATATGCATGCATGCATATATATCCTATATATACATATACATATGTATTAAAACTATATGAGAAAAGGAGCATCAAAACCAATGAGGAGAAAATTCCCCATTTAGTAGATTATACTGGAAAAATTTCATTCAGTATACAGAGCAAAATAAACTAGATCCTAACTTTGCTTGTTGTTTGTTTGAGACAGGATCTCCTGTCCCCTTTTCTCAGGCTGGAGTGCAGTGGTGCAATCACTGCTCACTGCAGCCTTGACTTCCTGGGCTCAGGTGATTCTCATGCCTCATCCTTTTGAGTAGCTGGGACCACAGGTGTGCACCACCACACCTGGCTAAATTTTTTTTGTGTGTTTTTAATAGAGATGGGGTTTCTCCATGTTGCCCAGCCTCATCTTGAACTCCTGGACTCAAGCAATAGCCCACCTCAGCCTCTCAAAGTGCTGAGATTACAGGCATGAGCCACCGTGCCCAGCCTAGATCCTTACTTTACAAAATATACTATAATGAAAGCCAGATTAAAGATATTAATTTAAAATTAGAAAGTCAAAATAGTAAATATAGTGGACTATCTTTATAATCTTGTAATGGAAAAGAGATATATTTACACGAAACACAAGATATGCTTGTCAATTTGACAAAAATTAGAGATACCTTTTTTACAAATAATATTATAGGCAAAGTTAGTAACAGATGACAGAATGGCAGAGGATATCAATAATATCTGAAACAGTCAAGGGATTAAAATCTTAATAACAGGAAACTCTTGCACATCAAAAGAAAAGAAAATGGACAAGTACTGGAATAGAAATCACACAAAAAAGGAAAACTGAATGGATTAGAGATCCTAAAACTCATCAGTAACCAAAGAAATGCAAATTAAACAACAATATCACTTTAGAGCCATCAAATTAGCAAATTTTTAAAATTCAGATACTGCCCAATACTGAAGAGAATGTAAGTCAACTGGAAGCTTCACGCCTAATTGATGAAAAGATTTGAGTCACTCTGAACAGCAGTCTGACAGTTCCTAATGAAACCTATTGTGAAAAAAGCCTGTGACTCAGCAGTCTCATTCTTGGGTATAAATCTCAGAGACATGCTCTCAAAGTCCATTATGTGATATTTGCAAGGATATTCATTGCAGCATTATTTGTGTTTCCTGGAAATACGAGGCAACTTATACAACAAAATGCCACATATGTACATTTAAAACTCTTGTAAATATCATGTTTTAGAAGGGTGCATACATATCCAAAAAGCTGATGTCTACTAGAGAAGGAAATGTGTTTGCGAGTCAGGAATAAAGGGAATTAAGAAAAGGGGACAAGAGAAAGGTCTCAATTGCACTGAGAGTGATGGAGCTTCATAAACTGAGTGTATGATCAATTCTACACATGAGGCTCAAATAGAGAAATGTCTTGCTTCTATATTGCAACCAAAAATTGTTGAAAATCATAACTAAGAGTCATACAAGAAAGTAGTGTAGAAAAAAGCAAAGATTGGTGTGTCTGAGTGATAAAATTATGTGAAAAAAATTTTCCTTTGTTGTTATAATGTTGTTAGTGTTAATGAAACTTCTCTTTAAGCACAATACAAGGTAAATGCTAACAATGATGCTTGTTGTCAGTGCTGAACATTTTCCAGGGGTAGTGGATAAGCAAAATTAATAGTCTGAGTAAAAGTACTAATTAGTTATTTATTTGGAGCTTTGTTAATTTTTTTTTAACCTCATAATACCATGGTAAGTATTTTGGCTATTTCTAACATGTCACAATAACTTAGTTTCATTCGTTTACGTAGCACATTTTTGTTCGGTTTTAATTGCTGAGTACGGTAGCCTCCGGTAATAAGCTTTGGGATTAAGGAAAGGCAGTGGTGCTCTGCTTCAACATCCACTGGCAGATAAGTCTCGACAGTGGGAAGATTTTAAACCCTGTACATGACCTCCTAAACCAAGAGTTGCAAACCCCTAGTCTAAGTTTTTCTTGATAAACCCAAAAACATGAAAGGACTCACTCAAATCCACTACAACCTGTTCTCCTTGTTAAATCCTCACAGAGTGGACTCACATATCCTTAGCCATCTAAGAACATTTGCCTCTCTCTATACCTCATTTTTTTTGTTTCTTTGTTCTCCTTTTCTCCTGACCAATTTCCATTGCTGTAACATATAAAACCTCTGTTCACTACCAGCCAGGGTTGTCCCACTTTGGGAATGACCTTCCTGCTAGCAGCAAATAAAGGTTTTCATGTGGTTGCTCCCTGTGGCAGTCTTTAGTTTAGGACCTTTCTAGAGTGGCCAATCCGACATAAGGCTCTGGAATTCAGCCTATACCTATTGTGGCACACTTTTATAAATTTCTGAAAGTCTACCCTTAGGACCAACAGGTTTCAGACCAAATAGTCTTTTTGGACTAGTAAGTCTTCAGTATGCCTACCATTCTGTGGCTTCTAAGTCTTGAAAAAGAGCAGATAATTTTTTTTCTTAAAGGGAGAGAAAGTGATTTTCAGGCCCATTGTGGTTTTCACTCTCCTTTTCTCTAAACTAATGGTCAAGCATGAGCCTAAAGCCAGATGACTGGGTTGCAATACCATTTCCACCACTTACTATCTGTGTCCTCTTGGGTAAGTTACTTGGGTAAGTTACTCTTGGGTAAGTTAACCTTTCTGTGTCTCAGTTTCCTCATATGCAAATTGGAGAAAATAGTAATAATCTCATAAATTTGATGTGAGGATTAATTGAGCACCTAAGTAAGTACTCATTGCATTTCTTCTATTATCATTGTTACTATATGCCAGCCACTTCAGGCTCTGTGCTAGGTTTGCCGTGATGAATCAGACATAATCTCTGTTCTCATATTGCATCTAACTTAACAAGAGTCATCAATCTGTTATTTAGCAGCAAGCTTCCATTGACTAAAAGGCAAGGCCCTAGTTGCATATCCCAAACACTAGGATTCTTTGTGCCTCCAAATACCCTCTTCTACTTCATTTGTTGGGACCAGAGCTTTCAGGGATTCCTATCCGCTAATCTCTCATTTGTTGCTTCTCAGCCTTCAGGGGTTCTTAATATCAGAGCCATCTGCTCCAATATCCCCACTCGCTAGAATGGCAGACCTAGTTATATAAGAAAGAGAACACCAGGAAGAAGGTTGTGAACCTGTTTGTAAATAGAGCAAAGGCAACACCCTTATAGCCCCTGTAATGATAAGTCAACAACTTATGTTGCAATTGAAATCTTCCTCATTGGATTTATGTTAATGTGTCAATGAGGAAAGAGATTAAATGTAGTACCAAGGGTGAATTAAGAGTAGAAAAGTTTTATGAGAAATTACAAATTTAGGCTGGGTGTGGTGGCTCACGCCTCTAATCCTAACACTTTGGGAGGCCAAGGCAGGTGGATTGCTTGAGGCCAGGAGTTAGAGACCAGCCTGACTAACATGGTGAAACTCAGTCTACAAAAAAATAAAAAATTTAGCCAGGTGTGGTGGTATGTGCCTGTAGTCCCAGTTACTCAGGAGGCTGAGGCACAAAAATCTCCTAAACCTGGGAGATGGAAGTTGCAGTGAGCTAGGAGCATGCCACTGCACTGCAGCCTAAGCAACAGAGCAAGACTCTGTCTCAGAGGAAAAAAAAAAAGAAATTACAAATTTAAATTTGGCTCAAGAAAAGCTGAAAGGCAAGTAGTCCAATCAGCTTGGCTACAATATGTGATCCAGGCAAGGCTCCATCTGATTTAGATGCATCCTGGTGTAAACCTAGCACCAAACAATAAAACTAAACAATACTGTAGTACAACTGATAAGAAGCTAGCTTCATCACAGACAAGAGATGCAGAAAAGAAAATAGATTATTGGGAAGAAGACACTGAATAATTCCAGTGAAGACTTGACGGCTGCAAAGGTTTATTCAATCCCTCTGGGCTTATGAAAATAAATCTCTAAGGCATATTATTAACACTTCAACCCAAATGGACTTTTCTTACCCACTGTTCTCCCTTGGAAACTACACAGAACAGGTATAGTATGTGTGAGAGTGTTGTGTATGTGTGTATATAAATTAAGTAATGGAATAAGTAATGCAATCAAGACTTTAAAATTTGAAACTTGAATCTCTTGGTGAATTATTCTAAACCTATCCACCTCCCAGCATGTCTTACACTTATAAAGTTACTATTTGCCTTTTACTTGCAAGAGGATAAAATTTGGAATCTTAGACTTCATTAGGCTGAAAGGAAGCATCTAGATAGACTGATAGGATGGTGATGTGGTTGGGATATTATCCCCTTCAAATCTCATGTTGAAATGTGATCCCCGGTGTTGGAGGTGGGCCTAGTGGGAGGTGATCTGGTCATAATGATGGATACCTCATGAATAACTTGGTGCCTCATGAATTGCCCCTCTCTCGCTGTGTAACAGGCCTACTCCCCCTTTGTCTTCCACCATGATTGTAAGCTTCCTGTGGCCTCACCAGAAGCTGAGCAGCTCCAAGCACCAGGCTTGTACAGCCTGCAAAACCATGAGTCAAAAAATCTCTTTTTTAAAATAAATCATTCAGCCTCAGGTGTTCCTTTATAGCAACACAAAATGAACTAATATAGATGTCCTGTCCTTAGGGGAAAGTTATCCAAGTCCTAGGATTAGAAATATATTTTCAATAGCCTAGCCTCTGGAACAAATTATATCTAAAATTTAAAAAATTTGAAATTAGTTGAATCTAGAATCTGGTAGGTAGATAGATCTAGTGGGCTGAGAGGAGGCCCAAAGTGTGCAACTCATTTCTTTGATTAATGAGGTACTAATGGCTAAATGTTGTTCTAGAATCATGTGTCTCCAGTCCTGCCTGAGGCAGGACTGTATAATGTATATATACTCATGCCTGAGTGTACTATCCAACCAACAACAAAACAAGCTGCTACATTTAAATGCTAACTTCTGCAGATATACAAATGACCACACACTGACACTCAAATATTTATTCTTATTAATAATAAACCTCAAAATCTAGAGTACTGGTGCAGACACCCTGTTTATTTAAAAATATTCCAAGATAAAGCCACTGCTCCTCTTGCAAATATATGTGCTACTTTGTTGAATAATTTGATAGGAATTTTAGGTTAAACAACTATTACCTTTTGTCCCAGGCCAAGTTGCCTTTTACTGATTTAAATGTTGACTACAGCAAGTGGAAAGCATAAAAAATATAATGATACAGCCCTATAAAAAAATCAAGAAAGGAGAGGCGCAGTCCTGCCTGAACAAATATCATTAAGCCTAACCATACCTAGAGGGCAGGGATTTGTGTCAGTTTTGTGTCTCCGGCGTCTAAGAGAATGCTTACGAGCTGGAGACACAAAATACATATTTCTTAAATGAATGGTCTTCAATTTTTAAATTCTTTTCCATTTCTAATTATAAACTCTACATCTCATTCTCTCATTTATTTTATTCCATTTTCTCCTTTTTATGTGTAATATCTTCAGTATCTCTAATAAGCACATCTCTGTCTATCCCCAAGACACATGCTAAGCAGCTTAATGTGATGCCCATGCATCTCCAAGGTGTTTCCTAAGGGAAAAGGGAGATTTTGGAATCTTGCAGGATCAGATTTTGTTCTTTGGAAATAATAACTGAGTAGATGAAAATCTGTAAGACAATCACTCTTTAAAACATTTACTACCTTGGAAGACCGGGAGGATTGAGGGTTGAGTCAAGAACAAGCATCCTTACTAAACATATTTTATTTAAATAAGAAAGCTTTTGACCACCAACAAAATTGTTTTTAAAAATACAGCAACAACAACAAAAACCAGTGATCCTGTGAGATGTAATTACACCTCAGGACACCACATAATTTTAATTATGCCAGAATATGTTGGAATATGGTGAAATGTATAGAAAACGTGTCCATCTGAAACCCTTTACTGGACGAAAATGTATTTCACAATAGCAAGCTCAAGCAGTAATGAAACCTGCAGTGTATCAGGATGACCTTTCAGACTGTGCCAATATTGACAAAATCAAGGAACTCTTTGGAAACCTAGATAGGACAAGCAAATAAGAAACGCCAAGAGATCACACTACATACTTAAGTCAACCAAACAAAGTTTGTTTGTAACTTGACAATATTCCTATGAATCAGAAATTATAATGCCTTTAAAAAATGTGTTGGGGTTCTAAATTTTAAATTTGATCTCTTGGAATTGTTCATATTATTTTTAAGAAATTCCCAGACTAGCAATTAGCTCAAATAGCTTTTTAAAAATCAACTTGCATTAAAATTAGTTAGCATTAAAATGTTCTATATTATTGAAATATGTCGAAGCCACTTCAGGTGTTTGCCTGGAAATCATGGAACCATATGTATGCATATGGTTATGTATGCATGTGTATGTATATGCATGTTTATGTATGTGTATATTTATGTGTGTATATACCTATATATGTCTGTGTATGTATGTGTGTGTATATGCATAATGTTTAAATATCTTTAAGTATAAAAACAACAAAAAATTCCAACGCAGTGCTTGTTTAGGGTAAAATTCAATGCAGATTCTCAAGCCTTAGCATATTAATGCTCTCCAGCTCAAAAGATCAAATGTCAGCATCCCACAGTACTTGTAGCAGATTTAAGACAACAGGGAACAAGAATCCCAGATGCTTTGCCTTATCAGCAAATCTTTTTCAGGTAACTAATCTTTAGCTCATCATGCAGTTTTGCCACCTAAGAGATTTCTTTTACTCCCTCTCTTAAGTGTCTGTCTGACTGCATTTGTTCTAACAACTTAACTGCAGTGTCCTGTCATTATTACCTGATTTATTAAGTAGCCAAGGGTCAAACATGCTTGAATGTCTACAATAGGTATCAACAATGTGGGCAGCATAATAAAATGAGATCCAAATAAATGACTGTGTTATAAATATTTTATGTTAGTGAAAAAAATGGTAAAAGCTTTTGGGCTTCTCTGAGTCCTTCTGAAAGGATGTGGTTTTTAAACAACAGAGCCACTTCAAAACCAAACTCTAATTTTAATTCAAAGATGATGTCTCTCAGTGTTCCACACCTGAACTCCAGTTGGTATGTAATTCCTAATAAAATTTCTAGGTAAAGGACGTCACTGTTTTTGTCACTGGATAATATTCTGAATACCATTTCCATCTCAGTAGCCTGTATTTGGCAGCTTAATAGTGCTATGAAGTGAAAGGCATGAAAGAGGACTACAGTGCTGGTGTTTGGGGAGTGAAGAATATTTTTAAAGCAGTTAAGGCAGGAAAGAATAGTCTGGGTCTAGGGAAAATAACTTATTCAAGATTATTGGAAAAAAAAATGCAGATAGCATCACAAAGCTAAGTCTCCTGCTTTCATGTTAAGGATGAAGGATATTTCTTAGCAATTTTGAAAGTCAGCCAGCCTTTAGTTCTTTTGCATTATAATGAGCCACTTCCTTATTCCCTGCGTATGCACCCTGTTGTCCTTACTGACCTTCATTTCTTTCTATAATTGTGGTAACATTTAACATGAGCTCTACCCTTTAAATAAATTTTTGAGTGCACAATACAGTATTGTTATCTACAGGTGCAATGTTCTATAGCTGATCTCTAGAGCTTTATTCATCTTGCCAGACTAAGACTTTATGCCCATTGATAAGTAACTCATTTCCTCCTCCTCCCAGCCCCTGGCCACTATCATTCAACTTTTTCTATGAGTTTGACTACTTTAGATAGCTGATCTAACTGGAATAATGAAGTATTTGTCTTTCACACTGGCTTATTTCACTTAGCACAATGCCCTCATTGACACATATGGCAGGATTTCATTCTTTCTTTAAGGCTTAATAATATTCCATTTTTTGATATATATCATATTTTGTTTATTTACTCATCCTTCAGTAGACATTAAGGTTGTTTCCACCCTTGGCTATTGTGGATAATGCTGCCATGAACTTAGTAGTGCAAATATCTTTCAAGATCCTGATGTCAATTTTTTTTAATAAATACCCAGAGGTGGAATTGCTGGATCATAAGGAAGTTTATTTCCACACTTGCTCTCATCTTCATCAGGGTTATCCCTATTCACTCATCAGGTCACATCTTAGCTGTCACTTCCCAAAAGAAACTTGTCTGGCCCCACCCTCTCACAATTGTATTTCTTGACTTCAAAGTGTTACAACTCAATAAGCATAGACCCAAGGTCACCACACTTCACCAAGCCTTCTTATCTCCTTCTGTGTTCTTCCCTCAGGGAATGGCTCCACATTCATGCAGCAAATCCATCCATCCACGCAGGGGCCCAAGACAGAAATGTGGATGCCATCTTGGTTCCCCTGTTTTTGTTCCCAACATCAACTTGGTAAATAAGGTTCTCAGTCAAATCTGCCCACTTCTCACCATGCCTACCCTGACTCCTCCGATTCAGGTCACCATCATCATCTCTCACTTGCTTGATGACAACCTCAGAGTTTCCTGTTCTTGGCTCCCTGATATCTGTTCTCTACTTTATTGTCAGCCATCCTTCTAACATGTGAATCTAATCATTTATTCTTCAGTGCTACCCATTTACTAGTCTCCGTTGCCTTCAGGATATAATCGAAACTTCTCATCACGATTTACAGGGTATTTCATAATCCCTAATCCATAATCTGTGTGGTAGATATTATCACCCTTAGATTGATTATACAGAGATACACCTTTGATTATACAGAGATAATCAAATTAGAGTCTCCATGATATTGAAAACCTTGATTAGTATCATACAGCCAGGAATTGGTGGTGTTAGAGGTGAATTCATATTATAAGCTTGAATAATGCATTCAAGTTTGATTCATATTTAGAAGTTTTAATTTATTTTTTGCCCAGCAAGATATACATTCTAGGGTCCCACTTAACATACTTATGATTTTATACACAGTATAGCACGGTTAAATTTCATTAGAATGTTACTTGTGTATAAGTTTTTAGACAACCCTTACTTGTTATCTTAGTTGGGTTCTCCTCAAAACAGAATCTGATAAAGGATTTGTGTGCAGGTAATTTACTTGGGAGGTGATCCCAGGGAGCAGGAGTGGGGAGGATTTTGAGCCAGGGAAGGAGAAATAGTCAACAGAAGTATGTGTTAAGGAATGCCAATGCTATGACATTGGGGCTTAATTTTGTAAGGACCTCATAAAAAGTGTCCTGGATGCCTCCCAGAATTCCTACCTGAGGGACAGAAAATGGAGAACTTTCCATCAGCTTCTGGCCTCATTGGCTAAGAGTAGCCCTCAGGGGTATTAACTTCCCCCAAGGTTCTAAGCTGCACATATGCAACAACCAAGCAAGATCCTGCCAGCTCCTGGGATCTGCAGAACTCCAGGTCAGAAAGCAAAAACAGGCAGCACACATATAGTCTCTCTGCCAGAATGATGTGAATTGAAGACCACATAGACCTGTCTAAAACAAAATCCGAGATAGTGGCCTTGAGGATAAATCTGGGCACCAGGCATCTAAAACATCCATCTCAAGAATGAAATAATTTAGAAATAGAATGCTATTTACTAACATTTCTAGACTCAGAACAAATTTCAAGTACAAATCATTGGTTATGGATTAACACAAATACGTTTTTCACTGATTTTTCTCTGCAGAAAATAAGTATAATTGAATTATGTGTATGTGGTCTTATTAAATGATTCATTTATTGCAAATAAGCACTAGGTATTTAGCTGCAAAGCTGGGGTTAATTAAGAAATCATTCTTTCTGGAAAAGGAACAGAATTCTCCACTATAATAGTCAATTTATGGAAATATTAAATATTAAAAACTCTAGGCCCTGAATTTTTCACACAGAAAATGGTTTTAACCATTGGTAAGAGCCTTTGAAGTCATATGGCTGACATTTTTCCTTCTTTTTATTCTCAGTCAGTTCTCAAGATTCTTTGCTGACTTATGTGTTAGGGCATTAAGAAGTATGTCAGGATCATCTATAACTTTCAAAAATGAAATATTTCACATATTTTTGAAACATAAACTCTTTATATCTATTTTGCTTCATTTAAAAATGTATGTTAATATATCCCCAGGCAGGGATAGGGACAAGATAGGAATAGGATGTAATTTAACATAGTAACAAAAGTGACTGCTTGATGTTGGAATTAAAGGAATTTTATTTTCTTCCTTGTGTTATTTCTGGATTTTCTATAGGTCTTACACAATTTTTGTAATATGAAACAATCCTACACTATACATTTTTGAAAGTTAAATTAAAAAGAAAATACTATGGTAACCACTTTTAACTCAAATGTGGCCCAAGATACTTTTTATGAAAAACTCACAACATGAGCTCAAGTAGAAAAGTTTCCCTTGCTATGAAAAAGTCTCAACCATTTGATTGTGTACTGAGTTAATCTATTTCCCATTTGTCAGAGGTGTTAATATCTTTGGTTTGGAGCCCATGCAGAAAGGGCTTGAGAGGTGATGAGCAATATGTATACAGAAGTGGGAGCTACAGTGGGGAAAAACTACAGTGTCCTTTTTGTAAGATAGGTTGCAGCAGAGCCTTCCAGGCAGGAATGAGGGAAGAACTGCAATATCCCACTGGCCTTAATTTTGACTAGATAGGGACACACATAGCATTGTACCATTTGTCATTTCATGTCATGCCTTTCTGGGTTGGTGATGACCTTGCAGTTTCTGGATAGATTTATCCATATGCTCCTGTTAGGAAGGTTCTTCTGGATATATTCCACTGTATTTCTCCTCCTGTGTTAATGGAAACTTCTGGGAAAGAACCAGAAACTTTTTACCTAAGGGAGCTGGTGAGCCCATTAATCATTAACCACTGTAATCACACCAAACCAGCCAGAAAAATAGGCTGATAGGCATAGCCGATAATTGCGTCAGGCTCACTGCTTACCACTGGCAAACCCTAGGTGGATCTTTATGCTGTTAACATGAGTCACTTCCGAGGCTCTCCTTTTCCACAAATTTCTGACATTGGTCAGCTGTCGCAGCATTTCTAGAGCTGCAGCACCTTGTCCTTCTCTTCCCCATGGCTGGCTGCAGAGTGGAGCTCCGTCTTTCTCCTCTGCCATGTCACTTTCAAAGACAGTCACATAGGCCCTTCAAGTTTGTCAGAGTTTTTGGTTTTTGTTTTTGGGAGGTTTGTTTGTTTGTTGCTTTGCATCATGAAAAAAAATGGGCATAACTGAAATAACAAACAAGGAACAAAATCTAGTTTCTGATCATCATAGCCCTCATGCTACAATGCTGATGCATTACTGAGATGGTATCTAGTTCCAGTCTCTACTTTCATTCTTCAAGTTGTTGTTTCCCAAATATCCCATCATTTTCTGACCTCCTCATTAGAGAAAGGAATGCAGAGTCTTTCCTATTCAAAGTTTTTTTATTCTGTGTATGTTGGCAAGGAAAGAAACTAGGACAAAACAAATGTGCCCTTTGTCTTTAGTGATTGATTTGCCTCTCTGTGAATGTCAATGCTAGACATTAGAGAGGCTTTACCTAATTCCCAATCTCCCCACCAATATATGCTCTCTAAATACTACATATTTTCCCTTTACAGCAGGGTTTCTCAACCTTGACACTGTTGACATTTTGGGCTGGATGATTCTTTGTCATGCAGGGCTGCACTATGCATTTTAAGATGTTTTGCAGCATCCTTGGACTCTACCCACTAGATGTTGGTAGCACCACCCCACCCCTTATCCTGGTCATTCATTCCTCAAGTTGGTGCTCTCCAGATATCCCGATTCTGACCTTCTCATTACAGAAGCGAATGCAGAGTGTTCCCTACTTGAAGTCTTTACTTCTGTGTATGTTGGCAAGCAAAGAAAACAGGGCAAAACAAATGTGCCCTTTATCTTTAGTGGTTAATTTATGACAACCAAAAATGTTGCCAGACATTGCCAAAAGTCTTCTGAGGGGGAGGGGGCAAAATTACTCCTGCTTGGGAGTAAAAACCACAGCTCTAGAGAACTTATTAAATTTGTAATTATATGTTTATTTGTGTAATTTTAAGTAATTACTGTCTCTTCCACTAGACCGTAAATTCCAGAAGGCTAGGATCATCTCCATTCTAAAACATGCCTAACTTATCTTCCTGGCACATAGTAGCTACATATTGAATATATATTGACTTAGTTAATGAATAAATGATATGGTCCATTTTATGAGCAATTACAATAATTCTGAAAGATCCAGGTTAGTGTCTACATCACATTTCATGAGAAAAATGACTATTCTTGTTATGCAACATAAATTATATTTACAAACTTTAACAATATATAAGGGACATGACATTTGAGACATATGAGTAACTTTTTTCTTATATTATTATTTGAAAAACTTACAAGTAGAAGAGTTAAAATTTTTTCAAAAATTGATTTGAATTTTAATTTATGTTGTATTTCTCCACAAATTATATCTGAATGTTTTTGAGTATGTAAGTACATTTATTAATGCTGATGGCAGAATAATTGTTTAGTTCTCTTAAAACATTTTATTAACCGGGTGTGGTGGCTCACACCTGTAATCCCAACACTCTGGGAGGCTGAGGTGGGCAAATCACTTGAGGTCAGGAGTTCAAGACCAGCCTGGTCAATATGGTGAAACCCCGTCTCTACTAAAAATACAAAAATTAGCTTGGCATGTGGCATGTGCCTGTAGTCCCAGCTACTCACGGAGGCTGAGGCAGGAGAATCTCTTGAACCCAGGAGGCGGAGGTTGCAGTGAGCCGACATTGTGCCACTGCACTCCAGTGTGAGAAACAGAGCAAGACTCTGTCTCCAAAAAAAAAAAAAAAAAAGCTAAATTTATTATAATTTTAAAAATTTTAATTACAAAATTAATATTCACACACTCTAAAAAAATAATTTAAAATAATTTAAACTATACAGATAAAGTAAATCCCTTGACTGTTTCACAAACTAGTGTTGTCCTCATAGTTGAAAACCGTAGTTTTGTTTTTTAATAAGTATTAAGATATTAAGGTTTCTTCCCCATACACACATTTATTTCCTGGCCCTTGACTCCAGTTAGCGGCATTCATCACCTTGGAGGAGAGCTAGCACACTCAAATGAACCAAACAGCAAGTCTAGTTCTTACGTTTCTAAGCAAACTTTTAAAAATCATGACAAAAACCATAGTCTTGAAAACCTTTTTTAAAATTTTTGATTACAAATATGGGGTTTTCGGTTTTGTTTTGAGTTTTAAGACTCAGAAGTAAAATTTGGGCAGAGCTGAGTAAAAGGGAAAAAAGCCACAAACAATAGCTTGAAAAGAGAATAGCTGAAGATTCAGAACAACTACCCCACTTCCATCCCTTCCCCCACCAGCATAGTAGATAATACCAGTCCTGGGAATGGAGATAGAGCAACAGTCAGACGTCCATGTAGGTCTTGAGGAAGAGAAAACTTTGACCAGGTGCTACAAAATTGATGGAAGGAGGGCTGTTGCAATGATCTATTACTGCATAACAAATTACCATAAAATTTTAATGGTTCAAAACAAAAGTAATTATTTTATTACCTCTCACAGTTTCTGTTAATCAAGAATTCAAGAAGGGCTGGGCTGGGTGGTTCTGGCTCTGAGAAGCCTATATATTCAGTGACCATTCCTGAGAATGGTATGATACCCCTGTCTGCGTGGGCAGACACCAAGTGGAGACCATTCCCGAACGTGATGGCCCTTCAGCACCTGTGAATATACATGACAGCTAAGGTAAGAGAAAGTCCTGAATTGATATCTGGAAGTGACCAGATTAAGTTTTCTACCATCAGTCCACATTGGAGCTCAACATATAATCTCTATGTTGATTTACAGAAAAATAAAGAATGCTATTAATTTCATTTTCGTATGATACCCACTATATTACTATTCCCTCTTGGGTGAACATTTAGATTGCTTCCAATTTTTTACCATAGAAATTATGCTGCAATGACAACTTGTACATGTTTATATGTGTACATGTCTATTTCTCTAGAAAAGATAAAATTTAAATAAAAATTCAACAGATTCTTTGTGCTTTTCCACAAAGAATTATCCTGCCCAACCGTTCATTGTATTACTAGAATATGAGCTACTTGAGGACAGGGATTTTTGTGTGTTCTGTGAATATTACTTGTACAATAAACTTACGTTGAACACAGTTATCCTTTATGTATCAAATAACTCTATTCTTTCTACTCAATATGTTTATCTTTGGAATAATCTCATGAGCCCTTTTTCTCAGAGAGCTCCATGTTTCCTGAATAAAACTAATGCCACAAGCAGTCTTACAAACCAGCTAAGGAAGATTGAGTAGGAATTTGAGTAGGAAGCTGGCTAGGGGACCCTTGCTCAAGAATATCAACCCTGTCATCTTTGAAGCTGTAATTTTTACAGCATAGTTGTTAAGGGTCTTGAGGAGGTTTGATCCTCTACTAAATGCAAGTATTCTCAGTAGATAATAAATCTTCTGCCCCCACCCATCACCACCAATAAATTTTACCATAATTATCAGCTGGTAATTTAAACATGGCTTGACAGAAACCAAGAGGACCAATTTTAATTGAGATTTTTTAAAAATAAGGAGACCAAAAAGAAGGACACCAAAGACATAAAATCTCCTAACTTCATTTTGTCTGGAGCCCACTTTGCCTGGGATTAGAGATGACAAAAGTTTATACTTAGAGAGCTTCAGTTGCTTGACAGTTACATTTCATTTGTGAATGTCACTCACTCTCTACTTCTCAGGTTTTCTTTTACCAATGTAAATCCACTGGATAAGTGCTATACCTACTTCTACTTAATGTATGAAGAAGGTTGCATTATTAGACATCAATAAGCATCTGTAATGTCACAATGCTGTCATTAAAATGTTCAGGTTTTATTTCTCTTTTCACACAGGACAGCCCAGGCAAGTAGAACAATAGTGTTTGCTCTCTCATCCACACAGCACCACCATAGTGGATATTGGGTTTTTTAAATCCCAAACCAGTCTGGGTGCAGTGGCTCACGCCTGTAATCCCAGCACTTTGGGAGGCTGAGGCGGGTGGATCACGAGGTCAGGAGTTCAAGACCAGCCTGGCCAACATGGTGAAACCCCGTCTCTACTAAGGATACAAAAATTAGCCAGGCATGGTGGTGCACGCTTGTAATCCCAGCTACTCAGGAGGCTGAGGCAGGAGAATTGCTTGAACCTGGAAGGCAGAGGTTGCAGTGAGCCAAGATCGCACCACTGCCCTCCAGCCTGGCGACAGACCGAGACTCTGTCTCAAAAAAAAAAAAAAAAAAAAAACAAAGAAAGAAAGAAATCCCAAATAAATGACTAAACAAGAAAAATGCAGACCAAGGCTTTTTCTGGGAGATCTTAAAACTGTTGATAACTTTTGTCAGTCAGCTTCAGATTTACACTTTTAGCTAAATATAATTGTGGAATAAATAGACCTTGGGAAAAAGACAGGTGGGAGGGAAAGGGAGATTGCTCATGCACCCTCAAGGATGTTCTTGAGACTTTCAGGATTACAAAAGGCATGTTTTCTGCTTCTCTAAATCAACCAATAGCAAAGGTTTCACATAAAAATGTTCTTGGGAAAAAAGCAAGACTAGTAAAACAGTAAAACAAATAAAATAAAAATCTATATGAAAAGAATTATTTTTCATTCTTATTTCCCTTTGACAATTGGCTAATGATCAGTTAGAAAATGAGGATATGATAGATCCACTGGCAGTCTAATAATTTAAATTTTTTTCTGAACTTGGCTTCCATGTGTGTTTCTACAGAAGGAAGCTCTTGGCATTTCAAAAGAGTATTAATAACCCAAGACTTCATCGGATTGCACAGACCTGGATGATTCCTTCTGTTCCTGTGGCTCATTCTTAGCTGATCTTCGAATGTCATTTAGATGACATTCAACAGCTATTGTATGTCCATGCATATTGAATATTCACTGTGTGCCTCATAATTTATGCAGCTATCACATTTAATTATCATAACAACTTTATGACTTGAACACCAATGTTAACCCCATTTTGGAGTAGAGAATGGAGGCGCATGGTGCTAAAGTCATATGTGTTTAGCTGTGTGTATGGGATTAAAATGCAGGTAGCCTGACTCTGAGGCCTATGCTTAACCTTCATGTAATCAATCCTTCAATCTGGCTATATGCTTTCCTATATGCACCCATGCATCCAAGCACTTACACTATTCTTGAACTTTTAAAATATCACTGTGGCTGCCTGCTAAATTGCCTGTCTCTCCTACAAGATTACAAGCAACCTGAAGGCATAAATATTTTCAGTCATAGTCATATTCCCAGTGCCTAGCACATTGCCTGGCACATAAACAAAAACATTTCAAATGAATATTTTTCCCTCTAGTGATAATAATAGTGAATAGCTTTAACAACTAATCTACCTGGATTCAAATCTTGGTGCTGATAGTTACTTGCTATGTTGACCATGGAAAAATCATTAACCTCTTGGTATCTGTTTCCTTAGAGATAGTAATAGTCTGCTTCATAATATTGCTGTACAGATTAAATGTTAAAATTAGAGAAATTAAAATAGTACTTGGCACATAGGAAGCCATTTCATGAGGAATTCAATTCACAGACATTTTCTTTTAATGAAGAAGACAATACACTGACGTTAAAGAAATAAAAGAAATTATATTATTAAAAAGAGTCTATTAAGATTCAAAGGAGGATCACATGCTAACTAATGAAAGACAAGATTGATATCTTACACAATAGATGACTATTCTTTGCAATTTAGCTATAATTAGAATTTTACATATTAGACAAATATTATCCTTGGCTGCACTTCATGCTTCGGAATTATGGTTATTGACCTCTAAAAACAACTACCCATAAATCTCAAAGCATTACCTCTAATAGTTCCTCAAAGTGGCTGATCATAATAATAACTTGAGAGTTAAAACACACACACACACACACACACACACACAGACACACACACACGTTTCCTAGCCTTACCCCTAGAAAGTCTGATTCTTCAGAACTAAAGTGGAACAAGAGTTTGCATTTAGAGTGTTTTATTGATCTTTTTTCCATCTGGGAGTCATTGATTCAAGAGAGTTCTACTCTGGTTAGCTACAATATGCTCCCTTTTTGACCCTGTTTTTCAAGAAATACCAGCAGAAATCAGGCCACAGCTGAGAGATCATGCTGCTCCAAACTCCATCCTGGATTTCCTTGATGTTGTTCCTCTACCCCGTTCAAGGATTTCCCATCAACCACATTTTGCCTCTTTTGCTGGGATTTACTAAATACTGAAGATTTTTAAAATATTTTTAAGAAGTGTATTGGAACCTAATATTTCATTTTGTCAGTAATTAAAACTGTGGTTGAAATTATTGACTAAAAAAACACATTTTTTGGTAAACACTATCTTTTTTCAAACAATTAAAGCAGGAAAATTATTCATTTCCATGAAATAATAAAGATACTACTAACATTACTGAGCATCTACCCTGTCTCAGACACAAGCTGATTTTACTCTTTATAATAACCCTGCAGAGTAGGCATGATTTTACTGTCTTGTTGATTAGGAAATTGACATTCAGTTCAGTTGAGTAACTTGTTCAAGATCCCATGGCCAGTAAAAGGCTGAGCTCAGGTTCCAATCCAGATTTCTGATTCCACATTCACAGCCATTTCCTCCTTCACTGGCCAGTAGGGGCACATCTCCCTTCTGCAGTGAAAATTACATTCAATTAGGTTTTTAAAAAATGTAATGCATTGTCAGCATATAATAACATTTTTGGTAACCTTACTTTTTAATAGGCAATGTCTTTTTTGTTAGAATTACTCCACAGTGCACTGTGAATAGGCTGTGAAAATTGGCAGCACAGGCCAGAGTCTGATTTAGTCAAACATCAATCTACTTGTAAAAGTTCTCAGAAAACAAAAAAATGCCTTTAACACTTTGCCAAGCATGGGGAGGAGGCTGGCTTGAGGGTTACATGTGCTTTCTTCCTACAGTACAGAACAGTCTACTTCACATCTTCAAACATCAGTACATATATTTTTCCTCTTGTTTGATCACTTTGAGTACGCTTGGAAATGCATTTGCTCCATAAGACACATGAAACTGCCAGGTAGCCCTCCAGGTGCCCACAGGTGCCCAAAACGCATCATTTTGGGCTAGGTGCCCTTCTCAGCTTGGTCAATTTGCTGCCAACAGGAAGGGAAACATTCGCATCCTCTGAGTGGGCAGCCACTGCTCCCAACACCTGCTCCAAGACCTTTGTCTTTCTTCATGTAAAGCCTTTTTCCAAAGTTCCTTGGCTGAGCAAGATGAGGAAAATCTCCTCAAAATAGAAGACTGAGCATTTATCACCCACTTTAAAAATCTTGCATGGCTGAGGTGAGCTAGTGACTTGGGGTCATTTTCCAGCTTCATCCCATTTTCATTTACTCATTTATTCACTCATTCATTTATTCAATGCTTTTTAAGGGGCAGCTGTGCGCCATGTGCTCTGTAAGCACTAGGGATGATTAGTTATCCACTGTCCCTCCTCAAGAAGCTGCCCGAGAGATGTTTCATAAAAGGCAGCCTGATAAGTCCAGTGATGGAGGAATGTGCAGGGCACTGTGGGAGGAACAGAAAAGGTTTATCCATCCCAGCAAGAGGAGGTGGGCCGAGGGTGAGGGAAAGCTTCCCGGGGAGGCAACCCCTTAGTTCATTCTGACAGGATGAGTGGGAGGAATCCAACTGGGGTGGGAGACTGGGACTTGCTGAGGGGCATTATGGACAATGAGGACAACATGAGCCTAGACTTTAAGGAGTTCACTCTGTGTGTGTGTGTGTGTGTGTGTGTGTGTTTGCATCTGTATGTGGGAGCTGTGGGGATGCGTGTGGTACAATGTGTGTTGGGGAGGAGCAGAGCTGCAGCAGCTCTGCATGTCTAGGGTGGAGGCTGAGGTAAGAAGCCCCAGCAGATGAGGCTGGAAAGACAGAAGGTGAGGCCACCCTGGTGCTCCAGAGACAGTTAATGAAGTCAGTTCATCGTGTCATCAGGGAGCGGAACAAAAAAGTTAAGAATGAAAGACTACACTCATAGCTGCCTTGTTATGCCTCTGTAGTTACTGATCAGAAATCCTGAGGTGTTCCAAGATCTAACAGCTTCCGAAAGCATGAAAATTAAGACTGACACTCCGGAGGATCCTTGGCAGCTCTTCCTCAAAGGCTTCTCTGGGCTTTCGCTTCTTAAGTGGGGAAGTGAAGAACCAGAATTCTGGAATGATTATTCACGAAGGCTCTGAGGTTGACTGCCTTGGTCTGCATCCTCACTCCAATAGCAAGTTCTATAAGCTGAGGCCAATCACTTAAGTCTCTTTGCCTCAGTTTCCTTGTTTATAAAATAAGAAAGATTATGGTTTTTATCTTTGAGTTGCCCTATTCACAAAATATTCATAAAGAGCTTAGAAGCTTACCTGGCACAAAAGAAGCACTCAGTGAATGTCCACTATTACTGTAATTGTTGCTATGGAAACTCATCTTAAATCTAATACTTTAGGACTCCCCAGTTATCTCAGATATTTACTGCATAATTTTCATTGTAAAAGTTTAGCAAAGGTTTAGAGAAAGAAAAAGATTTGTGGGCTAGAGTGTCATAAACTGCCACATTATAACTATGGAAGCATTTTTTGCCTGTTTTCTTATTGAAAATATAATTTATAATACCAAAGCTCAAGATATGTACATGTAATTTATATAGTTATTTTAGGATTAAATAAAAGGAAGTATGTAAGGATGCTGAAACGCTTGGTATAGGCATCTGGTATACATATTCAATATGAAATAAATAATTACATTCCCCTTTATTCAAACATAAATAGTTACTATTTCCATGAGAGGAGAGAGAATATAAAGAATAGAGCATATGTAACTTTTTGATAAGTCCTGCAAATGTAAGGACAAGAAGACACATGAAATTATAGGTATTTTATCAGAAACAAACAAGGTGGAAATACTTTTACAGCCACCTGTGGAATTGGGGTTATTGATAGCCACAGATATATATTTAATAACAGTGCTTTATGGATATCAGTGACATCCATGAGTGCTTTATGGATATCAGTGACATCAACATCATGCAAGCTGAGTGATGGCAATGACAGTTTAAAAACCTTGGGATGTACACCTGGAGGGTGCAGAAGAAATCTTCCCTCAATACAAAGCAAGAGGATGGAGACTTATAAAACAAACTAAAAACATGGGTGATCAAAAAGGTGTTCTTAGAAATGTTAATACTAACCATGATGCAACAGATATATTAAGAAAAAGTCATCTTGTAAATAGCATAGAATTATGTATTGAGTAGAAACAATGCATATATTTATGTACATGATTAAGCTAAAAGAAGAGCTTTTAAGTGGGATCTAGATAGAAGGAAAAATAATCATGATGAGGCTTCCCCACACTGTCACTGAATGTCCTGTGGGTGACAACAGCTCCCAGCATATGCTGAGAGAGTGGCAACTAATTATTTGCCAAACCTATTCCCATGCCTCAGCCTTCTCTTACATCAGCCACCCCTTCTATTCCATTCCCTCACTGAAAAGTTACTTTCAAGACCCCTGCAATGAAGCAGACTAGGAAAATACTAACTTACTCTCTTACTCATAGAGGCAGCCTCCAGTCCTGCTAGCCACAATAATGGGACACTTTTTTATTTAAATTACCAAACCCATACAGTCAATCAATAAATATCTGGTGTTTTTCCAGAAAGTTTCTAGGGAAACTTCTAGGGAAGTTTCCCAGGGAGCATCTAGGACTCATGGAGATGGCAAAAAAATACATTTCATTGATGATGCCTTCAGTTATAAGGTAAGCAATAATTTTATGTCAACTCAGAAGGGAGAAACACTTCCAACTAACTGATGACACAATGCCATACTGATAGTATGTATGCACGCATGAGTTGGTCATATCAATTTTCATTGTGTTACATTTTTTTCATCTATTAAGAGGTAATTAGCAATTTCTCCTTTTTTCATCACCTTGCCTTGCATATGATAAGCAGTCTTTTTGCCCACATTTTAATAAAAAGTGTAACAAAGCTTCAACCATTTATGGATATCTTTCTTAGGTCATGTAAAGCACTTCATAATTGCTTTGCAAGAAAATATGGAATTGTATTCATCCCTCCAATCACTAACATCTGCTTCATTACTATTACATGTATGCCCCCACTTTTCTATTTCTGCATCTTGCTATGTACAAATCACTTTCATTTCATTATTGGATTATAATATATTCTTTCTATATTCATTTTAAGTGGCAATTAAATTCAACATGTGGAGTATCAACAATGCCTCAACAGATGTGATGATATTGTCGAGAGCTACAACCAAGTTCACCCACGTGCAGGCAATGACAGCTCTGTCACCATGATGATGGTAACAATCCATAAATTATAAGACACATCCTGCTTTCAGAGATGCTAAAATATGGAGGTCTTGGATAAGCTCATCTTAGAGTGGATAAAATGTAATAATAAGCTTGATTCCTGTCTCCCAAATGTCCATACACCATAATTTGTAAATAAGACATAGGCATATAATATGACACCCACAAGTCAGTGACTTGCATAATTTCCAAAAGGCTGTCACAGACAGCAAGTTCTCTAATTTTTCAGTGCAGAAAGAAAATACTTAATATTGATTTAGATTCCTTCCAAAGAAAAGGATGGAGACCCAATTCTCTTTAGTATTTTCATTTCCTGTTGTCCTATTCCTACATGTCAAAATAGTGTACAGTAATATTTTATGCAAGGTAATCTGACACCTCCACCTTAATTCCCAGGCATTAAAGAGGTGTAGAGTGTTATAACACAATCCAGAGTGCAGCAAACATTTACCACACAGGCATTAGTGCAGCAAATAAAGAGGAATGGGGAGTGTGTGTTTTGAAGGTCAAAGTCTCTACACAGACCTCCTGCCAGGCAGGCCCAGGTGCTGTCTCCATTAGAGTTGGCATATATGTGGATCTGTACGTATTTATTCTCAAACCATGTCCCCAACTCAAATATTCTCACCTAGCCTCAAACCACCAATCATTTAAAGAAAGCTCAGCTTAAATCCTCAATAAGAAAAAATGAGGTTTGAGGATTACTGGCCACAGGAGGGTGATCAGGGCACTGGAAGAGAACAGATGGACCATTACTAATGGTATCACCCAGAGGACATTCAGCATCTACCAGGGCAGCCGTGCAACCATCCATCCTCTTCCCATTCAAGCCCTTCAGCCTGCTTCCATAGTAGAAAACATTTAAATCTGTAAACCAAAGGGTATAGTCCTTAAATCTGAGCATAATACCTTTCGTGTATTTTGTGGTTATTTCGAAAGATGTGTAGCCAGCATGTCATGGGTGGAATTGTATCTCCAAAAAGATAGGCAGAAGTCCCACACCCAGTACCTCAGAATGTGAGAATGTGACCTTATTTGGAAATAGTCTCTATAGAGGTAATCAAGTTCAAACGAGGTCATGAGGGTGGCCCTAATCCAATAGCACTGGTGTCATCATAAAAAGGGGAAATTCAAACACAGAGGTGGATACATACAAAGGAAAAATGTTGTGAAGATACAGAAAGAGAATGCCATGTGAGGATAGAAGGTTAGAATGATGGTTCTGCAAACCACAGAAACCCACTGACTGCTGGCAAATCATCAGAGGCTAAGAAGAAGCAAGGAAGGATCCTCTTTTTCAGGTTTCAGAGTAAACATCGCGATGACAACACCTTGACTCATGACTTTGAGTTTACAGAATTATGAAACAATAAATTTCTATTGTTTTAAGCCACCCAGTTTATGGTACTTCCCTCTCGCAGCCCTCCCTGGGACATGAATACAGCATGATACAATCTTTTTTTTTTTTTTTTTTTTTTTTGTGAGGCAGAGTCTTGCTCTGTTGCCCAGTCTGGAGTGCCCTGGTGCAATCTCAGTTCATTGCAACCTCCACCTCCTGGGTTCAAGCAATTCTCTTGCCTCAGCCTCCAGAGTAGCTGGGATTACAGGGGCACGCCACCATGCCTGACTAATTTTTTTTTGTATTTTTTAGTAGAGATGGGGTTTCGCCATGTTGTCCAGGCTGGTCTCAAACTCTTGGCCTCAAGTGATCCGCCCGCCTTGGCCTCCCAAAGTGCTGGGATTAGAGGCATGAGCCACCACCCCTAGCAATACAATCTTTTACTTAGTGGGTTCCTAAGAATGATAAAATGTCAACACTTCATCTTTTGTTCAAAATATTTTTAAACATAGAGGAAAAGTGTGGAGAAGAGGAGCCAAAATACATCTATTTATTTGTTACAAGCTACCAGAGTCCAATGAATGCAGTAGATAGCAACATTTTTGCCCGTGCTGTTTCCAATAGCTACCATAGGAAGTGCTGATGTAAATTTGGCTAAGTGGCTGTTTCTCACTGGAATGTGATTAAAACAAAAGCAATGCTAGACCACACCAAGGATTTCAGGCAAGATGCCAGCTTTTCCAAGGGAGAAAGTTGAAAAGTACTTCAGTGGTTCAGAAACTGTTACAAACCAAACACGTCACTGTTGCTGTGAAAAGGAAAGGTCATAAGCATGTTGTTCCAGTGTTGAGGAATTGTGGATGTAGCTGCAAGTTGGTTCCCTGGGAATAAAAGATTTTTTAAATTGAAAAGCTTGTGACTGAAACCTAACACCCAATACCAAAAGCTAATGGATTTATTGTTAGGGTATCCATATCCTATTATCTACTTGAGCATTTTCTAGACTCTAATAGCAACCCAAAATTCATTAAACCTTTCTATAATTCAAAGAAACACAAAGTCTGAGATATACAGGTTTCAAATCACAATCAAGGTATGCTATAACTTAAAACACTCTCAAAATATGAAGTTTCACCTTAATCCAAAAGATGTCAATTTTTCCAGAAAATGTAGCAAGATCTACAGATTTATATACTCTGTTTTTTGATAATACCAAAGATGAAATATACAGTAGGTTTTTTTAAAGAAAAATGTTATCATTCAAATATTTGTTAAGATGACATTTTAATCAAGTATCTTGAGAAATATACCAAAATCAGATTTTATTAACAGATATTTCAAAGTAGAAATGTATTTCATTATTACAGAATTACCCAGCATGGGGACACTATAAATTCTCTTTAGAAGATAAAACGTTATTCAAGTTTTTACATATCTAAAATAGTATAAGGAATAGTTCTCTATAGGTTTAATAAGATGCTAAATAAAACTTAGTTTGTGTTTTAATACTGATTAAAAAGAAAATGGTAGATTGTCTATAACTGTCTCAATTCAGAACACTTCTTTCATTTGTTTCATTGGGATTTGTCACTATTTTGGAAGTGAAAACTTTCACTTTCCGTTTTTTCCCTACCTGAAACTCTCCTGGACTTCTTTTGGTCATTACATTCAAGCCCAAATTGTTTATTCATTCACCATTTCTGTCTTCACTCTACAAACTCTTTATGTCATCAAAGCCATGTAGGAGTCTTTAGGTATGACTAAAAGGAAGACGAAAAATTAGTAATTTTTAACAGGTAGTAAGTAGTCTTCTTTATATAAAATTCCAAAATTTTCCTCTTATCCCAAACAGCTTTTCTTCTATGTCTTATAGAGCAACTGAGGCAATGAGTTACTGCTCAGCCCTGTGTTTTCTTGGAGTCCTAATAAAGATCACAGCGATGCGGAGGAATGTGGTGTCATGGCTCTTGCTTTTTTCTTAGGAGCTAGCTTGTGGGTCCTCCTTCTGTGCTAAATAACTTTCAATGATTATTGCAAGGGCTGTGCACAAGTTTGGATACCACATGAAATCAATTTGTTAATTTTCACTTGTTTCCCAAAGAATAATTAATCTCTGTGATAGAACCAACTTAACACTTCCATTTTGAGGGTCCGTTACCTGAACCATGTCAATACAGAGATTATTTTCAAAGTTACTGAGTCAGTTTTTTAAGGGCCACTGGATAGGTTTTAATCATGACTTTTAAAGTCAATTAATTACAAGTAACTCAGATGTGTTCCGTTCTGAGACTGTTTCCACACGTTTGTTAAAATTGATTCCCCTTTGGGGTCAGGTTGTACTTGCTTTGTTCCTGCTGAAATCAACATTTTGGACTCAATGAGTTTTCTTGAGTCCTATTATTTTCAGAAACTTTGCTATGGAAGAATTACTTTCTCTAACACTCAGAGTTGACATTCCATGAGACTGAGTATAACACATCCCGTACCTTCATCTACCCAAGTCAGGATTTACGCTGGGATCTGAAACTCATACCGTCGCTCAGTTCAAAATATTGCTTTTCCCCAGAAGAATATTTAGGAGTCATGGAGTCAGAAGAGATTAGCACAAGGGAGGCAGAGGATGATGGCAGTGTGGTTCTAAGAGGAATCTCAAAGGGCTCCTTCTCTAAAGGTCTCAAGTTTTACACCAATGATTGCCTGAACATGTGGGTAGAGTTGATTAAAAACTGGAATGAAAAGTATGTTATTCTTAAGGAACCAGGAGACCCAAGTTACATCTGGTAGGGCCTGGATACCATTTATATTCAGGAATAGAACAGCAACTATTTTTAGATGTAATTATTCATAATAATAAAAGGTAGCCTTATTATGCTCTTCACAGATGATACTCATGCTTCTTTAGTTCAACCAAATCTAAAATGCATATATTATCACTTCGTATTCAATGTCATTGGTTTTTCCTCATGTTTAGTTACTGTATTGCAATTACATTGCTTTATTATCCCTTTCATTTTAGATGAACAATTCCACAACCATATTAAAGACGTAATAATCTTTTCCTTGTTATTTTGAAAAACCAAGTATACAATTTCTGTTAGAATGTGCATTGTAATTTCAAATAAAAGATTTTAAAACAAAATTTTGCAGTATATCCATTTATGAACTGGGTCCTGATGGTCCTAACAGCTGAGTCCAAGAGAACTGCCAGAAGGGGAGAGTCAGTAGGGAAGGATGTGGGGGACCACAGAGATGAACTTCTTTTTATAGGGAGATACATTTAAAGAGGGTAGTAATTAGACTGGGTACGGTGGCTCACGCCTGTAATCCCAGGACTTTGGGAGGCCAAGGCAGGCGGATCACACGAGGTTAGGAATTCAAGACCAGCTTGACTAACATGGAGAAACCCCCACCTCTACTAAAAATACAAAAAATTAGCTGGGCATGGTGGCGCATGCCTGTAATCCCAGCCACTCAGGAGGCTGAGGTAGGAGAATCTCTTGAACCTGGGAAGCGGAGGTTGTGGTGAGCCAAGATTGTGCCCTTGCACACTCCAGCTTGGGCATCAAGAGCGAAACTCCGTCTCAAAAAAAAAAAAAAAAAAAGCAGGTAGTAATCGGTGAGGGAGTTTGGGGTTAGTGCTGATAAAGGGAAATTTATTGTGTTGAAGGAGAGCCATAGATTAAATATGTGTTGTCAGTGAATTCTGAAGAACATATTTCTCAGCAAGACATTGAGAAAAACAAACTAGATAAAGAGACTGTAGAATGTTTATATTCTTCTGACCAACCAAAGTAAGGCAGGCCAAGTTTATGGTTGGAATTACTCCAAATGGAGAGAGGTTCCAGCTACATTCAAAGCACTGGCACCTCTCCCAGTTGCTCTAGTGATTGACCCCCTCCTAACCTTAATGATTTTATAATATAAGGTAACATGCAAGCAAAATAAGTCTTACATAGGAGTAAGGTCTGCGGAGGAAAGTGTATGGGTGAAGGATGAGATCGTGAGGGAAGACACTTAGGTGAACTACATGGAATACTGTCACCCTGAGTGCTACAGCTTCTCACGTTTTAATGCACACACACATCACCTGGAGGTCTGGTTGAAATGCATATTCTGGCTTAGTAAGTCTAGGGTGGAGCCTGGGACTCTTGCATTTCTAAAAGACTGCTGCTGATCCATAGGTCACATACCCTAGACGTCTTGCCTCTCCCTCTGACATCAGTGTCAATAAATTATTCATTCCTGAATCCATCTCAACTGTTCTACTGTGTAGAATTGGTGTCCAGTAGGAAGTCCTGGAAGTGGGAAACTGGGAATCTTTCTCCCTGGGACTTTTGTGAACTGGCTTGACTGTTAGCTGTGGCCACTTGCTGTCTTCGCCAGTTCCTTGGCTTTTGCTATCATCAAACTCATCCAAACGGGTTAGGAAAAGTAGAAGCAGGCCCCAAAGGGGATATTATTTATTAAGTAAAAAATAATTTTGCTTGGATGAACAAGACATACAATATGATGTTGCTAAGAGTGCAAAGATTTATCAGGGCCTCCAAGTCCTAAGAAACTTTTGGTTTAGTACAGAGGTTCTCATCCTCTGGGGAAAGGGAAGCTTCTATCTTTATGTCACTAGCCATTAACTGAGATGTACTACTTCTTTCCAGTATGAAAGTATGTATCACCATGATATTAGAAGAATCTACAACTCCATCATTAATGGAAATCTCAGATATTTTTATATTACATTATTGTTGCAAATGTCTCTCTCTCTCTATATGTATATATAGAGAAAGACTAATGACAATTCCATCACTGTTTTGGAATTGCAGTCATTATTATACTGACATCAGGGTTCACATGATTCTAGTCTTTCTGCCCACAAATGTTATTGTAATATAAGTTGGCCAACTATTGGGCAGTTTTGAAATTCATTTTGATCAGCCACCTGACAGTGAAGTCATGTGTAATACCTTGGTGACCTCAGCATCCACATTTCTTTCCCCATCTACAATTTCGTATTAGTCAGTATGTGGAAAGAGATGGGTCAAGGACCACTCCACAGTTTAATAATCTTACTTTAGCTAAGCTACAGTAGCTGATGTTTTAAAAAATAAAACTAACTTGCTGACACTTTAAATGTCGTCTTTTTCTTCAATGTGTTAACAAAAACATATGTATACTACTATAACACAAATTTGTTTTTTAATGTTTTGATAACTGTATTTCACTATTTTAAATAATTTCTTTTATAATCCCATGCATTATATTTCATGCATTAAAAAATTACTTTGAGAAGGGGGCTGTAGGCTTATTGACTGCAAAAGGTGTCTATGGCCCAGAAAAATGTTCAGAACCCTTGATCTGGTAGAATAATGCCCATTTGAATAGTTCATTACCATAAAAAATACTTTTTTCATAGAGGTAAGCTAGTGACTAGAGCTACTCCAAGGTACTGGGCAGCTCTTTTGTTAAAAATTCTGCAAGAGGCCAGGCTCAGTGGCTCACCACGCCTGTAATCCCAGCACTCTGGGAGGCCGAGGTGGGTGGATCACGAGGTCAGGAGTTCGAGACCCGCCTCTATTAAAAATACAAAAATTAGCTGGGCACATGCCTGTAATCCCAGCTACTTGGGAGGCTGACGCTGGAGAATTGCTTGAACCTGGGAGGTAGAGGTTGCAGAGAGCCAAGATAGCACCACTGCACTCCAGCCTGGGTGACAAGAGTGAGATTCTGTCTCAAAAAAAAAAAAATCCACAGGAAACAGACACTGAGACATTAAGTTCTTGCCCATAATGTGGTGTAGAGTTATCCAGGGAGAAACTGGTTCTGTCTCCAAGGATCTAGTTCCCTCATTTTTTTTTTTTTTTTTTTTTTGAGACAGAGTCACTGTGTCACCCAGGCTGGAGTGCAGTCGTGCAATCTCTGCTCACTGCAACCTCTGCCTCCCAAGTTCAAGTGATTCTCCTGCCTCAGCCTCTTCAGTAGCTAGGATTACAGGCACATGCCGCCACACCCAGCTAATTGTTTGTATTTTTAGTAGACACAGGATTTCACCATGTTGGCCAGGCTGGTCTTGAACTCCTGACCTCAAGTGATCTGCCCACCTCGGCCTCCCAAAGTGGTGGGATTACAGGCATAAGCCAATGCACCCAGCCTCATTCATTTATTTATTTTTGGCTGGTCATGTGGCTAATGCCTATAGTCCTAGCACTTTGGGAGGCCGAGGCAGGCCGATTGCTTGAGCCTAGGAGTTTGAGACTAGCCTGAGCAACATGGCAAAACCCCATCTCTATAAAAATACAGAGAGAGAGAGAGAGAGAGAGAGAGAGAGAGAGAAAGAAAGAAGGAAGGAAGGAGGAAAGAAAAGAAAGAAAGAAAGAAAGAGAGAAAGAAAGAAAGAAAGAAAGAAAGAAAGAAAGAAAGAAAGAAAGAAAGAAAGAGAAAGAGAGAGAGAGAAAGAAAGAAAGAGAGAAAGAAAGAATTAGCCAGGTATAATGGTGCATGTCTATGGTCCCAGCTACTTGGGAAGCTGAGGTGGGAGGATCACTTCAGCCCAGGAGGTCGAGGCTGCAGTGAACGAAGATCAAGCCACTGCACTCCAGCCTGGGCAACGGTGTGAGACCCTGTCTCAAAAAACCAAAACAAACAAAACAAAGGTTTCTTAGTTCCTACCTACCACATGCCAGGAACAATTCTACCTGTTGGGGATAATAACAATAACAAAACAAAAAGACAAACAAAAATGCTATCTCCTGAAGCTTATATTCTAATGGGTCATCTTTCCTCCACTGCAGATACCTCAGATAAAGAAACCACACTTAAGAAAAACAGTGAGAAGGCAGGAGATAGAGACACAAACTTCAGCTAACAACCAAATAAGCAATACTCTTTTTGAGACAGCAAGAGACTATAATTTACTGCTTTCTTCATCCAAAGTGTCTTGTATTTTAAAAAGTTTCACTTTGGTCCTTTCAAAATAATTTATAATTATTTAAAATGAATAAGCAGAACACTAGAGTCAGGATATTTTCATGAGTTTTAGGTTTCTAGGGCATAATAATTGCAATAAATTTATCTGAGAGAATTTGATATTTATACTACTTGAAATTGTATTTTCCACTGGCACCTTTTTCTGAAATATTCCAGTGGCCACATAAATAATCTTTGCAACCTTCGCCTTAAAAACTCCCAGGCCAAGTTGTTTGAAGTGATGATGTGTAACCCGGAACTTTGGGGACTTAGTCACTAGTGACCTACACACTGGAGCAGCAGGAGAAGTGTTTTCTGAGGAATATCTTGTCCCGGCATCTAGGCAGTACCTTCGCCTACCTTTCTGCTACTGCAGGGTGGCCATTCCTTTCAGGCATGTGTCTTAGTAACAGACTTTACCCCTACCCTCTGTTTCTTCCATATCTGCACTGCAGGTTCTTGGCAGAAATGACAACTTCAACCATTTGTTGTATAACTTCTCAATAATAGCCTCATTATGAGAACTAGTAAATGTGTAGAAATGCTTGAAGAACATATTCAATTCTCCAGTTATTCTAAATGTTTTCTTCGGACCAAAACAGAAAATGAAAATAAAAACAACCGTTCTTTGAACACTTATTCCATATCACTGGCTAAGACATTTACTTAATGGTGTGCTAATAACAATGCCATGTGTAGCTATTAATTATCTTTATTTTGCAGATAAGGCACGGCGAAGTGATCTGCCTGAGGTTGTACAGCTAGTAAATGGACTACTATTCATATCAGTCTGTCTAATCCTAAAGAGAGTTACCTTTATCGCAGTAAAAGGTTCCACATTAGAGTACTACATGCTTAAATTATGTTGCTTCAGACCTTTATGAATTATTTTTACTTAAATACGGGTTAGCCTTCCTTTACCAGATGTCATTGCGAAGTGCTCCAATACATATCCACACAAACTGGCAATGTTGATGATTATTGTTGCATAAATGAGGACACATCAGAAAATATTCCCGAGGGTATTGATCAAATAAGTTTAAGATAATTCTGAATAACTTTTTTTTTAATCTTAAGGATACTGAATGTCATGTAACTGATCATGTTTTCTTCTTTACTTTGGCTACCAGGATGCACAAAGACAATTGATGCCAATCTCTAGCAACTGTACATATGCATTTCAAAATGTCAATTTTACCATAGATATATTATTTTTCTACTCACACTTTTCCTTTATCCTAGTTCTCTCACTTATTTATTTTAGGTATTTTTTATTGCATGTATTTTTAAGCCTGCTCAAATCCTTGGTGAAAATAGGCATAGTAGATTAAGTAAATAAATGCAGCATATTCAAAGTGATTCTAATTACTGTATTAGTCAAGAATTTATGAAGTGCTTACTATATTACCAAAATTATTCTAGGCACTGCATTTATATTGAAACCTAAAAAAAAAAGCCTATATATTATTCTGAGGTTTAAAATATAACTTCTACTTCTTATTTTACTAGCCAAGCAAATGTCTGGACAAAAATAAAAAACATGGACTAATAAAAACTTCCTAATTCTGGTATTCTGCTTTCCTGTACTATAATGTATAATGACCTTTTAATTTTTTTTTTTTTTTTGACAGTTTCGCTCTGTCACCCAGGCTGGAGTGCGGTGGCACAATCTTGGCTCACTGCAACCTACACCTCCCAGGCTCAAGTGATTCTCCTTCCTCCCGAGTAGCTGGGATCACAGGCGCCCACCACCACACCCTGCTAATTTTTTGTTTTTAGTAGGGATGGAGCTTCACCATGTTGGCCAGGCTGGTCTTGAACTCCTGGCCTCAAGTGATCCACCTGCCTCAGCCTCTCAAAGTTTTGGGATTACAGGTGTGAGCCACTGTGCCTAGCCTTAATACGTACTTCTTTTTTTAACTATATTGAATATTATCAGCCTGAGCAGTGTAATGGATAAGGCATGCAGATCAATTACAACCAAAACATATTCATGAATGAAGCTACAGTAGAGGAAAGCAAAAATAGAGTTTCTTTGACATCTTAACAACCATTAATTAATACTCAAAACTACTTTTTCTCAGCTAGATAATGTTCTTGCACCTCTAGGCTGAGAAGAGCAATGCATTACGCTTTATAAAACCTTTTCCATGAGATGAAAATGAAATGCAATAGCAGAACCCAGATGTAAGCCAGAGTTGCCTGTTATGACTACTAATCTTATTTTACAGAGAAAAGAAGAAATAAACTAAGAAAATTAGTCAAGATTACCCAAAACAGACATGTGTAATTCAGTTTTGTTATCCTTAAAGTTTATCTCACTGAGTGTTCTGACCACCTTTGAAAAAGTGAATTAATTATTAAGCAATTTCCATAAGGCTACTTGGTCAGCTTTTTCCTCCCACCTCAAGAGCAATAATGCACACAAACGTGTCACAGAGTGGGAGGCAATTAAACCTTCAAATGATTTCAATTATTGACAATACTTCAGTTAAATTAGGGGTTTAGGATTTCTTTCCCTGGCTATCTTTTATTTCCTAGAAAAGTGAGAAAATAGATGTTTTAAAAGTCTTGACCATTTACTTATAAAACACATATTTTAATGTTTTTTCAATACAGTAACTATTATCCACTCTTCTTTTATGAATAGAAACTTCTCTAATTAATGGACTTAGTGATTTTTCATAGTTATTTCCAGAGAAGATTGCTACTTAATTCTGTCAAGACAAAACAAAGTTCCTAAAAGGTCTTGAGAAAAGACAATGAAAATAATAAGCTAATATTATAATTATTGACCTCTAGACATATCTTCAATAATTGTTGAAATGTTCTGACTTTATCTATGGTAGCCTGGTAAAATGACTTTAGAATTAGATAAAATGCATTTTTATTTTAAGAACAAAACTGAGATATACTTAGGAACTCAATTAAAAAATCTTTTTCTGATGTGCAGAATTCTGTGTCAAAGTTATCAAATGTTAAATAATGATCCACTCAAGGTAGGGTTTACCTTTGAAACAAAAACATTTCTGTAGATTCATTTGGGCAACTCTTTATGATTAGTGTTACTGACAAATGAAAATTTAAAACAGTTTTTTGTTTGTTTGTTTTTGTTTCTTTTTTCATTTTTTTGAGACAGAATCTAGCTCTGTCCCCCAGGCTGGAGTGCAGTGGCCCAGGCTGGAGTGCAATGGTACGATCTCAGCTCACTGCCACCTCCACCTCCCGGACTCAAGTGATCCCACCTCAGCCTCCCAAGTAGCTTGGACTGCAGGCGTCTGCGACCATGCCCGACTAATTTTTGTATTTTTTGTAGAGACAGGGTTTCGCCATATTGCCTAGTTGGTCTGAAACTCCTGGGCTCAAGCGCTCCTCCCTCTTCGGCCTCCTAAAGTGCTGAGATTACAGGCTTAAGCCACCCAACCTGGCCTAAAACAGGATTTTAATCACAGTTAAAACATACGCTGTTTGAGTTGTTTTCTGTTGTGGGTCTCTGACAACGTTTCCAAACTCGCTTGAACAGTAACAAGAGGTTGATTGGCCCCAATAACTGAGGTCTGCCGGTGCTGGGGCTTCAGCGTTTCCATGCCACTTTCTCGTGTTCCTTCAGCTGTGTCCTCTGCTGGGTTTTGACTTTGTCTTTAGATGGAACTCCCATCATGGAGACAAGATGGCTCTGATGTTCCAGACATAATATTCGTGGACCACAACATCCAGGAAGAGATCATTTCTTTGAGTAGCTTTCTCTAAAGAGAAACAAGGGCCTCCGTGACCAAAGCTCACATCTCATGAGTTTGAACTGAGTCACTTACCCATGGGGCGGGGCTGCCCTGACAGGCGTGACCCAATCACAGCTCCCCACAGGGCGTGACGAGGGGCGACGCCCACCCAGACCACAGGCTGCCACGCGGGCCGAGTCAGGTTGGATGCCAAGCAGACAACTGCAGGGACCACTCCAGTCCCTAAACTTCTTTCTGCCTTTTTTCGTTCTACTGTATTTAAGGGTGGTGAGGGTTGGGGGCTATAACATGAAACCCAAGCATACCAAGAGAAGCTAAAAATAATTCTCATAGAGAGAAGCCTAGACATCATGTGAGTCCTGACTTTCCACTTGTGACATTTTGCCAAAGACCCAAACACCGAAATTTACTTAATTCTAGATCAAAGTAAATGTGACTTTTCATAGTATTTTCTCACCGTTCTTAAGAGAAACGTTACTGGCAAGACTTTACTGCAACTGGCTCCCGGGCTTCCTCTGATTTGGGAAAAAGCAGCAGGCATGAGGATTCCCATCTCCTTAACAACTTCCTGGGAAAGGCTGCTGCTCGGTGACATCTCGGTGTGAGAGTCCAACGGCAAAGAAGCTACTAAGTGAGCCAGAGCCCAGAGTTAGGTGATATGTCCTTGTCATGAGCACAGAGACAAAGAGGCCTGCTGAGCCAGCAACTCCTCGTGAACAGCACTGGAAAATAGAAAGAATAGACATGTTGAAGAATGTATCTAAACAAATCTGTAAATGAGTCCACAGAGGCAAATCATTTCTGAAATAAAAACAATCAACCGTGCCACTAAACTTTATCACTGAATTTTATGTATCTTAGCGACTGTTACAAAAGAGAACAGCAGTATCTAGGCATCTACTGAAGGATTCTAGTACCTCTCTTGTAAAGAAAAAGATATTGTATTCTAACCAAAATAATAAATAAATTAAGGAATTTGTCCATAGGAGTACGCATTACCTATTCATGTGACAAGTTGTCATTTAAAACAATAGAATTCACAGTGTTTTCTATTTTGATTCTTTCATTTTTAAGTCTCTTAAAATTGAGTTACTAATAAATTCTGTCAGCTTCACAAAAAACACATCACACCCAATTAATGAAATTCCTGTCAGTGGCCAAGCAGCAGATCTGTTAGTGCCTAGAGGAAGCCAGAGAAGTGATCCATCTTGATTTAGGCAAACCGTTAGACTGTCCCATTTGGCATGTACTGGAATAATCTAGGAAAATATGCTTTCTAGAATTCCACTGACTGCAGAACGGAATCTGTTCATTGATTCATTCATTTAGTCAGTCAGTCAACAAGCATAACATGTGCACCTATTGCGTGCCGGGCACTGGGCTTGGTGCAGTGGTCTCCAACTTCACCACTCCCAGAACCAAATGGAAGTTGCAAGAGAAGATAGTGAGGGATGGAAAAAATTGGGGGCAGGAGAGAGGGAAGAAGAAAGAGAAGAAGAGAACGAAGAAATGACAGGAGAGAAGAAGGAAGAAGTAAAATGTACCTATTAATGACCAATTAATGTTGCTGGCCAGACTTGTTTCCTGGCCAAGCCTTTGTTTAGTGAGAATGAACAGGAGAAAAGGGAGAATGGGGTGGAGGCAAAATGTGAAGGGGAGGAAGACCTGCCTTAGAGGTCTCTACCACACCCATTCATTAAGTCTCAGTGTCATTCTTAATTCTCACATCAACCCACCTCCTAGATTCAGTGTCATGCCTCTTAATACTGGTTACCTTATCCCAGATTGTTGGGAAGACAACTCTAGTGCCTTGAAACCATCAGTGATGAAACAGAAGATGTACACCTATCTCCTTGAGGCATAAATCTGAGCAAATATTCCAGTGACGTCAGCTAGAGTCTCTATTACTGCATACAGTAGTCCTGTAGAGTTATTCTTTAATTCATTCACTCATGCGTTGAAGATCTTCTATTTCCAGTCACTGTTTCAGGCTATTGAAGGCAATGTTGAACAAGACTTTCCCTCTTATGAAACTTACCTATTAGCTGGGGACACATAGAATGCACAAGGAAATTAACAAGAGAATATCAGGTGGTAGGTTTTTTTTTTTGAGCTATGCAAAGAATGGAAACATGATAACATGTTTAATAGAATGATTAGGTGGCTAATCTACACTGGGTGTCAGAGTAGGTTTCAGTAGGTGTCAGTAGCTAGGCTGAGTCTACTAAGCAGGTGCACCCAGTGACATTTTTCTTAATGTCTGGAGGAGAAGGAGTCAGAGAACTGCATTCTAAGTGAGAAAACAACTTAGGCAAATGCCTTAAGGTGAGAATAAGTCTGACTTATTCAAGAATCTTGTGGAAGACCAGTGTGACTGGAGCACAGACAGTTAGGGGAGAGTGGTGTGAGGTGAGGTCTGCAAGGAGGCAGAGGATGCCTCATGAAGGACATCATGGGATAGGGCAAGGGATTTGAGCTTTACTCCTAGGGTAAAAGGAGAGTATTGCAGTACAGTGGCATTGTACACCTTTAGCATTGTCCGTATATACTGCAAACATACAACATGCTAAAGAGGTTTGTGGGTTTTTCCGGGGTCCAAACCACCATATGAAAAATTGTTTCTATAAGAAATGCTTTCTGAATGCCAAACAAAAATTCTCACAATTTATTCGAAGCCTGATCAATTTATCATCAGTGCTGAGATCTTTTTTAAATATGGCTTGGGCATTATTTCAATATTGCTTTTATTCCTGATAATAAATTTGGAAAATGGGGAACTGCTGTTTGAATCTTCCAGGCCTCAAGAAGAAGGTGGCTTGTCATTTATCTCTCTCTTCCAGTGTACAACAAGGCTTACCACTTGCAGAATCTGTTTCGGGATGGTCATTTATATTATCTACTACTGAGTCTACAATTCTTAGGTCATTTAGTTTGTATTTGAAATGTTTTCTGACAAAAAATTTAATTCACACCATCTTCTCCTTCTTGATCTTAATTAAACCAACTTTCATTTTGAATTTTTCTGTAAGCCTTTTTGACCTAAAAAACATTAGAAGTAAATCTTTACCATTTTGAAAATTTCATTAGTAAGCAAAATGTGAAATGCAATTATATGTTTAGTTATTTGTGAAAATTATTCTCTAGGGTTCAATTATTTTATTTTGGGAAATACATTTCTTCTAGGATAAGAGATTACTCTAGTATATATCATGGGCCACATCAAATAATTTGAAACAAGTTGGAACTTAAATAAATATGTAAATGTAAAATGGTGTTTTCCACTAAGTCAATGACTATCTCATCCACAAAAGACTTCGCTTCAAGCAAGTTACTAAGACAGAAAATGATTATGTTTTGTATTATCATCTTAAATTGAAGCTCACTGTATCCTTACTGTAAATTACTTTCTGTAGGAAGAGATTTTGGGGAGTGTTTTTAAGACCTTAGATAGAGTCTTATAATGGAAGCTTACCAAGTAAATTTCACAGACTCAAAAATCCAGAAGCTAAATAAATTGATCAAGTAATATAATCAAATTAAAATAAATTTTATTTTCCAGTTATGGATACTCACCACACAATATTATCAAAATACTTTTTTAAAACTTCATTTTATGGAAAAGTTCAAACACTTCCAAAAGTAGAAAAAATAGTATAGTGAACCCTCATTTATACACCATCCAGTTTCCATAATTATCAGCATTTTGTCCATTTGTTTCAGTAACTCCTCAACTTTTGAGAACATTATTAAGAGCTGAAAATAATTATATGCATAAATTGGTCATTAGTTTGAAGTTAACTACAAGATCACTCTCTTTCCTAACACCATATATCTCTTTATGGTTTTTCTATTTTTAATCATAATTATTAGATTTAGTCCTAATTTCTTAAGCAAAAATATGGTCTTTAGTGACTTCCTGTCATAGTTTTTCAGAGCATCACATCTTTCAGTGCCTCGTGGGAATTCAGTAAAAAAAAAGCATTAATGGTTTTGGTTTTTCAGAGCCATAGTGCTTAGGTTAACAAGAGAGCAAAGCTGTGAAATAATACCTGAAAAGGACAAAACAGGAACTCCTTTTTGTCTGATAATTGTTGAGTTTAGGCCGTGACGGCGTTAATGACAGGAGAGCAATCTCACAAAATGAGAAGCAATGTAAAGGAATGTAATCTTCTTTTGTGCTTTTGCCTAATGAATAATCTTAGATTTGTTTCCCATACAGTAGAATCGAGTTTAATAAATCTTCACCTCTGCAGCATTATTTTATTTAGGATTTCTGTTATTTCCCCCTTGCAGCTCTGTGATTGACTGTCCCAACACCAGTATATTTTTGCATACTATCTACCTTTAGTCGGGGAAAATATTTATAAAACTCAATTTTAAACATGTTGAAATCCTGCAGAGGTTCCTCATTGACTTCAGGGTAACAGCCATCACTTTAGCATGACTTAGGTGAACATTTCAAAACTGACTCCAATTTCTCTGTCTGCCATCATAATATGTTGAACTTGTTGCATGAACTGGAATGACTGTCCAGAATGCCCCTTTTGGGTGAAAACTAATCACACCGTCTATTTATTCTTCAGATATTCCTTCATTTAGGGGCCCTGAGTCGTCATCTGTATGAAGTGCTCCTCCTCTGCTCTCACAGAACTGAGCAGGTTATGTTTGTTTGTTGGTTTGTTTTTTGAGACAGAGTCTCGCTCTGTCACCAGGCTGGAGTGCAGTGGCGCGATCTCGGCTCACTGCAACCTCTGCTTCCTGGGTTCAAGCGATTCTCCTACCTCAGCCTCCCGAGTAGCTGGGACTACAGGCATGCAGCACCACTCCCAGCTAATTTTTTGTATTTTTAGTTGAGACAGGATTTCACCATGTTGGCCAGGACGGTCTCGATCTCTTGACCTCGTGATCCACCCACCTCAGCCTCCCAAAGTGCTGGAATTACAGGCGTGAGCCACCGCGCCTGGCTGTGAGTAGGTTATGTTTTAAATGTCCATTTACATCCTCATTCCCAACCACATAAAATACTCCCTGAGGCCAGGGATGGTGTTGTACTCATCTTTACATCCTCAGTGTGTTTCCCGTTGCTCTGCATGTACTAAATATCCAATAAAGAGTTGTTTAATAAATGGCTGAAGTAATGAATGAAAGATGCACAATTCTGCTTTTATTTAGTAAAAGCATTTTACCAAAAGGAAAATGGAAAATCATCATTTGGAGTGTCATTTTCTGCCATAAAAGTTATGGTGGCAACTTACTTCTAGGCAAGTATAGGATTCTAGATCTATTTCTTAAATATACCTATTCCAGATCTATAATCCTAAAATATTATTCACTGATATCAGATCCATGTTAACAATGTACCCCGTCAAGATTTCAACAGTACATGTGAGTTTAATAAAAGTCCTCTGCTCTCTCATATCACATGGGTTGGTGAGCCACAACCCAGATAGCTATAGGTTCCCTAAGAGAGCTCCAAGGAAACAACAATGAATAAGAAGAAGTTGAGTCTATTTTTTCCCTCAAGAAAACAAGCAGACCTTTCCCAGAAACTGATAGACAAAAGTTACTTAGGTTTCTTGTGGGATTTATTGAGTTATGTTATGAGTGTGTATCATTGTAAATTTAAACCATGCGTATATTTATACACTGTCTCAAGTCCTTTCAGAAACAGACAGGAGCATAAATTTAAAACAAATAACAGTACAAATTTATATATAACTACAGAATTGTTGGCACATGCTACATGATATGCTGGCATACTCGTTTCATATTTGTAAGATCAAATTGATCAGTGTTATTACCAGCAGTATGGCTATATTGCTTTGCTTTATTTCTAAGAGATTTGAACCTTATTACTTTAAATAGAAAATGTGACTGCATCATTTAAATTGCTCTGATCGTAACCCAATGCAATGCATAACAGAAAAAAAGAGTTGAAAAACTGTACCCTTTTTAAGAACCCAGGGAATACGTAATTCTTTCCAATACATTTAAGAATAGTTTGTCTTGAATGTTGTAATTCAAGTTACAATTTATTCTTATTCTTTCTTATATGCCTTGTACAAAAAAAAATAAAAACGGTTTGCATCTGTCTCTAACAATGCATATTTATAATAAGGCTATGAAAGAACTTTCAGATTTAAAGTACGCAATATTTTTTTAAAGTTCTCCAATCTTTGTTTTTTGTTTTGCTGTGTTTTGTTTTTGTTTGGAGACAGGGTCCTAACTCTGTTGCCCAGGCTGGAGTGCAGTGGTGTAATCACGGCTCACTGCAGCAGCGACGTCCCCAGCTGAAGCGATCCTCCCACCTCAGTCTCCCGAGTGGCTGTGACTACCAACGTGGGCCACCACGCCCAGCTAATTTTTTGTACTTCTTGTAGAGAAGAAGTTTTGCTATGTTGCCCAGGCTACTCTCGAACTCCTGGGCTCAAGCCATCCTCCTACCCTGGCCTCCCAAAATGCTGGGATTACAGGCATGAGCCACCACACTTGGCCCTAATTCTCCAATCTTAGTCTAAGAATAATAGGAAAAATTATACGATTCAGATTCAGATTCCACAAACATTTATTGAAAAGCTACTACAGGCTGGGCACAGTGGCTCATGCCTGTAATCCCAGCACTTTGGGAAGCCGAGGTACAAGGATCACCTGAGCCTGGAAGATTGAGGCTGCAGTAAGCCATGATCCTGCCACTGCACTCTGGCCTGGGTGAAAGAATGAGAATCTAACTCAAAAAAAAAAAAAAAAAAACCTACTACATGCCAGCCACTGCACCAAGTTCTTCCTATGGTATCTCATTTGCTCTTCATAACAATGTGGTGAGGAAAGTATTATTACTGTTTCTATTTTATAGATGGGCAATTGAGACTCATGGGGTAAGATGCTTACTATCACACAGGTAGAATGGAAAACGCCCAGGAAACAGTCCAGCACACAGTAGGCATCAGTAAATATTTGCTGAATCTGAAAATACACTGCCTTTTAAGACAAATTTGCTGCTTTTCAGCATTCTTAGATCCTATCACAGTGGGTGAGTAAACATGAGGTTTGGCAATCATTTTAGCTTTTTGTGTATTTATTTTTATACGTGTTTTCTTTTATCTGAACAGGTTATTAAACTGTCTGCCAAATGTTTTACACTCTTTAAACATGTTCGAAGTCAACCTTTTCAAATTATATTGTATTATTAACCCACTACATTTCTCTGCCTTGTTGTTTTATAGAGTATCTAAGAAATTGAAGTAAAGTAGTTTGAGTTTAGTTTGATAAATCTGGGAAAACATCCCCTTATGTTCGATCAATGTTTATATGTTCTGACATTACAATTTGGACATGAAAATGGCAAATTGCTTTAAGGTCAACCTTTACGTTTTACTAATTTCTTGTCCCCTCAGAACATACCACAGTGCCTGGTACATCATAAATATTCAATATGTTTATTTATCAGATAAGTAAAATAATGAATGAACAACTCTTATATTGCATGCTACCTACATATAAAACAAGTAATTCTTTCCTGCAATGTTTGTTTTGGTTGCATTCAATCTGGCTATTTAAAGACAATGTTAAAACTCTGCCACTTACTAGCTGTGGAAACTTGATCAAATCATAGAAAGAGGGTAAGCCCCAATTTTCTCCTCTTTAAAATGGGGACAGTAAACTCTATTTGCAGAATAAATTATGAAAGTTGATGGAAGGTAGTTTTGAAGTTTGTACCTGTTGTGGATTGAATTGTACACTCCCCACAAGAATCGTATGTTGAAGTCCTAACCTAGATTACTACAAAAGGTGACCTCACTCAGAGATAGGATCTTTACAGAGGTGATGAAGTTACAATGAGAATAATATAGTGGGTCCTAATCCAAAGTGCCTCGTGTCCTTACTCAAAGGGAAGTTTGGAAACAGGTGCACACACACACACACACACACGGAGAATGCCACGTGAACATGAAGGCAGAGATTGGAGTGATGCGTCTAGATGCCAAAGAATACCAAAGATTACCCCAAAACCACTAAAAGGTAGGGAAGAAGCATTGAACAGATTCTTCCTCACTGCCTCAAGAACGAATCAACTCTCCTGACACTGGATCTTGGACTCCTAGGCTCCAGAATTGTGAGACAATAAGTATGTTGTTTAAGCCACTTAGTTTGTCACATTTTGTTATAGAAGCTCTAGGAAAGTAACACAATGTCTGATTATGATTATTTCCTGAGTTAGGAACTTATAATCGCCAGGTGCAGTGGCTCAAGCCTGTAATCCCAGCACTTTGGGAGGCCGAGGCGGGAGGATCACTTGAGGTCATGAGTTCGAGATCAGCCTGGCCAACATGGCGAAAACCTGTCTCTACTAAAAATACAAAAATTATCTGGGTGTGGTGGCAGGCGCCAGAAAGCCCAGCTACTGGGGAGGCTGAGGCAGGAGAATCGCTTGAGCCTGGGAGGCAGAGGTTGCGGTCAGCCGAGATCGTGCCATGGCACTCCAGCCTAGGTGATAGAGTGAGACTCGGTCTCAAAAAAAAAAAGTTAAAGTCACCTTCTGGGAGGAAGGAGTTGGCATAGAGCTAAAAGCTTGAGAAGAGAGACTCATTCTACCTGTAGTTACTGGACATCTCCCATGCGTCAGCTACTATGCTTTGTCACCAGAGATATAACCGTGACTAAGAGTCATGGCTACTACCCTCACAGAGCTGATTGCCCAGCAAAGGTTTGAAAGTGCTATGGTGGAGAACAGGTAAAGGAGGCAACTTGGGTTGAGTAAACTAATTGTTAAACCCTACCAAGTTCAAACTGTTGATAGGCACAACCTTTTATGAGTTAGATTTTACCTGCTTCTTTGATTTCATTTTCAACCTTCAATTGATTCCTTCCCCATCACTCCACATATTGTGTACATATATGCTTGTGCACATGTGCACACAGATGCGTGCACACACACACACACACACACACAGAGGTTATGCTGCCACCACACTCACTTGCATTTCCCAAAACTCCGATATTTTTTGTCTCTCACCTTTGTACATTCCATTCTCTCTGCCTGAAAGTCCCCTCTCCCATTTTATTTACTTGGCAGGTTACCAAGTTTTCCGGTGTTCTAAACTCAAGCATTATCCTCACATTTTAAATTTTCTGACCACAGCCTGAGTTAGAGGTGTCCTTCTGCTTCCATAACACCAGACACTCATTATTATACTGGATTGCAATTGGCTGTTGGTTTGTTTGAAACCAGAGGCTGAGTGTTTTTCATCTCTCTCCTTCATGCTAAGCACAGTACCCGGAACAACATAGATATGCAAAGCACATTTCTTGAGTCAAATGAATAATTAATTAATGCAGAAAAATGTCATATGCAAAGATATTCAGCAACCCATACACACATGGCAAAATACCCCTAGAGCTGATTTTTGGTATCACAGGCACCTGTTCCCTGATCCTGTCTCACTCTGTCCTGCAGTCTTCTGCACCCACCCTCCACATCTTCATCCACCACAAAGGTACCTCTCACCATTAGCCCAGCTTGCCATCAGGTGCTGAATGTGTGTCTCCACCCTTCATCATTCACTAGGAAGCCTCTGGAATGCTAGCATTTATCTTCTGAAAAGTTGCCAAGCACAACAGTAAAGCTGTGTGGTATTTTTCAACTGTGCAACTTTAACATGTCTCAAGGAGGCTCTGAAAAAGTCATAAAGTATTAAGTCCCTCCTTAGTGGCATTTCAATCCTTTTGGAAATAAGTAAATGTGTAAAAATAAAAGGAAAATAAAGTCTGTTGAAAGATTTCAATTGTTTTCTTTGTTCTTAAAAATTTATTTTATTTTACTTTTAATTGACAAATAATTGTAGATATGTATGATTATAGTGTGATTGTTTTGATATATGTATATATTATACCACCACATATCTTCAGTGGTAGATACAAACAAGTACTTCCTAAAACAGTCATGCAAGAATTAAGAACCATAAATCCTAATGTTTTACTCTGCCTCCTCATTGGATTGTGACTTGGCTTTAATCTCTTACATTTAGAAAATTTGGATTTTCTCCTGTTTATAAAATAATTCAGGTATTTCTCCTACAATGCATGTTCACCTCTGTAAAATTGGACACTAAAAATAAGAGAGCTTATGGAAAGAATAGAATTGGGACAAATTCCTCATAAGCTATGGAATTTTGCAACCAAGACACTAATGAGAATAATTAACCCTCCTAATAGAAATACCAGCATTGTTAAATCTCTCTTTGTATTTATGTCCAATCAGTTAATCTTCGCAATTTTAACTCCTGGTTCTGGTGATTTCCCTTTGAAGGAGAGATCCTAGAGGACACTCTCTTCTAGTAGATTATTTAACAAATATTAGAAATCTTATCCAGAGTGTACCTTTTTTTTTTAATAGAAGGGAAATGTCATTGCAGCTTTGTTATCTGCAGTAACAGTTTACCCAAGAAGCTTGGCATAGTAGAAAGGGTAGCAATTCTTGAAGCCACTAACCTAGTCTCCACCTGCAGTTCTGTAGATTTCCAGAGTTAATTCACAGATTGCTAAGGCTCTTTCTTTAGTTGTAAGAAAGCCTACTCTGACCACTTTAAAACATTAACCTGCTGGAAAAAAAATTATACATGAACTAAGACACAACTGCTGTGTTATGTAGACATTATTCTCCTATTATCTCCTATTTGCACAAGGGAAGCAGTATCAATGAAACAGCTTTAAAGTAGAACAGATTGTAGTTCTAAATACTTACTTAGTTTATGAACAAAATAATTAACATGGCTTAATAAGATCATGTCAGAAAACTCTTTAAATTCCATGAGACAAATCTACTATGCAGCAATCAGTATCTCTTTGGAGCCTCACAAATAACAATTGCTACAATCACTTCCACTTTCACATTTAAAGGAAATGTATTTTTAGCTAGGGCAACTCCTACCTTGGCTACCTTCCCAGAAAGTTGTGTGTGAAATATATTGAGGCAAAAACAATGAAGACTTGGTCAATTTTTGCTGTTGAAGTTCTTTTGGGCTTTTCCAACAGATACCTTACTAACCAAATGATTTGGAGGACACAGTTCTAAATTCTGCAGCTCAAAATGCTTCCATTGTAGTATGTCATTTTATTTCCCTCTGGAATAAGGACATTTAAGTACCATTGGAAAGGAACTGTGCTGAATCTGGCATAAATATAAGTCATCTCTTCCTAAGCCTACCAACTCGACTCAAAAACTGTTGAAATATAAGCAAGAATGATACTGGAGTGCATTGGTACAAAATGAAAAGAAGTGTTTCATTACAGCAGGGATACTTTTAATTTTGCGTTTTAGTCTGAAACTAGGTTACGCTTCTGGAAATTGGATGATAACTTTATGTAGTATTCTTCTGTGAGGCTACTGTTTCAGAATAGGTATTTAGCATTTTTACCCTTCTGCGTTGATCCTAGGTGAGTTTCTATAATATTAGATATATGTACTCACAATTCATCTACTCATAGAGTTACAGATGTGCAGAATGTTAGAATAGATTGGATCTTAGAGGTCAGTTAGATCATCTGTAGCTTCCTTTCATAGGCCACAACATTAAGAGTCACACGGAAAAAATGAATGGTGGGATATTATAATATTTCTTACAATATTTTCTGGGTTTTTTGAGGGGTAAGGGTGGGAAGAAACTATTATCAGCTGGCTAAAAGGAGAGTGATAATGTGTGGTTTTCTCGTGTGTATATTAAAGCTTATGAATAAAACTACTAGGTATAAGAACTTACCCAACACGCAGTGAACCTCAAAGGAGATGGTTGCCCATCTGGTTTCAATTTGATTAAGTTTATGTTCTATTTGACGCTTATTATGTGGAAGACACTGAGCTAGGTGGTTGGCATACAAAGATAAGCAAGAGAGGCAAACATAATAACACTGTTTCTTGAAATTAATCTTAACTTACTTTGAGACCCAGCTCTACCACCTATTAATTTATTATTAACTTATTATTAATCTTGGGCAAATCACTTAATCCCTTAGACTTTCCATTTTATTTATCTGCAAAACTAAGATCCAGTTTGTAAAGTTTGGTTTAAGGAATTAAATATCTCATATGCAGTTACTTAGCACAGTGCCAGGTATCCAAGAAGTATTTGTCTCCCCTAGATCTAGAGCCAGAAGCCTTAACTTTAAGGAACTCATAATCCAATAGAGACATGAATAGTGCCTTACTGATGCTGAAGAACGGACATATAATGAATATATGGGAGCACATACACAAGAGACCGTGTTTCTGATGAAGAAGGATTAAATGTTGGAGAATAACAAAGAAGTGTTAGGGAAAGAAACCAAGGGATTTCTGATATGGAAATAGGCAGGAGATGGAAATATTTGGGACAAATTCAACACTGATGGAATAAATGCTGGTAGGACATAGACTGCTTATATATAGTACATCTACTTTGTTGAAAATTGGAAACTTTTAGATTAATAGAGAACAAAGAATCATGATTTGTATTATTTCATTTATGCCGATTTCATTCATTCTTTTCACAAATAGCTTCTATGTGTCAAGCACTATACTAGGCACTGGGAATCCAGAGGTAAGCAAAAGAAGACAGTTCTTATTTTCTTGTAACTTACAGTACTGAAGGACAAAGAGATCACTGAATTGATAAGTGCTGATAAAATGCAAAGTGCTGTGAAGGAAATGAAGATGCTGTTACTGCCCCCTTGGTAGAACAAAAGGATTTAGATAAAAGATGCAGGAATACTTTCCTAAGCAATGGTGAATCCTGAAGGGAAAGAAGTAGCTAGCTACACTGAATCAGGGAAGAAAATTCCAAGCAGAGAGACCAGCAGGAGAGATCTAGAAATGGAAATATGTGTTGGTTCTAGAATACGTACACTGTATTGCTGAGAATTTCAGCACAATGCCTGGAATGTGCTACTCAACACTTGACTAAATGAGTGAACGAATGAATAAATTCTGAAAAGACTGATTAGTTAACAAAGCTTTTGAGCAGGAAAATGACACAGTCAGATCAATACTTTAGAAAAAGCAATTCTACAGCCATCACCAATTAAGATAATTTTGCAATAGCACCAGATTAGAAAGACTGAGAGTATATCTAGGACAGTGTTTGTGAGAGACCGGGAGTGAAACGGTTGGGATGGAAATGACAAATAGCTTGATATTCCTACCAATGAAAGGCTAGCTCGGCCATGGTGATAGAGGTAGATCATGGAGGTCCTATGTGTGTTGCTTCAGGCCCTAAACTTTATCTTGTGGAAAACAGAAAGGCTTTGAAGAGTTTTTAAGCAGGGGTGTAACTGGTTGCAATTGCATTTTAGATAGGGCATTCTGTGACAGTATGGAAGATAAATTTGAAAGCTCCTCAGATGAAAGGAGAGTAGAAGGATGTTGTAATATTCCTGTGAGAAATAATGAATAAATTAGATTAGTGGGAAGTAAGCAAATGTAGGAGGCTATTGTAATATTCCAGGTGAGAGAAACAATGAGTAAATGAAAGAAAGCTGTATATCAGATAGAAAAAAAGAGCATTGACTCAAACTACTTCGGAAGCAGAATACTCATTTTATTTTGTTTATTTTCTTATTTTTGAGATGGAGTCTCACTCTGTCACCCAGGCTGGAGTGCAGTGGTGCTATCTCAGCTCACTGCATCCTCCACTTTCCGGGTTCAAGAGATTCTCCCGCTTCAGCCTTCTGAGTAGCTGGGATTTTGGGCACCTGCCATCATGCCCAGCTAACTTTTTTATTTTTAGTAGAGACAGGGTTTCACCATGTGGGCCAGGCTGGTCTTGAACTCCTGACCTCAGGTGATCCACCTGCCTTGGCCTCCCAAAGTGCTGGGATTACAGGCTTGAGCCACTGTGCCTGGCAGAATATTCATTTTAGTGCTTAATTGGGTGTGCAGGGAGGAAGGAGTAGGAGGAGTTCAGGGCGATTCACAAGTGTATGACAGAGCTGATTGTGCCATTGAATAAGCAAGAAAACCAGGAGGAAGAGCTGGTCAGGATAGGAAAAGGTCATGGGGGTGAGAGTGAGACGTAAAGTCTGAGGAGCCTGTGGTACATCCAAGCGAAGATGCTCATTAAGCATTTGGATATTCAAGTTTATATCCCAGATGTGAGAGCAATGCTATAAAGATAGACGGATGGATAGACAGATAGATACATAGATAGGCAGATACCTAGATAGAGAGGATAGATACATACATACGATGGATGATAGATAGAGTCATCTTCATATGAGAGTTGTTTAAACCATGTGAATCACCCAGAAAGACCTGTTGAATGGAAGAGCAATGGGTAAGAACAGAAACTGGAAAAGCAATAGCTTGAGAGGGCAGGGTTAAAGGCCCATGTATGATAGTAAGAAGGGACGAGAAAAGAAATCAGAGGATGACCAGGGCGGACAATTTTTATGATAAACAAGAAAGTTAAGAGTTTTTATTTAAGAAAAAAAAAGATTGACAACATCATCAAATGCTACAAAGTGGTCAGGTAAGATGAGGGCTGAAGATAATCCAGACATATTTGCAAGAATAAGGACTGAACATTTTGGAGATTATGGCCAGAATAGGATAATGGAATTGAAGATTTCTAATAGGAATTAGTCTAGTTGGTGACCAAGTCCCAGGTGAAAGTATGACTCTATGTGGGACTGAGGAGGAGGGGCAGTCAAGATCCTTAGAGATGAGGAAGTCAGAGGACTGTGAGGGTCAGGATTTCAGACAGGACATCTACATGACCATTGAGGTCACCAATATGTTGGCAGGACATGAAGTACAAAAAAAGACAATTTTCCACATCCTTTACTTTTGAGAAGTCAGTAGGAGACCAACTGAAGAATTTATACTAAAGACAATGAAGTTTTACACAGGGAAAAAGAAGCAATTGAGTTTTCTTAAATCAAGTGTAGTCTAAAGACACCTCCTTGCATATTTTAAGTTTGGCCTAAAGATTTCTCTGTACATCGTGAACTATAACCTAAATGAAGGTGTATACAGACTGTAGTCTACTCTTGTGCCAATCACCAAGTTTCAGCCAATCAAAGCTGGCCAACCATTCAAACCATGTTCAAATAAGGCAAATGCTGAGCTGTAACCAACCTGGCTGTTTCTGTACCTCACTTCCATTTTCTGTGGGTCACTTTTCTTTTTCTGTCCATAAATCTTCCACCACCTGGCTGCGCTGGAGTCTCTGACCCTACTCTGGCTCAGGAGGCTGCCCGATCTGTGAATCATTCTTTGCTCAGTTAAACTCTCTTAAATTTAATTTGGCTAAAGTTTTTCTTTTAACGATTTTGATACAAGAACTGTGATTTAAGAGATTATTCACTCCACTTTGTAATCTCATAGTTCATGAGGCCCTCATGATATATAAGTTCAGGATTGGACTGAAAAGGAAAAATGAAATATTGGCCATAAATAGGAGGCACAGAACAGCATAAGTTGAGATCAGAGAGAAGCCAAATGGTTTACATTTAAGGAGACTTATCAAGGGCTAGTGAAGAGCTTTCAGGACAGCAAGAATTAGCGAGGACAAAAAATTAAACCGTGGTCCCCACCCTCATGGGATATATACTATTGGGGATAGATGTTATCAAAGACTCGATACATGTAAGATTATAGCCAGATAAGGGATAGGAAGGAAGTGAACATGGGATGGGAAAGCAGGTTATAGGAGGGGTTGTCCTGCTTAGGGAGGAGAGGCTTCCTGAGAAGTAATAATTATGCTGGGTTCTGAAGGAGCTGGTGGTCTGAGGAGAGGGCGCTCTAAGGGGAGTGAGTGGACTGGGGTAAGAAGATAGTGCATGCAAAGCCCTGTGGTAGGAGGACTAGGAGCATCCCACGTGGGGTGGGGCACACAGCACAGTGAGCATGTGCCATGGAGAGAAAAGCTGGAGCTAATCCTGCCAGGCCTTAGCAGCTTCCAGGAAGGGTGGTCTTTATTTAACGGCATGTTTTGTCCTGTGACAAGAATCCCCAAACTATCCATGTAAGGCAGATGGGGAGGCCCAAACACATCCTATTTGTTCTGATTGACAAGTCAGTTGGCAAGCACAGAGAAAAAAATTTATCGTTTGCTCCAGTGAAGGCTACTGTGATGCTCACAGTTGACACTTTTTCAAAACGATTATAACATCTTGGGGATCTTACACAGTTGGTTCTTTGTATCCACAGGTTCCACTTTGGTGGATTCAGCCAACTGCAGACTTAAAATATTTTTTAAAAAGCAATAAATAATTAGCAATAAAAAATAATAGAAATAAAATACAATACAATATAACCACTATTTACATAGCATATACATTGGATTAGATATTATAAATAATCTAATCTAGAGATCATTTAAAGAATATGGAAGGATATCCATAGGTTATGTGAAAATACTACACCATTTTATTTAAGGGATGTGAGCATCCAAGGATTTTAGCATTAGTCCAGGAACCATTCTCTGCTCTGTGAAAACCAACTTTACTTGTGAACAAAGCAAGCAGTTTAAAGTGTCACATGAGCCCATCCTCCCCACGCTGCTTCCTGTCTCTCTCCCCTCCATGGGTAAAACAGCCTCTTTTGCCTGGACAGTGGTGGAGGGGGGAAGTGAATTAGAAGATGACATAGATGTAAGATGCCTTTTGATAGAGCAGTTTCAAGAAAATTGTGTGCATAAAAATCAAGTTGCTGTAGGTAAACAAGGAAATAAAAGTGTTTAGCTAGACAGCTATTTCCAAAAATGTCAAGAGAATGAGAGGGAGAGAGATGAAAATGAACCCTGAAGAGAAATGAGGTTAAAGGAAACATACTTGTTCATATGGCCTTTTGCAACAACTCTTTGAAGAAAAAAGTTCAAACATACACAAAAGTAGAAACAATAGTAAAATGAACCATCGTAATTCACTCAGACTAAACAGTTATCAACAATCAGATTGCTACTTTTGCAACATTTTTCTTTTCTCCTGCTCTTTGTGAAACTGCCTTTGCAAAATTATGACAGGTTGAGAAATCTGACATGGCTGACTCCATCTTGCTTCTTTCTTTATAGGCTGGCTGTTGTCACTCACTCCTGGACGTACGCCAAGCTAACTTTGGGGAAAATTTAGTTTATAGTTTAAATGATAATAGGCCTTCCCAAAAACTAAACTACCCTTGTAAAACTAAAGAAAGGCCACAAAGTTACAAGGATGAGAGGGTCCTGAACTCTACTACAATGTAGGCACAGTTAAATAATTACCAATCATTATTGTGGAGCTCCCAAGACTTGTGTCTTCCCCAATTACTTCTGCAGACAGCATCACTACTGTAGAACCTAAGACTGGCTTTTTGAGATGTCTTTTCAGGCTTCTGCATTTCTGACAACCAAATGGCCCCACTGGGACTCACCAGTAGTCCTGTGGCCCCACCCAGGAACCAAATCAGCACAATTGAACAGCTTCAACTCCGTATGATTTCATCTCCTACCCAACGAATTCCTGGCTCCCTACCCACCAAGCTATCTTTGAAAAACCCCTAACCTCTGAGCCTTTGGTGAGATTGATTTGAGTAATAATTCCATCTCCCACAAGGCATGGCCGGCCTCCCGTCAATTAAACTCCTTCTTTACTGCAATGATGTGGTCTCTGTGAATTGATTTTATTTGTGCAGCAGGCAGGAAGAACTCATCAGGAAATTATATCTTTTCCCTAAGTATTTTATGGCAAATCCAAGATATCATGAAATTTAACGTAGTCTTCATATTCTGACCTATGCTTCACTAAAAATATATTTTTTTATATAAATATAATGCTATTGTTACGTCCAACCAAATTACCAATAATTCCTTGTCACAACCGATACTCAATTCATATTCAAAATTCTTTCATTGTCTCAAAAAAATATCCTTTTACAAGGAGCTTATTGGAATCAAGATTCAAACATGTTCCAAGTATTATATTGGATTGCTATGTCTGTTTTAATTTTCCTGCCATCTAAAATAGCCCCTTCTTATGAGTTTTTTGTTGTTGTTGGTTTTTCATGCCTTGGATTACCTGATAAAACCAGTCAGTTTTTCTACGTCCATATTTTTTATAAATAAAAGTTAGCTTTAAAGCCTTCATGGGTGGATTTCATTGGTTTGTTTGTTTTTAGTGATGAGGAGGGCTTAAATATGTCAAACACAGAGTGAAATAAAAAAGTCGAAGATAGAAGGAAAGGCAAAATAATTTTTAGTGCAAAATGATGAAGAGGTGGAACATAAAAGTTACTTTTGGACTGAAATCAAAATTTTCTTTTTCTGAAACAAGAGACAGAGATAAAAATGAATAAATATATTGGTAAATTTTGAAATGGTAACAGATGTGATAGTCAAAATATTGATTAATAAGCATAATAGTGATAGTCAAAATCAGCTTGGAAATGAATTGAATTATACAAATCAAGTCTTATGCAGACTGGTCCTGGTTATGAAACAACATGCTGGCAACTTCACAGCATCCAGATAGTTCCAGCAGATTTGGGAGGCCTGCCAGTTCCTACACACAAGTCCCTTGTAGACTAAAAGACGTAGAACATTCCTCTTGTGGGCCCCTCTTGCCTCTCCAAACCAGAATGCCTGCCATGTTTGACATGGACATCAATCATATGAAACAGATTGATGCAAACAACCCATGTATGTGAAGGTATTGGTTCACATCAGTTACATGTCTGTTCTCAGTGATGGGAGGGAACATTGATATTTATGTCTAATGGCCTTTCTTTTCTCATTGAAATAGAAAGTTAAGTTATTGGATCAAAGGGAAAGTTAGGGCATGGTTGGAATTTTTACAGGTGGGTATTTGGGGTGACTGTAGTAGTGAATGAGAAAGTATGTTAGCCAAGGATGAGGTAAAGAGTTCCTATCAAAATCAAAGACCCAGAGAGAATAATTCAGTTTTGGGTCCTGAAGGTACTTGGTTGACTGGTTATAGAGACAAAGTGAGTGAAGTTATTAACATTGGTGAAAAGATATCCAGGAATCAACAAAAACAATATGACTTGCATATATACAAATCTTACTGGTGTTGTTTTTTAAATTAGTAACTGAGGAGAAAAGACAAAGCAAAAATGATTAAATATCAACAAGTGTTAGGGCCTGGCACAGTGGCTCACGCTTGTGATTCTAGCACTTTGGGAGGCAAAGGCAGGTGGATCGCTCCATCACTCCAGCTCAGGAGTTCCAGACCAGCCTGGGCAACATGGCAAAACCCTGTCTCTACAAAAAATACAAAAATTAGCCAGATGTGGTGGCACACGCTTGTAGTCCCAGCTACTCAGAAGACTGAGGTGGGAGGATCACTTGAGCCCAGGAGGCAGAAGTTGCTCTGAGCTGAGATCATATCACCGCACTCCAGCCTGACAGACAGAGCAAGACCCTGTCTAAACAAAACAAAATGAAGGAAACCAATTATTAGTAGAAGATAATGAGAATATGGGTATTTATTTTATTTTGGATACTTTTCTAGTTTTCACTATTTATAAAACCTTTAAATAATTGACAGATGAAAGCTAGATTAAGACATACAAAGTTGAACTAAAAATCAGCTTTAATGAAAATTATTATGAATATATACTTCTGTTTTTAAATCAGATACTCATAATAAAAATATGAATAATTAAAGAAAGTTAGAAATTAGAGAAAAAGGAAAAATCAGCCAAAGCATCATAATATTAGCACCCCAGTTTATATATTTCTATTCTCACTTCTTAAATGGATTTTCATTTGGGGAGGGGCACTCAGTGTAGCACAAGTTTGTGTAAGTTTTTATTTTAAGAATATATAATTACAATTTCCATATTATTGCATAAATTTTGTAGCAATTTTTCCTACAGTTTTGTCATAATTTTAACTATTTTTAAGGAAATAGTTAACTATTTTTAAGGAAATAGTTAACTATTTTTAATTAAATATTGTACTTAACTATTCCCTGTTGAGGTTGCTTTTAGATTTATACTCTTATAAATAAGTGAATATCTTTTTTGTTAAGTTTATTTTCTGAAAATACAGATTTTTTTGGATATTTATGAGTCAAAGGATATGAAAATTACTAAGGCCCTTCATAACAGGTTTAAAGTCTTGCTCCACAAAGCCCAGTTGCTTTCTAAGAGGATTTACATTTCTACCAGCAATGTATGAGACTGTCTATTTCACCATACCCAATTCAGCATTAAATAGCATTTACTGCTATCTAATGGATAGCTAATTTTCTAGAAGAAAATTTACATTTTAATAATTATGATGGCTAACATTTACAGAGTACTGCTCTATAAGTACAGTTAAATACTTACAAACATTCATAAGATATGCCTTGCTACTGTCTGGATCTTACAGAGAATTAAAGCATCCAGTCAGCCAGCCAACAACTATAAATGAAAGAAGCTCCCGCTAAGTGCCAGACACTGTTCTGCATGCTGGTAATACAAGGATCTCACATAGCACAGGTCAGAGAAACGAGATAAACAAAACATATAAATAAGTACAATAATATCAAATAACAGTAGGTGCTTTGCAGAAAATAAAATAGGATGATACACAAGAAAGTGATGGAGGTAGGGCACTGGGGGAGCTATTTTTACTAGGATAGTAAAGGAAAATCTTAATAAAATGGCATCATTTCAGCTGAGACCTCAAATGAGAGGGAATAGCCATTTGAAAATCTCAGGGAAAATCATTCCAAGGAGAAGGAATAGCAAGTGTAAAGCCCTTGAGGCTCTGGAATGCAGGGAAAGAGAGGAGGTCAAAATGTTTAAAGAGGAAGGCAGGTCAGATCATGTAAGGCCTTGGGGGCAAGGGAGAGAGTTTGGATTTCCTTATTGATTCAATGGGAAGGCACTGAAAGCTGTTATGGAGGGGAGTATATGATTTGATTAATGCTTGTTTGAGCTCTCTGCCTCCTGTGTAGAAAATAAACTTCAGAGTAGCCAGAGTAGAGGGAGAGAGACATGCTGAGATGTTATTACAGTAGTTCGCGGAAGATATAATGATAGTTTGGATAGGGTTGCATGAAGAATGTTAGACAGAGAGAGGAATCAGATGTGAGTTGCAAGTGTTTGGCTTGAGAAACTGGATGGAAGATGATGCAATTTACTGACTTGGAGAACACTGAGAATGAAGAAGATTGCACAGACAAGCTCAGTTGGTATTTTTGGTCATATTAAAGTCTAAGATGCCTCTTAGACATCCCAGTGGCAAAGCTGAATAGACAATTGGACATGAGAGGCTGTGGTTCAGTGGGGAGGAAGGACACAAATGTGATAGTCTTCAACACGCAGGTGGCATTTGAAATGGAAATCCTGGATCACTCAGGTAGACTGTGTAGCTAGAGGAGGAACAACAAAGAGTAGGTGCATAGGGAACTCCATCGGTAGGAGGTCTGGCAGAGAAAGAAAAGCCAGCAAAGTGGGTAGCAAACCAGAAACTAAACATTGAAGCCACTGAAAAAACATTTAAACACAGAAAAAGCAGGAGTGATGAGCTGTATCAGTTGCATCATGATGTCAAGTAAGATTAGGACACAGAAGGGAGAGTTTGCTTCATTTAGATCTTTGTGATTTTTGTGTGTAGGTCTTTGTGATCTTAAATTAGTGCTATTTCAATGGTCTAGTGGAGACAAAATGCTGATTGAAGTGAACCAGGGAAAGAAGAGAATGGGGAAGTTGAGACAGCAATTATGAACTACACTTTCGAGGAGATTTGCTGTGAACAATGACATGGATTTATAGGTGAATTGGTTGACATAACTTGTCCAGGTGTGCACAGAGAGCAAGCCTTCAGATCTTTACTTGGAAACAAAAATGTTCTGACAAGCTCTTAACCAAATATACTGTTTTGATTTGTATCTAAAGAGCACTTTCTAAAAGTAATTACTTAACTGTTTCTTTAATTTTTAGAAAACGATATTACTATAGTCATTGAGACAGTTGCCTGATGTTGAGATGCTGCCAATTCCTAGATAAGAAGTCTGGAAATACTAGATAGCTGGGAGGGGCCCAAAGAATGCCAGAGTGTGGCGCAGATTGTATCACTGAAGAGATCCATGTCTATCACAGGAAGAATTAAGTGTATATTGTACACTATTGGCTTCCAATTTCCAAAAGAGAAATAATTCCCACTTCCCAACTGCATGCAATACTTTACTGTAGAAAGAGTAGAGCTAAAAATGATTTCATCATACTTTGTCTGAAAGCTTATGTATGACCAAGAAAATGATTGCTCTTCAGTTTGTATTTAAGGTCTGCCAGTTATACGTGACACAGGAAGTGAACATCACATGAAGTGGGACTGACTCAGAATAATAAAATATATGGTATCTAGGTTTGGGGATGTGATTCTTGATGTAAAACTTAAAAGGAGACTTTCAGACTGCATGTGGCTTTATTGATAACAAAAATTGAAAGGAGGAAGGGAAGGAGGGAGGGAGCAAAGGAAATTAACCAACAGTTATTGATTAGTCATGTGCCCCAGCACTATGCTAAGTACTTAAAAATGCATTATCCTTTTCAGTCCTCACAAAAGAACTTTTAAAGTTACTATCTACATTTTTCAATATGGTAAAATTGAGGCTCAGGGAGGTGAATTCCCTAAAACCACATAGGTGAATTAAAGAGCCAGTGCATGGTCTAACTAAATTCTAGTTCTAGCAATTAAATATAATACCATCATACACTAGCAAAAACTTTGTCAATCATCTGTGACATATTATGTTATTTCAAGTTTATTTTGAAAAAGAAAAATAATGGCTGGAATTCTTAGAATGGTACTCAACAATGTTCCATTCATCCTTAGATGTAATTGCTTGTCATGTGCTGTTTGTGGGAACATGTCACATAAGGGAAGAAATCCTTGCACCCCTGGCTCAAAATGGGCTTGTAATTCATTCACAAAATCTTTCTGGAACACAGAAATAGAGACTGAGTACAGTTTTGCTAATAGAAGAGACATATTTAAGTGGTCTCTTGTATAGATTTTTAAAAAATTAATTAAAAAATTTCTTCTGTGTACTCCCGGAATACTGGAAATCTCCAGCACAGAGCCCAGCACCTAATGGGTAGTGGCGATGGGAGGAAGGATCTCGGTAAATATGCATGGAAAAATGTGGTCTCTGATTACGCATATGTAGACACTTTGGATTATTTAAAGGACATAATAAGTCAGGCCACCTTAAGAGATGGGAGGTTAAGAATTTACATAAACAGACCAGACGGAAACAAAGAGCTGTCAGAGAGACCCAGACAGCTCTGAGGACTAGCTTCTTCATCCTCCCCTCTGAGTTTTGGGGTTTTTGTCTTGAAGGCTCCCTGTGCTGTGTTGTTTTCCGTTCTTTGTTACACAATCCTCTTTGTAGCCTTCAGGCTGTTTGTAAAGGAAGACTACCTGATAGGCTCACCTATTCATTGTTGTCTCTTCTGGGGAGAGATCTTGATTTCAAGTCACTTCTTGGTCCAAATTTGAGTTAGGTCTCTTCCACAATCCAATAAGTGGTCAATGGTGCTCAGAGAATAGCAGACCACTGCTTTCCTGAAATTATTGAGAAACAACTTTAGCTGGAATGGGGCCTGGCAAGGTGATTATGACCAATTGCGGAGGCTAATGCAACTCCACCTTGGATGCTAATCTGCCGTGTTGGCTTCTGATCAACCTCTGTTCCTGGAGGGCCTCTAAGATTTCCAGTTTATCCATTGCTTCTCGCGCAAAGGTATTTACTGTAAATCTTACCTTTAGGTCAAACAACCTAATATACTTCAGTTATCATACTTCAGATGTCCTACACATCCTTTTGGAATTATCCTTTCCCTGTGGTATGTAAGCCCTGGGTTGGTGGGGTAATAGCATGAGTTTCCAACATCTTGTCCCACCACCTCCCGAGATACCGACCAGACACAGCTTCTGATCATAAGTTCCTATTAACTATTTCTTTCTAAGAAACTGATCTGTCACTCCTCCTTTGGCCTCTCAGCTTCCTTGAATTTTGGGGTTGGTTTGCATAGACCTGCTCAACATGGAACACCACAGCATTAGTTTATATGATCTCTAACCTAATGATCTGATTTAATTTGCATCAACAGCAAGGAGTTTGCCTAACTCTCTGCCCAAAGCCTTTTCAATACAAGTCTAACTCATTTTTTTCCAGTCTTTGAAGAACAATGGAAAATTATATGAAGTGTTGCTTCAGAATTCTTTAAAAAAAAAACATAGTATTTGAACTCCAGATGTGCCAGAGTATTAGTTACTGAAGAAAAAAGCTTGAAAGTGAATTGTTTCTCCTTATAGAATCAATGAGTTGACACAAAACCCAATTCATGCTTACTTTATACAAAAAGTACTTTTGTCACCTAACAAGACTGTGACAGCTTTATTTTACTAAAGATTAAAGAAATTTGATGCACTGATAACAATGTCATGTTCTGACATGTATAGAAATAGCTTTGCAGCCAGGCACTGTGGTACACGCCTGTAATCCCAGCACTTTGGGAGACCGAGGTGGGTGAATCACCTGAGGTCAGGAGTTTGAGACCAGCTTGGCTAACATGGTGAAACCTCATCTCTACTAAAAATACAAAAATTAGCTGGGTGTGGTGGCAGGCACCTGTAATCCCAGCTACTTGGGAGGCAGAGATAGGAGAGTTGCTTGAACCCGGAAGGTGGAGGTTGCAGTGAGCAAAGATGGCGCCACTGCACTCCAGCCTGGGTGACAGGAGTGAAACTCCTCTCAAAAAAAAAAAAAAAAAAAAGAAGTAACTTTGCTCTCATTGTAAAATAACAAGTCTTATAACTATAACTTTATATGGATAACAAACATACAGGTGAAACACAGGACATGAACGAGACGCACATTGCTTCCTGAAAAATGAGGTTTGTAACAACATACATTTGAAGACATCAGGGACATGAGTGCAGCTTGATAAAGTGTTTAATATTTCTAACTTGGGACCTCCACAAATATTCTGTAAAAATTTTCGCCAATCGTGAAAGATTTACATATAATATAAACACATGGTACATTAAAATGTGCTTTCTTTCTCCTTTTAAAATTTATATTGAATCTGTCACAGTAATTAAAACATGCCATATATATTTTATGAAGTTTTTTAACAGGAAGCAACAATGAAATAAAGTGTAGGCCCAATTAAGACACGTTTAGCAATTAGTGAAGAATAAAGTTTCCCTTTGTCATGTAACACAAATTTTTGTGCGGAAAGATATTTTGAATGGTGTTAAGGGTTGAATTGTGTCTCTCCCCCTCAAAATAATATAAGGTTGGAGTCCTATTCATTGCCGATGGAATTAGTTAAGATGAGCTCATCTTAAGTAATGGAGTAGAGTGGGCATTCCATGGTATAATCCAATATGACTGGTGTCTATAAAAAGAGGATATTTGGACATAGATACACAGGGAGCATGCCCTGTGGAAATTGGTGGTATGCTGCCACAAATCAAGTAACTGCCAGAAACTAGGAGACAAGTCTGGGACAGAGCCTTCTCTAGTACCTTCACAGGTCTGGCCAACACCTTCATCTTGGTCCCAGGGTCCAGAGTTGCAAGACAATAAACTATTGTTTAAGCCACTCAGTTTGTGGTACATTGTTACAGACACTCTAGCAAACTAATACATGGTCAACCACAGTTGGTAAGTGGATATAGGAATCCCCTCTCACTCAGTGAATCCATAAGAAGGTTAAGCTTATATGCTGAGGAGGAGCAGAGTTAGACAATAGCCCAAGTATCTGTTAGAATGAATTAGTGTATATAAGAGCTGAAAATCTACCTGCCTTTGAAAAAGATACAAGAACACTGACCTCACTGAGATTCAACCCTGTAAAAATGCATAAACTGGGGTGATATGTGATTGAAACCAGATTGCATCATAAAAGGGAAAGCACCAATAGGGAAGATGATGCCTGGACCCCAAGCTGTCCTCAGTGTGAAGGCCAAATGGGGCCTGCGCTGTGGGAGCACTCGAGAGACAATGACGTGTGTGTGTGCATGCGTGTGTGTGTGTGTGTGTGAAAGAATTGTGCATGCCAGCATTTAGAAGCACAGACAGTTCTAAGCCAATACATTATAATATAGATAATATAGAGAGAGACAAGAAGGGATTCTACTCACCTCTTTTTCTTTTTTTTTTTAATTTCTTGTGTCTTTAAAACAATTTTTTTTATTTCTGTAGGTTTTTGAGAAACAGGTGGTATTTAGTTACATGAGTAAGTTCTTTAGTGGTGATCTGTGAGATTTCTGTGCACCCATCACCAGAACAGTATACACTGAACCTGATTTGTAGTCTTTATTCCTCACCCTCTTCCCACCCTTTCCCCCTGAGTCCCTAAAGTCTATTGTGTCATTTGTATGCCTTTGTGTTCTTATAGCTTAGCTCCCACTTATGAGTGAAAACCATATGTTTGGTTTTCTATTCCTGAGATACTTCACTTAGAATAATAATCTCCTTTCCCATCCAGGTTGCTGCAAATGCCATTAATTCATTCCTTTGTATGGATGAGTAGTATTTTATCATATATATGTATTTATCATATATATATTTATCATATACACACACACACACACGCACACACACACCTCAATTTCTTTATCCACTCGTTGATTGATGGGCATTTGGGATGGTTCCACATTTTTGCAATTGTGAATTGTGCTCACCTCTCAAGAGCATCACAACTTGTGTGAGTTGAAGGAGGTATGCACTAAGGCCATGAGACTATAAGGCTCAGCTAGAAGCCCTGGCAATGGTGACAGTGCTACCAGAGATGTGAGTGGATCCCCAGCCCCAGGACAATGGCAGATCTCCCTTTCCCTCACTGGTAGCAGGAGTGATGGGAGGAGACAGAATCAGAGACATTTCAGGGGACCATCACCTGTGGAATTTGCCCACAAGAAATGTCTGTGACTTCCTACTTTATCAGCAGGCAATAATAGTGAATTATGCCCAATGAATGTTTCTTGAAGAGATGTATATACCTCTCAGATCTGAAGAAATCTCTGGAGAGAAAGAATCTTTCGCAGATCAGACTTTCTTGTGAGTCTATCAGGTAGGATCAGAGCATCAAAAATGTAAAACTCAATGTAAATGTTTTCTGATTTGTATGCAAATTTAGATATAGCAATCTCACTAGTCTACATGTAAAGTCAATTTCTTGTCTTCTATACAAATATAAAATTAATGATTTCAAGGACAATGGCATTTTTAGAAAACATATATTATGTTCTCATGGCTATAGCCACCATTTTGTAGTTACTCAGTGAATTTACCTGAGAGGTAGGTAAATGAAAACTAAGCAAGACATTGAATTGCTTGCTACTAGCACAGTAGAAAAGGCTATGAAAATGCTTGGGAGTGTCCCAAGAAAAGTGCTTTTTGAACTCTACAGGATCAGCTGAAAAAATAAATGGTGGAGCCTATCAGCCCCTGACAGCACTGTCTACCAAGGAAGGTATCAGATACTTGTGTCTTCACAAACTCATTCTAAGGACTGTCATTCCACAGGGACCATTACCTGCTAAATGACTTCCATTCTGGGGTGGGTGTTCCTTGACCAATACCCAGAAGAATCAGGCTTTCCACTAGGCTTGCAGCATGACCAAAGTTTGTTCTGAAGTAAAAGAAAAATTCAACATGGTTGTTGGAGGCAGCCATATATTCACTTATTTGGTTACACATTTCCAGAAGCCTGGAAAAAAACCCCAATTGCCACATCGTGAAGTGAATTTCTGCATGGTTGATTCAATGAACTTTTAATAACCTCAGATAGCATTTACTGGTTTAAGTTTTACCTAAATTATCTTTTTTAAATCCTCAAAACAACCCTTAAGAAATAGGTACCTTTATCATTTCCATTGAATGGATGAGGAAACTGGAGCCCAGGAAAGTGATAGCTAAGCCAGTGTTTAATTGTCAGCGGTCTGGCTGACCTCACATCTTACTGTACCTGAGTCAGCCAGAAAGAGGCTGATGTGATCCTTAAGTAAGACTGTTGTTTGATTGGAAAATATATCTTATTTTGAGTATATTTATAAGAATAACCATTTATTGAGCACTTACTATGAGCCAGACTACACTGGTGCTCTTTGTGCATAATTCCATTTACTTCTCACATTGACTCTCTGAAATGTATCACTCTCTTCATTTTATACATGAAGGAGCAGGTCTGAGTCACTGATTCATTAAGTAACACATTCAAGGTCACATAGTTAAAATACAGGCCTCTCAGTCGGATTCTAAAGACTACATTTCCCACTCTAACTTCCTTCTTTTACTAAAAAAATTCTCATTTAATCAGTTTCTGATATCTTACCTATTATCCCTGATTAATAATAATGCTGCATATGAAATATTTTTCCTCAAATATGATATTTGTCTTTTCATATTACATTAGACTAAGATAAGCTGAGAAACTGCTCTCGGTTCGTTTCACCACAGTGGTCAGTAAGTAAAACAAGTTAAAATGCCAGTCTGAAATAGATTAATCATCTCCCTTTCAAAAAATAGAAATTAAAGCAAAAGTGAGAGAAGGGGGAGAGGGAATCCTGGCAATATGGAGTTTGTATCCAATACCACCTTGCCCAGGAGCAGTGGAATAGTTCTACAGGTTCCACTGGGGGAAATCAAGTGTGGCTTACTTGATTCATACAAATTTTTAAAATATAATCTGTAATGTATTTGGGAAGGCAATGCAATAGGAAGCAATTGGATTTTATTTTCTGATTACATAAAAGCTTTCTACACTTTGAAATAAATGGAGAACATACTAGATATTTATCCATCTACAATTCACTCGTTCCTTTACTCAGCAATATTTCACAGAATGATCAGGAAAGGCATGCATTCTTGGGGCATTATTCAAGAGGGCAGCATAGAGAGTCTTCTATACCTAGGTAAAAGAGAGGAAAGATGACACATCAAGTCACTCATAGCTGTTTACAAGCAGGAGCCTGGTTTGAGTTAGACTGATACTGAAGGCCCTTCATTTTTAGTCACTTTCGGAGCCTTACTAATCATAGTTGGGATTTTTTGAGTGCTTTCAAAGCATGACAGTTTGTCTCTTACCTGGATTAGTTCACAAAAATCTTATGTGTTAGGTAGTATTATAATCCTCATTTACAGATGAGAAAAAAAGAGGTTTAAAGAGATTAAATAACTGGCCCCAATTCGTACAGCTAAGAGACAAAAAGCCAGGCATTACACCTAGACAATCTGACCCAGAACTCACTGTGGTCAACCACAACATTTGTCACCATTAAATCCAGGTCATCTCGATGCTACATCTTATTTAAGGTCTTATCCATCTTTTTAAGTTAGATTTGTATATATCAGTTTGTTTTGTGCAAAATATGACTACTTTCAAATGGCAGGGAACAAATGAATAATAAAATAGGTGATAATATAAAGTAAATTACTTTATATGGCTTTATATGACTCCAGTCCCCCCATGCACATTTAACTTTTACAAAATTTGTGATAAAATATATTTAATAAACAATTTACCATTTTAACCATTTTTAAACTTACAGTTTGGTGGTATTAAGTACATTCACATTGTTGTACAACCATCACCAACATCCATCTCCAACTTCTCATTACACTTGAATTTAAAACAAATTTATCTATTCATGCAGCAGTGCTATTGAAGTCCAGCTGAACCTCTGCTCTGAGCCAGGTGCTGGACAAAGTCTGGCCCAATTCACTTTCTCAAATTCCCCTTACAGGGCTGGCTGGCCCTGCCTGATGAGCCTTAATCCTTATAGTTTGGCCACCAAAACCAGTAGTTAATTGAAAGGGTGGGGATGGGGGGATGGTTTGATACAGTTAAAGAACAGGCCCTGGGCCATCAAGTGTCATCCTTCACGTGGTGCTGTAGAGAGGAAGTGAACACTAAAGCTTGGGCTTGCATCTCCTTTTTGCCTCATTTCTTGTGGGATTTGGGCATATTTCCTATCCTCTTTGAGCCCCCAAGTCTCCGTTTGTAAAACGGGAATAATGTCAGATGGGTGCAGGGGCTCACGCCTATAATCCCAGCACTTTGGGAGGCTGAGGCGGGCGGATCAGCTGAAGTCAGGAGTTCGAGACCAGCCTGGCCAACATGGCAAAACCCTGTCTCTACTACAAATACAAAAAAAATAGCTGGGCATGGTGGCACGTGCCTGTAATCCCAACTACTAGGGAGGCTGAGGCAGGAGAATCGCTTGAACCCAGGAGGCTGAGGTTGCAGTGAGCCGAGATTGTGCCATTGCACTCCAGCCTGGGCAACAAGAGCGAAACTCCATCTCAAAAAAAAAAAAAAAAAAAAAAGGAATAACATTTATTTTGTTGAGAATATGACAGATAATACAAAAATGATTGCTGACAAGAAAAATAAATATTTGTAATTCTCCTGCCACCTTTATGGAGAGACCTTGAAACTGGAAGAAATTACCTCTGCTAGCCTTTAGCGTGCTTAAGTGTGGTAAAGTAACAAGAGACAGCTATGTGTATGTGCACGTGTGTGTGTGCATTCACATGTGCTTGAGTTTCTCGGTGTACGTATGAGAGTGTGTAAATGTTTATTGGGAGCGAGGAGGAAGAGAAGGTGTAACTAAATTGCTCTGTGTTAGAAATAGAGAAGAAAATGAGCCCCAAGGGAGGCTCCAGGGACAGGGAACTGCAGCCAGGGGAGATTCCAAGTCCTTGAAGGGGAAGGAGAGAGGATGATGAATGGGGATTTGGGCCATGAAACGCTGCACACTGTGTGATATAAAACCTCATTCCTTTTTCATGGCAACTGTAGTCTACATTGTTCTGTAATACTTACATTTTCTATTTTGGGGGCTATATGGTTAGAAGGTGATGTTGGAAGAGATGAATCAGTAAATCCTGCTTCAACATTGGCTCCTGAAGGAACCAGGTGGCTCATCAAGGTAGCCATGTATAAAATATCTTACATATCATAAACACACATATTGCCAGCCTTTATCTCACTCTGTCGCCAGCCTGGAGTGCAGTGGCGCTATCTCGGCTCACTGCAACCTCCGATTCTCTGGTTCAAGTGATTCTTCTGCCTCAGCCTCCTGAGTAGCTGGGATTACAGGCACGTGCCACCACGTCCAGCTAGTCTTTTTGTATTTGTAGTAGAGATGGGGTTTCGCCATGTTGGCCAGGCTGGTCTCAAACTCCTGACTTCAGGTGATGCGCCTGCCTTGGCCTCCCAAAGTGCTGGGATTATAGGCTTGAGGCACCGCGCCCATCCCCCGTGCACATTTCTATAGGCTGAAAGGCATCACTGTACCTGCCAGAACTTTCCAAGCATGCAGACTTGAATTCTTCAGAAAGTAGAAACACAGGTGGAGTGAAAAGAGGAAATAAATGACAGTCCAGTGACTGAGCAGTAGATGGACCCCTTCTGGGAGGGCAGGTTGCCCTCTGCCAAACATGTCAGAATCATTCTTCTAAGAGAAGGTGAAAATACTTCTCTAAAAACATCAGGGACAATCTTTCTTCCAAAGACCAAAGGTATGTGGGAGAAATCTTCAATGTCTGGGTCCTGGTTTGGAGTATGCAGGGTGCCCAGGACTGTGCTGGACTCACTCTCTCCACTTGCACCTGCAGGCTCCTGTTAGCTGAGGACTCCTTCTGTTCCTCAACCTCTTTCTGGGCATCTCTACTTGAAAAACAGATCCTTGGTGGTGGGGGGCCATGCTGTTCTACAGAATGTAACTCCATCAGGGGTGCTGCGTCCAGTCGCAAGCCAACAGTTGAGATTCTCCCACAAGTCCCACAGAGGGACCATCTCTGCCCCATCTCTGTTTCCTACACAAGGAAATTGTGCACTGTTCTATTTGTGGAACATGAACCTTTCAGTATCAGAGCCTTCAGAGTTCTTTTTTGTTTCATTCCATAAAACAAATTGTTAAAGATACCAGATGAAAAGTAATAATGTATTTTTTGGATTAAGTTGGTGGATAGGAGGCAGGACTAGCTTGCAGCTCCTGCTCAGGACAGAGCAGGGTGTGGAGACTCACACTGTAGCAGGATGAGCCGCAGACAAAACTCCTCAGACACCAGATTAAAGAAGGAAGAGGTTTTTATTCAGCCAGGAGCGTCAGCAGACTCGCGTCTTAAGAGCTCAGCTCCCCAAAAAAGAAATCCTTGGCCTTTTTAAAGGCTTACAACTTTAAGGGGTCCACGCAAAATGGTCGCGATACATCAAGCAAGCGTGGGAAACGTGACTGGGGGCTACATGCAACAGCTAACAGAAAAAAAGTTTCACAATGCTTTTTTCATACAGTGTCTGGAATTTACAGATAACACAAGCAGTTTAGGTCAGGGGTTGATGTTATTATTATTACTTTTTTTAACTCCTAGGGCCAGGTGGTGGCGCCCAGGTTGTCTGGCTATTTATCTTACTTTTGTTTTTTTCCAACTTTTTGCTTTTTCTCTCCTCCTGTCTTGTGAACTAGGCAAGGTAGGGGGAGGAGGACAGCAGGAGTAGTAGTGGTCTCCTTCCTTAACATCATGAACTTTTGCTCCAAGAGCTACCACGGGAACATGCCAGGAAAGCTGAGAGAATCCACAGACCCTCTGAAGGAACTGGATCACTGCTGCAGGCTCCCTGAGATGCCGAAAAACTATGAGTCTGCTTTCTTTCTCAACAGGGAGGCCTGTGGTCTGGGGCAAGTTCTCAGCCCTGGTCACTGGCTGCCTGGAAATAGACTCGGTGCTGCTGGGGGGTCACGGTGGGGGTGAGACTGGCCTTTAGGACTGTGGTCTGTGTGGGAGTGGAGTGAGACCTTTGACTGACAGCTCTCCCCCATTTTGCCTGGTGAATTGTATGACTCAGCAGTGGCAGCCATAATCCTTCTGGGAATATAACTCCATTGGCCTGGGAACCACACCCCCATTTCCCATAGCCACCACAGCAAGCCCCACCCAAGAAAAGTCTGTGCTCAGACATGCCTATCCCTGCCCCCACCTGGTGGTCTTTCTGTACCCACCCTGTTAACTGAAGACAAAGGTCATAATCTCTTGGGAATGCTACGGCCCTGCCCATTGCCTAAGAAGCCTGAATACTTAACCACATGTCCCCAGGGCGAGTTTGCAGCATCCCTATAGGATTGCAGCTGATGCACTCTTGAAAGTGCCACCTTTTGGCTGAAGGCCAACCAACACAAAACCAGTACACTAAACAAAAACACAACCAGGGACCCTCGCAGAGTCCTCTGCACTCCCCTGCTACCTCCACTGGAACAGGTGCTGGTATCCATGGCTGCAAGACCTGAAGACAGATCACATCACAGGGCTCTTTGCAGACACTCCTCAGTGCCAGCCCAGAACCAGGTAGCTCTGCTGGGTGGCTAGACCCAGAAGAGCAAAAACAATCACTGCAGTTCGGCTCATAAGAAGCCCCATTCCTAGGGAAACAGGGAGAACACCACATCAAGGAAGCACCCCATGAGACAAACGAATCTGAACGGCAGCCCTTGAATCCCAGATCTTCCCTCTGATATAGTCTACCCAAATGAGAAGGAACCAGAAAAACAATTCTGGTAATAGAACAAAAGAACAAAACAAGGACTTTTAACACCCCCAAAATATCATAGCAGATCCAAATCGAGACAAAATCTCCAAATTGCCAGAAAAAGAATTCAGAAGGTTGATTACTAAGTTAATCAAGAACACCAGAGAAAGGTGAAGTCCAACTTAAAGAAATCAAAAACATGATACAGGATATGAAAAGAAAATTCTTCAGTGAAATAGATAGCATAATTGAAAAACAGTCACAACTTCTGGAAATCAAGGACACACTTAGAGAAATGCAAAATGCACTGAAAAGTCTCAGCAATAGAATCGAACAAGCAGAAGAAAGAATGCCAGAGCTTGAAGACAAGGCTTTCCAATAAACCCAGTCCATCAAAGACAAAAATTTTTTTAATGAACAAAGCCTCCAAGAAGTTTGAGACTATGTTAAACATCCAAAACTAAGAATAATTGGTGTTCCCCAGGAAGAAGAGAAATCTAAAAGTTTGGAAAACATATTTGAGGGAAAAATTAAGGAAACCTTCCCCAGCCTTGCTAGAGATCTAGACATCCAAATACAAGAAGCTCAAAGAACACCTGGGAAATGTATCACAAAAAGATCATCACCTAGGCTCATAATCATCAGGTTACCTAAAGTCAAGACAAAGGAAGGAAACTTAAGAGCTGTGAGATAAAAGCATCAGGTAACCTATAAAGGAAAATGTCTCACGTGTCCATGTGAAGAGACCACCAAACAGGCTTTGCGTGAGCAACATGACTGTTTATTTCACCTGGGTGCAGGCGGGCTGAGTCCGAAAAAGGAGTCAGCAAATGGTGGTGGATTATCGTTAGTTCTCATAGGTTTTGGGATAGATGGTGGAGTTAGGAGCAATGTTTTGAAGGCCGGGGATGGATCTCACAAAGTACATTCTCAAGGGTGGGGAGAATTACAAAGAACTTTCTTAAGGGTGGGGGAGATTACAAAGTACACTGATCAGTTAGGTTGGGGCAGAAATAAATCACAATGGTGGAATGTCATCAGTTAAGGCTATTTTCACTTCTTTTGTGGATCTTCAGTTGCTTCAGGCCATCTAGATGTATATGTGTAGGTCACTGGGGATATGATGGCCTAGCTTGGGCTTAGAGGCCTAACAGAAAACCTTTCAGATTAACAGCAGATCTCTCAGCAGAAACCCTACAAACTAGAAGGGATTGGGTGCTATCTTTAGCCTCCTTAAACAAAACAATTATCAGTCAAGAATTTTGTATCCAGCAAAACTAATCTTCATTAATGAAGGAAAGATACAGTCTTTTCCAGACAAACAAATGCTGACAGAATTTGCCACTACCAAGCCAGCACTACAAGAACTGCTAAAAGGAGCTCTAAGTCATGAAACAAATCCTTAAAAATACACAAAAATAGAATCTCCTTAAAGCATAAATCACACAAGACCTATATATCAATAACACCATGAAAAAAAACCAATGAGGGCAACAAATAGCATGATGACTAGAATAGTACCTCACAACTCAATGCTAACATTGAATGTAAATGTCCTAAATGCTCCACTTAAAAGATACGGAATGGTAGAATGGATGAGAAATCACCAACCAAGTTTCTCCTGTCTTCAGGAGACTTACCTAACACATAAGGAGTCACATAAACTTAAGGTAAAGGGGTGGAAAAAGATATTCCATGTAAATGAATACCAAAAGCAAGCAGGAGTAGCTATTCTTATATCAGATAAAACAAACTTTAAAGCAACAGAGATAAAAAAGACAAAGAAGGACATAATATAATGATAAAAGGACTAGTCCAACAGGAAAACATCACAATTCTAAATATATAGGCACCTAACACTGGAGCTCCGAAATTTATAAAGCAATTACTACTAGACCTAAGGAATGAGTTAGATGGCAATACAATAATACTGGGGGACTCCACCGACAGCACTAGATAGATCATCAAGATAGAAAGTCAACAAAGAAATGGTGGACTTAAATTATATCCTATACAAAATGGACTTAACAGATATTTAAAGAACATTCTACCCAGCAACTGCCGAATATACATTCTATCCATCAGCACATGGAACATTCTGCAAGACAGACCATATCGATAGGCCACAAAACAAGTCTCAGTAAATTTGAGAAAATTGAAATTCTATCAAGTACTCTCTCAGACCACAGTGGAATAACAATGGAAATCAACTCCAAAAAGAACCATCAAAACCACGCAAATACATGGAAATTAAATAACCTGCTCCTGAATGATCATTCGGTCAACAATGAAATCAAGAAACTAAAAAATTCTTTGAACTCAATGATAATAGTGACACAACCTATCAAAATCTCTGGGATGCAGCCAAAGCAGTGCTAAAAGGAAAGTTCATAGCATTAAATGTCCACATCAAAAAGTCTGAAAGAGCACAAACAGACAATCTAAAGTCACACCTCATGGAACTGGAGAAAAAATCCAAACCCAAACCCAGCAGAGAAAAGAAATAACCAAGATCAGAGCAGAACAAAATGAAATTGAAACAAACAAACAAACAAAATAAAATAACACAAAACACAGATGAAACAAAAAGCTGGTTCTTTGAAATGATAAATAAAATTGATAGACCATTAGTGAGATTAACTAAGAAAAGAAGAGAGCAAATCCAAATAAGCTCAATTACAAACAAAATGACAGATATTACAACTGATACCAAAGAAATACAAAAGATTATTATTCAAGGCTACTATGAACAACTTTGCATGCATAAACTAGAAAACCTAGAGGAGGTGGATAAACAACGCTCCTAGATTAAACCAGGAAGAAATGCAAACTTTGACCAGACCAATAACAAGCAGCAAGATTGTAATGGTAATAAAAAAATTGCCAACAAAAAAAATCCAGGACCAGATGGATTTACAGCTGAATTCTACCAGACATTCATAGAAGAATTGGTACCAATCCTATTGACACTATTCCAAAAGAAGAGAAAGAGGGAATCCTCCTTAAATCATTCTATGAAGCAAGTATCATCCTAATATCAAAACCAGGGAAGGACATAACAAAAAAAGAAAACTACAGACCAATATCCCAGATGAACATAGATGCAAAAATCCTCCACAGAATACTAACAAGCCAAATCCAACAGCATATCAAAAAGATAATCCACCATGATCAAGTGGGTTTCATAGCAGAGATGCAAGGATGGCTTAACATACATAAGTCAATAAATGTGATACACCACATAAACGGAATTAAAAACAAAAATCACATGATCATCTCAATAGATGCAGAAAAAGCATTTGACAAAATCCAGCATTGCTTTATTATTAAAACCCTCAGCAACATCAGAATAGAAGGGACATACCTTTAGGTAATAAAAACCATCTACGATACACCCACAGCCAACATTATACTGAATGAGGAAAAGTTGAAAGCTTTCCACCTGAGAACTGGAACAAGACAAGGATGCCCACTTTCACCACTTCTGTTAAACTTGGTACTGGAAGTCCTCGCCAGAGCAATCAGACAAGAGAAAGAAATAAAGGGCATCCTAATCGGTGAAGGGGAAGTCAAACTGTCACTGTTTGCTGATGATATGATCGTATACCTAAAAATCCCTAAAGACACCTCCAAAAAGCCACTAGAACTGATAAAAGAATTCAGGAAAGTTTCAGGATGCAAGATTAATATACACAAATCAGTAACTCTGCTATACACCAACAGCAACCAAGCTGAGAATCAAATTGAGATATCTCAACCTCTTCACAATAGCTAATAAACAAACAAATAAAAAAAAAACTTAGGAATATACCTAACCAAGGACATGAAAGACCTCTACAAAGAAAACTACAAAACACTGCTGAAAGAAATCATAGATAATGCAAACAAATGGAAATACAGCCCATGCTCATGGATGGGTAGAATCAATAGTGTGAAAATGACCATACTGCCAAAAGCAATCTACAAATTCAATGCAATTCCCATCAAAATACCACCATCACTCTTCACAAAACTAGAAAAAAAAAAGACCTAAAATACATATGGAACCAAAAAAGAGCCCACATAGCCGAAGCAAGACTAAGCAAAAAGAATAAATCTGGAGGCATCACATTACCTGACTTCAGACTATGCTATAAGGCCATAGTAGCCAAAATAGCTTGGTACTGATATAAAAATAGGCCCATAGACCAATGGAACTGGATAGAGAACCTAGAAATAAAGCCAAATACTTACAGCCAACTGATCTTTGACAAAGCAAACAAAAATATAAAGTAGGGAAAGGACACCCTATTCAACAAATGGTGCTGGGATAATTGGCAAGCCACATGTAAAAGAATGAAATGGGAACCTCATCTCTCACCCTATAAAAAATCAACTCAAGATGGATCAAATACCTAATCTAATACCTGAAACCATAAAGATTCTAGAAGATAACATGAAAAACCCTGCTAGACATTGGCTTAGGCAAAGACTTCATGACAAAGAACCCAAAAGCAAATGCAACAAAAACAAAAGATAAATAGTTAGGACTCAATTAAACTAAAAAGCTTTTGCACAGCAAAAGAAATAATCAGCAGAGTTAACAGACAACCCACAGAGTGGGAGAAAATCTTCAGAATCTATACATCTGACAAAGGACTAATATCCAGAATCTACAAAGAACTCAAACAAATCAACAAGAAAAAAGCAAATAATCCCATCAAAAAGTGGGCTAAGGACATGAATAGACAATTCTTAAAAGAGGAATTACAAATGGCCAGTAAGCATATGGAAAAATGCTCAGCATCACTAATTATCAGGGAATACAAATCAAAACCACAGTGTAATACCATCTCACTCCTGCAAGAATGGCCATAATCAAAAGATCAAAAAATAATAGATGTTGGCATGGATGCAGTGTAAAGAGGACACTTTTATACTGTCGGTGGGAATGTAAAGTAGTACAATTACTATGGAAAACTGTGGAGATTCCTTAAAGAACTAAAAGTAGATCTACCATTTGATCTTGCAATCACACTACTAATTATCTACCCAGAGAAAAGTCATTATATGAAAAAGATATTTGCACATGCATGTTTATAGCAGCACAATTTGCAATTGCAAAAATATGAAACCAGCCCAAATGCCCATCAATCAACAACTGGATAAAGAAAATGTGATATATATATATTCCATGGTATGTGTGTCACAAAGGTATGTATGGGTATGTGTGTCACAGAGGTACGTATGGGTATATATATATATGTAGTATTACACGGTATGTGTGTCACAGAGGTATGTATGGGTGTATATATATATGAGCTGTAGCAAATAAAGCTATATATATATATATATATATATATATATGCATACATACCTCTGTGACACACATACCATGGAATACTACTCAGCCAAAAAAAGAATGAAATAATGGCATTTGCAGCAAACTGGATGGAATTGGAGACTATCATTCTAAGTGAAGTAACTCAGAAATGGAAAACCAAACATCATATGTTCTCACTCATATGTGGGAGCTAAGCTATGAGGACACAAAGGCATAAGAATGATACACTGGACTTCGTAGACTCAGGGAAAAGGGCAGGTCAGTGGTGAGGGATAAAATACTAAACGTTGGGTACAGTGTACACTGCTCAGGTGATGGATGCACCAAAATCTCAGAAATCACCACTAAAGAACTTATTCATGTCACGACCTGTTCCCCAAAAATCTATTGAAATTAAAAATTAAAAATTAAAAAAATAAAATAAAAGTAATGATGCTACCTTTGTTAAACATATGGAAGCACTATAGATTACTTATAGTAGAAGCAGAGGTCAGGGGCGGAGAGGAGATGGAGAAAGGAGAAATAGAAGTTGAACTTCTAGATTTTACCAAGTGGGCTAAAGAAATCTCACTGAGTCTTTGGCAGCAGCATATTGCTAAGTGTAACATGGGTCTTAATTTTGAAATATTTTCTGATGGCCCTTCTCCTGTTGTAAAACCAATTTTCTTTCTGTGCATTTTGTCTGCTATTATGACTCTGGGGAAGGCGCCAGGTGAATGCTGCTTTCAGAAAGAAACAGGGTACAAGAGAATATGCCTCCACCCAGGGAAGAATTACACAAGGACAAACTAACCTTTTCTGACCCTGTGTGAAGAAGGAGAGAGAAGAATTAAGCAAAGATGTCAGGTACCAGTGTCCTTTTTGCCCTCATTCTTTAAGGGTGCAATCTGGGTGATGAGGAAAAGCAAGGAAACTGGTTCTTCTTCAGAAGATAGGTTGCCTCTGTGTGATTCTTCCTGTGTGACAGAGGCTTCCCTTTTACTGTTTCTTTCTGGAAACAAGATTCACCTGGACCCCTCCCCAGGGTCATAAATAAAGAGCACTAGACTTTGCAACTAGAGGCAATGGTGGGGATAAGCCTTCAGTTATTAGTACCTCCAAAGACCAGGTGGAACAGACAGAACACCAGCAGACACAGATGGAGCCAGGGCTAGCCTAGGACACCCCACAACAGAGGCTAGCAAGGATCTAGGGGGAATTATACAGATCCTGGGCCCTCTCCTCTGTCACCCAGACACCATCTGTGTGGGCTGGTATGAGTGGGGAATGAAAACCTAAAAAAAAAACTGCTGAAACCTGAACAGACTGAAATGCCCTTTACTGACAGGTTTTAATTGCCAGCCACCCTGCCACCACTGAGTGGGGACTGGAGACGAGGGTGGTCCCAAGGAAGATGAGATAAGCTGTAGCAAATAAAGTGCAATGATCCAGCCTGGGCAACATAGTGAGACCCTGTCTCTACTAAAAATACAAAAAAATAGCCAGGTGTAGTGCTGCACACCTGTGGTCTCAGGTACCAGGGAGGCTGAGGTAGGAGGATCACTTCAGCCCTGGAGGAAGAGGTTGCAGCAAGCTGAGATCAAGCCATTGTGCTATTGTAGTCCAGCCTGGGCCACAGAGTGAGATCCTACCTCAAAGAAAAAAATAAGAGCAACAATCCTGGGTCTCACTCTCTACATATACCCAGGACCAGAGAGGTTGAGAAGAGCTGGGATTCAAAACGAATAATCAAACTAAGCACAATTCTTTAGGAAAACAGTTGGGAATGTAAGTTGTTTTGGTTACTTGATCTGCAAAGGTACCAAAACAATTCAGTGGGGAAAGGATAGTCTTTTCTACAAATGGTGCTGGGAAAGTTGGATCCTCAGGCCAAAAAACTGAACTTAAATCCTTACCTCACACCATATACAAAAGTTAACTCAAATTGGCTCTTAGACCTGTGATCTGCTAGAAAACACAGAATAAAATCTTTGTAAGCTTGGGTTAGGTAAAGATCTAAGGTGAGTTTAGGAAATTTTCTATCTAAAGCAACAAGGACTTTTTATTCCCTGACATGTAGAACCTGAGTTATGTGTTCTATTTGGTTTTCCAGAATAACTCATCAGCCAAAGACTCCATGGTCAAGGCACAGAGCTAAATCCAGAAAAGCATAATAGTAAGAGATTTTTATTTCGTTTATTCACTCTTTCCTATCTGTAATAGTTGTATAATTCATCTTTTATTTGTTTGTTTGTTTGTTTAGAGACAGGGTCTCACTCTATCACCAAGACTGGAGTACAGTGATGCAATCATAGCTTACTACAGCCTTGAATGCCTGGGCTTATGTGATCCTTCTGCCCGAGACATCCAAATAGCTATGACTATAGGTATGCAACACCACACTCAAATAATTTTTACATTTTTTGTAGAGATGAAGCCTCGCTATGTTGCCTAGGCTGGTCTCAAACTCCCAGCCTAAGGCAATCATCCTGCCTCAGCCTCCCAAAGTACTGGGAATACAGTAGTGAGCCACCATGCTCAGCTTAATTTCTCTTTTTAAAATTCAAATTATTCTTTCACTTCTGGATATCACTAGAATTCCCTTTTTGAATAAAATGAACTTTTATTTATTTTTTTCCCAAGGGGCTTATATTGATTCAGTGTGCACACTCTTCCCCCTTCTCTACCTTGCTACTTTTAATGTAATCATTTCTCTTGCAGGATTAATCTTCATAGGATTGTCAGGAAGATCACATGAATGCTCAGACAGCACTTAAAACCGTACTTGGCATAATAAGTAAATGACTTCCAGAGTTTTTCCTTTTCTGGAGACTTTTTCAATTATCAGTAAGCCAATTAAGATGGCTCATTATTAATAAGGAATTATTGTGAATTGTAAAAGTAGACATTTGTTCCTCCATTACTGTATTACCCACCACTCAGTACACAATAAAATAACCCAGAATATTTTGACAAACCTGACAAAAACAAGAAATGGGGAAAGGATTCCCTATTTCATAAATGGTGCTGGGAAAACTGACTAGCCATATGTAGAAAGCTGAAACTGGATCCCTTCCTTACATCTTTTACAAAAATTAATTCAAGATGGATTAAAGACTTAAATGTTAGGCCTAAAACCATAAAAACCGTAGAAGAAAACCTAGGCAATACCATTCAAGACATAGGCATGGGCAAGGACTTCATGTCTAAAACACCAAAAGCAATGGCAACAAAAGCCAAAATTGACAAATGGGATCTAATTAAACTAAAGAGCTTCTGCACAGCAAAAGAAACTACCATCAGAGTGAACAGGCAACCTACAAAATGGGAGAAAATTTTTGCAACCTACTCATCTGACAAAGGGCTAATATCCAGAATCTACAATGAACTCAGACAAATTTCAAGAAAAAAACAAACAACCCTATCAAAAAGTGGGCAAAGGATATGAACAGACACTTCTCAAAAGAAGACATATATGCAGCCAAAAGACACATGAAAAAATGCTCACCATCACTGGCCATCAGAGAAATGCAAATCAAAACCACAATGAGATACCATCTCACACCAGTTAGAATGGCAATCATTAAAAAGTCAGGAAACAACAGGTGCTGGAGAGGATGTGAAGAAATAGGAACACTTTTACACTGTTGGTCAGACTGTAAACTAGTTCAATCATTGTGGAAGTCAGTGTGGCGATTCCTCAGGGATCTAGAACTAGAAATACCATTTGACCCAGCCATCCCATTACTGGGTATATACCCAAAGGATTATAAATCATGCTGCTATAAAGACACATGCACACCTATGTTTATTGCAGCACTATTCACAATAGCAAAGACTTGGAACCAACCCAAATGTCCAACAATGATAGACTGGATTAAGAAAATGTGGCACATATACACCATGAAATACTATGCAGCCATAAAAAAGGATGAGTTCATGTCCTTTGTAGGGACACGGATGAAACTGGGAACCATTATTCTCAGCAAACTATCACAAGGACAAAAAACCAAACACCACATGTTCTCACTCATAGGTGGGAATTGAACAATGAGAACACATGGACACAGGAAGGGGAACATCACACACTGGGGCCTGTCGTGGGGTTGGGGGAGTGGGGAGGGATAGCATTAGGAGATATACCTAATGCTAAATGACTAGTTAATGGGTGCAGCACACCAACATGGCACATGTATACATATGTAACAAATCTGCACGTTGTGCACATGTACCCTAAAACTTAAAGTATAATAAAAATAAATAAATAAATAACCCAGAATAGAATTCTGAATTTTATTAGAGAATATATCTAAAATACAATATTTATTAAGTTATGATATATTGTCTGAATGGAAATATACTCTGTATCACAACTCTAATTATAACAATTTTTACAGATAATACTTCATTTATATCTCTGTAATTCAAAAGTCATTAAATTACAACAGAATTCATATTTAAGATAACTTTGCTATAAATATATAATAATTTTTAAAGTTTTTCTTTAATATAACATCTTGAAATCATGAACATTTATTTTTTCTGGTTTACATTACATAGAATCATGACTATTTTACCTGATTTGCCTTAACTAGCTCAATTTATCTTGTGCTATGGATTTGCACTCAACCATTCTACTTTCCTATGTTTTAAAAGCAGCATTTTAGTCAACAATTGTGAGTGCTCATCACCCTACATGCTGTGAACAAAGTCAAGGTACTTTATTCTTATTTCTTATCCTATATTCTGTGTTACAGAAAAACTACTACCATAAACAAAGCACCAACCAGCCACAGCAGTTGTGTCAAGCATGACAATTGGTCTAGTCTTCACATTTTATTAGTAAGTCTATCAAGTAAGAGATGAAGGGTCTAGAAAACTAGACACAAAGCAACCAGGGTCCAAATCACCAAGGTAGATCTGTGCTTAGCTAAAGGGAAACACCCGAAGATTCATTATTTGGATACAGACTATGGGACCATCTTATTTGAAGGAAGCTTTGATTTGCCTGTTCTTCAGTGGCTGAGCTGGGCGCCAGTTGTCCACCATCAGTTCTTCGGGTTCACCCTCCCCATTGAAGTTAAGTTTACGGAATTTCAACACCTAAAAGACACAATAAAACATTGATAATTAATGTTTCACAATGGTATTCAGTTATATACTTGTGTTATATCTTTAAATACATTCCCCGGCCAGGCGCAGTGGCTCATGCCTGTAATCCCAGCACTTTGTAAGGCTGAGGCATGAGGCGGGTGGATCACTTGAGGTCAGCAATTCGAGACCAGCCTGGCCAACATGGTGAAACCCTGTCTCTACAAAAAAAAAAACACACACACACACACACAAAAATTAAACAGGCGTGGTAGAGCACCTGTAATCTCAGCTACTCAGGAGGCTAAGGCACAAGAATCATTTAAACCCTGGAGGCAGAGATTGCAATGAGCTGAGATTGCGCCACTGCACTCCAGCCTAGGCGACAGAGCAAGGCTCTGCCTCAAAAAACAGAAACAAAAACAAACAAAAATTACATTCCACAACATTCAGTGCTGTGCATCAATGGCCAAAATTCAGTTTGATTCCTAATGAATACATAATCACATATAGATTATGTATGTATGCTTTAATATAACAAACCAATTTATACAAAATACACAAATTCGTTGGGGTCATTTTTAAGGGAAATTTTCAGTGACCTTCTAATTTAAAAATCTAACATCAAAAGTCTATAAACTCATACCTTTAGATGCAAAATAATAACAATTTTAGTTCCAAATTAAAGCTTTGTTTTCTGCCCCAGGGAAGACAAACTACCACATCCATACAATTAGATCAAGTGATCAGGACCTGTAAGCTCCATGGGCTGAGTGACGAGCTGGCATCTCCAAATACACAAAAACACGGAAATGAATTTGCCTAGGCTGATTTGCCTTAAGAAGCTCAATTTATCTCATGCTATGGATTTGCACTCAACCATTCTACTTTCCTGTTTTAAAAACAGCATTTTAGTGAACAATTGTGAGTGCTCACCACCCTACATAGCCCTACTGGCATTTTGCCAATATATGCATTTAACATTAGAACCCCTTGTCACTGGTTGATTTTTATTCCCTTATAAACTTGTTTCAGTTTACTGGCCACCACTGAGATACAGGCAGCTGTTGAACAGTCTCCCACTTCTTCAAGGTTCTCAAAAAGTGCTACTTTCCCCCCTCTAACCAAGACGTGATCCAAATGCAAAAGGGTGGTTTGGACAGTAATATAGCAGCCCATGAATCAACAGCCTTTAACCTGATCTCTTTTGTCCAGTAATAGTCCCTCAATCACCCCCGTAGAGCCACCTTCCATGCACATACATTATAACATGCACAGCTATGGTTACTGAATGCAAGGGAGCATTCTAAGGATATATAGGGTTGATTCGTTACAACAGAATTCCAGCAATCTGAAAGAGAGTCTGTTCATAAAGTGTAAACAGGTCAAACTTTTGATCAAACCAGTATAACCGATTTCTGCTACTCACTGCACCAATTAAACTACACTGTCACATTAGTCAACTTGACTCATTGTTTTAGCATCACAGAGACAGAGCCTGGGTATAGAAAATAAAGGTAGCAGAATTAGCAGACCCATTTATACTGCTTACCTAAAATCCACGCCCCCCCATACTTCCTCATTAACAGACATCCGCCCTCTCCCTGTAAGCCTCAGTGGGGTAAACCTGCAGGTCTTAACTGACTGTGATGATCACATTCCCGGGCTAGGGACTGAGCAAGAAACACAATTCTAGCCAGTGAGAAGTGAAAGGTTTTCTAGGGGCCTTCAGGAAAGAGCTTCTCTGCTCTTAGGAAGCCAATGGAAGAGGTATTCATTTCCTCCTCAAGAAGTGGTTATATCTAGATGTGATGCTCAAAATGCTATTACAACCACCTTGAGGATGAAGTCACCAATTGGCAAGGCCAAGTCAAGGGACTCAGATAGAGGAGGACCTGCAGCCCTAGCTTCCTGAGCTGAGCATGATCCTTCCTCCAGATTCCATGTTATAGGACAAAAAAAAGAGCCCTATTGGTATTTTGCCAATATATACAATTAACATCATTAGTTTAATACCACTTTCAACTTTAAAGAGCAAACTCAGGGTACAGGGATTAATGCAGTAGGTTCAACTGCCCTTATCTATATGTGTATTTCTGCCTGTGGGTGTGTATACACCATAAATCCATTTGTTATAATGGCTCTAAATGTCAGACTATTGCTTTAAAGTTGCATTGCTCTCAGTGAAAGAAGAAAAAAAAATTCATGTTTTAAATTATAATGTAAACACTGCATCTACAAAAAGAAGGGCATTATAATCTTTCCTTACGCTACACTTCAAGAAGCTTACTCAAATATGTTATTACTACAAGGTCAATCTTCAAGTGACATACCAAGCATGCTATTTTTTAGGCCCACTTTGATATGCTACAAGTAATTTTCCAGTCAGATACATATTTCCTTTAAAGAAAGATATGAAGTATCTTCAGCATTCATAAGTTCATATTCTAAGGGAGGACACAGGAATAGAATCCTTGCTCCCAGGCCTGATTCTGTTGCAAGGTAGCTGAGTGGAAAACACTTCAATTTTCCTGCATCTCAGACTGTTGATCAATGTGATTCAAGCCAGTGAAATGAGAAAGTTGGACAACATGATCTCTATTGCACATTGCAGCTCTAAACCTCTATTATTCAGCATTTTTGTAGGTTTAAATCACACTACCACTACTCACATAGTTACCATTTTCAAGACTGTTGGCTCCTAAAGCTATCCTTAAATTATTCAGGATCCATCCTCTTGTGAATCCTAAGGAATGTTCACTTTCTACATTTCAACTGTGCGCTAAGAGGTAAGTCTAGGAAAAACTCATTTGTATCCACTTTAGTGGCTGCTCATCAGTGACTTAGAAGCTGCACTAATCACTTGACGATCACACACTATATTTTATTGGAAATGTAAGAATACCTGCTCTAAGCCTCTAAAGCAACCTGGAGTGAGTTTTAATAGATACATGTTCTCCAAGGGATGACTCTCATCTGTCAGGATTCAGAAATGCATTCTGATATAAATAAAATAGCAGAAAGCCCTTATGTGAGTGAGTAGTAGGCTGGTAACTCACTGATACCTGCGTAACCTTGAATATGAACTCTCACTTTTCTAAGCCTTAGTTTCCTCATAACTGGCAAAAAAAAAAAAAGGCATTTATTAGGTGACAGACATCTTTCTCATTGAATCCTTACAATGACTATTCAATTTTAGAGACTAAACGAACTAAGTTTATAGTTAATAACAACAAAGATTTACTGAACGCTGTTTATTTGCTAGGCACCATCAAAGGCACTATTTCCATAGCAAGAAGTAGCAGGAGAAGGATTAAATCTCAGTTCTCTCTCACTCTGGAGGCCAAGGTCTTCTGCCTTGACTAAATGCTCCACCCGTAAACAGACCTGTCATTACAAAACAAACCTGCTCGCTGCTGACGCTGATGGGTTCCTTGAGCACAATCCAGGTCACACATTCCAGAAGAGGAGGGGTGGTCAGTGAGCCTGGGTAGGTCCAGTAATCCAAGGATTCAGGAAGGAGGCCACGAGGATCGAAGTTAGTGAAGTCAGCACTCTTGCCCTAGAACAAGGCAAATACGCAGCTTCAAACTATCACATTGACAGAGTAGGAGGAAGGTAGGAGAGCAGCAGACACAAATAGGTATACTCCCCTCTGATGGTCAAAAACACTTTTTAAAAAAGAGGTTCTATATTCACTGGCAAACAAAATAAAGAGAAATTAACAGAAGACATTCAACTTGAAAATATGTGGCAAGTCGTAGTAAAAAAAAAAAAAAACTATTTTCACATGTCCATTTTTCATCTTGGCCTTTTATCTAAAATGATCCCTTACATTCCCCATTAAGTCATTAGCTGATCACACCCAGTATTTAAAGTGAGACTGCTGCCACTAAAATGAGGTGACTTCAAGTTGCAATAACAGAAATATGGTATCCTGATGAGGAGGTGATTTTCTTGCTCTAGGTCAGAATCAAATAACTACATTCTGTTTTGGACACTACACTTTTCAAGCAAACAGGAATGATTTACTGGAAGAATGACAAGGTGGTGGCAAAGAGAGAAAACTATATCATATGAGAATAGTTAAAGGAAACTAAAGATAATTAGTTTGGGGTAGGTGAAAAAACAAAGTAGAGACAGAGTAGAGTTATTTGGAAGAGAGATCAGGTTTATTCTATGAATTCAAGGGGCTCAAGCCAGTGAGTGAGCATTTCAGAGGATAGATGCTGCTTCAATGTGAAGATCAGCTTTATAAAGCCAGGGCTGCCCCTGGTGATAAGTTCCCCATCACCGGAAGTGACTGTAGTGTTTAAACAGATGCTCAACGACCTCAACACAACTATGCTGCAGAGAGGATTTAAATGCAGGATGGATGAATGCAAAGAGGTCATAGAATAGAAATCTCCATGAAACAGGGCCTTGTTTATCTTGTTCACCATTGTGTCTACTAGTTTGCAAAGCGACTGGCACATAGTACATACTTAACAAATATCTGCTGTATGAATGAGTGAATAATTTGACTAGAGGACCTTTGAACCTCCTTGCAGGCATAAGATTCTCTGACTCTTACATATGGATGTCCAAATGATGGGGGAGCAAGATTAAATAAATACAAGTCTTAGAATTATGCTAGCATTAGGATCAACTTTGTTGAAAGAAACGTTAATTAAATATTTAAGTAATATTCTACCTTTACTAACTGCTCATCCAAACACCACATGTCATTGAGACTGTGCAATTTGATCAAAAGAAATTTCTAAAACCAATGGAGTATTGAAAATTGGTACCCTAAGGAGGTGGCAGAAAATTCAAATTTACCTTTGTTTTAATGGAATCCAGCACATCAACAACTTTCTGAAGGCCCGGTTTAGCGCTGCCAACCTAAAGAAAAACATAAAGGGCAAGATACTATCACCCAGTTGGTACTGTACCAGTTTTTATTTTTATTTGGGTAGCTCTATTAGAAAACATCCAAATAGTGAGCCCAAATTCTCCACTTCATACATGACCCCCATCAGTACTGGCTTGATGACACTGACACCATAGACTTGCCTACTTTCACTGAATCTTCAACTCGCCTCTAATTCCACTCAGAGAGTAGTCCTGAAACCACCAGCTCAATTGTCCCCAGTGACCTCTAACTGCCAAAGGATACTCCTCAAGGGCTTGCCTTGATTTCCTTGTAGGACTTTACACTATGGTCTTCCCTTCTTTTTAAAAATTATTTTCTTCTTTGGCTTTCCCTACGCCTTCCAGCAACCCAAATCTCTCTTGACTCTCGCTTTTTTTTTTTTTTTTTTTTTTTTTAGAGTCAGAGTCTTGCTCTGTCATCCAGCTTGTAGTGCAGTGGCATGATCATAGCTCACTGCAACCTCAACCCCTAGGCTGCAGTGATTTTCCTGCCCTGGCTTCCCAAGTAGCTGAAACTACAGGTGTATACCACCATGCCCAGCTAATTTTGTGTTTTTGTTTTTGTTTTGTTTTTTTGTTTGTTAGTTTGTTTTTTATGCCCAGCTAATTTTTAAAAAAATTTTGTAGAGATGGAATTGTGCTATGTTGCCCAGGCTGGTCTTGAGCTCCTGGCCTCAAACTATCCTCCTGCCTTGGTGTCCCAAGGTGCTGGGATTACAGGCTTAAGCCACCACACCTGGCCCCTTTTAAGTTGTTTAATTTGCATCTCTCCCCTTGTAAAGGCCTTACATTTTGCAGTTTCTCAGGATTGCTCCCTGGGCAGATTTCTCATCTCCCTCTTCGTGCTGTACTTGGATGATTTCATACACACCTGTAGCTTCCACCTCAACATATGAATCAGAGCTCATAAATCTCCAGCCCAGACCTTTCTCCATTCCCCTTTACCACTGTTTAGAGGGCAGCTCAACCGGTTCTGTCCCACTGTTGCCTGAAATTCACTGTCCTTCCCCTCTTCAGAACCTGATCTTACTTTATCATAATATAGTACTGTCTAGCCTCAGGTTAAATGAAAAGAAAACAAACAAACACCTAGCAGTCACCCAAGTTGATCTCTTTATGTTCTTCACATTTACATCCAAAAGGTACCAAATAAGTACCTCTCCTATTGTCTTTCTGCCCTCCATCTCCACTGCAACTAGCAGATATGAAAGGAGGAGATAAACTTGAAAACATTTCAGGGACAAAGGCATTTCCTAAGCTCTTTTGTAGAATGTCCTGTATGTTACAAATACTCTGTCTGGTCATTCTTTATTAAAAATAGGGAAAAAAAAGAATTGGGTCATCAACTAACCTTCAAAAAAATACCTAGAACGGCCAGTCCATCAGGTTGCTGCACAGCTTTCCCAAAATCCCCATATTTGGTGTTCCAGTGAACCAAGTGAAGCTAAGGCCGAAGAGACAAAGCCACAGTGAGTGATTTACATAATCAAAGCTGACAGATTTTATTCAATGGTCTTTTTCTCACAATAAAGGTTACTCAGGAAATTGAAAATATGGATAATTTTAAATCAAAATTTTCCTTTCATTTTAATTCTAATCATCCACACAGTACTTGGTATAACAGCAAGTGTTTTCATCAATAACTCTAAGACAAATAAATGTACAGTTTTGACAGAAGGCACACATTTTATTTCTAAATTTCTGTTAAAACAGGATCCTCCAGTTTGAGTCCGTTTACTTTTTGCAAATGGTGGAGTTGGAGACAGTAGAGAAAGTTTTGCAGCGTTAAGTATGATGTCACAATTAAAGGTTATAAAAAGCAAATGTGAAGGTCCTTTGTAAAAGAAGTGGTTCACTGGGCGTGAGTTGAATTTACAAATTAAGCTTTTGAAATTAATGCTAAATATCAACTTATAAACATTTTTCCCTGGAAAGAAAAAAAAAAGTATATCTTACTTCTGCAGCATATTTCTTTTTATCCACAGTATGCTCTGAACCTTGTCCATCAAGTGAACCCCAGTGAAAGTGAAACTGAATCAATCTGTAAGTGCCATCCAGGGGTCCTCCCTTGAGCACTAAAATTAAAACATATATATATATGTAACATATATGTATGTATCTGCATACACATATATACATAGGTATACACACATACATACACACACATGAAACACATGCCTAAATATTACAATCTTAATTCTGTTTTACAGTACTAAATGTTTGCCTTTAATCACATTTTACTCTGAAAATTCAATCCAGAGTCAAGTTTAGTCTACGGTGCTGAACAAAATCACTTTACCTGTTTTTATTCCTCACATGCGTTGTCTGGAGAATGGATGTTTTTCACATCTTTCTTTCTGAGCATACTGATTCCTTTTTCTGGGTTTGTTTTAGAGTCATAGATTCAGGTCCAGAGAGAGAAAATTCTAAGTGAAACTAATAATCTGTGAAACATTTAGGAAGTGCCCATGCAGCTACTGGCCAATAAATTGGTCTGCTACACACACTTGCAAACGTGAGACCCTCTCTTCCACCAAGGCCCGATTGCTGCCATACAGCCTGCTTTGCTAACCTCTGATACCAGTTCTTAGACACCCGAATTTGTGAAATCAGTATTCCATTGATCTTAACATTGCAAAATCCAATTATCCTTATATAGGCTTCCCAAATTCTTTAGAATTTAGACTCTCACTGCTGCTGGCTAGCTTTGTTCCCTTAATTTTTTTTATTATTTATTTATTTATTTATTTATTTATTATTATTATTATTATTTTGAAACAGAGCTTTGCTCTGTTGCCCAGGCTGGAGTGCGGTGGTGCGATCTCGGCTCACTGCAACTTCCGCCTCAAGCAGAGTTCAAGCGATTCTCGTGCCTCAGCCTCCCGAGTAGCTGGGATTACAGGTGTGCACCACCATGTCCAGTTAATTTTTGTATTTTTAGTAGAGGCAGAGTCTTGCCTTGTTTCCCAGGCTGGTCTGGAACTCCTGAGCTTGAGTAATCCATCCACCTCGGCCTCCTAAAGTGCCGGGATTACAGGCATGAGCCACCGTGCCCGGCCGAAAATTTTTATTAAACCTCTTTGACCTTAATTTACTCATCTGTGGACACACTAAATCATTTACTATTTCACTAATAATTTATGGATCATCTTCTATATGCAGTGTAATGTGCTCTATTATCTCCAAGAACTTAAAATTCTAACTTGATAACTATTCCACGATTCTACTATTCTGGCATTAATGTAACTGCATTAAGCAAAATCAGTAACAAAAATCACATCCATCGGCTACAAACTATCTGTATATAATTAATAAGTTGCGTCTTGACAGAGGATTAAAATAGTGTGAAATCAGTCTTTCTTCCATCCACCAAGAAACTCTGTGCCTAACTTTGTATGTATTAATGGGATTTAACCAATATATTCAAAAGCTTTTAAAAGTAGTTTAGTTCTACAATTTAAATTTTATTTTTCTAGTACTGGGAATTAAACATTTGTTGCTATAAGTGTATTTTATTAGCTTTACTTTATAATTCCATAAAATAATGAGCCCAAATTTACTTTGGCATTGCAGAACAAAGGGATAACTTCTGTACAACAAGATTTGTTCATGAGCTTCACCTAAATATCCTTACATGGTAGCAATATCCATTCATCTATTCAAAGTGAAAGACTGCTTTGAAGATATTTAAGCAGTGGGGTCTTTCTGTGGTTCCTGATACAACCTCTGGCTGCCAGATCTGCTTTACAATAGGCCAGGAGAAAAAAGGAAGAATGAAAACAGAAAGAATTATAAATGGTGTTATGTTAAAGATCTGCTAAGAAATATGAATTTGGATGTATTCTGACAAAGTCACATCTCTTGGAACACAAAAACAACTTATTACAACAGTTTGTTTCCTGACAATTCTATAAGGAAATATTAGCCTCTAATTCTAGACTTTTTTAAAAAAGAATGAAATAATTCCCTTTTTTCATAATAATATATAAAAATTAAATATATGTTTATGAAATAAATTAATACTGAAAAAAATCCTTTATAATAACTCTTTAAAGCTAGCAACCAACTGGCTGATAATAAGAAGCAAATGTCATTTGTCAAATCATTAACTCTACCAAGTGGTAAAACTAACTAACTAAAACCATACTAAGAATCTGAGATAACCAATTTTCTAAATGTATCTTCTTTCCCCCCAGTGAAGAATCATAGCAGGATCTTACATTTTAAGGAGAATAAAGTTTATTGCTGTTTCTTATTCTTTCTCTAACAAATCTTAAAGTTTCATCTTAATTTGTTTCTAAAAACATTTAGAATTAGGCAAGAGTGTGTGCAAACCTTTAGTAAACAATACTTGCTAACAGCTAACACTAAAAAAAAAAAAAGATAAAGTGCTCTGGGCTCAATGATTAAACACATTCAGTGCTAATCTGTTATCACCAGATACCTGTTTTAGCCCCTGTTAAAATAAAACTTGTTCCTATGAAGATTAGAAACCCACTGTAACTAGAAAATGTTATTAAATCCTTAAAGTTTACTTGCTACAGAAGGCAGCATTTCTGGCAAACTCTTAGCATGGAGTTTAGTCAATGAAGTCCTTCAAAAACATTGTTATAATAAATTGCCATAAACTCAAACTTTTTATTTGAGAAACATAAAACATAATATCTTGGTTTAAGTTAGGGACTTTATGCTATATTCTGGATCTACTTATTTATTTAAATGACTACATGCCATTTTCTAAACTGTTGCAGTTTAAAATGAAATCTATTTTCTAATGTAAAAATAATTTTAAAAAATAGCAGAAATTGCTAACTGCCTATTTTTTCTCTGTAAAATCCAGCCATGGCAGTGGTGCTTTAAAGAGTCAATGATTCATTGTACCCCAGAAATGGGTTCTGTGAGGGATGGAGACATAAATACAGTTTTCTACTCTAATGTTTTTTTCAAGACCCCCCCCAATTTAATTTAAATTCAAATCTCAACACCAAGAGCTCCAGCCAATTTTAATTTTCATGATTGTCATCAATTATACATACTCTGTATATAACACAAAACAAGCACTAAGTATAATGTTATAGAATAATCTTTCTTCCTATACATATTATTTGAGGAAATTATATAAATTACTTTTTGAGAAAAATAAGAAATCCAGTAATATTGAAATGAATCACATTACTTATACAAATTAAAAGCTGAACATTTAATATTTTTTAATTTTTTCTCCCTAATCACTTAAACTAAATTAAGATGCACTGGAGTAACAGACTAAAGACCGTAATGAATGTCAACAGTTTCTCCTAAGTCCAAAATATAAATAAACTAGTCCCAGTAATCTTTAGTTTAAAAATAAAATTTAAATGATTTCCTACTAATAAAGCAAAAGATTAATTCTACAGAAAACATGTCATTTTCGGTACCATCTTTTCTATAAATAACCTGAAAAATTTTAAATCATGCATTACTGTTTTGCCTGTTGGCAGCAGCCAATAATCCTAGGGCTACGTGCCAATATAGACAAATCTGGGGGGAAAAAATACACGTATTCCATTTGTTTTAAAGCAATAAGATGTTTAGCTGTCACTTTCGCTAGAGTAAACACAGTTGAAATTCAACAGAAGTCGTGGTTTAAACTATGTGGCAATTATATAGGAGTAAAAAAAGAAGCTGTTTTGATGTGAATATAGTAACTACAGTGTTTAGAATATGTTGGTCCATTTTCTAGATATTTAAGGTTCGGCTGACACCATTACTGCGTGCATGACAAGCCCTTTCATTTGTTGTTATGCTTTCTTTTAACTTAGGACTGCTGTGAAAGAAAACTTTTAGAGCTTCAAAAGCAAGTCCCTGAAAGTCAAGCAGGATCCATGTATGAAGATCCATTACGTCATACAGACAATGGGTCACTTAAAAAGAGCACAGGTAAACTCATCCAGCTTCCTTTACTCTTTTCTTGAAATAACAAACAGATTTAAAAAATTCCAATTTCTGAAAAACAGAAATGATGTAAGACTTGGATAAGAGTTGGCCCAATAATTCTGGCATTGACTTTCAATATTTGTCCCTAACTTTGCAATAAAGCAGGAGAGTATTAAACTCATTAATAAAAGTTAATAAGTTAGCAGGAGTTAATAATTTGACTACTATTATTTTCTCCCAGATAAGGCCATTAATAAAACATCTCAAGCAGGGTGAGTTATTTTTTAATAAGTTTTTTAAGAACCTAAAGGGATTAGCAATTTTTCATTAACTTAAGGTGAATTTATGGTGGCTTATTTTCAAAGGAATTTAGAAGATTGATGAGAGCTCTAACCCAAGTTTCTAGTTAAATCCTATTAACTCCGTAGTTTAAAAAATTCTCTCAAGCTTAAATCAGCAATAAAGTCAACCCGCTCAGTTCCTGATACCCAAGTTCTTAAGTTTGGATATAAGAGAACATTTAAAGCATATTGGAAAACCTCAATCTATGAGAAGTTCTAGAAGGCTGAAATCTCATTGAGGCAAAGAAGACAGGTAAATGAACTGCATTTAAATGCAGGAAATAAGAGGTATAGGAAATCTAAAAATGTTACCACCACAAAAATAACTCCTAATAAAAAGAGATGTTAAACTGCCGATTTTTTAAAATTAAGTGACTAAAATAAATAACTTTTTGACTTGTGTACAGAAAAAAATGCCAGCTTTTAAAAAACATGGTATGTATAAACTAAATGTCAAATAAGGTTATCCTTCAAATATTTTTATTCAAAATTCTATTTTTAAGTGATTGCTACTTAGTCCCTCCAGCAAACTAGCAAGGAGACGACTTAGCAAGTTATTTAAACTCTTCAGCTTCTGTTTCTTCATGTTTATTAAGGTGAGTTTAACTAGAGTATCTCTATTCTTTGTTTTGGCTTTGAGAGCCTAGGATTGTTTTATTTAAAAAAAAAAAAAAGAAAGAAAGTCTAAAGGGAGTTTTTCCACATGGTTTTGTGTGTGTGTGTGTGTGGTTTTTTGTTTGTTTGTTTGTTTTGAGATGGAGTCTCGTTCTGTCACCAGGCTGGAGTGCAGTGGTGCGGTCTCGGCTCACTGCGACCTCCGCCTCCCGGGATCCAGCGATTCTCCTGCCTCAGTCTCCTGAGTAGCTGGGATTACAGGCACATGCCACAACACCTAGCTCATTTTTTGCATTTTTAGTACAGACAGTGTTTCACCCTGTTGGCCAGGCTGGTCTTGAACTTCTGACCTCAAGTGATCCGCCCACCTCAGTCTTCCAAAGTGCTGGGACTACAGGCGTGAGCCACCGTGCCTGTCCCCCACATGGTATGATTTTTAAAAATTTATTCTGTAGATGTCTTTTCTCTTAATATTGACATTTTAATATATTCTGCATTCTTGTTTAACCAAAGTAACTGAAAATGTGGAAAAGAGAGGCAAAATTACAAAGGAATCTTTCATATGCAAAGGAGGGCAAGTCCTTTCTGACCTTGCTTTTAGTATACCTTCTTGCCTTTCTGGAGCACATGCTGTGCTCTCTTAAGTCTCCTGGTATTTCCTATCTCCCTTTGCCTGGACTCTCGTCCAAGACATCAAAATCCTTCAAGCCTCCACATAAGCCTTATTTACCCTGGAAAGTCTTTCCTGTCTTATCAGTTAAACTGCCAAGCCTCCTTCACGTTTCCATAGTTCCTTGGAGTACTTCCTTTCTGCACTTATCAAAGTGGCAGTCAGGGTCTACTATTTCTATGTCTTTCTACTTTAGATATTTCCAGCATGGGCTCCGGGGAACAGGAGAGGGACCAGGCCTCCACCCTGCTTTCATGATGCTTAGCTTCCCATGCATTTAAGTGGTGTTAATAATGACTTTTTTGTAGAACTAGGTGGATAATACATGTGTCTCTAAAGGCATGGGTGGGAGCTCCTACCGAAACCCTGTGGTTTTCATCTGTTTCACAATCTAAACATGGCCAACTTCTTTAAAAATGTATGCATTGCTCTCCAGAAGAAATAGCTGTGAAAAATGTAGCTAGATCTAATTAGTTACTGCTTATAGAGAAATCTGTCAAAGTTTAACAGATTCATGGTAAAATATGTAACTATATAATAACTTCATACATAAAATAAGTACATATTCAGTATGATAAACAGTATGCTTCAGAAAATATAAAAATAAAAATTTAAAATACATCAAATGATGGGAACTAATCTTAAAGCTGTTAAAGAAAAAGTTTATTCAGAAATCTTATCGCAGGTGCAACATCTACAGCAATGGTCTAACAGAGGTGGTCGAAGGGTTCAAGTTGTGACAACAACAGAGGCCATTTATTGAGCAACTTCTATGCGCCAGGCACTGGGCTAGGGGCTTTACATATACTGTCCCATTTCATCCTTCCACTGTGGCAGACACTATTGTTACTCCAACTTTACAGTTAAAAACAATTAAAACCTAGACAGTATTACTCCCAAAGTCTCTGAGCTAGTTGCCGGCAGCTCTAGAACTCAAATCCAGGTCTCTCTGACCCCAGTCTATGCTGATAGCCACCAGACCATGTGTTCAAATCCACTTTCCAGTAATACATATTACTAGAATAATTTATTTCACTATCCATTTTTTAAGGACTATTAGGAACCTCATCTGCTTTCATTTGTTGGAGATTTGTTTCTTCAGTGCTCCAAAAAAGACTTAAACTATCCAATTTCTATGTAGCATCCAATGAGATACATAATTTGGCAGACATTACATCCATTGAAAACAATGACATCATTGTGGCTCTTTAAAAAAGTACAGCTACAGACTAAAGTAGCTCACTTCTTTTGGTTTGTAAATGACTAGACGTGAAATGTTATAGTATTCTTTCTGTATGTGTAATACCTTGAGACCTTTGGCCTTGTCTTGTTATAAATATACAGTATTCTTTACAAGAAAAAAATTGTTTAATTTAATTATATGAGCACTGTTCCTTTGGAGTGAGAGGAATGCTTGGGAAAGCAATGTAGCAGAATCACCGAACTGTTTTCAATGTACAACCTTTACTTGATTCTAATAAATCATCATACTATGCCAGAAAGTGTGAGTATGATTGTAAGTGTGTGTGTGTGTGTGTGTGTGTGTATGTATGTATGTATGTGTGTACTGGGGAGGGGTGCACACAGACAGGCACAGGTAGGTTGAAAACATTTCTCAGATGATCTCCACATTATCCCCCATCAAATTGTCTTCCAGAATCACCATTTCAGAAAGCCAGGTGTTTGCAAATTTTTTTAAAGTTGAAAGGAGGGAAGAATTCTTTTTTCAAAACCAAGTTGACTATATAGGATAGCTGCTGACAAAGAATAGTCTACCTGACTAAATGGTTATAATTACATATTATATAATATATTAGTACCGTAGGTCACTACTCCAAAACTTTCTCATTTTGTTCCACCACTCCCCTCACTCCCACACCACCACCAAACAAAATGTGTTTGCAGCACCATTTCATTCTATGACCTTCAGAGGAAAGCACTCAGGAAAATAGGGCACTGGCAATTAAATTAACTGCTTAGCAAAGAAGGCAGCTACTATGTGTGAATGGGATTGTTCTCTTGTTTCAAAAGAGAGAGAGATAAAAAAAAAAAAGCAGGATTTTTTTTCTTCTTTCTCTTTCTTTTTTTTTTTTTTTTTACAGTGAGCATCCTGTAAACAGCTCTATTACCAATAAATACGGTAATTGGTTTTGTCAGTAATGGGCCAGGTATGTTCACCAACTCTAAAACATCTTCGTTTGTGAAATGAATTTCTGAGTAGATATCAAAACATGCTGCCATCTTTATCACACTAGCCCAATACTAAGAAATACTCATAAGTAAAACATTTTCCCAGAATTTCAGTATTTTAAATTGGCACGTTTTTGTTACTCTTCTCGCTGCTAACTTGAAGATAAGGCTCACTAAGATATACTTTTTAATGGATATGCATCAGCTCTGCAAGACAAAATATTTTACAATCTTAAAAGTTCAATTGGTGCAAATCTCATCGTGACTGATCTTTATTGCGAGGGGACTTTGCACCTTTTGTGATTTTTCACAGGCATATCGCAGTTATTCAATGGCCTTCATAGAAGCCAAGGGTTTTACAGGGAAGAAACGGCCCCGGGACACTTCAAACTAATTAGCCTACTTCTCAGAATCTGAGACCTAATGAAAATGATCAGGGTGGCATCCTTGAGTCCTGAGACAAACTGTATTATTAAGAGGGTTCCTGCCACTGTTCCTGGCTCCTTCCATTAAGCTCGGAAAACAGCTACTGGCTAAAAGACACAAGTTATTTTCTAAACACTGACCTGCTTTGTCCTGAGAGTCATCAAACTCCACGTTGAAAGCATGACCATTGTTGAGGATCCTCAGGGAAGTTGCTTGATCATAGGAAACAGACAGGGGCTTCAGGGAAGGGTCATACTTGGCTGTATGAGTGTCGATGTCAACAGGGGACTGGCGCTCTCCCTTGGCAATGGGGAAGTCCTTATGCCAGTGCTCAGGTCCTGGGGGAAAGAAGACATGTGAATCCCCCATTGTGGGGAAAGGTACACCCAGACCCCTAGAGAAGAGCAATCATTCCGGAGCCAATCTGCTCAGTTCCAATTTTAGAAGCATCACTTAACAATGGGCTAAATTTTGGGAAAACACGTAATCTGTGCCTCAGTTTCCACATTTGTAATATGGGATAATTAGAAATCTACCTCATAGATGTCGCTGTAAGAATTAGAATCGATATATGTAAAGCTCTTAGATCACTGAGTGCTATATAAATATTAGCTATTTTAAGGTCGTTTTACTGAAATTCAGCAACTGAAATCGGGCAGACACTAATGTCAGGGCTTGTGGTTGCGATTTTGGGATATGCAAGCTCACTTAAGACATTCAAGGAGGTCTGGATCCTTTCCTCACTGCCCAGGCCCGGGCCCACCCCACCTTTAACCGTCAGGGTTCCCCACTACCTGGGAAGCCCCACACCCTCCAAAGATGCGCTAGGTGCGCCAGACGCATGCTCCTCTGCTCCGCTGGCTCCGAAGAACCAGATCTGAGGCCAAGATAAAACCCGATTCCTGATGTCCGACCCCCTAACATTAGAAGTCGAGAGATGAAGGGAAAACTCGGAAATCAGAGCCATGGATTCAAACCAGCACTGGAAAATGCCCCGGGACAGTTCGTGCTGAGCGCCTTAGCCACAGGTGGTGCTGAAGCTGGAGGGGTGGGGTGGGGGTGGAAGGTGGGGGAGGGGGGAGGGGAGTCTCTTAATTTCTCTGCGATCAACAACTAGAATTTTCCGTTACAACCCTTTCCCGCCTCCTCCTAGGTCCGGTTAAAATGATCCCCAGGTCGGGACCCGGGAGGGACTGTCCTCGGGTCCCGCGGCCAGGGCTGCGCCTCCCCTCCCTCGGGCCCTACGCGCCTCCGGCGGACGCGGGGATTCCTCCACAGTGGCCTCGCAGCTGGGGCAAGGGGGACATCCCCGGCGCCGCGGAGCCGCGAGCGGAGCGAGCGCCCGGGGCGCACCTGAGCCTCCAGCACTCCCCGCGGCCGCGGTAAACAGCATGTGCGGGCGCTGCGGGCCCCGGGCCGGCATCCGGGCTCGGGGATCGGGGATCGGGGATCGGGGATCGGGGCGCCCCCGCGCTGGCCGTCGCCGGCACTCACCGTTGTGTTTGCCGTACCCCCAGTGATGGGACATGGTCGCGCTGGCGGTCGGGGCAGGGCAGGAATCGGCACCGATCTGGCGGCGGCGGCTTGGGCGCCTGCACTGTGTGTCCGCGGGTCGCGCCGGCACCAGCTTTTATAGGCTCCCGCCAACTTCGTGCTCGGGGGCGGCCCGGGGGAGGGGGCTCGGGTGGACCTAGGCGACAAGGGGAGGTGGTGACGGGCGGAGGTGAACTCCCCGCGCTCGGGGCGGGGCGGGCCGGGCGGGCGAGTCTCCGGGGGCGGGGAAAACGCCCTCTCGGCTGGCGCCCGGCGGGGCTCCGGGGCTCCGGGGCTCCGGGGCTCCTCTCCCGCCGCCCGGCTCCCCTCGGCCCACGGCAGGGCCCCGGTGTCCTGGGCTGGCAGCGAAGCTCGGAGCTCTGGGCGTGCGGCGGCTGCGGTGGCTCCTGGGCTCCTCCGTCCAACCCGGGCCGCGGAGCCTCTACGCGCACCCCATCCCCCTCCCGGCTGCGGAGTCTGGCGGCGGCGGGGACTGCTCGGGACCCGGACCCCCGGCGCCTTTCGTCCCCTGTCCCCATTGTGACCTGTCTCTTGGCCCCGGAGCCCTCCCGCCCCACCCGCGCCGGGGTCTCCAGCGCGAAGGGCTCAGTCTCTGGTGTCCCCGGCCTGGGGCTGGCAAGCTGGGTTAGGAGCTATGACCTTGGGGCAAATAGGGATACGATCCTAGAGGCGCAGGGGAGCGCGCAGCATGAGTGCTGAGAGGCACGCGCCCTCTGCTGCACGGCCGTGGAATAAAACGAGACAACGGCCCCACAGTCCCCTGCCCGCAGCCCACGCTCGGGCGAGCCTGGAGGATTGCATTTCCTCGTAGGCTGGCAGAGCCTTACATGAAGCGCTCATCTTCTCCTACTTTCCTCCTCTTTAAAAAATTAACGTGGGTGAGGAGACGTCCTAGTTGAGTACATATTGATTTGAAATAACCAAAACTTTTAACAAATCACTTTTCTCAGAAGAATCCAGTAAGAGAAAGATAATTTCTTCCAAAGACATGAGACGTTCCCTGGCTGGCCAAGAAAAATTGGCATCTGGCATACCTAGGAATCATTCAAAATAGTTTAATAGGAAGGACATTTTGAGGCCAGCCAGCATTATGACATTTGTGGGTCCTACGGCATTTCACCTTGGTGGGTCCCTTTTTCATAAACACGCATTTATACCAACACTGACATAAAGATAAATATCTTAATATTATATATTTAAACATTTTCTTTAACCAACACCTAATTTTTTTCTTTTTTGTTCTTATTTTAAAAGGAAACATTTTCCTGGGCATCTAAAAGTATTGTGGACCTGAGACACTGTGCTTACAGGGCCTACTGGGTAAGTGAGGCTGTTTTGAGATATAGAGAGAATTCATTTCCTACAAGGGATTTTGCCACAGAAAAATCCGGGGGTTTGTGGGAAGGAGTTCGGTTCTGTGGTCTCTGCAATCTCTGAGGGCAATAGTATTAGAGTTACAGTTGGGGAAGCAGGACACAGTTTAATGTGATTGTGTCGGCCTTGACATCACATTACTTACCTTTGAAAATATACAGATAAATACAAGGATAAGTTATTAGTGGACATTTTTGCAATATGTATCTCAAAATCACTCTTTACTATTTATTTCAGTCAATTTCATCCAAACAAATATGATTCATGTTTAGACTTACTTGTTCTAAGATTCTAGAAAATTGTGTACTTCTGCTTATGTGGGTTTTGGGTTGATGTCACAGGGAATTCTTAGGCAAGAAAGCAGCAATAAAGTTTTTAAATTTTTAGGACCATTACAAAATGGAGTTTGTAGCAAAGAAGAAGCTTTTATTTGTGCCTCTGTAGGTGCATTGTATCTGTTGGGGCCCATTGATGTAATTTTGTTTCTTTACATAATTTTCAAATATTAACTTAGTTGCTATGAGACTCTTCACTTGGCCCTGGAGATATGGCGTTGATAGGTGCCAAGAATTGAGTGCAAAGTTTGTGAATGTAGAGTGGCTTCCCGGGATTCTGTGGAGGGAGCCAGGCGATTTGATCAGCAGGAATCCTTGTCTTTCATTTTCCGTGAAACTGGATTGTGGCTTTCCTAACAGGGATGAAGTAAGAGCATGTTTGATTCTTAAATATGCGTAAAACTTCAAACACCACCAAACTGCAGTTCACCAAATGGATTATTGTCATGGGAATTTTTCCTTATCTCTCACTTCTGGAAAGTGAATTAATTCTCAGTGGGAGCAAGCCCTCCCCACAGAGCTGCTGTTAGGGAGAGTGTCACATGTTCACCACAGGGTGGAGAGTGGTTCACCTTTGGTTACTCAGAAGCAATCTAAATTTTTTAGCAGCGTTTTTGGTATTACAGTGGTTGGCTTAGCATTGTTTTATTTTCCTGGTCAATTTTTTTTAATGGAGTTAACTTTATGCATTCATGTTGGTCAGTCCCAACCTAACTTTATTTTACTGAAGGCATTCTTCTTAGCAGGCTGTCATGATTCACTAGCTGCAAAAGACTACTCTAATACTGGATTTGTTCAAATAAAAAAAGTGCTTATCTTATTATGTACCTATCTTTCCATTAGAGGGAAGGATGGGTTCATTTCAGAATAATCTTAAGTAAAGGAACTGACAGTAGCTTAAGAAAAGTACTTTTCTTTGCCCCAGAAAAAAAAAAATTCAGGCAGTATATCAGGAAAATGTAATGTAAAAAAACTTAAAGTCTGTGTTCCAATTATTATAATAAAAAAGCTTCTAACATATTATTCTTAGTAAAAATGTGAAAGTATTTGCTTTTTCTCAAAAAATGTAAAGATATTGTTAAAATATTTTACAAGGTGAGATACACATTATTTATTAAATATTTAATTAAAAAGCTAATAAAAAGCCAGATATTCTCATATTTGTTACCATTATAGTGTTTAAGTAGATATCTGGGGCTGGACTCAGTGGCTCCCGCCTGTAATCCCAGCACTTTGGGAGGCCAAGGCAGGCGGATCGCTTGAGGTCAGGAGCTCAAGACCAGCCTGGGCAACATGGCAAAACCCCATCTTTACAAAAAATAAGAAGTTAGCCAGGCATGGTGGTGTGCCCCTGTAGTCCCAGCTGCTTAGGAGGCTAAGGTCGGCAGATCGGAACCCAGGAGGTTGAGGCTGCAGTGAGCCATGATCATGCGACTGCACTCCAGACTGGGAAACAGGAAGACACTGTCTCAAACAAAATAAAAATAAATAAATATCTATGAAGGCCAAGAGCCATTTGTTTCTTGGGGCTCCCATAGGTCTTTGCATACACATCCTTCTATCCTAATATTGGCAATTCTGCATTGTAATCAGACACTCTATTGTAATCATTGGGTTATAATCCAATGCCCCAATAAGCTGTTGACTGCTCATTTGTAAAGCAGGAATAATGACACTCACCTCATTGTTGTAAGAATTCAGTCAGTGAGCATAGATAAATCACCTGTCACGTGTAGGCACTCAGTAAATGATGGCTATTCAGTCCCTCCTAGACAGTGCTAAACAGTTAGAATATAATTTAAGGAATGCAAAATTAAACACCTGGGCCAGGTTCATGGGAAACATTTAAGAGGAATGAGTCTCCACAGCAGGAGGTGTTTTTTTGTTTGTTTTGTTTTGTTTTTTTTTGTGAGAGGACAGAGGAGTGTTTGGGTCATGGAGATGTCCATTCTACCACGCTTATGTTTTTCTTCCTAAACTGTGCCCCCTGAAGTTGAGTACTGTGTCACATTATTTATCTCTGTATCTTAGGCACCTAGTACCCTTTACCTAGCCTGAGTCCCAAGATACATATAGTAGTTACTCACATAGTACTCCTTGAAATTATAAACTTTGAAAAATCCAAATGGAGATAATGGCAGTTTCACTTTGCAGAAGTTAGTAAATAATTTTGTTACAGATTATAGTTAGCAAATAACATTGTGCTGAAATTAGGTTGGTTTTGAATCTGGGTTAATTTACTAGCTTTGTGACTTTGGGCAAATTTCTTGATTGTGCTAAGATTCAGTTTCCTCATCTATAAAACTAGGATAATAATAATACTTACCTCACAGAGTTGTGGTGAGGACTAAGATGATACAGTGTGTGAAGGATTTAACCTAGTGCCAATAATTAGAGCTTGATCAATGTCAGTTATCATTACTACCGTTACATGTTTCTCAGCTCCTATTTTGTGCTTAATATTTTCTATGTGCTAGGTGAGCTACACAAGATAACTTGTCTCATCATCCATTCACTCAATGAATCATTCTGAATGCTATTATGTGTCAGGCATCAGCACAGAGGCTATAGCCATAAACCAGATCAACATGACTCCTGCCCTCACAGAGTTTACATGGGGATGGATGGGGGTACTGTACAATAAATGACTCAAAATAAACAACAAAAGTAAATTTCCAATACTGAAAATTAGTATGAGGAAAGTAAAACAGGAATGAGGTAAAGAATAATGAGTGAGGAAATCCTACTTTAGATGCGGTGGTTATAGAAAACCTATTGAAGGAAGTACATTTGAGGAACCACTAAAAAAAGATCTGGGGGAGGGCATTTCAGGCAGAGGAAACAGCAAGTATAAAGGCCCTGAGAAAGGAAGTTTCTAGAACAGAAAAGCTTGTGACTGAAGCATGGTGACTGAGGAAGAAAAGACAAGTAGTGGAGTCAGAGACAGTCAGGGGCTACAGCCTGCAGAGCCTTGCAGACAATGATAGCAAGAAAGGATTTTATACTAGTTGCGCAGGGAAGCCACTAGGGAGTGGCTTATGCACAGGTATATTATGTGCTGGGAGGATATAATACAAACCACAACAATATATCATTGTAGAATTAAAAGAAGTTTGGAGGTTACCTGGTCCAACTATTTATTTTATAGATGAGGAGACTTGTAGAAGTCCCCAGATACAACACGCTGTTGCCTAGCTCCTTGCTTTTATTCATCTGACAACTTCCTTTACAGAAAGATCCAAACTTCTTCTTCTGACTATAAAACCATTTAATCCTGTCTCTGGCTTCCCTCTTGGACTCTGAGTCTCTCAATATCCTTCTTTGGTAAGATGTGAGGCAGCATCACAAGTGGCCAAGAGCCCAGGTTTTATAGTTTGGATTCAGCTTCGAGGGCTTCTTCACTACATGATCTTATATACTTATTTCACCTCCTCAAAGCTCAGTTTCCAAAGGTGAAATGTAGTAAGAGTACCCAGGGCTGCTGATCGTGGTAAATGGACTAGTTTGTGTGAATTGGTCCTGTGAATGAACATGATTCCTGGTATGTTGTTAGCTGCTCCATTAGGATTATTGTTATTGTAGTCAAGAACCATAGAATTGTGAAATGGGAATCGACTTTGTAATAAGACAGACCTGAGTTCATACTCTGACTCGAACACTTACTTGCTGCATCACCTTCAGCAAACTAAGCAATCCCTCTGAACTTCACATGCTTTATTTGTAAATGGGGACTGGGCGGAACGGGGCGAAGGGAATTCTAGCTCCACAACGTGATGAGAATGAATGTCTGGAAGATGCTAGATACAATCCTGGCATATTTTCTTTGTTGAATAAATGGTATGATTGTCATTACATATAATATTTTCCATTGTCAAATAACAGGTTGACTTTCCTAGTTCTCTAACTTGGATGAAAATTCACATGTATTTAATTGACATTATTTGAGTTCCTGATCTATAAAAATAGCTAACACTTATTGAAAACTGATTACGCACCAACACAGTTCTGAATGCTTCACATAGTCCTACTCTACAGCTGGTGTCATTGAGGCATAGAGGTAGGTCAGATTACCCCAGGTAACTCAGCTAGGAAGTGATGGGGCCAGGTATGAAACCAAACAGTTTGAACTGTTAGCCATCTGCTATGTGGTCTCCCCGAGGGCCAGCGAAATACCTTCAAGGAGCTTATGAAGGCAACTGCCTCGTGGTGATGTAATAGCAATGCATTAAGATTATGTGAGCAGTACTCCTCTATAAAATAGAATGTCTATCAAAATGCTGGCCATTTTTAGGGTTTCCTGCCAAACTCCTTTTAACTATTTGGGGTAGCAGGGGATAACAATAACTTTACATATAATAAACAGTTGAATTCAACTTCCCTTAGTAAATAGCTTTTCAGACTTTTAAAAATTTAGTTTCTGAATGTGTCTTTGTTTTTTCATAATAACTAGTAACACTTAACTCTTCTATAAGTAATAGAATCTATTTAGTTTTGAAGAGTAGTGGATAGATTGCAAGCTCATTACCTAGTTTCACTTTCAACCAGAACTGGAAGAAATATTAAGTGGGACAATTACACTAAAAATATGCAAAGTATACATTTTAAGTATTTTATGTTCCAGAACAGCTGCCACATGTGATACTATAATCAATCTAATAGAAATAAAAGTCCACCTCTTCTTAGAACATAGGTTCTCCACTGGAGGCAGTTTTGCTCCCCAGGGGGATGTTGACAATGTCTGGACACATTTTTGGTTTTCACAGCGGGGGGAGAGAGGGACTGTGTGCCATTGGCCTCTAGTGGATAGAGGCCGGGGATGTTGCTAAACATCCTACAATGCAGAGAATCACCCACTGACGACAATGAATTTTTCTGTCCAAAACGTTAACAGTACCAAGATTTTGGAACCCTACCTTAAGAGTATACATAAGGTAATGCTTTTCTAAAAGGTCTGTGTTAGAGTTGCATATGTATCCAGCAACATGTGAGCCCTAGGACAGGGCTTTGCCCATAATACTCCCTCACTCATCTTTTGTTTATTGGATTGAGTAGAAAAGAACAAAATCCAGCCTCTACACCTTAAGATTATTGTCTATTCACTTTGCTTCAACACATTTCCAATGATGGCTTTGCACCTAAATCACAGTGGTTTGGTCAAGTTAATATTAGCTTCGCCACATGATTAAACTTCTCTTTTGCTTATAAATCACCATTTTGTATAGGGGAATTTCTGACTTCCCTTTAGTTATAAGAACAATTTAACATTTTCCATGCCAGGGGAATTGTAGGCATTACAAATACATTTTTTCCTCCTGTTCAAGGGCAGGAGTCCTCATTCACCGGTGTCACTAACTGACAACAGTCTTAAGAGTATACAAGTGGAAAATCAGCACTTTATAATCCTATAACATATGTGGATAGGCTATAGGAAACAAAGATAATTACATTTTATAACTGTAGTTTTCTCATTTGTGTTTATCCAGGTTGATTCTAAAGAAGAAAGAAAATCTATATGCATGAAAAGATGTCTTAAAAAGTTTTGAACTACTCAAAGTTAAGATTTGGGGAAATAGAAATAGTATATAACTTAAGAAAATTGCCACTGGCTGTGAACCCCCATGGCATTTTCTTTGCACTTTTTTGCTTCTCGTTAGATTGTATGTGTTTTTACCATTTCACACAAACTTTTAAAGATTATTCCACGCCGTTAGCTCTGTGCTTCTATTAGTGTCTCTATCTCTCTTTCTCTCTCTCTTCCATCTGAGTACAATGGCTAGAAAATAATACACACTTGAATGAATAAATGTCATTTAAATATTTTAATAAACAGAAGGAATAGTACAATATATTTCCCTTGACCAATGTATTGTGATTGCTTTTTTCTTTCTTTTTTTTTAAATCTTTTGCTGTCTTTGACCAAGCCAAAAGAGTTACAACCAAATTCAAAAAGCCACCCAACCCAAGATCAAAACTGGATGAGTCAAAAATGTGTGCTGTTCCTCCAAGAACTCATTGACATGCCAGTCTCTGACCTTCCTAGGATGAGGCCACAGCTCCCAGTAGCTCATGAACCTAGACTGGCATTCAGTATTTTAGGAGTTTCATTGCATCATCTGTCCATCCATCCATCCCTCCATTCCTTCAACCATGAAACAATTCACAGCAGTCTTAATGGCTCTTTTTTTAAAAGATTTGTTATAGAATTATCTCCTTCTACTTCCACTCTCAGTTAATCCCCACTCAGTGAGTCAGTGAATAAGATAGTAAGCCAGCATGGCTGGTGAGAAACCACAGGACAGAACAAAGCGGACCAGTTGGCAGGAGACTCTGTAGCCTGTTTTGTTAGCATTCAACTCTGCACCAGCTGCCCCCCACATGACCCTGCACACACTTCAGGGGTGCACATGATGACTGCTCCATGACAGGAAGAAAATATGAGAAATTCTACTTATAGTTAACTTTTTAGCCTCTAAAGTTTTCTACTTTGTTTATATTTTATAAAATATAAAATAATAAAATACTGTGAATATATACTTTATTTTTTAAAAATGCAGTGTTGTAGGAACATGTGGAAGAACTGTGTCCCAGGGGCCTTACATCATTCAAAAAGCGTCTGGAGTCCATTGCTGACCCAAAGACCCAGGTGACCCAGAGCCGTGTTTTGCAGGTCGCCTGTACCCTCAGTCCTGCTATCTGTTCCTTCTTTCCTATGGCACTGATATCACTGTTCGACATGTATTTCATGCCCAGTGTGTTGGGCACTGTGCTTGTGCCCGATAAGCCCTTTCCTTCAGTATTCACAGCCATGTCTAGTATCATTTCTCTTGAGCAATGTTTGGAAGTCGACTTTATCTTTCAATTTTTTTCTTCTCCTTGATGCTTCTAGGTAGTTCCTTAACCTGCTTTTATCTCTTCCGCGTTTGACACATAAACTCTTTTGAAAAGCATGAAACCTTTTCAAAAAGAGCCTTTCTTATGGCCGGGCATGGTGGCTCACACCTGTAATCCCAGCACTCTGGGAGGCCAAGGTGCGCAGATTACTTGAGGTCAGAAGTTTGAGACCAGCCTGGCCAACCTGCTGAAACCCCATCTCTACTAAAAATACAAAAATTAGCCAGGCGTGGTGGCACATGTCTGTAATCCCAGCCAAAACCCCGCCATTGATTGCACTCCAGCCTGGGTGACAGCAGAGTGATACTGTGTCTCCAAAAAAAAAAAAAAAAAAAAGCCTTTCTTTAGTCATCTGTGTATACTTTTAAAATTGTATACCAAATAGTGAATACTTTTGCCCAGCTGAAAGCATTACCCTGAAGCTATAAACTTTCTTTTTTATGCCTTGTGGTTATTTCATAATTCCTCTGCAACTCTCCACTCCTCTTGGGGCCTAATCAATGTTTCATATCAATTAAGCTCCCAAGAATAAGAGACTTAGTACACTTCACAATCTTGACAACAGGCCCTTTGTTATAGAAAACAAATTAAAAGGAATGAATTAGACCTTCTCAGATAAGGCGTCATTAAAATACTCTTTTAATTAAGAAATATTTATAATAGGCTCTCTGAAATTTACATAACAAGTTACAAGTTAAGCCACAAAGTACTTACTGTTCCACCCTGCCACTCCCCAACCCACCACCATCATAATTGACCATGACTTCTAATAATTTACTGTCTGAGGTAAAGCTTTTTTTAAAAAAATTCTCAGCTATCCTATAAAGTTCAAGGTAGTAATTATCAGTACCTGAACATACATGGGGTGTATATGCCTATATTGTTTGTGGAGGAAATTTACCTGAATTTACCATCTATTTGGCTGGTGTGGAGTGGAATATGTCAGTTGGAAATGCTTTTTGGATTTTCAAAAGTTATCATACTTTGCTAATCATGACTGTGAAACAAAGATTTGTGTTAGGAAGAGGTATCTTTATTATGTACGTGAACTTGCCATAAGCATCTCTACACAAAACTGAATGAAATGGAGAACTAAAGTCGCTAATGAGAAAATTAAGGCAAACTTAGAGAAAAGAGAGAGTGGGTAAGTTCAAGTACCAGCATGAATCATGCCAATTAGTGTCATCAGAGTCTAATGCCACAGACTCATTGCTAATCTACCTCTTCAACTTGCACTTTAGAAGCATGAGTGCTAAAAGAGATAAATATGTGGGGAGAGACTCTGCTGTTATATCTCCTAAAACATGTCTCTTTTATACTAAGTGAAATTAGTTATTAAAATTAAAATTTGCAAATGATAAGCTTTGGATATAAGTAAAGCTGCTTCTCTTCTTCCATGCACACTCTTTTTATAGAGAAGCCTGCGTTGCAGCAACAGACATCTGTATATTTCTGCAAGAACTCTTTGAGAAGCCAGTCTCTGGCCTTCCTAAGATGAGGCCACAGCTCCCAGTAGCTCATGGACCTAGACTGGCATTCAGTATTTTAGGAATTTCATTGCACCATCTGTCTGTTCATCCATCCATCCCTCTATCAATTTATCCATCCATCTATTCATTCCTTCAACCATGCAACAAATATCTTTGAGCTCCATTCTAGGTTCCAGATACTGTGTTAAGTGCTGGGGCTTCAATAGTGTAATGAAACCAATAAAGTCTTTACCTTCATAAAACCTCCCTGTCACCACTACTTATCACACACACACACACCCCAACTTTTATATTACAAACATAATTTAAAAGTGTTGTTGTTACTCCTAAAGTTCCCAGTGTGAGAATCTGAGCTCCTATATATTCACTGATGAGCAGCCTTCTCAGTTCTTAGTTCTTCCCAGCACTTGGCCTTGCCCTTACATCTGCTGTGCTTGGCTTGTACAATTTTCCTACCCTTAATAGGCCCCCTTCTTTGGGGTCCTGATCCATCCAAGTGCCCCTTGTGATGCCTTAGATCTTGCTGTAAACTGATCTCACAAGAGCAGAAGTGTAAATTCTGTGAGCGCAGTATTTTCAAACACTTCCATTTGTATTATAGTTCCATGGGAGCCAGGTTCCTTTTAGGGTAAGAATTACCCTGAACAAATGCGTCTGGAACCATCCAAATTTCAAATGAGCTGAGTACATATTATAGAAATGTATGGACATGTTGGAACAGAGAATATGTACACTTAATGGCCAAAATATTTCCCTGGAATTCCAGTCTCCTCTACCTGAGAAAGATTTAAATACAAGGGAGGATCTGATTCCTGTTTACTGAGCAGAGTCAATTCTAACCTGGCTAAAATTAGCTTTTAAATCACTGGGTTTTATGCTGCTGCAGCGCACATGGTCCCCTGTGATTACACCATTAGATTTGCTCTTAACTCCTGCTGATTACCTGTGATTACTTACGCGGTCAAGTTGTCAAGTGGCAGCGCCTACTAAACACCTTTACATCTAAAGTAGTTCTTTAACTCTCTACTTAATTCCTTTATGCTGCATTTTATGCCTAGACTGTTTTATCTCCTTTTTTGTAGTCGAATCACCCCAAAGTACAAGCTCTTCCCTCAGGTGTGACTTGTGCATCTCATTTAGGATTCTGACTTTATGGCATGCTCAGACAAGTCCAAAATTAATTTCATGGCAGGAGACTTTCTGTATTTACTATTAAGATAGATTTTTCCACTTCGCGCTGCACTCCAAGGGATTCTATCTTGCCAACATTTGAAAATCAATATTGAACTAAATGAATGCTATGGTTCTTCCAACTCTCCTCTTTGGTTTATTTTCTGGATGTTTTGCTAACTCTATATGCTTCTCAGGAAAGGGGCAGAACTCCTGGAGCAGAAGCTTCCTCAGGAAAAGTTATTTGGTCCTCCTCTGAATCGCTGCTTCTAGTGATGTGCTGGTTTCCAATGTGACCACATCTTGTTTTGCCTCCTATATATATGGGACAAAAGTTATTGTTATTTAAAATACCATTTTCCCCAATAACAAGCAGAGGTGAGCCTGTTATAGAAACTCTTTTAATATTACCTGTTGATGAGGTGTGGATTCACGATATTACTAATGGATACCTAAAGAAAGAAACATGATTTTAGGTATTGAATAAGGCATCCGATTTTTTCTTGGTTGATGTAAAATTAATTAATAAAAGATCATCGTTAACTCTTATTGCGAGTTATGTCAGAAGGACTATTCTAAGTGGTTTACCAGTAATTCTTAAAATCTCCCTGGAGGCAGGTATTACTCTCATTCCTGTTTACAGATGAGGAAACTGAGGCATAGAGAAATTAACTTGCCTGATGCCACACATTCAGCAAGTGTTGTGTGACTTCAATCTAGTCCTCCTGAAAACTGAAGAGGGCTTTAAAATGTTAATTTCCCATTATTTAAGTTTCAGTTCAATTCCTACTATTCTTTTATCCCTCAGGCCTTATTTTTAGCTATAAAGACTCAAAAATATGTAAGAATCCTTCACTCTCTTTTCTTTTGCATAGATATTAATGGCTAATAGTAAACATTTGAAAAACAGAAATAGGCTGTCAAAAACAATTTTTAAACCTTATTGCTCTGCAATTAGTGTGAATAAAGAACAGCATGGCTTTTAATGTCATAGTCATTTTTGTAATTATTTTGCTGCCATCTAGTGACTCACATGAAATTTTTAAATGTTTTGCTGCCATCTAATGACCTAAGTGAAAATAACATTCAAACATGATTTTGCTTTTCATTTGTATTTTAAGACTTTAAGAACTACTTTAGGGGTAGGTTTTAAAAAAATCATTAAATTTCTATACCTCAAATATGAAATTTTAAAAATCTGACATTCACAGTTATCATTCATTTTTCTTACCTCTTCTCACTTCTTCTTCTTCTGCTAAAATAATATATTTTGCTCATAACTGGAGATCGTCTTTAATATCAGATAAGAAGGCATTAGAAAAGAACCTAGAGTCTAATTAATTTTCTTTATGTGTGGTCTTTGATGTGGGTTTAGACCATATGTATTTCTCTTAGGCCAATTTTATTTGTGCCAATTCTCATCTTAATAACTGTCATATTAATTTTTCCACATGTATCCAAGCTTGTTAATAGCTGATCAATTTCAACTATATTTAATTACATAAATGATTATGGTTAAACACTGAGAGCTCCAGTTTTGCATGTTCTATGTAGAATACTTCTCACTCATCTACATAAATACTCACTGACTGTACAGTTTAAAGAATTTTGGATCAATATTCCTGAAATTATTTGCCTTTTCATAAATATATCCTGTCTGCTCATTTAAAAGGCAGGTATTACATTAACAATATATTTGCACCCTTAGTCTTGGCCGGGCGCGGTGGCTCGTGCCTGTAATCCTAGCACTTTGGGAGGCCGAGGTAAGCAGATCACCTGAGGTCAGGAGTTTGAGGCCAGCTTGGACAACATGGTGAAACCCCATCTGTACTAAAAATACAAAAATTAGCATGTCATTGTGGTGCATGCCTGTAATCCCAGCTACTTGGGAGGCTGAGGAACAAGAATCGCTTGAACCCAGGAGGCGGAAGTGGCAGTGAGCCAAGATCACACCACTGCACTCCAACCTGGGCAATAGAGTGAGACTCCATCTCAAAAAAAAAAGTTTTATATATATATGTAAATATATATATGTAAATATATGTAAATATATGTAAATATATATGTATATGTATGTAAATATATATTTGCATACTTTCAACAATACCCTATGTTAGATAAATTCTTGTTAATTCTGCTCTATCCATAGGTTTTTAATGATATGATCATTGGAATATTATGAAACACAAATTCAAATTAGTTTCTGCCCTATTTTGAAATTTTAAAATACCTACAATGATTATACCCTGAAGAACAAAAGTTGGCAGATGCTGAAATCTTTTTATCACAGCAGTTCTTGGCCATGCCCCTTTGTAAGGCTGTGTGTATCTGAAATGCAATTGTTTGAGGGCCTGTTTATGATCAGGAAAATGATCCCCCTGCTGAATAAGGACACAGTATGTCTTTAATATTCTAATGGACATCTATAATATCACATATCACAGAACTCTGAGTTCAGCACTTTGAGAAGCTGTGAGGAAATTTTAAGATGGGCGATAATTGTGAGCATTGACAATGACTCAGACTGGAGGGAGGGGGAGAAGTATGTTCTACTAGAAAGCTCCCACCTGAAGCTAGTGAGATCATTTTCCAAGGAGATTTAAACTAAGATAAACAAAAACAATATTCCTATTAACCATGTGACGTGTTGTTCAAGAAGGTAAGTATTTTACCTGGATTCATCTACATTCATGACATCACTTATTCAACAAATATTAATTAATTATTATGTGCTGGACACAGTATCAGACAACAAGGTGAATGTCAGCATGCAAGACGCATATTTGTGCCCTCATAGAGCATATGGTCTACGAAGATAGCCTCTTTTGATGGGGCATTTTCCCTCAAAACAGTTCTAACCTTGTTCAGCTTGTATACTGGAATAAGGACCATTTGTAGCTGACATTAAGTCATATGTTCCTCCCCCACATAGAGTCAATACTGGATACATCTTTTACAGTGCATAAGCATTACTAAGTAAGTACCTTGAGAGAATCAGCTTGTGTATTTTCACTAATGATCAAAGCTCCACACCTCCTAATTTCGAGGGATTTAATTAACACTTCCAGTTCACACTGACCAACCTGGCTTGACTTCACCTGGGTGGTAATCTATTAAATAACTTTGGCCTCATAGGACTCTGTCACGTGATTTGACTTCTGGCATCTCAGGACTCTCCTGACCCAATATTATTTCATTCCTTAGGGTAATGAGCTTATTCCTGTCACTTTCTAAAGTAAGTTAACATATTGGCCAGTGAGTGATGAAAGACGTATCAAAGCCACTAACTGCAAAATTAGACTTTATGTCTAAAGATATTATATTAAATGGCTTAAAGGTCTAAATATATGGATTTTTGCAGTGTTAGGCCAGCATCATCCTAAAGGCACAATTTTTAAAAATATGGATGTAAAAGCTACAGTCTGACTTGATTTCACGCCCCTAAAACCCATTGCACTAGTCTGAACCCCAGAATCCTAAACCAATTTTGAGGCCTCTGGAAAGTATTTCCCACTATCAGATATATGGCCATACATTCCTCTTCTGGTCTGCAGTTTCCTCAGAAGGCCTTCACTAATTGCTTTTTAATTTTTTTTCTGGCCCTCCTTGAGGAATGTAGCATCCAAACTCAGAATTTCAGCCCTTAGTGCCATCCTTCAGCTATAAAAACAAACTTACAAAGTTTGTTGCTCTTAGTTAAACTCCATTTTTGTCATTTATGATGCCTTTCCATTTAAAAAACACAACACTCAACGTTTTCCATTTATGTCTTTATTGGTTCTGGTGATCAGTACAACTGCTTTGACTTCAAGTGTCATCATTCACTCTTTTGTGTTCTAGTGATCATTCATTCCAGCCTCCAGTGAGAAACACAACAGAGGCAGTTTTTATTTTAATAATCATGCAAAGAAAAATGTAGTGAAATTAAAAATAAATGGCCCTCCTTCAGGTAAAGAAAAATACTAGGATAAATTCAACTACATTTATGAAGAAGAAATTCAAATACTGAATCAAAAATTTGAAAACTCCTGATTGTATTGTGTTTTCTTTTCACTGGTAATCAAAACCAAGTAATCTTAGTAGCTAAAACTTCAATAAATGACTGACTTCTTGCTGGTGTTAAGAGTTAAAACATATTATTAGCTCAATTCTTGCTGTCTATAGTCATTTTAATTTCTGGCTTATGTTTAATTGTTATATGATCTTCATACACCTCTACTACATGTAGAATTACTCATATTTCTTTAAGATGGACAACTCATAATATAAAAATAAAAACAATGAAGTTGTGTGAAATTTTAGATAACAGAAAAACTGGTGCCCAATAGCTAGCCATTTTAAAAATATCTTTACTCTTCCATCTCTGTTTCTTCTTCTTTGAAACTTTACCAAAAATGCTACTTTTATAGGAAAGATGATTATTACAGAGATCAAATGTGAAATCTATGCTTTCATATTAGATCTTGTCGAAAGTAACTTTCTTTCAACAAGTAACTTAGATCTTGGTGACCACATCTCTCACATTCATTGCTCAGTGTGGAAAAATGAAATAGACTTGGAGTAAGGAGCACCAGAAGGAGGCAAGGAACCAAGCTCTCCAATGGTAGGTTTCCTTTCCTGAAGAGGGCAAGATCCAGCAGCCTCATTTGAAGGAAGCTCTCACCACCCTGTTATTGATAGGCTGTGGAGGTCGCCAGTTGCTCACAAGAGGCACTGGGGGCTCGTTCTCAGCACTGGAGAGGAGGCTCCGCAGCTTGGCCATCTGCAAAGGGCAGGGGCAGACTGTTAACAAGACATTCGGATCAACTGGACACACTACGTGACAAAGAGGTATAAATACTGCTGGGGTTTTTTTTGTTGTTGGTTTTTTTGTTTGTTTGTTTGTTTGTTTGTTTTTGAGACAGAGTCTCGCTCTGTAGCCAGGCTGGAGTGCAGTGGTGTGATCTTGGCTCACTGCAACCTCCACCTCACAGAACTCAAGCGATTCTCCTGCCTCAGCCTCCCGAATAGCTGGGATTACAGGTGTTCACCACCTTGCCCGGCTAATTTTCTGTATTTTTAGTAGAGATGGGGTTTCACCATGTTGGCCAGGCTGGTCTCGAACTCCTGACCTCAGGTCATCCACCCGCCTTGGACCCCCAAAGTACTGGGATTACAGGCGTTAAGCCATCGTGCCTGGCCAATACTGGTGTTTTAAACATGACAAGCAAACCACACAACCTGTCCCCAGTGTCCAGTCCAGAGCTATTTAGCTAGCAGCTCTAGAGTGACACACATTTTTTCTTTATTTGTAAAGCCCTTTTCTTCATTCTATACAGGATCACTGTGCCCTCTGGTCACAACCTTTTCCTGTTGAATCTGAAACATTTACTTTTTATTTGAGGGGTCAGTATGAACTACATACTTTGTTGGAGAGGATGACCACATCCATATATCAGTGTAAATAAAATGTAGTAGACCTTTATTATATAAGTTTATGGAGTCAATTATTTTAAGAGCAAAAAGAAATCAAACTCATGCTACATTTTCAATTTTAAATTGACTTTTCTTTCTTAAAGGATAAGAAAATAAGAAATTCTCATTAATAACACTATGATTCTATATTAAAATATTTTTAGATTTCTCCTTGAAAAAATTTCATTCTTTCAAAATAGTTATATCACTGAACAAGGTTGTTATATCTGATCTTTTAATAAAAATGTCTTTATAAACTTGAGTTTACAACTGACATAAATATGAAAGCTGTTGCCTTATGCAAGAGACACACACTGGGAAACTGATTTTACTATTAGAGTACATGCATGCTCTAGGTTGTGAGTCCCTGTGTTGTTTACTTGCTTCAATCTGTTTTTCTCCATGTTCTTGCCCACTTATTTTCTCCTACACAGCTTTTCCTTGATAGTGTCTTTAATGAATGTTACCAGGACACTCTTTAGATCAAACAGTAAGAAGGGAACCTTGAGAAGAGATGCCAAAAAGTACTGGAAACAGTTTGGAGGTGGGATTAGAATCCTGCACTTGGCTGTGTGATCATGGACAAATTACTGAACTTTTGAGCCTTGAATTATGTATCTGTAAAACTGCAGAAATAATATATAGCATACAAAATTGTTAAATCCTTTCCATTAGCACCTTTCTCTTCTCCAGGTCTGTATTTATCATCCCATCTCCTTACCAGTGCTCAGTATTTGGCAACGTCCAAATTAACAAAGACTCATATTAATCTAAACCCTTTAAAGTGTTTATAGAGCATAAACTCAGTCATGTTCGGTATCAAAACTACTTTTAAATGAGTTGCATTTATCCTGGTACCCTTTGGGGGCCAAGTTTTAGAAAGCTGAACAGGCTGGTTGTAATTAACCAGGGCAGACCATGAAATTACTGGCCATAGAGCTGTTCAGTGAGTATCCAGTTAGTAGCTATGTATTTTTGATTTAGCATCTGTATCTTACATAGGCAGACAGCAACATAAGCCCACGTGTTCACAAGGCTGCTCACCTGGTCAGAGCTCACGGTCATGGGCTCCTTCAGCAGCAGCCACACAATGCATTCCTCGCAGGGCGGCGTGGTGAATGAGCCCTGGTAGGTCCAGTAGTCCCGGCATGCCGGGAACAGGCAGGATGGGTCAAACTTTGTGAAGGGCGCCTCCTTGCCCTGGGTAAGAGCAGGTTGCAGGTGCAGTGAGTGCATGCATGCACATGCCCACCCACCCCAATGCCCTCACCACTTTATTTGTAAGAATGAATTTCAAATGCAATAGAGAAAATAGAACTTCTAAACAAAGTATAAGCCTTTCAGAAATAAAGATCAAAGCAGGGAAGCTGGTTTGCACATTATTACTTGATCTGACACAATCACTGTCATACTGTGTTCCTTAGTGTTTTAGCTGTGAGTAGAACTATCTGTGATAATTCTATCACTCAAGAAAAAGGAGAAACTGATATCTCAAGTGTAATTGAATTATTTAATATAAGTTAATGTTTTGTTCTTGATGATACCAAAAAATATCAGGCTTGTATTTTTATTGAATGATCTACTTGGAATGCTTACTTTCTCTGTTAATGAAACTCAATAATATTTGATTAGAACGGTCAGAAAAAAAATAATTAAAATGTTTCTGTTACTTACATGAGTCTATTGTGAAGATTTTAAATTTTTAAGTGCTTCCCAGAAAGCTCATCACCAAGACTCAAAAGACCAGCACTGGCTGACATTTAGTAGCTCCGTGATGGTATGCATGCATATATGCAGTGTGTGTGTGTGTGTGTGTGTGTGTGTGTGTGTGTGTGTGTTGGGCGAGGATGCGGTGACCACTCAACTTCTCTGACTCTCACTTACTCCATTGAGAAAGTGATTATCTGACAGGATGACTATGACCATTAAAAAAACTGATATATGTGAAATTGCTCTAAAAACTGTATGCCATACAAATATAATAGCATTTATTTTTATATGTATGCTTAGCATATCCATCAAACTTAGTAACAGATTTTAGGTGAAAAAAATACTTGAAAATATGTAAAGAAAATCTGCATAATCTGCTTTATGTTTTAGGAGGGAAAATGATTTTTGTTTACCTTTGTCTTAATCTTGTCCAATGCATCAAGGAAAATCTGGAACTCGCCATTCTCATGTCCTATCTGTAAGAAAACAGAAATCCAAGTATAGTTCTTTTACTTCTCCATAGTTTAGGATTGTCTTCAAAGCTGATTTTGATCCATCCATCTGCAACTAGTGTTTATAAATCTGCCAGAATATCTCGTACTAAGCAAAAACATAAGTTTATTTTTCCTCAAGATTTTAGAGTATATATTTTCTGATCTAAATTTGGACTCCAGGCTTCTGAAGTACAGGACCACAAAATTACACGTTCATCTAGTTCTGTGTCTTTGACCTTCTCTGCAAAGTCATTCCACTTTTCTAAAAACCAGATTTAGAACCAAAATGGACCCTATGTATCCCAAACTAAACTCATTGTCTTTCTTCTCAGACCTACTCCACCTCCTGCTGTTCTGTGCTCAGGTACCAAAAATGACCCAATGAATTAAGAACCTAAAACAAATTAGGTCATTCAAAGAGAAAGAAGCCAGATTTTCACCTCTGGCTTGAAATCTAGATTATGTTACCACTAACTTCATGTGTTAATGACACTAAGTCCTCTTTAAAGCAAGGTTGGCTCAACAACACACACATTCCATGTGCTATCTTAGCCTGGGATCACGTGAGTGGTGACCACCTCAAGCCGAGGGGATGTCCAGCCAGGGACTTGGAATCATATGGTTCCCAACACTGACTTTTCTGGTTTCCAGTGCAATTGAAGTTGAGCAGTGAGAAAGGAAAATAAATATATGCCACCTTTGCCCTTACCACCACCGTAATAAGCTCACTCTAAGGCTCTGTCCCCAACACCTACACACACACACACACCTCCCACATCTGGGGAAAATTTAGAAGTGCTAGGGGTCCTGGAGTGTGGTAAAAGATACACTTTTAGAGAAAAGTAAGACATTTTGAGCTGATCTTTGCAGAAATATCTTGATTAGTTGAATGAATAATAAAATGCATATGAAAGGAGGAAGGTAAAAATGAGGAAATGAAACTCAAACTATGCTAACCATTGGCAGGGAAATACATTTTGGAAGAAAATATATAGTCAATTTTTACTTTACCTTCAGAAAAATGCCAATCACAGCGATCCCATCGCGCTGCTTCAGGGCTTCTTTAAAAGTGTTATACTTCGGGTTCCAGTGAACCAAATGAAGCTGAAACCATAGAAGACAGATTAGAAGGTAAATTCCTGGAATATGGAAATAAGTACAACATTATCCACAATAAACCCAATCATTGTACAGGCTAAGGTTGCTGAGCACTCTCATAAAAGCTGAGAAAATTTGAAAGAGTAGCATGTAACATTTTGGTAACATTTCTAGTGGCTCAAATAAAAAGCATATAAAATTATTTATTTATCTCCTTTTATCAACCAGAGCTCTGAAACCTGGTGGCAACCTGACCTTAATTTAGAACATGAGCACCAGTTAGGTTAATCAAACTTTCTATGCTGAGTTACAGAGAATGGCAAGAGGATACAATCATTTGCAGCAGTTAAAAAATGTTTTATTCAAGACCAAAAGTATGAAATAATCCCATGTGCAAAGGTCAAACTGAAAGCCTTGCCTGCATCTGTAAGAAATATACTCAACTTTCCCCATTTGGTTGGGGAAGATGTCTAGAAGGCATTCTCAATACTTAATTTATCTTGCCATGGCTCTCTAGATTGGCTGTAAAGAAACAGAAAGATCACAGTGAAGTACTTTGGGTTTCACAGAATTTAATTTAACCAAGAACTAAGATGCCTAATGATTCTGCTTAAGAACATGTTCATAGTGTGTTTCTGAGCTTCTGTCACAGCCCCTATGTTAACCAGAGCCTATCTTTGGAAAAGAATAAAGCAGGAAAAATGAATTGGTCCTCACCTCCAAGGCAATTGCCACCACTTATTGGTTTGGCTTTATAAAGAGAACATGTCAGAGGCCTGTCTTAAACCCTTGTAATTTGATGCGTTGATCTGAGTTAAAATTCATGTTTTTCTTTAATGAGTTAACTGAGACAGAGAGTAGTATGTGCTCAGATTAAATGGTATGTGTGTACACATATCTCTACGTGTGTGTAAATATGTATGCATGTGTATATATAGATATACACACACACATATATATGCACACGGTTCATTAAGAGATTGGAACATAAGCATTATTCAGAATTTCTAAATGCTATTTTTAGAGCACTATATTCTTATAAAATAGGCAGTATAGGGCACTGGATAAGATGATGAATTCTGAAGCCAGTCTGTATCAGGTAGAGCACTAGCACTCACCAGCCGTGTGACTTTATTATGTGTCTTTTCTATGCCTTCTGTTTCCTCATCTGTAACCTGTCTCATAAGGTAGCTAAGAGGATCTAATGAGTTAATACATGTAAGCATTTAATAAGTATTAGCTATCCTTTTTCCAGTTCCATTGAGGACCCTGGGCTTTCTTATTAAGTAGCTATCCAATTTCTAACTTTTAGGGTTTTTCTTTTTTCGAGACAGGGTCTTACTCTGTTGCTCAGGCTGGAGTGAAGTGGCGCAATCACAGCTCACTGCAGCCTCGACCTCCCAGGCTCAAGTGATCCTCCCACCTCAGCCTCCTGAGTAGCTGGGACCACAGGTGCATGCCACCATGCCAGGCTAATTTTTGTATTTTTTGTAGAGACAGGGTTTCACCATATTGCCCAGGCTGGTCTCGAACTCCTGGGCTCAAGCAATCCACCTGCCTCAGCCTCCCAAAGTGTTGAGATTACAGGTGTGAGCCACTGCACTCGCCCCAGTTTCTTAACATAACCTTGGAAATCTTCATGTTTGATGCCAACTCACCTATACCCTTTTACCTGTCTAGCCTAGAATGTTCAGCAGCTTCAGTTCAGCTAAAACTAGTACAGCTCTTTTCATAACTATAGACTTGAAACAAAAGCAGTGGATGATGCTTTGTTGCTGTGGTTCTTATTTTTAATTTTGCAGTTTTCACTGTATGAGACCGAGAATGGATTATGGCAGTTCCTCTTACCTCCGCTGCATACTTGACTCCATCCACGGTGTGCTCAGAGCCATGATCATCCGAAGAGCCCCAGTGAAGATGAAACTGGCGAAGTCGGTAGGGTCCAGGGAGAGGACCCCCTCTCAGCACTGTGATTCAGATAAGCTTGGTCAACAGTGAATTCATGCTTCTTTTACAGAGCTCTACTTTAACCAAGTGCTCTTAGAGCCAAGGCTTAATGGACAAAATGTGGTCAGTTTGCTGGGTGGATGGTGCCACTCCCAGGACACTGGACTCCTCACAAAATGAAGTCTGGGGATATGTCAAGATAAATGATTGTTCTTTTCTGTCTTTCTTATTTTGTTTGCTTGTTTCATTATTATTGAAACATCATTTTAACATTTAGGAAAGCAAAATTAAAACAACAGATAGACAATGAGGATGCATACACCCAAAGAACAAGTCAGTAGTGTGGTGCAGTGGGAAGAACTGGACAGTTGAGAACCAGGTGGAGGTAGGTTTCCAATGCTGGCTTCACCCCTTGCTAGTTCTGTGGTCTCAGGCAAGTTGCTAAACTTCTCTGAACCCACTTTCACATCTCTAAGAAGGTGATAATAATACCAAACTTTCAGAGCTGCTGTGAAGATTAACTGAGATTAAGCACCTTAAAGTGCTCATCATAGTGCCTGCATGATGATCACTGAGCAGATGTGAATTCCTTCTCCACGTGTTGCTTCCAACTACACTTTTCTTCAAGACAACGAGCAAAAACTTTCATCTACGTCTAATTTAGACTGTGTCTATTCAAATGAGATGAAATGGAAAATTCAGAAATTTCCCAGAAAACCAATCAATGTGGATGATTAAACTAGATAATTCTCAGCAGCATTAATTTGGGCTTGTTGATAAACATCTCAACCCATTGCAGAGTGATTTAGAGGTTCAAATGTCTTCCAAAGTATATTGGAAACTATGCAGAAACCCTAAGATCAAGATTTGGCAATATAAGCTAGATCAAAATAGAATTCAGAGCATAGCTATTTTAGAAGAGGTTGCCCACACTAAGTGGCCCAGGGAAAGCCATAAATATAGACCTCAAACAATGAGGCTAGGCCTATATGAGTTTGTTCAGGTAGAAATGGAGTGGTTCAATTCATTGCATTTTTCCTGTCCAACCACTCAGAACAGTTATTATAGGGACATGTGAGTCCAATTTATTAGAAGAAACTATATGAAATTGACAATATTCAACTATTTTTGCACACAAAAATGGCATTTTCATATGGTTCAACCTAATAGATATGTTTAATTTTGTTATGTTGCTTTCAAAATGGTACTTGATATATAAGGAGAAGGGGAAAAAAGGAAACAATAGCAATACGAAACCACTGTTTAAGAAAATTTAAATTTCTGTAACTTGGAACCTCCTGGTAGGTAGGAATTATGAATATCATTCTTCATTACAAAATCATTAAGAATGTTCATTTATGTATATCAATAAATATAACTTTATTAGAGATGGGGCTATAAGGAATTATTTTGCTGTATATCAAGCACCAAAATATTAAAGGAAGATTCTTTCTTACCTCATTTATCGTGAAATAAAGTATTTCTGACTAGTCTTCTTTTATTATACTGATTTGCTTACTAGTGTAGGTGAAATAAAGAGATTTGTTTTTTCTAAACATGTATTTTTCAGTCGCTGTCTCACACACAAACTACTACTCAAGAAGAAATTGTCAGATATTTCAAAAATACTCACCCAAATGATTAATCAGATGAACCCCACTGAAGGCTTGAAGGCAAGTCATCTTGACACCTTCAGTGGCCCTGTTCTCTCCCCTAGATTGGTCACCTCCCAGGCACCAAGGGAAGAAAGTGCCTATTTAGGGTTTCTATTGTATATCTGGCTTTGTAGAATGGAATCTATGCAATTGAGAGTGGAAGCCTGGCTCTCCAGACCATGGACAAGAAGCACAAGAACCCTCAGGTATAGGCCATCGGAGTCTGAAGAATACTCATTTGAGTTTATTGTCATCTCTGTCCTATCGTGTTCCATTTCAGGAATGCATTGCCAACTTTTAGCTTGGACATGGGGCCGTTTTCACAGAGACCAAGTTTGGAGGGTGTGACATTCCTCTTCAATACATAAATATAATTATTCATGACTAAAGCAAAGTCAAATGTCATCTGCATTTTAAAAGATAAAGTGCTCCCTCTCCCCATTAATTCTGGTACTGTGTCATAAACCACATTTTGTCAATATGGACCTTGAAAACATCCATGTGATTCTACCTCATTGTCATACTTACTTGACCTATCATAAGTATCATCAAATACAACTCGGCAGGTCTTCCCATTATTCAGGATGGTCTTGGCAGAGCCACCATCATAAGACACAGACCATGGCTGCAGAGAAGGGTCATGCCTGATGTCTTTAGTATGCAGCTCAACGGGCGACTGGTTTTCCCCCTTGGCATTTGGGAAAAGTTCATGCCAGTGGTCAGGACCTAGGAAATAAAGTCGAGGAGATGTATTTATTTGGTGGCACAACCCAAGGCCTCTTTCTAATTGACTAAACCAGCAAAATACAGAGAGGCTAGACAGTGATTTCAAAAAGGTCTTAGGTTTCAGACTGGGCAATAAGAGACTTAGCATTCATTTCAGGCCTGTTGGTAGTTTTGTGAATAGCACACATGGAGACTATTTAACTCAGTGTGTTCACTCTGCCTGCTCAAAGGCTTATTTTTCAGATAAACTTTATCACATTTTTTTTTAACCAATGACACCTTCCATCATAGAGTTGGAATAAAATAATATTGACCACCTACATTTGAGCATTGTGTTGTGGGTTTCAGAGCACACCCATGTTCCTTTGCCTTGGATTAGGGAGAAGCTTAGGCAGAGCAGAGATTCTCACACCGGCACCAAGCTCAGGTTAGGTGCTTGTCCAGTAAAACAGAATAAGGGCCAGTCACACCTGACCTCGGGCTGTCTGACTTCTCAGAGGCAATGGGATCTTAGGCAAGTGATCCAACTTCTCTGCACTTCAGTTTTCTCCAAGGGAAATAAAAACTCCATACTAGGGAGAACCAAATGAGATGAAGGAAAAAAAGAAGCAGCAGCATTTGGCAGTTGAAAAGCCTCAGTAAATGTTAGGTCTTATTCTACTCCTACATTTTCCACTGCAGTCTCTAAAGTTGCCCATTTCTGTGCAATGGCAGGGCTCTCCTGGACTGGCATCCCTTCCTGGCCGGGTCGCGGCTGCCTGCACTCACCGTTGTGACTGGCGTAGCCCCACTCCTTGGCCATGGTCGCCTTCCTCCGTGCTGGACGGCTCCTGCTTTCTCTTCCCCTGCGTGGTGCAGAGTCGCCGCGAGCCCGCGCTTTTATGTAGCTCCCCCGCACACTGCATGGCCTTATTAGGTCAGCGAGGGTGGGGCGGGGGGCTAAACTAGATTGGGGTGGTGTTTGGGAGGCCGGGTAGAGGAAGCCAATGAATTCCAAGAGCGGGACAGCTGTCGAGGTGACGGGGGCGGAGGTGGGCGAAGGGGCACCCACGCCCCTCCCTGCGCTCTCCCGGGAGTCGTGGCTCCTGGCCCCTCCATCTCCTCTTCTTCTCTCTCAAAACTGCAGGGTTTCTAACCGGCGCCGACGTGCAGAAATGCAGGCGGCCCTCACCTCGTCCTCTCTCCTTCCTCCATGCATTCTTGGGGATGGGGTGGGGGCAGGGACAGGGTGTCGTAGTTGTGCTTGGCCACGAACTAAAATCTACATCCCGGCGGCTCTTGCAGCCTCACTTAAAAGTTGCTTCAAGCGCAGGCTGGCTGTCTGGCTACGATCTCTGGACACTTGTGCGAGTTTATTTCGCTCTAGCGATCCGGTTACAGAGGCTGGAAAGAACTCGTTTGTTTGCCTGCCCCCTAAGTTTGACTCCCTTTGCAGGCAACATGTAAAATCCTAGGAGCAAAGGATGGGAAGAAAGGGTCCGGAGCAGGGTGAGAGGGTGAAGAGGCCCTCCAAGTCCGTTATCCTTAAAGAGATGGCCCTTTCTGGAATCGCACCAGGCGGCATTTCCCAACCTAGCGGATCCTTTTGGCTTGCAGGAAACCGAGGGCTGGATCTCAGAGAGCGCCAGATATCCAGGAGATGTCTGGATCCCAGGTTCACGCGGAGCTGGAGACTGGGACTGATTTAGCCACACTCCCTGAGCTGTACCTCTGTTCATGAAAAATCAAGAATATTCTGAAGTATTGGAAGGCCACTAACATAAAATGAGTCATATTTCTTAAAACCTGTGGTCTTGCTCTCCAAGATACAATGAGAGATTGCAAGAAAAGAAAGAGGGAAAGATTTACAGAATGGCTTTTAATTTTTTTCTCCCCCTACTAAGTTGTTTTCTTATACATTGAACCATGCAAAGGAGAATAAAAGTGGCATATCTAGTGTGTCTACATGACAAAAGTATATTTTTAAATGTCTGGTTATGGTTCATATCAAAGAGGTCAGTAGTAGATATTTACAATTTTAAGAGTATATTGTAAAATTTCTCCTGTTTTAATTCAGTAATAATTTTTTAAGACAATGAGGAAAGATAAACCTAATTTCAGTGCTATCTTGAACAATATTTCGATATACATTTCCTTAATTAACTTTTATTGATAATAGTATTTAGTATTTGGGGATTACAAAACTCGAAAAGGAAATCGCTCGTCATGGCACAGATAGCTCATCCCTAAGGCATGTGGAATGACTGACCACACTCATAACCTGGACGCCAGGGGAGTCATTCCCCAGGGTATTTTTGTGACAAGGGATTATTTGATCCACACAATAGCAGTGTGGAATCAGGAACTAAGGCAGTTCGGAAAATCCAAGCAAACATAGTAAACAAATGCCCTTAAACTCTCAGCTCCTATCTGTCACTGTTTGATCAGAAAGACTGCAGTGGTTAATGGAGATGTTTTGTAGTTCTTATAAAATGTATAATTATTTGTATGAGTAAACCAATCCACTCAATCATTACAATATTCTTTTTCTGGTATGAGTGGTTAGAAGATTGGCAAATAAATTTCATGTTATTTGATATAGTAATCATACAGAGAAGACAATAACATTTATACCAAGAACGATCTAGAAATTCATCATGTTGTTATTATTTATGCATAGAAGGATACCTTTTTTAAAAAAAGTGCTATTTATGATTAATTTTAAATGCGCACAATAGCACATAATTTCAAATAAATGCTAGGTAAACTTTGCAAAGTGAAATATTTAATAGCTTTAGATGTGCAGCCTTTAAAATTACGATTTGTATTGCATTATACTTTCCCATAAGAAGTTAATAGAAATTGGAATTTCAAGACAATTTATATTAAGTCATGTAATTTTAGGCCATAGTAAGTTTTTCAGAAACTTTATCTAAATTTTTCTGCAAATACATTTTTCAAAAACCTCATCGGCAAATTTACTATCTGCATCTTAGTTGATTTATTCCAGCATGTTTGCCTATACATTTCAAAATTCTCTGTCAATAAACAGATAATTCTAAACTGTGTGTTCAAGACTTTGAGATTTCTGGAGTTCACCTGAAAAAGAAAACTGTTAGGTATACACTGAGATAAATAATGCCAGAAAAAAAAAAGAGTGAGCAATGATTAACTACAAATTATCTCCTAGCATATTGGCAGCATTTCTCACAGTGCCATTACTGAAAAGTTGATATATTGGGCAATTTGTAGGAAATGACTGTACACATATAGAGAAAGAGAGAAAGAGAGAGTAAGAGAGAGGAAAATATTTAAATAAACAAAAGTTATTGGTGGGGAAATAGTGTCCAATATAGAAGTTTCATCTAGGATTGTACGTTAACATTATAAACTTGAAGAGCTAAGGATATAAAATTTAACTATATTTTACTCATGACTTGGCATTTTGTTTTGCAAGGTATCAGGTAATATAACTAACTCAAATCTTCTACAAGTTACCATTTGGCATTTCTATTGCACTACAAAAAAAAAAAAAAAAAAAGAGTGAGAAATTGCCCACAAAGTAATTGCAAAATTTTGCCTAGATATTTTACATATTATAGAGGCATGCACTTTCTATTACATTTTCATTTTTATGAAACAAGTTCTGGCATAGAAAGGTGAAAATGGCTGATAAAAATTAAAATTGTTGATTAATCTACTGAACTGTCACAAATAATGTAACTTTTACGTTCTTCCCTGACAATGTTATTTTCCAAAGCTTGACTCACTAGGTTGTATAAGAACATGATAGGCCCAGCCCCTGAGTGTGTCACCAGTGACAGCTGGGCCACTTGAATCAGGTCTTAGAGTTTGGCTCCTGTTCATGGCAAATTTGTAGGAGAGCAGCCTAGGCCTTGTCCCAACTGGTCTCCCTCCCTGGAATGTATCAACCTAAGGTAGTCACTTTATTTGAGAGTAGGAGCATGAATCCAAAGACGAAGTCCTCCCAAATCTGTGCAGCAAGATTTCATCATCAGGGTCAGCAAATGCAAACTATTTTCTTTCAAAAACAAATTCTTCTCTTAAAATATATTAATAACACCTTAAATGGAGGAAAGTTCCTTAAACTTTATGATTTTTTTAGGATCAAATTTAAATGCTCAACTTCAGTTTTCAATAACTTGATGGCATTTGCTTATAGAAATAACAGGTGAAATTTTGCTTTGACATTTCAGAAGCATTTAGGTGGCCATTTGCTTAAATTTTTCTTTGACCCCATTCACCTCATCTTTGAAATGGAGAAAATAACCCCCCTTGCAGGGTTCTCGTGAGGCTTAAACGAGATGCTATATGTAAGGCAACTGACTAGGCCAATGAAGTTAGCACTCAGCAAAGTTAGTGCCCTTCTCTGGCCTTATTCATTTCATCTAATTTCTCTCTGGGCAACCAGCTACCCTAAATAATCCTTGTTCCTTGTTGGCCATAAACAGTGCCTCTTTGCATGTCATAAAGCATAGGTGCTAACCTGCAGACATCACTTAAATGAAGGACACATCCTGCTTATGTAGGATAAAAATTAATGCTCACAGCATTCACCCTTTTCTTCAGCTGTTTGAGCTGTGTAATCTAATCACCATTTACTCTTCCCATAGTGGGAGTCAAAGTAAACCTTTTCAACCATATGTGACCAGTTATGCACAAAATGCATTCATCTAACATAATTAATGGAAACTAATAGAATCTAAACAATAAAAATCATATAATTCCGACAAAGCTTAAAACTCCTTTGACATATTATTTGAATAACAAGTTTTTTAAGGTGAAATTCAAACTCCTCTAAATGGCATTCAGGAGTTTTCAGAAGCCTCGGTGCCTACTTACTTTTCAGCCTTATCCCAGCCTTTCTTCCCAAATTTGCCCACCTTCTGCTTCAGCTACAGAGCATCCTTTACTCTTCCCATAGCACACTTTATTCTTTCCCGCCTCTGTGCCTTCTCACACATTATTCCCTTTGGCTCAGTTGTCCTTTCCTTCATTTATACCTGACAAATTTCAGCTGTTTATACCTATAGTTATTCAGACTGTGTAGGTAGTGAGTATTTATGTAATATTTTATGTGAAAAAAGTTATTGTCTTTTTAAAATATGCATACTTTATAAAACTTCTCATAGATTCAGTGGGTACATATGCAGATTTGCTACATGAATATATTACGTAGTGGTGAAGTTTGGGCTTCTAGTATATGCATCACCTGACTAATGAACATAGTGCCCAGTAGGTAACTTTTCAACCCTCACTGCCCCTCTCACCCTCCCCTCTTTTGGAGTCCCCATTACCTATTGTTTTCCTCTGTATGTCCATGTGTACCCATTGTTTAGTTCCCACTTATAAGTGAGAACATGTGGCATTTGATTTTGTTTCTGGGTTATTTCATTCAGGATAATGGCCTTCAGCTCCATCCATGTTGCTCTGAAAGATATGATTTCTTTTTTTTTATGACTGCACAGTATTCCGTGATATATATATGCCACGTTTTCTTCATCAAATCCACCATTGATGAACACCTGGGTTCATTCCACGTCTTTGCTAATGTAAATAGTGCTGCAATAAACATACAAATGCAGGTGTCTTTTTGATGTAACATTTTTTTTTTCCTTTGGGTAGATACCTAGTGGCAGGTATTGCTGGGTCCAATCGTAATTCTGGTTTTATTTCTTTGAGAAATGTCTATATTATTTTCCATAGAGGTTGTACTAATTTACATTCCCACCAGCAGTGTATAAGCATTCCCTTTTCTCCATAACCTCACTAACATCTGTTTTTTGACTTTTTAGTGATAGCCATTCTTACTGGTGTGAAACAGTATCTTTCTTTTTTCTTTTCTTTTTTATTTTACTTTAAGTTCTGGGATACATGTGCTGAATGTGCAGGTTTGTTACATAAGTATACATGTGCCATGGTGGTTTGTTGCACCTATCAACCCTTCATCTAGGTTTTAAGCCCCACATGCATCAAGTATTTGTCCTAATGCTCTCCCTCCACTTTCTCCCCACTCCCTGGTAGGCCCCAGTGTGTGATGTTCGCCTCCCTGTGTCCATGTGTGTGAGACGGTATCTTATTGTTGTTTTAATTTGCATTTCTCTAATGATTGGTGATGTTGCGTTTTTCTTGTGTTTGTTGGCCACTTGTGTATTTTCTTCTGACAAATGTCTGCTCATGTTCTTTGCTCACTTTTTAATGGGGTTATTTGTTTTTCTAGACCCTATCTCTCACTATATACAAAAATTAACTCGAGATGAATTAAAAGACTTATATCTAAGACCTGAAACTATAAAAATCCTAGAAGAAAGCCTAGTAAAACTCTTCAGGACATTGGCCTACGTAAAGAATTTATGATTAAGACCTCAAAAGCAAATGCAACAAAAACAAAAATAAACAAATGAGACTTAATTAAACTAAAAAGCTTCTAGACAGCAAAATAAATAATCAATAAAGAGACAACCTACAGAATGGGAGAAAATGTTTACACACTATGCATCTGCCAAAGAACTAATATCCAGAATGTATAAGGTTCTCAAACAACTCAACATGAAAAGTTATTGTCTTCAACCTGCTTTCCTTGGCTCCCTGCAGCCATACTAATTCAAGGCCAAGCCACTGTTGGAGTTGCATTGACTCATATTTGGAGGGTGGAGGTGGGAGGGTTCTATTTTCACCGTAATATAAATTATTTTCCTTCCTTGGAAAAAATCAAGCATCTACCTCATGTCTATAGCAGCTAGGAAAACAAAACAAAACAAACAAATAAACTACAAAAAAAGTTCAATTTTACATCTGGAGCTTCCTTTAAAGTATTGTTACCCTAGGCTGGTTGGCTAACTTCTCAGAATAATAATTGCCCTGGATACTTCACTTGGTTTTTAACACTAAATGAAGAAATACATGTCAAGCACTTGAAAACTAACATTTTGCATGTATTATTCTCATTTTATAAGTTTAATTAAATAAATACTTAAGATCTGGGAAGTTTTCATGCAGGAAGCACGATTTTTTAAAATTACGTCATTTAAAAAATAAAGCATCATTTAAAAAATTGCAAGTGCCATTTTGCAAGGCAAAACCTGGTGAACTGAAGATCATAACATCTTAAAGACATTAAGAGACGTTAGAGATTGCCTTTCATCAAATTTCCAAATAGCAGTGCAGAAAAATATCTGCACTGATTGCTTGAATTTTATAGCCCTTTAATGTTAGTTATTTCTTTATTTTTCTAAAATTAAGTAATGAAGACTAATAGAAATCTTTCAATTAGTATAATGCCCCACAAGCTATTTTATCTCATTTACTCCAAATAAGTAATAAAATTTAAATAATATATTCTTAAAATTTTTTAAATACTGATATAATGAGGCATGCAATTTTCAGTATTTTAAGGGTAAACATGTCTGCTATAAAAATGCTACTTAAAGCAGGACCAGAGTATATGATTGGTCTGTCATAAGTATTTTTAAGAAACATGGCATTGGTTAAAGGTATGATGAAGAGCACAATGAAACAAAATGAACAGATAAAATACTGTTAGATAAATTTGAATCTCACATTTAAAAAAATCAAGATTCCAATTAATTAGCAGCAATTAACTCTTTCCACAATTCATTACTTATGGTTTTCAGAGGTTAATTTTAAAATCAATTCTCTGTATCTATATATCTACCTATCTGTCTAGCAATATATGCATGTTGCCATGGATGTATATCTGTAAAGTATTCTGGAGAGTAAACAAGCTTCATAATCATGGACAAAGTATGTTCTTTATGTTACTGGAAACAGTTCCTGACCCCAAGAGAGGGTGCTTGAATCTCATGCAAGAGAGAATTCAGGGTGAGTCCATAGAGTAAAGTGAAAGCAAGTTTATTAAGAAAGCAAAGGAATAAAAGAATGGCTACTCCATAGACAGAGCAGCCCTGAGGGCTGCTGGTTGCCCATTTTTATGGTTATTTCTTGATTATATGCCAAATAAGGGGTTGATTCTTCACGCCTCCCTTTTTTAAATCATATAGGGTAACTTCCTGATGTTGCCATGGCATTTGTAAACTGTCATGGCATTGGTGGGAGTGTAGCAGTGAGAACCACCAGAGATCACTGTTGTTGCCATCTTCGTTTTGGTGGGGTTTAGCCAGCTTCTTTACTGCAACCTGTTTTATCAGCAAGGTCTTTATGACCTGTATCTTGTGCCAACCTCCTATCTCATCCTGTGACTCAGAATCCCTAACCGTCTGGGAATGCAGCCCAGTAAGTCTCAGCCTTATTTTACCGAGCCCTTATTCAAGATGGAGTTGCTCTGGTTCAAATGCCTCTGACATTTATATGAAAATAAATTAACCACCCCATGCCCTACATTACAATGGGAACAAAAAGAAAATGCTACTCAGTATTTCTACTTTCTCCACTGATCCTAAGATGAACTTATTTTATACTCATCTACAAAAAAAAAATGCTGTCAATTAAACCATAACACACTGCATTTTAAAAATCCCACCAACACTGTCTTAGCACTAAGATTAAGATATGATTAGTTTTTATCTGTTGGCTTTAGAAAGTTATTTGGACACTTTTGATTTTGCCTCTAAATGATGAGGAGGCACCTTGTCATTGTAAAAAAAATATGTATTTTTTCTTTAGATATGGCTCTATAATGTTTGTTACTTTGCTTTGCTTAACCTAATCCATCTTCTTGACTTGTGATGTTTTTATAAAAATAATTACTGTGATATAATATGAATTACTCTTATAAGTTACAGTCAACTGAAATCCTACAAATATATATTGGCATATGGTTTGGTATTTGGTATTTAAATAATTTTAAACTGGTATGAAATCCCTAAGTAAATTTTTTCAAGCCAGAGACATCCATTTTTCAAGCCAGAGACACCCACTGATACTAGTTAACAAGTATCAATGTAAAGAAAAATGCAATTATGGAATATAATATGATAAGCTACATAGTCTTTGAGATGGTTATAACACATACTCATTTATGTGGAACGTAAAATTGAGAAAGGGAATTTCCAATTTGAGCGTGAGTAGCTATATGAAGCTAATTGCTTCTATGTGCTCTGGTACATAAACCATTTACTTTGTTTTAGCACAGGAACGTTTTTAATGAAACAGGAATGTTTTTAACTATATCTTAGAAAAAGATAGAGAATTCTCTTTCTATGACCTTGAAAAGCACAATGCAAAATGAATACCTAATGATTTGAAATTCTGCGATACTAAAAGGGTTGAAAGAGATCAGTATAAATATTGATGTCTAAAACAAATGTGTTGTGTTACATGCTAGAATAAATGCTTTTTCTGGAGCCAATTCAGTATGTAAACAGAATTGAGATCTTTGGAATTATAGCTTCTTATCTGTATATCTATAGTTTCTTAGCTATAGTAAGATGTGTTTTTCTTTGTACATCAGAAGTATCAGATGAATTCAAAAGACTGAGAAATTTAGTTTCAATACTAAATAAATTCCTTTGTAGGACCCAGTATAGTTTAACCTTGAAACACACTATTACTTACTAGAAGCAAGAGCTAGTCTTTGTAGTTTTAATTTCTCAGTATATCCTATTGAAAAAGGAATATAACTGAATGAAAAGCACTTGCATGACATGTAAAAGTGAATTGCAATGCTTGGAGCAGCCAGAGAACCTTTCTCGGGGCAATGAAGAGACTCCATGTGTAATTCTTTAAACTAGAGCACCTAATTATCATTAGTTAATATTTATAAATGTCAACAAGATGGAAAAATTGGAAAGCATATCCACAATTTAGGAGCCAAAAAAATTTCAATCTAGACTTGATACTTAACGTGGACAGACAAGAACCAGTGGGGAAATGGTGGTCGTATGGGGAATAATATGATACAGAGACATGAGTTGTCTTGCTCCTGCTTGAAGATCTATCCTGCCGCCTCCCCACTGCTAATCCTTCATTAAATTCTTAGGTTCTATTGACATTAACCCTCAGGACAGTTGATCCTTCTGTAAGGTCAGAATTTGAATCCTCAAGGGAGGCTATCCTGACCAGATTTTTGTCTTTTAGTTTCACACACAGAAGTAATCATTTATTATTGATGTTAAAGACATTCTTCTTTTCAGAAGGTGCCAGGGTAGAGAAGACAAACAATTCACACAGAGAAATCACCATTCAAATGAGAGGGGTGAACCATGCTGTCCCTCTTGGGCAGAAGCACGCGTATAAATACATTGCTTACAGCCAGATTGATGCACACGTCTCTTCCAAAATAAACGGGGCTAGATTTTTTGTTTGGCAACCGTCGTATTAGGACTCACAGTTACTTTTCTAAGGTATTCTTTTTTACTCACAAGGATCAGAACTGAGCCTGAGAGGAACAGCTGTTCAGATCTTTTTATCTTTGGCCTAAGTCACAAACTTCCCACGTTGATATTTGATTGAAAGAATGAGTAATGGGTATTGTTGACTAGGGTTCAGTACTCAGATTGCAACCAACAACACTGCCTCAACTGGGACAAGGCGGCGAGAGGAATAAATGGCAGCCCAGTGTGTCTGATGTTGCACATACTTTCCCCTTAGCGTAATTAAAAGGTGGCATAATCCCCAAACTGAACTTTTTGAAAATTAGTCCATTTGTTCTGATTTAGGAACACCCATTTCTTCACACTTTCACGTTGCTGAAATGTTGCATTTCAGCAACAAAAACTGAAGTTTATGTTGATTTTTTTTAACGTTGCCTTATTTAAATAAATTAAGGAAGATCTCTCTTTGGCAGTGGTAAACTAGAAACAGTTGTTCATTACTTCTTATCCTGTAAAAATTTCAGGGAGGGGAACAACACAGGGGGTGGGGGGCAAGGGGAGGGAGAGCATTAGGACAAATACCTAATGCATGTGGGGCTTAAAACCTAGATGACGGGTTGATAGGTGCAGCAAACCATCATGGCACATGTATACCTATGTAATAAACCTGCAAATTCTGCACATGTATCCCAGAACTTAAAATAAAATAAAATAAGAATTTATTGTTCTTTCCACAAGAATAAAGAAAAGAAATTCAGAAATGTAAGCATTTAATCACATGGAAAATATAAATTATAATAATTTATTTCATAAATTTAATATGCTTTGACTTGAGCATATATTTTAAATTTAAATTTTCCTGCAGATACAGTAAATGGCATGCATAAATCTTAGTGCAAATCTTCAATCTCTCAGAAGTGGTTTCTTTGCCAACAAACAAACAGAAACTTATGAGGCACCACATCCCATTCTACAATTTTTAACTCATTACAGTATAAGAGTATATTATTTTGTTCAATGACTAGACCAACACTTTTCTACAGTCTGTGATACTGGTGACTAATCATAGTAAGCTACTACTTTTAAAGTTCCTATGGATATTGAAACCACCTTTGCAAAAATTATGTCAGTGAGAAAATTATGGCAGTGGGGGAGATCTGATCCAGCCAACCCTCCCTCTCGCCTTTAGCTTTCAAGCTGCTTTATTCCTAGGCTTGGGCTGAGTTAACTTTGGAAGATATAGAGATTATAGTTTATTTAAATATCTTGCAGTTTGGGCCTTCCCCAAAACTCAACCACCTTTAAAAAGTTAATGAGACATCAGCAGGCTAAGGGGAGGAGAAGAGCCTTCATCTTGCTAAGGTGTAGACTGGTCAAAAGATATGCAGTTTCTTTAATTACTGCTGCAGAGAACATCACTGTTGTAGATTGACCTTTTGAGATAACTTTTCTGGATTTTTGCATGTCGGACACCCATTGCTCTACCACCTGATCCCACTTACCATGGCTTCTGTGGCCCCACCCAGAAGCAACTCAGTGCAAGAGGACAGCTTCAACTCCCTATGATTTCCTCTCTGACCCAACCAATCAACAGCAAGCACTCACCCATGGCCTAACCATCTCCACCCCTTCCTCTAAACTACCTTTGAAAAACCCCTAACCTATGACCCTTTGATGAGATTGATTTGAGTAATAACTCCATCTCCACGTAGCATGGCCAGCCTTGTGTCAATTAAAGAGTTTCTTTACTGCAATGCCATGGCCTTTATTTGTGCAGTGGGCAGAAAGAACCCCTCAGTTGGTTACAGTGTCTTTGACATTCTACATTCAATAAATTCCAAATGGAATAATATTTTAGCAAAATCCAATAGGTTTTTAAAATATATCTAAAGAATGTTATTAAAATAATATCATCTATTCATGCATTCTACATATTTATTTAGTGCCTTTTGTGTGCCAAGTTCTGTTCTAGGAACCAGCACTATATCCGGGAGCAAAAGAGAGAGTTTCTCCTCAAGCTTACATTCTAGTTGAGTGGTACTGACAAAAGTAAATAGACAAATATCCATTGTGTCTTGTGATACACACTAGAATGAAAACTAATGAAAAACTGACATAAAGAATAATCAGCTGGTGATAGTGAAAAAGAGTGATCTTCTCTAGATAGGTAATTATGGAAGTCTTTCGGTGAAGGTGAAATAAAAGAACTATAGCATGGAAAGCATTAGCCACTTGAATTCAAGGAAGAGCATTCTTGGCCATGGGAGTTCCAAGAACACTGTGGCTGGAGGGTAGTAATCCAAGGAGAAGGTGGTGCAAGGTGAAGTTAGGATTGATGGTAGGAGACAGGACACCCAGGGCCCTGCAGGTTACAGCTGATCTTTTCGTTTAGGGCAATGGCAGGTTGGAGAGTATAATGCTGAGGAGGAACACAACCTAATTCACCTTTGCAGGTCACTGGCTGATATGTAGGAAATGGAGTGGAAGGGGAGGCAGAAAGCAAACAGAGAATAGTAATTCCTGTTATTATGATTCCAGTAAATAATTTTCTTTATATGATGAAGCTACAGATTTCAAATAGAGTTTCAAATATTCAAACAGTGAAATTTGTCTGGCTGAACATGGAGGAAGAAAGGAGAAACAAAACTCAGTTCTGCATTTCAATATTGTTATCATTAAAACAAGACAATGGAAATATTAAACAATGCTTTGTATTTCTCCACATTAGGAGATGGGATGTAGTTGTCAGAAGTTCAGGTTAACTAATAGGTCATTGATATTGCTCCTGGTGATCTCGTTTTATGATTTTTTTTCTTTTTCTTTTTTTCTTTTTTTTTTGAGTTGGAGTTTTGCTCTTTTTGCCCAGGCTGGAGTGCAATGGCACAGTCTTGGTTCACCACAACCTCCACCTCCCAGGTTGAAGTGATTCTTCTGCCTCAGCCTCCTGAGTAGTTGGGATTACAGGCATGCTGCCACACCCAGCTAATTTTGCATTTTTAGTAGAGATGGAGCTTCACCATGTTGGCCAGGCTGATCTTCAACTCCTGACCTCAGGTTATCTGTCCCCCTCAGCCTCCCAAAGTGCTGGGATTGCAGGCGTTAGCCACCACACCCGGCCTACTTCTCTTAAAATAGATCTTAAATCATGTAGACCAGAGCAGCCTGAGAAAGGGTAGTATAAAGCTTTCCAGCTCCCTCCTCATTAAAGGAAGCAAGAAATGGGTAATGCTAAAACAAGTTTTTATTTCTTCATTTGTATGCTTTTATTTATGTATTTGGTTAGTTAGCTTTAAAATAAAATTTAAGATGACATAAAGCATTGCAATTAAGAGCTGGAACTCTGAGTTCCAGAGACCTGAGACTAAGACTAACTCTGCCACTTACTTAGGGCCAGCAATTTCCCTGAGCTTCAGCTTCCTCATGAACAGAATAGAGTTTTAAGGATTAATTAAGATAATACATGTGAGGAGCGACATCAGGAAGATGGCAGAGTAGAAGATCCTAGCCTTCACACACACACACACACACACACACACACACACACACACAATTAGCTATCCAAGAATAAAAATAGCTCTAGGAGAGCTCAGAAGTGTAGGTAAGATACTGTCACAACACAATGGAGCAAAAAAATCAAGAAATAACTGCACAAAAATGGTAGGAAGAACAGTTTTATTTTGCTGCATTATCTCATCCCCTAGGCCATCACAGTTCAGCAACCAGTGATAACTCCCCAGCCCATGCATGAGCTTCTCAAACAGGGAGAAGAAGAGCAGGGTGAATGCCCAGCTTCCCCAGCCTTTTGGGCATCGCATGAAGGACCCACTTTGGCTTCATCTACCCAGATTGCTGGGGAAACCAACACAGCTGAGACATCTGGAGATGGGTAGAATAAAAGAAGAAGAGTAGGGCCTATCAGTATCAGCCACATGGCAGAAGACACCATGGTCCCCAGAGGCCTCGAATTTGTATTGACAACTTTAAGAAAATTGAGCTCATATCAACTATCTTCTCAGTAGAATGAAACTAGAAATCAAAAATAGAAAGAAAACAGGAAAATTCACAAATACATGTAAGCTAAACCACACATTCTTAAACAACAATTGAGTAAAAGAGAAAATGAAAAGGGAATTTAAAAAATTATCTCAAGACAAGTAAAAATGAAAATATAACTTACCAAAACTTATGGGATGCGACAAAAGCAGTACTAGGAGGGAACTACTTTAACACCTAGTATTAAATGCCTATGTTAAAGGAGAAAGATATCAATTTAAAAACCTAGATTTATATTCCGAGAAACTAGAAAAATAAGAACAAACTAAACCCAAACTTAGCAAAAGGAGGAAAATGATAGAGTGATGTAAAATAGAGAATAGAGGAAAATGGATTGGTTTTTAAAAAGTTAAACAATCAACAAATCCTAAACTAGGGGGAGGAGCCAAGATGGCCAAATAGGAACAGCTCCAGTCTAGAGCTCCCAGCGTGAGCGACGCAGAAGACGGGTGATTTCTGCATTTCCAACTGAGGTACTGGGTTCATCTCACTGGGGTGTGCCAGACAGTGGGTGCAGGACAGTGGGTGCAGTGCCCCGTGCATGAGCTGAAGCAGGGCGAGGCATTGCCTCACCTGGGAAGCCCAAGGGGTCAGGGAATTCCCTTTCCTAGTCAAAGAAATGGGTGACAGACGGCACCTGGAAAATCGGGTCACTCCCACCCTAATACTGCGCTTTCCCAACGGGCTTAAAAAATGGCACACCAGGAGATTATATCCACACCTGGCTCGGAGGGTCCTACGCCCACGGAGTCTCACTCATTGCTAGCACAGCAGTCTGAGATCAAACTGCAAGGTGGCAGCGAGGCTGTGGGAGGGGCGCCCGCCATTGCCTAGACTTGATTAGGTAAACAAAGTGGCAGGGAAGTTTGAACTGGGTGAAGCCCACCACAGCTCAAGGAGGCCTGCCTACCTCTGCAGGCTCCACCTCTGGGGGCAGGGCACAGACAAACAAAAAGACAGCAGTAACCTCTGCAGACTTAAATGTCCCTCTCTGACAGCTTTGAAGAGAGCAGTGGTTCTCCCAGCATGCAGCTTGAGATCTGAGAATGGGCAGACTGCCTCCTCAAGTAGGTCCCTGAACCCCGAGTAGCCTAACTGGGAGGCATCCTCCAGTAGGGGCGGACTGATAGCTTACACGGCCGGTACTCCTCTGAGACAAAACTTCCAGAGGAACGATCAGGCAGCAGCATTTGCGGTTCACCAATATCCGTTGTTCTGCAGCCACTGCTACTGATACCCAGGCAAACAGGGTCTGGAGTGGACCTCTAGCAAACTCCAACAGACCTGCAGCTGAGGGTCCTGTCTGTTAGAAGGAAAACTAACAAACAGGAAGGACATCCACACCAAAAACCCATCTATATGTCAACATCATCAAAGACCAAAGGTAGATAAAACCACAAAGATGGGGAAAAAACAGAGCAGAAAAACTAGAAACTCTAAAAATCAGAGCACCTCTCCTCCTCCAAAGGAACGCAGCTCCTCACCAGCAGTGGAACAAAGCTGGACGGAGAATGACTTTGACGAGTTGAGAGAAGAAGGCTTCAGAGGATCAAACTACTCCAAGCTACAGGAGGAAGTTCAAACAAATGGCAAAGAAGTTAAAAACTTTTAAAAAAATTAGACAAATGGATAACTAGAATAACCAATGCAGAGAAGTCCTTAAAGGACCTGAAGGAGCTGAAAACCAAGGCACGAGAACTACGTGAAGAATGCAGAAGCCTCAGTAGCCAATGCAATCAACTGGAAGAAAGGGTATCAGTGATGGAAGACGAAATGAATGAAATGAAGCGAGAAGAGAAGTTTAGAGAAAAAAGATTAAAAAGAAACGAACAAAGCCTCCAAGAAATATGGGACTATGGAAAAGACCAAATCTGCGTCTGATTGGTGTACCTGAAAGTGACAGGGAGAATGGAACCAAGCTGGAAAACACTCTGCAGGATATTATCCAGGAAAACTTCCCCAATCTAGCAAGGCAGGCGAACATTCAAATTCAGGAAATACAGAGAATACCACAAAGATACTCCTCGAGAAGAGCAACTCCAAGACACATAATTGTCAGATTCACCAAAGTGGAAATGAAGGAAAAAACGTTAAGGGCAGCCAGAGAGAAAGGTCAAGTTACCCACAAAGGAAGCCCATCAGACTAACAGCTGATCTCTCAGCAGAAACTCTACGAGACAGAAGAGAGTGGGGGCCAATATTCAACATTCTTAAAGAAAAGAATTTTCAACCCAGAATTTCATATCCAGCCAAACTAAGCTTCATAAGTGAAGGAGAAATAAAATACTTTACAGAGAAACAAATGCTGAGAGATTTTGTCACCACCAGGCCTGCCCTAAAAGAGCTCCTGAAGGAAGCACTAAACATGTAAAGGAACAACCGGTACCAGCCACTGCAAAAACATGCCAAATTGTAAAGACCAAAAAGGCTAGGAAGAAACTGCATCAACTAACAAGCAAAGTAGCCAGCTGACGTCATAATGACAGGATCAAATTCACACATAACGATATTAACTTTGAATGTAAATGGGATACATGCTCCAATTAAAAGACACAGACTGGCAAATCGGATAAAGAGTCAAGACCCATCAGTATGCTGTATTCAGGAAACCCATCTCCTGTGCAGAGACACACAAAGGCCCAAAATAAAGGGATGGAGGAAGACTTACCAAGCAAATGGAAAACAGAAAAAGGCAGGGGTTGCAATCCTATTCTCTGATAAAACAGACTTTAAAACAACAAAGATCAAAAGAGACAAAGAAGGCCATTACATAATGGTAAAGGGATCAATTCAACAAGAAGAGCTAACTATCCTAAATATATATGCACCCAATACAGGAGCACACAGATTCATAAAGCAAGTCCTCAGTGAACTACAAAGAGACTTAGACTCCCACACAATAATAATGGGAGACTTTAACACCCCACCATCCACATTAGACAGATCAACGAGACAGAAAGTTGAAAAGGATATCCAGGAACTGAACTTAGCTCTGCACCAAGCAGACCTAATAGACATCCACATTAACTCTCCACCTCAAATCAACAGAATATACATTCTTCTCAGCACTACATCACACTTATTCCAAAACTGACCCCATAGTCGGAAGGAAAGCACTCCTCAGCAAATGCAAAAGAACACAAATTACAACAAATGGTCTCTCAGACCACAGTGCAATCAAACTAGACCTCAGGATTAAGAAACTCACTCAAAACCGCTCAACTACATGGAAACTGAGCAATCTGCTCCTGAATGACTACTGGGTACATAACGAAATGAAGGCAGAATAAAGATGTGCTTTGAAACCAATGAGAACAAAGACACAACATACCAGAATCTCTGGGACACATTCAAAGCAGTGTGTAGAGGGAAACTTATAGCATTAAATGCCCACAGGGGAAAGCAGGAAAGATCTAAAATGGACACCCTAACATCACAATTAAAAGAACCAGGGAAGCAAGAGCAAACACATTCAAAAGCTAGCAGAGGGCAAGAAATAACTAAGATCACAGCAGAGCTGAAGGAGACGGAGACACAAAAAGCCCTTCAAAAAATCGATGAAACCAGGAGCTGGTTTTTGGAAAAGATCAACAAAATTGATAGACCGCTAGCATGACTAATAAAGAAGAAAAGAGAGAAGAATCAAATAGATGCAATAAAAAATGATAAAGGGGATATCACCACTGATCCCACAGAAATACAAACTACCATCAGACAATCCTATAAACACCTCGATGCATATAAACTAGAAAATCTAGAAGAAATGGATAAATTCCTAGACACATACACCCTCCCCAGACTAAATCAGGAAGAAGTTGAATCCTTGAATAGACCAATAACAGGCTCTGAAATTGAGGCAATAATTAATAGCCTACCAACCAAAAAAAGTCCAGGACCAGAAGGATTCACAGCCGAATTCTAACAGAGGTACAAGGAGGAGTTGGTACCATTCCTTCTGAAACTATTCCAATCAATAGAAAAAGAGGGAATTCTCCCTAACTCGTTTTATGAGGCCAGCATTATCCTGACATCAAATCCTGACAGAGACACAACAAAAAGAGAATTTTAGACAAATATCCCTGATGAACACTGATGCAAAATCCTCAATAAAATACTGGCAACCCTAATCCAGCAGCACATCATAAAGCTTATCCAACTTGATCAAGTGAGCTTCATCCCTGAGATGCAAGGCTGGTTCAACATACGCAAATCAATAAACATAATCCAGCATAGAAACAGAACCAAAGACAAAAACCACATGATTATCTCAATAGATGCAGAAAAGACCTTTGACAAAATTCAACAGCCCTTCGTTCTAAAAACCCTCAATAAGTTAAGTATTGATAGGACGTATCTCAAAATAATACGAGCTACTTATGACAAACCCACAGCCAATATCATACTGAATGGGCAAAAACTGGAAGCATTCCCTTTGCAAACTGGCACAAGACAGGGATGCCCTCTCTCACCACTCCTATTTGACATAGTGTTGGAAGTTCTGGCCAGGGCAATCGGGCAGGAGAAAGAAATAAAGGGTATTCAATTAGGGAAAGAGGAAGTCAAATTGTCCCTGTTTGCAGATGACATGATTGAATATTTAGAAAACCCCGTCGCCTCAGCCCAAAATCTCCTCAAGCTGATAAGCAACTGCAGCAAAGTCTCAGGATACAAAATCAATGTGCAAAAATCACAAGCATTCTTATGCGCCACTAACAGACAAACAGAGAGCCAAATCATGAGTGAACTCCCATTCACAATTGCTTCAAAGAGAATAGAATACCTAGGAATCCAACTTACAGGTGATGTGAAGGACCTCTTCAAGGAGGACTACAAACCACTGCTCCATGAAATAAAAGAGGACGAAAACAAATGGAAGAACATTCCATGCTCACGGATAGGAAGAATCAATATCGTGAAAATAGCCATACTGCCCAAGGTAATTTATAGATTCAATGCCATCCCCATCAAGCTACCAATGACTTTCTTCACAGAGTTGGAAAAACTCCTTCAAAATTCACATGGAACCAAAAACGAGCCCGCATTGCCAAGACGATCCTAAGCCAGAAGAACAAAGCTGGATGCATCAGGCTACCTGACTTCAAACTACACTACAAGGCTACAGCAACCAAAACAGCATGCTATTGGTTGCTGTTTTGGTTACTGTAGACCAATGGAACAGAATAGAGCCCTCAGAAATAATACCACACATCTACAACCATCTGATCTTTGACAAACCTGACAAAAACAAGAAATGGGGAAAGGATTCCCTATTTAATAAATGGTGCTGGGAAAACTGGCTAGCCATATGTCGAAAGCTGAAATTGGATCCCTTCCTTACACCTTATACGAAAATTAATTCAAGACGGATGAACGACTTAAATGTTAGAGGTTAAACCATACAAAGCCTAGAAGAAAACCTAGGCAATACCATTCAGGACACAGGCATGGGCAAGGACTTCATGTCTAAAACACCAAAAGCAATGGCAACAAAAGCCACAATAGACAAATGGCATCTTATTAAACCAAAGAGTTTCTGCACAGCTAAAGAAACTACCATCAGAGTGAACAGGCATCCTACAGAACGGGAGAAAATTTTTGCAATCTACTCATCTGACAAAGGGCTAATATCCGGAATCGACTAAGAACTCAAACAAATTTACAAGAAAAAACCAAACAACCCCATCAACAAGTGGGGGAAGGATATGAAGAGACACTTCTCAAAAGAAGACATTTATGCAGCCAACAGACATATGAAAAAATGCTCATCATCACCGGCCATCAGAGAAGTGCAAATCAAAACCACAATGAGATACCATCTCACACCAGTTAGAATGGCAATCATTAAAAAGTCAGGAAACAACAGGTGCTGGAGAGGATGTGGAGAAATAGGAACACTTTTACACTGTTGGTGGGACTGTAAACTAGTTCAAACATTGTGGAAAATAGTGTGGCAAATCCTCAAGAATCTAGAAATAGAAATACCGTTTGACCCAGCCATCCCATTACTGGGTATATACCCAAAGGATTATAAATCATGCTGCTAGAAGGACACATGCACACGTATGTTTATTGTGGCACTATTCACAATAGCAAAGACTTGGAACCAACCCAAACGTCCATCAATGATACACTGGATTAAGAAAATGTGGCACATATACACCATGGAATACTATGCAGCCATAAAAAAGGATGAGTTCACATCCTTTGTAGGGACACGGACGAAGCTGGAAACCATCGTTCTTAGCAGACTATCGCAAGGACGAAAAATCAATCACTGCATGTTCTCACTCATAGGTGGGAACTGAACAATGAGAACACTTGGACACAGAAAGGGGAACATCACACACCGGGGCCTGTCATGGGTGGGGGGAGGGGGAGGGATAGCATTAGGAGATATACCTAGTGCTAAATGACGAGTTAATGGGTGCAGCACACCAACAGCACATGTATACATATGTAACAAATCTGCACTTTGTGCACATGTACCCTAAAACTTAAAGTATAATAATAATAAAATTTTAAAAAAATCCTAAACTAGACTAAGAAAAAAAAGAGAAAGTCTCAAATAAATAAAATTGGAAATGAAAAAGGAGACATTACAATGGATAACACAGAAATTAAAAAACTTCATAAGGGACTATTGTGAGCAATTACATGCCAACCAAGGAGTTACAAAACTGAGAAGAAATGGATAAATTCCTAGAAACATACAACCTACTACAACTGCATCAAAAATAAATAGAAAGGCTAAACAGACCAATAACGAGCAAGGCGATTGAATTAATAATCAAAAACCTTCCAAAAGGCTAGTGCGGTGGCTCACACCTGCAATTTCAGCACTTCGGGAGGCCAGGCTGGAGAATAGCTTTAGCCCAGGAGTTTGAGACCTGCCTGGGCAACATAGTAAGACCCCTATGTCTACAAAAACATTAAAAATTAGCTGGGTGTTGTGGTGCATGACTGTAGTCCCAGCTACTCAGGAAGCTGACATAGGAGGATTATTTGACCCCAGGAGGTCGAGGCTGCAATGAGCTGTGATTCTGCCACTGCACTCCAGCCTGGGTGACGGAGTCTCAGGCTTAAAACAAAAACAAAAACAAAAATCTTTCCAACAAAAGCCCCAAACTAAATGGCTTGGTAGGTGAACTCGACCATATATTTAAAGAAGAGGTGATACCAATCCTTAAACTTCCATGAAGTAGAAGAAGGAACAATCCAAAACTCATTTAAGAAACCAGCATCACTCTGATTCTAAAGCCAGACAAAAACAACACAAGACTATACTAGCAAACCAAATTCAATAGCACATTAAAAAGATCATGGAGCAGGATCAAGTGAAATTTATCCCTGGGATGCAATGATGGTTCAATTTATGAGAATCAACCAATGTAATACACCACAGTAGTAGAATTAAAGACAAAGGCCACGTGATCATCTCAATAGATGTGGAAAAAGCATTTGACAAAATTCATTATTTTTTCATGATAAAAAGTCTTAACAAAATAGGTATGGAAGAAGCTTACCTCAACACAATAAAGGCCATAGATGAAAAACCCACAGCTAGCATCATAATCAATAGGGAAATAAAGACCACATACGAAAAACCCACGTAATCATCAATGGAGAAATAATAAAAAAATTTTCTTGTAAAATCTGGAACAAGGCATGGATGCCCACTCTTACCACTGCTATGCAACGTATTACTGGAAGTCACAGAGCAATCCGGCAAGAAAAAAAAAGAAAAGGCATCCAAATCTAAAGGGAAGAGGTAAAACTATCTGTTTTCAAATGATATCTTTTATGTAGAAAACCTTAAAGATTTCACAAAAAAGCTATTCAAACAAATAAATGAACTCGGTAAAGTTGTAGGATACAAAATCAACATACAAAATTCAATGGGATTGCTATGCACCAACAACAAACTATCCAAAAAGGAAATTAAGAAAACAATATCATTTACATTAGCAACAACCAAAAAATAAAATACTTAGGAATTAACTTAAGCAAAGAGGTGAGAGACCTGAACACTGAAAATTATAAAACATTAATGAAGAAAATTTAAAATGACATGAATAAATAAAAAACACCTCATGTTCATGGATTGGGAGAACTAATATTGTCAAAATGTTCATATTACATAAGGTGACCTACAGATTCAATATAATCGCTATCAAAATTCTGATGATGTTTACAGAAATAGGAAACAAAAATTCTAAAATTCATATGGAACCACAAAAAGTCTTACATTTATCTGAACATAATTTTTTAATTTTAATAGCTTTAGGGGTAGGAGTGGGTTTTGTTTACATGGACAAATTGTGCACTAAAATCCCAGTTCACCCAATTCATGTACATTGTACCTAAAAGGTAGTTTTTCATCCCTCACCGCCTTCCCCACTTCCCACTTTCTGGGTTTCCAATGTCCATTACACCACTCTATATGCCTTTGTGTACCCATACCTTAGCCCCCACTCATAAATGGGAACATGTGGTATTTGGTTTTCAATTCCTGAGTTACTTCACTTAGAATAATGGTCTCCATCTAATTCCATGTAAGTTGTTGCAAAAGACATTATTCTGTTCTTTTTTATGGTTGAGTAGCATTCCATGATGTGGAGATATATATTATGCATATATATAATTGATATAATGACTTCTTTTCATTTGGGTAAGTACCCAGTAGTGGGATTGCTGGATCAAATGGAAGATTTACTTTTAGTTCTTTAAGAAATCTCCATATTATTTTCCATAGAGGTTTTACTCATTTACATTCCCACCAACACTGTATGAGTGTTCCCTTTTCACCACATTTATGCTAACATCTATTGCTCTTTAACTTTTTAATAATGGCTATGCTGGCTAGGGTGGTGGTATCTCATTGTGGTTTTATTTTGTATTTCCCTGATGATTAGTGATGTTGAGTATTTTTTCACCTGTTTCTTAGCCATTTGTATATCTTCTTTTGAGAAATGTCCATTCGTGTCATCTGCCCACTTTTTAATGGGATTATTTGTTTTTTTCGTGGTGATTTAAGTTCCTTGTAGATTCTGGATATTAGTCCTTTGTTGAATGCAAATATTTTCTCCCATTCTCTAGGTTGTCTATTTACTCTGATAATTATTGCTTTTGCTGTGCAGAAGCTTTTTAGTTTAATTTGGTCCCATTTATTAGTATTTATTTATTTATTTATATATTTATTTATTTATTTTTGAGACGGAGTCTCACTCTGTCGCCAGGCTGGAGTGCAATGGTGTGATCTCTGCTCACTGCAATCTCCGACTCCCTGGTTCAAGCACTCCTCCTACCTCAGCCTCTGGAGTAGCTGGAATTACAGGCACAAACCACCATGCCCAGCTAATTTTTGTATTTTTAATAGAGATGGGGTTTCACTGTGTTGGCCAGGATGGTCTCAAACTCCTGACCTCACGATCCGCCCATCTCAGCCTCCCAAAGTGCTGAGATTACAGGCATGAGCCACTGAGCCCAGCCTAGTATTTATTTTTGTTCCTGTTGCATTTGCTTTTGGGGGCCTTAGTAGATTCTTTGCCTAGGCCAATGTCCAGAACAGTTTTTTTTTAGGTTTTCTTCTAGAATTTTTATGGTTTCAGGTCTTAGATGTAAGTCTTTAATTCATCTTGAGTTAATTATTGTATATTGTGAGAGACAGGAATAATAGGGTGTCATTTTCCCAATTTATGTTTTTCTATGCTTTGTCAAATATCAGTTGGTTGTCAGTATTTTGCTTCATTTCTGAGTTCTCTATTCTGTTCTATTGGCCTATGTATCTACTTTTATACCAGTACTATGCTGCTTTGGTTACTATAACCTTGTAGTATAATTTGAAGTCAAGTAATGTGATGGCTCCAGATTTCTCCTTTTTGCTTAGGACTGCTTGGGCTACTCAGGCTCTTTTTTGATTCCATATGAGTTTTAGGATTTTTTTTTTCTAATTGTGTGAAAAATGATATTGGTATTTTTACAGAAATTACATTGACTCTTTAGATTGCTTTGAGTAGTATGGTCATTTTCATGATATCGATTCTTCCAATCCATGAGTATGGGAAGTATTTCCATTTGTTTGTGTCATATATGATTTCCCTCAGCAATGTTTTATACTCCTCCTTGTAGAGCTCTTTCACCTTATTGGTTAAGTATATTCCTAGTTTTTTTTTTTGTTTTTTGTTTTTCGTTTTTGTTTTTTGTTTGTTTGTTTGTTTTGGTAGTTAGTGTAAAAGGGGTTAGTTTTTTATTTGATTCTCAGCTTAGTTGTTGTTGGTGTACAGCAGTGCTGCTGCTATACATACATTGATTTTGTAACCTAAGACTTTACTGAATTCATGTATCAGATCTTGGAGTCTTTTGAAGGAATCTTTAGTGTTTTCTAGGTATAAGATCATATCATCAGCAAACAGAGATAGTTTTACTACCTCTTTTCTAACTTGGAGGTATTTTTTTGTCTTGCCTGATTGCTCTGACTAGGACTTCCTTAAACATAAAATTTGGAACTGTAAAATTCCTGGAAGAAAACATAGGGAAAAACCTTCTTGACACTGGTCTTGGCAATAATTTTCTGGGTATGAAAAGCATAGGTAACAAAATTAAAAATAGACAAGTGGAATTGCATCAAACTAAAAAACTTCTTCACAGTAAAGAAAATAACAGCAACCTATAGAATTGGGAAAATATTTGCAAATAATATATCAAAAATGTATTAATATCCAAAACATGTAAGGATCTCATTTAGCTCAATACCCCAAACACAAATACCCTGACTAAAAAATGAGCAAAGAACCTAAATAGACACTTTTCAAAAGAAGAAATTCAAGGGATCAACAGGCAAATGAAGATGTTCTCAACATCACTAATTATTAGGGAAATGAAAAATCAAAACCACAATGAGATAATTACCTCACACCTGCTAGTATGACTATTATAAAAAAGACAAAAGATAACAAGTGTAGGCAAGGATGTGGAGAAAAGAGAACCCGTTACACTGTTGGTGGGAATATAAACTAGTGCAGCCACTATGGAAAACAGTATAAAGCTTCCTCAAACATTCAAAATAGAAATACCGTATGATCCAGCAATCCCACTTCTGGGTATATATCCAATGAAATTGAAAACAGGATCATGGAGGGATGCCTGAATTCCATGTTTATTCCAGCATTATTCACAGTAACTAAGATATGGAAAAAACTAAAATGTCCTTCAATGGATGAATGGATAAGAAAATGTGATACACACACACAAACAATGGAATATTATTCAGCCTTTAAAAAAAAAAGAAAGTCCTGCTATTTGCAACAACACGAATGAAGCTAGAGGACATTATGCCAAGAGAAATAAACATGACACAGAAAGAGAAATACTGCACGGTTCTCAATTATACGTGGAATTTAAAATAGTCAAACATGTGGATGCAGAGAGGCCAAGGGAAGAAAGAAATGGGGTGATGTTGGTCAAAGGGCACAAAACTGGTACCTATATAAAGGTGACATGTTAATTGGCTGGAAAGAGACGATCATTTCACAATGTATATGTATATCAAAATGTCAAGTTGTGCAACTTAAATATATACAATTTTGTGTCAATAAAATTAGATCATCATGAAGTAGAGAATTTAAAAGACAAAAAACTCTTTAAATACAAAAAGTTTTTTTTATTTTAAAGATATTATTATACCTCATCTCCTAAAAATGGATAAGTCAGATAGAGCTATCATTCAAGTCTAAAGGCAACGTTTGCCTTTTGAATTCTGGGCAGTGTGTGTTCCTTTTGTTCTCAGGACGTATTTAAACCCTAAGGCTTTTTCTGTACATGTCCACTGAATTGGCCAGCCTTTATAAATGATTGTGAATCATCTCAAGGTTCAACAGGTGGGAATGGTTAAGAATAGTATAGATGCAAGAAATGAACAATTCAGTAAACACAATCCTTATGATAAAATTTATTTAATAAAATGAAAAATGCTTACAAAAAATAAAAGTAACATGCTCAGCATGCTACCTAGAATTTAGTAAGCATTCAGTAATTATTAACTTACAAAATAGAAATGTAAAGTAGATAAAATTCTGTTTGGGGTAATCAGCACCTAATCAAATGAAGATTTCATTAAAGCAGTAACAAGGACTGTTTTGTTCATAACTGTATGTTCAATACCTAGCCCAGTGCTTGACGGCAAGTAGGCATATATTAAATATTGTTGGAGGAAGGCAGGCAGGTAAGAAGAAGGAATGCAGGAAGAAAGGGAAGAAGGGAGAAAGGGAATTTCTGACAAACAGAAAGTGAATTGTCTGAAGAAATATCCTCTCTCATACCAAGGAGAAGGAATGGCTTCTGTTTAAGAATGTCTGATAAAAGACTGAAATGTATTGAAGATTTTTGAGATTATACAGAACCGAATAGGGATTGGAGAATGATTTGTATGCATGTGTTATGTACCTAAAATATGACACATATGTATAGAGTCTACTCCAGTGTGTGAGTACCTCCAAAATATGCCTCCACCGCTATCATCCTAGTCCAAGCTGTAGACATCCCTCATATGGACCGCTGCCATCTGTTCTGTGTATGACTAGAATGTGCTAAACTCCTCCCAGCCTCAGGGCCTTTCAGCATGCTGCATTCTCTATCTAGACTGATCCTGCCCTAAGCTCTGCACCTGCAGGTTCTTTCCCAACATTAAGGCTTCAGCTTAAAAGTCACTAGCACAGATTGGCTTTTTCTTACTATCCAATCTAAGCACATTCCCCCTCTTAATTTTTGAGAGTTGGTATTTATGTTCTTTCTTCCATTTATCAAAATCTATACTTTTTCCTTTGTCTGTTTCCTTGAATGAATTAATCAATTTATTTCTGGTCTGCCTGTCCAAAAGTTATTCTGAACAAGGAAATAATTTATTGAGGAAAAATACTATACTGCTCTTTTCTTCATCCAAAAACTTAAACTTTGTAGCAGGGCCTTCAAATTGAAATCAACCAGATATTTTCAAAACAGCATACCATAGAGCACCTGTTGGGCACTCATTCACTATTTACAGAAAAATAAAATCACCATGCAAGTCGCAGAAAAGTCCTTTGCCTAACACGAGTAAATACGGTAATTTCCATCCCTTACTCATTCCATTCTTTGGTAGGCATCTCCTAGCATGGCATGCATACTGAAATCTCAATTCAGGAATGAAAATCTGAAACCAAGCTATCTACTTTTGTGTACTCTGGCATTGTCTCATTTAAAATAATCCAAGAATGAAAATATGAGCTAAGCTGTTTGCTTTTTTAAACACTGAACGTGTCGATCCTGAAATTCCATTGGACAGGCATTTACTCTCCATGAAGATAAGAGTCCCTGTTGACCTTGAGTTACTCAAATGTCTTAACTATACAACACCCCTCCCCATATATGTATGCACTCTAAGCAGGTAGAATTCTAGCCAGATTATCTAACTGCAATCAACCTATTATAACACATTAAATAACATAGAGACCAAAAGAGTTTTAGGAAAGCAGTTAAGAGCTGAAGTTCTGAATTAGAGTGACCTGAGTTGGAAGTCTAGCTTTAACATTTACAACTCATGTATCCTTGAGAAAGTTACTCGGCCTGTCTAAGGCCTCAATTTCCACATCTATAAAATGGGAGTAATAAAATATTGTTTTTGTCAGACTAAATATGATCATGCATGTAGAATATTTTTATAACAGTTTTCTCAATTTATATTAGCTGATACTATAACAATAATGTTATAATTATTATTGGCTCTTTGAGCTCAAATGGATCTTGTAAGACATTGAGGCAATCTTCAATGAAGTTTCAGTAATATCTCTCAATTATTTAATAGTGTTCATATAGATTACTCTTGCATAATTCCCATGAAAAACTGCTCACTAAATTACAAAGTAGATTATTCCATTTTCTACAACTCCCAATTATCTGAAAATAATTCATGAACAGAAATTTGTCTCCCTGTCTTGTTTGAGTTTGAATTCTACTAAAGTAAATAGAATTGAATTAAACCATCAGCCCCAAGACATCCCCTTAAATCTTTGAAAATAGCTACTTTACTTCCCTTCTCCCCACTCCCACTGCACCATCCAGATCTTCCTATTCCAAGCTAAACACCCCCAGTCTTCACATGACACAGTTTCACTCTTCTGGTCTCTCTCTGAACATGCTCCAGTTTGTCAATATCCTTCCTAACAATAGCCACCCCAAACTGAACAAAATGCTTCACAATTTGTCAGACAATAGCAGTGACCAGAGTGCAATTACATTCCTTTTCCTAGACACTATATTTTAATGCAGGATAAGAATGCCTTAGCTTTTTTGGCTAACACCTTTGAATCATATTGAGCTTGCTGTCAATTAAAATATCCAAGTCTTTTTCATGTGAATTCCTGTTAATCCAGTTCTCCCTCAATCCCGTATTAATTTCAGCCCATAGTTCCAGTCTAATGAGATCTTTTCAAATCCTGATTCTTTCTTTGAGCATATCAACTATCACTTCCAGCTTTGTGTCAACAACAAATGTGGTCATCCTGCCCTCTGTCTTCATTTATGTTGTTGATAAGATTATCAAATGGGATCCAGCCATTCTCAGAGCCCTGTGACAACTCTGGGGATGTCCCTCAAGATTGAGATCAGTCCATGAGTTAACATTCCCTGCATTCAGTTATTCAACTCTTTGTGACTATCCGGAATTACATCATCACTCAGTTCCTATTCTTACCCACAAGCACGCTGCTATTGGAAGCATGCCATAATGGAACGTCATGGACTTTTCAGCCCCATATAATTTAGTTCAAATTCTTTGTTACTTTTTAGCTGTGTGACATCAGGAGAGTTATTTAACTTCTCTGAGCTTCTCTTGCCATATTTAAAGCATAATTTTTAATTAGTAGGCTAGTTCTGTAAAGAACTGTCATATTGATCTCTGAATCTCCAATAGCCAGCACAATTCAGGTACATTCTTAGTAAATTTCCAACAGATAATGAATTACTAAACAAGCAAACAATCAATGACTGGATCCAAATTACTTACTTAAATCATGATACATTGTCTATAGGTTGTTTCTCTAATCTGCTTGTCTAGTTTCCTTATGAAAAAATGGTAATAAATTATGTTAGTCAAGTTATTCTTAAGTGATTCATTGCTGGTTCCTAATAATCATCATACCTCTTCATTTTTTATTGGTACATAATTCATATATTATAAAGCATATTCTTTTAAGCTGTACAGTTTAGTGACTTTTATTCACAGAGTTGTGCAAACATCGCCAGACTCTAATTTCAGAACATGTCATCAGCATGAAAAGAAATTCTATACCCATTATCAGTCACTTTCCATTTCCTTTCTAAACCCCGAGCCTAGACAACCACTAATCTACTTTCTGTTTCTACAGATTTGCCCATTCTGGATATTTTATATAGATGAAATCACTTACTAGGTGGTCTTCTGCAACTATATTCTCTCACTTAGCATAATCTTTTCAAGGTTCATCAAGGACTTAGCATGTATCAGTACTTCATTTCTTTTTAGGGCCAAATAATATTCCACTATATGGATGTACCATGTTTTATTTAACCATTCATCAGTTGATAGACTTTTGAGTTATTTCCACTTTTTGGTTATTATGAATAAAGGTGCTATAATGTTTGCATACAAGCTTTTGTGTGAACATATTTTTCATTTTTCTTGGATGTATACCTAGTAGTAGAATTGGTGAGTCATATGGTAACTCTATATTGAACCTTTTGAAAAATGGTTTTTCAAAAGCAGCTGCACCATTTTAAGTCTTATCAGCAATATAAAAGGGTTCAAATTTCCCTACATCCTAGCTACCACTTTTTATTGTTTGACATTTTTATTATAACCATCTTAGTGAATGTGTAATGGTATCTCGTTGTGGTTTTTATGTGCATTTCCCTAAGACTAATGCTGCTGAACATTTTTCATGTGCTTATTGGCCATTTGTATATCTTCTTTTAAAAACGTCTATTAAAAGTAGTTGCCCATTTTTCTGTTGCACTGTCTTTTTTATCGTAAAGTTGCAAAAGGTCTTTTATATTCTGGATAGACTAGTCCCTTATTAAATATATGATTTGCAAATATTTTCTCTCATTCCATGAGTTGTCTTTTAACTTTCTTGATAGTGTCTTTTCAAGTACAAAAGTTTTCAGTTTTATGAAGTCTAATTTATTTATTTATTTTGTTGCTGCTCATGATTTGATGTCATGTCTAAGAAACCATTGCCTTATTCGAGAAAGTTTTGTTTTCTTGTAAGAGTTTAATAGTTTTTGTTATTAAATTTAGGTCTTTGATCTGTTTGGAGTTAATTTTTTGTATGTGGTGTGAGTGGTCCAGTTTTATTCTTTTGCATGTGGACATCTAGTTGTTCCAGCACCAATTTTTTGACATAACTATTTTTTTCTCCATTGAATATCCTTGGAACCCTTCCTGCAAATCAATTGACCATAAACTTGAGATTTATTTCTGGACTTTCAATTGTTTTCTAACGCTCTATATATCTGTTTTTATGCCAGTACCACATAGTTTTGAATACTGTAGCTTCACAAGAAGTTTGAAATTGGTAGTATGAGTCCATCTTTGTTGTTTTTCAAGATTATTTAAGCTATCTAGGTTTCCTGCACTTTCATATGCATTTTAAATTAAGCTTGTCTATTTCTGAAGAAAAGACAGCAAACAGCTGGAATTTTTATAAGAATTGCATTGATTATGTAGATCAATTATCATCTTAATATTAAATCTTGCAATCCATGAACATGGGATGTCTTTCCATTTATTTAGATCTTCTTTAATTTCTTTCAGCAATGTTTTAGTTTTCAACACACAAGTCTTAAACTCCTTTTGTTGATTTTGTTTGTAAATATTTTATTCTTTTTTATACTACTATAAATTGACTTTTAAAAATTTTCCTTTCAGATTATTCATTGCTACTACATAGAAATAGAATTAATTTTTGCATAATTATTTTGTATTTTTCAACTTTGTTAAGCTTGTTTATTAGCACTAGTAGCTGTTGTTTTGTATCTTCCCTAGAATTTTCTACTTATAAGATCATGTCACCTGCAAATAGAAATAGTTTTACTCTTTCCTCTCTGATTTGGATGCCTTTTATTTCCTTTTCTTGCCAAATTACATGGAAAAATCTCCAGTACAATGTTGAAAAGAGTGGTGAGAGTGAACATCCTTGTCCTGTTCCTGATTCTGGTGGGAAAGCTTTCAGGCTTCTACCATTAAGTATAATGTTAGTTGTGGGTGTTTTGTAGATGCTATCAGGTGGGGAAATTTTTTTTCTATTCCTGGTTTGTTGAATGTTTCTATCATGAAAGGTTGTTGAATTTCATCAAATACTTTTCCACATCTACTGAGATGATCATATGAGTTTTGTCCTTTATTTTATTAATATATTGTATTATGTTGATTCATTTTCACATGATGTAGCAACCTCACATTCTGGGATAGATCCTACTTACTTAAGTGTGTAATCTTTTTTTCTGTCTTTGGATTCAGTTGACTAGTAATTCAGTGAACCAATATTTTCCAAATGAACAAAGAATGATACTATGAAATCATGCATGGGTAAACAACCTATTTAAAGTACAAGATAAAATCCAAAGCCATGGATTTTAATGCAACAGAGTGTGGATAGTTTATTAATATGGTTTCAGATTCTACACTGGATCTAATATTTAGAAACCTACAACTTGTTGAGTGTTAGGATAATATCAAAAATAGCTACAATTCCATGAAAAAGCTAACAAAATTCAGTCAGTTCTGCTTTCACACAGAAAAATCTGAATTTGTGCAAGCCAGAAAACAAATCTGTTTTGTTTTGAAGGCCTGAATATTTTCCAAAGAGAACCATTAGGTGAATGCAGAACCCAAAAACTCCAGACACACACCTCATGAGGACATTGAGCCACATCATCTGCACTCAGTGTCACAATTGTTCCATGTGATTTCAGATCACCTCTTGCCACCCCTTTACAAAAACTTTCTAGCTACAAGCTTGAGTTTTAGGATAATATAGCCACAATTATATGGAAAAGCCCCTGCCCTAAAGACTCTTTCATTTTCCCATTTCCTCTTGGCTTATTATATATTTTTTCTCTCTGCTCTCATCTCTCTTCCTCTCTCCTTACCCTTGCTGCCTTGTTCTTTTATTCTTGCACACATGATGGTGGGTGAGGAAGCCAGTCAGGCAAGCCTGGTGGGAGTGGGAGTTCAGGCACCCACTTCCACAAGCAAACTTTAGATATTTTTCAAGGTAAAATACCATAAGTATTATAGTAGCCATTTATTTCTTAACCATTTAGAATGTGTAAACTGTGCTCCCGTTTTATTAGATTCCATTCTGTTTAATTAAATTCCTACCTGCTTTTTATGTGTCACTAAGTTTTTGAGTATTATCTCTTAAATCCTATTTTCTCATAAACCTTGTGATCTATTGTATTGGGATAATGTGACTAACATTAAATTCACCATTTAAGCAATTTTAAAACATACAATCCAGTGTCTTTTAGTATATTCACAATATATGGAACTATCACCACTAATTCCAGAAAATTCTCATTACCCCAAAAAGAAACTTCATACCTATTAAGTAGTAACTTCCAATTTCCCCTCCACTACCCCCTTGCACTGGCAACTATTAACCTACTTTCTATGAATTTCTTATTCTGGACTTTTTAGATAAATGAAATCATACAATACATCGACTTTTTGTCTGGCTTCTTCCACTTAGCGTAAAGTTTTCAGGTTCATCTATGTTTAGTATTTATTGGTACTTCATTCCCTTTATGACAGAATAGTATTTCATTGTATGAATATATGACATTGTGCTTATTCACTCATCAGTTCGTGAACATTTGGCTTGTTTACATTTTTGGCTATGATGAATAATGCTTCAGTAAACACTAGTATATAAGTATCTGTTTTGAGTCTCTCTTTTCAATTCTGTTGGGTATATAACTAGAAGTAGGATTGATTAATCAGGTACTAATGCTATGTTTAACTTTTTGAGGAGCAGCCAGACTCTTTTCCTTTCTTTTTTAAAAAAAATTATAGCCATCTTAGTGGGTATAAAGTTGTATCTCATTGTAGTTCTTATTTACATCCACATTCATAAGGGATTTTTATCTGAAGGTATTTTTTTGTTGTGATCTATCTTTCTAAGTTTGGTATAATGATATTATTGGCCTTATGGAATGCATTTAGAAGTGTTGTCTCCTGTTCCACTTTTTGGAAGATTTTGAAAGGGTTGGTGCTAATTATTCTTTAAATGTTTGGTAGAATTCACCAGGGAAGCCATCTGGCTCTGGGCTTTTCTTTGTAGAAAGTTTACCAATTACAGATTCATTCTCTTTACTTGTTATAGGTCTATTCACATTTTCTGTTTCCTTTGGAGTTACTTTTGGTAATTTGTGTCCTTCTAGGAGTTTGTCTGTTTCATTCAGGTTATTTAATTTGTTGGCACACTGTTGCTCATTGTATTATTTTATAATCCTTTTCTTTGTTCTACCTTTTACAATTTAAAGATCATTCTCCTTGTTAGAAAAGAATAGCTGATTGTTTTTAATTTATTCCCTTAAAATTTCATCAAACAAAATTTGTTAAACTGGACTACAGTTACTAATATTTATTGAATGATAAAATTTATGAATTTTTTACTAATGTTTATAAGCAGGTCCTTTTTACTGTTCTGTCCTTTTGCAGGCAGGCAGAAGGTGGAGATGGAAGTGGAAATTGCCTTTTTACAATATATGGCACATTGAAATCTGTTTGTGTGTCTCTCTTTCTCCATTTGAGAAATACTGATTCCCAGTATTTGTGTTCTCCTCCAGGATTTTCTGCCTTGGTCTTTTTATATCTGGGACATGCTTGCTGCCATTTTTGTATGTATCAAATGGAGACAGATGTGCCATGTCAGTAACATTTACACTGGGAAACAAAAAACAAAATGTTCCAAAAGCAACTTGACAAATAATTCACTCTTACTTTTTCTGGGTATCTGTTAAAATAAGAGTTTCATTTTTGGGAGAGCTCCACTTCACATTCTGCCAATGTTTATGCATGTGAGCATATAACTCAATAAATGTGTTGAATAGACTTCACATGTATAATTCCCTCCTCCTAGAAGATACCACCTCTTCTACCCACAATAGTTTATTCATGTGGGCATTCATTTATTGACTGATGCAAGAAATTTGTGTTGCCATATGCCAGGAATACAGAGGTGCACAATAAAATAAATGGACAGATGCACCTGTCCTCATGGAGCTTACGTTCTACTGAGGGGAGACAGACAATAAACAAAACTGATAGAGAAATTTGATAGCATATCAAAATGCAACTAGTGGTTTGGAGAAAAAAGGAAAAGAAATCAGAAGTGTGAGAATAATTTCACAAAGGGTGTTCATTTGCTTCCCTGAAAAAGTGGCATTTGCACAAATAACTGGAAGATCTTTTCATGATATGATTCCCCTGTTGAAACTGGTATCATTATAGGTTTCCTCCTTCAAAGTCTCCCTTTGACATGCAGCATCTGCTTTCCCGCCCCCTGTCATGCACCCCACTGTTTCTTATGTGCCGCTCTTCCACCTCCGACACTTCCATGCATACTTGTCCCTTTTCCAGTCCTCATCAAATATCTTTCCACTGTGCTTACTATGGAGGATGTGTCCTCCCAGCAGGAGAGACATTTGTTCCTCTAAGTGACATTTTAAAAAAGTATTTGACTTATATTGTGAGCCTCTTGTAATAGATATATGTCCTCTGAAGAATTTTCCCTTTGGGACGTGCTCTCCAAGTTCGCCTTTCTACATCTTCTTCACATGCTGCAATATATTCCAAAACAAGGTTGCCAATTTCTATTATTTTCATGTGGGTCATGATTCTCTACAGCTAGAGCAACCTGTCTTTTCACATGGCAAATAATAATAATAATTAAATTATTTTTAATTACTTAAAATGTTTTTAATTCCAGCTAATTTTGAAAAACTATTTAATTAACAAGTGTTAAATTCAATACTTTATATGTACAAATAGAAAGCAGCCTACCAGTTTTTGTTTTTAATTTCCTTAAGACAGACACCTCCTATTGAATTACCAAAAGAGTCCCTAAAATCAAAAACCTGGAGAAACCTGGTGTTCCTCCAGGGATATTTATATTATCTAAAGATATTTGTATTCAAGGATTTTGTTGTTGTTGTTAATGAGAAGTTTTATGAGGGTAAGATAAATTTTTAAAATTGTAGAGTAGGGCCGGGTGCGATGGCTCATGCCTGTAATCCCAGCATTTTGGGAGGCTGAGGCAGGTGGATTGCTTGAGCCCAGGAGTTCAAGACAGCCTAGACAACATGGTGAAACTCTATCTCTACTAAAAATACAAAAATTAGCCAGGTGTGGTGGTGCACACCTGTAATCCCAGCTACTCAGGAGGCTAAGGCACGAGAATCACTTGAACCTGGGAGGCGGAGGTTGCAGTGAGCCAAGATCGTGCCACTACACTACAGCCTGGACAACAAAGCTAGACCCTGTCTCAAACAAAATAAAACAAACAAACAAAAACAAATAAAATTGTAAAATAGGAGCATTCCAGAGGTTGAGTTATATTTTCTTTAGCGGGATGCAAGAGAAAGAAAATTATTTGTTGAGCACCTTACTAGAATTAAAGCCTTGTGATGAGTCTTACAATGACATAAAGAGTTGAACTTTAATGTCTCCATTTGACAATTGATATGACTGAGGCCTGAAAAGGTAAGTAACTTGCTCCAGGTCACAAAGCTATAGACCAGCAAAGCTGGTACTTAAATCTGGCCTGTTTGGCTCTAAAGACCATAGTCTATTTTTCTAGTAGTTGGTGTCATAATAGAACTCAAACTGGGCTCATCCTGAAGAGTAGTTGTTATAGAAATCCAAATTATAAAAGCTTACTAACCAAACAGAGAGTGACTGAGTTATGTGTGACTTGTAAAGTACATAAGGATAGTTAATTGAAGAACAATTAATACACATGAAAAAAATAAATGCATGATTAGTGACAGGAAAAGAGCCAAAACCCAGCCCCACCCCTCACCCACAAAAGCACAAAATGTTTTGCCTTATTACCTTATAAAATTATCTTTAAAACTTTTATTTTCACTATATTTTAGGAAGCATGACAAGTATTGCCAGTATATTTTAGGAAGCATGACAACTACACAAGTATTGAAATTGACATGGTGGTGAGAATTCAAAGTTGGTATGTGAATTATAATTCTAGTGCAAAGTGTACTGAGGGGAGTGTCTCTCCTTCCCTTTGCCAAAGTTGCAATTATCAAGCTGTTAACAGAGCCAGTTTCCCTCTTGGCTCATGCAGAGCACTGATGGGTTCCCATGGTCATGATCTCTACACAGAGTAGTTAGCTCTACTCTGAGAAAAAGTGTTGCACAACCACAAACAGCACTTTTAGTCTAGGCCAGACATCATAAAAGTTCACATCCCTGATAAAAAAGGAGACGGGATTGTGCAAGACAGCATGGATAATTTGGCATCCACAAATAAAGAAATCACTGCTGGGAAACCAGCTCAGTTGCTCATTTTGCTGAAAATTTGTTGTTAGTACAGTGGCCATGTAATTTATTATCCAAACCATAACTCTTGTGAGGGGGGCGTTATTAACAAATCCTCTGGGCCAGGCACGGTGGGTCACACCTGTAATCCCACCACTTTGGGAGGCCGAGGTGGGGGGATCACCTGAGGTCAGGAGTTCGAGACCAGCTTGGCCAACATGGTAAAACCCCATCTCTACTAAAAATACAAAAAAAAAAAAAAAAAAATAGCCAGGCGTGGTGGCAGGCACCTGTAATCCCAGCTCCTCAGGAGGCTGAGGCAAGAGAATCACTTGAATCCAGGAGGCGGAGGTTGCAGTGAGCCGAGATCATGCCATTGCACTCCAGCCTGGGAAACAAGGACGAAACTCCATCCCCCCCCAAAAAAAAAAGTCTGGATAACAGGCCTAAACTGGAGTTGCACAAACGAGTGAAGGACTTATATTACACCAGCTATTAGTATCATCTTTGCAAATGAGAAGACAAACATCTAAATGATATATATGCACTATGTAGTGTTACAATCTCCCTGGAATTGTTTCCTTTAAAAGAAGTCTCTGTGTTGGTCTCAGCTAGAATCAGAGCCTATTGTGGAGGTAACAGAAGTCTATGATTAAATGATCCTCAGAAAATGTTAGTGCGCTGCAAGCAAGAACACTTTTCCTGTTTTGCCTTTTGTCCTAAGAATATGAACTCCAAGACAAAGGGACTAATATAGAGAAACTAAGGCTTTCACTCTCTCACCTATGGTTTCACAGCATTTTGTTCACAATTAGGAACTAGAGCTTAGCAAGAACTGTTGCCATTTACCTTATTCTGTGTCTATCAATGAACAACTTAAGAAGAAAGATCACATATTACTCATCTCTGCAGCCCCAGTATTTAACACAGACCTACACAATGCATTTCTGTAAATGTACATACAGCAAATGAAAATGGTAGGATAAATTTTCTTAATCCTGAAACTATGGAATTTACTACATTGACTAACATTGAACTTGAAATAAATTTCCCAGCCGGGTGCGGTGGCTTTGTATTTTAGTTAAAATAGAAGAAAATTAGCTGGGCGTGGTGGTGTGTGCCTGTAGTCCCAGCTACTCAGGAGGCTGAGGCAAGAGAATCGCTTGAACCTGGGAGGTGGAGGTTGCAGTGAGCCAAGATTGCCCCACTGCACTCCAGCCTGGGCAACACAGTGGGACTCCATCTCCAAAAAAAAAAAAAAAAAAAAGAAACAAAAGAAAAAAATTTGCCTCTTGGTTTAAAAAATATACATTGAGTTTCAGGAAGACTCTTCTATGAAAATCTAAGAAAATCACTTCTACTTGGCTTTCATATGCAGATGTGAGAGTGAAAGCAAAGCATAGCTTTTCAAATTTGTTCCAATATGAGCAACTAGCTGAAAAGCAACCTAAACTTTGCCGGTTACTTGTTCAGTCTGTGCAGGGCCTTTTTGTTATCTCAGCTTTGTTGTACAGGCAAGCTATGACTTTTACCAGCTTATTTTTGTGTCTGCTAAGCAGAAATTATTGCAGCATTTCCTAAGATGCCTGGAATGGTAAATATTCTTTTTGAACTAATGCTGCCAGCCATACCTTTCTTTCTCTTCAGCTACCATGGAATCAGAGTTCTAAATAAAGAGCTTACATGTGTTTTCAAACAGCCAAATTCACCTCTGTTTATTTCGCCTCCAGGAATATTCTTTGGCTAGAAGCTCTGGGAGTTTCATTTACTGGTTGCTCAGTTAAGTCAGACAACGACATACTTCCAAGATGGCCTTTGGGAAGAATTCAAATAGAGCTGCTTCAAATTCTTTTTAGAAGTAGACAGGGCATAAATACATATATTTTTGAAAACAACTATGGAAGAGTTGTGGTATTATATCATTTTTGGAATGAAGTGGGATATAAATAAACAGATAACTAGGCAGAGTTCCATCCCAGATATTTGTTTACAAGGGAAAGGTTGGATCCCTCCAATTCATCCTCTTTATTGCAGCCAGTGTTACTTTCCTAAAGTGAGAAACTGATCCTGTCTCTGCTCTGCCTCCCATTCTTCCAAGCCTCTCTTCCTCTACCAGTCCACATTTCTTACCTCCATTTACCTGGGGTCCTCTATAACTTCCCAGACTCTCCTCTCACCAGTCACATGCACCTTCTATTCCTACGTGTGACATGGATTGATAGCGCAAATGACCCCAGTTCCCCACCCCTCCACACCCTTTGCAATGTGACTGTGCAGCAGTGACTTATTTTCCCCCTGTGAATCTGCACTGGCTTACTGACTTGCTTTGCCTTATGGAAGGTGATGGTGTGCTGGTTCTAAATCCAGTCCTCAAGGGGCCTTATGCTGTCTCTTAGAACCCTGCCTCCACGATGGAAACAAGTCCAGGCCAACTTGCGGGAGGAAGAGAGTTCACACAGAGCAGTGACAAGTCATCCTGACTGAGGCCATCTTAAACCCACCAGCTCCCAGCTTCAGGCCAGTTGATCACAGATTCAGGAGAGAACTCAGCTTAGATCAGCAGACTACAACCAGATCAGCAGAAGCATCCAGCCTACTCACAGATACACGAGAAAGAATGAATGATTGTTGTTCAGCAGCCAGATTTGGGATGGTTTTTTACACAACTTTTTGTGGCAAAAAGATAACTGATACGTATACCAAACTACCTATAGTTCCTGAACAAAAATATTCTTTCACCCTATCACTCCTTTTAAAGATGCTATTATCTCTACATGGAATAAGTCTCAATTCAGTCCATAGTCATTAATATGTCACCCATATGCCCCAGTGTTTTTCTCCCCGGGAATTTATCTGCCAGGGACAACCCTACCTGGATATCAAGATCTTGCAGCTTGGAATCCCCCGTCAAACCAGCAATAGTGTGGAGAACTGAAATCGCCCTTATTCCTCCTCCTCCTCTCTCTCACCTCACAGCTACTCACTCTCTCCTCTATGCTGCTTAGTACTTTGCACCTATATGCATTCTGGCAGTTGTCACATTATTTTGCATTTATTTTACATCTTTGTCTCTTCCACTGGACAGTAAGCTCATTGAGAGCAGAGACCATACCATTTATTTTGGAGTAGCCAGGGCCTGAGACAGGCACTGCTCACATTTGCAAGACTGCATTAATTTTCTACTTACTGTGAGTTTGTTTCTTATCAATGAATCTCTGTACTAATAAAAAATGGAAAAATAACTCAACATAAGTGAAGACAATATTTAAGTTTATATTCAATCAGGTGCTAGGCACTATGGTAGCATCAAGGAAATAAAAAATAAATAATAATTAAGTCCTTTATTAAAAGGATGGGTTAAGGTCATCATAAAGATTTGCGGGTTTGGGCCAGGTACAGTGGCTCATGCCTGTAATCCCAGCACTTTGGGAGGCCAAGGCAGGAGGATTGCTTGAGCCCGGGAGTTTGAGCCCACACTGTCTCTACAAAAAAATTTAAAAATTTATCCAGGTAGGGCGTTGTGGTGTGCTCCTGTAGTCCGAGCTACTCAGGAGGCTGAGATGGGAGGATCGCTTGAGCTCAGAAGGTTGAGGCTGCAGTGAACCATGATCATGTCACTGCACTCAGCCTGGGTGTCAGACAGACAGAGACCCTGTTTCAAAAATGAAAAGGAAGATTTGTGGGTTAGGTAACCCCCCACATGATTTGGTTTATCCAATTCTTACTTCATTCAGAAACCAAAAGGTATATGCTATTTGGAAATCATACATTTAAGAAGGAGGATATGAGGCAGAAAGGTTCAGGCAATTCTGTCTTGGCAAAAGTGTTTGATTCCTATATAGAATTCCTCTCAAAGAACAGATCTTATGACCAGGAGAGATGACTTGCTAAATTCATAAAGTGGATTAAATTTGTTTTAATATTACAATGTACTCTCTTCTTTTTTATGATAACCATGCTAGGCAGGTTATTTTGGATGTGTGGAATAAAGACTCTATCAGGATAGCTCAAGTGACAGGGGAATTATAAGAATTCTCAGTCTAAGGCTGACAGGACCTTACTTGAATAAATCTGAGGAAAGGAACCATAGGACAGATGTATCACAGGGAAGAGAACTAGAAAGGTGACAACTTATATGATTTGTCATCAGCAACAGGAATTCATATGCCATTAACTCAGCTCTGGTCCACCCCTGTGGTTCCACCCACCATTACTTCCTCTCTTCCTCCCTGCCTCAAGGTCTCTGTTTACACCTAAATTAGAAGTCTCATGACTTTGGCCCAGCCTGCCTCATGCCCTCTCTCACTGTGGCTGATCAACTTCTGCTCTTGTGTTAGAGTACTGATTCCTTGCATGTTTCTAAATTCTAATTGCTAAGAGAATAACATGATGGCATAGCTATTTCACATTTGGCTAAGCCTTCCCACATCAGGTATCCTAACAAGCTATGGGCCAGCCATGAGATTGGCTACCTTCCTCCTCTGGAAGGGAACACTGTGTCAGCACAAGACTGAAGAGTGAAATTTACACTTTCTCTGGGGCCTTTGATACATACCATTAGCTTAGCCTTTGTTTCAAAGACAAGAACTGTAACAAAAATTTTTAAGATTCTGATTGGTTGGCTTTTTCTGAAGTAGACTCTTTATACCAGCAGTTTTAGTTCACAGAGAAATTGAGCAGAAAGTATTATAAAAAGTCCTTGTATGCCCTCTGCCCCTACACGTGCACAGGTCCCCAGCTGTCAGCCTCCTTCACCAGAGTGATTCATCTGTTAAAATCAATGAATGCACATTGACACATTATTATCATCCAAAATCCAGTTTACATTAGAGTTCACTCTTGCAATTGCACGTTCTATGGGTTTTGACAAATGTGTGACATGTATCTACCATTATAGTACATTACAGAGTAGTTTTACTGCCCTAAAAATCCCCTGTGCTCTGCCAATTCATCCTTCTCTTCTGCCAACCCCTGGCAACCATTGATCTTTTTACCATTTCAATAGTTTTGCCTTTTCCAGAGTGTTGTATAGTTGATAGTTGGATCATACAGTATGTAGCCCTTTATATTGGTTTCTTTCCTTAATAATATGAATTTAAATTTCCTCTGTGGCTTTTTATGCCTTGATAGCTCATTTCTTTTTAGTGCTAAATAGTAGACCCTTGTCAGGATGTTCCAAAATTTATGCATCCACCTGCTAAAGGCACATCTTGGTTGCTTCCAAGTTTGGGCAATTATGACAAAACTGCTATAAATGTTCATGTACAGATTTTTGTGTAGACATAAGCTTTCAACTAATTTGGGTAAATACCAAGGAGCACAACTGTCAGGTCATATGGTAAGAGTACATTTAATTTTGTAAGAAACTGCCAAACTGTCTTCCAATTTGTTGACTTCAAAACGTTCTGCTCTCAAACACTAATAGAATTGGCAATCACATAAAATAATTTGGCTATGTTCTAATCAGACACAAAAATCCTCTTCTATTGCCTTTCTTACCTCTTCTTGTTCTTCACCACAATCTTCCCAATCTCCATACCTTACCTACCACCCATTTACCATCCAAGATGGGGATTGTAGAGAAAATGAGGCTACAGACTTGAGCCTCTTCAACTGCTTGACATCTCCTAGATGCAAAATTACTTGTCTCTTTGCCTCTTTGCATTATCTCCTTTCACTTTGTCACACACACACACACACACACACACACACACACACACTCCACAGCTCTCCTCCAACCAAACATAATCCATCCATCTGAGCTCTGAACCTCAATCTTACACACATACTTTTCTACAGTTTACTTTTTATGTCTTACCAATTTCCTTTTCATCTATTTCCTCTCAGCAGGTAAACAAGCTTACTTCACTTACATCTGAAAACAAGAAGCAAAACAAAGGCCTCCTATCACCCTGCCATAACTCTCTCTTCCCTTCTCTCTTCTTTCCTCTATAGCAGCAGTAGGTCTATCCTGTTAACTCAACTTGCTCCCTTACCATCCAGTTTTCTGTACCCGTTTTTGACTTTTTAAAACTTTTGCACCCCTACTCCTCTGAATTTGTGTTCTGTAAGGTCAGCAGTTACCTACTAAAAGCATAGCCTAATGAACACTTTTCAGCTTTGCTCTGGCTCTCTTCCCATTATTTCGAGTGCTTATTTTGACTTATTTCCCAATTTTTACCCACTCCTACCCTTTGATCTCATCTATTGATTTGGCTCTCCTGGCTCTCCTGGTTCCTATATATTTATGTTACAGACTCTTCTCCTCTTGCTCTTTCTTCTCCTCAAGCTTCCAAGACAGCTGCTTAGACCTAGCTGTGATCCTATAGGATTGACCTGCATTGCTGACACTCCAGCCTAGCACACCCAAGCCCCACTGATGGGTGGTAGGACACCTCAACTCTCTATTATCTCATCAGATTACTTCAACTCCCACTTACATACTAAAGAATCACAAATTTATGTCTCTAGCTGTCTCTTAGAAACATCCACCAGTATGTCTCACAAGAACTTCAAATTTCACACATCCCAAACTGATCACCTCATCTTAACTCCATATGTGTGTGCCTCCTCCAATATTCTCTTTCTTTATAAACGGATTTCTTGTCATTCAAACCAGTTGTGTTTTTGCTTCAGTAATGCTATGGTCTGAATGTATCCACTCAAAATTCCTATGTTGCAATTTAATTGCCAATGTGATAGTATTAAGAGGTGGGGCCTTCAGGAGGTGATTAAGGTGTGAAGGTAGATCCTTCAGGAATGGGATTAATGACCTTATAAATGAGGTACAAGAAAACTGTTAGCCTTTTCAGTCATGAGAGGACACAGAAAAGGCACTCTCTGTGAGGAACAGGCCCTCACAAGACATTAAATCTGCTGGTACCTTGATCTTGGACTTTCTAGCCTCTGGAACTATAAGAAAGTACACTTCTATTATTTTTATTACCTGGTCTAAGATATTTTGTTATAGCAGCAGGAACAGCCTAAGGCAAATAGTGTTAGTGCTATTGCAATTGTCTCCTATGATTTTCTCTAAACTCAACCCTCCCCAATTCATCCCCTAATGCACTGCCAGTTGTACACTAACAAACAAACCTGATCGACAATTTCTTATTCAGGAATCTTTGCTAGCCCTCTGCTACCCAAGGAATAAAGCACACACTGCTTGAAGGAAAGCGAGTCCTCCATTATCTGGCCCTTCTCTGCCTCTCCAGCTTCATCACTTGCCAAGGTCACTTTCACACTTTATGCTCCAGAAATATTAAATTATTTATAAATATGTGCTGTGGAGGACATTTGTCATTTTGGAAGCTATATTATTCAAACTCTAATATTTTAAAACCATACTAATTTTTTTAACAGGAAGAATGTAACATAAGAATTAGTTAAATGGGTGTTGGGGTCTAAAGAAGGCAAAGGTACAACTGAGGTGACACAGAGATAGTAACTGTGGAAGCATTTGCCACCTCTGTGCTTGGAGCAGCAAATGGAAGAGGTTGGCCTTATGAGAACCTGAAAGCTTAGGGAGAAGGCCCTGTAGAGTTGGAACCCAGACATCTAAGGAGAAAGGACAGCCCCCCTGGTGCGTTAGTAGCTCCTAAGGGAGTCACCACCGAGCTAAGACCCAGGTCACTGAAGATGGAGCACGGGCTGATTGGAGTTAGCCTCTCAGGGTAGGACGTGGGCAATTATGAGGTTGGTTCTTGGAATATGGGAAGAAACTCAAGACTGGAATCGACTGCCCCAGACAGGGTGAATAATCATTCCTGGGGAGAGCCTGACAGGCACATGGAGCAAATGAAGAAGGAACAAGTTTCTCCCCTCTCCCCTAGCCTTCTCATCTCCTTCTAGTGGCCCCCTATTGGCAGAATCTGACAGGGGGCCAATTGGCAATGGAGGAATGTGGTTCACACAGTCCCAGCCCCAGTGCCACTAAGCAGAGAGCAAAGAGACAATTGCTTAATAACCAGCATCCAGACAACTTTTGTATGAGAAGAAACATCAAGACTAGTAGAAAGTGGAGCCCTGCATCTCATCTGAAAGACGAAGGAGGTGGGAGGGTGCTACTCCCTTTCTGAGCTCCCTGTAGCTAGAGGACCTATGTTCAGCCAGAGAAAGGTCTCATCTGAGACATTATTCCTAGAGTGAATGATGCAATCAAGAGGGGACAGTGCAGAATTCATTTCAGTTGTGACTCTGGCAGCAGAAGAGTCTAATATTAAAGGGGAGTGGTCTCAGAACAGGCAGTAATGGTGACCAGCAACAGAGGGCCACTCATGGCAGGATTGCCAGTGGCGGCAGCCAGGGTCCATCTCTACCAGCTCTGGCCATCCAGTCTGTCCTGTTTCTTCCTTTATTATGAGTTTGGTTCTTTAGACTTCCAGAGGGTTTGGGAGCTACACAATATTCCTTCAATATATCACCTTTCTGCTGAACTAGCATCATTTTCTAATGCTTGAATATACATAGATATAAGTAATAATAGAGGGATCTGAAATGACTTTTTCCTTTTTCATGAGCCTCTATAATCCCAGGGTAGAGAAAAGGGCCTGTTTGCAGGCCATTTATGGACACACTTCTGTGTAGTTAGCTGATCTCTCTCTTCCCTTCCTAACCCTCATAGTGTTATTATTGAATGTGCTATTGTGGAATGCCCAATACAGGTTTTGGGCCACAGCCAACCGTGGGTGGCTCTGGAACCTGTCCAGGGCTGGCAGCTTCCTTCTCTTTTTTACAAATCTGATTTCTCGAATCTCTATGATACCCCATGCGGGAGGCTTCCTAGAGGACAAAGCTGGTCTCTGTGCCAGAACATGCGAGCATGCTCTGCAGGCTGCTGTAGAACAGAACTTAAACCTCTGCGCATTGACACTCCTAAGCCAGTGGGTTAAGAAGACTGATAGCCTTTGAAAAAGTCGTAACTCAGGAGAGAGTTCTAAGGAGCAAATGCCATAAGGACATTCACTGACCAAGCGCTTATTAAACATTTACTGTGGGCCAAGAACTCTGTCCCCCGCTCCCTATTTGACTTTGAATATGCCTAATGGATTCACCACCCTCTTCTTACTATGCTAGTGGTCTCTGCTTCTGATTTATCTAGGAAGAGCAGAGCCATCTATAAGACTGGTCAGAAGTGAGTTAGAGTTCATTTTTGCCCCTTCCAATTATGGAATCTATATCTAAGCTTACCAACCTTTGAGACTTGTTGAGAGTCTACCAGTCACAAAGAGACTCCAGAGGACTGAAACTAGAGAAATAAAGAAATTGTACAGGTTTTGGCAGGTCTTCTAGTACAAATTTTGTAATTTTATGAACAATAGTCAAAATCCTTCCAATATTATACTTTGGTGAATTTACATGGGATCCCATATAAATAGATGGTTATATTCACTTTATAAGTCATTCGCATCAAAAATATTTCTTGTATCCCAACCTAAAATGAAGCATAGAGTTACAGGAAAAATAGAGTTGACAACTTCTTTATTTGTTCCCTTTGCTGTCTCTAGAGCAGAGCTCCACAATAAATTTTTCCATAACTGAATTATAATAATGTATTTGCATTCTTGTCCCTTCCACTTTTCTGCACCTCATTGAGGACCAACTCAGGGTCTGATTCACCTTCATGTATCGAGCACTTGGACCTGAGTGTCTCAGTGCCTGAGACAATAAATGGTTTGTGAACACATAAATAAAAACATCTTGAGAAACAAAAGAGGTAAAGAGAGAACTACAGAAAGCTCACACATGGTGCAATTGGGGAACTACTGTAAGGTGAGTAGTAATGTATGAGATGATGGTCTGCATTTTTGAGCATGAGGGTTGGGAGAATTTCAGGTAAGAAAAAAAATAAACATTTAGGGTTAAAATGGTCTATGCAGGGTTTCATGGAAGAAAGCATTGAGGTGGACCTTAAAGGATAGGATTTGAAATGACAGAATAAAAGCATTTTTAGTAGAAAGGCAAATAATGCTATAAATGGAAATTCATAGAAGGTATCAATGATTGTATTATAAGTTTGCTGAGTAGAGTAGTGAATGAAAGGGGCTTTCTCTTGCTTGAAATCTCCCTCCACATTTTTTTTTTTTGTAAATAGTCCACCTGTTCTTCAAAGTAATGTTCGTAACTCACTCTCCTTCCTCAGCTGACCCAGACTGACTCTTGTTACCTCCCATAAAATTATTCCTGCACATTATTTTCTTGTCCCATTTGATACGTAAAGTATACTACAGTGAAATGGTGAAAAGAAAGTCCCCAAAATGGACATTTCAATATTAGCTCTTCAACTGACTGGTTTGGTGACTTTGACTAATCGTTAAGCCTCCCGGGGACTCTGTCTGTTAGACAATTTCTAAGATCCTTTGCAAAATAAGAGTCTAAAATTTGTCTTTTTGGCCGTTTGGCATCAAAAGGAGAAAATATGAGACAGAGCCTTCAGTCTGACCAGTTTCAGAAACTCATATGCATTTTCTAGCCCAATCCATGTCTTGTCCTGGTGGGGGAGGTCTTCTGTGGCCTTCTCTAGCTACACAAAGTATTCATGTAGAAATTGACTCTCAAGTCAGACTGCCTTGCTTTGAATTCAATGCTATTACTTTCTAAGTGTTTAATTTGGGCAAACTGCTTAACCTTACTATGCACAAAATAGGGCTATCAGAGTATCTACTCCATAAGTTTGTTGCAAAGATTAAAAGAGATAATCCATAAAGAATTTAGCACAATTATTCTCAAAGGACAAGCAGAATGAAGTGATTTTCTTCCTCTCTTCCAGTTTGCTGAAACACTGCTGCAAGAATCATGACTGCCCCTAGCAGCCATTTGAGCCATTAACATTGCTGTACCTGGCGTAGTATAAGCTGATCTTGCCCACATTCTTGGTCCTTCAACTTCCAAGCTAATTTCTAGGTGTCATTCAATAAGAAATGTTTAGCTTTCTCCACAGGTAGTGATGGTCAGAAGAAATAAGATTAACATATATATATTCAACCCTAGGTTCGAGTTCTCCCATCACTAAATGTAGGAGTGTTCCTGACATGTTCTAACGTTGTATTGCTCTATCTTTAAAGATCTTTGAGTTAATCAGTTTCTAATCAATGAGGCTGAGGCGTGGATGACTTAATTTTGTAGCAAAGAAAAAAACTGTACATTTCTTCAGAGACTAATGAACAAGGAAGTGATACTTCAGGACAAGTGAACAGGCATTGTGATACAAGAGGTACTGAATCTGGGGAAAGAAGAGATTTTTGTTCCCAAATGTGTGTGTTCCTTATGGAATTAAGATGTATTATATTTAGAAACACTTTGGAAAAATAAGATCTCATCCAGGTGTCAAAATCTAATTAATAGAGTTCTGCTCTCAGAAACAATTCAAAAGGAAGGGAGGAATATGTAGAAGGAGGGAGTTTCAGAGGGAGGGAAAGACCCAAGAGATGCTTGGTTTGTTTTTTTAATTTTTTAATAATTGCCTGAATAGAAGTTATAAACAGAAATGCTAGTTTCTGACCCAAACATATTTTAAATAATAAGATTTTCATGTATGCCTAGGTTCTAGAATCCACATTAGTATTTTAAAATCTGTAGAGTGAGTTTTCAAATCACTGTTTTAATGGCATCTCACTTAAAGAGGAGCAAACAGACTGAAATTTTGAACTAGTATGCTTCATCTTCAGTAACTTGTCAAGGAGGCACCCAGTAGGTAATGTGCGTTCTGGAAACTAAAGCCAAAACTGAGTTGAATTTGGTAAGGAAAAACGTTCTTAGCAACTATCCAAAATTAGCAAAGCGAAGTTTCATTTTCCTCAACCAATAATGGGAAAATGAATAAAAATAAACTATTATGCAAAAAAGTTCTGGAAAATAATAAAGTCATTTTTCCCAAATATAGCACATTTTAAAAAAATTGAATTCACCCTTTGAAAAAACACACAGGCTGAATGCAGTGGCTCACGCCTGTAATAACAGCACTTTGGGGGGCCGGGGCGGGTGGATCACTTGAGCCCAAGAGTTTGAGACAAGTCTGGGCAACATGGTGAAACCCCATCTCTATGAAAAATGCAAAAAATTAACCAGGCATGGTGACGTGCACCTGTGGTCCCAGCTACTCGGGAGGATGAGGCAGGAGGATCACCTGAGCCCTGGAGACTGAGGTTGCAGTGAGTCAAGATCGCATCACTGCCCTTGAGCCAGACCAACAGAAAGAGACTCTATCTCAAAAAAATAAAAAATAAAGAAAACACACAACTTTAATTCCTGAAACTTCCCTAATCGCCCTTCAATTCAATTGCTATTCAACTGATCAAAGAATACAAGTTTTATTATTTATAAATTCAGGAATATATGTTGCTTTATTGTGGTTGTTTTTTCATAATTATAGTGAATTAAATGAGGAAATATAGCTCTGGTGTTAAATATAAAATATTATTTTCATATTATATAGGAAACATAAACTTAATTCAATTCAGAATGAAGTACACACTTAAATATGTATGATTTCACATATGATCATTTTATTTTTAATAAGAATTTATATTCATATTTTACTTTTTTATATCTAAAAGTAATATGAAGCTGTTTGTTTATATCATCTCATAACTTAATATATGCATATTTATCTTACAAATTATATTCCTTATTCACACTCATCTTTTCTTCTTCCCCCGAGGAGAGACTGTATGTGAAGAAAGCATTAGAAGGAGAGAAGGAACAATGGCTTTTCAGGAAGAAGAGAAAGAAACCTGATTGGTAAGAAAAAAGCCCAGGGTGGGCTGGTGCTCTCAGCTTCCTATTGGAGAGGCACAGCACTGATTTCTAAGAAGACTTTGAGAGAGGGCAATTGTCAGACAGAAATTCCTATAGTCCTATAAAATAACCTGACATACAAATGCTGCAAGCATGTGTCAGAGTAATCATGTTGAGGTGAGCCAAACTTAAGACAAAAGATTCTAAAGAGGTGGTAGGTACATTAAAAAAAATAAGAATTTGCTTCCATAATTTCCCACTCAAGTTGCTTTATTTTTATTGACATCCGTATTTCTTCCAATTTGCTATTTGGTTTTTGTACAATTAACTTAAGGTGTTTTTGCCTTGACAGAATTTTTATGCAGTCGAATTCATCAATCTTTTCTTTTGAATATGGATTCTTAATCATAGTTTAAAAGTGTTTTCCTATACCTAGATTATAGAAGAATTCATCCATCCTTTAGTACTTTCACGGATTCTTTCTTTTTTTCTGTTTTTCATGTGTGAGAGGTGAGGAAATGATCTGACTGTGTCTTTTGTCAAAAGACTTAACTCTTTTTTAAAAATTTATTTTATTTATTTATTTTTTTTTTGAGACAAGGTCTCACTCTGTAGCCCAGGCTGGAGTTCAGTGGCATGATCTCGGCTCAGTGCAACCTCAACCTTTTGGCTCTAGCGATCCTCCCACCCTCGCCTCCAGAGTAGATGGGACTACAGGCGCATGCCACCACACCCAGCTAATTCTTTGCATTTTTGGTAAAGACAGGGCTTCGCCATGTTGCCCAAACTTGCCGGTCTCAAACTTCTGGGCTCAGGTGATCTGCCTGCCTTGCCTCTCAAAGTGCTGGGATTACAGGCATGAGCCACTGCACCTAGCCAACTTTCTTCTTTTCCCAGCAATTTATTTAAAAGTCTATCTTTAGTCCAGTAATTTGAGACATTACTTTCATTAATAGTAAATTTCCATATTTATTTTGATCTATTTCTAGACTTTTTATTCTATTTCACTAGTCTGTCTGCCTACTCATGTGACAGTACCACACGGTGCTAATTACAGAGGCTTTCTAGCATGTTTTAATAGATGGTAAAGAAAGTCTCCTCATAGCTTTTTTTTTCCAGTATTTTACTGGCTATTCTGGTTTTAAGATTGCATTAAAGTTATAAACTACCGTAGAGAGAAATGACATCTTTATGATTGAGTCATCTTACCCAAAATTAATGGATATCTTTTCTTTTTTTTTTTTTTTTGTTGTTTTTTTTTGAGACGGAGTCTCACTTTGTCGCCCAGGCTGGAGTGCAGTGGCGCGATCTCGGCTCACTGCAAGCTCAGCCTCCCGGGTTCACGCCATTCTCCTGCCTCAGTCTCCCGAGTAGCTGGGACTACAGGCACCCGCCACCATGCCCGGCTAATTTCTTTTTCTATTTTTAGTAGAGACGGGGTTTCACTGTGTTAGCCAAGATGGCTACGATCTCCTGACCTCTTTGATCCGCCCGCCTAGGCCTCCCAAAGTGCTGGGATTACAGGCGTAAGCCACCGCACCCAGCCTCTGTTCAGTTTTAAGTATTTATCTTCCTTTGCTATGTAAATGAAGTTTTCTGTATCATTTTATCTTTTAGCTGGCTATTTTTATTTTGTATATAAATGCTATTTCTACATATTAATTTTATATCCTGCTACATTACTGAATTGTTTTATTATCTGAGTCCATGGACATTCATTTGAAAGCTACATACTACACACATTCTGACAGATGACATTGTCTAATTGAGGATGCTGTACTTCGGTCAAGGGTATGTGATGTTATTTAGAGTTGAAGGAAAATAATCTACAACAATGTTGAGCCTTAAAAATCTGTTTGTTTCAAGAAGAAATCAGCATACTTCCTGATTTTAAAACGGTCTATGAAGAAATGGTAATGAAAATAGTGTGATACTGCTACAAGAATAGACATCTATACCAAATAAATAGAATTGAGAGTCTAGATATAAAACCATACATTTACAGAATGGACAAATGGAAGCCAGGGCCAGAAAGGAAATTATGATCTGCTGCATAGTTCTGATTTTCAGAAAGGGGCGAGCAAGTTGGCCGGGCGCGGGGGCCCACGCCTGTAATCTCAACACTCTGGGAGGCTGAGGGGGGTGGTGGATTACCTGTAGTCAGGAGTTCAAGACCAGCGTGGCCAACAGGGCAAAACCCCATCTCTACTAAAAAATACAAAAAATTAGCCAGGTGTGGTGGCCGGCGCCTGTAATCCCAGCTACTGGGGAGGCTGAGGTAGGAGAATCACTTGAACCCAGGAGGCAGGCTGCGGTGAGCCAAGATGGTGCCACTGCACTCCAGCTAGACAACAGGGCGAGACTCCATCTCAAAAATAAAAATAAAAAAGGAAAGAGCAAGTTGATCAGTTCCTGGCCACATAATCTTTTTATCTGCCACTAAACTCTTGAAAGTCTAAAAGAAATTTTATAAAAAAGGCTATTGAAGAATTTAACATGAATATTCCATAATATGCATATTTATGGTAATAGTTACAATTATAATTGTTCTAAATTACTTAAACTAGAAATATATAGTGTCTTATTAACATGTATTATATCAGATTTCAGGAGATTTTGTTGAAGGTAAGGAAAGAATTATGTGAGAATCACCAAATTTACGAACAAAATGAAAATTTGTAGGAGTTCTTTAATCTTTAAATGGACTCTGGCCTCAAAATTGTGATTGTGAAAAACTGCCATTCTTCATCAAATACTTGAGACAGAAAAACTAGTGAAGCACAAAAGTCATGCATGCAAACGTACAAAGTCTTTATATTTAAAAAAAAATAGTAGCCACAGTTTATTGAGAACTTGCTAGGTTCTAAGTGTTGTGTTAGTACTTTAAAACATTATATTACTGAAGCCTCACAAGCACCTAATGCAGTTGCTGTTTATAGTCACTACTTTACAGATAAGGAAACTAAATGTGAGAGGCAGTGGGAGCTTTGTCAATGGTCCACAACCACAGCTAGTCCATGGTTGAGCTTGTTACTTTAGCAGATGACTTGCTATCACATAGCAGGGCTCCCAATAATTAATATTTCTCAACATGTTACCAATGAATAAAATAACTAAAAATGTAAAATTGTGTATATAAAAGAGGAACATTTTCACCATATTGTTTATCTTAGGTTGCTTTAATTTATTATTTATCTTCTAAAAGATTTGGCTGATCCTTTTCACCTGTCTCTCTTTTGTCAGAAGCAAACTCAGTGTTATATAAAAATATGATCACATTTCCCAAAAGGCAAGGTAGTCAGAGAAAGCCAGTGATGATGATATGATACTGGACATTAAATATAGCCTTAAGCCAGACTTAAATTTCAGGTGGAGTCACTTGTCTGCCGAGAGAAATGCCATCATTGCTGATAAAGATTTTTAGACCCTAGCTTCAGAGTCCTGAGTTCTGAGTGATAGTTCCAAATGGTCAGTTAAAATCTGAGATCAGAGCCTAGTGTGAATTCTATCAAGTCATGGCACTGAGCCCAAGAGCAAGACTGATTGTACATTTGCAGACTTGGCAGCTTTTGAGATGATGATTTAGGGTAATCAACTTTCACCTCTTCCTTTCCTCTGAGATTTATGGAGAACATATTTAGTTTTGGAGGTGTTTTTGTTTTGTTTTGTTTTGTTTTGTTTTTGTTTTCTTACAGAAGAAGGATGCTTAGCTTTAGTGACACTCTAACTTCAGAACTAATTCAGAAAATCACACTAAAGTCTTTAATATGTTTGCATAATAACACATATTTAAAGCATTATAATTACAAAAAAAGTAGGATAAATCACCTTCTGGGTATTTATAACCAACTTTAGACTAAAGTAAAAGCTGAACATACAGTTTGCAAATTATTTAGATTCTCTGTTTCTTCCTCTGTGGTTTCTACCTGGCTTTCGGTTTGTTGTTAAAAGCTGCAAAGAGTAGAAGAAAATAGCTTTGCAGGTATTATTTTTAAAAAGAAGAGAACTTGAAGTTAACATGATTGCATTATAATTATTTATGGATTAAATTTTCTGTGTGCTGGTTGCCTATTCCTGCTAACCTCTGAAGAAGTTTAGAGAGACTTCATTGAGCATATATCTAAACTTGTGTCCTAAAATATAAATACATTTATATAAAGATGCATTTTAGTGAGCACACACATTCCCTTTAAGAAATCAACAGGGAAATCACTAAAATATATGGAAAAAAATCATTGGATTGAGTCAGGGTCCTTTTTTATTTTTGGTGACAAATGGATCAATAATCTCCAACATCAAGACTCCTACTGTCTTGATGTTGAAGCTTTTCCTGTCCTTTGAATGTCTGCCTCAGTCCTAAACCAATGCATTGTCATTACCCCTAACAAGTGCAGTTGTCTATGGCTCTCAAATATTGCCCAGGTCAAATTCTCTCAGCCTAGCTTGTGTCCTCTCTAGTGACCTTCAGCCAGCCTGGTCCTGGCATTTACATAAGAACAGGATATTAAAACATTCCCTGTGCATGTTTGAAGTTGATACTCACTGCACAGTTATTTCAGAAACTTTTTAGAACAACTGCTCTATCTTTAAAGTGTCTGCAGACAGGTGTCATAAATGGGCCATCCAAGAGTGTCAGAAACCATCAAAGCATTATTTGCAAAGTCAAAGCACTCTAGTGATGTTATTCATTGAACATAGTCTCAAAGCTTGCAGGTCATCTAGTCCAACTCTCTATCTAATTCAATAAATTCTTTCTCTAGCATTCGTGGAAGGGGGCCTGAGGGGAAAGAGCACACAATATTTGTGAAGTCTGAAGGCCTGGGCCTGAGTCCTAGCTCCAGTTCATTCTACCTCTGTGTAAGCAAAATACAAACCCTCTGAACCTCAATTTGCACATGTTAAGTACTTGGGTACATAGTAAGTGCTTAATACATAATTTTGAATGAATAAACATGACAACAACATTAGTCTCTCAAAGTTGTAATTTTCCAAATCATTCTCTTTCTCTCAACTGTGCTTTTGCATAGCCTATATTCTGCCTGGGATTGCCTTTGCACCATTTCACCTGGTTAACTAGTACCTGTCCAGAGAAATCTCTCCTGACAAGAGCCTCCTACCCCAAGCACCTGAAGCCTGTCTAAGGTACCCACTTTAAACATTCTGTGCTTATCGAATTAATCATGTGTTACAATCACATGTCTCTACCTATGTCTGCCTACCAGGCTGTGAGTTTCTTGAGGACAGGGACTATGTTTTATTCCTTTATTTATGTACTTTCTGCAGGTGCAGAAGGTCAAGTTAATCACATCTCTCAGTTCAGGGGAAATTGCCATTATTTCTGTGAAAGTCCCTTTCTTCTTTTCCCCCTTTTTTATATTACTTTTTAACTTATTCTTTTCTGTATCCCCATAACCATCTCCCATTTTTCTCCCCTGCACAAGTATCCATTATAATGCAACCATATGTATCTTTTTGTTTGCATGTATTTTCAAAATGAGCTATGTTGTTCTATATAGCTATGTCTTACTTAATTTTAATGAATTGACATATTTTTGTACCAACACTTGTTTCCTGACTGGCACATCTTTAATTTTCAATAAATGTCTGTGGAATTACAAAGGAATAAGTTTAAAATGTGGTCACTGAATTTACTGTGAATCTGGCTTAGAAAGAAAATTGTGAAATAAAGTATGTGAAATTGATGTACAAATAGCATATTACATTACAAGTGTTACTTGTAACTAGTAATCTTTTAGCTTTTTCTAATGTAATTTGAAGGGCAGGAAACTCACTAGCTCACAAGAGAGTACATGGTAATCTAAAACAGGGATCCTCAACCTTTTTGGCACCAGGGACCAGTTTCATGGAAGATAATTTTTCCACAGACCGACGTGGGGGTGGGAATAATTTTGGGATGATTCAAGCGGATTACATTTATTGTGCACTTTATTTCTATTATTATTACATTGTAATATATAATGAAATAATTGTACAACTCACTGTAATGTAGAATCAGTGGGAGCCCTGAGCTTGATTTCCTGCAACTAGAAGGTTCCATCTGGGGGTGCGGAGAGACAGTGACAGATCATCAGGCATTAGATTCTCATAAGGAGCACACAAACTAGATCTCTTGCATGCACAGTTCTCAATAGAGTTCATACTCCTATGAGAACCTAATGCCACTGCTGATCTGACATGAAGTAGATCTCAGGCATTAATGTGAGTGATGGGGAGCAGCTGTAAATACAGATGAAGCTTCCCTCGCTGGCCTGCTGCTCACCTCCTGCTGTACAGCCCTGTTCCTAACAGGCTAGGGACCTGTACTGTGACCTGTTAGATCAGGGGACTCCTGATCTAAAACACAAAATTTGCATCATTCATTCTTAATGAACCAATGCTGGCTCTTGGTGATTACCTCCATCTTTTGGTTTGTAATGTTTATGAGGGTATTTATGCACAGAAATAGTCTCTTAGTCTACAATATAGGGTTTTCTTTTCTTTCTTATTCTGTTTTTTTTTTTCTTTTTTTTTGTAATTGTGCTGTCTTGACCCAGTTTGAGGCCCTGGCTAAAGGCTGATAAATTCCCTTTCTCCAGCAGTTGAGTAATTCCACACCTTGAAGACTTTCCTTATCATGCTCTCACACTCACATCTGCCCTAATCTGCCCTGGGACCTAGCACCAAACAACTAGGGACAGTCCCTAAACCCCAGGGCCCACCAAAATTATTTAAATCATCCAATCCACAGAGAGCCTATGAAACCAAGCTAGCCCCACCCTGTGTGCCATACGTAAGCTGCCCCCTGTAGCTTGCAGTTACTCACTCAGTCCCCGACACAACTCCTGTAAGTGTCCACCATCAAAAGTCTTCAAATCTTATAAACAATTGGTGCTGTGAGCAGGAAGGTGTGGCCATGATTGTGGACTCTTGGGTAGCTCCTTGTGGGGCAGGGTGCAGGGTGTGAGGGTCTGCTCTTGGCTTACTCATTGGCTCCAGACCCACACCAGCACAACTAGGGATGTAACTGCTGCCTGTTGGTGAGCTGCAATTTAGCTGGTGCTGCTGTGCCTGCCGGTGGTTGCCAAGTCTCTCCGTATCCACATTCCTGTGTTGGAACATTAAAAATGATCATTGCTGACTGGCTAAACTCCAAAGCTATACACTAGTACAGCTGGGGCCCACCTTAGACCATTAGGAGTGATGAGCCACTTGAGCTGCACTTTGCAGGGTCTGCATTCCCCATGCTTCTGCTCATAGCCTGTGTTTGGCAGAAGCCTATTCCAGGAGTCTGTAACTTCTTTGGCAGCAGTGTTTCTTTATTATTATGGAGGGCAGAATCCTGTTTGTCTGAGTGTTTCAGGTAAACTCTTGTGGAGGAAAGTGTTGGTTGGGCTCTCCCACAATACAGAAATGGCACCCGGGTCTCATTGTCAACTGGACCAATTTAACCAATTACTATAAAGGAACTATAAAGGAACATAGAAATTGGTTAAATTGGAGGGCTTCCTACAGACTAATACTGGAGTTAGAGCCTCAGCCATAGATATATTAATTGGCAAACAACCTGACACCCTATTAACCATATGCACTCAAATCAGGCCATATGATTTAAAACCTGTGTACAGCAGAACCCCTCTCATCACACGTCTAGAAAAACCAGGGACTGTTGAGAGCTTTTATATTCAGCTGCCTTTATTTTTATTAATTTAATTTTATTTTAAGTTCTGGGACACAGGCGCAGGACATGCAGGTTTGTTACTTAGGTAAACCTGTGCCATGGTGGTTTGCTGCACCTATCAACCCATCACCTAGGTATTAAGCCCCACATTCATTAGCTATTTATCCTGATGCTCTCCCTCCCCCTGCCATCACCCCCCAGAAAGGCCCCAGTGTGTGCTGTTCCCCTCCCTGTGTCCACGTGTTCTCATTTTTCAGCTCCCACTTATAAGTGAGAACACGAGGTGTTTGGTTTTCTGTTCCTGTATTAGTTTGCTGAGGATAATGGCTTTGAGCTCCAGGATACAAAATCAATGTGCAAAAATCACAAGCATTCCTATACACTAACAGTAGACAAGCAGAGAGTCAAATCATGAATGAACTCTCATTCACAACTGCTGCAAAGAGAATAAAATATCTAGGAATACAGCTAACAAGGAAAGTGAAGGATCTCTTCAAAGAGAACTAAAAACCACTGCTCAATGAAATCTGAGAGGACACAAACAAATGGAAAAACATGCCATGCTCATGGATAGGAAGAATCAATATCATGAAAATGGCCAAAATGTCCAAAGTGATTTATAGATTTAATGCTATTCCCATCAAGCTACCGTTGACTTTCTTCACAGAACTAGAAAAAAACTACTTTAAAAGTAATGTGGAACCAAAAAAGAGCCCATATAGCCAAGACAATCCTAAGCAAAAACAACAAAGATGGAGGCATCACGTTACCCTACTTCAAACTATACTACAAGTTTACAGTAACCAAAGCAGCATGGTACTGGTACAAAAACAGACACATAGACCAATGGAATAGAATAGAGATCTCAGAAATAAGACTGCACATCTACAACCATCTGATCTTTGACAAATCTGGCAAAAACAAGTAATGGGGAAAGGATTCCTTATTTAGTAAGTGGTGCTGGGAGAACTGGCTAGCCATATGCAGAAAATTGAAACTTAACCCCTTCCTCACATCTTACACAAAATTAACTCAAGATGAATTAAAGACTTAAATGAAAACCCAAAAGTAAAAAAAAAAACAAAAAACCCTAGAAGAAAATCCAGGCAATACCATTCATAACATAGGCATAGGCAAAGATTTCATGACAAAAATGTCAAAAGCAAAAATTGACAAATGGGATCTAATTAAACTAAAGAGCTTCTGCACTGCAAAAGGAGCTATCATTAGAGCAAACAGGTGACCTACAGAGTGGGAGAAAATTTTTGCAATCTATCTATCTGACAAAGGTCTAATATCCAGAATCTTCAAGGAACTTAAACAAATTTATAAGAAAAAAAATGAACAACCCCATTAAAAAGTGGGCAAAGCCCATTAACAAACACTTCTCAAAAGAAGACAAATATGTGGTCAAGAAACATAAAAAAAGCTCAACCTCACTGATCATTACAGGAATGCACATCAAAACCACAATGAGATATGATCTCACACCTGTCAGAATGGTGATTATTAAAAAGTCAAGAAACAACAGATGCTGGCGAGGCTATGGAGAAATAGGAGTGCTTTTCCACTGTTGGTGAGAATGTAAATTAGTTCCACCATTGTGGAAGACATTGTAGCAATTCCTTAAAGACCTAGAACCAGAAACAGCATTTGACACAGCAATCTCATTACTGGGTATATACACCCAAAAGAATATAAATCATTCTATTATAAAGATACATGCTTATGTATGTTAATTGCAGCACTATTCACAATAACAAAGATGTGGAATCAACCCAAATGCCCATCAATGATAGACTGGATAAAGAAAATGTGGTACATATACACCATGGAATACTACGCCACCATAAAAAGGAACAAGATCCTGTCCTTTGTAGGGACATTTAGCTGCCTTTAATTGAGACTTTGATTGTACCATTCAGATTCTGGCACTTTGGTCCAATTATAGGAGTATTCTGGATGCCAGCATCTTTGCTAGCTGTGCACCCACAAAGCCTTTGACTTAAAAGACATTTGTGAATCAAGCTCCCAGGACCCAACATTGTATTCAAATTCTACAAATGACTCAGCCCCATTATAACACCACAGAGTCACAAAAATACAGCCCACATCAACCCTAGTGGGTATCCATGTGGGAAGGATACCCTAGTCCGACACTGCCCTAGCTCAAGACCATGCCATTAAAGATGACATGCCCCCTGCCTCCCAACCAACTATGGGCAGTGCCAACTACACTAGCACATGGAATGTCTTGCCATTCATAGGAGACCAGAGGCTCTTGGTTTTCCAGTAGCTGGTTACACTGCTGACTTCTGTTTTAAAAAAGCAAGACCCACAACACTGGAGTAACTTTCCAGACTTTACAGACACCTATAAAACTCGAAGTTCTGCTCTCTGTGATTGTAATTCCACTCTATACCTGGCTTAGCCCTTATGAGACCAAGTCCAATACCTCCCTAATGCTTCTAAGATTCAGGTTCCTGCTAATCCCACCCACTTCTCCTGCCTAAAGGGTAACCTGACTGAAGTATTCCACCCTGTGTGCTCTCCTAGGAGTAAAAGGAGCATCTGCTGGTCTCCGACTGTCAAACCATTTATTCCCTTCCATCCTCCTCGCCTTCCCTTTCTCATTGTCAGTATCCCTACTCCCACCCCTATCTTTTCCGTCCTAACAGCATCTTCTCCTCTTGCCCTCTAAAAGACTACGTAAGTAAAATTCAAACCCACTGCCCCAGCTTCTCTGATATTTATACAGACATCCAAAATACAAACACATTTGACTGAAGTAGGCTCTTCTGCACTGACTATCCATAACTCATCACCCTGCTTCCACATATCCCACATCACACATTTACCCAACTGATAATTGCCCCAGAGATGAAAAATACTGAGAAATGAAAACCACTTCCAAACGGCCTTTTCTTCTGTATTGGGGTGCCCCCTCATGGCAAGTGGCAACTGCACTCGTATTTCCTCAATACATACCACAGATGGGCTACCCAATGAACAACTGCATATTCTCACCATATGCCCAACAAAAGCCACTGTCTTCCTCCAGTCCCATTCTTTAGTAATTTCCCTTTACCTAAATCAAGGTACAATTTTCCAGTCTAATGGTAATGCCACAAAACTATATTGTGTCCCAACCAACAAGGGTGTTTATCCCCTCTCCTTTGCCCTTCCATTACTCTGAAACTGGAAGCCACGAGATGCATTCTGGCCTCTCTTGGCATTCCTATTTATATAAATGTTAATTATTCTTTCCCTACCCAGCCAAATGTCATTGATGTGCCACATTTGTACCTATAATACTGGGACTCACCACTGCTCTGGGACTTGCTGCGATGGCCACAAGGACCATTGCTTTAGCCCAACAGTCAAAAATAATTGATGCTACCCTACAAATGTCCAAAACTCTAGTATATCATATTTCTAAGTTACAGCAAATATTAGTCCTGCTAAACCAGGGAGCTTTGGCAAAAATGTTTTTTGACAGTAAATTTGTCCTTGATTATATATTAACTAGTCAAAGAGGTGTTTGTAACATTATTAGAGCTTCTTGTTGTAGGTGGGTTAACACCACCAATCAAGAGGTCATTCTAACAGAAAGCCTGGATCAGAAAACCATCACCCTAAAAAAACATGCCTTACATATTTAACACACTCTGAAATCCAGTCAAAATATGACTAAAGGCCCTTGCCATGACTGATGTATTCTCCTGGCCAACGCCAAACAAATGGGAGCCTGGTTACGAGTCAGCCTTCAGGGACTTGTCACATTTCTACTTGGTTTCTTCCTTGTTATTGTCATAATAAAATGTTTTCTATGCTGTTTAGTGCAACTTAGGCCCTATTCTGTAGAAGTCTCCTCTACTATTCAGGCCACTCAAACACCCCAAATAATTGAGTTCAAAATCGACATCAAGATATAAAGGAATCAGTGACTAAATATATTTCATATATGGTATTTTTATTGATTATTGTGCTGTCTTGACCTAGTATGGAGGCCTTGGCTAGAGGCTGGTCAGTTTCCTCTCTTGAGCAGCTGATTAAATCCACACCCCAACCACTTCCCTTATCAGGTTCTCACACTCTGGGGCCACTATGTACCCACTCTAATCACCACAGGGCCAGACATCAGACAATTAAGGACAGCGCCCATGCCCCAAAGCCCGCCAAAATTATGCAAATTATTCAAAATTATTCAACCTAGCTAACCCCACCCTTTTTGCTGTACATAAGCTGCCCATTCCCCCTCCAGCCTGTGGTACCCAGTCCTCAGGTGCAACCCCCTGCGTGGTCCTCTGTGGCAGCCTTCTCTCATTCAGAGCTGTAAGTAACAAAGACTTCTGCCTTTCATCTAGCTGAGCATTGAAGTGTTTTATCCGACTGCCAAAAGAATCTTTAAATCTTGTAAAATACAGTCCTACCTACATCTTAATTACTATTCAATGAATGAAAGCTGCAAAGCTTAAAAAACCTTTATAGTTTTTCTAAACCTTTTATATTTATCAAGCAGATCTCTGTAAATCTGTAAATCTGAAAAGGATAATATAAATTACCTTTTTTTTTTTTGAGACAGAGTCTCACTTGGCAGCCTAGGCTGGAGTGCAGTGGCACCATCTCTGCTAACTGCAACCTCTGCCTCCCAGGTTCAAGTGATTCTCCTGCCTCAGCCTCCCGAGTAGCTGGGATTACAGGCACATGCCACCACACCTGGCTAATTACTGTATTTTTAGTAGAGGGGATTTCACCATGTTTGCAAGGCTGGTCTCGAACTACTGACCTCAGGTGATCTGCCCTCCTCAGCCTCCCAAAGTGCTGGGACTAGAGGCGTGAGCCACTGTGCCCAGCCAATATAAATTACCATTTAAAATTATTCCATGACTAATGTTCAATTTGACGTTAATTCCCCTAAACAAATAATGCAATTGATAGACTTGGTTAATTAAGTTCCTTTAAATATTATATATTATATCAATTACAAATTTAGTCTACCTGAATCTCTCAAGCATTTCAAATGCCTGACACATTAGTATCTTTTATACATCTTGCAAGTTTATAAAAGGAGGGAGGGGGCTCTAATAATTAAAGCAATTCCAGTAAAAGTAATAAACCAAATTTATGCAGTAGTAAGTTATGTTCTCTTAAACATTCAAACACTGTGTATAGACTGAAGAAAATGCTCTTGTACTTTAAAATTGAAATTATATGGTTCATATATCTGATTTTCTAATATATCAGGTTATATTAAATGCTTCAAGTAACTTAACAAACAATCTTTCATAGGTTATCTCAAGGATTAAATAATTAAATTTCTAAAGTTAATACAAATGTGTTAATATTGTGGATTTGACTAACTTCAACATTCTTATAGTTATTTCTCTCTTCTCCCAGTATTGTAAATCCACTTATGCAAATAAAGAGAATAGATAGATGTATGATCTGATTGGGCTGAGGATACTGTATCAGAGAATCAAGGCCAGGGTTGAAGTGTCAGTTAAAGAATTTGAGAGAGGGTCAGGGACCTAATTAGGTACCACACATGCCCAGGGTGCCTCTACACGACCCGAAAGTCAATCTGCTGGGCATCTCCTTGAGGTAACAGAGCTTTCCAAATTCACACTGTTTCATGCAGTCTAGTATATCATGTGTACCCTTACCTAGTTTTATTTATTTATTTATTTATTTATTTATTTATTTATTTATTTATTTATTTTTGAGACAATTTCTCTGTCACCAGGCTGGAGTGCAGTGGTGTGATCTCAGCTCACTGTAACCTCTGCCTCCTGGGTTCAAGCAATTCTCTTGCCTCAGTCTCCGGAGTACCTGGGACTACAGGCATGTGCCACCACGCCCGTCTAATTTTTGTATTTTTAGTAGAGACAGGGTTTCACCATGTTGGCCAGGATTGTCTCAATCTCTTGACCTCTGATGATCCGCCTACCTCGGCCTCCCAAAGTGCTGGGATTATAGGTGTGAGGCACCGTGCCCGGCCCCCTTACCCAATTTTTAAAGTTACCTCTTTTATAACTTTTTTGTTTTTTTGAGACAGAATCTCACTCTGTCACCCAGGCTGGAGTGTAGTGGCATGATCTCTGCTCACTGCAACCTCTGCCTCCCGGTTCAAGCAATTCTCGTGTCTCAGCCTCCCGAGTAGCTGGGATTACAAGTATGCGCTACCACACCCGGCCAATTTTTGTATTTTTAGTAGAGATGGGGTTTCGCCATGTTGGCCAGGCTGGTCCTGAACTCCTAACCTCAAGCGATCCACCAGCTTGGACCTTCCAAAGTACTGGGATTAAAGGCATGAGCCACCATGCCCAGCTTCTTTTATAACTTATAACTGTGTAATTTGATAGTTGAAATTCCCTCTATAGGATATTATTCACTACTCGACTGAATTCAATCTCTTTATTGCCTGATTGGAGTCAACTTGCTTTTTACATGTTTTATATCCAGTTCAATATCAAGAATCCTTTTGTCATTTTATTGACCATTCCCTACGTGATTAACACTATCTACTGAATACTGTATCTCAGAATATTACCTACATTTGCATCAAGCTCATGATCTATAGCTCACCTACATCCACCATTCTATTTTTGAAATTTGGGATAGCATGTGCCAGGATACAGTTGTTCTGCCTGAGTCTTCACTGCACCTCGAGTTATTTTGAGGTTCATCCATCTTATCTGAACTTTCTCCGTGCTCTGGATTTTATTCCTCTCCAAGAGACACAAACTCATTTAGAGCATGTAGATCTTCCCTTGGGATGTTTCTGCCTATTTTATTCCTTGTTTCTATCATGCCAACATTTGTTCTAATCTTTCTATTTGTTCTAATCTTTTTTTTTTTTCAAAAGAAAAGGAAAAAAACAGGTATTTTATGGCACCACTGGTCAGTGTAGGGCGGGTGGGTGGCACATGGCATTAGATGTGCTAGTTGGGCAGAGCTGTGCTGTTAATTTTCTGAAAGTGGTAACAAAATACATAAAATAAAACAGTGCAATGCCAGGACAGGCCAGCATGCGATAGGTGAGTTCTTCCCTCCGAAGCCTTCTTTCCAGGCTGTTTCATGTGTCTTTCTTTAGTGTGTCCTTCCTGTCTAATTAGGTTTCTCTCATTGCCCTTGTCCTAATGTTTTACAATTATCTAAGGTGGAATAGCACAGTGGAGAGAAGCAAAAATGTTGGAGTGAGACAGACTTAGGCAGAGGTGGCAATATTGTAAAAATAATGATGCTTAAGCTGTAAGACCATTCATTGCTTGATTTACTTCCAAGATCCCAGAAGGGCACAAGAAATGTGTTCACACAATCATATGTTTTATATAAAATTTGCAAAAGATATTTAACCACAATCAGTCAACCCCATTATCATTTTACTCTGACTGTACGGCATCATATTTCCTGTATCAGGTGGTATTGGAGGGGCTGTGGGCATTTTTGAGACCCAAATGGGGAAAGTTGAGTTGAGAATAATTTTAGTTTGGCTTTAGTGGGTCATATTTATGTGGGTATCAGTCATTTCTGTATATTGATAATTTATTGCTAGCCATTCAGGGTAGCATCCACTATGCCAAAACAAATATGCAGGGCCAGAAGTCATATTGAAAAGTGAAAGTGTGCTTCCTAATGGCTCCCAGGTTCAGAAATTTGTAGGTTATTGAAGAGAAACAGATGGTGAAATGCACAGAGACAGAGCTAATCGAGGGAAAATAATTTCAATCATCCAGTGTGTAAAGCTGCAGGCAGAGAATTTGGTTTTAGAATTTGACCAGAAAACCTAGTTAAGACAGGTTCTCTCAGGAATGTATCTGATAATGTCTTACGTACGATTAAAACCACATCATATGTTACAAAATTTTTTTGATGAAAATAGTACAAAATTAAAGAATCCTGTGTATTAAGACACAAACCTATAGCAGTACTTCAAATGTGTGTGAAGTTTTATGAATCCCAGTATTAATAAGAACAAACAAAAATTTTAATCAACCATGCTTGAAATAAGACTGAAATATCTTTCTATTCTCTCTACAGAAAATAATATAAAATTTTTGCTATATGAAGAGATAATCCAGAATTATGAAATTAAAATATAGATAAAAGCTCTTAGAGGATTGTGTCTGGCAGTGGCTGAATATGAAATATTGTTTTTTAGATTTTGTGATATTTTTGATATTTAACTTTGTAAAATATTTGATTTATTATAAATCATTTTCTTGTTCTAAATAGATATTCACTTTTGTCACTAATTTTATTATTAATTTTGTATTCTTTTTGTGGTAAAATTAAATTTACTACTTTAAACATTTTAAGGTATACAGGTCTGTGGCATTAAGTACATTGACGTTGCTGTGCAACCCCCATCGCGCATCATCTCCAGAACTTTTTCATCTTTCCAAACTGAAACTCCATATTCATTAAACAATAACTCCCCACTCCTTCCTCCCCCGAGCTCTGGCAGCAATTACTCTATTTTCTAGCTCTATAAATTTGACTATTCTAGTTATCCCATATAAGTGGAATCACACAGTATTTGTCCCTTTGTATATGGCTTATTTCACTTAGCATAGTGTCTTCAATCTTCCTCCATATTGTAGCATGTATCATTTCTTTTTAAGGCTGAATAATATTCCCTTGTATATACAGTAGTCCCCCTTATCTGTGAGGATACGTTACAAGACAATACCTGAAACCATGGCTAGTACCGAACCCTATAAACACTATGTTTTTTTCCTTATACAAACACATCTATGATAAAGTTTAAATTATAAATTAGGAATAGGAAGAGATTAACAACAATAACTAATAATAAAATAGAACAACTATAACAATATATCATAATAAAAGTTATGTGAATGTAGTCTCTCTCTCTCTCTCAAAATATTGCATTGTACTGTACTCACCTTTCTTGTCATGGGAGATGCTGTGATGCCTCTGTGATGAGATGACAAGAGGTGAATGATGTAAGCATTGTGATGTAGCCATAGGCTGCTACTGACCTTCTGTATTTCTGAATCAGTGTAACCAGCCCTTTGCGGCGTGGTGTCAACTCATTTCTTGCTTGCTGAAGTCTTCGCAGATGCTCAGTGCTTTCTGGTGCAACTGGTGGTTATCAAAACATGTTTTCTATTCATGTCTTCCACCCACCCATTTAATGTCTTTTCCGTCTTAACGAAACACCCATCTTGCACTGTAGCTGTAACTTTTACAGTTTGAGTTGCAACACCAACACTAGCACGAATTTCTTTTTCCTCCTTCACAATTACCTGGATAGAAGATTTGTTCTTACCGTAGATCTTAGCAACCTCAGTATATGACTTTTTTCCTCTCCTTATTAAGCCAAGAGCTTTCAAATTTTCACTTAAAGGAAGGACTGATGGCTTCTCTTTGGCATATCCAAATTACCAGCATCACAAGTCTTGGGCTTTGGGGCCATTATGAAGTAAAATAAGGGTTACTTGAACACAAGCACTGCAACATGGCAACAGAAAATCTGATAACTGAGAAGACTACTAAGTGACTAAGGGGAGGGCAGCATGTACAGAGGCGATATGATGGACAAAGGGAAGATTCACGGCCCCATCAGGATGGAGTGGGATGCTGTGAGATGTCATCACACTACTCAGAATGGCATGCAATTGAAAACGTATTGTTTATTTCTAGAAGTTTCCATTTAATAATTTTGGACTGTGGTGGATCATACATAACTGAAACAGAGGAAAGCAAAGCTTTGGTTAAGGGGGAAACTACTGTATATATAGTACCACATTTTGTTTATTCATTCATCTGACAATAAACACTGGGTTTGTTTCCACCTTTGGAATATTGTGAATAACACTGCTATGAATACAGGTGTACAAATATCTGTAGAATCCCCTGTTCTCACTTCTTTCAGATATATACTCAGAAGTGGAATGCTGGACCATAAGGTAGTTCTGTGTTTAATTCTTTGAGGAATCACCATACTGCTTTCCACAATGGTGACAGCTCTTTACATTCCCACCAGAAATGCACAAGGGTTCTCATTTCTCCACATCATCGCCAACACTTGTTTTCTGCTGTATTTTTGTCTGGTTGGTTTTCTTTTTGTTTCATAGTAGCCGTCTGATGAGTACAAAGTGCATTCTTTTTTAAAGAGGGCCTCCCAAAAACCTGGGTCTTCTCTGTGCTCGCGTCTGAACTTTAGTTCTACCATGGCATATGGTCCATCGTCCATGATTTTGTTTCCTCGCTTGTAAAATGAGGATAAAAATAAACATGACTCTAGGATTGTTTTAAAGATTTGGTGAAATAATATATGTGAAACCATTAGCACGTAGTCTGCACTTAAAAAGTGGCAATCCCTTTCATTATTATTTACTTATATGTCTTTCTCCTGTACAACATTATGAGCTCCTCACTCATCTTCTGTCCTCAACACCCAGCATAGGACCTGACATATACTTGGTGTTTAATGGATGTTTGATGGTTGAGCTTAAAATCATCCATAGAAGACAGGCCACAATTCTTTTAGCCACAATGCATGTAGAAGTTCAAAAGTTCCTCAGTGAAGAGGAACTGAAAGTAAATATCAGAACCTTGCTGCTCTGTAATTCACTGAGTGCAATCCAGTCTTTATCAACACAGTAAAATCTTTACTGTTCTCATTCTCTAAAGTAGCTTCACTCACGCTCAGCAAATTATTTTATTTTTCTCATTAAGTTGTAAATCATATTACCTCTCCAGGTATTGCTTTAGACAAATATTTGTATTGGGTGGACCCTACCTGACTACTGCTGACAAGATTCTGGTGCACCAAAGGGCAAGGATGCTGCCCCAGCTGGGCTGATTTCTGCTTGGGTGTACTACACATGGCATTAAAGCCTGCAATATTCAGAGACCCCGTTCTTTGGGGGTTGCCTTAGGATTCATGAAAGCCCAGAAACTGTATTCAAAATTGTATGTGTGTATACGCACACACACCTGAGAATATGTGCACTTTCAAAGGAAACAAACCTAACTTTTATCATAATTTCAAAGGAATGCATGACCAAAAGAATTAAGATTAACAGACCTAGAAAGCCTAGGGCGCCAGAATCATTATCAAGCCAGAGGCTTACCTTTAGGAAAAGAAACAGATCTTGAAACAATTTGTGGTATGAGTTCAGATCTTTAGGGGAGCTAGAACCCCCAGTTACTAGGACCAAGGCACAGAATCAGCTAACCAAACTCCAAGGATGAAGAGTCATTGGAGTTGGCAGGGTAATTTAAATCTCCTTTAAACTCCCTCTAACTGCACATAAGTTAGATCCAGAATCTGTGGATCCATCCTAAAGATGGCAGTAGTCACTATAGCTGGGAGCTATTCAGAGAGGCATTCAGATATCACACTGTGTCATATGTTAAATGCAGACAACCAAAGGTGATAGAAGAATTATGACATCAAATTTAAAATTCCTAGAAGTATCCAGAATAGTATGCAAATGTAAATTTAACACTTCTAAGATCCATTTAAACACAATAATGGCAAATTATATTTTAACCTATTTTGTGTCTTAATCTGATAAGAAGAAATTTGAAATTGTGCATCTTTTAATACAGGACTGATTAAAATAATTTCTGAGAAAAGTCAATAAAAATAAATATTAGCGAGAAAAGAAAATCTAAGACATAAATTTAAAGTAGTGTATCTGTACATACTTATACTACAGGTTGTCATACATTTTGACAGCACTTGTCATTTTTAGAAAATTGAAATTACTTTCTATTTACTCTCTGTAAATAAAAAGCATCTCTACTGAGACATGGTTACTGAGTTCCATATTTACAGAAATGAGCTAGAATGTTTTAATCTCTAACTACAATAAAATCATCCAAGGTGATCATAAAGTTCCCATATCTCTTTCTAAAAAATAAAAATAAAATAGAACAAAGCCAGAAGATTTTAAAAGTTTTTTTTAAAAAACTCCAAGGTTTTAGTACTATTAAAAAATGCCTAAGTTTAGAGGGTTTTGATTCAATTTCCTCTGAATTTCACTCTTCCCATGATAACCAGTCACTACCATTTGTATCCCCAGAGGTTTGAATGAAGTCTGAACAAAGTTTACTTCAATTGATTTCCTGCCAATCTGAGATAGGCTGAGACTGTCAAAGTGAAGGAAAAACAGTACAAATAAACATATAAAATACAAGAAGCATAAATCTTTATGGGCTTATAAATTACAGGTATTAATATACAACAAACACTAGTTCTCTAGAACAGTCCTAACCTATTCTATGGCTGTGCCATCTAGCCCTTAATGACGGGGTTCAGCTTCAAAGACAGCTGGTTCAACTTCCCCCCCATTTCAGTTCCTGGCCTGATTCTGAAAGGTTTGGTGTCATGTTATTTCTCACTACAGAGGAAATAGTTTGCTAGACACATTAAACCCTAGGTAGCCAAATTCCAGGGATCTTAGTTGGTCATATATTACTTGGCTACTTGTTGAACTGTAATCCTATCCTCTACATACAAGTCCAGGACTATAACAGTTTCTTAATCATAAGTAAAAGTAATTTCCAATTAGTAAGAAACAGACTAACATGGGTAACAGGCGTAAGGGATGAGTGGAGAACATCAAGATTAACCCACCATAGTGCCAGGGTTCCCATTCATTTCCCCTTAAGGTAGCTATTTGGAGTATGCTTTTAAAAGAGAACCCTGTTCCCATGCTTTCTCTTAAGTACAACTTTTGCATCAACCAAAGATGGACTAGCTATTATGATGCAAAGGACCACGGGAAGCTGCTCTGGCTAAACATCTCCTTCTTGTTGGCCCTACCAGTCCACGGCATTTCATTGTTCAAAATGCATGTCTTTACTTAAGATCTTTGGAGTTTCAAATCACTATGTAAAGCAAAGATGTGACTAGAAGTTACCACATTAAGCTATTTTCTGTCATTAATGCTTTGATATGAATGTGTTTCAAGATGGTTAACTAGCCAAGGTTAGGCATTGAAAGTTGGAGAGATGCATCCTAGGCAAGCCGGGGTAATCTCCAAAGTGGGGTAACCAAGAGCATTAGGAAACTGAATTTGGAAAAGAGAGGGTAGCATGAAAGATGAAATCTGATATAAATAAGGGGGTAGCAGGGCAAAGCCATTTCACAGATCTGTAAACAAACTGCAATGCTGACCTCTGGTTTCCCTAACTAAGAGCTTTCACAAAGTAAACATGTTATTTAAAAATAATATCTCAAATAGCCATGCAGTTATGATGCGCAGTTTAACTGAGGTGGGGGAGATTCTCAGAGGGAAGAACCCAGAGATCAGGGTTCAAGGCTGGGAGAGAAATGGCTACTTCCTTGGAAATGTTCCTAGGTGTCCTGATCTGCCACTGAGCTACAGCCTTCAAACTCAAACTGCAAGGGAAGCTTTTTTCGAGCCTCCCTGGAAAAAACCCATGACCCCAAAATCCTTCCCTCGAAGCTCTATCCAGAGGCTTGGTACTGCTTCAAGTAGAAAATCTGATTTGGTTTCTGGGAAGGAGGACCTGTTGGAAAGTTACAAGATTGACGTGACAGTGACAAGTCTGGAACCTCCTGGCTCTGATGCACAGTGCTTGAACTCCCTTAGAAATGAAGCATTGCCCCCAAGATAGTATAAAGTTACAGTTATCTAAAGTTTTCTCTCTTTTTTTTACCTGTTTCTCTTTCTCCAAAAAAAAGTTTAATTTTAAGAACAATGAAAAATCAATCTTGAACAATTATAGGGAAACTCAAAAGAGCACACTGTGCATTTCAGCTACTTCAGTCACAATGAAACAATCATTAAAAAGATATTATGTTTGTTTCACACAAAGAAAATGTGAAAAAAAAAACACCTCCATATTGTTAAAGCAACATGTACCACAACTAAACACAGGTAGAATTTTTAAATTTTAAATTTGGCCAGGTGTGGTGGCTCACACCTGTAATCTCAGCACTTTGGGAGGCAGAGAAGGGCAGATCATGAGGTCAGGAGTTCAAGACCAGCCTAGCCAACATGGTGAAACCTCATCTCTACTAAAAATACAAAAAAATTACCCGGGCATGGTGGCACACTCCTCTAGTCCCATCTACTCAGGAGACTGAGGCAAGAGAATCACTTGAACCTGGGAGACAGAGTTTGTGGTGAGCCAAGATTGCGCCACTGCACTCCAGCCTGGCAACAGAGTGAGACTCTGCCTCAAAATAATAATAATTATTATTATTACTATTTTAAATTTAATTTAATTTTTTAATTTTAAAATTACAAGCGATTCATAAACATTCTGTCCTCTCTTCTTTCAATATTTTGTTTTTATTTATTGTCTAATATGTATAAGTAGCTGGAAAATTGTACAGCTCATATTCTTTTATAAGCAATGAAAAGAAAATAAGTGAGATTTAATACATATAAATAATTTTCTATTATTCTTTAATACTTTCAATTTATTTAATGCTTTTGTTTTATACAACATACAAAATACTACCGCAGCACATGTAATGTAATAGCTTAGTCGTAGTCTTACTTTTCAAAAAATTGTATATAATACATAATCTCAACCCCAGTATCAGATATCACTTGTGTACATCTTGCCTTTATTCCTATTCTTGCTTCTGGAAACCTTAGCTATTTCTGACAAAGGGTATACAAGGAATATTTCTAAAGCAGTGGCTCTCTAAGTGTGGTCCTCAGAGCAGCAGTATCAGCATCACCTGGGACTTGCTAGAAATGCAAATTCTCAGCTTCCATCCCAGACCTACTGAATCAGAAACTCTGAAGGTGAGGCTGGGCAATCTGTATTTTAACAAAGCCCTCTGATGCACAGAAATGTTTGAGAACCACTCGCTTAAAGGAACCACAAAGCAAAGATTTTTTACATGCTTCAGAACTTATCCCTAGCTTTGCTTTTCTCTTTCCAATCATTTAATTTAAATGTTTTCTCTTATGCCACAGAGTTGAGTGAAATTCCCCTGACTCCCTTGGTTTTTTTCAAACAAGTACATTTCTTTTCCTCTTAGGAGTATAATCATCATGTAGATTGTACAAAATAAAATAACTTCTCCATGTGTTCATCTGGTTAGGAGATTTCCAATTTTATAAGGCAATAAAATAGTATTCAAAAGGGGGCACAATAGCTATATTGACATGCCAGTAGACATGTAGAAACTATAGAAATCGTTCTTTTCCTCTTATAAACTTTTTTTATTGGTTAAAACAAGATTTTATTAAAATATTGGCTTATTCTTAAGGCAAGAATAATTTTAATTTTTAAAAAATTTTAATTTTTAAATTCTATAATCTGTCTCTGAAATTCTTCAGATTAATATCTCAAAATCTTATAAACTTTTAAATATGAGGTTAAGAAAAAATTTAAATAATTTTATTATAAAAATGATATATGTTCTTTGCAGCTATCAAACAATACAGATGTAAATCAAGTAAAAATTAACAATCTGTCATCTTTTAGAGTCATATTCTCTTTAAGGCAACAAATGTTACCAGATTGGTATTTCTTTCTAATCTCTCTTCACTGACTACATAAGTGTGCAGATGCAAAAAAATTTTATATGCAAAATCAGGATCATATTATGCCATTGCTCTTCAATTCACTTTTTACACTTAAAGTATCACAAATGCACTTGTCTAGTATCACTATTTAATTCCATTCCCGTTTAGGTTATTTTGAAATGCCTGCTCTTATAAACATTGATTCAGTTAGCATCCTTGCACATTTATTTCCAATTACTCTTGTTAATTTTTCAATTTCACAGACTCCTAAAAGTGGAATATTTGAATCTAACTCTATGTCCATTTATAATTTAATTAAGGGCTGCAAATGAATTATTGGAGTACTTCGTGCTTCCGCAGGAATATTATCAGTCTTTTGAATTTTGCCTCCCATTCCCATGGTCTCTCATTGTTTTGATCTATGTTTTTCTAAACAGTGGTCACATAGATGATCTTTTCTCACACTGTTGGCCATTGGCTATTTTGTGAGCAAAAGATCAAAAGTCTTCCTTGGAGGCTAAGGGAGAAAAGTGACCTTTTGAAGCTCAAGGTGAGAAACAGCATGATGGGTAGCACACAGTAACTCACACCTGTAATCCTAACACTTTGGGAGGCCGAAGAGGGAGGATCACTTGAGCTCAGGAGTTCAAAACCAGCCTGGGCAACATAGTGGGACCTCATCTCTACAAAAACTTAAAAAAAAAAAAAAAAAAAAGGGGAAGAAAGAGCATGGTGGGGCTTCTCCCCTCCTTAACTGTGTGGATTAACAATAGTTCTGCTCAAAGTTGCAGTTCCTCTCCAGGGCTGCTAGAGTTGGCCTGCAGAAGCAAGCTGTACATAGGACATTGGCAAAGGCAACTTTTCTCCAAAGACTGAGAGACATCTACTGGGTTTCATTGATTGCACCCACTCAGGGAGCCAAGGGTTCTGAGTTCCTTATCCCAGGGCAAAACATCAACCCTGTACCTAGAGGAGCCACTGCCCTCTGCCTGGGTCTATAAAAGCCTTCATTATTTTGGAGGTCCCTAGGCCTTCCTTATTCTACTGATTGACTCTCACCTGCAGGGCACTAGCAAGAAGGAGGGTGATGGATATGCAATGAAATTGTCATCTGTCCCAATATTTTGTATTTTCTTCATGTGTATGGCCACAGTTGTTCTCCCCGAACTTAAAAATAAATTAACAAGCCCAGGCTATATTGAAGGTGAAGAGAAGATGATTTTAAAATAAGATTTAAAAGGAATCAACCATTTATAAATTTATTTAGAATATAACACAAGCAAAGTGCATAAAATGATTTACCAGTTCTTCCAAATGCTCATTTTAAAGCAAAAGCTCTGTGACGAACGGGTGCAGAACACTGTGGCACAAAGTCCATATTTGGCTTCCCCAGCCTGCAATGTGAGAAATTCCTTTTACCATAATAATATTAGGGAGGCTCTGTCCAGCCAAGCAGTGCTCACTTTCTTAAGTCATAGAGGTTTATCATGTCAGGCAAAGTTCAGAATCATTTAATCTCACCTTTCATCATCCATTATGGTAGAGACGGAGCTACCTACTTCTAGATTTATGTGCCTGTAATTTTTTCATGTTGTTCTGAAATGAAGCGCCTGTTAAGTTTACTCCCCAGATAATCCTTTGTTTCTGGAAGTTCATAGAAGTCACCCTTTGTCATCATTAATGTAATATCGTCTCACAAGCAGGTATTATAACTCAATTCTGAGATTCCCTCACCCTTTTATATACCGGTGATGCCATAACTAATTGCTCTGCTTCATACAGCTCAGCTGTATCTCCAACCAGGGCCTGAGGCCTCCTCTTAAGCCCCTGCCCCATCTGACCACCCACCTCCCCATCTCATCCTGGACCTCTTGCCCACAGAGGGAGAGCAGAGGGCTGCCTCCAGAGCCAAGCGGCAGCTGTTGCTGCCAGTACCGTCTAGAAGCTGAGCACCCACACCCACCCTCAGCACCTTTCTCTCCACGTGCCCCTCAGCTGGCACTGCAGGGTGGATAATGCTCAAGTTAATTTGATACTCCCAGCCCTGTCAGAGTTATGAGCTATTAAAAATTGAAACTTATTTATTCTCCAGTTAGGTTTCACATTTCTGGTACTAAGACGAGGTCATATCTTAGGGAAAGAAATGGTATCTCTTTCCTGAAAATAGTGTACTAAGATTCTGGCACCTTTTCCAGCATAAGATTTTTCATAGCTCAGTGTGTATTATAGCAGTGTAGCTGATTAAAAATTCTGTTACTTTAGTTCCAGATGGTTTTTATTTTGGATGTGCTCAAAGTGTTTGTTCACCACATCACTAATGTTCTGTAGAAATAAATCGACAAAATAAGTCACTTGCTTATTCATTCCAATATTTAACAAAAGTGTTTGATTATCTACTGAAGAGAATGGAAGACTCCTAGGACTGATAAAATTCGGACTCTGATTTTAAGAGTCTTACTACCCATCTGGTGGAGAGACAAGTATACACATAAATATAACTACGGTTTGAATGTGAGTGCTGTCATAAGAAAGATGTAAAACAAACTCTATGGCAATGCAAAGATGAAAGACTTTATTCAAGAAATACCTATCATCTGAGATGTACTTTTGATGATAGGTTAGATTTTCACAAGTGGATATGTGTGTTTGGGACAAGAGTTGGGCATTTCACATTAAAGAGCAGCACATCGCAAAGTCTGAAGGTAAAGAGAGAAAGACACAGAATAAATTTGGGGTTAATAGCCAGGTGCAGTGGCTCACGCCTGTAACTCCAGCATTTTGGGAGGCCAAGGTGGGCAGATCGCTTGAGCCCAGGAGCTCAAGACCAGCCTGGGCAACATGGTGAGACCCTGTCTCTATTTAAAAAAAAATAAAATAAAAAAGAAAAGAAAGGAAAGGAAAGAAAAGAAATTTGGGGACAACATATAGTCCTGCTTTACAAAATAAACAGTATAAAGGAAACTATTGAAATAAAAATCTGGAAAAGTAGATCTGAGGCCCTTGCCTGCTAGGTGGTGGTGTTTGCCTTTTATGCAAAGCAATGGGAAGCTGTTGAAAATTCCCTGACCATGAATGAGCTGACTGGAACAGGGCTTCAGGGCTATCATTCTTGCAGTAGATCTTTAGCTGGATATGAGGGAGCAAAGGCTTAGGCAATGAGGTCAGTTAGGATGTGATTTGATGTCAGCAGGTAAGAGGCAATGGTGATGAAAGGAGAAGAAAGGAAAGAACACCAGAGGGGTTGTGAAGATAGAATTGGCAGCATTTACCACAAGAGCCTAAGGAAAGGGAAGGAGACACAGATAACTCCAAGCTGGTGGGCCTGGACCCTTACCTTTGATAAGGATGGCAACAGTAACCAACACACTGGAGGCAGGAAGGGAACAATCACCAATTCATTTGGAGGCAAGAAGAGCTCAGAGTGTGGGCAAGTCACTCAGGTGGTGCTCACTTTAGCAGAAAGGCTGTGTAGATGAGTGTTTAGTTAAAGAACTGACATTTTCACGGATATGCCTTGAAAGTATGTAAATCTGTATTTCTTAAATGGTTAGCAAGCGGAGCCCTCAACAGCATTTATCACCTGCATGAACAGAATTATTTATTGTGCTGTGCTCCTGTGAATGGTATTCCAGGAATTGGAAAGATGCGGGCAAAGTTTTGTTTTAAAATTAACTCTTAAAGAACTGGAATTTCTCTCATTAGTAGTAAAAGCAACAAGAGGTTGCCAAAAGCAAAAGTGTTGAGAAAGAAACATGTTCCCTTTACTTTTTCTTTAAATTATAAGTGAATGGGCATGACACAAAACAGCGACCATGATGACTAAGCAAACCTATGTAGACTTAACAGCCCTTATAAAATAAAACTCACATTACCCTGACTTTCTTTCGTGCTATTGTGCCACAAGGGAACTGAAGGTAAGCAGTTCACACAGATGACTATATTGATAATCATTCTGCCAAACTACACATCTTTAGTTTTTTTAATTGCTTCTTCTCAGGTATCTATTGCTAATATCAGCATTGATATTTTCATCAAAATAATATAAGTTATCTGCCTAAAAATTTCAATAGAATCAATAGAATCAATGGATGACTCTTTTCTGCTACATCAACTACAGCCAATTGAATGATATCCATCAATATCCAGAGAATGATATGCTTTAGTAATGAAACTATTCGTACATTGTATTATTTCAACCATCACTAACTCCCCTTGCTCTTCCCCTACGCACCACAATTATACTCCCAATTTTGCTTTTTAGAAAGCAAAATCCCTGAATCTTTTTCAGCTCTCAGTGAAGCTAATTTCCTTGAATCCCATCCCCTCAAAATATGCCAATTCAATTACACCCAGGGCCAAAAATCATCTTTTATTTCCAGTTTGGCCTGTTTCCTCCTCAATACCCCAGCCACCACCACCTTCAAACGCCACCATCACTAAATGAGTCCTTGAGAAGTTTTCCCTTGCTTCCTACCTGTAGTAGGCTAAATAATTGGCCCCAACAATGTCCATATCTTAATCCCCAGAATCTTTGAAAATGTCTTACACAACACAAGGGACTTCACAGATGTGATTAAATGAAGGATCCTGAGATGGGAGATTATTCTGATTCATCCAGATGGGCCTGATATAATCACAAAGATTCTTATAAGAAGGAGGAAGAAAAGAGGAGGGAGAGAAGATTTTATACTGCTCGCTTTGAGGATGGAGAAGGGATCATAAGCCAAGGAATGTAGGAGGCACATAGAAACTGGAAAAGACAACAAAACAAATTCTTCCCAGAGACTGAGAAGGAATGCAACCCTGCCAACCCCTTGATTTTAGCCCCAAAAACGTATTTTGGATTTGTGACTGCCAGAAGTGTCAGGAGAATAAATTTGTATTGTAAGAGGCTAAACTTTTGATGATTTGTTTCAGCAGCAGTAGAAAACTACTATATTACCTCTCTGTATGGTCTGCCATAAACTCAATACCATAAAGATGTGGATTGCCTGCCCAGAGAAGGTAACTTGCATGATCAATGGGTACCTTCAGATGATAGTAGCTGGTGAATTGGTGCTAATAGCGCTGGTCCAGTGAAGAAAGGATGAGGTGCAATCCACATGGAGTTTCCACATAGTAAGCCCCACTGAGTGTTAGACATCAAGCTCAATACTTCATGTCTGTTATTTTATTTTATTTTATTTTTTGACAGAGTCTTGCTCTGTCACCTAGAGGGCATCTCACATTGCACCCAGGGAATGCAGTGGTGTGATGGCTCACTGCAACCTCCACCCCCTGGGTTCAAGTGATTCTCCTGTCTCGGCCTCCCAAGTAGGTGGGATTACAGGTGGCTGCCACCATGCCCGGCTAACTTGTGTATTTTTAGTAGACAGAGGGTTTCGACATGTTGGCCAGGCTGGTCTCAAACTTCCGGCATCAAGCAATCATCCCGCTTCGGCTTCCCAAAGTGCTGAGATTACAGGTGTGAGCCATGGTGCCTGGCCACATCTGATATCTCTTTAACATTTTCTTCTTTATTATCTTTTTAAACGTATTTGACACATACAGTGCTTACCTTCTTGGGTATCTGGTGGTCTTCATGAACTCATTATTTGATGATTTGGAGGAGTCCTAAATCCCTAAACTGGACAATCTTTCCTTAAAGAGATCGATAGCCAGGGGTCATCAGCAACCATGAACCAGTTCAGCTCCCTTGAGAGTGTCTGAGCAGAAGAGTCACAGATTCAGATTTCCCCTCCCAGTGGCCTGAGCCTCAGAGTTATTACTGGCATCCACTCTCAGGATGGGACAACATGTGCCTCTAAGGTCCAGTTCTCAGTTTTGGGGAGTTTTGCTTTGTGTTTAGAGGGAAAAGGTGCATTTCCTGAAGGGATCAGTTACTTCTTGCAGAACCCACATTCCCTACAGGAGCGTGGTCTCCCCAGGGCCTGGTGGTTCTGCAAGAGAGAAATGGTGATGGCAGATGGTGGTGCACAAGTAGATGATTTAAATTATGTTTAGGAGGAAGAAGCTATTAAACTTGCTGCTGATTTGATAAATAGATTTTGTGAAAGGAAATATTCAAAGAGGACTCCTAGATTTCTTCCTTAAGAAACAGGGATGGTGTAATGCCATTTACAGTTACCGGAGATGAGAAACAAGAGTTATGCTTGTATCATTTTTAATTGTTTATTTATATATTTATTTATTTAGAGACAGGGGGTGTCGCCCAGGCTGGAGTGCAGTGCTGCAAACACAGCTTACTGCAGCTTTGACCTCCCAGGCTCAAGCAATCCTTCTGCCTCGGTCCCCCAAGTAGCTGGGACTACAGGCACATGCCACCACGCCTGGCTAATTTTTGTGTTTTTTAGTAGAGATGGGGTTTTGCCATGTTGCCCGGGCTGGTCTGGAATTCCTGAGCTCAAGTGATACTCCTGCCTTGACCACCCAAAGTGCTGGGATTATGGGCCTGAGCCACTACACCCAGCCAACGCTTGTATTGTTTTCTAAAAAGGCTTTACTGTTGAGTGCCCAGGCCATTTTAAAAATTTTTTACCTTTTAGATTGACAGGAAAAGGTCAGCAGTGCCTTTAATTTTACATTTAGGCCTACTTTCAGGGAAAATTGGTATTTCATCTTCTTATAAATAAAATCTGGCTGGCTTGATTTTTCTATTTAAGGTATGAAAAATTACTAGATATTTCAAGCAAGTTAGGGTTAGAGGAGGTAAAAGGCTACAAAATCTCATATTTTATCTTTCTAGAAGGATTTATGGAAGAAGGGCTATGGAATTTGTTCCCAAAGACTGGCTAACAAAGATTCAATGGGACTTGAACCGTTCTTTCTATATGTCCATAGCTTGCTTTTTCAGTGTCTGCTTTTTAACCAAATGCTACAACCAGAAAACGTAATTTGTCTAGAACATAAGCACATGTTTTCCATGGTTTTAGTCTCCTTATTGGTAAGGAATTTAGTCTCCTTATTGGTAAATCATACACAATACCAGTAAGTGGGTTTTAAGCCCTGGGACTCAGGTTTCAGGGTATCTGGATGTCCCAGGGTATATCAAAGAGGCCAGTGCACAGAGATAAGATACATGCCCACATTTTTAGGGGCATTAGTGGAATAAGCCTTTGTTATAATACCTACCAAGTTATCAACAATATGTGAAAGACTGTTGTGAGCAGCTTCTTCTGTGCTCTTGCACAAACAAAGATAAACAGAAAATAACCGTTTATGAAATTGGTCTTTTGTTTCTCCAGCTGCCCTGTCCTGTCTCACGTCATTTCCATGCAGGGCTTCCTTTTCATTCGAGGTTCAGTGTCTCTTCTTCCAAACCCTCTCCACCAATTAATACAAGAAGGGTCCTGATATCATCATTTACAAGTGGTTGAATCTTATTTTTCATTCGTTAGCAATTCCACGTCTTTCTATTTTTAAGAGTTACTTGAATTTCCCTAGGACTCATCCACCGAATGAAGTCACTGACTCATAGATCTGGCCTGCAGGAATAGATTCTCCCCATACTCCACTCCAATCAAAACCCACCATGTTAATTCTTGGATGTTTCATGTGCTCAGAAACAAGTCTGCTCATGTTCTTCCATCTGGCCTTCCAGTTACGGCCTTTCTTGCCTCAAAAGCTATTTTTAAAAGGCACTTCCTCTCTACCTTGGCTTCTGAAAACCATTAAGAGAATATGGCTTTGCTGAGTAGGGTACAGTGAGTAGGGTACAGTAATAAGTCTTCCCTTCCTTCAAACCTGTTAATTTCCATTGTGTTTAACATACAGTAACTTGACTTGTGTAAGGTTCTGAATGATTGTTTTCCTTTCTAAACCATCTCACACTACCTTCACCTGCTCACTATGCCTCGGCTCTGTTTCAGGTTTTTTGCACATAGAAGACCACCCAAAAACTCAGTGGCTTAGAGTGACAACTTTTTTTTCTTCTCACTGTTATGGGGTTGATGGGTGGATATTTCTGTTGGTTTTACCTGGACTTACTCACTGAGTGAATTTCAGCTGGGTGGCTGAATTTCAGCTGGGACAGCTGGAATGCCAGCACCTTGCTCTCCAAGCAGTATTTCCTCTTGAGGGAGACCAGACCAGGCAGGACTTTCTCACATGGCTCATCTGTGTTCTAAACAAGCACTTATCAAGCCTTCGCTCGTGTTGTTCGCTGATGTCCCATTGGCCAAATAAGTCATGTGGCCATGCCCTGAGTCAGTAAGGGAGGAGACTACAAAAGGGTATGGATACCAGAAGGCAGGATTCATTGGAGGCCATTAGCATCAACAAGACCCAAATGCCTTGTTTTATTTACTAGAATGCATCGGGCTCTTTTTTGCTTTAAGGTCTTTGCATAGTCTTCCTTTTAATCATTCAACAAATATTTAGGCACCCTCAGACACTGGACAAAATCCTCAGAGATCTCAAGAATCTTTCCTTCTAAAGAGGGGAAGCATATAATAAATACATGCAAAACTAGAAAAGATAATTTCAGACGGTTATAAAAGCTCCGAAAAAATAAACTGGGATAATGGGTAGAAAGTGATTGGCCAAAGTGGAGAGTGAAATGAAGTTTAGCGAGGTCAAGAAGGCCTTCTGAGGGGATGGCACTCCATCTAAAAGCTGGTGATGAGAAAGCACAGCAGCGAGGTGTCACAGAGGAGGAGTGTTCTGGCCATACCTCAACCTTGGTCATGGCTGTCCTGTCTCCTCTTGCCTTCCTCCTTGTAAGTAGCCCATTCCTGCCCTTACCACTGCCCACCTAGTTTATCCCTTTAGAAAATTCACCACAATTTTGGGTGATTTGCTGTTGATCCTTGTTTAAGTCCCTCATAAACTATAATGCTAATGAAGATAGAGTTGTTTCTGTATGTTTCTTGGATATTTTCATAGATCTATGCTTAGTTGACATTCAAAAACAATTGCTAAATGAATAAATAAATGAATTCACACAGTCACTCGTGCAGGTTGAAAGCATGACCACAGATGCTCAGAGTGAGACAAGTTCCTATGTCCAATTCCTCATGGGCCCAGACTACATTTGCCTGTCTCTCAGTTGGGACCAACCCACTATGCAAGTTCTTTCTACCCTCCTGGGGGTTTCATTTCAGGGGTTCTTTGGACTCTTTGGAACTTCCCTGACTCTGAGCTGAGAATAGTTGCTATCCCGTCCAGCCTAATAGGTTTCAATAAATGTTAAGTCCCAGAGACAAAGCTTTGGGGCCTTGCCCCTTTTCCCTTTAGGAAGTCTGCTGGAATTCATATACAAAATTTCTACCCCTTTTCCCTGCTACCTTCAAATTTGAAATAATAAAAAAAGAGATTTTATTCTATTTCATTAGATACCACCTCTCATGAACAATGATAGCAGCTATCAATCATACTGTAAGTACCAGGTAACTAGACACCTGGCCTATATTATCATTAACCCTCGCCACAATCCTGCAAGGTAGGATTCTTTTCCCCATTTTCAGATAAGGAAACAGAGGCTTATAGAGGTGAAATAATTTCCACAATAAATCCGAGGATTAAAAGGTAGATCAGGTGTTCAGGCCTACTTGAGTCTGGATCTGATGATCTTCCTACCAGACACGTTGCCTTTGTGTTGACCCGCTCCACATTGGGGATAAAAATACAGCTCCACTGTCTCTTATCTCCAGCTCTGAAATCCAAAAATTTCTGAAAACCAAAACTGTTCCTGAAAACACATGACCTGATGTGACCTGAACTCACCTGTGGGCCTAACCTGACCTGACACGAAGCTATTTATAGTCTTTATTTATTCCATGTACTATGACTATTCATACATTTGCTCCAAAAATAGTAATGTGTTCAATTACAAGGTACTCCCCCAGACCCTGATAAGGGCATTCATATATAATATTTGTGTTGTATTGCTTTCCAAAAATCTGAGAAATTCTGAATTCTGAAACACATGTGGCCCCAGGGTTTTCAGGTGTGCAACTGGGATTCTGTAATAATAAATTATGTTTGTCAATGGTTTTAGAGCTCACAAAGTTTTTAAGGGTTGAGGAAATTTTATTTTGTTTTCCTCTAGTACACAAAGAATAATTTAGGAGATTCATCTGCACCTTATTTTCTTACTCTTCCATAAAGCAGCTTTATTTCTGATTTCAGGCTATTAATCATACTTGATCCCAACAGAAGTCTCGAGTTATCTCTTCTTGCAGAAAGACATTTAGTTTTAAGATTAAGTAAAATGAAAAAAAAGGAAAGCACTTTTCAGAAGCGTTGGTATTCACTTCAGTTAAACTAATTTTAAATTTTTAATTTCCTAAAATAATGGCTTAGAATAGCACTAAAGTGAATATACTAAATGGATCCAACCATTAAAACGTATTCTAAAATTAGTGAATAAATATTTTTAAATGTAAGAAAATAATTATAATAAGAGTACCTTGCATTTATCAATTTGCAATTTATAAAACATTTTCACCTACCTGATCTCCTATATAATAATAATTATTATCATTATAGGAAAGTTGCCATTCACTGAGTGCTATCTTTTCATGAGACACTTTATATATACTATTTACTCATCCTCACAACTGTGTAAGGTTGTTATTGTTATTTCTGCCTCACAAACAAAAAAACTGAAGCTCAATGAGGCTGATATATTTGCTTCCAATTGTGCAAATAGAAGGTTAGAGTGAGTACATGAGAAAAGCTGTGTGTAGAAGGCATTTTCTTTTTGGTATTTTATTCTTACCAACATATGACAACATTCAATGTGTTTTTAATCTCAAGGTTCCTGATTGTCATAGAAAAAACTCTTGGGCTGGAGGTACAAAAAGTAGGATCAAATATCAACACTGCCACCCTGACATGGGACTTCTGGCAAGTGACAAAATATTTCAATTTCAATCTCCTCATTTGTGAAATGAAGGACGTTATATTCAGTCCACACGTTGTCATGGGAATTATGTCAAATACTAGAAGGATTAAATGCTAGTAAAGGAAGCCAAGAAAGTCATGGCAGGCTGAGGTTCTTGATCTTTCAATAAGAAGAAGAAAAAAAAACTAGACCTGCCATTTATCACTGATCAAAATGGCTTGGTTCACATAATAAGTTTAGCTTCAAGTTACATTAAAACAAAATAAATAAAATGCACTTAATCACTTTTTTAAAATAAAAAATATATACTTTTAAAAGTAAAAATTTAAATCTGGGCCAGGCACGGTGGCTCATGCCTATAATGCCCCTACTTTGAGAGGCCAAGACAAGAGGATCCCTGGAGCCCAGGAGTTCAAGACCAGCCTGAGCAAAATAGCAAGACTCTGTCTCTACTGAAAGTAAAAAAAAAAAAAAAAAAAAAAAAAGGAACTAGACATAGTGGCGTGCACCTGTAGTCCCAGCTGCTTGGGAGGCTGAGGTGGGAGGATCGCTAGAGCCCAGGACCTGGATGCTGCAGTGATCTGCACCCAGCCTGGGTGACAGAGAAAGACCCTGTCTTTTAAAAATTTGTTTTTAATTTTTAAATAAAAAATAAGTGCATAGGTACATTTGGTTGCTTTCTCACTAAGCTTTAAAGTTTCTTTCTTTGTATATTCACCTTCATACTTCAGTTAGAGAAAAACAATTTTGGGGTGATGTTTCTCAGTGTTCGTGTATACCAGTTCTTCCTTTGCAGCTACAGTTTTTCTCGCACAGCAGTCAGTGATCTCAGTGCCCTGACTGGCTGCATTTCTCTCAACCTCTGGTTCAAGCAGTCACTTGACCCTGAACTCAACTAGTGGTCAGTATCAGGCCATGAAACAGGGTGAGATAAGAGGGTACTGGAGTAGAAGCTGGGCTGAGCTGGCAGGAAGGGGATGGGCAGAGCAGGGACATACATCCTGACACAGGCAGCAGTCATTGGCTGTTACATAAGACCAACCACAGGTCAAAGGCAACGTCACAGTCTAGATTGGAAGACTGGGGCTAAGGTCCAGAAAGCTGAGTTGCTCCAGATGGCACAAGACAGAATGGAAAGCAGGCATACAGGTATAGGTTGGACATTCAAGCTAACCTAAATCTAGCTTCCAGAAAAGACAGGTTCATACATGTCTATTCCAGGATGTAACTAAGGTATGCTCCCTTGGTTTTAAGACTGTGCTCACAAACTTGTTTTCTCTCTTTATATCAAACACAAAAGTTGTCCTGGAGAGCTATTTATAAAGACAATGAGACTGCTCCTGCCTCGCCACCACCACACACACCCTTCAGTCAGAAGCTGGTTCCCCGCCTTGAAAGATCTCTCTTCTCTGTTGTCTCAGTGACTTCCACTGGTGACTCCACCTTGAATCTGCTATCAATCATGTAAAAGTCGTCCTTGTTCTATAAGCTATTTGCTTTCCTTTACTTTGTATATGTGTGAGGAAACAGATATTTTTTAGAGAACTCTAAAAACAGATCATCCCAACAAGATTTTGTCTTAGCACTTTTTCTGGAAGGAAGAATGGACTTCTCTGCTAAAAGGTGGTACTCTGGGGTGTATCTAAGAGATTAATTTCCTTCCATTCAACTTTCCCTTTAAAGAAAGCTGTCACCTTTGCCTCTCTCTAGATATGTTTTTCCTTATGTTAAAAAAAAAAGAAAAAAAAGAAAGAAAAATGGGCCAGGCACAGTAGCTCACACCTATAATCCCAGCACTGTGGGAGGCCAAGGTGGGTGGATCACTTGAGGTCAGGAGTTTGAGACCAGCCTGGCCAACATGGTGAAACCGCATTCCTACTAAAAATACAAAAAAAAAAAAAAAATTAGCTGGGTGTGGTGGCACAGGCCTGTAATCCCAGCTACTCGGGAGGCTGAGCTGGGAGGATCTCTTGAACCCAGGAGGCAGAGGTTGCAGTGAGCCGAGATCCACATCACTGCACTCCAGCATGGGTGACAGTGAGACTCTGTCTCAAAAAAAGAAAAGAAAAAAAAAAGTATGTATTACCTTTCCCTCCCTGTCAGGATAGTTATTAGAATCTAAGCAGTGAGAAGTCATTGAGAAGAACAAAAATCTATGTATTTATTTACAAGGTATTCATATTACTAGACCCCTTTTCCTGTATCCAGTAGCAGTCCTCTCCATATACAAGGAAATGTACCATTCATTTCAACTTTGTTTATAACAATGAGAAATAACCTAAATGCCCATTGATTGAGGAATGGCTAAATAAACAATGGCAAGCCATAAAAAAGAACGTTGCAAAGCCAAAAAAAAAATACTCTTTGTATAATGGCCAAATTCCAAGAAAATGAATTAAGGAAAAAAAGTAAAACAAAACATGTAAAACAAAAAGAAAAAAATTACTCTTTGTATAGTAATAGGGCCAAATTCTAATGTATTAAGGGGAAAAAGTAAGGGACAAAAAAAGCGTATACAGTATGTATTATTTGTATTTTTTTCGAAAGAGCAAAATAATACGTGCAGTTATACCCATGTATATGCATCAAATATCTCTTTAAATATATGAAATAAATTGATAACTTTGGTTTTCTCTGGGACAGAAAATGGGAGAAGATTGTTTTTTACTTTGTACCCTTTTATACCTTTGAATTTGAAACCACATGAACATAGTACCCGTCCAACAAAATTAAATTAAGATCATAAATAAAAATATCCCTGGGTGATTTTTCACAATGTGTGAGAAACTCAAGATGCAAATGCTACCCAAGTGAGCTGAATTGCAAGTCTATAGCGTCATGTTAGTTATTAGTGTGGCACAAGATTAATGGCTCATGTTCTTCTTGCTTTCACTTTTCTCCCGCTTAAGCCAGATATTTCTCCTCAAATTTTTGACCACTGGAGAGCACACAGTGCCCTTTGGTTCTGGCTCAAAGCAGCCTGTACTCTCCCCTCTGGGACTTGGGTCCTTCAGCAATATTCTTCCCAGGCCTAAACTCTCAGCCTCTGGTCTAAGCAGTCACTTGAGCCTGAACTCAACTAGTGGTCAGCATCAGATCATGGAATAGGATGGTGTAAGAGGTCCTGGATTAGAAGCTAGGCTGAGTTTGTGACCAGTCTGTCCAACTTGGCAAAACCCCATCTCTATTAAAAATACAAAAATTAGCCAAGCATGGTGGCACATGTCTGTAGTCCCAGCTACTTGCAGGCTGAGGCACGAGAATCACTTGAATCTGGGAGGCAGAGGTTGCAGTGAGCTGAGATCACACCACTGCACTCCAGCCTGGGCAACAGAGTGAGACTATGTCTCAAAAAAAAAAAAAAAAAATGGAGCTGAGGGCTGAGCTGGCAGGAAGGGGCTGGGCAGAGCAGGGGCATGCATCCTGACATAGGCAGCAGTCAGTGGCTGTGAAATAAGACCAACCACAGGTCAAAGGCAAGGTCACAGTCTAGATTGGAAAACTGGGGCTAAGGTCCAGAGAGCTGAGTTGCTCCAGATGGCACAGGACAGAATGGAAAGCAGGCATACCGGTATTGGTTGGACATTCAAGCTAACCTAAATCTAGCTTCCAGAAAAGACAGGTTCACACATGTCTATTCAGGATGTTACTAAGGTATGCCCCCTCAAATGGTTTTAAGCACTTTTCCTGCTGAGGAAGTAGAGAGAGGGAGCCAGGATTCTGCAAGTGCCACTTGTAACATGTAGCGGGGCCAAATGTGATTCTCTCCCCTCCCACACTCAGTGCTGTCTAGCCCAAATTTTACACCCTAAGAAGCCATGGATCATTGAGTTCAAAACATACTTTCTCCATCCACCCCTTGAGGTTAGGTTGAATGATTTGGATGCAGACCTGGTGTTTCAGGAGACAGGTTGGTGACATTAATGGTAATATGCAACTATGAGTTACAAAATCAACCCATAGCTAATTTCAACAACCAGAAGTTGTGGTGCCTGAGACAGTGCCCAACTGCCATGGTACCGTTTGTTTTGTTCCTTGTTCATATTATGATGAAGGGATTAAGTTGTGTTGGAATTAGCTTCATCTAGACACTGCAGTTCAAGTCTTTCATCAGTAGCTGCATTTTAATCCTACTGGGTTTAATAACAGTACTAAAAATCTTTATGGTATGTCATTTAATCATCGACCTTTGCATTACTTCAACAGCAGCCTTACAAGTAACAAAGAATAAATCCTGTGCTTGCCTCTAGGTTTTCCACAGAGGTAGTGAAAAGAACTGGATTTTCAAGTTCACTTTGCAAGAGGCAAGTAGGAAGGAGACTGAAAGCTGCTCGTAAATCAGTAAATCAGTTGCTTTAGGCCGGACACCTGCCCTGTCAGTCTCAGCTACATCCAAATGGAAAAATGGGTGATCTAGGATTACCCTCAGGCGATGCCAATGGCCAAGGCACTAAAAGGTCACATCTATTATTGCTGGCATTTCTTTCCCCACTGGGCTGTTTTTTGAGTGGATGTCATACTCATCTCATACAGAAGGCATGTCCATCATGCTAGAGCAGTGCTGTCAATATTAGATCTAATGAAATACACCCTATTTTTCTTTTCTGCAAACTTCATTATACCTAGCTGCCGCTAAAAGATGATTCCTTTTTTCCTTACTACTCCAACATTACATTTTAGGGACATGAATCCTTAAGCAAAGTTTCATTCGCCACCTCTGATTTTAAAGTTAAAATGAGTCTTTTAAAAACATTAACCAAAATAAATGGCACAGTGAGTGCCATACCCAGAAGTGGCTACATAAAGCCACTACATAAACAGTCAATGCTCCCTTGGAAGAAGTCACTGGCCTTTACTAATAATATCATGTTCATCAGCAAACAATTTGGCAAGTGTGTAGTATCAGAAGTTGGGGGAGGACTAGAAACACAATCTTAACACACAAAAATAAATGTGGATAAAAAAGTGTAGCAACAGCTGTTGCCAGCTGCAAGCAACCACGCAGTAAAATCCTGTCCAACTCTGCAGGGGACTGTATGAGGACTCTTGGAGCCTGAGACAGGAGTGACAAAAGATCGCATTGTAAGAACATCGAACGTGAACCCTGGCTAGCAAGCACCCCTAGGAATTACCAATAGGAGGAATTGAGAACATTGCCAAGAATTCATCTTCCCCAGATCGAATCACTGCATAAAATCAGCCCTATTTGTTCTAAGAAGTCCACATTCATAAGCTTCATTCTAACTGAGCTTGGTTCTTAGCCTATAAGGCCCATAAGAACTCCTTTGGACTCTGTGGATCTCCATTTTAAAAGCGTTATTGACTCGAACCTGGGGAGGTGTTTTTCCTGGAGTTCTTTCTCACCAGACTAGTTCTGGCTGCCTCCTGGGTGATGATGGAAAACTGAGGCACTTGCCAACATGTCATCCCCTCATTTTGCAACCCTCAGGCAGTTGCACAAAGGCTATGTGGAACTTTACCAACTAGTTAAAGGCAGAGTCCGGGACAGTCTTAAAGGAATTAGGACTATTACAATGTCCAAGTGTTGCATATTAAGGAACTCCATCACAGGGCCAGATAAACTAGGTGCAAGGCGATGCAATTAAGAGCCTTTCATTCAACACCTCTTCACTCATAACCCTGGGGTTTTGAAATGCAGCGCCTTTCAAGTCACACTTGAAAACTGTTGCCTAAGCAGCCTCTCCAGAATTTTCTGATTCCAGAAGCTAAAAGAGCCCTAAGAAACCACAGGAGAAGCTGCCCTGCACTCCTTCTGTGGGAGTCACTGAGGACAGAAGAGTTACGTGATATCAAACATCTTTAAGAGGCCTGAAAATTCTTCACTTACTTAGAGCTAAACCCATCTTAGAAATCTGCTTATTGTATATGTTTAGGTAACTCTCATTTGCCTGGAGCAACTTGAAAAAAAATTTTTTAGAAAGTAAAACAGGAAATTCAGAATAAGACATGGCCTTGACCAGCTAAATTAATTGCCCAAGTAACCTTTTGCATAAAGGAAACAGGATCAGGAAGGATTTCCATTCAAACCTTGCTATTTTGCCTTCAGGTAAGAGGACAGGATTCTTTTCTAAAATTTTGCTGTGAAGACCCTAATAAATAATTTTGCTTTTTTCTCCTCCCTATTCTAGAAATAGAAGGGAGGAGGACCTATTTTGTTCCATCCTGTAGGCTGATCCTTTACACCTAGGACTGGAAGAAATAAGGTAGATTTTTGTGGAAATGTAGAATATGCATTCACCAGCTACACTGGAATCAGGAAGCATAAATCACAAGTAGCTTGGTCTCTCCACAGAAATGTGGAAATGGTAGGCCCTGAAAGAGCCTCAGTAGGGATGCATGTGATAGCTTCATGAGCTGGGCAGGCTAGCTGTGGAGATGCAAAAACCACAGCATGCAGCATGCATTCTCTCCAAAGATAATGGTGGTCCATACCCCATCTCCAGCACCCATGGACAAAATCAAGCCAAAGTTATAGGGTCTGTTTTAGGGAAACTACAATGACTGTTGTGAGGTAATAGTTTCCCACACGACTAAACTCTTTTGTGATAATAAAGTAAAAAGTAATGAAAAAAAGTTACTGTTAGTTTGATTTTATAATTTATCATAGTGGGAAGAATTCTTGACCCAGAGTTTAAAGACTTGACATTCCACTTTTAACACTTTCATCTGACTTTGGACAAGTGGCTTAATTTTCTCATCTGTGAAAGCCTCTTTCTTCCTTTTGAAATGGAAATACTGATATTTGTTTTTCTCAGCCTCCGAACTTCTTAAAAGTTACAAATTAAGATCATGTGAGTAAAAAAAGTACAGGAGTAAAATGGTCTCATTCTATTGGGCTATTCTAAAAGAAACTATTTCTATTTCTTTCTTTAAAAGCACCTGTTGTGTCCTTAGTGTAGAGGCTAAAAATAAAAAGATTTTTTAAAAATCAGAAAGCACTTGTAATCATTCCATTTATTCCTTCCCCATTTATTAGAAAAACCCCGGGGTGAGGGGGTCAGATTATGTCCCTTGATTTCAAGGCTGATCAGCTAATGTACATCATCAAATCCTTAGAAGCTCAGACATAGCCTTGTGTCCTCCTTAACACCTGGCTGCATTAAAGTTTCAACCATAGCCCACAAAGTTTTCTATTAGTAGTAGCACACTCAGTAAAAAATAAAAGCCATCTTTTACTGTGCATCTGCTATGTGTATTAATCGTTAATCCTCATTTAGAAAATATTTTTAGGTATTTTATACTTATTAACCCAGTTTTATCATAAAGAAACAGCATTACTCAAAGAAATTGGGTTAGACAGATTTAAAAAATTTTACTGTTAATGCTAATTCTTAAAAATAACTGTGAAACAAAAGACAGTCTAGAGACTAAAGGAACGTTGTAGATACTACTTCATCCTCGTTACATGTCTTTGTTTACTCTTTTAAGATCAGTAAAGAGGACCTCTATAATGTACTTTTTCTGTGAAACCTGCCCTTGAGTAATGAGTCGTTCTGCAAATCATTAATTCAAATAGTGCTCTTGCCACTTTTCTTTGATAGATCTACTAAGACAAAGATCAGAGTAAATTAAAATGACAATCTCCTGCAGGCAACAACTGGTATTGCCAGTACTAGAAGGCATTTAGTTATTGTACCTGTCTTTACTTAATCATGGCTCTGACTTGAGCATTTGATTTAAAAACTACTGCAGAGCAAGTCACCACCCTGTATTTAGCATACTGACTTAATAATTAAAAGGGTATCACAAAAAATGAATGAAAAAAAATTTATTCACTGGAGTTAGGTACTAGTAAAAGCATTAAAAATTCAAGAAATCTTATGGGGGAAATCTAATTTAGAAAAACAGTGAGTAGTTTTTGAAGTGGCTGTTGAAGTGAATATTAATTCAGTATTCTTCCTAAAGGAGAAAGCATGTCAAGAAAATAGCATTTAGGATTTTTAAAAATGTTTGTAAAAGTCTACAAATATGTTTTTAATATATTACCTGGAAATGTTTGTTAAAAACATAGATTCCCAGGTCTTGCATGCAGAGATTTTGATTCAGTAGTGTTATAATTATACATCACTTCAGTATAAATAACTTTTGTTCATATAATCCAATGCCTAATAGGAATGCTTGATAGTGTCCTAATCAGGACCCGCCCTCTTCAGAGGTGGCTACTTAGCTATTTGTAGTGAAATCAACACCTAAAGTTTTGTTATTTACTATAAAAGATGTCAGAAAGAATTTTGTACAATTAGTGGTATCAAGAGTAGTAACTGAGAAGGAAAAATTTTCTGGACCCAGAAAATGTCTTGTATGAACAAGACATAGGAGTGGAGAAGCCCAGCACTCAAATGTCATTGATGGAGTATGTGAGGTCTAAGCCCCACTGAACTCAGCTGCCTGACCCAAAAGAGGTCTTGATGTCATTGATGTCTGTTTGGAGTGAACTTTTCATGCAAGGTGCTGGTTGGTGAGCCTCACTTGCGGCCAGCCCACCTGAAATTACAGGCAAGGCATATGACTATTTTCTGGCTGTTTGTTTATAACACATGTACACTTGGGAAATTTGATTGTTGAAGACTTGCTTTCACTGAAATACACCTCTTGGTAATTAGATTGTGAGGGTGGAGTCATCTAACTCCCAGATACCTCTAACAAAGCTACCAATACTTACTAAAAGAGCTTATTTGTTGATCATCTAAACTGGCCAAGACCATTCACAAAAATAAAGGATTGGTTGAGACACACACATTGTATTTTAATATCACTTCAGGTGACACTGAAGCAGGTGATTTACAAACCATACATTGGGAACCACTGGATTAAGAAAAGACATGTCATTACAAATGTATTTTAGAAATCTAATCTTTGATAAAAGGATTTAAGAGCTAAAAAAGCTGATTTCAGGAGTAAGAAGACATGTTTTTTTAACCTTAAAATGATTTTAGGTAGCTAGAACCCCCAAACAGATGAATGAAGGATGTTACTACAAGGTAATTAATAGAACTGACCTTCACCTCCCTTAATATTTACACTTGAGAACTTATCTCTTTTCATATTTACATATAGGATTTAGTTTAATCTACAGCAAACATGTATCTATGAAGCAAGTGTTTGAATTTCAGGCCACATGCAATATTTTCACTGTTTTGTTTTATATCATCATCTATTTGCCTGAGAGTTAAAATCAAACTCTTTTTTTTTTGAGGCTTATGTTGATCATTTATATTTGTGCAGAATTTTATTATTTATTTATTTATTTTGAGACGGAGTTTCACTCTTGTTGCCCAGGCTGGCGTGCAGCAGTGCAGTCTCAGCTCACTGCAACCTCTGGCTCCCGGGTTCAAGCGATTCTCCTGCCTCAGCCTCCCGAGTAGCTAGGATTACAGGTGCCTACCATCACGCCTGGCTAATTTTTTCTATTTTAGTAGAGACGGGGTTTCATGATGTTGGCCAGGCTGGTCTCAAATTCCTGAACTCAGGTGATCCACCGGTCTCAGCTTCCCAAGGTGCTGGGATTACAGGCATGAGCCACCATGCCTAGCAGAATTTTATGCTTTATAAATCATTAATGCATGTTATTTTCTTTTTAGGTGAAAAATGTTACTTAATAGTGTCATTATCTGTTCTATAAGACTCATTAATTTCCCAAACAGTTATAGAAGATAAGATACAAATAGTATGTTCTCAATTTTAAAAATAAATACGGGGATAGTACTATTAACTTGCCCAAGTTATCCATTCATGCAGTAGAAGAGATTCCTAATTATTAGCATAAAAGTTCACTAGATATTCTCTGAATATCAGTGTGTCTTTCTAGCCAGTAATTTCAATTAGCATGACAGTCAATGAGATATACTTAAAATTTAATATTTTCAAAAGCCTGAAATTGTAAGACACTGCGAATGTCTTTATGCTGTGTATTAAAATGATTACATATAAAGAGTTGACTTGGTTGTTAATAAAAAACACCCATTAGCAGATTTAACAACTGTGTTAAAAATAAAATGTTCCAAGACAGGAAATAAAAGGTTGAAACTTTTCTTTAGTTACAGCAATAAAAGCCATAAAAGTGATGGATTTTTGAAATTTATATGTCAAAAGTTCAAACTATATTTGAAGAGTTAGATTTTGACACTTACAAAGTGTCAAAAATTTGACACTTACAAAGATCAGTGTTCTCATTCTCCCAGTAATGACTGACAGACACAGACGGGTCACTTCATTCCTCCCATTAATAGAACTGAGAGGGGAAAGGCTTTTTCCTTAATCCAAAAACAAACATGAGTATAGCAAAGCTCATTCACATGCCCAAATATCAATGTACCACACAACCTGAGTTCAGATCAGTGCACTTGGGTAAGCATAGTCCCTGATAACATTCTGCTCTTCTACATCTTTAAAAATATACAATAGTTTAAATTTAAAATGACCATTTAATTATTCTCTCTATAAGTGTCTATTGAGCACCACTGTTTTCCAGGCATATTATAGATGAAGAGAACATGGTGGTGAAAAAAATGATCAAGGTTTTATCATATCATAGAGATGCCATTTTAGAGATGGTTATAGACATTAAGCAAGTAAATTAATTTCACAATACAAGCAAGATGTGACAAATGCTATGAAAGAAATAAGACAGAATGATATAATGGAGTGACTGGGAAAAGGAGGACATGTGAATTTGGAGTTCAGGAAAGTCATTTCTAAGCAGGAGATATTTGAGGCTATACAAAGGTCTGGGTACAGAGCAATCTGGACAGCAGGACAGCAAGCACAAAGGTCCTAAAATGGGAACAAGCTCGGTATGGATGGAGACAAATACAAACATTGGAAGGAATAAAGTTACCAACACAGCTTTGTTACAGGTGATGAGAAAGCCCAACTGAGAGAAAATGATAGCTGTGAAATCCAGATAACCCATCCTGCCACTTCAGTTGATTAATCAGAATTTCTAGTTGTCTCAATGCAGAAATGTCCAGGCTAATATCACCATTTTCCATGACCCACTTCTCCACTGGAAATAAGATTTATCTTGCCACCCCAAATGATACCATCTCTAGAGGGGCAGGGAATTTAGGAGGCAATGTGAGAGTCAGGCCAAATTTAATAGTCAACAATGACATTATTTTCACAATATATATTTCCTCATTTTAGGGAAAATATGAATCCCAGGAAAGCCACTTATTGTTGTGGAACTCTAAGCATTGTAGAGCAGCTCTGGCTTTTTGGAATTTGGTCCTGCCAAGGTGTGGATTTTTCCTTTCAGTGGCATTTAGCAGATCTCGTCCATAACTAGGCACGGATGGCACTCTTTTTCACTTTTTGTTCCTTTTATAGCAGAGAGTTATTTTCTAAGTACAAATTTAAATTTGAAACTCACCATAATTTATTTGCTTCCAGAAGAGTTCATGTTTTTGATTTTAAAATATTAAAATAAAAATTAGATGAAAAGTATCAAAGGAACTAGAAGAACAAAAGTTAAAATAAGAAATACTAAGGCTCTTAAATATAATTTAAAACTGATTTAAATAGATACTTAAAAACACTGAAGAAATGCTTTTTTGAAAAACATTTTAGGGTACTAAAAAATATTTAGTACCCTAAATTTAGTACCATTTAATTTAGAAATTAATTGGTGTTAATAAATAAATGTAATAATCTAATATACATAATATATGTATAAATTCAAATTATATATTATATACTGTATAATATATAATTATATTATATACTGTATATAATATATAATTATATATTATATACTGTATATAATATATAATTATATATTATATACTGTATATAATATAATTATATTATATACTGTATAATATATAATTATATATTATATACAGTATATAATATACAGTATATAATATATAATTATATATATAAATTTAAATTTTATATATATAAAATTTAAAAGTATATATATATATATATACTTTTAGTTTAGAAGAGCAGAGTCTGTGTAGATTAAACTCCTTCTTGGTAGGCAAAAGTAACCCAAAGATCATCCTGGAAAAGTATACTGGGAGGAAACTGTTGGTGAAAGTGAAGTGAATACAAAACTAAACATCTTGAATTTGGCATAGATTCAGCTGAGAGAAGCAAAATTTGTAAGCAGAAAAAGAAGGATAAAGGTAAATGGGAAGGGTGTTTGGACTTATAAAGGCTCATTAAACTTTATATCCTTTCTCTATATAATTTTCTGCCAGTACAATAACACACCCTGGGTACATAATGAAATAAAAGGTGATAATAGTTAGGGTCCAGTGTCATTCTGTGCCTAAAACTTTAAATAAATTGCCATTCCATATGGATGTTAAAGCATTCATGTGACAAATCATCACATAGTCGTGTAATGAAAGGGGGTTGCTGTTTTTCAAATTTGTTGATTAATAGAGTAGTTCAAGCTAAAGTTGCTTTTTACAAAGTATACAATATTAGGAGGCAAATTACCTGGCAGGGGGTAGCCTGCTCCTGTCACTCCATGAGCTTCCGGAGTGAAGTAAGCCCAAGGATGAAGCCTGACTCTTGGTCATCTTGAGCCAAACCAAGCTACATCACCTAATCCAATCCTCCAGAAAATAGAATCAACTGGAGGTCAGTGGACAATTGTTGACAGTGGAAGGCTAAGCAAATGTATTAGCTTTGGAATTACACAGATCTAGGTTTAAACCCTAGGCTTATGGGATATAAGCAGCCACTTGCAAGTTTTGTAACTCTGAGGAGGTGTCTTCACCTCTGTAAGCCTCAATATTTTTTTAATGTAAAACACAATTTTTTTCTTTTTCCAGAAACAGAGTATCACTATGTGGCCCAAGCTGGTCTGGACCTCCTAGGTGCAAGAGATCCTCCCACCTCAGCCTAAAACACAGATTTTAATGCCCAATTTTGTTATAATAAGAATTAAATAAGTTAATGTACGTAAAGTTTTTAGCACAGCAGTTGATCCCTGTTGGGCCTTCAATAAACAGTACTTTGGAAAAAAAAAAAGAATTCTCTTTTAAGCAATATCTTCTTATGCTTACTAAAGCCATAGAATGGGAGCTTGGGCCTCTTCCCACTCTGTGAATGTTCATGACCACAGCCCACTCTGCATATGAGACAACGAACCATCACTAACTGCAAAGGAGCAAACAACGTGTCTCCAGTCAGCCTTAGTGAAAATTGCTCCTGATCCCTCTCTTCTTTCAGGGGTTGCAGCAGCTCAGACAATCCTTACCATGTGAAAGGAGGAATGACTGTCATGGCATGAAAAAAGCATCACTATGGTAGCTTATTTTTCCGGTTTTCTTTTCTTTGAGCATGTTTAGAGCTTTGAACATGTAGAACTGGCCAGAGTCTGGCACATCCTAATCAGTTTTCTTTGCCATCCTGAAAAGTCCTGTGTACCTTCTCATCATTCAGTTGGCATCAGTTCTCATCTTGGTCCAGGCTTAACTTGCACTTAAGAGTATTGTGAGCATAGGAGGGGAATTAGTGTGGCATTTGGTGGAGGTACAGTGAAGAAGGGAACTGGATTAGGAGGCTGAAGTCTTGGCTTCTTGGCTTGTTGCCAGTTGTGGCAAAGTACCTCAACATCTCTCAATTACAAATGCTAATTCTTACTATATAGCATTTGTATGTATGTGTGATGGTGAAATAAAATAATAAGAAACTGGTTTATAAATTATATAGAGCTATTAAAAAATAAGACCTTTATTCTTGTAGACCTATTTGATGTATAAAATAAATATTGTGTTATATTTAACTTTAATATTAATAAAATCTTCTCCATTTATGAATTCCAATATTGCTCCAAAATGGACTTTATTCTTACCCTGTATATCTATAAAATGTATCATTATAAATAACATATATTACAAATGATTAGTAATTTAATTATCTGATTTTAAATTAACATTAAGATACTAGTTCAGATCAGCCTGTAAACACACAAATTATTTTCCTGATAAATTACTTTTGCATATATTGCTTAGGTAACTAACAAAGGTAGAGTTGGAAATCTTGAGTGTACAAAGTATTTTTCATTTAGAAAATCTAAAGAATTACATATTATAATATTAAGCCATATCTTCTACTAACATGAGTGAAACAGGACTTGGCTTTATAAAATCTAGGATCTGATAATTCTCTTTTACAATATAAGAAAATTAAGCAATTGAAACTAACATAGCCCTTGTAGAATTTTTTACAACACCTTTTTTTTAGATATGTGTACTTCCTGATAAGCAGAGATGATGAAATAATGGCCTATTAAAAGCAAGTAAGTTTCTATAAAAACGCCCAAGCAGGGATTTAAGGCATCTCCTGCATGCACAGTTGCAGTTAGTTATTCCAGGTATTATTTTTGTTTTCAGAAAAAGAAAACTCAGTAGAAGATAATGGCAAGTCCAGACTGGGGATATGATGACAAAAATGGTAAGAGTTCTCCTGTTTATATAGATCAAAATGATAACTTGTTCCCATTTCCAACAGAAAAGATATTAAGTATTTAAAATAATTGTACAGCTATAGGTTAATTGTTGAACTGTCTGCTTTAAATAATTATACTATCTTTGCATGTATTCTTAGCATTGTCTTTTGGGGCATGGCTGACTACAAAATATGTTTGATATATATATATACAGGCATACCTCAGAGATACTGAAGGTTCAGTTTCAGACCCCTATCATTAAGCAAATATCACAAGAAAGCAAGTCACATAAAATTTGGAGTTTTCCATGGCATTTACAAGTTATGTTTACACTATGCTGTTGTCTATTAAGTGTGCAATAGCATGTTTAAAAAATCTACATACCTTAATTAAAAATACTTTATTGCTAAAGTATGCTAGTGATCACCTGAGCCTTCAGAAGTATTAATTTTTTTTTCTTTGACACAGAGTCCTCTCTGTCGCCCAGCTAGAGTGCAATGGCATGATCTAGGCTCACTGCAATCTCTGCCTCCCAGGTTCAAGTGATTCTCCTGCCTCAGCCTCCCGAGTAGCTGGGACTACAGGTGCCCACCACCACGCCTAGCTAATTTTTTTGTATTTTTAGTAGAGATGGGGTTCCACCGTGTTAGCCAGGATGGTCTTGATCTCCCAACCTCATGATCTGCCCTCCTTGGCCTCCCAACGTGCTGGGATTACAGGCATGAGCCACCACGCCCAGCCAAGTATTAATCTTTTTGATGGTGGAGGGTCTTGCCTCAGTGTGGATGACTGCTGACTGATCAGGATAGTGGTTGCTGAAGGTTGGGAAGGCTCAAAGTTATCCATGACTTTGGAATTAACTTCTTTCAAACTCCTGTTAATGTTGATAACTTGACCTTCTCCCATGAATTACAAATGTTCATGCAGAATGGTGAATCCTTTCCAGACAACTTCCATTTCCTTTACTCAGATCCATCATAAAAAAAATTATTATCTATGGGAACTACAGCCTTACAAAGTGTATTCTTAAATAAGATTTGAAAGTTGAAATTACTCCTTGATCCATAGACTGCAGAATAGATGCTGTGTTAGCAGGCATAAGCATAACATCAATCTCCTTGTACATCTCCATCAGAGCTCCTGGGTGACCAGGTGCACTGTCAATGAGCAGTGATATTTTGAAAGGAATCTTCTTTTACTGAGGAGTAGAGCTCAACAGTGGGCTTGAAAATAGTCAGTAAACCAGGCTGTAAATAGATGTGCTGTCATTCAGGCTTTGTTGTTCCTTTTACAGAGCACAGGCAGAGTAGATTGAGTATAATTCTTAAGGGTCCTAGGATTTTCAGAATGTTAAATGAGTGTTGGCTTCAACTTAAAGTCAACAGTTGCATTTGACCCTAACAAAAGAGTCAGGCTGTTTTTAAAACTTTGAAACCATGCATTGACTTCTCCTCTCTAGCTATGAAAGTCCTAGATGCTATCTCCTTCCAAAAGAAGGCTGTTTTGTCTGCTCTGAAAATCTGTTGTTTAGTGTAGTCACCTTCATTGGTTATCTTAGCTAGATCTTCTGTATAACTGTCTGCGGCTTCTGTATCAGCACTTGCCACATCACCTCACACTTTCATGTTATGGAGATGGCATCTTTCTTTAAATCTCATAAACCAACCTCGACTAGCTTCTAACTTTTCTTCTGCAGCTTCTTTGCCTTTCTCAGGCTTCACAGAATTAAAAAGAGCTATAGCCTTGCTCTCATTAGGATTCGGCTTAAGGGAATGTGGTTGTTGGTTTTTGATCTTCTATCCAGACTATGCAAACTTTCTCCATATCAGCAATAATGCTGCTTTGCTTTCTTATCATTTGTGTGTGCACTGGTGTAGCACCTTTAATTTTCTCCAAGAACTTTTCTTTTGCATTCACGGCTTGACTAACTGGCACAAGAGGTCTAGTTTTTGGCCTGTCTCAACTCTTGACATGCCTTCTTCACTGAGCTTAATCATTTCTAGCTTTTGATTTAAAGTGAGAAACATGTGACTCTTCCTCTCACTGGAGTACTTACAGGTCATTGTAGGGTTATTAAACAGATTAATTTCAATATTCTTGTCTCAGGGAATAGGCAGACTTACAGAGAGGGAGATAGATGGGGAATAGCCAGTCAGTAAAGTAGTTAAAACACACACAACATTTACAGATTAAGTTCATCATCTTACTTGGACATGGTTTATGGTGCCACAACACTATTATAATAGTAACATCAAAGATCTCCATGATAGATATATGAACAATTAAAAAGTTTAAAATATTGTGAGAATTACCAAAATGTGACACAGAGACGTGAAATAAACACATGCTGTTGAAAATATGCCCCTAATAAGCTTGCTTGATGCAAGGTTGCTACAAATCTTCAGTTTGTAAAAAATGCAATATCTGCAAAGAACAATAAAGTGAAGCGCAATAAAATGAGTTAAGCTTGTATTAGAAATCTATTGCTAATAATAAAATATGTATGGTCTGATTCTATAGACTATGAGTATAGATCTATATTAGTAGTATTGACAAATACACTATTTTATAGTACAATATAGAAAAGGGGCCGGGTGCAGTGGCTCATGCTTGTAATCCCAGCACTTTGGGAGACCAAGGCAGGTGGATCACTTGAAGTCAGGAGTTCGAGACAAGCCTGGACAACATGATGAAACCCCATCTCTACTAAAAATACAAAAAAATTGGCCAGGCATGGTGGCATGCTCCTGTAATCCCAGCTACTTGGGAAGCTCACGCATGAGAATCGCTTGAGCTTGGGAGGCAGAGGTTGCAGTGAGCCAAGAGCGCATCACTGCACTCCAGCCTGGGTGACAGAGCAAGACTCTGTCAAAAAAAAAAAAAAAAAGAGAGAGAAAGAAAGAGAGAGAGAGAAAGAAGGAAAGAAAGAAAGAAAGAAAGAAAGAAAGAAAGAAAGAAAGAAAGAAAGAAAAAGAAGGAAAGAAAGAAAGAAAAGGGACATCTTCAAACACAGAATTTCTATTAATCTTAAGAGAATATCATTTAATACACTGAAATAAACCCTAATCTAATAAGCAAACAGGTAACTATACTCCTAAAACTTGGAATCAAGCATTTGATAAGACATTGATTTTACACGTGTTTGTCCTGGTAGGTCCTGAACAATGGAGCAAGCTGTATCCCATTGCCAATGGAAATAACCAGTCCCCTGTTGATATTAAAACCAGTGAAACCAAACATGACACCTCTCTGAAACCTATTAGTGTCTCCTACAACCCAGCCACAGCCAAAGAAATTATCAATGTGGGGCATTCCTTCCATGTAAATTTTGAGGACAACGATAACCGATCAGGTGAGCTGAAAGACCCTTCTGATATTTTTTTCTTACAGTCTACTGGGAAAATTTAAAAAATAGTGCTCGAGAAATATGACACCCATTCTAAGTCTTTTGTGCTTGTGTGCAGCATTGCTGTAATCTAGTGAGGCATCTTGGACTTCTGGAAAACGCCCAGGTGGTAAAGACAATTTTTGGAACTCCCAGCTCTCTATTTTCAGTCTTGCTTCTCAAAGTCACCATCACGTCTCTTCTCGTCATTCCAGTATCTGTATGCTCACTTCACTGTCTCTGAATAAACAGCATTTATCCAGAAAGGTCTAGTGAACCAGTCATTACAAATATAACAACTAAAAAGAAAAATATTTTCTAATTGGGATGAGTATGAATGAGCACAGTAGAAAAGAAAAACAAAGCAGTGACTGAATTATCCTTATACTCCAGAATCTAGAACAAATTTTGCTACAGAGTTAGCTTTTCATGAAGGTTTATTGAATATTTTATTAAATGACAATTCCATAAAACAGTTCTACTGATTTAAAATGCTAAATTTGTTTATGAGTTTCTGAGGCCTAAATTTTAGGCACCTTGGGACTATGTCCATTATTAATATTAGATTAGGTCTGGTATTATATGCATTTAACTAATATTATCATTGGATAGGCTCTCCAAACAAAGTTTTATAAGTGCCCCACTGCCCCACTGGTACTCTCTCTTGGTCCCTGGCCAGGGATTCTCAACAAAGCTGTCAAGATATACTTTTGTGTCTTCATCAGTTACACAGTAGGTGATGAATGGTTCATTACTCAAAATAAACTACTAAAGATTTTTGATGCATACTGTCTTTGTTGAAAGAATGAAGGAATAAACTTGCAAATTAAAGGAGATTCAAGGACAGCCCTGTAATGATATAATTCACTCACATTGCAATATGCTTTCTAGGAGTTAGAAATAGGTAAAATTGTAGCTCGTGTGGCTGGGAAATGTGTATAATTCATGGAATAGCTCATCAATGCCACAGTCAGGGGTGCACCATACATATGACTGTCATCCTCATGGATGTGGGGGAAAACAAGATGAAAGTTTAGGCACTAATGTTTGTTTTCACTTCTACTCAATACAATTTAGTGTTGGTTTATATTAAATGCAAAGATAAGCTAGAGTTTGTGGAGCATCAGGCTAACAATCGGTTCCCTTTTCTTCCAGTGCTGAAAGGTGGTCCTTTCTCTGACAGCTACAGGCTCTTTCAGTTCCATTTTCACTGGGGCAGTACAAATGAGCATGGTTCAGAACATACAGTGGATGGAGTCAAATATTCTGCCGAGGTAATGTAATTTAGTAAGTGAGAGATAATTACCCTGAGAGTACTCCCAGAAGCAGCTTCTCCCTTCTTTTCTAAGACAACATCATAATGACTCCAAAGGAATGGGTATTCCAGTAAGGAACTCCCAGTTTCCATTAAAATCAAGCACAGACACATAATGTTTGGCAAGAGAGAGAAAATTTTCATGTGGAAAGAGGCAGCTAAACTCCTGAGCCCAAGATTCACCTTTCCCTGAGAATGCCTCAAAAGCTGTTACCTTGATATCAAAGCTAGCTTCAAAGGATGACACTGCTCCTCCTTTAAAGCTGTAACCCCAAATGGAACACACCATCATTTCCTCTTTATTTAAACGTTCAAGTTTGGATACACCAGCAGTATCGTTGTGGCCAAGCCAGGACAATTCAATGAGACTCTACTAAGAGCTCGAATTTAACCACAGCAATGGTCACAGAACAGCATACACCTAGATGAGGGTCTAACCTTCCCTGGCTCTTAACCTGCTCTCACATGGAAGTTTGTGACTTATTTCAGGACATTATTATCTGTATATCCAAAGAAAAATGGAGACATGTACACCAAACTCTCAGCAGAGGGTCTGGGAGATTAAAATGTGAGAAATTTTGCTCTTTATTTTAGGTGTATGAATTATATAATACATGTGTACCCATATATGCAGGTTGACTTTTTAATTTTACTTTCATCAAATGAATTCTATAATATATATAATTTTGCAACCTGCTTTTTTTCTATTTACCCACTTATCATGACAATTTTTAAAAATCAGAAGATTGAATTCCACCTTTTTTACTGTCAGCATAGTATTTCATTTGGGTGAATGCATCAGAATTTATTTAACTGCCTTCTATTGATGAACAATCACAACATATGATTTTTGTTATATTGGTTTCTTTTGCTTTTATTAAAAAATGCTTCAGTGAATATATCTGTACATATATCTTGTGCACTAGTGAAAGTAATTATGTACGATAGATTTTTCCAGGGCAGACTGCTACGTTACAAAGTATATGTATCTTCTATTCTGATAGAACATCAGCAGATTGTATACAAATAAAACTTGCTTTACCTTGTGTTGTAAAGCATGACTAACACCTTTCAATGCTGCAGAAATCTGTTAATTGGGTTTTCCCCTCCATAAAATTGAAGGTAGATTAAAATTAAATGGACTAAGAGCCTAAATTAGTATTATCTTTTTGGAAGGATAGTTGGTAGTATCCAAGAAAACTAAATTAGTGACTCTCTCATCTAAATTGAGAAAAATCAATATAATCCATGCTAGATATTGAGAGACACTTAGCCACAAAGTTTAGCATATGATTAAATTCAGTTCAATAAACCTTCTTGAGATACCTATAAGACAATAGGTTTGAGAGGCAATGCAGCCTGTTGCTTAAGAATGCAAGTACCCAGCTGACTGCCAGGGTTTGAATCAAAGCTCGACCACTTACTAGCTGTACAAATTCAAACAAATCACTCTACGCTCCAGTATTCCTATATAGAGAATCTAGATAATATAGCATTAGTATCTATCTTAATAATTGTTGACAGCATGAAAAGAGTTAACCCATACAGAGCACACTTAGACCAGCACCTTTCATGTTGCATGTGCTGAATAATGTTACTTAACATTTCCGTAGAGACACAAGCAAACATTTTTCAAGCAGGGAAGTATAGGCATAAATTATTGTGATTAAATAAATATAGTAGCAAATGGCAGTATGACTATTCACAAAGAAGCATAGGAATACAGATGTAAGAATAATTAATTACAAGTAGGGACAGAATCTACACTGGCATGGTCAGAGGAAATTGCAATAAGTGATCCCTCTTAATATACTGTCTTAATCATTCTTTTTTCATTCAACAAATATTCACTGGACACCTACAATATGCCAGATACTGTCTTTATTTTTTGTCGTTATTTATTTATTTATTTTTGAGAAAGAGTCTTGCTCTGTTGCCCAGGCTGGAGTCCAGAGGCACGATCTCGGCTTACTGCAACCTCCTCCTCTCAGGTTCAAGTGATTCTCCTGCCCCGGCCTCCTGAGTAGCTGGGATTACAGGCATGTGCCACCACACCCGGCTAATTTTGTATTTTTAGTAGAGATGGAGTTTTACCACGTTGGTCAGGCTGATCTCGAACTCCTGACCTCGTGATCCGCCCGCCTCGGCCTCCCAAAGTGCTGGAATTACAGGCGTGAGATACTGTTTTTAAAAAGTACTTGCTATCAGAACTTGCATTTGATAGGGAAAATAAAAATTTCAGAGGAAGGAAGGCAGGAAAGAAGGGAGGGAGGAAGGAAGGAAGGGAGGGAGGAAGGAAGGGAGGGAGGGAGGAAGGGAGGGAGGAGAATAGGAAGAAGAGAGATTAAATAAGTGATATGGATAGAACTGTTTTGATTTGTGGTGGTTACTTTATATTGGATGATCAGGAAAGAATTATTTAAGGAGTGGCATTTGAGTTCAACCCTAATTCAAGACAAAAGTCTGCCATTTGAAGATCATGGGGAAGGAAATTCCAGAGAAAATTAGAAGCTAATGCAAAGGCTCAAAGTTGTGAACATGTGACGAAGTATAACCTGTAAGATGTGAATGTTGATAGGTGGGGAAAGCAAGAAATGAATGATAGTTGTTGTACTTATTGATTGAGCATTTAAAAACCTTATCCTAAGAAGGTAAAATTAAGCAGGTTTGGCAAGAAGGAAATCTAGAGTTCTATTTTGGCCAGATTAAGTCTGAAACATCTATTAGACATCCATGTAGAGATATCAAGAATATATCAAGAATACATATATACATACTTGGATGTACAAATCTAGAGTTTGCAGAGACGTTAAGCTGGAGATATTTATTTGAGAGATGTTTGGAAAGGGCACGAACGTGCCTGAAAGAATCTGTTCTTGGCCAAGACTCCCAGGAACTCCAGGAACCCTTTCTCATAAATTTACTATAAAGTACCTCATGTGAGAGAAAATTACTTCAATTATTTTCCCAAAAACTAGTTAGTCATATTTCCTGATCTTTTCAAAACAAAGAGAGATACATTTAAAGGAGTAATATTAAATAACAATATCGTAGGAAAGGACATTTTGCTTACTGGTTCCAGGTTTTGTAATCTCTACCTGGCACACAGATAACCCTTCCTACGAGTGAGAATGTAACTCTTCTAATCCACTGGATAAAGGTTCACATAAGTTTTATGTATCTAAGCCAAGATACATCATCATATGGTAACAAGTTAACTTATAACTTATCTTTTTTCATCACACTGGTATAAATAATTAATTAACCATAGTATCATTTTTAGCTTCACGTAGCTCACTGGAATTCTGCAAAGTACTCCAGCCTTGCTGAAGCTGCCTCAAAGGCTGATGGTTTGGCAGTTATTGGTGTTTTGATGAAGGTGAGTTACAGATAATTACACAGCTCTGCTTCCACTGTCTTACCAATTAGACCTCAAAATAGAAGGAAATAAGGCAACATATATTTTAGAATTTCTTATTTTAAAGTTTCCATTTAACCGATGACTACAGGTGAACAAATAGTTCCCTAGTATTTTATTGCTTGGTTTTATCTCTGCTTTTCCCTCTTAAAGAGAGAAATGAGTTTCAGGTGGAGGTGAGATAGAAATGTGTTCACAGGGAAAAAGGAATTTCTATTTTCCAGCTCTTCCAAATTCCCTTTCCTCTAAATTTCCTACATCATAGATTCTGAAATTTATTAATTTAATGTCTCATCAGGAAAGAAATATTATTAAATATTAATAAGGAAACCTGAAATCATAGATTCAGAAATTTATCAATTTAATATCTCATTAGGAAAGAAATAGTAAGAGAATTTTTTCTTACAAAGAATATTCAATTGATTTTTTAAATGGGAGATGTTGCTCAAATCCTCTATAGAAGAATCCCTGAAAAGTTCTATGAAAAAGTTATTATTAAATTGGGTATGCCCGGGTAACCAAGTAACTCTTGAAATTATAGCACTTCTACTTAACCTTTACTGAGCACTTACAATATGCCAAATACTGTAGTAATGAAAACTAATATAACAGACCAAAATAAGAGATTTGTTTTTGTGTCAGTTTTGATAAATTACTAGATTTTGCCCTGTATAACTTTGAACATATTGCCAATAATTAAGTTTAAATCAAACTTTTTGTTTGCTACTTTTATCTGTAGGTACATATTATAAACAATTTATAGAGTACAAAGGCCCTCAAAGACATACAGCTTGAAAAATCTCCCCTTCTAAAGCAGAGAGAAAATACCTTACCTCTTGTCAGTTGTTAATTGAAAAAAAATTCAAAATTTAGCTAAGCAGTGTTCGATTGATAATAATCTTTATCTCATACTTTATTTTCTTAAATCTCCAGGTTGGTGAGGCCAACCCAAAGCTGCAGAAAGTACTTGATGCCCTCCAAGCAATTAAAACCAAGGTAAACACACTAAATAAGTAGTTTAAATCAGAGAACAAGAATTTACAGATCTATGGAAATCATTTAATGAAGTATTAAAACTGGGGAGTAGGAAGGCCATAGTAAAAGCTACCAACTGAAAATCAAGGTGCTACTTCAATACTGCCTACCTCTGAGAAAGTCTCTAATGCAGGGAATTGTTTTGGTTTTCTGTTTTTCATAGTTATGGTTTATTTATTTCAGCAGAATATGGCCTGTAGAAAACCAGATTACATAGCCATTTAAATTTGCTTGAAAAACTATATCTAACAAAATTGTGATTTTCCATTTGATAAATAAAGATATCTCTAGTTTTTTAGCAGTAGAAAAATTCAGAAGTAAAGGGCATTCTTTTGAGATATGGTTGATATACAATCTTTGATAACCATAACTCTTGTCAACTCAAAAAAAATGGATTTTTTGATATATACAAACTTAGCTTTATTGTTTTAAAGGTAAGCAGTTAAACCATAAATCAGAGATTTGTCATGTTTTGCAGCATGGAGAACTGTCATATATTTGTGTAAAATGAATCTGATTTATGCTGATTCTAGAAAAGATTAAACTTAAATGATTGTCTTATAAAGTATAAATGACAGAGATAAAAAATAAGCCCTCAACTCAAGAGTTATCAAAAAAATATGAAAAGAAAATATAAGGAAATAATTAGTGAAGATAAAAGCAGAAAAGAATAAAATAAGAAAGAAAAATGATGGCCGGGTGTGGTGGCTCATGCCTGTAATCACTGCACTTTGGGAGGCCGAGGCGGGTAGATTGCTTGAGGTCAGGAGTTCAAGACCAGCCTGGCCAACATAGTGAAATCCCATCTCTACTAAAAATACAAAAAATTAGCTGGGCGTGGTGGCGCACACATGTAGTCCTAGCTAATCAGGAGATTGAGCCAGGAGAATCGCTTGAACCCAGGAGGTGGAGGTTGCAGTGAGCCGAGATTGTGCCACTGCACTCCAGCCTGGGTAAAAGAGTGAGACTCCATCTTAAATAAATAAATAAATAAATAAATTTTGAAAAGAAAAATGATGGCTAAGTAAGGGGTAAAATTTTATCAATAAATTGAAAAGTTGATTCTTTGGAAGAACAACAAAAAAGTCAGACTTTGGGGAAGCTGGATAAAGAGAAAAAAAGCCGTACATATAAAACATTATTAGAAATAAATAGGTTGTGACTAAAGATATAGAAGAAAATTTTAAGAGACAAAATTTTTTATAACATTATGCCAGTAAATTTGAAAATTTAGATAAAATGGATAATTTTCCAAGAAAATGTGAAATAAGGGAATTGACTCAAAAGGAGTTAGAATACCTAAATAGACTGAGAACCTAAAAGTAAATTTAAACAATAGTCAAAATGTATCTATTAAACAAAAAGACTAGGCCCAGACCACTTCATGGAAAAGGGTTACTCAACTTTTAAGAAACAATCATGCCAGTGTTAACTAAAGTGCCCAGATGAAGGAACAGACAGAAAACTTCCCATCAATTTAATGGAATCTGATACCAAAACCAGGTATGAAAACTACAAAACAGACAAACAAAACAAAAAACATAGGATAAACTTTCTTAGGAATATAGCTAAAGGAAATCCTAAAATTTATTATAACAAATCAAATTCAACAGTGTTTTAAAAGAGTAGTTTCTGAACTAGTAGAGTTTATCCCAAAAATACAAGAATGACTCAATATTAGAAAATCTTAAATTAATTCATTATATTAACTAGTTAAAGGTGAAGAAAACCTCATGATCAACTTGTTAAATGCTTAAAATCATTTGATAAAAGTTAATGCCCTTTCTTTAGGATGAAACAAAATGAAAGAAAACTGTCTGAAAACTTATTGAATTTGATAAAGAATTTACCTAGAAACTTGTATCAACATTTAACTTCATAGTGAAACACTTGAAGCATTTACATTTCAGTCAGGGACAAGACAAAAGTGCCACTGTGACCATCACAATTGAAAATTATAATAAGGGTCCTAGTCAGTGCAACAAAATAATGAAAGAGTACATATTATGATAGATATCGAAAGAGCAAAAACAAAACTATCATTATGTGCAGTTGATATCATCACTAACATCCACCTGAAAACTCCAGAAGAATCATCTAAAATACAGAATGCATAAAAGATTAGCATACAAATATCAGTATATTTCCTACACACCAGTAACAATCAGAAAAGACGATAGGAATAAATAGAATAAAACTGAAACAACCAATATGCATGTCAATAAAGATTTTTGCCATTGAAATAGAATCTGGCATCATTCCTAGAGAAAAAAATAAAAGCTTTATACTAGAAATTAAATATGTTTTAAAGATATAGATTGTAAAAAAGATTTTTGAATCTTTGCTTATCTGCAACCAAATGAAGAAGGAAGACGTCTTGGTCAAAAACTTACATATAACACATTTTTCATCTTTTTTTCTTCTGTTGATATTATTGTTTATATCCACAAACACGCCAGTCATGAAATACTAAATAGTAGAAAAATCAATGACTCTTAGCTAAAATCTCTAAATAATGTATAACAAGATAATATAGCATATATATGTCACATATATTCATATAAGTATTTTATATCATGCTGTAATGATGTATTCTTTTCTTCCAGGGCAAACGAGCCCCATTCACAAATTTTGACCCCTCTACTCTCCTTCCTTCATCCCTGGATTTCTGGACCTACCCTGGCTCTCTGACTCATCCTCCTCTTTATGAGAGTGTAACTTGGATCATCTGTAAGGAGAGCATCAGTGTCAGCTCAGAGCAGGTAGAGTTGTGAATGAATGGGAACTGGGAATGCGTAGCAGGAATATTACTTTAATTGATAGTATCAGTGAGAGAGATTATTATTTCAGTCAGCTTTGTGAGAAGTTCATTTTTCCTCCCAACTTAAAAATATTAATTTGGGGACATAGGTTTATTAAACTATCCAAAAATGCATTATAATACTTTATTTTGCCTTTATGCAGAAAAAAAATGACTCCCGCCACTCTTTCCTCCTTAATAAGGAAAAGTCCAACCTTGTTAAATATCTTCTTAAGCATTTCAGAAATAAAGGAAAAACTGTGACTGGACATTTCAATAAGACTTTGGGGAATTGTGGCTCCCAGCTGGCATACCTTGATAGTTGGCAAAATATTTTTGTTCCTTTTGTGGAGCTTAAACTTTTAAATATTCAACAAAATATCTCATTAACTGTTGTTAATAATGGTGATTATAGTAAGTATCATTCATTGCTCTACCATGTTTATTACGTGCCTTACATATGTTTTATTAGCCAATTCTCATAACAAACCTACAGGACAAGCATTGTAGCCTGTTGCTAACTGACATTTATTGAGCACATGCTATGTGTCAAGTATCATTCTAAGGGCTTTGCATGTATTAACCCATTTAATCTTCACAACAACACAGTGAAGTAAGTACTTATGGAAACTAAGGTACCAAGCTAATAAGTCGCTCGCCCAACGTACCCCAGCTGAAATTAAAAAGTTGATACTTTAACCCAGTCATCAATAATTAAATCAATAAAATAAAGCAAATAATTAAATTTGCTTTATTTAATTGATTTAATTAAATAATTAAATCAATAATTAAAGCAAAATGCCTGGTTCAAAGAAATGAATGTAAAGGATTTGGGGCTTTCTCTCTTCCTATTAGTGATATTACTGCAATTTCTAACTCAGTTTTCTAAATATCAGTGCGTTAGTAATCCTGTAAATAAAACGCTTTATGTAACTTTAAAAACTTTTTATTTTTAAAATATTTTATCCTTCTAGCTGGCACAATTCCGCAGCCTTCTATCAAATGTTGAAGGTGATAACGCTGTCCCCATGCAGCACAACAACCGCCCAACCCAACCTCTGAAGGGCAGAACAGTGAGAGCTTCATTTTGATGATTCTGAGAAGAAACTTGTCCTTCCTCAAGAACACAGCCCTGCTTCTGACATAATCCAGTAAAATAATAATTTTTAAGAAATAAATTTATTTCAATATTAGCAAGACAGCATGCCTTCAAATCAATCTGTAAAACTAAGAAACTTAAATTTTAGTTCTTACTGCTTAATTCAAATAATAATTAGTAAGCTAGCAAATAGTAATCTGTAAGCATAAGCTTATGCTTAAATTCAAGTTTAGTTTGAGGAATTCTTTAAAATTACAACTAAGTGATTTGTATGTCTATTTTTTTCAGTTTATTTGAACCAATAAAATAATTTTATCTCTTTCTTTCTGTTGTGCATTCAGTTTCTAAAACCATTAAGTTTCTACTCCATTTACATTCAAAAATCTTAAATACTTTACTTGCAAGAGTATTTTGCTTCAAATACAACAACCTAAGAGCAGCTGGAGATGAAATATTGGGAAATTCATTTGCTTACTCCTGAAGACAAAAATATAGCTGAGATGACCACTGGATTTAATATCGTTATGCTGGCCCAACATTGCTACCATTTGTGTTGTCTGTGATCAAAATGATTATCTTTTATATAGGAAGATGACGCTTCTGGATATTGCTTTCACTTCTTCTCCCCACGTTAGCAAGGACAATGCTTCTCTGCCATTATTACAACTAGTTAGTTTGCATGGAGAATCTTTACTTTAAAATTGGAAGAAAAGTCACAAGTGAATGGTTTATAAAAATGCTAAAGAAGTCATTCTTGCTTAGAATCATATAGAAACATCATGCAATCTTTTAGTCAGATGTGCGCTTCACCTTATGCTATTTTTATCTTTAATTGACACACAATAATTGTACATGTTTATGGAGTATAGTGTGGTGTTTTCTGTTTGTTTGTTTGTTTTTTGAGACAAGGTCTCACTCTGCCAGTCAGGGTGGAGTGCGATGGTGTGATCATAGCTCACTGCAGCCTCAAACCCCTTGGCTCAAGGGATCCTCCCACCTCAGCCTCTTGAGTAACTGGGACTATAGATGCCTGTCACCATGCCAGCCTAATTTTTAAATTTTTTTTTGTAGAGACATGGTCTCTCTATGTTGCCCAGGCTAGCAGTGTGATATTTTGATTCATGTATACAATGTGTAATGATCAAATCAGGGTAATTAGCATATCCATTACCTTAAACATTTATCATTTTTTTGTGCTGAGAATATTCAAAATCCTTTCCTCTAGCTATTTAAAAATATACAATAAATTATTGTTCATTATAGTCACCCTATTATGCTGTAAAACACTAGAACTTATTCCTCCTATTTTGCCGAAGCCATATCTACATCCAGAATTCTACAAATCCTGTGTCCAGTGTTTAATCTTGTGATTTACTTTAGTTATCTCATTTGAAGTAGTAAAGACCAAGCCCAATTGTTCATTTCTGTAAGTTTTAGTAAAATTACTTAAAAAACATTAAGCAGATTCTTCACTGCTCTAATAAGCCTTTCTGCAAAGGCTGTGTTTGTTTTACACCTAAAAACCATACTAAGAGACTTCTTTTGAAATATTTGACTTGGGGCCTAGAATTTAGGTGAATCCTCTTTATTAAAATGTAATTTGTTTTTATTTTATTTTTAATCAAAATTAATTTGTTTTTCTACACAAAGTTGGGAAATTTATAATTTATTAATTGAAAAAATAAATACAAATATAATGGAGTCAAGTAACACATTAGCTCTGCCCCCACGTGTAATCTCTAAATATAAAATATTTTATTTGCAAAGGAATCCAACTGTGTATGATACTCTATATTTGCCAAATATTGAGAAAGCCTGCAACACTTATACCTGGCCTAGGATCCTATTACTTCACATGAGTTGTATTGATAGGATTTTAATTATAAAGTTATCAAAGGCTCTCAAAAGGTGGGAGCCAAAGAAAGAGGGATATGAGCTTAAGTTGAGAAATACATTTGCAAAAGATGTTCATTTGAAAACATTTTCTGAAAAGAAATTAAACAATTTAGAAATAAGTTTCACAGGAAGGATCTGAAAAACACTTGACCTGATGGTCCATATATTTTTTAAGAAGGTTAAAATGGATTCCAGCATTTAGATATAAGTCTGTAAGTCTTATTATGGACAGGGCAAAGATGTGACAAAAAAATACATGATGACCATCAAACATTATCCCTAAGGCAAATGCCAAATGGGTAGCATGTTTCCCCTTACTGCCTCTGCCAGAATTTCATATATTTGGCAGAACTCATGAGATTCATTATGAATTTCTCTGAAGTAGCCAATAAAAACAGCTGTTGAGAGGAGGTATGTAAACTAGGCATTGGATCATCTGAGAGTGTAACTCATATGTGTCACTGACTCACCCTCCTCTTGTATGTCCTCATCCTTTGTCAACTTACATAAAGAATTTAAACATCCTGCAAGGATTCTCTGGCTTTTCCATGATGTTTGGCAGCTGACCTTCTTTATGCCACATCTATTGGCATCTAGAATGATAAGCCAGCTGGTGAGGCCCAGCGTGGGCTCTAGGATAAAGAGTGCTCTTACTGCATGCTGTTTTCTGCCTTTTCACTTGCCCTTCAGAAATACCCTGCTGTACCGTTATCACTATGGCACCCTTCTGCTGAACTGTGAGTCCAGGTAGACCAAAATATTTTCTATATTGTTCATTTATGTAAGGTTTAGCAAAATGACTCAAAATACATTAAATTCATCATAACAGGAATTAGGGCAAAGGAAAGAAAGAAAAAGAAATATCTTCATTAAATTTAATTTCCTTACATGACTCAAAAGAGCAGATATCTATTTACTATAACTCTAGGAACTCCCTATCCGTGGTCCTTCTCTGTTCTGTGGTGGCAGATTCCTACCAATATGTGATTAAAGCTATGAAACTTCTCTCCCTTACCAAAAATGTTACATAATCAAATATAGCCAAAATTTTGCACTGAGTCTTAGAATGTTTAGAAACTCAGCCTTTTGCTTCCTTCCCCATCACAAAGTCATTCCTGGACCTCAGGAAAAGATCCCTGCTCTAAACTATTTAAAAAGTTAAAAATGGACTCCAAGTCTCTCTTGATCTTGCATCCTAGTATAATATTTATTTTTGCTTTTCTTCCTCATCCTTTGTAACACATACCTACAAATGGTATGACAGTATATTTCTGGTATCATTCATGAATTATCTTTTTTTCCTTTCTCCTCTAAAAATATTACTTTGGGTTGATATAAGGTTTCATTGCAGAAGAGATATAAAAAGATTTTTTTTAAAAAGAGAACTCAAACCTTAGTGAATTGTTTATTAGTGGGTAATAAAAGATTACAAATGAGAATAAAAGGGCATAGAAGAGAAAGTTTGTTTGAGGAAGATATCATTGGATAAATAAAGGGCCAAAATCATTTTAAAAGCCATCAATATTCTCTGCATCCAAGACCATGAAAGCATAAGGAAATACTTATTTTATAAGCATTATCTTCTTGATTATCTGTAAACCCCAAATGTTTATTTACTCACTGATCTTCTGAGACACTGCACAGATTTTCTTATTACTCTTAATAGATTTACCAGTTTTTAATTTCAGTAGATACACATAGAGATAGGCAGACAGACAGATATAGCTACTGTATAAATGAGTATATCTACTTTGGCAAAATGGAACTATGGATGTAGGTATTTAACCAATTAAAAAATGGTAGCTGATTTTGTGTTCCTAGACTAAAAGCTAAGGAAAATAATGAATAGAATAAAAAGTATTTTAACAGAAGTATAACATGCTTGAAATAAATGTGGAGAAGTAGCCATAGGATTCTTGTACAAAAAATCTTGCTTTCAATAAAGAAGTAAGTTATAAGGAGTAAACTTAGAGTCTTAAAAATATGCACACACTCTCACCATGTACCAAAACAGTGAACTGGTGAACAAAGGGGTTGTGTTTGAAGACTTTAGAATGCTCAGATCACAAGTGCACTTACTAGATGTTGCGGGAAGTCAGGGACCCCAAATGGAGGGACCAGCTGGAGCCATGGCAGAGGAACATAAATTGTGAGGATTTCATTTTAATATGGACATTTATCAGTTCCCAAATAATTTCATAATTTCTTATACCTGTCTTACTTTAATCTCTTAATCCTGTTATCTTCATAAGCTGAGGATGTACATCACCTCAGGACCACTGTGATAATTGTGTTAACTGTACAAATTGATTGTAAAACATGTGTGTTTGAACAATATGAAATCAGTGTACCTTGAAAAAGAACAGAATAACAGCAATTTTTAGGGAACAAGGGAAGGCAACCATAAGGTCTGACTGCCTGTGGGATCAGGCAAAAAGAGCCATATTTTTCTTCTTGCAGACAGCCTATAAAAGGATGTGCAAGTAGAGAAGGTATCACTAAATTCTTTTCCTAGCAAGGAATATTAATATTAACACCCTGGGAAAGGAATGCATTCCTGGGGAGAGGTCTATAAATGGCCGTTCTGGGAATGACTGTCTTGTGTAGTTGAGATAAGGACTGAGATACGCCCTGGTCTCCTGCAGTACCAGGCTTACTAGGGTGGGGAAAAACTCCGCCTTGGTAAATTTGTGGTCAGACCGGTTCTCTGCTCTCAAACCCTGTTTTCTGTTGTTTAAGATGTTTATCAAGACAATACATGCACTGCTGAACTTAGATGTTTATCAGTAGTTCTGCTTTTGCCCTTTGCCTTGTGATCTTTGTTGGACCCTTATCAATAGTTCTGCTTTTGCCCTTTGTCCTGTTCCCTCAGAAGCATGTGATCTTTGTTAGACCTTTATTAGTAGTTCCGCCTTTTGCAGTTTGAAGCATGTGATCTTTGTACCTACTCCCTGTTCTTACATCCCCTCCCCTTTTTTATTTTATTTATTAACCCTTAATAAAAAACTTGCTGGTTTGAGGCTCAGGTGGGCATCACGGTCCTACCGATATGTGATGTCACCCCCGACAGCCCAGCTGTAAAATTCCTCTCTTTGTACTCTTTCTCTTTGTTTCTCAGCCAGCTGACACTTATGGAAAATAGAAAGAACCTATGTTGAAATACTGGGGGTGGGTTCCCCCAATAACTAGAGTTTTCTCACAATGGCATCTTGGATGCTAATCCCCTAACTATGAGAAGACAGAAATAGCATTTATGTTATAGAGGAACAAACTTTAAATGGCTTTATTTTTCTCTCAAAACTAGAGTATATCTTTCCCAAGTCATTAATAAACATTTTAATACCCCTTACAGGTAGAAGCATGTTATGCTATTTAGGTATGTTACCTTCTACTATGTTATTAGATGATCTAAATTGCCAGCAGAAGCAAACATTCACAACAGAATCACACTGTGCTAAAATAACATTTAGCTACTTAAAAAAATAGTTAGAACCTGATCTCACTCATATATCAAAATATATCCAAGATAGGTTAAATTTTTCAATGAAATCATTAATATGCTAGAAAATACATAAATATTTAAATAATATCTGGTAGGAGAATTTTATTCAAAGACACCAAAGGCAAACCCAGGAAATGGCAGAATAATGGATTGAACTGTGAAAAATTAAATATGTTGGTAAAAGCAGCAACAATAAAAAAATTTAATAAAAAGGAAAATGACAACCGGGAATAATGTTTCAATATAAATGGCATCCACAGGAACAATGTCCTCGCTATGTAAAAAGCTTTCACAAGTTTTAACATAAAAATTGAATTTCCAAGAGAAAATGTCAAGAAGACATAAAGAGGCAATTTAGTAAAGAAGAAATACAAATCATAAATAAATACATTTTTAAATGACCCAACTTAATAATCAAAGAAGTACAGATTAAAATAATGTTCTATCAATCTTTACATTCTTTAAATCAGTAAAGATTTTTAAATAATACACAGTGCTATCAATGATGCAAAGAAATAAGAACTGTCATACGTTGTTGAGAAGAGCATAAATTGGTACCATCTGTTCACTATTAATACAAAGGGTGTGTTCCAGAAGAAGTATTATAAAAAATCATGTAACAAAAAACGATAGGTTCAATGTAAGAAAAAAAGAGTTAAGTGGCAAAATTTTAAACTTGCTATAATAAGGTTCGCTTATCCATAACTTTGGCTTCAAAGGCTATGTAAACTTTTATTAGGTTTATGATCTTAAATTTACATTTTTATCCAAGACTGTTTCAAATGCCCACATCCAATGCCTATTTGATATTTCCATCTAGATGTCACAAGAACATCTCAAACTATTCAAAACATGGTTCATGATGCCCTCTCAAAGCTAGTTCCCACCAGCCCCACTGTGCACAGAGATGATGAGGCAGCAGGAGCTTCTTGTAGCTCAGGGGCTGCTTGGCATGGTGGAAATCCATAAAACATGGCCCTAATCAATGTCACCACTGAGCTCGATGTGACCCCTTCCTTCTAATTTTTCAAACGTAATATTTTTCTTATCATTATCCTCCTCTTTTTTTCTATTATCAAGAGCAGTGTTCTTGGACTAAACTTCGTATGTCACAAGCTACTTCCTACGTTTTTCTTTTACAGGAATGATGATACCTACCACATGAAGAAACAGATGTATTTCTAGTCCCAGTTCCATATTCCCAGGAAAAGGACCCCAGCTGGCTTGGATGGGACCCAGCTATGGTCCTATCAACTGTAGTTGGAAATGGGGTGGAGATCCCACTGAATTCACTGACATTTAGGAAGATAGGCTATAGGCTGCAGGAGCAGATGCAGCTTAGGGGCCATTGTGAACCAAGTGGAAACTTTAAAAAGGGTTACCACTTCTTTAAAGATGAGAGAGGAAAAAGACTGGGCTAGGAGTAAAGTTTGGTGAATCTAGGTAAAGTTTAGAACTGGGCTCATTTGAGAAAGACACTTCCAATTCTAAAATCTGAATTTTCCCTGAAATTTCTAATGGTAGAACCCTAGTATGTCAATTGAATATCAAAAACAGCCATTTCCTTCCACCCACCATATGAACTGAATAGCACGTCAGGAAGTTATTTTTATTTTGTAAATACTAGAGCTAATCATTAAGCCATTTCCAGGAAAATAAATCCCTATACTAATCAGAAAATTAACTGTGTTAGTCAGAAAATCAACTCAAAAAGAAATCTAAGCTTTCAGGTGGAACACGGATTAAACAGCAGCATTTGTTACTTCTGCAGAAATGAAGAGTCTCAGAAAGCTCTGCAGCTTAAATAACATGTAAAAGAATATAAATGGAAGTTCCTGGAAACATTTATTGCTTCCTTAGATAGCTAAGATTCAATGATAGATAAAGAGAGAAGTCGTACCTAGAGAAATATTTTAGAGTTGAGAGATCTCTCAGGAATTTATTTTCTTTCTAAAATTGGGAAACGATTTTTTTTTGTATTTTTGTACATTGGCAATGTTCAAGAAGGGTATATAAACTTTAAATTCCTTATTTCAGCAGAAATATAATTTTCTGTTGCACTGAAGGAGAAGTTAACAAAGACTCAATTCCAGAGACCACAGCCCCAAGCCAAGCATTAAGTGCTTGGGAAATGGCACCAATTTTATTAAAAACTTGGGAAATCCATAGTTCTGCCAAAAGGATAGCTCACATTTTGCTTTACTTTCTGATGATTTTCCTTGACATATTTTTCCCCTTAATTTTACTGGACAAAGCAAACAGAAACAGAAGCTCATCCATCTCCCCCTTCATTCTCGTCCCTATTTCAAGTCATTATTTCACTCTGAATTACTTACAGTGACTCTCAAATCTTTCACCTAACTGAGCCCCTGAGCTTTTGATAAAAATTTTACCTCCTCAGGGTCATCTCCCCTAACCAGAGTTGTCAGGCCCATCATTATGTTTTCTCACAGTACCCTGTGCTTCTCCTCAATAGTACTTAGTACAGTTATAATTTGTGTAATTACTCATTTAGCATTGGTTAATCCTGCTAGGCTGTAAACTCTATGAGATCAGTGATGGTGCGTGTTGTCTTCCTTTCTATATTTCCAGTAATTACACAATGTGTGATACATAGTAGGTGTTCAATCGACTTTTTTTAATTTTAATTTTAATTTTTTGAGACAAAGTCTCACCCTGTCGCTAGGCTGGAGTGTAGTGGTGCAATCTCAGCTCAGGACAACCTCTGCCTGGTTTCTCCATGTTGGCCAGGCTGGTCTCAAACTCCTGACCTCAGGTGATCCACCTGCCTCGGCCTCCCAAAGTGCTGGGATTACAGGCATGAGCCACTGCAAGCCTGGCCTCAATAGACTTTTGACAAATGAGTGAACAGAATTTCCTGGCCAGTAATCTATAATCCACAACTGACTCCCAAACCTGGGAAATAAAAATTACCTGAGGAATTTTGGGGGTTTTGTTAAGTACAGTTTTCGAAGTCACCTTAATATTCTCACTCTAGAGATCTGGGCTGATTGAGTATCTTTCTCAAAGATACTCAAGTGATTTTAGTAACCTGCTATGGTTTGCAGCCCTCCCCTTACCCCCATCTTTCTCTTTATCTCCTTACACACACACAAACACACACACGTACACACACATTTTCATGCACGCACGCACACACGGTTATGGCTCTCCACTGTCTTCCCAAGTTAAGTACAGATTCCCTAAAGTTCATAATATGTCTTCCATCTACCTTGACTTTGTAAGACTTACCTCCCACTTGTTTGTTATTTGTACATTAAGCCTAACAAACCCATTTGACATTCTCTAGACATATCTTGCTTCTCTGTCTCTATTCACGTTCTTCTCTTCTCCAATGGTCTCCTACTTCTTCAGTCAAAATCCTGGCCATATTTTCATGTTGATTTCAAATGCCACTCCTCTAGAAGGTTCCCACAGCTGGATACAAGCCTTTCCCAGCATAGCGCTCCCCCCAGAACATCAGATGAGCATCTCCCCAAGCTCTTCCCCTTTGTCAGGTTTTATAATTTTCACGCACTTGATTTCTCTCTTCTTTTTTTCTTGTTTTGGAGACCAGCAGGATTGAATTTGCATCAAGCAGTGTAGTTGATCTAGCTATTATAAGGCATATGATAAACATATAAAAAGACCCTATCTTCTTTTAGAGATAGGGTCTCACTCTGTCACCCAGGCTGGAATGCAGTGGTGTGATCATAGCTCACTGCAGCATCAAATCTGGGTTCAAGAGATTCTCCTGCCTCTACTTCCCAAATAGCTATATCTCTTCTTTCAGACAAGAGAATGCAAAAAGAGCAGATGAGAGGAAAAAAATAAGGAAGGCAGTGATTCATCTTATCACTCATGTTTGTATCTCTTGAAGAACTTGAGAAGTTAAAGCATACAGTGGGCACTCAATGTATTTGACTTGAACAGAGATGTAGCTGTTCTCACCATCAAAAATAATAATACGGGCTGGGCACGGTGGCTCACACCTGTAATCTCAACACTTTGGGAGGCCAAGGCAGGCGGATCACGAGGTCAGGAGTTCAAGACCAGCCTGGCCAACATGATGAAACCCTGTCTCTACTAAAAATACAAAAAATAAGCCGGGTGTGATGGTGGGTGCCTGTAATCCCAGCTACTCAGGAGGCTGAGGCAGGAGAATTACTTGAACCCAGGAGGCGGAGGTTGCAGTGAGTGGAGATCGTGCCACTGCACTCCAGCCCGGGTGACAAAGCGACACTCAGTCTCAAGAAAAAAAAAAAAAATAATACGTTGTGTGAAAAATCAAGCACAAAAAGCCAATATGACAGCTGATTTCTATGCAGGAAAAAAATTTAAGAGTAAATATACATTAGAAAAGTGATACTCTAATTCTATCTTTACTATTCAAACATTTACTAGGTATTTCACCATATGGAAAGCATTACATTAATATATAGCAGGTAAATGAATAAGACACTGATCCTATTAATGAGAATCTTACACATTCTAATTTTATTATATGTCTTTATTTTTTCAACCATTTACTATGCATTTACCACCTAGAAAGCACTACCCTCATGCTGCAAGGCATACAGCAATGAATAAGAATAGACCCTGTCACAAAGGACCTTACAATCCTATTGGGGGAGACTTAAATAACTGTAAGTCAAATTGGAATTAAATGCATACTATAATATGTACACAACCAAATGCTAGGAAGGCAGAGGAATAATGATTTAACTTCGACTTCCTGTTGCTATTTATCCAGCAAGGTTTTTCTACTGGTATATGAGCTACAAATTTGCCTCTCTTCCGGGATACAATCAATCTGCTCGACAAATTGAAATGCTATAGAAGGGTTTGAAAGCTGCTGTGGGCCGTTTCTCCTGGGATGAGGAATACGCGAAAAGAACAGGCCTAACTTAAGAAGAATAGATGTCATTGAAGAAAAACCATCTTGTCGTACAAACTAAAATACGTAAAAGATAATGCAACAGACAAAAAGTAGTAAGTCCATGCTAAAAATTCAGACACAAGATAATGGTGTGCCCTGGAAAAAAAGCCAGGACCAGCTTGATAATTCAGAATGTAGACACACAATCAAGAGTCCCAGTCCCAAAGCTGGGATTGAGGAAACAGACTTCAATTTCTGTATTTAAAAAAAAATAGATAAAAGTGTGTTATTGTCCATATTTTAGACAACCTTGGTTAACAGTTCCTGGACTCAGATACACAGAATTGGACAGAAGCAGTTATTAGAACCAGATCACATGGTCAATAGCAGTAGGAGGGTTGGGTAGGTGTGGAGTTCCCAGTTTTTAGGGCAGACTTCTCATATCCCTTTGTTTAAGCTCAGGTTATATTTTGGATTGAGTTTGCATCAAGCAGTGTAGTCGACCCAGCTATGAAAAGGCGCAAATAAAGAGGGCTTTTAAAAAGAGATATAAGAACAACATAGTCCCTTTGCCTGCCATTATCAGATTTCCAAGCCAAGTTCAAGCTACATTTATTATAAATCTGCCCCCGACCTGTTTTGAAAGGTTACTTGAAATCAAATAGAGCAAACCAAAACTAAAGTTGCGTTAGGTTAAACCTGATTTTAAAATAAATGATTCAGCACTTTAAAGAACAAAGGAAACATTCTGTGAAGTTATAATCTATTTGGAAAATTTGAAAAGGATTCCAAATGTTTCCCACTGGGCAATGTGGACAAAGAATCTTATGAAAGGTAACTGAATGGCAGGTTTTTTCTGTGTACAGAAAACTTATTGATGAGCATTGTACATTATATCACAGTTATCTATGACCTGACGGACCCATGAGATGAACTTGGACCCAAGGAGCTCATAATGGGAATGAACACAGCTCTGTAACAGTAACAGACCAGCTTCACTGAGAACTTTGTGGCACCACTCTGTTGGAATGAATCTTTTCTTAGTGGTAAGAATGTACCCACTTTGCAATTCAAAGTATTGAAACAATGTATGCAAATCAACCACAGTTAAGGGTATGTGATAGTGTAGTTAAAATGCTGGAGGCACTGGAAACGAGCAAACTTCACCCAAACATTTATTAAACAACTAAAATGTGCCACCCTCACGCAGACACCCAGCCTCTCAACTTATCCCGGATCCCTCTTAACTTCCCTCATCATCTCCAAGTCTACTAACTCATCATTATTAAAGTCATCCTTGCTTCTTGCAGGGATAATCACCACCCTAATTGGTGCCTCTGCCTCTATGGTTGCCCTTCTCTTAACTATACTCCCCCATTCAGGGTTCAAAATAATCAACTATTTCCCTGTATAAAACCCTTTAGGTTCCTCTTTGATTTAGGATAAACTCCGAGTTCCTTAAAATGGCTCTTGAGACCTCCGGGATGTGTCCTAACTTATCTCTCCTGCTTCACCTCGCACTACTCCAAGAGCAACCTGTGCTCCAGCCACACAGATGTGTCTGCAGTTCCCTTAACAGATTACATCACTACATACCTCAGTGCCTTTGCACAGTCAGTAACATGTCTCACGGTGCTATATCTTCTTCAAGACGCAACCAAATATCTGTCTCATTCTAAAAAATTCTTTGGTCCCATAAGAAATAATTACACAGACCCTTAGACCTAAACAAGAAGGAGACCGGGGCTAAACCCTGCACTTCAGAGGACCTCACACATCATAAACAAACAAAAATAAATTTCTTGAGGAACATATAAACATAACTGTCTTTTTGGAGCTGATGCTCAGACTGGCACAGCAGAACCCCAAACCCTAAATATCTGTTGTCATGACTAAAATGATTCAGGGCCCAAGGAAATACCTCTCTCCAAGTCTTTAGTCCTATGTCCTTGAAACAAAAGTCCACTGTGTCTGAACAAGGCAAGGTTTTGTGGGTTCTGCCACTGCTAATACTGGAGATGGAGACTGCTGCAGAGTATGGGGAGGATTTGAGCAGTAATAGCACGTAGGCAAGAGAGAGGCCACAGTAATCATTTTCTTCAAACAGCATATGTGCAATAGATTCTTACAAAATAAACTGTTATTTCCAGTTCTCAGAAGAGAGAGCCAAGTACACATTTCCTTGTCTATGTGCTCAAATTTATGGTTCCAGAGATACTCACAAATGAATGAGTATTCATAGCAGTTGCATATGGCAGCTGAGGAACATTTTGAAATTTTAAGCAATTCATATTCCTCTTAAATGTTCATGTAAGTTGGTCTAGATGTAACATGTGTGACACATCAATCCAATTGGCAACTAGATGGACACTGATTGCTAGAATTGGGAATTGTTTTATTTTTATAAAAATACTAAGTAATTAAATTTTCAAAAAATTGAATTATAAATTTCAGGTTTAACTAATTTTTTAAAATTTCTTATTTAATACTTTTATATCATACATTTTATTTTTAATAGATGATATAAAAATAAATTTTTTTAAAAAAATGAAAATGACAAATTTTTAATTATGTGTATTGTTTTATTTTACTTTATTTATTTATTGAGACAAAGTCTCTGTTGCCCAGGCTGGGTTCCACTGGCATGATCTTGGCTCACTGCAACCTCTGTCTCCCACGTTCAAGCAAGTCTCGTGCCTCAGCCTCCTGAGTAGCTGGGATAACAGGTATGCACCACCAGGTCCAGCTTATTTTTGTATTTTTAGTTGAAACAGGGTTTCACCATGTTGGCCAGGCTGGTCTCGAACTCCTGACCTCAAGTGATCTGCCCTCCTCGGCCTTCCAAAGTGCTGCGATTATAGGTGTGAGCCACCACACCTGGCACAATTTGATTTTAAAATGTTAAAATTATATGCATTGTGAACACAAGTATATGTTAGGTATTTACATTATTACTGTCAACAGTATACAAATTATGTAAAAATCTTGATTATAAATTATAATTCACTATTTTGCTAAAATTAAGGCCAGAAAAATATATATGTGAAATAAATAAACTTTATTTATGAATTATTTTATTACTCATCTAAACATTACCAAATATTCAATTGAATACACAGATTTATCCACGAATATTTAAATCAGTTGTATTTGACATTGTACTGACTTTTGGTCATTAAAAAACATAACTTTACATGTACTTTTAATTTTGTCATTATAAAAGTAGCTGTATAAAAGTTGATTTATAATGTTTAAGTTATTGGGTATATGCAATGTGTGTGTCCATGTGTACCTCTCCCACAGTCCCTCAAATGTGGAGGTTAGAACTTCCAATAAACTTTCTCTCCACTGTGCTTACATAGCCCACTGCACATGTCTTCTACATTGTATTATAGTTATTTGTTCACAGTTTTTTTTTTTACCACTAAACTATGATCTTGTCAAGGGTGGAGACGTCTTTATCTTTATAATCCAAGTGCCTAGGACATTTCCTGACACATGGTAGGAGTTAAATACCTTGGTTGAATTAATATACAAATAAAACAAGGAGCATTGTTTAAGAATATGAATTATTGGCTGGGTGCGGTGGCTCATGCCTGTAATCTCAGCACTTTGGGAGGCTGACACAGGCAGATTACCTGAGCTCGGGAGTTCAAGACCAGCCTGACCAAAATGGAGAAACCCCACCTCTACTAAAAATACAAAATTAGCCAGGTGTGGTGACACCTGCTTGTAATCCTAGCTACTTGGGAGGCTGAGGCAGGAGAATCACTTGAACCCAGGAGGCAGAGGTTGCAGTGAGCTGAGATTATGCCATTGCACTCCAGCCTGGGAAACAAGAGCAAAACTCCGTCTCAAAAAAATAAAAAAAATGAGTATGAATTATTGAGCCTAATGGCTCAGGTTGCTAGCCTGGCTCTGGTATTGTCTTTTAACCTCAAATAGTTATCTTAACCTCTCAGCCCCTTGGTTTCCTCATCTATAAAATAGATGTAATAAAATTGCCTACCTTACAAGGTTATGAAGATTGAAGTATTAAATGAAAAAATTAGTTAATATTTACAAAGACTTAGAACTGTGACTGCACATTGGGTAGTGTTTTCTAAATAAATACCTAAATGAAATCAAGCAATATTTGTTTAGACTTAACTAGAAATCATATCTTATTTCATCATCACATCAACCCTGTGAATTACGTACAATTATTATCCTTATTTTACAGATGAGAAAATTGAGGTTCAGAGAGCTCTAGCTGCTTCTGTAGAAGGCCACATAGCTGGAGAGTAGTAGCAAAGCCAGAATGAGAATTCCAATATTTGTGGAGGTGGTGGTTGAACCCTTAACTGCCAAATAAACTTTCTTTCAAGATACACTTTAAAGATATATATGTATACATAAATTATTAAAACAGGCACAGTGGCTCATGCCTGTAATCCCAGCACTTTGGGAGGCCGAGGTGCGTGGATCACTTGAGGTCAGGAGTTCGAGATTAGCCTGGCCAACATGGTGAAACCCCGTCTCCACTAAAATTACAAAAATTAGCTGGATGTGGTGGCACGTGCCTGTAATCCCAGCTACTCAGGAGGCTGAGGAAGGAGAATCACTTGAACCTGGGAGGCAGAGGTTGCAATGAGCAAAGATCGGGTGACTGCACTCCAGCCTGAGCGAAAGAGCAAGACTCAGTCTCAAAAATAAATAATTAAAACATAGTACTCTTTCTTAGAGCCAAATTATGTTTAATTTTTCCTAAGTTGTCATAATGTTCTAAAATTTTGAAGAAAAATGTGTTTTGCGTCTAAACAGCAAAACTGTAGATGAGCAATAAGTCAATAAAGAGTATATATTTGATTGCTTAATATGTCTAAAAGCAATGAGCATAAATATGTATGTCACTAGCCGTTAGAAATACAATATGCTCGTAAGTGACCTCAGATATTGCAGCATTTTGTAAGCACTCATATTTATTCTATGGTACAGAAAGTACATGAGAATTATAGATACCTGCCTGATTTTAAAAATTGAAATTAAATCACTTATCTCTGGTCATTTTTGGAGCAGAAACAATAACACTTCTTTCTTCCTGGAACAAAATATTACTAAATGACTTCAAAGGACTTGAGGGCATTTCCACTATATTTTATGTTATCAAGTTTATAAACGTTTCATGAGATGATCTCTACCCTCAAGAACCGTGTAATCTAATAAAATAAAATTAACGAGCACAGTTTCATAAGCCACACCTGTTAACAAGGCCAGAAATGACAGATTTAAGTTTACAAACCTCGGGATGTTGTGTAATTCTGTGTTTACCTAGGCAGGTTAAACTCGACAGTATAGTCAGAAAAACATACTAAGAAATAGATTAAATGGTAATGGAGGAATCAGCATGTAAAGAAAGATGGCAAATCTCTTGCTCCGCTGAGGCAAGAAAAGTACTTATAAGTAGATTTGATCAAGATGGCAATGTCATACTAGAAATGTCATAGATCTCTACTAAATCCATACAGAGACAATTAACTAACAGGAAAAAATGAAACAAGGCCAGGTGTGGTGGCTCACACCTGTAATCCCAGCACTTTGGAAGGCCAAGGCGAGCAGATCACCTGAGGTCAGGAGTTCGAGACCAGCCTGGCCAACATGGTAAAACCGCGTCTCTACTAAAAATACAAAAATTAGCTGGGCATGCTGGTGGGCGCCAGTAATTCCAGCTACTCAGGAGGCTGAGGCAGCAGAATTGCTTGAACTCAGGAGGCAGAGGTTGCAGTGAGCCAAGATCACGCCATTACACTCTAGCTTGGGCAACAAGAGCCAAACTCTGTTTCAAAAGAAAAAGAAAAAGAAAAGAAAAGAAAAAATTAAACAGGCAACGGGCTGCTAGCATTGAAAGAATAGATAATATGGACAGAGAGATTCCAAGATCACAGTTCCTGAAATGTAATATATTCTTCCTGCCTCAAGCTGTTGCCTTTGTATTGTCTGCACATACTTTGTACTCTTTATATAAATCCATTATATATTTCTTAATAATTCATTTGATGCACATAAGCAAAAATAGAAACATTAACTTTTAGGGTGAGCTATTAAAAAAAAAAGAAAAAAAGAAAGCAATAGATGTTCCTATGTTACTCTGCTTCCCAGCATGTATCACACTAATAATTACTAATTGACGTTTGAGATTCCCATGAGGTCAGGGACTTCATCATTTTATTATCATATTCTAACTGCTTTACATATAGTAGCTACTCAATAAACATTTGTTCACTGATACAGACAATTCATTTGTCAATAAGACAAGCTTGTTTTGTTTTTGTTCTGAGTGAAATTTTGTTGTTCTTAGGGGAAGGAAAAAGAAGCCGACTTATGGGAATAATATAAACAATGTCAACCAGAATTATAAAATCAGAATGCAAGGCTTACATAGACAATGCACTGGATTTTTTATTATTATTAACTTATAAAATCTTCCATTTCCTAACCTGTATTTATGGAACAAGTCCACTTAAAGTAATATGACCAGCAAAGAAAAGGATAGATAAGAGTTGGACAAGATGGGAGGAGGAAAAACTGGTTAGTGCAAAGGCTGACCAGTTTTAAAGGTTAGTGCGTTCTGAACATCACTTTCCTACTTGCAAATTGGTGATACTTTTTGAGGTATTCTGGAGCAACATTGTTTTTTACAGAATATTTTGAGGGACCACATATAAAAGACGAGATGCAGAGTTCATATCCAACAAATGTTTGTTGAATCTATTAAATAGAAATATTGTCTGGCCAGGCACAGTGGCTCATGACTGTAATCCCAGCATTTTGGAAGGCCGAGGCAGGTGGATTACTTGAGGTCAGGAGTTCGAGACCAGCCTGGCCAACATGGTGAAACCTTGTCTCTACTAAAAATACAAAAATTAGCCAGGTAGTGGTGGCACACACCTGTAGTAACAGCTACTCGGAAGGCTGAGCAGAAGAATTGCTTGAACCCGGAATGCAGAGGTTGCAGTGAGCCAAGATCATGCCATTGTACTTCAGCCTGGGCAACAGAGTGAGACTCTATCAAAAAAAAAAAAGAAAGAAAGAAAGAAGGAAAGAAAAGAAAAAAAAATTGTCTTTTAGAAGAGATACTTTTAAGAGAAAATGAGAAAGTTGTTTCAGGTTTAGATGAAAACTAGGTTATAGGAACCTTCAAGAACCCACTTAAAAGATATTGCTAAGGGATTTCCCAAATCCCTCTACCTGAAAAAAGTAATTCAATTGATTTTCTATTTACTGGGTTGAAGATATTCTTGCATACTCTTAACCTGACTGAGTAAATAACCCAATTCTTTGTGCATGGTTTCAATTTTTCACTTGTATTTATTTATTTTGAGACAGAGTTTCACACTTGTTGCCCAGGCTGGAGTGCAATGGCGCAATCTTGGCTCACTGCAACCTCCGCCTCCTGGGTTCAAGTGATTCTCCTGCCTCAGCCTCCCAAGTTTGGGATTACAGGTGCCCGCCACCACGCCCAGCTAATTTTTTGTATTTTTAGTAGAGATGGGGTTTCACCATATTTGTCAGGCTGGTCTCAAACTCCTGACCTCAGGTAATCTGCCTGCCTTGGCCTCCCAAAGTGCTGGGATTACAGATGTGAGCCATCGCGCCTGGCCTGTGGTTTCAATTTTTAAACATCTTTCTCGATCTGTGACCCAATGCTTTTTAGATCTTTTCTAATTTCTTTCAGGATCTTGTTAGTGGGAGTCTCCAGAGAAACAGACTTAGGGGTGGAACAACTGCTCAGCCTTGCCTGTCACGGGACAATGTTTCAGAAGTAACTTCAAAAATTAACTGTTGATCCAGGCATGGTGGTGTGCGGCTGTAGTCCCAGCTACTCAGAAGGCTAAGGCAGGAGGATCACTTGGTCCCAGGAGTTTGAGGCTGTACTGAGGCAGGAACATGCCTGTGACTAGCTACTGCACTCCAGCATGGGTGACATAGCAAGACCCCATCTCTAAAAGAAATTCGTTAATTTTTAAAAATCTGTATTTCACTCTGTAGTATAACAATTTGAAAATACAGTATTATTATTTTATTTATATCTTAAAAATGAATGTATAGATGAACTAAGGAATATTGAGTTCCATCCTTAGCACAGAGCATTATTGACAGCATAATTGGTGTTAGATCATCTGGTCCTGTGAGTCCCCATCATGCCTATAAACTATGGGAGCCAAGTATGTAAAATGTCAGTGTGGAAAATAAAATTGGGATGTTTTATTGACAAAGCAACTGAAAGATTATACCCTACTCAAATTAACCCTGAGCAAATGCCTTTGTAGGGCATTAAAGTCACCACAGCATTATTTGCTTACTTCCTGAATGAATAAGTCAACCATAAGAACAAATTCTGTTGGCAAGAGATAAATTCTTATCTAGCAAAGTTGTTAAAAGCTGGTAGTAATCACACTGAGCTCTGAATTTAGGTGGGCATTGTTGCACTGAATGCTCTGGCATGGAAACATTGCCCTGATAATCCCCGAGCTAAAAAAAAGATGCAGAACACAAAAGGCATCCCGACAGCGGGAACTGGCAACATGCTCCTTTCTGTGACCAAACCAGTAAGATGCGTCATTGCTGAACCATCTTCATCTCTAGTCTCACATCAGCATTTGCTGCCTCGTAGAATTGTATCTTGCTGGTCTTCTCTAAGGAGAATTTAGAATAGTTTTTTTTAAAGGACTCCCAGAATGTCATGTTACTGTTCTGAATATGTGAAGATAGGGGGGTATGATTCTGCATTTGTGCAGGGGAAGGAGCCCTCTTTATTACCAGAATTGTGAAGTTGCCACCATCTGATATTTTCCAGGAAGTATGGGTGAAGAGTGTGAGTTTATTGTATGAAAATTAGAAAATACAAATAATGCTTAAGAATGAATAAAGATCACCCTTAATCCTTCTGTCCAAAGACCACTATTGAGATATTGATATATAATCTTCCAGACATATATGTATGGATATATAGAGATAGAGAGACAGTTGAAGATACAGAGGTAGATATATAGATACAGATAGATATATAGAGAGATATACAGATTGATAAAAAATATATAGATAATTACAAATTGAGACCTTATTCTTCTGTAATTCACTTCTTTTGTCAATAATTTGTGAATATTCTTTCATGTGAATTAATAATTTCTACAATGTAATGAAAATTTATACTTACAATGACAATTTACAATTTAATGACAAAATAGTATTCTAGTAAATGGGTAAGCCATAATTTATTTAACAAATCTCTTTCTGTTGGACATTTAGATGGCTGTCAATTTTTTGATAGACAACTTTGTAGTAATCATCTTGCATAATATGCACATAAATATTGGCACATTGCTTTGATTTTTTTTCTTGATATAAATTACAGAAGGTGAAATGGCATGCATATTTTCAAGCTTCTGGTGTGTAATTTCTTTTGAAAGTTAAATCTGGTGTCACAGAGACAGTGAAATATGCTCTCCCATCATGGGGTCACTTTTGCTGTTGCTCAGGGATAACCAATCAAATATAGGATCTAAGATTTTAATAAAGAGCAACTCCTTGGGGAAAAAAAAAACATGATTTTTTTTTTCCTTTTGAGTGAAACTTCAGGTTTCCTAAATCTCACAGGCTAGTTTTACCAGATCCACTGGGCCAATGTACTGTGTAATTATGTCTGATCTACTGTGGCAGTTCAAGGCGGGCTGGGGAAGTGGATTTCCCATCCTTATCAGGGTTGCAGGAGCTACCTCTCTGCCCTAGAGAAAAAAAGAGGGGGCATGATCACCCTACCTCAAATGGGGTTTAGGGAATCCAAATCTATTTTCTCTCGATAATGAAGCCACAAGTCAGAGACATGATGACTTTGAAGCATGGCTCCTCCAGTGTTGGCTGATATTCAGAGTGTACCTGCTTTGCTGCTATCATTTCCTCCATTACTTTTCCATCCATACGCCCATGTTTTCTTTCCCTTACATAATTTTTACATTCCTTTATAGCCATATAACTCCTTATGTACACTGCTACCTTGCCTTCTTTTATATACCACATGCATCTCCCTATTGCACAAAATTGCTCCATCTATAGTTTCTTCCCTGTTCCTGAGTCTCTTCCTAGATGACCTGGCTCTCTAAGCTAGGACAAGAGCTAGAACACTAGTGATTGGGGGAAACCAGGGGAGTGGTAGTAAACATCCGAAAGTGATTTTACATGCACAAAATTAGGGAAAATAAAAAGACAGAAAGGATCCAACTTCAATGTTATAGAAAGATGACGTGAATGGTTTCTATTCATTGTAACCAAAATTCTCAGCAACGGCTATAAATGTATAAGTTCATTTACACAAAACCACAATAAGATACCATTAGATATTAACAAATAGTATGATGGTGTTGGGAAGGAAGTGGAGAAAGTGGAACCCTCATACGTTGCTGGTGGGAATTAAAAATAATTCAGCCATAGGAAAATAGTTTGGTAGTCCCTCAAAAAGTAAACACTACCATATGACTCTACAATTCCACTCCTAGCTAGCCAAAGAATTGAAAGCAGCATTATTCACAATAGCCAAAAGGGGGAAAAAACCCTACGGGTCCATCAACAGATGAATGGATAAACAAAATATGGTATGTGCATACAAAGGAATATCATAATACAGCCATAAAAAGGAATGAAGTTCTGGCACCTGCTAGCTACTACGTGGATGAACCTTGAAAACAAGCCAAATAAACAAGCCAAACACAAAAGGACAAATATTGTATGACTCCACTTATATGAAATATCTAAAATAGAGAAATTCATAGAGGCAGAAAGTAGATTAAAGGTTACCATGGGCTGAAGGAAAGGTGGAATGGGGAATAACTGCTAAAAGGTTACAGAGTTTCTGTTTGGAGTTGTAAAAGTGTTTCTTAACTTCTTACCTGTAGTTGCCTTAACTTCTTACCTGCAGTTTTTCTTATGTAAAATGGGAGAATACAAATCAGGATTGGTGTGAAGATTAACTGAAATATTTCATAAAGTGATCAGTAAATGTTAATTCTCAGCAATTAACTGAAACAGTGTGAATCAACTTCCACCATGAGAATTTGTCTGATCTGTTCAAGATTTTCCAGGCAGAGGCTGAAGATTTTATTTTCTCCTTATTCCAGAAGAACTATTAATTCCCTTCTATTAAGGCCCACTACTGAATGGGAGTTGCCTACCAACAGATCATTCCCATGAAGAGCCACAACCAGCTGTTCATTGCATCCTTGTTCTATAAGTTAGACTCAAGATGTCTGGTCAGGGATTTTTAATTATTATCACAATGCATTGTTGTATGCTTTCTATTGCTTCCATAACAGTTTACTACAAACTTAGTGGCTTAAAACAACACAACTTTATTATCTTATAGTTCTCTAGGTCAGAAGTTCTACACGGTTTGGCTCTTACTGCATGAAAAGCAATTGTCAGCAGGGCTCAGGTCCTGCCACCAAAAAGGTGGCTCTAAGATCAAATCTGTTTCTCTTTTTCAGCTTTAGAAAGGCCACTGGCATTCTTTGGGTCATGGCCCACTTCTTCCATCTTCAAAGTGCACACTCTCTCTGACCTTGCTCATGTCGTCACCATTCCTTTCTCCAATCCCAGCCAGGAAAGATTCTCTGCATTTAAAGATGTATGTGATTACATTGAGTCTACCTGGATGATCCAGGATAATCTCCCATCTCTAAGTCTATACCTTTATTCACATCTCTGAAGTTCCTGTTGCCATGTTAGGTAATATAGTCACAGGTTCTGGGGATTTGAATGTCAGCATCTTTCAGGGCCATTATTCTGTCCTGCACAATTTCAAACAGTTCAAAGATCTTTTATAAAAGGGAGGATATCCACCTTCGTGCAATGCCCATTCTGAGCATGTTTCTTGGGGCCTTTGTCCTATATCCATTCCAAAAAGCTCTCTCATCTCAGACATAATACCTAGTTTATATAACTCTTAGTGTAAGTCACAGTCTTTAATTATCAAGCCAAAACTTATCTTTACTGTCATTACCCAGGTCAACTTCTATAGACTTGTACATCATAGATGAACAGACTAATTTTTCAATGCGCCTATTACTCTTCTCTGCTAAATGATAGCAAAAGGCATCAGATTTTTTTCCAGAAGTTGTATTGAACTTCTGGAAAGCCAAGAGGAAAGAGAAGAGAGATAATACATTAATTTAAATGGTTCAAATTAATATCATAGAAGGACTGATAAATTGATAAATACTATTTTTATGCTTTGAATAGCTCATCATTGCTTTGCTAAAAATATTCATAAGAAACTCCTCTGATTCTCCACTACATCATGTATCTAGTAGTTTTGCATTTCTATAACTGGAGTCAATACTCACTCCCATATCCCAAAAGAGACAAACAGCACACCTTCTCCTATTGTAGGGCTGACATTTGTTTCCATCACATCTTGAAGGCCACCAATCTTACAGGATACATCATTATTCATTAAATTCAATGCTGTATTATCTTTCATAATCTTAAAATAACTCACTCTCAAGAAATGAGTAAAGAAAACTAATAATACAGATTTTAAAAATTCTAAAATGTCTCCAGGGTTCCATGCTAATTTAGAGCATCAGCTCTACAGAATGCAGGTGTTAACTGATGCCATTTGCTAGAAAAACATTTGATTTCCAAAATAGGATCCAGTTTTTTGAGTTGAGTTCATTTTATTTCCTCTTGGCTTTTTTCTTTTCTTTTTTTTTTTGGATGATTGAATGTTCTCCTGCCTGGAGGCAAGGGCTGAACTACCTGACCTCTTGAGGTCTCCTCTAGTCTTACCATTCTTTGCATCTGGATTTTCCTCCTTGTATAATAGAAGAATGATTGTTGTCTCTGCACACATTCTTTTACAGTAACCTCTGACCTTTATAAAATGTCAGTTGACTACCTCAGGTTTTCTCTTTACATGTCATGGTTCATTAATAACTGGGACACCTTGTCTCACTTGGCCAAACTAGAGGAAGACTCTAGCAAGCACTCACTCCAAGCCTACGAGAGAGGTTTATGCTGAAATCAAAGATTGATACAAAACTCTCTCCTGGTTATCTTGTCAAACTCTTCTTTATCTTCTCACTTTATCAGAAGGCCAAGGATGTTTATGGAGATACCACTGCTTTGCTGCTAGTAGTATGAATTCCTGGAATAGCAGAGAATCTCAGCTGGGTTCCGGCAGCAAAGGGAGCAGCTTCTCTGCGTTTGTGTGTATTCCTAGCCCACCATTCTTTTCCTTGGCAGTGCAGTCTACTGTGGGGGTGGCTGTCTCTGGTAGAAAAAAAAAGTCTAAATTCCAACACATTTATCAGAAATACCCAGGATTTATACCCTTGCAGTAGAGGAAAGATGACTTATTCTTAAACCTATTTTTTCTGAATAGTACAAACCAGAAATTAGATATACTTTATATGTTTTTCTACTTTTGCTTTTAAAATACCACTCTCCACCTTAATTTCATGCAGAAAGAAATCCAAATGTAAGCATATTTTTCTATTTTATAAAATAAATTGATGAATATTTCCATACTATATATCTATCTCCCTCACAAGATTGTGGGCCCCTTCAAGTCAGGGACAATGTCTTACTCATCTTGGATACCAGTGCCCATAACAGTGTCTTGTGTGTAGCAGGAACTCAGTAAAGGGTGGTCGAATAAATAAATAACAAATATTGCTAAACAACTATTATTTACTTTTTTATTAATTTAACAGTGACCATACCCATTTGTAAATGAACAAGTTTATTCCAAAGTATTAAACAAGCATCTCTTATGTGTCTGGCACTGCTATTTCTGGGGATACAAACATGTAATAGACACACCCTTGCTCCTAAGGAGCCCCAGTCTACCAGCATTGGGGGACACAAATACAAAGAACTGCGTAACAAGGTGGGCAGTGCTATGAACAAAACACAACAGAGCAGAGTTGAAAAAGCTCTTCGTTCTGCTCAACGGAGAGATAGCCAAAAAAGATTCAGATGCTATCTTTATGCTGGTCCTTAAAGGAGAGAGCAGTCTGCTTTCTTTCAGGAAAGGGAATTTCACAGAAGGGAAGAAAGCACGCACGAGAGCAAAAGAAGAGAAAAACAGAGCTGGCTTAGAGAATGGCAAGGTTGTCTGGAGAGATCGGAGCACAAGGGGGCTGGCCAGGGAATGGGAAAAAATGAGGTGGAAAAGGGGGTTGGAGCTAGAGAGTGAAAGAAAGCTCTTGAAGGCAAGAGTATGGGGTTTGGACTCTGCTCTGTTGTCAATGTAACCCTCATCAAAGGCATGTGGCCAGGGAAAAATACCACCAGCTCTGTGTTCTAGCAATGATGAGTATAGTGGTGAGGGAGTCAGACTGAATGAAGCAAGAGAGTTAGAAGGTTATAACAATAAAGGCCTGAACTAGGGTGATGGGTGTGAAGAAGAGTTTCTTCTTCCAAAGAGACCCTCATATCGCATACACAATTTCCAGGTTCCTTCATAGGATCTGAGTGTGAATGTGTGAAGTCAGGGTATCCTATGGCCCCATTAATCCAATCCCTACTGAATATAGAGCCAGGCCTAAAAGCCAACTTTTCTGTGCTAAAGGGTAAACATATGACTTTTAACAGTTAAAATCCTAGTGTCTTCTTGAACACATATTTAATAAAGACAGACATATTCTGACCTTGTTTGCTCCAACCTTAATGTTGGCATCCGTGTGACACCATAGACTGAATGTCTCTGCTTCATGAGAAGAGAGATTAGCACCAGCAGGGCAGTGTGTGACATCCTTCAACCATTTGCCACCACCCTGCCATGGGTGATGTCATGTGGAGGTGAGAAAATTGTACAATTGCTCCTTGTCTTCTCTGCTGAGCTTGCAGGTGGGTTTACATGTTCGACTAAGTAAACTAGCACTTTTGGATAGAAAGTAGCCTTAGCCTTCATAATATAAAGGACATTATAAATTACTCAAATCTGGCCGGGCGCAGTGGCTCATGCCTGTAATCTCAGCACTCTGGGAGGCCGAGGCAGGTGGATTACGAGGTCAGGAGTTCGAGACCAGCCTCGCCAAGATGGTGAAACCCTATCTCTACTAAAACTGCAAAAATTAGCCAGGTGCGGTGGCAGGCGCCTGTAATCCCAGCTACTTGGGAGGCCAAGGTAGGAGAATTGCTTGAACCTGGGCAGCAGATGTTGCAGTGAGCCGAGATTGCACCACTGCACTCCAGCCTGGGTGACAGAGCGAGACCCCGTCTCAAAAAAAAAAAAAAAAAAAAAAACTACACAAATCTGAGATTTACAAGCACAATTTACCAATGCATTATCCAGCTTATAAAAAGTGATACTAATTACCAAAATTGTATTAGAGCAACATACTTTAGAGACTCATTTCTTTTAATTCCCAAAAGGCAAAATAGTAAGAGTTATTGCTGGTAAGGGGTGAAAATATGAGTGATTTTTTTCTTCTCTTTCCTTTTTTCTTTGTCCTTGGTAATATGATATTTTAAAACCACTACCTGCAGAAAATAAATACATTAACATTTCCTCCAACACAGCCTTGTGAATAAGCAGCACTAATTAAATTCTGCCCTATTTAAATTTCAGAGTGAAGAAATCTTCTGGAAAAGTCTAGTTCCCCAAATTGCAGCCCCTCAAGGATGGCTCTCAAGATTCCAAGAGGACCAGCGTCTCTTCCCTTTTCTGTGATCCCTGAATAGCTTTTTAAATTGGCTCTTGAAGTTTTTTGTTTTTGTTTGTTTGTTTGTTTTTATCTTGATAGGCTTCTCATTCACAGCTAACTTTTTTTCTCACTAATTTTCCAGCCACCTACTACAGCACATTTTGTGAGCTAAAATTTGGTGCCACCAATCGGGCTTGGCCAGTCGGCCTCACCTGGAACACAGTAGACAAGCTACCTTTAAATTAGGATGATCCAAATACTCTAATTTACACTGATAGGTTTTATATTGTTTTATTTTTTGTCTTTTATTTGTGTAAGGTTTGTTTGTTTTTTCAAAGCCATCACTGTTGGGTTGCGGATAAACAACAAGAACACGTGCATTGCAATTGTAAATTGCCTTAGCCAGGGCAATTTGTCAATGCTGCTTAACATGCTTATAAACGTTCATACCCTCTGGGCCTAAATCAGTGCCTGGAAATTTAAAGTAAGGAAACAATTGAGAGGAAAAACAAAAATAGTGTGTGTATGAAGCTGCCCATAGCGATATTTTCTATAACAATAAAAAATGGAACTAACCTAACTGTTCATTAGAAGAAGTCTAAATTACAATCTAACTCGTGATATTTAAACTATTTTGACTATGAGATCCTTTCTTTAATGAATAGTATGCATACACTAAATATGCAAATTGATTTTAAATACTTTATTATTTAAAGAGCAATTGCTCTAGACAAAGCAAGAGGGTAGAGTTAAGAACCAAGACCGGCCTGTTTGTGCTCCTGACCTGTCTCCCTCCTGGCTCCAAACCAACTCTGAGAATTCTGAGGGCACTGTGGAGCACAACATAATTCCTGTTGTCACTAAAAATAAGTGTTCAGCCACATTAAAAAAGTATTTACAAGACAACATTTATAAAGTTATGCTAAATGAGAAGAGTGGAGCATGTGTACTATACATACATAAAACTATATAAAATATGCATAATTAAGAAGATCAGAAAGACCAATGGATAGATGTACATAATTTGCCTTATCTTACTATGTTGTTTTAGAAATATATAACTCTACTTAATGAAAACTTGTTTTATCAAACTTACTAACTAGCCCAAATGCTTTAGGTAATTAACCTGGCCTTCCTCAGCATTCTCATCTGTAAAATGGGAATAATTATAGTACCTGTATCATGGGGTTATAGTGAGCATCAAATGAATTGATTTGTGAACAGTGCTTAAAAGAGTGCCTCCAAAAATTTTAGCTGTCATTAGTAACATGATCATTGTCTTACACTCACTTGCAAAATGTTTGAAGTAAAGTGGGGAAATGAGAAAAATTTAGATTTATTTAGTTGCCCATCTCTTTACTCTTTTTGCTAGGCAAGGTAAATGCCCGCCCTGCTCCTGGTCTAAGACTCTCTGCAGCAGTCAGTCAACTACGGTGAACGGCGAGTATGTGTGCTTCTAAATCCTCACCATCACCTATCTTTTCAATACTTGATAAAAAGTAGTATTTCCCATCTCAAACTTCTAATGCAATTAACAAAATCAGTACAATTTGAAATTCCATTTCTCCTGCATATGTGCTGAATATGGGAATTTTGACTTTTAGTTATAAATTTGTATTAATCTGATGTTCTATACACATACAGACCAGGGGAAATATTTCAAAGAAGGCTTCAACATTTGAATAAATTGACTAAATATTTAATGGGAAGAAAAAGATCCATATTTACCTAATGTTATCCATCATGTAAACACAAGATCTGTAGGCCGTTTTGTCTCTTACTGTTTTTCTTCTTCCTGTTATTTAGCTGTTGGTTAACATCCCTTTTCCATCTCCTCCTCCATGCCTCTAATTTCTGGGCTGATTCCATTGTTTCAGCCTTACAGCAGAAGCAGCATCTTTTTAAATATAGTATCACTATTTATTTTTGTATCAACTTTAATTGGTTAAATCAGCAAACCATACTGGCTTAACTGATGTCTAAGTACATTGATTTAAGCCTTACAATTTCTCTAAGGCTAACTCACTTTTAATATAACATTTAAAGAAATGCACCAAGGCTTGTGTTCTTAAGAAGGTAATCTCTACTTTCCCTTCTTCTCCCACCCCCACCACCTTGTTTTTATTAGAACTTTTTTTTTAATTTTAAGTTCCAGGGTAGATGTGCAGGATGTGCAGGTTTGTTACACAGGTAAATGTGTGCCATGGTGGTTTGCTGCACCTGTCAACCCATCACCTAGGTAATAAGCCCAGCTTGCATTAGCTATTTTTCCTAATGCTCTCCCTTCCCCTACCCCATACCCCACTGACAGGCCCCAGTGTGTGTTGTTCCCTTCCCTGTGTCCATGTGTTCTCATCATTCAGCTCCCACTTACAAGTGAGAACATGCAGTGTTTGGTTTTCTGTTCCTGTATTAGTTTGCTGAGGATGATGGCTTCCAGCTCCATCCATGTCCCTCCAAAGGACAGGATCTCATTCCTTTTTATGGCTGCATAGTATTCCATAATGTATATGTACCATATATTTTCTTTATTCAGTCTATCACTGATGGGAATTTGGGTGATTCCATGTTTTTGCTATTGTGAATAGTGCTGCAATGAACATACGTGTGCATGTATCTTTGTAACAGAATGATTTATATTCCTTTGGCTATATACCTAGTAATGGGATTGCTGGGCCAAATGGTATTTCTGGTTCTAGGTCTTTGAGGAATTACCATACCGTCTTCCGCAATGGTTGAACTAATTTACATTCCCACCAACAGTGTAAAAGCTTTCTTGTTTCTCTGCAACCTCACCAGCATCTGTTGTTTCTTGGCTTTTTAATAATCGCCATTCTGACTGGCGTGAGATGGTATCTCATTGTAGTTTTGATTTGCATTTATCTAATGATCAGTGATGTTGAGCTTTTCCTCATATATGTGCTGGCTGCATAAATGTCTTCTTTTGAGAAGTATCTGTTCATGTCCTTTGTCCACTTTTTAATGGGGTTGTTTTTTCCTTGTAAATTTGTTTAAGTTCCTTGTAGATTCTGGATATTCGACCTTTGTAAGACGGATAGATTGCAAAAATTTTCTCCCATTCTGTAGGTTGTCTGTTCACTCTAATGATAGTTTCTTTTGCTGTGCAGAAGCGCTTTAGTTCAGTTAGATCCCATTTGTCAATTTTTGCTTTTGTTGCAACTGCTAGAACTTTTTTTATCCTCTGTTTGAAAAGTACTAAACATCAGCAGTGACACCTAGTGTCTGGACTGAAAAAAGGAATCTGGAACTACTAGATTGTTCTTACTTATATCTCCCCTGTTGATAGATTGTGCACATTCAAACAATAGCAGCTAACATTTATTGAGTGTGCCAGGCACTGCGATAATTCCTTTAGGTGCCTCATCCTGTATAAGATGCACAACAAATTTATTATATGGATACTATTATTATTCTCATTTTTATGAATTAGATAAGCAAGACCTGGAGATGTTAAGAAACTTGCCCTCCAGCCTGGGCAACATGGCAAAACCCTGTCACTTCAAAAAACTATTAGTCTAGTGTAGTGGTGGGCACCTGTGGTCCCAGCTGCTCAGGAGACTGATGTGGGAGGATCACTTGAGCCCAGCAGGTCAAGGCTGCAATGAGCCAAGATTGTGCCACTGCACTCCAGCCTGGGTGACAGAGCAAGATCTTACAAAAAAAAGGAAAGGAAAAGAAGAAACTTTTCCATTTTAACAAGCCATCGCACTTTATCCTCTGTCCTTCAGGTGAGAATTAGTACTTCTCTCATGGCCACTGCCCCTAATCTAAATCTAAAAATATGCGGAAAGTCATGCTCATATTGGGCCATAGGTGATTCAGTTGTGGGTGGGTAGGGCCAGCAATCCCAAAGGTGTATCCAAATGTTTTCTTATATGAAAAAGCAATAATCTGAGTTCTCTAGAAACTCAAGTCTAGAAAATTCTAATCACATTCCCATAACTTTTCACGAACAAAATAAGTGTTTTACTTTCTCTAACGCTAGGAATATCCTCTGAAGAATGGAGTCTTGTGTATGGATGACTGGGTAGATAAGGTACCACAGGGGAAAAAGCTAGACTGGGCAAGGTTGTAGATTGCTTTTAATGAAATCTTTGAGGCCTGAAGGCAGGGATGTGGTCTTGACCCAGCAGAAAACCTGGAGTTGAATAAGGAATGAAGAAAGAACACCAGCTAACCTTCAAAGAATCCCAACCTCACTGGGAATCTCGACAAGAATGGAGCGTGCCAAAGAGAAGGTCAGGGAGGTAAGATTAACACAGGGGCCCTTTGTAAGAAAGCTTTTGATTAAAAAGCTTTTAATTAATGGGTCTTTGAAATCCACTGGCTGATCAAAACTGCTGAAGACCCTTGATCTAGTCCATCCCACCTGCACAGAAGAACAGTGTTCACAGAAGAGACTCTATGCCACTTGTGGAAAACTTATAACAAGATTACACATTTATAGAAGTATAGGTGAAGAGTAATCCAACGTTCAAGCAGCCTTGGCATTAGGAAATTTTAATCCAAACCTGCTTTCACCCGAGGCCACTTCTCCTTATTTTATGCCTAGCAGAGGTAGACTGCAGAGGGCTGAGCACAACTAATGTTTACTGTTAATGAATACTTCTCTGCCTTCTCTTCCCTAGCAGCAGCAAAAGCAAGGCCCAGTGGATTCAGTTTGGGACCCAGAGGATTAACAATGCCCAGAGCAGGTGGCAGAGCTGCTCCCACAGGGAATGGTGGCCAAGTGATGCACCTGGAAGGTAGGAGGAGGAGAGAGGGAGGTGAGGACAAAAGAGAAGAAATTATGAGACACCAAGTGCAAACTGACTTGACTCACTCATTACCACAAATGAGACACTCTTTGGGAATATTTAGAAATAGTTAGGAGAGGGAGACTTCGGAAGAGGCTGAAATCTTGCACTAGCAGGTGGGAGTAAAGTAATGGTCATGGTGCCTCATTGCCTCATCCGCTACCAGGTAGTGCAAATCAGCCTTTCTGATGCGACACCACCACCTGGTGGTTAAGATGAGGAACAAGTCACTGCTGTCTCTGCACCTTCCTTTTTCCTTTTTTAGGGAGATGAATGCTCACATAATTGTTTTCTCTTAAGGCTTCTTTAATTCCTGTTAAATACTCCTTCTCCTTTACTGCATATTCTCCCTTTCAAGTACTGACCAGTTACTGCAAGAACATTTTATTTTATTCTCTCCATCCTCTCCCTCACTCCCTTTCTCTGTTTCTCACCCTAGCGTGTTGTTCTGGAAGACAAGGTGCCCGTAATGAAGAGACTACCTGAGTACTGGGAAATATGGCATCTATCATATTGTGAGTAACGATCTTCACTATGAATCAGCTACTTGAAAGTAAGATTTATATTGTTGAACATTGCATGAAAACTTTTAGGAGGATTTCAAAGTACTACTGAAAACAGTTTGTGAATATATGCATGTGCATAGGTGCATTAACGTCTTAAAAACTGCAATATCTTTTAAGCATTTTTTAAGGAACACCCATGAACTCAATATAACATAAAAGCTGACATATAATTGTAGATTTACACCCAGTCTTCTATAGATGCACACAACTTATCCAGAAAATTAAGGATTATATTGTCAATGTATACGTTAGTTCAAATGTGCATGAAAAAATATGCATTGGTTAATTAAATAAACACCTATTGATGTCTATCATGAGTCAAACATGGTTTAGGTGCTAAAAACTCTTGATTAACAAAATGAAAAACACTTCCTTAAGGAGGTTACATTCTTGTAAGACAGACTGATGTTTAAAAATAAATAATATTATGTTAATGATGTTGTAAATGACATGAAAAATAATAAATCAGAGTAAGGGGAAAGAAAGTAACAGGGCTGCTACTTAGAAAGTGTGGTCAGGGAAGGCCTCTTTGAAGAGGTGACATTTGAATGAATGAGGAAGTGATTCATATGAGTATCTGAGGAAGAGCATTGCAGGCAAAGAGAATATCCACTGTAAAGACTTGAAAAGGCCTGGCAGAGGAAAAACGAGGGTGTCAAGACTGAAGAGTGGTGGATGGGACAGCAGGAGAGAAGGGGGGCAGGAGCCACAAGAGCACAGATCACAGAGTACTCTATATGCCATCATAGGCACAGCAGATTTTGTTCTGAGTCATAGGAAGTCACTGCAGTGTGGAGCTCAAATGGAGTGAAGCACTCTGACCTGCTTTTTCAAAGAATCACCCTGGCCGCTGTGTGAACAATGTAGGGGGTAAAGAGTGGAGCAGAGAGACCAGCTGAGAGCCATATTTTAAGACTAGCATCCACAGGACTTGCTAGCAGATTCAATCTGGGTGTGAGCGAAAGAGAGTACAGAGATGACTGTGAGTTTTGTGTAGCTAGTGGTGCCATTTACTGAGATGGAGCATCCTTGGGAAGGGAAGGTTGCAGGCACAACAAGGGGATGGGAAGCAGAATTGAGGGATCTGGACATGCTAATGTTGACATGTCTGTCAGACATTCCATGGAGCAGTCTTATAGGCAGTTGGGTATATGAGTTCCAAGTTCAGGGGAAAGATTGGGAATGGATATATATATCTGATATATGCTGATATACACACACACATATATATAGTATATATATTTGAATATATATACATATATATGATATATAGTATATACATCTGAATATATATATACACATATATATGATATATATATACACACACACACACGTGTATATATATATGTATACATCAACCATGTTTTTAAATGTCATTTAAAGTCATGGGGCTAGAAAAAAAAATTACCCAGGAAGTAAGTGAAGCAGAGAGAGAACAGACCAGAAAGGGACAGCTGGTGAGGAGGGAGGAAACCAGGACATTCACCTCAGAAGGCAAGTGAAGAGACAGAAACACGACATATACCCATGTCTGGTAAATAATTAAATTCAGGATTAGGCATTCACTATTTCTCTGATTCCCTGTCAAGCACTGAAGAGGAATGGAAGTGGGCAAGGGTGAAAAAGCATAGATAAATTTTGGTTTTGATTTACAACTTAGTTACAAAGTGTTTCATATGTAAGCTTACCTACATGAAATTATTACAGAACAAGAGTATGTAATTAAGTTTCACCAAGTCATTTGAAAGATGCTACCTGACCTAATGATAAGCTGACACATTCACAAGAAATATGAACTGTCTACAGAGACTCATTCAAGCATACTGAAATAGATATAGCTGAGATCTTTATCTTAAAAAAAGGTTAAAATGGAATATGTCCTCCTAGCCTTTTCAATCTTACTGATTTTTAACAAGCATACACTTTCATTATATATGACAAAAAGTCTTTGCTTGAATACAAATGAAGTGTGTTCTCATAACAAATAAAACAAACAGAGCTCTCTTATTCTTCTTGGTTGAGAAGCCAGATTTGGATTTGCTTTTTCTTAATAAAGTCATTTACATAAAAGAATATTTGGAGCTGAAATTTCAAATTCTTGTGATGAGTGAGCAAGCTCAGCTGAAAGCATGCTTCTGGATGGCTGCAAAGCACAACAGAACCTTTCATTATTTGGGGAAGGAGGATTTCAAGCTTGTATTTATCCAGGCTCCAATTTCTAAGAGGAAAAACACAGAAAGTATATCCACTATACAGGAAATAAGAGAAGGAAATAGATGAGGGTGTAGGAATTGTTGTTTTATTTGATCTCAGGATGTCTGAGTGACAGATGGAATAACCCAGCACAGCATAGTCTTTATGCCAAGAGAAAGAGGCACTGCTAGATACACAACATTTGGGTGGCCCCTTGGGACCAGGGCTGCCGGAGTTTCATGGATCCCAAAGATTTTTATTATACAATAACCCTGAAAATTGTCTTTAAAAGTCATTATACCTGTAAAACCTCTACTTAGTCACAAAACTATGATTAGTCTTACTTATATTTATCTCAGTCAGTGCCTTCTGTCTGCATCCCTGTATTTCTCTTCTTGCTTTTCATCCTAGCTGGTTGAGAAAACACTGCATCTACCTGTATCAAATGCTAACACAGGTTTCCTAGAAGAAAATTCCTATGAAAATAAAACCAGATGAAATAAACAGATTATATTGAGTTTTGGGGGCTATGCTGTCTCATCATCTTTAATTACAACACTTTGTTTTCTTTTTATATATTCAATAAGTAGTTTTAAACAATATCATTGTGGCTGGGTGCGGTGGCTCATGCCTGTAATCCCAGCACTTTGGGAGGCCGAGGTGGGCAGATCACGAGGTCAGGAGATCGAGACCTTCCTGGCTAACATGGTGAAACCCTGTCTCTACTAAAAATACAAAAAAATTAGCCAGGCGTGGTGGTGGGCACCTATAGTCCCAGCTACTCAGGAGGCTGAGGCAGGAGAATGGCCTGAACCTGGGAGGCAGAGCTTGCAGTGAGCCGAGATCGCGCCACTGCACTCCAGCCTGGGTGACAGAACGAGACTCCGTCACACACACATACAAAAAAACAAATATCATTGTGTAGTCCTTGGGGGCTATACTGAGACTTTCCCACAAGAACTTGAGAATAAGTAAAATGAGCTTAAAATTTTATATTACATGTTTGCTCTCTCAGAGTTGGACTTTGCAATATATACCTTATGAATAAGAACCAAAATATAAACACACTCCTTAAAGGGCAGAGTGGCTTCAGATTTGAAAATCTTACTTGAGTGCATGTGTTAACATGTCCAATATAAGGAAGTGCCAACTAGGGAAATGGTGGATTTATCACAGAATAGAAAACTGAAAACCACAGAAGCACATATTGCTAGTTTATCCAAATATATTCCAGTGTTTAAGAAAACATTAGTCAACAGGCCAAGTATTTTAGTCCTTTTGGCAAAACTATACATATTTTGAAGAAAATGCTGGGAAGTACAGCCAACAAAATTCTATTATTATGTCCCACTTTGAAAATGATTCTTTAGACGAGTCGGATGTTTCAGACAATTTCTTTCTCCTATTTGTCGTATTTTTCTGAGATCCATACTCACCAAGTAAACATCTTATATAATTTGGTTTCCTGTATAGAGTGGACTTCCTAGTGGTGCTCAAGAAATATTCTTTGAATGAACGTTCATGTTTGATTAGTGTTCCAGCTAATGTAAGACTCATATCACTCATTATAAATTAATAACTTGACTTTTTAACTTATATTTCAGACTTGTGAACTCACTTATGGTAAGTCTGCCCATGAGAAAGGGACATCGTGCTGACAAATTATGTTTCTGATTTTGCAGAGCTGAGAGTTTGACTCTATACCTAGAGGACTTCATCAAACTCCTGAGACTCCCTAGGGAAATAGCCATCTGGTCTACTCCTGGCCACATATGCCTATTGCAGTGCTATAATCCAGCAAAAACAAACAAACAAACAAAAACAACCTAAAGTGTAACAAATCTGTCAAGATAGATTACTGCTCTTTTCCAAGAGAAGAGGGAAGAACTGCAAGGTAGGGCCTTGGAAATGTAAATGCCTACAGGTAGAAGAGAAGGCATGAGAAGAAGTGGGAGGCCAATACGTGTAAAAGTTGAGACTGGGAAAGAGCGTGGCAAAGAAACTTGAAGTTCATGGTCAGAATCATTCAGAAATACACAAGAAAATAGAAGGCACTAGGGACAGGTTTTCAAAACCGAATGCTTAGAACAGGAGGGGTGGCAGTTTGCTAGGAACAAAACTAGATAGGGAATTTTTGTGGATAGAACCCAGGGAACTGCTTGGCCAGGGCCTTAAGAGACTATACAGTAAATTGTTGAGACTTGAATTCAAGGAATTAACTCAAACACAATGAAAATTATATTGTCCCTTTAGCATCTAAACAGGAATTAACACAGATCCCTTGGCCTTGGACTTGATGGGAGGAAGTAAAGTGGCAAGGAAGAGATAACAGTAAAAGTGAGGAAAGGCCATAAAGGAAGAGGGAACCTAGAGTGCCTGGAATAGAGTGACGAGTGCTGTGTCTAATAGTGTGAGACAGTGTGAATACTATTACCTTTTGGTATCTAGGTAATATATTTGTGTAGGTGTATATGGTTTTATTACAGCATATGCCACTTTGCTCAGTAGAATTGATCACTACTTTAGAAGAAAGGAGTGCTGGGACGAACAAGTGGTAGGACACTGAATCATGGGGCTTGCTTTACAGGAGTGCTTTTTTTTTTTTTTTTTTTTTTGAGATGGAGTCTTGCTCTGTCGCCCAGGCTGGAATGCAGTGGCGCAATCTTGGCTCACTGCAACCTCTGGCTCCCAGGTTCAAGCGATTATCCTATCTCAGCCTCAAAAGTAGCTGGGATTACAGGCACGTACCACCACACCCAGCTAATTTTTGTTGTTGTTGTATTTTTAGTAGAGATGGGGTTTCACCATGTTAGCCAGACTGGTCTCGAACTCTTGACCTCAAGTGATCCACCTGCCTTGGCCTCTCAAAGTGCTGGGATTAAAGGCGTGAGCCACGGTGACTGGCCACAGGAGTAGTTCTTAATCCTTCTGGTCTCAGGACCCTTTTCACTCTTAAGAGTTACTGAAGATCTCAAAGAGCTTTTGTTTATGTGGATTATATCTGTTGATATTTACTGAATTGGAAATTTAAACAGAAGATTTAAAGTATTTCTTTATTAATTCATTTAAAGGTAATAAATGCATATAATGAATAATAAATTAGCATAAATAACAAATTTTGTGTAAATAATATTTTACCAGAAAAGGTATTAAAAAAAGAGATATTTACATTTTTTATAAATCCCTTAATGTCTGGCTAAATAGAAGACAGCTGGATTTTTACAGCTGTTTCTGCATTCAATCTGCTGTGATAGGCTGTTTTGTTTGAACTGCTTGAAGGAAATCCAGACACACAGATATGTAGCTTGAAAAATGGAGGAGGAAGTTAGTAGCTTTTTCAGATAATTGTGTATATTTGTCTTCAGTACTACACCAAAACCTAACAAGTAGTGGTTTTTTTTTTTTTTGAGAAGGAGTCTTGGCTCTTGTCACCCAGGCTGGAGTGCAATGACGCGATCACGGCTCACTGCAACCTCCGCCTCCCCGGTTCAAGCGATTCTCCTGCCTCAGCCTCCCAGGTAGCTGGGATTACAGCTGTCCGCCACTACACACAGCTAATTTTTGTATTTTTAGTAGAGACAGGGTTTCACCATGTTGGCCAGGCTGGTCTCAAACTCCTGACCTCATGTGATCCGTCTGCCTCGGCCTCCCAAAGTGCTGGGATTACAGGCATGAGCCACAATGCCCGGCCACAAGTGATGGTTTCTTAAAACCATATGAATAAACTTTATGAATAAACCACAGGAATAAACTTTTCATACTTGTTCCAGTAAAATCTATTGTTCTATATTGAATTTTGGATAGACAGATTTTTCTGTGCATGCCTGTGTAACATCATGCACTGGTCATTTAGAAAATATCAGTCCACCAAGTTGGGCATATCTTCAAAATGTTAACACAATTCATTATAAAATATCTCCCCCAGATCACATTTATTCAAATAACCAGTGGTCTAATTAGAAATGTCTCCATCCCTTGAAAAGCAGGCAAGCCGACAGAGGCAGATACAAACTTTCCAAAATCCAAATTTTCTCTTGAAAAATCTTATTTTACTATTGCCCACAAATACTTTAGCTTGTTTTTCTTGAAGTGACAAGCTCACTTTGTTCATTTCCAAGAAAATATTTGCCAATTACCCAAGCCTGAATATCCACAGTTTGTCAGTTTTTCTGTCAAATAAAAATGGTGCTCTACAAAAACAAAAAAAAAAAAAAAAAAAAGGCTAATTCAGTTTGCCATTCAGACACAATCACAGAAGTGCTTCCCTAAAGGTAATCGTCATACTTCAATATGCAGCAGAAGTTCTTCATTCGGGTTTTCCATTTCTTGACTCCAAATATTAAAAGAATGTAGACTCAGGGTTGGGATTTAATAAAATTAGTAATTTTTACTTAGGAACTAGAACATTCTTGAAAGACAATAACATTTTAAAACTGCGATTGGACAGTGGTGAAGACTACTAGTATTGTTTACTGCCACAGCCTTGATTTATGTAAGAAACCATCAACCCTTTTGTACCAGCAGTGCAAATGCCAAAACAGTTACTAAAAAAATGCAAATAACACTTGGTACTATTATAAAATAGTTTTGACCTCACTGACTCCGTGAAAGTGTCTCAAGGACCCCCAGGAGCTTGCCAATCCTACTTTGAGAACTGCTGGTCTACTGCACTGGCTGTGAAAGAAATTGTCCTAGTTGTCCAGATGATGGCAGCAGAAGATTTTACTCAGAGGAGAGATGCGCGAACCTTAGCCAGAACAAAAAAGGGCAACACTTGGTTAGAAATCCTGGGGAGGATGGGCGCTGTGCCTCACTTCTGTAATCCCAACAGGAGGCTGAGGCAGGTGGATCACCTGAGGTCAGGATTCAAGACCAGCCTTGCCAACATGGTGAAACCCCATCTCTACTGAAAGTACAAAAATTAGCCGGATGTGGTGATGTGTGCCTGTAGTCCCAGTTAATTGAACCTGGGGTGCAGAGGTTGCTGTGAGCTGAATTGTGGCATTGCACTCCAGCTGGGTGACAGAGTGAGACCCCTTCTCAAAACAAACAAACAAAAAAACCCGAAATCATCCTGGGGAGAAAGGTTACCTTTTTAGTCACAATGCAATCTACCCTGCCACATCTTGGAGTAATTTCACAATTGATAAACTGGCATGTCCTGAGGGAATGAATTGCTTGAGTTTTTAGATGAATAATCTATGGACACTTGCTATTTATTGAGGCAGATAGGTTGCAGGATATGCTCATTTTACTCGTGATCAGAGTGCTTATCCATGTGTTCATTCCTCAGGGTTTTCAACAAATACTTCTTGAACCACCTGCAAGGACAAGGTACTGTGAATAGCAGGCATGATCATTCCGTGCTGGTTGCTAGACAAGTTCAAAGAAGGCTAAGACAGATGAGGATGAAATCTAACAGACATGTCTCTGCCGTCTTGGAACTTGAGAGAGGCCAGCAACAGACAGGCCACAATGCTCAGAACCCAGTGTCCACATGTGAGTCCCACATGGGACACCAACAGGATTGGGTCATCCAGTAGCTCTGTCCTGCTGAAATGCCAAGTGTGCAATTCCAAGTTTAGCTCCTAGGTCTGACAATCCCTATTCTTCCTCATGCCAGTTAATCACTTTATCAAAGCATTAGCAGGAAAAAAACATTAAATCTTGTGCCTTATTGAAATGCTGACTCTACTTTTGGCTTGAGAAACATCCCTTAATTGAATGACAGTTATTTCCTGGAAACTCTGAATTATCTTATGAATTTCATTCTTTTCTGGCCTATTTCGAGCCACTTTTTCAGGCCTAAATAGATATTTGTTGCTTTTGCTGTGCAGAATATTTTCCCAGTCTTTGGGTCCTAGCCCCCATTTTCTTTCACTGCAGTGTCCCTCTCAACCCCACCACTCTTAGTCAGCTCAGTTATGAAAGAAGCTGACTCCCCCTGCTGCCCTGAGCCAATGTTCTCTCCATTGGCCATGAGGACTTGATGAAGGATGGACATGTGACTCCATCCAGGCCAGTGAGAATTCAAGCCAGACATTTTTTGAAGTCTTCAGACATAAAAGACCTCCTTTACCTTCTATAAGGTGTCTTATAGAAGGTGGTATAGGTACAGAGGTGCTGGCAACCATCTGACAACATGAGGGGAAAGTCTCACTGTTAATGGAGCCCACAGAAGTTGGGGGGCAGCCAAGAAGTAGAGAGACTGAGGCCTGATTGTAGGCCCTGGCTTTGCCATGATGAATGCCAGCTTTACCTTTGGACTTTTCAATTGTGTGAATCAATAAATTGAGGCGGGAGCCTCCTGCTCTTGCTAATCTCTTGGTTGCCTCACTGTCCTCTGTTTGGTTTCTCAGCATCTTTCATCACTTGTATAACTAATTGGTCAGGCATGGTGGCTCACACCTGTAATCCCAGCATTTTGGGGGGCCAATTCAGGAGGATTGCTTGAGGCCAGGAGTTCAAGACCAGTCTGGATAACATAGCAAGACCCCATCTCTATCAGAAAAAAAATTAGCCAGGCATGGTGGTATACATCTGTAGTCCCAGCTACTTGGGAGGCTGAGTAGGAGGATCACCTGAGCCCAGGAATTTGAGGCTGCTGGGAGCCATGTTTGAGTCACTGCAGTCCAGCCTGGGTGGCAGAGCAAGACCCTTCTCTAAATGAATAAATAAATAAATTATATTATTTGTTTTAGCTATTTTGAGCTGAGTTCCTATTATTCTCAAACAAAAGAGTCCTCACTGATACATGTCCTTGTCCCCAGACACTAGGCAGAAAACCATACAGGGAACCAAAGAACTCAATTTCTAAATATACCACACTTGGAAATCTTCATGCCTTTGTTTTTTTTCCAGAACTAATAATTTCTTCATTTTCTCCATGTTCCCACAGCACTTTATAGATGCCTAAAATTAAGAAAACTAATATTTTGTGTTGAGGCATTTTGTTTTTATATGTGCCTTGGAAGTTTTGAGCTGTTTAAGAGCAGGAATAACATCTTAATCATCTTTATATCTCTAACCCCTAGCATTACATTTAACATCTAACATGTCCAATACATGGTGGTCAAATAAAATTTACAGAGTGGGAGAGAAGTATGACATTGGTTTTCTCTCTCTGGAGACTTCCATCCCAGCATCATAGTCTTTTGTTTGACCTAATAATGGAGGTTCCCAGCGCTGGTGTCTTGGCTGGTCTTAAGCATGCGTGTTCTCAGATCCAATCCTAGACTTTTCCACTAATCTGTTCTGTATCACAAAGGGGATGGCCTTTCATGTGTCTGGCTTCTGGCAAGGTTTCATCCACGGGTACTGGTAGAAATTTAGTGGATACAACAAAGGGAGAACCCGGAGTATCTCTCCCCTCCTCTCTGCCTCAAGTAAGATCTTAGATAATAACTGTGTCTTTAAAAAAAATAACCAGATCCTACTACTCAGTCATACTTTCATTTCATCTTATCTGTTCCACAGCTCCTGGGCTCCAGGAACACTGCCTCCTCCTATGGAAGGTGGGACCTCCTGCTCTTGCTAATCTCTTGGTTGCCTCACTGTCCTCTGTTTGGTCTCTCAGCATCTTTCATCACTTGTATAATTAATCCCAAGTATTTACACCCTCTGTTTGGAATACTGAGTGGTTTCTGTCTTTTTTTTTGGAACCTGGCTGATACTATGCCACCTATTTTTTTTTAATGCCAGTATCATTTAATTATGTGTTTGTGTCTGGAGCCTTTAGACACATAATACAGTTATGTGTCTCTTCCATAACACAGTTATTTCCAGGAGTCCTTGTTAAAATACAAAATCTTTATGTAACATATTTTTCCTAAGTCATGCCTTCCATAAATAACTTAGGGCTGAGTTATGGTTCATCAAACCCACACAGTTTCTGCAACTCTCACTCTTTGAGCACAGCTAAGATAAACTGACCATTCTCTTCACCCAGAAGAGCTATATTGGAAGCAAATTCACTTGAAACAAGGAAGTTTAATGTACCCACTTTCTTCTGCTGGGTAATTCATTCTGGCAGAAGTGGTGAAGCAAGAAAATGTTGAAGATCTTCAGGCAGGAAGACTGCTGTCAGCCCATGACAGAGATGGGGGTCCTTGGTTGGTACAATTTCTCTTTAGGAAGGGAAAGACAGGTTTCTAGCCACACCAGAGAAATTGCCAATTAATTCAACTCAAAAAAGAGTGATTTCTATTCACCAAAATTGAGTATTTACTATACATCAGTCATGGTGCAAGGTGTTAGGGTACAGTAAGCATATAGGCAAAACTGTGAAGTGGTTCAAGTTCAGCTTGGTTATCCAAACACTCAGATCATTCACTCTTGTATCAAGCTAACTTTCCTTCTGTCAACAGTCTTTGGTCCTACCAAAACTTGACATATAAAGATCAGTTACACTCAAGTGCAAATCACTACTGGTAACTTGGAAAATTATCCTGAGTGGAGTTTGCATTTCAATGGGTATTGAAACCTTAACATAAAGGATTTAGTCTTCTTCAGTAAAACGTGAAAGAGCTTGGTGAGGTAGTTATCTGAGGGCCTGGATGCCTTCCCATCCTTTCAAATAAGACCACTATTTCTTGACCTATATTTTCTGCAGCCCCACTCAGAAGGTACTGAAAGCCTTTCACAAAATATCCCATTCCAATACCATTTTTGATAGAATGTGTGTGAGTAAAGCTACGTTCTCTGTAACCTTATGTTAGAAAAACAAAAAAGGACTTCCCTATGAACAGCTCAGCAAATATTTCAAAGCATACTCTTACTCTTACCCCAACCTCCCCTCCCCTTCTCTACCCCTCCCCTCCCCTCTCCCTCTCCTCCCTTCCCCTTCCCTTCCCTTCCCTTCCTGAAAATTTAGTCCAATGTCTATAAGATAGAGCCAAGCAAGGTGGACACTGCATGATGACAGGAGGGACAAGGCAGCCTAGCCCAGGACACCAGAACCCAAGCTGAGTGAGACAGGCATCTGTGCAATGTGTGGGTGAAAGGTGAAGTAGTAATGGGGTATTCGCTACAAACAGAAGAATGAGCCAAATCAGAAACTGTGTTGGGGATAATGGAAGCCAGGTTTCTCACTGTTGGAGAAGGAAATTACAAATATAGAAATGGAGAAAACTAGAATGAACACTGTAGTGCTGGATTAGAGTTAGAGATATGAGTGTGAAATCATGTTTTAATATAGATAAGTATAGACATGTAGATGTTTATATCTGCGTATACATTCTCAACCACTGTTTATCAAGAGGGCCTCAGAGTAGCAATGTTCCAATAGCAATGAGCTCACCCAAATCTTGGTTTCCTCAATACTATTTTCTACTAAAAGAAACCAGGGATCCTTGGTTCTAGGGCTAGGGAAAGAAAGGTATAAAATGAGCCAGGAACATAGGAAAGCTGCCAGAAAGTGAGGACATAGGGACATGACAAAAGGACACACAAGTCAGCTTGAAGGTGCTCCCGCTGGGCAAATCAACAAAAAATTTGAGCATCAGAATAAATAATAATAACAGATTACAGCCTGTTAAATAAAACAGGATCTCTAAATCTATGCTGGAAATAAATGAATAAATTACAGGTTTAATGAGGAACAGAATATTTATATGCTCTTAAAAGAATCCCTTCCCAACAAATATTTACAAAGGACAAAATAACTTTACAACAGAGACATCTAGCAGACACCATCTGATATAGTTTGGCTATGTCCCCACCCAAATCTCATCTTGAATTGTAGCTCCCATAATTCCCATGTGTTATGGGAGGGACCCAGCGGGAGGTAATTGAATCATGAGGGTGGTTTCCCCCATACTGTTCTCACGGTAGTGAATAAGTCTTAGGAGATCTGATGGTTTCATAAGGGGAAACTGCTTTTGCTTGATTTTCATTCTCTCTCTTGCCTGCCACCAGGTAAGATGTGCCTTTTGCCTTCTGCCATGATTGTGAGGCCTCTCCAGCCGTGTGGAACTGTAAGTCCATTAAACCTTTTTTTCTTTATAAATTACTCAGTCTTGGGTATGTCTTTATCAGCAGCATGAAAATGGACTAATGCACCATCTTAATCAAATGACAAAATGAACATACTCCATAAGAGCCAAATCAAAGTTGGGTGCCTGATTGCATGCAAGGAGAAGAGCACAGCATCACTTTTGTGGTATTCCTGCCAGCAACACATAATCTGAATCTAATCACAAAACACTGAACAAACTCAAATGGAAACATTCTATAAAGTAGCTGACCTATAATCTTCAAAAGTGTCAAGCTCACAAAAAACAAGGAGAGACTGGGAAACAAGTCCTAACTGAAGGAAACATGAAAACTAAATGGACAAGTTATTCTTGAATGGATTGGGTGGTTAATAATAAAGCCATGCTAATCTCATGGTTGTTTCAGCTGTATTATGATTATGTAGGACAATGTCCCAGCTTGTAGGAAATACACACTAAAGGTTGTGAAATGATGAGGAATCAGACTGGCAAATTACTTTCAAACAATTCAAGGGGAAAAACAGTTTTTTTGTACTGTGTATTTTTTCTCTGAGTTTGAAATTATTTTCTAAATTAAAAGTGTAAAATGTGGCTGGGTGTAGTGGCTTATACCTGTCTTCCCAGCACTTTGGGAGGCTGGGTCAAGAGAATCACTTGAGCCAGAAGTTCAAGGCCAGCCTGAGCAACATAGTGAGAGATTTTGTCTCTACAAAAAATACAAAAATTGGCCAGGTGTAGTGGCTCACACCTGTAGTCCCGGTTAACTAGGGAGGCTCAGTTGGGAGGATTGTTTGAGCCCAGAAGATCAAGGCTGCAGTGAGCCAAGATCATGCCACTGCATTCTAGCCTGGGTGACAGAGGGAGACCCTGTCTCAAAAAAAAAAGTAAAGAAGAAGTGTAAAATGCAATCTCATTGTGCGTAATGCGCATACATGGCCCTGACACAGTTGAAAGCTTTTCTCATTTTCTTTATTGTGGTTGAATCCAATTTAAATTAAAATATGAAATGCTTAACAATCATAAAATCAGTATTTGCTGTGGTAAACAAAAGAGATCTACACTAGTATTTACAACTCTTTAATTTGTTTAAAAAGGAGGCAATATAACCATTTTAACACATTTAAACCTTTTGCCTCTAGAAGATATATCAATTAACACACAATATTCAAGGAAATCAGTGCTGTATAGATATTTTTGGTCTATTAAGGTGCAATTTATAATACAGAACCAACACAATACTGAAGCAGAAACCATAAGTTACAAAGTAGTAACTCTCACAGACAGTAATTAGAACCCCTGTCCTACATGCCCCTCCACATATAGCAACTTACATTCTTCCAGAAAACAGGTTCTTTCCCTGACTAGGATACTTCACAGGTCTTTCCAAACTAAAGAAACACTTTTCCACTCAACACTGGTTTTTAAAAACCATTAGAACTTTTGGTTTTACAAGTTACAATTAATTAGTATTCCTTTAAAAAGAAACTATTTTCAAAAGACAATGTATTTTACTTGTTATATTAACTTATAGTGCATTTAATTTCAAGCAGAGAGATAATTACCAAAGACAGCAAATAAAAAATTTTTTAAATATTCAATTCATTAAATAATTGCTACAGATCAATCTTCTAAAAGCCTTAAACTAGACACTGAGGGGAAAAGAACATTGACCAAAGAATTAGCTTCACTCTTCAGGAGCTCATCTTATGCAACAGTATCCACCACTGTTACACAATTTACTGATATTCAGTTATTCTATCAACACGGCAGAATAAATTCAATTATTAAAATCTACATTCAAGCCAGGTGTGGTGGCTCACAACTGTAATTCCAGCAATTTGAGAGGCCGAGGCAGGCAGATCACTTGAGGTCAGGAGTTTGAGACCAGCCTGGCCAACATTGCAAAACCCATCTCTACTAAAAATACAAAAATTAGCCGGGTGTGGTGGCATGTGCCTGTAATCCCAGCCACTCAAGAGGCTGAGGCAGGAGAATCATTTGAACCCGGGAGATGGAGGTTGCAGTGAGCCAAGATCGTGCCACTGTACTCCAGCCTCAGTGACAGACTAAGACTCCGTCCAAAAACAAAAAAAAAACAAAAAAAAACTACATCCAGAGGAAGAGAGATAAAAGAAACAAATCTTCCAAATCAAGGAAACTCAGGTAAACTTATGTCAGAAGATGACAAAAGGGTAGCATGTGTTCAAGTCTTAAATGTGATTATTAAGTTAATGCTTAGTGTCCCTCTGTTTGTACCAGAAAGGGCAAAAGAAACACCACTCTTATCCTTCACCAAAAACAAACAAAAATAAAAGATAATAGGTTAAAATTAAGATCAAGCTCCACCTGACAAAATTAAGAGACTGAAGGACATGTATAAAAAGAAAAGTGAGTTTTGCCATGGAAATGAGTTGAAGGGTTTATGGACCCATTCTATATTTATATGAGACTGAAGTAATTTTTTCCACAAATTGACAGAACAATGACCCACACAAAATTGCTTCCTGCTTTGCTGCCAAAACACCAGGCAAAAACGGGCCACATGTTCATCATGCCTAAGGGCAGCTCTGACTGCACTGGTACTATGTCATATGTTAGTTTCAAACCAAGTTAATGTCATAAACTGGCAGGCACTGCATCTTGTCAATTATTAGCCAGTTCATTATTAACATTACTGAGTGAATATCATATATGGTATAATTCATTACAGTGTAAATAGCCATTTATATCCTGGGGAATTCCTCACCAAGACTATATGGAATATTTTTGATCAGTGGAGGAGACACATTAAGTAGCTTTATCCCATTGCCCTTAACTCTTATATTGTTCATTTTATTAAAGGTATCATGCAATGAGAGTTAGCAATATAATCACTGCAAAAATTATCCTTATAGGAAAACGTAATCTACTTTTTATGAACTGGAATAACAAAATATTAAGCAGAATCACTTGTTACAAAAAAAGCATCACAATCCTATCATTTGAGATATAAGTTTCCATCTAACATCACTGAGAGCTGTGACTAATTCAGTCTCTATGGCAAGGTAAAATTTTTAATACATTCTAAAGTTTGCAATGTTAACTATATTTTCACACAGGTTGAAGTAGACATATTTCATGGGTTTTAATATATGTCAAACAATGCTTACTGTGAATATCCATGAGTGCAAATAAGAGACAGATAAGTTAGTAAAGAGCTCTGGGTCAGCTGGGCTTGATGACCCATGCCTGAAATCCCAGCACTTTGAGAGGCAAAGGCAGGAGGCCTACTTTAGGGCAGGAGCTTGAGACCAGCCTGGGCAACATAGCAAGACCCTATTTCTTAAAAAAAAAAAATTTAAAAATTAGCCAGGCATGCTTGTGCATGCCTGTGGTCCTACTTACTCTGGAGGCTGAGGTGGGAGGATCACTTGAGTCCAGGAGTTGGAGGCTGCAATTAGCCAAGACTGTACCACTGCCCTCCAGCCTGGGTGACAGAGTGAGACTCTATCACTAAAAAAAATAAAAAAAAAAGAGAGAGAGATCTGGTTTTCTTTGTGACACTGAAGCTCATACTAAAATGTTTCCTATAAATTAGAATTCCACAAAAGAGTTGTTGGCAGAGACTTTTGTGCTTTGTTTTGTTTTGTTGTCTCTCCACAGCCATGTTTGGGGGAGTTCATTGGTGACAATTTTTAATGGAAAGAGGCTCTCACTTTGCGGCCCTTTAGAGGCTGTGGTGGGCGGTGATTGCTCACCAGAAAAGCTGCTGCTTCACCCTCCGCTGTGCACAGGAGACTGCGAAATTTGGCCAGCTGTAGAAGAAGAAAAGAGTTAGCTTCAGCATAGAAATTCCCACCAATATTAATGAATTACCCTGCATAAAGAAGATATATCTATAACCAGGAACAAAAAATACTGCAATGAAAATTTTCTGTTACATGTCATATATAATAAAGCAACTCTTTTGCTAAATTCTCATCACTGTACAAATACCTACAGGTTCCAAAATTAAATGTATAAGCATTTTTAATTTGAGACCAGCCTGGCCAACAAGAGGAAACATCTAGAGTGTGGTTTAAAGAGTAAATATTTAGAAATCAGAGAATGTTTTTCAATGTTTTTCAATCTATAAACACACATACATACATACATTTTATGACAAAAATGAACTCAACTATATATGCTGTTTTGAAACCTAATTTTTTCACTTAGTATATATCCTAGCCATCTTTGCATGCCAATACATATCAACCTACATCACTATTTTTTGTTGCTGAAAACTTTTCTATTATAAATATGTTTTATAAATTTTTAACAATCCCTTGGTGGTTTAATATCACTTATTAAGATTTAGTACAGGTCTAAAGTGAAGTTGGAAAAATTAAAACTAATTTTATCTTCTCAAAAATATGCACCAAAATTATACTGTCAATTAATAAAAGAAAATCTTTGGTGTTTATTTTGTTTTACTTTGATGAAGACAAATTATTAGGAATGAGAACCTACATTCTCTAAATTTTGTTAACCATCTAATCTCAGAGTCAACCAAATTCACATCCTTTAGGTTTTCATCAAATACCTGATGCCTAAAATGTTTCTTGTACAGTACTAACCAGGACGGGGGCAGAGGAGAGAGAGGTCCTTTATAAGAAATAGGCAACAGTTTATAACCATGCTCTATGGCAATAGGATCAACCATCATACATACAAGCAACCATGTTTTCCACATGTGATATTTTGAGGGTTTTATTTGTTTGTTTTTTGAGACAGAGTCTTGCTGTGTCACCAGGCTAGAGTGCAATGGCAGAATCTCGGCTCACTGCAACCTCCACCTCCCAGGTTCAAGCAATTCTCCTGCCTCAGCCTCCTAAGTAGCTGGGACTACAGGCACGTGCCACCGCACCCAGCTAATTTTTGTATTTTTAGTAGAGATGGGGTTTCACCATGTTGGCCAGGATGGTCTTGATCTCTTGACCTCATGATCCGCCCTCCTCAGCCTCCTAAAGTGCTGGAATTACAGGCGGGAGCCACTGCACCCGGCCATTTTGAGGTTTTTGTTTTTTTTTTAAGTACAGATATGGGAAGGAGACAAATGTTTACAACGTACTATTACTCATGTTTCATTAGACCAGATCATTATAGCTAAAACCACATGAGGCTGAAGAGAATCTCTGGTCAAGTCAAATAGCAGAGACTAATAAAATCTAACCTCTGAGACCATAGGAAAGATACCTAGCCTTCTGCAGATCATAACAATCCAGGTCTGTCTGGAGTGGTCATTCCAGATGGCTGTGCAGGAATTCTGAGTCCTGAATTACAGCATGGGTCCACAGGCCTCATCAAGCAACCTGCCTCCACAGTGATACCGCTGATTCTTCTGAAGACGTTGGCTTTATTTTTCTCCCACAACCCTAGCTCCTGCCCCTCTGGTAGTTCAACCCCTCTGGAACTTGATCATGGCTCCCTGTCCCAGCAGCACTTTCAGCTCACCAGTCTAGAATTGGATCTGACTTCAGCTCTTTCTCCGACCAGCCTGTGTATTTTGGTAAGAGTCCCTAGACCTGTCCTGGTATCTCGCCAAACCCCTTCCCCTTATAACTGGGTCTCACAATCATTTGGCCCAGCTAGGTCGACCCTGTATTTGCCAGTCCCCATTCAGATTTGTTTCTGTTGGCTCTGGGTGTCCTCCACTACTGCCCTGGCCTTAAAATGCACATCCCTGGCTGGTTCCCACCAGTCTTATCCCCTTATGTGGTTCCAGGCTTTATTCAAGCAGCAAAGCTGCTCCTCTGTCACTAAGGCTGATTCAGTACCTACAGGTTCCCAGTAGAAATGTTCCCAGTTCAGCCTTGAGGCTGAAGCAGGTATGACCTGTTTTGCTGGTTTCCTTGACTCTAATACTGAAATTTTAATTTCATTGTGTAGCAACTCCAATAAGCTAAAATACTCTTCTATGGTTCTGTAAACAGCTTTATGCCACTCTCATGCTCAAACCTCTTTGATAGCACTCCACTGCCTGCCAAAATTGAGTAATAATAAAAATAAGTTCTGTTATGGAACATAATGGACTAGGCACTGTGTTAAGTGCTCTCCATTACCTCAGTCAAAATACCCCTGTCAATAATACATAATTATCCCCTTTTACAGATGAGAAACTTGAGGGGTAGCTGAGAAGTTTCAATAAATAAGCCATCTTGACAAGCCATGCACTAACCACAGAGAAACTTGTTTTCTGTTTACTTATTTTCCCCTATCCTTTTAATTTACTTTTTATTATGTAAATGTTCAAAAGTACACAAAGGTAGAAAAAGCAACATCATAAATCACCAGGCATCCATGACCTAGCTTCAACACACAGCCAATTTTTCCATCCATTCTCCGACCAAAGCTCTCTTTCCATTTGCCATCCTACCCAAACTAGGCTATTTTTAAGCAAATTCCCAACATCGTATCATTTTAGTGGAAACATTTCCAAATACATCCCTATAATACATCACATTTCTAACATTTTGGTAGGTGCCCAAAACAAATGTGTCAGCATGGCTTCCAAGCCCCTTGTCCACTCAGTTCTAACTAACCTTCCTAGATGGATCTATTATGTCCACACGCATGTCTCACTCTAAGCCAGTTTTGGGAGGGGTGGTCCCAAAGCACCTGAATGAAAATACTTTGAGTTAATTCTTAAAAATTCAGATCCCTGGACCCTACCCCAAACTTGTGAATTGGAATTTCTAATAAGGCCCAAGGATTCACTTTTTTTTTTTTTTTTTTTTTTTGAGATAGAGTCTTGCTCTGTCACCCAGGCTGGATTGCAGTGGCATAATCTCGACTCACTGCAACCTCCGCCTCCTGGGTTCAAGCAATTCTCATGCCTCAGCCTCCGGAGTAGCTGAGGTTATATATAGGCAGGGGACACCACGCCCAGCTAATTTTTTTTTTTTTAAGTGAAGACAGGGTTTCGCTATGTTGGCCAGACTGGTCTTGAACTCCTGGCCTCAAGTGATCCTCCCGCCTCAGCCTTTCAAAATGCTGGGTGAAAGATTCTCCCCCGGGGCCTGAAAGTTTAAGGGAATGAATAACTTCCTCCCTCCTCAGGCCCAGTCCCAAGGTGCAAGGCCACTTGCTCCAGCAGCGTGCGTCAGCAAGATAGCATAAGCAGGAAGAGAGCTGGCTGGGAGACACATACCCTCTGAAGACTGAGAGGGAGGCCGTCCAGGTACTACGCAGCAGTCACGTCAGACTGGGACACTTCCTGTTTACAGAGAACTATAAAACCCCTGCCCCGTCCTCACTTCCGGCTGATGCCATTTTAGGCCTCAGCCCGTCTGCACCCAGGCGCTCATTAAAACCTCTTGTTGCTCCACACCACCTCGTGTGCTGTTGGCGCGCTCTCAGGGTTCGAAGTGATACAAGAGCGTTGCATCTGGTATCAGTACCCGCCCTACTGTCCACAGCAGCCCCTCTGAGCTGTTTTGAGTGTTATTGTGTCCGGAATTGGTGGGTTCTTGGTCTCACTGACTTCAAGAATGAAGCTGTGGACCCTCGCGGTGAGTGTTACAGTACTTAAACGCAGCATGTCCGGAGTTTGTTCCTTCTGATGCTAGGATGTGCTCAGAGTTTCCTCCTTCTGGTGGGTTCATGGTCTCGCTGGCTCAGGAGTGAAGCTGCAGAGCTTCCCGGTGAGTGTTACAGCTCTTAAGGCCGCGCATGTCTGGAGTTGTTCGCTCCTCCCGGTGGGTTCGTGGTCTCGCTGGCTTCAGGAGTGAAGCTGCAGACCTTTGCAGTGAGTGTTGCAGCTCATAAACGCAGTGTGGACCCAAAGAGTGAGCAGCAGCAAGATTTATTGCAAAGAGGGAAAGAACAGAGCTTCCACGGTGTGGAAGAAGACCTCAGTGGGTTGCCACTGCTGGCTCCCGCAGCCTGCTTTTCTTCTCTTATCTGGCCCCACCCACATCCTGCTGATTGGTCCATTTTACAGAGAGCCGAGTGGTCTATTTTGACAGGGCGCTGATTGGTGCGTTTACAATCCCTGAGCTAGACACAAAGGTTCTCCAGGTCCCCACCAGATTAGCTAGATACAGAGTGTCGATTGGTGCATTCACAAACCCTGAGCTAGACACAGGGTGCTGATTGGTGTGTTTACAAACCTTGAGCTAGATAAAGAGTGCCGATTGGTGTATTTACAATCCCTTAGCTAGACATAAAGGTTCTCCAAGTCCCCACCAGAGTAGCTAGATACAGAGTGTCGACTGGTGCATTCACAAACCCTGAGCTAAACAAAGGGTGCTGATTGGTGTGTTTACAAACCTTGAGCTAGATACAGAGTGCTGATTGGTGTATTTACAATCCCTTAGCTAGACATAAAGGTTCTCCAAGTCCCCACCAGAGTAGCTACATACAGAGTGTCCATTGGTGCATTCATAAACCCTGAGCTAGACACAGGGTGCTGATTGGTGTGTTTACAAACCTTGAGCTAGATACAGAGTGCCGATTGGAATAGTTACAATCCCTTAGCTAGACATAAAGGCTCTCCAAGTCCTCACCAGACTCAGGAGCCCAGCTGGCTTCACCCAGTGGATCTCGCACCAGGGCTGCAGGTGGAGCTGCCTGCCAGTCCCAGCGCCATGCGCCCGCACTCCTCGGCCCTTGGGTGGTCGATGTGACTGGGCACCGTGGAGCAGGGGGCAGCGATCGTTTGGGGAAGCTCGGGCCGCACAGGAGCCCACGGAGGTTGGGGGGAGGCTCAAGCATGGCGGGCTGCAGGTCCCGAGCCCTGCCCCGGGGGGAGGAAGGCAGCTAAGGCCGGGCGAGAAATTGAGCACAGCAGCTGCTGGCCCAGGTGCTAAGCCCCTAACTGCCCGGGGTCCGCGGGGCCGGCCCGCCGCTCCGAGTGCGGGACCCACCGAGCCCACGCCCACCCGGAACTCGTGCTGGCCCGCAAGCACCGCCCGCAGCCCCACTTCCCGCCCACGCCTCTCCCTCCACACCTCCCAGCAACCTGAGGGAGCCGGCTCCGGCCTTGGCCAGCCCAGAAAGGGGCCCCCACAGTGCAGCGGCGGGCTGAAGGGCTCCTCAAGTGCCGCCAAAGTGGGAGCCCAGGCAGAGGAGGCGCTGAGAGCGAGCAAGGGCTGCGAGGACTGCCAGCACGCTGTCACCTCTCATTATCAGTCTTTCCACTACGGAGGAAAAATACAACAATCCTTTACTTACCATACTTATATAGAAAAATCCTGTTATGGAACCTTGATCGAGGAATGTGTTGAATCGGGGAAAAGTTAATATAAAGTAAAAAATCTAGGAGTATCCGGTAGTCGTAATGGGACTATTTGTCCAAAAGGTAAGCAGTGGCTTTGCTTCACCACAATTGGACAATGGGGAGTAAAAACTCAAGTGCTAGAGGATACAAAGAGAGAACAGATTATAGCCAAAACAAAAGCCAACAACTCCCCTCCAAAATCACCCGTGGCATTTCCATCCCTTTATACAAAACTACAAGCAGACGTATCGCTTCCCAAGGCAGGAAAAAACCTGTTTGTAGATCTAGGAGAACGCATCGCCCTTACCATGAATGTGTCCAATTGCCAGGTATGCAGGGGAGCCCGTATGAGTCAACAGTGGCCATGGTAGGGGATAGACATTCCCCCTTACTTACTAGCATCCCAAAACTCCAGCCTCACTTTCACTCCTCAGGAATGCCCACAGTCCTGCACACTTCCAGTAACAGGGACGGTGTGCATATCCCGCAAGTGGAATGATAAAACTCATCATGCCTAGGTGAAAGCCCCTGTCACCAAACCCTAACAGTCAATGCCTCCACAGCAGAGGGGTGGCCAAAATTACCCCACGGAGCTTGGTCTCCTTCTAACTTAAGCTACCTCAATTATGTCTTGTCAAAAAAGGCCTGATACTGTACAAACACCACAACCCTTATGCCGCATACCCCAGCCTAAGTGCACTGTGGGACAATCCTATGAACACCAGCCTCCAATGGACTGCCCCTGATGGATTCCTTTGGATATGTGAAACCCAGGCATACTCATGGCTACCTTATCCCTGGCAAGGTACTTGCTTCCTAGGCACAATTAAAGCTGGATTCTTTTTACTTTCAAAGCAGGCAGGCAACACCCTCGGAGTCCCTGTGTATGATAACCTAACCAGAGAAAAACGATCCTTGGAGGTAGAAGGGAGCCAAAGATGGCAAGAGGACGAGTGGCGTCTGCAACACATCATCGAATATTACGGTCCTGCCACTTGGGCTGAGGATGGTTCATGGGGTTATTGCACTTCCACATATAGGCTAAATAGAACAATTAGACTACCAGCTGTTCTAAAGATAATCACTAACCAAACCGCCTCAGCCCTAGAAATGCTCTCGCAACAAAACCAAATGCTTGCGGCAATTTTTCAAAACAGGCTACCACTAGACTACTTATTAGCAGAAGAAGGTGGGGTCTATGGTAAGTTTAATATCGCTAATTGCTGTCTTAACATAGACGATAACGGAAAAGCGGTTCTAGAAATCGCTTCAAACATCAGAAAAGTAGCCCATGTATCAGTCCAAACCTGGAAGGGATGGGACCCAACAAACCTTCTAGGAGGGTGGTTCTCTAATTTAGGAGGATTTAAAATACTGGTAGGGACAGTAATCTTCATCATTGGGTTCCTCCTGTTTCTCCCCTGTGTTATCCCACTAGCCACCAAAAAATCCAGACGGTGCTCCTGCTACAGCGACATGATGGATACAAACCCGTCTCTCAAGAATACCCCAAAAAATTAAGTTTTTCTTTTTCCAAGGTGCTCACGCCACCCCTATGTCACGCCTGAAGTAGTTATTGAGAAAGTCATCCCTTTTCCTTTTTTCTATAACCAAATAGGAATGAAAGATTCTCCCCGGGACCTGAAAGCTGGGCAGGGGGTGAATAACTCCTCCCTCCTCAGGCTCAGTCCCAAGGCACAAGGCCACTGGCACCAGCAGTGTGTGTCAGCAAGATAGCAGAAGCAGGAAGAGAGCTGGCCGGAAGACACATACCCCCTGAAGACCGAGACGGAGGCCGTCCGGGTACTATGCAGCAGTTACATCAGACTGAGACACTTCTTGTTTACAGGAGACTATAAAACGCCTGCCTGCCCTGTCCTCACTTGGGGCTGATGCCATTTTAGACCTCAGCCCGTCTGCACCCAGGCACTCGTTAAAACAGCGTGTTGCTCCACACCACCTCGTGTTGTCTGTCGGCGCACTCTTGGGGTTCGAACCAATACAAGAGCCTTGCATCCCTGGGGGCAGACAGGCTGAGGCCTATGGCGTCAGCCCCAAGTGAGGATGGGGCAGGGGTTTTACAGTCCTCTGTAAACAGGAAGTGTCCCAGTCTGATCTGACTGCTACATAGTACCCGGATGGCCTCCCTCTCGGTCTTCAGGGGGTATGTGTCTTCTGGCCAGCTCTCTTCCTGCTTCTGCTATCTTGCCTGACGCACGCTGCTGGAGCAAGTGGCCTTGCGCCTTGGGACTGGGCCTGAGGAGGGAAAAGTTATTCATTCCCTTAAGCTTTCAGGCCCCGGGGAGAATCTTTCAGTGGGATTACAGGAGTGAGCCACTGCGCCCAGCCTGAGAAAGAGCTGTTATCCAGACTATATAAAGAACTCTTGCAAACAACCCAATGTAAAAATGTACAGATGATTTGAACAGATACTTAACAAAAGGAGATACATACATAGCCAATAAGCATACAAAAAATGTTCAAAATCATTGGTCACTAGATAAATGCAAATTAAAATCACACATGCCCACTAGAATACCTAAAGTTAGAAAAACTGACAATGCCAAATGCTTGCAGGGGTATGAAGCAACTAGAAATCTCATACGTTGCTGGTGGGAATTTAATATGACACAGCCACTTTAGAAAACAATATAGTAGTACTTTACTCAGCTGGGCACAGTGGCTCATGCCTGTAATCCCAGGATTTTGGGAGGCCAAGGCGGGCAAATCACTTGAAGTCGGGAGTTTGAGACCAGCCTGGCTAACATGATGAAACCCTGTCTCTACTAAAAATACAAAAATTAGCTGGGTGTGGTGGCAAGTGCCTGTAATCCCAGCTACTCAGGAGGCTGAGGCAGGAGAATCTCTTGAACCCGGGAGGTGGTGGTTACAGTGAACCAAGATCACACCACTGCACTCCAGCCTGGGCAACAAAGCGAGACTCCTTCAGAAACAAAAAGAAAAGAAAAGGAAACAATGTAATAGTACTTTACAAAATTAAACAAACATGAACTAGTAATTCTAGTCCTAGGTATTGACACAAGACATAAAAATGTGTCCACACAAAAGTGAGCAAATTACTCCTAATATCCATATATGGATTGCTATTATTCATAATGGCCAAAAATTAAAAGCAAGCCAAATGTCCATCAACTGTGAAATATATTTTTTAAAAATATAATATATCCATACCATGGAATATTACACAGTAATAAAAGTTAATGAAATGGGTCAGGTACCATGGGTCACTACCTGTAATCCCAGCACTTTGGGAGGCTAAGATGGGTAGATCACTTGAGGCCAGGAGTTCAAGACCAGCCCAGCCAACATGGTGAAACCCCATCTCTACTAAAAATACAAAAATTGGCCAGGCGTGGTGATGCATGCCTGTAGTTCCAGCTACTCAGGAGGCTGAGGCAGCAGAATCACTTGAACCTGGGAGGCAGAGGTTGTGGTGAGCCAAGATCTCGCCACTCCACTCCAGCCTGGGCAACAGAGCCAGACTCTGTCTCAGGAAAAAAATAAAATAAAATGGGTGAATCTTAAAAAGATTATACCATTAAAAGAACTCAAACACAAAAATCTACTGTATGACTCATTTAAATTCTAGTGACAGCACATCAGTTGTTGCCTAGGACTATGGTGAAGAAGGTGAAGGACTGCAAAAGAGCACCAGAAAATTTTTGGCTGAGATCTCTATCTTTTATTTATTTATTTTGAGATAGAGTCTTGCTCTGTTACCCAGGCTGGAGTACAGCGGCGCAATATGGGCTCACTTCAGCCTTGCCTCCCGGGTTCAAGTGATTCTCCTGCCTCGGCCTCCTGAGTAGCTGGGATTACAGGCATGCACCACCATGCGTGGCTAATTTTTGTATTTTTAGTAGAGATGGGGTTTTACCATGTTGACCAGGCTGGTCTCGAACTCCAGACCTTAGGTGATCCATCCGCCTTGGCCTCCCAAAATGCTAGGATTAGAGGTGTGAGCCACCACAGTGGTTGAGAACTATATCTTGATTGTAGTAGTTGTAGCATGTCTATATACAGTTACCAAAATCAGCAACCACACACTTAAAATTCATGAGTTTCACTGCATGCAAATATAATAAACAAAAAAGAGTTTTTTTCTTTAAAAGGAGAATAGAAACAAAGCCAAGTATTTTGCACATTGAATTTCAGCTAAGTAACCCAATTTTGATGATTTAGGATAACCCAAAGAGACTTGGCAAGAGAAGTTGTCCCTCCAGAGAAAATGACAGACTTGTCTTCAAAAGGATCAGAAAATAGTACATTTATCTGCTCACTGGCATGGCAGTTAAGAATTTAGTCCTCAATGAGTGACTCTGAAAGAGAAAAATGGACTTAAATCAAGAAAAAGAAAATGAAAAACATCTGATTTGCCCCTTAGGTCAAACTGTGACTTGGCAAGAAATTGTGGAGAAAACCCTAGGAAAAAATCCGGAAAACACTACACTTAGTATTCATATCTCCATAGGCATTTGTTGATTGTGACAGTATCTCAGACTTACCTTGTTTTTGATGAACTTGGCAGTTTTAACAACCTTGAGAATACTGACTAGTTTATAGAATGTCCCCTGACTGGGTTTTGCCAGATATTTTTTCATGGTTAGACTGGGACTGAATTTTTTTTCTTTTGCTTTATTCTTTAACTTTTAAAACCACCACAATATCAGATTTTAATAAATTGAATTGTTACTCAAATAACTTTCTCAATTTGGTTAAAAACTAAAATACGTGAAAGTGTTCCTACTATAGGAGATTTAAGTGAATGCTCCAAAGTGAATTAACAATCACATCAGAGCTCTAAAACATAGCTATTATTTTATATACTGCTCTGCATAAAAGCCACATTAATAATAGTAATCCATTGAGCCTCAAATAAGACAAAGTAGTGAATCCTCAGCTAGGCAGTCACAATTCCTAAACTTGCAGGTAGATATTTTTAATAAGGTTAACTTTATTTTTAAGGAACTAAACTATATATTTTGATATATTCTCTTCCAAATCACTGGTGGATTGAAAACAAAAAACGAAACTAAACAAAAAGTTATTTTCCAAGTGGCTTTAAGAAATAACAGTGTCCTTGAAATATGAGGGAAAACAGGATTCCCTTATTAACTACCTTGATGTTATAGTTTATTCACTCTTAATATTATTCAGTTCAAATTTAATAAAGAAATGTAAAAGTAAACCATTTAGCATGTGACAGGGAGAAAAATGAATTCCCTTATTAAGGACTCTGAATCAGTAACAGGTCATTTTTCTCATGATACAATGATAGAAAAAATTCACAGGAGTTTTCATGTCAGTCAAGCTCTGGATTTCTACATAGACCTTTGTAAAATGTTTTTAAAAAGTATACACTAGGTTATTATTTGCCTTTAATCCTAAAGACAAGGTCAACAAGGAGAAACACCCAACAGAAGGAAGGATGTGTTCAATGCCCCAAGGGGAAATGCTGCCTGAAATGATCTCGGTAAAGGTGGGCCAGCTCTGGTATCATTAGGAGGAAAAATAAACAGGTAGGCAGGTGGGCAAGCCCAGTACATGTGTACTTTATTAGCTGCAAAAATTACTAGACTGTGTTCTTGCTAAGATATTGCACCTAATGCAAAAAGAACAACAAAAACAAAACCAATGAAGAAGCACAGCATCCAAGAACACACAGCATCCACCCATCAGATTGGCCAGCCCCATGGTTCACACCTCAAGCACAGTTTCTGAACATTAAAGACTGGATATACTGGCTAGGTGCAGTGGCTCATGCCTGTAATCCTAGCACTTTGGGAGGCCGAAGCAGGAGGATCATTTAAGGCCAGAAGTGGATCACTTCAAGACCAGCCAGGGCAATAATGCAAGACCCTGTCTACACAAAATTTTTCAAAAAAAAAATAAGCCAGGCATGGTGGCATGCACCTGTAATTCCAGCTACATGGGAGGCTGAGACAGGAAGATGAATGGCTTGAGCCCAGGAGTTCAAGGTTGGAGTGAGGTATGGTTGCACCGACTCCACACCAGCCTGGCTGACAAACTGGATATCCTGAGTCTAGCAGACTCTTGGCCTACAGGGGAAGCTCCATAAGTATTTAACAGAAGAATGAGTGAGTAGATGTCTACACAGAAAGAACCTCCCTACAGCCTCTCTGCAAATGCTTAAGCATTAAGCCCCTCAGACAGCCCAACAAAAGTTTTTGTCAACAAATGCCAAAAGATCAACAATTCCTCCTCTCCCTCTCATTCCCCTCCCCTTTCTCTCTCTTTCCTCTTCTTATAATTATAGTAAGAACACTTAAATGAGATCCACCCTCTTAACAAAAAAAATTTTTTTTGAGACAAAGTCTTGCTCTGGAATGCAGCGGCATGATCCTGACTCACTGCAGCATCAGCCTCTTGGGTTCAAGCAATCCTCCCACCTCAACCCCTTGAGTAGCTGGGACTATAGGCATGCACACCACACCTGGCTACTTTTTGTATTTTTTGTAGAGACAAGGTTTTACAGTGTTGCCCAGGCTGGTCTCCAACTCCAGGGCTCAAGCGATCCACCCACCTCAGCCTCCCAAAGTGCTGAGATTACAGGCAGGATCCACTGTGCCCAGCCTACCCACTTAACTACCTTTTAAGTGTACAAAACAACAACTTCTTACACTTAGCAGGCACACATTTCTTAGGGCACTGCACCAATCACTGTCCTCAAGTTTCACTTGGAAATTTGTAGAAGCAGGTGTGGGGACTAAGGTCAGAAAGAAAAATGTCACCTTCTATAAGTAGCCGCTCTCTGATTTTTTTGTTTGTATCTCAGCCTGTTTATATCCCCATTTTTCATTTTTATCTCAGCCTGTTTATATCCCCATATCAAACAAACAGCAACAAACCAAAAGCAAATGATTATAGTGCTCAAAATGATGCTTTACTTTCATCAGTGTCGCTATGTACATTTCTAAGAAGTGGCAAATAAATCATCTAATCACAGGTCAAATACGAAAGGGACATAGGTCTCATCTAGCCCAACGACCCGTCTGATGAATAAAGAGAAAACAGACTTCAAAACACAGTAGAAATTAAGGGCAGGGTTGAAAAAAAAAAAAAAAAAGCCCAGTTTCCTCTGAGGGAATCAGTATCAACCTGGAAGAGATTATGTACCTGTTGAGAGCTGATGTTTATAGGTTGCTTTAAAACAATCCATGTGACACTCTCAAGAAGAGGTGGAACTGTAAGAGAACCAGGATATGTCCAGTAGTCCCAGGATGGTGGAAGCAGAGACAATAGGTCAAAATTTGTGAATCGAGTTTGTTTACCCTGGAGGATCAAAAAGAATTCCCACAAATTACAATGGGATAGCTCTACATAGACCTCAAAAAACATACATCCATGTACTTCCATTATAATTCCATAAACAATACAGAATATCTGCATCTAGAATTATGTAATATCTTCCTTTAGTATCTTTAAAAAAGCATCTACATCTTAAAAATTTTAGATAAAGTAACATATCATAGATTTATTTAAGAAGCATAAGGTTTGTTTTCATATAAGTGGTCCCTTAAATGTGTTACAATTAAAGGCTTACTCTGTAATATAATACCAGAGACTAATTATGCATAAGTATATTTATTCATGTTTATTTTAGGTAATTTAAGACCTTTACATTCAAAAGATAAGTGGTAATAGGTTACTTCTGCTTTTTTTCATCAAGTATGTTGCAAACTTCAAAGCAGGCAGCATATGTCTAAGTCTTTAAAGGAAGATAAGAGAATGTGGGAGAGAACAAGAAATATGTTAATTATTAACAGTAATTCATTTTACCTTTTCTTTAATGGAATCCAAAGTGTCAGTAATCTTTTGCAGTTGGGAATTAGGTTCACCAATCTAAAAACATGAAATTTCAAAAGAAATGGTTACTGTAGCAGATCAAGTCTGAATCACTCAATTTCAGCCACTATTTAAAAATTATTTTTTAAAAAAACCTTAGCCAGCACAGAACATACAGTGATTGTTCTACAACAAAGCTTCTCTTTTACCTGCCAGCCTTATCATGCCAGAAGGATCTGAACAACAAGATAATATTACAGGGTTCCTGTACTGAACTTTCAGCTTAGTCCCAAAACTAATAGAAACAGCTTAATATTTGTTAAGTTTTATCAGTGTTTAAGATGTAGGTTAACTTGAGAGAAACTTTGCATAAGACAGTCTAACAAATAACCTGCACTACTAAGCTAGATGTGACAGTCAGCCCCTCAATTCAAACGGACAATGGTGGCATCAAAATACTAGATGCAAACATCTCACACTTGCAGCCTAAAATGATTTGAGGTCCCAAATCAAGGGAATATATCATCATAAGCAAACTCATCATAAATTATAGATACATAAATGATCCTCTTTTCATTATTACAGGTGATCTGAATCTACCTGAAGGTTTTAAAGCACCCGGATCCTGCCGCAACCACCCCTACTTGGTGTCCAAAGGCAAGGAATTGTTGCCATCCGTGAAGCATTCTCTGTTCATGAGTTACAACACATGGAGAGTATGGGGTGTGACAAAGGGGCACACCTACAAGAATGTGGAGGCAGAGGGAGGTGAGAAGCCCAACCTGTTCCCAGGTATGATGACAATAATTGTCTAACCACATGTGAACGTTAGATTAAAGGAAATACAATAAAATTTTTTTAAAAACCAGTGAGCACATTGGGACAATATGTCATTGTGGTGAGACCAGTGTTTCAAGAATCAGGAGCTTGAACTTTATTCTGTCCTAAATAGTATACAATTAGGAAGAGCCCAGAATAAATGTTTTCTTCCAGTATCTCAGTTGTTATTTCTGCTACTATTCTTGATGTTGATGCTGCTATTGTTATTCACATAAAAATGATCAATGGACAATAAGAAGACTTATAAGACAATGCTCCTAAATGAATATATAATTTTTAAATATTCATTTCAAAAGGAAACTGCTACACCTAAAATGAATTTACTATTAAACAAGATGGTTGAATGTCTACTTCGTGACTGAAGCTCTTTCTTCAACAAGGCTGATCATTTAAAATGAAAACAGTAGATTCTCACCTGTAAAAACACTCCCAAGACAGCCAGTCCATCTGGTTCATGAGCTGCCTCAACAAAGCTGGGGTATTTGTCTGAATTCCAGTGAACAACATGGAGCTGAAAGGGAGATATACAACATAGTAGGAATGTTTTGTTAGACATCCTGAAAAACATAAATGCAAATAAAACATTTACAAATTTTCTGGTGCTGTACACTTATGTATAATGTATTTATCACAAGAATCTTGGACAGAATCCTCTTGTTTATTTTTGTCCAAAAGTGAAAGTTCATGCAGTGAAGGATCACAGTCACTTAACTAGTCTGTGGTCCACTATATTAAAGACTATATAGAATGCCTTGAGCATCCTAGCTGGACATGGTAGTACATGACTGTAGTCCCAGCTACTCGGGAGGCTGAGGCAGGAGAATCACTTGAACCCAGGAGGTGGAGGTTGCAGTGAGCTAAGACTGCGCCACCACACTCCAGCCTGAGCAACAGAGCGACACTTCATATCAGAAAATAAATAAATTTTTAAAAAAGCCTTGAACATCCTTCACAGCCCCTTCAGCCCTAACAAACTCCAGCTATTGCTCCCAAGTAACTGGAGGCTCCTCCAGGCCTTCCACAGATGAGACTGCAATGGAGCAGCCTCAAATCAAATCCCGGCTGGCAGTAAAGTCCATGGAAGAGGGCTGAGCTCACAGATGGGTGGAGAAGTCAACCTCCGACACAGTAGGTTTTCCAGGACAATCCCGCTACCAAGGACAGTGAGGCTGTTTCTAAAACTGTCCAGTTAAATGTTTACTACCTGTCATTTTAAGACTATTTATGGCTTGAAAACACAAAGTCTCCTTATGAGTAATCATGTAATCATGTTAAGTAGCATTCAAACTTTTTTATTAAGAGCATTTTTAATTGGCAAATCATAACTGTATACATTTATGGGGCACAATGCAATGTTTTAATATATGTATAAATGTGGAATGATTAAATCAAACTAATTAAAATATTTGTCATCTCGCACATAAAAATGCTTATCATTTTGATACATTTACCACGTTCTATGAATATGTTTAGATACTTTGCTGAGAGCAAGTTTCAATGGGGGAAAAAGAGGTAGAAAATGGGAGGGTAGCTGATGCTACTAAGGAGGGAGATAAAACAAGGGGGAAGGGAAGGAGGTGGGGGGCCTGGAACTCTGGAAAACAGACTTCACCCACCTCACAACTCTACTCATATGCAGCGGCCTTATGCAACACCTAAAGGTATCCTAAATGTTTTACCATTGCAAGCAATACGGTATCTCGAACACACCCACAAGTGTGAAAGATTTCAGAATAACGATAAAGGAGAAAACCACTTTGGGGGAGTCTTCCCCAAAAGGACAAAGTGAGACAGAAGCCAAAGGGCAATGCGACATGCCTAAAACATTTAGCTACAATCATAAATGGTGATCAAGCCATGGTGTCCAAGGACCTGATATGAGGGACTGACTTCAGACAAGATCTCCTTCTAATGAATCCCTTTTGTTTTATCAGGAAGGAAATACTTATGTGAGCCTTCATGCCCAAATCATCTTTCTAGCTGACTGTTACAGAGAGGATTTAGCATATTCAAATACATGTTTATCCCATCCTTTAAATATAACTTACAGGAAATTTATAGGAGATAAATATGTCTTACAGGAAATTTATAGGAGATAATTTCTGGATAGATAACAATTATCATAAACAGTCAACTATAAAACAGTGCATCATGCACAAACAATCAAGGAAGACTGTGCAATATAAAAGTAGATTCCTGTAGTGCCATGTTCCAAGTTGGTGTGAGATAGTTGGGGGAGGAAAGAAACCTGAAAACACCGGGTGATGAAACAGAATTCATTTGGCTCACATGAGACAGATGACATTCACTGTCAGGGAAGGGCTGATAAGGATGTTAAAATTGTTTTAAGTGGCTCTGTGCCAATGCACCAGTTCTCTCAGTAAGAGATGAGACCAAACAGAGAAAGATATAGAATGACTTCGTTAGGATCACAACCAGAACTGATTAAAAAATGAATGTGTAACTAAAGAGAGATGAATGGACATATATATATCCTATATATAACCATCCTTCTGCTAGTTAAAAGTACAACTATTTAAACTATGATGGGAAACTAGGCCAAGAAAATATTTTTCTTTCTCTCCTACACACCTTACTTAAGACTGGCAGCAATACCTTCACAGAGGAACTGATACCACTTCTATTAGCATTTATATTTTAATTAAAACAAAAAAAAAGCAAACTCACATTTCCTGACTAACAATGACAAGAGCAGTGATTTGAACTGAATGACAAGAAATTGTAACCACTACAAAAATGAAAATTAGATTCTTCTCTACTGGCAACTAATTTCTAAATAATATTATTAAAATTTAGCAGTTTCAAATTCCATATTAGTGGTATGCAAAATATACTGCCAAATACTATGCCAAAAATCCATGATGAATGTTGAAATCAGTTTCATTATTAGCTACATATTTAAAATGCTTGCTATATATTCTGCCTAAACTTTCATTAGATAAAGTTCCAAACACAGAATGGACGATTAGCCTAGTTTTGTAGACGCCTAACTTTTGGGATAAAACTTTTCTTGATTTAGATCACTTTAATCTCTCTGTAATATTATAAACCATCATATTAGGCCTAAAATTAAAGTTGTATATGTTGCAACTTTAAATGTCTTTTTTCTTTCTTTCACTTCTCCTTTTTACTCACAAGGGAACGTAACTTGATGATGGTCATGAACTTTGTACAAAAGTGGCTGGAAAAACTAATCAACTCCTTGGAATCACGGAGCTGAGCACAAAGGGGTTCTTTTGAACATGAAACCAAATGCAAGGACTCCCAAATGCCCCCATCTCCAGCCTTGACCTCTTCTTAAACTGGAAGTTTTTATCCAATAGCCTACTTGAACATGAGCCTAGAATGCCTAACAGACATCTCAAACTTAACCTGTCTAAAACAGAGAGTGAATTCCTCTCTGCAACCTGCTCCTTCCCAGACTTGCACATTTCAGTAAATGGCACCACCAGCCTCCAATATGCTTACATCGAAACCTTAAGAGTGTTTCTAAACTCCTGTTTTTCCTTCCTTCAATCATGACATCCTTTTCATCAGCAAACCCTATTGACTTTATCTCCCAAACATCATAGATTTGTCCAGCTCTCTTCGTCTCCACCACCCCCAGAGTCCAAATTACTGTCACTGCTCACTTGAATGACTTCCATAACCTTCTAGTTTTTCTCCCTACTTCAACATTTGCCTGACAGCGGCCTCCTCTCTACCCAGCAGCTAGTTATATTTTGTAAAATATAAAGCAGAACATGTCATTCCCCTGATCAAAACCTTCCATTGTCTTCTTCCCACTGCATTACAGATAAACTTCAGACTGCTTACAATGCCCAACAGTACCCGATGTGGCATGGTCCCTGCCTGCCTCATCAGGACAGAGCACATAACTTTTCCTTTCTCATTAATTCCAATCCTAATAGGCCAATGACTTTCTCCTCTTGAACATGCCAGCCTCACTCCTGCCTTAGAGAACTTGAGCTTGCTGCTCCCACTTCCTGGAAAGGTCTCTCTAGATTTTTCTCTTAATGCTTTCTTCTTATCAGTCAGTCTCAACTCATGTATCACCTCAAAGAAGCTTTTCCTAAGCCCTCAGCCACTCTACCAGATCACATGGTATTGTTCCCATCAAAGAACTTACCATGCACCATTTATTTATTTGCTTATTGTCTACCTCTCCCACCCCACCAAGCCTGAGGTTTGACCCAGACTTTCTCTATCTGCATTTCCTATCTCAACCTAGAAACATGGATCCTGCCCTCCCTCACTCTCAAACCCACCAATCGACAAATGCCACTAAAGCTGCCACTGCCAGCCAGCCAGCCTCTACCTGCACTCTCATTTATTGCCTGGAACTTTCCCCAAAAGTTTCCTCCAAAGCTCCCCTTAGCCACTCCTGCTTCCATCCAATCTATTCTCAAACAGTAGTTGAATTATTTTTGAAATGCAAATATCACCACTTCCCAATGGAAAGCCTTTCAGTGGCTTCCCATTGCACTTAGAATCACCTTCATAAACCTTACCAGGACTTACCTCAGTAAGATCAGGCCCTTCCCAGCCTCTCCAACTTTGCCTCTGACAACTCTCCCCTTCATTCTCCAAGCTCCAACTACACTGTTAAAGGCCATACTGTTTTTCAAATGTATGAGCCTCCTTCCCAACCCACATCCTCACACATGATTTTATGCAAAACCACTGCTGTCCCCCCACTTGACCTAGTTCCCTCCCCTTCAACCAAACCAGGTTTTAAGTTAAACCAGGTTTAACTTAAAACGGATGCCTATCCCACAGGGCAGCATTTTCTGACCTCAAATATGTGTGAGGCTGCACTCCTTTCAGGGTAAGCATCAGTAAGCTGTGTAAAGATTAGGAGCATGGTTGATTCTCAATGAATTCTTACTGAGTGAAAGAATGAATGAATATATAAGCCAATGAAATAAGAAGCAATCATCCCTCCTTGGCCTCCCAAAGTGCTGGGATTACAGGCATGAGCCACTGCACCCACCCTTGGAATTGTATACTGTTCTTTAATATGCATTCAAGGAGTTTCAGACCAGCCTAGGCAAGATGGCCAGACTCTGTCTCTATAAAAAATAATTAGCCAGATGTAGTGGTGCCCACCTGTGGTCCCAGTTGCTCTGGAGGCTAAGGTGGGAGGATCCCTTGAACCCAGGAGGTCAAAGCTACAGTGAGCCATGTTTGTACCATGGCACTCTAGCCTGGGCAACAGATCGAGAGCCTGTCTCAAAGAAAAAGAAAGAAAAAAGAAAATCTATTCCAAGCTTTATCCACAAAGCTTTATCTTTAAATGCTGGTGCTGGTCATAGTTTCTTTGTTAGATTCTCTCATTTAAAAACAAACAAACATATATATATATATACACTGGCCGGGCGCGGTGGCTCACGCCTGTAATCCTAACACTTTGGGAGTCCGAGGCAGACAGATCACCTGAGGTTGGGAGTTCGAGACCAGCCTGACCAACATGGAGAAACCCTGTCTCTACTAAAAATACAAAATTAGCCAGGCATGGTGGCGCATGCCTGTAATCCCAGCTACTCGGGTGGCTGAGGCAGGAGAAGCACTTGAACCCAGGAGGCAGAGGTTGCAGTAAGCCAAGATCGCACCATCGCATTCTAGCCTGGGCAACAAGAGCAAAACTCTGTCTCAAAAAAAAAATAAATAAAATACTGTTTGTTTAAAGCATGCATAAAAATGTATGTCTTAAAATATACTTAAAAATTCCAAGATGCTTCTGATTTGTGTAATATTTACCTGGAGGACTCATACTTAGGTGTCTTAACATGAATTGAGTCTCCAAGGTCTCCATGTGAAACAAAAGAAGGGAAAATAATTATCTGTAATGTTGTAAGTTGTACCTAAGTTTTTTAATAAGTGAAATTTGCATTATAAATTTTTTCCATTTATAAATACATAAGTGAACCAAAGGTTTTGGTCCTTTCCTTCACTGGTTTGCTTTAAAATAAATAAATAAATAAAAGATAATTATTTATTGCAGAACAACAACAACAAAAAAGTCTTTGTCTACAAAAATGGCCCTTGATCTGCAGGTAAAGACTCTGAGCCTCTGACATATGTCAGGAGGACCCTTTTCAGGAAACTACTTGCCAGCTGGCAGAAAACCTAAGCCTCTCTGAGTATGTAGTACTTTCAAGTTTATTAAAGTACAAGGTGTAACCACACACAGCATTTTGACCAATTTTCCTGAGTTGGTAAGGAAAATGAGAGACCAGTGATCCAAAGCAACCAATAATTAGTTCCGAGGGCGCTTTGGACATTTAGAACATGTTATATTCAGAACATAAAACTTTAGAAAGCAAACATGAAAACTATTTGGTAAATGATGCAAATTGAGACACCATACAAATTCAGCAGTCCCACTTTCTACCTTCTAGACAAAGTTTGTCCACCATCATAAAAAACTTTGTACGTACATTTTATTTCTCTACCCTGAGGACAGAGCAGGTTCCATACTCTAAAGCTACTTGGCCTCAAACACAAGTGATTTAGTGGCAAAGCAAACATTTCAGATGAAAACCTGAAAGGGCAGAGGTACATGTCAATGGAAGAGTGAAACTGGAAAAAAGTTCTGATTGTCGGATTTCTCTGAACAGCAGGGCTATACAGGGCATCTAAACTCTACAGCTCAGTAACCATGAGAACATGAAGAAAAATTGCACTTGCCTGATAACTTAGCTCTGTCCTGCCTAGGCGACTCAGAAACCAAATTATTTTCACGTGAATAGTATTGATTGAGTCATATAATTCACTTTCATCTCATGGTAAAGTTGGGTGTTAGTAATATTTAATCATATTAAACTTGAAGCTTATTATGCTTTGTTCTTTAACCAAAGGATTAAAAAAAGTAGAGCATTTTTTAATCCAGATCCTGCACAGAGTATTATTAGTGAATACAATTATAAGGAAAAAGGAGTAGAAACAACTCAATGAATGCTTTATTGTGTTATGATTTACCAATAAACTGAATAACAGATTTTTATTTTATACCTGTAAATATAGAGATAAAGTAGAGTTTAGAAGAGTTTGTCTTTTTTTTTTTCCTCAGTGAAACTTTGCCATTTACCTATTTAAATATTACCTATTTAATGTGGTCTTTACATATTAGTGGATATTTGTATCTGGATGAAATATGACCACATTTGGACTAAGACAAATGTTTCTTTCTCTCTCTTCTCACTGGCCTTTCAGTAGATAGAAACAATTTGTAATTTGATATCAGACAGATCTAGATTTAAACCTGTCTCAATGCTTCCTAGCTGGATAAATTACTTAATCTCTCCAGCAACCAGTTTACTTATGTCTAAAATGGGAACATATAACCCTAAGCTCTCAGGGTTGGTTTAACGCTTAGGAGGGCAACATCTGAAGCTCTCATATTCATAAACTCTCATATTGAATGAATAAAGCAGTTTCAGACACTAAGATACCTAATTGGCTCAGGATCTATTTGGAATCAGTAAAGTTGTCTCTGTACCCCTTAAATTCCACCATGTGGGAAAACTGTGAATCACAGATATGTCTTATGGCTTACCTCTGCAGCATAGCTCACTCCATCTACTATGTGCTCGGAGCCGTGGTCATCAGCGGACCCCCAGTGAAGGTGAACCTGCCGTAACCTGTAGCTTCCAGTGAGAGGACCACCACGCAGAACTAAACAACAACATGTTTTATATTGTTAGCAAGGAAAAAATATTTACATAAGCTGCTCAAACCACAACATCTCCCTGAATTACTCCATACATCCATGTCCTCCAAGGAATTTTTTACAAATGTGTCATTTGCTTTGCTGACAAGAATACCACTTTTAAATATGTGTAGATTGAAAATAGAACATTTTTAAAAGCTTAAAGCATCCACAATACAGATTTTTATGGAACACCTGGGAAATCGTAACAGACATACTGGTTAGAAAGGCATAGAAATTAGGACTTCTGAAAGGTAAGGAATGGTTGTGTTTACCTGAGGATAAGTCAGCCTGTCTGAATAAGGATGTGACATGCAGACAGGTCCAGTTTGAGCTTGGTAGAGCAGTGCAGCATTGTGGTTTGAGCACAGGCTTCAGCAGTTAGAAGGCCTACACTCATGCTGTCTTTTCCTAATTATGTGATCTTGAACAAACTCTAACTTCTTTTTTTTTTTTCCTTGAGACAAGGTCTCGCCCTGTTGCCTAAGCTGATGCAATCACGGCTCACTGCAACCTCTAACTTCTGGGTTCAAGTCATCCTCCCACTTTAGCCTCCCAAGTAGCTAGAACTACAGGTATGCACCACTACACTCAGCCCTTTTTTTTTTTTTTTTTTTTTTTTTTTTTGTAGAGACAGGGCCTCACTATGTTATCCAGGCTGGTCTCAAACTCCTGGCCTCAAGCGATCCTCCCAAAGTGCTAGGATTACAGGCATGAGCTACCACACCTGGCAACAAACCCTAACTTCTAAGCTTTATCTTCCAAGTGTAAAAACAAGATAGTAATGGGACCTCCTCCTAATGCTGTCATTAAAACAGAAGAAAAATTGAACACAAAGCACTTATTACTACCTGACACACAGTCAACACAATCAACACAGTTTTTTACTGTAAAAACAGGCAAAGCAAGCATACCTTTTGTCCTTAAATTCTATATTCTTGGGGAAATGTGAAATATAGGACAAAAATAATTTTTCAAAAATCTGTCATATCTTTGTCACTTTGACAAAGTACATTTGAGTAATTTCCTCAGTAAATATGATCTCTAAAACTATGACAATAAATCATATCTTAAGTATATAGAAAAGCTTCTTAATAGAAAACATAGTCCTAAATTGTCTCATCCTAATTAATCTTTATTGGGCATGTTTAAAGCATATGGGAGAATCAGGAAGCGTTGGAAGCTAAATATACCATAAGCGTTATTAAATTTCCATGAACAGGCCTGGCATGGTGGCTCACACCTGTAATCCCAGTAATTTGGGAAGCCAAGGAGGGAGGATCGCTTGAGCCCAGGAGTTCAAGACCAGCCTGGGCAACATAGCAAGGCCCCATCTTATTATTTAAATATAAATTTATATTTATATAAATTTAATATGTATATATTTAATATAAGTATATTTTATATATTTGATATTTAATATCTGTATACAGAGATATTATATATATATTTTTTGGCTGGGTGTGGTGGTTCACACCAGTAATCCCAGCACTTTGGGAGGCTGAGGCAGGTGGATCACTTGAGGTCAGGAGTTTGAGACCAGCCTGGCCAACACAATGAAACCCTGTCTCTACAAAAAGAAAAAAAAAAAAATACAAAAATTAGCCAAAAGTGCTCACTTGAACCCAGAAAGCAGAGGTTGCAGTGTTTTGGGGTTTGTTCGTTTTTGTTTTTTTTTTTTGAGACAAGGTCTCTGCTGCCCAGGCTGGAGTACAGTGGGGCTCAAACTTGCAGCCTCAATTAATCCTCCCACATCAGCCTCCCTAGCGGCTGGGGCTGGGACTACGGGCGCACACAGCTACGTCCAGCTAGTTGTATTTTTTTTTTTTGCAGGGATGGGGTTTCATCATATTGCCTAGGCTGGTCTCAAACTCCTGGTCTGAAGTGATCCTCCTGCCTCAGCCTCACAAACTGCTGGGATTACAGGTGTGAGCCACCACACCAGCCTTAAATTTGACTTTTTAAAAATTGTTGGTAATTTGCTAACCCTGGCCATTTTCCTAAACTACACTGTAGTCAGCTGTCTTGAATGACAAGCAAGCTGGCAACAGGATCTGTTTGCTCACGCATTTACTCTCTGCTAATTAGGATACAAATTCCTTTAAGGCAGAAACTGTTTTGGTCCCCTGTATCTCCAGTGCCCAGAGAGTACTTGAATCAATTAATATTACCAAGATAAAATAAGAGACCTCACCTGTTAAAGCACTCTTCCACAAACTTTAGTTTGTAGGGATGCTACTGAAGTTACCGGGAATCACTAAAAACTAAGTTCTTAGGACTAGTGAACCTGAGAATAATCACTTTATGGTAAACTTGTTCTCTGAAGTAAAGATACATGAACAGCACATCTGCAATTTGCTTGGAATCTAGAGAAACAAGAGCCAAGAGCACAAATCTGCCAGGATTATACCAAGACAAAGACAGAGAGGGAGAGAGAGAGAGAAACCAAAGGACACAGATGTTCCCACTCAGTAGGACCTTGTATTATTTAGGAAGCCAGAAGAACCTTCATTAAATCTGGCTTATTTTACTCAGAGCATATACACACCAAGCTACTCTCTCATTCAACAATCATTAAGAGCTTACGATGGGCTAGCAATTATTCAATACTAAATATGCAATGATAAACAAGTTTGTCCTTATCCTTAAGAAACTTAGTCTAGTGAAGGAAACAAATAATCATAATAGAGCTTTATATAATTGTCACATTGTCATAGGTTACCAATTCATTTCCTAGCTATCTTGGCTCCTGGGGGGATTATACACCTATGGTATGTCCACCTACTAAATCTTTTTCTGTTTGTTGTTTGTTTTTGTTTTTGTTTTAAGAATATATAGTGTAAGATCTTGTGAATAATTTGTTTGACTTCAGGCAGTTACCTAGAACTAGATAATGGAAGCATAACTGAGAAATTGGCATTTTCTAGAGATGAAAATTAAAGAACGATCACTGAATTCATCAAGTTACTGCTCTTCCTAGCAGGACTTTCTTAATCAGAAGACAACTTTCTTTTTGATATCTTTTTAAAATTTCAGCACACATATTTTATCCACAAAAAGAACACACACCATTATTGTTAGTAGTAGTAGTTACTAATTGTTATTGAGCGCCTACTATAATCCAAGAACTATTTCATTTATAAAATACAAAAATTAGTACCACAAATTTTTTAAAAATAAAGGTTCCAGCAATGAATAATGTTTAACTATTTAAGTGTTAAACGGCAAATATTAATTGATTTCTGGTGGTTTGTAATTTTATCGAGAGTTAATCTATGTATGCTAAGGCATCCCAATGCTATGTCATGGTATTTTCCATGTCTTTCCGTCATACAAGTTTTTTTTTTTTTTTTGTAACTTAAACACACATGTATTGAGCACCTACCATGTGCCAGGCACCATGCTAGGTAGGTAAGTAAGACATAGTTGTTGCTCATAGAGAGCTTTAGCTAAATGGAAAGACAGAGAAGCCAACTAGCAGTTACAACATAATGTGGAGAGTTCTGTGTTAGGAAAATTCCAGAATGCCCTGGGAGCCACAGCAAGGGTGGTAGGGCCTCAGGTGAGGTTCCCAAAGCAGCGAGATACTGTTTGAGTCCAGAAAGACCAGGAGCTCAGGTGAGAACAGCCTTGTCTTTCTTCTTCAAACTACTATTTCCCCTGTATATTACAGCCAATTGGAAGTCTTCCTAAAGAATTTCATGAGCCAGGCATGGCACAGTGACTCATGCCTATAATCCCAGCACTTTGGGAGGCCAAGGCGGGTGGATTACTTGAGGCCAGGAGTTCGAGATCAGCTTGACCAACATGGCGAAACCCTGTCTCTACTAAAAACGCCAGGAGTTCGAGACCAGCTTGACCAACATGGCAAAACCCTGTCTCTACTAAAAATGCCAGGAGTTCCAGACCAGCTTGACCAACATGGCGAAACCCTGTCTCTACTAAAAATACAAAAAATTAGTTGGGCATGGTGACGTGCGCCTGTAATCCCAGCTACTCAGGAGGCTGAGGTGGAAGAATCACTTGAACCCAGGAGGCAGAGGTTGTAGTGAGCTGAGATTGCACCACTGCACTCTAGCCTGGGTGACAGAGTGAGATCTTGTCTTAAAAAAAAAAAAAAAAATTCATGAGCTAGGCATGGTAGTGTGCAACCAAGTGGGGAGAAGCACTTGAGCCCAGGAGTTCCGGGCTTCAATGAGTTATGGCTGGGCAGCTGCATTCCAGCCTGAGAACAAAGAAAGTCAAGAAAAGAAAGAAAGAATGAGAGAGAGAGAGAAGAAGAAGGAGGAGGAAGGAAGGGAAAAATTTCACATCCACCTCCTCCCTTTTACTCCCTTTTGAAAGGATTTTTGGGTAGTTCTCTAAAGGTTTAACTATGGAGCATGGATGTGTCCAGCCAAACACGCCCTCCAAGAACTATGAGGAAGATTTCATGCCTGTGGTTTATTGACATGCCTGAGGTGGGATTCAGGGTTAATCCTGGTCAAAAATGGCTTCTTTACAAAATGGAAACTGTTTTATTCAAATTAATGTGGTTTGCTACAGAAAGTATCTTTGTGTTTTTTATAGTTTACCAAAAATAAAAAAAAAACAAAACCAAAAAAAAAAAAAAAACTTGTTTAACTATGGTGGTTTCTTCTTTTTAATTGATTTAATCTCCCAAATCACCATGAAACAATCTCTTTTGGTTTATCTTGAGAAAAAAAGAATAAGAATCATGACCCATATTTACATAGCTACTGTTTCAGAGGACTACAAAGTACTTTATGGATATTTTCAATTAATCCTGGTAATTTTATTGTGAACTAGATAGGAAAAGGATCTTCATTTAAAAGAAAGAGCACACACTACTGATGACTAAGTGTCAAATCTGGAAACATAAATTGATTTCACTGATTAACCCGAAGTAGAAGGAAAATGAAAGGAAGAGAAAAACAGAAGAGAGAGAGAGAGAAACCTGGGTTCTCATAGAGCAAATTAGAGTAGAAAATTTTTACACTATGAATGTCTACATTTATAAAAAATATACTTAAAGTTTTAGATGAAGTAAAATATAATCATTTCTCATTCTAAAATGAGGAATGGGTAGCTTTACTTTTTTTTTTTTTTGAGATGGAATCTTGCTCTGTTGCCCAGGCTGGAGTGCAGTGGCATGATCTTGGCTCACTGCAACCTGCGCCTCCTGGGTTCAAGCCATTCTCCTACCTCAGCCTCCTGAGTAGCTGGGATTACAGGTGTGTGTCACCACTCCTGGCTAATTTTTGTATTTTAATAGAGACAGGGTTTCAGCATGTTGGCCAGGCTGGTCTCAAAATCTTGACCTCAGGTGATCTGCCCACCTCGGCCTCCCAAAGTGCTGGGATTACAGATGTGAGCCACCACACCCGGCCTTATTTTTTTATTTATTTATCTTTTTATTTTCTGAGACAGCTTACTTTTTAAATGTTTGACATATTGTAAACAGTAACAAACTACACTTATGTGGTATAAACTTTGTATTTAGAAGACTTGGACACTTTTACAATATATCTATTACATTAACCGCAAGAGATGGGGTCTCCCTATGTTGCCCAGCTGCCCTCAAACTCCTGGGCCTAACTAATCATCCTCCTTCCCCAGTAGCGGGGTCTACCAGTGTGTGTCAGCATGCCTGGCTTAACCACTTTTATTAACATAGATTCACAAAACTGAGGGGTTGAAAGAAATATAGTTGAACATGTATATAAAAGGCCAGGTCCCTCCTTACTTGGCATTTCCTCCGAAAAGTTGAAAATACCATGTATTTATTTGTCTTTATGCATTTTTTACAATGCTTTGATGAAAATGTACTACTTAGGCCAGTGTGGTGGCTCCCAGCACTTTGGGAGACCGAGGCGGGCAGATCCCTTGAGCCCAGTAGTTCAAGATCAGCCTGGGCAATATGGCAAAACCTTTTCTCTATGAAAAATACAAAAATTAGCTGGGCATGGGAGCACATGCCTGTGGTCCCAGCTACTCAGGAGGCTGAGGCAGGAGGATTGCTTGAGCCCAGGAGGTCAAGGCTGCAGTGAGCCATGATTGCACCACTGCACTCCAGCCTAGGCAATGGAGCGAGACCTTGTCTCAAAAAAATAAATAAATAAATAAATAAATAAGAAAAAAAGGCTGGGCGCAGTGGCTCACGCCTGTAATCCCAGCACTTTGGGAGGCCGAGGCGGGCGGATCACCTGAGGTCGGGAGTTCGAAACCAGCCTGATTAACATGGAGAAACCCTGTCTCTACTAAAAATACAAAATTAGCCAGGCATGGTGGCACATGCCTGTAATCCCAGCTACTTGGGAGGCGGAGGCAGGAGAATCGCTTGAACCCGGAAGGCAGAGGTTGCGGTGAGCCGAGACTGTGCCATTGCACTCCAGCCTGGGCAACAAGAGTGAAACTCTGTCTCAAAAAAAAAAAGAAAAGAAAAAAAAACTTACTACTTTTATGAATTTGACAAATATGAAGAAGAAATGTGGTTGGGCTTATAATTTTTGCTAACAATAAGGCTTTACATAAATACAAGATATTACTACTAATCTAAATCTGGGCTCAATTAATAAGTAAAAACTTTCTTTCAATTAAGGATTTTTAAAAATTAACTATATTTTTTCATTAATAGAGCAAATACAGCATCATCCTGATCTTAGATTAAAAATAAAAACAATCTGTCAGAGGCCCTAAAAAGTGTTTCCAAATATGATTCTCTCTAATATTTTATCTCATCTTACATTTAAACTTGATACCTTGGGCAGAATCTCTGCTTGGGCAGTAGATAGTCTGAAGAAGGATTAAACATTCACTTCAAGAAAATGTTTTTTCATCACTTATTTAATAAATTAACAAATAATCTATAAGTCCATTATTTATTCATGGTGTGAAAGACACTATCCCAAGAACTAATCATTAAACGAAATGATTACGTGTTCTAGAAAAAAGTACTAATAGGGAATATACAGTAAAAAAGTTTCATATATTTATTTTTTTAAAAAAATTAAACTTCTACTTTCCCTCCCTTCAATGTCCATTGTTAGGAGAATGGTACATAAATTACGATACAAGCATAGCTAATACAATTCAACTTTTAAAATTATTTTACTTTTATTTTTATCTTTTGAGACAGGATCTTGCTCTGTCACCCAGGCTGAGTACAGTGGCACTATCATGGCTCATTGCAGCCTTGACCTCCTGAAGTCAAGCAATCCTCCTGCCTCAGCCTCCAGAGTAGCTGGGAGTAAAGGCACACCCCACCATGCCTGATTAATTTTTTATTTTTTGTAGAGATAAGTTCTCACTATGTTGCCCAAGCTGGTCTTGAACTCCTAGACATAAGCAATCCTCCCACCTCAGCCTCCCAAAGTGCTGGGATTATACATGTGAGCCACCACACCCGGCTGCAGTTTAGCTTTTTAAACAAGATATATTTTAATCTGGAAAGATGTCTATAAAATATTTTTAAACAAGAAAAAAATTCAGAGTTATATAGCATTATTCCAAATGTATTTTTAATAAGAAAATGCAAAACAAGGATGATACACATGTATGTATACATAACTAAGCACCGAAATATTATGGAAGAAATAACATTAGTTACTTCAGGAGAGACTGTGGGAAGAAAGAGACATTAATATTTGTTATATGTTTCCATATTGTTTCATTTACTATGAGTGGATATTACTTTGGCAATTAAAATAAGAGAATAAGTTTTTTTTAAACTAAACTTTTTCTATTAAAGCAGGTACTTAAATGGCATTATAGGTTTGCAAATAATGCTAAAATAATTACGGCTAAAACTTTGCAGAAACAAATCATGAAATATCTATAAAAACTATTAAACTTTAATATTTTTATAATGGTAAATGCTAAGTGAAGTTATAATAACAAGCTAAGGTCAATTTTAAATTATCATGCAACATATCCTTTTCCAAATACTCTTTATTATTTTAAGGTAAGATTATCTGAAGGTTCAAATATATAACAAGATATCTTAATTCACACGAAGAAAAATATGCTTCAATTTGACAAATTCCAGGTCTAGCAAAAACAAAACATGAAAGATTAGAGAGTGTATTCTGGGTGCGGTGGCTCACGCCTGTAATCCCAGCACTTTGGGAGGCCGAGGCAGGCGGATCACGAGGTCAGGAGATCAAGACCATCCTGGCCAACATGGTGAAACCCTGTCTCTACTAAAAATACAAAAAAAGTAGCTGGGTATAGTGGCGTGCGCCTGTAATCCCAGTTACTCGGGAGGCTGAGGCAGGAGAATCTCTTGAACTTAGGAGGCGGAGGTTGCAATAAGCCAAGATCGCGCCACTACACTTCAGCCTGGCGACAGAGCGAGACTCTGTCTCAAAAAAAAAAAAAAAAAAAGAGTATAGTCTAATCATTCAAACCCTTCATCCACCACCACACACACAAAAAAAGAAAAGCCAACCTGATTTGTTCTCTGTGTCATCAAAGTCAACATTGAAGGAATGGCCGCTGTTGCTGATGATTTTAGCTGAGCTTGGGTCATACTTGATACTAAGTGGTCGGAGGGAAGAGTCATATTTCACTTCTTTGGTTTTAATCTCAATTGGAGATTGCTGATCACCATCAGCAATAGGGAAAAATTCCTTCCAGTGAATAGGACCTTAAATATATAGGACCAAAAGAAAAGGATTAAATAAGTTCTTTCTTTCAACAAACATACATTGAGTATAACACACTGTGCTTGAAATTGAAGAAAACGCAAAGATTAATAAAATGAGATTCTCGTCCTCAGGACCTTGGCATCTAATTGTTTTTTTTTACAAGATTAGTTGTTTTTATTATAGATGTGGGAAACTCTTGGTGTGCCTTAAGTCATGTTCAGAATTAAAGTAACCCTTGTAGACAAGAGTCTGTAAATTTTATAAAATACTCTCCAAAGGTAACCTTCTACCAAACTAAAAACAATAATACAACTCATCATTGAAAACAATGACATTCAGTCTCAGCTCCAAAAATGAGCTATTGCTCCAGAGTTCAAGTTTGCAGATTGGAAGAGTCAAAAAAGCTGAGAAAGCCATGAAGCAAAGAAAGGGTGTCATTCTTAAAGATGCTGTGCTTACTTCTTTATTCTTCCTTCTATCACTCAATGCTATCGTCTAGTGTCACTCAGGCCTCCACTCAATTACCTGTGATGTGCAACAGGCATACCAAGGAAACACACAAATTTTTCACCTAGGATAATCCAAATAAAATGGCTGCACCACGTCAGGAAACGTAATATTGTTGATTATCTGCAGTAGAGTCAGATTGTAATTTATTTCTCTCTTTCTTCATTTCAGAAGGTTCTTCTATGGTTATTTTGCCAATGTTACATTTGAATTTCAACACAAGAGAAAGGTATCATCCTGGTCCTCTACTCAAAAACGTCAAAATCGTATCAAGTTCACAAATCAGACATGTTAGGGAAATTGAAACGAGCCAATCAGCTAACAGTTCCCTTTTCAATCCTCTTCACTTCTTTGGAAGACTCTATAAAGTCTTGCCTCTCAAAATCAGCAGCAAAGCTGTAGTTTCACGTAAGTTCCATGTCATTCTACAGATGTGAGTCACTTTATAGGTTATAGGTTCTTATTCTCTCTACTATTCCTGAAATTTATACAGCTATCACCACCTACACTGGGCTACTGACTAAGGTTTACCCACCTACTTTGCTAACCAATCTTTCACTAAAAATCAAGTACTAATTAAAACATCATAGCATGACAATTAATTAAACCTGTTACTAACGACAACCAAAAACATTTTAAAATGATAAAATTTAGAGTAATATTTAAAGAAATGCAATATATCACAATCATCAACAAACTTTAAAGCATAAAATTCTAAATCTTTTTTTTTTTTTTTTGAGACAGGGTCTTGCTCTGTTACCCAGGCTGGAATGCAGAGGTGTAATCTCAGCTCACTGCAGCCTCAACTTCCCAAACTCAAACAATCCTTCCACCTCAGCCTCCCAAGTAGCTAAGAGTACAGGTGTGCACCACCACACCCAGCTACTTTTATAAAAAACTTTTTTTTGTTGAAAGTCTCACTACAGGCTGGTCTCAAACTCATGGGCTCAAGTGATCCGCATGTCTCAGCTTCCTGAAGTGTTGGGATTACAGGCATGAGCCACCACGCCTGGCCCAAACTCTAAATCTGATACTGCTTACTATGCCTCATTTTTGCAAAAGAGAACTCACACATACATACATTCTTTCATATATGCTTCAGGCACAAAAAGTCATAGCATAAATATATAACTATACACTCAGCTTAAAAGATGTCATCTGACAAACTGGACTTCAAAGCCACTTGAGCATCAGAAGTCCTTGCTTAGAATGTATTACAGAAAAAGCCTTTTTTATTCAATACTTTCACCATCTTTCTGAGTACTTTTTCTATATATAACCTAGACTTTTTTCCCCCTTAATTCAGAAAAAGCCTTCTATTTCACTGCCACCAAGTAAGAGTTAACCTAACGAAAATTCAATTTCAAATGCGCAATGCATGTGTTACAATATGCAGGTGACATTCTTCCAATCAATAGAGTTGCTTTCTTCTCCTAATTGCTTTGCTCTCCTATTTCCAGTCATTTATAAACAGAACTATTTTAAAAAGAAGTCAAACCAAAATAAAATAAAAGTAATAATTGTTTGTATCACATTCCCAATATTATCTACTAACTACCATAGTCAGTTCAGTACCCTGCCTCTTAAAGAGGTCCCCTTTTTCAATTTTTCCAAAAAAAATTTCCTCCTCTCCTCCTTCTCCTTGTCCCCCCCATGACCCTGCAGGCTAGTCTGGAACTCCTGGCCTCAGGCAATCCTCCCATCTCAGTCTTTTGAGTAGCTAGGATTACAGGTGCAAGCCACCATAATTCTTTTTCTTTTTTTTTTTTTTTTTGAGACAGAGTTTCACTCTTGTTGCCCAGGCCGGAGTGCAATGGCGTGATCTCCGCTCACTGCAACCTCTGCCTCCCAGGTTCAAGCAATTCTCCTGCCTCAGCCTCCCAAGTAGCTGGGATTACAGGCACGCACCACCACGCCCAGCTAATTTTGTATTTTTAGTAGAAACGAGATTTCTCCATGTTGGTCAGTCTGGTCTTGAACTCCCGATCTCAGGTGATCCACCCACCTTGGCCTCCCAAAGTGCTGGGATTACAGGCATGAGCCACCGTGCCCAGCCAGCATAATTCTTAATTAGAGATATGTGGTGGTTGCTCAACTGATTTAGGAACTTTTAAATACCTACAGTGATATACACTTTTCAGTGATGTCACATTCGCTAAACTAAACTAATAAAGTAGTCAAAGGTTAGGGGAAGAATCCTAAGTTATTTGTGAAGGCAGTACCCTTTCAGGGCTTCAAGTCTTGATGTTTTATTTTATCAGTGTTGCTATTCCCAGCTTAAGTTTCCTTTTATCTGCTCAGTCACTGGTTTACCAATGTTTAAACAGAAAAAAAAAAAAAAACAAAAAACTTGCCTAGTTAGGCCCAGAGCTGTGGCTCATGCCTGTAATTCCAGTACTTTGGGAGGCCAAGGCAGGCAGATCACTTGAGGTCTGGAGTTCTAGACCAGCCTGGCCAACATGACGAAACCTTGTCTCTACTAAAAATACAAAAATTAGCCAGGCATGGTGGCTCATGCCTATAATCCCAGCTACTTGGTGGGGCTGAGGCTGGAGAATCGCTTGAACCCAGGAGAGGGAGATGGCAGTGAGCCAAGATAGTGCCACTGCACTCCAGCCTGGGCAACAGAGCAAGACTCATCTCAAAAACAACAAACAAACAAACAAAAAACTTGCCTAGTTAGTATATAATACATTTCCAATAGGATTTTCCCAATCTTTCTCTGAAGACCACACCTTTAAGTAAGGATGTGGTCTTCAGAGAGAGATCGCATCTAAAAGAAAGGAATGGCTAATTCCTAACAGAACAATTCCTAACAGAAATACAAAATCACTCCTTATTAATGGCTTTGCTAAGATGAATTTTTAAAATTGCTGAAATAAGCTTCATTCAGGTGAATAATTTCTAACCTACTAAAGAGTAATCAATATCCATTGATTGATTGATTGAAATACCCTTCTTCTTCCTAACTACCATAAAGGCGCAGTTGGGATTCAATGACTATTAAATAACTCCAATAAAAACGACTTCAGCAGAGAGGGAAATGAAAAAAGATTTGTCATATTTTCCCCCTAAACATTCACTGGAAATTAGCAAAATGTAAGATTATAATTATGGCCTTAATCAAGAAGAAATCTGACTATACACCTTTTATTATTAAAGTTATAAATTTCACCTGCTGCCATTTTTAAACTAGCATGTTTAAAAACAGGCTACAATTAGAAATTAAACAGGCTACAATTAGAAATAGAATTTTTCTGTTAGTTTGTGAAATTAAACTTTCTATAAAATTTGACCATTCTATACTGTTTAATCATGTACATGCTAATAGAAGGAAAGCATTATTATTCACAGCCTTAATTTTTTTCTTTATTATGTATTTACTTCTTAAATTGACAAAAATTGTATATATTTATGTGTACAACATGATGTTTTGAAATATATGCACATTGAGGAATGGCTAAACTAAGCCTTAATTTTGACAGTTATTCACTATAAGGCTTTTTGGTGTCACTGCGATTATTTCAAATAATTATTATTTAAACAATCAGTTCAGTTTAACGTAGGAACAAGAAAAAATGTTTTACTTTTGATAATGTGTGATATACAAGAAGAAAAGTGTATGTCATTATTATTTATCCTATTAATACATTTCTATCAATGAATTATAATTTCAGTAATCCTTTGCTCACCCTGCAAGGATGAGCGTGGAGAAGAAGAGTGGAGAAGTAACCCACAATGTAACTTAATTTCCCAGCGAGAACCTGAACCCTTACTAAAGTCCCCAGTAGTAGTCAGCCAACTGCAAATTGCTGTGGGAATATTTACAGTAACAACTATTAGGAAACATGCAGTATTTTGTTTGCCACGAAGCCAACTTAATCTTCAGTGTCACAATGCAAGTTAAGATTTCCTAAATATATTTTTAAAGATTTTCTATGATTTGTTTCTCCTAAGTGAATAGTGAGCTTAAAAGACTGAAAGCGAACTTGTCCTTATTTCACTGAAGTGTGTCATCAGACTTCTGATCTCCAAGCCTGTAATTGATACGTGGCTGTTACTAGGCAAAGTCCTTGGCTTTTCAGATGAAGGTGAACTCACACGTATGAACACTTGGGAGTTTGGGGAATCCTGACAGAGATAACACACACCAACGCTCACATCCACCACCAACAACCCGTCTACCCTGACAAGACTGCTCTCCGCTTCTCGCACTGGGCTCCCAGGAGTGCTGCTTAGTTTAAAGAGGAACCGAAAAAGTTTCTCAATGTGCGAGCCCAGTGTGTGGTCAGCGAGCGCCGGGGCGTCGCGCTAGTCCTCTCGTCCCCCGCACAAACCCCCCCTTGGATCAGGAAAAGGCGCTCACCGTTGTGCTCGCGGTATCCCCAGCTGAGCCTCGACATGGTCCCTCGGGGTGGAAGGAAGAGAAAGATGTGACTGAGCAGCGAGAAAGAGGAGGGAGCGGGGAGGGGCCCGGGAAGGAGCCTGCTAGGGCGGGACCGCGGGGCGCCGGCGGCAGGAGTGCGAGACCGTGAACCCGGTCCGGGGCGCTCCCGCCTGCGTCCTCCAGACGGCAGAGGCGTGCGGGGAAGGCGCCCGCGCCGCTGGCTGACTCCTGGGGCGCGAGTCTCTCTTAGTTTGGACTCGGGAATGAGAGATTTGAGTTAGAGGGAGAGACGGAGAGAGAAAGGTTTCCGGGGGGGATCTCCTGCCTTCTGAGGAGTCGTCACTCGGGAGAGGAAAGTGTTGCCTAGAGGACTTCCAGGAAGTGAATGAGTCACCAGAGCCTGGAACTGCCAGGCTGGGAGGTGGGGATCCCGGTGGAGGCGTAAAAGAGGTCGGTGATGGTCGTGGCAGTGATGATTACAAATACAAAACAATAATGACGATGGTAATCACCACCACTGAAAAATAACTACTTATTAAGGGCTTATCGTGGGCGAGGGTCTTAGCTAAGACGTGTACCCACGTTTTCCCATTAGATCCTCTCAGCATTTCCTCGAGAAACACGTGGCTTAAGTTAGAGACACTATGTAACCTGCCCCGGGTCGCTCAGCTAAAGCGGGCGGGGTCGCTGTTAGAGAGGACCAGCTCCCGGTCCTGGGCTGGCTCCATTGCCCATTCATCCTTTCCTTACCTCTTCTCACTCTGCAGGCTTGTGGCTTGGTGAGTGAGGAAACCAAAACCAGTTGTTGAGATTTGGTCCCAAAATTCTGCTGCCCTCCTGACCCCGCAAGAAGGGTTTTCAGGACATCTGCCCTGGATTCTTGGTGGGCTTGTTACCCTAGGACTGGAGTCAGAACTAGCTGCAGAGTCTTGAATTTCTGGCCTGGAGTCGTGAATGTTCTGGGTTCAAAGTGAAAAATAAAAATTGGGTACATGAACCACTTTCTACGTCCTTGTCTCGGGTCAACTGCCTCATATTTTATAAATCCAAGCAACCTCTTTGTAAGGAACCTAGTAAACCAATTTTCAGTAACTCGGATGATTTGGTATGTCAAGATGAATAATGCTCTTAACGTTCTAAGTAAGTATCAGTTCTTGACACCCAATAATAGTGGTTACATGAATGGATGAATGACTGAATAGACCAAAATTGTTAAAGAAATTTTGGTTGGTGGGTCTCAAATACTTCCCAAATTGTTACTTTTATTGCTTGGGTACACAGTTTGTAACCACCCAATGGGTTTACCTTGCCCACTGTCAAGACACAGCTGATTTATCAAGACAGGGGAATTGCAATTCATAAAGGGAAATTCACGTAGAGCCGGCTGTGCAGAGGACTGGAGTTTTATTATTACACAAATCAGTCTCCGCAAGCATTGGGGATCAAAGTTTTTAAGGACAATTTGGTGGGTGGAGGAGAGCCAGTAAGTCGGGAGACCTGGTTGTTTGGGTCAGAGGTGAAATCATAGGGAGTCAAAGCTGTCTTGCATTAAGTCAGTTCCTGGGTGGGGGCCATGGGATCAGATGAGCCAGTTTATCGAGCTGAGTGGTGCCTGCTGATCCATCCAGTGCAGGGTCTGCAACATATCTGAAGCACTGGTCTTAGGCTTTACAATAGTGATGTTATTCCCAGGAGCAATTTGGGGAGGGTCAGAATCATACAGCCTCCAGCTGTATGACTCCTAAACCATAATTTCTAATCTTTTGGCTAATTTGTTAGTCCTGCAAAGGCGGTCCAGTCCCCAGGAAAGAAGGTTTGTTTTGGGAAAGGGCTGTTATTGTCTTTGTTCTAAACTATAAACTATGTTCCTCCTCAAAGTTAGTTCAGCCTATGCCTAAGAATGAGTAAGGACAGCTTAGAAGTTAGAAATAAGATAGAGTTGGTTAGGTCCAATCTCTTTCACTGTTTCAATTATAATTTTGCAGTAGTGGTTTCAAGTTCCTTCTTGTTTAAATTCATAGCGCAGTCTATATAATTTTCTAAAACAGCAACCTAAGTATTGGCAACAATCAAATTACCTTTCATAGGAAACTAGTTAGGTCATCTGTAGAGCATCCATCATTCAATGGACTTATATATATATATATTTTTTTCAGATGGAATTTCGCTCTTGTTGCCCACGCTGGAGTGCAATGGTGCGATCTCGGCTCACTGCAACCTCCACCTCCCAGGTTCAAGCAATTCTCCTGCCTCAGCCTCCAGAGTAGCTGGGATTACAAGCATGCATTACTAGTGGCTAATTTTTGTATTTTTAGTAGAGATGGGGTTTCACCATGTTGGCCAGGCTGGTCTCCAACTTCTGACCTCAGGTGATCCACCCGCCTCGGCCTCCCAAAGTGCTGGGATTACAGATGTGAGCCACTGCGCCCAGCTGCCATTCAATGGACTATTGTCCATTTATAAAAAGAATGAAGATCTCCATGAGCAGAGCAGATATAAAGTGAGTCCTGGGATGTATTGAGGTTGCGGGAGCGGGGGAAGCAAAGGAGCAAAAGAGTGTATATAATAGACTGCATGTTTAAGAAAAAAATAGAAATAAGAAACTGCACACATATTTTCAGATTTTTACCAAAAAAGTAGAGAAAAAGCCATAAATTAATAAAAATAGTTCCTTATAGAGGATGAGTGTGAATGGGGTGGAAGTGTCAGAGGCAATGGAACCACAGCAACTCCATTCAAATCTTATTATATGCTAATTATAATGCATTCACATGCTAAAAGACACTCCCACCAGCCCCAGGACAGTTTACAAATACCATGACAACATTTGGAAATTACCCTATATGATCTAAAAGTGGGAGGAGACCTCAGTTCTAGGAAATTCCCACCCTTTTCCCAGAAAACTCATGAATAATCCACCCCTTGTTTAGCATGTAATCAAGAAATAACCATAAAAAGTAGACAACCAGTTGCCCTTAGGGCAACTCTGTCTATGGAGTAGCCATTCTTTTGTTTCTTTTTTTTTTGAGATGGAGTCTCTCTCTGTCGCCCAGGCTGGAGAGCAGTGGCACGATCTCAGCTCACTGCAACCTCCACCTCCTAGGTTCAAGTGATTTTTCTGCCTCAGCTTCCTGAGTAGCCGGGACTATAGGCGCCCACCACCACGCCCGGCTAATTTTTGTATTTTTAGAAGAGACGGGATTTCACCATGTTGGTCAGGCTGGTCTCGAACTCCTGACCTCGTGATCTGCCCACCTCGGCCTCCCAAAATGCTGGGATTACAGGCGTGAGCCACCGCACCGGCCCCTTTTTTTCTTTACTTCTCTAATAAACCTGCCTTTACTTTACTCTGTGGACTCAACCCAAATTCTTTCTTGCATGAGATTCAAGAACCCTCTCTTGGGGTCTGGACTGGGACCTCTTTCCAATAACAGAGGGAGAGGGATAAGTGAAACTTCTCAGTGTATCTTTTTGACTTTTAATCATAAATGTCGTAAATTAACTTTAGCCTAAAGCTGCCTCCTTACATATTTTAGTCCAGCTTAAAGTTTTCTGTGTATATAGTGAACTCTAACCTAACTAGATGTGTAAATAGACTGTAGCCCACTCTTGTGCCAATCACTGAATGTTGGCCAATCAAAGGCAGCCAACTGTTCAAACCCTGTTCAACTGAGGTAAACTTTGAGCTGTAACCAAACCAGCTGTTTCTGTACCTGACTTCCATTTTCTGTCCATCACTTTCCTTTCTCTGTCCATCAATCTAACCACACAGAAGGGCCAGAGTCTCTCTGAACCTATTCTGATTGGAGACATTGCCCAATTTGCAAATTGTTCTTTGCACAATTAAACTCTGTTCAATTTAATTTGTCTAAGATTTTTCTTTTAACATTGTTCTGCATTTTTAAAAAATAAATTTAAATTAAAGAGAATAAAAAAGCAAACCCTGAAATTGAATTCAAACAGAAACAATTAAAATTAATTGTATATTGAATTGATAATGTAACCATAAAGAAAAAGTTAAATAGCGTTCGACTATAGTACTTTGGCTATATATCCTTAGTAGGACATATAACATATTAAGAAGAAATGAAAGAAAATCTTGAACATTACTAGTAGGTTTGTTTTTGGTAGGATATTGGTGTTATGCTTCTGAAACCATTTTTTATTGGTTTGTTTGTTTGTTTTGAGATGTTGTTTTGCTCTGCCACCCAGGCTGGAGTGCAGTGGTGCAATCTCGGCTCACTGCAACCTCCACCTCCCGGATTCAAGCGATTCTCCTGCCTCAGCCTCCCAAGTAGCTGGGATTATAGGTGCCCACCCCCATGCCCTGGCAATTTTGTGCTTTTAGTGGAGACGGGGTTTAACCATGTTGGCCTGGCTGGTCTGGAACTCCTGACAAGTGATCCACCAACTTCGGTCTCCCAAAGTGCTGGGATTTACAGGCATGAGCCATTGTGCCTGGCTGGAAACCACTTGTGTGAAAATAGTAAGATAGAGCAAATGAACAAATATATTGATAATCTCTGGAAGCATGATTTTCATTCTGGTTTATACAAAATAGGAAATGACAGAAGCTAAGAAATAAACCCGTGGTGTTGCATTTGAACATTCTCTTCACTGAAAGATCCCAAGAACAATAATATCCCAATAATAATGAAGCTAATAAACCTTAAAATATATAGCCCTTCACTGAGGGACCACTTCTAAAGCCATATACTAATTTTATATTTGTAACTTTACATTCCTTTTCTTTAAAAAAAAAAAGTCCCAAAATTGTAGTAGCTTCAGGCTCTACAAATCTGAATCTACCCCTTGCTATGAGACACTGAAACTGCCCAATGGGTTCATCTTGCCCATTTCCTAGGCAGAACTAATTATTGATGAAGACAGGGGAATTGAAATAGAGCCAGCTAAATGAGTGACTGGAGCTTTTTTGTTTGGTTGGTTTTTTGAGACAAGGTCTCATTCTGTCACCTAGGCTGGAGTGGAGTGGTGCAATCACAGCTCACTGCAGCCTCCACCTCTCAGGCTCAAGCATCCTCCTGCCGCAGCCTCCCACGTAGCTGGGATTGCAGGCATGTGCCACCATGCCTGGCTAACTTTTTTTTTTGTAGTGGGGAGAGACAGGGTCTCACTGTGTTGCCCAGGCAAACTATGAGCCCAGTCAAACTCCTGGGCTCAAACAATCCTCTTGCCTTAGCCTCCTCCCAAAGTGCTGAAATTACAGGTGTCAGCCACCATGCCCTACTCAAAGTTTTATTATTACACAAATCAGCCTCCCACCACATTCCAAGGTTAGGGTTTTTCAAGAATAGTTTGGCAGGCAGGGGGCTAGGGAATGGGTGATGCTGAGTGGTTGGAAATGCAATTACGGTGGTGTAGAAAATGGTCCTCATGAGCTGAGTCCACTTTTGGGTGGGGGCCACAGAGGAGTTGCTGGTCTGGGTGGGGCCATCTGGTCATCATACATGCAAAAGCCTGAAAAAACATCTCAAAAGGTCAATCTCAGGTTCTACAATAGTGATGTTATTTATGAGAGTAATTGGGGAAGTTGAAAATGTCGTGAGCTACAGAACAAATAAATGGCTTTGGGAAGGGTTATTACCATTGAAATTATAAACTAAATTTCTCCCAAAGTTAGCTTGGTTCACACCCAGAAATGATCAAGGGCAGTTTGGAGGTGAAAGGCAAGATGAAGTTGGTTAGGTAAGACCTCTTTCACTGTTACAATTTTCTCACTATTATGATTTTTGCAAAGGTGATTTAAACACTAGCACCCAGATCTTGTTTCCTAAACACCATTCCCCCTTCGAAGGAACCAGAGCTATTTGGAGAAGTGACTAGTTTTGTTAGCAGCTGCGAACCTGTACAGGTCTACAACAACCTCAATTCTTGCCTCCTCAGAAGAAAGAATTTGACCAAGGGGCATAGGGCAGAGTGAAAGACCTAGGCAAGTTTTAGAGCAGGAATGAAAGTTCACTAACAAGTTTAGAGGGAACAAAAGGAAGTAAAGTACACCTGGAAGAGGGCCAAGCCAGCAACTTGAGAGATTGAAGTGCACTGTTTGACCTTTGACTTGGGGTCTTATACATTGGCATGCTTCTGGGGTCTTGCAATCCTTCTTCCCTGATTCTTCTTTGGGGTGGGCTGTCCGCAGGCATAGTGGACTGCCAACACTTGAAAGGGGCTGTATGCACAGTGTGTTTACCAAAATTGTGCACATGCTCACTTGAGGGGTTTTTTCCTTACCAGTTGAGTGTTCCTAAAGGAAGGTCATATACCAGTTAAACTCTGCCATTTGCCTCTTAGTGTGCATGCTTGAGACCACTCAACCAACTCCTGAGATCCTACTGGGAAGCTGCTGATCACCAACTTTAAGTGTTTCTATCTCTTGGGAGACTGCCTTTTCCTGATGCCAGCTGCAACCAATTATTATTTTAGAGAAGCAGTTTGATAACCGCCTGACCATCACCTGATGGTTGTCTGACATTCTTGGTTGGGGGGCAGTAGGGGCTCTCCTGCCCTGCTTAGGTCTGCTTGACTACCTACATAACAGTTTCAGGTCTAGAGCAGAGAAAGACTAAGATGAGCCTAGAACATATTTCTTATGCCAGAAAGCTAGAAAGCATTCAAACACACACACACACACAGACACATTCACACACACAGACACATTCACACACACACACATACACAGATACGCACAAATAAGGTAGCTTGAAGGAGGAACTGCTGACAAATTTGGGATAATTTGACCATCAAAAGAAATAATGATAGTAATAGATTATAACTCCCCACCCACCAAATATCCATCAGTGCATAGTGATGCTGAGAGAGAATGAGAGATCTTCTTTATGTCCACTAGCAAATACAGATGAAATGATAAAATTTTAAAACCACCATTTTTGCAAGGCCTATATAATCTCTGTATAATCTCTGATTCAGGCAAGGATCAGTAATGGGTACTAAAACTTCTGGATGAAAGGATATTGGGGAATAGGATATTCACACAGTCTAGGATTAAAAGAGACAAAAGATATGTAACAGCTAAATGCAATGTATGATACTTAATTAGATTCTAGGTTACATAAAAGCTGTAATAAATATTTGGGAGACATTTGGAGAAATTTAAATATGGACAGCATCTATGTGATATTATTAATTGATACTAATTCTCTCAGGAGTGATAATGGTACTGAGAATGATTTAAGAGTTCAACACTAAAGCTACAGGGCTGAAGTACTTTTTTTTTTTTTTTTTTTTTTTTTGAGACTGAGTCTTGCTCTGTTGCCCAGGCTGGAATGCAGTGGCGCAATCTCGGCTCACTGCAACCTCCTCCTCCCTGGTTCAAGCAATTCTCCTGTCTCAGCCTCCTGAGTAGCTGGACTACAGGCACACACCACCACGCCCCGCTAATTTTTCTATTTTTAGTAGAGACAGGTTTCACCATATTGGTCAGGATGGTCTTGAACACCTGACCTTAGGTGATCCACCTGCTTCGGCCTCCTAAAGTGCTAGGGCTGAATATCTTGATGTCTGAAACTGACTTCCAAATGTCTCAGTAAATAATTGATTAATCTAGCTGGAGGATATTTGGGAGCTCATGATAATATTCTTACTTTTTTTCCGTAGGTTTGAAATTTTTTCAAAAAAAAAAAAACAACTGAGGAAACAAACATCTTTTTACTTCTTCAAATCAATGAATCCATTAACTTACTAAATAACTTTCATAACTATTTGTGTGGTTTCTCTTTAACAAGGAGCCTCTGTCTCCAGGCTTACAACCATTAAGTGTAATCAAGTAAAAGAAGACTAACACTGGTTGGGCACAACCTGTAATCCCAGCACTTTGAGAGGCTAAGGCAGGAGGATTGCTTGAACCCAAGAGTCCAAGACCAGCCTGGGCAACACAGTGAGACCCTGTCTCTGCCAAAAAAATATATATATATATTAGCCAAGTATGGTGGCACCCACCTGTGGTCCCAGCTACTTGGGAGGCTGAGGTAGAAGAATCACTTGAGTCTGGGAGGTGGAGGTTGCAGTGAATTGCTTGAGCCCAGGAGACGGAGGTTGCAGTGAGCTGTGATCATGCCACTGCACTTCAGCCCGGGTGACAGAGTGAGACCCTGTCTCAAACAAAAAACAAAAACAAAAAGACTAACACTAACCAAATAACCCAGAAATGCTGACCCACGATATGGTCATCATCTCCACCTCACTCTTTTTTTGGTCAGTGGAGATGTGTGTTTTTTTTTCACTTCACTTTTGAACTGGTTAGATCCAATTTAAGCTCCCTTAAGGAACAAAATGTGCTGAAGTCCGCTCTCCTCTTCAATGACACTGTGTGTCATAATAAAGCAGCACTTGTAAATTACAAATCTAGCCATAAAAATATTTAATTAACACAGTAACATATTAAGGAAATATCAGAGTATAAGTTCATGTTGTTTTATTAGGGCATGTATACAGACTCTCCCTGAGATGCACATTTTTCCAGGTATTCTTTTTATTTATTTATTTATTTATTTATTGAGACAGAGTCTTGCTCTGTTGGCCAGGCTGGAGTGCTGGAGTGTACCCTCTTGGCTCACTGCAACCTCCGTCTCCTGGGCTCAAGCAATTCTCCTGCCTCAGCCTCCCGAATAGCTGGAATTACAGGCATGTGCCACCATGCCCGGCTAATTTTTGTATTTTTAGCAGAGATGGGGTTTCACCATGTTGGCCAGGCTGGTCTCAAACTCCTGACCTCAGGCAATCTGCCTGCGTCTGCCTCCCAAAGTGCTGGGATTACAGGCATGAGCCACCGCACCCAGCCCCCAGGTATTATTTTTAAAAACTCTAAATGTGAACCAAAGTAGCTATTATCATCTGATTTTTACCAAGCACGAAACTTAGATGAGCAAGGTTCCCCAGTCCCCTAGAGAGGCAAGCCACACAGTCAGGGACATAGCACCAGTCTGCAGAGTCCCAAGTCCAAGATGCTCTCCAATTTGTGCCCAGCTTCCTTTATTCATTGAGTCCTGTGATTTGTACAACCAGGATGTACTACCCACAAGAATGTCTTATCACTTGATAGCTTGTGGAGATTGTTGACTTTATGGAGCTGATACTATATGGGGTTTCGATTTCTTTATTTTCTTATTCCTAAGGTTATCCTAAGGTTAGTCTTACATAATGCAATCTCCCAAAGAGGAATTTGAGACTCAAAAGGGTTAAAGGACTTTCTCAGGTGACCAAGGTTTCACACCAAGATGAGGACTCTCAGACCAAAATTGAAAGGATAACTTCAATAAATCTCTTCCCCAGTCACCTCTCCAATGATAGCTTTCGGAAACTAGAGCCAAACATTTCTTTGTCCTATATTGTCAGATAAGAACACATTGCTAAAACCCAATTTCTACATTTTTGTTCTTTTGTTTAATTTTATACAGTTTTCTAATCGAAATTTATCTACACCCTATTTTGTAGTGTTTCATATCTTATTTGTGCATATTACAAAAGTAGGTAAAGTGTGAAAGAGAAAAAGGAAGCATCAAGACTATTTGAAAGGAAATACACTTGTATAAACATCAGATCAGTGTTGAAAAGTCCAGATAATTCATGCCAAAGTAATTCGGCTGTTAAAGAATTTAGTAGTTCCTTGGCCTAGAATGAATAAGTCAATGTCATTCTATTGCTGTCAACTCTTTGAAATATAACCACAGAGCGATATTAGGGGCATGACGGCATTCTGTCATCAGCTCTTGTAAGGTTTATCTATTCCTTTCTGTCCTCTAGAAAAGGAAGATTTGTTCCTTTTTTTTTTTTTTTTTTTTTTGAGACAGAGTCTCACTCTGTTGCCCAATCTGGAGTATAGTGGCACAATCTCAGCTCACCACAACCCCCGCCTCCCGGGTTCAAGTGATTCTCCTGCTTCAGCCTCCTGAGTAGCTGGGACTACAGGCATGGACCACCACACCTGGCTAATTTTTGTATTTTTAGTAGAGACGGAGTTTCACCACGTTGGCTTTGAACTCCTGACCTCAGGTGATCCACCTGCCTTGGCCTCTAAACGTGCTGTGGTTACAGGTGTGAGCCACCATCCCCCTGGCCGGACAGTTTGTTCTATGAAAAGCAGTACCCATATCCCCATCTCACCACCGAGGAAGGTGTGATTTACCCTCATTCCAAGAAATTCTGACCTGGTTGCCACCATTTCACTACTGAAAGCTTGCTGCACTAGCCCTATGTGCCTAGCAAAACCTTGCACTCTTGCCAAACATATAATATTTTATCCCTTACAGCCTCCATTGCCAACTCCATTCACTCTTCTTTATTATTGCCATCAGCATACTAACATGTTCTGGAATTTCTTCTCATTAGCAGGAAACTTTCTTCCTGAATTTACATTTTCCATTTGCTACCCACCCATGCTCTCTGGAATTCCTTGGGTTCTTCTTTCTATACTCAACTGTATTATGTATTAGTTAGGGTTCTCCAAAACCATGTATACGTATTGAGGGAGAAAATGAGATTTATTATTAAAAATGGCTCACTTCATTATGAAGCCTGACAAGTCCCAAGATATTCAGAGTGAGTAGGCAAGCTGGAGGCTGGAGACCCAGGAGAGCTGATGGTGTAGTTTCAGTCCAGAGCCCAGCAGGCTCAAGACCCCAGGTAAAGCCATTGTTTCAGTTTGAATCCTAGAGTAGGAAAAAGCCGATGCCCTATCCCAAAGACAATCAGGCAGAAGGAAGTTTCCCTTACTTGGAAGAGGGTCAGCTTTTTTTTTTTTTCTATTCAGGCTTTCACTGATTAGATAAGGCCCAGCTCCTTAGGGAGGCAGTCCGCCTTAGTCCATCTACTGGTTGAAATGTTAATGTCCTCCAAAAACACCCTCATGTAAACATCCAGAATACTGTTCTACCAAATATCCGAGCACCTCATGGCCCAAATTGACACATACAATTAATCATCACACCAACCTTTAAATTTGGGGGTTTGGGGCCTATAATCTCTCCTCTCTCTACACTCTCCTCCTAGGCCCTTCCATCAGTTCTTATGGAAGTAATCTACCTAGCTTAGACATCCATTCCAGAACTGTCCAAGTGCTAAGCATATATGTTACTTAAATTTTTGACTAGGTACACTTTAAAAACTAAAAAGGAAAGTGAAATTATTCTTAATGATATATATTATTTAACCTAATACATCAAAAATATCATTTCAACATTAGTCAATAAAAAAAAAAAAATTAATGCACTCATGCTTGAAATCCCAGCACTTTGGGAGGCCGAGGCAGGCGGATTGCCTGAGCTCAGGAGTTCGAAACCAGCCTGGGCAACATGGCGAAACCCCGTCTCTATTAAAAATACAAAAAGTTAGCTGGGCATGGTGGTGGGTGCCTGTAATCCCAGCTACGCGGGAGGCTGAGGCAGGAGAATCGCTTGAACCCGGGAGATGAAGGTTGCAGTGAGCTGAGATCATGCCACTGCACTCCAGCCTGGGTGACAGAGTGAGACTCTGTCTCAAAAAAAATAAAATAAATAAAAATTAATGAGTGTTTCAGTTATCAATTTATTGTCTTTCACGTCTAATTTTACCCTGCATTACCAGCTCTGTGATAATGAAGCTTTAAGCATTTCTTTTTTGCAGCAAGCATAATGTTAAGCTTTCTTCAGTAGAAGGTCATTGCTGGAGAAAGGAACTTCTCTTCCTGGTTCCTGAATGCTGTGTTTTTTGTTTTATTCTTGTTCCTGCTGGGCTGCTTTCAGCAGCCACATGTGGCCGTGTATAGAGACATCCAGGCACTCCGGCCCAGCAGCACACTCAAGAGTATGCAGTCTCTCAGTAAGCTGACAACCCTAGCCCTAACCCAGTGACCACCTCACTGCCCCTCCCAAAACAAACCCCACATACTCCAGGCCTCATGCCACCCTATTGGCAAGCAGATGCCCCAACTCCCTCTGCATACCTGCCCACCAGCCCTAGTCTGCCTGCACCCCAAAGAGTGTTTCCCATGGCCTCCTGACATGGACACTGTCCACTCTAGGCTATGCATCTGTCAGCCAGAGTTGTTCCCAATGCTTTGAGTCCCTCTGCATACCTGTAGTCTTGCACACCAGTCTTAGCCCACCTGTACCCTGTTTCTCGCTTGTCTAGTAACTGTGGACCAGCTCAGACCTGGACAACCCAGCAAACTTCTCTGTCATCCACTGGGTTGCAACCGTATCTTCTCCAGTGATCTGAATCCCTTTGGAACGGAGGCTGGCATCCAAGTTTGTCCCTCATTAGAAACTTCCTTAGCCTCGGGATATTGTTTAGAGTTATCTTTTACATCTTTATAGTTGCCCCATTATACTTAATAATTCTTTACAGTAAACTTTCCCTGTTCAAATTACTGTGTGATTTGTCTCCTGATTGGATCTTAACTGATACTATCATTTATCTTTTACCTTCTTTGTTCTTACAAAGAGTTCCAAATCTGGTGTACATTTTATTCTGACAGCACATCTCAATTCAGGGTAGCCACATTACAAGAGCTCAATAGCCATATGAGGCTAGTGGCTATTATGCTGGCGGCACAGCTCTAGATCTACTGAATTAGATCCAATGACTTCAACTTAAATTGTTCACATGGAATTATACAGTTTTTCCCTGTCCCAACTTCCCTGTCACATTTCTATCTCATCCAATGGTACCACCATCCACCAGATGCACAAACCAGAAACTTCATAGTCACATTAATTTCTGATTTTCTCTTTTTCTCTTCACCTCTAAGTTTTGTCAGTTTTAACTCCTAAGCAATCAGTTAATTTCACAGACACAAAAAAATACTCCACTATACTATAAGCCTAAAACAAAATTCAAAAGATGTATAATTTTAAAACAATCTGTATGCCCTTTCTTCCTAATCAAATTTTTTCTGCTTCTAAAAACGTATCAGGCTGGGCACGGTGGCTCATGCCTGTAATCCCAGCACTTTGGGAGGCTGAGGTGGGTGAATCACTTGAGCCTGGGCATTTGAGAACAGCCTAGGCAACATGGTGAAACCCTGTCTCCAAAAAAAAAAAAAAAATACAAAAATTAGTTGGGTGTGATGGCACAATCCTGTGGCCCCAGCTACTCAATGAGGTGCAAGGATCGCTTGAGCCCAGGAGATGGAGGCTTCAGTAAGCAGTGATCTCACCAGTGCACTCCAGCCTGGGCAACAAAGCGAGCAAGATCCTGTCTCAAAAAAAAAAAAGAGTGGCCAGGCGTGGTGGCTCACATCTGTAATCTCAGCACTTTGGGATGCCCAGGCAAGTGGATTACCCAAGGTCAGGCATTCGAGACCAGCCTGGCCAACAAGGTGAAACCCCATCTCTACTAAAAATACAAAAATTAGCTGGGCGTGCTGGTACATGCCTGTAGTCCCAGTTACTCGGGAGGCTGAGGCAGGAGAATAGTTTGAACCCAGGAGGCGGAGGTTGCAGTAAGCTGAGATTGCACCACTGCACTCCAGACTGGATGACAGAACAAGACTCTGTCTCAAAAAAAACAAAACAAAAAAACAAACAAAAAAACCCACCAAAAATGTATAAACAATTTGTGTAATAAGAATATGGCGAAACAGCCATGTCCATACACTATTGGTAGAAATGTAGAATATATGATCTTCTGGAAAAAAATTGGTAATTTAAATCAAGAATTTTAAGCGTATTCATAACTTTAGATCTTATTGATAGACACGCTGCCTGAGAAAATATTAAGAGATTCTGTCAAAGATTATTCAAACGGATGTTAATTACAGTGTATTTATAACAGAAAAAAGCTCTAGAAACAACAGAAGTGATAATGATAAGAAAAGGGTTAAAACAACTTATGTATATCAAAATGATATAATTTTTGAAAGACATTAAATGCCATATTTCCAAACTACTTATTAAAGTGTATATATATATAGATTATAAAATAGTATCTACACAGAAATTTTAATAAGCAATATAGTATATATGCCTAGAAAAAAAGATTGTAAAGAAATATATCAAAAAAGCTGGGGGCAGTGGCTCACACCTGTAATCTCAGCACTTTGGGAGGCCAAGGCAGGCGGATCACCTGAGGTCTGGAGTTCGAGACCAACCTGGCCAACATGAAGAAATTCCATCTCTACTAAAAATACAAGTTAGTGGACATGGTGGTGCATGCCTGTAGTCCCAGCTACACAGGAGGCTGAGGCAGGAGAATCGCTTGAACCTGGAGGCGGAGGTTGCAGTGAGTCGAGATCGCACCACTGCACTCCAGCCTGGGCAACAGAGTGCAACACTGCCTCAAAAATTAATAACAATAATAATTAAAGAAAGAAAGAATGGGCCAGGTGCAGCTCATGCCTGTAATCGCAGCACTTTGGGAGGCCAAGGAGTGTGGATCACGAGATCAGGAGATCGAGACCATCCTGGCTAACATGGTGAAACGTGTCTCTACTAAAATACAAAAAAATTAGCTGGGCGTGGTGGCAGGTGTCTGTAGTCCCAGCTACTCGGGAGGCTGAGGCAGGAGAATGGCGTGAACCCAGGAGGCAGAGCTTGCAGTGAGCCTAGATTGCACCACTGCACTCCAGCCTGGGCGACAGAGCAAGACTCCATCTCAAAAACAAAAACAAAAACAAAAACAAAACAAAACAAAAGACAGAATAAACTAACAAAAGCAAAGTACTTGCAATGACCTGCAGAACCCTATGTGACCCCCTTCAGCCGTGCTGCTTTCTGTTCATTAATCATGCCACGCTGTCTTCTGCTCTTGGCCTTTCTGCCTGGAGCACCTTCCCCCTAAATATCTGCAAGACCCACTCCTTCACCTCTTTCAAGCATTCTCTCAGTTTTTGACTGTCTGCTTTGGTCTGTGTAAACTCTGAAAATAACACTTTCAACTGAAACACAAAATCATAGTTGAGACTTAGATAGTTGAGAGTTTACATTATCAATTAAACTTGATAATTACAAAGCACTGCATCCTTTCATTTTTTTAAATTTAATAGCACACTGCCTTCTTTGCCTTTGCCAACTTTCTGAGTTTTAAATATGCACCTGCTAAATATTTCACAGTTCCTCTATTTTAACCATTACTTGCATTTTAACCAAGTATCATAAAGAGTGAAAAAGTACGACGCATGCCCTTGGAATATTTTTATTGTCTTTGTGACATGTATTTGACCATTCTTAACCCTCGAAGATTTCAAATGCAAGCCCTTCTTTGTGACTATAATTAGTTCAGGTTCAAGATCCCTAGGCATTTGGCCAGGAGATTATTCTAAATCAAATTTGCTTAATTAAATTAATAGTATATTTGTGGAGCACCTATCACATCCAAGAAGCAGTGCTACAAGAAGACGAAAAGTGTTCTTCTAGGTATATCTTGGCCATGCTAACAGTGACAGTGCTTTACAATAATTTTTAGTGTATGGCTACAAACCCTTGCCTATTTTTACATTTCAGGAAGTTTTATTTCATTCAGCAAATGCTTCTTTCACACCTCCTATGTCACAGAAGTATGTATTCATGAATGGAAATCCAAGGTGACTTTTTTTTCTGGGCCCTGAAAAGAGCACGAGAGAAAAGCATGCATAAAAGTAACATGGTATTTGAATACAGAAACCATACCATGAAAAGCTAAAGCCTGTGACTCACCTCTTGCAGCTTCATAGTAATCTACTGATGCGAGTCACTTTTCCTTCACTGCAAAGCATTAACCATCTCTTTTCATTCACTGGTTCTTACCCTCCAGATATTTCCAGGAATTTGACCTAGAGAGAAAGGTGGTGGATCCTGTTTATTCTGCTGCATTTTCTTATATAGGCTGTGTCATAAATTTTCATTTATAGTCTAGAAATAAATGCTCCTGTCATTAGGGGGTTAAAAAAAGATTCCCCATTTCCACAATCAATCATGAAAATGTTCATCTGATCGGTTCCTCATAAGAAATGTAGATTTCTTTTCCTTTCCTTCCTTCCTTCCTTCCATTCTTCCTACCTTCCTTCCTTCCTTTCCTCCCTCCCTCCCTTCCTCTTTTTTCTTTCATTATTTTGAGGCAGGGTCTTGCTCTGTCACCCAGGTTGGAGTGCAGTGACACAATCATGGCTTGCTGCTGCCTCAACCTCCCAAGCTCAGCTTCCTCCCACCTCAGCTTCCTGAGGAGCTGAGACTACAGGTGCACACTACCGTGTCTAACTAATTTTGTATTTTTGGTAGAAATAAGGTGTTGATATGTTGCCCAGTCTGGTCTCAAACTCCTGGGCTCAAGTGATCCTCCTGCCTTGGCCTCCAAAAGTGCTGGGATTACAGGCATGAGCCACTGTGCCTGGCCAAGAAATAAAAATTTCATTGGAAAGTAGCTCTAATATTTATTTGACCCATGAAGAAACTACACGGAAATGCAGACTGCATATAATTTTTATTGACTGTTTGTCATGCATTGGCTGCTCAGAGGAGCCATAGTGGGTGCACAGTCATCTAAGGATATCTATCTCCTCGTTCGGCTTCATCACTTATTTCCTGAACCACTACTTCCCTGCCTGCAACCATTCCTTCTTCTAAGCTACTTTCATGCAGCTAACAAAATTATTCCCTACAATAAGCAATCTCATGTGTGTTTTGGCGGGTGGGGTGTGGAGAGGAGGACAAGTCCTTCGTTGCCTATAGAATAAAATCTCAAACTCTGCTATCTGCTTCTCTGCCTCCCTCCCTTTCTCTATTCCTTTTTCCTTCCTTCCTTCTTAAGTCTAAAAGACATTAGGTCTTATAAGGAGGAGAGAGACGGCATCAGCCCACAGAAAGCAAGAGAGTGAACAGGGTGGGGAAACCACCTATTCAGGTGGCAGCACATGAAGATGGCCGCAGCCCAGGTGGATGAGAGTCCATGGGGGTAAGGAGGACACCTGCATGTCATGGAGGTAGGGGAAGTAGGTGGCAACAGTGAAAGAAGACTGGTTACATACAGGAAGATGAACCAAATGAGTACATATATTTCAAATAAGGGAGCCAGGAAAAAATGACAACAATGGAATGGTAGAAAACTAAAACCTTTGGTATTCAAATGAAATTAGAGATATCAGCATGAACTCATGGTGTGTACATATAGAAATAAATACAGTTGATGTGCCGTGTGAATACTGATAGATAGGTAGATAGACAAATAGTATGTACACACATGCATGTATTTCCTAGCTATGGTCACTGCAAAGACATGGAAGCATCAACTTCCCAGATCGTGGTTTCTTTGCTTTTTTTTTTTTTTTTTTTAGATGAAGTTTCACTCTTGTCACCCAGGCTGGAGTGCAATGGCGCGATCTCGGCTCACTGCAACCTCTGCCTCCTGGGTTTAAGTTATTCTCCTGCCTCAGCCTCCCGAAGAGCTGGGATTACAGGCGCCTGCCACCATGCCTGGCTAATTTTTTTTGTATTTTAGTAGAGACAGAGTTTCACCATGTTGGCCAGGCTGGTCTTGAACTCCAAACCTCAGGTAACCCGCCCACCTCGGCCTCCCAAAGTGCTGGGATTACAGACGTGAGCCACTACACCCAGCCCAGATCTTGGTTTCTTTTCTTTTTCTTTTCTTGTCTTTTTTTTTTTTTTTTTTAGACAGAGTCTCACTCTCTCACTCAGGCTAGAGTGCAGTGGCGTGATTTCTGCTTACTGCAACCTCCGTCTCCTGGGTTCAAGTGATTCTCATGCCTCAGCCTCCCAAGTAGCTGGGATTACAAGTGTGTGCCGCCACACCTGGTTAACTTTAATGTTTTTAGGGTTTTGCCATGTTGGCCAGGCTGGTCTTGAACTCCTGGCCTCAAGTGATCCACCTGCCTTGGCCTCCCAAAAAGTGCTGGGATTACAGGCGTGAGCCACCATGCCTGGCCCCAGATCTTGGTTTCTAAGTATCATTTGTCACCTAAAGGAACCAGGGCTCTGTGGAGAAATGACTGATTCTAAGATTGGCAAAGCACAGGTCCAAAATGAGCCTGGAATGCTTTGTTGTCCCAGAAAGTAAGGAAGTGGTCAAAGAATGGTAGGGATGGATCAAAATAGTGGGGCAGGTGAAGGAGCACTCACTGTACAAATCTGGGTAATATGAACATCAAAATAAATTATGATAATAAAAGACTATAGTGTGAAGCCAGGCGTGGTGGCTCAGCTCTGTAATCCCAGCACATTGGGAGGCTGAGGTGGGCAGATCACTTGAGGTCAGGAGTTCGAGACCAACCTGGCCAATATGTGAAACCCTGTCTCTGCTAAAAATACAAAAATTAGCAGGCATGGTGGCACATGCCTGTAGTCCCAGCTACTTGGGAGGCTGAGGCAGGAGAATCATTTGAGCCTGGGAGGCAGAGATTGCAGTGAGCAGAGACTGAGCCACTGCATTCCAGCCTGGGTGACAGAGGTAGACTCTGTCTCAAAAAAAAAAAAAAAAAAAGACTATAATCTGTTGAATAAGATAGCAACCTATGAGCTCATACTGATCTCAATAAATACATAGGTGGAGGAGAAAGCTTTTACTAGCAATAAAATGTCAACTGATGACTGCAGAAAAGAAGATGGAAATACAAAAATTAAAATTTGGCAATCATCATAGTAACAATTCAGCCAAGAAACATCAATATGTGTACCAAAACTAGTACATGAAAGTTTGATGAATAATGGGATATTTACATAGTTTAAACTGGCTCCTAAAAAAATACTGATTAAAAGAGGAGTAACTTTCTGGTTTTCTTTTTCTTTTTTTTTTTTTTGGAAATGGAGTCTCGCTCTTGTTGCCCAGGCTAGAGTGCAGTGGTGCAATCTCAGCTCACTGCAACCTCCGCCTTCTGGGTTCAAGTGATTCTCCTGCCTCAGCCTCCCGAGTATCCAGGACTAAGGTACGTACCACCATGCCTGGCTAATTTTTGTATTGTTTTTAGTAGAGATGGGGTTTCCCCATGTTAGCCAGGCTGGCCTCGAACTCCCGACCTCAGGTGACCCACCTGCCTCGGCCTTCCAAAGTGCTAGTATTACATGTGTGAGCCACTGTGCCCGGCCTGAGAAGGGACAACTTCATGGGAGAGAAACCTGATAGATGTTGTCTTAATGCAGTGATCAAAATTCATATTTCCCTGTAAAGGGACAAATAAAATCATGTACTAAGTAATAGGATGCAATGAAAGATCACAGCACTACTTTTCTGGTATTTTTGTCTGTCTTTCTCCCCATCACCCAAAACAGTATATACTAAATCTAATCATGAGGAAACAATAGAAAAAGAAACATTCTAAAACATTTCAAAAAATGATTGAACGGTTATTTTCAAAAGCGTCAAGCCGGGAAAGCCAAGGAAAGATTGAGGTTCTATTCAGGTAAGAGGTACCTAAAGAGACATGACAACCTGATGCAACACTTTATCCTGAATAGGATTCTTTTGTTATAAAAGATGTTATTGGGATAATTAATGGAATCCGAATGACAATTATGGATTAGATAGCAGTAATGTGTCAGTATCCATTTTTTGAGTTTTGATGGCTGCATTGTGGTTATGAGGGAGAATATCCTTATTTTTTGGAAATACTAAAGTATTTTAAAATACTAAAGTGAAATGAACCCTTCTTGGTTAAGGCCCTTCATTAGTTTATCTTACAGTCTCATCTTCAATAGCATCTCCACAACCCCATCCTCCGCCCATAATAGACCTTTCCCACAATCATAACATGTCCATCTCTGGGTCTAGGGCTTGCTCATGTTATGCTGTATGTATATGTGTATGTACACAGATATATGTATATATCTTTTTTATTTTTATTTATTTATTGAGATAGAGTTTTGCTCTTGTTGCCCAGGTTGGAGTGCAATGGCATGATCTCAGCTCACCGCAGCCTCTGCCTCCCGGGTTCAAGCAATTCTCCTGCCTCAGCCTCCTGAGTAGCTGGGATTACAGGCATGCGCCGCCAAGCCCGGCTAATTTCGTGTTTTTAGTAGAGATGGGGTTTCTCCATGTTGGTCAGGCTGGTCTTAAACTCCTGACCTCAGGTGATCCGACTGCCTCGGCCTCGGCCTCCCAAGATGCTGGGATTACAGGCGTGAGCCACCACGCACGGCCATATGTATGTATATCTACAAGGCCTTGCAGCTCCATTTTTGCCAGTTAAAATGTTTGAGTTTAAGAAACATCACTGTGGGGCATGATGACTCGCGCTTGTAATCTTAGCACTTTGGGAGATCAAGGCAGGAGGATTGCTTGAGCCCAGGAGTTCCAGGACAGCCTGAGCAACATAGTAAGACCTCATCTCTACAAAAATTAAAATTAGCTGGGCATGGTGGCACGTGCCTATAATCTGAGCTACTCAGGAGGAGGGGTGGGAGGATCGCCTGAGCCCAGGAGGCGGAGGTTGCAGTAAGCCTTTGTGTCTCCAAAAAGAGGATCATCATAACACTTCAATACTTGAGTATAAGTGTGCTAGAATCATCATAAAACTTAAAATTTTAGATAAAATTAAATCTGACTCTGACTTTCCCTTCTTAATTTGGCATAAAAATGTGATCTCAGTCTCAAGTATATGGAAGTGGGTGGCTTACCTAGTGCCCAGAAAATAGGAAAATTTCTCTGGTCTTCAATTCATCACAGTGGCTGCTGAGATGCTCAATGCCAAAGTCCACATTACATTTAAAGGCAGAAAACTCCATCCTTTCTGTGACATTTATTGGTGCAAGGATCTTATGCTATTGTTCCTAGGGCTGTGGTAGGGGGTGCCACAGGGATAGTCTCAAGCACTTGCAGAAAGCCCTTAACCGCCCTTTCCCCAGTAATTTCTCCAGTCTTATCTTCTCCTCTAGGATTAAGCCATTTCCTGTTTCACTTTCTAAGACGGATCCAGATGGAAATATCTTCTACATAACTGGGAGCTTCCATTTTTAGCCTGGAAGAATGAAAATTATTGATAATCATCAGATGAAAGGGAACCCAAACTCATGACATTAAGGTTTTTCTACCTTCTTGAAATGCTGGGAGGAAAAATTCATTTAAGCTGCCTGTGTATTTGAGTATAAAATAGCAATATTCTGAATAATACCACCATGCTGCTCAACTCTAATATAGGGATTGGCAATGTTTTAAAGTTTTAAATTGGTGGCTGGGTGTGGTGGCTTACACCTGTAACCCCAGAATCTGGGATGCCAAGGAGGGTGGATCACATGAGCTCAGGAATGCAAGGCCAGCCTGGGCAACATGGTGAAACCATGTCTCTGCAAAAAATACAAAAATTAGCCAAGCATGGTGGTGTGCACCTGTAGTCTCAGCTACTTGGGGGGTTGAGGAGGTGGGAGGATCGCTTGAGTCCGGGAGGTGGAGGCTGCAGTGAGCAGTGTTCGCGCCATTGCACTCCAGCATAGGCGACAGAGTGAGACCCTGTTTAAAAAAAAAATTAGGGCCGGGCGCAGTGGCTCATGCCTGTAATCCCAGCACTTTGGGGGGCTGGGGCAGGTAGATCACTTGAGGTCGGGAGTTCGAGACCAGCCTGACCAACATGGAGAAACCCCATCTCTACTAAAAATACAAAATTAGCTGGGCATGGTGACGCATGCCTGTAATCCCAGCTACTCAGGAGGCTGAGGCAGGAGAATCGCTTGAACCCGGGAGGCAGAGGTTGTGGTGAGCCAAGATTGAGCCACTGCACTCCAGCCTGGGCAATAAGAGCAAAATTCTGCCTCAAAAAAAAAAAAAATTAAATTGGTCAAGGCCTAGGTAATAAATGTTTTAGGCTTTCCAGGCTATGCGGTTTCTGTCGCAAGTACTCAGCATTATCATTACAGCATGACAGCAGACAGACAAGATGTAAACAAATGAGCATGGCTGTGCTGCAGTGACACTTTGTGGACACAGAAACATGAATTTAATAGAATATGCATGTGTTGCTATGTATCATTCTTATGTTGAGTTTTTCCCCATCTTAAGATGCAACTTCATTCTTAGCTCGTGGGCTATACAAAAATAAGTAGTGGGCTGGATCTGGCCTTTGGGCTGAAGTCTGCCAATTTCTGCTCTGAGACAATCAAATAAGAGCTTTAACATGAATGTTTCTGGAATTCGGAATTATCTCCACCCATAAATAGCATATTTTGTGCATTTATCATAGTTCTTACCACTTTCTGTCAAGAATCATTGTTCCCTGTGCATTTACAATCCAGATGATTGTGCCCTGAGAGATAGAAATGTGGTATGTACTTCCTTTGAGCACCTACAGAGCCTAGGTGTCCAAACTATTTTGACTTAATGAAACTGTGTGGTGGAGAGAAGAGATGGAGGTTAAATAAGTAAGAGAAATTATGGAGTATCATCTATACAAGGCTGGCTGTGTTCCCTTAGAGGACTATGAGTTTCATTATAGATGGTTTGTAATTTATGTGGTGTTCTCATTTTCTTCTTCTCCTTAATTATCTTTGTTTACTTGTTGAATTGCTTCCAAGACAATTATTTGAGGTCCAGGTCTGTATAAAGAACTCTGCATTGCCGAGTCTATCCCAGGAAAACTAAGGTTTCTGAAAGATTATTTTTCTATTTATGATTTTATTCATCTTTAAGATTGTTAGAAAAACTGGAAATTTAATTTTTGCATGTATTTTTAAAGATGAAAAATCTTTAAGCTATTTTCTTTATGTATGGTTCATTTGGAACATGGGTAAATATGGCTCTTAGAAAATTAACATGATCCTTTCTTTTGTTTTAGTAATACTTTATGCTTTCATGTTTTATATTTCACTAACTCTGCACAATAATCCTGTGAAGTAGGTAGGACAGGAGTGGAGTCAAGACTCTTTCAGGTTAAAGTGACTAAAAAATAAAATAAAAACAACCCAAAGTAGTTTAAGCTCAAAGAAGGTAATATTTTAGCTCAGGTACTTGAAAAATGAAGGGATGGATCTTTCTTCCATCTATGGCTGAATCCAAGGACTCAAATGATTGCATCAGAGTTCTCTGGTCTGTTCAGTTCTGTCTTCTTGTGTGTGTTGCTCTCATTGCAGGAAGACTTCTTCCAAGTTGCTGGAGGAGATGGCCACTAGTAGCCTTGATTTTATATCATCCCAGCACAAAGACACCAAATGCAAGAGACAGCATTTTCCACCAGCTCTAGCTGGAAAATCCTTAGAGGAGGACTGTAGTTATCAGCTCAACCAGGACAACTTGATCGGAGAAGAGTGGTTATCCAGAAAGGGATGCTGAGCAGATAATCAACGTTCTCTGAAGTGGGTATAATGACTATCTACATGCATATGGGAAAGGGAGGCACAGAGAAATGAAGTAACTTTTCCAAGATCACACGGTTGGTTGGTGGGAGAGGTAAACCAAAAACCCAGGCCTCCTCACTCAGACCTCTGCTCTTGCCTGAATAACCATGTTATTTCGCCACTTCAAAATAAAAGTGAGACCTACCAGTTTTCATAAACACTGTAATGTCGTTCTGTTACATTTATTTCTTTGCCTTCTGTATATATATATCAATAGCCTCACATTCAAAGAACCAAATAATTGTACCCAACTTATTCACCTCAGTATTTGTGAATAACTCTGGCCTTATAAAAAAGTCTAACGGTTTTCTGTTTTTGTTTTGCTCTTACACTTTATGGGCATTTTATACCAGCATTTTTAGGTGTTTTTAACAGGTGGATCGTCAGAAAGAATACAAAAGTTTGAATAAACATACATTGGCAAGCAATTATTCCTCTCCCCTTAGTATATTCTGTTCCTTAATTTTTTTTGTGATGGGCATAATTAAATGATTTATTGCAAAAATTGCTTATCTTTCTGTAAGCAGGCAAGTGCCTGGTTTGTTGGAAAGAGGACTTGACCAAGTGCTAACCAATGTGGATTTGCGAATTATCAAGTTTACAAAACCTTTTTAAAAACTGTTTTAAAAAAATGCTTAGTTTTACAAAACCGTCTGGCTTTGTCAATTTCTAGTTAGTTGTGTGGCTGCCAGCACACGGCTTAAACTCTGAACCTTAGTAGTATCATCACTTGCAAAACAGGAGTGGTTTTATCACCTTATTTTGAGCATAGTGTAGGCTGAAATCTTTTGTAAGCTACAAAATGGCATATAAATGTCAGTTTTACTGACAGAGCAGGAGCACCGTCATCTCGGACAAACACCGCCATTTTTAAGTTCCAGCTCCCTTTCTAGCCTCATGAATTTCAAGGAAATCACTTCTCTTCTAATTACAAGCAGATAGAAAGAGCAGTCAGTAAAACACAGATAAGACAGCTCAGGCAGAGTGAAGTAGGGGGAAAATCTCTTGGCTAACTACCAAACCTCACCCTCATACAATGAGCCCCAGTGAAACAGTGGGCCTTAATAAGCACATTCCTTTCCCTTCAGGTGTACTAAGATAGGGAAGCTAAAAGCAGACTTTTAGCTGCGGGTATGCCTGCAGCTGCAGAAAGATGTATGGGAACAGACACACAACTCTCCCTCCCAGATAAGCACAGCAAAGAGACACAGAAGCAGTCCAAGCCTCTGTTAAACTCTCCCACCCTGAATCCTTAAAAACTCTTAGTCTGTAAGAGAGTGTGGCTCTGACCTAACTTGGCCAGCTGCCAGTCTCAGGTTTATTTAAAATAAACCTGTCCCTGTTGACTATAAAGCCACCCTTCGTGCTTCTCTCCTCTATTTAATTCTTACATCTACGTTTGTTTGAAATCCAGCTTTTCCTATGACCTCAACAAAATAAATAGAGGCACATGTGAAAACTTACCTTTAATAGGGTTATTCTCTTGGAAGAATTGAGTCAATTTTCTTAAAGCAGAAAAACCTAGACGACGTTATGGGTTGAATGTTTTAAGTTCCTTGGTACCTGTTTTATTTGTATATTTTATACTGTGCCTGGTTTCTTGTGCCTTTGCAGTGCTGTCAAAAATTCTCTTTTTGAAACAAGGAAGCTGCAGTGAGAAAAACATTTCTAACTCGCAGTGCATTACAAATCTTCCTTTCGGAGATTATAGCTCTAGATCTTTTCCAACCTCAAGGCTCCCTCTACCGCCAGCCGAGCCCTGGAAACCACCCAGAGGTGCACAGCGCCTCCTCCTGGGAGAGTGGCAGAGTCAGCCGGGAGTCCGCGGCGGAGCGCTGACCTCCGGTGCGGCGGTCTTCACTGTGCAGTCTCAGAAGCACCTCGGGAAGTTTCTGCACAAGTACCCACGCCAGCAAGGGGAGACTTGGCTGGCTCCATAACGCCCCAAACTCGCTTGAGCTGAGGATAAGTCTGCAACACCGCGGAAGACAAGGGATGCTAATGAGACTGGACTTCCGAACCTCGCTCTATGGGTGGGGCTTCGCTTTTTCACTGCACCTTGCTCCTTAGACTTGGCTCTATGGGCGGGACTACGCCAGGTGGGTGGGAACTCACTCTATGGGCGGGACTTCCGCCTATGGACGGGGCTCCGTTCGGTGGGCGGAGCTACGGCTCGTGAGCGGAATCCTGACTGGTTCATCCTCCCCGGAACTTCCTAGACGCCGTACGTGCCAGATGGTGTTACCTGGAGCTTAAAAAGCTGCACGCAAGTGTTAAACTTCTGGTGAGAGTTTAATAAATTAAGTTTTCTGGAGGGCTGGCGTGAAGTTTGCAGGGGTCGGGGTTGGATTGGGCCGGTCTCGTACCGCTGTGGCCTGTAGGCTCGGTTCCGTCGCGCTCTGCCTCAGGCAGCCCTACTGGGTAGCAGGCCCGAAACCCCGGTGCTTGTTGGGCTTTCATCTCCTGACGGGGTCCCAGTTTTGGGCTGTGTCTTTCATGATCAGTTTCTACGTGGTTTTCAGAGAATTTCCCTCCACTCGCACACCCCCACTAGTGTATTACTTTCTCCACGAACCTTGCTCAGGTCTACAGCTCTAGTAAACCTCTCCACTTGTAGACTGTCTGTTCATGGTCCATGTGTATATTATAGGTAGTGTCATGTACAATATACCTATCATGTCTGTGTATGTTCCGTATATATACTGTCATTATTTATGTTCCATATATATTTTTTGTGTATAAAATATAGGTTCTCTACCACACGTGGCATATAGCAATTGATTTATACTAGATGAATGATTGGATTTTGGTTACTATTGTAATTATTTTATTTTAATTTTTATTTATTTATTTTTGAGACTGAGTCTCAGTCTGTCGCCCAGGCTGGTGTGCAGTGGCGTGATCTCGGCTCACTGCAACCTCCGCCTCCTCGTGTCTCAGCCTCCCGAGTAGCTGGGATTAGAGGCGCGCGTCACCACGCCCGGCTAATTTTAATTTTTTTTAGTGGAAACGGGGTTTCATCATGTTGGCCAGGGTGGTCTCGAACTCCTGGCCTCAAGTGATCCGTCCGCCTCGGCCTCCCAAAGTGCTGGGATTACAGGCATGAGCCACCGCGCCCGGCTTGGAATGATTTTAGAGTACTTCATTTGAGGGGTTTTATTATGTGTATTTTATTTTTTGCATCTTCTGTAATAACCATGTATTTTCTACTGCATTCTTTTTTAAGTAGGAGGAATACTGTTGGCGTTCAAAAGCATTGCTGTTTCAGTTAAGTAGTTCCTTAATTACTTACAATGTAGTAAGGCTACATTGAAGGAAGATATAAATTTCAGTCAAGACTACGACTGAGCAAAGGTAAAAAAGGAAGAATGTTCAAGGTGTCTGTGCAAGAGAACAGTTAGACCAGGCTGGCTAGAGCAGTGTTTATAGGGACGTAACAGGAGATATGTGTGGCAGATTTAGGGTAGATTCAGAGTGCCAGTAATATGCCAAGCCAAGGCACGTTGCCCCTTATACATTGGGAAAACTGTTGAAGGTTTTTAACATTGGGAAGGTCGATCGCATAGCTTGGTGCCAGATAGCCACTGTGCAGATGGCTTAAGCCAGGAGTTGGCAGACTTTCTGTTAAAGGTCGGACACTAAATATTTTGGACTTTGTGGGTCATAGTTATAGCAGGAAAGCAGCCATATCAGCATATGATTGAATGGACATAACTGTATTCCAATTAAACTTTATTTTTTAATTAATTAATTTTTTTGAGACAGAGTCTTGCTCTGTCACTCAGGCTGGAGTGCACTGGTGCAATCTTGGCTCACTGCAACCTTCGCCTTCCGGATTCAAGCGATTCTCCTTCCTCAGTCTCCCGAGTAGCTGGGATCACAGGCATGTGCCACCACGCCCAGCTAATTTTTGTATTTGTAGTAGAGACAGGGTTTCACCATGGTGAGGCTGGTCTCTGCCTTCGCCTCCCAAAGTGCTGGGATTATAGGTGTGAGCCACCGCGCCTGCACTTGGCCTCCAATTAAACTTTACTACAAGGACAGGTGCTTGGCCTGATTTGGTCCATGGGCATAGTTTGACAAACAGTGGTTTGAACAAATGGACCTAGGGACTTCAGCAGTAATCCAGTCCTGAACTAAGCAATACTATACCATTTTTTTGTATAGCTTTTATATTTATACATGAAGTGTAATATCACATAACGTTAGCTCTGATCTAGTCTGCCTGGCTGTAAGTCCTGGCATCTCCTGGTTATTGACAGTGTGACATTGGGCAAATTAACTTCTCTTTGCGTCAGTTTTTTAATTTTAATCTTTAAAATGGGGATAATAGTACTTCTTACAAAGGGTTGTAAGGAGTAAATGAGTTAAAGCACATAAGTGTAGTGCTTGTACATATAATAAAAGCTCAATATGTGTTAACTTAATATTTTAAAAATTATTCCTCATATACATTATTAAAGGCAGATCTGAGAGATGTTTTAAGGTAGAATTTACTGGCTTAATGCATCTCTAGCTACGGAGGAAAGACAGTATCCAACACTTCAAGGCAAGGGCCGTTCACATAGAGGTAATATGGAAGTCATAAAAGTAAATTAAGGGAGAGAGGGAGGTAGGAAATGGAGGATTAAGGACTGATTTTGATGGGATGCACAGGAGAGAAAGTGGGGAGAGTAAAAAGGAATAAAAAAGAAGTCAAGAAGGAGGCAGAATCAGTCTCTAAAGTATGATAGGAACCAGAATAGCATAGTAGTATATAGACTAACAGAAGGATGGGTGGTGAGGTACTGCTGAGAATAACAGTTATTGTGTTGATGATATTAGTGAATTCAACCAGCAGATATTAATTGGATGCCTCCTATGGGCCCATTACTGGGGATACAGGGAAGAATTAGATACATACTCTGTACTCAAAGAGCAGAAAATCTACTAGGAGTGAAAGACTTGGAAATAATATATGCACCAACTTTAAAAATAATCAAGAGTAAGATAGAATTTTTTAGATTTAATTGGTACCTTTAAAAACTTAAAATTGACTTACGGTTCATAAATGTGGGCAATTTAATTGAATTTATTTTCTTTTCTAGACAATGGCCAAGAACAAATTAAGAGGGCCGAAGTCCAGGAATGTATTTCACATAGCCAGCCAAAAAAACTTTAAGGCTAAAAACAAAGCAAAACCAGTTACCACTAATCTTAAGAAGGTGAGTATTAGTTAAGCACTCTGACTTTATTGTTTACAAGCAAAGTGTCATTGTAAGCTACTGAACAGCTGTATACTATTACTTTTTAAAAAGGTTCTTCATTTTTCCTAGAAAGGTAAGGATGGTTTCAAGCATTTGTCTAAAAAAATATAAAAAAAAAGGAAGAAAAATAACCTCCCTTTCTTGAAAACAAATGTTGAAAAGAAATAAACATTTTAACTACAAATGTGTGAAGCTTCAATTTAATAGTTTTACTGAACCATAGAACTCATTTAAAAACCATAGTATGGGAAACAGTTCTTATCTCTAAACTCAAATGTAAGAATGTATTAATAGAGGCAAGACATGGGATGTCAGTGAGCACCCATTCTTTTTCTCCTCAGTAATTCTTGTATCTTTGAAGACATCTGCAATTCAAACAAAAACCTGTAAAATGAAGATAAAAAATATTTATTGAAATGCACAATTTGAAAGGGGTTTCTTTTCTTTGTTTATATTTCAAAATACCTGAGAAATTTCTACAAGATTTAAGAAAAATTTTTAAGAAAATGTTTTCAAGTTTCAGTAGTAGATGGAGTCAGCTCTCCAGGACTCAGTTTAATTATAATAGTCCATAGAAATCTAACATTTCATCTTTCAACTTTCATGAGCTAGCGGAGTTAAGCTTTTTGGTTGAATAGTTTTATGATTTTATAAATGCTAAGAATGAAATTAAGCAGATGATGGGGGTTTTGGGGATGACAGTTTATATAGGACGGTCTTCATAGTTGACACATTGAAACCAAGACTAGAATGACAAAGAGCTAGCAATGCAAAGAGCTAGGAAGTGTTGGGAGTGGTGGGTTCGAGGCAGAGAAAAATAGCAAGTGCAGAGGCCCTGAGCTAGGGAAAAGCTTGGTGTATTTGAGGAAGATTATTTTATTTGGACAGGAGGTACTAGAACTTTTATATATGCCACCAGGTAGGATCTAAGAGAGAGATCTATGGGTAGGCTGCATAAGGTGCAAAGGAGGTAAGGGTTTTGAAGGAGAAATTGTTTGGCAGCAGCAACAGTGAAGAAGAAGAGCACCACCCCTACCTCTGTTAAACTCAAGAGGAGGACTGCGAGGGAAGCTGTCATCAGGGGTCTTCCATTAAGACAAGAAGGTCCAGGAAGGATTCAGAGACGTATTGTTATGTTAGAAGGGACTAAAAGTATTTGATCCAGGTTTCTTGTATAGATGCGGGATGACAGCACTGTAGCCTAGAAAGATTTTGGTCACTGTAAGGATACAGGAAAAAAGCAACTCAGTTTCTCTTACTCTCACTCTCATACGGTCACTCAACACTTCCAATACTAGATTTGTGGGGCAGTTCCCCCACACCTAACAATTCTGCAGATGAATCTTCAGCAGGCAGCAGCTGGGTGTCCTTTAATTAAAATCTGACACTGCTGACCTGGAGATAGCGTCAGATTCCACAGGTTGAGAGTTGAGTCCTAAGCCTCTCCCCAACTTCCAGTGACAATCACAAGTCCCAGATGTTTTACCTGTGCTTCTCACCAACCAGTTATAAATAAGTGTTCCCATGACCCCCTCCTTGGGTTTGATTAATTTGCTAGAGCAGCTCACAGAACCCAGGAAAATACTTTTACCAGTTTATTATAAAGGATATTACAAAGGGGACAGATGCGTAGCCAGATGGAAGAGGTGCAGAGGGCAAGGTACATGGGAAGGGGCATGGAGCTTCCCTGCTCTCTCTGGGCATGCCACTTTCTAGGAGCCCCCATGTGTTCAGCTATCCAGAAGCTCTTTGAACCCAGTTCTTTTGTAGATTTCCGGAGGCTTCATTATGTAGGCATAATTCATTAAATCATTGGCCATTAGTGATGGGCTTAACCTTTATCCCCACTCCTCTGGAGCAGAAAGTCCTAATCCTCTAACCCTGTGTTTTTATCTGACTAGCCCTCCTCCTGAAGCTATCTAGAGACTCCCAGCTACCAGCCATCTTATTAGCATTCAAAAGACACTCTTATCCCTCTTAATACAATGATTTAAAAAGCTGTATGACAGGAAATGAGGACAAAGACCAAATATATATATATATCTTATTATGAATCACAATATCACAGTCACATATTTTAGCCTTCTGAACCATAAGTGTGAGGCATAGCCACATAAATCCCATTTTTTAAAAACCAAAACTTTTTGTCTGTAATTTCCCAATAAGACTATAAGAATTTTTGAGTGAATTATCCCTAATTTGTTGGTAAGAGTTTTTAGATTTTAGATTTAACAGGTTAAGGTTGAATATATCTTATCTTTAATGGTTATGAGATCATAGATTAATGCTTTTTTTCTTTTTAAAAGATAAACATTATGAATGAGGAAAAAGTTAACAGAGTAAATAAAGCTTTTGTAAATGTACAAAAGGAACTTGCACATTTCGCAAAAAGCATTTCACTTGAACCTCTGCAGAAAGAACTGGTAAGCAGAAATCATTTGCTTTTTTTTATGGCTAACAAATTGAGGCTAATAAATTAAACTCCCAAGTTTTCAAAGCCTGTAAGTTGAGTGTAATTTTTAGTACTTGGCTCTCTAGTACTAGGCTCTATAGTATAAATAGCATATTCAGACTCTAAAACATTGTCAGAATATACAGATTGTTCTACTTCCAAAGATATGACTAGAAAAATTAAATTGAATAACAGCTTATATAAGTCATTTGTCTGCTATTGTTGTCTGTGTTTTTAAATATAATACTTTCTCCTTTCAGATTCCTCAGCAGCGTCATGAAAGCAAACCAGTTAATGTTGATGAAGCTACAAGATTAATGGCTCTGTTGTAATATACTGGTGATGCATCTAATTCTCCACAAAGACCAATAAATTGAATGTTTTATACAATTTTATTTTTAAAAATCTTGTTAATGTACAGGCATTGGCACATTTTAAAAACAAACTACATAAACAGATCTTTCCTATAACCTAGGAAAGTGGAATGTCAGAAGTCAACAAAATGTGATAAACTTAAAGTGCTAAAACAGAAGGCACTTCACAAAATCTGTTCACTGAAACAGTTATATATCCTCGTTTACATCCTTCACTTTACAAGTGGCAGTGAACGTCTGTTTGGATAGAAGGACATACAGAAATACAGGCAGTTTAGTGGCAGTAAAAATATAAGACAAGTAATGAGTCCTTGGCCAACTTGTTTTTGATGACCTGTAGTGTCCTTTAACTTTCCTCCTTAAGAAGAAAAAACAGAAGGATTCACAATTAGAAGAAAAGTTGAAATCCAGAATATAGTTACTTTTGGGAGTGGGGACGTTTGTGGATATTAAATCACTTATCCCCTAAAGCAATCAGAGCCCTTTGTTTTTATGGTTGAAGTTTTGTGAAGTAAAGAAAGTATTAGGGAAGAACACTTCAGAATCAGTGAACTAAAAAAGGTGTTACATTCATTATTTTAAATATTTAGGTTATTAAGAAGTCTAAAATGTTACACAGTTAGAGGTAGATAACAGTCCCAAGTTTCCATGGAATCTAATAATTTAGTATCTGGACATCAAACAGATCACAAACTCCTTCGTTATCATCTAAATTAAAGTTGTAGTCATCTGCCGGGGTAGGAGAAAGCCTTAAGAGAGGAAACACTGCGAACAAAAAACAAATTTAGTGTTAAAGATGGTTTCTACATACGGTTAATGATCTTTAACAAAATACTCTCAAATACATCATTCCAAATTAAAGTCTTGTGTAATGTGTATTTTGAAATATTCTCATTTAGTAACAATTTGTACATTGAATATTGATATTAGATTGAGAAACAGAAGTTAATTTTTTCTTTTTTTTTTTTTTTTTTTAAGATGGAGTCTCCCTGTTTCGTCCAGGCTGGAGTGCAGTAGCTCGATCTCGGCCCACTGCAAGCTCCCGACTCCCGGGTTCACGCCATTCTCCTGCCTCAGCCTCCCGAGTAGCTGGGACTACAGGTGCCTGCCACCACGACCGGCTCATTTTTTTTATTTTTTTATAGAGATGGGGTTTCACCATGTTAGCCAGGATGGTCTCGATCTCCTGACGTGATTCGCCCGCCTTGGCCTCCCAAAGTGCTGGGATTACAGGCATGAGCCATTGTGCCCGGCCTAGAAATTAAATTTTTTATTGGTTGAACTTATCACTAAGGTAATATAACTAAAAGGCACTAACGAGGCCAGGTGCAGTGGCTCATGCCTGTAATCCCAACACTTTGGGAGGCTGAGGCAGGTGGATCACCTGAGGCCAGGAGTTTGAGACCAGCCTGGCCAACATGGTGAAACCCCGTCTCTACTAAAAATACAAAAAGTAGCCAGGTGTGGTGGCAGGTGCCTGTCATCCCAGCTACTCGGGAGGCTGAGCCAGGAGAATCATTTGAACCTAGGAGGTGGAGGTTGCAGTGAGCTATCATGCCACTGCACTCCAGCCTGGATGACACTCCAGCCTGGATGACAGAGGGAGACTCTGCCTTAAAAAAAAAAAACAGAACACTAATGAAAGTGTTTTGTTTTCCACTTTGCAAACAGAAGAATGAACTGGACTTACAAAGTTTGCTGATGTTCTCTGCTTCTACATACATGTTTAGTACATCTCTAGTTACTATAACATTTGCTAACTTAACTGCTACCACTTCGTAGGTTTCTACTTTATTTGTTAGGTAGTAGGACTCTGATCCAAGAACTTACAGAAGGAGAGAAATTATTAAAGTAATTAGCATATTGTAGCTAACTGATATTTAATAATTTTTCAGGTTAGATGACAACATGGTTAATATTAATACTAATTCAGTGACTTCCCATTGGCAGCTTGAAATTGGCCTGGGTAGGGGTATTTACAAAGGCAGGTGTTCAGATCAGTTGCTTGATTTAGACAAGTTATTTTACTCTTCTTGGACCAGATCCTTCAGGAGTGGAAAGGGCTAACAGTTTATTTTCAATGAAGGTGAGAAGTATCCCCATATGGATTCCTTTCCCTCAAAATGCAAGCAAAGAAAAATAAATTCTGAAGGTTGCCTATTACTTACTGTAAGTGTTAAGGGAGAATTTTCATGAATCTTCATAGTAAAGCAGGTAGCAAATATATGTTCATTTCTTTTAAATCATGTTTCACTTATAAATTCCACAGAAGCATTACTGATAAGTGAGTTAGTAAAATTTTAACCTACTTACCGTCAGAAGACATTAACTCATCAATGATATCTCCACTAATAGATCCTGCTGGAAACAGTAATAAAGTTTTGTTATATTTCTGTTAACAGTAAAAGATACTCATATTTAAACACAAGTAGTCACAGCAGCAGCTTGACTGACATGCACATTTATTTAAAGTACTAGTACTTTGTGGACAGGTTGTTTTCATGAGCGCTTACTCTGTGCCTGGCATTACTTTTAAACTTCCAAACTCCAGACGAAGACCAAAAGACTCATTATCTGCCAGGCATGGTGGCTCATGCTTATAATTCTAGCACTTTGGGAGGCTGAGTGAGGTGGACGGATTGCTTGAGCTCAGGAGTTCAGACCAGCCTGGGCAACATAGTGAAATCCGTCTTTACAAAAAATACAAAAAAATTAGCCAGACATTCATGGCACGTGCCTATAGTCCCAACTACTTGGGAGACTGAGGTGGGAGGATCACTTGAGGCTGCAGTGAGCTGAGATCGCGCCACTGCATTCCAGCCTGGCTGACAAAGTGAGACCCTGCCAAAAAAAAAAAAAAAAAAAAAAAAAAAACAACAACAAACCTCATCATCATTCTACCAAAACTGACTCAGTTTTAGTCAGTAGTTTCATAATTCTCCCAGTTATTCAACCTTAAAACTTCAACATCACTTTCCATTCCTGTTAACTTTATCTCCAGATCTCACACATCAAATGTTATTTTGCCTACAGTGTTTCTCAAATCTGTTCGTTATTTCTCTTCCTGATCTCACTGTAATCACTGTTTTAGCCTTTTTATTTATTTATTTATTTTGAGACAGGATCTCGCTCTGTCACTCAGGCTGGAGTACATTAAGTGCTGTCAGGGCTCACTGCAGCCTTGACCTCCCAGGCTTGCAATCCTCCCACTTTGGCCTCCCTCCCCAGTAGCTGGGACCACAGGCACACGTCACAATGCCTAGCTAATTTTTAATTTTTTTTTTTTTTTTTTTTTTTAGAGATAGGGTCTCACTGTATTGCCCAGGTTGGTCTCAAATTCCTGGGCTCAAGCAGTGTACCTGCCTCGGCCTCCCAAAGTGTTGGGATTACAGGCATGAGCCCCACCACACTTGGCCCTTGTTTTAGCCCTAATGTTCTCTCAGTTGCATAACTGCAAACATCTACAGTTTCCATCGCTTCTGAATTCTGCTTCCCAGGGCCAAAAGCATCTTTCCTAATCATATTACTCCTGTGTGCACCATTATAGCTAATTATGCTATTTCCTTGGTCACAGATCTTCACTGGTTTATTGGATAAATGTCCTAACTACTCTGAAATTCAAGGCCTGCTCTAATGTAGCCCAAAATTACTTTCCTTAGTTAGGATTTCCAAACATGAAACCATAAAAACAGAATACTCACTTTTTAAAAACACTTTGTTGAAGCCAGTGTGTTAATTATGTCTAAGCTAACCCAGGTAAAACCCATGTAAAGCTTGCCTGCTTTATATCCTAATTAGATTGTAAGCTTTTTAAGGACTACATTTTCTTTTTTTTTTTTTTTAAGATGGAGTCTTACTCTGTCGCCCAGACTGGAGTGGTGCGATCTCGGCTCACTGCAACCTCCAACTCCTGGGTTCAAGCAATTCTCCTGCCTCAGCTTTCCAAGTAGCTGGGACTACAGGTGTGCGCCGCCACACCCAGCTAATTTTTGTATTTTTTAGTAGAGACAGGGCTTCACTATATGTTGGCAAGACTGGTCTCGAACCCCTGACCTCAGGTAATCTGCCTGCCTTGGCTTCCCTAAGTGCTGGGATTACAGTTGTGAGCCACCACGCCCAGCCAGCACTACCTTTTCTATTGTGCATCCTAATGGTCTGTAGTATAGACATATTTATAGGGGAAAGAAAGGAATAGATGTGGGCAAAAAGAAGCTAAAAAACATTCCATGTCCAGTTATATCTTGTTAGCGTCACTTTTAACCTGTGAAATCCCATTTTAGCAATGAGACACATCCTAGAGGTAAAATAAACAATTTGGATTATATACAATATAGTTTTAAATTATCTGCAATATGATGTCTATATTGGCACCATTCATTCATTCATTCATTCAGTAGTCACTGAGAGATTGCCTACCATGCTCCCTTTATTTGGAATCAGTAAGGTACTGCCAAATTAAGAGTTGTGCTCTCTACTCCTGATACCCAGTGTGAAATGTTTTAGCTTTTTAAAATTTCATAAATGAAACAAATGAGGAAAGTAAGATTTCCTACATAATTGGAGTTGAGACCATTTATCACTTCTATAAAACTAAGCTTCCCAAATAAAAAGTATAACAAAGAATATGGAGAAACAAGAGGCATAAGTCACTATGGTCCATACTTAAAGATAGTTGGAACATATTTTCTTAAAGGTAGTTGGAACATATTTCACTAATTTATCCTAGACTTACTAAGAGAGATAAAAGAACCTTACCAAGTAAACTTCAGGTAAAAGCTGAAATCTACATATGCCACAAATGGAAAATTCCACACCTGACCTTGTGATAGGCTGCAGTCAAGCCACAGTCAATATTTTGTTTCATGCAAAAATTAAAACTATTGTATAAAATTATATTCAGGCTATGTGAATAAGGTGTGTATGAAACAAATGAATACTGTGTTTAGACTTGGGTCCTATCCCCAAGATATGTTATTATGTATATGCAAATATTCCAAAATGTCAAAAGTGCTTGGGACATTTCTGGTCACAAGCACTTTGGATAAGAGAGCCAACCTGTTTTTATATTTCTCCCTCTCTAATTTACAAAAGAAAGGCTCTGAACCCACCTGAAGATATATCTGTAGCTGATGTCTGCTGCAGAGCCTGGCTTCTTTCAGAGACATGTTGCTCAGGCAGATTTTGAGTTGCCATGCTGGATTTCTGTGGAGTCACTGGAGTCAAGGACTGGGAGGAAGGCTGTGTGAGGTCATCAGGTGGGGGAACAGGAAAAACCACGGGCTTAGATGAACTCGACTCTTTATTTATAAGCAGCACATGGATAGGTCCTGAATGACTCTTTAGATTGATCTGGTATTTCTTTTGTCCATTCTGACCCTTTGAAGTTATTGGGTATAAACAAATGTATAATTATTAACATTTCTAGCTAACTTAAGACAGTACAATAAGACAGGCAAAGCTATTAGGGACTTACTAAATTCACATAACACAATAAAGTCATTAAGTCAAAACACAAAAGTAGAGACATAGAGTAGAATGTAATTTTGAGGGCTCTAAACCACTAGTTTCTAAAAAGTAAGCTTTTCACAAATACTGATCATTAGAAACTCTCTGTTGTAGAATTCTGGCAACCATCTGTTGTTACCGTGTGTGACTATATAATAGGTCAGGGCCCAGCAATGCTCCAGGTATTCTCCATATACAGGAAATTTATCCCCTGGAGTTGGCCACCACAGATCTGGTCAGTTCAACATGCTTCACAAATCAAACTCTTTTTTTTCCCATCTGCAAGCACAAAGACAACTAATTTCTCCTACTGAGAAATAAATATAACATTCTTCCAGCTGAAAAAGTAATCTGTATCCTGAGGCTTCAGACTCCAGTAATACAAATGCCTAAATGTAAACTTTTTTAATAAGCGGGTGGGGGAAGGAGGTAGATAATATAGTAATCTTTTTCTACTCCCTTTTTTGGTTATTGCTTTCAAATTAGTTTGTTTTTAAAAATCTGAATCTGAAAACGAAAATCATGAAACTCATAGAGTCAATAAATGTCTTTGACTTAATAAGCCAGACAATGTTTTATAAAAGACCTAATTTAAAGGAATTGATTGTTGATATGTACATTGAACTTTTTCCTCAGTGGCAATTTTTATATCAATTGTAGATGTGTTGTTGTTGTTGTTGTTTTGATACAGAGTTTCACTCTTGTTGCCCAGGCTGGAGTGCAATGGCGCGATTTCGGCTCACTGCAACCACTGCCTCCTAGGTTGAAGCAATTCTGCTGCCTCAGCCTCCCAAGTAGCTGGGATTACAGGCATGCACCACCATGCCCGGCTAATTTTGTATTTTTAGTAGAGATGGGGTTTCACCATGTTGGTCAGGCTGGTCTTAAACTCCTGACCTCAAGTGATCCACCTGCCTTGGCCTCCCAAAGTGCTGAGATTACAGGCATGAGCCACTGCACCCAGCCCAATGTGGTCATTTTAACTTATTTTTATAGATTATTGGCCATATGATTAGTCATTTCTTGACATCCTCTAACTTAAAAAATTCAAATTTAAAATAATTTAATCAAAATGTTAAATCATTTTAAATCATTTGGTTACTTGGGGATAGATATCTTAGGGATAGGACCCAAGTCTAAACACAATATTCATTTGTTTCATACACACCTTATTCACATAGCCTGAAGATAATTTTATACAATAGTTTTAATTTTTGTATGAAACAAAAATCACTTGATAAAGCATTCTGATTACTTTTTAAAAATTGACTTTGAGCTAAATGATATCAATAAATGACTAAGGATATAGCCAATAATCTTTAAAATCATTTATGATTCATTTAGTTCTATAATTTTACCAAGGAATTAAAGACATACAAATTCAGCTATCAATACTTTTAGATAAAAACTTGACTAACTCACAGTGTTTACACAATTAGCTCACATTCAGCTAAAGAAAATATCCTTCTTGAGACAGTAGATTCATTTTTCCCACTTATATAAACATAAGTTATCCTACATACCATTTCTGGAATGGGTACCTCCAGTTGTGTACCAGAAGGTGCCTGAATGGCCAAAAGTGTATCACCTGGTCAAAAATAAATATAAAAAGTTACATAAAATACTGTTGATCATGGAATACAGTGGCAAGAATGTGGGCTCTGGAATCAGAGTGTTTGGTTCAATCCCAAACTAGGTGACCTTGAGCTTTGATTTTCAATTCTATAAAATGGGGGATACACAACCTACTGCATAGATTTATTTTGAGGATTAAATAAGATAATACATGTATTAGTATTATACATGGGTTAGCTGTATGATTCTCATTAACAAATTCAGCTCAAGTTGATTTTGCTTTGACTAAGACTCCTGTAAAGTCTGAGATTCTTAAGACCATTTAGCCTCAAATAACACTGTTCATTGGACTGAGGATAGTGGAGATTAGGTATGAGACACTGAAATGTTGAGCTTAAATGATTTTATTATTTTTGAAGCCAAATTCTACAACAAATCTCTGTTGAGTTGCAGATTAACAGAAGTCTCAGCAAACTTCCTTAAAAAACTCAGGAAATACAGTGGTAAAATAGAACAATAGTCCTATACTTATTTCCAACATAGTCTTACATAGAAAGTCAGATTCCACTTGATGAGGTACTTGGCAGAATCTTTTTAAATAGGTGGATAATACACATAAATTTAAATATGCACAATTTCATTTTACTTGTGCTATAATTTTGGGAACACACGTCCCCCCATTTTAGTTATATTAATAATTATAATTATTAACATGATATTGTTATTTTAAGGAGAAAACACAGGGGCAGCAAATTGCATAGGAATAGGTTTCCTGGTTATAAGATGGATTCACCTAATTCTTTCCTTATGGTTTCTTTGAGTTTCATTTGAGACCAGCATACTTGCATATAGTTTGATAAACAATGCTGATGAGAACCATGTTCTAGTTCAAGTTTGGTCACTAACTCTGTGACTGTGTGACAATGAAAGTTGCTTAATCCCGCTCTGATTTAGCTTGCCCTCTGTCCCTGTCCCCTTCCCCTTCCACACACAGTTGATCCCTACCAGTGGAGCTAATGAACTGAATGCTGTGAAAAGCAGCTATTCTCATGAAAACAGAAACAAAAGCAGTCTATCAATACACGGCATGGTGGAGTGAGACACAATGCCCACAACTTCTGAAAATAATGACAGGATGAGGACACAGGGAATTCTGAATCACCCTCCACTAAATAGGTTGAGAGGAAGAATGCAAGGAAAAGTCTAATGGTACTTACCATTAAAGCAATTACAGATGTCTTCATGAGTTACATAGGAAAATGTACTGTCATAGGAGTTAAGGAACGACATTTATATCAAGCCGTAGGCATTTAAATTAAGGTAATACATCTGAAGGTCAAAATAACTAAATGACCATATGCACAGAGGGACTGCCACACATGGACAGACAAAAAAAGAAGTCTAGTCTAGAAAGGTAAAGACAAAGGAGTTCCCATCCTTTGCTCTTAGAAGAAGCCATTCTGATTTTTGTGACATTTGAGGACCCTTAGGAGAGAGATGGAAAGCAGTGCACATTCTTCATGGAGGCAAAGGTTTCTGGGGGAAGGGAATGGATGGGGAAAAGGAGGCCATCAGCAACCATATCAGCTTCCACATCAGGAATTTTCTGTGATCGTTGTTTTTTGTTCTTGTATTAAATGGTCAGGTATGGCCACAAGAGGACACAGAGGATTAAAGAAAGGCTCAGAAAAACAAAGTATTATACTCATAGGTCCTAGTGACGGGAGGCAAGGCAGGCTACTCAGGGCCACATGGTTAAGACAACAAGGTGGTCAGGAGGCAGAAGACAGGAGCAAGGGGAAAGCATTAGCCCAGAGCTTTTATTGGGGTTTCCTTGGGAAAAGAAATGCAGGGTGGCTGGGCATGGTGGCTCACGCCACCCAGCACTTTGGGAGGCCGAGGCAGGTGGATCACTTGAGGTCAGGAGTTCAAGACCAGCCTGACCATATGCACAGAGGGGCTGCCACACATGGACAGATAAAAAAAGAAGTCTAGTCTAGAGATGGTGAAACCCATCTCTACTAAAATACAAAACTTAGCAGGGCATGGTGGTGAGCACCTGTAATCACAGCTACTCTGGAGGCTGAGGCAGAAGAATTGCTTAAACCCGGGGGGTGGAGGTTGCAGTGAGCCAAGATCGCATCACTGCACTCCAGCCTGGGCAACAGAGCGACTCCATCTCAGGAAAAAAAAAAAAGCAGGGTGGGGAGAACACTACGATTAGCTAGTCTGGATAATTTTGTTTTGTTTTATTTTGAGACGGAGTTTGCTCTATCGCCCAAGCTGAAGTGCAGTAGTGTGATCTTGGCTCACTGCAGCTTCTGCCTCCTGGGTTCAAGCAATTCTCCTATGGCCTCCCTGGTAGCTGGGATTACAGATGCACATTGCCATGCCCAGCTAGTTTTTGTACTTTTAGTACGGACAGGGTTTCACCCTGTTGGCCAGGCTGGTCTCAAACTCCTGACCTCAGGTGATCCGCCAACCTTGGCTTCCCAAAGTGCTGGGATTACAGGCGTGAGCCACTGCATTTGGCCTAGTTTGGATAATTTTGGTGGGCTCTAAGCTATGCAGGTAGTCCCCCAGTTGTCTGGTACCTGACCCTGGGATGATTAAGGCAGAGGAATATTGCCACCTGGGGTGTATGGACTGGAGAGAGGAGGTCTGGACCTTGACTGGTTAGTTTATATATCAAAGGGATGCTCCTGGCTGAGCCCATGCTGTTTCTTTTTTTTTAATTTTATTATTATTATACTTTAAGTTTTAGGGTACATGTGCACAACGTGCAGGTTTGTTACATATGTATACATGTGCCATGTTGGCGTGCTGCACCCAATAACTCGTCATTTAGCATTAGGTATATCTCATAATGCTCTCCCTCCCCCCTCCCCCCACCCCACAACAGTCCCTGGTGTGTGATGTTCCCCTTCCTGTGTCCATGTGTTCTCATTGTTCAATTCCCACCTATGAGTGAGAACATGAGGTGTTTGGTTTTTTTGTCCTTGCGATAGTTTGCTGAGAATGATGGTTTCCAGCGTCATCCATGACCCTAAAAAGGACATGAGCCCATGCTGTTTCTAAGAAGTGGCTAGTCCCAGGATGGGCAGTCTCTCCTCAGCCAGAAAGGTTTATGGAGATGTCAAAATACCATAATATACAGAAAACTTTATATATATCACACATAACCATGGTTGGGGCAATGGGAATGGCCAGCATCTCGTAAAGCAGGGCAGCGAAGTCCAAGATAAAATAGATTAATGGCTTTTGAATTTCAGAGCTCCACAGAACACAGCTTGAAAACTCCCATTGTTCTCAAACTGTTAAGGGGCTCTGATCCATACAAAGGAAATAACAAATGAGATCATGGACTTGTTCACCAAATACATGAAAATGTGAAAAGTAAATTATATTGTATACATTAGTCAAAATTTCATGAGGTGCTACAAGGTAAAATGTGGTTAGTTTCTTTAAGAGTACAGGTAAGTTCATAAACTAAGAGAATCACAGATACCTGAGAGAAGACGGTGGTTTGTAAGAAACACATGGATATGTGTTTTTATATATATAATAATGTTTTTATATATTATATATAAATATATTTTATATATTATATATGATATTATATGTATTATATATAATAATGTTTTTCCCCCAATATATATTGTTGATAGGCACACACGACTTAGACCCCTGTTCTCCAGTAGGAACTATTTTGGGGTTCATGTTAGGCAGAAAGTATCAAGGATTGATTGTGGACACATCATATCTCATCTTTAAACGAAAAATTTTCAAAACTTTGAGAGCTGCTGAATTTTATACTTCAGAACACTGAACATAATTATTTAAAAATACAAATGTACTTAACAATGGCTTCTAATATTCACAGATTTCCTAAGCACACTGGCTAGCATACTGCATTCTATCAATTGGTAGACCAAAAGTTGGCTAATCTCTTTTTCCCCCTCAGTGCAACACAGGAATAACGCTAACGGATCTGTACTATATAACTTAAAAAGGTAACATTTAGAAAATATTAGTATATAAGAATATAATAAAATTAAAATGTCATATTTACTTATAAAACTTAACTGTCTAAAAACAAAGTGAATGATCTTTAGACTGAAATGATTTATACATACATATTCCAAAGCTATATGTATATGCATAACTTATTTAAAAGGATATCTATTATTAATGGAATCGTCCATCACATTTTTGATGCTTTGCTGTAGCCACAACTTCTGCTGATCAAGTTCTCTTTCCTTCAGTTCTAGATCTTCAATTTCAGCTTTAAGATATCTTAATCTATCTATGACTTCTTTAGTATTACAGCCAGCACCTACACCTCTTAAAAACATATGAGAATTAATATCCTCAGTATCAGATCTAGGTTAATATCACTTAATTTTTACTGTAATAAAACTGACTTATTTAGTAATATATTCAAGACAGAAGTCTTTACACTCTTAAAATCAAGCACTAAAATCCTTAAAAATTTTAAACACCATACTTCTTGCTTAGAAAATTTATTGACAAGAACAACCAAATTACAAAAATTCTCAATCTTCCCTACAGTGTTTTTTTGTCATCTGGAAGGCCAGACTGGTTGGTGACTGGGTACCAAAAGAGTGTGCTCAGCAGTCACACCTAGCAGTCTCAGGATGTGACTGAGGTGCTGGTAAAATAAATTACAACATTTTAATGTTTTGGTGGAATTTTGGCGAAAACAAAACAAGACAAAAACTATGGTCAAAGGGGACACATTAGAAGAACAGAAATTGTTACATTCAAACGTATAACCAGGCCACAATTAATGACAACATGCGTTTCAATTAATTACTATTTACAAAGTACAAATTCCTATGAAAGTAGTTCTTGCTCTCAAGGACAGGTAAAGAGTTAGGAAGAGATTAATACAAGACAGTATGCAATGTGTGCCAAATGAGTAATAGCTTGAGGGAGAAAGTAAGATTTGAATTTTAAGAGCGAAAACCCAATATCCAAGAGAGCAAGGGAACACCCAACACAGGAGTGACACAGAGGCCCAGAAAGGTGTGTTCAGGGAAAGCTGAGGGGCCTGACTGAAATAGAGGATTTGGGAGATAGAAACATTGGGAAGGTCAAATTTTACAGAGCACTGAGAAGAAAAAAGGTTTCAGAAGAGGGTGCTGGTTTGTAACTTACTTCCACTGGATACTGTTTTTTGACTTTTTTTCAATCAAGTCAATTCCCTCTAAGACATTGGTGATATCATAAATTCTCCTTTTTTGCCTCACAGCCAAAGTATCAGCAGCCTGTTCAGGAAAGACAACGAGAACAGTGAAATAAAGGGCAAGTCATATTTTAAAGCCAAAAAGGGTTGATTATTAAATCCACAACAAGTCCAATCTCAAATTTGACCCACTCAGTTGCTTGGGGACAATAGCTGAGCATGTTCAAAGCATCTCCCAAACACTGCAAATACCAAAGAAATTATTCCATTTAAAAGCTAGCAGATGTTGGAACAGAAAAAGAAATTAAGGTCATGACACAAAGCCTGCAAAAATAAAAGAACACAATAAGAATACTTTGTGTCACCTTATGGACTAATCCTGAGGAGGAGCTACTAATTGCCTATCCATGTCACCTCCTATCTTATTTCTCTGTTCATAAACAGTCTCATCTAAAGATGCATTACTTATTTTTTAAAATTTTAAAGAATTACATCTCAGCAATTTATTTTGGTAATTAAGACACTTGGAAATTCTGAACTATATGCACACTTATAATACCTTGAAATAAATATCTACATTTTTAAATTAATAACGAAAACAGAGGAATGAATCATGCCATCCTAACACAAAGCATAAAATCAGCAAGAAATCAGAATCAATAGCTCAAGATTGCACTAGCAACTATTATACAAAAACTTGGTAGCTGCATTCACATTAGATAAGATCAACAAAACAATATATGCTATCATGTTATGAATTCAACAAACAATTCCTCTGATTAGTTCCAATTCACATTTTTGATGTGTGTTCCCAAAAGAACAAAGAGAACCTCAAAGAAGTTTTCAGAGTGGATTAGACAATAGCCTATTTTGAATGTGGAGCCACATTTTAAGATCCATGGTAGTTACAAATATTTGTGTCTCTACTGACAATTTTCAGCACATTATCTAAAATATCTAAATGAACAGGATTTAGCTTCACATAATTGCTAACAGCTCTCCCAGCTTCGCATAATTGCTAACAGCTCTCCCAGAGAGCATCACTACTTTCTTGATTCTGTGAAAACCTAGCTCAGCACAGTGTTTGCAATCTGGACCTGCCTTCCCCCCAGAGAAGGTGCCACTGACAGCTATATTCACTGTACAGGCATTTGGGATCTTAAGAGAAATGTCAGTTCTCTCAGACACATTTTTTTGTATGTGCCACCAAAACCCCCAGGTTACTGCTGTCCCATCATTCAGGTCTTCCTCAAGAAGGGGATTCATGCCTCAGTGGACCAGGAGAATAAGCAGGATGTGGCAGAAGAAGGAAAAGCAGGAGAGTGGGGCTCTTTGTTCCCCAACTCTAACTTGGCACTGTCCCTTCTAGAGAACCAGAAAATTAACAGCAGGACTAGCCATGGTTTGTTTCATTGATACCTTCTTCCCTTGTACTTAGCAATTCCCTTCTTGTTTTATCGACCTTCACAGAATTTTTACTCTTGACTTCGAGGCTGTTTTTATGAAGAGCAATACACGACTGCAAAGTTAACGGTACAAATCTGAAGCTGAGGTTTCATTTCTCACTTTCCTCTCTCTAGAGAAGTAACTCAGAGAACTCCAAGCCATGGCTCTGTGTTACTGGTATCTATGTACTCACACAGAAAAGCATTCACAGCCATAGCAACAGCACTCTGGTTTTGGTATCAGAACATGTTTGTATGAACCAGACCACAAGATCTAGCTTAGGTCATTAGGCAAAGTGCCATGAGATTTAATTTTTAGCTCAAAGTTTTAAAAAGGTGTCTTGTTTATCATTTATATTTATTACTGCTTAACAATCACAACATTTAACCCCTAGTTTCTAAAACTAAACATTATTTCTCAAATACTTTACTATTTAAGTATGTAAACATATAAATGACTAACATGTACAGATCATATGTAAAAGAATCTCCAGGAGGGTTTTATTTTAGAAAGTCCCATCATTCTTTTTTTTTTTTGAGACAGAGTCTCCCTCTCTTGCCGAAGCTGGAGTGCAGTGGTGTGATCTTGGCTCACTGCAACCTCCACCACCTGGGTTCAACTGATTCTCCTGCCTCAGCCTCCCAAGTAGCTGGGACTACAGGTGTGTACCACCACGACTGGCTAATTTTTGTATTTTTAGTAGAGACGAGGTTTCACCATGTTGGCCAGGCTGGTCTTGAGCTCCTGACCCCAGATGATCCACCCACCTCGACCTCCCAAAGTGCTGAGATTACAAGTGTGAGCCATGGCACCCAGCCAGTCCCATCATTCTTAAGAAGTTCTGAAGCTAAACACACTGAGATCCAGTCCCAGGGCTGCCACTTCCTATCTTCAGCTGGCCTCATCGTAAGCTCACTAAGCCTCATTTCCTTTTTCATAAAATGGTATAACATATACTGAAAGGAGTATTGTGGGAATTAAACTGGATAATCTTACCGCAATGTCTACTGTATAGTGATTACTTAAATGTTGGCTAGTCAGCCTCATCATCAAATACAGGTTGAAACGGATCGTGGGTAAGACTGTGTTTAAGATTGGTTAAAGTTTGTGTGTATACAGATTTACCTTGTTTTATATAGTGTTTGAAAAAGTTGTGTGTGAATTCTTTAAAAACTAATTTGGGGCTTTAATATCTAACAGAATAATACCATGAATCTCCACCACCACCACCACCACCACTATCACCACTACCTTCCTCCATTCATTTAACACCAAAATGTTCCAGGCTTGGTTCTGGGTCTTAAAGATATAGATGTGACAGAACAAAGTCCCTGCCCTCAAAGAAGAGAGGGAAGTTAATAATATACAAATAATTATGTTTGGAGAGAATGCAGGCAAGAGGAAGGTGCTATATCAAATAGGATTTTCAGGGAAAGAGCTCTCTGACAAGGTGACATCTGAACATTTGAATGGAGTAGGAGACCCCTGTGAATGTTTGGTGGTAGAGCATTCTGGGCAGAGGAAGCAGCAAGCACGAAGGTTCTGAAGTGTGAGGGGTGCTTAGCTTCTTCAAGGAGAGGCAGGCAGGCCAGTGTGGCAGAATAATGAGAGGGAAAATGGAAAAAGGAGATAAAGACAGGAAAGGAGACCAACAAGATGGCGATGGCAATAATCCATGCAGGAGATGGTAGTGGCTTGGATGGAGGGGTAGCTATGAAGATGGTGAAAAATGTTAACATTCTGGATATATTTTGAAGGTATGGCAAGCAGCAGGTCCCTAGAGAGGAATCAGAAATGACTTCAGTTTTTGATAAGAGCAATTACAAATAAGGTATACTACAGAAGGAACCAGTTTGGAGCACTGGAAATAAAGAAACTGGCCTTGAACCTTCTGACATCCACAGGGAGAAAGCAAGACCACTGGACACGAGAGTGTGTGCTTAGGGGAGAGATCCAAGCTAGAGATATAAATTCAGTAGTCTTCAGCGAATAGACAGTTTATACCACAAGATGGAATCCACTAGTTTGACATAGGAGGTGAGCATATAAGGGAAGGTTAAGAACCAACTCTGGGGAAGTTTAAGGTCCAGGAAATGAGGGAGCAACCTGCCACTGAAGTCAGAAGAAAATCAGAAAGTGTGGGGTCTTGGAATCCAAGGGAAGAGAGTGTAAGAAAGTGTGACCATATCAAGTATTGCTGTCAGAGCAAGTTAGTGAGAACTGATCAGTGATTTGCCTTTGGAAAGATCATGGGTGACTTTGATCAGAGCTGTTTTGGCAGAGAGGTGGGGCTGAAAGTCTTAATGGAGAAATTTCAAGAAAGAATGGAAAGAAAGCTAGAATAGACAACTCTTGAAGAGTTCTGCTGCAAAGAGGTAAGAAGAAATGGGGCAATATTTTTAGGGAACTGTGGGGTCTCCAGGAAGTTTTTTTTTTTCCTTTTAAAGATGGGAGCTATTTCAACATGTGAGTATGCTGATAGGAATGATCTGGTAAAGAAAGAGGAATCATTAACAATGCAGAAGAGAGAAGGGATGACTGCTAGAGGTGGCAATAAGTAGGGAAGGCAGGATGTGAATTCAATAAGTGAGGACTGTCCTTAGATAATAACAGGGCATATTAATAACTGAAGTCCAGCAGAGTACCTGGGTACAGATATAGGTACATTAGTAGACCAGGTAGGGAGAAAGGTTAGACATTTCCTTCTGGTTGATTTTTATTCTCTCATCAGCACTGGGATCGGGGAGAAAGGAAAGGAGCTATTAATGGTTGAGAGGAGAGAAGAAAGTACAAAATATTCATATAAAAAAGCAAGACAATAGGTAGCATGGAAGGAACGCTGGACAGCACTACTGGCCCCTTTGTAGTTGGTGATCATGAATTTAAAGTGAGACCTATCAGCATTATTTTGCATTTTCCTCCAGCCCTGGACAGTTGCCTGGGTACAGACAAGGGGTAGGTGGAGAGCAAAGCAAGTCACCATTCCCAACCCATGCTTGCCACTGTAACTGTTGAATAAGTATATATATTTCTTAATCACATTTACTTTAAAAGGCTACATTTACTCTCATAGGATTTTACCTATACAGCCATAAAGGAAGCATCTAATTGTATCACATTAACTCAGTTTACAGAAAAAAACAAACAAAAATATTCCTCTGAAAGAATTAGATCTCCCTTCCAAATATTAAATCCTGTTCTAAAAATATGATAAACAAAGGTGAACAAAGCAATGTCTATAGGTGGAACAAAATTAAAGTCTGCAATGCTTCTAAGAGGTGCTCAAGACAAATGAACCAGGAAAGCTGAGATAGGTAGTCCATAAGTGCTAAAAACGGCTTTAATAATCATGAGGCCACGTCCCTTCATTTGAACAAATGAGTCCACTAAGACCCAGTGTTAACTCTGGATAGGGAGAAACATTATGTGGTAGCTTTATTTGAGTTAGGATTAGCTAAGGCTCATTGGCTCAGGCTTGTTCTTCTGATGGACCATGATGTTGTATTAAAAAGGCTAATATCAAAACAATAATAGGAAACATCCTGTCTTTCAGGTTCTTCACCTGCAAAGCAGGTACTTTATTTGCTGTCTTCCAAAATCACAAAAGTCAATACATATGCACTCAATAGTTTAGCTACTGTGATTCAGAAACGAACACTATGATGAAGCAGGCCAGAATCCCAAAATAAAAAATGTGCAACAGAAGTACTATATAAAACCAATCAGTTCCACTTGAAAAGAAGATGGGAAGGCCCCCAACTGATGCTCCAAAATTGCCTATATTTTAATGAGAATTAAAATAAAAACTGAAAGAACTTGCTTTCAACTGAGCCACATGGTACTTTATGTTGATCTATTTCATGATGAGGTTTGGACTAATTATTACTTAATTTTAAACACTGTTAAAGATAATTTATATCTTTAGATGTTAATGCAGAATGTTTTATTTCAATCCACAATTAAGAGGAACCTTTTATAAGCCAGTAACAGGATAATTGTGTAATAGAATCTTACAGAGACATTATCTAATTTAATGCTCATGGCAGCTTTAGTGTTCTCCCTGTTATACTGGAAACAGATCCACAAAGCTAATGAATGATCAAGGTGGAATTTAGCATTAACTGCATATTCATAAATACATTTGTGGTAAAACATTTTTAAATGGACTTATATGATTTCAAATGACTTTAAATAAATTTGGTACACAGCCAAAAGTTTCCAAGTTATATAACTGCATTGAAGAAGCAATTCAAATAACAATGGTCTACAGGAAGTTTCATATCAAGTGTATAAAATGGCCTGAAAAAACAGAAAGATCTTAATTTCCACTTATTATTGAAAAATAATAAACAGTAACAAAAAATTGCATACATGTCTAAAGCTCTGGGATTGTGACCAACACTTTATAGAATGAGGTTTAAAAAATGAAATAGTACCTAAAGTAGACAAAATGTTATAAGAGATAGAAAAATGAGAGATTACTTAAGGTGGGAGCAAACAGGAAATAGTTCCTGGAGGTGGCCACTATGTGTTTTCAATGGGTCTGTAAGGGCTACCAAATCAATAAGGAAATTAAATATAAAAGAATAAATAACTTACTTTAAAGACGCAAAGCGCTCCCTCCAGGAGCCGCATGTTTCAATTCCCAGTCACTACTCTACCACAAGGAAATCTCTCCTTAAAAAATCTTCAGGGGTCGTCTTGTCACTCCAAACTAACTGCTACTGTATTTGATATTTTTGAAATGCATAAGCTTTAAATTTTTAAAAAAAAATTTTTAATAAACTTTGTATAAACTTTTAAAAAAGGAAATTCATTTCTATTGTCTTACCAACAGAAATCATCAAAGATGACTCAAATGAAAAAAAGATATTTGATAAAGTGCCTATTTAACTAGGACAATAATGCTGAACCTCAGAAACCTATAAATTATTAAGATCTAGAGACTGCTTGCCTACATTTTCAATTGCATACTTTGAAAATTCTCTTGGCCGATGCAGTGGCTCATGCCTGTAATCCTAGCACTTTGAGAGGCTGAGGTATGAGGATTGCTTGAGCCCAGTAGTTTGAGACCAGTCTGGGTAACAGAGAAAGCTCCCCATCTCTACAAAAAAAAATTAAAAAAATTAGCCAGACAAGTTGGTACGTGCCTGCAGTCCCAGCTATTTGGGAGGCTAAAGTCGAAGAATCACTAGAACCCAGGAGGTTGAGGTTGCAGTGGGCCATGACTGCACCACTGCACTCTAGCCTGGGTGACAGAGTGAGACCCTGTCTCAAAAAGGAAAAAAAGAAAAAATAAATAATAATTCTTTTAAGTATTAACTTCCTAAAACAGGAGAAAGATTAAGTGTGAATCTGCTATTCTATTACTGAGATTTGCACCTACTTTTTCTTTTTTTTGAGACAGAGTCTTGCTCTGCTGTTCAAGCTGGAGTGCAGTAGCACAGTCTTGGCTCACTGCAACCTCCGCCTCCTGGGTGCAAACAATTCTCCTGCCTCAGCCTCCTGAGTAGCTGGGACTACAGGTGCATGCCACCACATCTGGCTAATTTTTGTATTTTTAGTAGAGAGGGGGTTTCACTATGTTGGGCAAGCTGGTCTCGAACTCCTGACCTCATGATCCACCCACCTCGGCCTCCCAAATTGCTGGGATTACAGACGTAAGCCACTGTGCCCGGCCTCCATATTTTAACCTCACCCTGTCAGCAACACAGCATAAAGCTTAGGAACATGGGCTCTGAGGTAGACCCCACTTATTAGCTGTGTGGCCCTGGGCAAGCTACTTAGCCTCAAATTCCTCATCTGTAAGATAACTATGAAGATATTGTTGCTGTGAGGATTAAATGAATATAATATTTGAAATAGAAGAGTGTCTGGCATAGCCGGGTGTGGTATTAAATTCTACAAAAATTTTAAAAATTAAAATAATAATAATAATAATAAATAACAGGGCCAGGCATGGTGGCTCATGCCTGTAATCCCAGCACTTTGGGAGGCCGAGGAGGGTGGATCATGAGGTCAGGAGTTGAAGACCAGCCTGGCCAAGATGGTGAAACCCTGTCTCTACTAAAACTACAAAAATTAGCCATGCGCGGTGGCAGGCGCTTGTAATCCCAGCTACTTGGGAGGCTGAGGCAGGAGAATCACTTAAACCTGGGTGGCAGAGGTAGCAGTGAGCTGAGATCGCACCACTGCACTCCAGCCTGGGTGACAGAGTGAGACTCTGTCTCAAAAAAAAAAAAAAAAAAAGAGAAACAAACAAAAAAACAACAAAGAGATAAACCTAAGTTAATCAGAAAACTAAGTTATACACAAAATTTCATTGCTTAAAGGATAACGAATGGTGTCAGGAACCTAGACTTGTCATATTCAAGAAAAATGTACTAGACAGAATCTACTAGAATGTACATGGATTTTAAAATAATCTAAAAAATTCTGAAGAAATTATAGTGAATATGAACTATGATTTGAGTTTACCCTAACTTTCATGTTAGCTGTCTTCATTAACTGCCGAATAGCCCATTCTCAAAACTGATTAAAACTCCCAAAATTACTGGGCACACACATACACAAACATACATGCATATACAGCAAAATGTCAAAAATTTCCTTCATGGGAACTTATAAATGTTACATATATAGAAGAAATAAAAAGATTAGACTATCTCAATAATTAAAACATAGAAAACATAAAACCACAAAATAAAACACGGACAAAAGATAGAACTCACAAAAACAAAAAAAGTTACCATTCTTGAAAAAGTTTTCAAACTTTTAATGAGTTAATAAAGGAATAATAATCAAAGGAATACACACCAAAACAATAAAAATGTGTCTATATGAAGGCTTATACATGAATTCATAGCGGTATTCATAACAACCAAAACTATACATTTAGTAGAGTAAATGTATTCATAAGCAAAGTGTGGTACATCCATAAAACAAAACACCACTCGGGGAGTGGAAGGAATGAACCATTGGTACATGCAATAATATGAATGCATCTCAAAAACATGCCAAGTGAAAGAAGCTAAGCACAGAGTACCTACGGTACGACTTCACTGACGTGAAACTCTAGAAAAGGGTATTCTAATTCACAGGAAAAAAAGCAGAGCAATGATTGCTTGGGATTGAGGATGAAGTTGAGGGCTGACTGGGAGGAGGCAAAAGGGAACTGTTTGGGGTGATGAGAATGTTCCACATCTGGTTGAGGTGATGGTCATTCAGGTACAAGTATTTATCAAAACTAATTTAACTGTTCGCTTAAAATAGGAGCATTTTATTGATTGATTGATCGATTGATTGAGATGGATTCTCTGTCACCCAGGCTGGAGTGCAGTGGCATGATCTCCACTCACTGCAACCTTCACCTCCTGGGTCCAAGCAATTCTCCTGCCTAAGCCTCCCAAGTAGCTGGATTACAGGCACCCACCACCAGGCCCAGCTAATTTTTTTATTTTTAGTAGAGATGGGGTTTCACCATGTTGGCCAGGCTGGTCTCGAACTCCTGACCTCAAGTGATCTGCCCGCTTGGCCTCCCAAAGTGCTGGGAGTACAGGCATGAGCCACTGCACCTGGCCAGGAACATTTTAATATATGTAAAGTATATATATAAAGTTGACTGAAAAAAAATACTATTCATTACTTTTCAAATTTGTAAAATATAAAAAAAATTAGAATACCCAACATTTATTTTATGTATGTATGTATACATGTATGTATCCATCTCTCTATGTATCTGTCAGTTACCCAACAAACACTTCAATGTAGCATTTACTATGTGCCAGATACTGTTTAAGTGCTTTAAAAATAAAAACTCATTTTGATAACTTCTTTAATCATAACCACCTGTGGTAGGTAATATTATTGTCCCATTTTTGGAAAAGAGGAAACCAAGGCTGAGTAACTTGCCCAAGGGCACTAAATATTGTAAAGTCAGGACATAAACTCAGAGATACCATGCTACTTCTGATGCTGTGAGATGGTTGGTCACAATCATATGCTGCTACTGGACTGAAAACTAATTTCATCTTTTTGCAATTTGACAACATTAAGTAAAGGACTTAAAAACTATTATTATGCTCTGCTCCAGTAATTCTTTAGTATAAACTGTCTAAAAGCCCAAAATGTTTTCTGGAACATTAATTACCTCTGTTACTAAAACCAGTGGACACTATTAAGTCCTGTTGCATCCTCTGTAGCACTCGACACTGGTTGGCTACTCCCTCATCGTTCTCTAGTCTTGGTGTTACCATACCCTCAGACTTTTCTCTTGTCTTATTTTCCCTTTCTTCTGCCCTCTGCTACTGAACTACTAGTGTTTCAGAGTTCCATTCTTGTTCCTCTTTTTGCTAAAAACCATTTTCCTTACATAAACTTCATAAATCAACCATATCCAAGTCAAACAGGAAGCCCTCAACTTTATCTTGGGTTCCAAACCTATAATTCCGATAGGCTGCCAGAGACCTACCCTAGGATGTCCCACAGGCATCTTATTCATGTCCAGAACTGAATTTACCATTCCTCTCAATTCTTTCTCCCTTTTGATAACTTCTAAGTGAAAATCACCACTATCTACTCCATTTACCAAGCCAGCAATATGGCAGTCATTGATAATTTTTCCTATTCCCATAGACTCCGCACCAGGTTCTGTCACTTCCACTTTCCTATTCCCATAGACTCAGCACCAGGTTCTGTCACTTCCACAATGTGAAGTCACCAGAATCTCTCCATTTCTTATTGTCCCTGCCTCTAACCTAGTTTAAGCCTGTAAATCTGCTTGCAATCCAATATTCTCTTCACACAACAGTCATCTGATTTATAGCCTCTCAAATGTACCCACATGTTTCTCTACCTCTTGGCTCTGACATACACTGTCTTGCTGACTAGGAATGTCCTCTCACTTAACTCAAAACTAATAGCTATTTGTTGAAAGCTTATAATGGACTGGCTGGGTCAGCATTGGTAACACAGAAGACAGTCCCTGGCCTACAGCGAAACATGGGCAAACAAAGGAATAAATAATTCCATATTGTGATAAAGGATAGTAAGGCAAAAACCCAGGCTGCTGAGAATAAGCAGGAACCTACTTCAGTCACTTCAGATTAAGGAGAGTCAGGACAAGCATCTGTATACACTGTATTCCCTTAGTTTCCATTGCTAACTGTCACAAATGACCAGAAATGTAGTTGTTTAAGACAAAACAAAATTTTTAAATAAAATTGGTAATTAAAAATCATATATATTGTTTACAAAATGTTGTTTTGATATATGTATACATTGTGGAATGGCTAAATCAAGCCAGTTAACATGCTTTATCTCACATACTGATCATTTTTTTTGTGTGTGGTAAGAACACTCAAATTCTATTTTCTTAGCAATTTTCAAGAAGGCAATACATTGTTATTAACTATAGTCACCACGATGTGCATTAGATCTCTCAAATTTATTCTTGTCTAACTGAAATTTTGTATCTTTTGACCAACATCTCCCCAAGCTCCTGGTAACCACCATCCTATTCTTAGATTCTATGAATTTGACTATTTTAGATTCTATATATGAGATCATGTGTCTTTCTGTGCCTGGCTTATTTGCTTAGCAAAATATCCTCCAAGTTCTTCTATGGCGTCAAAAACTGACAGGATTTCCTTTTTTTTTAATGGTTGAATAGTAGCACAAATTTATTATCTTATAGTTCTATAGATCAGAAGTCCAAAATGGATCTCACTGAGCTAAAATCAAAATATTGATAAGGCTGTGCTCCTTCTAGATGCTCTAAGGAAGAATCGATTTCTTTGCCTTTCCAGCTTCTAGAGGCTATCACACTTCTTGGCTCATGACCCCTTCTTCCAACAGCAGAAAGGTCATTTTCAAGCTTCCACCTCTTTGGTTCTCACTCTCTTCTTCCTTCTTCCACTTTGAAGAACTTTTTGATTACAACAGGCACAGCCAGATATTCCAGGAAAAATCTCCACATCTTGGCTGGGCACGGTGGCTCATGCCTGTAATCCCAGCATTTTAGGAGGCTGAGGCGGGCAGATCACTTGAGGTCAGGAGTTCGAGACCAGCCTGACCAATACGGTGAAACTCCATCTCTACTAAAAATACAAAAATTACCTGGGCATGGTGGTGGGCATCTTTAGTCCCAGCTACTAGGGAGGCTGAAACAGGAGAATTGCTTGAACCCGGGAGACGGAGGTTGCAGTGAGCCGAGATCACACCACTGCACTTCAACCTGGGTGACAGAGCGAGACTCCATCTCAAAAAAAAAAAAAAAAAAAAAAAAGGAAAAATCTCCCCATCTTAAAATCAGCTGATTAGCAACTTTGACCTTAGTTCCCCTTTCCTATGTAACTGAACATATTCACAGGTCCTGGGAATTAGGACATGACCATCTTTGAGGGACCACTGTTCTGCCTACAAAAACATCTAAAAGAAGGAAAAAAAAAAACTAAGACCAGACGGTTTGGAGAAGTGGCCAGTTGTGTGTTTGTGTATGTGTGGTGCAGTGGTGGTGGTGGGGTGTGTGTGTGTGTGTTTTCACACACGTGCAGAAGTCCATTTCAGGCAGCAGGAAACACCTGTGCAGCAGCCCTGAGGCAGGAGGAGAGGGCATGTGAGAGTGCTGAAAGACAGTCAGTGAGACTGGAGTCATCTAAGAGGGAGTGCATAGACGAGGTGGCAGAGGAAGGAGGGCCAGACTAGGCAGGATCTTGTAGGTGTCTGAACGTTGTTCTAAGTAGAGGTATAATATAACCTTAAATTCTTAAATTGTATATATATTGATGACATCTGGCTTTTGAGTCCCGGAGTTCCTAGGTCAGCTCCCAGCTACTCCCTGAAGCGTAAGGCTCAGGTAGGTGCTTCCAAACACCCCTCACAGTGTGAAAAGCGTGGAACTGCCCATTTCTCTGACTTTTTCTGATAATTATAATCTGGAAGCTACTAAAATAAAGAACAACGGGGCACACATTTGTGAATACATATTCATTGTATGAAATAGGAAAAAAACATAAAAACTTATATACCTACTAATAAGAATGGTTAATTCTGGGTAATGTGACAGATCAAAATTATGAAGACATTATAAATCATGTTTACAATTTGGAAAAAGAGGTTGGGTGCAGTGGCTCATGCCTACAATCACAGCACTTTCAGAGACTGAGGCGGGTGGATCACTTGGGGCCATGACTTTAAAACCAGCCTAGCCAACATGATGAAACCCCATCTTTACCAATACACAAAAATTACCCAGGCATGGTGGTTCACACCTATAATTCCAGCTACTTGGGTGGCTGAGGCAGGAGACTCGCTTGAGCCTGGGTGGTAGAGGTTGCAGTAAGCCAAGATCTCACCACTGCATTCCAGCCTGGGTCACAGAGACTCTGCCTCAAAAATAATAATAATAATATTAATAAGTAGGAACAATAAACATTTGATCTCAGCTATAAAAAGTTGCAAGAAATGGGAAATACTAAAAATTGTTGACAGTGGTTCTCTGTGAGTGGTTGCATACTGGGCAAGTTTTACTCTAGAGTATATTAACCTTTTCCCAAGCTTTCTACTGATACTTCAGTAATTGTATTTTAGGTTGGAAAAGGAACATCAGAAAGTATATCCTCACTTTCACAAAAATATTAAGATGTAAGAGGAAACTTACTCATAATTGAGGACAGTCAGTCTTTACTGGTGAAATTAAAACAATGATTTATTTAGGAAGGGATGGAGCAAGATGGCAGAGTAGGACGCTTCAGCAATTTTCCCCAGCAGAAACACCAATTTGAACAAGCATCCATACTATAACATACCTTCACAAGAGCTAAATAAGCCATATAAGAGATTACACTATCTGGTTGCAGCACAATAATAAGAAAAGTCACATTGAAGAGGGTAAGAAGGGCAGTTTTATATTACCCCGTCATCCTTCCCTCAACCCTAGGAAGCACAGCAAGGAGAGAGACACCATACCTTTAGCTCCAATGCTAGGATTGCCAAAGTAAAACCTAACACTGGTGAGACCACCACAACCCCATGTTCCAGGCTAGTGCGCATAGACTGAAGCTCTAGATCCAGCCTGGTGCCAAGCAGGATCACATAACCCGAGGCTTCAGGCTTTCAAGGCAAACTCAATCTCTGGGCTGCACCAATGCCAGGCTGATGTCAGCAGTCCAGGGCTCTGGACAGCTCACAATACCAGGGATATCTCAGTGAACTTTGGCTTCAGATTGCACCACTCCTGTGCTGGCCACATCTGCCAAAAGCTTCTGGCCTGCCTCAGTGCTCAAAGTGCTGAAAGAAACCCTGCCAGCCAAGAATACCAAACCCCACAAAGCTGTCCTTCAGAAATGAAGAAGAGATAAAGCCTGTTCCAGAAAAACAGAAGATAAGGGAGTTCATGACTACCAGAAGTGTTTTACAAAAAATGGTAAAGGGAAGTCTTCAATCTCCAAAAAAAAAAAAAAAAAAAGGATGCTAAGGAGTAACACAAAACAATCTGAAAGTCTAAAACTCACTTAAAAGTAAGTACACTGACTAAAGATATAAGCAATTTATGCAGCATCATCACAGAATTAAAGTATTCTGGATTTTGTGTAAAAGTTAAAAGACAAAACTATTAAAAATCATAGTAGCTGCAATAATTTTTAAGCAATAGACGATATAAAAAGATAAAACTTGTGACATCAAATATTCAAAATGTGAGGAGGGGACTGGAATAAAAGCATAGAGGCTTGTTAGGTTTCTTTTTGTTTGTTTGTTTTTGCGATCAAACTTGTTATCAGCTTAAAATACCGCATTGTAAGATATTTTTTTGTAAGCCTCATGGTAACAACAAAGCAAAAACCTATAGCAGATACATAAAAAGGCAAGGAATCAAAACATACCACTAGACAACAACATAATTTAGCCACAAAAGAAGATAGAAAGAAAGGAAGAAAATATCTACAAAACAACTAGAAAACAACAAAATGACAGTATTAACTACTTACCTATGAATGATAACCCTGAACGTAAGTGGATTAAGTTCTCCAATAAAAAGGCAAAGTAGTTAAATGGATTTTTAAAAACACTCAACTTATGCTGCCTATAAGAGGCTTGCTTCACCTGTAAGGACGTAGACTGAAAATGAAAGAACAGAAAATGATACTCCATGCAAATAGAAACCAAAAGAAAGCAGAAGTGGCTATACATATATCAGATTAAATAGATTTTAAGTCAAAAACTATAAAAAGATACAAAGGTCACTATATAATAATAAAAGGGTCAATTCAGCAACATGAGATATAACAGTTGTAAATATGTGTGAACCCAATATAGCAGCACCTAAATATATAAAGAAAACATTAATAAATCTGAAGGGAGAGATAAACAGTAATACAACAATAGTAGGGGATTTCAACAGCCCACTTTCAGTAATGGACAGAACGTAGAGACAGTAAATAAGAAAATATCAAATTTAAACTATACTCTAGATCAAATGAACCTAACATCCATCCAACAGTAGAAGAATACACACGCTTCTCAACTGCACACAGAACATTCTCCAGGTTAGATTATATATGAGGCCAAAAAACAAATCATAACAAATTCTAGAAGACTGAGATAATTACAAGTATCTTTTCTGACAAAATCATTAACAAGAGAAACTACAGAATATTCACAAATACATGGAAATTTAAAAACAAAAAACATGCTCTTAAACATCTAATGAGTCAATGAAAAAATACAAAGGGAAACTGAAAAATATCTTAACAAATGAAAATGGAAACAATATAACAAAATCTATGGAATACAGCAAAAGCAGTTCTAACAGGGATTTTTTTTTATGCTTGGATTGTTAGAGAAAACTAAGGAGGAATTTATATATATACACACCATATATATACCTTACATATATATATACCATATATATACACCTTATATATACACACCATATATATACACCTTACATATATATACCATATATATACACCTTATATATACATATCATATATATACACCTTATATATACCGTATATATACACCTTATATATACCATATATATACCTTATATATATCATATATACACCTTATATATACCATATATACCATATATATACCATATATACCTTACATATATACCATATATACACCATATATACCTTACATATATACCATATATATACCTTATATATACCATATATACTTTATATATATCATATATATACACACACACCATATATATACCTTATGTATATACCATATATATATATACCGTACATATATATACACACACACATACACACACCTTAAGTTCTGGGGTACATGTGCAGAACGTGCAGTTTTGTTACATAGGTATACATGTGCCATGGTGGTTTGCTGCAACCATCAACTCGTCACCCACATTAGGTATTTCTGTTAATGCTATCCCTCCCCTAGCCCCCCAACCCTGAACAGGCCCCACTGTGTGATGTTCCCCTCCCTGTGTCCATGTGTTCTTGTTCAACTCCCACTTACGAGTGAGAACATGTGGTGTTTGGTTTTCTGTTATTGTGATAGTTTGCTGAGAATGATGGTTTCCAGCTTCATCCATGTCCCTGCAAAGGACATGAACTCATCCTTTCTTACGGCTGCATAGTATTCCATGGTGTATATGTGCCAGATTTTCTTTATCCAGTCTACCATTGATGGATATTTGGGTTGGTTCCAAGTCTTTGCTATTGTGAATAGTGCCACAATAAACATACGTGTGCATGTGTCTTTATCATAGAATGATTTATACTCCTTTGGGTGTATAGCCAGTAATAGGATTGCTGGGTCAGATGGTATTTCTAGTTCTAGATCCTTGAGGAATCACCACACTGTCTTCCACAATGGTTGAACTAATTTAAACTCCCACCAACAGTATAAAAGCATTCCTAATTCTCCACATCCTCTCCAACATCTGTTGTTTCCTGACTTTTTAATGATCGCCATTGTAACTGGTGTGAGATGGTATCTCATTGTGGTTTTGATTCGCATTTTTCCAATGACCAGTGACGATGAGCATTTTTTCATATGTTTGTTGGCTGCATAAAAGTCTTCTTTTGAGAAGTGTCTGTTCATATCCTTTGCCCACTTTTTGATGGGGTTGTTTTTTATTGTAAATTCGTCTAAGTTCTTTGCAGATCCTGGATATGAACTCTTTGTCAGATGGGTAGATTGCAAAGATCTTCTCCCATTCTATAGGCTGGCTGTTCATTCTGATGATAGTTTCTTTTGCTGTGCAGAAGCTCTTTAGTTTAATTAGATTCTATTGGTCAATTTTGACTTTTGTTGCCATTGCTTTTCGTGTTTTAGACAAGAAGTCTTTGCCCATGCTTTTGTCCTGAATGGTATTGCCCAGGTTCTTTTCTAGGATTTTTATGGTTTCAGGTCTTACGTTTAAGTCTTTCATCCATCTTGAGTTGATTTTTGTATAAGGTGTAAGGAAGGGCTCCAGTTTCAGTTTTCTGCATATGGCTAGCCAGTTTTCCAACATCATTTATTAAATAGAGAATCTTTTCCCCATTTCTTCTTGGTGTCAGGTTTGTCAAAGATCAGATGGTTGTAGATGTGTGGTGTTTATTTCCGAGGCCTCTGTTCTGTTCCATTGGTCTATATATCTGTTTTGGTACCAATACCATGCTGTTTTGGTTACTGTAGCCTTGTAGTTTAGTTTGAAGTCAGGTAGCATGATGCCTCCAGCTTTGTTATTTTTGCTTAAGATTGTCTTGGCTATGCAGGCTCTTTTTTGGTTCCCTATGAAGTTTGAAGTAGTTTTTTCCAATTCTGTGAAGAAAGTCATTGGTAGCTTGATAGGGATAGCATTGAATCTATAAATTACTTTGGGCAGTATGGCCATGTTCATGATATTGATTCTTCCTATCCATGAGCATAGAATGTTTTTCCATTTGTTTGTGTCCTCTCTTATTTCCTTGAGCAGTGGTTTATAGTTCTCCTTGAAGAGGTCCTTCACATCCCTTGTAAGTTGGATTCCTAGGTATTTTATTCTCTTAGTAGCAATTGTGAATGGGAGTCCACTCATGATTTGGCTCTTTGTCTGTTACTGGTGTATAGGAATGCTTGTGATTTTTGCACATTGATTTTGTATCTTGAGACTTTGCTGAAGTTGCTTATCAGCTTAAGGAGATTTGGGGCTAAGACGATGGGGTTTTCTAAATATACAATCATGTCATCTGCAAACAGAGGCCATTTGACTTCCTCTTTTCCTGTTTGAATGCCCTTTATTTATTTCTCTTGCCTGACTGCCCTGGCCAGAACTTCCAACTCTGTGCTGAATAGGAGTGGTGAGAGAGGGCATTCTTGTCTTATACTGGTTTTCGAAGGGAATGCTTCCAGTTTTTGTCCATTCAGTATGATACTGGCTGTGGATTTGTCATAAATAGCCTTATTATTTTGAGATATGTTCCACTGATACCTAGTTTATTGAGAGTTTTTAGCACGAAGGGCTGTTGAATTTTGTTGAAGGCCTTTTTGCATCTATTGAGATAATCATGGGTTTTTGTCATTGATTCTGTTTATGTGATGGATTTATTGATTTGCGTATGTTGAACCAGCCTTGCATCCCAGGCATGAAGCCAACTTGATCATGGTGGATAAGCTTTTTGATGTGCTGCTGGATTTGGTCTGCAGTATTTTATTGAGGATTTTTGCATCGACGTTCATCAGTTATATGGGCCTGACATTTTCTTTTTTTTCATTGGCCCATTTGGTTTCTTCAGAGGCCTCGCTCCTTGGCTTACAGATGATCACCTTCCTGCTGTGTCCTCACATGGTCTTTCCTCTGGGTGGCAGCATCTGAGGCATCTCTTTGTATATCCAAATTTCCCCTTTCTCATAAGGACCCCAGTCAGATTAGATCAGGTCACAGCTTAATTTTAGCTTAATTATCTTTCAAAGGCCCTATCCCCAAATACAATCACATTCTGATGTATGGAGGTAAGGCCTTCAACATATGAATTTTGGGGGACACATTTCAGCCTATAACATCCATTAAGCAACAAATTCCATTCTGTTTTCCCTCAACCCCTGGTAACCACCCTTCTACTTTCTGCCCCTGTGAATTTGACTACTCCAGGTACCTCACGTAAGTGGAATCATACAGTATTTATCTTTTTGTGACTGGCTTATTTCACCTAGCATTATGTCCTCAAAGTTTATCATGTTGCAGCATATGTCAGCATTTTCTTCTTTCTAAGCCTGAAGAATATTCCATTGTATATATACCACATTTTGTTAAGCTACTCATCTATTGACGGACATTAGGATTGCATCCACATTTTGGCTATTATGAATGCCACTGTTATGAACACAGGGGTATACATACCTTCTTGAGGCCCTGCTTTCAATTCTTTGGGTATACACCCAGGAGTGGAAGGGTCCTGAGAATTTGTAAGCATGCACTAAAGTTCTCGCTGTCCTACCCACATATCTCTCCTTAGGCTAATTCTACCTTAAAATGTTTGCCTGGTATTACAAACTAGGGTCTTTTGTTGTCGTTGTTGCTGTTTTTCGAGACGGAGTCTTGCTCTGTCACCCAGGCTGGAGTGCAGTGGCGTGATCGTGGCTCACTGCAAGCTCCGCCTCCCGGGTTCACACCATTCTCCTGCCTCAGCCTCCTGAGTAGCTAGGACTACAGGCACCAGTCATCACACCCGGCTAATTTTTTTGTATTTTTAGTAGAAACGGGGTTTCACCGTGTTAGCCAGGATGGTCTCAATCTCCCGACCTCGTGATCTGCCCGCCTCGGCCTCCCAAAGTGCTGGGATTACAGGCGTGAACCACCGGGCCCGGCCAAACTAGTGTCTTCAATTATTTATTTATCCCAGGATGTATCTAAATCAGGCTCATAAACGGGTATGCATCAGGGACCTGTCAGATAAGACGCACCATACTTTATCACATTAATTCAGGTATAATTCAGGTAATTTATTAAGTTAAAGAATTATAATAAAAGAGATAAGCAATCTTCATCATGCTTAAAAAAGCTCATACTGACACCAAAATGGCAAATAAAATGTAGAACTTTAGTTATAACTTACATTTAATAGGAATTTTCAAAACAACATACAGATACATAGTCATGACTATCTTAACAGTTGTTCAAATTCTTAACTGTGAACAAGTGAAATCCTAGTTTAATTTATGCAATAATACAGAATATGTCACCAATAGCTTCATTTTCAGGAGCACAGTACCTCCTTCTTTTCCACCTTGGGCAGAGGAGTAAGAATAATCATGCATTTTTCCATGCCCTTATGCAAATGGAAACCTACCTACATACATTTATTTTTGAAGACTACTGAAAGATGGTATAACATAGAGAATAACAATAAATGGTCTAATTTCAAATCTTAGCTCTCACTTTCTACTGTACAACACCAGGCAAGTTATCTAACCTATCTTGGCCTACTTAACTAGCAGTTTCTTACGCTGTGAAATGGGGCTGTTCTGCCGAAATGTTCACTGTTGTTAAGAGGATAACATTAGCTAAAAACATGTAAAATGTTTTGCATATGGTAAGCTCTTGATGTATATTAGCTATTAACAGCATAAACTGGCAAACCACGTAGCTTGAAATAACCATGATATAATTTCTTATCTCACTGGAATAAAGAAATAATAACTATCCCACCTCCACTATTGTAAATGAGACTATATGGTGTAGGTGAAGCTGCAGAGATAATGAATAAACTTTCCTCACATCACTTTCAATGTCTTTCTATTGCTTCCTAATTGTTAAGTTATACTACAACAGCTTTATTAAAATTGATTTTCTATGTTGAGCCATGTTTTTTTTTTTTGAGACACAGTTTCGCTCTTGTCGCCCAGGATGGAGTGCAGTGGTGCGATCTCGGCTCACTGCAACCTCCGCCTCTTGAGTTCAAGCGATTCTCCTGCTTCAGCCTGCCAAGTAGCTGGGATTACAGGCGCCTCCACGACGCCTGGCTAATTTTTTTGTATTTTTAGTAGAGACGGGGTTTCGCCATGTTGGGCAGGCTGGTCTCGAACTCCTGACCTCAGGTGATCTGCCCGCCTCGGCCTCTCAAAGTGCTGGGATTACAGGCGTGAGCCACCACGCCTGACCGAGCCATGTTTTCAATTAGTTATATTATTAAGAAGAAATGGCCAGGCGCGGTGGCTCACGCCTGTAATCCCAGCACTTTGGGAGGCCGAGGTGGGAGGATCACGAGGTCAGAAGATCGAGACCATTCTAACACGGTGAAACCCCACCTCTACTAAAAATACAAAAAAAAAAAAAACAAAACTAGCCGGGCGTGGTGGCGGGCGCCTGTAGTCCCAGCTACTCAGGAGCCTGAGGCAGGAGAATGGCGTGAACCCAGGAGGCGGAGCTTGCAGCGAGTGGAGATCGCGACACTGCACTCCAGCTTGGGTGACAGAGTGAGACTCCCGTCTCAAAAAAAAAGAAGAAATGTGTCACTAAGATACAACCTTACGTTCTTATTCTCCAGCAGCATAAGATAGAAAAGAAATAGCATCTATGTGGTCTAGGATACTTTATGATATCCAAAATATTTGGATATTTTACTTGAAGTTTGATATACTTTTTTATTCTTTGGGATATTCAAAAACTGTTTCTTCAAGGCCGGAAGCGGTGGCTCACAGGGGAGACCAAGGTAGGCAGATAGCTTTGAGCTCAGGAGTTCGAGACCAGCCTGGGCAATATGGCAAAACCCTGTCTCTACTAAAAATATAAAAATAAGCCAGGCATAATGGTGTACGCCTGTAGTGCCAGCTACTTGGTAGGCTGAGGCAGGAGAATCACTTGAGCCCGGGAAGTGGAGGTTACAATGAGCTGAGATTGTACCACTGCACTCCAGCCTGGGCGACAGAATAAGACCCTGTCTCAAAAAACAAACAAGACCGGCCGGGCGCGGTGGCTCACGCTTGTAATCCCAGCACTTTGGGAGGCCGAGGCGGGCGGATCACGAGGTCAGAAGATCGAGACCATCCTGGCTAACATGGTGAAACCCCGTCTCTACTAAAAATACAAAAAAAATTAGCCGGGCGTGATGGCGGGTGCCTGTAGTCCCAGCTACTCGGGAGGCTGAGGCAGGAGAATGGCATGAACCCGGGAGGCGGAGCTTGCAGTGAGCCGAGATTGCGCCACTGCACTCCCGCCTGGGCCACAGAGCGAGACTCTGTCTCAAAAAAAAAAAAAAAAAAAAACAAGACCAACCAAAAAACCATATATATATATATATATATATATATATATATATATATATATATGTATAGTTTCTTTAACTGCGTTTAAAAGTCAAGTGTATAACTTAAAAGTTTCAAAAAAATTATGCTGAAATATGCCCCCACCAAAGTAAGAATACAAGAGAAAATGTGTCTTTATAATTTCAAATTAGAGGAAATTTATAATTGTCAGTGTGAGTCCATCTTTAATATGTATTATCAAACATGTCTTAATGGGCTGGGTATGGTGGCTCACGCCTGTAATCCCAGCACTCTGGGAGGCTGAGGCAAGCAGATCATTTGAGGTTGGGAGTTCGAGACCAGCCTGGCCAACATGGTGAAACCCCTTCTCTACTAAACATACAAAAATGAGTCGGGCATGGTGGCGGGCACCTGTAATCCCAGCTACTTGGGAGGCTGAGGCAGGAGAATCGCTTGAACCCGGGAGGTGGAGGTTGCAGTGAGCAGAGATCTGCCACTGCACTCCAGCCTGGGTGACAGAGCAAGACTCAGTCTCAAAAAAAAAAGGCTTTAACGATCTTTTACTATGGTGTATAATAAGAAATATCATTGGAAAGATTTCAATGTAAGATTTTTGGCCGGGCGCGGTGGCTCACGCCTGTAATCCCAGCACTTTGGGAGGCCGAGGCGCGTGGATCACAAGGTCAGGAGATCGAGACCATCCTAGCTAACACAGTGAAACCCTGTCTCTACTAAAATTACAAAAAAATTAGCTGGGTGCGCTGGCGGGCGCCTGTAGTCCGAGCTACTCGGGAGGCTGACACAGGAGAATGGCGTGAACCCGGGAGGCGGAGCTTGCAGTGAGCCCAGATCGCGCCACTGCACTCCAGCCTGGGCGACAGAGCAAGACTCCGTCTCAAAAAAGAAAAAAAAAAGATTTTTACATATATAAGTATATATAAATAAATGAAAAATATACGTAAAATACATAAAACATATGTTTTTCATACATATATATGAAAACTAAAGACATTCAAACTCTTTTCTAGGAGTATGAAGTCATTAATATAATGAGACAGTGTTATTGTAGAAACCTTTGAATTTTTAGGAGAGTTCCAGAATGAATAAAGCAATTATTGTCATGAAATACCAAACTTTACATCCTACTCACTGCCTCTGTGACTTCTGTAGGGCAATTATATAGCCACAGATGAAACAGGAGGAAGCTAAAGAATTTCAAGTCAAGAAAGGGCAAAGTTCCACCATATCCTGAGGCAAGCTGAGGGAGAAGCCCTCAAAGTCCAGCCGTCAGAGTTCAGTTTTACCTGGAAAACCCCAAACTTCCCTGATTTTCTTACACCAAAGTCACAGGCTACAGCTGAATTTCTAGATTTTGAACAGCAGTTTGCCACCTGTGCTTTGTAACATTCCTGGCTTTCTCTGATAACTTCATGACTTCCTGTGAAATTCTTTAAACAGAATCCATTTTAATTCACTACAATTTAAATACTACACATGCCATAAATCACTTTCAGGGAGAGAAAGGAAGAAGGGGCTGTGGTGGAAAAAAGAGAACAAGGAATTTCCAGAGGTGGGAAAAAAATTCCAGGAATAACATATCAAAAAGAAAATAGTAGAAATTACTTACCAAAATGCAAAATATGTGCAGCATGCCTCAGTTGTATGAAGTTGAACAATTTAGGTAATTCAGTTCAACAATCACTGATTGAACACCAACTACATCCAGGGAAAGGAGAGGGCACTGAAAAGATCTACTTCCCCTTGGGCTACACTGGAGGAGGGCCTCTAGCAGAAGAGTTGGCCCCTGCAAGTCTTGGTCCTTACATTCAGGGAGCTGCCACTGCTTTATGCAGAGCCTTGAGGATGCAGTGACACTCTCAAGCCAGGTAAGGTGGTCCAGGCACTCCCCTGGGAGCTGGGGCCAATCCTCCAAGTAAGGCCACATTTAGGGAGTCAAAGGGGATTTGCAGTGATTATTGGGCAGTTAGTGTTTTTTGTTTGTTTGTTTCTAAAACTTTAGTTCTTAAACTTCGCGCGGAGTGACCACATTCTCATTATCCTGAGCGCTGTTGAATTCTTCCAAATCCTTCCTAGATCGGTTAAGTCATTCTGTATGACAGAACAGCTTTTGATGCCTGCTCCTGTTTGAAAAATCTGAACGCTGTAAAGGACGACGCAGGGAGAGAGTTTACTGAGCACTTCCACCTCTTTGGGTGAAAGTTGTAAAATATCCCCTTTTCGTGTGACAGCAGATCTCACTTTTGGAAACCCATGACACATGCCAAATGAAGTCACAAATCAAATACCCCTCCTAACTATCAGGGTGATGAAAGAAGTGCACAAGGAAGATTTAATACTATTTTATCGGGGAGGGGCGTGGAAAGAAGTACTCTTTTTTTTTTTTCTTTCATCTGGTAGAGATGGCAGACTGGGTTTTGTTTTTCCTCCTTTTTATTTAAACTACAGGAACATGGTTCCAACTGGAATCGCCTATTAAAACCATCCATTCTTAACAGCAAAATCGATATCCACGGTGTCTCCGGGCAAAGCGCCCGTTACCCCGTGAGCCTCTGCCACAGGTGGACGCAGAGCAACAGACACTCGGTTACCCTCAGGTCCCTGCGCCCGGAGACAGAAGCCACGCGGGCGCGCTCGAGGTCCTGGGCTCTTTGTCGAGAGCCCAGCGTGGCGCCGGGCCCCATTGGTTACGCGTCCGCTCGGTGCCATCCTGGTCCCTCGTCCCTCCCCCATCCCGGCGTCCACGACCCGGGCGCAGGCCACATGGTCCTCGGATTGCCCGGTCCCGGGTCCCCGCAAGGCGCGTCTACACCACGCCGCTAGACCCACGCGGCGAGGGGCTGGGCTTCCCCGGGGGCCACGGGTTCCGAAGTCCGCCCCCGTCCCCGCCTCCGGAGCTCACCGCTTTGAGATCCAGAACGCCGTCCTTGGCCTCCTGCAGCAGCGACACGAACTTGGTAGTGAGCAGCCCCAGGCTCTTCTCGTGCCTGCTGCTGCCGCCCCCGGCGCCCCCGAGCTGCGGCGGCGGGGGCGGCTGCGGGGCTTGCGCCTGCGGAGGCTGCGGCGGCGGCCGCTGGCCCTGCCCCTGCCCTGCCGGCGCCTGCTGGCCCGAGCTCGCGGGCTCTGCCGCCGCCATCGCGTCCCGGCCCCGCGGTGGTCGGGCCCCCGCGCACTTTCGCTCGCCGGCCCCGCCCGCGGCCACCTGCCGGGTCGGCTCCGCTGCGGCCGCTTCCCCGCCCGCCGAGAGCGGTAGTGCGGGTCGCTGGCTGCTGCAAACAACAGGTGTGCGGCGCCCACGGGAGTCTGGGCCGCTTGTCACGCCGGGCCTCCGCCCCCTCCCCAAGCCCGGGGAAGCGTGAATGAGGCCCACGACCGAGGGGGGAGGGGTGGAAACGAGGAGAAGGGGCTGCGAGGGGTGGGGACCTGAGTTTAAATGGCAGGAAGTGACGCCGCCGCCCGCCGTTGCCTAGAAACACATTTTTCTGTAGGAAGGAGGAGCGCACGAGGAGGAGGAGGGGTGTTGGCGCGTGTGTTTCACACTCGCCTCCCTGGCGTTCGCGAGCTGACCCGAGGAGTGGTAATCTCACGCGGCAAAGCAGGGAGGAAGAAAAAAAGGAGACAAAAGAAAAAAAGACTTTTATCTGGGCAGAAAGTCACAATGCCTAGCGGCCAAACGTTTGTGAGCGGTGAAGTTGGTTGACTGCTCAAGTTTGCAGAGCTTCAGCAGTAGGTTACTTTCTCTGGACGGTTTCTGCTATCTTTGCTCTTTTCGAGCTCTAGCATCGTTTGCAAATATTTCAATGACTTGGACCAAGTGCAGAGTTTTACTTCATAGCTCACCCTTTTAGATTCGGAGTACAGAAAAAGGCATCGTGGAGTTTTAGGGTTGGTTTTCATCAATCCTTTCCAAGGCCTTTACTTTCTACATGGAGAAACGTGTAGAGGGAGAGGTTGTGAATTGCCAAAGACATGCCGTTAGATTCCAGATCTCCTGTGTTTGACCAAAGTTCTTGACCAAAGTTCTTAATATCTTATTTGAACCAAATTATATTGTATTTGGAATATTGGGTAGCCACAGGCCCTTGGACTTCAGTGATATTCCAAACTATTGATGGCAAATGACATTATGGAGATCTGAGTAAAAGAAAGTCGTTGGGATTTTTTCCTCATTATATTACAAACTCTTGAGAATCCAGACTAAATTTTAAATGACTTGTTGTCACACTCAACACTTTGAATATAGTAGACAATAAAGATTAGGCGAATGAGACCAGGCGCGGTGGCTTACGCCTGTAATCCCAGCACTTTGGGAGGCCGAGGCAGGCAGATCATTTGAGATCAGGAGTTCGAGACCAACCTGGCCAACATGGTAAAACCCCGTCTCTACTAAAAATACAAAAATTAGCGGGGGGTGGTGGTGCCCGCCTATAGTCCCAGCTACTCCAGAGCCTGAGGCAGGAGAATCTCTTAAACCCAGGAGGCAGACGTTGCAGTGTTGCAGTGAGCCGAGATGCCACCACTGCACTTCAGCCTGGGCAACAAAGCAAGACTCTGTCTCAAATAAAAAAAAAAAAGATTAGGTGAATGAAAATTCTATATGGCAATAATTAATCAAGAAGATTTCATGCAAGAAAGATTTTGCTTAATTTTAAGTAACAATAAACTAACAAAAAAGGTCACTGAAGCGACATCAAATACAACAGCATTAACTAGTAAAGCTGAACACACCATTTATAACACATCATAGGCACAGAACTTTATAACCTTTATTAATAACCTATTCATAATAACCTTTATTTTAATCAAATCTATAAACAAAACTTAAAATTGAAAATCTGAAGTAAAACATGAAAAATTCAGTTGATACAACCATTTTCCAACAACCTATCCAAGAAAGGCTATCTTTATTTGATTTGACATGGGACACATCATTGACAAGTTTTGCAAATTTATTTTATTGATTATTGTCAAGTAGTATTTCTTAGAACATACTGAATTAGGAAGATTCTAATTTGTTTTTAACTTTATAACAGAACATTGTGTTATATGTGCAGGGACAGGAATTAATAACACTAAATGTATTAATATTTTTAAAACTTACACTTCTATGGTGTCTTAGTTTGAGAAAGTACCATAAACTGGGTGACTTAACGGAAATTAATTTTCTCACAGTTCTGGAGGCTGCAAGTCGACGATCAGGAGGCTGCCATGGCCAGGTTGTGGTGAGGGCCCCCTTCTTGGCTGTCAGATTGTGGCTTTCTCATTGTGTCAAATGGCAGAGAGAGAGAGAAAGACAGACAGAACAGAGACAGCATAAGCTCTCAGATTTCTTATAAGGGCACTAATTCCATCTGAGGGCTCAATCTTCACGATTTCATCTAAACCTAATCACCTCCCAAAGGCCCGAGGGTTAGGGTTTCAACATACAAATGTTGGGGAGATATAGTTCATCCCATGGCATGTAATCATATTTTATAGTAGCTATCTTGGTAATTTTTAAAAACAATATTTTTTAAATTTCAGCTTTAAAAGGTTTTCTACAAAGCAATTATATTATTAGTGATTCTAAAAGGTCAATTAACAATTTATTTTGCACTGTTATTTGTGTTTTTCACAATGAATTTTTTATCTCTTTAGATTGCCTGGGGTTCAATTAGAAATTATTCACAAATTAGCAGCCATTTTAATTAGCATTCAAAATCTTATGTCTGTCTGAAGAGCTAAAAATCGCTTATACCAGTGGTTCCCAGACCTTAGGGGAAAAAATCATCTACAATGTTTGTTAAAAATCTAGATGCTTGGATCCAAACCCCAGGGATCAAATTAGCATTTGATATGAGAATATGACCTGTGAGTCCACATTTTTCACAGTTCAGATAATTCTCATGCACAACATAGTCATTCTTTGAGAAACGCCAAATAGCACAATGAAAAATAATGCAATATATATTTTTCCTAAAAATCGACAAAAAACAGAGATTGATAATGCAAAAGTTTTTTAAATATTGCTAAATGTTTTTAAAAATTCTATTTTTTAAAAAAACTAAGAAACATGATTTTTTAAAAGTTATGATACAAATAATGTTTAAGAACATGATATTGATCAGTTTTGTAATTTAACTTTTATTTCTGTATCCTTTTGACTATAAAGGAGATAACTCTCAAAAGGCTGTAAATTCCTACATCAGTTCTTTGTGCCATTTCTGACAAAGGCTTAAAAATTATTTCCAACAAAAGTCAAAGCTGGCTGAGTGCTCACGCCTGGCTGGGCACTCACGCCTGTCTGTAATCCTAGCACTTTGGAGGGCTGAGAGAAGAGGATTGCCTGAACCCAGGAACTCAGGACCAGCCTGGACAACATGGCAAAACCCCATTTCTACAAAAACTACAAAAATTAGCTGGGCGTGGTAGTGCACACTTGTAGTCCCAGCCACTAGAGAGGCTGAGGTGAGAGGATCACTTGAGCCCAAGAGGTCAAGGATGTAGTGACCTGTCATCCTGCCACTGCAATCCAGCCTGAGTGACAGAGTGAGAATCTATCCTAAAAAAAAAAAAAAAAAAAAAAATCCAATTGAACTAAACTATATTTCATTGACCTATAAGGGTAATAAATGCATAACAGTAATCCTTCATTAAATTCAATTTACGCTGATTAGTTGGGTAGATACTATTTTCAATTATAATATTGTTTATATGCCCCTGGTTAAATTTTCTTTTTTTAAATGCATTTTGGAAGTGCAGCTCCTTAGCTAGTTCAGGACTAAGAAGGAAGGCTTAAATATTTCAAAACAGAATGATTTCTTAGTCCACAGCTCATTAAACTTATAGTATCTAACATTTGTGGAATTTCACAAATGCCATTTTTATAGAGATTCAGGATCAATTTAAAATATGCACAGTTTTGTCATAATCTGGTAGTTAAATATTTAAGAAAATCCAACAAAATTTTACTTGTTTATTGATGATGACAGACTGACTTTTTTTTTTTTTTTTGAGATGGAGTTTTGCTCTTGTTGCCCAGGCTGGAGTGCAATGGCATGATCTCAGCTCACTGCAACCTCTGCTTCCCAGGTTCAAGAGATTCTCCTGCCTTAGCCTCCCTAGTAGCTGGGATTACAGGCATGCACCACCATGCCCAGCTAATTTTGTTTTTTTAGTAGAGGCAGGGTTTCGCCATTTTGGTCAGGCTGGTTTTGAACTCCTGACCTCAGGTGATCCACCCACCCTGGTCTGCCAAAGTGTTGGGATTACAGGCATGAGCCACCATACCTGGCCATGCAGACTGATTTTTTAAGTGCATTAGCCCATTCGGTGATCATGAATGGTTGGAACTTTAGACTCTCAGATGCCCTTTGAGCTAACAAATCTCCATCAAAAGACTGCTACATCAACCCTAATACCTTCTTCTTGTAATCTAAGTTAATGAAAATAAAATACAGTTTTCCATTTTTCCTTTCAAAACCTTGCAACATACAGGCCAGGCACGGTGGCTCACACCTGTAACCCCAGCACTTTGAGAGGTCAAGGTGGGTGGATCACCTGAGGTCAGGAGTTCGAGACCAGCCTGGCCAACATGGTGAAACCCTGTCTCTACTAAACATACGAAAAATTAGCGAGCATATTGCCATGCGCTTGTAATCCTAGCTACTCAGGAGACTGAGGCAGGAGAATCACTTGAACCTGGGAGGCAGAGGTTGCAGTGAGCCGAGATCGCACCATTGCACTCCAGCCTGGACAACAAGAGTGAAACTCCGTCAAAAAAACAAACAAACAAACAAAAAACCTTGCAACATACAAACATCTATCTTCTGCACTTTCTATGTTAAAAAAAAAGATATGTTTCAAAGATTATGAATCTTTTTATTATGATAAACAACAACATTCTTTGCCCACTCATGATATGCTTGGTACAAAACTATGAGAGAAAATGCATAGACTTTGTCTTCAGAAGTTTGTATCCTATAAGTAGAAACAGGAAATGCAGATTACTCTCAAGCATACATAGAAATATAATTCATACACTAAAGAGATTTCAAGTTTTATTTAGCAACTTGTACTCTACCTTTTTGCAAAACTTTATGAAGATTGCATCACTAAAGAGAGCAAGCACACAGATTTGGTAAGTTCAGTAATGTTTACAAAATAATAGGTGATGCATGCCAACATTGTTAATACTGAGATTAGGAGGGGCTTTCCAGGACTTAAGTTACAAATCAATGTTCTCTTCACCACTATTCAGGAAAAAAAAAAATCTGACGATCAAAGAAGCCCCTCCTCACACTACCAAAGGTTTAAAGACAACGGAAAAAAGTGGTATAGACAGATCCTCAAAGCCTCTCACCATGTCCTATTCTCAATGAGACATAGCCTAAGAAAACGGAATCTAAAAGCAAGACAGATACATTACCAACAAATACAGTAGTTTGTAGATGAAAACAAAAAATGATTTAACAAAAATAAAATAATCCATTGAAAGCTGATACGGGTTTGGATGTTTTGTCCTGTTCAAATCTCATGTTGAAATGTGATCCCCAGTGTTGGAGGTGGAGCCTGGTGGGAGGTGTTAGAGTCAGGGAGGCAGGTCCCTCATGAGTGTCTTGGTGCCCTCCTAGTGGCAATGAGTGAGTTCTCACTCTGAGTTCAAAAGCTGGTTATTTAAATCAGCCTGGAATTTCCTCCTCTCACTCTTGCTCCATCAATCGCTGTGTGACACAATGGTTCCTCTTGCCTTCCATCATGACCAGCAGCCTCCTGAGACCCTCACTAGAAGCAAATGATGGAGCTATGATTGCACAGCGTGTAGAATCATGAGCCAAATAGCCCTCTTTTCCTTATAAATTTTCCAGCCTTAGGTATTCCTTTACAGCAACAAAAATGGGCTAACACAAAAACTATGGCACTGCAAGAGCAGACTATGGCAGGGTGCAACTGGGTAGGAGAGAAGAAATCATAACCATGAAGCATGTTGAAAGAATTGTCTAATAGAGGTAATATTGCCAGGCTGTGATTGAAATCCTAGAAAGAATTCAAAGATTCTTATAATGTTGGACCTAGACCCCCAACTTCTCAAGGTTGTAGAAACAACTATTTCATTAGGTTTAAATAAAAAGATATTCCAACAGTTTAAAGAAATGGAGAAAAAACAAATTGCATCTATAAATCACATGCTTATTTAATCTGTAGTATAATGACTGCAGTTGGTACATTCCTTGAAGGAAGACAAGGCAAAATTTAGTCTAATTGCAGATGTAACGACTTTTCTTCTAAATTTCACTTTTACAAAACCTGGTAAGAGCCCTTGTGGAAAACTGCACAGCAACCCCTTGGTGGAAAGAAACTGATACAGTGTATTCCTATGGGAAAATAATGTTTTGCTTGGGTGAGTCTCAGATAAGACACCACAGATTGATGCCCCTGTAATTCATTCTCAGTATGTGTATAAACCAGAGAGAGGGTGCCTGCTACAGAAAGGATTCTTTTCATCTCTTTAAAGCCTGAACATATGCTCAACAAGACTCTGGGGCAAGGATCAGTGTGTTTATATTTGATTCTTGCCTTGGTTTCATAAGTTCTAATAAGGAGGTGTTTGTTTTGCATTGTAGGTGGTATCCCTGTATGCCTGAACCAGCAGGTCTTTCAGGAAGTAAGAACTGGGTGAGAGATTTTGGTAAAGCGCTCTAGGAAAGATAAGGTATGAGCTATCTGATGGGAAGAAATTAGATCAGACTGGGACTTATATCCCAAGCTGTGACAATAAATGTTGGGAATACCAGCATGACTGGGACATAATTAAAGAACACAGTCAGATTCTAGGGACCTTTTAACAGCTGTATTAGATTTATGAACTCCAGAGGAGGCACATTGACAAAAATGGTGGTTACATCCACCACACTGCATGGAATGTATAATTGTGAGTCAAGCCTTAGGATTAGGCATAGTGAATGAGACCCCTTGTTCTCCCTCTCTCCACCAATATTACCAAGGAGTAGCAATACTATATCTCCAAAAGAAGTTAAAAAATAAAGAAGATAATTAGGGATCGCCATTAGAGTTCCATTCTATCTCTTTTGAATCCTCCAGTTATTTATGATCATCCCATAAATCATAAATTAGGTGGGATATCAAGACTTCTTAATGGAAATCTACCAACTGAGTTAAGTAGTCACAATATTGGCATCTTTACTCTCCTACACCTGGAACATGTGGATTCATCTACTATTTGTCAGAGATTTATTTACTGGGACTTGCAATGGTGATATCAACCTAAGGATATTTACTCTTTTTTTTTTTTTTTTTTGAGACAGAATCTCACTCTGTTGCCCAGGCTGAGGTGCAGTGGCAGAATCTCAGCTCACTGCAACCTCCGCCTCCTGGGTTCAAGTGATTCTCCTGCCTCAGCCTCCTGAGTAGCTGGGATTACAGGCGCGTGCCACCACGCCCGGATAATTTTTGTATTTTTAGTAGAGATGGGGTTTCACTATATTGGCCAGGCTAGTCTTGAACTTCTAACCTCAAGTGATTCACCCGCCTCGGCCTCCCAAAGTGCTAGGATTACAGAAATGAGCCACCATGCCTGGCCGGGTATTTACTTTTATCCATTCCACTGACAATATTTAATGTTAATAGAGTTTAATAAAGGAAGCTAGCAACTTTTCTTTATCCCCTAATACCTCAACAAAAAAAGAAAGGGGTTAAACTGTTATCCCCCCAAGAAACTCCGGGTCTGGCCATGTGAGTGACCATACTGGGATCCCAAGGGATGACAGCAATAGACTTTTTTCTAATTATCTTCCAGAATGTTAAACCGGAAACTGTTTCCCTAACATCTCAATCTTGAAGGAGCTCAGCAGTCTTGGAGAGAGCATATCTTGACTTTGGGAATTTGGTGAGTTGTATGCACAAGCTGGAAAATAAATGCATAAACATAAGTACATAACAGTACATAAACTGAAAGACTAGGGACTTTGAGTTGAGATACTTTTATTTATTTATTTAGAGTCTCGCTCTGTTTCCCAGGCTGAAGTGCAGTGGTGGGATCTCAGCTCACTGCAACCTCCACCTCCCGGGTTCAAGCAATTCTCCTGTCTCAGCCTCCCAAGTAGCCGGGACTACAGGTGCCTGCCATCATGCCTGGCTAATTTTTGTATTTTTAGTACAGACAGCATTTCACCAGATTGGCCAGGCTGGTTTCAAACTCCTGACCCCAGGTGATCCACCCGCCTCAGCCTCCTAAAGTGCTGGGATTATAGGTGTGAGCCACCACACCTGGTCTGAGGTACTTTTAAATCAAGATTTTGGATTAAAGGATAGGATGCAGAGTAGGCAGCCCTTCTTGGAACCCATGACCCAGACAGCCAAATGATTTGTAAAACCTCTGCCATCTTTTGAATAATCTCTAGACAAACTGCACGCACACGCATACAGTATGGGTCAATATAATGCCAACTTCCCTATCACACAATGACCTGAGCTGCCTATTATGAACTGAGGGCTATCAGCACCTCTTTCTCACAGATAAGTGAACCTAATACTTTGTCAGGAAATAGAAATAGAATATTCAAGATTATATAAATGGTAACTAAGTTTCGCAGAGTGTTTGCTACCTTAGTGCACAGTAAGGATTCCACAGGTATCCTCATTTGTACATATCCATGTGATATTAGAGAACTACTCATTCCCTCCAGTAGGCTGAAGTAGATATAGATTAAACAGCAATAGAGAGTGCCATTGAGAATGCCACAAGGAATCCTGGATCCTTATCTATTTATGGAATATAGCTAATATTATAGCTAAGTGGTCAGAACTGAAAAATTAGGAGTTTTAGGAATTGGTTCAGGCAAAAATTGGACTCATTGTCAGATCTTACTCAAATTCATGTGTCACATATAGACGGATACCTGAAAAATAAAGGATAGGAAGCATATAAAATAATACTGCCAATTTGGCATTGCCAAATACAGATGAGTACAACTTAACCCGAAGTAGATGCTATAACATTAATTTATCTATTGTAGTTTTGAAATAGTTCCAAGGATGGATGATGTGTTAATAAGGATGGCCTAGATTATGTTACAATAACAAATAAGATCTCACATCTCAGAAGCTTAAAATATCATCATCTGCAGTGAAAACGTATTGACCGGAACTAGTTGCATGGACCCACCCAACCACAATGGTGCCATGAAATGTGCCTCAAATGGAACGAAACTCAAATACTTACAAACAGCACTAGTGATGGCATGTTTGTGAAATGAGATGGCATAGACACTGTTGTGGCAAATCACTTCAACTACCAGCAAAAGAAGTCAGACTTAAGGAATACATCAGTGAGGTAAACAGGCAGAATTTGCTAAGAAAACTACATAGGAGCTCGCCAGCAGAGAGGCCTATAAAGGTCTTATCTAGGGTAGATATTTAATAAGAATTTTAGTTTTCATACTCAGTGATAAGATCCATAGCTGAAGTAAACTGCAGAGAGCTCTAGGCCGTTGCTACTCAAACTTGAGTGTAAATCCGTCACCTAGTGCATTTGTTAGGACTGTAGATTCTGGTCGGGTGCGGTGGCTCATGCCTATACTCCCAGCACTTTGGGAGGCAGAGGTGGGCAGATCACTTGAGCTTAGGAGTTCGAGACCAGCCTGGTCAATATGGTGAAACCCCATCTCTACTAAAAATACAAAAAATTAGCTGGATGTGGTGGTGCAGGCCTGTAATCCCAGCTACTTGGGAGGCTGAGGTGGGAGAATCACTTGAACCCGGGAGGCAGAGGCTGCAGTGAGCCAAGATGGCGCCACTGCACTCTAGCCTGGGTGACAGAGCAAGGCTGTATCTCAAAAATAAATAAAAGTGTAGATTTTTATTCAGCAAGTCTGGGGTGGTGCCTGAGAATCTGCATAACTAAGAAGCTCTCAAGTTATGTAAATGCTCCTGATTTTCTGATCACACTTTGTTTTGTTTTGTTTTTCTTCAGCTTTTATTTTTAGTTCAGGAGTACACAGGAGGTGCAGGTTTATTACATAGGTAAACATGTGCTGTGATAGTTTGTTGCACAGATCATCTCATCATCCAGGTATTAAGCCCAGTATTCATTAGCTATTCTTCCTGATGCTCTCTTTCCACCTGATGGCCCTCCTCCCCCATAGGCCCCGGTGTGTGTTGTGTGTTTTTCCCCACCATGTGTCTATGTTTTCTTATCATTCAGCTCCCACTTATAAGTGAGAACATGCAATGTTTGGTCTTCTGTACCTGCATTAGTTTGCTGAGGATAATGGCTTCCAACTTCATCCATGTCCCTGCAAAGAACATGATCTTGTTCACTTTTATGGCTGCATAGTATTCCATGGTGTATATGTACAATATTTTCTTTATCCTGTCCTATCAGCAATGGACATTTAGGTTGATTCCATGTCTTTGCTTTTGTGAATAGTGATGAAATGAACATAACATATGCACGTGTCTTTACAATAGAATGATTTATATTCCTCTGGGTGTATACCCAGTAATGGGATCTCTGGGTCAAATGGTATTTCTGCCTCTAGATCTTTGAGGAATCACCACACTGTCTTCCACAATGGTTGAACTAATTTACAATCCCACCAATAGTGTAAAAGCGTTCCTTTTTCTCCACTTCCTCACCAGCATCAGTTGTTTTTTTTTTTTGACTTTTTAATAATAGTCATTCAGACTGGCATGAGATAGTATCTCATTGTGGTTTTGATTTGCATTTCTCTAATCTCTGACCACACTTTGAGTAGCCAAATTCTAAGCTGTTACAACACACCATTATGTTGTTTTTCCAGAATACTGCTTCTGGTTATAAACTCTATTAAAAGAGCAGGCTTATAAATGGGGAATCAAATCACAGTATTATTTGTACTTACTGCCAATGGGATCATGGGATGGTATACTATAGAGACATGAAGTTTCAAAAGCCAAAGAAATTAACACTGGAAAGATTACTACCCATATTATAAGAAGTAGAACATGAATTAAATCAAATATACTTTCAGATCTTAATTTCAATTAGGACACTAGTGTTCCTTCAAAGGGTAAAAATCTCCCTGGATACCATTTTCTTTCTCCCTTGAGCATTTACATGGATATGAGACAATATTGAAATGTGGAAATGCTAACAGTGTATCAAAATGGGACTCAAAACCTGGTGATACAATAAATGTTGTGGAGGAACAGAGAGGATAGAATGGAATAGAATTGACTAATTCTATAAATACTATTTTAAAGTGGAATGCAGAAGAAATTTGTAAGCAATATGCCTAACTGCCCTCTGCAACATCTGAAGGCATTTGGAGGGTGGTTGTCATAGCTGAACAACCATTCCAAGAAAATATTTCATGAGGCCGGGCACAGTGGCTCACACCTGTAATCGCAGCACTTTGGGAGGCCAAGGCAGGAGAATTGCTTGAGCCTCAGAGTTCAAGACCAGCCTGGGCAACATGGTGAGACCTCATCACTAAAAATAATTTTAAAAAATTAGCCAGGCATGGTGGCATGCGCCTGTCGTCCCAGCTACTCAAGAGGCTGAGATGAGAGGATCACGTGAGCTGAGGCGGCTGAGGCTGTAGTGAGCCAAGATCATGCCACTGCATTCCAGCCTTGGTGACAGAATAAGACCCTGTCTTAAGAAAAGAAAAGAAAGAGAGAGAGAGAGAGAGAGAGGAAGGAAGGAAGGAAGGAAGGAAGGAAGGAAGGAAGGAAGGAAGGAAGGAAAAAAGGAAGGAAGGAAGGAAATATTCATCAAACTCTAAAATATTTACAAAGTGATATTCTTGGGTGAAGGAATTCACCATCAGGAAACAGTACCATTTATACTAAGAAAGCAAGAAACGGTCTAAAGACTTAGATGGTACAAGTAGCAGGGCAACATATATTGGAATAACATATGAGAGAGCAACTGAAGTGATAAAATCACCAAGTTGAGTGTTTCTATCATTCTGGAGGGCTAAAGTAGTGGTCTTCTAACAGGAAAGTACTTCCCACTTTCACTCCAAAGGTTTGTTCTTGGGTAGTGTACTTGTTCCCAGTCAACAAAAATTTCAATGGTTTAAATGCAGCTAGGTATAAATTGCCATAACCTTGAAACAGATTCCAGGTGGAGTACAGTAAGTTGCCTATACATTCTGTAGTGGTGGCTTAAGTGAAGCAGAAATGTTATGTAAAATATGTAGAAATAAAGATTCTAAGTTGGTATTGTCTTTAAAACATCACTTTGTAGATTGTTGGCAGTCAAAGTGGACAAAGAATGGGTGAACTCTAAGTATTGCACTGGATTACTGGATTATCATCTAGAGGCTGATGAAAAATACATGGCTTGACCAAATATAGTTGGCCACCAAAGGATAAAGCGTTAAAAGATAACAATGCTGACACATTTAATCCAGAAAGGCACACAAAGGTACAAGTTCTCATTGATAGTTAGCTTGACAGTGCCTATTGTGGACAAGAAACTATTAAGGAGGAGGAAATGCACCATAACCATCTACCACTAGCAATATGGCCAGAGATGATACTTGATATCTCATTTATCTTAGTGGTTCAAAGAGGAAATCCAGGTGGTCCTGGCCATCCAAGTCAGCCCATTCCGTTGATACAGGTGTTTCAGGTAGTACAGATTGGGGAGATACTTATTGCCAGGTGTTATTTTTAAGTTATGGCTTCCAGAAATTATCAGCATACTACTAACCACATAGGATGAGTTTGGAGGTGTTTCCTCCGTCTCCACTTTCTAAAAGACTTTAGGTAGGGACTGGTGTGATGGCTTATGCCTGTAGTCCCAGCATACATACTCCCTGCCTTGGGAGGCCAAGGCAGGAGGATTGCTTGAGGCCAGGAGTTCAAGACTGCAGTGAGCTGTGATTTGAGCCACTACACTCCAGCCTGAGTGACAGAGTGAGACACTGTCTAAAAATATGTAAATAAACTTTTAAAGGAAGAGTTTAGGATTGGTTTTATTTCTTTTTGATATCATTTATATTTGTTTTTGATATCGTATCAAATTTGATATCATGATATCATTATATTTATATTTCTTTTTGATATCATTTATTTCTTTTTGATATCTTTTATAGCAGGGGTCCCCACCCCCAGGCCATGGACCACTGCTGGTCTGTGACGTGTTAGGACGTGGGCTGCACAAGCAGGAAGTGAGCTGTGGACCAGCCAGCAAAGCTGAACTCCATGATCAGCGGAGGCATTAGAATCTCATAGGAGCATGGACCCTATTGTGAACTGTGCATGCAAGGGATCTCGGTTGCACGCTTCCTGTGAGAATCTAACTAGTGCCTGATGATCTGAGATGGAACAGTTTCATCCCAAAACCATCCCCAGCCACTGTGCCGTCTGTGGAAAAACTGTCTTCCACAAAACCGGTTCCTGGTGCCAAAAAAAGGTTGGTGACTGCTGGTTTATAGAATTCACCAGTAAAGCCTTCTAGGCTTGAGCTTTTCATTGTGGGAATTCAATTTCTTTACTTGTTATAGGTTGATTCAGATCTTCTATTCTTTCTTGAGTCAGTTTCAGTAATTTGCATCTTTTTAGGAATTTGTTCATTTTAACTAAGCCATCTAATAAGTTCTGTAGAGTCTAGAGTTAGTAATGCTGTTTCCTTTTTATTCCTGATTTTGGTAGGGTTTTTTGTTTGTTTGTTTTTTAAGACAGAGTCTCACTCTGTTGCTCACGCTGGAGTGCAGTGGCACGATCTCGACTCACTGCAACCTCTGCCTCCCAGTTTCAAGTGATTCTTCTGCCTCAGCCTCCCTAGTAGCTGGGATTACAGGCATGAGCCACCATGAGCAGCCATCTGATTTTGGTAGTTTTTATTCTCTCTTTTCTATTGCCCACAGTTGCTAAAAGTGCATCAGTTTTGTTTATATTTTCAAAGAACAGATTGTTGGTTTCATTGCTTTTCTCTACTGCCTTTTTGTTTTCTATTTCATTAATTTTAGTACTCATCTTTAATATTTCCATTCTTAGGTTTAAGTGGCTCTTATTTTTCTGATTTCTTAAGAGGGAAGATTAACTTATTGAATTGAAACCATTCTTTTTAACATGGGCATTTAAAGCTATACATTGCCTTCTAAACATTGCTCTGCTGTATCCTATACATTTTGCTATGCTTTATTTTTATTTTCATTTAATTTAAAATATTTTCTAATTTTCTTTGTGCTTTATTTCTTGACTCATAGGTTATTTAGCCATTTACTGTTTAATTTGCAAATATTTTTGTATGTCTCAACCTTCTTTCTGTGGCTGATTTCTAATTTAACCACATTGTGGTTTCAGATAATACTTATTATGACTTAAAACTTTTTAAATCTGTTGAGATTTGTTTTGTAGTCTAGCATATGATATATGCTAGATAATGGTAGATATCTACTTAAAAAGAATGCATATTTTGTTGTCTTTGAGTGGAGATCTCTATAAAATATCAGGTCAGATTAGTTTATGGTGTTCAAGTCTTCATCACTCTTGCTGATTTTCTGCAGGTTGCTCTGTGAGATATTAAGAGTGAAATATTGACATTGGCAAATACAGTTATTGAATGGCCTATTTTCCCTTTAATTTTTGCTCATGTATTTTGTGGCTTTGCTGTTTGATGCACATAATGGTTATATCTTCACTATGTATTTGCCTTTTGTCATTATGAAATACCCATCTTTATTTCTAGTAATATTTCCTGCCTTAAAGTTTATTTTGTCTAATATTAATATAGCCAACCCAGTACTCTTACAGCTGCTTTTTAAGCAGTGAATTGCAGTATAATTTACATACCATTAAATTCACCCACAGTTTAAGTGTAAAACTCAATAATTTTTATAGACCTGAAATGTACAGAGTTGTGCAAACACCATGACAAAGCAATTTTAGAACATTACCATCACTCCAAAAAGATTCCTCTAGCTGATTTGGAGGCATTCACTCCCCATTTGTATCCCTGGCCCCCATCATCCACTAATCTGCTTTCTGTCTCTATACACTTGCCTTTTGCAGACGTTTAATATAATATAAATATTATATTAATATATAAATATTGATATAAATGGGATCATACAATATATGACCTTTTGCATCTGGCTTCTTTCACTGTGCATATTGGTTTTGAGGTTTGATATGGTTTGGCTCTGTGTCTCCACTCAAATCTCATCTCAAATCGTGATCCCCACACATCGAGGGAGGGACCTGGTGGGAGGTGATTGGATCATGGGGGCAGTTTCCCTCATGCTGTTCTCATGATAGTGAGTAAGTTCTCACAAGATTTGATGGTTTTAAAGTGTGTGACTTTCTTCACTCTCTCTCCTGCCACCATGTAAGACGTGCCTTGCTTCCCCTTAGCTTTCTGCCATGGTTATAAGTTTCCTGAGGCCTCCCCAGCCATGCAGAACTGTGAGTCAATTAAACCTCTTTCCTTTATAAATTACCCAGTCTCAGGTATTCTTTATAGCAGTGTGAAAACAGACTAATACAAGGTTATCCATGTTGTAGTACCTGTTCTTTGTTTCTTTTTATTTCCAAGTAGATTTCCACTGTGTGAGCATACCACATTTTATATATCTATTTACCAGTATATGGACATTTGATTTGTTTTCCCATTTTGGCAATTATGAATGATGCTACTATGAACATGCATACAAATCTTTGTGTGGGCATGTTTTTATCTTGACTAGATTGCTAAGAGTGGAATTACTATTTCTGTTAACATGTTAAGAAACTGCCAAAGTGTTTTCCAAAGTGGCTATACCATCTTACACTCCCACCCTGGGCATTCCAGTTTCCCCACATCCCTGCTAACATTTGTTATTGTTGGCCATTTTTATTAAAACCATTTGGGTGGGTGTGAAATGGCATCTGACTTTTATTTTAATTTTCATTCATCTCAGCCTAATGATGTTGATCACCATTTTTGTGCTTATTGGCTGTATGTATATCTTTTTGGATGAAATGTTTATTCAGATATTTTGGCCCTTTTTATATTGTGCAGTCTTTTTTTGGAATTGTACACATTTTTGTATATTTTGGATATAAATGTTTTATCATATTCATAATTTACAAATATTTTTTCTCAGTCTGTGTTTATCTTTTCATTTTTAATGGTGTGCTTTGAGGCACAAAAGTTTTTAACTGTGGTGAAGTCTAATTTATCAACTGTATGTGTATTAGTTTGCTGGGGCTACCATAATATAATTCTATAGACTGGGTGGCTTAAATAACATAAATTAGTTTTTTCACAGTTCAGGAGGGTAGAAGTCCAAGATCAAGATATCATTGGGTTTGATTTTTCTGAGGCCTCTTTTCTTGGCTTACAGATGGTCACCTTCCCTGTCCCTCACATGGCCTTTCCAAAGTACATGCACATCCTTGGTGTCTCTCTTCCTTCTTATAAGGACACTAGTCAAATTGGATTAGGGTCCATCAATATGACTTCATTGAACTTTAATTACCTCTTTAGAGGCTCAGTCTTTAAATACAGTCACATTATGAGGGGTGTTGGGGGTTAGTACTTTGTGAATTTGGGGTTACGTGATCAGCCCATAACATTATGGATCATACTTTTTCATGTCTAAAGAATCTTTGCCTAATCCAAGGGCACAAGGATTTTGTTTCACGTTGTCATCTTTTAAAATATACAAATATTTAATTGACAAAGTTGTATTATTGAAAGTTTACAATGTGATGATTTGATATACATTATACATTGTATATTGTTTACCACAATCAAATAAACACATCCTCATCACCCATAGTTACGTTTTTTTGAGTGTGTGTTTGAGGAGAGGTGAGGAGGCTTAAAATCTACTCTCTTATCAAACAATACAGTATTATTAACTAAAGTCACCATGCTGTACATCAGATCCCCAGAACCTATTCATTTTCTGAGTGAGAGTGTATACATTTTAACCAACATCTCCTAATTTACCCCAACCCCCAGCTCCCAGCGGCCACCATTATGTTCTCTGCTTCTGTGAGTTCAACTTTTTTAGATTCCACATAAAAGTGAGATCATACAGTTTTTATCTTTCTGTGTCTGGCCTTATTTTACTCAGTATAATGTCCTCCAGATTCATCCATATTGTCGCAAATGAAATAATTTCCTTGTTTCTTATGGCTGAATAATATTTCATTTGAATCTACCATTTTTTAAAATCCATTCATCCATCAGTGAACACTTATGTTGTTTCCATGTTTTGCCATTGTAAATAATGCTGCAATGAACATGGGGATGCAGATAACTCTTTGAGATACTAGTTTTATTTCCTTTGGATATATACCAAGAAGTGGGCCATAAACTTCTAAAAGTTTTATGGTCTCAGCTCTTACATTAATTCATTTTGAATTATTAAAATGATTGAATGCTTAATCTCTCTTTTCTCATCTTTTGGCTATCAACTGATTTGTGTCTTTGAGTCTAAAATGTGTCTCTTATAGGCAAAATATAGTTGGATCTTGACTTTTTAAAAAAATCTAGTCTGACAATCTCTGTTCATTGACTGGCATATTTAGATCAGGGATCAGCAAACTTTTTCCATAGGAGACTAGATAATACATATTTTAGACTTTTCACGGTGGTCTCTGTTGCACTCATTTAACTTTGCTATTGTAGCACAAAAGCAGCAATAGAATATATAAATGGATGCGTATGGGTGTGTTCCAAAGGAACTTTATTTTTCAAAACAAGCAGCAGAATTTGGCTTGCAGCCTGCATTTGCCAAGTCCTTGTTTAGACCATTCACATTTAATGTAAATATTGATATTATTGGATATACAGCTGGTACTTCATGATTTGTTTTCTATATATCTCCAATGGTTTTATTCCTGTGTTCTTACTTTATTCCCTTCTTTTTTCTGAAAACAGTTTTAGTGTATTATTCAATACTGAATTCTTGTTAAGTTTTTTCTTTATTGAGGTATAATTTACATACTATGTAATTCACTCATTTAAGTGTATAATTTATTGATTTTTAATATATTCAGTGCCCCCCAAAAAACTAAATGTTCCTTTCCCCTCAAACTCCCAGCCACTGGCAACCACGAATCAATCTACTTTCTGTCTCTATAAATTTGCCTATTCTGGACATTTGCATATTGCAGGTTGTATCAGTATTCATTTCTTTTTATTGCCAAATAATATTCCATTGTATGGATATACCACATTTTATTTATCCATTCATCACATGATGGATATTTGGATTGTTTCCACCTTTTGGATCTTTTGAATAATGCTCTTGTTAACATTTGCGTACAGGTTTTTGGGTGGACAAAATTTTCATTTCTCCTGAGTATGTAACTAGGGATGGAATTACTGGATTATATAACAACTCTATGTTTAACCTTCTGCTGAACTGCCAGAATGTTTTCCAAAGTGGCTGCACCATTGTATATTCCCACTAGCAGTGTATGAGGATTCCTATTACTACATCATTGTCAACACTTACTATTGCCTTTTATTTATTTATTTATTTTCATTTTGTTTTATATAATTTTTTTGAGACAGAGTCTCACTCTGTCACCCAGGCTGGAGTGCAGTGGCGCAGTCTTGGCTCACTGCAACCTCTGCCTCCCGGGTTCAAGCAATTATCATGCTTCAGCCTCCTGAGTAGCTGGGACTATAGGTGTGCATCACCACGCCCAGCTAATTTTTGTGTTTTTAGTAGAGAGGGGGTTTCATCATGTTGGCCAGGCTGATCTGGAACTCCTGACCTCAAGTGATCTGCCCACCTTGACCTCCCAAAGTGCTAAGATTACAGGTGTGAGCCACCACACCCAGACCAGTTGATTTTTTTATATGGTGTCAGGAAAGGGTACAGTTTCACTCTTCTGCATATGGCTAACTAGTTATCCCAGCACCATTTATTGAATAGGGAGTCCTTTCCTCATTGCTTGTTTCTGTTAACTTTGTCAAAGATCAGATGGTTGTAGGTGTGCAGAATTATTCCTGGGCTCTATATTCTGTTCCATTGGCCTATATGTCTGTTTTTATACAAGTATTATGCTGTTTTGGTTACTGTAGCTTTGTAATATAGTTTGAAGTCAGGTAATGTGATGCCTCTAGCTTTGTTATTTTTGCTTAGGATTGCCTTGGATATTTGGGCTCTTGGTTCCATATGAATTTTAAAATAGCCTTTTTAAATTCTGTGAAGAATACATTGGTAGTTTAATAGGAATAACATTGAATCTATAAATTGCTTTGGGCAGTATAACTGTTTTGACATTATTGATTCTTCCCATCCATGTACATGGAATGTTTTTCCATTTGTTTGTGTCATCTCTGATTTCTTAGAAGAGTGTTTTGTAATTCTCATTATAGAGATGTTTCACCTCCCTGATTAGCTGTATTCCTAGGCAGTTCATTCTTTTTGTGGCTATTGTGAATGGGATTGCATTCTTAATTTGGCTCTCAGCTTGGATGTTGTTGGTGTATAGCAATGCTACTGATTTTTGTACATTGATTTTGTATCCTGAAACTTTGGTGAAGTATCAGATTAAGAAGCTTTTGGGCAGAGACTATAGGGTTTTCTAGGTAAAGAATCATATCATCTTCAAACAGGGATAGTTTGACTTCCTCCATTCCTATTTGGATGCCCTTTATTTCTTTCTCTTGTTTGATTGCTGTGGCTAGCACTTCCAGTACTATGTTGAATAGAAGTGGTGAGAGAGGGTGTCCTTGTTTTGTTCCGATTTTCAAGGGGAATGTTTCCAGGTTTTGCCCATTCAATATGATGTTGGCTGTGGGTTTGTCATAGATGGCTCTCATTATTTTGAAGTATGTTCCTTCAATGTCTAGTTTGTTGAGGGCTTTTACTGATGGGAAGTTGAATTTTATCGAATCTGGGTGCTCCTGTATTGTAGGCAAATATATTTAGGATTGTTAGGTCTTATTGAACTGAACTTTACACCATCATGTATCGTCATTGTCCTTTTTGATCTTTGCTGGTTTAAAGTCTGTTTTGTCTGAAATTATGATAACAACACTTGGTTCTTTTCTGTTTTCCATTTGCTTGGTAGATTTTTCTCTGTCCTTTTGTGAGCCTATGGGTGTCATTGCATGTAAGATGGGGGTCTTGAAGATAGCATACTGATGGGTCTTTCTTCTTTATCCAAGTTGCCACTCTGTGCCTTTTTTAAAAAAAATTATTACACTTTAAGTTCTAGGGTACATGTGCACAATGTGCAGGTTTGTTACATAGGTATACATGTGCCATGTTAGTTTGCTGCACCTATCAACTCGACACTTACATTAGGTATTTCTCCTAATGCTATCCCTCTCCCAGGCCCCCACTCCCCAATAGGCCCTGGTGTGTGATGTTCCCCAGCCTGTGTCCATGTATTCTCATTGCTCAACTCCCACATATGAGTGAGAACATGTGGTGTTTGGTTTTCTGTCTTTGTGATAGTTTGCTGAGAATGATGGTTTCCAGCTTCATCCATGTACCTGCAAAGGACATGAACTCATCCTTTTTATGGCTGCATAGTATTCCATGGTGTATATGTGCCACATATTCTTAATCCAGTCTATCATTGATGGACATTTGGGTTGGTTCCAAGTCTTTGCTATTGTGAATAGTGCCGCAGCAAACATACGTGTGCATGTGTCTTTATCATAGAATGATTTATACTCCTTTGGGTATATAGCCAGTAATAGGATTGCTGGGTCAAATGGTATTTCTAGTTCTAGATCCTTGAGGAATTGCCACACTGTCTTCCACAATGGTTGAACTCATTTACACTCCTACCAACAGTGTAAAAGCCTTCCTATTCCTCCACATCCTCTCCAGCATCTATTGTTTCCTGACTTTTTAATGATCACCATTGTAACTGCTGTGAGATGGTATCTCATTGTGGTTTGATTTGCATTTCTTTAATGACCAGTGAAGATGAGCATTTTTTCATATGTTTGTTGGCTGCATAAATGTCCTCTTTTGAGAAGTGTCTGTTCATATCCTTTGCCCACTTTTTGATGGGGTTGTTTTTTCTTGTAAATTCGTCTAAGTTCTTTGTAGATCCTGGATATGAGCCCTTTGTCATATGGTAGATTGCAAAGATTTTCTCCAATTCTGTAGGCTGCCTGTTCATTCTGATGATAGTTTCCTTTGCTGTGCAGAAGCTCTTTAGTTTAATTAGATCCCATGTGTCAATTTTGGCTTTTGTTGCCATTGCTATTGGTATTTTAGTCATGAAGTCTTTGCCCATGTGTATGTCCTGAATGGTATTGCCTAGGTTTTCTTCTAGGGTTTTATGGTGTTAGGTCTTACATTTAAGTCTTCAATCCACCTTGAGTTAATTTTTGTATATGGTGTAAGGAAGGGATCCAGTTTTAGCTTTCTACATATGGCTAGCCAGATTTCCCAGCACCATTTATTAAATAGGGAATCCTTTCCCCATTTCTGGTTTTTGTCAGGTTTGTCAAAGATCAGATAGTTGTAGATGTGTGGTGTTATTTCTGAGGCCTCTGTTCTGTTCCATTGGTCTATATATCTGTTTTGGTACCAGTACCATGCTGTTTTGGTTCCTGTAGCCTTGTAGTATAGTTTGAAGTCAGGTAGTCTGATGCCTCCAGCTTTGTCCTTTTTGCTTAGGATTGTCTTGGCAATGCGGGCTCTTTTTTGGTTCCATATGAACTTTAGCTTTTCCCAATTCTGTGAAGAAAGTCAATGGTAGCTTGATGGCGACAGCATTCAATCTATAAATTACCTTGCGCAGTATGGCCATTTTCACAATATTGATTCTTCCTTTCCATGAGCATGGAATGTTCTTCCATTTGTTTGTGTCCTCTTTTATTTTGTTGAGCAGTGGTTTATAGTTCTCCTTGAAGAGGTCCTTCACATCCCTTGTAAGTTGTATTCCTAGGTATTTTATTCTCTTAGTGGCAATTGTGAGTGGGAATTCACTCATGATTTGGTGCTCTGTTTGTCTATTATTGGTGTATAGGAATGCTTGTGATTTTTGCACATTGACTTTGTATCCTGAGACTTCGCTGAAGTTGCTTATCAGCTTAAGGAGATTTTGGCTGAGATGATGGGGTTTTATAAATATATAATCATGTCATCTGCAAACAGAGACTATTTGACTTCCTCTTTTCCTAATTGAATGCCCTTTATTTCTTTCTCCTGTCTGATTGCCCTGGCCGGAAGTTCCAACACTATGTTGAATAGGAGTGGTGAGAGAGGGCATCCCTGTCTTGTGCCAGTTCGCAAAGGGAATGCTTCTAGTTTTTGCCCATTCAGTATGATATTGGCTGTGGGTTTGTCATAGATAGCTCTTATTATTTTGAGATATGTCCCATCAATACCTAATTTATTGAGACTTTTTAGCATGAAGGGCTGTTGAATTTTGTCGAAGGCCTTTTCTGCATCTATTGAGATAATCATGTGGTTTTTGTCGTTGGTTCTGTTTATGTGATGGATTACGTTTATTGATTTGCATATGTTGTACCAGTCTTGCATCCCATGGATGAAGCCAACTTGATTGTGGTGGATAAGCTTTCTGATGTGCTGCTGGATTCAGTTTGCCAGTACTTTATTGGGGATTTTCACATTGATGTTCATCAGGGATATTGGCCTAAAATTCTCTTTTTTTGTTGTGTCTCTACCAGGCTTTGATATCAGGATGATTCTAGCCTCATAAAATGTGTTAGGGACAATTCCCTCTTTTAATAGAGATTGAAATTGTTTCAGAAGGAATGGTACCAGCTCTTCTTCGTACCTCTGGTAGAATTTGGCTGTGAATCCATCTGGTCCTGGACTTTTTTTTGGTTGGTAGGCTAGTAATTATTGCCTCACTTTCAGAACTTGTTATTGGTCTATTCAGAGATTCAACTTCTTCTTGATTAGGCTTGGGAGGGTGTATGTGTCCAGGAATTTATCCATTTCTTCTAGATTTTCTAGTTTATTTGCATAGAGGTGTTTATACTATAATCTCTGATGGTAGTTTGTATTTCTGTGGGATCAGTGGTGATATCCCCTTTATTTTTTATTGTGTCTATTTGGTTCTTCTCTCTTTTCTTCTTTGTTAGTCTCGCTAGCAGTCTATTTTGTTGATCTTTTCAAAAAATCAACTCCTGGATTCATTGATTTTTTGAAGGTTTTTTTGTTTCTCTAACTCCGTCAGTTCTGCTGTGATCTTAGTTATTTCTTGCCTTCTGCTAGCTTTTGAATGTGTTTGCTCTTGCTTCTCTAGTTCTTTTAATTGTGATATTAGGGTGTCGATTTTAGATCTTTCTTGCTTTCTCTTGTGGGCATTTAGTGCTATAAATTTCCCTCTACAAACTGCTTTAAATGTGTCTCAGAGATTCTGCTACGTTGTGTCTTTGTTCTCATTGGTTTCAAAGAACATCTTTACTTCTGCCTTTATTTCGTTATTTACCCAGTAGACATTCAGGAGCAGTTTGTTCAGTTTCCATATAGTTGTGCAGTTTTGAGTGAGTTTATTCATCCTGAGTTCTAATTTGATTGTGTGTCCAAAATTGGTGGGTTCTTGGTCTCATTGACTTCAAGAATGAAGCCGAAGACCTTTACGGTGAGTGTTACAGTTCTTAAAGGTAGTCTGTCCTGAGTTTGTTCCTTCTGATGTTCAGACGTGTTCAGTTTCTTCCTTCTGGTGGGTTTGTGGTCTTGCTGGCTTCAGGAGTGAAGCTGCAGACCTTCGCGGTGAGTGTTACAGCTCTTAAGGTGGCGCCTCTTAAGGTGGTGCATCTGGAGTTGTTCGTTCCTCCTGTCCGGAGTTGTTCGTTCCTCCTGTCCGGAGTTGTTCATTCCTCCAGGTGGGTTCATGGTCTTGCTGGCCTCAGGAGTGAAGCTGCAGACCTTCACGGTGAGTGTTATAGCTCATAAAGGCAGTGCAGACCCAAAGAGTGAGCAGCAGCAAGATTTATTGCAAACAGTGAAAGAACAAAGCTTCCACAATGTGGAAGGGGACCCGAGCACGTTGCCGCTGCTGGCTTGGGCAGCCTGTTTTTATTCCCTTATCTGACCCCACCCACATCCTGATGATTGGCCCATTTTAGAGAGAGCTGATTGGTCCATTTTACAGACAGCTGATTGGTCCATTTTACAGAGAGCTGATTAGTCCTTTTTGACAGGGTGCTGATTGGTGCATTTACAATCCCTGAGCTAGACACAGAGTGCTGATTGGTGTATTTACAATCCTCTAGCTAGACGTAAAAGTTCTCCAAGTCCCCACTAGATTAACTAGACACAGAACACTGATGGGTGCATTTACAAACTTTGAGCTAGAGACAGGGTGCTGATTGGTGCGTTTACAAACCATGAGCTAGACACAGGGTGCTGATTGGTGCATTTACAATCCTTTAGCTATACATAAAGATTCTCCAAGTCCCTACCAGATTAGCTAGATAGAGAGTGCTGATTGGTGCATCCACGAACCCCAAGCTAGACACAGAGTGCTTATTAGTGAATATACAATCCTCTGGCTAAACATAAAAGTTCTCCAAGTCCCCATCTGACTCAGGAGCCCAGCTGGCTTCGCCTCATGGATCCCATGCAGGGGCCACGGGCGGAGCTGCCCGCCAGTCCTGCACCATCTGCCCGCACTCCTCAGCCCTTGGGTGGTCGATGGCACCAGGGGCCGCGGAGCAGGGGCTGCCGGCGCCTGTTGGGGAGGCTCAGGCCACGCGGGAGCCCATGGGGGTGGGGGGGTAGGGGAGGGTCAGGCATGGCGGGTTGCAGGTCCCGAGTCCTGCCTTGTGGGGAGGCGGCTGAGGCCCGGCGAGAATTCAAGCGCAGTGCAGGCGGGCCGGCAGTGCTGGGGAGCTGGCGCAACCACCTAGCTGGGGCCCGCTGAGCCTGCACCCACCCAGAATTTGCACTGGATGGCCAGTGCCACACGCAGTCCCAGTTCCCGCCCACATCTCTCCCTCCACACCTCCCCACAAGCAGAGGGAGCCGGCTCCAGCCTCGGCCAGCCCAGAGAGGGGCCCCCACAGTTCAGTGGTGGGCTGAAGCTTTCCTCGAGCATAGCCAGAGCGGATGCCGAGGCCAAGGAGGTGCCGAGAGCAAGTGAGGGCTGCTAGCATGTTGTCACCTCTCAATTGCACTGTTGTCTGAGAGACAGTTTGTTGTTGATTTCCGTTCTTTTACATTTGCTGAGGAGCGTTTTACTACCAATTATGTGGTCAATTTTGGAATAAGTGCAGTGTGGTGCTGAGAAGAATGTATGTTCTGTTGATTTGGGTTGTAGAGTTCTGTTGATGTCTATTAGGTCCGCTTGGTGCAGAGCTGAGTTCAAGTCCTGGATATCCTTGTTAACCTTCTGTCTCATTGATATGTCTAATATTGACAGTGGGGTGTTAAAGTCTGCCATTATTATTGTGTGGAAGTCTAAGTCTCTCTGTATGTCTCTAAGGACTTGATCTGGGTGCTCCTGTATTGGGTGCATATATATTTATGATAGTTAGCTCTTCTTGGTGAATCGATCCTTTACCATTATATAGTGGCCTTCTGTGTATCTTTTGATCTTTGTTGGTTTTAAGTCTGTTTTATCAGAGGCTAGGATTGCAACCCCTGCTTTTTTTTTGCTTTCCATTTGCTTGGTACATCTTCCTCCATCCCTTTATTTTGAGCCTATGTGCATCTTTGCATGTGAGATGGGTCTCCTGAATACAGCATACCGATGGGTCTGGACTCTTTAGCCAAGTTGGCAGTCTGTGTCTTTTAATTGGGGCATTTAACCCATTTACATTTAAGGTTAATATTGTTATGTTTGAATTTGATCCTGTTATTATGATGTTAGCTGGTTATTTTGCCCATTAATTGATGCAGTTTCTTCATGGCATTGATGGTCTTTGCCATTTGGCATGCTTTTGCAGTGGCTGGTACCAGTTGTTCCTTTCCATGTTTAGTGCTTCCTTCAGGAGCTCTTGTAAGGCAGGCCTGGTGGTAACAAAATCTTTCAGCATTTGCTTGTCTGTAAAGGATTTTATTTCTCCTTCACTTAGGAAGCTTAGTTTGGCTGGATATAAGATTCTGGGTTGAAAATTATTTTCTTTAAGAATGTTGAATATTGGCCCCCACTCTCTTCTGGCTTGTAGGGTTTCTGCTGAGAGATCTGCTGTTAGTCTGATGGGCTTCCCTTTGTGGGTAACCTGACCTTTCTCTCTGGCTGCCCTTAACATTTTTTCCTTCATTTCAACCTTGGTGAGTCTGAAAATTATGTGTCTTGGGGTTGCTCTTCTCGAGGAGTATCTTTGTGGTGTTCTCTGTATTTCCCGAATTTGAATGTTGGCCTGCCTTGCTAGATTAGCGAAGTTCTTCTGGATAGTATCCTGAAGAGTGTTTTTCAGCTTGGTTCCATTCTCCCTGTCACTTTCAGGTACACCATTCAAACATAGACTTGGTCTTTTCGCATAGTCCCATATTTCTTGGAGGGTTTGTTCGTTTCTTTTCATTCTTTTTTCTCTAATCTTGTCTTCTCACTTTATTTCATTAATTTGATCTTCAATCACTGATATCCTTTCTTCCACTTGATCAAATTGGCTATTGAAGCTTGTGCATGTATCACGAAGTTCTCGTGCCATGGTTTTCAGCTCCATCAGTTCATTTAAGGTCTTCTCTACACTGTTTATTCTAGTTAGCCATTCATCTAAACTTTTTTCAAGGTTTTTAGCTTCCTTGTGATGGGTTAGAACATGCTCTTTTAGCTCTGAGAAGTTTGTTATTACCGACCTTCTGAAGCCTACTTCTGTCAACTTGTCAAACTCATTCTGTGTCCAGTTTTGTTCCCTTGCTGGCGAGGAGCTGCGATCCTTTGGAGGAGAAGAGGCACTCTGTTTTTTGGAATTTTCAGCTTTTCTGCTCTGGTTTCTCCCCATCTTTGTGGTTTTATCTACCTTTGGTCTTTGATATTGGTGACCTACAGATGGGGTTTTGGTGTGGGTGTCCTTTTTGTTGATGTTGATGCTAGTCCTTTCTGTTTGTTTTCCTTCTACCAGTCAGACCCCTTAGCTGCAGGTCTGTTGGAGTTTGCTGGAGGTCCACTCCAGACCCTGTTTGCCTGGGTATCACCAGCAGAGGCTGCAGAACAGCAAATATTGCTGCCTGATCCTTCCTCTGGAAGCTTCATCCCAGAAGGGCACCCACCTGTTTGAGGTGTCTGTCGGTCCCTACTGGGAGGTGTTTCCCAGTCAGGCTACACGGGGGTCAGGGACTCTCTTGAGGAGGCAGACTGTCCATTTTTGGAGCTTGAACGCCATGCTGAGAGAACCACTGCTCTCATCAGAGCTGTCAGACAGGGATGTTTAAGTCTGTGGAAGCTGTCTGCTGCCTTTTGTTCTACTATGCCCTGACCCCCACTCTGTGCCTTTTGATTGGGGGCATTTAGCTATTTACATTCAGTTTGTATTTACATGCATGGATTTGTTGCTGTCATCATCTTGTTACCTGATTATTATACAGACTTGTTTGTGTGGTTGCTTTAGAGTGTCACTGGTCTATGTACTTCAGTGTGTTTTTGTGGTGTCTAGTTAATGGTCTTTCCTAACATTGTTTAGTACTCCCTTCAGGACTGCTTGTAATGCAGATCTGGTGGTAACACAGTCACTTAGCACTTGCTTGTCTGAAAAGAATCTTATTTCTCCTTTGCTTATGAAACTTAGTTTTGTTGGAAATGAAATTCTTGCTGGAAATTGTTTTCTTTACAAATGCTGAATATAGGCCCCCATTCTCTTCTGGCTTGTAGAGTTTTTGCTGAAAGGTCTGCTGTTAGCCTGATGCGGTTTCCCCTGAGCTGCCTCTTTTTTCTTTCATTTTGGCCTTGGAGAATCTGATGACTTTTGTGTATTAGGGATGGTCTTGTTTAGTATTTTGCAGGGGTTCTCTGCATTTCCTGAATTTGAATGCTGGCTTCTCTAGCAAGGCTGGTGAAATTTTCATGGATATGCTGAAATATGTTTTCCAAGTTGTTTGCTTTCTCTGTCTTTCAGGGATGCCAGTGAGTCATAGATTCGGTTTTGTTACATAATCCCGTATTTCTTAGAGGTTTTGTTCATTCTTCATTGGTTTTCTTCCTTTTTGTCTGACTGAGCTATTTTGGAGAGCAGGCCTTTGAGCTTTGAATTCTTTCCTCAGCCTGGTTGATTCTGCTATTAATATATGCAGTTAAACTGTGAAATTCTTGAAGTAAGTTTTTCGGTTCTATCAGCTCAGTTAGGTTCTGTCTCAGAATGGTGATTTTGGCTTTTATTTCCTATATCATTTTATTGTAATCCTTATAATGCTTGATTGGATTTCAACTTTCTCTTGAATGTTGATGATCTTCAGTCCAATCCATGCTCTAGTCTCTATTTCTGTCATTTCAGCCATTTCAGCTCAGTTAAGAACCATTGTTGGGGAACTAGTGCTGTTGTTTGGAGGGAAGACATTTTGGGTTTTTGAGTTGCCATAGTTCTTGGTTCTTTCTCATCTGTGGGGTCTGGTGTTCCTTCAGTCTTTGAAATTCTTGTCCTTTGGTTGGGACTTGTTTGTTTTGCTTTTATCTTCTTTGATATCCTTGGGGGTGGGGGTCTGATTGTGGTATAAGGTGGGTTCAGCCAACTAGCTTTGTTTCTGGTAGATTTTTTGGGAGGTCAGGACTCAGCTGAGTATTCCTGGGCTGCATGCTCTTCTAAGTCTGAGGGGCTGGTATTGGGCCTCCACCTTTATTTTCTGGCCCTTTGAGTTTGTGAACTCACTATGCTGGAAGTACGAAGGTGTTCCCAGACCGCTGGCCACAACAGTCTTTAGGGTGGTTTCAAAGCACTTTATCAAGTGGTGGCAGCGGGATCCATGCTTGTTAGTTCATGCCAGTGGCAGTGGCAGCACAGCAGAGTGTATAGTTGTTGGCTGTGGTGGGGTGCTGACCAGCTGGGGCTGCCGGCCTCCATGTGGGTGTTGGAAGTGGTGGCAGCCTTAAATTTTTTTTTTGAGACGGAGTCTCGCTCTGTCGCCCAGGCTGGAGTGCAGTGGTGCGATCTCAGCTCAATGCAACCTCCGCCTACCCAGTTCAAGCTATTCTCCTGCCTCAGCCTCTTGAGTAGCTGGGATTACAGGCATGCATCACCACACCCGGCTACTTTTTGTATTTTTAGTAGAAATGGGGTTTCACCATGTTGGTCAGGCTAGTCTCAAACTCCTGACCTCTTGATCTGCCTGCTTGAGCCTCCCAAAGTGCTGGGATTACGGACGTGAGCCCCTGCCCCCAGCCAGCCTTAAACAATTTTTAAATTTCTTTTGTGATTTCATACTTGACCCATTGCTTATTTAGAAGTGTTTTAAAATTTTCACATATTTGTAAATTTCCCAGTTTTTGTTGTTGTTGTTATTCTAATTTCAGTCCTTTGTGGTCAGAGAACGTGCTTTGTATGACCACAATGCTTTAAAATTTACAGAGGTTCATTTCATGGCCTAGCATGTTATCTATCCTGCAGAATGTTCTATGTGCTTTTGAGACAGATGTAGCAGTATTCTGCTGTTGAGTAGAATGTTGTATAGATGTCTGCTAGGCTTAGTTGGTTTATAGTGTTGACATCTTTTATTTTCTCGATCTTCTGCTTAGTTGTTCTATCCATGATTGAAAGTGGAGTACTTGTCTCTATTATTGTTTAATAACCAATTTCTCCATTAAAGTGTGTTTTTGCTTCATATATATTGGGGCTCTTTTGTTAGGTATCACTGATTATAACTTCCCGATGGATTACCATTTTACCATTATAAAATATCTTTACCTTATGAGTTGGGGAAAGGGTAATTGGGCTTCTGGTACTCTTGGCCTGCCCTATGCATGGAAGGAAGGAAGAGAGCCCGCTACAGTTTTGTTATGTGTACCAGGAATTTAGCCTTTGTTGTAACTTTTTTGAAAGACACAAGGAATGCTCACAGCCTGCCCAGCTGGTGAAATATCGTATTTGACTGTTAGTGGAGAGGAAATCTTATCTTCTTTGCCAGGAGCTCCACCTAGTGTGGAGCTGCCATCAGGCTGAGCTGAGGGTGAGAGATAATCTTGGTTCAGTGCCACAGGTTTTTGCCATTCTTACTGAATTTAAATTTTTCTTGAATAAATGTTTCTTCTTTTGCTGTATACCCTAAGGACAATTCTCAGTGATTTTAAATGGCTGTTTTAAAGTACTTTTCACCAGTTATGGTTGTTTTGATGGGAAACAGATCTGCAGAGGTCCTTATTTAGTTATTCCAGAAGTGGAATCTCCAGTGTTCATTTTTAAGCTGTATTATTTTCTTAGTGGCTGTTCTAGTGATGACAATATGCATTTTAATTTAATGCAGCCATCTTTAATACTAATTTCATCTGGTAAACTTTTCTAAAATATAGCTCTATTTTCTTCCCCCAACTTTATGCCATTTTTGTCATGTTACATATTTTATAAATTCAACAATAGTTATTATTTCTTTGTGTCTTCTAGCTAAAAGAAGAAAAATACATTTAGTCTTTTATGTAAAAATTTATCCACAAATTTTACTTTTTATAATACTAATTTCTTTCAATGGATTTGAGTCACTTTCTGGTATCATTTCTTTGAAGCCTTTAGGTTTTCTTCAGCTTTAAGGCAGGCTGGCTATCAATACACTTTCTTGGTCTTTATTAATCTGAAAATGTCTTTATTTTGCATTTACTTTGAAGAACAGTTTTGCTAGATGTAGAATTCTAGATTGACAGTTCCTTTTCTTTCAGCATGTCAAATATATTGCCACTGCCTTCTGGCCTCCATTGTTTCTGATGAGTCAGCTGTTAACCTGTTGTTCCTCTATATGAGAATATTTTCTTGCTCCTTTCAAGAGCTTCCCTAACAGTTTCACTATAAAACATGTCTAGATGTCATTCTATGTTTACCCCAGGCTTTACTGAAACCTTGTATTTGTAGTTCTTTTAATTTGTTTGTGCTTTAAGAGACAGGGCTCACTATGTTGCCCAGGCTAGTGTTTTAACTCCTGGGCTCAAACAGTTCTCCTGGCTCAGTCTTCCAAAGTGCTGGAATTACAGGCATAAGCCACTGCACCCAGCCATGTAGGGTATTTTAAATCAAATTGAGGGAGTTTTCAGCCATTACTTCTCCAAATATTTACCCCCCTTCTAAGACTCCCATTATACATGTTGTTATGTTTGATGTTGTCTCACAAATTTCAACACAAAGATTATCTATAATGAAATGGGGCCTTCTCTTTATGAAGCACTTAAATTATTTTTGTTCTATTTACTTTTAAAATCTTAGTTCAGTACTGATATCAAGAAAATATATATTTTCTTCCTTTCAGAAATAGAAGAGGGGCATAGTACTTAAGACTTTTGTTCTGCATACTAGCATATGATGTGACAAAAGTGAAACAGTAATACAGTAATGACCTGGTATGGAATGAAATGAATTACTGCTTCCAGTTACATTATCAGAATTTCTTCATATACAGTTATTAGAAGGGAGAATGAAGGTGGAACAGTGGTGTTCCTCTTCAGGAACAGACAATATTTATAAAACCTTAAATGTAATCTTTAATGAAAAGATATAAGCATTATAAAAGAAGGGGTCATAATGAGTGATGTGGAGATGGCTACATATACTTTCTTAAGAATGCCACATCTTTTATCATACAGATTTCAAATGCTTTTTGGCTACATAAGTACTTTAAAAGAATTGAGCTACATCAATTAAATAACAAATATAATTAGTTCTTCATCATCACAATAAGATAACAATGATTAAAATGTTTTACCTCATATGGTGAAAATACTAATCTTTTCATTCACAAATTTGTAGGCAAATGTGTAATTACCAAACAATGTATAGTACAGAAACAAGAAAAATATTGTAAGTCTAGTTATGATAGTTTTTTCTAATAGACAAAATTGTCAACAATTTATTATAAAAAACCTATACAATTAATAAATACTTGATCAAAAGTCTTTAAAAATATATTCATAATGAAATGTATAGAAAGAGACATTTCAAAGTCATAGCAGTTACTACTATTACAATATTTAATCATTTTTACAATAGGTCTGCTGGTCTATTTCAATTAAATTCATTCTCAGAACCATCACATATCTTGCTGAATTTCATTTAAAGCAAAAGCAAGTTGCTTAATTTTTGCTTCCATTGTTTTTTTGTTCTTGCATGTTTCTTCCAAAAGTTCACGCATTTCTTTTTCAATTTGATGGACCTAAATCGACATGTAAATTTTACATTTTAATTTCTTAAAGAAAATGTATTTTTAAAATGCATTCTGAAAGAAAAGGTCCAAAATTTATTCTTACACATTTTGAAATTTGTGATGTATTTAAAGAAATGTCAGTAAAATGTAACTTGCTCAAATGCTAATAGGAAAAATACAGTATTTATACAGTATACAAAGTACTTTCATGCATTAATATATTATCTACTTAGTTTTCATAAACTTGTGAAAAAGACATGGCTATATATATATATATATACACACATATATTTATATGCATTTATTTATTTATTTTTTGAGATGGAGTCTTGCTCTGTCGCCCAGGCTGGAGTGCAGTGGTGCGATCTCAGCTCACTGCAAGCTCCGCCTCCTGGGTTCACGCTATTCTCCTGCCTCAGCCTCCCAAGCAGTTGGGACTACAGGTGCCCGCTACCATGCCCGGCTAACTTTTTTATTTTTTTTTTATTTTTAGTAGAGATGGGGTTTCACTGTGTTAGCCAGGATGGTCTCGATCTCCTGACCTCATGATCCGCCCACCTCGGCCTCCCAAAGTGCTGGGATTACAGGTGTGAGCCACTACGCCTGGCCAAGACATGGCAATATATTTTAACTTGGCCGGGTGTGGTGGCTCACACCTGTAATCCCAGCACTTTGGGAGGCCGAAGTGGGCAGATCACTTGAGGTCAGGAGTTTAAGACCAGCCTGGCCAACATGGAGAAACCCTGCCTTTGCTAAAAATACAAAATTAGCCAGGTGTGGTGGTACACAACTGTACCCAGCTACTCAGGAAGCTGAGGGAGGAGTCACTTGAACCCAGGAGGTGGAGGTTGCAGTAAGGCAAGATAGTGCCATTGCACTCCAGCCAGAACAAGAGTGAAACTCCATCTCAAAAAAAAAAAAAATATATATATATATATATATATATATATATACACACACACACACACATACACACACACACACACACACACACATTTTAACTCTATTTTAGAGCTTAGAAAATCTGTTTATAGTTGTACAGTTTCTATATATCATAGCTAGGACAGAGAATCCCATGCTTTTGGTTAATCTGTCTACAGTCCTATACTGCTTATCAATGCTGAGTCACAAGTTCAGCTTAAACACCAGTTCCTTATAGATTTTTAAAACTGAAATAACCTCCCTCCCCAAAGAAACCCTATCTTTAATGTAGTGCCTACAGCTTTTCTAAAAACACTGTTGGTGGTTATATATTACCATCTTTTTGAGAGATCATTTTATCATTTATTCCTAACCTACATTCTCCTAGGAGTTGCTGTAGTTGATATTGTTAACTTCTAATTGAAATTGTCTTTCCTACGATATCGTAACACTTCTGATAATGTTACCAATATGACCATTTTTCTGTTTACTTCATGCTTCCTAAACCCTAATATAGATCTCTCAATCTCTTTTCCCTTAGAAAACTAATATTTCTCCCAATTTAAATAATCACTATTATGTGATACCTCATAATCCCCTGCCTGCAAACCTAATTATCATATTTAAGCTCTAGTGCTATTTCTAAAACTCTTTCCTTTGATATTACTTCAAACACTTCCCTTAAGTGTTTAAACCTTAAACTTATTTAGTATTAAGGTTAATACTTAAACATTACTATTAACTTATTTAGTATTACCTGTAACCTTATTTAAGGTTTAAACCTTATTTAGTATTACCTGATGTACCCTTGTTAAACACTTGGTAGGTTTTTAAAATTTTGAGATAGGATATTGTTGTCACCCAGGCTGCAGTGCAGTGGTATGATCACAGCTCACCATAGTCCCGAACTCCTGGGTTCAAGCAATCCTCCCATCTCAGCCTCCTGAGGAGACAGGTCTACAGGCGTGTACCACCATGCCAGGCTAATTAACACATTTTTTTGTAGCGACAAGGTCTTGCTATGTTGCCCAGGCTGGTCTTGAACTCCTGGTCTTGAGTGATCCTTCCACCTCAACCTCAACCTCCTAATAAGTGTTGGGATTACAGGTGTAAGCCTCCATGCCCAGCCTAAATTTGGTAGCCTTTTTTTTTTTTGAGACAGAGTTTCACTCTTGTTGCCCAGGCTGGAGTGCAATGGTGTGATCTCAGCTCACCACCAATTCTGCCTCCTGGGTTCAAGCAATTCTCCTGCCTTAGCCTCCCAAGTAGCTGGATTACAGGCATGTGCCACCATGCCCAGCTAATTGTATTTTTAGTAGAGATGAGGTTTCTCCATGTTGGTCAGGCTAGTCTCGAACTCCCAACCTCAGGTGATCCAGCCGCCTCAGCCTCCCAAAGTGCTGGGCTTACAGGCATGAGACACTGCACCCAGCCTGCATTTGGTAGTTTTTAAGTAAAATATTTGGAACATCTGTTCACCTGAAACAAAACACTGAATTTTGGACAAGTTATATTCTTACTCATTGTGATTATTTCCAAAGACCTCACTCCCTCTTTTTCTTTGCACAGAGTCCTGAGGATAATGTCATTTAAACACACAACCTTGATTATAATTTTTCTTTTCTTTTCTTTTTTTTTTTTTTTTGAGACAGGGTCTCGCTCCGTAGTCCAGGCTAGAGTGCAACGTGACACAATCTTGGTGCACTGAAACCTCTGCCTCCAGGGCTCAAGTGATCCTGTGACCTCAGCCTCCCAAATAGCTGTGACTACAGGCATGCGCCACCACACCCAGCTAATTTTTGTATTTTTAGTGGAGATGGGGTTTCACCTTGTTGGCCAGGCTGGTCTTGAATTCCTTAGCTCAACTGATCCACCAGCCTCGGCCTCCGCTGGGATTACAGGCTTGAGCCACTGTGCCCAGCCATATAATTTCTATATGGAGCATTACTTTGCCTTTCTGTTGGTGAACTCTTTTATAGTTGCTGATTTCTGCATCTCTAGTTTTACAGATACCTTAGTTTCTTATTACCACTTCAGAAGCAGGAAAAAATGGAAATTCATATTATCTCACCAGAGAGGTCACATAAGAATCACCTGTGGAATTAAAAAAATACCTGAGTCTGACTCCAGACTTAGTGAATGAGTCTCTGAGGGGAAGTTCATGAATATGGTGTTTTTTTTCTTTGAGACAGAATCTTGCTTTGTCACTAGGCTGGAGTGCAGTGGCGCAATCTCGGCTCACTGCAACCTCCACCTCCGGGTTCAAGCCATTCTCCTACCTCAGCCTCCCGAGTAGCTGGAATTACAGGTGCTCACCACCACGCCCAGCTAATTTTTGTATTTTTAGTAGAGAAGGGGTTTCACCATGTTGGCCAGGGTGGTCTTGATCTCCTAACCTCATGATCCACCCGCCTTGGCCTCCCAAAGTGCTGGGATTACTTGCGTGAGCCACTGCGCCCGGCCTGAATGTGTATTATTAAAAAGCTTCATAGGTGCTTCTGATGTTTCCCTCTGATTTAGCATTACTCTAAACTCATTACTTTATTAATAATATTGAGATAATAAAGTTGATAGTCTTGAACCCTAATACTCTGATAACTTTTTCCAAGGTGGTGATGGATTATGTTTAATACCTTCAGATTCTCACCCTGCCTATGTGTAACCAAAGAGACTCCTATCCAAGATTAGTTAGATATGAAATTTTTATCCAGAGAGCAGAGAAAGTACACACTAGAATCAAATGTACAAGTTTTGCTTAGAAATTAGAATTATGTTCTACAATTAATCTAAGTATTACCAACGTTTTACCCTGGTTTTAGGATAGTTTTGGTAACATTCTTTATATCTATTTGGTCATGAGATCATGTTGCCTTTTCTCTTTATAATTCTCGAAGATCTAATTTATTTAGCTATAATCATGTAATATACTGATTATTGAAGTGAATTTTACTTACAATACCTTTAAATTTGCAGAATCAATACACTTCTGCTTTTCATTGGCCAGCTGTGCTATTTCAGCTTGATGAGCTTCAACAATTGCATCAACTTGTCTTTTAAAGGCATCATCCATACTATGAAGTTTTTCCATTGCATTCCTTAAAAAAACAAGAACATCCACATATATATGTGTATATGTGGTGTGAATGTAAAGATTAGGATGTTATTTCTTCTCGGGTGGCTCACATTCATACTAATGGAAACATAACTCAGTATTATGAAAATATCAAAGGCTATTATAGGGTAACTAAAGATATAAGTAAGTAGTTCATCATCCAGCAGAATCTATTAGGATAACATTAGGTTAGGATAATATATCACTAATGTTTTTTACACTTTCATTTTCTGAAAGTTAGAGTACTCTGTTTCCCCATTTATTTTGAGTCTAGGAGTATAGTTTTTTATTTTATTTTTGAGACAGGGTCTGGCTGTGTCACTCAGGCTGGAGTGCAGTGGCATGATCATGGCTCAAGGCAACCTCTGGCTCCCAGGTTCAAGTGATTCTCATGCTTCAGCCTCCCAAGTAACTAAGATTACAGGATGTGCACCACCATGGCCCAGCTAATTTTCTGTATTTTTAGTAGAGACAGGGTTTCACTACGTTGGATAGGCTGGTCTTGAACTCCTGGTCTAAAGTGATCTGCCCGCCTCGGCCTCCCAAAGTACTGGGATTACAGAGGTGAGCCACCATTTGGCTTAAGGGTATAGTTTATAAGCACCTTCACAGATGATGACTACTACCAATCTTTTTTCTCCATGTTTTCAATGTGATAATTTGAGAAGTGCATACTACAGATGGTTTAAGTTTATGAATATGTATTTTTGACTTCCTTATGGTAATGCTTAGTGGACGAAACACATTAAATGGTATTCACAAAATTTTCATACTAAAAGTATCCTGGAGGTAAAACAATTCCTTTATATAAATACAAATAATACTATTTAAAAAGTAACATTCATAAAAAGAGCACATTTTCTGGTTTTAGTACAGCAATCAGTAATAACAGATTAAACATAAGGAACATGCATCAAAAGCCTTTTTAAAATTGTATGACTTAGTAGCCAAGTGACTAGTGGCAAGTCACAAGCTGAGTTTTTCAACTATAAAACAGGACTGTTCTGCCAACCTTACAGGATTACTGTTGGGTTCAAAATAAGATAGAAGAAATCAACCTATAAATTTTAAAAAGCTATACAAGTAAAACCTGTTATTATTTATAATAATTGGCTTATTTTATTACAATTCCCTTAAATTAAAAAGTATACCAGTCTTAGTCATAAAGACAATTCATGTATAAAATCAGGTCTGCATTTTTATATTAACGGTATAATGAATAATGCAATGGAAAAGTCTGAAGATTGTTAGGTTTTATAATTTTTATTAGTTTTTTTTGGCTAATTATAGAATATGACTTTCTTTTAGAATCTCAAAGACTCCTAATTGTAAATTTGTTACTGGCAGGATAAAAAATTGCAACAGATTCCAAGCCAAAGTTCTTGTATTAGTACTTGGTTGAAAGCAAAGTGGAACAGAATCTATCAACAGAAAACAACTGTGCTATCAACCAAAACTTTCTGCAGTGTAACAACACTTTCCCATTAGACTGAGTCAAAACAAGAAATCAAATTCCAGGTTACATTAGATTTGACATAATTAGAACCTATCTTTAAGTGAGATTTTTGGGCTATCCATAGATAGCCATGTTATCTGTATCACTCTATCTTCACACGAGAATTAATCATTAAGCTGTGCTACTTAATTCTGAAGGTTCCAACTTTATAACTTATTTTTAACAAGTCTAGTTATATTTTTTAACACAGTAAAACCTTATTTCCTCTTGAGCATTTTATGGAACCCACAGAACAGTGGCAGCCAGGTACACATTTTATTTCCTCTCTTTAAAATCGGCTCTCGGCCGGGCGTGGTGGCTCACCCCTGTAATCCCAGCACTTTGGCAGGCCGAGGCGGGTGGATCACCTGAGGTCAGGAGTTCGAGACCAGACTGGCCAACATGGTGAAACTCAGTCTCTACTAAAAATACAAAAAATTAGCTGGGCGTTGTGGTGCATGCCTGTAATCCCAGCTACTCGGGAGGCTGAGGCAGGAGAATCGCTTGAACCCAGGAGGTGGAAGTTGCAGTGAGCCCAGATCGTGCCATTGCACTCCAGCCTGGGCAATAAGAATGAAACTCAGTCTCGGAAAAACAAACAAAAAAATTGGCTCTCATCCTCAGCTTGTGCTGGCAACTGCTATCTAAATGTGCTCCAGCCTCCTCAGGAGCTCATTGACCCTGGTAGTCAACTGGCAGTCTCCTCTAAATTCCACTTTCAACAACTAAAATATCACTAGCTGCTTTCATTCAAACACAGTTTAAAATGCTCATCGTAATAAAAACAAAATGTTCATATAGCAATTCTTTTTTTTTTCTTTTTGAGACAAAGTTTCGCTCTTGTTGCCCAGGCTGGAGTGCAATGGTGTGATCTCAGCTCACTGCAACCTCCGCCTCCTGGCTTCAAGTGATTCTCTGGCCTCAGCCTCCTGAGTAGCTGGGATTACAGGCGCTTGCCACCACGCCTGGCTAATTTTTTCTATTTTTAGTAGAGATGGGGTTTCATCGTGTTGGCCAGGCTAGTCTTGAACTCCTAATCTCAGGTGATCCACCCACCTCGGCCTCCCAAAGCGCTGGGATTGCAGGCGTGAGCCACCGTGTGCAGCCTCATATAGCAATTCTTATGTGTCAGGCACTGTTCTAAGAACTAGATAATTCATATAAGCCACATCTATTCATAAATACACACATATATATCAAATGTCAACCTCTTATCTAACATTTAAGGTAGGTGCTACTGCTATCTTCATTTTACAGATGAAATGGAAATAAACTTCTTGGCAAATAACTATGTCTTACATGATTTTTAGCCCTCCTCTCTTTATACGTATTTCACCCATTCCACAGTGTTTACGATTAAGGAGATCTCAAATCCTTTAGAACCTAATGCTTACTTTTGTAGTTCAATACTTTTGTCTCTTTCCGCTTTAAGTTTCTTTTCCTTGTTTTCAAATTTTTCTTTCACTTCTTTTACTTGTGTTTCAAGATGACATAGAAGTTCTCCTTTATCATGCCACTTCCGATTCAGTGTACTAATATGAGAAGTAATTTGAAAAATAAATTGGGTTTATTAAATTATTAAGCCACATTTTATTTCTCAGTGGGAAATACTGTACTATATAATACCTGTAAGCTTTTCTGATTTCTTCAAGTTCTACTTCCTTTCCTTTCAACTGTTGTTTTAGTTTTTCTTTTCTTTCATTGTGCCTTTCCAACTTCTCAAGTACCTCATCCAGTTGTGAAGATTTTTCATCAAGTTGTTCTTGAGTGCATTTTTCTATTTCTGTGATCTTTTCTTGTAATCTTTTGATGTGTTCATCTTTTTCTTGTAAACACTTTAAGAAAAAAATTGGCACTTTGTTTTTATTAACTTTAAATGCTTCATATTCTGGTTAATTAGATATGGTTTAATTTATCCTTTAAAATAATATTTTAAACATATAAAATGTTCATTTTCTTGTGACTCCTAACCCTTAATTGACATTGGGTATTTCCAGTTATTCCAAAGGCCATAATAAGATTCTCCATTAAATTCTGAAGTATAAAGTTCATTCCAAATTAATAAATATCATGTAGAACTTTTTAAGAGCAAAAGGGCAAATATTATAAAAAGAAATGCATGATATCTACCCCAAATTTTACAACAGTTGGAAAACACTGAAAAACAGCTTTTGGATACTTTGATCCAAAGATTTGCAAACCTGCCATTTGCTCTTTAACCAAAATAAAATGTCAAACTTACATCTTTTAATTTTCTAATAGTTTCAGTTTGGTCGTCTATGATTTTGCACTTTATTCTTAATGCATCACTATCACTTTCATTTGTCTTTCGCAGACATTCATTCTCTCTAGATAAACTCTCAATTTGAGCCTCCAATTTTCCACGATTTTGGGCTAGAGAAGATCCTAAGAAACAAAAATCATCAATTACATACTTTGAAACACCTTGGGGGTTTGTATCTTATTAAACTCTAACAAACTGTAATATAATAATAATAAAAAAACTAAATAAAGAAACATAGCTTATAATAGTACAATATGAAGAGGAAAGGGGAAGCAAACAAAAAGGCCTCTTAAACACTTGTGGTTATTTCAAAACCTGAAACCACAAATAAAGTTGAGAACAAGTAACTCAGATATGTAATATTAATTCATGTTATGACATTCAAACAAACAAGAGCATATTAAAAATTCCTACAGAGAATGAACAAATAAGGAATGCTCCATTAAGACCAAATATCTTGGCTGGGTGCAGCTGCTCACTCCTGTAATCCTAGCACTTTAGGAAGCTGAGGTGGGCAGATCACTTGAGGTCAGGAGTTTGAAACCAGCCTGGCCAACATGGTGAAACCCTGTCTCTACTAAAAATACAAAAAAATTAGCCGGGCATAGTGGCTCATGCCTGTAATCCCAGCTATTGGGGAGGATGAGGCAGGAGAATTGCTTGAACCCGGGAGGTGGAGTTGTAGTGAGCCGAGATCACACCACTGCACTTCAGCCTGGGCAACAGAGTGAGACTTGTCTCAAAAGAAAAAGACCAAATATCTAGCTATTCATAATTTTAAAGGTATCTGTGAATGCAAACAAAACAAAACAAAACAAAAGAAACCAGTATATATCTCTTGCTTTACAATGATTGGAAAGGGAATGAAACTGAGGATTTACTAAAAAATAGTTTTCATTTATATAATATTTTAATTTGTGCATGCACAATAAATGTTGCATATATCAGAAAAGAAAATTAAATGTGTATACTGTACAAATAACTTAAAATCACTGTATAAGAATTACTTTTGGCCGGGTACGGTGGGTCACGCCTGTAATCCCAGCACTTTGGGAGGCCAAGGTGGGCGGATCACCTGAGGTCAGGAGTTTGAGACCAGCCTGGCCAACATGGTTAAACCCCGTCTATACTAAAAATACAAAAATTAGCCAGGTGTGGCGGCACATGGCTGTAATCCCAGCTACTCGGGAGGCTGAGGCAGGAGAATCACTTGAACCCAGAAGGCAGAGGTTGCAGTAAGCCGAGACTGCGCTACTGCACTCCAGCCTGGGCAACGAGAGCAAAACTCTGTCTCAAAAAAAAAAAAGAATTATTTTTAACAATATATTCAGATGCTGATTTGTAAAAGCACCCATGGTTCAGAATAGTAGTCAAATTATCATGGGAAACAAAATTTAAAAAACCAGAGCCATAACTTCTTCATTGGTGTAATAAACTATTTCTCATTTCCTAAGAGGTCTTCATTCCCCTGTAGCTGGCAAATGCCTACTTATCCTTCCAGATAAAGGGTCACCTTTTTTCTTGGCATCTTTAGGCAGAGTTGAGTCTTTTTCTCTCCAATACCCAGATTTGCTCATTTATAAGAATAAGCTATTTTCCCTTTGAAAATCTGAGAATTTTACCTTGTTGTGCCAGCTCATGTCCCCATACTTTTCTTTCTGTCCTTAAACCAAATATTAGTGATTCCTTGGCTGCTAGCTCAGAAATAAGCTGGACTTTTTCGTGCTTGAGAAGTTCTATTTGAATACTCTTCTGCTTGTCATCTTCAATTAAAATTTCAAGGGTGTTGATTTGATTCTGTATATTCCCAAAAAAAAAAATAAGAATTATTATATTAAGTGCTTTATTTTCTATTTTTTCCATCTTATAATGAGAAAAAATGTTATTTAAGCAAATACAAGTAAATATTACCAAATTTTACATCAGAAGTTTTAGTTTTACTAAAGACAAATGTAGGTCATGAAATAAACAGTCGAATTTAAGATACCACTCCTTTAAACAATCTGAATTTTATTCTAAAATTGTTAAAGAGAAACTATACCTGTAATACTCAAAATTTTTCACGAGCATTTATATCAATAGTGTTAAAGGTCATTTTCCAGAAACAAATTTTGGGTAAAATAGCATTAATGTTTAAAATTGAGACAACAGCAATAAAGACATTAATTTAATGATTATTACATCTAAGTATATCTAAAACCACCAGCATCACCACCACAAAATTAATACCAGCAATCCAAGTGGTGCTTCCCAAACTTTAACCATTTGAGTATCACTTCCACAATTTTTGTTGTATCACTATACTACTGGCACCTATTTAATTGAACATGTTTCTTAAAACTAATTTACTTATTTTACCTAATTGCTATCTCATGAGCAATACAATTTGTGAAATCATGAGCTTAATTTCTTTAGTTATACTATTTTTCTTATATGCAATATATAATTAGTATCATTTAAAAGTTCCTTTCGTGTACTTCCTAAATTTATCACAACCCACTTGAGAAAATAATGTAAAAAAATTTTAAAACATATAATGTTGCAAAGTCTTACCTGTAAATTTGCTGCTGTTTCTTGTTTCAATTTAGAAACTTCTGCCAGTTTTGTTTTTTGTTCCTTTACCATACAGGTCAGATCTTTAATTAAAGAGGAAGACTCATTTTCTTTTCGTTGAGCCCAAATAAGAGCATGTTTGCTCTTTGCTAACTCAGTTGCAACATTTTCAAAACCATCTTTAACCTATATTCCAAAATTGTATTATAAATAGCAGTTCTCCAAATAATTAGAAAATATTTGCTTCTGGAAATAGTATCACAGTTTTAGCAAAAGAATAAGATTTAAAGATAATCTGTTTCAATCTAGTAATTTCCAGATGATGAAACAGAGATCCAGGATGATGATTATATATTTGCCTAAAGTGACCCAGGGAATTAGTGACAAATCTAAAGCCAGAAATCATTTATTTGGGCTGGGCGCGGTGGCTGATGCCTGTAATCTCAGCACTTTGGGAGGCCAAGGAGGGCAGATCACTTGAGGTCAGAAGTTTGAGACCAGCCTGGCCAAAATGGTAAAACCCTATCTCTACTAAAAATACAAAAATTAGCCGGGTGTGGTGGTGCACACCTGTAAAATCCCAGCTACTTGGGAGGCTGAGGCAGGAGAATCACTTGAACCCGGGAGGAGGAGGCTGCAGTGAGCCGAGATAGCACCACTGCACTCCAGCCTGGGTGGCCAGATATTGCTCTAGCACTGAAATGCATCAGTGAATACCACAGAATAAAATCTTTGCTTTTGTAAAGCTTAAATTCTAGGTGGCAGGCACTGACAATATAACAACAAGCATAATAAATTATACAACATGTTAGATGATACTATATGCTTGGGTAAAAGGTTAGAAGGATGTGAAGTGTGTGAAGTGTTGGGAGATGTGGGTTCAATTTTAACTGGCATAATCACTGAGAATGCAACAATGGAGCAATGACTGGAAGGAGGTAGGGAATGGAGCCATGCAAATGTGTGGGAAAGGAGTGTTCTAGGCAGGAATGTGCCTGATACATTGGAGGAATAGGAAGAAGGCTGTTGTCACTGGAGTGGTGTAAATGAAGGGGAAGGTAGTAGGAGATGAACTCAGAGGGTTAGATTGTGAAGTGTTTTGACCACTACTCTGAATAAAATGAAGGGACAATGGAGGTCTTTGAAGAGAGGAGTCATATTACCAAACATGTATTTTAAAAGAACATTCTAGCTGCTGTGTTTGGCATAAACAGAGGGGGGTAGGGGAAGGATAGAGGCAGGAAGATTAACTTGAAAGCTCTTAATATAATACAAGATACTGTGACATACCAGAGTGGCTGTGTTAGAGGTGGTAAGAAATGGCCACATGTATATTTTTTAAATAAGGGTGACAGAATCTCTTGAGGTACTGAATGTGTAGTGTCACAGAAAGAGTAATCAACAATGACTTTGTTTTTGGCTTAAGCACCTAGAAGGATGGAGTTGTCTTTAACTGGGACAGGAGAAATGTCAAAGTAGAAGGTTTGGGGGTAAAATTAGCAGTGAAGTAGAATATGTTAAATAGGTGGTTAGACATAGAAGTTTAAAATTCTTGCAAAACGTCCAGGCTGGAGATATAATGATGCTAGAGGAGTTTACCAAGAGAATGAGTGTGTATAGAAAAGAAAAGGAATTTAAGGGCTGAAAACTTGGGCACTGCAATAATGAAACTGTGGACAAAAGAGAAACAAAGAGACTGAAAAGAAGTGACGTAATGGAAAGCCAAGAAAACCAAGAAATGCAGTGTGCTGGAAACCAAGCAAAGAAAGAGTATGGAAGAGGAGAAAGCTATCAACCCTGTCTAATCCTGCACCTAGGTCAAATCAGATGAGGACAAATTTGACTCACAACTTTCATAGTGTGGATATTGCTGGTGGCTTTGATAGCGCAATGCTAGTAGAGCAATAGAGATAAAAGCCAGATGAGAGCAGGTTGGAGAAGAGAGAAGTAGAGAAATCAAAGACAGCAAATGCACAATTTTGATATGTTCTGTTGTAAATGGAAGCAGAGAAACAACATAGTAGTCAAAGGAAGAAATGGAATCAAGAGAGTTTTCTTAAGATAAGAGAAATCACAGCATGTTTGTATGCTGAAGGGAATGATCCAATATAGCGGAAAAACTGAAGATGTAAGAGAGTAAGAAAGAAGACTTACTGAAGCCATATCTTTAAGTAGGCAAGAGGAAATGGGATCTACTATACGTTTGGTGGGACTGGTCAGAGGAGCACAATTATTCCTCTATAGCAGGGGTTACCAAACTTTTTCTAGAAAGTACCAGACAGTAAACTGTTAGGCTATACAGGCCAGGCCATATGAACTCTGTTGAAAGTACTCAACTACGGCTGGGCACAGTGGCTCACGCCTGTAATCCCAGGACTTTGGGAGGCCGAGGCAGGCGGATCATCTGAGATCAGGAGTTCGAGACCAGCCTGACCAACATGATGAAATCCTGTCTCTACTAAAAATACAAAAATTAGGCGGGCGTGGTGGCCTGTGACTGTAGTCCCAGCTACTTGGGAGGCTGAGACAGCAGAACTGCTTGAATCTGGGAGGCAGAAATTGGAGTGAGCCAAGATCATGCCACTGCACCATTCCAGCCTGGGCAACAGAGCGAGACTCTATCTGAAACAAAAAAAAAAAAAAAAAAAAAAAAAAAAGAAAGTACTCAACTGTGCTTTTGTAATGGAAAAGCAGCCATAGATAATATGTAAAAAATGAGCATGGCTCTGTTCCAAAAAAGCTTTACTTTAAAGAGAAATAGGCAGTGGGCCATATTTGGCCTGGGGGCTTTAGTTTTGCCAATCCCTGCTCTACAGTAATAGGAGGGAATTCAGGTTCTCAGATTCCTATTCCAGTGCTCTATAACATTTATAATCTTACTTAGTTTTTGCAAGAGCAGTAAATAGTAGCTATTATTTATTTGAGGAAACTAAGGCCTCTAAGAATTTATATATTTTACTTAAGATTATGAAGCCAACATTTAATACAGCTATGTTTCTAAAACAAGTCCTCTCATCAAACCATATCTTACTGATTCTGTTTTCAATAAAAAGCTGGGTGCCAATTCTTACATCTTGAAATCTTCTGGCTTCAACAGTTAAAGCAATACGGAATTCATTTTCTAAATCCATATACTGCTGGCTTAACACGTCAATTTTCTCTTGGTATTCTTTTATCATTTGCTCATGCTTTTTCTCTTCTTTGGCTATTTCTTTAGCTAAGGCATCCTGGAAGTCAGCATCAGTAAAAAACTCCCTTGTTTCAAGTTCCTTCCTGGAGTGAAAAACATATAAAGATAAAAGGATGATACTCACCTGAAAAGAAACATTTTAAAGGTCTTTACGTAGTTCTTAATATTCTATATTCAGTATTGTTAATTCAGTATCAGCCTCTCACTTTCAAACGCAGTAATTGGGCATAGATAGGTACAAATAATATGAGTTTTATTTGATTGTGTATTTAATAGTGATGGAGATAAGGGAAGTATGTCAAATCTTAACTTCATGAGATAGTTCAGAATCATTCTATGGCTTCAGAAATTCTTCAGATGCATTTGCATAAGATGCTTCACTGTATCTACTACTTTGGCCGAGTCTTTGACTTGCAATAAATACAGTCTGATTAGCACTGGTGGTTTGTTAATAGAAAAAGTCAGTTAAAGTGTAAAATTATTTACTAATCTTTTGATATTGGGCCAGTTAGTTCATTCTTTACGGTTCTCCACTACTTTTCTTGCATTACTCAAACTCATAATGTGAAACCCATTATTTCCAGTTTTTGGTTTCTTTAAACTGGAATGAAACTAAGTAAAGGAAACTAAGTACAAAATTCCTGTAAAGGAAACAAAGTACAAAATTCTAGATTTTTGTGATTATTTTCCCCCAATCTTTTATAATTGTCTCATCTATACAAGATAACAATTTTCCCCAGAGCACCAAAATTTATGTAGACACAAAACAAAACAGGTTTCGGAATAAATACAATTAACATATGATAATCATACAATTTCACTGGTAGGATAGTAAATAGATAACTGAAATAGATAAACTGAAAATGTTGAAATTATTACAGATTCTGTAGAGCAAGAGTTGAGAAACTACAGCCCATCAGCCAAATGTGACCTACTGCCTTTTTCTTTGTAAATACACTTTTATTGGAACACAGCCATGCCGTTCATTTATGTATTATCTATGGCTACTTTTGTGCTACAAAGGCAAAGTTAGGTATGGCCTGCAGAGCCTGAAATATTTTCTATGTGACCCTTTACAGAAAAAGTTCACTGACCCCTCCTTCAGAGGAATAAAGAATACTGATTAATTTACTAATTAATTAACTTGGGGGTCAATTAAAAATTTTCTCTCTATATAAAGACCAACTTTTGGCTGGGTTTGAAGAAATGAACAATAAGCTATATTGTTATAAACCTATACCTCAAATGCTGATAACAAAGGCAACTATTCATTTTTTAGCTACTAGTTCTTGCTATAGGGCTGATTCTAATGTATACATACATGAACACGGCATTTTCCACTAACTAATTCTGTCAGACTTCACCAATGCTCAATCACTATCTTTAAATACTGGTGGTGGGGGCCAGGCGCGGTGGCTCATGCCTGTAATCTCAGCACTTTGGGAGGCCGAGTGGGGCAGATCATGAGGTCAGGAGATCGAGACCATCCTGGTTAACATGGTGAAACCCCATCTCTACTAAAAATACAAAAAAAAAAAAAATTAGCCAGCATGGTGGCGGGCGCCTGTAGTCCCAGCTACTCGGGAGGCTGAGGCAGGAGAATGGCGTGAACTCGGGAGGCAGAGCTTGCAGTGAGCCGAGATTGCGCCATTGCACTCCAGCCTGGACGACAGAGCAAGACTCCGTCTCAAAAAAAAAAAAAAAAAATACTGGTAGTGGGGAACCAGTAGCTTTCTTTTTCTTTTTTTAAATGCCAATACATTCCTGATACATTTTTCATTTACCTGTGTTCCTGTTCTTTCAATGCAAGAAGTTGATGAAGTTGTTGCGCTTGTTCTCTTTCTCGATGAAGGGAAGTTCTAAGTAAGTATATTTCTCTATCGGCAGCTGAAGCTTTGAGTTCCACCTCTTGGATCAGTCTTATCTGAGTAAAATACCCACAATTACATTATTTAGATAATAGTCTCCCCTGCTATTTTAATGTCAGTTTCCATAAGTACCTTTTAAATGACAGTGTCCGGTGACTAAGTTGATTTTCAAACTTTAATAAATTAATGATGTTACAGTCACACAAAGTGCAGCCTTGGAAGGAACAAATACACTAGCATTAACTATTGCTTATTTGCATCACAGATTTTAATGATAATTTCCATTCAGAAAGCATGAAAATGAAATTCCTTCAATCACCTGAAAGCCTTTTAAAAAGCCAGCTCTCTCAGAATAAAAGCCTAACCACCTGCAACATTTCCATCAACTTTTCTTTTTAATTGCTTTGTGTTAAGAGCTAGTAGTCTTAATTTAGACATAATTCAACAGGCTATGTGACCGTTAAATTAACAGCAATTTAATTTTTGCATATGGCCTTACATCTTTTAGGTTTTCTAGGTAGTATAATTTGTTTCACGATAGAAGCTATGAATTTGTGTTAATCTGTGCTACTCATATATTAAAATAGAGAAATACCTGTGCTGCCTGCTGCTGCCTTTTTTGTCTCTCCATTTTTTCTAATGTTTTTTCGAGGGTTCTTAAGTGTTTAAGGTGATCCTCTTGTTGATCTTTTGCTTTCATTAGTTCAACAGTCAGTTTTTTAATTTCATTTTGAAGTTTGTGAACCATAACTTCGAGTTGTCCTTTGGAATTTCTCTCTCTAAAAATAATTTCCTTTAGCCTAAAGCAGAAGTTATATGTGGTGTTAAGTATATTACACATATAAAAATGATAAAATTGTTGACTTCAATGAGAGTACTCTCTGAACTGGTCTTCCTTTGTTCATGCTCTCAACTCCTGTTTGATATGCTATATGAAAGCGTGCTAGACTGTATATGGGTAGGGGCAGGGAAAGCCACAGAGAAACAGAAATGGAACAATCATCTAAGCAACAGTTAAGGGCCTAAAGAAAGGTAACAGTTTTGGGATACAGAGGAGATAGTTCAACATCTTTTAAGATGATATCAATATCAATTGATGAATAAAAGTATCAATAAAGATGGTAATATCAACTGGTTGTGGGATAGGAGAAAGAGAAAGGAAGCAAAAAACAAAGATTCCTAGATTTCTATAGTTTTGGTGACTGACTGGATGCTGGATGGGGCACCATTTATTAGGGCAAGAAATATAAAATAAGGAAGAAGAATGAATCCACCTGAGGCCATGGTGATCTTAAGAAACTTATGAGGAATACAGGCAAGGCATTTTTAGTAGATAATTAGATGAACAGATCTGGTCATCAAGGAGGTTTGGATAATAAAGATACCATAGTAGGTAAGATTCATTTTTTGAAATTGTATATACTCACAGCATGGCACCCACATGCCAGACCCTGCATTAGGGATACAGAGTCCCTACCAAGGCACATAAGGGAACAGGGAGATTGGTAAGGATCTAATCTCAAACAAACATGTGGTGGTGGGGGGGGTGGGGGGGTGGCACAGATAAAAGAAGAATCAGAAAAGATTGATTTTTCATGAGAAAAATGAATACATAACTTGGGAAACACGGGCACAACAATAGGTTAAGTAAGAAGAAAGATAAAGTGTGCCCAAAGTCTTCCAGTTTAAATGGACTTTGGCTAGCAGCCCTAGACACAGCGTCCTCTAATATCCCACTAAATACCTAGAATACAGAATAAAGTAAAAATTCATACACATATAACTGAAAACAAAGGATAAGAGAATGCCAAAATTTGGGAATAATTTCAATTACAAGGCAAATGGAACTAAATTGAAATTAAAAACAACTCCTACAACACTCAGGCTTTGCCTCATGAAACTGCTCCATTCTGAAAAAAGGAAGACATATCTTTTCTCTTCTACTATCTGTCCATGACTCAGTCACAAGATCTCTATAAATCTGTCACTACATAATGTTGGTTACTCATGCACTTACTGAAAGCAGGAGTGCTGTTTTTCTGAGGTAGTCAGAGCACTCTTAATTGAGACATCCTGTTCCCTCATCCATACCCAGTAGCTTCTTGTGTCAATTCAGACAGACATTTATAAAACACAAATAAGGCAGGAAGTTGGTGGGTAGTGGTAGAAGGGCTAGTGATAACATAACGCATCACAGCTTTATAATTATAGAGGTTCTCATAGCATGCATGTTGCGTATTAGAATTGTCCTTATACTCCACAGGTACAACCTATCAGAGAAACATGCAGTGGGGTAGAAAACACCACGTCAGTATCACAAAAGTGCCTAAAAGAAATCGGGAACTGGGCTGTGAACTGTGTACATCAACTTATCCAAATCAGATTTTAGAAGGGGAATTATCCACTGCACAATCAGACAAGAAATGGAACCAAGAGCAACTTCCCAAAGTGTGTTAGCAAATGTCAAGTCTAAAAACCTAGTGCTCATTCAAGGGTAAGAAACCATAAGAAACTCTAAACATGTTATAATCATTTGAGGAAAAGCATGACGTTAGAAATAATTACAGGAAACAGAAGAAAAAAAGTTATTGTAATTTAAAAAACTGGTATTTTCACAGAATGAAATGACAGACCTGTATTAAAGAATGCAATACAACAAAACAAAACAAAACAAAAAACCCAGATAAAATGGGAGACGTAATGGTGAGGATAGAATAAAAACATCAGAATTAAGAAACTGGGCTATATGATACAAAAGCCCATTGCAGAAGATAAGTATGTGATGAGATCAAATATGACCCATGAAGCTTAAAGAAAAAGGCTGCCAATGCCTGCCCTTTACAGAATCTGGCACTTTACATAAAGTTTGTTAATCACTGCTCTAGTCTCTTGCTGTTCTTTACTTATAATATTTATCTGACACCTTCCTGCTTGAGGGCTCAAATACATGTACCTGAATTTCTTGTTGATATAACAAGCTAATAAAGTGCTAAATTGTCTAATAAAATTAGTTCAAATCAAACTAAAACCACATACATTGTTGTTGATTGAACCACACTGAAACTAATGTATTCCAGTTCTAAAGTCAGTATTGTTTATGCTATGAGGTATCTTCAGGTTTATTAATTTCTTTTTACCTATCTGTGGTAAGTAGAGCCAGACTATGAATATCCTCTTTTTCATTTGCATGTTTATGCAGCTCATCAATATAATCCATGAGTTTATTTTCGGCTTGCTCAGCTCTCCATCTCTTCTCTCTCTCTTGGTCTAGCTGTTCAACAAGGGACTGAAAGAAAACAACAAAGTTATGTGAACTTAGAAAAGTTACCTAACTTCTCACAGCCTCAATTTTCCCATTTATAACAGGGGAATAATAGTACCTACTTCAAAGAGCTACAGTGAAACTTTTTATTTTATTTTTTTGAGTCTCACTCTGCCACCCAGGCTGGAGTGGAGTGGCATGATCTCAGCTCACTGCAAACTCCACCTCCTGGATTCCAGCAATTCTTCTGCCTCAGCTTTCCGAGTAGATGGGACTACAGGCATGTGCCACCAAGCTTGGCTGTTTTTTTGTATTTTTAGTAGAGATGGGGTTTCACCACGTTGGCCAGGCTGGTCTCGAACTCCTGACCTCAAGTGATCCACCCACCTCGGCCTCCCAAAGTGTTGGGATTACAGGTGTGAGCCACTGCGCCGGGCCAAAAATTATGTTACTGGTAGCAAAGCATGTAGGTAAGTGCAGAACAGTGCCTGCTACATAATAACCAATCAATAAATGTTAGCTGCTATTATTATGCCATAGTAGATAAGATTCCTTTTTTGAAATAGTATATACTCATAGCATGGCACCCACATGCCAGACTCTGTATTAAGGAAACAGAGTCCTTACCAAGGCACGCAAGGGAATATAAAGATTGGTAAGGATCTAATCTCGAACAAACTTGGGGCGGGGGTTGAATCAGAAAAGATTGATTTTTCATGAGAAAAATGAATATGTAACTTGGGAAACACAGGCACAATAGGTTAAGTAAGAAGAAAGATGAAGTGTGTCCAAAGTCATAATGATAATTATTATTTTTCAATATTAAAGCCTCTATAGTTGAGAATAAGGGGAGGAAACCAGTAGCCTAAAATGTACCAATTCTATTATTGAAAGAACAATACACAAGTAATATAAGGGGAAGTTAATGAAAAATATAAAATAATGAAACCACAAGTACTGAAGTTTCTCAACATGAGAAATGTTAAGCAAATTTTAAAGAATTAAAACATTTTTGAACACCTCTTTTTTTTTTTTTTTTTTTGACGGAGTCTCGCTCTGTCGCCCAGGCTGGAGTGCAGTGGCGGGATCTCGGCTCACTGCAAGCTCCGCCTCCCGGGTTCACGCCATTCTCCTGCCTCAGCCTCCCAAGTAGCTGGGACTACAGGCGCCCGCCACTACGCCCGGCTAATTTTTTGTATTTTTAGTAGAGACGGGGTTTCACCATTTTAGCCGGGATGGTCTCGATCTCCTGACCTCGTGATCCGCCCGCCTCGGCCTCCCAAAGTGCTGGGATTACAGGCGTGAGCCACCGCGCCCGGCCTTGAACACCTCTTAATCTGGGATCCAGTGGTCCAAAATTGAGTTTCAGGAAAGTCCATGAAAACCTTGAAATATATACATTTTTTTGAGTGTAAAAATAGGCTTCTTTGAGAAGACCTGTAAATTTTTTTAGATACTGAAAAGGGTCTGACACCCAAAAAAAGTAGGAAGCACTACCTTAAGGAATAAGAATTAAAAAATTCATAACTGTTTCTTCCTCCAGAAGCATGTAACAAATGATTTCACTTAAATCTGATCATAAAAAAATGTAATTTTCATTCGTTCAAAAATAACATTACATAAAATCTGGAAATCAGGAAGGAAAAAATAACCCATTTTCATCACTCCAATAAAATTCAAACACTTTTTGCTAATAAAAGCATGCATAATTTTTCTGGGACTCTGTATTTAAAATTATTCATACTCATTTTTTCTTTAACTCTTAAATCATACCTGGTAAGTGTTGTCTTCTGAGTGACTTTGGTCTACTTTAATTATTTCAGTCTTTGGCTTTTCTGATTCTTGTAACATAGGACAGTTTGCTAAAGATGAGCTTACATATAATTCTTTAAGGTAAGGTGGTTTCATTTTACGATTACAACTGTAAAGAATGAAACATAGAAAATAACTCAAAAAAGTAGTGTTCACATTACTTTTCTCTAAATTAACATTTCTAGTTGTATATGCAAACAGCTTTTTAAAAAGAATATTAATAAAATTATAGTAACTTGGACAAACTGCTTCATAAATTTTATAATGGGTGTGCTCTGTTGATTAATGAGTGCCTTAAGATTTTAAAAAAGATAATGATTTCATAAATGTTCAGGGTTCAACATTTTCAGGTAGGGTAGAATTCTTGGATATATCAGAATAATTTAAAAAGTACTGTGGTAAGATGATACCCAAGAACTTGAAAAGACAGTAAATAGAACTACTCTTTGAGAGTTAAAAGTTTAAAATCGACATACAATGGATCAAAGTTAATAGATTCTATCACTTGGTAGGACCAAAGAAATTCCAGGGTATGTCCTGGAAAAAAGTACAGTGTTTGAAGTGAACTGAATGCCTCTGTGTGTGTGGGTATATATACATGTAAAATGTAATTGGGTAGGTATGGAAGAATTAATCAACAACAAAACAACAAAATATGCTTTGCAAAAGGAGAATTACAGAGGCAAAAGTTTACTGTAACCATCCCAGAGTAGTCATTTCTGAACCACTTGTCATGGTGATCCCAATTATGAAAGTACAGATATTGGTCTCCCTTGTCCTTATGGCATTAAACACAATCATCTTATTCACATTTAATCCTAAACTCAGTATCATCTGACTAGGATTTGACTTTCCATCTAGATCTGCCTACAAAGAGAGAAAAGGCTAGTCATGTAGACTCAGGTGTACTAGTCTTATTTCCCACTGTAAATGAATGCAGTGGAATTTGAACTAATGTTATTAGTTCAAATTAAACTAAAACCACATACATTGTTTTTGATTGAACTAAACCTAGATTAAACTAAGGTATTCCAGTTCTAAAGTCAGTATTCTTTATAGTATGAGATATCTTCAGGTTTATACATTAATTTTGCAACTTAGGTACAGACACAGAGAAAAGGATCCTTTTATATACATTTACATGAATGTACTGACCAGATCAGAACCTGCAAGGCTGAAAAATCAAATCTTCAACATTAGTAAAGTAACAAATATCACCAAGAGATAGCTTCAAGAGAGAAGCCAGCATTATTAACTTCTGTGTGCCTTAAATTTCTAAAACTAAAACAAGTACCTTACAAAAGAGTTGTAGTTTTTATTGTGGTGCTTAATAGTTTGAATGGTTTTGGCATCATAAGGGATTTTTGATCTTCGAGGAACTTTTCTATTGCATTCTTTTCTGTTTCCATAGTCACTTTCAGAAGTTATATCTGTGTCTCTTTTTGGTCTGGGGTCTTTCTCAAGAACGTTATCTATTGAATTAGAAGTCTAAAATTTAAAAAGCCAACAAAATTTGTTAAAAGTTCAGTATAAAAAAGATTGAAATTGGAAATCTTCTGAAATATTATATCTTTTTATATGATTAAGGGTTTATAAACTAGAAATGTTTGATATTAAAGACAGGGAATTCAGCTTCTGGTATGGACAAGCAAGCTTCTACCATGTTGACTTTCCTGCAGATAATTATAAACTCTGGAAAAAATACAAACAAAACAAAAATAAAAACTACTTGAAGGCCTTATAAAGTGAACAAAACTAGGATTATCCTAGAGGGGAGCTGACACTTGGAAAATGGACCAGAATGAGAGTGTTTCTGTTTTTTTATGGTTTTTAGCCTGAGAATGTATCACAATCAGCATCATGCAGAGAGTCTAAACCTCAGGTAGGAAAAACCAGACTTCTGGGCCTGAAGAACCAGAGGGCAGTATGAAGTGGACTGCAAGTGGCCCAGCAAAGAACAAAATAAATGAAATGAACTTTGAACTGCTACCTAAGAGAAAAACATACAATCTGAGTCAAACCAAGTTAAATGCTTACTAAAACAAAAATGTCAACACTCTTTGAAGGACTATAACCAAATCTAGAGTATCTACAACGAAACATTCACAATGTCCAGGACGTACTTCAAAATTGCTTGCCGTAGGAAGAACAAGGAAAATGACCTATTCTCAAGAGAAAATGGACACCAAACCTGAGATGACTCAAACGTTTGAATAAGCAAACAAGAACTTTAAAATAGCGATCCAATAGTGATGTTCAATGAGATAATAAGAAATACACCTGTCATAAATGAAAAAACAAGAAAACTCAGCTCAGAAATAGAACTAAAAATAGAAATTCTATAACTGAAAAATACAATGTCTGAAGTAGAAACTGACTGAGATTAATAGTAGAGTGAGGCAATAAAGAAAGAGTACATGAAGCTGAACCTAGTTCAATGGAAGTTATTTGATATGAAGAATACAGAAAAACAAACATTGACAAAATGTACAGAGCCTCAGTGAATTTTGAGACAATATCAAAAAGTCTACATGGAATCTGAAAAAGAGAAGAGAGAATGGAGCAGAAGAAATATTGGAAGAAATTTCCCAAATTAGGTGAAAACATAAAATTACAGATTAAGGAAGCATAGAGAAACCCCAAGCAGGATAAATACAAAGAAAACCATCCTTAGGCACAATGCAGTCAAACTGCTGTAAACAAAGAGAGACAAATTCTTGACAGTAGCCAAAGAAAAATGGCATATTACATACAAGAAATCAAGGATTTTGAATTCATGTTAACTTTGCAATCAAAACTATGGAGGCCAGGCACAGTACTGAAAGAAAAAAAAATTGTCAATTGAGAATTCTACATTCAGTGAAAAAGTCCATTAAGAATAAAGGTGAAACAGACTAGTATCCACAGATGTAACGCTACAACATTTGCTAAAGGAAGTTCAGGCTGGAAGTCTTGGCTGAAGGAATATAACACCAGATGGAAATTTGAATCCTCAAGAAGAAATAAAGAGCATCACAAGTTGATTTATATACAGATAAATACAAATAATGTTTAAACATTTTACTTGAAGTGATACAGTATTAACTCTAAGTAGACTGTTTCAAGTCTTTTTTTAGAGCATCCAGACCAAAACAAAACCTAGAGAATTGTGACTAAAAAACCAACATATGAATTAAAACTGAATTCTATCCCACCACTTCGGGAAGCCAAGGCAGGTGGATCACCTGAGCTTGGGAGTTCAAGACCAACCTGACCAACATGGAGAAACCCCATCTCTACTAAAAATACAAAATTAGCTGGGCGTGGTGGCACATGCTTATAATCCCTGCTACTCAGGATGCTGAGGCAGGAGAATTGCTTGAACCCAGAAGGTGGAGGTTGCGGTGAGCTGAGATCACGCCATTGCATTCCAGCCTGGGCAACAAGAATGAAACTCCGTCTCAAAAAACAAAACAAAACAAAACAAAACAAAACAAAAAACAAAACAAAAAAAACTGAATTCTAAAAATTATCCAACAGAAAGTAGGAAAGGAAGAAAAATGAATATAAAAGAGACAAACAGAAAACAAATAACAATAAAATGGTAGACCCTAATCCAACTTCATTAATAATTACAGTAAATTTTAACAGACTCTTCAAAAGAAGTGATGGCCAGATGGGATTTAAAAACAAGACTCACTTTTCTTCTGTCCACAAGACCCATTTAAATATAAAGACACAAACAGGTTAAAAGTAAATGGATGCCAGGATGAGATATGCCTTTACACCCACTAGGATGGCTACAATGAAAATGACATATAAGAACAAGATAGCAAGGATGTGGAAAAACTGAACCTTCATATACTGCTGCTGAAGATGTAAAATGGCGCAGTTACTTTGGAAAGTCTGGCAGTTGCTCCAAAGGTTAAACATATGACCCAGCAATTCTACTTCTGGGGATATAGCCAAGAGAAATGAAAATCTATGTCCACACAAAAACTTATACATAAATATTCATAGAAATATCATAATAACCAAAAGTAGAGGCTACTCAGATGTCTATCAACTGACAAAAGGATAAATAAAATGTGGTATATCCATACAATGGAATAATTATTTGGTAATAAAAAGAAATGAAGTATTGATATATGCTACAATATGGATGAACCTTGAAAATATTATGCTAAGTGAAAGAAGCTAGTCACAAAAGGCTAAATATTATGATTTCATTTATATGAAATGTTCAAAATAGGCAAATCCATAGAGAAAGAAAATAGATTTGTGGTTGCTTAGGGTTGAGGGTGGAGGTAGAAGGAAATGAGTAATGACTGCTAATAGGTACCACTGAATTGCACACTTCAAATGGGTGAACCACATGGTAAGTGAATAATGTATCTCAATAAGGCTGTTAGATAAAGAGGAACATTTCATGATGATAAAAGAGTAACTTCATCCGAAAGACCAAGCAGTCATAAATGTGTATGTGCTTAATAACAGAGCTTCAAACATAAGAAGCAAATAAAGAACTAAAGTGAGAAACACAAATCCACAACCACAGAGATTTCAACACTTCTTCATGCCACAATTGATAGAACTAGATCAACCCCCCCACCTCTACAAACAAAAAACCAAGCATCAGCAACTGATAGAACAGACACAAAAAAATGAGTAAAGACATGGTTCACCTGAAAATACTATGAATCATCCTGACTTAATTGTAGAATACACATTCTTTTTAAGAGCACAATGAATATCCACCTAGAAAAACCATATGCCAGGCTATAAAAAAAAACTCAATAAATTTAAAAAGACAGAAATTATTCAGAATATGTTCTCTGAACAAAATGGAAGTAAATCAGAAATCAAGGACCAATAACATATCTACAGAATGACAAATGGTTTAAAAATTAATAAAAGACATTTCTAAATATTTCTTGGATCAAGGAAGAAATCACAAAGGAAATTAGAAAAGTATTTCTAACTGTACAATAGCAAAAGCAAAACATACCAAAATTTGTGGAATGTAGCTAAAGCAGTGCTCAGAGGAATGTTTACGGCTTTAAAAGGTTACATTAGGAGATATGTCTAAAATCGATGACCTAAGTACTTATATTAAGACGTTACAGCTGGGGGCCGTGCCTCATGCCTGTAATCCCAGCACTTTGGAAGGCAGAGGCAGGAGGATCGCTTGAGGCCAAGAGTTCGAGACCAGCCTGGGCAACACGGTGAAAGAAACCCTGTCTCTACTGAAATTACAAAAATTAGCCGGGTGTGGTAGCACATGCCTGTAATCCCAGCTATTCGGGAGGCTGAGGCAGAAGAATCGCTTGAACCCAGGAGCCATGGAGGTTGTAGTGAGCTGATATTAGGCCACTGTACTCCAGCTTGGGTGACAGAGCAAGACTGTATTAAAAAAAAAAAAAAAGTGCTAGAAAACAAACAGCAAAGTAAATTCACGGTAGAGGGGAAAAATAAAAACCAGAAATCAAGAACACAGAAAACAAATATTAATCAAATTAACAAAGCCAAAAGTCTATTCTCTGAAAAGATCATCAAAACCCCTTGCTAAACTGATCAAGGCAAACAAATAAAAATAGAGAAAACACAGATTGCCAATATCAGTAATGAAAGAGATTTTCATTATAGATCCTATAGAAATTAAAAGTATAATAAGGGAATATTAACAATTTTATGCTGATAATGAGATGAAATGGACAAATTAACTGAAAAATACAGCTTACCCAAACTGACAAAGAAAAAAAGAACCCAGAGCTAGATTTTACAGTTTGTAAGTTGATTTGATTTTTTTTTTCAAGAAATTCATTAAAGAAATTTAGTGAAAAGAAGAGCCTTTTCTACAAATGGTACTGAGATAACTGAAAATCCATATGGAAAAGAGTGAACCATATATGTATACAGATCTAAATGCAAAAGGTAAAACCATTAAAACTTTTAGAGGCTAACACAGGAGAATGTTATTTTGGTATGCACAAAAGTTTTTAAAGTTGCAGAAAACAATGACCATGAAAGGGAAAAAAATGATAAATTGGACTTTATCAAAATTAAACACTATTGCTTATCAAAAGACCAGTAAGGAAATGAATATGAGATCCACAAACAGGGAGAAAATATTCACACTAGATATATTTGACAAAATACTGGTGTCTAGCATATACAACAAATTCCTACAACCTGGATAAACAACCCAATTTAAAAATGGGCAAAAATTTTGAACAGGCATTCATAGAAGATAAATAAATATTCAATAAACACATGAAAAACTGTCCAACATAACCAATCATTAGTGAAATGCAGATTAAAATCACAACAAACATCAGGATACTCCCACTAGAATGACTAAAATAAAAGCAATGCTAACCTCACCAAATATTGGTGAGGTGGCAGAAAAACTGGAACAGCCATACATTGTTAGTGGGAATAAAATAGAATAACCACTTTGAAAAAAGGTATCAATTTCTTATAAAACTCAACATACATCTACCCTATAACCCAGAAACTGCACTTATAGCTGTTTAGTGAAGAGAAACAAAGATACATGTTTACAAAAAGATTATACAGTAATATTCATTGCAGCTCTACTCATAAACCTCTAATAACCCAGGTTATAAGCTAGGTTAAAACCTTCAACAAGACAATGGAAAAATAAAGTGTAATATATTCATAGAATGGCATACTACATAGAAATAAGAACTACTGATATACATAATAGCATGGATTAATTTTTACAAGGTTATGCTCAGTGAAAGAAGCCCTACACAAAAGAGTATACACTGAATGATTCTATTTATATTAGGTTCTAAAACAAATATTAAATAATATATGGTAGACAAAAAATAAGAAAAGTGATTGCCTCTGGAGGCAGTGGAGGACTGCTTGTCAGAGAGGCCATAAGGGAACATGATAATGTTAACCTTCACAGAAATTTGGATAACAGATATATGTATTCTCAATTCAGGAAATATGCAGACCTGTATTTCACATTAAAGAAAACACCTAAAAAATATTTAACTCTAATTAATGATATGCATGCTTAGTATTTAGGAAGAAATGTATTGATGTGTGTAATTTACTTTGAAATGTGTCATAAGATAGTTTGATACACGAATAGATAGCTACATGACAAAATAAATGTAGTAAAATGTTAAGGGTAGAATCTGGTTGGTGGATATACTGATGTTCACTAAGAAATTCTTTCAAGTTTGCTGAAGAATAAAAATGCTCATAATAGAATGTTGGAGAAAAACTAAAATAAAGGCAAAACAGCTTTTCACAGACATAAAATTTCCCAGTTCGGCAGGGTTAATTATGATTTTAAGTCCCATGATTAAGGAAAATAAATGTCTTTATTATAGTACAGCACATTGCAGTAATATTATGACTTTATAAATTGATACTCGAGATGAAATCATTTGAGTGTACGAACAGCTCAATGAAATTCAAACTCCATGTTTACTCTTTACCCCAAGTAAGACAGTGAACAAGAAGTCATTTTCTTAAACATTTTAAATATACATAGCAGTGAATCACCTTTCTTTCCAGATAGCTAGACTCCTGTTTTTGGTTAACAAAGTAGAAAGAACTAGCACCATAAGTGAGAAGCATGACATAGTTGAAGAATTTGATTGGACATAAGGAGCTATATGAATTTGGAGCTCAACTATCTTGCAAATAAAGTACTTTTAAATAAATGATTTAAACTCTGGATCTTCTTTTCAATAACAAGGACAATAATATATTAATCTCTATCTACTTGATTGGGCTGTCATGAGAATAAAATGAGATCAGCCTATGAGAAACTGAAATGTTCACTTCAAATTAAAGACATTAAACTTCAATCTAAGTTTTCACTGGTAGAAGAGTCAGCCATTAGAAAAGATGAAAAGATGAAACCTGAGGAAATGGAGGAGTCCAAAAGTCCAGCCATACAGTATCAATGATGTCAAATAATATGTAGGCCAGCATTCTTGTCTCACTTCTATTACTATCTCCTTATTGGCTCAAACTGAAATCTCTATGGATTTCTGAAACACAGAATCCTCACAGCCTTATTGACTTTCACTCACCTAAGGCAGACCTCTTGTTTATCCAGCATTATTAATATTATGTTATATAAATAATAGTTCAGGATTAAAAACCTCCTGAACCATAACCATTTCATAAGCATTTTCCACTCCTTCCCCCTTCCTAATTTGCGAAAAAATTTTGACTAAGAAAATTTAGTTATAGAGGTTGGGCGTGGTGGCTCTTGCCTGTAATCTCACTATTTTAGGAGGCTGAGGTGGGAGGATCACTTGAAGCCAGGAGTTTGAGAAAGCCTGGGTAACAAAGCGAGACCCAGTCTCCACACAAAGAATTTAAAAATTAGCTAGGCACAGTGGCATGTGCCTGTAGTCCCAGCTACGCAGGAGGCTGAGGTGGGAAGATTCTTGGGCTCAGGAATTCGAGGCTGCAGTGAGCTATGTTCATGCCACCATACTCCAGCCTGGATGACAGAGTAAGACCCTGACTCTAAAAAAAAAAAATTAGTAACAATAACTTAGTTAAAAATTTTTAAGTTGAACTAACATATGACTAATAGCCTCTTTGAACTATACCACTATCTTTCTATCCTACACCCAGCTAGAAGGCAAATAAAGTAATAATCTATTGCAGTCAGATAGTAGTGGTACCCAAGAGAACCACTGCCACTGTGGATGATAGTGAGAATGCTGGAGTGAGGGTTGGAGACCTGAATAGCAGTAAATTCTAGGAATTGTAGTTCATACACATAGTTCACAGATTCTAAAAACTAGAGATTCAGTAGCAGGGTAAAGAAGGATTAACAGCTCAGGAAAGTATAGATTGATTAGGTGATGGTCTACTAGAAAATGAAATTGATACAGGAACTATGTAAATTAACCTGCCATTTAGCTATAAGTTGTAGAAGTGATTTTGACCATTAAACCACTGAAGAGATAGTAGAGGCCAAAGTATTCCTTTGCGTTAAGTAACACTGAGTCCAAAGAGTTTCTCCCTTGCTTACGGTGGAAATAAAAGTTGGGTGTAATAGAAGTAATGTAAAGTACTGCAGAACAAGACAAAGAAATTACATAATGAAGATGTAAAGGAAGACAAGTAAAGTGAGTGAAAAATTTATGTTACCTTTTACTACCATTATGCAATAATAGAACCCTATTTCTGTAGAGGAAAACAAAAATACACGAACACTGATGCACTAAAATAGGTTGGTCAGCTAGTACATAATTTTTATTTTACATTTTCTTAACTATGTTTTCTTCAATAAACATGTCTATAGAGAAGTAGGAAAAATAGTTACTTCATTTAGAAGTTGTAGAATTTGGTCATCTAATTTCTGAAGTTTTATCTCATTCTGCAAATCGTTTTCATGATTATTTTTCTCTGGCTCAGAAGATTGACACACAGACATAAAAGACGTCAACACAGCATCACTTGGTGTACTTGCAAACTGTTCCAAGGGAACTAACTCATCGATAGGTGCTGTTATCACTGGCATTCTATCAATGATCTATGACACAGAAACAAACCAAAATCCTTTTAATTTATATTCACTTATTGAAATTTGAAGGTATTTTTTATATTAGGAAAAAAAAAGTAAATACTATACCTCATCTTCACTTATATTTAGGGGAGAATCAGAAGAAACTAAATTATCCAAAAGACCTTCTAGGCACTGCAGCTGTGATGAATTTATTTCTGTCAAATTTACTGGTTCACCAAATATGTTCTTGCAATCTAGGATTCTAAGCTGTGGCAAAGTCTGGAGAATAACTGCTCTGTACCCTTGGAAACAAATCATTCAAAATGAAAACTGAAATATTAAAAAAAGTCAATTATTTCTAGAATAAACTAAATTTATCAGCTACCAGATACATCACCCGGAATAGTTCCAGAAAGCAAATAATAAACTTGTTACTTATTCAACTTCTGCAGCATGTAATCATTAAATCCTTACATACAAAAGAAACAAAACACTTCTCCTCCACTCTCCATCCCTCTCAAATAACCCTCCTGATGAAGTTCAAAAAGTTAAAATAACTATCTCTAAAAAATTACTTTAAATATATAATGCATAAAACTAGTAGAAATTTATTCTAGGAAGGAAGCTAAACATGTCTTTTATTTTTTAATATGGTTAATATAAACAACATAAATGAACTTAAAGCAGGATGATGTGGATAATGACCAAAATGCCAGAATTTCCCTAGCGAGGTCTCAGCATTAGCAGAATATCCCTTCTTCCCTTTTAAATTACACATAACTAATATTAAAGCAGGTGAACTATCAAGTAATCAAGAATAATATGTTTATTTTCCCTAAGAACAATCATATCTGACAAATTAACATTCATTTGGTACTAAGGCTAACAGGAGCACCTTAATCCTGTGTAAATGTAATTTTAAAACTAAGTATATTTCTAATAAAGACCAACAAAGTGGTTGGAAGAATTCCGAAAGTAAGAAAGAAGTCTGGCAAATTAGTATTAGAAATCTTGAGGGAAGAAAAGTCATTTCAGCAATAAGTTACCTCTCAATTCTGAAGGGAGGGTGACTGTATTGAGAGAAGTACCTAATTTAGGAAAAAAAGTGAAAAACAAAGATTCAAATTGTAGAAACCAGAGGTTCTTGAGATAAGATTATTAAAAAAAAAAAATCCAACTTGAGGGTTTAGCAGAGAAAAGAAAAATGCAAGGCTTTAGAAATATGGTTTTCTTTCAAGGAAAGGGTTTCCTCAGAAAACTTTCAAATCTGTCCTGATTTTCAGGGAGACTATGGAAAAGAATAGGAAATATTTTCCACCTCAGGAAAACAATTATCAAATGTATCAGATTTTCTTCAGTGAAATAAAATTACCAACACAGGTTTCCATGCTGCAAAAAGCCTTCTTATAGTTGCATATGAATAATAAAATGAAGCCTCTGTAGCTAACTTGTACTCAAGCTGATCTTTAGAATGTATATTCACATTCTACACATTTCTCTTATTGTTTGGTTAAGCAATATGAGATAAGTGAGTTCTAGAAATGGTAGTCTGGTCTGCTTTATCTTTGTCAACTTGATTGATTCCCAATTAGCTCAAATAGCATTTCAGCAGCACCAGCATCTCTATATATTAAACTTTCTTAAAACAAAATCATTTATTAATAATGTAATAAATTCACATAATATGAAATTCGAAAGGAACATAGTAAAAAATTTTCTCATTTCTTAATCTCCAGTTACCTAGTTCCCTTTCCTTGAGTTAGCTAACATTATACATTTTTTTAAAGTGTATATTCTTCTAGATGTTTTATGTATATACTGAGCACACACACACATGCGTGCATACATATATATGTATGTACGTAAATGTTTGTGTATGTGTGTTACCCTTTTCACACAAATGGTGGCCTACTGTGTGCAGTACTTTGCAACCTGCTTTTCTTCCTCTTAATGTATCTTGGACATAATTGTCCATTAGTAGAAAAAGAGATTCTATATTCTTTCCTGTGGCTGCATAGTATTATACTATTATTAAAAGAATATACTATAATGATATAATTTTGAGGCATTCACTTATCAAATATGAAACTGCCTAAATAGGAGCATCACTGAACTGTTCATCTTGTGTTCTGTAACAGTCATTAGTCTTAATACACTAATTTTATTTGTAACCATGTTTTCCCCAATATAGAAAATGTTGCAAAGCTGAAGACTAAAATGAGGTCACGAATGCCAATTTCAGGAAAATAAAGAAGCTCTCAATATTAACTGTTAGAAAAAATATTAAATTAATTATTCATACCTGGCAGTCGACAGACAGGATTATCGTCTCCATCTTTCTCCAAAATAAGATTGGTCAGGAAGTGCAATCCTACCATACACTGAAGTAAGTGATGGATACTATCTATACGATTACTATGTAGATCAATATATCTAAGTTTATGCTTAATTCCATGAAGGGGAATCAATCCTGCAATAGGAACATAATTCTTTAAATGCCACAGCAATAGTCTTTCCAATAGCTAATTAGAAATAATTGCTAGATAGGTTATACTTTTAGAGGCAAACGGGCAGCATTAGATCTTGCTGTGAACAGCTATATCTAATGAATAGGCTATCAGTAAAGTTAATTGTTGCTTTGAAGAAACAGAAGTTTAACATTTCTTTGAGGCTTTAGTCCCTGAGGTTCCTGGGCTCTGGTTCTCTTCAAAAGAAAATGAATCAAAAGAACTTCCCCAGGTGGATGCACACACTCATATGAGAAAAAGGATAAAGCAATGGCTTTAGGCTCTCTCGACACATCAGTCTTGATTAGCAGACATAAGCAAACTCTGTAGTACACTTCAATTTTGCTGGTTTGAATATAAAATAAATACATTAGCATTCATTTAATTCCCTGGTAATATTTCTCGCACAAGCTTATCTAGAACATTTTGTAGCAGTAGCTATTTCTGCCTGGCCCACCTTGGACTTCAGCTGCAGCTGTCATGGACAAGTACTAATTGTACAATGCCAGTGTACCCTTCAAGCACTTACAGCTTCTCTTCCTGCCTCAGAACTTTCTCCAAAATGGAAAAATCATATAAAAAGCTATGTAATCATACGAACGTTCATGTACAGGTCTTTGAGTGGCCACATTTTAATTTCTCTTTGGTAAATACCTAAGAGTCAGACTGCACAATTATATTTAAGTGTTATGTTTATCATTATAACAAACTGTCAAACTCAGCCAGGCACAGTGATAGCCAGTACAGGCTCAAGACTGTAATCTCAGCACTTTGGGAGGATGAGGTGGGCAGATCACTTGAGGCCAGGAGTTCAAGACCAGCCTGGCCACCATGGCAAAACCCCGTCTCTACTAAAAATACAAAAAATTAGGTGGGCATGGTGGAACACGCCTGTAGTCCCAGCTACTCAGGAGGCTGACAGGAGAATCGCTGGAACCCAGGAGGCAGAGGCTGCTGTGAGCCAGGATCACACCACTGCACCCCAGAGCGAGACTTTACCTCAAATTAAAAAAAAAAAAAAACAAAACTCCTTCCCAAAGTGGTTGTACCATTTTAAAACTACCAACAATGTATGCGAGTTTCAACTGCTTCACAATCTCACCAGCACTGTCACTATTTTAGCTATTCTAGGTGTGAAACGGTATCCCATTGTGGTTTTAATTTGCATTTCATTAAATACTAAGGATTCCAACCAATTTTTTTTCATGGTTTATTTGCCATTTATATATATTCTTGGTGAAGTGTCTGTTCAAATCTTTTGCTGATTTTTTGGGGGTTGTTTTTCTTCCCCACTATAATGTAAGCCCTGTGACTTATCTTACCTATTGTTAGTTTTTTCATCACTATAAGACACTGTTCCATATAGTGATCTTCATAAATACATACTGAGAGAATTAACTATCTTATCCATTCACATTTTTTAGATAAGGAAATTGCATCTAAACAGTAAACACCTTGCTAAACATTACATAGTAATGACAAGGCCAGGGTTGAAACTCAGTTCCTTTTGTTGTTTTGAGATGGAGTTTCATTCTTGTTGCCCAGGCTGGAGTGCAATGCTGCGATCTCAGCTCACTGCAACCTCTGCCTCCTGGGTTCAGGTGATTCTCCCCTCTCAGCCTCCTGAGTAGCTGGGATTACAGGCATGTGCCACCATGTCCGGCTAATCTTGTATTTTTAGTAGAGACGGGGTTTCTCCATGTTGGTCAGGCTGGTTTTGAACTCCCTATCTCAGGTGATCCGCCTGCCTTGGCCTCTCAAAGTGCTGGGATTACAGGCGTGAGACACCACACCCGGCAAAAACAAACTCAGTTCTAATACTTCATGTCTTTAAGAGGAAAAAAGGTTTTAAAAAATTGAAATACAGTTGTTACTTCAGCTTAAGGGTACAGACTAGGTCTTTTTATTTTTTGTATACTAAGCAACTGGCATAGGGTAGTGTTCTTTTAGTGGGGGAGAAGAGTCGACAAATGAATCAGATTGTTTCAAATATTGATAAGGATTATGAAGATATTAGAGGAATTCTGCGAGTTTTAACAGATAATTCTAGGAATAGTCATGAAACTTTGTTCAACTTATCAGCTACATCACTTTAATCAATTAAAAAAGGCAACACTTTTAAAATCTCCTTAGCTATATTACAGATAAAAAGAAAATCTCATTTTATTTGTTCCTTAACTTGCAACAACCTTTGGAATGCAGCATATTGTCACTGTTCAACATGGCAGTAGCCATTAGCTACATGCGGCTTTTTATTTTCAAATTAAAATTAAATAAAATTACAAACTCAGTCCTTAAGTTGCACTAGCTACATTTCAAGTGCTCAATAACCACATTTGGCTACTGGCTGCCATATTGAACAGCACAGATTAGAACATTTTTACCACTGTGGAAAGTTCTATTGGAACTATTCTTCTCTATATAACAGTACATTGATTAATTGGCTAAAATTAAAACATATTCCCTTCAACTGGATCCTTTCCAATTAAGTTTTTCCTGCTACTGATTACCTTGGTTTTAACTTCTATTTTGTACTCAGCTGTGGTTTTGGTACCAACAAAATAGAATCATGACTGGAATACGCTCTCTAGATGAGCTCTTTGGCTAAAAATTAGATTAATATTCAGAGATTTCCAACATGTTTAGCTGAGCTGTTAACTTATCACATGTGGCACAACATTTAGCATACAGAAAACATAAGCATTTCTACTTACCACTAAGATCATCTATGTGGTTATAAGATACATTTAGTCTAGTCAGATTAATTAGTTCTTCAAGTCCTAAAAAAAAAAAGTAAAATAAAATAAAGCCTTTATAAAATTTAAATAATTAATTACAGAGATATAGCATTACAATGTTATTTCAGACTGTTCTGAAGTAAATCCAGTCTGGTAACAGCGAAATCAATTTTATTGGCATTTAGAAAAAACAGAATTTTTAAAAAATTGACACTTTTTTGGAGAAAATATTTTGTATAATGAGTTTCAGACTCAATTTTTAAGAGTTTCTGATATTTATTCCATTCTTTTGGGGAAAAAAATGGACCTAAATCATTTTCCTTACGCTAAGTGTTAAATGAAAATCACTTACAAACCTTCTACTTTTGTAATCAAATTGCAGGACAAATTTAATGTGCACAGTTTTGTCAGTGTGTTTAGTCCTTCAATTCTACTTATTTGATTAGATGACAGATCTAGATGTTGTAAATTCCAAATATGATCAATGGCTTCGATCTTGGAGATGTTATTGCAATGAAGATTGACGGCATGAAGAGTTGAATCTAAAGATAATTCTGATATGCTATAAAAGAAAATATATACTATAAAAATAGATTTTAAAAGCATGACCAAATAACTAAAATTAACCAAACAGCACGTAGATACTAAATATGTGCTCTATTCATTCTAGAATGAAATCTTTCCTATTTGTGGTACCTTTGAAATGTCTCACAAAACACGGTGCTTCTTACAACACAACCAAGTATTTTGGATTATTTATACAAACAAGAAACCGCTCAAGGCAGGCAAGTGACAGTGGGCATTTCTAACTCCTGTGTGCAGTCATCAGCATATATTGAAGGCAGTGCTGAATAGTAGTCAATAACTGTAAAGGCTTTGGAATGTTAATATCCCAGTTTGAATCTGCATTCTATCACGGTTTTGCTGTGTGATTTGAGCAAATGACAACCTGAGCCTCAGTTTTCTTACCTCAATTAATTCTCACAATAACTCTAAGCAGTGGGTATCTTAAGGATACCTAAATTTATGGAAATTAAATAGCTTGCCCAAATTCTTGCAGCTAACAGAGCATATGTAAATCCAGATCTCATGCTGGAGATTATAACTTTATTTTCTTCTTTGTGTGCAATAGCTATTTAATCCACAGTCTATTGCATTTTCAAAAACAAACCATGTTATTGCAATTCCTATTGAAAAAGTCCCTGTCCTCCCTTGTTGAAAGTTAATGGATCTCCCCTAAACAGAACTCATCTCTTCACTCCAATTACTATTTATAACTGAAGCTTCTCCTGAAGATAGTAGTTCCAGGAACACAAACTACAGCATACACAGTTTGGAGTTGCTAGATGGGAGATACACCCAGGAACACACAATGTCACGGGCATCTGCTGTAGGTTGAGTAGCAGCTATCTTACAGCTGTAGGAAACCTAACTCTGACAGCAGGGAAGCATTTGCAAATTTCAAACTAGCAACCTTTAAATGTGACTATCTGGGGCATTTCCCACTTATCCTGCTGTGTCATTTACTTGAGTTCTTATTTAGTGCCAGACCTTATGCTGTTAACACATGCTCTTAATGACAGTCATTTACTTTCTGACACATTTCAGTTTCTCGACATTAATAATGTGCAGATAATGTGAGATAGAAAAAGCATAGTGAAATTAGACGGAAAATGGGTTTGAATCCGAACTTAATTCTTCATGAAGTGTATAAAGATGAACAAATTGTCAATAGATTCTGAGTCTCATTCATCACTTGTAAATGAGAAAAATTACTACCTTGTAGAATTGCTGTGAGGATTACTGATAATGTATATAACATGCACACAACAGATAGCATTCAGTAAATGGCAGCTAGTATTAAATAGAAATGTAAAATGTCCCTTGAACAGCATCTTCTTGGGATCATCTGGCAAAGTTTAAATCAGAATCCAGAACAAGATGCTTAATTATCAGTAGCAGAGTTCGCGTAGAGGACACGCTACAAAGGAACAGCATGTGCAAAGGCACAGAGAAGTCTGCTATGGAATTGCCTGTAGCTCAGTACAGGTAAATAAAGTGTAAGTGGAGAAATGTTACGGGTCGAGACTAAAGAGCCTGAAATGCAGGTGGAGACCTGCTTTACAGTATTACAGAACCAAGTGCCTCATATGCTTTGCACAAGTCAGGGCTTCAAGAGAGAGGGAAACGATGAACTAAATATAGTAAGTTTAGTACTTTCAAAAAGTATATGAATATATGTATTGCAATGTTCTGTAACGGACAAATGATTTCGAATGCAGACAAGGAGAACTGAGGCAAAACTAACAGGCAGCAGCGACTGCCCGCTCATAGCTGCCAGAGATACTATCCTGCAGGTTTTTTTCAGAGGTAAGAACAGGAAAGACGAGAGAACACGAGAAAACCAGCAATTAAACGGCAAGCAAAGGAATAACCACCAGTAAGTAAGGAAAACCAGCAGAAGGAAAGAGTGGTCAGAAGCTGGTGGAGGACAAGGTCCTGGGGCAGTTTCTAGGCTAAGCAGAGTCGTGTGAAACGCTGGGCAGGAGACACGGGCGGGAAGGCATCCACGGCTCATTCAACCTGGCACTTCGGCAGGTAAGTTTTGGAGGAGCGGGGAGGCCGAAAGCCAGACTGCGTTCACTTATGGTCTTGGTAAAGCAGTGCCGCGCCTCCACTCTGGTGTCGCCGCCAGCCACTCGTGGCCCCGGCTCTGGGGAGTGCGCGGGTCGCTCCTGGCTGCGGAGCGCCCTTTACCTCTGCAAGCCTTTGTCCATGAAGCATACATCCCCGCAGCTGCTGTCGCCGTCTTCGTTTTCCACTTCCGCCTCTGCCGCCACCACCGCCGCCGCCGCCTCCATAGCACTGGCGACGGGGAGCGGGGTCTTAACCGGCACCCAGCGAGGGGTCCGTGAGCTTGGGACAAGCCTCCCGGAAGCGCGGAAGGGCGGCCCGAGGGGGCGGGGCGGGGCGAGGACCCACCCTCCAACCGACAGCCGGGAACTTTCCCGCCTTGACGGTGACGCAAAACTGGAATCCTCGTCCCAACTGTGGGCTTCTTTCGTTTTTACAGCATCTGCGGTGCGACTCTTGAACTTGCTGTAAAGTAAAACTGCTTCCCGGGCGTGTAGGAGCTGGAGAATGAATGGATTTGTCCTGTGTGCTTCTGTATATTTGCCTAGTAGCCGACTGACTTCTGAAGGCGGTTTTCACAGCGGTTTGGCTTTACGTGCCTTTACATAGCCTTACATACGTATAAATTGTTCCTCTGGCCATTGCACCTCCTGTTGATTCATTGAACAATTTGTGGGATGCCTTACTGTATGTCAGTCACTTCCCTGTATGAGGAAGAAAAAGATGAAGCCTATTCTTGTTCCTGGAAACATTCGCAGCCCCATAGAGGAAACAGAATTGCCATACAGTATGACGAATGCTAAGAATAACACAAGGGCATCGAAACCAACTCTAGAGTGATATGGGTAGTGGGTACGTTTTCTAAAAGAAGTGATTGATGACTGAATAGAGTCTTGCTGGGTTAGGGGGAGTTCTGGATGAATGGCATTACAGGTGGGAAAGCAATACCTGTGTGAGGTCAAATAACCCTCCTGGCTAGATTGCTTCCTAAGGCATAGTAATATTTTAAAACGGAGCAAATGGTGCAGTAGTCCATTTGAAGTGGACTATTTCCTTTTGAAATAACTCATATAGACAAAAATAAAAAAGATGTTTTAAAAAATGAGCAAAACCCACATGACATGTAGGACACCATAAAGTGACCAAATATTCAAAATTTTGGAGTCTCAGAAGGCAAAGAGAAAACAATAGAGTTGGAAAAATGGTTCAACAAAATACTATATGAAAACTTCCCAAGTCTAGCAAGAGATTTAGACACCCAGGCACAGGAGGCCAAAGGTTCCCAAACAGATACAATGCAAAAAGGTTTTCTTTTAAAAAAAATTTCATCTCACTTTTTATTTTAGATTCGGGGGTACATGTGCAGGTTTGTTACATAAGTATATTGCACGATGCTGAGGTTGTGGCTTCTAATGATCCTGTAACCCAAATAGTAAATATAGCGCTTGATAGGTAGTTATTCAACTCTTGCCTTCCCCCTTTTGGAGTCCCCAGTGTCTATTGTTCCCATCTTTGTGTTCATGTGTATCCAGTGTTTAGCTGCCACTTGGAAGTGAGAACATATGGTATTTGGTTTTCTGTTTCTGTGTTAATTCACTTAGGATAATGACCTTCAGCTGCATCCATATTGCTGCAAAGGACATGATTTTGTTCTTTTTTATGGCTGCATGTTGGTGTATATGTGCCACATTTTCTTTATCCAGTCTATCATTGATGGGCATCAGGGCTCATTCCATGCCTTTGCTACTGTGCTGCAATAAACATATGAATGCGGGTGTCTTTTTGGTAAAACAATTTATTTTTCTTTGGCTAGATACCTGGTCATGGGATTCCTGGATTGAACGGTAATTCTATTTTTAGTTCTTTGTGAAATCTCCAAACTGCTTTCCACAGTGGCTGCAATTTGCATTCCCACTGATGGTGTGTAAGCATTACTTTTTCTCTGCAACCTCACTAACATCTCATATTTTCTGACTTTTTAATAAAACCCACTCTGACTGCTGTGAGATGATATCTTATTATAGTTTTGATTTACATCTCTCTGATTATTAGTGATGTTGAGCATTTAAAAATATGTTTCTTGGCTGCTTGCATGTCTTCTTTCGCAAAAAAGAAAAGAAAAGAAAAAGTCTCCTTTATGGCCCATTGTAGTCAAACTGATAAAAGTCAAAGACAAAGAATTCTAAAAACAGCAAGAGAAAAACATCTAGTCATTTATAAGGGAACCCTCAACAAACTAACAGTGGATTTCTCACCAAAAACTTTACAAGCCGGCAGAGAATGGTATGATAAATTCAAAGTGCTGAAAGAAAAAACAGCCAGCCAAGTACTCAACAAAGTTATCCTTCATAAACCAAGGAAAAATAAAGTCTTTCCAAGATAAGCAAAAGCAAAAGAATTCATCACCAGTCGACTGGACCTATAAAAATGCTCATGAGAGTCTTACATATGGAAACAAAAGGACAATATTTACCAGCATGAAAACACACAAAAATATAAAGTCCACTGGTAGATCAAACACACAAGAAAGAGAAAGGACTCAAATGTTACCATTACAGAAAACCACCAAACCACAATCATAAACAATGATAGAGAAGGAAAGGAACAAGGAATACACAAAAATAACCAGAAATGGATTAATAAAATGACAGGAATAAGCCCTCACGTATCAATCATGACCTTATGCAAATGGAATAAATTTTCCACCTGGAAGATATAGCTTGAATTAATGGATTAAAAAATGACCCAACAATAGTCTGCTTAGAAGAAACTCATCACACTTGTAAAGACACATATGGACTGAAAGTAAAGGGAAGAAAAAAGATATTTTATGCAAATGGAAACCAAAAGCCAGCAGGAATAGCTATATGAATATTAGATACAATAGACTGTAAGTTAAAAATAGTAAAAAAGAGACAAGAAAGGTCACTATGTAATGATAAAGGGATCGGGCACAGTGGCTCATGCCTGTAATCCTAGCACTTTGGGAGGCCGAGGCGGGTGAATTGCCTGAGCTCAGGAGTTTGAGACCAGCCTCGGTAACACGGTGAAACCCCGTCTCTACTAAAATGCAAAAAATTAGCAGGGGCTGGCTGCGTGTGCCTGTAATCCCAGCTACTCAGGAGGCTGAGACAGGAGAATCACTTGAACCCGGGAGGTGGAGGTTGCAGTGAACTGAGATCGCACCACTGCACTCCAGCCTGGGCGACAGAGTTAGACTGTCTCAAAAAAAAAAAAAAAAAATCAATTCAGCAAGAGGATATAACAATTCTAAACATATATGCACTCTACACCTAGGCACCCAGATGTATAAAGCAAATATTATTAGATTTAAAGAGAGAGAGAGAGATTCCAACAGGATAATAGTTGGGGATTTAAGCACCCCATTCTCAGTATTACATAGATCATCTAGACAGAAAACAAACAAACAAACAAAAAACATTTAATTTAAACTGCACTTTATACCCAATGGATCTAACAGAAATTTGCAGAAAATTTCATCCAAGAGCTAGAGAACGCACATTTTTCTCATCAACATAGGGAACATTCTCCAGGACAGACTACATGTTAGGACACCAAAAATGGCTCAACAAAATTTTTAAAAATAAATAATGCTAAGTGTCTTCTCAGACTCCATTGAAACAAAACCAGAAATCAATTACAAGAGGAACTTTAGAAACTGCACAAATATATGGAAATTAAAGAACATGCTCCCAAATTATTGAGCAAGAAAGAAATTAAAGAGGAAATCAAAAAATTTTTTAGACCAGTAAGAACCAAAACACAACATACCAACACCTCTGGGGTACAGCAAAAGCAATGCTAACTGGGAAGCTTATAGTAATTAATGCCTTTATCAAAAAAGTAGAAAGATTTCAAATAAACAATTTAATGTTACACCTCAAGGAACTAGAAAAGCAAGAAGAATCCCAACCCAAAATTAGCAGAAGAAAAGAAATCATGAAGATCAGAGCAGAGCTAAATGAAATAGAAGCTTAAAAAAATACAAAGGATCAACAAAACAAAATGTTTTTTTTAAAAAAATGATGAGCAAAATTGATAACAAACAAAATTCACTAGCTAGACTAACCAAGAAAAAAAGAAGATCCCAGTAAACAAAATAAGAAATGAAGAAGAAGGCATTAAAACTGATGCCACAGAAATACAAAAGAGTGTCAGAGACAATTATGAACAACTGTATGGTAATGAACTGGAAACCCTAAAGGAAATGGGTGAATTCCTTGATACATACAATCTACCAAGGTTAAACCAGGAAGAAATAGAAAACCTAAACAGACCAATAATTAGTAGCTAGAATCAGTAATAAAAAGTCTTCCAACAAAAAAACTCCAGGACTGGATGGCTTCATGCTGACTCCCACCAATTTTTCAAAGAAGAACCAAAGCCAATTCTCTTCAAGCTATTAAAAAAATTGAACATGAGGGAATTCTCCCTAACTCATTCTACAAGGCCAGCATTACATTGATACCAAAACTAGACAGGGATGCAAAAAATAAAGAAAACTACAGGCCAACATCCCTGATGAACAGATGCAAAAATCCTCAATGAAATCCTCAATGAAAACTGAATCCAACAGCACATCAAACAGATACTAGATAATCAAGTGGGATTTATTCCAGGGATGCAGGAATTGTTCAATATATGTAAATGAACACATGTGATACATCATATCAACAGAATGAAGGACAAAATCCATAAGATCATCTCAGTAGATGCAGAAAACGCATTAGATGAAACTCAGTCTTTTCATGATACAAACTCTCAACAAACTAGGCATAGAAAGAACATACTTCAATATAATAAAGGCCGTATATGAAAAACTCACAGCTAACATCATCCTGAATGGGAAAAAGTTGAAATCCTTTCCTCTAAGAACTGGAACAAGACAAGTGTGCCCACTTTCAGCACTCTTATTTGACATACTACTGGAAATTATAGCTAGACCAATCGGCAATATAAAGAAATAAAAAGACATTGAAATTGGAAAAGAGAAAGTCAAATCGTCCCTGTTTGCAAATGGCATAATCTTATATCTAGAGAAACTTAAGGACTCTACCAAAAAACTCTTAGATCTGATAAATAAATTCAGGAAAGTTGCAGCATAGAATTTTAACATACACAAATGTAGCATTTCTATACACTAATAATGAACAAGCTGATAAAGAAACCAAGAAGGCAATCCCATTTGCAATAGCTATAAAAATAAAAGACTTAGAAATAAATTTAGCCAAGGATGTGAAAGGCAGCTTTTCTCTGCAAGAAAAGCTACAAAAGACTGATGAGGGAAATTGAAGAGGACACAGTCAAACAGAAAGCCATCTCAAGCTCATGTATCAGAAGAATCAACCTTGGCAAAACGACCATACTGCCCAAAGCAATCTACAAATTCAATGCAATTTCTATCAAAATGCCAACGTCAATTTTCACAGAAATAGAAAAAAGAATCATAAAATTGGTGTATAGAATCAACAAAGGGCTTGAATAACCAAAGTAATCCTGAGCAAAAAGAATAAAGCTGAAGGCATCACACTACCTGACTTCAAACCATATTACACAGCTATGGTAACCAAAACAGCATGGCATTGGTATTATAACAGACACATTGACTGATAGAGCAGAATAGAGAGCCCAGAAATAAACCTGCATACTTAAAACCAACTGATTTTTGACAAAAGTGCCAGGAACATACATTGTAGAGAAGATATCATCTTTAATAAATGGTGCTGGAAAAATTGGATATCCATGCAGAAGAATGAAATTGGACTACTGTCTCTCACCATATATAAAAAGCAGCTCAAGATGGATTATAAATTTAAATGTAAGACCTCGAATTATAAAGCTACTAGAAGAAAATGGGGAAAATATTTCAGAACATTTGTCTAGGCAAAGATTTTATGGCTAAGACAGGAAAAGCATAGATAACAAAAACAGAAATAGAGAAATGAGACTATGTTAAAATTGAAAAAACTGTACAGCAAAGAAAACCATCAAGACTTAGGATATCTGCTGAATGGAAGAAAATATTTGTAAACTATTTATCCAACAAGGGATGAATATCTAAAATATGCAAGGAACTCAAACAACTCAACAGTAAAAAAAAAAAATTCCATTGAAAAGTGGGCAAAGAACACAAATGGACATTTTTAGAAAGAAGACATACTAATGATCAACAGGTATATGAAAAAAATGCTTGTCGTTAATCATCAGGGAAATGCAAATCAAAATCAGAATGAGATACCATCTTACCCAGTTAGAATTGCTTTTATTAAAAAAGAGAAAAGGTAACAGATTCTGGCAAGAATATGGAGAAAAGGGAACTCTTATACACTATAGGTTGGAATGTAAATTAATGGGGCCACTATGGAAAACAGTATGGAGAATTCTCATAAAACTAAAAATAAAACTACTGTATGATCCAGCAATTCCCCTACTGGGTAATTATCTATAGGAAAAGAAATCATTATATCACAGGGATACCTGCACTCTCATGTTCATTGTGGCACTATTCACAAAAGCAAAGATATTGAGTCAACCTAAATGTCCATCAACAGATGAATGCATAAAGAAAATGTGGTATATAAACACAATGGATTACTAGTTGGCCATAAAAAATGAGATCTTGTCATTTGCAGAAACACGGATGGATCTGGAGGTTATTATGTTAAGTGAAATAAGCTCTGCACAGATTGAGAAATATCACATGTTCTCACTCATATGTGGGAGCTATAACAGTTGATCCCATGGAGATAGAGGTAGAAAGTAGAATGATAGATAACAGGATGGGAAGGGTGTGTGGGTTGGGGAGGATGGATGAAGAGAGATTGGTTAATGAGCACAAACATACAGTTAGGAGAAATAAGTTCTAATGTTCGATAGCAGAATAGGATGCCTAGAGGTAACAACAATGTAGTGTATGTTTCTTTTTCTTTCTTTCTTTTTGAGACAGAGTTTTGCTCTGTCTCCCAGGCTGGAGTGCAGTGGGGAGATCTTGGCTCACTGCAACCTCCACCTCCTGGGTTCAAGTATTCTCCTACCTCAGCCTCCTGAGTAGCTGGGATTACAGGCGCGTGCCACCACGTCCAACTAATTTTTGTATTTTTAGTGGAGACAGGGTTTCGCCATGTTGTCCAGGCTGGTCTCGAATTCCTGGCCTCAAGTGATCCACCCACCTCAGCCTCCCGAAGTGCTGGGATTACAGGCGTGAGACGCCACGCTCGGCCTGTAGTGTATCTTTCAAAATAGCTAGAAGAGAGGACTTAAACTTTCTCAACACATAGAAATAAGAAATACTTCGGGTGGTAGATACCCCTAATATCTTGACTTGATCATTACTCATTTTATGCATGTAACAAAATAGCATATGTACTCCATAAATATATACAAATATTAAACATTAACAAGACAATTAAAAAATCTGTTAACCCACTCCAAAATTTGTGGAAGTTGGCAAAAAAAAATTCGTAAGGGAAAATTTAGAACTTTAAATAAATGCATTACATAACAAGAATAACAACAGCATTAAATACTGAAAATCAATAAACTTTCAAGGAAATAAAAAAGGGGAAGAATAAAAGAAATCCTAAATTAATTGATTAATTAAAATAAATAATATGGTCATTTCAATGAAGTACTAAAAGTAATTTTTCATGATTAAAAAAGTAGTTAACAAGCTAGGAAAAGGTGGAGCAATTGTAACTTAATAAAGGGTACCTTTGAAAATCCTACAGCAGTGTTACCCAATAAAACATTAAAAGTATTCCTGCTATTGTCTAGAAATGATACTCAGACCATCATGATTGTAACCATATCAATTGTCCTAAAACTTACCTCACATTTCATTCAATCACAATAAAAGTCCCAACAGAAGCTTTCCTGGAACTTGAAAATATTATTTCAAAATATATGTCATTTCAAAAATTGTATTTTGATGAAAAATAAAGAAGGCAATTAACCATATCAAATACATAAAATATTTAAAAACTGTAATTATTATAATTATATTATTATAGACAAATAAATGGAAAAATTAACACTATAGGAATAAACTTTTATAAATATGAAAAAATTTTCTATTACAGCAAATTTATTTACTCACAAAATTTCCTTTCAAAAATATTTCTTTTTCAAAGAATCAGATCGTGCCTCTCTTTTTTTTTTTTTTTTTTTTTTTTTTTTGAAACTGAGTCTTCCTCTGTCTCCCAGGCTGGAGTGCAGTGGCCAGATCTCGGCTCACTGCAACCTCTGCCTCCTGGGTTCAAGCGATTGTCCTGCCTCAGCCTCCCGTGTAGCTGGTATTACAGGTGCACACCACCATGCCTGGCTAATTTTTGTATTTTTAGTAGAGACGAGGTTTCGCCATGTTGGTCAGACTGGTCTCAAACTCTTGACCTCAGGTGATCCACCCACCTTGGCCTCCCAAAGTGCTGGGATTACAGGCATGAGCCACCACACCTGGCCTGATCCTGTCCTTTGCAGCAAAGTGGAGGGAGCTGGAGGTCATTATCGTAAGCAAACTAACACAGGAACAGAATACCAAATACTGCATGTTCTCACTTATAAGTGGGAACTAAACAATGAGTACACATGGACACAAAGAGAGGAACAACAGATACTGGGGCCTACTTAAGGATGGAGGGTTGGGGGAAGGTGAGGATTGAAAAACTACCTATCGGGCACTATGCTTCTTACCCAGGTGACAAAATAGTCTGTACACCAAATACCCATGACATGCAGTTTACCTATAAAACAAACCTGCACATGTACCTCTAAACCTAAAAGTTAAAAAAAAAATCTCTTTTTTAAAAACAAAAGTGGAAACAAATTTTTAAAACTTATTGGCACTTTACTGCCACTTTAACATGATTTCTTTGTCTCTAGTTTTATTCTTAAGAATTTTAAAATACATGATTAGCTAATCATTTTTTCTGGAACAGAAAAGGAATCCAGCTCAATTTTAATTATTTATTTTTATTTGTCTTGTTTGTATAAATTTACGGGCCGCAAATGTAATTTTGTTACATACATAGATTGATTTCGCAGTGGTGAAGTTGGGGTTTTTAGGGTATCCAATACTTGAATAACATACATTGCATCCATTAAGTAATCTCTCATAATCTACCCCTTTTACTTCTGCTTAATGAATCGTATACATATTTTCTCTTCCATTAGATTTTCGTAATAACATTTTTTATCTAGCTTACTGTACTGTAAGAATACAGTATGCAATACATGTAATATACAAAATATATATTAATACACTATTTGTGTTATTGGCAAGGCTATTAGCAGTTAAGTTTTGGGGGATTAAAAAGTTATATGTGGATTTTCAACTGTTTGGGAGTCAGCACCCATAACTCCTGTGTTGCTCAAGCGTCAATGGTATATGCAAGGGCTTATTTTGAGGTTCTCTATTCTATTCCATTGGTCTATATGTTTGTCCTTATGCCAGTAAAACACTGTTTTGATTACTTGAGCTTTGCAGTATGTTTTGAAATCAGGAAGTGTGAGCCCTCCAGCTTTGTTCTTCTTTTTCAAGATTGATTTAGCTATTTGGAGTTCCGTGAGATTCCATATATATTTTAGATTTTTTAAATTTGTTTAAAAAATGTCATTGGGCTTTTGATAGAGATTGTACTGAATCTGTGGATCTCTTTGGGTAGTATTTGACATCTTAACAATATTAAGTCTTCCAATTAATGAGCAAGGGGTACAGTTCCATTTACTTATGTTTTCTTTAACTTCTTTCAACGTTTTGTAGTTTTCATCGTGCAAGTCTTTCACCTTCTTGGTTAAATTAATTCCTAAATAATGTATTCTTTTTGCTGGTGGTATAGATGAAATTATTTTAATAATTTCCTTTTCAGATTGTTCTTTATTAGCGTATAAAAATGCAACATATGTTTGAGCATTGACTTTGTATCTTGTTACTTTGCTGAATTCATTTATTAGTTCTAGCCATTTTTGTGTGTGTGTGTCTTTAGGATTTTCTTTATCTAAGATTATATCCTCTGTGAAAAGGATAATTTTACTTCTTTCTTTTAAGTTCAAATTCCTTTTATTTCTTTTTCTTGCCTAATTATTCTGGCCAGAGCTTCAAATACTATATTGAATACAAGTGATGAGAGTGGGTATCCTTAACTTGTTTCTGATCTTAGAGGAAAGGCTTTCAACTATTCACCATCAAGTGCAGTTTTATCTGTGAAGTTGTGCTATATGGCCTTTATTGTGTTGAAGTTCATTCAATCGATACCTAATTTGTTGAGAATTCTTTTCATGAAAGATTATTGAATTTTGTCAATTTTTTTGGCATCAATTGAGATTATCATTTGATTTTTTCCTTCATACTGTTAATGTAGTACATTATATTAATTTTAATATATTGAATCCTCCTTGAATTTCAGGAATAAATCACATTTGGTCATGGCATATAATTCTTTTAATATGATGCTTAATTCAGTTTGCTAGTATTTTGTTTAGGATTTTTGCACCTATCTTCATAAGGAATATTGGCCTATAGTTTTTCTTTTTTTGTAATGACTTTGGCTTGGTATCAGGGTAATGTTGACTTCATAGAATGATAATGTTAGGAAGTGTTCCTTCCTTTTCCATTTTTTTTGAAAAGTTTTAGAGGGATTGGATTAGCTCTTTTTTAAATGTTTAGTAGAATTCATCAGTGGAACCATCAGGCCCAGTGCTTTTCTTTGTCAGATTTTTTATTGCTGATGCAATCTCCTTATTAGTTATAGGTCTACTTAGATTTTCTAGCTCTTCATTATTTAGTCTTAGTAGGTTTTATGTGTCTAGGAATTTGCCCATTTCATTTAGGTGATCTGATTTATTGGCATAGAGTTGTTTGTAATACTTTCTTATACTCCTATTTATTTCTATAGAATCTAATAATGTCTCTACTTTCATTTCTGATTTTAGTAATTTGAATCTTCTTTTTTCTTACTCTATCTAGCTACATGTTTATCAATTTTGTTGATCTTTTCAAAGAATCAACTTTTGGTTTCGTTCATTTTCTCTGTTGTTTTTCTTTTAAAAATTTTTTATTGATACATAATAGTTGTACATATTTTTCAGTACATTTGATAAGTTGATACATTCATATAATCAAGTCAAGGTAATTGGGATATCAATTTTCTTAACTATTTATCTTTTTTATGCTAAGAAGATACAAATTATTCTCTTCTAGGTATTTTGAAATGTACAATCAATTAATGTGAGCTATAGTAACCCTTTTGATATATCAAACACCAGGTTTTATATATATATAGTGTATGTATATATATATATATATAGTGTGTGTATATATATAGTGTGTGTGAATATATATATATATATATAGTGTGTGTGTGTATATATAGTGTGTACCCATTCATCAACCTCTCCTTATTGTCACCTACTCCAGCCCCTTCTTGGCCTCTGGTAACCACCAGTATACTCTATCATTATGAGATCCACTTTATTATGAGTGAGAATATGCAATGTTTGTCTTTCTGTGCTTTGCTTATTTCACTTAACATAATGATCTCCAGTTCCATCCATGTTGCTACAAATGACATGATTTCATTCTTTTTTAAGGCTAAATAATATATTCCATTGTGCATATATGTTACATTTTTATTTATCCATTCATCTATTGATAGAAATGTAGGCTGCTTCCATATTTCAGCTATTGTGAATATTGTTGCAATAAACATGGGAGTGCAGATATCTCTTCAATATATTGATTTCCTTTCAGACATATACCCAGTAGTGGAATTACTGGATCATACAGTAGTTCTATTTTTAGTTTTTTGAGGAACCTTCATACTGTTTTCCATAGTGGCAGTACTAATCTACCTTTCCATCAAAAGTGTGTGGGGGTTTCCATTTCTCCACATTCTTGCCAGCATCTGATATAATCTTTTTATTTTTTTTAAATAAAAGCCATTCTAACTGATGTGAGATGGTATCTTGTTGTGGTATGATTTGCATTTCTATAATGAATAGTGATGTTGGGCATTTTTTTCATATATCTGTTTTTCATTTGTATGCCTTCTTTTGAGAAATGTCTATTCAGATCTTTTGCCCATTTTTAGATTGAATTATTTGTGTGTTTGTCTGTGTGTTTGCTATTGAATTGTTAGACTTCATTATATATTCTATTTATTTTCAAACTATCCATCTGACAAGAGATTATTAATTATACAGAGTCAGTGTAATTATAATACATACATTCTGTTGTACTTAAGTTAAAGTCTCAGATCAATTAGAAATGTCACTTAAACACTTAAGAGGAAAGCTACCTAGTTTTAAAAACTAGTCCTAATAGTTTATGGAATTTTTTTTCATCTAGTTGGGTCTGGGACTCTGATGTGTGTGTTGGTGGTGATGAGGGAGAAGAAGGAACATGCTTGAGGTCAATACGGCCTCATTCTGCTGCTTAGAATCTTGTTAAAGTAGCCTTAATTACTGAAGTGACATAAATAGAATTAGAATATGGATAGGAATGAAGATCATTGAGATTCAGGAAAATGGCAAAACCCAATCCAAGGAAACTAAGAATCACAATAAAATGATACAGTAGCTGAAAGATGAAATAGCCAGTGTAAAAAAGAACCTAACAGATGTGACAGAACTGAAAAACACACTACAAGAATTTCACAATGCAATCACAAGTATTAACAGCAGAATAGACCAAATTGAAGAAAGAATCTCAGAACTTGAAGACTGGCTCTCTAAAATAAGACAGTCAGACAAAAAGAAAGAATGGAAAGGAATGAACAAAACCTCCAAGAAATAAGGGATTATGTAAAGGGGCCAAATTCATGAATCACTGGCATCCCTGAAAGGAAGGAGGGGAAAGCAAGGAACTTGGAAAACATATTTCAGGATATCATCCACGAAAATGTCCCCACCCTTTCTAGAGAGGCCAGCAGTCAAATTTAGGAAACACAGAGAACCTCTGCAAGATTTTACACAAAAAGATCATCCCCAAGACGCATAACCTTCAGATTTTCCAAGGTTGAAATGAAAGAAAATGGTAAAGGCAGCTAGAGAGAAAGGGCAGATCACTTACAAAGGGAACTCCACCAGGCTAAACCCTACAAACCAGAAGAGATTGGGGGCCTATATTCAACATTCTTTTTTGCTGTTGTTGTTTTGAGATGGAATCTTGCTCTGTCACTCAGGCTGGAGTTCAGTGGCAGAATCTTGGCTCACTGCAACCTCTGCCTCCCAGGTTCAAGCGATTTTCCTGCCTCAGCCTCCAGAGTAGCTGGGATTATAGGCGTGCACCACCACACCCAGCTAATTTTTGTATTTTTAGTAGAGACAGCGTTTCGCCATGTTGGCCAGGCTGCTCTCAAACTCCTGACCTCAAGCAATCTGCCTGCCTCAGCCTTCCAATGTGTTGGGATTACAGGCATGAGCCACTGCGCCCTGCCAAAGATTGTCAATATTTTAATTTTTTTTTTGTTTTAATCTTTATTTTAGATATCATGCCTAGATATTTTCAATGGGAGAGTTGATCTGAATAACTGAGCCTGCTATTAATGGAAATTAGAATTTGAGAGCAGCCTGGTCAACATGGTGAAACCCCATCTGTACTAAAAATACAAAATTAACCGGGCATGGTGGTGCGGGCCTGTAATCCCAGTTACTCAGGAGGCTGAGTCAGGAGAATTGCTTGAACCTGGGAGGCGGAGGTTGCAGTGAGCCAGGATCGTGCCACTGCACTCCAGCCTGGGTGACAGATCCAGACCCCGTCTCAAAAAAAAAAAAAAAAAAAAGGCTTGGGACTTTCCATAATTCTTTAAGACTGTCAATATTTTATTTTTATTTACATATATATATATATTTATTTTTTTTTTGAGACGGAATCTCACTCTGTCACCCAGGATAGGGTGCAGTGGCGCCATCTCAGCTCACTGCAACCTCCGCCTCCCGGATTTAAGCGATTCTCCTGCCTCAGCCTCCTGAGTAGCTGGGATTACAAGCTTCTGCCACCGTGCCTGGCTAATTTTTGTATTTTTAGTAGAGACGGGGTTTCTCTGTGTTGGCCAGGCTGGTCTTAAACTCCTGATCTTGTGATCACCCGCCATGGCCTCCCAAAGTGCTGGGATTACAGGCGTGAGCCACCGCACCTGGCCTTTATTTTATATTTTTTGAGACAGTCTTGCTCTGTTGCCCAGGCTGAAGTGCAGTGGTGTGAACTTGGCTCACTGCAACCTCTGTCTCCCGGGTTCAAGCAATTCTCCTGCCTCAGCCTCCCGAATAGCTGGGCCTACAGGTGCATGCCACCATGCCCAGCTAATTTTTGTATTTTTAGTAGAGGTGGGGTTTCACCATGTTGGCCAGGCTGGTCTTGAACTCCTGACCTAAAGTGATCCACCTGCCCTGGCCTCCCAAAGTGCTGGGATTACAGGCGTGAGCCACCGCACCCGGCCACAGATTGTCAATATTTTATTTTTTTTGTTTTATTCTTTATTTTAGATATCATGCTTAGATATTTTCAATGGGAGAGTTGATTTGAATAACTGAGCCTGCTATTAATGGAAATTAGAATTTTTTTCTCAAATTCTTGTTACCATTTGATTGTTTTTAAATATTCCCTATTCCCTACTTTGTTTAGCAACGTTCCAATGTGTCTCCTGATTTTACCTTAATTCGATACATTTTTATATTTCTATTTCACTTTTCCCTGAATTTTGCCAGCTTACATTTTATTTCTTTCTGTGGTGTTGACATATCTCCTCTGAACTCCTGCAACTCTGCTTTGTGCTCACATGTCATAGACTTGATTGCAGCATAAGATTTTTAACATTCGTGGTGAATCCAAGGTCACATTTTCTAATGCATTTTATTGGTCAGCCATTTCTTCTTATTTCATTTCTCCTGTTTCTGTAGAATGTCTTACACAGATTTTGGGATTGTTCTTTTTTGATTAATTACTCATTTTTGAAACAAGCAAATTTTTCCTGGACCAGCCATTTACTAGAGTTTCTGGTGAGGAGGGATCATCCAGATGGGCTAGTATTTCCCTACGCTCTGGGACTTTTTTTTTTAGATTTTGTTTCTCCCATATTAAGGACATAGTTATCAGGGCACAAATAATTCAGAATGCAACATCTTTCTTATCTGCTTCCAAAAATATAGATTTCTGAACTTACGGTTTGTCCATCTGATGAATTTCTTCTTCTTTAAATTTAATTTAATTTAATTTTAAATTCTGGGATACACACGCAGGACATGCAGGTTTGTTACATAGGTAAATGTGTGCCATGGTGGTTTGCTGCACCTATCAACCCATCACCCAGGTATTAAGCTCCACATGCATTAGCTATTTATCCTGATGCTCTCCCTCCCTTCAAGACCCCCCAACAGGCCCCAGTGTGTGTTGTTTCTGTCCTGTGTCCATGTGTTCTCATTGTTCAGCTCCCACTTATAAGTGAGAACATGTGGTATTTGGTTTCTGTTCCTGTGTTAGTTTGCTGAGGATGATGGCTTCTAGCTCAGTCCGTGTCCCTGGAAGGGACATGATCTTATTCCTTTTGCGTAGTATTCCATGGTGTATATGTACCACATTTTCTTCATCCAGTCTATCATCAGTGGACATTTGGGTTGATTCCATGTCTTTGCTATTGTGAATAGTGCTGCAGTGAACATATGCATGCCTGTATCTTTAAAATAGAATGATTTATATTCCTTTGGGTATATATCCAATAATGGGATTACTGAGTCCAATGGTATTTCTGCCCCTAGGTCTTTCAGGAATTGCTACACTGTCTTCCACAATGGTTGAACTAATTTACATTCCCACCAACAATGTAAAAGCATTCCTATTTCTCTACAGCCTCATCAGCATCTATTGTTTCTTGACTTTTTAATAATTGCCATTCTGACTAGTGTGAGATGGTATTTCGTTGTGGTTTTAATTTGCATTTCTCTAATAATTAGTGGTTTTGAGCTTTTTATCATGTTTGTTGGCTGTATAAATGTCTTCTTTTGAAAAGGGTCTGTTAATGTCCTTTGCCTACTTTTTAATGAGCATTTTTTCATGTTTGTTGGCTACTTGCATGTTTTATTTTGAGAAATGTCTGTTCATGTCCTTTGCTCATTTTTAAAAAATGGGGTTGTTTTTTTCTTGTTTTTGTTTGAGTTCCTTGTAGCTTTTGTATATTAGTTCAAAGACAATTTTTGAAATGGTGTTGTGGCTGTTTTTATTAAGCCATGCTCTTCTCAGAACAGAATTTGTGTGTTTTAAGATTTCCAGAGTACCTTCACAGATTTTTTTCATTTTATTATCATTACTAATAATGTGTGAGGTGAGCTAATAAGACATCATTTTATTTTAGAGTTGAGATAACTGAGAATCAGTAACCTTTGATATATAGTATAAAATCTTATTTTCTTTTTTACTGTTTTATTTTTTAATGATATTATGGATTCTCTTTTATATTTAGGAACTTTTTATAACTGGAAATGTAAAATGTAAAAAAAAGGTATTCTTAATATATTTGCCTAGATAAATAAAGTTCAATGCAGAACTGAAGCTTTTAAAATTTGCCTATTTTTAGGGCAAAAAATTTAGTTTCTTTACCTATATGACAGTAATTAAAACAAATTCTGAAAATCTGAAAAATTTATTGTGAACTGAAATTATATACATATGGATAAATATTGCAGAAAGGTTCTGTATTAATTCGTTTTCATGCTGCTGATAAAGACATACCTGACACTGGGTAATTTATAAAGAAAAACAAGTTTAATGGACTCACAGTTCCACCTGGCTGGGGAGGCTTCACAATCATAGTGGAAGGCAAAAGGCACATCTTATGTTGTGGCAGACAAGAGAGAATGAGAGCCAAGTGAAAGGGAAAACCTCTTATAAAATCGTCGATATCGTGAGAGTTATTCACTACCATGAGAACAGTATGGGGGTCATGATTCAGTGATCTCCTACTGTGTCCCTCTCACAACATGTGGGAATTATGGGAGCTATAATTCAAGATGAGATTTGGGTAGGGACACAGCCAAACCATATCAGATCCATACATTCAGTAATAGGGAAATTGAGTACTTGAAGTGGCTATTCCTTATAGATTTTGGGCATGTGCCAGGAGACAAAGCATATGAGTGACATTTTCTGGGGGGTAGATGTTAACCTAAAGCACCCATGATGTCCTTGAAAAGTATGTCCCAAGGGATTTTGGTAAATATTCTTAGAATTTTAATTCTATTATGTCCTATTTAATCTATTGTATTCTGTTTATTTTTTTCCTTTTCCAATTTTTGGTGCTTTCTATATTTCTGCAGCTGGACTTTATTATTACCTATAATTTTAGCATATGTTCATAATTAGAGATTGCTTAGTCCTTTTAAATTTTTATCTTTAAATAAGTAAATAACCCAGACATGAACCAGTTTAGCATAATTCTCTTAAGGTAGGCAAAAAGATCCACTGTATTAGAGACCCCCTTCATTTAGGGGAATAAGAAAGAATCTTCTCTCTGGTTCTATGTAGCCATACCTGAGAACCCGATTCCCTCTGGAGTCCGGACTATTAGGTAGGACGTTTTAACCAATAAGTAAATCAGTGCCACAGGGGTAGGTGCAGTAATTACACATTTGGGGATATTTTCACTAGGCTTTTTCAGATCTCCTGAGAAAAAAAGGCTTTCTATGTAACCTTTGAAAGTGCCTTCACTATAATATATAATAAGAAAAATAAATGAGTCTGCAAACAACAAGAGCTCATTTGTTCATTTTTGTTGAATGTTTACCATGTCTCTGGCACATTGTTGACTCTAGTTGTGTTACAGGAAAGGGGTCCAATCCAGACCCCAAGAGAGGGTTCTTGGATCTTGCACAAGAAAGAATTCAGGGCAAGTCCATGAAATGAAAGCAAGTTCATTAAGAAAGTAGAATAAAAGAATGGTTACACCATAGAGCAGCCTGGAGAGCTGCTGATTGCCCATTTTTATGGTTATTTCTTGATTACATGCTAAACAACAAGTGGGTTATTCATGCCTCCCCTTTTTAGACCACTTAGGGTAACTTCCTGATGTTGCCATGGCATTTGTAAACTGTCATGGCACTGGTGGGAGTGTAGCAGTGAGGATGACCAGAGGTCACTCTCATGGCTATCTTGGTTTTGGTGGGTTTTAGCTGACTTCTTTACTGCAATCTGCTTTATCAATAAGGTCTTTATGACCTGTATCTCGTGCAGACCTCCTATCTCATCCTGTGACTTAGAATGCCTTAACCATCTGGGAATGCAGCCCAGTAGGTTTTAGTCTTGTTTTACCCAGCTCCTATTCAAGATGGAGTTGCTCTGGTTCACCCGCCTCTGACAGTTGTATCATAATTGAGTTAAATTCTGGGGTCTCAATGTTATACTCTGAGATACTTAAAATGGGCCTTTGGGTTAAGAAGAGTATAGGTCATAAACCTTGAACTCTAGAACATAACGGGAGCTAACCCTGCCCTACCCTGTGGCTGACATGGTAGAATGGTAACTGTGTTAATGAAGAGTTAAAATAGCTTATCTCTTAATCTGGTCACAATATTCTAGGGCATTCAGGTAGACTCTCCTGTTCTTTTAACTCATTGGATTAAGTGTCTAGACTCCTGTTCTTTTAACTTGTTGGATTAAGTGTCTAGACTAGTTAAGCCTTGGATTAAACTTGAGCATATATTGCCAACACCAAAACTGACATGGGTATTTAACTATTTGGAAAATAAAAAATTATATACAACCCCTTCAAAGTAATTCACATGCATTAAAGAGTAAAATGCAAAAAGTAAGACCATAATAATATAGAGAAAAAGTATTTATATAAAAAAGTATATATATTTATCTAAATCTTGAGATGGGAAAAGACTTTTTAAGTATAAAAACAGAGAAAAATTAAAAGATCAATAGTTTGATACTATAGATATTAAGTCTTAGAAATCTCATGAATGAAATTAAAAATTGAAGAACCAGCTGGGAAAAAATACTTGCCTCCCATCCTACAAGAAAGAAGTATAAATGATTGTGATCATTTGCAAAACTCTCCCCTTTCTTTAGTAATAGGAGAAAAAGTGGGATATAACACTGAGATTTAATCTTCATAAATCTAAGTGGCAAAAGAATAAGAAAGGTATGATAATGCCAAGGGTAGTCACACTAAGGTATATTTGTAGAACCTTTCTGGAAGGCAACTTGGACAATATTTCTCAAGACATTTCTTAATGTTTTTATCCTTTTTTAAGTAATTTTACTTCAAGATTTTTTTTCTAATAGAGCAATGAGTGATCCAACCAAGATTTATGTAGAAGGATGCTAATTGCAACAATAAGTGTTACATTTAAAAGAGAAAAACTGGAAACAACTCTAGGATCCAACAATGGAGAAAATGGTTAAATAATGGTAAATATTCATATGATAGAATACTGTGTTTTCTTAAGACCCAGTTATATTTAATAATATCTGTAAATTCTCACTAGGCATCTATTAGTTTGTTTTCATGCTCCTGATAAAGACATACCCAAGGCTGGGAAATTTACAAAGGAAAGAGGTTTAATGGAGAACTCACAGTTCCATGTGGTTGGGAAGTCTCACAATCATGGTGGAAGGCAAGGAGGAGCAAGTCACATCTTACATGGATGGCAGCAGGCAGATAGAGCTTGTGCAGGGAAACTCCCTTTATAAAACCATCAGATCTTGTGAGACTTATTCACTATTGCAAGAAAAGAACAGGAAAGACCTGCCCCCATGATTCAATTACCTCCCACTTGGTACCCCCCACAACATGTGGAGATTCAAGATGAGATTTGGGTGGGGACACAGGCAAATCATATCAAGGTACTTTAAGTAAAATAAAGTTATAAGGTTATATGTGCAGTGTGATTCCCCTGCCATAGGTGTGTACATGTGAGATAATTGGTTAAAAGTAATCTTTATTTTAATTCATATTTTCTGCATTTTAAATTTTTTCTCTGGTGATGTTCTATTATAATTAAAAAAAACAGACTGATACACTATTTTGTTCAGTGAAAAAAATGCAATTGCCTTGGAGTCTTTAAGCTGCTCCAGATTTATGTGCACTTGTTTTAATTGTAAATACCTGAAAGATATTTTACCCTCCAAAGTTGGTAGGCCACACGTGTAGAGAGCTTATTGCATTTCAGCCCTCTAATAAAGTAAAAGCTTAACACATCATATCAAAGCAACATACTGTTTTTTTTTTTCTAAGAATTAAAGTACTTGGTTGTTACATGTTTATAGCTTAGTGGTGGTTTTTATAATTAAATAAATAAATTTTACCTGCTATTCAAACAAGGACTCCCCACCCTGAATACACATAAAATCCTTGAAGAAAGGCTTCTGCAATCTGTGGGGCATCTGGAATTGTGGCATGAAAAGCTTTCTCAAACCTGACTAAGTGCTGTTTTCTTTCTCTCACCAACAGCATTATTCCAGTTGGAGATATAAAGCAGAGAACCATCATTCTCAAAACTGTTCTGAGAGTCAGCATGTCACCTCTTTCACTCCTCAAGCCTTCAGAATTCCAATGCTAAACATTTCTCTGGCATCTAAGGAACAAAACGTTCAGGATAGAAAGGCTGTGATACTACCCTGCTAGTATCAATCCACATGCACCAGGTCCTGCTGAAGTGTTAAATAGGTTGATACAGGGATGGAATAAAACAATAAAGTGTCTGAGAGAACTTCTGAGGAAATAATACTGTGCACCGCTTCTAGGGAAGGTGGCCCCTAGCTCTGCATGACTAACAGCAGCCATCACAGACACCATGGCACAAGCAGCCCAAATACTCAGGGAGACCCCACATTGAGTGAGTTGTATTTTAATGCCCCTTCAGGAGAAACAAATATGCCTGTACCTATTTTGATACTGAATAACAAATTTGTTCCATGGAAATGTCCTATTACTCATTGAAGCCAGGTACTTTCCTCCTCCTTCATTTTTTTTTTTTTTTTTTTTTTTTTTTTTTTTTTTTTTTTTTTTTTTTTTTTTGAGACAGAGTCTCACTCTGTTGCCCAGGCTGGAGTGCAGTGGCATGATCTCAGCTCACTGCAGCCTCCACCTCCCAGGTTCACGCCATTCTCCTGTCTCAACCTCCCAAGTAGCTGGGACTACAGGCGCCCGCCACCACGCCCGGCTAATTTTTTTGTATTTTTAGTAGAGACGGGGTTTCACCGTGTTAGCCAGGATGGTCTCGATCTCCTGACCTCGTGATCCGCCCGGCTCGGCCTCCCAAAGTGCTGGGATTACAGGCGTGAGCCACCGTCCTTCTTCATTTTTTAAACTGGAAACTTAATTTAGAAAGTTAACATAAATTCCCAGTTTTTATTCTGTTTGCTGTGCTTCTGAAAGGCTTCATGTAATCCTCTTGTAGTTAAGTGTTTTGCTTTCCTCTTTCTCCCTTACTCAAATATATTTTGTTATAGCTCCTAACATAATTTTAAAAACTCACTTGTGAGTTAATTGAACTAATTTTCGAAATCTTAATATTAAAGTTAAAATGTTTTACGAGTTAAGCATTTAAAAATCTATGCACAATTAAGCAAGTTAGACACAGCTGACTAAGAGATAAAAAAAATGCAACCTCATTAATGTTGACCCTTAAACAGTAATTCTTTAAATTTGTACAATGAGAAAATTAATATAGAATGATGAAAAATATTAGGTTTGAATCACATGATAACATATCTTGAATCACACACACATCTGCCACTTCCTAGTAATTCTGTTACTTATTGATTTCATCATTAAAAAATAGATCTGATAATCCCTGTCTTGTTTTTTAAAATAAAATTATATAAAGTAGTTGAAGTAGTTTATCTATAAAGAAATACTAATAAGAGTCTCCTGGTAGTGTACATAATATACATTAAGACTCCATAAATGTTAGCTTTGTAATTGGGTTATTCTAATTATTACTATCTACAATATATAGAGGGTGCTTCAGCTACTTTAAGATGCTTTAAAAATATTTTGTAGTTAGTTGCAAATTAGGCTTAATTTTCCACAAGCACATCACTTAGTACACATATTTTGGGTTTTATACTTCCTCTATCAAACAGATTTACAAGCAAAAAGACTCTTATATAAGCATAATTTATCTTGTCAACAATATGTTGAATTAATCTTTATCCTCTGGAAACTCCTGTCTAAAGAAGACATATATAAACCAACAGTTTGTAATACACCAGTTGTAAACTTTAACAGAGTTATAATAATAATAGCCAACACTTCTATGGCACCTACTATGTGCCAGGAGCTGTGTTTAACACTTATAGTAACTTACTAAATCAAATCAGCTACCTTGTGGGATAATACAGATAAATAAGGAAATCAAGGCATAAGAAATTAAGTAATTTTCCAAGGTTACTGTGACATAACAAAAAATATATATTCAGTCTTTGCCTCTGGTTCCTGGCATAGAGCTCCTAAAACTCTTGGAATTTCCTGAATGATAGACGTAAGAGGAGCATATATTTTGTTATTTATAATAAGCACCTTTCAACCACCCCTGAATTTATGCTAGTGAGGTGACTCTTGGAGGATGGGGGCTAGTTGCCAGGATAACCAACCATGTGATTAGAGGATTAGAACTTTTAACACCAATTCCAGGGAGGAAAGAAGGGCAGGAGATTGAATTAATCACCAATGATCAATGATTTGATCCATCATACCTATTTAATGGGGCCTTTATAAAAATCCTATGCTATGGGGTTTGGAGAGCTTCTGGGTTGGTGAATACATTCACATGTTGGGAGCACGGTGCACCTCAAATTCCATGGGGACAGAAGCTCTGATGCTCAGGACTCTTCCAGACCTCACCCTATGTACCCCTTCATCTGGTTGTTCATATGTATCCTTTATAATAGCCTTTGCAATAAACTGGTAATTGCAAGTAAAGTGTTTTCCTGAGTTCTTTGAGCAATTATAGCAAATTATTGATGAAGGATTTGTGAAAACTCTTGATTTGTAGCCAAGCTGGACAAAAGTGTGGTTAACCTGAGAATCTATTATAATACATATGCTTAGCATCTGATGGTGGTGGGCAGTTTTGTGGGACTGAGCCCTTAGTGTGTGGGCTCTGTGCTGACTCCAGGTAGTTAGTGTGAGAATGGAATTAAATTGTCAGATACCCAGTTGGTCTCTGTGGAGAACTGGAGTCTTTGGTAGAAAACCCATACATTTGGTGTCAGAAGTCTTGCGAGTACCAAAACTTTGTTTTTGTTTAGTCACTCAGCTATTCACTTAAATGAATTGAAATTAAAAATTTAATGCTTATAAATGTGTTTTTTACATATTTATGATTTTACTTATAAAGAAATCTGAAAAGGCACAAAAAGTCATGACACAATTCAGTGATTGAAAACTGGTTTGTTTTCTTAATGGCAACTTTTTCATGGGTCCTTTATTTATCCAGCCTCAGCAGTGCCTCTCCTGTGAAGGCACTGATTAGGACTGATGGAGCACCCAAGTCCAACTGCGAGAATAAGTGCATTGGTGGCCTCATTCTCCCTTCTCTCACAAGTGCTAAAGTTAGCATGATCTGTCGGTACAGGTTATTGCAACTGGATAAATAGACTTCAGTCTTGACTGTGAGAATAGTGTTCTGAAAATCTCGATACCTGTTATAGTTAAAAGCAGATCTCCTTGGAAATAGTCTACAGTGCTTTTCCTCTATTTTCTTTTTTCTCAAAAAGCTTTCTTTTCCTCCTCAAGCTATGATAAATCTTGGAACTAGCATCCTGATGAAAGATTGGAACTATAAATAGTATGTGGTATTTTGTTTCTAAAATTCTATAATTTTGGCTGGGCTTGGTGGCTTATGCCTGTAATCCCAGCACTTTGGGAGGCTGAGGTGGGTGGATCACCTGAGGTCAGGAGTTCGAGACCAGCCTGATCAACATGGAGAAACCCCGTCTCTACTAAAAATACAAAAATTAGCCGGGTTTGGTGGCAGGCGCCTGTAATTCCAGCTACTTGGGAGGCTGAGGCACGAGAATCACTTGAACCCGGGAGGCAGAGGTTGTGGTGAGCCGAGATCACACCATTGCACTCCAGCCTGGGCAACAAGAGTGAAACTCCATTTCAAAAAAAAAAAAATTCTATAATTTTTTCCTTTACTATCTCTTCTTCCACTTTATATGATAGCTATCACGACACAATTATTAAGATAAATGTAAAATAAATAAAAGGTTATTGCAATAAAATTTTGAAAATCAAACTGCCTTAGCATGAAAAACAGTTTTATTAATATTATATTTATATGATGTTCACATATATTCAAATATATTCTTTTAATTTTTGTCAACCTAAATAACAAACAGGCTCTCTAAAAGAAAATGTATTTATTTTGGAATAAAGCATTGCAGTGGGAATACCCATGCCATAATAAACTATGTACACATTCAGGGAGGCAAAGAAAGACAAAGGTTTTTAAAGGAAAAAATGAGGATTATTACACAATTGTTTTGAAATATTTTCCTTGTTTACATAGATCAATAAGAAGGGTGATGACAGTCAGTGGTTGTGCAGTAGAAACTTCCACTGGAACAAGTACCAGGGTAGGAAAATCTAAACTATAATTGATGAAGTATGGAGGTTCAGTGTGGACAAGACTGAGAGATAAAAACTCTGGAGGGACATAGAAACTCTAGTCATAAGGGAGGCCCTCACATTTTGGTGAGTTTTACCACCAGGAGCTCTACCAGGTCCTCACAGTGAATATCAGAGAAAAATCCACACATGAATCTGTCACAAGGAGGGAAAAACGAACCATTCTGAAATATGCTAAAGCATTTTATTCTTCTTAACAAGGCTTTCCTGCAGGAGAAACTATTTTACCAGAGCTTGACCTACTGGGCTTATGTCAGAGCCTCATCTTTCTATAGGAAGGGAAATACTCAACTCCAGCCCCCTCCACCCATCTTGCTCTACCTAATGGGGAAAAAACTGAGAAGCACTGGCTACGTTCACAGTCCAGAGTATAGACTCACCAAAAGACTGAGATCTTATCACAGGATTGTAGAATATTTCTTCTCTACCTGTACCTTACCACTACATTACTAAAGACCTATTTACTGCAGTTTCTTTAACCCAGTACGTTATATCAGCCTAGCAACAAAAAATAAGGCATATTTAAAGGCAAATAACACAGTTTGAAAAGACTGAACAAGCATCAGAACCAGAACCAGACCCAGATATGGCAGGAACATTGGAATGATCAGACCACAAATTTGAAAATAACTATGATTAATATGCTAAAGGCTTTAATGGAAATAGTAGACAACATCCAATAACAGATGGGTAATGTAAGCAGAAAGATGGAAATTCTAAGAAAGAGTCAAAAAGAAATATTAGAGATCGAAAACGTTATGGTAGAAATGAAGAATGCCTTTGATGATGGGCTTATTAGTAGACTGACCATAGTGAAAAAAAATCTCTAAATTTGAGGCTATAACAGTACAAACTTCCAAAACTGAAGAGCAAAGAAAAAGTACTGGAAAAAGAAAAAACCCAGAATATCTAAGAACTATGGGCTAACTACAAAAGGTATAACATATGCATGATAGGAATACTAGAAAAAGAAGACAGAGAGGAAGGAACAGAAGAACTATTTCAAGAAGTAATGGCTGAGAATCTTCTCGAATTATTTTTAGACTCCAAAACACAGGTGCAGGAAGCTCAGAGAACATCAGGCAGTGTAAATGCCAAAAAACTATATCTAAGCACATCATTTTCAAACTACAGAAAATCAAAGATAAAGAAAATATATTGAAAGAATCCAGAGGAAAAAAATACCTTACCTCTACCTGGATAGGAGCAAGGATAAGAACCACATTTGACTTGTCCTCAGAAACCATGCAAGCAAGAAGAAAGTGGAGTAATGTATTTAAAGCACTGAGTGAAAGAAACCACCAATCTATACTGCTATGCCTTATGAAATTACTCTTTAAAACTGAAGCAGAAATAAAGGTTTTCTCAGACATAGAAAAATTGAAGGAATTTGTTGCCAGTAAACCTGCCTTGCAAGACATGTTAAAACAAAAGTTCTTCAGAGAGAAGGAAAATATTATAGTTCAGAAACTCAAATCTATATATGGAAAGAAAAAGTGTCAGAGAAGGAACAAGTAAAGGTAAAATGAAAGCTTACTTTTCTTATCCTTAATTGGCCTAACAGAGAACATTATTCAAAATAATAATAGAAACAATGTATTTGAAAAAATACACACATTCTGTATATGCTTATGCATGAGTGAAATGAATGATAGCAATGATACTATGGGTGGGAGGGAAGAATTAGGAACATTTTGTTATTGTTAGGCATTTGCACTATCTGTGAAGTGGTACAGTAGTATTTGAAAGTGGACTTGGATTGGTTGTAAACGGACACTGCAAACTCTAGGGCAACCACTAAAAAAGTAGAAAAAGAAGTATAATCAATGTGCTAACAAGGGAGAAAAATGGAATCATAAAATGCTAAATTAAAACCACAAAAGGCAGAAAAACTGTGCAATATAAAAACAGGAGCAAAAAACAAGGGCAACAAATAGAAAGCAATAACAAATACGGTAGCTATTAATCTAACTATATCAATAGTCCCTTTGCACATCAATGGTCTAAATGCACCAACTAAAGGACAGAGATTATCAGAGTGGATCAAAAAACAAGACCTAATTATATGTTGTTTACAAGAAATCTGCTTTAAATATAGAGATACATATAGATTAAGAGTAAATTCATGGAGAAAATAATACCATGCTAACACTAATCATAAGAAGGTAGGAGTAGTTACTTTAATTTTAGACAGCATAGACATCACTGCAAGAAAAGTTAACAGGGATAAAGAGAGCATTACATAATGATAAAGATTTCAATAGTCAAAGATGACATAAGAATCCTTAATGTATATGTACCTAACAATAGGGGATCAAAATTTTTGAGGCAAAAACTCCTAGAACTGCAAGGAGAAATAGATAACTAGAGACTTTAGCATCAGTCTATCAGAAAGAATAATGCATCCAGCAGAAAATCAGTGAGGACATAATTAAACTCAAAAGCACTACAAACCCACTGGATATAATTGCCATCTGTAGAGTCCTTCATCCAAGAACAGCAGAATATACATTATTTTTCACATGGGACATTCACCAAGGTAGACCACATTCTGGACCATAAAACACATCTTAAAAATTTTTAAAGAACAGAATTCATACAATGTCTAGTCTCAGACAATAATGAAATTAATAATAACAGAAAGATAGCTGGAAAAATCCCCACATATTTGGAGATTAAGCAACATTCTTATAAATAACACATGGGTGAAAGAAGAAATCTCAAGATGAATTAAAAGTATTTTGAACTAAATGAAAATGAAAATACAAGTTATTAAAATATGGGATACAGAGAAAGCAATACTTAGAGGAAAATTTATAGCATTGTATGCATATGTTAGAAAAAAGAAATATCTTAAATCAATCTAAGCTTCCACTATAGAAAGCTAGAAAAGTAGAATAAATTAAGTCCAAAGTAAGCAGAAAAAAATAGTAAAAATTAGAGCAGGAAACAGGCCAGGTGTGTTGGCTCACATCTATAATCCCGGCACTTTGGGAGTCCAAGGAGGGTGGATTACCTGAGGTCAGGAGTTTGAGACCAGCCTAGCCAACATGGTGAAACCCCATCTCTACTAAAAATACAAAAATTAGTTGGGCTTGGTGGTAGGTGCCTGTAATCCCAGCTACTCTGGAGGCTGAGGCAGAAGAATTGCTTGAACCCGGGGGGCAGAGTTTGCAGTGAGCCAAGATTGTACCACTGCACTCCAACCTGGGTTGACAGAGGGAGACTCCGTCTCAAAAAAAAAAAAATACATATATATATATATATATTTATTTATCTAATATATATTTTATGTATACACACACATATATATATACACACACACATATATATGTATATATACTAGAGCAGGAAACAATGAAATTGAAAACAGAAAATTAATAGAGAAAATTAACAAAACCAAAAGCTGATTCTTTGGAAAGATCATTAAAGTCAATAAACCTCCAGTCAGCCTAACTAAGAGAAAAAGAGAGAGGGATTACTAATATTAGAAATGAAAGAGAGGACATCATATTGATCCCATAGACAGAAAAAGGATAACATAGGAATACCATGAACAACTCTCTGGCCACATATTTGATAACCTAGATGAAATAAATGGAGGAATTTCTTGAAAGGCAATCTGTCAAAGCTCACACAAGAAGAAATAGGCAGTCTGGATAGGTCTATGTTTATTAAAGAATTGAATCAATCATAACTTTGCAAAATAGAATGCCCCAGGCCCAGATAGGTTCATTGGTGAATTCTGCCAAATATTTAAAACAGAGATTTTAATAACTATCTACAATCTCTTGGAAGATAGAAGCAGAGGGAATTTTTTCTAACTCATTCTAGAAAATGAGTAGACAAATTATAGACCGTAAGAAAATATTTGCAAAGAACATACAGGACTGTTAGCCAAAATAAACAAAGAACTCTTAAAACTCAGCAATAGGAAAATGAGCAACCTGTTAAAATGAGCAAAAGACTTGAACTAAGAAAAGAAGATAGACAGGCTGGGCGTGGTGGCTCATGCCTGTAATCCCAGCACTTTGGGAGGCTGAGGTGGGTGGATCACCTGAGGTTGCGAGTTTGAGACCAGCCTGACCAACATGGAAAAACCCCGTCTCTACTAAAAATACAAAATTAGCCAGGCATGGTGGCGCATGCCTGTAAATGAAGCTGAGGCAGGAGAATTGCTTGAACCCAGAGGCGGAGGTTGCGGTGAGCCGAGATCATGCCATTGCACTCGAGCCTGGGGAACAAGAGTAAAACTCTGTCTCAAAAAAAAAAAAAAAAAAAAAAAAAGAGAAGATAGATCACAAGTAAGCATATAAAAATATTCAACATTATATTATTAGGGAATTGCAAATTAAAACAGTGAGATACCTTTATACACTTAGAATGGTCAGAATCAAGAACACTGAAAACACCATTTGCAGGCTAGAATATGTAGCAACAGGAACTCTCATCATTTATTGGTGTTGGAAATTTAAAATGATTCAGCCACCTTGGAAGACAGTTGGCAGTTTCTTGCAAAATGAGCCATATTCTTACCATATGATCCAGCAATCACACTTTTTGGTATATACTCAAAGGATTTGAAAACATGTCCACACAAAAACCTGCACATGGATATTTATTGCAGTTTGTTCATTATGGCCCAAACTTGGAGGCAATCAAGATGCCTTTCAGTAGGAATGGATCTATAAACTGTGGTACAGCTATACAATGGAATATTATTCAGTGCTATAAAGAAGTGAGCCTATCAAAACATAAAAAGACATGGAAGAAGCTTAAATGAACGTTTCTGAAAGAAACTATCTAAAAAGGCTACACACTGTGTGATTCCAAATACATGACATTCTGGTATGGCAAAACTATGAAGACAATAAAATGATTAGTAGTTGCCAATGGATAGGTGGGAGAGAGGGATGAATAGACAGAGAACAGAAGATTTTTTTTTTAGGGCAGTAAAATTATTCTGTATCATACTACAGTAGTGAATAGTTGTTATTGTACATTTGTCCAAACCAATATAATGTACAACATCAAAAGTGGAATCTAATATAAACTATGGGCTTTGGGTAATAACGACGTGTCAATGTAGATTCATCAGATGTAACTAATGTACTATTCTTGTGTGTGATGCTGATAGCGGAAGAGATTGTGCTTGTGTGGGAACAGGAGATATATGTGAACTCTGTACTTTCCAAATCAATTTTGCTGTGAACCTAAAGCTGCTCTAAAAATAAAGTTTATTAATTAAAAAATTGCACCAAACTATGAGTTCAAAGGGAAGGCTTAATTATATTACTGCTCAAATGTTTCTGCAGGTGGCAGACTTCAGCGCTCAGGCAGGAGACCCTTCTGTCCTTGGCAAAGAGAAACAAGGAGAAAATTCTTTCTTGACTTTTGCTAGCTTTACAATCTCTGGTAAAAGGCACTGAGACATGTCATTTCTCCTTATTAGCTTTGTGATCTTGTATATATCTCTTAACATGTCTGGCTTTGAGTTTCTCTTTCTATAAATGAGATAAAAATAACCCATACAGATTTGTGATGAGGAATAAATGGAATGAATATAAGAAGGTGTTTGGTAAAGAGCCTGGTTTATATAAAGCAGTGAATAAATCTTGACATGTGAATCTCAGTCAGCGTGATGCAACATAGAATCTTTACATTTGAGTAACGTTTTTCTAAGTGGCTGTGCTATCAAATGTTGTCTGCACAAGTTGCGTCATTGTTAAGAAAGACAACAGGAATCTAGGAAGCAGTGTAAGAATTAGCTATTGAAGCTGGAAGTAAATTTATTGGAGTCTTCCTATTCTTATGGAACATACCTCTACTAAACACTTTGCATGTATTATGTCATTTAATCCATTAAATGACACCATGAAGTAGGCATTATTGCTCCCCTCTTATTTATAGGTGAAGAAACTGTAGCTTACAGATCAATCAACTGTCTAACCACAGGACCCAAATTTCTCTGTTTACAAATATGGGAATCTCTGTCCTCAGAACCACAGTTATATTCTGAATAGAGAGTTATTCTATCTTATTTTTTTTTTCAGTTTTGCTTGAGAAAGAAGCTGAGGGAAAGAGGAAATAGGGTCCTCACTGAATTTACATCTCCCAGGATATTTAAGCTTACTAGAAGATCTGAAGAAAGTTGATTATGTCATGGAGGTTCTAAACTTTGGGGAAATAATCCCAGAGAGTCCAGTCAAGGCAATTGTGATTGTCCAGACCTGCTCTGGTATACTCAAATGTCTAGAACAGAATCCAACATTCCAAAACTCCTTAGGGCTGAGCTTCCTGATGTTTGTTCCAGAACACACTGGTGTGTCCTGTGAATGGGATTCAGAAGTGGGAAATATATTGATCTCTATGTGAGGACCTGGAGGGAGCCGGGGGCTGCCATAGCTTCCAGGCTGCTTGCCTCCATCCTTGAGTCACCTCATCTGTTTACTCCCGTGTGGCATGCCAACATTTTGTTTGTGTACAATGATGTGTGTTCCATGAGCTAGAAGCTCAGGCCCCCCAGGAGATGGATAATGAGCTTAGTAGAGAGTGTAAGGGGATAAAATGTCAGGGTTTACACAGCCAGAAACAAGCAAAGCAGTAAAACCTGACTGATGTGTGATTAGTCATTTCTTCTTCCAGGAAAAACTGGTATCCTCGACTCATAGAGCCATGGTGCAAGAGAGGGCGTCAGGGACCATTAATTCCCAAGCAAATACGATTTTGTTAGATGGGAAATTGAGAGGTCTCAAGAGGTGGAGTTTTTTTTATGCTCAGAGTTACACAGTATCTTCCTAAGCCAGGATTAGATTAGTTATAGAATTTTGTATGGTCAGTGAAAGAGAGGAAGTCTAGGCATTAGAAAAGAAAGACTTTCATTAAGGGGTAGTTGCAATAGAAGACTATTGTAATAGGGCTCAAAACCTAAGCCAGAAACATTTCAAGGAAGGAGTGGGTAGGGAAAGCCTTTATGTGCAGAGACTGAGGGATAGGTGGGTATGGAAAGAGGAGAGTGTGGAAAACTGCTGGGGGTGATCTTGAAATTTAAGGAACTGAGTCAAACATTGCAATAACAAGAAAGTTGAGGTAGGAAATGTCTGTAGTCAGGCATGTGAGTGCATGGGAGCATGGGAGAGGGGTGAGGTCTGAACCTGAGATGGAGCTGACAGTGAAGGAAGTTCACATAGAGTTTAGAGCCTCCCTGTCCTAGTCAAGTAAGCCTAAGTCATGTCAAGATGAACATTTGATCAGTCTTGTTAATATCAAGCTACTATTGCTTTTAGGTACTGTCTACTTTTGTTTTCAGTGTTTAACAAATAATATTTTATATATATCTACAACATATGATATATCTTAAAGGAACTTAGTTCTTGTTGCTTTTTTATGCTATCGTTGTCCAGTTAACACAGTCTGTTTAAGGTGTATCTACTGTCTTGGCTCTCATAATGTTAGAGCACATTATTATAGGTACAACTTTAACAGTTGGATTACTGAATAGGTCAGTTGACTTGAAACAGATTTGAAAATTCTATTCAGGGGCAGACTGTACTGATCTAAGTTAGACATTTTGTGAAAGTATATGCTTGGTAATAAGAGAGACTAGAGATTTATTTATTCAGTAAATATTTTTCTGTGCATTTATCATGTTCCTGGTAATAAACTAGGAGTTGAAAACAAAAAGTTGAATAAAAGTCATTTTCTGGATACAAGGAGCTCCTAATTTGAACGAAGAGTTATATTATTATGTGGTATAAGCTATATGTAAACACAAAGGTGGTATCTATGTTTTTATGGAAAATGGCCATACTCTTTATCTTTGAGACAGCTGGTTTAATGCCAGTCATTACTCTTCCTACATGGGAATTTGTCTTGACACTTTGAAACTTGTATGGGTTCCCCTTCTTTGTCTTATTTGTTCTTGTCATTGTCCCACTCCAAGGCCTTATCTTTTTGCTTGAAATTTTGTAATAGTATCGTATACTTCAAATCACATGCCCCTCCCACTATGGAAAAAACTGCTGCAGATATTGTTACAAAGCATCAATCTCATTTATGTTTTGTTTGCTTGAAGAACCTAACTGGATTTTAAACACAGAAGTGCAAATCTTCAATATGATATAGGTCCCCTGGTCTTGCTGAAGGGAAAGTCACTGAGATTCACATGTTTGCTTCTTTGTGCTACACTTTCTTTGAGAAAAGGGACATGATAAGAAACTTGGGAGTATACACCTCCCTCCTCCCTTCAACCCCTGTTATCCTCTAAAGCTGACTCTAACTTTGTGAAAAAGCGAAGAAGTTTTGAGACAAATAGGGGATGCTGGGGAAGAGAAAGCATGAAGAGAAGAAACCAAGAGACAGAAAAGCAAATGGTTGCAGCACAATATTGGCCACAGCTGTATACAATTGTGCTGGACATGTTTCAAGGCTGCTGTGGTTCTTTGGGCCCTTCCTGAGTAACTCCTTACCTCTTCACCTAGCTACCAGCTGTGCTCCTCCACACTCCTTATGTCATATTATATAACTTTTATTCTTCAAAACCCACTCTGTTGCTTCATACTTTATGACTTTTTATATCTGTTGACATTTTGATTGTTTTCCTTACGCAATCCTCAAACAACACATGCTGAGCTTGAAGTCAACTTCATGCATGTGAATTGCAGCTGTGAGGTCGCTTTCTTCACTGTTCTGTTAAGTTTTCTTAATGATTTTTGGTAGGGAGCTTTGAAGATACATCAGATGGCAATATTGATCTAATTCTACTTTATATAATACCATTTATTTTGCAGATATTTTAAAAAACTAATAATAAAAAGTCAACTTTAAACTAGAGGTCAGCTGACTAGAACTCTCAAGCAACTTTTTGCCCCTCAACTTTTACTTACAGAGAAAGGTTTTGTGACAAGTAAGCAACTTATATAAGGAATATGCTTTAAAAAACTAACAACTCTAAGGTGAATTTTGAGAATCAGCCCACAATCTGTTCTTTTTTTCTTTTTCTGAGATGGAGTTTTGCTCTAGTTGCCCAGGTACATTTAACATTTACATCAGTAGAATTGTGCAATGACAACTAAGGTTTAGAATGAATCATTAAGGAAGAATTTTATTTATTTAACACTAATCAAAAGATAAAAATAAATGTTGATATATTTTCTATATATAAATATGCACACACATGTGTTCATAGCAAGGCTTAATTAAAAAGGATTTCAGTTGCTCAAGTTTCTGATTACCATGGTGGAACAATGAATTCCTTCAGAACACTGTTTAATTCATTTTTTTTTATGTGACCTAAAATTTCTAACTTATGAGAGTAGTTAGAAGATGTTTTGAATTAGTATCTCATTTCAAAAGAGATAGGGATCTTTCTCATTTGGCATGACCTACTTTTGGCAAGTAGTGTAAAAATATTTGGATATGAAAATAAAATCTAAATCCCAACTTTAGATCAGGATATTAAATATCACTCAGTAATTTACTTGGGGTTTATTACATTCTGAATAAAATTTAGTCTGTTCTCTATGGGAAGGAAAGTCATTACATAGTGGTGTCAAGGGGTTCCAAGTTAACGTGGAGGATTTTTCTTAGTGTCTGCCATGTCAAATAGATAAAGGAAATCATAAAGAAACAGATGAATAAATTTGACTACATTAAAAAACATAAATCATATTTAATATAAAGTCTTTTATTGGTTTGTTTAATTCCTGCCTTGTTTAATTAAGGATATTGAGGTAGTTGAAGTAGACTAAAAAGAAAAATATGCAAATTAAAAGGCAAATAACCTTTAAGAAAAATGTTTTCACTATGTGCAGATAATTAATTCCTTGATTAAATGAATAGCACATAAAATTGATAAGAATATTGAAATTCTTGTAGGCTAATGGGAATAAAAATTGACTGATACTTTGAAAACAGGAACTAGAACTATGAAATAAACTGAGAAATGTGTCCAATGTCAGTAATAGCAAAATAGATGCACATTTTATTCAATTTTAAAAATTATAATACACTGTGGATGTTTTTAAGTTACACTAACCCATGCTACAGATATGTTGAAACTGACATTTTCTTAACACTCGTGCACTATGTTTTGGTTTGCCAACTCCTGGCCTATAGAGTAACGTCCAGGTTCTTAGCACACCACACTTTACAATCTGTTGTCAGTCTAATTTTCTCGAGGTAAGTCCCATGACTTTCCCACACACAACTTTCTTGCTGGTCTTGCTGAAGAGATGTGCTTCTCACTCTTCACTGCTGCTGTACATGTTGGTCTGTCTGACAGACCATTTACTTTCTACATTGTCATCCTCACAAATACCTACTTGTTACTCAAATTTTAGTACGGATCTCATCTCCTCTCTTCTCTCGGAAGGCTTCCCTAAAGAATCTTGTAATCTTTATTTTTTTCATTCTCTCTGCCCCATAAAATATTGTCTCCAACATTGTTATAAGGAGTAGACTCAATATTTGCTTTGACATGTAGCAAATTTTCCAGGTAGGAAAGACGTGTTCTGTGATACCTACTCATCACCTATCTGATATCCCATCAAGGAAAGTATTTTGATACCTCACTTATAAATAAGACCCAGCTCATACATAAGAAATCATACTTCCTTACTTTCTCCACTTCGATATAATGTAACTTATTTTGGCATGTTATTTCCATTTGACTAAGATCATTTACTTCTTTCTCTTATTTTATACGATTATATACAAATGAGCATAGTCTGTTATTACTTTTCAAATGCTAACTTTTATTCTAATGTCTGTCTCTACCTCTCCTCTTTCATTAGCCTTACTTCTCATATAGTATGACTTTTAATCTTACTTGTCTTCAATCCAGACTTATTGTAAGGTACTTAATTATTGCAGGTGCAAGCGTCTGGTAAGTTTGGTTTATCTTCTATTGAGTCATACTGATCATTCACATTCACATATTGAATTATGTGTCATTTTTATTATAAATTACTTATATTCTCTGTTTTATTTTACTATTATAAATTGTATGCTTGTTTGTTTTTAATTTAGTTGTGTAGGCAGGCTAACTTACCAATGTATTTTATGTCAAGATAATAAAGAAATATTACACAATATTTATTATAAAAGAGGCACTGGGTCTGGCCGGTTTGAAACTATAAACATAATGTCTCATATCTACATAAGGTGTGCCTGGGAAGTCCCACAGAGAGCCCAACAGCCACCTTGTGTAAGAACTTTGTTAGCACTAACTAGGACGGAGCAGAAAGTCTGAGCACATGAACTGACTATGCTGGGTATCTTTGTTCAACCACGTTGCCTTACAAATGGTCAAGACTTATGTGGCAGTTTTAAAACTGAAAATATAGAATACAATAGTCAACGTTACTAGCCTGGACATGCAAACTTTGAGTATAAAAAATAATTTAATAGCTCTAAGGTGAAATAAAACTTTGAATAAAAACCAGAGGTTTCAGTGTCATGTGGGAAATGGTCTAGATAATCTTTAATTGCAATGTGAATCTTTAGGTTATTCAGATTCTTCACTACTAAATTCCTATAATTATGTATAATCAGGTATATTATTAATGTTAAGTATGTTAAAAGTGAATCTAAATATCTTTTTTTACCAAAGCAAAAATATTAAATAGTACTTATAAATTTTTACTATCATATTGTATTTCTCAAGTCTAGCAATTCTCAATTTTCTTAAGTTTTCCAAGAATCTTTTATAGTCTTAAAAATTATGGAGGCCTCCAAAGAGCTTTTGCCTAAGTGGGTTACATCTATTAATATTTTCCATAATGGAAATTAAAACTAAGACATTAAAATGTAATGTAATAATTCATTTAAAGTGACAAAAGAAACATATTACATAATATTATAAATTAATTATATTTAATGAAAGAAATGCATTTTCTAAAGCAAAAGATATAGTGAGAAGAATGGCATTGTTTTGCATTTTTTTCATATATCTCTAATGTCTGGTATAATGGCTGGATTCTCATATTCGCTTTTGTATTTCATTTGTTGTTCTATGTTGTGGCTAAGTATATGGAGAAAATCCATTCTTACACAGATGCATATTTGGAAAAAAAACAAAGAACATTTTAATAGCCTTTTAAGATAACTGTGGATTTCTTTCTTGAAATATAAGTACATATGTCAAAACTCAGCATGTAATTGTTTCTTAAAGGTTAGTTGCAAAACAGCATTGCAAATCATTTTAATGAACTTTTCACATAGTGTAATATCAAAATTCAATGGCCTGTCTTGCATATTGAATGAATCTACCCATACATGATTTTGTACATTATATATTCTTAGTTTAGAAAATGTGGGTTCAATGATTTCTGATGATCTTTTCATCATTGACCCAATATTAAAAAATTACGTACATCAGTATGACCACTGATCTCTTGAAAAAATCATTAAGTATTGTGAATCTATCAGTCTCATTACAGCAGATAAAAATCTCTAGCATTCTACTTTTCACTTAAAAGCATGGATTGTATCACTGGAAACAGATATGCCTAATACTCAAATGTGAATAACCATAGTGTTTTTGTCATTGTTTTAATTTAAGATGACAGTCCAAGGGAAAAAATGTCCAGTTCAGCCTGCAACTCAACAAATGTACAAAAGCTTTTTTCCAAGAAATAATTGTATTTCTGGATGGCATCAGTGGTGATTTACACATACTTCCCCTTTTGTAAACAGAATATTAAAAAGTAGGTACTTAAAGAATCAAGATTTAATGTAATTTATGTTTTGTATTCTTTCATCAAAAATATTTTTAAGGAGCATATATTTAGGGCAACTTGAATCTATGTCTCCCAGGTTGCAGTCTTCAAATTCAGCCCAAATAAACTCTTTTTTCACATTTAAATTTTTTTTCTTTCTTTTTTTGAGATGGAGTCTTGCTGCTCTATCACCCAGGCTGGAGTGCAGTGGTGCAATCTCGGCTCACTGCAACCTCCACGTCCTGAGTCCAAGTGATTCTCCTGCTTCAGCCTCCTGAGTAGCTGGGGTTACAGGCACCTACCACCAGGCCCAGCTAATTTTTGTATTTTTAGTAAAGACGGGCTTTTACCATGTTGTCCTGGCTGGTGCCAAACTCCTGACCTCAGGTGATCCACCTGCCTCGGCCTCCCAAAGTGCTGGGATTACAGGTGTGAGCCACAGTGCCTGGTGAAAAAAAGAACATTCTTAAATGAAACCAGCATTTTTTTTTTTTCCTGCATGTGCGTGGTGGGAAAAAATACAATGAGCACTAATACAGTTTGGCTCTATTTCCTTGATTTGTGCTAAGAAGTTTTTTTACCCTTTATTTCACCATTGTGAAAATATTAACTTACTTAGTGAAAAAGGTAAATAACATCATAGTACTATTAGGAAAAGTTTTTGACAGACCCCCTCTGGAAGGGTCTCCATCTCAGGTGTTCACAGAACACCCTTTGAGAACTGCTGGTCTAGTCCTTCTATCTTGCTCTCTCTAGAATGATTATTTCTTGCTTTTTCTCTATCCTAAAACTTGCATCTCTGTCTCCATCCTCATTCTTAACTTTATTTACTTAAATATAGAGAATTTCTCAAGCTCCTTTATCAAATCTACCTACCAACCAGCACCTAGGTCAAAGTATTCTGCCTTCCTTCCCATTTCTGTGGCTGAATTATCTATTCATGCTCCTGTCTCATGCCATCTCCACCACTTTTGCCTTTGATTTTGAGACAGGATTTCTTTCATGCGCGTCCATGAGAAGAGACCACCAAACAGGCTTTGTGTGAGCAACAAGGCTGTTTATTTCACCTGGGTGCAGGCGGGCTGAGTCTGAAAAGAGAGTCAGCAAAGGGAGATGGGGGTGGGGCCATTTTATAAGGTTTGGGTAGGTAAAGGAAAATTACAGTCAAAGGGGGTTGTTCTCTGGCGGGCAGGAGTGGGGGTAACAAGGTACTTAGTAGGGGAGCTTTTGAGCCAGGATGAGCCAGAAGGAATTTCACAAGATAATGTCATCAGTTAAGGCAGGAACAGGCCATTTTCATTTCTTTTGTGGTGGAATGTTATCAGTTAAGGCAGGAACCGGCCATCTGGATGTGTACGTGCAGGTCACAGGGTATATGATGGCTTAGCTTGAGCTCAGAGGCATGACATTCCTATCTTCTTATAGTAATAAGAAAAATAAAATGAAATAGTGGTAAAGTGTTGGGACGGCGAAAATTTTTGGGGGTGGTATGCAGAGATCATGGGCGATGTTTCTCAGGCCTGCTTCGAGTGGGATCAGGGGCGGGTGGGAACCTAGAGTGGGAGAGATTAAGCTGAAGGAAGATTTTGTGGTAAGGGGTGATATTGTGGGGTTGCTAGAAGAAACATTTGTTATTTAGAATTATTTGTGATGGCCTGGATATGGCTTTGTATGAATTGAAAAACGGAATAAGAGAAGGAGAAAAACAGGTATTAAAGGTCTAAGAATTGGGAGGACCCAGGATATTTAATTAATGCCTAAGGAGATTCAGCATAGTCCTGCCAGCAAAGATTATTTATTTACTTTAAGAGTTAAGAGTGGCAGCTTGGGGATAGCACTAGGAGATATCAGCTGTGATGGCTTGGAGAAACAGTGTAAACAAGAGCAGGGCATGTTTGAGTAGTTGAGAATGGTGAATAGGAGTATGACTAGACAGAAGATAGTAGGGATGACAAGTTTTTTGGGGCACAGTCTAAGTTGGTCTGGTGTCAAATGAGACTGGGGTCTAATAAAAAGGAGCGTCTGTCTATACAGGAGCTCAAATGGGCTGTACCTTGTAGCATTCTGAGGACAGGCCTGAATTCTGAGAAGAGAAAGAGGTTAAAGTATTGTCCAGTCCTTTTTAAGTTGGTGGCTGAGCTTGGTGAGGTGTGTTTTTAAAAGACCATTAGTCCGTTTTACCTTTCTTGAAGACTGAGGACTGTAAGGGATATAAAAGTTTCACTGAATACTAAGAGCCTGAAAAAATGCTTGGCTGATTTGACTAATAAAGGCCAGTCTGCTATCGGACTGTATAGAGGTGGGAAGGCCAGACTGAGGAATTATGTCTAACAGAAGGGAAGAAATGACCGTGGTGGCCTTCTCGGACCCTGTAGGAAGGCCTCTACCTATCCAGTGAAAGTGTCTACCCAGACAAAGAGATATTTTAGTTTTCTGACTCGGGGCATGTGAGTAAAGTCAATTTGCCAGTCCTGGGCAGGGACAAATCCTTGAGCTTGATGTGTAGGGAAGGGAGGGGGGCGGAACAATACCCGAGGGGTAGTAGAATAGCAGATAGAACACTGAGAAGTGATCTCCTTGAAGATAGACTTCCATGATGGAAAGGAAATGAGAGGTTCTAAGAGACGGGCTAGCGGCTTGTAACCTACATGGAAGAGGTTATGAAATGACGACAGAATAGAATGGGCCTGTGAGGCTGGAAGGAGATATTTTCCTTGGTCTAAGAACTATTTGCCTTGTGTGGGAAGAGATTGATAGGTGGAAGTTTCAGTGGGGGAGTAGGTGCAAGTGACTGATGTGAAGGAGAAAAAACTGAAAGTGAGGGACAAAAGTTGGAATGCTAGCTGCTTTTTTAGCTATCTTATCAGCATAAGCATTGTCCTGAGAGATGGGATCTGATGCCCTTTGATGGCCTTTGCAGTGAATGAGTCTAGCTTCCTTTGGAAGCAAAGCAGCTTTGAGAAGCATTTTTATTAAAGAGGCATTAATGATAGAGGACCCTTGTGTAGTGAGGAAACCTCTTGCATGGTGGTGCAGGATATGGAAGGCATATTTAGAGTCAGTATAAATGTTGATGTTTAGTCCTTTTGTAAGAGTGAGGGCTTGACTTAAGGCAATGAGTTCAGCTTGCTGAGAGGTAGTGGAGGGCGGGCACAAAGTAGCCTCAATGATAGATGTGGAAGATACTATAGCATAGCCTGCCTTTGCTGGTGAGTGGCGATTAGGCCTGGTGGAACTGCCATCAATAAACCAAGTGTGTTCAGGGTGAGGAACATGAAAGAAGGAAATGTGGGGAAATGGGGTGAACGTCAGGTGGATCAGAGAGATGCAGTCATGAGGGTCAGGTGTGGTATCCAGAATAATGTGGGAGACTCAACAAAGAGTGAGTACAGCTGAAGGAGCCAGGAAGCAGAAAGTATATGTGTCAGGTGTGAGGAAGAAAATGGATTTTGGAAGTTATGAGAACTGTAGAGAGTGAGTTGAGCATAGTTTGTGATTTTAAGGGCCTCTAAAAGTATTAGGGCAGTGGCAGCCACCACACGCAGACTTGAGGGCTAGGCCAAACAGTAAGGTCAAGTTGTTTGGATAAAAAGGCTACAGGGTGCGGTCCTGGTCCTTGTGTAAGAATTTTGACTGCACTAACCATGCCTAGGAAGGAAAGGAGTTATTGTTTTGTAAGGGATTGAGGTTTGGGAGATCAGTCGGACATGATCAGCAGGGAGAGCACGTGTGTTTTTATGAGAATTATGCCGAGATAGGTAACAGATGAGGATGAAATTTGGGCTTGGCTGAAGTAATGGGGGCTGTCTGTGAAGTCTTGCGGCAGTACAGCCTAGGTAATTTGCTGAGCCTGATGGGTGTCAGGGTCAGTCTAGGTGAAAGCGAAGAGAGGCTGGGATGAAGGGTGCAAAGGGATAGTAAAGAAAGCATGTTTGAGATCCAGAACAGAATAATGGGTTGTTGAGGGAGGTATTGAGGATAGGAGAGTATATGGGTTTGGCACCAAGGGAGGGGGATAGGAAAAACAGTTTTGTTTATAAGGCGCAGATCCTGAACTAACCTGTAAGGCTTGTCTGGTTTTAGGACAGGTAAAATGGGGGAATTGTAAGGGGAGTTTATAGGCTTTAAAAGGCCACGCTGTAGCAGGCAAGTGATAACAGGCTTTAATCCTTTTAAAGCATTCTGTGGGATGGGATGTTGGCATTGAGCGGGGTAAGGGTGATTAGGTTTTAATGGGATGGTAATGGGCATATGATCGGTTGCCAGAGAAGGAATAGAGATGTCCTATACTTGTGGGTTAAGGTTGGGGGATACGAGAGGAAGATGCAAATGAGGCTTTGGGTTGGGGAGAAGGGCGGCAATGAGATGCAGCTGTAGTCCAGGAATAGTCAGGGAAGCAGATAATTTAGTTAAAGTGTCTCGGCCTAATAAGGGAACTGGGCAGGTGGGGATAATTAAAAAAGAGTGCATAAAAGAGTATTGTCTAAGTTGGCACCAGAGTTGGGGAGTTTTAAGAGGTTTAGAAGCCTGGCCATCAATACCTACAACAGTTATGCAGGCAAGGGAAACAGGCCCTGAAAATAAGGTAATGTGGAGTGAGTAGCCTCCATATTGATTAAGAAGGGGACAGATTTACCCTCTACTGTGAGAGTTACCTAGAGTGTCTGTGATGGTCCTGTAGGCTTCATGAGGTGATCAGGCAGTGTCAGTCTTCAGCTGCTAAGCCGAGAAGATCTGGGAAGGAGTCAGTCAGAGAGCCTTGGGCCAGAGTTCCAGGGGCTTTGGAAGTGGCTGCCAGGTGAGTTGAACAGTCTGATTTTCAGTGGGGTCCTGCACAGATGGGACACGGCTTAGGAGGAATCCTGGGCTGTGGGCATTCCTTGGCCCAGTGGCCAGATTTCCAGCACTTATAGCAAGCTCCTGGGGGAGGAGGTTCTGGAGGAACCCCTGGCAGCTGAGGTTCAGGCGTTTGGAGTTCTTGTGTGCTGGAGATGTGGCTGGGGTTTGTCTCACAGTGGAGGCAAGGAATTGCAACTCAGAAATACATTGCTACTTGGCTGCCTCTACTCTATTATTGTACACCTTGAAGGAGAGGTTAATTAAGTCCTGTTGTGGGGTTTGAGGGCCAGAATTTAATTTTTGGAGCTTTATTTCATGTCGGGAGCAGATTGGGTAAAAAAAATAAAATGCATATTGAGAATAAGACTGCCTTCTGACCTTTCAGGGTTTAGGGCTGTAAAGCATCTCAGGGTTACTGCCAAATGAGCCATGAACTGGGCTGGGTTTTCCATATTTGATGAAAAAGAGCCTAAACGCTAACTGATTTTGGGAGAGGTCGGTTAAAGAAAAAGGAGCATTAACCTTGACTATGCCTTTGGCTCCAGCCACCTTTTTAAGAGGAAATTGCTGGGCAGGTGGGGGAAGGCTATTTGAGGAATGAAACTGTAAGCTGGACTGGGTGTGAGGAGGGGAGGTGGTAAAAGGATTATAGGGTGGGGGAGCAGAGGCTGAGGAAGAATTGGGACCTGGCTCGGCCTGGAGAGGAGGGGAGAGGTCAGATGGGTCTATAGAAAAGGAAGATTAGAAAGACTCAGCAATGCTTGGGTTTGGGACTGAGGGGATAGGCTGGAGGGAAAGACGGATGATTTGGGACAAGTTGCATTGGGAACAGAGACTAGGGAGGGACTGATGTGTAAAAGAATGCCTGGATGTCAGGCACCTCAGACCGTTTGCCTATTTTATGACAAGAATTATTTAGATCTTGTAGGATGGAAAAATTGAAAGTGCCATTTTCTGGCTGTTTGGAACCACTGTCGAGTTTGTATTGGGGTCAAGTGGCACTGCAGAAGAAAATAAGGCATTTAGGTTTTAGGTCAGGTGTGAGTTGAAGAGGTTTTAAGTTCTTGAGAACACAAGCTAAGGGAGAAGAAGGAGGAATGGAAGGTGGAAACTTGCCCATAGTGAAGGAGGCAAGCCCAGAGAAAAGAGAGTAGAGACACGGAGAAGGGGTGGGGGGTTGTTGCCCTCCAGAAAAGCAGAGAAGGGGTCGGGGCATGGAAATAAGGGGTTGGGGTGCAGAGATAAGTAGTCGGGGTGCAGAAATAAGGGATTGGGGTGCAGAGATAAGAGGTTGGGGTGCAGAAATAAGGGATTGGGGCACAGAGATAAAAGGTCGGGGCATGGAAATAAGGGTTCAGGGCACAGAGATAAGAGGTTGGGATGTGGAAATAAGGGATCGGGGGTTCTTGCCTCCTAGAAAAGTGGTACTTGCTGCTAAGGGTGAAGGAGAAGGGGTTGGGGGTTTCTTGCCTCTCCCCCAGAAAAGTGGGACTTGCTGCTAAGGGTGAAGGAGAAGCGGTTGAGGGGTTCTTGCCCCTCCTCTAGAAAAGCGGAGAAGGGGTAGAGACACAGAGAGAAGGGGTTGGGGTTCTTGCCCCTCCCCCAGAAAAGTGGGACTTGCTGCTAAGGGCAAAGGACCAAGGCAGGCGTCCCTGTGTGGTCTGACACCTCTGAAACCCAGGTGAATAATCAGAGAGGCGTCCCTGCAGTGATTAAACACCAAGAGAAGGCTGCCTTCCCTAGTCCGTGACCGGTGCCAGAGTTCTGGGTCCACAGATAAAACGTGTCTCCTTTGTCTCTACCAGAAAATGAAAGGAATTGAAATTAAGAGAAGGGAGAGATTGAAGTGTGGCACCAAGATTGAAAGGAGAAAGAGGTTGAGGGATAGTGAGGGAGGTTGGAGAAGAGAGTAAAAAGAGGCCACTTACCGGATTTGAAATTGGTGAGAGGTTTCTTGGGCTGGTTGGTCTGAGGACCTGAGGTTGTAAGTGGATCTTTTTCATGGAGCAAAGAGCAGGAGGACAGGGGATTGATCTCCCAAGGGAGGTCCCCCAATCTGAGTCACTGCACCAAATTTCATGTGCGTTGTGCAAAGAGACCACCAAACAGGCTTTGTGTGAGCAACAAGGCTGTTTATTTCACCTGGGTGCAGGCGGGCTGAGTCTGAAAAGAGAGTCAGTGAAGGGAGATAGGGGTGGGGCCGTTTTATAAGATTTGGGTAGGTAAAGGAAAATTACAGTCAAAGGGGGGTTCTCTGGTGGGAAGGAGTGGGGGTCACAAGTTGCTCAGTAGGGGAGCTTTTGAGCCAGGATGAGCCAGGAGAAGGAATTTCACAAGATAATGTCATCAGTTAAGGCAGGAACAGGCCATTTTCATTTCTTTTGTGGTGGAATGTCATCAGTTAAGGCACGAACCGGCCATCTGGATGTGCACGTGCAGGTCACAGGGGATATGATGGCTTAGCTTGAGCTCAGAGGCCTGACAAGTTCAGCAAAACTTGTTTTTAAAGACACAGTTTACAAAAACCCTGCTGATAAAACAAAATGATGTAAAGAAGCCAGCAGAAACCAGTCAGAATCAAGATGGTAACAAAAGCTACCTCTGAATGTTCTCACTGCTCATTATGCACTAATTATAATGCATAAGCCTGCTAAAAGAAACTCCTACCATTGCCACCGCAATTTGCAAATGCCATGGCAACATTTGGAAGTTACACGGTCCAAAAGGGCAGGAACCCTCAGTTCCACTCCCTGCTTCTTTCCCAGAAAACTGATGAATAATCTACCCCATATTTTGCATATAATCAAGAAATAACCATAAATATGGCCAGCCAACAACCCATGAGGGCTAATCTGCCTATGGAGTAGCCACACTTTTACTCTTTTATTTTCTTAATAAACTTGCTTTCATTTTACTCTGTTGTCTCACCCTTGAATTCTTTCCTGTGCAAAGCCAACAACCCACTTGGCCTCCTGGGCTGAGCCTCAATTTTGGGGTTTGCTCTGTGACAATTCCATCCTCTTACAATGTTTAAAATTGGACTCTTCATCTTGTCCCCAACATGGTACATTGGCAGTCTTCTCATCTCAATTAATGGCAACTCAACCCTTTCTATTATGTTGGCCTAAAGCCTTGAAATTATCCTGCATGACTCTCTTCTATCATCCCCGACAGCTACCCTGTCAAGATACCATGTTTATTCTAGCTTCAAAATACATTTAGTTTTGAGTTCTGTCTTAATACCCCCACTGCTACTGCCCTGGTTCAAGCCACCACTGATTATTATTCTAATTGGTTTGTAATTGGTCTTTTGTCTTCCAATCTTGATTTTCTATAGTCTGTTTTCAAAACAACAGCTAAAGAGATGTTTTAAAAACTTAAGTCAAATCACATTAACTTCAAAAGTCATCCTATCACACTCAATGTGATAGCAGAAATCTTCAACAGCCTGTTAGCTTTGCATGATTTGGCCTTCAGTCTTTTCTTGCTTTCTCACTGGCCTCATCTTCTTTCTCTCTTTGCCTGACTTACTTTGCTCAAATCACAGAGGCCTCCTTGTTGATCTTTGGAGCCACAAGGCATGATCCTAATTTACAGCCACGATGTACTTCTTCCTGAAGGGCATTTCCCCCAATACCTGATTTCCCCTTCACTTCACATTGCTTCTCAAATGCCACTAATCAGAAAACCCTCGTTGAGTACCTACATAAAGTGGCCTTACTACTGCCACTCTATTTCCTTAACTTGCTCAATATATACTTATAGTAAGTATCATCCTTGGACATATTATTTATTTAATTATTCATTGTCTAGCTCTACGATTCTATTAGAATGTAAGCTCTGTGAAGACAGGGACATTTTCTTTTTCTTAATTAATATTATTTTTTTACTTTAAGTTTCGGGTTACATGTGCAGGTTTGTTACAAAGGTATATATGTGCCATGGTGGTTGGCTGTACCTACCAACCCTTTAAGCCCCACATGCATTAGCTATTTGTCCTGATGTTCTCCCTCCCCTTGCCACCCACCCCTCACCCCTCCTGGCTCCAGTGTGTGTTGTTCCCCTCCCTGTGCCCATCTGTTCTGATTGTTCAACTCCCACTTATGAGTGAGAACACGTGGTATTTGGTTTTTTATTCTTGTGTTAGTTTGCTTAAGATGATGGCTTCCAGCTTCAGCCATGTCAAGACAGGGACATTTTTCTGATTGTTACTGCTATGTCTCTGACTCCTAGAACAGTTCCTGGCATGTAGTAGGCATTCAATACAGATGTTTTTGATACCTGGCATGTAGTAGGCATTCAATACAGATGTTTTTGATGCTTATATCAAGATGGCTGACTAAAGGTGCTCAGCACTAACCTCCCTAAAAAGGAAGGACCAAAAAAACAAATAGATAACCACATGTTGAATAGAGTGTCTAGAGAACACTAGAATTTAGCAAGGAAGTGACAGAGACTCTCTGAGGCATGGAGGCTTGGGATAGGACCATAGAGAGCAAAGCAAACAAATTGCCAGGATTAACTGGAAGAACTCATTCAGGGAGAAGGCAGGGAAGAGATCCTCAGCAGTCCACACTCTTACTACAGATTCCTGCAGTCCTAGTTATAAGAAAGCCCAATAGCTTTCTAGTAGGCCCCGAACACAATATATAGGGAGCTGCCTGGAGTCCACAAAACTATATTATTCCACAGAAGAAATTTACTCTGGGTCCTCCCAACTCACTGACACACATGTTACTGCAGCCTGGTGCCATTTTGAGAGAGAAGCAAACACAAGACTGCACCCTGCCCAGGGGCCTAATAGCCCTTGCATCTCCATATCCCTGGGGCACCACTGACATGATAGCACATCTACCCAGAGGGCTGCAGTATTTTGACACCAGTGATGCAGCCATGACCTTGGGACCCAAGCCCACACAGTGCCCTGTACTCTGGGGAACAAGAGGTCCAGCACAGCAGGAAAGCTGCCCTCAAGACAGTGGGAATCAGTATGTGATCTCCTCAGAGACTGAGAGCTGCCCACCTGGGGCCTGCTGCCCTTACCGCCAGCAACTCTGTCCCTCTCAGCAGTAGAACCACCCAGGGGTGAAAACTGGCTTGCCCACAGCCAGCTCACTATTGTCAGCAACCCTGCCCTGTTCAATGATGGGATGGGATCACCAGGGCCCAACAACCAGCTCATGCAAGGCCTGCTGCCCCACTGCCAGGTAACTTTGTCCCTTTAGCAGCAGAACCACATGGGAGCCTGAAGATCAGCCTACATGGGGCTTACTACTGCCACCACCAGCAACACTAACTTCCTCAACAGTGGGGCTGCTATCCACCTGCATGGCACCCAGAGGTCCAAGGTCTGGTCTGCCTGGTTCTTGCTACTACCACCATTGACAACCCTATCCCTTCCAGCAGCATAGCTATTTCACACCTGTGCATGCCTCTCAGGGACCTGAAGGATCTACCTTCCCAGTGTCCTCATCCTCAACAAAGCCACATCATAGCCTCCACAAGCAACCACAGCCTACACCACTGAGGCATTTGCAGACACTGCTGTTATTGGTTATGGCCAAAGAAATCATACAGAGACTACACTACTGCATCCACCCAGAAACAAAACCAAGCACCCTACCTAACCAACACTATAGGACACATTTACAGGAAAAGGTCTCTCATTATGAAAGCTGCTTCATAAAGTTGGGAGAAGTAACTATTTCACCAGAAGTTCAGATATAAACATAGGGCCACAAGAAGCCAAAAAAAAAAGAAGGAAATGTAACATCTCCAAAAGAACACAATAATTATCTAGTAACATGCCCCAAAGAAAAGGAAATGTATGGAATGCCTGATATGGAATTCAAAATAATACCAACAAAATCAAGAAAACAATTTATGATCTAATAAGATTCAGCAGGAAAAGTGATGGTGGTTAATGGGTACAAAAATAAAGTTAGAATGAATAAGATCTAGTATTTGATAGCACAACAGGGTGACAATAATTTATTGTACATTTGAAAATAACAGTATAATTGGAATGTTCATAACACAAAGAAATGATAAATGCTTGAGGTGGTGAATACCCTATTTACCGTGATGTGATTATTATACATTGTATGCCTATATCAATATATCTCGGGTACCCCATAAATATATACAACTACTATGTACACATAACAAAAATATAAAAATTAAGACATTCAAAAAAGAGATAGATATCATAAAAAAGAACCAAACAGAAATGTTGGAAGTGAATAATTCAAGGAATTAAACAAAAAATCCAGTTGAGAGCTTCAACAATAGACTAGATCAAGTAGAAGAAAGCATTTCTAAATGTGAAAACATGTCTTTTAAAAATAACCATTGAACACAAAAAAAGAAAAAGAAAAAGGATGAAAAAGAATGAAGAAAGCCTATGTGACATGTGGGACACCATTAAGCAAACAAAGTTTTGTGTTGTGGGAGTTTCAGAAGCAGAAGAGGTGGGAAAGGCATAGAAAACCTATTTAACAAAATAATAGCTGAAACTTTCCCTAGTCTTGGGAGAGATATGGACTTCCAGATACACAAAGTGCAAAGCTTCCCAAATAGATTCAACTTAAAAAAGTTTTCTACAAGGCACGTTATAGGCAAACTGTCAAAATTAAAAGACAGAGAATTCTAAAAGCAGCAAGAGAAAAGCATCAAGTCATATATAAGAGAATCCTCTTCAGACAAACAAATTTCTCAGCAGAAACCTTATGGGCTAGAAGAGAATAAGGTGATATATACAAAATGCTAAAAGAAAGAAATTCATAGGCAATAATACTATAGCTGATAAAGCTATCTTTCAGAAATGAAGAAGAAATAAATTCTTTCCCAGAAAAGCACAAGCTTGTCATTACCACTGGACTGTCTATACAAGAAATGTTAAGGTAGTCACACATTTGAAAGAGAAAAGATGATATCTATCATAATGAAAACACATGAAAGTGTAAAACTCACTGGTAAAACAGGTACACAAATGAGAAAAAGAAAGGAATCAAACTTTAGTAATATGGAAAATCACTAAACCACAAAGATAAATAAAAAGAGACAAAGAAACAAAGGATACATAAACAACCAGAAAAAAATTTAACAAAATGATAAGAGTAAGTCCTCGCTTATCAATAACAACCTTGAATGTAAGTAGTTTAAGTTCCTGAATTAAAATATATAGACTGTCTAAGTGGATAAAAAACAAGACCTAACTATATACTGCCTACAAGAAATTCACTTCACCTGTAAAGACACACAAAAACTGAAAGTGAATGGAAGGAAAAAGATATTCCACACAAAAAGAAATCAAAAGTGCGTAAGAGTAGCCATGCTTATATCAAACAAAAAAGACTTTAAGTCAAAAAACATAAAAGAAGCTGGAAAGGCATTACATAATGATAATGATAAAGGAATCAGTTCAGCAAGAGGTCATAACTATGCTTCAGTATTACACACACACACACACACACACACACACACACACCCAACACTGGAGCACCCAGATATATAAAGCAAATATTATTAGAGCTAAAGAGGTAAGGTATCTTGGGTGGCATGTTATGCACATATTTGTTATTTCACCATTTACTGGCTAGCAAGAGATGACAAGAATATGTGTCTAGCATGGGCAACTGAGCCTCACTTGGTATTTCATTTAGCATTGCAAGTGTGTGATGTAGCTGCCTTGTCTGGTGCAATTTTATGTGACCAGATATGCACAGGTCTGAATTCACAAAAGACCTCATTTTCCTAATCAAGAACATATTTAAAAGAGAGTCATACATGTCCAGAGGACTTTACCTCCAGGTATGTTGAGAAAGAGAGAGAGAGAGACACTAAAGGTAGAGGTTAGCAAATTGAAGATCTTTGAAGCATACCACTTTCTTTTCTGTATACTTGATTTCTAAAAATGTAGAAGTGAAATTTTACTTTGCCATAGTAAATTCTAATAAATGCAGCTTTGCTTAATTAAACTTTGGTGATATTTTTGGAAATTCAACAATGTGAAAGTTCTACCAAGATCCATTCAAGAAATCTTCATTGCAGCAACTCAAGACGCTCAACTCAAAAACAGTGTGCTTCACCAAGGTTCCTTGAGCCTCCTGTTTGGGCTATGCTATCTCACACTACAGTATGAGATGTTTCACCTTGGGTCTGACCTATGATTTCCTTTTCGTTGAGCTCCCAAATGCTAAGGTTATTTTGTTTCCTCAGAAATTAGATCTCTTTTAAGAATCCTTTTATTATGTAATCAGATTTAAAAGTTTTTTGCTTATTGGAAAACTGCCTTGCTAGTAATAACATTATTTTCTCTGTCTATCCTTCTCCTTATTTGTTATGATTCTGCTATAGTAAATTCATAGGGAAGAGGTCCAGTATAGGGCCTGTTAAATCCATTCTTTAAGACAGTCCTGGGACCTAAGAAATTCAGAAGCTTTCTCCTCAGAATGGCGTTCTTTGGATACATTTTGCCTTCAGTCACTTATTAAAAACCTTATGAAAACTTTACCCACACTTACCTTGTTTTGTCTAGTGAGAGTCTGACTGTGGAAAAGATCTCCTCTTCAAACCTTTTATCTACTAGGAAATGCGTATTTTTCAGACTATAGGCAGCCCACCAATTAGGTTGTGGAGTCTCGAAACATGAAGAGCATAAGCAATGCGTTCAACTGATTGTTGCCTAGAATATGACATCTTACTAGAGGAAAAATCTGCCGGGCAGAACTTATCATGGTCACCAGAGCTTTGCCAACTAGTGAGTAATAATAGAGTTAAGACATATACTGAGAGTAGTATGCCTTTGGAGTAGTCCATGATTTTGGAATACTGAAAAAATGAGTTTTTTGTTTTCTTTAACCTCTGTAGAAATCCTAGTGAAAAAAGTGAAAAATAATCAGCTCATTTAAGAATTTGTAGGTGTTTTAATGCTTTCTAAGAAGGTGACTATGATAAAAGTGTGAATCCATACAACAAGGCAGATCATTGAGGCTAAAAGAAATGCTCAAGCTGCTGATTGATTACACCTGACAGGCAGCCCTCACAAAAGTACTGGCCCATATAATGCTGACTAGAATGGTTCCCACAGGCTACTATAAAATGCCAGCAATGTGGCATCACACTTTGGTTCCAAGTGTGAAAGAGTTACTGTGGAAAAATCTGGTAGAAAATTGGGCAATTGATGTCTGGTGCTTTCATAAGGAGTGCTTTGTGATGCCAGACATTACAAAATATCCCTCAAGCCAGAGAGGACAAATCAGCCATTGTACTCAAGCAACTAGTGGAGGGGAGGGGACTTTTTGCGAAGGGATGAGGTGGCTTTGTGCATGTCTGATCTAACAAACATTGAAAAATTCTTATGTTTAATATTGTGTAATCAAAGTTCCAGTTGAGACCAAATAAGGCTATCAATAATAGTACCATTTAGACAGGATCTGAAAACATGCTGCTTTGCACCATGGCTCAGTGTAGAAGTGCACAACGGGGAAGAAAGAAAAATATATGGTACCTATTAAAAATTATATACCTTTAAAAGTTGAAACTTAGAATAAGAAATATCTATCTGCAGTCATACTCCTGATTCTTCCTCCCAGAAGAAACCATTTTCTGTTATTTTCAGCGCTTGTGTCCATATTTCTAAATATAATTTTATCATTTTAAAACATTTTCAGTTTAGATATTAAAATGGTTAACTAAAGAGATTTCGCTCTTTTACATGAATGTACCACTTCCATTATTTTCTCTCTTCCCATCTTCCCAAAGTAGTTGTATCTCAATTGATTAAATTGATATTTGGTTTTTACACCATTATCACCTTTTAAGTATCATTTTCAGCTAAGCAATTTATTAAATTTATTTTTTCTTGTATTTTTTATTTTCTATTTTTCTTTCATATACCTCTTACTAATTAATTCCCAAATATTTTGATGGAACTGCAATCTCTTGTCCATATATCCAAGCAGCTGTTTTGTTTTTTGTCATTTTTAGATATTTCTTAGAGTTCTCAATCCTTCTCCTCCAATTTTTACTGGTTACTTTCTTTGTTTCACAGATGGAATCTTGAGATTCTCCATTATGATCAATCTGGGAATTTCCCTTTACCTCTTTCCTTCATCCTGTGTCCTGAATACCATGTTTTCATTATTTCTTGGTTTATGCTCTGCTGGAGTACAAATCCTACAGTAGAGTCTTGAGAAGGGCTGTAACTATTTTGCCTTCAGCTTTTGAGATGTTTGGGGATTCATCTTCTTACTGGCTTCCTCCAGTCTTCCTTAGTTATCAGCTTTCTCTAAAGGCAATGTCAGTTACTACCCATTCTTCTAAGTTCTAAAATTTTGTTAACATCTCTTATTTGCTGCTGTTTCCTACTCTGTTCTCTTTATCTTTACACATTGTGCATATTTTATTCCTTTATTGTCATTGTAGTGGGGTTTCAGGAGGGAGCAAGTAGCAGCACCTTTGTTCAACATACCTTGTTAACTATAAAACTCTCATCAGATTTTTAGTTACCATAATCGAGAATGACTAATCTGGTGTGTATACAGTGAAGGCCAGAAGTAGCTCAGGAAAAAAGTCATTCAACAGGCCAGTTGATGTATTAAATTGCTGCTGCCAGATGGAGGTTATGCATTCTTCAATGTTGAGGATATTGTGGACTTTTCCTCCTGTTTTCATTTTTAGTTTCACTAAACAAAATGGGCACTAGATGGCTCTATAAAAGCATATATATTCAGAACATTCCATTCAGCTCAAGAATTAAGCATAAAATCTTTTAGAACAAAAGAAAATTTAAGCATTTTTTTAGTTATGAGAAAGTGAGTTGAAAACTATTACTAGCCATTAAGGAATAAATTACGCACTTGTAAATTTTTGAAGTGTTCTTTATTGTCAGTAAATATTTATCGAATATGTACCAAATGCCAGGTACTAGAAGCAGTGCTGGAGCTGTAGTGATAAGAGAAACAAAAACGGCACTGTCATCATGGAATTTACTGGCAAAGAAAAAAAAATTCAGAAGATAAACAAAGAATTATAAATGATGAATTAAATAGTTCCAAGAATGCAAAGTTTTTTTTCTTTAATTTTCCACCTTTATATCCTAATTTTCTTTTTTTTTCTTTTTTTATTATACTTTTAAGTTCTGGGTTATGTGCGCAGAACATGCAGTTTTGTTACATAGGTATACACGTGCCATGGTGGTTTGCTGCACCCCTTAAACTGTCACCTACATTAGGTATTTTTCCTAATGTTATCCCTCCCCTAGTCTCCTACCCCCCGACAGTCCCCGGTGTGTGATGTTCCCCTCTCTGTGTCCATATGTTCTCATTGTTCAACTCCCACTTATGAGTGAGAACATGCGGTGTTTTGTTTTCTGATCTTGTGATAGTTTTCTGAGAATGATGGTTTCCAGCTTCATCCATGTCCCTGTAAAGGTCATGAACTTATCCTTTTTTATGGCTGCATAGTCTTCCATGGTGTATATGTGCCATATTTTCTTAATCCAGGCTACCATTGATGGGCATTTTGGTTGGTTCCAAGTCTTTGCTATTGTGAATAGTGCCGCAATAAACATACATGTGCATGTGTCTTTATTGTAGAATGATTTATATTGCTTTGGGTATATGCCCAGTAATGGGATTGCTGGGTCAAATGGTATTTCTAGTTCTAGATCCTTGAGGAATTGCCACACTGTCTTCCACAATGGTTGAACTAATTTACACTCCAACCAAGAGTGTAAAAGCGTTCCTATTTTTCCACAACCTCTCCAGCATCTGTTGTTTCCTGACTTTTTAATGATCACCATTGTAACTGGCATGAGATGGTATCTCATTGTGGTTTTGATTTGCATTTCTCTAACGACCAGTGATGATGAGCATTTTCCATATGTCTGTTGGCTGCATAAGTGTCTTCTTTTGAGAAGTGTCTGTTCATATCTGTTGCCCACTTTTTGATGGGGTTTTTTGTTATTTTCTTGTAAATTTGTTTAAGTCCTTTGTGGATTCTGGATATTAGCCCTTTGTCAGATTGATAGATTGCAAAACTTTTCTCCCATTCTGTAGGTTGCCTGTTCCCTCTGGTGATAGTTTCTTTGGCTGTGCAGAAGCTCTTTAGTTTAATTAGATCCCATTTGTTAATTTTGGCTTTTGTTGCCATTGCTTTTGCTGATTTAGACATGAGTCTTTGCCCATTCCTATGTCCTGAATGGTATTGCCCAAGTTTTCTTCCAGGATTTTAATGATCCTAGGTATTATGTTTAAGTATTTGATTCATCTTGACTTGATTTTTGTATAATGTGTAAGGAAGGGGTCTAGTTTCAGTTTTCTGCATATGGCTAGTCAGTTTTCCCAACACCATTTATTAAATAGGGAATCTTTTCCCCATTGCTTGTTTGTGTCAGGTTTGTCAAAGATCAGATGGTTGTAGATGTCTGGCGTTATTTCTGAGGCCTCTGCTCTGTTCCATTGGCCTATATATCTGTTTTGGTACCAGTACCATGCTGTTTTGGTTACTGTAGCCTTGTAGTATAGTCTGAAGTCAGGTAACATGATGCCTCCAGCTTTGTTCTTCTTGCCCTGGATTGTCTTGGCTATGCGCGCTCTTTTTTGGTTCCATATGAAGTTTAAAGTAGTTTTTTCCAATTCTGTGAAGAAAGTCATTGGTAGTTTGATGGGGATAGCATTGAATCTATAAATTACTATGGACAGTATGACCATTTTCATGATATTGATTCTTCCTATCCATGAGCATGGAATGTTTTTCCATTGGTTTGTGTCCTCTCTTATTTCCTTGAGCAGTGGTTTGTAGTTCTCCTTGAAGAGGTCCTTCACATCCCTTGTAAGTTGGATTCCTAGGTATTTTATTCTTTTAGTAGCGATTGTGAATGGGAATTCACTCAAGATTTGGCTCTCTGTTTGTCTGTTATTGGTATATAGGAATGCTTGTGATTTTTGCACATTGATTTTGTATCCTGAGACTTTGCTGAAGTTGCTTATCAGCTTAACGAGATTTTGGGCTGAGATGATGGGGTTTTCTAAATCATGTCATCTGCAAACAGAGACAATTTGACTTCCTTTCTTCCTATTTGAATACCCTTTATTGCTTTCTCTTGCCTGATTGCCCTGGCCAGAACTTCCAATACTATGTTGAATAGGAGCAGTTAGAGAGGGCATCCTTGTCTTGTTCTGGTTTTCAAAGGGAGTGCTTCCAGTTTTTGCCTATTCAGTATGATATTGGCTGAGGGTTTGTCACAAATAGCTCTTATTATTTTGAGACACGTTTCATCGATGCCTAGTGTATTGAGAGTTTTTAGCATGAAGGGGTGTTGAATTTTATCGAGATAATCATGTAGTTTTTGTCATTGGTTCTGTTTATGTGATGGATTAAGTTTATTGATTTGTGTATGTTTAACCAGCCTAAGAATGCAAAGTTTTATGAAAAGATATAAGATGTTGTTGGAACATGTAGCAGGATGTCTGACTTAGACTGGGTCAAAGAAGGCTCCTTTGAGGATGTGAGGTCCCAGCTGATGTCTGACGAATGAATAGACTGATGAAGCAACTGCCTGAAAAGATGTGTGTTCTAGGCTGAGGAACAGCATAGTTAAGGTTCCCACGACATGGGAGAGAACATGAGACTGAGAGAAGGCCAAGCTTCCTGGAGTGGAGTGGGCAGAGAGAGAGTGGAACTAGGTGAGGCTTGTGAGGTTTACAGGGGCCAAATCATGAAGGTCTGGGATTTCACACTGAGTCTCCGGGCGGTGGGAAGCTATGAGTGTTTTAAGCATGCTAGTCATGGATTTATGAATTCATGTTTTTACAGATAACTCTTGTCACCGTGTGAAGTATGGATTGGATTTGGTAAAATTTCAACTTTTCTAAAGTTGTCCAAATCACTGGATTAATGATGGTCACCAAAGAATAATTGAAATCAGTGTATAGGAGTAGTGGCTTTGAGGGTCTGGCTTAGAATCTAGTTAGGGACATGGTAGTCCCTCAGATAAAACAATCAAAGGAAACTTTTGCAGAATACATATATATATATATATATATACATACATACATATATATATTTTCCTCAAATATCTTATATTTTTAAAATGTATACATGTATCCATATTGATATGGTTTGGCTCTGTGTCCCTACCCAAATCTCATCTTGAATTGTAATCCTCATGTGTTGAGGGAGGGAAGTGATTGGATTATGGGGGGTGGTTCCCCCATGCTGTTCTCATGATAGTGAGTGAGTCTCACAAGATCTGATGGTTTTAAAAGTGGCAGTTTTTCCTGTGCTGACTCTCTCTCTCTCCTGCCACCTTGTGAAGAAGGTACCTGCTTCTCCTCTGCCCTGATTGTAAGTTTCCTAAGGCCTTCAAAGCCATGCAGAAATGTGGCTCAATTAAATATGCTTTACAAATTATTGAGTCTTGGGTAGTGTCTTTATAGCAGTGTGAAAAAGGACTAACACACACACACAAAGCACTATAGCTAAATGCTTACAGTAAAATGTGGTCTATGATTCCTATTAAAGTTATTATTTTAATTTTTTGATTGAATTTTTAGTTAAATACAATTTATTGTTTATTTTTAATTAAATAGGCATTACTTTATCTTTAATTGATATTTGGTTTGGATGGTATCGTAAGATGTGAAGGGATTGAGAATGAGTTACAATGGCATAACTTTGCCTACTTTTTGTTATTTCTCATATATTATGTATAACATATAACATTATTCTCCACTATGTGTTTGTACTAGTTTAGCCTTAATCAGTTCAGTCTTCATTTGATCTACAACTGAACAACCCAAGCCAGAGGAACATACTATAAATTTTTCTAGACATTTTAGAGTTGGAAAGGGTGTTACTGATCATCTTTTTTTTTTGTAATTTTACACTGTGTTTTTGTGGAATCTTAGGCAGTTCCTTTAGGGTGTCTATAAGTTGCCTGGGAAGTGGATGAGTTTCAAGCTGGCAATACTCTGCCTTCCCCTGCTTAAACTGGAAAAACCCTGCTTATTGGTAAGTTTTTGTGCAAAATTTCTTCTGATGAGAACTTTATGTTGATATAAAGTTGGAAATGCTCTGATTTTGTTCAGTATACTCATTTTCATGGGAGCACACTGAGGGCCAGGGTTGTAAAAGGATTTTCCCAAGTTCCAAATTAAAGAAACAGGACTTTCCCTTAGACATCTGGTGTAAGCAACTCACGAATTCCATTACATACAAAGATAAACTGGTGTGTAAATAAATTTACATGAGTTTTTAAAATGAGAAAGCCCAACCATTTCAATAAGAAATATAGAATTCCCAGAGTAAATAGAAATTAAAAGTTATACAACATACATATAAAGAAAAAAAATTCTTCTGTTGTATGAAGAAATCATATTCTTCTATTTATTTATTTATTTATTTATTTATTTATTTATTTATTTGAGACTAGTCTCGCTCTGTGGCCCAGGCTGGAGTGCAGTGGCTTGATCTCGGCTCACTGCCAGCTCTGCCTCCCGGGTTCACGCCATTCTCCTGCCTCAGCCTCCCGAGTAGCTGGGACTACAGGCACCCGCCACCATGCCCGGCTATTTTTTTTTTTTTTGTATTTTTAGTAGAGACGGGTTTCACCATGTTAGCCAGGATGGTCTCGATCTCCTGACCTTGTGATCCGCCTGCTTCGGCCTCCCAAAGTGCTGTGATTACAGGCGTGAGCCACCGCACCACCTATTCTTCTTTTAAATTGTACTGTTTGCTTAGGTCCATGTTTAAATATAGTAGCATTTACTATAGTCTCTTACAGAGCATAGATGTTTGAAAAATTTTTTTCTGACTCTTTTTAGGAGTATCTGGAAGGAGGCTACACAGGAATTAGCAGGAAAGAAGTGACAACAAAATTTATCAGTTAAGAAGTGACCAAAGAATTAACTGCAACCCCCATCTGGTGCACTATCGCATAGTGAAGTGTTAAGTGACACATAGTGAAGTGTTAAGTGACAATAGCAATGTAAGAACATGGGTGCTCTCGGAGATACTTTCAGGTTAATAAGTCCTAAGAATTAAAATGCCCATTTTTCTAGGAGAAAATTAATTTTTTTTTGTAGTCTCAGGAATCTGGTTCAGAGAGTCATGAAAGAACAGTGGAGGCATCGTTGTGAACAAGAGTAATAACCACAGTATTTAACCATCAATAGAATGAAGACTTAAAGCAATTAGAATAGTTGATGTCAGTAAGTCTGGATCAAAGTTTTTGGGGTCCTCTGCTGAGTCAGATATTATCCCTTCAGTTGCCGGATCCTGGGTTTGCTAGGGGGAAGGGATAGGGGCTTAGGATAGTGACCATTTACCAAGTACTATAGAAATAATGTCAATGTACTAATGTACTGGCTGAAATTCAGTTCCTGTTATGGGAATAAAGAGTCTTTCTCTTTGAAGAATGTTGCCCAGAAATTTATCTGGATCCACTGTATTTATTTCTTAAATCTCTTCTCTTGCCCATCTGTGCACTCATGCAAAATTTGATTGTGGATTTGCTCTTTAGATTCAGATATCACTCTGACTCATTATTTCATCTTTACTTCTCTCCCACATGCACTAATATTTTAGGCTTTGGTGACTCACTTATCTCTGCTATTCTTGGTGGCTGACCTCAGTTTATTGCTTCTTGATTACTTTGTTACATTCGTAAATTTTTCAAAAATAATTTTGGGAGTTCAAAGAATGCTATCACTCTATACATGAGGTGAGGGAAATTTATAGAATAAGTGCCTTTCAAAGTTAAAAAGGTAGTGCTTCAGATGCAATTAATATGTATTCTCTGGTAAAATAGTTAAACAAATTGGGGAAACAATAAGTGGTTATGAATTTAGACATTTTCCCTGGGAAAACAAAGAAAGTCTTGATAAAACTCCTGGGTTAAAGTTCAATTAACTATTGCTTAATTAATTTAAGTATTCTTAAAATTATAGTTACGGTATTATTTTCAGGCTTGCTTTCAGTCAACATTCCCCAACTTGCCTAATCATAAAATCGTGTATGGTGCTTCTTTAAAAATATTTATTTCTAGCTCCCTTTCTGAAGAGAAATTTTTGTTACTGAAATGAGAATTTCCTAGAAGAGGACCTGGAAATCTAGATGTTAAGAAGCACCCCAGTTAAATCTTATAAACAACCAATTTGAGAGACATTGTTCAGTTTTATAGATCATGTTGTTATAAGGCAATGTTCAAGAACAATCAGAGTGTTTAGTTGAATACTCACAAAAATATTTGCTTCTAAATCTATATAATTTTTTGTACAAAATGCATTAGTGCTTTAATAGCATAATATTGCAGAAAAAATTGCGAAAGACTTAGAAATGCATAGAAAACATTATTGAGTGTCCTCAATGGAAAATTGGACATTATCTAACACAACTTTCAGTTTACCTATTGTAGATATAAAGTTATTTTACAACTTTATAAGTAGTAGGATACTGGTAATGATAAAATGATTATTTTCCATAGAAAGGTAAATTGTGTCTCATATAAACGCAATTGATATTGGCCTCTTCTGCATGTTTTAAGCAAATTTATTATTGCACACACACACATAGACACACACACACACATAGTCTTTGGGTCATTCTAACATCTTACTGGTTCTCTCAAGAATGAATGAGTCAGGAAGTCCTAGCCAGAGCAACCAAATGAGGGAAAGAAATAAAAGGCATTCAAATAGGTAAAGAAGTCAAAAAATCTCTCTTCACTGATGATATGATTCTATACCTAGAAAACCATAAAGACTCCACCAAAAGGCTACTAGAACTGATACACGATTTTAGCAAGGTTTCAGAATATGAAATTAATGTACAAAAATTACTGATGTATTTCTATACACCAGTAATGTTAGGCTGAGAGTCAAATCAAGAACATAATTCCATTCACAATAGCCACAAAGAAAATGAAATACTTAGGAATATAGCTAACTAAAGAGGTGAAAGATCTCAACAAATAGAAGTATGAAACTCTGCTGAAAGAAGTCAGAGATGACACAAATAAATGGAAAAATATTCCATGCTCATGGATTGAAAGAATCAACATCATTAAAATGGCCATACTGCCTAAATCAACTTACAGATTCAATGCTATTTGTATCAAACTAACAATGTCATTCTCCACAGAGTTAGAAGAAACTAGACTAAAATTCATGTGGAACCAAAGAAGAGCCTGAATAGCCAAGGCAATTCTAAGAGAAAAGAAAAAACAGGCATCACATTACCTGACTTCAAACTATACTATTAGGTTAGGTTATAGTAACCAAAATGGCATGGTACTGGTACAAAAACAGGCACATAGACCGATGGAACAGAATAGAAAACATAGAAATAAAACTGCACACTTATCACCATCTGATGTTTGACAAGGCTGACAGAAACAAGCAATGGGGAAAGGATTCCTTATTCAATAAATAGTGCTGGGATAACTGGCTAGCTATATGTAGAAGAATGAAACCAGACCCCTAGATCTTTCACCATATATAAAAATTAACTCAAGATGATTTAATGATTTAAATGTAAGACCTAAAACTATAAAAATCCTAGAAGAAAACCTAGAAAATGCCTTTCTTGACACTGGCTTGGCAAAGAATTTTTGACTTAAGTCCTCAAAAGCAATTGCAACAAAAACAAAAATTGACAAGTGGGACCTAATTAAACTAAAAAGCTCCTGCACAGCAAAATAAATTATCAATAGAGTACTTAGACAACCTACAGAATGGGGAAAATATTCACAAGCTATGCATCTGACAAAGGTCTAATATCCAGAATCTATAAGAAACTTAAATTGACAAGAAAAAACAACCCCATTAAAAAATGGGCAAAAGACAAGATCAGACTTCTTAAAAGAGAACATACAAGTGGCCCGCAAACATATAAAAAATGTTCAACATCGTTAATCGTTAGAGAAATGCAAATCAAAACCACAACGAGATACCATCTCACATCAATCAGAATGGCTATTTTTAAAAAGTCAAAAAATAACAGATGCTGGCAAGGTTGCAGAAAAAAGGAGATGCTTATACGCTACTTGTGGGAATGTAATTTAGTTCAGTCATCATGGAAAGCAGTGTGGCAATTTCTCCAATAATTTAAAACGTCAAAAAATAATAGATGTTGGCAAGGCTGTGGAGAAAGGGGAATGCTTATATACTGTTGGTGGAAATGTAAATTAGTTCAGCCACTGTGGAGAGCAATTTGGACATTGTCCAAGAACTTAAAATAGAGCTACCATTTGACTCAGCAATCTCATTACTGGGTATATACCTAAAGGAATATAGATTATTATACCAAAAAGATACATGCATTCATATGTTCATCACAGCACTATTCACCATAGCAAAGACATGGAATCAATCTAGGTGACCATCAGTGATTGACTGGATAAAGAAATGTGGTACATATATACCATGAAATACCACACAACCATAAAAAGGAATGAAATTATGTCCTTTGCAGCAACATGGGTGGAGCTTGAGGCTATAATCCTAAGGGAACCAATGCAGGAACAAAAGACCAAATACTGCATGTTCTCACTTATAAGTGGGAGCTAAACATTGAGCACACATTAACATAAACATGGGAACAATAGACACTGTGGACTACCAGAGAGGGGAGGGGGGCATGGGTTGAAAATCTACTGGGTACTATGCTCATGACCTGGGTGCAATATATCCAGGTAACAAAGCTACACATGTACTCCTTATAAATGAAATAAAAGTTGAAATTAAAAAGAAAAGCACCAAGACACTCAATGAAGCAGAGAGTAGAATGGTGGTTGACAGAAAAGAGGAGAGGCAAATAGGGAGATGTTGGTCAAAGTGTACAAAGGTGCATTTTTACAAGATGAATAGTAAGTCCTAGATCTCTACTGTATGTCATGATGAAATACAACACAATAGTTTATTGTATATCTAAAATTTTGTTAACAGGATAGGTCTTATGCTAAGCATTAACATAACACACACACAAAACATAAATAAACATACACAAAAAATAAAAAGGATGAGAGGGATAAAGAAATTAATGAATCAAATAATACCTATGAGAAGTGCTCATTTAATATTTATATCACATTCATAATTGTACCCTCTTTAAAAATTATCAACAAACAGTATGTTATCTACATCTTTTGTATCCACCCAAGAAAGAACCAAGCCACCAGTTATTATACTGCCTTTTTAGTCAAAGAGTATACATAGTGCCTAGTTGAAATTAATCAACCACCCTAGAGTTTGCCTTTTAAAAAGCACATTGAGAGTTACATTTTTAGAGGAATTGAGAAAACAGTTTCTAGGGGCAATGCCACTCTGGTGATTATATAAACTATATTGGAAAACATGGACCATGACAATTTTCAGAACAGGAGGATTACTGTTAAGTTACTGCTTGGGAATCTGTATTTGTGCTCTGACACTAGTCTCTGTTCCTTCCCTGGAAGAGAAAAGCTCTAACGAGTGCCACAGTCTGGGTTGCCCAAGAGTAACTGGTGCAATCCTGATTCCATATGGTTTAGTCTTTCATAGGTACTTTCTCCACATTATTTATGAATATAGGTCTTGAGGTAAGTAATGAGGGAGATCACATTGCCTGCTTCAGTGACTCAGAACTGAGGCAGACACATAAACCTATTATGATATTAATAATGGAGGAAGGTACCAGTTACACAGTAACCATGGAAACAGTTAAATGATCAAGGAGTATCGGGAATTTTTAACAGAAAATGTGACATTTAAACATGATCATAATTTTTTTCCTAGAATAAAATGTTTATTTAGTCTTTTAATTATTAAAGTAGTACACAAATCCATGCTAGCCATAAAAATGTCAAACATTAAAGCAAGGTCCTTAAGGATGAATTAGGGAGGTGGGTCTAGAGAGAGGAGTACATGACAGTGAGTGGAAAAGCACAAGTGAAACAGGTGTAGGACAGCATGGCATCTTCAGGGAATGTGAATAAGTTATTCAATGTAACTATGACATAGGATATTATGGGGAGTGATTGACATGCAATTGCAAAGAAGCCTAGGTCAGGGTTTTAAAGGACTATGTTTAGATGTTTAGATTTTCCCCTTTGGCAGTGGGGAACCATTAAAGAGTTTTAGGCACAGACATAACTTGATTGGATCTGGATTAGAAAGATCACATTGGGAATGAACTAAGGTGGGAAGGGTCTGAAATCAGAGAAACACAGAGTTTTTATCTGCATAGTTTATTTGAAATCTCACACAAGTACAGGCATTGTTATTTCCATTTTCTTAATGAAGAAATAAAAATCTAGAGGAATTGGGCAATTATTTTCCAGGGTCATGAGCTAGTAGGCAATATATAATAGGAATCTAACCTCATGCCTCCTGACCCAAGCCCAGGCGTTCTGCTTTAGTCTTTGCTGCCATTCCAGTGATGTTGCTGTAGTTATGTGAGAAATACAGAAGGCACTGAGGGCAATCAATGGGCACAAAACAACCAGGGATCTGTTAGAAACATCGGTGTTACTGACTTACTGACTATTGTGAGATAGACTTCTAAAGAATATTGAGGCCGGGCGCGGTGGCTCACGCCTGTAATCCCAGCACTTTGGGAGGCCGAGGCGGGTGGATCATGAGGTCAGGAGATCGAGACCATCCTGGCTAACAAGGTGAAACCCCGTCTCTACTAAAAATACAAAAAATTAGCCGGGCGCGGTGGCGGGCGCCTGTAGTCCCAGCTACTTGGGAGGCTGAGGCAGGAGAATGGCGTGAACCCGGGAAGCGGAGCTTGCAGTGAGCCGAGATTGCGCCACTGCAGTCCGCAGTCCGGCCTGGGCGACAGAGCGAGACTCCGTCTCAAAAAAAAAAAAAAAAAAAAAAAAAAAAAAAAAAAAAGAATATTGAGACTGAAAATTACAAGACCTGGGTTCTTATCCCACCTCTCTGGTGGGATAAGAGATAATTTCTGGTGGGATAAGTTGAGTGGTTCTTATTTCACTCAGCTGGGTTGGTGATTGTGGAAAGTCATTGAAACATTTTGTGATTCCGTCTCATTCTCTGTAGAGCAAGGAGGTTTGTCTAGCTAATTTCTAGAGTCCCTTGCAACCTGAAAAGTCTCTGTTTCTTCATAAACATCACTATGGGCTGATGTGTTTAGAGACTGTCACGGGACAGGTGAGGCTATTCATCATTTCCATTTCCATTTCAGATGTAATCAATGTATTTTCTCTGTTTCTTTGGCATCATATATTTGCCTTTAATGTACAAAATACCACAGTACATTGTAATTACTTACAGGGGGAATATTAAAAAAAAAAATTAACAATCAGTTCAGCATAGGCAGTGACCTAACAGGGGAACCCACTTGTAAACAAGTGGAATGGTCATCTGGTGTGTGAGAGCTGAATATCAGTTCTCATGGCTTGCATGTTTGAGTCTTCTCTAGACTGTAAGTGACTCAAGGGCAGGACCTGTGTCTTTCTAATTTTGGATCAAATTTTAAGCCAGTACTTGGCTTAGAATTTCAACAGTATGTGCCCAGTCAATTTGCTGGATGAACAAGTAAATAATTTTCAGCATTTCCTTAGTGTCTGACAATGCACATAGCTGTGTTGCTTGAAGTTGTAGTGAGAGAAAAGGATGCCTGAATAGCTCTGCCTTCAATGGAAAGCTGCCAACCCTGGGAGTAAGCAGTCACAGAAATACCTAAGACACTGGGCATTCATTAATTTCTAAAGATCTTTTATTCCTTTTTTTAGAGAGTCAATTGTATCATACAACTTGGGCTTCTTAAATTTTATTTTTTTAAATAAAAGGATTTCAATGGCAACAATTTATTTATTTAAATTCACTTTATAAGCTATGGCATTTTCCAGTGAAAGTTAAAAAAAAAAAGCCACATAGGTTTAAGTTTTATCAGCATCTCAGGGATCTCCTTTTTAAATCTTTTCTTGACAGTTTGTCCCTTTCCTGATTATCTAATCATGTACACTGCGATCGTAGCGATTGTAAGTCTTCCACAAGGCCAAGATGGCTGAGTCACCATTTTGAATTTATGTTCAAAGCAGCCATAAGGACACACACACACACACACACAGACACACACACACTCCTTTAGTCAAGATATATTGATTAAAACTCTTCTTATTTGTTGCATGAACTGTACAGTCTTCAGTTCCTTTGTGTCCAGACTATTTTAACTATAACTATATTTAAGAGTGTTAGTGTCTAATTTAGGCTGATGTGTAGTCAAGCAGCTATATTGAAATCATGCAGCTTCTTGTTTAGAAAATGTATATCATCAAAACTCTGATGACTCTAGTTTTCTTTTTTCCTATTTTTAATTCTATGGTTCAGGGCCACCTTCTCTATTTCTATTCTGTTTTACAATATTAACGGTTCCTCCAATGTAAACATTTGTTCATTTTTTGACAGAATTTGCATATTCTCCAATTGCACATTTTAGTATCTAACAGGAACTTTTCCCCAAACAGATTCAGTTCTTTCCTGTTTTGAATTAATGGCATGTTTGTGAGCTGAGATGTAATGATGTATGCATGACGCATGAAAGAGAGGTATACAGAGTCATTGTTAACAGCAAGGACTCTCAGAATCTGCAGCCTGAATTCAAATCCTGCCTCTGTCCCACCCAGTTTTACCTCATTGAGCAAGTTACTTTACCTGAGACTTTGTGTTCTGATATTTAAAGTCGGGTAGTTATGATAACTATATCATAGAGTTATCAAGCACTTAATACAGGATTTGGAACATAGTAAGCTCAAAATAAATGTTAGCTTAAAAAGTAAAAGCATAATGGAACTGTAAAGCTGATACATACAATCACGCATCACTTAATGATGAGAACACATTCTGAGAAATGCAGTTAGGTGATTTCATCATTGTTCAAACATCATAGAGTGTGCTTACACAAACCTAGATGGTATAGCTTACTACAGGCCTAGGCTATATGGTAGAGCCTATTGCTTCTAGGCTACAAGCTTGTACAGCATATTACTGAATACTGTAGGCAATTGTAACAGGATGGAATTTGTGTATCTAAATATAGAAAAGATAAAATAAAAATACTGTATTTAATCTTATGGAACTACCATCTTATATGTTGTCCATCATTGACTGAAATTTGTTATGTGGTGCAAGACTGTAAATGCACATATTAGATCTAATATTATCAGTACTGAGCAAAAAATTGTGGTTAGCTATTTCAAAATTCATTTCTTAATGAATTTTATTCCTTGACATCAATTGATTTACCATTCATTCCCACCCTTTATCATTGTGCACAGCACACTGTGCATACCAACATAACCCTGGTGGTTACATTGAATTATTGTCAGCTTCCATCCACTCCAGCATTGGGCCGTTACTCTTCCATTGAGACCATTACCATTACCATTTAAATAATAACATCTTGAACTCTTCCCTCCCTACCATGATGAGATACCCAGCATCTCTCTCATGAAAATGCCTCTGTGGTCCTCTCTTGCTTCTGTTTTTACCTCCCCTGAGTTGGTTGTACTCATATCTTATCCTCTGTTCCTGATCTCTTCTCTCCACTCAAGCCAGCCCCAAATGGTACAGTCCTTTTCCCTTCATTTCCTGCAAACACTATTCACATAAGACATTTGTATGTATTAGACTTTTTATTTTTTGAGGATTTGGAAGGATTTGCTGTATTATTGAAAAATGGGTTAGATTATCTAAAATTGGATATTTCACATTTTTCTTCATAAGAGTTTCTCTTCTCACTACAGGGAATTTCTCAACAGCTTACTTTATTCCTGAATCTCCTGATTTCCTGCTTTGGGGATGTCCCACTCCCTCCAAAGACTCCCTATTCGTTAATGTCCTGCTCACACAGGGCCCAGAGCTCAACCTTTCTCTAACTCTATTATGCAAAACAATTCTGTTTTCTCTATGTCTATTTTAGCGCATTTGTCCATGTCCTGAGGGCTTTCGTTTTGAACAAACATTTTCTTTCTAAGCAACTGCTGCCAGCTTTAAAATAATATTCTCTCTCTACCCTTAACTCAAAGATAAATAAGCTATAAATTTTGCTTTTGTAGCCACAGTTGATTTTCAACAGAGTGATCATTTTAAATTGTGAGTCAGTTGCTTCAGCCCCCTGCCATGGCTTCCAAACTCAGAGCAACAGCCAAGCTCTTTGCAATGTCTGCAGGACTTCAAGGACCTGCTTGGTCATCTCTCTGACTCTATATTTTCATACTCTCCTCCTCTCTCATTTTCCTTCAACAGCTCCAGCCTCTTTGTTATGCCTTGAACCCAAAGCCTATCAGCCACATATTCATCAAACATCTTTCTACCTCAGGGCCTTCGTACTTGTTATTCCTTCCCCATGGAAACCTCTTCACTCAGATATCAAATAATTTCAAACTTCACTGCCTTTGAGTTATATTCTGATGGACATTTATAAAATAGCCAGAATTTAAAAATCTCTCTTTCTTTGAGAAATCACAGCTTTCCATATTACACATTTACTTACATATTTGATTATTGTCTACATCCATCCACTAGAAGGTAAGCTCCGTGAGGCCAGGGACTTTGTCTCTTCTGTTTACTGCCATATCTTGGCAATATATCAGGCACATAGGAGTTGCTCAATACACTTTTGATGATTGAATCAATACACGCAGAAATAATGGTAGACATTAGGTGCTTGAGGGGCACAAAGAGGTGAGTTGTGTTTGGAGGGATCGGGGAAAACTTCATAGAGAAGGAAAAATAAACTAGATGAACAAGAAGCCAGGATAAGGAGAGCTTTCATGAGACAGAGGAAGCATGATGCATAAAGGCATGAAAGAATGAGGTGCTTTTAGGAATCAAAAGACTTTTAATATTGCCAAACTCTAAGCTCTCTGTGTGTACAAAAGGCAGCCTTGCTCCAAGTATTGGCCACAAACCTGGTGCACTGGTGCAGATTTGTGGATAAGGTAATGAAGCTTCAGGGCCTCTCAATTGCATAATCTGATGAGAGGCTCTATTGATGTGTTTAGGAGGTTATGTTTTTGAAAAATTTGCCACAGTAAGATATTTTAATCACGATTGGCTAAAAGAGCTGTCTCTTTCCACTCTGACTCACCTCTGTTACACTTCTCATGTGAGGTAGTGTTGGAATGGTCACAGGCAATTTTGGGAACGTGACCTGGGATTCTTTTAATTTGATTTTAGTGGAATCTTACGTGGTTCATAGTCACTTCCGTGCATAGTTAAATTTTCGCTGGTATCGCTGAATAACTTCCACAAAAGCTATCACTCATTGCATCAACTCACTGACATCAAGAAATGAAGATGTAGGGCCTGGAATCATACTGTGATAAGAATGTGTCCATGGTGTCAATACCAGAAGGAAGAGAGTGAGGAGGAACAAGTGAGAAATGTTCAGGGCCAGAAATTTGCCTGCAGGACATTCTTCAACATATTCTAGTTCATAGATAAAAGAAATCTGGTTCATAGATACAAGAAAGACAATTTTTTCTCAATTTGAAAACAATCTTAGCAATCTATATGTATCATGTACTAGAAGCCTAAAAGAACTCCTTAGCTTGCCCAAATTAAAATCTTGACAAGTGGCTGAAATCTAAATTCAGCCTTGGGCCTCTGTGGCTCTTACGTTTTCCCTTGCCCCACCATGTTTATCTCTGTCCATGCTGAGTCACCCCAAACCTCCAGACATGGATCAAATGATAAATCAGGTAGCTCGATGATACAACCTGGTCTGTGGAGACTTGCAGCCCAGCAGGATGGAATTTGGTCAATGAGAAGTGGGAGGAAGAAGGAAACCAAGCCTATAAATTCCCTCTCCTTTTTTCTTTCCTATAAGGTATGGCTTTTTCTTGCAACCATTCAGAAAGTCCTCCTTGCTGAACTAGCGCACTGCTGAGAGATGTGATGTGTTTCTTTGCAGTTTGTTTAAAATGCTGGCCAGCAGGGCCATGTAGCATGCGTTTCAAGTCTTTCCTTGCCCCGCTGCTTTTTTTTGGTTCATCTTCACCTTTCCTACCTTGTACCTTCTAACTTAAGTGTCAGCACTTCAATCCTTGCTCAGGCTCTTGCCCATGGCAATCCAACTGAGAAGTTACAAAGAATGAACTGTGGCAGTACCAGTAAGAAAGGGAAAGACATGAACGATGTAAGGCAAGTTAATTGAAAAGAATCCAGTGATCAAGTTAATATCGTAGGAAGAGAAGGTAGGATGAATTGACGATTCCTAGGTTTCTGGCTTGGGCTTTGAGTGAATCATGGTGCTGAACAGGTAATACAGTACAATGGGTTTTAAGATAAATAATAAATTTGGTTTCAGACTTGTCGAATTTTATTTGTCCTGGATAAAGAAGTAATAGTTGGAGAGGACTTAACTCTGGAATAGACAAAATAGACAATAAAATGAAAAGTGAAGTTGGTTAACCCTTACGGAAGGCAAATGTAGGCATAATTATAGGCCAAATATGTAAAAAATTAGGAAAGCAAAATTTTCACAGGAGGGAGTGGACAACTGTGACAAATGGCATAGAGATTTCATGAAATGGGAAGCTTACAAAGCAACAAGATGTCAGAAGTGATAATTAGGACTTAATAATAGGGATGTCACAAGTGGTCTTGTGAGAGGAGGTCCTTTGAAGTGGCCTGCAGGGAAGCCAGACAGATGGGATTCAGGAGTGAAAGACCACCTGCACTGCAAGAACCGTTCATTTGCTTTCTCAGTTGATGCTCCTGGGCTGCTGAGCATAAACCTGTGCAGAGGAGACCCTGATGATTGATATTGCAGATTCCTGTTGTCTAATAAAATGGTCCATCACTTTTGATCAGCAATCTATTTATCCATTTCTGATTAACTCCTGTTAAGTTTCCTCCTAAAAAGTATTATAAATTTTTGTCCTCAATCTCAGTAAGATACAAACTTACATGATGGCAGCAACACTCCATTGATACACAATTATGGTTACCAATCATCCCTGTTTGCCCTGGACTAAGGGGTTTCCTGGGAAGTGGACTTTCAGGGCTAAAATTGGGAAAGTCCTGGGGAAGTTGGGACAAGACAGTCACCTTCTATAGTCCCATCTTATTTGTTGAGAATAAGAATCTAAGTGACAGCTTATGGGACCTTATGTTTTCTCTGCCATAAAATTATTCTTTGGTTTCCCTATCTTCTGATATTATTCTATATGAGAAGAATTATTATTCTTTCTCCTTTACAAATATAAATCCTACAGTTGTGTCCTAGCCATTGACCTTTGTCTTTGGAATTTTGCCACTTCAAGTGATGTCTCCTTTTTTGTTATTTTAAATGTTTCCCTTTCTTTAAACTTCTTTCTTCCACCTATAAACACACTTGTCTTTTCCCAGTTAAGGAAAAACAACTTCGCTTGACCTTTTCCCTCTTATGTTATCTTATCTCTCTCCTCCTCTAGTAGGTGAAATTTCCCTCCCTCCCTCCCCCTCCTCCCTCCCTCCCTCCGCCCTCCTCCCTCCCTCCCTCCCTCCTTTCCTCTCCTCTCCTCTCCTCTCCTCTCCTCTCCTCTCCTCTCCTCTCCTCTCCTCTCCTCTCCTCTCCTCTCCTCTCCTCTCCTCTCCTCTCCTCTCCTCTCCTCTCCTCTCCTCTCCTCTCCTCTCCTTTCCTTTCCTTTCCTTTCCTTTCTTCCTTCTTTCTCACTTTTGAGACAGGGTATCACTCGGTTGACCAGGCTGGAGTTCAGTGGTGTGAACATGGGTCACTGCAGTCTCGACTTTCTGGGCTCAAGCCATCCTCCAACCTCAGCCTCCTGAGTAGCTGGGACTGTAGGTACCCACCACCACATCTGACTAATTTTTAAATTTTCTGTAGAGATGGGGTCTTCCTATGTTGCCCAGGCTGGTCTCAAACTGCTGGGCTCAAGTGATCTTCTTGCCTTGTCCTCCCAAAGCACTGGAGTTACAGGCATGAGCCACCACACTCGGCCAAATATATTAAATTTCTTGAGAGTAGGGTGTGAACTCTGCCTGAACTCACGGGTTAGTTCTTCTTCTTCTCCTGCTTTTGCCCCCAGAATTTCACTAAAACAGTTCTCTTAACATCAGCAAGTAGTTCAACCAATGGTTTGGTATTTCTTATTCTTTCGCTCCTTCAGATTCTCTGAATTTTCCTGTATTGATTTTCTTCTTGAAATGCTTTTCTCTCTTGGCTTCTATGACACAGCCCCATCCTGATACTCCCTTGCTCTCTAATACTTTTGTTTCCTCTACTGACTTATTTTTCTCTTTCTGTCCTCTAAAATTTGGCATTCTTCAGTGTTTTGCACTTACTCTTCTTTCTATTCTACTAGTTGGCCACTATATCTATTTTTGTTAGCTTAACAATTATTTCAAAGATGGTTCTAAACCCTGCATCTTTGTTTCCAGATACTCCCTTGAGACTGAAGCCTTTATTTCCAGCTACACTTTGTATATCTTCAACCAGAAATCCTTCTGAACTCCACCTTAGCCTAAGTCTGAATTTAAGATATTCTTCCACTCCCTCTGCCCACAGCCAAAAGCTCCTCTTCCCGAGTCATTTTTTTAGTAGCTCACCTGTTTTTGCAGTCATCTGTGCTCAAAAGTCCAAGATAACATTTCTCCATCATAAGGAGTTCCTTTGTTCTAATTCATATTTAATCAGTTACTAAACTTTGTGGAGTCTAACTCAGACATATCTCTTGCATATGTTTGTTTTATCTGGTCTTCTTGCTACCACTACCCTAGTTTAGGCCCTTATGGAATTATATTTTTCTTACACCCCAGCCAGTATGCTTATTTCTGATCTCTCACCACCTTTCCATTCTGTGCTCTGCTTGCTTATACTGACCTTCAAGTTTCTCTCAAATATGACCTACAACTACTTTTTAAAAAGCCCTTCGTCCTAGTAGTCCCCTGATCACATCTATGCTCCGCTGTAAGTGGTCTGTAGCTATTCCTAAAATATATTCTATGATGAATCATTGCATTGTTCTTTGACCATGCTTTTCTCTCCATCTAGAATGATACTGTCCCATTGTAAACAGCAAACTCATGTCAATGCACTTCCTCTAATATCTTCAAAATTTCTCAGGCATTTGTGGCCTTCTAGTTAATTATTATCTGTAACTTTCTTTTGTTATCCTCTTACAGTATGGATTATAGGATGTCCCCATGAGATCAAAATTCCTAGACTATATGGATAGGGCGGCTCATGCCTGTAATCCAAGCACTTAGGGAGGCAGAAGCAGGAGGATCACTTGAGCCCAGCAGTTTGAGACTAGCCTGGGCAAGATAGTTAGTTTCCTTAGTTAGTTAGATAGATAATTTCCTTTTTCCACAAAAAAAGAAAAAAAAAACACCCAAAATTCCAAGACTGCTTAGATATTTTCATATGCTCTTTATAGTGACTTGTGTTCAGTTGACACTCAATAAAATGTTTATTGAAATGTATTTATTTATTTTAGTTTCACATGTTTGAGGCCTTAAATATTATTTCAAAAGCTTTTGGAATTGCATTAATTCCTTTGTTGATCAGAAGGGCAAAAACAGCTGACATGGTTTGGCTGTGTCTCCACCCAGACCTCAAGTTGAATTGTGTCTCCCAGAATTCGCATGTGTTGTGGGAAGGACCCAGGGGGAGGTAATTGAATTGTGGGGGCCAATCTTTCCCATGCTATTCTTGTAATAGTGAATAAGTCTCATGAAATCTGATGGATTTATCCAGGGGTTTCCGCTTTTGCTTCTTCCTCATTTTCTCTTGCCACCACCATGTAAAAAGTGACTTTCACCTCCTGCCATTATTCTGAGGCCTCCCCAGCCATGTAGAACTGTAAGTCCAATTAGACCTCTTTTTCTTCCCAGTCTTGGGTATGTCTTTATCAGCAGTGTGAAAATGAACTAATACAGTAAATTGGTACCAGTAGAGTGGGGCGTTGCTGAAAAGATACCTGAAAATGTGGAAGTGACTTTGGAACTGGGTAACAGCCAGAGGTTGGAACAGTTTGTGGGGCTCGGAAGAAGACAAAAAATGTGGAAAAGTTTGGAACCTCCTAGAGACTTGTTGAATGGCTTTGGGATAAATGTTGATTAGTGATATGAACAATAAGGTCTAGGTTGAAGTGGTCTCAGACGGAGATGAAGAACTTGTTGGGAACTGGAGCAAGGGTTACTCTTATGTTTTAGCAAAGAGACTGGAGGCATTTGCCCCTGCCCTGGAGATTTGTGGAACTTTGAACTTGAGAGAGATGATTTAGGGTATCTGGCAGAATAAATTTCCTTTTTTTAATTATTATACTTTAAGTTCTGGGATACATATGCAGAACGTGCAGTTTTGTTACATAGGTATACACGCGCCATGGTGGTTTGCTGCACCCATCAACCCGTCACCTATGTTAGGTATTTCTCCTAATGTTATCCTCCCCTACCCCCCAACCCTCCGACAGGCCCTGGTGTGTGATGTTTCCCTCCCTATGTCCATGTGTTCTCATTGTTCAACTCCCACTTATGAGTGAGAACATGCAGTGTTTGGTTTTCTGTTCTTGTGATACTTTGCTGAGAATGATGGTTTCCAGTTTCATCCATGTCTCTGCAAAGGACATGAACTCACTCCTTTTTAGGGCTGCATAGTATATTCAAAAGTGACTTGGGTGCTCTTAAAAGCATTCCATTTTAAAAGGTAAACAACATAAAAGTTTAGAAAATTTGCAGCCTGATGATGCAACAGAAAAGAAAAATCCATTTCTGAGGAGAAATTCCAGCCAGCTGCAGAAACTTACATAAGTAGCAAGGAGCCTAATGTTAATCTCCAAGACCGTGGGGAAAATGTCTCCAGGCCATGTCAGAGGCCTTCACAGCCAAGAGGTCCAGTAGGAAAAAGTGGTTTCCTGGCTGGGCCCAGGGTCCCCATGCTGTGTGCAGCCTAGGAACTTGGTGCCCTGTGTCCCATCAGCTCCAGCTGTGGCTGAAAGGGGCCAACATAGAGCTTGGGCTGTGGCTTCAGAGGGTGGAAGCCCCAAGCCTTGGCAGCTTCCACATGGCGTTGAGCCTGCAGGTGCACAGAAGTCAAGAATTGAGGTTTGGAAATCTCCATCTAGATTTCAGGAGATGTATGGAAATGCCTGGATGCCCAGGCAAAAGTTTGCTGCAGGGGTGGGGCCTTCATGGAGAACATCTGCTCCGGCAGTGGAGAAGGGAAATATGATGTCGGAGCCCCCACACAGAGTCCCTACTGGGGCACTGCTTAGTGGAGGTGTGAGAAGAGGGCCACTGTCCTCCAGACCCCAGAATAGTAGATCCACCGACAGCTTGCACCTTTTGCCTGGAAAAGCCGCAGACACTCAATGCCAGCCCATTAAAGCAGCCAGGAGGGAGCCACAGGCGTGGAGCTGCCCAAGACCATGGAACCCACCTCTTGCATCAGCATGACCTGGATATGAGACCTGGAGTCAAAGGAGATCATTTTGGAGCTTTAAAATTTGACTGCCCCGCTGGATTTCGAACTTGCATGGGCCCTGTAACCCCTTTGTTTTTGCCAATTTCTCCCATTTGGAATGGTTGTATTTACCCAATCCCTGTACCTCCATTATATCTAGGAAGTAACTAGCTTGCTTTTGTTTTTACAGGCTCATAGCCAGAAGGGACTTACCTTTTCTCAGATGAGACTTTGGACTGTGGACTTTTGGGTTAACCCTGAAATGAGTTAGGACTTTGGGGGACTGTTGAGAAGGTATGATTGGTTTTGAAATGTGCGGACATGAGATTTGGAGGGGCCAGGGAAGGAATGATATGGTTTGGCTGTGTACCCACACAAATCTCAAGTTGAATTGTATTTCCCAGAATACCTGCATGTGGTAGGAGGGACCCAGGGGAGGCAATTAAATCACGGGGGCTGGTCTTTCCTGTGCTACTCTCATGATAGTGAATACATCTCACAAGATCTGATGGGCTTATTAAGGGTTTCTGCTTTTTCTTCTTCCTCATTTTCTCTTGCTGTCACCATGTAAGAAGTGCCTTTCACCTCCTGCCGTGATTCTGAGGCATCCCCAGGCATATGGAACTGAAAATCCAATTAAATCTTTTTTTCTTCCCCGTTTTGGGTATGTCTTCATCAGCAGCGTTAAAACGGACTAATATAACAGCTGAAGCAAATGGTCACCAGGTGGCAGTGCTACAGAGCTGTTCAGTGGTCCGAACAGAAATAAGTTAGGATATTTTCTGCCCTTATCTGTAGAAAATTACAGAATCAGCTTTGGAAGGAAATTGAAGACACTGCAGTTCTATATTCTAGTTGTAAAGATGAGAAAGTTAAGGCCCAATATATAGAAATATATACGTCTCTCTATCCCCCCACTATCTCTCTCCTTCTCTCTCTCTCTGTATATGTGCAGACACGTATCTGCACATATACTTAGAGATCACTGGTTGAACCACAGCTAGAAAGGATTTTCAAGATCTTTCTGTTTTTTTTTTTTTACTTTTTTTTTTAATAGATAAAGTGAAGTTATGACCATGGGGATATATCAGTTAGGACAATTGATTATGAGTGTCATAAATTCAACATAAATATGTTTTTAAATGAAAATAAAAGTAGGATGGTTATTCACTCAAGTATCTGCAGAGTCTAGGGATAGTCCTGGCTTCAGGTAAGGGTGGATCCAAGGATCCAGCCCCCACCCCCAGTCCTGCTTTCCTTTATGGAGGTTTTATTTCAAACTTTGTAGGGTGGTCCCCAGCTGCTCTTGCCTTATATTACACTACTGCTAAAGTTTCTGCAAAAAGAAAATAACTTCCTTCTCTAGTGGCTTCAACAAGAGCCCTGAAATGGATCTCATTAGGCAAACTGGGTCACATGTTCCAGCTGGAGTGTAGGTGGGCCCTGTTTACCTCTACCAGGAATGAGGGTGGTTTGGGGCAAGGCCAACATGTACAGTTTTACAGGCTGCTCACTGCAGGAAGCTGCCCAGCTACATGGCGATTAGGGTCTGAAATCCAGCCTGAGCTCCCCTTGCCATGGCATGATCCACAGGGCCTGCATCTGCTTAGACAGGAGACATTTTCTGATTTGCCTGTGGTCTGCATTATCAGAAGAATGAATGAATGCTGGGTAGACCTAAACAAAAATGTCTACTTCAGGTGGCAATCAAAAAATATTCTTATTAACTTTGATTTTATTTTTCTTTATTTCTTTCTTTTAAAAATAGGAGACAGGGTTGTGTCATACAAAATGTGTGGGATTTAGAGTTAGAACGCCTAGGTTAATGCCACAATGCCACTTGCTGGCTGTGTGAGTTTGGGAAGTTTTAATATTTCTTGTTCAGTTTACTTATATGTAATAATCACATTTCAGAGAGGTTGGAGGATTAAAAGACATACATAAAAGTTGATCACACAGCCTGGGACACAGTAGCAGCTCAATTAATGTTAATTAATTGTGGCAATTTAAAAACATGGGCCCCAAATTCTTTGGTACTCCTCCCAGAGAAAGGTAGATCTGTTTCCCCTTCTTTTGAGTTAGGGAATACTTGTAACTGCTTCAACCAACATAGCATGGAGAATTGACATCATGTGACTTCTGAGGCTAGGTCATAAAATATCACTCAGTTTCCTCCTAAAATGCAGCTTGAAATGCATCTCAGAAATTTCCTCTTGGGATACTCACACTTTGAACCCAGCCACCATGCTGTGAGAGCTTAAGCCACATGGAGAGACAGAGCTCCCTGTAACCTTTCGGGGGAGGAATGTCAAAGAATTTTGGGGCCGTGTTTTTAAAAAGCATGTTGTGGAAAGTACTATGATGAGCATGATTTTCCTTACGAGTACTTATTTCCTTCATTATTGAGTGTCTATAATTGTGATGTTTAAATCTGTATCAACTTGGCTAGGTTATGGTGTCTAGCTGTTTGGTCAAGCACCAGTATAGATGTTCCTCTGATGATATTTTTTAGATGTGATTAACATTAAATCAGTTTACTTTGAGTAAAGCAAGTTATTCTCCATAATGTGAGTGGGCCTTATCTAATCAGTTGAAGGCCTTAAGAGCAAAGATGGAAGTTTTCTGAAGAAGGAATTCTCAAGACTGCAACATAAAAATCCTCCCTGAGCTGAATTTGGTCTCAAGACTACATCACTGTCACCTGAATTTCTAGTCTGCTAATCTGCTCTGTCAATTTCAGACTTATCAGACCCCACTATTGCATGAGCCAAGTCCCGGTTTCTTAAAATAAATCTCTCTTATATATAAAATCTGTTATATATCAAATCATATTGGTTCTGTTTCTCTGGGGGAATATTAATTAATACAGTAAACAATAATAACAAAGACAGAAATCTTAAGAGATAATTTCAACTGCTAGGTGATTTTGAGTACTTCATACCTGTACCCACACTTCAGAATTAAGAGTGCTTATGAAGTTCTTAAATTATTCTACATTTGTTTAACTTTGCAACCCTGATAAAAATGCAAGCTCCACATCTCATAATGCTAATCTTATATCTCCCATACCTCCCATTGTTTAGACCTCAGCTCAATAAACCTCTATAGGTTATTCTCTGGCAGTGTGTGAACCAGTTTGCTGTTAATCATACAAAACTATTATTGTGAGGACTGTGTGCCTGTTTAATCACATTTTTAACTGATTTTTTTTGTTTCACTGTCTCATTGACTCATTATGTAAATGTCATTATTGTGCAATTAGTATTTGCAAGTAGGAGTGGGATAATAATTTCCCCTGTTTACACAGAGATTTGCGATCTGATGGTTGGAGATAGTATTAGGTGACTCACAAAGTGTTGTCTTGGTAGAGTACATCAAGGTACATGCAGCTTTGTGATTAATAGGAGTTTCTAGACATATATCTTACAGCTTCGATTTTTATCTAAAACATGACCAGTTTGAAGATTTGCATTTTACTACTTAGTAACTATTACATTTTAACTTGGGATCATTTCTGAAGAAATCTTTTTACCAAGCTCCTACAGAGTCATTGCTAAGATATTGCTAAGGAGAAGTAGCTGAGATGGGCCTAATTTAAAATTTATAATTTATTAATTATGACCAGCTGCAGGGAAAGGAAAGCAACTAGCAGATGGTGGGATAGAGAACAGAATTTTTAGAAAGTAAAAAAAGGATAATATATATCTTCCAGATTGAGGGATGAACTGGGCAATTGCCCCTGAGCTGGGAGAAAGATTATAACAAAATCATGAGCTGTTGCTGGAAAAAAAAGAGGAAAGTTCCAACTTGGAGACTTTTAAGCAACCAAATAGTTGGAGCCACAATAGAACTGCGTTAAATTATTTCATCCAATGAAGAAACTAAAAGATGTGGGGCATTACGTCCATTGAATAAAGGAAGGAAACTCTAGAGACAGTGTGGATCCATGTGAATCTGCCAAGAATCTCTGGAATAAAAGTCTCAAGACTGTTTCAGATAAAAATGGAACAACTTCTCTTCCCCACTAGCCTAAATTTTTTTCTGCCTTCATTTCTGAATCAGTGGACCTGAGCCCTTTCTGAGTTCCTGGCCCATTGACTACACCAAGTCTTGCCTTTTGGTTTTCAGCTCTCATTTTCAGGACTACCTACTCAGTAGACATCTGCAGGATCCTAACTGATCTGGAGTCCTGATGGGCAGTCTAGTATCCTGACAGGGACAATCCATGCTATTAAAATTTTTCGGTTATTTCAAATCTGCATCTGTTTCAAAGAAGGAGATTCCTTTAGCCTGGACAGTGGGAAAACGCCTGTGGCAGTAAATAATCCATAAATTCCAAACTTGTTTTAAGCAGCAAAAAGTCTTTGGAAATACAAGGTGCTTTTGTAGGTCTGATGATGAATGAGGGCCTACAAGTGCCAGCTCTTTGAATGCATTTTGCATATTCTCACAGCAACGTTGCAAGTAGTTGTTTTTATCCCCATTCAACAAATAAAAATAAGTTCAGAGAACTTAACGTGTTAGATATTAGAGGTAATGAAAGGTGTCCTCAGCATTCAAACCCAGGATGGTTAATTCTTTCCCTTAACAACATAGGGCCTGCATGGCTCTGACTGAGTTACTTAGTTCTTTGTCATTTTACCATGACCAATTTAATATTTCTAATACTTAGTTTATAAGATTATTGTTTATTTAATAAAATATATTTACTAGAGGCCATATTTGTAAGGCTAAAGTTTTGATAGAATCCAAAAAGTAAAACTGAAAGATGAAGTGATTGGCCTAAAGATTGACTTTTTGAAAAAAACAATCTTATACATCTGAGACATTTATTTATTTATAAAATATTTTGCGAAGTTCTTAAATTTCAATGTGCCTAATCAACAGCTGCACCTCTCTTTCCTCAGTCAACATCATCAACTATGACGGGAGCTTATTTATTTTATTTTGCAGTTTTCTGGAAAAATTACTTAATTTCTGATTCTGACAAAACAGCATGAAACTATTCAAGTAAGTGTCTCTAAAATGATAATTTTTATGTCCATGACGCTTCTCAAGAACTACTAATATCGCCTAATTTAATGACTTCTTGGATTGACACCACAGAAAAACTATTTTCCCTCCTGATCTGCTCTTTGTGGTAGACTAGGTTCCAAATGTATATGTTTACTTGACTGTTGAAAGGTATTGTTGAAATTATGTGAGAAAAATCCCATTTTAAGAACTACATTACCAGGTTACTTTAAATTTCTGTCAGTATGCTAATAAAATGCAGAGCTGGAACTAGGCATTTTTGTGCTACAGGCAATTTTTTCTCTACCTGTTGCCTTTTCCTCTGCTTTGTTTTATGGACTGTCAGAACACGGAGTCCCCTTCGGAATCCTCGGAGTCAAGCTCTGTGGAAGCAGGAACTGCTTTTGGTTATCCTTGAATAAGCAGGTAAAATGGCCATCTATCTTGCTTAAGAGATCTTAGTTTTAATGACCTTATTTATTGATAATTGATACTTAGCCTGATACTCTACTAAGTATTTTTCATTCATTATCACAATCCTATGAGGCAAGTACTATCATTCTTATTTTACAGAAGAGGAAACTAAGGATCAGAGATACTGAGGACTTACATAAATTTTTGTGGCTAGAAAGTGGTGGACCCTCAATATCATTCAGGCTTTTGTACCTCCAAGGTCCAGGCTCTCAACCTCTGTGCTCTACTGTCACTTTCAAGGCTTTGGAGTTCCTTGTTTCTTCGCAATCTGTTGAACCCCAACCAACCTTCTTGAGACTCGCAAGAATAGTTTTTAATTTTCTTGTAATACTTGTTACATTTTTGCTTGAAAGCAATGATGCTATTCACTTAGTCAGCCAGCCTTTCTTTCTTTCTTCTTTGCCTGCCTTCCTTTCTTCCTTCCTTCCTTCCCTTCCTCCTTCCTTCCTTTGACAATCTGAAATGTTTTTAGTATGCAGAATTCATTTAGGATTTTTACAACTATTTCACTAGAGTTTTTACTCACTTTTTTTTGGCCTGAGTACTTTGTCTTTCATGAATATTTCTTATATATTCGTCTATGACTCACTGAATTAGAAAATACAGTTACTGAGTTGAGAAATAACACTAATGGCATAAAGTTTAAGGAGCCAATTTAGACCTTCTTTTGGTTTCAATCAAAGACTTAGAAATTGTAGCCACTTCTGTACAAAATATTCATATTACATTAAGAGTGAATGAACTATTAAATAAAATGCAAAGTCAGAAGTCATTAGCCTTGGGTTATCATCTGAATTTTCCTTTTCATTTATTGTATGGAATAGAATACATCCTCTGCTCCTTTACATTTTCTCCTTCTCTTTCTTCTCTTCTTCCTTTTCATTTCTTCCATTTTAGTGTCTAAAAATTAGCCATGACATTGTTTGATGTACCTATTTACAATAATATTAGGATTGGCTAATTAATTAATTTGTCGGAAAGGGATGTTATTACCTAGTGGAGTAAAACATCTCCTCTTTCTCTGTTCCCACCTTTTTAGAAGGAAGCTTTTGTTCATAAAATATACTGAATTTGAGGGAAAAATGGCTACATGTGTGTTTATAAAATGAGCCTTTCTAGAAAGTGGCTGAATCAAACTGGGGCAAATTCTTTATATGGTATGCTAAGATTGGGGAGGAAGAAAGGGAGGGCTGAAAGCGTAGATACCAAACTGGTATGCTGATGGAAGACATATATATGTATACACACATATATAATACATACATTATATAATATGTGATATATATATGTGATGGCTCTTAATATAGAATTTTAATATATTCAATTTGTGACAAATTAATTTCTAGAAATTTTTATAGTTCTTTGGAAAATATTTCTGCTAAAATCAGAGAAAACAGGTAAGTTTTGAACTTTTTCTGTTCTACTTCTGAAAATGAATTCATTAATGTAAGCATGTGGCTATGCATACTATTTTTAGAAACTGAGGGAAAATTTGGACAAATGCTTTTTGCTTAAGAAAGTAATTGAGTAAAATATAACCTTGTTAATGTTTGTTAATTTAATTAACATTCATGGTGTATGGCAATTATACTTTGACAAATACTACAAAACACTACGTAACATGCTGAGAGTAAGCATAACTTTTAGGTCACACATAGGTACTAAGCACAATGTGTTTCTCGAAATTTATTATGATAATGTCAGGTGTAACTCTATTCATGGTATAAATTTTGAAAGTTTTTCATGTTGAAAATTTGCCTCTTTATTACACAGACCAAAAAGTTGTTATAAAATTGAAAATAAAGACGAAGCAAAAGATGATTTTTTTTTTCCAAATTGTCAGAACTGCTACCCAGGTGAATACTGGAATATCAAGGAACTCCTAGATAACATTTTTGCGGACTTTGTAAAATGTAAAAAAATTATTTTATATTCTTGATTTAACCTTTAATAGTAATAGCAACAGTAAAAATAGCAGCTAACACGTATTGAATGATTACTGTAAGTTAGAAAGGATGATAGGTGCTTTGTGTGTATTATAGTATTTAATATACAATAACATTACAAAGTAGGCAGTGATATTATCTATGTCTTACAGATGAAGAAACAAAGCTCGGTCAGGCAGGCTGTCTGGCAGAAGTTCACAGAGCTGTGTCAGCAGCACAGCCTGACGGGAATCCACATCTGTTCAAAGCCAAAGATGGTGTTCTTAACCCTCATGCTCTTCATCAATGCTTTGCTGGCAGCCTGAAAGAACACTGGCACTTCCCAAAAGTAGCTCATTTCTTTTTTTGGGATTAAATATACACTCTGGACCTCATACATATGAAATATGTTAGGGCTGTTTATCAGAGGATGGAAAACTTTTAAGGTTTGGAAACATTTTATTAAAGAACTCATGAATATGGGAAAATAATAAGCATTCAACAACTTTGAATTGAAATGTTTTTGAGATTTTAACAAACAAGAATTAAATAAAACATAAATTTAGGGAGTTACAGCAACATTTTAAATAATTAATCTATTCATGGTATCAATTTTGAAAGATATTGATACCTTATCAGAAGAATGATGTTTCCTTACTGTTTTTGCAAAAGACGCTCATGACCAGTCTCGTTCATAGGAGAGTCTAATTTCAGAGTGGATGAAAGACTCAGATTTTTGCAGCTGAAGAGACTTTAGAAGTCATCCAGATAAATCACTCTGAGTTTTCTAGACAGAGGCTTGTCTCATTTTTCCTTAAACATCTCTAGTGATGGAATATGCTCTGCCTTCTGGGGCATCACATTTCATCCTAACAGCTCTTGTTAGTTCTTTCTTTCAATTGAGTCCAAATCTATATCTTTAATTTCCACCCAATTGCTTCCTTTTCTTTGCTTTTCCAAATAACAGCCCAAATTTTTTCTTTCTCTTGCCCCAATTCCCTATTTTTCTCAAGTACTCCATATGTAACATGGTTCTGGGTCCTTTTGTCATTCTGATAGATTTTCTTAGTATATATGTTCCTTTTTTTGAAGTTCATTCTTAAGTGTGTGATTCCAAACAAAAGACAATGCACAAAGAACTGTTAGTAAATTGCAGAATAAAATAGCACTATCGTTTTCCTTGATTCACCATGTTTTATGTGAATAACACATGAAAATACTAACCACAAAACATACAATAAAAATTATCAGCCTGATGTTTACTCAGACTAAATGTAATGAAAAACTTAATCAATAATGCAACAATACAACATGAGGATTATAGTTAATAGAACTGTATTAGAGTGTTTCGTTCAATAAATAGATTTTTAGCTGCTCTTGTCACACAAAAAAGTGTGTGAGATGCTTCACTATAGTAACCATATACATAGACATATAATCATATACGTATCACATAACATCGTGTTGTAACCCTCAAATATATGCAATAAAATTTATTTGAAAAACTAATATGACAATACAATTGCTCTTGCTACCAGCGCAGTTTGAATTCAAAATTTTAGACAAATGATAGACTACAGAAAATACTTGGTCATAGAAAACGTTAGTCTTTTTAGACTGCATCTACGTACGTCAACTACCTTGATGTTTTTCAATTATGATTTTGTTACTTGAATTTCTCCCTCTTCTCACCCATGCTTGCTTGATGACTGCCCATTATTCTGTCACCTCACCGTCTCTGTCCTCTAAGAAACTGCCCCTAAATATTTCAGCTTTAGTTGAGCTGCTTCTTTCTCGAATTCTTATTGAAAGTTAAAATTTTGTTAAAAAGATCTTCAGTTAATAATCTACCAATAAAAAATGAATAATGTTGATGTTTATGACATCTATTATTTATACAAAATCTAACATTACCATTTCTAAAGAAAAAATCTAAACATTAATTGAAGAGAACCATAAAGCTCAACATAGTACTGCTCCAAGTAGTTTTGTAATACAAGTTATCATTTAATACTGAATACCTTGGATTAATTTTAAGACTTGATAAATACATTCTAATCTCATAACCCAGTTTTATCCACAATAAGTGAACTATTCTTAATATTGGAAATTGAGTAAATTGTTGAAAGTCGTAGTGTAATGAATGACATGCAATCTAATAGAAGCACTTAACAATTCTTTTAATAAATGAGCATATTCAAAGCCCACAAGACTTTGGTTCTGCGTTGTAAATTAATCAAAAGGTGAACAGTTCCCTTCTTTGTTTTCAATAAATACATTTATTCAATTCTTTTCAGTAAAAATGGTTATTTCCCCAGAATTCTAATTAAAATTCCAGTTAAATACTTAATTCTTTTGACCTCTAAACAATATAGTTCGTTAACATGTATTTGTGCATTCAAGTTCTTATTCCATGTAATGTGCATTTGTATAGTCTCCCAGTATAAACTGAAGTTTGCTTGCTTGGAAAAAACATATTGTTTTCACCCACTGCAAGATTTTAGAGGGAGCATAGGGTCTGCAGCCCGATCCAGCTGAAGGAATGCTTATCTCCAGTATCTCTGTCTTGTTTATTGCAAACAAAGCTCATTTTTGTCCTTGTCTGACGGATTTTCTTTTCAATGAAACATTTTGGTCTTTTCATAAATGTAATTTTTGTCTATTACTTAACCACTCTGTACCTCTATTTCTTCATCTGTAAAAGAAGAGTAAGAGTGGTTCTTTCTTACAGGGTGTTGTGAGTGTTAAATGTATTAATACGTACGAAGTATTTTGAACATAGTGAATAGCGTGCTGTTAGTAGCTTGTGAAAGTGAATAATATGCTGTCAATAGCACATAGCGAATAATGTGCTGTTAGTAGTAGTAGCTTGTGAAAGTGCCTCTGTTACCAGGTAGTAAGGGAATCCACGGTTCTTAGTTGTCCAGGGAGAAAGATTTCGGCCAAGTGACAATTCAGATAACAGAGAGCTTTATTGAAGGGAAATCGAGAGCAGAGAGTTTATAGATAGACGGTACACTGAAAGATAAGGCCGAACGGGCTACCGGAAGAGGGTGAGCCAGCAGCAGCCCGAGACTTGGGTTTTGATGCTGTTGGTTTTTTTTCTTGAAGTTAGCTCCTATTTCTTTAATCTCTGCCTTTTTTCTCTGTCTAGTTTTCCCGCTCCTGTCTTAAATCCCTGACTTTTCCCCTCCTAGTTCCTACGCCAGGCTTGTAGGACCCTCCCTTACTATTAGTTGGTGCGCATACGTGCGCTCGGTGTTGGATCTCAAGTTTGTCTAATGGCTGCGTTGCTCATTACCGCCACCCCCAGGAAGGTTGTTTAGCGGGTCGAATCTAAACTGTGCCTGCGAATCTCTGACAAATTTTCTCCTTTGAGCTCTTCCCCTTTATCAGCATATACCTAGTGAGATTCTGACACCTTAACTGTAGAATGAGTGATTACTGGGCATCTTAAGGAGCTCTGCTTCCTGTATAGTTTTTTTCCCTCCTCTTTGCTCATATCTGCACGCATGTTTCGGGTGGTTTCTGGGGTGTGAGATTATCCAGACCTCCTTTTTCTCAGGGGCTCTTGCTCCTGGTCATGTCTAGCTCTAGCTGTCTGCCTACTGTAACACTACCACAGCACAACACTAGTTGAAGTAATGCTAAATAATCAATAAGCCAGATTTCCCCTCTGCAACCCAAATCTATAGCAATGGTAGTCATTTTGCTGACATAGAACAACAACAATTTGGTGATATTTTTTGCCTCTTTGCTCCATTAAGACTCCTGGATGAACTATAAACTCAACTTAGGTTTATACAATAGAATTTGGATTAAAGAAATATCAAGCAGAAAAATTTGTTCAGCAGGTGGAAGTATATTAAAATCAGGGAAAGTATTATTTTAAAATTTGGCTTTTTAATATATTTACATTCATTTTTATTATCATTAAAATTTTTATTTGTTTCAAATCCTTGTGAATTATGTCTCAGATTATTCACCTTCACGGTTGGTCCATTGGTTGATGCTGTTGAATGAAAAGAACATATTCTAGAGCTATTATTACATGAACCAATAACAGAGAGGCTAAGTAGTTTTACCCTGGACTGAGAGTCAGTAATATAGTAATTTATTCTTAATGAATGAAGATCCTCACATTAACAAAGAACCTTATTTTGGAGCCCAGTAACTTTTCTTACAGAACCAAAAGCCAGGATAACATCACTATTTTTTTTTAGATGAAAAGAAAGCTCTATATTCATTAGGACCATTTCGCACCAAAAGTTTCTGTCTATGTATAAAGGCTCTAACATACAGCATAATCTAACTAATACTAATTATGATGAATAGGTGATTTAATTCCAAATGAAATTAAATTATAACTAAAGATGCTATTTTTTCCTCAGCTTAGGCTACCACGGTATTCATAATTACATAAAAATATTACAGGTCTTGTCTTAAGAAAGATTTACCAGAGACTTGTGTCATTTTTAGGTGCATGAACTCAGGAAATGTAAACTGAAAAACTCTTTGGTTCAGAAAATTCATTTGGTGCCTCTCTGAGTTTATTATTGTGAATGGGAAGTATATGTATGCTTTAACCTATAATCCTGAAAACAGAAATCAAGATAGGAAATATCTATGTAGTTGAAATAGTTTTTGCTGTTGGAATAGAAGGCTGTGGAAAGAATGTGCTGCTAATACACACACTCCTCCATACTTCACCACTCTCACCCCACCAAACAAACAAACCCGAAAACACCTTGAACGGGGAAAATTCATACCTGTCAGGCCTAGAATTGCTTTTATCTTAAGACTTATCATTTTCTTAACTCTCAAGTTAAGATTTCTTTGACTGTGAAGTACTGACTTCTAAATATAACTCCATAGACTCCCAATAATTACTAGACTTGGAAACAAATGAGTATTTTATTGTTCCAAAAATAAAAGACTGCCAAAAGAATGGGCATTTGCCACCATCCCATTCATTTAAAAGAACATGCCACTGACTTTGAAAGTAATTCTAGAAGAAGATGTTAAAAAGCTTCACCAATGGCAGCATTATAAAAATGTGTACAGGGGGCTGACAACATCATTCACTTTTCATTTGTATATGTATATTCTACCCTATTTTCAAACTCTCATTTGGAAATACAAGTTCCGGTATTAAAAAAGACCCAGTCTTGTAAGTTTATTACACTATTATTGTATACTAAAATAATTTTTACCACTCCACATTAATAAGATAAATACAACAAATTCCTTCAATATTATTCCCCCATTATATTTATTTATTTATTTATTTATTTATTTAAGAAGCACTTATTAGCACTTTAAAGAGTTATATTTTAAGGAGGAGATAATTAGATGAAGTGATTCATCTTTTTGCTTGCTTGCTTGCTTTCATCTAAGCCAAAATGATATATCTATAGAAACATTATGGGTGAGAATCAGAATATACACACACTATATATATGGTGTGTGTGTGTATATATATAGGGACAAAATATATAGTATATGTATATATATACTATACTATGTACTATACATACAGTGTATATACATACTATATATATATTTTAAACATAATTTTACTAATAAAATTACTTAAAGGAAAAACCTTTGAAAGAATCATACTTGACTTCAATCATTACCTAAACATGTTCTTTCAGGAAATTCAGGGATGATGTATGGGTTGTTGTGAAAATGATTCTGAAGCCCAATTTTAGCAGCACTGAATTTCTTGTTTTTCTGTAATCAGTCAGAGGAATGCAGCGATTCATGAGCTTCTCGGCCTGTTCTTTGTCTCACCTGTGACACTAAAATAGTCTATTCTTCTAAGTGCCCCAGCCATCCCGAACTCAATTATTAACAGATTAAATTTCTATGAATGTTTAGAAACAGTTGAGTTAGATAAGAGTTGTGATTCTCTGCCATTTTCCAAATAATAAATGTATATTGACTGACTGCATTAGTAAGAAACTACTCTGTATTCACAGGCCATTCAAATTTTTATAGAACTTTAGATTCATCAAAAGCTTGAGGCGTATAGTCAGAAAACTTGTTTTTACCACTATGCTACTACCTACCTTAATGGCTTTGGGAGATGTTTCTCAAAATCTTTTGTTGTATCTCAGTTTCATTATTTTGATGATGGAAATGATAATAATGGCAATGACGTCACAGGCATTTGAGTTTGGGATTATAAAAGTGCTTTGTAACTAGAACAGTGAGTTGTTATTCATATTATTGTGAACTGAACAGAACTACTCTGATGACCACCAGCTTTATCACGGCACTAACAATGGAAAGAGAGTAGCAAATTCTCCATTTCATGATCATTCTGCCTTGCTGCAGGCTATTTTAAAATGAACAGGTTGTTAACAGATGCCCACCTTTTGTACCACCTATATTGTAGGGTACATAAAGGTATATAAAATATAAGAAGCAGCTTGGTGTGGTGGAAAGAACTTGGACTTGAATCCTGTCTCTGTCCCTCACTTGCTCTGTGATCTAGGAGTCACTTAGCTTATCTGAGCCTCTATTCACTCTTCTATAAAAGGGGTTAAGAAATACTCATTTTAGAAAACTGATGTGAGAATTAAAAACTGAAACTGAGTCAAGTGCCTGGCACGTTATATGTATCAGATATGTTCTTATTACGGTACCTGATAAAAGGAAATTGAAAATGTCTAATGCTTAAGGAATCTGCACCCCAATGCCCTCCTTATTCCTGATAAAGACATAGTTTGACATGGGGGTTTAGCATGTGAGACACGAGTCCTGACAGGTCACAGATGTCCCGAGTCTCCTTGTGTTTTATGATTTGTCCATAGCTGACACTGCAACTTAGCCCTTTAATGATAACTAGGTCCAGCATAGAGCTTGCTTTGAGGTCCTTGCCATTATTATCACTTCCATCATCAAAATAATGAAACTGAGATACAACAAAAGATTTTGAGAAACATCCCCCAAAGTCATTAAGGTAGATAGTAGCATAGCAGGAACTTAAAAATAAATTTTCAGATGTATACAATGTGCCAGGCACTTGACTCAGTTTCAGTTTTTAATTCTCACATCAGTCTTCAGAACCAATATGTTAGATAGATAAATAGATAGATAGATAGATAGATAATAGGTAGATAGGTAGATTAGATAGATAGATGAGAGTAGATTTATTAGGGAAATTGGCTCACATGATTATAGAGGCTAAGAAGTCTTGCGGTAGGTTGTCTGCAAGCTGGAGAACCAGGGAGGCTGATAGGGTGGCTCAGTCCAAGTCTTAAGGCTTCAGAACTAGGGAAGCCACTGGTGTAACTCTCAGTTCAAGAGTGAAGACCTGAGAACCTCGGGGGGCACTGTTGCAAGTCCGAGTCTCCAAAGGCTGAAGAATCTGGAGTTCTCATGTCCAAGGGCAGGAGAAGAATTGTGTCCCACCTCCTGGAGAAAGTGAATTCCCATTTCCTCTGCCCTGTTGTTCTATCTGGGCCCTCAGATTGGATAGTGTCTGCCTGCATTGAGGGTGGATCTTCCTTACTCAGTCCACGGATTCAAATGTCAATCTCTTCTGGAAACATCCTCACAGGTATACCTAGAAATAATGTTGTACTAGCTTTCTGTGTCCCTCTTAGTCCAGTCAAGCAGACACCTAAAATTAACCATCAGAGTACCCATTGAATATTAATAGTTTACAATTACCTAGTTCTGTTTCTTTTCCTTTCCTCTTCCCTAGATTCAAGTCCCAAGCTATGTAATCCAGCATATTTCACTTATATTTTTAGGCTTCATCTTGCCCATCTGTAAAATGAAGGATTTGGGTTAGATACCAGCTAAAGTTCTTTGCATTTCTTACATTTAATGATTTCAGAAATTAGCAATCTTTTGCTACAGCAAGACTGCCCCAGATCTGTCGTTGAGGTGCTGGTGATGATTAAATCTGCTATGGAAGTGGACAGATGAAATTATAATGGGGGTCCCAGCCACCTGAGGGCAAGCAATGAAGGAAGCCAGAGGGTCATGACAGAGAGGAGCACTAAGCATTATAGGCATACTTCATTTTTCAATGAGGTCTGGTGCCACTTCTGTGCAGATCACCCACAAATTGTGGACATAACAGCCACTGAGCAGGCTGTTAAATCAGGGAAATCCTGAGAAACTCCCTTTCTGCCTCTTCCTGCAGTATGAGGGGTTAGAGTTCCACTTGCCCAGTTCAGCCCAGTCTTTCCTATATAGGTTGTTCTTTCCAACTTTTAAAATCTCCTATGTAGTACCACTATCCAGATCAACAAATGCTTATTCCTCTGAAGTAATCTGGATTCCTAGTGTTGAGTACTGGCTAGGAACTCGTGTAAATGGTTACTTTTTCTAGTAGGACAGATTGCATCCAAAGTGAAAAAGAATTGAACAAACATAGTGCATGCTTTGGATCGACATGCAGACCTCCTTAAGGGCAGCTGCACAGTGATGGGACCTCCAAGTTCTAATATAATAAATTACACTGTTAGAAAAGAGTGGTGTCTGTGTCTTATTATATGGATGTTGCTAACAATTTTCCATCTATTTCTCTGAGTCCAACATCCCTGACTTTTTTTTTTTTTTTTTTTTTTTGAGACGGAGTCTCGCTCTGTCGCCCAGGCTGGAGTGCAGTGGCGGGATCTCGGCTCACTGCAAGCTCCGCCTCCCGGGTTCACGCCATTCTCCTGCCTCAGCCTCCCAAGTAGCTGGGACTACAGGCGCCCGCCACTACGCCCGGCTAATTTTTTGTATTTTTAGTAGAGACGGGGTTTCACCGTTTTAGCCGGGATGGTCTCGATCTCCTGACCTCGTGATCCGCCCGCCTCGGCCTCCCAAAGTGCTGGGATTACAGGCGTGAGCCACCGCGCCCGGCCACATCCCTGACTTTTAAAATTTAAATATTCTTGTCTTGGACTTGCCATTGGTCCTTTGATTGGGGGAAGATACATAAAAAGGACACACAAAAAAATCTAAGGATGTTACCCATGAGAGTGTTTCTCTGGAAAATTAGTAAACTATTTTAATCTATAATATTACCCTTACACTCACACAAAAGGGTTCTTACTCTGCTTTGGTTCTCCATTTGCCATCATGTTCTCCATTATATGGAGAGTCTGTGGGTCCAGTGGAACATGCCTATGCAACATTTGCACCATCTTTTTATCGAGACCATGTTTTGGGTATTCGGGGCCCCAGAAAATGGGGAAGGGATGCCTTTCTCAAACAATGTTCAACTTACTTGCAGAATCTGCATGAGTCTTTTTCCTTGAGTTTGGTCTCAGGCAAGATTTATGGTCCAAAATGAGAACTGCACGAATGATGAGTACATCTCTTGGCACAAGAGGTGGCTTTGGAGTGGCTGGTTGCAGAATGGGAGATGTAGCCAGAGCTTAGATGTGTAGGTTTGAATAGACATATCTGTGGCATGAGAATCCACATGGTGTGGAACAAAGACAGGTGCAAAGAAGGGAGGAAAAGCCAGGGACAGGAGCTGAGTGCACTTTGATGTGGGGCTGGCTTTTCCTACACTGCCACATTTTTGGGTGGCATTCTGAGGCTTCCAAGAACTGTAAATGTAGAAGCGTATGACACATTTTATTTGTGTTTATTGGCTTAACTTATAACTTTAAATATTTAGATGTATGCCATGTAAGTCTCTATTTTTCTTTTGCTCCAAGCTTCCCAAATATTAGGGGAGTCAGTTGGTCCTATATAGAATAGAAATTTATCCTTAAAGTGCAAATAGAAGGATTTATTCCCAGGACTGCAAGGATGGTTCAACATATGCAGATCAATCAGTGTGATACATCATATCAACAGAATGAAGGATAAAATCCATATGCTCATTTCAATTGATGATGAAAAATTATTTCAAAAATTCAACATCACTTCATGATTTAAAATCCCTCAAAAAACTGGGTATAGAAGGAACATACCTCAACATAATGAAAGCCATAAATGACAGACCCACAGGCTAGTATCATACTGAATGGAGAAAAACTGAAAGGCTTTCCTCTTAATCTGGAACATGGCAAGCATGCCCACTTTCATCACTGTTATTAAACATAGCACTGAAAGCCCTAGCCAGAGCAATCAGACAAGAGGATGAAATAAAATGCATCCAAATTGGAAAGGAAGAAGTAAAATTATCCTTGTATGTAGATGATATAATCTTATATTTGGAAAAACCTATGTATACATGTACCATGCTGGTGTGCTGCACCCATTAACTCGTCATTTAGCATTAGGTATATCTCCTAAAGCTGTCCCTCCCCACTCCACCCACCCCACAACAGTCCCCAGAGTGTGATGTTCCCCTTCCTGTGTCCATGCATTCTCATTGTTCAATTCCCACCTATGAGTGAGAATATGCGGTGTTTGGTTTTTTGTTCTTGCGATAGTTTACTGAGAATGATGATTTCCAATTTCATCCATGTCCCTACAAAGGACGTGAACTCATCCTTTTTTATGGCTGCATAGTATTCCATGGTGTATATGTGCCACATTTTCTTAATCCAGTCTATCATTGTTGGGCATTTGGGTTGGTTCCAAGTCTTTGCTATTGTGAATAGTGCCCCAATAAACATACGTGTGCATGTGTCTTTATAGCAGCATGATTTATAGTCCTTTGGGTATATACCCAGTAATGGGATGGCTGGGTCAAATGGTATTTCTAGTTCTAGATCCCTGAGGAATCACCACACTGACTTCCACAATGGTTGAACTAGTTTACAGTCCCACCAACAGTGTAAAAGTGTTCCTATTTCTCCACATCCTCTCCAGCACCTGTTGTTTCCTGACTTTTTAATGATTGCCATTCTAACTGGTGTGAGATGGTATCTCATTGTGGTTTTGATTTGCATTTCTCTCATGGATAGTGATGGTGAGCATTTTTTCATGTGTTTTTTGGCTGCATAAATGTCTTCCTTTGAGAAGTGTCTGTTCGTGTCCTTCGCCCACTTTTTGATGGGTTTGTTTGTTTTTTTCTTGTAAATTTGTTTGAGTTCATTGTAGATTCTGGATATTAGCCCTTTGTCAGATGAGTAGGTTGTGAAAATTTTCTCCCATTTTGTATGTTGCCTGTTCACTCTGATGGCAGTTTCTTTTGCTGTGCAGAAGCTCTTTAGTTTAATTAGATCTCATTTGTCAATTTTGGCTTTTGTTGCCATTGCTTTTGGTGTTTTAGACATGAAGTCCTTGCCCATGCCTATGTCCTGAATGATAATGCCTAGGTTTTCTTCTAGGGTTTTCATGGTTTCAGGTCTGACATGTAAGTCTTTAATCCATCTTGAATTAATTTTTGTATAAGGTGTAAGGAAGGGATCCAGTTTCAGCTTTCTAAATATGGCTAGCCAGTTTTCCCAGCGACATTTATTAAATAGGGAATCCTTTCCCCATTGCTTGTTTTTGTCAGGTTTGTCAAAGATCAGATAGTTGTAGATAAGCGGCGTTATTTCTGAGGGCTCTGTTCTGTTCCATTGATCTATATCTCTGTTTTGGTACCAGTACCATGCTGTTTTGGTTACTGTAGCCTTGTAGTATAGTTTGAAGTCAGGTAGCGTGATGCCTCCAGCTTTGTTCTTTTGGCTTAGGATTGACTTGGTGATGCGGGCTCTTTTTTGGTTCCATGTGAACTTTAAAGTAGTTTTTTCCAATTCTGTGAAGAAAGTCATTGGTAGCTTGATGGGGATGGCATTGAATCTATAAATTACCTTGGGCAATATGGCCATTTTCATGATATTGATTCTTCCTACCCATGAGCATGGAATGTTCTTCCATTTGTTTGTATCCTCTTTTATTTCATTGAGCAGTGGTTTGTAGTTCTCCTTGAAGAGGTCCTTCACGTCCCTTGTAAGTTGTATTCCTAGGTATTTTATTGTCTTTGAAGCAATTGTGAATGGGAGTTCACTCATGATTTGGCTCTCTGTTTGTCTGTTATTGGTGTATAAGAATGCTTGTGATTTTTGTACATTGATTTTGTATCCTGAGACTTTGCTGAAGTTGCCTATCAGCTTAAGGAGATTTTGGGCTGAGACAATGGGGTTTTCTAGATATACAATCATGTCATCTGCAAACAGGGACGATTTGATTTCCTCTTTTCCTAATTGAACACCCTTTATTCCCTTCTCCTGCCTAATTGCCCTGGCCAGAACTTGCAACACTATGTTGAATAGGAGTGGTGAGAGAGGGCATCCCTGTCTTGTGCCAGTTTTCAAAGGGAATGCTTCCAGTTTTTGCCCATTCAGTATGATATTGGCTGTGGGTTTGTCATAGATAGCTCTTATGATTTTGAGATACGTCCCATCAATACCTAATTTATTGAAAGTTTTTAGCATGAAGCATTGTTGAATTTTGTCAAAGGCCTTTTCTGCATCTATTGAGATAATCATGTGGTTTTTGTCTTCGGTTCTGTTTATATGCTGGATTACATTTATTGATTTGCGTTTATTGAACCAGCCTTGCATCCCAGGGATGAAGCCCACTTGATCAAGTTGGATAAGCTTTTTGATGTGCTGCTGGATTCGGTTTGCCAGTATTTTATTGAGGATTTTTGCATCAATGTTCATCAAGGATATTGGTCTAAAATTCTCTTTTTTGGTTGTGTCTCTGCCCAGCTTTGGTATCAGGATGATGCTGGCCTCATAAAATGAGTTAGGGAGGATTCCCTCTTTTACTATTGATTGGAATAGTTTCAGAGGGAATGGTACCAGGTCCTCCTTGTACCTCTGTTAGAATTCGGCTGTGAATCCATCTGGTCCTGGACTCTTTTTGGTTGGTAAGCTATTGATTATTGCCACAATTTCAGAGTCTGTTATTGGTCTATTCAGAGATTCAACTTCTTCCTGGTTTAGTCTTGGGAGGGTGTATGTGTCGAGGAATTTATCCATTTCTTCTAGATTTTCTAGTTTATTTGAGTAGAGGTGTTTGTAGTATTCTCTGATGGTAGTTTGTATTATTGTGGGATCGGTGCTGACATCCCCTTTATCATTTTTTATTGCATCTATTTGATTCTTCTCTCTTTTCTTCTTTATTAGTCTTGCTAGCGGTCTATCAATTTTGTTGATCCATTCAAAAAACCAGCTCCTGGATTCATTAATTTTTTGAAGGGTTTTCTGTGTCTCTATTTCCTTCAGTTCTGCTCTGATTTTAGTTATTTCTTGCCTTCTGCTAGCTTTTGAATGTGTTTGCTCTTGCTTTTCTAGTTCTTTTAATTATGATGTTAGGGTGTCAATTTAAATAACCAGCTAACATCATAATGACAGGATCAAATTCACACATAACAATATTAACTTTAAATGTAAATGGACTAAATGCTCCAATTAAAGGACACAGACTGGCAAACTTTTAAAATGTTAAAGCATCATGAGAAAATAAAATAAAATAAAATGACTGCAATACAGTCATACGTAGTAAACTAGAATCATATCTAGTAAACTAGAAATTGCCAAAGAATCATTTCTCATCATTTGAATATTTGCTTTTTCACATTATCAAAGACAGCTATAGCAAAGAGAAGAAAAGGGAGGAGGGATATGCTAGGAGGATGCAGAGTAGTTGGAAGTCTCCTCTGGCAACAGCTATTAAGACTCCCTGAAGAAAAGGGTCTTCTTAAACAAATTAGCCACAGCTCTGTTTCATCTTCAATACAGATGGGAGTCCATATGACTTATAGTTCTAACCAGAACACTTTTTAAAGTTAAAGGAAACACTATTTATAATTACTCTGAGACAACAGACATATTGGATTGTTCCAATTAAATCAGGATATGTGATCGCCCTAGTTATTTGATGGTAGAGACAGAGACAATGGAGGCATTGGGAACTACAAGAAACAGAAACTACAAATTGCCCTCCAGGAATTAAAATATGAACAACAAAAAAAAATAAGTGATTCTAAAACACAGATCTAGATGTGATATAACTCAGGTTTAAGAGAGAATCACAAAGGTCGCAGTGATGATAGTCTGGCGGAGCTAATTAGGAAAGCCTAGGAGAAATTAATAAATTTCTGTCAACCACTTTGTAAATGTTTTTTTCTCAAAAAAAAAAAAAGCAGGAAAAGACGTTCATTTTTAGTTTTTTCTTTGCTAGCTGCCTCTATTACAAATTTCACCTGTCAATCAGAGAAGGATAAATTACAAGTCAAACTTAGACCACCAGTTTCCAACTACAAAGCTTAATAAGCAACATAGCAATAATGAATGGTAGTGGATGAACTCATTTCTGGTTTCAGACTAACGAATGAAATAGATTTTTATATTTGTAAGTACAATAACAATTTTGTATTATATATAAAGCAACTGCTGTACTCTTGGGAGTTTCTACATGAACCCATCAATATTTTCCCCCTTTGATTTTACATCTTCACTCTTTATTTGGTCCATGAAGTTTTTATGTTCAATTTTTGATAAAGTCAAAATGTGTTCTGTAACAGGTCTATGTTGATGCAGTTTAAACCTTGGTATGCATACGAAGCACAGGAATCACATTAAAATTCATGTTTTATACAGCACGTCTGAGGAAAGGTATCAGCTCAGCATGAGCTCCCGGGCGAAGCTGATGCTGCAGACCCATGGACTCACACTTTGAAAAGCAAGGACCTATGTTGTTGTTCTACACCCCCAACCTCATAATCTACTTGTTTGGCCTCATAACCCAAATCCCAGGAAATACAGAGTAAGCTGAAACATCCCTAATTATGATTCTTCCAACCACCTGAGGAAACTTATAACAAATAGATGATGTTTCGGCAGGTGTGGGGGCACTCAGAAGCAAATTTGTCTGAAAAGTTTACCAGGTAGTTCTAATGGCCAGGCAGGTTTATAAAATACTACCTTAAATTATAGTTGAAACAACTATGATAACACCAGAATACTCACATAATTCAGATGGCTACTCAACTTGTCTCTGTTTACAGCAGAAGAAAAATGTTCAGTTGCTACACCATCGGTGCTATCTATGAGCATTGAATTCCCGAGGATATAATATTATTTTCCAAGTGGAATTTGAACAATGTACCTGGGTATATATTCTCTTTAAATGCACTTGCATCCACAGCAGGACCTGTTGTAATATTCCCTGAAGTGAATGATGCAGTTTCTAATTCAATTATTTTCATTTTATTCCAAGTCTTCATAAGAATCAAGACTGTCATGTATAAAATGTATCAGCATGTGCCACTCTGAGCTGAGTGAGAAAATGAATTTACAACTTATCTTTTTCTAACCAATGCTTTTTTAATCACCTTCTCAGTTTCCTTTGACAGGTTGATGTGCTCCAGAGCTTCAGAAGGGCTTTATGATTTAAATCAGTTTCATATATTAAAATGACTAACAGGCCAAATTAGCTCGTATTTAATTGGTTCACTGAGTATACTAATATTAATGTTATATTATTTTTAATAATAACTACTATCAATTTTTTAATGCCCATGACATACTATGCTCTATGCTAAAAATATTATGCTTACATTAATTATCAATTGTAGAACTGAGAAGAATAATGCAAGATGACTAATACTAGAACCATTTTATAAATAAGAAAAATGGGGGTTGGAGAAGTTGAGCATCTTGGCTTCTGTTGAATATGAACCCTTATTATAATCCATACCTACCTCCATCTTGTGCAGGTAATATAAGTTCCACTATGACATCCAAAACCTGTGAGTTGATAAAACTGAAGCAAAGATTCTATTTACTTTATAAAATGTTCAAGCAACCACAGCAGTCATTTGGTATGCTCCAAACAAGTGAGTGTACACAACCTTTAAATTAGGTGATCTAGTGTTTTAGCTTCACCCTAACTTTCTGCATAATATAGATCCCACATTATAGCTTCACAAGTAACAGCATTCATAACCACTACTCACAGTGTTACTAGGAGGAAATTCCAACAAGCTTTAATTTTTATATACAAAGGGGGATAATACCCTGACACCAGACCAGAGCAGTTTGGAGAGTTCAGCAGGAGATGCACAAGAGGGTGTAGGGAGTCTTTGCAGAGGTGGAAGGCAGGACCAATAAGGGTGAGTTACCCAAAAAACAGAGCTCCACCTGGAAAGAAACTTCTGAGAGTAGATATTATGCCTGATGGGTCATAACACCAACAAAGGGGAATTACAATGAAGGGTCCCAGAAAGTGAATCTGTGGGTGAAAGAGAGTCACCTTAGAAGGTTGAGGTTGTACTGTTTAGAGACAGCAACTACTAGTACAGGATAGAGAAGAAAGGAGGTAGTTTATAGTATGATTCAGCTGAAACAAGATAGATTCTGAAAATCAAAGGTAGCCTGACCATAAAAAAGCATCATATATTAAAGAAACTATTCTTCACAGAGCAACTGAAAAAAAATCCTTGAGAAGAGGAAATGAAACAGACATAAACGGGGTCACCCAAAATGATATAAAAAAGTCAATCAAAAAAGATAATCGTATTCATTTCTTAGAGCTACCATAACAATGTACTACAAACTGAGTGGCTTTAAACAATAGAAACTTAATTGTCTCACAGTTCAGGAGGCTAAAGTCCAAAATCAAGGTGTCAGCGAGGCCATGCTCCCTCTGAAACCTGCAGGGAAATCAATCCTTCCTTGCCTCTTCCCAGAGTCTGGTGGTTTGCTGGCAATCTTTGGTATCTTTGGCTTGCAGCTTCAGGACTCCAATCTCTAACTTTGTTGTCACATGGCATTCTCTCTGTGTGTTTGTTTCTTCACATGGCTGACTTCTTATAAGGATGCCGTTCATACTCAATGAGGGGTCCACTCTACTACAATATAACTTCATTTTAACTAGTTTCCTCTGTAATGACCCTATTTCCAAATAAAGTAATATTCTGAGGTACTTGGGGGTTATGACTTCAACCTATCTCTTTTAGGGCAGTGCAATTCAATCAATAACAATTACATATGTATTTATATGATAATATATGTATATATACATATATTTTTCCCCTGAAGTATATATATTTTTCCATATAAATATATATGTTTCCCCTGAAGAAGAGAACTAAAATAATTAAGCATAAAACATGTGTAAAATTATAATTCAAAATTCAAGAAGCTTTCAAGAAATGAAAACTTAAGAAATAAAAAAGACCTGCATATATATTGCAAGCAGATACTACATATCTGGTAAGATGACAAAAATGTTAACTCAAGCATATCCTGATAAAATTATTAAACTTAAAAAAATGCTTTGGGTGTCTAGGCAGAAAAAAAGTTACTTAAAAAGAAAAGAAAATTAGATTGCCATACTTTTCTCTGCCTAAACATTAAAGTCTAGAAGAAACTCAAGCAACAGCTACAAGATACCAATGGCAATGAATGTGAGATTCTAATCTAGATTAGATTAGAATTAGAATTAGGTTAGAAATTCTAATCTAGTCCAGCTGACCTTCAGTATAAAAAGAAATGGCAAAATGCAGAACTCAGGAAATATTATGTCCCTAAGCTCTTGAAGAATTTATTAGAGAAAATCTTGATTTAACTAGTAAATGGTTGGGAAAACTTCATAAATAGGACTAATGATGAGGAATGAATTTATTTAACTATAGATTTAAGACTAAAACAAAATTCCAGATTGGTGGTGTTAAACTATGTCCACAAATTATTTGATATGCTCCTCCAAGAGGCCTCCAGTTTGTGTGGGCTGGACTTAGTGACTCCTTCCAAATGGAAAAAACAAAAAGCAGAAGTGGTGGTGTGTGACTTGAAGACTAGGTCATTAAAAAAAAAAAGCCTGGCATTCCCCTTTTTCAGTTCACTGGCTATTTTAGTCAGTTTGAGCTACTTGCCCTGAGAAACATCATCACCATAGGCTGTGTTATTCATAACAACAGAAATTTGTTTCTCACAGTTCTGGAGTGATTAATATACCAGTAAGGTCTGGTTCTGGTGACAGCCCTCTTCCAGATTGCAGACTGCAAACTCCCCATTGCATCTTCACATAGGCGGAAAGGGAAAGCTCTCTGGGATTCCTTTTATAAAAGCACTAATTTCATTCATGAGAGCCTCAGCGTCATGACCTAATTACCTCCCAAAGGCCCCATTTACTAATACCATTACACTGTGGGCAAGGAATAAAACATAATGAATTTTGGAGGGACACAAACATTAAGTCCACAACACTTGTTCTTTTTTTCTTCCTGACAAATGAGATTTTTTAAAAATTTTTTATTTCCATAGTTTTTGGGGAACAGGTGGTATTTGGTTACATGAGTAAGTTCTTTCATGGTGATTTGTGAGATTTTGGTGCACCCATCACCCGAGCAGTATACACTGAACCCTATTTATAGTCTTTTATACCTTACCCCCTTCCCACTCTTTCCTCCTGAGTCCCCAAAGTCCATTGTGTCATTCTTATGCCTTTGTATCCCCATAGCTTAGCTCCCACTTATGAGTGAGAACATACGCTGTTTGGTTTTCCATTCATAAGTTACTTCACTTAGAGTAACAGTCTCCAGTCTCATCCAGGTTGCTGTGAATGCCATGAATTCATTCCGTTTTATGGATGAGTATTATTCCATCATATATACACCACAGTTTATTTATCTGCTCGTTGATTGATGGACATTTGGGTTGGTTCCACATTTTTGCAATTGTGAATTGTGCTGCTATAAACAAGCATGTGCAGGTATCTTTTTTGTATAATGATTTCTGTTCCCCTGGGGAGATACCCAGTAGTGGGATTGCTGGATCAAATGGTAGTTCTACTTTTAGTTCTTTAAGGAATCTCTGCACTGTTTTCCACAGTGGTTGTACTAGTTTACGTTCCCACCAGCAGTGTAGAAGTGTTCCCTTTTCACCACATCCATGACAACATCTATTTTTTTTTATTTTTTGATTATGACCATTCTTGGAGTAAGGTGGTATTGCATTGTGGTTTTGATTTGCATTTTCCTGATCATTAGCAATAGTGAGCATTTTTTCATATGTTTGTTGGCCATTTGTATATCTTATTTTGATAATTGTCTATTCATATCCTTAGCCCAAGTTTTGATGGCATTGTTTGTTTTTTTTCTTGCTAATTTGTTTGAGTTCATTGTAGATTCTGGATATTAGTCCTTTGTCATACATGCAGATTGTGAAGATTTTCTCCCACTCTATGGGTTGTCTGTTTACTCTGCTGACTGTTCCTTTTGCTGCGCAAAAGCTCTTTAGTTTAATTACGTCCCTGCTATTTATCTTTGTTTTTATTTTATTTGCTTTTGAGTTCTTGATCATGAAATCCTTGCCAAGCCAATGTCTAGAAGGGTGTTTCCAAAGTTGTCTTCTAGAATTTTTATAGTTTCAGATCTTAGATTCAAGTCTTTGATCCATCATGAGTTGATTTTTGTATAAGGTGAGAGATGAGGATCCAGTTTCATTCTCCTACATGTGGCTAGCCAATTGTCCCAACACAGTTGTTGAATAGGGTGTCCTTTCCCCACTTCATGCTTTGTTTTGCTTTGTCAAAGATTAGTTGGCTATAAGTATTTGGGTTTATTTCTGATTTCTCTATTCCGTTCCATTGGTCTATGTGCCTATTTTCATACCAGTAGCATGCTGTTTTGGTGATGATGGCCTTATAGTTTAGTTCGAAATGAGGTAATGTGATGCCTCCAGATTTGTTCTTCTTGCTTAGTCTTGCTTTGACTATGTGGGCTCTTTTTGGGTTCCATATGAATTTTAGGATTGTTTTTTTCTAGTTCTCTTAAGAATTATGGTGGTATTTTGGTAGGGATTGCATTGAATTTGTAGATTGCTTTTGGCAGTATGGTCATTTTCACAATATTGATTCTATCCATCCATGAGCACGGGGTGTGTTTCCATTTGTTTTTATCATCTATGATTTCTTTCAGCAGTGTTTTGTAGTTTTCCTTGTAGAGGTCTTTTACCTCCTTGGTTAGGTATATGTTCAAGTTTTGTTTTTTTGTTTTTTTGTTTTTGCAGCTATTGTAAAAGTGGTTGAGTTCTTGATTTGATTCTCAGCTTAGTTGCTGTTGGTGTATAGCAGAGCTACTGATTTGTGTATATTAATTTTACATCCTGAAACTTTGCTGAATTCATTGATCAGTTAAAGGACCATTTTGGAGGAGTCATTAGGGTTTTCTAGGTATACAGTTTTGTCATCAGCAAACAGCAATAGTTTAAATTCCTCTTTACCAGTTTGAATGTTCTTTATTTCTTTCTCTTGTCTGGTTGTTCTGGTTAGAACTTCCAGTACTATGTTGAATAGAAGTGGTGAGAGTGGGCATTCTGGTCTTGTTCCAGTTCTCAGAGGGAATGCTTTCAACTTTTCCCTATTCAGCATTATGTTGGCTGTGGGTTTGTCATAGATGGCTTTTATTACATTGAGTTATGCCCCTTGTATGCTGATTTTGCTGAGAGTTTTAATCATCAAGGGATGCTACATTTTGTCAAATGCTTTTTCTGCATCTATTGAGATGATCATGTGATTTTTGTTTTTAATTCTGTTCATGTGGTGTATCACATTTATTGAGTTGCATATGTTAAACCATCCCTGCATCCATGGTATGTAACCCATTTGATCCTGGTGGATTATCTTTTTGATATGTTGTTGGATTTGTTTACCTAGTATTTTGTTAAGGATTTTTACATCTATGTTCATCAGGGATATTGGTCTGTAGTTTTCTTTTTGGTTATATGCTTTCCTGGTGTTGGTATTAGGGTGATACTTCATAGAGTGATTTAGGGAGGATTCCCTCTTTCTCTATCTTGTGGAATAGTGTCAGTAAGATTGGCACCAATTATTCTTTAAACGTCTGGTAGAATTCAGCTACGAATCCATGTGGCCTTGGACATTTTTTGTTGGTAATTTTAAAAATTATTACTTCAATCTCATTGCTTGTTATTGTTCTGTTCAGAGTATCTAATTCTTCCTGATTTAAGTTGGGAGGGTTGTATATTTCCAGGAATTTTCCATCTCCTCTAGGTTTTCTAGTTTATGTGCATAAATGTGTTCATAGTAGACTTGAATGATCTTTTGTATTTCTGTAATGTCAGTTGAAATATCTCCCATTTTGTTTCTAATTGAGCTTATTTGGATTTTCTTCTTTTCTTGGTTAATCTTGCTAATGGTCTATCAGTTTTATTTATCTTTGCAGAGAATCAGCTTTTTGTTTCATTTATTGTTTGTATTTTTTGTTTCAATTTCATTTAGTTCTGCTCTGATCTTAGTTATTTCCTTTCTTTTGCTGGGTTCGGGTTTGTTCTGTTCTTGTTTCTCTAGTTCCTTGAGGTGTGACCTTAGATGTCTACTTGTGCTCTTTCAGGCTTTTTGATGTAGGACTTTAGGGCTGTGAACTTTCCTCCTGTCACCACCTTTGCTGTATCCCAGAGATTTTGTTAGGTTGTGTCATTGTTATCATTCAGTTCAAGAATGTTTTAATTTCCGTCTTGATTTCATTGTTAAGCTAATGATCATTCAGGAGCAGGTTATTTAATTTCCATGTATTTGCTTGGTTTTAAAGATTCTTTTTGGAGTTAATTTCTGCTTTTATTTCACTGTCATTTGAGAGAGTACTTGATATAATTTCAATTTTCTTAAATTTATTGAGACTTGTTTTGTGGTCTATCATATGGTCTATCTTGAAGAAAGGTTCATGCACTAATGAATAGAATGTATATTCTGCACTTGTTGGGTAGAATGTTCTGTAAATATCTGTTAAGTCCATTTGTTCTAGGGTATAGTTTAAATCCATTGTTTCTTTGTTGACTTTCTGTCTGATGACTTGTCTAGTGCTGTCAGTAGACTATATGTAGAAAGCGGAAACTGGATCCCTTCCTTACACCTTATACAAAAATTAATTCAAGATGCATGAAAGACTTAAATGTTAGACCTAAAACCATAAAAACCTAGAAGAAAACCTAGGCAATACCATTCAGGACATAGCAATGGGCAAGGACTTCATGTCTAAAACACCAAAAGCAATGGCAACAAAAGCCAAAATTGACCAATGGGATCTCATTAAACTGAAGAGCTTCTGCACAGCAAAATAAACTACCATCAGAGTGAACAGGCAACCTACAGAATGGGAGAAAATTTTTGCAATCTACTCATCTGACAAAGGGCTAATATCCAGAATCTACAAAGAATTCAAACAAGTTTACAAGAAAAGAACAACCCCATCAAAAAATGGGCAAAGTATATGAACAGACACTTCTCAAAAGAAGATATTTATGCAGCCAAAAGACACATGAAAAAATGCTCATCATCACTGGCCATGAGAGAAATGCAAATCAAAACCACAGTGAGATACCATCTCACACCAGTTAGAATGGCAATCATTAAAAAGTCAGGAAACAACAGGTGCTGGAGAGGATGTGGAGAAATAGGAACACTTTTACACTGTTGGTGGGACTGTAAACTAGTTCAACCATTGTGGAAGTCAGTGTGGTGATTCCTCAGGGATCTAGAACTAGAAATACCATTTGACCCAGCCATCCCATTACTGGGTATATACCCAAAGGACTATAAATCATGCTGCTATAAAGACACATGCACACGTATGTTTATTGGGGCACTATTCACAATAGCAAAGACTTGGAACCAACCCAAGTGTCCAACAACGATAGACTGGATTAAGAAGTGGTTTCCAAGCAAAGATGAAACAAACTACGGTGCAAGAAAATCTTGGTCCAAATTTGAAGCACCAGGTGTGGCTTCCACCCTTATTCGAATTATTTCTGAAGACCTCAGAGAGGTCTATGGTGGTGCATAAGAGGACCATTCAATGAAAAGGCCTTATAAAGAGCTTAATGACATGCTTCACTGAGGCATATCTCCCAATGGTAGTATTTCTAAGTTTAAAGGCTTTATCTCTCAGCCACCTGAGCAGAAGCTTAAAAGAGAAGGGGAAGGCCTATCCTGAGGAGATTCATGAGAATATCTTTTATCTAATGGAGTAAACCCTCATGAAATTCACAGAAAACTCAAGAGTTTTTAATAAAACTATGTTTTCAGAAATCTTCCAGCTTAGACTGAAAGGGACAGAGATAATATATAGTAAAAGAGATGTTGAATTCCCCAAAATTCTGGCATGAAACTGGATGAGAAACTATGCAGCTGCAAACATGGCTTACTTTTTTTTAAAAATGGAGTTTCACTCTTTTACCCAGGCTGGAGTGCAGTGGCATGATCTCGGGTCACTGCAACCTCCGCCTTCTGGTTTCAAGTGATTCTCCTGCCTCAGCCTCCTGAGTAGCTGGATTACAGGCACCCGCCACCACGCCTGGCTAATTTTTTTGTATTTTTAGTAGATACGGGGTTTCACCATGTTGGCCAGGTCTCGAACTCCTGACCTCATGATCTGCCCTCCTCGGCCTCCCAAAGTGCTGGATTACAGGCATGAGCCACCACGCCTGGGCCTATTCTTGAAAAAGGAGGATGACTCAGAGGGTGAAACCATGAGCCCAGAGGGTGTAGCCAAGAGCCATGGAGAATGATTCCTAGGCGGGAGTAGAACTGAGCTCTGATCAAGGAATTTCAATGTTTGCCTGGCTGAATTTGCAGAATTGCTATAGATGAATGACTCCTTGCCTGTCCAATCCCCTCTCTCCTTTAACAGGGATTGCTTAGAGGTTGTCTTATACCTGTCCTGCTATAGTATGATTGGCATATTAGTTGGAAGATAACTTATCTCTTTAGTTCACAGGTTTTCAGGTCTAGGGAAGCTATGCTTGAGAAGCTGTACTAATAAAACCATGCCCAAGGAACCTCAAATGCACCTGAATTTAGACGACAGATGCTGAACTTCAGGTTGATGTTATAATGGTATAAAACATGTAATATCCCTGAGAGGGGAGGATGTATTTTGCATATGGAATAAATATTTGTGATAAAGGGATTACCAGTGTTTTTTCTAAATATGTCCAAAAATTTTTGATACTGCTCCCTTCAAGAGGTATAGCCTAATTCCTTTCCCCTCAGCCTGAGCTGGACATAGTAATTTGCTTCTAATGAACACAAAAAAAGCAAAAGCAATGGTATGTAACTCCAGAGACAAGGTCATAAAAGGCACTGTAGCTTTTTTTCTTTGTCTTGGGTCACTGACTCTGGGGGAACCCAGCTGCCACGCCAAGAGGATGCTCAAGCAGCCTTATAGAAATACCCATATGATGAAGAACTGAGACCTACTGCCAATCACCATCAAGGAAATGAGGCATCCATAGAAAGATCTTAGAAATGGCTCTACCAGCTCCAATTTAGCTGTCAGATGACTGCTACCCCAGTCAACATCTTGATTGCTACCTCATGAGAGACCCTAAGCTTGAACCATCCAGCTAAACTATTTGTGGACTCTCCATCCTTAGAAACTGTGTGAGATAATAAATACTTGTAGTTTTAAACTATTAAGTTTTGAGGGTAATTTGTTACACAACAAAAGACAAATACTGGATTAGGGATAAATGCTGTATGATCTGATAATGTAGAAATAAAAAAATCAAAAATTGGAAAAATGGAGTGGGGAGAGGAAAAGAAGAAACACTTCATTGATTATCTCGAAGATGGGCATCAGAGAATATAATAAGCTGAAAAATCAAGTACTAAACTCTGAATCATAAGTAAAAGATAAATACTTAGAAAGCCAATACCATTGGTTCAAACTGAATGAGAGGAGGGTGAAGAGAGATGAGAAAAGATTCTAATCAAATGGAACAATTAATTGCTAAAATTGAAAATTAATTCATTGGAACTAAATTAGAGTACAAAATAAGCAGAAGAACCAAATTTCTCACTGATATGGTCAGAAAAATGTTATGAAGCTCAATTTTTTTGCCTAGATACAAGACATGGATTCATGACCAAAAAATACATTATTATTTTTTTCCTCCTATAAATGTGACCAATTCGCTCCAGTTAATGATCTAATTATAACACAATGTCTCCTTTTAAAGAGAAGATGTTTCAGTTATTTATGTGCTTTTCTGCTTGGCTAACACCATAATATAAAGAGTATATTAAATTTATCAGGATATTATACAGTCACTTTCACAGAAAGTGACTATATAGAAAGGCTATAGTTCCCTAGACAGTAGAAATAAAATAACCTAGAATGAAATAATCCATATGTACATTAAAATAAAATTTGTAAAAATGAAGCCTGCCAGATATGAGTAGAAATGATCTCATTGTAAAATCTTCAGGTTCTCATTTCTTGGAAAAGCCATAATTATAACCTTATCTTTTTAGAGACCAATTACTATATTCATGGTACTTTCTGAAAAAAATGCTTTGCTATTTTTATGACTTGCCAATCTGTATTTCCAACTCTAAGAATAGAAATCTACAACATAGCAATTTCCATAAATAAGAAGTCTGAAATAAATGACACTAGTCTATCAAAACACAAGTATAAAACCTTTAAATTTTAGGTGAAATGTAAAGTAGAAAGCCTTTATTAGCATAAATAAGTTACTTAGATGATATCCTTCACATCTTTCCAAGTTATCAAATTAGATCATTAGAGCCTCCAAATTGGCAAGAAAAAAAGATGTCTGTACCACACAAAGTAAATTGGCCAACTTATCTAATGAGCTAATTCGTAGTACTACAAGGAAAAAGTATCTGATTTGCATTCTCAAAATATAAAGGTTTAAAAAATCTTGCCATTCTAAAAAGGACAACTATAAAAACTAATGTTCTTACTTTCAGTTTTTCTTACTAAACTAGACTTTCACAATGTAAGCACTATTCTTGGGGTGTGTGTATGTGTGTGAAAGTGGAATGTGCAAGAAAGGTGTGTGGATGGGGAACATGGCAGCACCCCCATAACACACCATTCTCTCATGCTTCTCATTCTGGAGAAACACCACCAGAATCCCATTCAGTCCTCCGATGAGACCATTGTTCTAATACATCACCCTGCAATCATTTGGAGAATACAAGCAAAAGTCTTACACAACCTCCCTAGAACACACCTGATATTTGACTATCACTTCAAAGACAACAGACCATCTAATCACTCTTGAAAAGTTACACATATGTGCTTCAGTTACACATATGTGATAATTGCTTGAATTGACTCTTTTCCTCTAAAATGTTGACTTAGGAGAAAAGCACCTCTTTTTTTATTATTACTATTATACTTTAAGTTTTAGGGTACATGTGCACAACGTGCAGGTTTGTTACATATGTATACATGTGCCATGCTGGTGTGCTGCACCCATTAACTCTTCATTTACATTAGGTATATCTCCTAATGCTGTCCCACCCCCCTCCCTCCACCCCACAACAGTCCCTGGTGTGTGATGTTCCCCTTCCTGTGTCCATGTGTTCTCATTGTTCAATTCCCACCTATGAGTGAGAACATGTGGTGTTTGGTTTTTTGTCCTTGTGATAGTTTGCTGAGAATGATGGTTTCCAGCTTCATCCATGTCCCTGCAAAGGACAAGAACTCATCATTTTTTATGGCTGCATAGTATTCCATGTGTATATGTGCCACATTTTCTTAATCCACTCTATGATTGTTGGACATTTGGGTTGGTTCCAAGTCTTTGCTATTGTGAATAGTGCCCCAATAAACATACGTGTGCATGTGTCTTTATAGCAGCAGGATTTATAATCCTTTAGGTATATACCCAGTAATGGGATGGCTGGGTCAAATGGTATTTCTCGTTCTAGATCCCTGAGGAATCGCCACACTGACTTCCACAATGGTTGAACTAGTTGACAGTCCCACCAACAGTGTAAAAGTGTTCCTATTTCTCCACATCCTCTCCAGCACCTGTTGTTTCCTGACTTTTTAATGATCGCCATTCTAACTGGTGTGAGATGGTATCTCATTGTGGTTTTGCTTTGCATTTCTCTGATGGCCAGTGATGGTGAGCATTTTTTCATGTGTTTTTTGGCTACATAAATATCTTCTTTTGAGAAGTGTCTGTTCATGTCCTTTGCCTACTTTTTGATGGGGTTGTTTGTTTTTTTCTTGTAAATTTGTTTGAGTTCATTGTAGATTCTGGATATTAGCCCTTTGTCAGATGAGTAGGTTGAGAACGCTTGTAGGTTGTCTGTTCACTCTGATGGTAGTTTCTTTTGCTGTGCAGAAACTCTTTGGTTTAATTAGATCCCATTTGTCAATTTTGGCTTTTGTTGCCATTGCTTTTGGTGTTTTAGACATGAAGTCCTTGCCCATGCCTATGTCCTGAATGCTATTGCCTAGGTTTTCTTCTAGGGTTTTTATGGTTTCAGGTCTGACATGTAAGTCTTTAATCCATCTCGAATTAATTTTTGTATAAAGTGTAAGGAAGGGATCCAGTTTCAGCTTTCTACATATGGCTAGCCAGTTTTCTCAGCACCATTTATTAAATAGGGAATCCTTTCCCCATTTCTTCTTTTTGTGAGGTTTGTCAAAGATCAGATAGTTGTAGATATGTGGCATTATTTCTGAGGGCTCTGTTCTCTTCCATTTGTCTATATCTCTGTTTTGGTACCAGTACCATGCTGTTTTGATTTCTGTAGCCTTGTAGTATAGTTTGAAGTCAGGTAGCGTGATGTCTCCAGCTTTGTTCTTTTGGCTTAGGATTGACTTGACAATGCGGGCTCTTTTTTGGTTCCATATGAACTTTAAAGTAGTTTTTTCCAATTCTGTGAACAAAGTCATTGGTAACTTGATGGGGATGGCATTGAATCTATAAATTAGCTTGGGCAGTATGGCCATTTTCACGATATTGATTCTTCCTACCCATGAGCATGGAATGTTCTTCCATTTGTTTGTATCCTCTTTTATTTCATTGAGCAGTGGTTTGTAGTTCTCCTTGAAGAGGTCCTTCACATCCCTTGTAAGTTGGATTCCTAGGTATTTTATTCTCTTTGAAGCAATTGTGAATGGGAGTTCCCTCATGATTTGGCTCTCTGTTTGTCTGTTATTAGTGTATAAGAATGCTTGTGATTTTTGTACATTGATTTTGTATCCTGAGACTTTGCTGAAGTTGCTTATCAGCTTAAGGAGATTTTGGGCTGAGATGATGGGGTTTTCTAGATATACAATCATGTCATCTGCAAACAGGGACAATTTGATTTCCTCTTTTCCTAGTTGAATGTCCTTTATTCCCTTCTCCTGCCTGATTGCCCTGGCCAGAACTTCCAACACTATGTTGAATAGGAGTGGTGAGAGAGGGCATGTCATGCCAGTTTCCAAAGGGAATGCTTCACATTTTTGTCCATTCACTATGATATTGGCTGTGGGTTTGTCATAGATAGCTCTTATTATTTTGAGATACATCCCATCAATACCTAATTTATTGAGATTTTTTAGCATGAAGTGTTGTTGAATTTTGTCAAAGGCCTTTTCTGCATCTATTGAGATAATCTTTTGTCTTTGGTTCTGTTTATATGCTGGATTACGTTTATTGATTTTCGTATGTTGAACCAGCCTTGCATCCCAAGGATGAAGCTCTCTTGATCGTGGTAGATAAGCTTTTTGATGTGTTGCTGGATTCGGCTTGCCAGTATTTTATTGAGGACTTTTGCATCAATGTTCATCAAGGATATTGGTCTAAAATTCTCTTTTTTTGTGTGTCTCTGCCAAGCTTTGGTATCAGGATGATGTTGGCCTCATAAAATGAGTTAGGGAGGATTCCCTCTTTTTCTGTTGATTGGAATAGTTTCAGAAGGAATGGTACCAGCTCCTCCTTGTACCTCTGGTAGAATTCAGCTGTAAAAATTAGACAAATGGAGACTAGAATAATCAATGCAGAGTAGTCCTTAAAGGAGCTGATGGAGCTGAAAACCATGGCACGAGAACTATGTGATGAATGCACAAGCCTCAGTAACTGATGTGTTCAACTGGAAGAAAGGGTATCAGTGTTGGAAGATCAAATGAATGAAATGAAGTGTGAAGAGAAGTTTAGAGAAAAAAGAATAAAGAGAAACGAACAAAGCCTCCAAGAAATATGGGACTATGTGAAAAGACCAAATCTACATCTAATTGGTGTACCTGAAAGTGATGGGGAGAACGGAACCAATTTGGAAAACACTCTGCAGGATATTATCCAGGAGAACTTCCCCAATCTAGCAACGCAGGCCAACATTCAAATTCAGGAAATACAGAGAACGCCACAAAGATACTCCTTGAGAAGAGCAACTCCAAGATACATAATTGTCAGATTCACCAAAGTTGAAATGAAGGAAAAAATGTTAAGGGCAGCCAGAGAGAAAGGTCGAGTTACCCCCAGAGGGAAGTCCGTCAGACTAACAACTGATATCTCGTCAGAAACTCTACAAGCCAGAAGAGAGTGGGGGCCAATATTCAACATTCTTAAAGAAAAGAATTTTCAACCCAGAATTTCATATCCAGCCAAACTAAGCTTCATAAGTGAAGGAGAAATAAAATTCTTCACAGGCAAGCAAATGCTGACTGATTTTGTCACCACCAGGCCTGCCCTAAAAGAGCTCCTGAAGGAAGCACTAAACATGGAAAGGAACAACCAGTACCAGCCACTGCAAAAACATGCCAATTTGTAAAGACCATCAAGGCTAGGAAGAAATTGCATCAACTAACGAGCAAAATAACCAGCTAACATCATAATGACAGGATCAAATTCACACATAACGATACTAACCTTAAATGTAAATGGGCTAAATGCTCCAATTAAAAGGCACAGACTTGAAAATTGGATAAAGAGTCAAGACCCATCAGTGTGCTGTATTCAGGAAACCCATCTCACATGCAGAGACACACATAGGCTCAAAATAAAGGGATGGAGGAAGATCTACCAAGCAAATGGAAAACAAAAAAAGGCAGGGGTTGCAATCCTAGTCTCTGATAAAACAGACTTTAAACCAACAAAGATCAAAAGAGACAAAGAAGGCCATTACATAATGGTAAAGGGATCAATTCAACAAGAAGAACTAACTATCCTAAATACATATGCACCCAATACAGGAACACCGAGATTCATAAAGCAAGTCCTTAGTGACCTACAAAGTGACTTAGACCCCCACACAATAATAATGGGAGACTTTAACACTCCACTGTTAACATTAGACAGATCAACGAGACAGAAAGTTAAAAAGGATATTCAGGAATTGAACTCAGCTCTGCACCAAGAGGACCTAATAGACATCTACAGAACTCTCCACCCCAAATCAACAGAATATACATTCTTTTCAGCACCACACCACACGTATTCCAAAATTGACCACATATTTGGAAGTAAAGCACTCCTCAGCAAATGTAAAAGAATAGAAATTACAACAAACTATCTCTCAGACCACAGTGCAATCAAACTAGAACTCAGGATTAAGAAACTCACTCAAAACTGCTCAACTACATGGAAACTGAACAGCCTACTCCTGAATGGCTACTGGGTACATAACGAAATGAAGGCAGAAATAAAGATGTTCTTTGAAACTGACAAGAACAAAGACACAACATACCAGAATCTCTGGGACACATTCAAAGCAGTGTGTAGAGGGAAATTTATAGCACTAAATGCCCACAAGAGAAAGCAGGAAAGATCTAAAATGGACACCCTAACATCACAATTAAAAGAACTAGAGAAGCAAGAGCAAACACATTCAAAAGCTAGCAGAAGGCAAGAAACAACTAAAATCAGAGCAGAACTGAAGGAAATAGAGACACAAAAAAACCTTCAAAAAAACAATGAACCCAGGAGCTGCTTTTTGAAAAGATCAACAAAATTGATAGACCGCTAGCAAGACTAATAAAGAAGAAAAAAGAGAAGAATCAAATAGACACAATAAAAAATGACAAAGGGGATATCATCACCAATCCCACAGAAATACAAACTACCATCAGAGAATACTTTAAACACCTCTATGCAAATAAACTAGAAAATCAAGAAGAAATGGATAAATTCCTCCACACATACACTCTCCCAAGACTAAACCAGGAAGAAGTTGAATCTCTGAATAGACCAATAACAGGCTCTGAAATTGAGGCAATAATTAATAGCTTACCAACCAAAAGAAAAGCTCCTCTTATTCAAGGTTGACATAATCTGTCAGTGTTCCTCCTGAGCAAATGAATAAAGACCTGGTGAACCAGCTTGGAAACGGAGTCAGACAAGCGTTGAAGGAAAAATGATCTCTCAAAACTGACAGTGCCTCTGGTCATCTTTATCAAGATCCCTCCTTGCCAAAAATTGCCCTGCCAACTTCACTTTTTAAAAATGTTTAGCTCCTGAAATTCTTTATCCTCTCAACTTTTATATTTATTCAGAGAACAAATAGGACATCTTCAAGTAGACTGAAACTGAAATTGATTATCAAATTTCTTTTGGATTATCATTCAGGGTTTCTCTGTAATAGCAATGCTGACATTTTGGGCCAGACAATGCTTTGTCAAATGGGGCAGCCCTGTGCATGGTTGAATGTTTAACAGCATCCCTGAACTCGACTCACTAGATGCTGACCTTGACAACCAAAAGCATCTTGAGACATTGCCATATGTCCCTGAACAAATAAAGCCTCTCCCGTTGAGAATCTTTAGATTTACATGTTTTGTTTTTCTTTTATGTTTGTAATAGATGTACAGAAGAACTAAGACTACATAAACACTCAAACTGAAAAAGAAAATTAAATCTCTTAAGGTAATAATAAAAGTACTTAGAAGCTCTTCCCAGGTCAAAAATAAGCCTCAGTCCAGAAAGTTGCTGAGAATAATGTTATGCTGGTTAATTTTATATGTCACGTTGACTGGACCATGAGGTACCCACCTATTTGACCAGACTTTATTTTGGGTGTTTCTGTGAGGACATTTTCGGATGAGATTAGGATTTAAATTGGTTAAGTGAGTAAAGCAGATTGCTCTCCCTAATATGGCTAGGCCCCTTCCGATTAGTTGAGGTCCTGAATAGAACAAGACTAACCCTCTCCCAAGAAAGAATTCTGCCTGCCTACCTACCTTTCAACTAGGACATTGACTTTTTCCTGACTTTGGACTAGCACTGAAACATTGGTTCTTCCTGGGTCTTGAGCCTGCCAGCCTTCAAGCCTTCATACTGGAGCTATCATAAGCTCTCCTGGGTCTCCAGCTTGCCAACTCTCCCTGCAGATCTTGTAACTTTTCAGCCTTCATAATTGTAGAAGCCAATGTCACATATATACATATGTACAGTATATTATATATATACACATTCTTCTTGACCTATAATGGGGATGTATCCCAACAAAACCATTGTAAATTGAAAATATTGTAAGTCAAAAATGCATTTAATAGATCTAACCTACCAAATATAATATCATAGCTTAGCTTAGCCTAGCCTGCCTTAATGTGCTCAGAACACTTATATTATCCGACAGTTGGGGAAAATCATCTGGCAACAGTACTCTGTAGAGTATTGGTTATTTACTCTGGTGATCATGTGGTTGACTGGGAGCTATTGCTCACTGCCACTGCTCAGTATTGTAAGACAGTGCCATATCACATATCACTAGCTTAGGAAAATATCAAAATTAAAAAGTCAAAGTACAGTTTCTACTGAATACATATCATTTTGCACCATGGTAAAATCAAAAAATCATAAGTAAAACCATAGTTAAGTAAAGAAAATGTAGTACGTATACACCATGAAATACTATGCAACCACAAAAAAGAATGAGATCATGTTCTTTGCAGGAGCATGGGTGGAGCTAGAGGCCATTATCTTTAGAAAACTAATGCAGGAACAGAAAACCAAACACCACATGTTCTCACCTAATAAGTGAGAGCTAAATGATTAGAACACGTGAACACAAAGAGGGGAACAAGAGACACTGGGGCCTACTGCAGAGTAGAGGGTGTGAGGAGGGAGAGGAACAGAAAAAACAGTAATTGGGTACTCAGCTCAGTACCTGTGTGACAAAATAATCTGTACATCACACCCGTGTGCCACAAGTCTACTTATATAACAAACCTGCACATGGACTCCTTAACCTAAAATAAAACTTAAAAAAAAAGTTGGGGACCATCTGTATATGATTTTTTAATAATACTAAAATTATTCTAAATAGTCATAAATGTATAGTATATCATATCTACATAGTTATAAAAGTATAGTGTGTATACACACACACACAAAGACATAAATATATTTCGTATTGATTCTGTTTCTCTGGAGAATCCTGACCAATACAATTGACCAGGTGTTTTGCAGGCAGAAAGCAGGGAGGAGGAGAAAGGAAGACCTGGTTAGGCATCTTCACTCAAAGATAAAGTCTGGTACACAAATATATATTGAATTACACTGAGCTAGTCAGTGGCTCAATATATGAAAACCATAATTTGGCTCTCCCAAGTTTTACATTCAATATCCAAAAGGGAAAGTTAGTCTTTATACTCCAGCTACAAGCAGGGCTTATTTTCTTTTTCATAAGCCTTATGTGGCTATAGATTACTTTATTAACTTTCCTTGTCCATGAAATAAAACAGTCTAATCCCTTTAGTATAAGTTCTCTTTATCTCTTTTTTATAATTCCATTAACTTTGTAATAAAATCTCACTTCTGTTTCATGTCCAATTTGTGAATTCCAGCAGAATTTGCCTTCCCTTGTGGCACATTGTTAAAGATGAGAGTTATGTTTCCAGGATCCCATTCCTATATGTTTCAAGGTTAGAATTGGCCAAAAGAGCAGTTTGGCAGCTCTTGGAAGGTTGAAGTGAAATTCTTTATAGTCGGATAGGTTGGCACGCATTTGCAGATAGCCCCAGCAGGTCCCAGTTTATCCTTCATTTTACATCCAGTTCTTTTTTCTACCACTTACCTCATTGCCTGACAGTGGTCCTAGCCCAACACAGATGTTTGGCTGCAGACCCACACAGGGGGCAGCTGAAGTGGAGCAATGGCTTCCCATTCCTTCATCCCCTCCGTGAATGTCTCCCTTCCAATCCCCTTTGGTGGCTGTGACTGCTTTCCCAAATGCACTGTTAACAACTATTTTTCTGGCCCTCCAAGCCCTCTTCTGGACTTTTTTTTAACCAAATTCTTCCACAATTGTATAGGTCTAAATCCTATTTTTAAAATTCCTCATTTTAAAACACTCACAGTGACTCTGTTCTCCTGACTGAAACCTGACAGATACATGCCCCACTTTGCCTATGTTGTATTTTGGAATATAGTATAACCCACAGAAATGGTGCTTTAAAGCCCAGTCAACAATAGGAGCCTCCTTGGACACAGCTTCGCATGTGTTCAGTCAGTTCCCTCAGGTATTTTTTCCTTGGATTCCTCATTATTATGGACTGAATTGTTTCCATCTCTGATGTGGTTTGGCTTTGTGTCTCCACTTAAATCTCATCTTGAACTGTAATCCCCATGATTCAAGGGAGGGAGGTGATTGGATCATGAGGGTGGTGTCCCCCATGCTGTTCTCATGATAATGAGTGAGTTCTCAAGAGATCTGATGGTTTTATAAGTGTTTGACATTTCCTCCTTCACACTCATGCTCCTTGCTCTCCTGCCACCTTGTGAAGAAGGTGCCTGCTTCCCCTTCCGCCATGATTGTAAGTGTCCTGAGGCCTCCCCAGCCGTGTGGAACTGTGAGTCAATTAAACTTCTTTTATTTACAAATTACCCAGTCTTAGGGAAATTCTTTATAGCAGTGGGAAAACGGACTAATACAACTTCCAAAAAGATATATTGAAATATTAACCCTCAATATCTCAAAATATGATCTTGACAATTTCCAAGTAAGATCTTTGCAGATTTAACCAAGTTATTGATGAGGTCATTAGAGTAAGCCCTAATACAATATGATTGGTGTCCTTATAAAAAGTGGAAATTTGGACATAGACCCACACAGAGGGAAGAAAATATGAAGATACAGAAAGAAGAAATTCAAGTGACTGGAGTGATGCATTTATAAACTAAGGAATACCCAGAATTGCTAGAAAACACCTTAAAACTAGAAGAGGCAAGGGAAGATTCTCCCCCAGAGCCATGAGAGAAAGCATGGCCCTGATGACAACTTGATTGAGGATTTCTAACCTCCAGAACTGGAAAACAACACATTTCTGTTGTTTTATGCCACCTGGTTTTTGGTACTTCGTCAGAGCAGCCCTGGGAAACAGATGTCTGTCATACTGCCTCCATCCATGTGAGGCCATTGTGAGGTCACAGCTATCTTGAGCATAGCTGTCTTTTAGTCTGATCTCAGAAGAAGAAAACTATTTTCCTTTCTATTAACAATGGAATGGTTGCATCCATAATCCCCCATGGCACAATTGATTCTAGGTTATTAAATTTGATGATATGTTTCTGGGGGTACAATAAAAGGCAAGTCAACACAAGGAGTAATTTACAACCATTGTCCAGGCCAAGACCTATTCTAGATTCTTTACCAGAATCTTCATGACCCAGAGAAGCTTACTATTTTTTCCAGCAGCATCCCCTAACACACTCCATCTGTGAGAAAATGACTTTCACCTCACTTCAGTCGAAAACCCATCTCCTGAGCCTTGCCCTGACCTCTTACCAGAATGACTGAAAATTAAAATGTTTCTACTCTGCAGAAGAAACCACACTCCTATCAATTCAAAGCATGTGATCTATCCCTGTGACCTTAACAAAACAAACTTGTAAAATTGTAATAGTACATTTTTCAGTTTAGATTAGAAAAAAAATCTTGCAGTCCAGTCTTACAATTTGTCTTCTGGTGATGATGTGAAAATGATCAGGATATAATAAAATGTAAAACCATGTTATTAGTCCATAATCATCGAGTTGAGATCCAGTAAAGACAGAAATTGAGAAGTCTGGTAGTTTTTATCATTAGGCCAGTGACCAATTCCAGAAAAAGTGACTCAATGACTGAGCAGTGTTCTTGACAGCTTCAGAGTCAGGGGGAAGAATTTGAATCCTGGGGCCCTTCTTTTTTTGTGATTGGGACCCTGAAAGACTGCACTGCTGGAATAAAGGTGCACCAGAAGTAACAGCCCTCACAAAAAAATGCATCCCAGCTTACACCATCTATGTGATTCAAAAAATTTTAATTCATTAAACTGGCTTTAGGAAATCTCAGATACAGTCAATCCTCATTATCCAAGGATTTTATATTTGCAAATTTGCCTACTCACTAAAATTTATTTTTAAACATAAAATCAATGCTCACAGCACCTTTATAGTCATTCACAGATGTACACAGAGTCACCCAACATGTGCTTTCCCAACTGAGGTTAAACAACAAAATGCTCAGCCTTCTCATTCAATGCCATACAGTAAACAAGTGTCATTTTTGCAGTGTCTTTAGTGCTGTGTTTTCACATTTCGTGCTTTTTGATGGTGATTTTGTTACTTTAAATGGCTCCCAAGGGTAGTGCTGAAGTGCTGCATAGCGTTCCTAAGCACACAAAGGCTATGTTGTGCCTTATAGAGAAAATGTGTGTGTTAGATGAGCTTCCTTTAGGCATGAGTTCGAGTGCTGTTGGCTGTGAATTCAATGTTAATGAGTCAACAATATGGTACGTTCAGAAAAAGAAAGAAAAATCACCAGTCTGTACATGAGGCCACTTAAAAAGTGCTGATGTAATATCTATATTGTGTAATGAAGCTATGGAAAAGATGGAAAATGGCTACTTGTGGGTTCGTGAGATAATGACTTAAAAAGAAGCATAGTGGACAATGTTTTTGTAGGCTGAAAGCTAAAGAAATTTACAGTCATATTACTCAGAGTTTATGAAAATATTAAACCCCTCTAGCTAGTGCTGGTTGGCTTGAAGCTTTTAAAAGGCAATACACCTAAAAAATGTTAAAGTTTCAGGCAAGGCACGTTTTGCAAATCCGGAATTTACAGAAGAATTTTTAAAATACCTGCTTAGTGTTATAGGAAAACGGATATGTGGAAGATCTGGTTTTCAGTACTGATTAGACTGGCTTGTTTTATCAGGATGTTGGCAAATGAACCTATAATAGCACAAATAGACTCCAAAGCTCCTGGCTTTTTTTTTCAAATATAATGTCTGGCACATAATCAAAGATAATACACAGGGGAGTTAAGAGTTAATGAAGAAAAGCCAGCAGGAAAAAATAGATAATACAAAGAGAACAAAGGTCTTCAAATACTGGAATTATCAAACACAGACTTTTAAATAATTATGCTTATGTTCAAGGAGATAAAATAATGTCTTCAAAGAGATTTTAAAAATGGTTGCAAATATAGTAAAGATGAGGGAACTATAGACAATTTGTATAGCATATGTAAAAAAGTACCATATGGAAAATCTAAAACAAAGAAAATATGTGAAATCAAGAACTCGGTAGATGGGTTTAACATCTACGTTTCCAACTAGTCCAACATAGCAAAATTAGTAAAAAAGAAAGAAAAGGTAAAAACATTAAAAGCAAAAAAAAAAGACATTACCTTCAAAGAAGCAAAAGCCAAAATGACTTCTAATTTCTCAACAAGAACAGTGAAAGTCAAAAAATAATGGAGTAAATTTTTAATGTGGTGAAAAAATACTGTTAATCTAGAAATCTATAATAAATGGATTTCTAGATATCTAATATACATCACGAGGACTATAGTTAATATTGCATTGTATGCTGGAAATTTGCTAAAAGGATATATTTTAGGTGCTCTTACCACAAAAAACTGTACCTGTGCCTGAAGGATATGTTAATTGGCTTGGCTGCCATAATCATTTCAGTATTGAAATGTACGTGTATATAAAAACATCATGTTGTACATGGGGACTACAGTTAATAACAGTGTATTATAAATGAAAGAAGTCAATCTGCAAAAGCTACATACTGTTTGATGCCAACTATACAACATTCTGGAAAATGCAAAACTATGGAGACAGTAAAAACATTAGTGGTTGCCAGGGTTTATAGAAGGGAAGGATGAATAGATGAGGCATAGAGAATTTTTATAGCAGTGAAACTACTTTATATGATACTACAATGGTGGATACATGTCATTTTACATTTTTCCAATTAATCTGGTCACAGTTTGGACACAGCTTCACATGTGTTCAATCAGTTCCCTCAGGCATGTACAACACCAAGTGTGACCCCTAACGTGAACTATGGGCTTTGGATGATGATGATGTGTCAATGTAGGCTCATCAATTGTAAAAAATGTCCCACTCTGGTGGAGGATGTTGATAATGGGGGAGGTTATACATGTTTCGGGGAAGAGGCATATGGGAAATCTCTATACCTTCTGCCCAAATTTACTGTGGACCTAAACTGCTCTAAAAATAGTCTATTGAAAAATCATGTTGTTTACCTTAAATATATACATTAAATTTTAAAAAATTAAGCCATGCATACAAGAACAATAATTAAATTTTATTTTCAAGAATTAAGATAAAAATGAAGACATTTTCAGATAAATGGAAACTAAGATGATTTGTTGCTAGCAGATTCATGGTAAATGAAAGAAAGAGTATTCTTTAGGCAAAATGATAACAATCTAGTAAAAAAAAGAAGAGCTACAACAAAGAATAAATGAAATTAAAATAGTAAATATGTGGGTATACCCAAATGAATAATGACTGTGTAAAGTTTTTTAATGTCTTGAGAGGTTTAAAATATAAAGAGAATTAAAATAACATGGCAATAGGATTGAAGACAGAAAGAGATTACATGGGGTTAAAGCAGTCTAAACTTCTTGACTGGCTAGGAGAGAGTATAAACATCAATTTAGAAGAGAAGTGTAGATGCATTGCTTTTTTAAGAAATCAAAAAATGAAAACAATCCACATTTGCATTAGTACTAAAGTAGATTAAATTATGGTATTCCCTACAATGTAATACTATTAGCAATGAAAGTAAGTTAACTGCAGCCTCTTGCAACAAACTTCATGTTAAGAGAAAGAAACCAGACTCAAAGAATACAAGCCTATGTAGAGAAATAGGAACGCTTTTACACTGTTGGTGGGAGTGTAAATAAATTCAACCATTGTGGAAAACAGAACAGTGTGGTGATTCCTCAAGGATCTAGAACCAGAAATACCATTTGACACAGCAGTTTCATTACTGGGTATATACTCAAAGGATTACAAATCATTCTATAAAGAAACATGCACACATATGTTTATTGCAGCACTATTTACTATAGCAAATGCCCATCAATGATAGACTGGATGAAGAAAATCTGGCACATATATCCCATAGAATACTATGTAGCCATAAAAAATAATGAGTTCATGTTTTTTGCAGGGACATGGATGAACCTAGAAGCTATCATTCTCAGCAAACTAACACAGGAACAGAAAACCAAGCACTGCATGTTCTTACTCATAAGTGGGAGTTGAACAATGAGAACACATGACACAGAGAGGGAAACATCACACACTGGGGCCTGTCAGGGGGTAAGGGTCAAGGGGAGGGGGAGGATTTTATGCTACTGTATGCTACTTTGCCCAGATTCAACAATTGTCAAGAATTTGAAAATGGCTGTGTTTTGAAATTCCTTCCTTTATAACAACATTTTTTTTCTTTTTTTGAGACAGAGTCTTGCTCTGTTGCCCAAGCTGGAGTGAAGCAGCACAAACACCTCTCACTGCAGCCTTGACTTCCTGGGCTCAAGTGATCCTCCTGCTTTAGTTCCCCTTGTAGCTAGGACCACAGCCATGCACCACCATGCACAGCTAATTTTTAAAAAAACTTCTGTAGAGATAGGGTCACTCTATGTTGCCCAGGCTGATCTCAAACTCTTGGGTTCGAATGATCCCAATCATTCGGGATACCCCATAAGGTATCCCTAATACCTAATGATCCCATAAGGTATCCCTAATACCTAATGATCCCATTAGGTATTAGGGCAAATACCTAATGCATGGGGTGCTTAAAACCTAGATGATGGGTTCATAGGTGCAGCAAATCACTATGGCACATGTATACCCATGTAACAAAACTGCACGTTCTGCACATGTATCCCAGAACTTAAAATTTTTAAAAAAGAATACAAGCCTAATGAGGAGAGTATTCTCTCCTCATTACATTTGTGATTACATTCCCAAATGTAATCACAAGTGTCTTTATTGGAGAGAGCTTTGATACATAAATAGGCAGTGTGATGATGAACCAAGAGATTGGAGTAGTTACTAAGAGGAAGGAGTCACCAGCCAAGGAAAGTAGGTGGCCTCCAGAAGCTAGAAAAGACTAGAAGCTAATTCCTCTCTCCTCCAATTCTCCTCCTAGAGCCTCTGAAAGCAACCAGCCCTGCTAATACCTTGACTGTAGTCCAGTGAAACTGATTTCAGATTTCTGACCTCCAGAACTGTAAGAGAATAAATCTGTGTTGCCTTAAGCCTCCTAGTTTGTGATAATTTGTTTCAACAGTCATAGGAAATTAATACTGATTCTATTACTTTTTAACTTTTGCTAATTTAATAAAATTAAATTATCTCCTTACTTTAATTATTATTGCTAGTATCAGAAAGTTTGGACAACTTTTCTTATGTGTTTTTGTTTGTTTGTTTGTTTTCTCATTAGTGCTTTTACTATGAATTGTCTCTTTATATCTCTAGCCCAATTTTGCTATTGAATATTATGACTTAAATATGTCTCTTGATTTTCTCTTCCCATTTTTCTCAAATAAGTATTTGACTCTGAATCTTTTGAGTGTTTGGGGTCCCTTTACTCATGATAGATATCCCTGAAGCTAATGTCTTGTCTGAATTTTTGAGAGACACTGGTTATAAATTGCCCATTGCTGACAACTGCATTTTTGCAAAACCCACAGACTAATAATTTACCTCCCTAGTATTAACATGCCTCAACCAGCCCTATGCCTACAGTTTGGTGGACCTATTGTTCTGACACATGGCCAGCACACACACATACACAGACACACACACACACATACACAATGGAATTCATCACTGTGTCCTTTCAAAAAGAAAGTAGTATGACCATAATTGCTCTGAAACATTCACCCTGAGATATTTTACAGGGCACTGCAATCTATCCCTCAACTCTTAGAGTTTCTAGAGCCCTGCCTTTTCTGCCCAAGTCTACCATTGGCTCCTAGCTATGTCATGAATGCTGCTACCCCACACCGAACTCTTATTTAAGTCATGGTTCTCACCATAGACCAAGTGTATCATTTCTGTGGCTTTAAAACAAACATGCCACAGCCCCATCCTGGACCTACCCAATCACACAGTGCACATTTACCCAGCTCTGTAGGTGACCTGTATGTGTACTACTAATAATGATATGATCATACTCCTCCTTCTGATCACTCTAGTCTAGTTCTCCCTGTTTCCAGTAACCTTTTGTGGCACAGGTGCTTGTGGCTTTCCTGTCAGGTAAACTCCCTGCCCACATATGGGAACTGAACATATTAGACAATCATCCATAGACACACACTTTGTGTACCATAACCTATACATCTGACTTGAGTTTCCTCTGGAATCTGAAACCGTTCTGTGCTCCTACCTCTACCCTTTCAAGTTCCCAAACACTTCTATCCCTACTGTTCAGTCCCACTCCAAGATGGAGGTTCTGGCCTCTCTCCAGATGCTCCAAACCACTGCAGATAACCTTGTCATGTCAAGTTTTATGCTAGTATGACTTTTACCTGCTTTGGGGGTTGTTATTAGGAAAAAATATGGTAATGAATATGAAACTGTGTAAACTTAGGGTATGATTATTTATCAAGCTAGTTGAAATGGAAGTGAATTGACACTTGAATGTGGTTTAGAAAAATATCTATGGCTCCGATTATAATTCATTTCAGAATCTGGCATATATTCCTATATTTGTTATTAATGAAATGAGATATTATATCAAAAGGAATTATATCAAACCCTCAATAAAATCTGACTGATGTCAGATGAAAGCCTTTCTATTGAATTTTACTTAAATAAAATAAAGATCTGTGTTTTACTGACTTTGCTCCAAATCAATCAAGTTATCAAGACATAAAATATTCCAAGCACAAATTAATACCGCATAAGAGAGGCAGTTAAAAAGGTAATCTGCATATATAATCAATAGAGAACACCCTAGGCAGTATTTTTATAGTTTCAGAAGCATTCAAAGTAATTTTTACCTTCATCCAGCATTTCCGAGGGTCTGAAGTGAAGCTTTTATTCCAAGGTACATTAAAGAAAATAACCTAAAAGTGAATAATTTTCTCAAATAATATGAAATACGGTATTCTAATTCTCAATTTACCATGAGTTAATATACAAACTACTGGAATATCCAATATATAAGATTAATGGTACTCTACTCTGTCTTGATGATTACAAAATTATTCCAAATTTGGGTTTCGTATGACTGTGTCTCACAAACTAAAATAAGATGTACTTCATAGGAGACCTGGTACACTACATGCTCATGTACGTTTGTGTGCATGTGTGTGTGAGAGAGGGAGAGACAGAGACAGAGACAGAGAGACAGAGACAGAAAGGGAGATAAAAGGAAGAAAGAGACAGTTGCTCAATATCCTTTTTGAGAAACTATCCTTCATTCATTCTGGATCTCCATTTCTGAAGTCTCCTGTGCCACACAAAACTTTATTAAATTTGTTATGCTTTCCTCTTGTTAATCTACCTTTCATTATAGGAGTGTCAGCTGCAAACCTTGTGATAGGTAAGGAAGAGATATTACTTTTTCCCTCCTACAAATACAAACATCCCACTCAGACACACACTTCACGAGGACATTGGGCCACACCCATCCACACATGGTGTTACCATATTCCATTCAATTTCACATCACTTTCCCGCCAGCACTTTACAAAAACTCACAAGGTGCAATCCTTCTAACTACCGAGGACACTAAAGAGGCCCCCAACCTCCCTCTCTTTAATTTCCTCATTTCCTCTCAGCCTATTTTGCTTTTTCCCTCTGTGTTCACCTTCCTTTTTCTCTCTTCATCTCTCTTGTGTTCTCTTCCTTTTGCCTGTAGAGTGGTGGACTTGGGAGCCAGGTAGACCAGCCAGGTGGGAGTGAAGACACCTGGTTCCACAAATAAATTTCCGATAAGGTCATGCTGTATTTATCATTGAATTCATTCATTTCTTGCCTATTTAATGTCTAAAACTGTGCTACCATTTTTATAAGAGCCCTGCTTTTTAATTAGATTAGTATCTGGTTTTTGTGTGTGTCAGAAAAGTTTCCGAGCACTATATTCCTAAACTCATTTCCTTATAAACCCTGTATTTTTAAAAGCACTGTTTTGCATAGCTCAGTGCTTTTTAGGAACTCATCTGTGCCTTCACAGCGGAAGTGACTGTACTCTCCCCAGAATATTTTCTTCATATGCTTCTTCGGATACTTCCTATACTTTAGAAACTTCTCCAGACTTTTTAATAAACCTCAACCAAAACAACATATTGCAATAGTGTAAATGTAGAAGCAGAAATGAGACTCTACTATCATCTATGAATAAGCCAGATAAGAAAAGGATCTGTGAAAATGTACAATGCCACCATTCTCACTACAATTTTTTGTTTTGCAATATACAATTATTTTTCCTAAAAATGTTATACATATTAAACTGCAATAAATGTATTATTGTTAATTTTATTGCTATAAGAACACATGACATCTACCTTCTTAACAGATTTTTAGGTGCACAGTGCAATATTGTTAATTGCAGACATAATGTACAGCAGTTCTTTAGAATTTATCTTGCATAACTGAAATTGTACTGTTTTTTCTGAATAATTATATATTGAATTAATATATCATAATGTATTATTTTAATACTTAAATACTTATTTTAGTCTATTCAGGCTATTATAACAAAAGTACCATAATGGCTTATTAACAACAGAAATTTATTTCTCACATTTTTAGGGTATAGGAAGTCCACCATAAAGCTCCAGCAGATTCGACATCTGGTAGATGGTACCTTCTCTCTGTGTCCTTAAAGACAGAAGGGGCAAATCATTTCCTTTATGGCTTTTTTATAAGAGAACTAATCCCATTACTGAAGGCTCTGCCCTCATGACCTAATGACCTCCTAAAGACCCCACCTGTTAATAGTATAACATTGTGGATTAGGTTTCTTCAAATAAATTTTTGTGGTGTTACAAATATTCAGATCACAGAAATATTTTTAATATTTCTCATTTAATTACTAGTAGGATAAATAGCGGTAGATATAACCACATAAAGAAAAGCTCTCTAGGGCCCTGGGTAATTTAAGAGTAAAAGGAGGTCCTGACATCCAACAGTTTAAGATCAGTAGGTTTAGAAAAGCACATATGTATGATCCTTTTGATTATGAAAGACAATTTCCAGGTTGAAAGTATCTAAGTAGTTCCATATGCAAAAACAATATGAAGATTTGTTTTTCCAACTTATGAGGGAAAAGTCAGTTCCTAAACTTGGGGCATTATGGAGAGTTTTTCTTGGCATTTTGGGTAGAAATAAACAAGGAGCAGGAGCAGCATGGGCAAATGATGAAATGTTGGGAAGAGGGCTAGGAGAGGCTTGCAGAAAGAAATGAAAGTTTAAGCTCACAGGTGATGATGAGCAACTGCAGCGCCTCCAGATCCACTCCCCAAATTCCACCAAGACAGGAGAATCGTATCCTTTCTGCCACAAAATGCAAAAGAGGGACACAAACTATTTAATTAAATATTACAATCATGTTGAGCTCAGAACGCTAAGGAGTTTGGGACCACTCTGGTAACACTAAAAAATTAGTATGCATCAGATATTTATCTTAGGTCACTGACAACTCCTTCATTCCTTCCTTCTCCTATTTTAGATGTGAAACCAATCCACTTCCCACATGACACCAAGGATTCAAAACTGAGAGGAAAAGACAAAAGCCTTCATGTTTGCTTATGTATTTAAATGTTGGTTCTACTTTGCTAATGGGCCCTTACCTTTCCTGGGTCAAAAAAATAAAATAAAACAAGGCAGCAGGCCCTCTTTCTGCAAATGGAATTATTCTTGACTTACTTCCTTGTCCTTTATTCTTTCTGAAATGTGTTTAGTTATAATTCTATATTAAACCTTGGAGGAAGTGTCTGACTCATTTTAGAATTTGGGTTTTCAAGAGAACTGAAGTCAAGATAAAGAACTATCTTCTTTTCTGGACAGTCCAGGCCATTTTTGTTAAGGCTGTTCTTGTGACACCAAGATGAAGATGAGAGGATCATTCTTGTTGATGACAAATATAAGTGGGCCCAGGTTATTTTCACCATCATCTCTTCTACCAAAGAACCTAATGACGGCATTGTGGAGAGAAACATCCAAATTGCTGTTCTCCTGGACAACAAGAAGAATATCTCTGATCCCATCTCAAGGTTGAGAACCAAATTTGTGTACCATTTGTCATACCTCTGTAAAAAATGTGATCCTACAGAAGTGGAACTGGATAATTAGAGTTCCTGCTACCCAGAGCAATATCCGTGACGAAGACAGTGCTACAGAGATATGCCACACTGATGTCAGAAACAAGTGCTACACAACTATGGTCCTGCTTATATACGGTGGTGAGACCAAAATGGTGAAAATAGGCTTGACCCCAGGTTCCTGCTATCCTGACTAATTTGTCATTGCTGACTGCACAACTCTTTATCTTGAGAGGCTCTCCATTTTGATCCAGAAAGTTAATATATTTACTACCGGTGAATTTGAAACCTGGATTTTGTTTTAGATGATGTAAAACTAATGCCCCCCCCCCCAAAATAATCGAAATAGTAACATTATTGTCTTTATTAGGTAATTACTTCTCAACTATATGGTCACACCGTATTAAAATCTGTCATTTATCATGCTTGCCTGAAGAGGTATGCTCCCTTAAGAATACAGTTTCTAGCATTAAAAAAATAGACAAGGGGAGAAAATAAAACTCAAGGAGTAAAATCAGGAGGCATAACAAAATGTTGCCCTTTCTCTGCCTTTGCCTCGGAGAGCCAGAGCTTTTTAATTTTCCATACTATTCTCTCTTTAAAAAGTTTCACTGTATAGAGAACATACATGTGTAAACATAGGTCGATTATATGTCTTCACGAGAAAAATAATAATTGAAAAACATGTTTTTGGGCCGGGCACGATGGCTCAATCCTATAATCCCAGCACTCTGGGAGACCGAGGCAGGCAGATCACTGAAGGCCAGGAGCTTCAGACCAGTCTGGCCAACATGGCAAAACCTCATCTCTACTAAAAATACAAAAATAAGCCAGGCATGGTGGTGCACACTTATGATCCCAGCTACTCGGAAGGCTGAGGCACAAGAATCACTTGAACCCCGGGGGCAGAGTTTGCAGTAAGCCCAGATTCCGCCACTACACTCCAGCCTGGGCAACAGAGATACTGTCTCAAAAACAAAACAAACAAAAAACAACAACAAAAAAAACATGTTTTGGAACTATTTATAAAAATAATTTAAAATGAAATCTCTACTATTTATGAAACCCATTAGCTGAATAATTAAATGCATAATTGAAAAATGTATTTTGACATAACACTAGACTTGAAAGCAGATGATACAGATTTTCATCTTTTTTTGATAATCGGGTTAGCGTAAGAAATTCCCATTGGAAACCATCTATGTTGTAAATGAATCTAATGAAATATGTATGCCAAAATACTTATTCTCTAGCACAGTTTGAACAATTAACTAGATTCATAAGCATAAGAAAGAATAACACTCCTATGCAGATGCTCATAGTAAATAGAAATCAAGGAAATTATTTTCACATAGAACATTGGTCAAGTTGTATAATTTCCATTTTGGAAGGGAGGACTAAGTATTGTTACAGAAAATTATCAATTTCAAACCCACTAATTAATATTAAATCATATTATATTTAAAGATGTTTTGAACTTGTTAGATTTTTAAAATACATATTAAGTATTTTTAAAATATATTTAATTACGTTTACGTTAAGAGGCAACATTTTTTCTGAAGGCACCGTGAGGGCAAAGGAGCCACCTTCCACCCTTTCTCCTTGTAGAAGACCATGGGAATAGAATAATAAACATGCTCCACATCTGGGTACACCTATTGTCTTTCCAGAACAGTCTATCAACTCAGGTTTACTCTTCTAAGAAGGCATCGTCAAAATTATGTAGCACTCTGGCCGGGCGCGGTGGCTCACGCCTGTAATCCCAGCACTTTGGGAGGCCGAGGCGGACGGATCACGAGGTCAGGAGATAGAGACCATCCTGGCTAACACGGTGAAACCCCTTCTCTACCAAAAATACAAAAAAAAAAAAAAAAAAAAAAAATTCTGGGCATGGTTGCAGGCGCTGTAGTCCCAGCTACTCCAGAGGCTGAGGCAGGAGAATGGCGTGAACCCGGGAGGCGCAGCTTGCAGTGAGCCGAGATCGCGCCACTGCACTCCAGCCTGGGCGACAGAGCAAGACTCCGTCTCAAAAAAAAAAAAAAAAAAAAAAAAAAAAAAAAAAAAAAATTATGTAGCACTCCAGAGTCATAGGGGAACTACAATCTCAGGAATACGGAATTCACCTCCCATATGGAATAACGGTAATTCTAAGGTGTCTCTCTTCTTCCTTCCACATTCTTCTAACTCTGTAAATTCTATTTTCAGGCAGAGCAGAGGTAGCTCGCACATCATCAATACGTAATTTCTTAGATTTGAAAAAAATACTATTATCCTTTTTGTAACCTGTCAATGCTATGTCTTACTTTGTATTTTATTCCACATTTTGTTTTTTAAAAAATCAGACAGTAGTAGTTATTCTATTTTTGCAGTGAAGAATTTACAATAATTATGATTAACTTATTTGCTCAACGTTTCCTATTGTTATAACATTACGTAATATTCACCTTCCTCTTTTTTTACACTATTTCGAAAATTGAGTCGGTAATCTTTCTTGTGTGTAGATAAGGCAGCTTTGGAATAGTGCACTATAACAGCAGCTGGTCACTTTTTTTCTACTTGGATATCAGTTGTTGAATATAATAATTTTTTAAAAGTCAAATCACTAGTTTCATGACATTTACAAACGGAAAAAAGCTATAATTGACACATATGTAAAATGACCCACTGTAATACTAGGTGAACACAGATATATTTAATGAGACAGGATCTTTTCTTAATCCTTTATCAAAAGTCAGTGCACCATCTTTTCAGAGTCATCGGTAGCCCTCTACTCCCATTCATCTCCCATTTTGACTCCAAAGGGATTAGGGAATTCTAGCCCCATGGTCTTCTACATGAATTATATAATCAATCATTCTACTAGTATATCACTTTCATCTTGAAAAACTAGGTAAGTTATTGAGATATCTACCAAATTGGTATTGTTTCTGAGGGGAAAATATATAAATAGATCTTTTTCCCCTAGGTTCAGAAAGCAACAAATTATAAAAATAAGCAATGCTAGGCATGATAAGAAAAAAGAAAATACCCAGATTCATAGTAGTGGCATCTCTCTAAGTTGTTAAAATTAAGTAATTCCCAGAACATAAAAGCAACCATAATCCCTGTCACTCTGATGTTTTATAAAAAGATAATTCTGGTGTGACTGCAGCTTCATTGGTAAAGAACACTGGTCTCCTTTTTGTTGTCATTATCATGGAAATGAAGATTAGAACATTTCAACAGTAAACAAGACATATCCAGTAGGTGAACCATGAAGTTCTGAACTATACTGTCATTTTGGTATTCAAACTAGAGGCAGATTCCAAATGGCAGCTATTTATCATTTTAAAAACCTCAAATGGCAAGTAGTGCATAAATAGGGGTTGCTATTACTGTACCCAGGAAATCATGAGCATTGATGTGCAAGACTCCAGGATAATGAGCTTTTGAAAAAGTTGTTTCCACTCTGGATAGCATTCCTCTTATTAACTAGTACATTTTGAAATATGTTGTATAAAAATTAATCACTTTCCAGCATCTTTCTGAAGTTAGCTAGTAAACCTTCTTTGAATTTTAAGAACAGGTTTTTTTCGTATTTTCTTCTTCCTGAAGGGGCCTAATATGAGAAAAGCCATTATGTTAAAATCCAAAAGATTAAAATCCTCTGACTCACCTCTGTGAACCTAAGCTCCAGACAGTTTCACCAGCTCTACAGTTATTAGTAACACTAAAGTTGAGGATGAGAGGACCTGTCAATATTTCCCAAAGTCTAGGAATTGAAAACAGTCAGTAACTGCAATTTCTCTAAGTAGCACTACAGATAACCTGTGTCACAAAGCATTTTTGCTTTCTTGGGTAACAAAATAAATCCTTTTGAATCAAGGGCAATAATCACATTTCTTATAAAAAAGAGATAGTAATATTACATGAGAACACCAAGCAAGTTGAAAAAAAGTCTCAATTTGGATGTAAAATTTATTTTATTTTTAATTTTTTGTAAGTACATAGTAGGTATATATATTTATGGAGTATATAGAATATTTTGATACAGGTATACAATGTTTAACAATTACATCAGGGTAAATGCGGTATTCATCACTTCAAGCATTTATTATTTGTGTTACAAACAATCCAAATATACTCTTTTAGTTATGTTTAAACATAAAATTAAATTATTGAATATAGTCACTCTGTTGTGCTATCAAATACTAGATCTTAGTTATTCTTTCTAACTATTTTTTTCTGCCCATCAGCAATCACTCCCCCCTCACGCCCCAACCCTTCTACCCTTTCTAGCCTCTAGTAACTGTCATTCTACTCTCTACCTCCATGAATACAATTGTTTTAAGTTTTAGCTCCCCAAAATAAGTGAGAACATGCAAAGTTTGTCTTTCTGTGTCTGGCTTATTTCACTTAACACCATGACCTCTAGTTCCATCCATGTTTTTGCAAATGACAGGATCTCCTTCTTTTTATTGCTGAATAGTACTCCATTGTGTATATGTACAACATTTTCTTTATCCATTCATCTGTTCACAGACATTTGTGTTGCCACCAAATCCTGGCTATTGTGAATAGTGCTGCAATAAACATGGGAGTTCAGATTTCTCTTTGATATACTGATTTCCTTTCTTTTGGATATATACCTAGCAGTGTGATTGCTGAATCATATGATAGCTCTATTTTTTGTTTTTTGAGAAACCTTCAAACTGTTCTCCATAGTGGTTGTACTAATTTACATTCCCACCAAGAGTGTATGAAGCTTCCCTTTTCTCCATATTGTTGACAGCATTTGTTATTACCTGTCTTTTGGATAAAAGCTATTTTAACTGGTGTGAGATAATACTTCATTGTAGTTTTGATTCACATTTCTCTGATGATCAATGATGATGAACATTTTTTATATACCTGTTTGTCATTTGTACGTCTTCTTTTGAGAAAAGTCTATTCAGATCTTTTATTCATTTTTAATCAGATTATTAGATATTATCCTATAGAGTTGTTCAAGCTCCTTATATAGTCTGATTATTAATCCCTCGTCAGATGAGTAGTTTGCCAATATTTTCTCCCTTTCTGTGGGTCGTCTCTTCACTTTGTTGATTGTTTCCTTTGCTGTGCAGAAACTTTAACTTGATGTGATCCCATTCATCCATTTTTGCTTTGCTTGCCTGTGCTTGTGGGATATTACTCAAGAAACCCTTGCCAAAGTCAATGTCCTGGAGAGTTTCTCCAATGTTTCCTGCTGGTAGTTTCATAGTTTGGGAACTTAGATGTCTTTAGTTCATTTTGATTTGATTTTTCTATAGGGTGAGAGATAGAGATCCAGTTTCATTCTTCTTCATATGAATATCCAGTTTTCCCAGCATTATTTATTGAAGAGACTGTCCTTTCCCCATTATATGTTTTTGTCACTCACTCTTGTCAAAAATGAATTCACTATAGATGTATGGATTTGTTTCTAGGTTCTCTATTCTGTTCCACTGGTCTATGTATCTGTATTTATGCAAGTACCATGATGTTTCAGTTACTATAGCTTTGTGGTATCATTTGAAGTTAGGTAATGTTATTCCTCCAATCTTGTTCATTTTGCCCAGGATAGCTTTTGCTATTCTGGTTTTTTTGTGGTTCCATATAAATTTTAGAATTCTTTTTCTATTTCTGTGAAGAATTTCCTTGGCATTTTGATAGAGATTGCATTAAATCTGTAGATTGCAAGCCATGCACGGGCACTCATGCCTGTAATCCCAGCACTTTGGGAGGCCAAGGCAGAAGGATTGCTTGAGTCCAGGCATTTGAGACCAGCCTGGGCAACATGGCAAAACCCTGCCTCTACAAAATATACGAAAAAAAATTAACCAGGTGTAGGGGCACACACCTGTAGTCCCAGCTATTTGGGTGACTAATGTGGGAGGATCACTTGAGCCCAGTAGGCAGGGGTTGCAGTGAGTCATGATCACAACACTGCACTCCAGCCTGGGTGACAGAGTGAGACCCTGTCTTAAAAAAAAAAAAATCTGTAGGTTGCTTTGGGAAGTATGGACATTTTAACAATACTGATTCTTCCAATCCATGAACATGAAATATATTTGGATTTTTTGTTGTCCTCTTCAATATCTTTCATCAACATTTTACAGTTTTCATTGGAGAGATCTTTCACATCTTTGGTTAAGTTAATTCCTAGGTATTTAATTTTATTTGTAGCTATTGTAAATTAGATTACTTTCTTGATTTCTTTTTCAAATTGTTCACTGTTGGCATAGAGAAATGCTACTCATTTCTGTATGTTGATTTTATATTCTGCTGAAACTTTACTGAATTTGTTTATCAGTTCTAATAGTTTTTGGTGAAGTCTAGGTTTTTCTTTTTTTTAATTTTTTATTTTAAAATCAAAATTACTTTTTATTCAATAAGACATAACAGAACTTAAACAGCTTGATGAGTTTTAATAAGTGCGTATACCCATATAAGTAACACCCAAACCAAGATAGAGAACATTTCTGTAACCTCAAAGCATTCTCTCATGTTATTTCCTGTCAACCCTATCTAACTAAAGAGGTAATAATCACGCTCCTGATTTTCTAACATTAGGAGTTAGTTTTCTCTGTTTTCATAATTCATACGAATGAAATCTTATTATAGTATGTACTTTTTTTGGCCTGACTTCTTTCAGTCAGCAAAATGTTGTTAATATGCATCCATTTTTTTATTATTATTATACTTTAAGTTTTAGGGTACATGTGCACAATGTGCAGGTTAGTTACATATGTATGCATGTGCCATAATAAGAGCTATCTATGACAAACCCACAGCCAATATCATACTGAATGGGCAAAAACTGGAAGCATTCCCTTTGAAAACGGACACAAGACAGGGATGCCCTCTCTCACCACTCCTATTCAACATAGTGTTGGAAGTTCTGGCCAGGACAATTAGGCAGGAGAAGGAAATAAAGGGTATTCAATTAGGAAAAGAGGAAGTCAAATTGTCCCTGTTTGCAGATGACATGATTGTATATCTAGAAAACCCCATTGTCTCAGCCCAAAATCTCCTTAAGCTGATAAGCAACTTCAGCAAAGTCTCAGGATACAAAATCAATGTAGAAAAATCACAAGCATTCTTATACACCAACAACAGACAAACAGAGAGCCAAATCATGAGTGAACTCCCATTCACAATTGCTTCAAAGAGAATAAAATACCTAGGAATCCAACTTACAAGGGATGTGAAGGACCTCTTCAAGGAGAACTACAAACCACTGCTCAATGAAATAAAAGAGGATACAAACAAATGGAAGAACATTCCATGCTCATGGGTAGGAAGAATCAATATTGTGAAAATGGCCATACTGCCCAAGGTAATTTACAGATTCAATGCCATCCCCATCAAGCTACCAATGACTTTCTTCACAGAATTGGAAAAAACTACTTTCAAGTTCTTATGGAACCAAAAAAGAGCCATATTGCCAAGTCAATCCTAAGCCAAAAGAACAAAGCTGGAGGCATCACGCTACCTGACTTCAAACTATACTACAAGGCTACAGTAACCAAAACAGCATGATACTGGTACCAAAACAGAGATATAGATCAATGGAGCAGAACAGAGCCCTCAGAAATAATGCCACATATCTACAACTATCTGATCTTTGACAAACCTGAGAAAAACAAGCAATGGGGAAAGGATTCCCTATTTAATAAATGGTGCTGAGAAAACTGGCTAGCCATATGTAGAAAGCTGAAACTGGATCCCTTCCTTACACCTTATACAAAAATTAATTCAAGATGGATTAAAGACTTAAACGTTAGACCTAAAACCATAAAAACCCTAGAAGAAAACCTAGGCATTACCATTCAGGACATAGGCATGGGCAAGGACTTCATGTCTAAAACACCAAAAGCAATGGCAACAAAAGCCAAAATTGACAAATGGGATCTAATTAAACTATGGAGCTTCTGCACAGCAAAAGAAACTACCATCAGAGTGAACAGGCAACCTACAAGCGTTCTCAACCTACTCATCTGACAAAGGGCTAATATCCAGAATCTACAATGAACTCAAACAAATTTACAAGAAAAAAACAAACAACCCCATCAAAAAGTAGGCAAAGGACATGAACAGACACTTCTCAAAAGAAGATATTTATGCAGCCAAAAAACACATGAAAAAATGCTCACCATCACTGGCCATCAGAGAAATGCAAAGCAAAACCACAATGAGATACCATCTCACACCAGTTAGAATGGCAATCATTAAAAAGTCAGGAAACAACAGGTGCTGGAGAGGATGTGGAGAAATAGGAACACTTTTACACTGTTGGTGGGACTGTCAACTAGTTCAACCATTGTGGAAGTCAGTGTGGCGATTCCTCAGGGATCTAGAACGAGAAATACCATTTGACCCAGCCATCCCATTACTGGGTATATACCCAAAGGACTATAAATCATGCTGCTATAAAGACACATGCACACGTATGTTTATTGCGGCACTATTCACAATAGCAAAGACTTGGAACCAACCCAAATGTCCAACAATGATAGGCTGGATTAAGAAAATGTGGCACATATACACCATGGAATACTATGCAGCCATAAAAAAGGATGAGTTCATGTCCTTTGTAGGGACATGGATGAAATTGGAAATCATCATTCTCAGTAAACTATCGCAAGAACAAAAAACCAAACACCGCATATTCTCACTCATAGGTGGGAATTGAACAATGAGAACACGTGGACACAAGAAGGGGAACATCACACTCTGGGGACTGTTGTGGGGTGGGGGGAGAGGGGAGGGATAGCTTTGGGAGATATACCTAATGCTAAATGACAAGTTAATGGGTGCAGCACACCAGCATGGCACATGTATACATATGTAACTAACCTGCACATTGTGCACATGTACCCTAAAACTTAAAGTATAATAATAATAAAATTAAAAATAAAAAAACATTTTAAAAGTTGATTACATTATATATACTGTTTGTTTTTTTAGGGCAGTATTCCCCCTACCCTTTGGTGGTTTCTTTATTACCCTTTCCTTCATGCCCTGCCTGTCCACAGTTCATCCCCTTCCAAAACAACTGACATTAACAATATGTATCCTTTTGTATTTTTCTCCATGATCATAAAATAAAATATATCTATAGGCATATACATACATTGAATTTTTGTTGTTATTGTGGCTTTTTTTCTGTCACCAAAACCTTAGATTGTACCATGGATACAACATTCAAAAGCTGATGGCCTCTTAGAATGCTGGCGTGGCCTTCAAAAGGCAAAGTTGTAGTGCCTGCTCAGAGGAACAATTTGGAAAGATGGGAAGCCATCAGAGACCTCTACATGATGCTCTGTTCACAAAGAAAGGGTGTACGTGTCCAGGAGAAAAAGGATACGAGCAGGAGCGACCCACTTACAATCACTCTTGGTGATGACTAGGGAATGTGTGCTTGCTGTCCACACGTCTTCACACTGCAGGGTTGGAAGGCCTGTTTCCCCAAAGAGGCTCACTCTTGCCAGCAGACACATGAAAGGCTTAATTGAACATTAAGCTATGGCTGCTGCCAGGGGACTTTAGATACCTGGTGTCCAGGAACCAAAAGACAAGAGGAAAAGTAACCATTTTGGAAGAGGTAATTGATGCTGATCAGCAGGAAGACATAGCATGCTTTTGCATACAGAGGAATACATGTGGAAGTCAGGTGATTGACATTGATTCCTCCTGGTACATCTTCACTCCTTCATAAGTGTAAACAAACACATGCAACAACTTTGGACCAAAAAAGATGTGATTACCAAGGATTCAGACTCTTTTGGGATATGGGTTTGGGTTATACCATCAAGAAAGTCACTACAACCTGCCAGAGTAGTAACTGTGAATGAAGGGAATTTAGAATGACTGTTGGAGGAGGGAAGGGGTGAATACTGGTTGTGACCCTGAGATCAGCTACAGCAATGGTGGCTGTAGTTTGTCCCACTAAATTCCCTTTCAAAATATTCCTTCCCAGAAGAGAGTCATGGGAATCATGGAAGAGGTGCAGTTTAGGGTAGACTGTGACATTCATGAAAACATACCACAAATCTATGACTCTACCACTGCATTTGTATGGAGGCCACGCTTCCCACAGGACATTCTCTACCTGTGACTGAGTTGGCAGGGATATTAAGACAGATCCTTCCTGTGGGACCCCTCTAATGGGTGACTTTAGCTCCAGGAGTCCTTATTGGTCTGGTCAAAACTGTGTTTGATCTGTAGTTTGAGACTCTTCATACCAGCCTTCTCTTCCTCTCTCTGCATCATAAGGGTCAGAGCTGTATCACAGTCTCATGAGTTCACCCTCCTCCCCTCCCCCACCTTTTTTTTTTTCCTCGCAGGCATTTCCCTTGATATATCCCTGGTATGTCTAAACTTGTCTTGGGTGTCTGCTTCTCAGAGGAAGAATAAGAAGGAACTAATCCAAATATTAATTTAATATACTATATTGGATTCCTTCAGCCCTCAGAGGAAAGTTTTTATTTGAAAATTAGTGCAAGAAAAATGTGTTTTTTTGTGGGGGGAGGTAGGAGTCACTTTGCCATAGCAAAGTTCTTCACTGAAGAATTAGAATGCAAATACTGTGGTGTAACATTTCTCAAACTGTTTCCTATAGACCAGTGAATTCCATAAGGAAATAAATAGTTCCTGAGATTAAATATATTTGGGAAATACTATGTTTTCTTATTGTGGATATTCGTGATGCACATTAATATGTTAATGGCTCTGTAAAGTTCTTTAGTAAAGGATCTAAGGATCTTTAGCCAGCATTTCCCAAAAAACATTTGGCCATGAGCCCTTCCACCTTTTTAGTGGAATGTCTCTAACCCACTTAGAGAAGAACACAATTTGGAATTATAGCTCTAGTGACTTCCCTTGAAGCTAAGGATCATAGGAAGGTACAGTTTCAAGGCTAATCTTTGACCTTGTGTCCTAAACCCCAATTCATCCCATCTCCTTAAAGACCATGTGCACTTATCTTTATTCTGCAACTGTAACTTCTTTCTTTCTATTGGTTCTTTCTCATCAATATGACAAAGTTCCTCTTGTTTTGGAAAAATAAAGTCCCTTAGCTCTAGGATCTTCTTTCACTAAAACCCATAAACCAAGCTTTTTGACGATGAAGTCAGTGTTCACCAAACCTACTTCCTCACTTCCACTGTTATCTGGTCACTCTACTGATGATACCCTAATTATCACATACAGTGTACTTCTGCCTCTCTTTCCTTTTATATAGCATTCGTGTGTCCTGGAGACAGGTGGACCTCAGTCCAAACCTGATTCCACAAATTGCTGACTGTTGATCTTGAGCAAGTTGTCCTACTTTATCCACCTGTTGCATGGGAAATGCTTACTTTACAGGCTTGTTTTGAAAATTAGATAAAATAGCATAGAATAAAACACATAACATATTGCTTAGTAATTTTTCCTTTTCCCTGCCACTTCTTTTTTTCTTGAAATTTTTCCCCTTGGCTTTTAAGACGCAATGCTGCTGAATCTCCTCCTACCCCCGACTTCTTTGTCTGCTTTGCAATACTGTCCTTCTCTTCCAATCCCTTCTTGGCTTTCCCTTCTTATCTTTATATGTATTCTGGGTGGATTTGTCTATTTCATGGTTTCCTTTACCACTCATATCCTCATTATTTATATATTTATATAACTAGGATTGATAAGTCTCTTGCAATCAGATTCAGTTGAAAAATTTCACACTCACGTAGAGCTGAACATCTTCAAATCTGTGTACTCTTTCCCCACATATGACCCATTTCTATATTCCTTTATCTAGCTAATAGCATCACTACCCATCCAATCACACAAGCCAGAAACTCAAGTCATCCTACACCCCTCCAACTCTGTAGGAGTCTTTATGTGCCATGTCACCAACTCTCATTAATTCTATCTTCTAAATAATTATCAAATCAATCCTTGCTTTGACTGTAATAATTCAGCTCTCACTTGTCTCTGAACTGGTCTTTCCTCCAGCCTCAGACTTCTGTAATCTGTCCTCCAGATTATAACCAGAATAATTGTTTTGAATGCAAATCCCATTGTGCCAGTCTTTTATGTGTTCTTTGCATTACATATGATGCCTTCAGTGAGTTTGCCTTTGCTTACCTATTGGATTCAGAGTCCAGAATGCTAACCATTACACCATGGAACCCCCTTTTTTTTGCTTACCTGTTGAACCCTATCTCTTTTATCTCCTTCAGCTTTTCACCCTTCTTCTCACAGAGTCACACTAAACCACTGATAATTATCTTGGCTGGCTCCTTCTTCTTTTCATAATTCTCTTTTGCATGGGCCTCAGGGAAAAACATTAATTTATCTTTTAAGGCCATACATGAATGCCAGCCTTTCTCTGAAATTTTTCTCAAAAATCTAAATAAAATTAATTACTTCTTCCTTTTTTTATCACCCTAACTTAAACTTACCTCTATTATTTCCATAATAAGTGTTTGTGGTAAAACAAACATTCTTGAAATACAAATATCTCAAGATGACTTATTTTCAGTGGCGACACATATTTGAATGCATATATTGGGATATGCTTGCTAAAACATCCATTTCATTACTTTATAGTGTAAACACAACTAATCTGTTGTGGGATCTGAATATGGAAAATTAAATATTGCAGCTTAGAGAGTAATGCTGTTTGTGGGATGATAGTTCTACCATTAAATCAAGGATCTGAGTGTAGCAGATAACTGTGTTTAGATTGTAGCCCTAATAATGTAGTGGGTGTTTACCTGTTATCAAAAAATAGTATTCTCAGCAGAATATAACATCCTGCTCCTTCTAGTTTATGACTGTTTATAACATGCTATTTGATAAAATGATTAATAATATGTTAAATGTCTTCTACAATTGCCTAATCAAAAGATCTAGGAGTTTTTAAGTCTTCTTCTTAAATTATTTGACAGGTTCCAATGAAGCTAATACAAAAAAGAAAAAGGCAATATGTATTTTACCTATAAGATCTGTAAATCTCTCCTGAGTCTAGAATGAGGTGGGAGAGGGGAGAGAAATGAAAATCTTACCAGCTCAATTAGAACTACAAAATGCATGTTGTCTCTATCAGGGAGAAACACACATAAGAAAATGACTTGTGGAACTGAAAAATGATGGGTACCTGGCCTTTAATCTGGGAATTTTTGATACTAATGACATCTGACAAATTAGGTGAATGAATCAATGAAATATACATAAATGAGAGAACAAATAGCCTTGTATGTCTTCTATGTGTTAAATCAGATTTATTCTGAAGTTTTGAACATTTAATTATTTTCATAATGCAGTATAGAAAACACAAGTATATACAAATAATTAAAACAAAATGTGATATGAGCTATGAAGGAAATATATATAAAAGCAGTGGTGAGAACCCAGTGGGCTAATGTTCAGGGTTAGGTAAGTGGAGGAAGGGGATAGGATAGAAAGGAAGAGTCTCAGATGACCATCAATAAAGATTTGTTGTATTTAAGATGGGATACCATATATGTTTGGGTTCATGTAAAGTTAATTCTCAAATTTAATTCCTAATGCTAAGAAAGATTGCCCAAAGTGTTTTTCTCAATTTTCAGAAAAAATAAAACAGAGAAAATAAACCCTCACGTAATTTCATGTGAATAAATGACCTTGGGTAGTTCTCTGATTGGCCTCAGGAGCTTTTATGCAGTTGTGCCAGACCTATCTCTCTGCCCTACTTTTCGGCTCTTCTGTAATATTGTCTGGGAGAAAGGGAGCCTCAGAAGTCTGCTACAGAAGTCAGAGGAACTTTTACACATACTTTGGTGGAATGCCTCCCTTCCTAAACCTTTTTGTTAATAATGGATTGTGTTTCATCATTAGTTTCTCCTTCCATTTAAAATACATTCACGTCTTTTACTTTGAAACTAGGCATATTATACCTATGAATTCCTTAATTTCCTTTCTATGTTCCACACATTATTACAGCCATATAATACAAGCAACAGATGGCAGAGCCAGACTCTCTTCCTTTATTGGAGGTTGGAGAATACTGGAAGAAGCGATAATTTTTTCTAAGATAATCACCTTTCCAAAGAACCAAAAAGAGGCTAAAAAATGGATTTTACTGCCATGAGGAATACACAGATTATTATGAACACACGGAAAGGAAACTGGGGGATGTAAACTTAAATAGGAGTGTGGGAAGGTGCTCTGAGGGGACATGGATGAGAGAGCCCGTGATTTTTGCTGATGGGAAAGCATCAGGGAAAGGCACAGAGACTTAGTGACATTTGGTCTAAGCTTTATAATAGTGTTTATAAAGACCCTAAATATGATTTGGAGTCTTTCCACTCATCATTGCTTGGAAAAAGTTTACTAATATAAGGCAATGTACTAGAAAATTGACAAGAAATTGAGATTTTCAAAAAGTCATTCTGAGTTCTAACCTTTGTTTATAGTCCATTTCTTCTTGGAGATAGTGTGTGCAGATTCTACTGCTACTTGAGGTCTTGCCTCTATTTATTTTCAAATTAGATAAATCACAAGGCTCATATGTTTCTCAGCTTTGTGATTTATGTAGATAATAATTCAATGATAGTAGTTGGGGAGAGAGGCCAACTTGGGACTTGTGAGCTCAAGGAAGGCTGGGTGATTTCTGAAGTCTATGGTGCTTTTGATGATTGATATTTGTCCAGATTAGAGAATTCATATAAAGGTCTGTAGGCAGTAAGCTAATAAAGTTACAGCAGTAAACCATGAATACAAGGTTAAACAGTTTGAACACTGATTCTAGCCCTCTAGAGTAAATGAAAATATTTGCACAGGGTAGAAAATGTGCAGAGTAGAAAATGATAAAAATGATATTTTAAGAGACTCTTCTTACAGAGGTATAACTGTCTGACTTATAAGGAGAATTTCTGAAAAAATTAACTACTGGATTTGAAAAACCTTTGTTCAGAAGGCAATAATAGGATTTAGATACTCATTAGATTTAAGGGGCAAAGAGCAGAAGAGGCTAAGTGAGAGACTGGATTATTCATATCCCTACCTGAGAACAGACCCTGATTTCCCTGTCCCCTAGAGGTTGCAGTGACCATATTTTGAGGGACTGGCACCTATAGGGGCAAGAAAAAAATGGGCTTATTATTGTGACAAATCCAAAAGGGCAATACAGGGTAAGTCCCAGAGCAGAATCAGTGGCACTTGAGTGAGATACGCAGTTACATTTTTCTCCTTCTTGCCTTGAATGCCATTGGTGGCCCCTTCTCTGATAAGATAAGAGGAATATCAAATAAGAAACTAATTTATATTGATAAAAGAGTTATGAGCAGTGAGGTTACATTGCTGAATTATATGTCCTAGTGAGGTCATGCAGTGACCGTATTCCTCCGTGGGACAATGCAATGATGGTTGTACCATAGAGAGTATGCATAAAATACACATACACCACTGTTTGAGAGAAACTTTATCTAGGTCAGCGAAAGAGGAGAAATGATGGGAAGTGCTCAACTGTCCCTGAATAATGACCATGGCCTGCCCAATCCTACCTCTGCCTAGAATCATTCTGCTCTTCTGCTTAGCCACAGACTATGAAAAGCATCTGGGATATGACTGGCCCACAATTGGATTTGGAAGGGCTCAGGGCCGATTGAGTTGCCAGTGGAGGACTTCCCACATTAAAGTTCCCAGGGTTCCTCCAGCATGTACCATGGGATTGATTTCCAGAGAAATCTTAGATGTCAGCTGCTCTAATCTTACACTTAATTTTACATCTTACTTTTAGGTCTATGATCCATTTTGAGTTCGTTTTAACGAAAGTTGTAGGGTCCATGTCTAGATTCTCTTTTTTTCATATGAATGTACAATTTTTCCAGCACCGTTTGTTGCAAAGACTATTGTTGATCCATTAAATTACCTTTGCACCATTGCAATATATGTGTGGTTCTGTTTCTGGGATTCCATTCTATTCCATTCACCATTCAGTAGTTTCATAAAATCTTGATCAGCGTAGTTTTATAGTAAGTTCTGAAGTTGGATAATGTCAGGCTTCCAACTTTGTACTTCTTCCTTAGTATTATGTTGGCTATTCTGCTTTTTATTTGTTTTTCCATATAAATTTTAGTATCAGTTTGCCAATCTTTACTAACTACTTTCCTGGGATATTGATTGGAATTGTGTTGAATTTATAGATCAAATTAGGAAAAATTAACATCCTAAAGTGGAGTCTTTCAATTCATGAACATGGAATATCTCTCAATTTATTTAAATCTTATTTGATTTCTTTCATCAGAGTTTTGTAATTTTTCACATATAGACTTTACAAACATTTTGTTAGATCCCACTGATTTTATTTTTTGATGCTCATGTAAATGAGATTTTGCTTTTAATTTCAAATTCCAGTTGTGCATAGTTGGAATAAGCAAGAATAATAGATTTTTATAAGATATTTTAAAAGCAGTTTTAGGTACACAGAAAAATTGAGAGGTAAGAATAGGAATTTCTCCCCTTAGTCCTACACATACATAGCCTGTCCCATTATCAACATCCTTCACCGGAATAGTACATTTGTTGTGACTGAGAAATCTATATTGACACATAATAATCATGCAAGGTGTATAGCTTACTTTGAGGTTCTCTGTAGGGGTTGTACTTTCTATGGGTTTGGACAAACGTATAATAACCTGTATTCATCATTATAGTATCATAGAGAATAATTTCACTGCCCTAAAAATCCTCTGCTCAACCTATTCATCCTTCTCCTCCTTCCACTACTTCTCACCAACACCTGACAACTACTGATCTTTTCATTTCATAGTTTTTCCTTTTTTGGAATGTTGTACAGTGGGAATCATACAGTGTGTTGCCTTTTCAGATAGCGTCTTTCTTTTTTTTTTTAATTAAAGTTCTAGGGTACATGTGCACAACGTGCAGGTTTGTTACATAGGTATGCATGTGCCATGTTGGTTTGCTGCACCCATCAACTCATCATTTACATTAGGTATTTATCTTAATGCTATCCCTCCCTCATACCCCCAGTCCCCGACAGGCCCCAGTGTGTGATGTTCCCCATCCTGTGTCCAACTGTTCTCATTGTTCAATTCTCACCTATGAGTAAGAATATGCGGTGTTTGGTTTTCTGTCCTTGTGATAGTTTGCTGAGAATGATGGTTTCCAGCTTCATCCATGTCCCTGCAAAGGACAAGAACTCATCATTTTTTATGGCTGCATAGTCTTCCATGGTGTATATGTGCCACATTTTCTTAATCCAGTCTATCATTGATGGACATTTGGGTTGGTTCCAAGTCTTTTCTATTGTGAATAGTGCCACAATAAACATACATGTTCATGTGTCTTTATAGTAGAATGACTTATAATCCTTTGGGTATATACCCAGTAATGAGATGGCTGCGTCAAATGTATTTCTAGTACTAGATCCTTGAGGAATCGCCACACTGTCTTTCACAATGGTTGAACTAATTTACACCCCCACCAACAGTGTAAAAGCATTGCTATTTCTGCACATCCTCCCCAGCATCTGTTGTTTCCTGGCTTTTTAATGATCGCCATTCTAACTGGTGTGAGATGACATCTCATTGTCATTTTGATTTGCATTTCTCTGATGACCAGTGATGATGAGCATTTTTTCATGTGTGTGTTGGCTGCATAAATGTCTTCTTTTGAGAAGTGTCTGTTCATATCCTTTGCCTACTTTTTGACGGGGTTGTTTGCTTTTTCTTGTAAATTTGTTTAAGTTCTTTGTAGATTCTGGATATTAGCCCTTTCTCAGATGGGTAGATTGCAAAAATTTTTCTCCCATTCTGTAGGTTGCCTGTTCACTCTGATGGTAGTTTCTTTTGCTGTGCAGAAGCTGTTTAGTTTAATGCGATCCCATTTGTCAATTTTGGCTTTTGTTGCCATTGCTTTTGGTGTTTTAGACATGAAGTCCTTGCCCATGCCTATGTCACGAATGTTTTTTTTTCTTTTTTTAATTTTATTATTATTATACTTTAAGTTTTAGGGTACATGTGCACAATATGCAGGTTTGTTACATATGTATATGTGTGCCACGTTGGTGTGCTGCACCCATTAACTCATCATTTAGCATTAGGTATATCTCCTAATGCTCTCCCTCCCCCCTCCCCCCACCCAACAACAGTCCCCGGAGTGTGATTATCCCTTTCCTGTGTCCATGTGTTCTCATTGTTCAATTCCCACCTATCCATGAGCATGGAATGCCCTTCCATTTGCTTGTGTCCTCTTTTATTTTGTTGAGCAGTGATTTGTAGTTCTCCTTGAAGAGGTCCTTCACATCCCTTGTAAGTTGGATTCCTAGGTATTTTATTCTCTTTGAAGCAATTGTGAATGGGGGCTCACTCATGATTTGACTCTCTGTCTGTTATTGGTGTATAGGAATGCTTGTGATTTTTGCATATTGATTTTGTATCCTGAGACTTTGCTGAAGTTGCTTATCAGCTTAAGGAGATTTTGGGCTGAAACAATGGGGTTTTCTAAATTTACAATCATGTCATCTGCAAACAGAGACAATTTGACTTCCTTTTTTCCTAATTGAATACCCTTTATTTCTTTCTCTTGCCTAATTGCCCTGGCCAGAACTTCCAACACTATGTTGAATAGGAGTGGTGTGAGTGACGACATCCCTGTCTTGTGCCAGTTTTCAAAGGGAATGCTTCCAGTTTCCAGCCATGTAGTATGATATTGGCTGTGGGTTTGTCATAAATAGCTCTTATTATTTTGAGATATGTTCTATCAATACCTAGTTTATTGAGAGTTTTTAGCATTAATGACTGTTGAATCTTGTCAAAGGCCTTTTCTGCATCTATTGAGATAATCACATGGTTTTTGTCATTGGTTCTGTTTATGTGATGGATTACGTTTACTGATTTGCATATGTTGAACCAGCCTTGCATCCCAGGGATGAAGCCGACTTGATTGTGGTGGATAAGCTTTTTGATGTGCTGCTGGATTCAATTTGTCAGTATTTTATTGAGGATTTTCACATTGATGTTCATCAGGGATATTGGTCTAAAATTCTCTTTTTTTGTTGTGTCTCTGCCAGGCTTTGGTATCAGGATGATGCTGGCCTCATAAAATGAGTTAGGGAGGATTCCTTCTTTTTCTATTGATTGGAATAGTTTCAGAAGGAATGGAACCAGCTACTCTTTGTACCTCTGGTAGATTTCAGCTGTGAATCTGTCTGGTCCTGGACTTTTTTTGGCTGGTAGGCTATTAATTATTGCCTCAATTTCAGAGCCTGTTATTGGTCTATTCAGACATTCAACTTCTTCGTGGTTTAGTCTTGGGAGGGTGTATGTGTCCAGGAATTTATTCATTTCTTCTAGATATTCTAGTTTATTTGTGTAGAGGCATTCATAGTATTCTCTGATGGTAGTTTGTATTTCTGTGGGATCGGTGGTGCTATCCTCTTTATCTTTTTTTATTGCGTCTATTTGATTCTTCTTTTCTTCTTTATTAGTTTTGCTAGTGCACTGTCAATTTTGTTGTGAAGATAGCTTCTTTCATGAGTAATATGTGTTTAATATTCCTCCATGTCTTTTCATGGCTTGATAGCTCATTTCTTTTTAGTGCTGAATAACAGTCCATTGTCTGGATGTTACACAATTTATCCATTCACCTACTGAAGAACAATTTGGTTGCTTCCAAATTTTGGCAATTATGAATAGAGCTGCTATAAACATCAATTTTCAGGTTTTTGTATTGATATGTTTTCAACTCCTTTTGGTAAATACCAAGTAGTATGACTGATAGATCACCTGGTAGGAGTATGTTTAGTTTTATGAAAAAGTGCCAAACTGTTTTTCCAAGTGGCTGTACCATTTTGCATCTCCACCAGCAGTGAAAAAGAGTTCCTTCTGCTTCACAACTTTATCAGTATTTGGTGTTTGCAGTGTTCTGGGTTTTGGCCATTCAAATAGGTGTGTAGTGGTATCTTACTGTTGTTTTAATTTAATTTTCCCTGATGATATATGATGTGGAGCATCTTTTCATACACTTACTTGTAATCTATATATTTTCTTTGATGAGGTATCAGTTAAGGTCTTTGGCTTTTTTTTTTTTTTTTTTTTTTGAGATGGAGTCTTACTCTGTTGTCCAGGCTGGAGTGCAATGGTGCGGTCTTGGCTCACTACAACCTCTGCCTCCCAGGTTCAAACGATTCTTCTGCCTCAGCCTCCTGAGTAGCTGGTACTACAGGCCCGTGCCACCACATCTGGCTAATTTTTGTATTTTTAGTAGAGATGCGGTTTCACCATATTGGCCAGGCTGGTCTCGAACCCTGACCTCAGGTGATCCGCCTGCTTTGGCCTTCCAAAGTGCTGGGATTACAGGCATGAGCCACCGTGCCCGACCTGGCCCATTTTTAAATTGTGTTGTTTGTTTTCTTATTGGTGAGTTTTTAGAGCTCTTTGTATGTTTTGGATAATAATTCTTTAACAAAGGTGTCTTTTGCAAATATTTCCTCATAGTCTATGGCTGGTTTTCTCATTCTCTTGACATTGTCTTTCTTTCTTTCTAATTTTTATGTTTTTAATTGACCAAAAATTGTACACATTTATGATATACAATGTAACATTTTTACATATGTATACATTGTTGAATGACTAAATCAACTAACATGTGAATTACCTCACATACTTATTTTTTGTTGAGAAAATTTAAAATTTATTCTCTTAGCAATTTTCAATTATACAATACATTGTTATTAACTATAACTGTAGTCATGTTGTATAATAATTCTCCTGAACTTATTCCTTCTAACTAAAATTTTCTATCCTTTGACCAATGTATTTTCAATTTCCCTTCCACCCCTCAACCCCAGCTCCTGGTAACCACCATTCTACTCTCTACTTCTCAAATTCTATGAATTTCAGTGTTTCAGATTTCAAATATAAAGTAAGGTCATGCAGGATTTGCCTTCCTGTCCCTGACTTATTTCACTTAGCACACTGTCCTCCAGGTTTATTCACATTGTTGGAAATGACAGCATTTCCTTCTTTTATAAGATTGAATATAGGGTTCCATGTATATATCTAACATATTTTCTTTATTCATTCATCCATTGATGAACACAGGTTGATCCTATATCATGGCTATTGTGAATAATGCTGCAATGAACATGAGAGTGCAGACATCTCTTTGACATATTGATTTCATTTTTTGAATATATATCCAAAAGCAGAATTGCTGGATCATATGGTAGTTTTATTTTTAATTTTTTGAGGAACCTCCATACATTTTTGCATAATGGCTTTACTAATTTACAGTGGACTTTATTTCTATAGGTTTATTTTTGGGCTCTCTATTCTGTTCCATTGATCTATTTGCCTATTATTTCAACAATATCACACTGTGTTGATTACTGTAGCTTTAAAGTAAATCTTGAAATAGAATACTGTGAGTCCTCTGATTTTATTATTCTCCCTCAATATTATATTAGTTATGTTGGATCTTTTGCTTTTTCATATAAACTCTCAAATCAGTTTGTTGATATCCACAAAATAATCTGCAAAGATTTTGGTTGAGATTGCATCAAATCCATATATCAAGTTGGGAAGAACTGACATCTTGACAATATTGAGTCCTCCTATCCAGGGACATGGAATATCTCTCAATTTATTTTGTCCTTCTTTGACTTCTTTTATCAGAGTTTTATTCATATAGATCTTGGGCACATTTTATTAGATTTATATCAAAGTATTTCATATTCTTGGGTGCTAATAACAGTGGTATTGTGTTTTTTATTTCAAATTCCATTTGTTAATTGCTGGTATATAGAAAAGTGATTGATTTTTTATTTCAACCTTGTATCCTGCAAATTTGCTGTAATAACTTATTAGTTTCAATAGCATTCTTTGCTGTTGTTTATTCATTTGAATTTTCCACATAGATCATTCTGTTATCTGCAAACAATGATGGTTTTATTTATTTTGCCTCAATCTGTATACTTTACCCTTCCTTTTAGTGTTTTATTATATTAGCTAGGACTTCCAGTATAATGTTGAAAAGGCAGGATGAGAGGAAACATCCTTGACTTGTTCCTGGTATTAGTGGGAAAGCTTCTACTTTTTCACCATTAAGTTTAATAGTAACTGTAGGTTTTCTTGTAGATATGCTTTATCAACTTAAGGAAATTCCCCTCTATTTTTTACTGAGAGTTTTTATTGTGAATGGGTGTTAGACTTTTGTCAAATGCTTTTTCTGGATTTATTGATATGACTATATAATTTAAAAAAAAATTGGGATCTCACTCTGTTGCCCAGGCTAGAGTGCAGTGGTGTGATCATAGCTCACTGCAGCCTTCAATTCTTGGGCTCAAGAAATACTCCTGCTTCACCCACGCAAGTGGCTGGAACTACAGGTGTGTACAACTATAATTGATTTTTTTAACCCATTGATATGATGGATTACATTAGTTGATTTTTAAACACTGAACCAGCCTTGCACATGTTGTCTCTGTCTTTCTATGCCTGGGTTTTTATTTGTTTGTTTGTTTTTCATTTAAAGTCCTCCAGCTTCATTCCTATTGCTACAGATGTCAAGATTTCTTTCTTTTTTATGGCTGAATAGTATTCCATTGTGTGTATATACACACATTTTCTTTATATATTCATTTGTTGATGAACACTTAGGTTGATTCTATATTTGGCTATTGTGAATATTAGTGCAATAAACATGAGACTGTGCATATTTCTTTGACATACTGATTTCATTTCATTTGGATGTATATCCAGTAGTGGAATTGCTGGATCATATGGTAGTTCTAATTTTACTGTTTTGAAGAAACTCCATACATTTTTGCATAATAGCTGTACTAATTTAAATCCCCACTAACAGTGTGCAAGTGTTCCTTTTTCTCCACAGCCTGGCCAACACTTTTTGTCTTTTGTCTTTTTTGAAAAAAATGTTTAATTATACTTTAGGTTCTGGGATACATGTCCAGAATGTGCAGGTTTGTTACATAGGTATACACGAGCCCTGGTGGTTTGCTGCACCCATCAACCTGTCATTTAGATATTTCTCATAAAGCTATCTCTCCCTTATCTCCCTACCCCCTGACAGGCTCATGTGTGTGATGTTCCTCTCCCTATGTCCATGTGTTCTCATTGTTCAACTCCCACTTATGAGTGAGAACATGTGGTGTTTGGTTTTCTGTTCCTGTGTTAGAGAATTGTAATAGTGCTTTCTCTGGCATTGGAACTGTTAAAAAAAAAAAAAAAGCACAACCTATTGACTATTTGACACATGGGGATTCACATTGCTTGCTGTAACATAAGTAAAAAAGTTTCTTGTCTCCGACACAGGAGTTTTGTGTTTTCTGTCAGTATCAATAAAATAGTAACAGACTAACTTATTAAAGTAAAATTTCAAACCCTTCACAGTTCTTGACAAAAATACGTCATTCCACCATTCATTCCAAATAAGTTCTGTAATAAATTATGTTTTTATTAGAGATAATTAGCATTTTTCACTTTCAAGGTACGATTTGAAGACAGAATATTTTAAAATGCAAAATCTGTTGACCTCTTTACGGCTGAAATTAAAAGATGGTATTATATTTACTGCAAGTTTATTAACAACTTGATGTGCGTAGAAAAGCACTTGGGCTAGTGAAGCAGGTAGAAATAACAATCGTATTAAAAAAAAAAACCCAGGCTAATATAGTGATATAAATTAATGTCTCTTCTCTCCTTCTGCCGTCATCTAAGATATAACAGATAATAAGTCCATTTAGTGATTTAAAAGGAGAGATTTTTTTTCACCCTGTATAGCATTGTTCTCCCCAGTGAATTGTTCAATTTTCTTTCTTTCTTTGTTACCGGAATATCTTTTATAACTCTATTCTAAATACATTTGCTTTTACATTATTTAAGATAAAAAATACATATTCAATTTATTGAGGGATTTAATGTAGGATCTGTTCACAAAATTACTTTTTAGAAATTGATGTTTATTTCTAAAAAATAACTATATGTGGGTCAAGAAATTGTAGATAAAAAATACTTTTTTCACTGTAACATATAGTTTTTTTTTGTTATGGGGTTCTTGTTTTCATTTCCTTTTTTGTTTTTGAAATAAGTATCTTATCCAAAACTTAGGAATAACATTATAAATGCATTAAATTAATGAAATAGGGATTTTCCTCAGACTTCAATGAAAGTGTGAATAGAAATAAAATCAAATTACACATTACACATTCACATGATGTTTACTATTTGCTAGGTTTCCAAGATACTGATAAAGAAATTATGGTACACAAAGGTCAATCAACTTGCTCAAGGTCACACAGCTAGAAAATGATCAGAGGAAGTATGACCTTAGGCTCCATATTCCTATCCACCTCACTATATTGCCTCTTAAATTTCATTCTATGCCCACACCAAACAACAACAACAACAACAAAAAACAAAAAAACCCCCACAGAAATCCAATTCCTTTCTATTGTTCCTTCACCTCACTTATGGACCACACTCTATGTCTTCCTAAAATACCAGTGCATTTTTCTGCAATTACATTGTCATATAATTGAGGACAAAACTATAAAGAATATATTCATGTAAGGCTTTAATAAAGATTAAAAATATGGCATAGCAGCAGAAAGATAGTACAGACAAACATCAGAGAGGTCTAAAACTTTCTCCTTTTTTTCTTGAGTCTGCTTACTAGTGAAGCAATCTTCCTATCACTTATTTGTGCCACAACTAAACTATGAGATGTACAAGAGGTGTTAAAGTCTCCCATTATTATCACGTGGGAGTCTAAGTCTCTTTGTAGGTCTCTAAAGACTTGCTTTATGAATCTGGGTCCTCCTGCATTGGGTGCATATATATTTAGGACAGTTAGCTCTTCTCGTAGAATTGATCCCTTTACCATTATGTAATGGCCTTCTTTGTCTCTTTTGATCTTTGTTGGTTTCAAGTCTGTTTTATCAGAGACTAGGACTGCAACCCCTGCTTTTTTTTTTGCTTTCCATTTGCTTGGTAGATCTTCCTCCATCCCTTTATTTTGAGCCTATGTGTGTCTCTGCATGTGAGATGGGTCTCCTGAATACAGCAAACTGATGGATCTTGACTCTTTATACAATTTGCCAGTCTGTGTCTTTTAATTGGGGCATTTAGCCCATTTACATTTAAGGTTAATATTGTCATGTGTGAATTTGATCCTGTCATTATGATATTAGCTGGTTATTTTGCCCATTAGTTGATGCAGTTTCTTCCTAGCATTGATGGTCTTTATAATTTGGCAATATTAGACAGATCAGTGAAACAGAAGGTTAACAAGGATATCCAGGACTTGAACTCAGCTCTGCACCAAGAGGACCTAATAGACATCTACAGAACTCTCCACCCCAAATCAACAGAATATACATTCTTCTCAGCACCATATCGCACTTATTCCAACATTGACCACATAGTAGGAAGTAAAGCACTCCTCTGCAAATGCAAAAGAAAAGAAATCACAACAAACCGTCTCTCAGACCACAGTGCAATCAAATTAGAAATCAGGATTAATAAACTCATTCAAAATCACACAACTACATGGAAACTGAATAACCTGCTCCTGAATGACTACTGGGTACATAATGAAATGAAGGCAGAAATAAAGATGTTCTTTGAAACCAATGAGAACAAAGACACAACATACCAGAATCTCTGGGACACATTTAAAGCAGTGTGAAGACGGAAACTTATAGCACTAAATGCCTACAAGAGAAAGCAGGAAAGATCTAAAATAGACACCCTAACATCACAATTGAAAGACCTAGAGAAGCAAGAGCAAACACATTCAAAAGCTAGCAGAAGGCAAGAAATAACTAAGATCAGAGCAGAACCGACGGAGATAGAGACACAAAAAATCCTTCAAAAAAATCAGTGAAGCCAGGAGCTGGTTTTTTGAAAAGATCAACAAATTGATAGACCACTACCAAGACTAATAAAGAAGAAAAGAGAGAAGAATCAAATAGACGCAATAAAAAAAGATAAAGGGGATATCACCACCGATCCCACAAAAATACAAACTACCATCAGAGAATACTATAGACACTTCTATGCAAATAACTAGAAAATCTAGAAGAAATGGATGAATTCCTGGACACATACACCCTCCCAAGACTAAACCACGAAGAAGTTGAATATCTGAATAGACCAATAACAGGCTCTGAAATCGAGGCAATAATTAAGAGCCTACCAACCAAAAAAAGTCCAGGAACAGAAAGATTCACAGCCGAAATCTACCAGAGGTACAAAGAGTAGCTGGTTCCATTCCTTCTGAAACTATTCCAATCAATAGAAAAAGAAGGAATCCTCCCTAACTCATTTTATGAGGCCAGCATCATGCTGATACCAAAGCCTGGCAGAGACACAACAAAAAAAGAGAATTTTAGACCAATATCCCTGATGAACATCGATGCCAAAATCCTCAATAAAATACTGGCAAACTGAGTGCAACAGCACATCAAAAAGCTTATCCACCACAATCAAGTCGGCTTTATCCCTGGGATGCAAGGCTGGTTCAACATATGCAAATCAATAAACCTAATCCATCACATAAACAGAACCAATGACAAAAATCACATGATTATCTCAATAGATGCAGAAAAGGCCTTTGACAAGATTCAACAGCCCTTCATGCTAAAAACTCTTAATAAACTAGGTATTGATGAATGTATCTCAAAATAATGAGAAACTATTTATGACAAACCCACAGCCAATATCATACTGAATGGACAAAAACTGGAAGCATTCCCTTTGAAAACTGGCAAAAGACAGGGATGCCCTCTCTCACCACTCCTATTCAACATAGTGTTGGAACTTCTGGCCAGGGCAATTAGGCAAGAGAAAGAAATAAAAAGTATTCAATTAGGAAAAGAGGAAGTCAAATTGTCCCTGTTTGCAGGTGACATGATTGTACATTTAGAAAACCCCAATGTCTCAGCCCAAACTCTCCTTAAGCTGATAAGCAACCTCGGCAAACTGTTAGGATACAAAATCAATGTGCAAAAATCACAAGCATTCCTATACACCAATAACAGACAGAGAGTCAAATCATGAGTGAGCCCCCATTCACAATTGCTTCAAAGAGAATAAAATACCTAGGAATCCAACTTACAAGGGATGTGAAGGACCTCTTCAAGGAGAACTACAAATCACTGCTCAACAAAATAAAAGAGGACACAAGCAAATGGAATGGCATTCCATGCTCATGGATAGGAAGAATCAATATCGTGAAAATGGCCATACTGCCCAAGGTAATTTATAGATTCAGTGCCATCCCCATCAAGCTACCAATGACTTTCTTCACAGAATTGGAAAAAACTACTTTAAAGTTCATATGGAACCCAAAAAGAGCCCACATTGCCAAGATAATCCTAAGCAAAAAGAGCAAAGCTGGAGACATCACGCTACCTGACTTCAAACTATACTACAAGGCTACAGTAACCAAAACACCATGGTACTGGTACCAAAACAGAGATATAGACAAATGGAACAGAACAGAGGCCTCAGAAATAACACCACACATCTACAACCATCTGATCTTTGACAAACCTGACAAAAACCAGAAATGGGGAAAGGATTCCCTATTTAATAAATGGTGCTGGGAAAACTGGCTAGCAATATGTAGAAAGCTGAAACTGGATCCCTTCCTTACATCTTATACAAAAATTAATTTAAGATGGATTAAAGATGTAAATGTTAAACCTAAAACCATAAAAACCCTAGAAGAAAACCTAGGCAATAACATTCAGGACATAGGCATGGGCAAGGACTTCATGACTAAAACGCCAAAAGCAATGGTGACAAAAGCCAAAATTGACAAATGGGATCTAACTAAACTAAAGAGCTGCTGCACAGTGAAAGAAACTACCATCACAGTGAACAGGCAACCTACAGAATGGGAGAAAAATTTTGCAATCTACCCATGTGAAGAAAGGGCTAATATCCAGAATCTACAAAGAACTTAAACAAATTTACAAGAAAAAAACAACCCCATGAAAAAGTAGGCAAGGGATATGAACAGACACTTCTCAAAAGAAGACATTTATGCAGCCAACACACACATGAAAAAATGCTCGTTATCACCGGCCATCAGAGAAATGCAAATCAAAACCACAATGAGATACCATCTCACACCAGTTAGAATGGTGATCATTAAAAATTCAGGAAACAACAGATGCTAGAGAGGATGTGGAGAAATAGCAATGCTTTTACACTGTTGGTGGGGGTGTAAATTAGTTCAACCATTGTGGAAGTCAGTGTGGCAATTCCTCAAGGATGTAGAACTAGAAATACCATTTGACCCAGCCATCCCATTACTGGGTATATACCCAAAGGATTATAAGTCATTCTACTATAAAGACACATGAGCACGTATGTTTATTGTGGCACTATTCACAATAGAAAAGACTTGGAACCAACCCAAATGTCCATCAGTGATAGACTGGATTAAGGAAATGTGGCACATATACACCATGGAAGACTATGCAACCATAAAAAATGATGAGTTCTTGTCCTTTGCAGGGACATGGATGAAGCTGGAAACCATCATTCTCAGCAAACTATCACAAGGACAGAAAACCAAACACTGCATGTTCTTACTCACAGTTGGGAACTGAACAATGAGAACAGTTGGACACAGGGTGGGGAACATCATATATGGGGGCTTGTCGTGGGGTGGAGGGCAGTGGGAGGGATAGCATTAGGAGAAATACCTAATGTAAATGACGAGTTGATGGGTGCAGCAAACCAACATGGCACATGTATACCTATGTAACAAACCTGCACGTTGTGCACATGTACTCTAGAACTTAAAGTATATATATATATATATTTATATATATATATATATTTATAAAAGATGTGTAAGAGGTGGTGATTGCCTAAGTTTAATTTCATTTCTATTTTTAAAAGTTGTGTTAAAATACACATGATATAAAATGTTATTATTTTAACAATTGAAGTGTACAGATTAGTGGTATTAAATACATTCATAACATTTTATAATTATTATGTTCATCTATCTTCATAACTCATTTCATCTTGCAAGACTGAAACTATATATTCATTAAACAATAACTCCTCATTCCTGACACCCTCCAGCCCCTGGCAACTATCATTCTATCTTCTGTCTCTATGATTTTCACTATAAGTAATTACACAGTATTTGTCTTTTTGTGACTGGCCTATTTCATTTAATGTAATGTCCTCAAGATTCATCCTTATTGTAGCATATATCAGAATTTCATTGCTTTTTAAGGCTGCGTAATACTGCATATGTCTATATTATATTTTGCTTATTCATTCATCTGTTGATGAACATGTGTTTCTTCTTTAGTTATTGTGAATAATGCTGCTATGAACACAAGCATAAAAATATCTTTTCAAGGCCCCGCTTTCAATTTTTGTTTTTGGTATATGCTTATAAGTGGAATTGCTGGATTACTTGGTAATTCTATATTTAATTTTTTAGGAAACATCACAGATCTTTTTTTGGACAAGATGTGTTTAAGCTTCAGATTTTGAATCACCAAGATAGAGCAAGTTACTTTGGTCTCAGGGAGTCAAATTTACCAAGAGGTCTTTGATAAGCCACTGGTTATGTAGCTAAAAGCAAACTGCATAATTGGTTAAATCAGGTGCAAACTACTGATCTGTCTTTTCTATAACATATGAAAATGTTGAATAATTTCTATTAACATGTATTCAGTTTCACTAATCTTTTCTTTTGTCATATCTATTCTGCTTTTAATCCCATGCATTGTATTTTTTGTCTCAGACATTGTATTTTTTTATTTCTAGAAGTTTGATTTGACTTGAGTTTTAAAAACCATCTCCCATGTTTCTATTCACAATTAAATTTCTTAAGCTTCTTGAACATAATATCTTTGTTTACTAATTCTATTATTTGTATAATTTTTAGTTCAGTTTCAGTTGATTTTTCTCCTCATTATAGATTATATTTTCCAAATTTTACTTACTGATGACTTTTTTTAAGGTGTGCACTTTTATTGAAGTGGTCTCAAGTCAGTACCAGTATCGACTGCCTCCACACCTCCACCCACTCCCAGGAAGATGAAAAACCTTCATACATTTCAAGCTGGGGGACAAAAAGAGGGCCATGATGGCTGATCATTCAAAATAAAACAAAATAAAAAAGTATGAAGGTGAAGATTTAAAAAATGTTGCATTACATAATTTACAAGAAAGCAACGCTGTCACCTCCACTGTGTGGATGGGGAGATGACTAGGCCATTCTTCTTAGAGAGAAGTGGGATGGCTTTTGGGAGGGCAAGGGACTTTCTACAACAATGCATCTCATGATATGTAGAATGACCATTTTTTTAAAAAGAACAATGTATGATCGAAGTCCTCTGCCACATTGTAGAATTTTGGGAGATGCTCACTCCAACTGACCGCTCTCACTGTCACTGTTCATTTTTAAATCCTGAGTCACCAGGCCAAAAACCCCAAAGTGAACAGACAAAAAACAAATATGTTCATGCCAATTTCATCTTGTTTCCTGTGCAAGTTAGGTTTTATCAAGAAACGGTGTAATACAACTAAGTAACAGTCTGCCTAGAAGCATTTGTAGTGGACGATGGAGGGGATGGATTTTTAGTATTCTTGTTTGCTGATCCAAATCCACTAGAAGGTGAACAGGGAGGCCAGGATGAAGCCGCTGATTCACACAGAGAATGTGTGCTCACGGGGCACAATAATTTTGATCTTATTGTGCTGGGGGCCAGGGCAGTGATCTCCTTTTGCATCCTGTCCTGGATGCTCGGGTACATGGTGGTGCCACCAGATAGCACTGTGTTGGAGTACAGGTTCTTGTGCATGTTCACATCACATTTCATGATGGAGTTGGAAGTAGTTTCATGGATGCCACAAGATTCCATATGCAGGAAAGAAGTGTGGAAGAGAGCCGGGACCTATCAAGAAGAGATTGTTGCAGATGGTAATTACCTGGCTGTTGGCAGGGAAAAGAAGGATGCAGGGGCTGTCAGCTCCTGATTGAAGTCCAAGATGATCCAGCACAGCTTCTCCTTGATGTCATGCATAATTTCCCATTCTGCCATGATAGTGAAGCTATAGCTTCACTAGGGGAGGATCTTCATGAGATAGGTCCCGGCAAGCCAGGTCTGGATGCAGGATGGCATAGAGAAGGGCATAGTCCTCGGAGATGAGCACACTGTAGGTGAACCTGCCACTGGAATCCATCACAATGCCAGTGGTATGGCCAGAGGCTAGACGGACAGCATGACCCAGATGGCCATGTACATAGCTGGGATGTTGAAGGTCTCAAACATGATCTGGGCTATCTTCTCATGGTTGGCCTTGGGGTTCAGGGGGACCTTGGTCAATAGCACAGGGTGCTCCTTGGGAGCCACAACTCATTGTAGAAGGTGTGGTGCCAGATCTTCTCCATGTCTTCCCAGTTGGTGATGATGCAGTGCTCAGTGGGGTACTTCAGGGTCAGGATGCCTCACTTGTTCTGGACCTCATTCCTCACATAGCAGTCCTTCTGCCCTATGCCCATCATCAAACTCTGGTCCCATGGGCATCCCACTATGGAAAGGAAGAAGGCCTGGGGGCATCTTTGACAAGGATTCTGGCCTTGCACATACCAGAGCAGTTGCCAACAAGTGCAGAGGTATCATCATCCATGGTGAGCTCAGGGCAGATGTGAACCAGTGGCAAAGCAGTGAGGGCAAGGGTCTGTGCTTCCTGGGTGGATGAGGTTTTGGTGGTCTGCTATTGATTTGTGATTCAATGCCAGACAACAGTTTGAATTTTTTAGTCTTGTTTTAAGCTTTGTTAGGTGACACCAGAACAGCATTTAGCTTATTTATAGTTTGTAGCCACTAAGGCAAGACCCTTTTTAATGCTATAACTAATATCTGGTGAATCATAAGGTTTCCCACAGTGGCTGTTGGAAATTGGCGCCATTCCTGGCACTATAAGATTTCCAGGCAGTGGTTTCTCTTTTGGATGGTTCTTCTTCAAACTCAGGTAGTTTCCTCACAAACAAGTGTTGGTCAGTACTCAATTCAGTACTCCAGGAGTACCCTCCAAAGATCTTTGTAGTTCTCTCTGTGTGCAGCACTTGTCTCTTCTGCCACTGCTCTGTAAACTCTAGCCATCTTGGCTTTCCTGAACTCCTAGCTGCAGGTCTTCAACTCAGGGTTTTGCTTGGGTTCCCCCTCACTGCACCATCACCTGGAAACTCTTCAACCACTAAGCTGGGATGACTGTAGGGCCAACCTCATTTGTTTCCAGTCCTTAAGGATCACTGCCTTTCATTATTTTAGATCCAATGTCTTGAAAGCTATTGTTTCATGTATTTGATCAGATTCTCAGTTCCAGCCCCCATTATTCCATCTTGGCTGGAAGCCGAAGCTGATTTATACATTTTCAATAAACAATGTAGACAGGTTAATACAAAATGCCTCGAGGAGTTTCGGATTTTAAACAGCATACTTTAATCACTAGGTAGCACAATTTATTCCTTTCTTGGCTGAGGGTCAGTACCATGGCTCCAGGGTTCTATGGAGGCAAGCACAGAGGTACCACAGAGACCAGCTGCAAATTACTTTTCTTAAACAGTTCTCTGGAGGTGCCATTGTTGCAGACGTTCATGCATTTTTCTGCTGCTTGCCATTGTTCCCTTTTCTCCCTGGCTAGCCTTCTCTTACTGGACCAAGCCGAACTGAGCTTGTGCTACTACTATATCTAGTTCATTTTTTATCGTTACCTTTATCACACTGTATTATATCAATCCCCCTCTCAGACCACAGGATCTCTGCACACAGACTATGTCTATATAGTCTCAATGCCTGACACTCTGGGCACTTCATAATAATACATCAAATGAATTAATGAATAGAATAAATGAATATTTGAATATGAATTATTTTAACTGGTAAGTTAATGCAGAGAAATTTGGAAATTAGTATAGGAACTGCTAATAGAGTTTTTACTTTGTTACATATAATTATATTATTGAAGGAGGTATATCATTTTTATTCCATTTAATTTTTTACTTTCTCACCAAGTTATTTTATACTTTCAGGAAACCTGACCTAAAATAACTCTTCCTGGCACTTTCTATTTCAGCAATTGGATCAGTCGAATCTTCTCCAAGATTCCTGTACACAAAGTAGAGAAATTAGATACTACTGTCATGGTAGTTTGTGATTTTGACAGGCTGTAATTCTCAGAGATGAAAAAGTAGAATTTTATTTTATAACTGAACATAGATTTTGTTGTCCTTGATTCCCTACTTCTTCTTAGCAACAGAAAATTAATTTTTAATTTTCAGATATTCAGTCCAATACAAAAGTTATTCCATAATTTAGTTCTGATTGTCTAAGTCAGTTGGTTTTACAAAAGTCAGCTGGGATTTCTCTTCTATTCTCTTCCTCTATGTTGCTTATAAGCTCTGTGTGTGTGTGTGTGTATCAATATCTCTACATATATATTTATATGTATCCATGCATATCTATAGTAAGCTAGAGTGGGATGGGGAAGGGAGGAGGGATGCCTATGCCTTGGACTCACTGCTATCTCTGTGTGGCTTCAAATGTGTGTACTATCTATATTACTGACACAAGCGATATGTTATGCTGGCTATGTTTGATAGCTTCTGGATAATCTACTGATTGTCTATGCAGCTTTCTGACATGAAAGGCCCTATTTAGTCCAGACACTATAGGAGCCCTCCCTTTGCTGAGTGAGCTTGTCTCTTGGCTATTAATTTGACTCGTGCTCCTAGCATCCACAGCTTTCTCTCAATCTGAGGAATGGTATATTGGCACCAATCTCATACTTTTTAGCTGATCACAGATATCACAGATATTCGTAAATTTCAACAGGGACTCTTCCAGGAAAGGGTGGGAGTTGGGAAGGAAAGGAAAAAGAATCTGTTCTCCTTTCATGCTTTCTCAGAATCCCCATAAACTTCATTATTTCATTTGTTTTCTGCTCTAGCCCTCATATATCTACCTGTACAGGTTGTTTTGTTTTGGTTTTTTTTTTTTTTTTTTTGAGTCTCACTCTGTCACCCAGGCTGGAGTGCAGTGGCATGATCTTAGCTCACTGCACCTCCATCTTTTGGGTTGGAGTGATTCTCCTGCCTCAGCCTCCTGTGTAGCTGGGACTACAGGCATGTGCCACCATGCCTGACTAATTTTTGTATTTTTAGTAGAGACAGGGTTTCAACATGTTGGCCAGGCCAGTCTTGAACTCCTGACCTCAGGTGATCCACCCGCCTTGGCCTCCCGAAGTGCTGGGATTGCAGGCGTGAGCCACCATGCCCGGCCCATATATCTAACTGTGTAGGTTTTATGAGAACACATTCCTTTTCACATCTTTCAGTTTTCTGTTCTCACTGCCTATCATAGTTGTGTTAGTATGTATGAAGTAGAGAAGTTGCTTCTTTGAGTTGATAAGCAAAAAAAAGTAGTTGGAGCCTGGTCACTGCTCCCTAGCATATGCTGACGCAGCTTGTACTGAGGCAGTTGCAAAGAAGGAAAACACAGCACTTTGTATCATCATTCCTGTTATTAATCTAGCAAAAATAAGCATTTCACATATCATTTCATGTTACTTTATAGATAAAATAATTTCTCAGTTAGGGCCTCACAGACCACCTGCTTCAAGTTGGAACTTACCAAGAAATTACAAGGCATTCTGCCTCAATGTTCCCTAACATTTCCTGAAACTGTCATTCAAGAATCCTGGGATGGGAGAGTTAACCATAATATCTTGAAGATTATTTAACTGAGCCATCTCAAGGCCGTACAAATCATGAGGTCGTTTGTAATAATATGGGTTTTTCCAGAATAGAGATTCAGGTGGGTTCATTTCCTTTTTAGCTGCTCTTTTGCTTTAAGATAGCAGTTGAATTTCTTTCTTGACATATTTATTTCAGATTATTATCAAACATTTATATCCTAGGCTTCTTTACTTCTTAGGCATAGAAAGGGAAACTCTTTTGCTAGATACCAAATAAGAAAAAAGTCCTTCTTATTTATTTTATTTTTGAAGCTATAACTTGAATTCTGCTTTGAATTGTTTTTTAGTTTTCTTCCATGAACTAGGGATATGCATGCAGCAGATGGTCAATAAATGCTCACTGACTGAAGCCCAGTTGCTCTATTTAAATTACATATAAAAAACAAAATGACAATTCAACTAGTATATGTGAAAGAGGAAATTTCTCACAGCTATCCAAACTTTTCTAAGAAGTCAGTTTTAATGGTTACATAATGAAACGAGTATCTAAATCTAGTTCATTGTATATGGTCAATGAGCTTCACTAATGACATTAATAAGCTGATCAAATATATAGTTTGATACATTGTAGTATTAGAAAACTTTGTATAATCACAGTATTGAGATTATTGATAGATTTTTGATAATCCAAGTATTATTCATTGGATCTGCATCTCTATGAGTGGTTCGAATCAGACATGAAAGGCGACGTTCATCTGCATCAAAGGAGAAGTCACATAGAGAGGTTGTGCTTAAACTAGATATAAAGGAAGAGAATGAGAATGGAGTGCTAATAGGAGAGTCCTAATAGCATTGCTGGACTAGTTACAGGTCAGTGACTACACACAAAAGCTTAACCAGGAGGTGGCTACCGATCATGAAGAGCCAGGCTGTGTGCAGTCTTCCTTCTTGATGATTCATGTCTGGCTTGTGCAGATTATTCGTTAGCATGAGGTTGCACTCTTCAGGAGCAGCCATCGGGATAAGCACAAAAGTATTACAAAGTATTTTACTCTGTAGTTTATGTTTCTGTCAACCTCCCTTGGATGATTAATTCTTTAAAATCTTTGATTTTGTGTTACCTATGTGTTCAGAGGATGTGCTTGATAAACACCTATTGAATGCATAATTGAGTCGATAAGCAATGATAAAGTGTCTACCTTAAGTCCAAATGAAATGGATTGTATGTAGATGCATAGATATGTACATAGTTTTACTAAATACAAATGAGAGGAGGGGGGAGATTGTCTAGCCAGAACACTCTATACAGAATAATCTCTATAAATATTTTAAACATTTGTTTACTTGTACTGAAATGAAAGAAAGACTGCAGTGTGTTTGCTTTTGCTAACATTTTGCCTACATGAAGAGAAGTAGGAAAGAAGCCCAAATGTGTAGGTTGATTCCAGATTATTCTGGAGCTGAAATGCTGGGTTGAGTATTTAGGTAACGACAGGCCATCCAGGTTTTGAAATGTGATTTTTTAAAACAAGGAAAATGATGATAAAATACTTCAGTGGAATTAAATTTAAAGGAGTTTGAGCAATGAATGATTCACAAATTGGGCAGCCTTTTGAGCCAGGGTAGGTTCAGAGACTCCAGTGCAGCCTCGTGGTGGAAGAAGATTTATGAATGGAAAAAGGAAAGTGAAACTCACACCTGCAATCCCAGCACTTTAGGAGGCCGAGGTGGGTGGATCATCTGAGGTCAGGAGTTTGAGACCAGCCTGACCAACATGGTGAAACTCCATCCCTACTAAAAATACAAAAATTAGCCAGGCATGGTGGTGGCCACCTGTAATCCCAGCTGCTCTGGAGGCTGAGGCAGGAGAATCACTTGAACCCAGGAGGCGGAGGTTGCAGTGAGCTGAGATCGTGTCATTGCACTCCAGCAGCCCGGGGGACAGAGCAAGACTCCATCTCAAAAAAAAAAAAAAAAAGAGAAAAGAAATTGAGGCACAGAAACAGCCGAATTGGTTACTGCTCGGTGTTTGCCTTATTTGAACACGGTTCAAACAGTTGGCTACATTTGATTGACCAAAACTCAGTGGTTGGCACAGGTTTGGGCTACAGTCTGTTTGTACCACCACTTGTTACAGTTCACGATGTAAAGATAACCTTTAGACTGGACTTAAAACCTGTAAGGAGGCAGCTTTAGGCTAAACTTGATTTAACAATTCCCCACTTTTGGTCATTTTCTCAATTTTGAGACATTGACCAAAACTTTAGTCATTGATGTCACTATCACTATCATAAATATACTGTTTTGGTCTTGAAATTCACTGGGAAACAGCAGAACAGAGGGTTTTGTAAGGTGGGAACAAGGACTGAGTAGAGAGTACTTCCTTATGGAACACCCTGTTTATGAGAGAAATGCAAAACCTGGTCTGTTCTAGGACTTACGTGTTTTCTTAAGGTCTTAGTTTGATTATGTCACATTTAGCATGAGTGATTCTATTTTGGTTTGGTTTAGTCTGTTAGGGCCTAGAGAATGAGCTCAGTCCAAAACAACGGCCTCCCATAATTTTGTTTAAAATAATTCCCCCATTTTGGTCAGGTTTTCACTTAGGTGAGAGTGTAACTAAAACTTAGGGCCTTAGCATCACTCTCAGTTACCATCATTTTGGGTTTCTGGCCTCAGCACATCATTCATAGGTTACAGTGTCTTCATGGTCTCACGTTTCTTTCAGCTCTTGTCATTCCAGTTGAAGAGAGACCATTTGATATTCTAGATATGGCTGCATGCAAATATTTAAAACCTTTGAGAGAATACAGCCTGCAAGGGAGACTATTATTATGACTATCTGGAGGATAATACTATGAGTTTGGCATATGCTCCTTACCCGGTGTCCGCATAAACCAAAGCACCTAAAATTAAATAGATCAAAGAATAAGCTAGATAAAAAGTCTACTCACTTAACTAAGAAGACTCTTCATTAATCCTCTGGAATGAAATGTCTGTAATCTACATTTGATGTATTTTCCATTGTCTACAAGGGCCAGCAGCTGCACAGCTGTTTAGCTAATTATATTATTTAGCGTAAATTTCACAAGAGAATTTAAAGTCTGTTGTGTAACTATAGGCTTTACAGTAGAATCTGCTATAGAGCCTATCATGAGGGGTACATTCCCAATCATTGCTTCTTTTACTCTGAACCATGGAAAAAGGACCTAACAAATGATGTCCTTCTAAAGGAGTGAAGGAGCCCTCCTGGCAATTTTCTCTTTAACTTGTGATGTGGGTTAAGAGGAGTGAACCAATATTCTGTTTCTGACTGATTATGCAGGAACATATGTACTATTTAATTTTTTCACCTACATTGGGGCCTCATCAAGGTATAAGGTTATCCAGGTATAAGGCTGGCTGCAAAATCCTTCACAAATAAAAGTATACCCCATAAGTGCACAAAACATACTGCCTTTTTCACTTCTATTGTTCATAGAGGCATAAGCAAGAGAAAAATATTGAAAGATAAGCATCTCATAATAGTAGAGAAGTCTTCATGCATGATCTTGGGAAAAGCTGTTCACATCAAGGATGCCGTTTTCTTTTGGGGAGAAACTTCCCTGGTTAGCTTTACCTTAAGGGTTCCAATAGGAGTGCAGTTCCAAGAGTGTGGAGCGACCCTTCTCAGTTGTGATATTATGAAACCAGGTTCAAGGTCCTAAAGTTTTGTTGTAGTGTGGATGGCAAGGGCAGTCTTTCTCTGATGTTCTCAGAAGATCCAATCTTCGGGTTCTAGATTGTGAAGAGGTTGATTGTGGTCAGTCAGTGAACCATAAAAAGCTTTCTTTACCTGGTGAAAATACCACTGTGGCATAACAATTACTCTTATAACATCAGCCCTCTTGCATGGGAAAGTTTTTTAATGCAACCAGAAAACATGCACTGAAAATGACATTTGAATAAAATCCCTCTACATATGTTTAAATGGCCCATCAGGTAGCCAAATTTATCAGAAGCTTTGATTGTCTTCCCAGGAATATGGGTTTGACAAAGTAAACATTACTCAAATTATTTTAGCAATTTAGAAATCACCACACCAATGTATATTTAATTTAGATCACTTTAGGTTTTCCAGGATGAGTCATGGAATGCAAAACTTTCTTTTTTTAAGAACTCAGGAAGGACAAGGCAGCTGTCCTGGTTCTCCATGAGTTCATCTTTAACATTGGACTTATGTCCTCTTAAATACCAGTTGTTTCTCCAATTGAGGGGCATAGCACTAATAGCTGGTAGGTTATCATAGGTAATTTGACTTAGACCATGGAGTTCATTCAAATTGTGTATCTAAACAATTGCACTATTGGCTGATTTAGCATGAAAATCTGGCAAAGTATTTTCTTGATATTCAATTAATTTTTGTTCTACTTGGGTTAGCATTTTATAAACCAGTCAGTCTTTTCATTAGAGTTCCAGGAATGCTTACCTAGCCCAAATGATATGATTTTAAAATTATGAGAAACCTGTATTCAAGAGTGCTTTACAGGTCCTTTTTATTTTTTCATGAACCTCCTAAAAGACACCATATTCTAGGATTTTGCATGCTTGTGAGGTTTTCAGAAACTGCACCAGCATTAAGCAATTAACTGTGGAAATGACTTTAAGTGGTCATAGTTAAAGACACAATTGTCAAGGAAATTTAGTTATTTCTATAGTTTATAATAACTTAATAACCAAAATTATGATTGATAGCATATTCTCAGACATTAGAATTTTAGAAATCCCATATAATTTTGGAACATATATTAATATCATTCACTAAAAATATAACCGGAAGAAGTTTAAACATTATTTTTTATTTTGACAATGCTTCCCACGTAACTTAACATGTCAAACAATCCTGTTTACCTCTCTTTTCGATGCTTCAGGGGCCCTCTGTAGAATTTCAAAGTTAGAGGTCAGAAAAGACAATTTTGAAGCTGAAATTTGATTTGGGGAAGTCTATCAAATATATTAAAGGTTTTAAACACTTGATATTATAAAATAGAATTCCAGGTCAATGTAAGTCATTCATTCAGGCAAAATGATGACTCACAAATTTTAAAAAGTCAAAAACCATTACTCATTGATAGGGGAAAGTCTTAGCTTTCCAGTCTCTTGTCTTTCCCTTCTTTTTTTGGTAGTTTATTCAAAAAGCATTAAAAAATCTTTCATTATCCTTTAATATTACATGAAAATCTTGTTCAAGAGAGAAAGCCAAATTTCACCCTTGCATTAGTGTATTATTAATGCCAACCCCAATCTTTTTTTTTTAATTTTTATTTTTTGAGGTGGAGTTTCCCTCTTGTTGCTCAGGCTGGAGTGTAATGGTGCGATCTCAGCTCACTGCAACCTCCACCTCCCAGAGGTTCAAGTGATTCTCCTGCCTCAGCCTCCTGAATAGCTGGGATTACAGGCATCCTCCACCATGCCTGGCTACTTTTTTGTACTTTTAGTATAGATGGGGTTTCATCATGTTGGCCAGGCTGGTCTCAAACTCCTGACCTCAGGTGATCCACCTGTCTTGGCCTCCCAAAGTGATGGGATTACAGGCATAAGCCACCACACCCGGCCAACCCCAATCTTTAATATAACCTTATAGACAAATCTACCAATTTTAATCAGTTTGACCATAAGGTAAGATTTTCATAAACCTTTTATAACCCTTTACAAATCTTTGTTAAAGAGTAGATCAGTGCTCTAAGCACACTCTGTTGTGCTTTTATTCCAATCTTCAATTTACAGAAAAAAATGGATAATATACCTTTAAATTTAGCCAATGTGTTCATATACGGGATCTCTTTTACAAATAATTTTTCACAAATCTTTCACAACTTGTTCAAACCTTTAGCTTTATTCTATCTAATTTAAAATAATCCTTTAAACCAGGCAAAAATTTACATTTCCATGTCTTCTTATAATCTTTTACTAAAAGCACATTTTACTTTTCTTATCCACCTTGCATGTAAAACTGTTTTTTCAGTAGTCTCAAGTATATGTTACAATGTTAACTTTTAGCAATTTTTTTTTTGTGAAAAATATGGTAAGTGATTGTAATTATGTATGGATAAGGTCTGACTCTTTCCAGCATAGCTAGGGGACCACATGTCCCCAGGCCTTACCTACTTATAAAACAGGCAAGTTGAACAACTTTCAAAAACCAAGGAAGCAGTTTATGATCTTAAAGCATTAGCAAACTAATATCAGACCTGCCTAATTTAGACCAAGTTTCTTTATTTTACTAGTAATATTTAAAACTATTTTTATTTCTCAAAGATTACTAAAGTCACTTGAACTAAAAGACATTACAGTATTTTTTTCTTTCAAAATATTCGATTTAAATGCTTTTCTTTAAGCCAATTAATTTGAGCTGTTCTACATTACCATCACACTCACAACACATATATAACTACACAGACGGACAGAAGAAGATCCAGTAGTTGTAAGACTTTTTATTTGCCAGTTTTTAAGTTTCGTAACTGGCTTCAAGGTGGAGCCCTTCCAAGAACAGGGTCAGGAAAGCAGACAGTTTCTAGGGCCTAAGGAGGGAAGCTAGAAGTTGTTCATGGAGGAGAAGGGAATCAACAAATGGTAAAGGTCACACAGATATCAACAAGAAATTTCCTATGCTAGATTGAATCCAGGCCACCATTGTAAAATGGCACAGCCTTAGCTGCTGAGCTACAGCACTGGGAAGTTTCCATTGCTCTTCCCAGAAGGAATCTGGAGCAATCAGTTTTGAGCTTGCAAAGACTTTTAACTGCTTGAGATAATTTTTAGTGCTATGACATAAGTCCCCAAAATCCTATTCCCTGGAAGGCAGAGACCAAGAGAAAATAACCACCACATGGTCATAAGGTCAAGCTTTCAAGGACATAAAACAAGGTGGAGACCTCATCCAGTTTTTTTGTTTATTTCAGGGATCTGCAGCAAAGTTTGTTACTGACTGGCTTGCTGCATCATCGTGAATAGTGACTTTATGGGGTCCTGTATTAGTCTGTTCTCATGATGCTAATAAAGGCATAGTTGAGACTAGGTAATTTATAAAATAAAGAGGTTTAATTGACTCACAGTTCAGCATGGCTGTGGAGACCTCAGGAAACTTACAATCATGGTGAAAAGGGAAGCAAACATGTCCTTTTTCACATGGTGGCAGGAAAGAGAAGGATGAGAGTCAAGCAAAAAGAGAAAGTTCCTTATAAAACCATCAGATCTCATGAAAGCTTACCCACTATCATGAAAATAGCATGGGGGGACCGCCTCCATGATTCAATTACCTCCCACCGCGTCTGTCCCATGACACATGGAGATTATGGGAACTACAATTCAAGATGAGATTTGGGTGGTATCACAGCCAAACTATATCAGGACCTAAGCCCATGTTCTGGCCTAAGGTACCCCTCTTTATGATAGAACCATAAAGGAAGACATACAAAGCACACGAGATTTGCTACAGCCTAAGACTAGCCTCAGAATCCTTTTTTGCACTAATCAAAACTTTACAGAGGAGATGAATCATGATTTTTACCATTCATTCAACCAGTTTGCACAGACAGAGAGGCTAGATGTCTGACTGGTAAATAATCTTTACTCTTTTGCTGGCATGACAGACTGCTGGGTTTCCTTTCCCTGAGAGGCCCTAGCAACCCTGCTCACCACACTGTAGCCCTAGAAGCCAAGCTGCAATACAAAAGAATATTATTATTATTTTTCTGTTTCAGGGAACCACAGGCAAAACCTCTCAATTTTGTAAGATGCTGTCCAAGGGGCTGCATGGGGTAATCAAATTAACATTTTCCACTCTGTCCAGAGCAAAACACATGTGACAAAACATAGACATTAGCCATTCTGCTTAGCACCCAATATTGAACTGGAAAGACTCAAACTTGCCCCCAGTTGAGCCCTGTCATCTTTAATCCAACATCTGACCAGGAGTTTCAACATGTGGTCTCTGGGTAAGATGGTTGCCCTGAGTAACAGAAAGGATAGGAAAGAGAAAGACGAGAAAAAAAAACAAGCATTCCCTGTGGCAGGGTATGGAGAAGGTGAGGAGCTCAGGGAGGCCAGAGAAAGACCCACACATTGCAGCGATACTGAATCAAAAGTTCAGGTGGCTGCTTGTTGGTCCTGTACATGCCTATCCCTGTCACCCATAGCTGTCAGCAAAGAGTGCACGGCAGATTAATCCAAAGAGAATAGTGGTTAACATCCCATGGTGCCAAATCCACTTTTAACCAAGAGGGACTTTACTGAGGGGAGGGTCTGTAGTCCAATTCCGTCCTTTACTCAGGTAAAATGTACCCCATTACTTACCCAAAGTCAGCCAATTGGTGCTCCAGTCTATTTCCTTTGAATTGGGATGGTACCTAAGCTAAAAAGTTAGCAGATTTAATTTTTTTAAACCAATTAGTTACTTAAGCTTTTTATTTGTCCTTCTTACAGTCTTTAAATAAAAATATTCAAATCTTTTTAGAAGCTTCTTCATATCAATGGGCACCCCTAGATGAGACTAATTTGGGAGCCCTCATTTTCAAATGCACTTCAGTGTAGTTTTGCTCATTTGGAACGTTCCACTCTACATTATATTAAGTAAGATTTTGCCATTTCTATAAGACCTCACTGCTTCTGGGACCTAACACTTATGCAAGTATAAGCCAGAAGGAACTCAGTACTTTGTAAATTAAGGATCTCATTTTTACCTAAGATATTGACTTTGCTCTCAGGTTCCTTTGATTAACTTAGCCAATGATATATTTTTTTTTTCCTACCGAAGCACGTAAGAAAAAGGAAACGTGTAGAACATGAAAATCCCTGTGAATTTTCAAAAGCCAAATTTTGCAACCCCTGCAATATTACCATTTACTTTTTTTTCTGATCCAGTCAGATATAAGAGGCCTTTAACTAGATTCAAGCCAGATTACTAAATCAAATCCAATCCTGGACCCAGTCCAGTTTCTGTCATGACCTTTAAGCCCAGTTTGGATCAGAATTTGTTAAAAGAAACTTGGAGAGCTCAAAACACAAATCTGTGGAGCTCTGAAATTCGAGAGAGAATTTCAGAATGCTGCCCAGCTGCTCCGACAGATCAATGGACACAATTGGATCCTGTGGGTACCTTGCTTTGGTCACTCAGTCTTCCTGGGGTTTGTTGGAAACTCTACTCAAACCCTGCTTCTGATACCATCTGATAAAGGAAAAACTTCAGCTGAATTAAATTTAAAGGAGTTTAATTGAGCAATGAATGATTCGTGAATCGAGCAGGCTTGTGGGCCAGGGTAGGTTCAGAGACTCCAGTGTAGTCATGTGGTAGAAGATTTATGGACAGAAAAAGGAAAGTGATGTATAGACAATGAAAGTAAGGTGCAGAAACAACTGGATTGGTTACAGGTGAGCGTCTGCCTTATTTGAACATGGTTCGAACAGTTAGCTACATTTGATTGGCAAAAACTCAGTGATTGGCACAGGTGTGGCAATCTGTTTACCACAGATTTAACAAGTGGAGGGGTCTGTTTACTCTTCCACTTGTTATAGTTCACGATGCACAGAAAAATGTTTAGGCTGAACTTAAAATATGTAAGGAGGCAGCTTTAGGTTAAACTTCATTTAACAGTGATGTGAATATATTTGTGCATTAGAAAGATTTACATGGCAAGAATCTATATTATATTTAATGGAGAAGGCTACAGGGTAAATAAATTGAAGATGCTGTACTGAAATTATAAAAGGCTTTTTATATGTCAGGCTGAGGTGCTTTCACCGCATTGCCAGTGAATAAAGCAAGGCAAAAGGGAAAGTATCAACACGGATAAAGGTCAGTAAAAATGCATTTGGTTTCTGGAAATTTTTGATAATAGTTTTGGCACTTTTTAGGAGATAAAGGTTTTTGTATTAACCACAGTGAACTAATCTCATTTGAATTACTTTGAATCCTCCAGTTGTCAAGAAGGAATTTAACACATTTAGCAAAAATAATGGAGGAAAGCTAAAGAGAAAACCAATCTTCTGCATAGACTTAAGATAAATCACCAAAAGACAATGACAATGGCTACACATTTTTTTCTGTTTGTTTATAAAGAGTAAGTGTTTTCTGTCTTAAAGCCTGACAAACAGAAATCATTAAAAGGTTAATAATGCTTTCTCCCAAACATAGGGCTAAAAACTAGAATTTTTAAGACATTTAAAAATAACATAAATAGAACACAATGCATACAAGGAAATTATGATTCCAGAGAAGATTTTTACATCAAAGTTTCTTTTACTGGAAAAGAAAATTGACAGCAAAGCTAATCTTCAGAAAGATGCTCTTTTTGTTAGGAGTCTATCAGAGAGAAGTAAAGTTGAGAGGAATGAGTAGCTTTGAATGGGACTATTCTGTGTAAACTTTAAAAATTAGTCTGGCTCAAATAGTAGCAATGTTATACCTGAAGAAGTTAGAAGACTGTGAAATCTATAATGATTTTCCTCCAGAGGCTTTCAGCCTCAACTTAAAAGAGTGCTATGCATTAGATCATTAGGGCATGGGACAGAGTAGTGAGCATAATCATATTTAGAAGACATATTTTAAGCAGATTTCAGGTTATTTGGCAAATCATTAATGAACAAAGTAGTCAGGAAAGGTAAAACTTCATAAGATTAGTTTTATCTATGGACCACATCCTCTAGGATGTATGCAGTTACAGCCTGATGCAGGCTAATAATTTTGGACATTTTCTAATAGATGATCATTAAGTATTTCCTTGACACAATTGTGTATGTGTGTATGTATGCGTCTTTTAATGTGAAGGTGAATGAAGTGAGTGGAGAAGGATATTTGGAGGTTGAACCCTTATTTAAATACTCCATGGAAAGAACAGAACAGAAAATTTGAATTAGCAGGATTACACTCTCTCTCCCCTTTATTACTGGTATTACCTGGGCCAAGAGACATACAAAAGTTATTCTCCTAACTGCATACAGTCTTATCTTAAAGAGAAACCATGGCGAATACATTTTTATTTGTCTCCTTCCATTTCCAATAAAGCAATTTTGCACACTTTACAGGTTTTCACCTTATTCTCTTGACTTCTACTTCCACCCCTTAATTCAGTCCTAATCACCGGTGACTAAGGTCTTCCTTTTTTACTCTACATCAATCCTGGGTGTTGTGTGGTTTCCAAAAGGAAATTAGGAAGTTGGAATTGGAGGCTGAGATTTGAGAGTCAAAGATGGATCATCCAAGAGGGTGTGAGCTGATGGATAAGTGGTTGATTGATTTCTGTTTTAGTCCATTGACGCTGCTATAAAAAATATAGTAGTTTATAAACAACATAAATTTATTTTTAGAATTTTGGAAGTCCAAGATCAAGATGCTGGCAGATGTGGTATCTTGGGAAGGCTCACTCTCTGCTTCCGAAATGGTGCCTTGTTTCTGCATCCTCATACTGTGTAAGGTGGAAGGGCAAAAGGAATAAATGTGTCATGAAAATGCCAGACAGTCTCTGAAGCCTATTTTACAAAAGTGTTAATCCCATTAATGAAGACAGAGCCCTAATTACTTAATAACTTCTCAAAAGGCCATACTTCTTAATACCACCCCCTTAACGTTTAGAGTCCAACATATGCATTCTGGAGGAACACATACATTCAAACCATGACACTATCTAATTGGGAGATACTGTTTGCTATATCCCTAATGGGGAGGGCATCATCCCCAAAACTTACAAAAATTTGTAACAACTTAAAGCAAGCTGTTGAAATCTGCTGCTGATAGATCCTTCTGATATTCTCTTTGATAGATTGCATACCTCAGTTACTCTTATGTATAAAATGACTATCTGTGAGTATAATACAAAGGCTTTTGGTTCAAATAAACAACAGGTACCACAAACATATGTAGTAGAAAATGTCAGAGGATCATCTCTCTCTCTTCCTCATTTTGATCACCAATTTCTCTGTCTTCTTTATTTTTGTCATTAAGAATTCCTAGAGGTTAGCCCCTTGGTCCTCTCTGTTCCTAATTCATGGACATTTTTATTCATTCCTTCAGCTTTCTATAATGTCTCTGTGGAGAGTTCCAGAACAAATGCTTTCAGTCTTCATCATTTTCATGATATTTAGTACACTTTATGCTGGGAAATTTCACATTGGATATATATGTTGCCTAAAATCCAACATGTCTAAAACTAAATGTATTATCTTTCTCCCAATCTCATCTTGATTCATGTATTTCTGTAATTAATAACTCTATCTTCCAGTTATCAACAATATATTCAAAGTTCAGAAAAGTATAAAGATGGAGGAAAAGTTATATACAATCAAACATTTTCTCCCAATGCATTATTTTTTAAAATAAAACTAAAGTAATCCTGTATACATAATTTTTATCCATCTTTAATCCTAAAATTTTCACCATGTCATTAGAAATCCTTTCTAATTAAAATTTTAAAGGCTACACAATTTTATTCTTTTTTTTCTTCTTTCTTCTGATTATATCTTTTTAGGTAACCTAATTTTGATCCATCGTCGATGCTGTCTCTTGCATTTTTTATTTAATTCATTGCATTTTCAGCTCCAAAATTTCTGTTTTTAAAAAATAATTTCAATCTGTTTGTTAAATTTCTTATTCTGCTCATTGATTGTTTTTCTCATTTTACTGAACCATTTCAGTGAAAGAAAGAAGAGGTAGGAGAAGTCAGCAGAGCCTCATGGGTAATGACAAAAGCTTTGGATTTACTCTAAGGGCATTGGGATGCTATGAAGTTTTAAAATGAAAGTGTAGCAATTTACACTTTACATTGATGTTTTGAAAAGACAATTCTTACATTGGAGCTACAGGTAGAGAGGAAGCAAGGACATAAACAGGTGATTTCTAGAATATTTCATATGAAATTAAGAAAAGTAGATTAATGCAAGGTATATTTGGAGATAGACCAACAAAATGTGGTGGCAGACTGGAGGTGGAAGGAAAGAGAAGAAATTTATGATGACTCCTGGATTTCTTGGTTTAGTAAATTGGGAGATAGTAATGTCCCATTTCTAGAGATAGGATTAATTTTATGTGGAAAACCAAGAGTTATGTTTGAGATGCTTGTGACACATCCAAATAAAAATGTCTAGTGAGAAGCTGGCTATAGAATAAGAGAGGGCAAGGCTATGAGTGTATTTTTGGGCTCATAAGCATATAAAATATCATTAAAAACCAAAAGAGGTTGGGCGTGGTGGCTCACGCCTGTAATGCCAGCACTTTGGGAGGCCAAGGCGGATGGATCATGAGGTCAGGAGTTCAAGGCCAGCCTGGCCAAGATGGTGAAGCCCTGTCTCTACTAAAAATACAAAAAAATTAGCCGGGCATGGTGGCGGGTGCCTGTAATTCCAGCTACTCAGGAGGCTGAGGCAGAGAATTGCTTGAACCCAGGAGGCGGAGGTGGCAGCGAGCCGAGATCACCCCACTGCACTCCAGCCTGGGCGACAGAGCGAGACTTTGTCTCAAAACAAACAAACAAACAAACCCCAAAAAACCAAAAGAGTAAAAGAGATCTTTGAGGCTTAGGGAAAAAATTATATTTAATTAATAATGTGTAAAGAATCGGCATGTTGTGAACTTCAAACTTATCTAGGAACATCTTATATCTATTCATATATTCATATCTTTTATTTCTATGAATAAAAATTTGTAGTGTGTCCTACGATAGGTTTGTGGATTTCTTACTGAGCTTATTCTTAGGTATTTTAACTAGGTATATTATCATTATTGAATGGAATATTTTTTCACTGTATTTTACACCTGTTATTTGTATATTACAAAGCTATAAAAGTTTTAACTTTTATTGGAAAAATTTAAAAAAATTTATAATTAAGCCTAATAGTGTTTCTTCCTACTTACTTGGAGTTTGGAGGTTGATAATCCACATCATATTTAAGTAAAAATGTTTCTCGTCCTTTCTACTAGTTATACTATTGATTTCTGTTTCTTGCTTTATTGAACTACCTTCCTCTTCTAGAAAAAGATAAAATATTAATTTAAACGCAGAATTGTTCTTCTTGTAAATGTAACTTAAATTACAACATCTTTTTCAGTATAAAGTAGAATGTTATTTTAAGATGCATATACATATATCTATGTGTGTGTATGTGTGTGAGAATGTGTGTGAATTTTTGTCATAAAGCCCCACTTTGTCATGGGGGATCCTTTATATTGTGTTGAATTGTTCTGCTAGTATTTTGCTTTATTTCTGATTTTTACACCAATATTAGTGAATTAGCTAATTTAGCTATATTTAGCTTTTGGGTGCTACTTTTTCATCAAGTTTTTATATCAGAGTCAGTAGTTCCCTAAAATGAATTGGATAGATTCAGAGATTTAGGTCTTTTTATTGCTCTAAAATGGATTACATGGCAAAGAAATGAACAATATGTAAATATTTAATGGGTATCACAAGTAAAATCTCTCAGCATGAAACTTTTGGGAGGTTCATTCAATCATTTGCAACGTTTTAATATTTTTGTGACTCTTCTAAGCAGCATATCATAGATTTTGGTAGCTTAATTGTAGTTGTTTTTTGTCTTTCAATAGAGTGATTGAACTTCCTGTCATTTAAAAAAATGACAATTTTTTAGGCATTTAAAAATTGATTTAGGCATTTAAAAAATACTTTGCCTCACATTCCATTGCCTGCCTTTCCTTCTTCCTCCTTTTCTCCTCACCCTTCCCTATTCTCTCTCTCTCCCTCCCTCCCTCCCTCTTTCCTCCCTTCCTCCCTTCTCTCCTTCCTTCCTTCCTTCCTTCCTTCCTTCCTTCCTTCCTTCCTTCCTTCCTTCCTCTTTTGGGGTACAGGCAATGTCTGGTTTAATTTTGTCATTGTTGGGTTTGTTCTATTAGTGATTACCTTTATATGAAATATACACTTGATATACTACAAGCTTCATCAGGGTGAAGGGTTTCATGTCTTTTGTTCACTGATATATTCTAAGAATCTAGAAGAGTGTCTGACACATCATAGATTATTTGTGAATGTTTGTTAAATGAATGGGCCTGTGCAGGATAAGGCATTTAACATACACTTGTTTTCTGTTGTCCTCTCCTAATCAAATTTATTAACTCAATCTGGAATTATAGAAGCAGGTTGTTATTTAGCAGCAATTATATTTACATATAGATCATGTTTTTAATAATTTTTTAAATTCTATTTTAGAAATATCTTTGTAACATTTATATGTAACTCTGTGACATATTGAATTCACTAGTCATCATTAGATATTTGTTCTATAAACATCTTTTGCATTTTTATTTTTTGATATCACATGGTACATTATCTTTAGGTTAATTGTTCCAAAATGTTTTCAGGAATTCAGCATGAATGGCATACATTCTGAGTCTACAGATGTATGAGATATTTCATACGTGTTTTCACATATTATACACGTTAATTATACACATTATACACTTTCACAAATTAAAGTATTCATGGCCCTGCTCGCTCTTATTCTGGCTTAGCACTTTTGATCATAAATATTTTTCTATCATAGATTCAGCCTTAGCTATTTTGGAGCAGCTGCTTGAGAGCCTCCTGGAATTTGTTACTTTTTTATTTTTATATTTCACTTTTCTCCCTGTAATTTTGGATTTTCTTTTAAAATAGATTTTTCCTAGAGTATGGTGCTTTTTTTGAGTTGTAGATGGTCTTTCACTCAAGTAAAACATTTTCTTCAATTATGTCTTTTACTTTTCCATTTGTTCAGTTTTCTTTCTGAATGTTGTGATTTTTATTTTTATGGTTTCTTTCTAATTTAGTCTTGAGGTATCTCTGTCCAGAGTGGCCATAGGCCAAAATAGTCACTGTCTAGGAGAGCCCTGACCAGGGGATTTGGGTGTGTGTGTCAGGCGAGACACAATGAGGAGGTGAAACCAAAATGCATGAGACAGAAGAAATTTATTACTCATAGGTCCCAGAGAGGTAAGGAGTAATAATGAAAAGCTTAGGGAAAGTCCTGACGTGACAGGAACTCAAGATGGGGGCTGGGAGGTGGAGAGAGGAGAGGATCTGTGGGACTATATGTTTATTAAGGTCCATGGCACTATTCCTTAGGCTTTCCATGGGGGTTGTGAATTGGCTAGTTTAAAAAAAAAAAAAAAAGCATGAATGAGAGGGAAGGAACTTAAATGACTGATGATGATGAATAAGTATCATTATAGCAGCAGTGGGTGTGTTGGGCTGTAGGTCAGTGGGAAGAGGAAACAAATGGGCTATATCACCAGCAACCATATAGAGAAGGGAAGTTTTTACTAGGCCAGAGGTGACAGGGTACAACTGGGTTTCAAACAACTTATGTCAGGCCTAAAAATGGATGCCCAGGCAGAAACCACATTAAACAAATTTATGGTATTGAGGATTTAAAATGCTTGTATTGAGTCTTCTTTCTCTGCCCTCAATATTTAATATCATCTTTTTTATATGTTCACTTCTTTATTTTTGCTTTATATCACATAGAAGTCTCTAAAAGTTATCTTTCACTAAATATTTGTTTTTCTAAATTATACAGTTGGCATTTGACTATTTTGTTTTCAAGTTCCTTAAGTCTATTTGTTTATTTAAAAAATGTCTGCCTTCATATCCATTGTTTTTTAATGGCTCTGTGCTCCAATTTTATTAAGGTCTTATTGTCTTTTTGTTTTAAAAAATTGTTCAATTTATTCTGGCATTTTCAAGGTCTTATTGTCTGGTACTTTTTTTTCCCCCTTAACACAGAGCAACTGTTTTCTAAAATATTATCCTGTTTTATAAAAAATAGGGATCTGATCATTCTCTTAATTTTGAGTGAAATATTTCCTCTTTTTATAACATAGTTTATTTTTGATGTGTTCCATTTTGTTTTTCTCCCCTTGCATATGCACTTATCTACCAAAGAGTTACTGCCTCTTTCTGTTTGCAAACCGAAAGGTGGTTGGAATTTCATGATTGTCTTTGATGGCTTGCATGCTGGTGGCTTCTACCTCTAAGATTCAGGCCTCCATGGCAGGTTAATTACCACAGCTTTTGGTACAATTTGAAGTATACAGAAAAAAAAAAATTCTAGTTTGAAAAAAACTAGTTTTTTTAGTTTTTTTCAAACTGGAATTTTTTTTTTTCTGTAATTAACTGAAATATTTCTCTTGCTTTAACTATTTTGTTCTCTGCCCAGAATAGAATATCTGAAAAAAAGACTGCAGTTCTTTACTGAGGTATATTAATTTGAAAAAAACTCCCCCAAACAAAACAGAACAAAACAAAACCCCCTAACTATCTTATCAAGCATGCGGTACTTCTGATTAACTTCTTTTCCCTTAGGTAACTATAAGAATTATTTAGAATTTTTTTCAGCTGCAATAACAGAAAATATGACTCCAATAGAAAAGTTATTTGAGGCCATGCGTGGTGGCTCACGCCTGTAATCCCAGCACTTTGGGATGCCAAGGTGGGCGAATCACGAGGTCAGGAGATCGAGACCATCCTGGCTAACACGGTGAAACTCCATCGCTACTAAAAATATTTTAAAAAGTTAGCCGGGCATGGTGGCAGGTGCCTGTAGTCCCAGCTACTTGGGAGGCTGAGGCAGGAGAATGGCGTGAACCCGGGAAGCGGAGCTTGCAGTGAGCCGAGATCGCGCCACTGCACTCCAACATGGGCGACAGAGCGAGACTCCGTCTCAAAAAAAAAAAAGTTTTTTGAATAATAAGCATGTTTATTAACTCATATAAGCTAGAGGTAGAGTGGCGTCAGGGCTTATTTAGTGGATGGAAGACATTATGAAGACCCAGATACTTTCATCTTTTCCCTCTGCCACCTTCAATATTCTGGCTCCTCTCCTCATCATTAGAAGACAGGTGTTGGAGCTCCAGGCCTCAAATCCTCACAACACGGCTTTTTCTACAAGCAGAAAAGAACCCAATCCTCAACCGTGTTTCCTTCACCAGTGAGAACACCTTTCTGAGGAGCTCCCAGGAAGGTAAGTCCTCATATCTTGTTGTAAAGAATTGTGTTACATACTCATTCCTCAATTAACCACTTGTAAGAGGAATGGATTTCCATAATTAGCTTAGGTCGGCGGTTCTCAACACAGTCTGCACGTAAACTACCTGGGCAACAAAACAAAACAAAACAAAACAAAAAACCCCTGTAACAACACACCAATTAAATCAGAATATCTGAAACTGGCCTATGGTTATCTGTATTTTTAAAAGTTCTTTGTGTAGCAATACACAGATGTGGAGAATCATTGGCTTAGGCTTATCTAAGTTCAAAATCCAGGCCTTAGGGTTAAGGAGGGACCCAGCCTTCTCAGACGCACCTGGCTGATACCGTTTGGCTCTGTGTCCCCACCTGAATCTCATTTCAAATTGTAATGCCCACGTGTTGGAGGAGGGGCCTGGTGGGAGATGTTTGGATCAGGGGGCGAATTTCTCCCCTCGCGGTTTTTGTGATAGTGAGTTCTCATGAGAGCTGATGGTTTTAAAGTGTGGCACTTCCTCCCTTGCTCTAGCACTCTCTCCTGCCACCATGTAAAATGTGCCTTGCTTCCCCTTTGCCTTCCTCCAGGATTCGAAGTTTCCTTAGGCCTCCCCAGCCATGCGGAACTGTGAGTCAATTAAACCCCCTTTTAAAAATAAATTAGTCAGTCGCAGGTAGTTCTTTATAGTAGTGTGAAAATGAACTAATACACTGGCCATTTGATATTTGAACAAAACCAGGATCTTATAGTTGAAGAAGGGCTGGCTGATGGGTCGTCATCTTTGTTCTGTGCAGTTGGCTACCATTTTGTGTTCTAAGAACTGAAGTATTGTCTTCGCTATCTAAAGAGAGGAGCTGATGAGCGTGCAGATGTGTGCCATCACTGTGGCTAACGTCGAAGAGCATTCCCTTGTGTTTGGGTGAATAGCTATGTTATCTTCAATGTACAGCTAGTTTGTGGAGTCTGTAAAAAGTTGTGGTAAATCTGAGCTTTTCCTGCTGTACTTTAGGGCACCTATGCTGCTCTGTTACAGTCAACTGAGCAAAGGTAATTTAAAAAATGATTATCCATTTCCATCAGAGCTGTAAGAAGCAAGACTTTGGCAGCCAGTGTTCTTTTTAACTTGTAATATCATTTTAGACGTTTTTATTCTTTCCGTCTTTATTCTGCTATTTCCCAGAATTGTTCACTAGACCAGACCAGGTACTTTGAGGAACAGAAACGTGTTTGTATTCACCACTGCATGCCCATCATTACATACACACACAGAATAGAGCTAAGGCTTAACAAATATTTGATGAGTAAAGGAACGTGCTTCTCTGCTCTGATCAGACCAGTCTAGTCACAGGCCATGCTCATGCAGTGGTTTCTCAACCTAAAAATAGGAATTTCTGGGTTCCTTCTATTTCTTTAGTCTTTTCTCAATGTAGCAGCCCACATAGTTCTTTTAACCCTTATGTGAGATCATTTCATTCTTCAGCTCAAAACCTTCCACTTTTTCCCATCCATTGCAAAATAAAAGCCAACGCACTCAGATTCATCTCTAAGGCTCTATGATCTGGAATTCTAGCTTTTCTCTGGTCTCATCTCTTACTTTTCTTTCCATCATTTTCTTCGAATCCAAACATGTTGTCATTCTTACTGTTCCTGAACACAGCAAGTATAATCCTGCTTCAGGGCATTTACTTGCTGTTCCCTCTGTTCAGGAGACTTTTCCCATAAATGGCCACATAGCTCACCCTCTCCCCTGCTTCACACCTTTGTCCAAATGCCACCTTACCAAGGAAACTTCCCTGACCAGCCTATTTGAAACACTCATTTAAAACCTCATCAGCCCATTTTCCTTCCCTGCTTTGTTTTTCCCTTTGTGTTTATCATCATTTTCATCTGCAATACTATACATATGCTTCTTTATTGGCCTGTTAACATGTCATCCCCAGAGGAGTACAGGCTTTTTAAAGTCAGGAATTTCAGTCTTCATTATTTGTAACTGGACCCCTATTGCTGGGAACAGTGCTTGGCACAGAATTGGTACTCAATAAAGAATTGATGAGTGAACACATTATCTGCTTTCTTTACCTGTAAACTGGGGGTAACAGTACCCACCATGCAATTTTCCTTTGTGCCTTAGTGATAATGCATATAAGGTAATTAGCACAGTGCTCAGCACATAGTACTTGCTGAACAAATTATGGCTTTTGTTATTTTTATAATACAGTAAAAACCTAAAACCCTGTTTCATCTAATTCCATAAACATATATGGATAAATTCTGTTATGTCCAAGGCACCATTTTTACAGAGTATAAAGACAGAAAAGGCAAAGCCCTTAGCCTTATAGGAGTAGCATATAAACATGGAAACTATTTTTTGTATTTAGGTACCCCAAATTCTTGCATGATTCATATTTAAATTTCTAGAGTTTCCAGATATCTCAAGTGCTGATAGGAAGCCTTTTCAACAATAACAAAAAAATAAATTCACATGCACATTCCTTCTCTGTAAGAATGCCTTTGAACATTAGTGCATCTCTCTTTCTCTAGGTTATATTCTTGCCTAGGAATTTGAACATCTCTAGAAAAGGTAGAACACAAAGTCACAGTCTGCTGTTTCAAATTACCACCTTTATCTATGCTTTTTATATCACCCACATCTCTGTATCATGAATATGTACATCTATATCTATGTATAGATAGATCTATGTGTAGAAACTTTTTATAGGAAAACTTTGTGTTTCTATGTATAGATCTATATATAGAAACTTATCTATGTATAGAAACTTTGAGATATAAATCACATACTTTTATTATAAGGAAGTATTTTAACCCTAAAAAGCAACATAGAGGAAATATAATGAATATCAGCGTAGTCTAAAGTTTTATCAAATCTTAACATTTTGCCATGTTTGATTCAAACATTTTTCCTAGTAAATCGATTATTACAGATGTGGTTGAATATCCCTATTTTATTTCCCAGATTCTATTTTCCTCTCTTTCTCACCAGAGATAATCCTGAATTTGTTGTTTCTAATTACAAAGAATTTATTCTTTTTAAGTCTTATAACTAGTAAATCCTGGATGTAAATTACACCAGGATTCACATTAGAATAGAGCAAAAGAAACAAAATAAAATATCTCATTTTAAACTCTGGAGGTCTACTTTCTCTGGAAAAATCAGGAAACCTGGTCAATCCAGGTCTTCATTTCTTTAGAATTTCTTCATTTCTTCAGGTGCCCAGATGAAACTGAGAGATGGTTATCTACTCATCAACAGAGTTGCATTTAAGTTCTGCTAACTTACTTCTGGGCTATTTCTTTCATTTATATTTCTTATCAGGGCTTTATAAATATTTGCATTTGTAACTTTTGTTCTCTAAACCTTTTCTAAACCTTTTTTTTTTTTTTTTTTTTTTTTTTTTTTTGAGACGGAGTCTCATTCTATCATCCAGGCTGGAGTGCAATGGCGCCATCTCGGCTCACTGCAACCTCTGCCCGTTTGGATTCAAGCCATTCTCCTGCCTCAGCCTCCTGAGTAGCTGGGATTACAGGCACGTGCTGCCACGCCTGGCTAATTTTTGTATTTTTAGTAGAGATGGGGTTTCACCATGTTGGCCAGGCTGGTCTTGAACTCCTGATCTCAAGTGACATGCCTGCCTCGGCCTCCCAAAGTGCTGGGATTACAGGCATGAGCCACTGCGCCCAGCCATTGTTCTCTAAACCTTTTTTTCTTTTGAGACAGAGTCTCGCTCTGTCCCCCAGGCTGGAGTGCAGTGGCTAGATCTCGGCTCACTGCAAGCTCCGCCTCCCGGGTTTACGCCATTCTCCTGCCTCAGCCTCCCGAGTAGCTGGGACTGCAGGTGCCTGCCACCGCGCCTGGCTAATTTTTTTTTTTTGTATTTTTAGTAGAGACGGGGTTTCACCGTGTTAGCCTGGATGGTCTCGATCTCCTGACCTCGTGATCTGCCCACCTCGGCCTCCCAAAGTGCTGGGATTGCAGGCATGAGCGACCGCACTAGGCCTGTTCTCTAAAACTTTAACCCCTTAACAATTTTAAATAAATTGTTTCTTTTTGGCTTATCTTCTGCTTCATTTTTATTTTAATTCACTCGGTTGTGCATTTCTGCTTTGATAACCATTCTTTTGTTGAAGAAGATGAAAGCAAAATTGGTACTTTCCCTTTTCACATTTCCATGAGTCACCAGTTTACCTACCTTTAAGCAATGGGCCTAATTTTTCATATTTTTTCTTGAATTTAATGTGGTGAGTAATATCCTTCTTTTTCTTTTTCCCTTAGCATTGTTTTATGAGACTGACATAATTTGGAGTTAGAAGAAGCTCACATTCACCTCCTCAGCCTTTGAAAGCTTTCTTTTAAGTTGTTAAACCAAACATTTAGGGATTACAATCCTAAATCACCTGTACTTTGATTTGGTATATATTTTATTCCATGTTTGTCATTAAAAGAAATTCTTAAGCCAGGAACTGGTAACACAGAGAAAGACCCATGGTTTTATATTTCAAGGTCTGTGTGGAGAAAACCCAGCCCAATAACAAAGAATTATTTTTATACACTTTAATTATTTAACTTATTTTGAGAATAATGTCCATTGGGGACAATATGATACTCTCAATAATTTATGATCATGCTTGATTATAAATGCCACACTGTTTATTGAATACTATGAGGACAAATGACAAATTGGGAAAAATATTCACATACATAATTTTCTAATATGCAGTGCCTGCAACACTTCCTCTCTGGAGTATCAGATTATTCCTAGCAAATTCATCTATTTGGTGAAAACCAAGAAGCCACCTTGCTGATTTTATATAGAACCATATACAGGTTATTTTCAGTTTCAGAGTCTAATCTGGCAGTCACAAATTCTCCCATGCCTATTATGGTCATCAAAAATAACAGTGCATCATGGTATGGTTTTTGCAGTCCCTTAAAAAGGAAGTACATTCTTGATCCAGATCCTAGGTTCTATGTGCAACTTTCTAAAGACCTTAAATAGGAAAATGTAGTATATGCATGTTCTTTAATATTAGAGTTGTAATTCTTTTTTTTTGTCCAGAATTTTGGTTTTTAATACCTCTTGTTGGATAAAAGGACATTGTTTTTCATTAGCTTGTCTTCAAAAGACAGAGAAATAAGATAAATTACCTTAAAGAAATTAAATAGAAAATTAAGGGAACATGTACCAAGGTGGTTTTAGACTCTCCTCAGTTTCTTTGAAAAAAGGAGGGCTTAATCTTACTAAGTGTCCTTGGTGACATTTATAGATGTTGTCTCTGTGCTCTTTAATGAGGAACTTGCAGTCATTTAGTTATAGACTTTAAGTCTGGCAGAACGTAAATACCTCCCGATGAAGTAGTTTCACCTTCAGTAGTATTCTGAAATATTTTCTTAAAATTCTGTATTTGGAGGAAAAATATACTTTCCTAAAATATAAACTGGAGTATGACTTCTGTCAAGGTTTGAAGGCCATCTGGCTTTCTTTTACATGGCAAATTATCAGTGCCAGAATACAGGTCACTCCCAAGAGAGTGTGGGCATGTAGAACCTATGATGCACGCTTTGGTAAAGATACACTACTTTCATTATGGAGCTGATTTTGTGGTAGCACAGTGACTGTAAAAGTTCAAACTGAATATTAAAACTAAATGTACCCCAAATGAAAGATACACACCAACTTTGTTTTAAAAGAAACAGTATTTATTAAGAAATTATATGTTGAATTCTCCTACGGTCTGTGAAGATGGTTTCTTCCATTTCCACAGCACAAGACAACAGCTAAGATTATCTGGAAAACACTGGCAATGCTTGGGAATGGAGAGTTCCTAGGAACAGGAGGTGAAATGACATGATGTATGCACTAATTTAAACTTTTGGATCCAAGGGCAAGACAGTCTTTTCCTTGGCAATCTAGTCCTTACTTGTCCATGGAATCTCATACCCAGACTGAAGTAATAATTGGATCATTTAGTTCAGTAGAGCGGAGCATGCTCAACTTAATCACAGATCAAACCAACAGTTCTTTAACTATTATATCACATCTGAAATATCTGCATTCTTTATTAATAAAAAGGGTGCTTATACAGGGCAGAAATATAACTTTTTCAAGTATTTTATCATTATGATCTGAAGTACTTTAAACTATAAATTATAAATAAATTATAAAAACTAGCATAAGATGCATCTTTTCTTACATGACATTGTTGGAAATAAGCTTTAAATACAGAATTGCAATATCACCTGACTTTATATATGATCAACAGTGAAACATGCTAATCATAAAAATAGCTTTTACAAATATACATTTGTATATAGTGTTTCCCTTACCATTCATAAATGCCTTTCACATTTTAAGACTGAAAAAAAAAACATAATTAGCAAAGGGGAAAACACATTTACAATTTAAACCATAAAAACCTGACAATTGTACAGCTTAAAACATAGAAGAAATGGAATTTCTAAAACTGAGCAATACTGTCCATTTTATTTATTTGGGTTTTTATATAAATTGAACCAAAGATGCTGCTGTCCAGTAAGAAACCTCCTTTCACATTTCTGGGGGTTGTCACAGTTTCTCTTTTCTGCTTTGTGGCATCATGCGTTATTTCAGATCACTTTATCTGTAGAAACTGAGAAAATAAAAAAAAATTTTAAAATACAGAGATTTGTGTTTTATTGTTGATAGCATGCGTATACTGATATGTAAGTTAGATTTTAAGGTTAGATCAGGGGAAGAATAAAGGAAGAATTAGATATTTAGGACAAATAATTTTGATGGTAGGTTCTTAGGTCCTTTGTTGTAGGCAAATCTATAATTATTTTCATTTATGGAATGTTACGATTTTTTTTAATCCAGCTAATTTATTGCCTGAGGTCAGCAATTACTTTTCAACCTGAGCTCTTGTCCAAGTCAAAGGAGGAACCACTTAAAGTTCTAGACTAGGGAAAGAGATTTCAATTACTCGTGAATCTTTGTTGTGCCCCTAACAAGAATGACCATAGGATACCCCTACTACGAGGCTTTGAACAGTGCTGTCCTAAGCCTTATGCATCTGGGATAGGAGAAAAAGCCAATACAGGTCTTTGATCTGCATTTCACAATCTTGGTTGCAAAAGAAGAAAATCAGAAACATTGAAAGACTTCATGGTGCAACCATGAGTCTGAAGCATTATGTAAGAGCCCAAATTCAATTGGTTGAACAACTGATTGAAATTGAATATGAAGACAAAATAATGCAAGACTCAATCAGTGGGGAAAATTATGTATTTATCTTAGAATCCTATCAAGTTCCAGGTCTTTATATTTAGATAAAAAATATTAGACCTACTGTTATCCCATCAACTTCAAAGGTCTTAGGGGTTAGATAGAAAATCTGTGTATGTCTTAAGAGTCAAAGACATGCAAATCAAGGTATCAGATGGGATGGGACATGTTGACCTTTTATAAGTAGCCAGAGAATTAGGTAACTTGACTTTATTTATTAAAGCTTTGAAGTCCATGATACAAAGATTATGAAAAAGACTGAGTGTGGCAAATGGGTGGTGAGAATTTCTTTGGAGGTTTGCAGCCCCCCAGATTTCATGCCTGGCTAAGACTACTGGTTGAAAGAGACTCAGTGAATGTGATGATTGAATTTTCACACTCATGTGTGAGATGTGCCTCCCTCAAATCTTGTTATGATATTGGCACATTACCTGTCTAACATGAAAAAAAATTTAATAAACTGATCTAAAACAAAACATACCCACTTAATAGTCTTTTCTATAGTCAGACACATTTAAAAACTTATATCCCTAGGAAAGAAGCTTTCATGAATAAGACATTTTGACACTGTATTTTGATATATTCTCTTTCTCTCTATTTCTCTCCTTCACTGCCTTTTTCCTTTTCTCTTCCCTCTCTTTCTCCTTACCCAATTCATACTGTACACTGATCACATATATATGAATTTTGAAAAATGAAAGCTTTATTCAAATGTGTTTGTCATGCAGTTCCAGGTTGTGTTTATGTGCATGAGAAGAGTCAGTTTTGTACTTAAGGCACAAAGGTTCGAACTTATTATACAACATAAGTAGACTACTTTTTGTGTGGTGTAAAGGAAGTTTTGTATATGACCTGCATGCACATATCAACAATGATCAATTATCATTATGAGAATGAATAACTTAAAAAATAAAATAAAAGTAACCCATAGATGAACACTGATATATGAAAATAGGTATTACAATGTTTGAATTTTGATAGATACCACTTGTGTGCAAAAAAGGAAATAAGGCTATTTATATGATTGCAATTGCACTCTTTCCTCTAAGGCCTCCATTGATCACTTTCTTATTATAAATGGAAAATGCTAAAAATACTGTAGCAGCTGTGTATGTAAAGCTTACTAGTCATGGTGTTTCTCCAGGTTAAGTCATGGCAGTTGACATGAATTTAGTACATTCTTACACCATCCTGCATGTGTCAAAAGAGGTAATGACTGTTTAGCAACTATGTATTTTGTTAAGATGAAAAAAACAACCTGTAGATTTTTTGTGCATAATTCATTACCCCCAGTATAATTTTTTCTTACACCTTCCTTTGCTTCTTAGTTGTAAATAATTACATAAAAATAATTATTGGGGAAAGAAAGGTAGATTTGAAAATAATTTATTGAAGTCTTCCTTCTTACCATAAAGCTTCAAAGCATTTGAATAAAACAAAAGACTCATTAACTTTGCATTGTGAAGTAGGTATTATTAACCACATGGTTACAAGTCATGAATATATTTCTCCTTATCTAAAAACAATGTCAAAACATATTCACAAAGCTTTCCATAAAACTTCTAGTATGAGAAAAGGCTTGCTGTTGGCTGTAAAGCCTGGGAGAAAGAGGACAAACTATGACATTCATATTGCTTTTTTCTTAAGAAACATAGTCACTTATGGAGCTGATTGTTTTAGTATAATGTAAAACTAATTGTGCTCTCTTTCTCTGAATAGTGGGTAATTTATCTACTGGCTGTTTGGGAGCTTGGAAGCTTTTAAAACAAATTCTCCTGATGATGAATGCTTTTTAAACTCTCAATCTCTCCCATTTCTGAAAAAGAACAAAGAGATCTACTCGGATGGGACTGGATTGTATTGAACCAAGCAATTACTTCTACTTGACAAAGATGAAATGGATAGTATTAATCTACATGGAAGGCACATTTAATTTTAAACTTTATGCATTACTATATTTGAAATAAAAGAGTACAGCAATATATAGAATAAATCCACCTTATTTACACTCTGCCCAGAAAATCATACTTTTAAATAAGTCTTATGACTTCTTCAGTAGCAGGAATGCTTGTTATTTTTGTTCTAATTCAGATTTATAACTAATAAGAACTTAGAGAAATTTACATCATCTGTATTTTTAGGGAGCATATATAAATGCAAATAAGGTGAAAGAAACTGTAGGTAAGACAGGTCACATAACACTTTATAGAAAAGCAAAGTCTTATGAACAGCAATTATACTTGTTGCCACTATGGATCATGTTTCTTGAGTAATCATTCAGCCACTCACACTTTTTATAGACAATGTGAATATATTTGGCTTTCACAAATCCCTCATTCTAAATGAGATACAATTCAATTCAAATTTTTAAGTAACACAGACTAATTCTCAGCACCTACTGTTCATCATAAGTTAAAACTTGTCTTCTGTTAATAAACTCTTAGGAACCAAATTACGTTACATTTTTAGGCTCAAATAATCATATCAAAAAACTGTAATGGAATGAAAACCAAAATGAGTAGTAACTTATTGGAATAACTACCAATGGAGGAAACTGCTCCATTAGGTAGTTCTTGGAGGCTGAATAATCTCTATTCCTGAGTTGATGGCCATTTAGAGTATAGGACAGTGAATCAGAAAACACAGGGGAGAATCATCTGAGATTTTAACTTTAAAAACAAGGCTTAGATGAGTGACATCTAGTATGTAATTTCCCAACAGGGTGACTACAGCCAATAATAATTTACCTGCACATTTTAATATAACTAAAAGAGAATAATTAAATTGTTTGTAACACAAAGGATAAATGCTTGAATGTAAATTGGGCTAACCCTTGACATTGTCTATAGTGATTCTTGGTAAATTGTGACTACACTGGCAAACTGTCTTCTGAACATGCTCACTGCTTTTTTCCCTGTCTCCATTCCACCTTCTCTGTCCTTATTTCCCTGCCCCTCCTAACTGTTCAGTTTTATAACTCAAACCCATTGTTCTGCTCAGTAATTCTCATGTCTTTATCCTATTTTCCATCTGACTCACAATAGTCATGAAATAAAAAAGACCAAGAAACAACAGGGCTTTTTAGCATAGTGGATCACAAATGCCCAAATCAGTGGGTTTTGTTATTTCATACAGAAATGGAAAGATAAAAAGGCTAGGAAAATCAGCCATTTTCTATAGTATCATAGAATTTAAGTTACTGTATATGGTATGCTAAGATGTTTTATTTTCTTTCCTAAAACTGAAGCTAAACATAAAACAATACTATGAAACAATCATAAAAGGAAAAGGAAAAAGGAGGAACTTAATGTTAAAATAAATTTAACTTTGTTTACCAAATCCACAGAAACTTTTCCTATAAGTATTATAAAGTGACTGTCAAACTTTTGCATCATGTTTTACTTTAGTTTATAAGATTGATTTATAGACACAGTATAAAGAGCTTTTGATTTCAAATTGAAAACAATATACTAACATAAATTATAATTAGAACTACCATATTCTTTATGGATATTTGTTTTGGGACATGGCTTACTGTATTAGTCTGTTTTCATGCTACTAATAAAGACATACCTGAGACTGGGTAATTTATAAGGAAAAAGGGTTTAGTGGATTTACAGTTCCACGTGGCTGGGGAAGCCTCACAATCATGGCAGAAGGCAAGGAGGAGGAAGTCACATCTTACATGGATGGCAGCAGGCAAAAAGAGAGAGCCTGTGCAGGGAAACTCCCCCCTATAGCACCATCAGATCTTATGAGACTTATGTACCATCACAAGAACAGCACGGGAAAGATGTGCCCCCATTACGCAATTACCTCCCACCAGAACCCTTCTACAATACTTGGGCATTCAAGATGAGATTTGGGTGGGGACACAGCCAAACCATATGACTTACCATATGTGATTTAAAAAAAAAGAACCCTCTTTTTCAGAGTTAATGATATCATTTTCTATGTCTAATTATGAAGATGTACTTTATAAGATACAAGATATGTGATATAAGATAAATCAATCTTATAAACTAAAGTAAAACATGATGCAAAAGTTTGACAGTCACTTTATAATACTTATAGGAAAAGTTTCTGTGGATTTGGTAAATAAAGTTAAATTTATTTTAACATTAAGTTCCTCCTTTTTCCTTTTCCTTTTATGATTGTTTCATAGTATTGTTTTATGTTTAGCTTCAGTTTTAGGAAAGAAAATAAAACATCTTAGCATACCATATACAGTAACTTAAATTCTATGATACTATAGAAAATGGCTGATTTTCCTAGCCTTTTTATCTTTCCATTTCTGTATGAAATAACAAAACCTACTGTCTTTAATGAAGATGTTAGTGCAGTAATAGTTTTAACATCTAGACACACAGATCATTTGTGTTTCTGGAGTACATTTCATTTAACTGAAATCACAAATAATTTTCTAATAAGATTCTATTTATTTTGGATTCTACAGGAATAATTTTTTTAGTTTGATAAGATGTAATGATGTCAGGAACCATAATGATGTCTTCAGAACTGTAACTCCAGAAGCATCAGAGAATCAGAGTGGTTCAGTGGTGAAGCTGGTGATTAGTATCGTACAGTGATCTTGTCTAATCTTGCAAACAGAGCAGCAGTGTCTTTTACAGTAATCATGGCCAATGAATATGTAGCTGTGTCTTGTCTATCTCAAATGATACAGAACTCTTAAGGCAGCTTGCTCTATTTGTAGATAATCGTGGTTAGAAAAGAATTTGTTACATTGAGTCTAAATCAGCTAAATGACTGAACTATTTATTAATATTAAGCCAAAAATCTAGAGAGTATGACGATCAGTAAGATAGCCAGGCAGAATGTGAGAGGTATTGAAGTGTCAGGGGGTTTTGAGCTATAAATTCAGGTGAGATCTTCTAAGATGGCAAGAGAGAGTAAGGCAGAAAGCAACTCCAGTGGGAGGTGGGTTGGTTTTAGAAACAACATTAAAGACAGCTGAGTTACCTAGCTAAGGCTCCCTTAATTCCCTCCAGATAGACTATGCAGTCTCTATCATTAGAGTATGGAAATGGGTGTTTAGGATCTGGAACTGGGCTAAGCTTGTGGGCATGGGTGACAATCATCATAATGACACTTATTCTTATAGTGGGTGGAAGTTTATAAAAACAGTTTATATGTATATTTTCATTTGGTTTCTATTATAAATCAGTGAGGTAGGTTCTTGGGCAAGAATCATCCTCAGATTGATTATTAGTTCTTATATCAGAGAATGAATGATTTGCCTGTCTGCCCAGACTAGAGCTTTCTCTGATATTCTGTTCTGACCAATTGCGGGAAGAAGCGTTGTAGTGAGGCAGCCTGGGAACACCACTAATTATAGCACAGATAATCTTTATGTGAAAATACATACCCTCATAATTAGTAGGAGATAAGGGATGGAATTAGTGGAAACATACTAGGATTTTTCCATAAACTTCTACCTGCTTTTCCCTGATTTGTAGTAGTTCTGTCTAAATTTTTTTTAAGTTCTGTTTTGAACTAATTAAAAATCATTTTAATTAAGAACGTGCTTTTGGCATTTCTCTGAAAAAGACCTTTTATGTTGTAAAACTACTTTGATTAGGTAAAAAGAACAATTAACTTTATAGTAAAATTATCGTGAGTTACATAATTTTATTTAAAATGTGTAAAAATTTAATTATTCAAAAAATTTAGTCACATTGCTTGGATGTTCTCTTACACATACATTAACATTTCTCTTATTTTATTCCAATTGTACTCTGATACTTTCTGAAGATAATGATGATTGTATTTTGAGTGTTTTGGGATCACTGACAATCATATTTAACTAGTTGCATTGATAGATTATAGTAGTTTTATTTGGCACATAATTTATGTTTGATCATGCATCGATTTTTGATTTTTCATACTAATTATGTAGTGTCTAAAAATCGTTATTTACTCCCAATGCTAGAAATGATAATGATAATTTTAGGATAGTACTCTAAATTGCCTAAGTTAATGCTAGTGCGAAAAGCCAAGTGCTGACTAATGCTAAGATTATGAACTTTGAAATTTTACACATTTGACTGCTTTCCACAGTTCCTTATGGGATTAATTTTAGCACTACAAGTACTACAAGTAGAAATATTTTAAAAATCATTTTATAGCCAACAAAAATGTTATTTGGAATTAATTGCTTTACAGGAATAATTTTAAAAGCCCTTTGAAAACATATAGTTAACTCATAATTATTCTGAATAGCTGGGGGAAAGGTTGTCACGGTTGTTTAACAATTTTCATTTAATTAAATTTACTGTATACACATTCAAAGATTACAATATAATAAAATGACTTCATTTTTAAAATTGCATAAAATTAATCTGACAGTAAGTGAAATAGTATGGTGAAAAAAATACACTATTATCCTATACATAACCCTCCTTTTTTTTAAATCAGTATATTTGGGAAACATAGGTAATTTAAAAAAAACCACTTAAAGCTTTGTAATATTACCAAAACACTTTTAACACTCAAATTATGCTGGATATAATAGAATACTGGATAACTCAGAATTTCAGAGTCTTGTAGTACCTTCTATTTCATGTTTATAAAAGAATTTCCAGAATTATAACAGATGTAGAAGGAATTGGAAATTGGGTTTAATCTGTTTTATGAATGATCATGCCATATCCTCTGCAGGTTACTTTTTGAAATAGATTTCAGATACCAACTCACTTACCTATGTTTTCCTTTATTCATTATATGAGAATATAGAATTTAGAAAAATCGTCAGTTATATGATTATCCTGGTATAGATCAAGATAAATAAAACATTAGAGCATTTTTATTCAATAAATTATTGAAATAATTCAGTAAAAGTTGAATTCTCTCCTAGATTTTTGTGAACAAATCTGTTCCCAAATAAGAAAACAAACTTAATTGGAAGGGCTTTTTCCTTTATAATCAGATTCCTCTAATAAGCCACATGTTATAGACCTGAACAAAAGGTTCTAACATCATCTGTTCATTGGGATTTGACTGGGGTAATCCACAAGACTCATGATGACTAGACTGAACTTTGATAAAGAGGAAGGGCACTGTGTTTGCCTGGCTTTCTTTCTGTTGTATCATCTACACCTGGCATTACTTGCTGAGCAAACAAGGTGTGGTGTTACTTAGTGTATATGTGTATCTATCTATCTATCTATCTATCTATCTATCTATCTATCTATCTATCTACCTACCTATCCATCCATCCATCCATCCATCCATCCATCCATCCATCCATCCATCCATCCTGGGTCTGCACTGTACATCCAAAACTAAATCATTTATACTGTATTTCACAAATGCTCATTTTAATGAAGAGAATCCTGAGACACAAAGAAAGAAAGTCACTTGACCAGGGTCTTACTGAAGGTGATCAAATAAATCCAGCACACAATCACATATTTCTGCACTTACCTGAGGGTCACATTAAATAAATACTTGATTTGAAATCAACATGACAGAATATTGATTCCCCTTGTGTGAAGGTTGGCAATGACATGTTCCCAACAAACCTTCCTCTAAAAACGTGGGTCCTTGGTGGGAGTTACTTTTAGATTTACTTTGGGCACTGGGAACTATTTTGATTAGCAGAGTTTTGGCAAATGAGCGTTAGGAAGCCAATGGCGGCAAGCATCTTTTGCACTGTTTTGGAGATCCTCTTCTGCTAACAATATCAGCAAGTGAAAGAGCACAGGGAATTAGCTTCTGGGTCACAAAGAAGAATTGTGAATATTTACTTGCATATGTGCACATAACTTTAATAAACTTTAAATAAACATTATTGACCTTTTTAAGGGGGTGATGAACAATGCTTTTTTGAAACTGGATTTCTGTATTTTTTTCTTCTACATAATAAGGAATATATATTTTTGGTCTTAGTCTCTGGTTCCTAGCACAGAGCTCCTAAAACCCTTTTAATTTCCTAAATGATAAGGGTGATAGGAGCATCTTTCATTATAATATTTGGTTTTTGTACAGAGCTTCTGGAGTTCTTGTAATTTCTTAAGTGATAGCAGTGTCTTTTGTTATTCATAACAAGCCCTTTGCTCTCACTTGAGTTTATGATGATGAGGTGACTTAGGGCAAGGCCCCTAGATAGTCTCAAGATAGTGTTGGTCTCCAGAAAGACTGAATGACTAGAGGGTTTGAACTTTCAGCCCCACCCACTGACCTCAAGGAAAGTGAGAGGTGCTGGAGCTTAAGTGCTATAAAACTCTTGAACATGAAATTTAATGAGGTTCTCACTTGGTGAAAATAGCCACACGCCAGGAGGAGGGTGCATACCAACTGACTGGGACAGAAGCTCCTGTGCTCAAAACCCTTCCAGACCTTACCTTATGTATCTCTTTATCTGGCTGTTCATCTGTATTGTTTATAATTTTGTTACATAATAAACCAGTAAATATAAGTGAAGTGTTTCCCTGAGTTCTGTGAGCCATCCTAGAAAAATATTGAACACAAGGAGGGGGTACATGGGAACCTTGATTTATAGCCAGTAGGGCAGAGCACAGGTAAAAAGCTGGGACTTGCACTGGTACATGAAATGGGGGAGTGGGAAGGGTGGTCTTGTGGGACTGAGTCCTTAACCTGTGGGTTCGGATGCTATCTCCAGATAGATACTGTGAACTGAATCAACTATAGGACACCCAGTTGGTATCCACTGGAGAATAGCTTGCTTTGTGGGGAAACCCCTCTACCACCACATTTGGTCATAGAAGTGTTCTGTGTTGTGAGAATACAATAGAAGATATCAGTATATTTTTCACCAAATCTTCTTATCTCTATGCTCTATCAATAGCTGCATACTTATAAAGTATTAATAATAGCAAATAGCCATTGAATATTTCAATGTAATTGACTCATGGATTGGATCTGTTTGGGTTATGAAAAGATATAACCAGTTTTATTACTTATATAGAAAATACCATATCTTGCATAGGAATAAAAAATTAGTGATATGGCTGAATCTTTCAAAAGCATATTCTAGTCAATGGATAGTTGCTAGTTGAACTTTCTTGTGGGGAGAGAAGGAAATTAAGCCTCAGATTTCCTATTCTGCAATGGATAGTTGCTAGTTGAACTTTCTGGTGGGGAGAAAAGGAAATTAAGCCTCAGATTTCCTATTCTGCCATCTTGCTCACGTCATTCTTTTTGGCTAAATTTTTCAATCTAATATATCAATACTTCCAGATATAGTTACTCTCTTTAAGTTGATAGAAACAACTCAAAGAAAAATCTATTTGTTGCTTAGTATCAGTAAATAATGGAGATCAAACATGCCCATGAATATCAGAAAATGAAATATATCTTAAATTTTGAAATCATTTAAAATTCTGGGTAAAGTTTTAGAATAATTGGGCCTTATCTCAAAGTTATTAGTTTTCATATAAATATACAATTTCAGGTGATTTAAATTTATATTATTAATATTATTTTTCCTATAGCAAAGGTAAATGATTTAAAAAAACAGATGATATTTTATATTTTACAGGAACAAAGATTGATTCTCTGGCACACAGGTAAGTTTCAGAGGACTGAAGTGCAATCAGTACTGAGGTGAGAAGCTATGCACATGATTATATAAAGAGCATTTTCAAGTGCTTTTTAGATGTAATTGATTTTTATGTAGAATTCATACTTATCTCTTATATATATTTTTACTTTATAAACTTTTTAGCCCTTAACATCATCATTGATGGTAACAGATTTTTTGTTTTGAGATTTGAAAGCTGTCTCATTTAGACATAATAACATATGACACCTATCAGCGTAATTAATTATGAAATGTTTATGTGACTGTCTGTATTTTAGGTACCCCTGTTGATATTAGATCATGTATTTTAAGCATTTAACATCTTATAGCCCAAGACTTTGATAGTATGACTAACAGAGTAGAAGAAGTAGATCTTTCTCTGACATCTTTTTCTTCATTTCCAGTTTTCATTTGAAAAAAATATCTAATTTTTCCATGGTGGCAGTACAAATAGAACCATGCCATGTTTAGAATGTACATATGGAAATTCATACACCATCCTGCTTCATGTTTGATTGTAATTGCAAGTGTCATGAAAAATGTTTTTCTCTTGATCCAAAGCATTGTGTAGGTGTGCTAAGGGGGCATGTTATAACTGGCATACCCTGGATGCCTCTCTACTGTGACACAGCCTCTTCCTCTGTCCATCCTTTTCTGAACCTCATTTGTTATTAAAATCTAATTAGCTATTGTTTGAAACAAAGTATGAGTGTCTGATTCTTTAGGTTAAAGTGGGAGATGAGGACCTGTTAGTTAATTGTTAGAGAACACCAAACTGAAATTTTCTCCTTAATATACCTGGGTTCTTTAAATAGTTTTGTCACTGCTTTTTCCTTGGCAGTAAGACTTTGAGGCTTAACTTATTTAGTTAAAAACTTACATGCACTGAGGGCTTACTATATGTCAAGCCCCCTTTTAAGTACTTTAAATATTTTTTTCCATTTAATATTCACACCAGCACCATGAGGGAAGTGCCATCCTTATACTCATATTATAGATTAAAAAACTGAGGCACAGAGAGGTAAGTCATTTGCTCAAGTCACGTAAGTCTTCATATTTGGCTGTAACTAACCCAGTGCTTTGTTCATACAGCCTTTATTTCTTACCATTGTGTGTCATACACTCTCTCCTATTTACAGCAATTTAGATCATGCCTAAGCTCTCAACATCATTGTTACCCAAATAGTAATACTATTATATTTAGCAGCTAATGCTCAACCAGTTCTGTGTTATATAAATAGAAGGTTTATTCAAAATTATTTGTATCTATTTCAGTATTTTTGTGTTAATTTCTTCCTATTCCCTTTGGACAAAACCTATGGTATTAATTAGGAATGTTGAGACCTTACATCCTTTGAAAGGCAATAACAGGCTTGTAAAGAGATATTTATTGAACTATCTCAGGAACATTTGGGCACTAGCCTGGCAGCTTCTCTACAATCAACTTGCTCTATAGAAACAAATGTGTATACAGTATTTATGACTTTAAGTGTTCTTTTCATTGTGTGTGTCATAAGCTTTCCTTGTTAAAAATGAGGACATTTGAGAAGGCAATATCCTATTTTGATGGAAATCATTAGACATGTCACAGACAGAGCCCAGGTGAGGGCATCCATGTTGTCAGCAGTGGCTAGTGACCTAGAGGGCCATCTGCCTGCTGAGATCCTCAGGGATTTGGAATACATGGCATGGAAATGCTGTCTCACTTTTAACAATTGTGAGGTATCAAACTCTGTAAAATGTGGGGTACTTTTCCAATGTGATATAACAAGTCGATCTGCATGCAGAGTTTCTTCCAACTTCAAGTAGAAAGTTGCGCAAAAAAAAAAAAAAGTGCTGGAGGGTGACATCCAGTCAGAATATCATTCAGTGACATCAACTTGTCAAGCACGAAATGCAGATCAGCAGGATTGAGCTCTGCATTTCCCGGGGGTTTTGGGGAGATGCACAAACTGCTAGGGCTGCCCAATATATTGTTATATGGGAAGATTCATTAAAAATATTGACTCATAGTGAAAGGATATCTGCATTCTCATATTTATTGTGGCATTATTCACAATAGTCAAGCTGTAGCATCTACCTGAGTTTCTAACAATGGGTGAATGGATAAAGAAAATGTGGCATATATACACAATGGAATACTATTCAGCCTTAAGAAAAGAAGGAAGGACTGGCTTTTATAACACCATGGATAAGCCTGGAGGACATTACGTTAAATGAAATAAGCCAGGCACAGAAAGACAAATACTGCATGTTCTCACTTCTATGTGGAATCTAAAACAGAGGTAGGAAGCAGAGAGTAGAATGGTGGTTACGAGAAACAGGGAGGTGAGGGAAATGTGGAGATGTCTGTCAAAGAGTACAAGATTTCAGTTAGAGAGGAGGAGTAAGTTTTTTGAGATCTATTGCACAGTATGGTGACTATAGTTAATAACAGTGCAATGTATATTTCGAAATTGCTAAGATAGTAAATTTCAAATGTTCTCATCACAAAAATTGATAAGTATTTGGGGTGATGAATATGTTAATTAGCTTTATTTAATCATTCTACATATGTGTACATACACTATAACATCACTTTGTACCCCTTAAATATATGCAATTATAATTTATCAATATACAATAAAATATAAACATTGACTCATGTAGTGAGAACACTGCTCTTCCAGTTCTTTGGATTGCATTAATGAGAAAGTTTATGTTTGTGTCAGTCTTAACATTTCTCTAGTACTGTCTATTCTTTTTAATGGGAGAAAGAGAGATTGAGAGAGAAACAGGAGAGGACAGCAGGAACACAGGGTTTTTTGGTCACAAATATCAAGGTTTTTTTTTAAATTTTGTCCTTTCATTATATTTATTTTAAATATTTCTCCAACTTATGAAAAGAGATGCTTGGTTTTTCATTTATTAGAGTGAACTAAAGTTTAGTGTAAAAGATACATTTATTTTAAATAATGAGGTAATTTAATAAGTAAGTAAAAAATAGTACCACTGATGCATAGATTTGGCACAAACCAAAAGGGTACTATACATATCAAAATTAATAAAATTTGTGGAAACCCTAATACAATGAAAATATCTAAGGGTGTTAGAATCTTACGGACCCTGACTGCAGGTTGATTCTGCCTCTTATGAGCAGTGTGAGCTTGGGGAAGTTACTTAATCTTTCTAAAATCAGTTATTTGTGAAATAGCTACTCCTCGAAGTTATTTTAGGCAGTAATGACAAGACATATATAAAAAACTCAGCATTGTTCCTGGAAGGTAGTGAAAATGGAAACAGTATTGTTTTCTTTCCGTTTCTTCCTGACTTGGAATAAAATAAAAATCCTCTCAGTTTTTCACTGTGTGTGTGTGTGTGTGTGTGTGTGTGTGTGTGTGTGTGTGACGCTATATCTTATTTTCTCAGATTTCTGCCTTTTTAAAGATAAGCTGTTTTCCACATTTTTGAAACAACTAAGGCCCAAAGTGATTCCAGAACTTGTTCAATTCACACAGCTTTAAATAGCAGGGGTAGGTATTATTTCCAGTAGACTACAGGCTAGGAAGGTTTACTTTTAGGAAATGTTACTTAATATTATTAAAATGTATTCCTAAAACTGTGGCAAGGCAGAAAATATCAAATATGCATAAGGTTTCCGGGATACTTATCAGATTCCAGGTGAAAAGAATTCTTACCAGCTTTCCAAAGGCCTGAACTTTCATTTCATCTCAGGCTATCCTGGAGCAGGCAACCCCGGAGCTTGTGATTTTCCATATTCAGAGACATTCTAAAGACAGCGAAGGTTTAGAAGGGAAGATCCTTAGGCAGGGCAAGGCTGATAGTGCAGCATGGTTGTGCCGGTGAGAGACTTAATGAGGGGAGAACCAGCTGGGCACAGTCCTGGCTGGTGGGTGACAAAGGTGCACCATGCAAGGGACTGAGCTAGAGGATGCCTCTTTGCAACTTGAATGCTATCTGGATAAAATCTTTGTGCCAGTCCATGAAAATGTACTTTTTTTTTTTTTAATCAATTAACTTCCAGAATATGGGGCAAGAATTGTAAAAGGTCAGCAACATTTTGGCAATAAATCTCTTTTCCATTGTGATTTTGTCTGTTGAGGTATGAAAAAAGTTGGGGAAGAAAAGTGCCCCACTTTCTTTTCTTTCAATTTCAGATTAAATGAAATGTGTTCATACCTGTTGCCATTTCTTTTGTCACAGATTATTAGATTCAGTGTAGCTTGAGCAGGTATACCATTAGTTTCCAGAAATACTGCTGTTAATGACTTTCTTAGCTTGTTCAAGTACAAATTTCTTGCCCTGGTATTTATCAAATGAACATTGTCTTTTGTCTATTCATTTATTTTTATTCTGTTTTTAGAGTTTTTACAGCTCATCATACTCAATATTTTAAAAAATAGCTAGAAAAAAATCATTAAAGTCCTGTGCCTGTGAAACACTGGGAAATGAATCAATTATATTTGTATTTGGAGCATTAAAAAATAAACTTGAAAAGAATTTCTAGCTATTTGGCAGATAAAATACTTAGGCCACAGAAGTTCAACAACCTCTGGAAAAGGCAGTGAGAGGTCAGCATTTACAGTTAATTACCTTTTCCCAGAAAAGTCTATTAATCTATTCAATAAATACAATGTAGGGGAATTGGCTTGTGTAATATGTATACACTTTAACACTTTACTTCAATGAATTGCTGGATGTTTCTAAGAAATAAATAGCTTCTGGTATTTCTGTGTAGAATATTTTACGTATTCAAAACATTTTAGGTTTGGAATGTAAAAAAACACACAACTAAAGGTTCCAGTGTTCTTATAGATTGTAGGAAACAGGAGTATTACTATCATGTAGCTCTGGAAGAAAGAAATGAGGATAATTAAAAAAAATAGTATGCATAATTGCTTGAACCCGGGAGGCAGAGGTTGCAGTGAGCTGAGATTGCACCATTGCACTCCATCCTGGGCGACAGAGCAAGACTCTGTCTCAAAAAAAAAAAAAATAGTATTCATATAATGGTAGTGCCAGAAAATTCAAGGAATAGAACATTGTTGTGTCAGGAATCCAAAAATTCATTGTTTAATAGGATAAAGAGAATTACTTTTATGTGTATTCTTAGAATACAAAGATAAGTGGAGAAATTGGAATGCTTGCACACTGTTGGTGGGAATGCAATATAATGCAGCCACTCTGGAAAACAGTATGGAGGTCCCCCTCTCCCCAAATAAAAAGGGAACTATCAGATGACCCAGCAATCCCACTACTGTGTGTTTATCCAAAGAAATTGAAATTAGGATCTCAAAGAGTTATGTGTACTCTTACACTCATTACAGCACTATTCAAAATCACCAAGATGTGGAAATAACCTAAATGTCCACTGACGGATGGATTTTGTAAAGTGTGGTATATACATTCAAGGAAATATTATTTAGCCTTAAAAAAGAAGGAAAATCTGTAATGTGTAACAACATGGATGAACCTTGAGGAGATTATGCTGAGTGACAGTAAGACAAATACTGTGTGATTTCACTTATATGAGGTATCTAAAATAGTCAAATTTGTAGAATCAAAGAGTGAAATGGTAGTTACCAGGGGGCAGAGAGAAATGAAGGTGTTGCTAATAAGTGGGCATAAAGTTTCAGTTAAGCAAGATGAATAAATTCTAGAGATCTGCTGTACAACATTGCATAGTCAACAATACTGTATCGTACCCTTAAAATGTTTTAAAGATGGTAGATCTCATGTTAAGTGTTCTTCCATTCAGTCTCTCTTCACTGGCAGACAATTCTCCCATTTAAAAACTAAACAGTTAAGTCATAAGAAAATTGGGTGGAATATGCACCTAACATGCCACAGTGAACAGAGGCAACATAGAAACCAGAAAGGGAATAAAAAAAAAGTGTGGTTAAAATTTTATGAGTCTAAATGATATTTCCATGGTTACAGTGCCATTTTTTAGGATTACTTTTAACCAATGCAATTTGTAGAGTCTTTACATTTTCCCATAAACTGGAGGTAATTCTAGTTAAAATGATACTTTAAAAGTCAAATGAAGCAACTCTACAATCACTAGACAACCCGTGAACTATTTCTTTCTCATGAGTGGCTAACAGAAAATGGAAATAGTTTTGAATATATGTAATAGGTTTGGTTAAGCATACTCATAAGCATGTGTTCACATATTTTGAAATTATTTTCTTATAGAAATAAAATTCTTTTGGTTCTCTTATATTTACATTATTTGCTCAAATTACATTTTACCTCTTACAAAAATTGTGTAAATATTGGCATTAAAAATCACATTGTTTTAATACTAGTTTCCTTAAACCTAGAAATTTAGAAAGCACAGGTCAATTAGCGATGGTTAACAAAATTTACCTTGTGCTCATATTTCTACCTTATCTTGATAAGTCCTCTATTTACAATATCTATCATATCATCTATTTTTTTCAGTGAATTACAAATAGACCTTTTAATGGACAAGTCTGAATTTAAATAACAATGAGGCGTAACAATGGGCACTGAAGTAAAAATGAATTTAATACTCCAGTCATACTCCACTGTATTAGTTTTATAGAATGTGTTCAGGTTGAATAGTATATTTTAGAATGTGAATCTTGGATATGTTTTAGAATATAATCTGCGATTTGAGAATGAAGCGGCCTGCCTGCAACCCTTTCTCCCCAAAAGAGGTTTTTTTCTTTCTTATTCACTTCCTTTTACTCAGCCCTTACAATGGTGCCTGAGTACAGTAATCATTTAATAAGTATTTGCTGGCTGAGTGAATAAAAATGGCATTAAGGGCAAAACACATATCTAGACTAATTATTATTCTGTTGCATAAAACTCTTAATGTCACTAAGATGATTTTTCCAATAGCTTTTGCCCTTTGGAATTTGGGAATAATTTACAAGACGGGAAAGACTTGTTTGCCTCTCAGAATCTTAGAAGAGTTTATTGATTTAATAAATTTGGCTTGGCATCATAGAACTATAATACGGGTTTGGCCCACCCTACACAAAAATAGGCATTCTGGGCAAACTACGTGCAAGGCTATTTAAGAACCCTATGTTACTGATATTAGTATGTAGCATCTTACTCATCCTTATAGAACAATGGGAGTTACCTCCTGGGCAGGCAGAAGATGCCACTTCTCCCCCATAGAACTCCCTCATATGTGTGTGTGTTCAGTCACCTGCCTGTGAGTGGTCTAGTCTGTCTCTCTGTGTTTAGGGCAATGTGAGGAGACTAAGGTACCAAAGGGTGAAGGTTAGGGTTGGGGATGGGGTGGGATTCAAAAGACCAAAATACAAAGATCTAGAATTTGTGGTCAGATTTTGTATGGCTAAATAATGACAAACCCTTCTCTTTAAATAAGATAATTATGTATCAACTGTTTTATCTTGATTAGTTCCTTTCTTCTTAGTATTCCCATATAAATGAAAATAACTTCTTTCAAATTTGAGATCACTGCAACTTTTCTCAGCAATTTCAAATGATTTGGTGTTACACTATACCCCAGCTCAACAGAGAATTCCTCAAAAGAGTGTCTTGATGTGAGATACAAGATTACTAATAAAATATTCTAGACTTTTAAGACATAAAAGTTACAAGGGGTATGCATAAACACCATAACCAAGTCGTTAAAAAAAATAAGAGTCTCACTGTGTTGCCCAGGCTGGTCTCAAACTCCTAGGCCCAAGTGATCCTCCTACTTTGGACTCCCAAAGTATTGGATTACAGGCATGAGCCACCAAATCATTTTAATTTTTTTCTTTCAATGTTACTAAAACTTCCTATAATTGGCATGTCCACTAAATTTTGTTACTTGAGGAAAATATTAAGTTTGACATACAAAATCCCATAGCAGGGATTTTCATAAACATGATCCTATTTAATCTTTTCAATAACCCAAAAAAACTTCCTTTAACAGATATGGAAGTGAGCCTCAGAGACTCAGTGATTTGGCTTGTCCATCTGAACCTGAAACCCAAATAACTGAATCGATAAATGTATATCTGCACTTTGTAAGGGCAAATGGAAACGATTTTCTCCATTATAAAAGGCAAAGACACTGACTTCCCGTTTCCCCATTTTTAGAGTGTCTATTTGGAGGCCTGGTGAATCTGTGTCCTTCCTCCTACCTTTGACATCAAAATAAATTTTATTAGGGATTAAGCCCATTCTCCAATGATTACAGTGTAGACATATGATATAGCTTGAATATGTGTTCCCCGTCCAAATCTCATGTTGAATTGTAATCCCCAGTAATGGAGGTGGGATCTGGTGGGAGATGATTGGATCATGAGGGAGGATTTCTCATGAATGGTTTAGCACCATCCTCTTGGTGCTGTTCTCACAATGGTGAGTGACTTCTTGTGAGATCTGTCTGTTTGAAAGTGTGTGGCACCTAGCTTTCTCTCTTGCTCCTGCTCTGGTCATGTGACCTGCCTACTCCTGCTGCATCTTCTGCCATGATTATACTTCCGGGGCCTCCTCGGAAGCTGAGGAGATGCCAGCATCATGCTCCCTGTACAGCCTGCAGAACTGTGAGCCAGTTACACCTCTTTTCTTTGTAAGTTACCGAGTCTTAGGTATTTCTTTATAGCAATGTGAGGATGGCCTAACACATCTCCAAGATTGTGAGTCAAATAACCTCTGGATATGTGATGATGTTGAATTTTATGTGAGCCTCATTAAGATAGTTAAGAAACCCTTTGTTCTGGGAAATGGCTTATTGCAAAGAACCACCCTTCTCCAGTTGATTTAGATAAGACTCACACCTGCTTATTTACCTATGCTAAGGCCAGACATAGATCCTCCAAATTCCCACTCTTGCCCTCATTCATGACTAACTGAACTATTTTGTCTCCATTGGTCAATGAGAACAAAATGCTTATTAATCAAATAAGAGTCTCTCCTTCTCCCAGGACCCCAAACTTCAGTCCATCCTCAGCCTGAGCCAGGATCCATCCCCTCTTTAAGGGCCCTCCTGGAAAATATGCTGGCTTCAGGGTAAAACATCCTCTGATATATTTACTTAGTATGCCAGTCTTTCATCCCACTTCTCCACCCTGGGTTCTTTCTAATCTTGTTTACTCCTCTCATAAAAGAAAAACCCTTCTTGCCTAGTACTTGAGATGCTTGCGGATCTCATGGCCAAAGCATTCTCCCTATTGCAGTAGTCCCTCTCCCGCCTTGCAATAGCCCTTTCAAATAAGTCTCTCATTACTAAGTCTTGATTTGTTTTTTACTTGACAAATGTAAAAATGTAGCTCTGGAATTACCTCTGAGATCTCTTAAGAGTTGTTCAGAAAACTGTCATGAGGTACGATTTTTTGTCTTTTGAGGAAATAATTGTCCTTTCTTCTGTTTGGCCAAATAAAATGTGTGAGATTTTGTCCTGATGACCAAGAGGGCTTGACAAAACTTTAGACGGAGTTTTTCCTGACTATAGGCTCCTGACCTCCCTTTTCTTAGAGCATTTACTTTAGAAAAATTGTATTTGTAAATTTTTCCTCTGCCCCTTGGAGATATAAATCTTCCCCCAGCTTCTTGCCAGTTGTATAAACCCAGGAATATATTTCTTAAGGACCTGGAATCATTCCTTTGAACTGTAATCATTAAGTAAGAAGCAACCTCTATCTCTCAGTCTCTGTGGGAGGTGTAAACCTAACTTAGATAAGCAGCAATTAGCAAACACAGATGGCCTAATTACACTGACCCACCTTCCTCTACCATCCTCCAGTACTTTTCCACTAGTTACCCCAGTGCTTAAAATCTCTCCTGCCTGTTTCAGCAGAGCTGAGTTCAATCTCTCTCTTACTACAATAGTCTTGATTTCTGTTGAAACAGTCTTAAATCTTCCTTGCTTTTTTAACTTCATCCATTGCTATTTTTGCTATGACACTAACATTGTGGTCACTTTGGTGCTACCTTACATGCTTGTAAATTTGTTACTGCTTATGCAATTAAAAAATTTTGTTTTCCTACTATATTGATAGGGAGAATTTTTTTTTTTTTAAGACAAACTTTCGCTCTTGTTGCCCAGGCTGGAGTACAGTGGTGCAATCTTGGCTCACCACAACCTCTGCCTCCCGGGTTCAAGCCATTCTCCTGCCTCAACCTCCCAGGTAGCTGGAATTACAGGCATGTGCCACCATGATTGGCTAATTTTTTTCTATTTTTCATAGAGACAGGGTTTCTCCATGTTGGTCAGGCTGGTCTTGAACTCCCAACCTCAGGTGATCTGCCTGCCTCGGCCTTCCAAAGTGTTGGAATTACAGACGTGAGCCACCGCACCCAGCCGGGAGAGGTCTTTTTGTTGGCAGAATTGTTTTGTTTTTCTAACTACTTTCATAATTAGCTTTTTGAAATCTCACAGAATTAAGACTTTAGATTTCTCCATTTTCCTCTAACACATTATAGCATTTTTAGAAAAGTAACTATTTTTTCCTATTTTTGTATATTTAAAGCTTATTTTTAAGCTGCTTCTCATTTCCAAAGGACTCCAGAATCTTTCTGTTCTCTTCCCCCTGTGTTATCCTCTGTATAGAAACTCAGAAATGGTGAAAATATTTATACTCTAGATTTGTTATTTGGCTTTTAACATCATGAGAGGCTGTTTGAAAATTGTGTATCTACCACAATACTCTTAACATCTCAAAAATCCTTAGAACTAAAGCTTGTTTTTTAATGATCACGTTGTTTGATAGCTGCACTGATAGCTGCAGTTGAAATCACAGCATCTATCTTACTTATCTGGGCATACTTTAGTTTGGAATCCTCTGAAATTTACTTTCTTATGAACTTGTGACTCTTTTCTTTTGGCTTTAAAAATTGTAGATCAGGAGTGAGAGGAAGTCTTATTTTCTGGTTTGTTTTATAAGTCAGCATTCTAGCTTTGCTAACTAAATTCAGGTTACTTCAAATTTGCATTTCTATCACTCGTGGGAGACAATATTTCAGAACCACTGAAAACCAACACGATAGAGTCAATACTGCTGTGTTGACTTTGATGTGTTGGTTTTAAGCCTCCTTCTGTTGTTCCTCCTCAGTGCCTTCAAGACTCAGGCTGCTGCCTGAATGACCTAGTGATTAAGCTATAATGAAAACTGTTTGCTTCCATTCTTTGTATAATAATCCTCAAAATCACAGAGGGGATGCACACAAAAGTAATACTTAGAACACAATCTGATTATGACAGACAATAAAAATGCACTTAAAATGCTCATAATATGTTTGAGGTAGTCTGAGGACATTTTCCTCTCTCTTTCTTTAACAGATATTTATGAACATTAACATATGCTAAGCACTACACTGAGGAAAAATACAAAGTGAAATAACCCCCGAGAAATGTACAAATCAGTGATCCAGAAAGAAGGAAAATCATTAATTACAATATAGTAAGTTAAGTGTGAGGAGCTATGTACAAAGCATGGCCTAAAGAAAGAAGCAAATCCAAATGGATGTGTCCTTGTTGGGGGACAGATTTATGGAATGGGTGACACAGAATGATGATCTTTAAGAGAGGAGATGTTTTTGCCAGACAGACAAAATAAAAGGTAGAATGGGTTATTCCAGGCAGAGGGAACAGCATATGTAAATGCATGGAGTCATGACACGGTGTGTCAAAATCATCAGGTAACCCAACATCCCTCAGTCTACTCACTCATCCATCCCCATACAAATGCTAGATACTGTGCTATGCGTGAGGGATCCACAAAGAAAAAAGAACACCCTGGCTCAAACGGTTTTAAATCTAGTTGAAGAGAAAGGCATTTTAAAAAGTGGTAGCAGCACTGAAGGAAGTGTCCTAACAGAGGTTTGCAGGAGTTGTGGAGGATGTGCCTGAGTAACTTGAAATTTCAGGAAGGTTTCCAGATAAAACCGAGTAGTGAAATAAAAGTGGGTGTTCACCAGGATCAGGTACGGAATGACATTTCAGGAAAGTCAATCCCTGACCCTCACCCTTACCCTTCAGGCAACCTCTGTCTGTTTAATTGCAATGATACACTAGTGCTCCACTTCCTTGCCAGCATTTAGTTATAGCAGCCAATTTTGGTCAGTCTGAGTGAGGGTGTGCAGTGTTACCTTATTGTGGTTTTAATTTGTACTTTCTTGAAGACTGATGATTTTGAGTGAGTTTTCATGTGTTTACCTCTTTTGTGAAGTGTCTATTTGCCCTTTCTTCTTCATGTACCATGTGCTCTATCCCAGTGGTTCTCAGCCTTGGCTGCACAGTAAAACATCTTTAGACTTTTGGTCTGGGCTCCACCTTCTGAAACTCTGATTTAATTTTTATGGCTTGTGGCCCCTGTCATTGGTGTTTATGAAAGATGCACCCTCAGTGATGTCATGTGCACTCAGTTTTGAAAACTCTACTGTTGTACTTCAGGGTTCTCGAACTTCAGTAGGCACCACAATCACCTAGAATGCGTGTTAAAACATAGAGGACTGGGGTCCGCCCCAGAGTTTCTGATCCAGTAAGCCTGGGTTAGAGCCTGAGAATCTGCATTTCTAACAAATACTCCACATGATATGATGCTGCTGGTTCTGGGCCATCCTCTGAGTTCCACTGCTTTAGCCAAACTAAACTGGCAACTTCCCCAATTCTTTCATACCTTTCTTCCTTGTATATACTGTTCTTTCCATGCGGAATGCCATCTAATTCTTTTTTACTTTGCATACATTTTTTCATTCTTCAAGAACCAACTACAATGTTACACAGACTTTGTGAAGTCTGCTCTATCATCTCACTTCCTACACCCGATTGTATGACTTATGTGACATTTTTACCTATCATACTGTTTTACTTATTTGTTCTGGTTGCAACATCTTCTCTTCTACCCAGTGAGAGCTCTGTGAAACCAGAAACCAGTAGGTCTTATTCTTTGAATCTTAAGCAACCAACAATATCTGGCACATTACTGAGTTTCCATTATTTAATTAAAAATTCTTTCGGTTGTTATTTTAATGAATAAGTGTCTGGGTGACTAAAGAAAATGTGATATGTAAGGCTTCTCACATACTCGGTTTTCATAAAACCACAAGTTACCATCTGTTACTAAATTCATGGCCAGATCACATGAGTCAGAGAACAAATCTATAGCAAAAACTGAAGCAAAAGCCCTATATCATCACAGGATACTGTTAGTGTTATCTTTATTAAAAAAAAGAAAGCCATAAGAATGGAATTTAAAAATAAATTGTTTTGAATTGAATGTGCTGAGAGCTATACAATCAAATAAAAATTTAACAAACTGAAATCAAATCATAATTCTTCTCAGAATATTACATTTGTTTCCTGAAGTCTTTCTTATCAAATAAGAAGTGCTTTTTTAACAAATTTGGATAATCCAGGGTTTTTAAAAATACAAAGTTTCATATGAAGATTATGTTGCTAGGAATGTAATGTTTTATTGAAAGCTTCACTGGCAAAATGAGATGATCATAACAATAGCAATAATGATAACAGCGGCAATTTACTTGTTTACTTTGTGCCAGTGACTTTGCTAAGTGCAGTCCATGCATTATATTTTTTAATCGTTACAAAAGCCCCATGAGGTGGGTATTATTACTCTATTTTCATACCAAGGCTGAAAGAAGTTAAATAGTTTGTTCAAGGCCAGTATTCAATTCCATTTCTATGTAGGGGTGCCAGATAAAATACAGGAAACCCAGTTGAATTTGAATTTCAAATTAAATAACACTTTTTGGTACATTTCATGTAGTATTTGGGACATGATTATATTAGAAAATCATTTACTATTTATCTGAAATGCAACTTTAACTGAGTGTCCTGTATTTTATTTGCTAAATCTGGAGACCCTATCTCTATCTGACTCCAAAAAATTTGCATCAGACCACTAGGTTGTATTGCATTCCAATTCTCTCTTATGTACAGGTAAGTACAGGTTTACTTATATGAAATTTGTGGAATAAACTTCAAACATTTAGTAAAGCATCAAGGTCTTTTATAATTTGCCCTCTGTTCTCCTTGTCCCCACATTCAGGGGTGCAGCAAATGCCAAGGCCTTGAAACAGGAGCTGAGCAGTGTGTGCCTGGAAACTACAGAGCTGATGTGGTGTGAATGGGAGAGAACTAGGAGCCAGATCAGAGAGGTAGCAGGGGCCAGATCACGCAAGACTTTGTAGATCAACGTAAGGACTTCGGTATCTATTCCAAGCAAGGTAGGCAGTTATTAGAGAGTTTTAAGTACAATGAAATAGCCTGGCTAAAGCTTTAACACAGCCAAATTGGCAGCTCTTTGGAGAACAATCTGCAGAAGACTAAGGCCAGAAGCAGGGAGTTATTGCAAAATATTCAGTCATTAGCTCATGTAGCTGCTTTGCTCTATAGTAGAACTCATGGTTCAGGCTTTAGGCTGTGTTACTTGGGGTCTTGGTGACAACTTGCAGTTTAGAGCTGGGGACAGGGCATTGTCCTTGCAACTTTAATGTGGAACCTGATGTGGCTTCTCTGGCACAATGAGACCTGAAGGGATCTTACACCAAGTGCACCTTGTGGGTCCTGCACCTCTGAGTGTGAGAGAGTCATACTGGTTCTCACAAAAGGCAGCAGCAAAGTCTGTGGCAAGGCTGCATCCTCAAGGGGGAGGGCAGGTAGTGGGCAGGTAGAAGAAGCACATCATCAGATATGCTCCTGAGCACAGGTGAGATACTTTTTGGGACTCCCAGAAGCAGCTGGGAGAGATTGTGAGGGAGTGGCAAGGTATTGCAGCTATGCAGAGGCTGATATAAAGCCAGTAGACTTTTATTATTAATATAACTGTGACTTAATTTATCCCATGTCTGGAAATGCATGGAAACATTTGGGTCACCAAAATTAAATGCATGAAGTTAAGTAGGACAATAAAACAGAAAATACAGGCCTGGCACAGTGGCTCACACCTGTAATCCCAGCACTTTGGGAGGCCGAGGTGGGCGGATCACCTGATGTCAGGAGTTAGAGACCACTCTGGCCAACATGGTGAAACCTCATCTCTACTAAAATACAAAAATTAGCCAGGCGTGGTGGTGGGTGCCTGTAATCCCAGCTACTCGGGAGGCTGAGGCAGGAGAATTGCTTGAACTTGGGAGATGGAGGTTGTGGTGAGCCAAGATCACGCCACTGCACTCCAGCTTGGGCAACAGAGAGAGACTCTGTCTCAAAACAAAGAAACAAACAAACACACAAACCAGAAAATATACACAAGGATAAAAATGCCCTACAATAAAAACGGAAAGACTTGGCAAAGTTTTTCTGACTTTGGAAAAAAATATATAAGAGGATACAAATGCTCTACATCATAAAAGACTTAACAAAGTCTTTCTGACTTTCTAAGTCTTTTTTTTTTTTTTGTCATAGTGCAGTAGGTCACCTAGACTAGGTCAATTGCAGGACACATGCACCATGGTTGTTTATCTTATCCCTAACTCCATCCAAATAATGGTACTGATTTCTTTATGCCTTCAATATCTGTTCTCAGTAGGACAGGGAAGATAGCTTATGATGGATTGATAGAGTTCAAGACGAAGGTCTTTGAATGCTGTGCTAAAATACGAAAATCAAACAAAATTCAAAATCAAACAGATTAAGTAACTACAGAGTAGCACAAAATGCCTACTCTGTGCCAAGCATGTGCCTTTTAGACATTAGTTCATTCACTCCTCATGGCAATTGTGAGCCAGACACATATTATTGTCAACCCTCTTTTATAGATGGAAAAACTAAAGCCAGTGAAGGCACAGGTAAGTGGCTTGCTCAAAGTCATGGGACTTTGAATATGCTTCTGTCAGACTGCAGGCAGAGCTCTTGTTTCTAACAGTTAAGCCATCCAACCTCCAGGAGAGATTTTGCCTTAATGGCAGAGTTCGTTAACTACAATAAAAATGATTGAAATCAAGTGAGATGGCAAGAGTAGCAAGTCTGAAATAAGAGGGGACACTTATTACAAAGGGATCAGAACTCTTGAAGAGGAGGGATTCCAGGTGGAAAGCTGGAAGCAGAGATACCTGCTTATTACACTTTCTCTCACATCAAAGGCTGAGTCATATCCCATTTCTGTTGAGAACAGATGGCCAGTGGACATGCATGACCCATGCAGGTCACCTAGGCCAGGTCAGTTGCAGGACACATTCACCATGGCTGTTCATCCTATCCCTAACTCCATCCAAATAAGGGTACTGCTGTCTTTATGCCCTCAATATCTATTCTCAGTAGGACAGGGAAGATAGCATATGATGGATTGACAGAGTTCAAGATGAAGGTCTTTGAATGCTGTGCTAAGATACATGCCAAAATCCAACAGATTGAGTACTACTTTCTTCCTTGTAATTTACAATTCCAACTAATTCAGTTGGCACTACCTTTGTGGAACATGTCTCACAGTTCTTGTTTGTCCTCTAGCCAGCATTCATTCAAAATGATAAGAAAAAGAAAGAGAAGCGCAGTTGATAAGGGGGATCATCCAGGTGAAGGACTTCATTAGGAAAGAAACAAAAAGTCTCAAAAAGAAGGAGACATTTTCAGCCTTTCTTATAAAGAAAGACCAAGAATACTGATCAGAATGCTTTATGCATTCCAGTTTTTCAATGGTGTACCAGAATGTTTACTTTCAGTTGTCTTCAACTGCAGGATTGGATTTGAGGTCCAGACCTTCCCCAGTGTGCACAGAAATTCAATACCTGGTAAGCCCAGGTGACTTACTGCTTAGTTGAATGTTTTGTTAAATCCTGAAAGATGTATTACAACGTAGTACTCAGCTTTCATGTCTAAGTATTACACAGTTCAGCTAGGTAAATCTACTGTGGATTCTTGCTAGATTTGCCTGATTTGATTGTGTGTAGTCAGCAAAAGGAAAAGTAATTATAAGTAGAATTCAAAAGAACTCAAATTCTCCTTAATCCATTTAAATGTTTTGCTTGTCTATAGTTTCCTTTGGGAATTGATGGTTTAGCTCTGTAGTTTCAAACCTTGGTTTGATAAAGCACAGATTCCAGGGCTGCTTCTTGAGATAATCTATGTTGGCATTTTAGCACCCCAGGTATTGAGTGTAAGTTGACCAAAAACTCTCCTTTGGAAAACACTGGATTAGCCTAAGGCTCCATAACACATCTGAAAGCTTTATAATGTCCTAGAGTGTTCACAGAAGCCTTTTCTCATACACCTGAGGAGAGCTCATTTGCTTTTTTGAATTAGCACTGTGTTAAGCACTAGCTTTCCTATAGTATTTCCATTATGGCAAAGGCCACTTTAATTTTGGATGATGTTATTTTATATAAAGGGGAATACAGATTTGGTGGATATAAATATAGAGAATAAAAGAGATTGAAATGTTGTATTTGTGAAGTTTCCAGTAGTTTTTATTTTTTAAAATTCACCTTTACCTACCTATGTATAATGTGAATTATCTAATGCTTTTGGGATTTTAAATATATTTTCCATAAAATGATCTGGGGACAATGAAGGATGATTTGAATATTGTTTATTCAATTTTAGCACATGTCGTTTCTCTAATTTGTCATCCTTCAAGGTAAAGTTCCAACCCCATTTCTGCCAGGAGTCTTTATTGACCATAGTGGCTATGTCTGGTTCCCCAACTATAAACTATGTTTTTTGTATGGTTCTTACCATGACATGCTGCATTGTATTTTTTGTCTGTGGCCTTTATCCTCAGTTAGTTCATATCTTTCTTATTTTCCTTCTTTATCCCCAGCAGTCAATCAGTGAATACTTGCTAGTGGATTTATTCAGAAACACGACTATAGTAGTGGTTTCATAGTGTATGTATAGTGCATCAATACAGAATTTAACTGTAGATAAATCCAAATTTTGACTTCTATGCACTACTGAAATATATAGGTATAGATTATTGTAGAATCACAGATTTTTAGTCTTGGCTGGCTGCTTATAAATTATAAAGTCCGAGCTTGTTTTTTGTTTAGTTTTTCTGTTTTTGTGCATGAGGAAATCAGTCATCTGTCTGGTTTTTTTTTTATTATACTTTAAGTTTTAGGGTACATGTGCACAACGTGCAGGTTTGTTACATATGTATACATGTGCCATGTTGGTTTTTTTTTTTTTTTTTAAGACAGAGTTTTTGCTCTGTTGCCCAGGCTGGAGTGCAATGGCTCAATCTCAACTCACAACAACCCCCGTCTCTTGGGTTCAAGCGATTCTCCTGCCTCAGCCTTCTGAGTAGCTGTAATTACAGGTACCTGCTACCATGCCCGGCTAATTTTTGTATTTTTAGTAGAGATGAAGTTTCACCATGTTGGCCAGGCTGGTTTCAAATTCTTGATCTCAGGTAATTCACCCACCTCAGCCTCCCAAAGTGCTAGGATTACAGGCGTGAGCCACCATGCCCAGCCAGGAAATCAGTCCTCTCTCTACAAGACACTAAGCTACTTGAGACAAGGAGCCATACTCTTAAACATTTCCTTTCATACATAAAGCAAGGACTTTAGTTATCCCTGCATTTTTGGTAGCACCTGGTGCACACATGATAGATTCCCAAATGTTAGTTGAAAGAATTGCTTCATGGAAATCATTTTCACTAAGTGTATATTTAGAACTAGACATTATGTAGATAGTCTGTGCTCATATCTTTGGCTTCTCACCACCTCACAAGGGGCACCACCACCTACAGCTACCCTACTAGCTCATTTTGTTGAATTTCCTTCACTTCAGATCCAATTCTTATTTCCTGTTCATTCTTTTTCAAGAGCATTCTGGATTTGCCTTGAGCAGCCAAATGGGCATGTGGATACCAGCTCTTCTTTGTGAGAAAAACTCTAATTATATTGTATCTTTGCTGTTCAAATCTATGATGCCCTTTATTACCTAAAAAGAAAATATTTGTGCTTTTATTTCACTTTTTGGGAACCAAGGATGGTTTGGTTCAGTAGCCTGGAAAGGAGATAACAGTGAACACCAGACTAGGGAATTTTCTCTTGGCCAATCACTAGGAGAGACTCCTTAGTTTCAATCCGGATTGCAAGGACTGAGTGTTAAACCCTTCCTCATTTATTATTTTCCAAGTCTTAGAAACAAAATGATATAATAGAGATAGGATTTATCTCTAGTTCCCTAAGCCTCCAATGATAATACCAGGGTTGAGGGAGAAAACCTGATGAGTACCTCCAGGCAGGTGCTCAGTTCTAATCAGCTATTTTCTGTGTGTTTAGAGTATAGTCCAGATACCATGGTTTGGATTTATTGCCATGACTGTATGGTTAAGCCTTGCTCTTTCAGACATATTGCTCCTAGGAAACATGCATCCAGAGTAAAACTGAAACAGAATGGTTTTTGAAATTTCTGATCTTGCCTATTTTGTAAAAAAAGAAAGTCAAGAGAGACTCAGAGAAGTTATTTGGTTAGGTAGTTCAATTGGACTGATAATGACAGATCTGGGACTGAAATTGGCCATGCCCTCCCTTTCTTGTCAGCCTTTCCATAACTGTCTTACTCTTTCACCCTCTCATCCAATATTTGGAGTGACTTCATGCCCATGTAGATGACTCATCTTGCATCTGAGCCCCTCATTCCTTAGATTCTTCATCTGCTGTGACTTTCGCACTGATCCCACTTCTATCACTCCCTCCCATAGAACATCTCATCATCTCTTAAACTGTCCACCTCTGAAATATCTCGGTCCCTAAGTACAGACTTTGTTTTTCTTTTATTCATTTAGTTCCTCTTTCTCTAGTCCTTAATGGTATATGTAGGGGCTTTTTGTTCCCTTTGTGCCTTTATTTTCTCATTTTTAAACTGCCCCCCACAACCGTGTTCCTTTCCTTCCCTGTTGGTTAGATTCCATGACCCATCTAGTCAGCCACTCTTATTTATTTATTTTTTTACTAATATCCTAACTCCTTTTATTTATTGTTTTTTTTTTGCACTATCTGACAAAAATGCAACTTTGAACATGTTTGCTTTCTTCATGCTTCCATAAGGGCTGATAAAAGCCAATGGAGAAAAGGCAGATTGATAACGTGATAACAGTAGTTCTCAAAGTGTGATCCCAGACCAGCAGCATCAGTATAATTTAGGAACATGTTACAAATACAAATTCCTAGAGCCCCCTTCAGCATACTGAATCAGAATCTCTCAGAATGGGACACAAGAATCTGCGTTTTTACAAAGTTCTCTAAGTAGTTCTGATACATCTTAAAGTTTGCAAAATACTACTCTATTAATTCTTGATCTTTAACCTTAACTGGCTACTAACACTGCCAATCTTTATATGTTTTTTAAATTAGTAATCTTTAGTGTTTTCCATAGGAGCCTTTTCAAATCTTTTTCATTCCCCTCAAATCTGTGATAGTGCCCATCTCTCCTCATTCCCCAGAGGTTATCACTCTCTGACTTATCTTAGTTTGTGCTTGAACTCCCTCAAACTCCTGCCACAACATCCTTAGACTAATCACAGTCACTTGCAGTGGATGAGTCTTCAGGTATGTATACTTGTGGTCTAGATCCCTTTCCTTTCAGCATTGGGGATCTTTTCTCTTTCTCTTCACCAAGTTCTCTCTCTCTACTGGCATCCTTCACCTAATCTCATCACAACTTAACATTCACACTCTTTGGGATTTTGACTCTGTGTGTGATGAAAAACATTGTAGGGTTTTAAGCAAGGAAATGGCATTATCTGACAGATAGTTTATAAAGATATTTACCCTTCTTCTGTGGAGAATGGGTTGCATGAGGCAAGAGTTGAAGCAAGAAAACCAGTTTAGATATTATGGAAAATCTGAAGAGCAGGGATCGTGGCTTGGGTCATGGTACTTGTTGTGGAGTTGTAACTAACTTTGGGGGTGTGAGTTGGAAGTAGCATTAACAAGGATAAAGGTGGGGGCCAAGGATGATCTTAGTCTTTGGTTTTAATAACTATGTGAATGGCGATGCTGTTTACCAGAATGAGGAAGCCTGGGAAAGTGCAAAATGACTAGAAAAAAATCAAGACTGTTTCTGGCCATGTTAAGTTTCAATTGTTTATTGGAGAGCTATGTGGTGATAGGCAACTAAACATTTGACTCTAGAGTCCCATGAAGAGATCAGGGATAGAAATGTGAATTTAGGAATCTTGGCCTATAGATAATATTTAACGCTCTAGTATTTGATGAAGACATCTTGGGACAGGGTGTAGAAAGAGAAGATGGCCTAAGACAAAACCCTGAGCTACCCAATATTTAAAGTGGGAGCATGGAGGGAAAATTTCTAGTACAGGAAACTGATAATGAGCAAGTGGTAAATTAGGAGAATTTCTCAGAAGAAGGAAGTGGTCAGCTTATGAAAAATTCTGCTGAGAAGTAAATTAAAATAAGAACAGAGAAGTAACCATTGTAAATGGCAGCATGGAGGCCTCCAGAGAGCTCAAGGAGTGTAGTCACAATGGAATCCTGACAGCAGAGATCTGATTAGAATGAGTTGAAGAAATCATGTTGTCGAATTAGTCCTGCTGAATCATGTAGTCCTGCCTAAGGAGAAGCTGGGACATTTGTTTGTTCTTTAATCCTTAATCAATAGATTCCTGAAATCAATGTCAGTCTAAGAACAGGTGCTTGTGTTCTGCAAACTGATACAGACTTTCATGGAAATAGGGGTGGTTGTTAAAAGTTCATATTTGAAAAGTTTAAATGAAGGTGCTGGCTGGGCACAGTGGTTCACACATGTAATCCCAGCTCTTTGGGAGGCCGAGGTGGGCAGATCACTTGAGGTCAGGAGTTTGAGACCAGCCTGGCCAACATGGTGAAACCGCATCTATATTAAAATTACAAAAATTAGCTGGATGTGGTGGCAGGTGCCTGCAATCCCAGCTACTCGGGAGGCTGAGGCAGGAGAATCGCTTGAACCAGGGGGGCGGAGGTTGCAGTGAGCTGAGATCATGCTACTGCACTCCAGCCTGGGGGACAGAGTGAGACTCTGTCTCAAAAATAATTAATTCAATAAATAAACAAAAAATAATAAAGGTGCCATAAATTTTAACAGAGCTGGCATGTTAAAAGTTAATATAGAATCTATGCAATTCAGCTGTCTTGGAAACTATTGATAAAACAAGCACCATGACAAAATGAGTTAAGTAACTAAAGGTACAGTATTAAACTGGAACCTGATTTTTACCTGGGATAAGCCAAATTTAACATGATCAGTCCATAGATATTTGGAAGTTGGCGACATATATACCCACATTTGCCCGCATATCATTTTTATTAGTTAAGTCCTTTGAGATAGTATATTTAATTTCATGCTTGATAAAATATGAGAAATAACATCCTCATCAGCATACATTTACCAAGTCCGTGATGTGGTTATGCAGGAAAGGACATCTGGAAATGAGCAGTATAATGATTACAATATTAGGAAAATACAACTTGTAAAGAAGCAGGTCTTAGCCAAATTCCCAACTCATAATAACTGATTATCAGGCAGTACAGGCATTGAAAATGATGAACTGGCCATCTACCAAAGTGTCATCTTAGGGAGCACACTGTAGACAAGACTGTTGGCCATACAAATAGTATAAATAATTATCATCAGTTAGTAAACCAGGTATCTTCCAGTATATTGTAGTTTGTTACCAGGATATTATATCCACATATAGTTCACTTGTAATTGCATAAATGCAAGGTTCCTTTTGCAATGGAGCATTTTGGAGAGAATCTTTCACTTTGGACTTTAAATATACCTAATCTCTTACATGATATTTATTTTGCTCCTTCATTTAGACTTTCCTATTTTAAGTTAGCAATAAAGTATTGAGCACTTATTATGTGCAAAGCACTATACTCATGTTCCCTTAAATATATGCATATAAGAGAAATAAGCCCCAAATGATTTAATCCTTATTTTAGAATGAATGAGTTGCTAACATGCTAGTGTTGTTACCCAAAGGGTGTGAATACCAAATGTTTCTTTCCTACCAGCTCATGACCCCCATCTTCATCGAAGTCCTCCTCTATCCCATCTGTCATCTCTTCTCCATCGGCATCTGGCCCTCCTTCAGCAGGCTCCTCTGTAGAGTGATCTGCAATCTCTGACACACATTCCTCTTGGATCAGCACTAGACTCTCTTCCAATTGCTTCTTCTGAGCTTCTGGGGGGGGGAGAAAGCAAATGACTACTACCTTGGGTTGCTCATGAGCCATTTGGATAAACCATGAAAAAACAGTCCATGAAAGGGTAAACGCTATATGCTATTAAAGGTGTACAGAAGGTAAGGTAATATTATGCTTTAAGTTGAATTTTTTCAATCATGTAAATCATGTACAGATTTCTATGTGCACTTACATGTAAGCATATTTATTTAACAGAATTAGCAAAAATTAGGGAATCCAGATGGTAGTAGTACATAAATTAGTAAGATTTACATAAACAGATTGATCTTTCTGGCTACTTTATTTTATATATAGTGCTTTCTAATAAGGATGGTCTTTCTGAGAGGAAAAATAGAGCAAAAACAAATGGCAAAAATCAGATACAACATAGAACTTTTTCACTCAAGGAAGCAGGATTGAGAAAATTCATTGACAAGTTCAAACCTAAGTGAAAAAGACAAAAACTCACTGAGGAAAAAAGTACAAAAGCAAATATGTTGTTTTTCAGACAACATGTCTGTGTGAATAATTGCCGGAAATTTTAAAGTCTAAATTATGTTGACAGATGTGGTTAACTTCAATGGTTAAGAACATAAATTCTGGGGTCAGACAACCTGGGTTCAAAGTTGAGCTTCATCACCTAATAGCTTTGTGATGCTGTGCAAAGTGGAAATGATTAACCCTCCATGTGTCTCAGTTTTCTCATCCATGCAATAAGGACAACTATTTCCTAAACTTTCAGGGTTTGGTATAGTGAATCAAAGTGTTAGTATAGAGACTTGCAAATAATAAGTGCTCAACAAATGAAGCTACACTCCACATTACTAGAATTTCCTCTAGTTGTCAGGATCTGTGCATTCCATATACAGAAACCTGCTCAAATGGAAATTGTGCTGACAGCATCGTAATTATTTCCTCTAGTGGGTGGTATTCATCCCCTATGATAATACAAAGAAATGTTGGGTATCCGATAAATTAGATCATTGTATGTTCCTCCTTCTCTAACTTATTCCCATGTGTTCATGACTATTCAAAAGTTGGTTGTTTTCACTAATTTTGCTGGGTTATTTTTTATCAGATGATTAATCTATCCTTTGATCTGAGTTTTTAAATAGCCTAATTTTTTATCTTATTTATTGATAATTTATGACAATAAAGGTAGTTTATAGAGCTAAATAACTTTAGGGTATTCATTTCTGGTCTTTTTCATAACGTGAGATAAAAGGAAAATGAGCATTGATATAAACATTTTGTCTCAGCACCAAACTTTCCAAACATAACTAATATATAAATCAACAAACTGATATAAATATAATGTACAAATAAGCAAATAAGCAGATATTCTTTCCAAGAAATTGCTTATAATTAAAATAATAATTACTTTTATAAATAAATGTGTATCTATACTTTCTTGCATTTTAATTCTCCAAATGATAAAGTTTATTGAAAATAAGACAGTAGTAAAGGGTTGCCGTGCCTTGCCTCTGTTGTCAGAGTTTAGTTACTCTGAGCTCTAGTTGACAAGATTCTAGCTCTAGCTTTGTTACTTACCCACAGAATTATAGACACTGAGTTTGAGTCTAAGTTTTGGCCATTTGTTCGGGGCAGGTCCTTTAAGCACATTAAGTCATTCTTTCCTCATCTATACCTACCTCTGGGTTTTACTGTGAGAATTAGCAGAGCTTATATTTGGGAAATGTTTTGCAAATTATAAAGGACTACATAAATGTGTTCTATTATATACAAAAGGTAGACGGTATGCTCTTCACTGAATAACAACAACAGTAAACTTAGATCAAGAGGCCTGTTGAGATCACAGAACAACACTCATGGGGCTGAGGCTGTGTTTCAGAGGAGAAAAAGAGCTGGTAGATCAAACCAAGGCTGGAAATAATTACTACGGGTATCATAAATGACCAAAACATAGGCTCTTTTTCATTAAGAGAAAGACATTTACTTCATATAAATAGACACAAGCTATACACGCCTTGATGTTTTTAAAATCAACTTATTAGGTTCAAATTTCTCCATTTAACAACATTATTTGTGCAGTAAGGATGTGAATTCTGCTTTTAAAACTATACTTTTTATCTTGATATGCATATACAGATGTACTGATGGAAGGAAGTATAGTACATAAATTCTTCCCATTTTTCCTAATGTCTATATAACATTTAGCACAGAAAGTCCTATGAAGACTATAAAGTGGTTATTGTAAAATGTAACCAAGATTTTTTCTAAATATAGAAAATTATTATCCAATTTAAGAAGGTAAAACTGAGTTAAAGAAAAAAATCTGTTTAATCTAGAGAAGACTCAGTTGTTTGAATTCAAAGGAAGTTAAATAAGGCAAGAAAGACCAAAACACTCTCAATTTTACTCTTACTGAAGATTTCTAGGTTTTATTCTCATTTTCCTTCCACATATCATTCATTGTGCTCTACAGTTCTAGATCTGTAACCTAGGTTAACCCACATACACATCTATTAGTAGGCTCCACTGAGAAAATGATGTGATAAGTTGACTAGCTCGAGCATTGGACAGTTTTGAATCCTTTACCATTAATCACATCTCTTGTTCTATTCTGTTGCCTCTCCTATCACTGATCCTTTGACTGCACAATGGAGGTGGCTACTCTGGTTTTGGCCCCCCACTCTTCCTCCTAAAAGAAGTTTTTGTACACATCATCTAAACCGCTCACTTCTTGCCACTCTATGTCACCCTGCCGCTTGTTCAAAATGCCCTAGCTTTCAAGACCTAGTGTTGGTACCTGAAGAAAGAGAGAGAAATAGAAATTTGGGATTCTTATAATTCTGTACAGTGAAAAATGCTTTGAATCTTATAAATTTTTTAAACCCAAACATTCTCAATGTCAGGTCATTGTGTTTATCTTTTTGTTACAACACATAAATGGACTTTTGCTTAAGATTGACATATATTAGGAATTCAATTGGCCTAGTATATCCATTTCTTCTCTAATGATTCCAGAAATATTTGCTCTTTGAGAACTCTTACTTTTTGATGTTGAAAGTAACATATACATATGTGTGTGTGTGTAATATATATACATATATGTGTGTGTATATGTGTGTGTGTGTTTGTGTGTATATGTATATATAATTTTTTCTCTAGAAGATCTCTGGCCAAGGAAGCATAGCAGATTTTCAAAGGACCCCTGTAGGACCACACTTTAAACATGCATAGTCCTCATCTGGCTTCATGTATCAATTTGTTTCAGCTTGTATCAGGAAAGCTGACTTTCCTGATCTTCCCAGCTGAATGTAATCTTTCCCTCTTTGATCAACCAAGGCCCTGATCAAATGCTGTCTTATAGTTAGTTCTACTGTTTTCTCATCTTCTTCTCATTAGTGTTTAAGCTTCCTGGAAAGTTGAGCTATTGCCTCAGAAGATCGTTGTCACACTCAAAAAGGATGATACAGAGGTCGATCTTTAGTAAACTGAAAGGCACAATTCAAGTCAGTTATCAAAACATTTTGATGTGCTCCGTACCCCTCACTGAATGCCTTGCACATGAAGAGATAAGGTATCAGGAAGGATATAGGGTTTGAGATCCATACTTCTGCTAATTACTAGTCCTATTAATTGTAATTTTCTTCTCTAAAAGGTAAGCATGAAAATAACATCTATTTCAGAGTTGCTGTGTGCTCTAACGAAGAAAAAGATGTGACTGTGTTTTTTAAACTGCAAAGACCACACAAACATGTTATAACAGGCTCAAAACAGTTCTTGAGTTGAATCTATATTTATTTCTTGATTGCTATAGACAAATTTCCCATGTCAAAATTATTCGCCCCTACTGATCATTAAGAATCAGGCATTATAAAGATTATCTTGGGTTTTGGTTTCAACACAGCCTTTTTAGTTCTATGTTTAGACAGGCATAGTCCAGTACTGATATGGTTTGTCTGTGTCCCCACCCAAATCTCATCTTGAATTGTAGCTCCCATAATACCCATGTGTTGTTGGAAGAACCCAGTGGGAGATAATTGAATGATGGGGGTGGTTTCCCCCATTATAGTAAATAAGTCTCACAAGATCTGATGGTTTTATAAGGGGTTTCCCGTTTCTCCTGGCTCTCATTCTCTCTTGCCTGCTGCCATATAAGATGTGCCTTTCACTTTCTGCTATGACTGTGAGGCCTCCCCAGCCACATGGAACTGTGAGTTCATTAAACCTCTTTTTCTTTTTAAGTTACCCAGTCTTGGGTATGTCTTTATTAGCAGCATGAGAACAAACTAATACAGTATATAGTACATAGACATAGTTACTCTATTTTTTGTATTAACATACAATATACATGTGATTCTGACGATGTATTTCAAAGGCAGTGGTATATTAATACAGTTCATTGCAAAAAATCCTATATATTATTCTCATCATCCAATCATTAACTTGAAAGCTAAATGCTTGGAAGTCATTATCTGAGTTGAGGGAAAAAAAAGCTTTAATTATAATGGTATTGAGTCACAGGAGTTTAACAAATACAATCAGCCTGTGTGTTAGTAATAGGTAGTCAACATAGCTTTTGTCATCATCTCAATGGGAAATATTATAATCACTAAACAATGATAGGTTCCATGAATAAAATCACACATGAAAGCACATCTTCTTTATTAAACTGTTGGTTCACAGTTTAATAGGCAGTTTTGATTCAGTAATTACATTGCTGAAGTAGAGATAAAGCAACTTGTTCTTTTTTTATGAATAATTATCTAATTTTACTTTTCTTGGAGATGAGTAACGTTTAGTTCGTTCTTTATACAATTCTCTTTATTTGCATAGTTATTCTTCTAGTCATCACTCTTTTTACTGTCAATGTGATTGTGTGAGTGTGTATGTGTGTTTGTGTGTATGTGCATTTCTCTCTCTGCTGCTAAAGCTTCTTTGGGTCAGAAACATTTTTATTATTCATCTTTGTTTACCTGGTGGCTAACTCAGACCCTTAATCACAAGTTAAGTGTTTGCTGAATATATTAATGAATTGTGGAATCAACTAATTAAAATAAATATCAAATGTGTCAAATTCTTTTCAGTTAAAGTGACAGTTGAATTTTGCACACCATGGTAACAAAAATATAAATCCAAGATAACTTAAAAAGAAACAAAACTGAAAAACCTCGTTGCCACATTCTACATGACAATCCCAAACCACAAAGTCAAAGTAAAATGTGAGGTCTGAAATTTTCTGGGAAGAAAATTGTTTGTGTTTATATTGACAAGTCTTCAAGAGAAAAATGAAATGTGAAGTCTTCCAGTGCTTATTGGAGGAGGGCTGCCTTCGAACACTGGCATCTTTTGGAGTGTCTGTTGGCTTCTTTAAGTCAGAGTGATGGATGACCATAGCATTTCTTTTGTGAAAAGAGAAATGAGTATTAGATTTTTTTTAAAGGTCGATTAGAAGCCAAAAAGCCAACAGCTTATGTAAAAAGACACCTCTAAGACACCTACATTATGGATTACAAAAAGAAACGGTTTATAATGGCTACAAGTTAGTGTGTGCTTATGAAGTGCTGACCATGTAAGATTCATTAACTTTAGTCCTTGAAATATACTGCAATGTAGGCTTATTTATCATTTTACACATGGGGAAACTGAGGCACAAATAAGTGCTCATGGTCACACAGTAATAAGTGCAAGAGCTGGAATTCCAAGTTTAAATTTCTGATCTTATAACCTTGGCTGTTTTCTAATATATCTCTAAAAAAAGAAGGCCTAATTTGACATACCAAGGGAATACTTCAAATCTCTTCAATAACCAATTTTAAGTTCAAGAATGAAGAAGTCTGTTTAGTTAGGGGCACATGTTCTAGTTAGCTAAACAATGACTATCAAAGGAAAAGAAGTACAAATTACAGGTAAGTATTTCTGTTTAAGGGAAAATGCCTAAAGCTTTAAAAAACCATGAAAGAAAAGAATTTAATATTAAATTCCAATCCTCATATTCAAATATTTTTTCTGCACATCTCATCTCTACTTCAAAAAGCTATCTACGATTCAGAAAACAAGTTAGAATTGTTGGGATTTATGTTCAAAGTGTTTTTATTAAATTGAGTTTGCTGCATAGCTATTATCATTAATATAACTATGAAAATTGGTTGAGTTGGCAATTAAGTTTTTTGACATGCTGGCTTAATTGCTAGATAATTGCTAGCTGAATTGTACTTAGCAGATGGTTGGAAAGAATGTTGATACAAAAACAGTCACATTATTCACTAGAGCCAAGTTAGTATCCTTGAATCATTGTTTTTGCATACAAGCATAAACTGTATTTTAAGAAAAATTTTATATTACAACACCTGTATATAGTATTAATTTAACTCAATGGTTCCAATAAATTCCATTTAGAAAAATACAACTTATTTTGGATGGTATTACTATCAGCCACATAAATGAACATCAGGAAAATTACATAGAATGTTTTAGATGAATATATTAGTTATGTGAGTACATTTTTGGAGGAAATGGCTTCAAAGTTGTTCACATGAAATACCCTAGATTGTTGAGATGACACAAATGCAACATAAATCATTTAAAAATTACTGGTATATAATTGTGTTTATTTAAATCTAATAATGGTTTTAGTAGAGATATTATATAATCCTTATAAAACCATTTAATAGGTTTTATAAGGACTTTTCCAAATTTCATTCAGCTAGTAAGTTAAACTAGGTCTCTAGTGGGATGTGAACCTAGTTTTGTTTTATTCCTGTCTGGGACCTTAGATAATGTAAATCTGTTTTCCACAAGGAAGGTGAATTCGGGAGGAAGCAAACCAGAAGTGGAGACCAACTAAAAGGTGATTTTTAGGGGGATGAAAATGTCCTAACTGATTTGTGGTGATGGTTGTATCACTTGGTAAAATCACTAAGTCATTGAATTGTACTCTTGAAATGAGTAAATTTTATTCTATGTAAACTGTACCTCAATAAATTGGTGTAAAAAATAAGATGAATGCAACAGAACATGTGAGAGATGATGAGGGTTTGGGTATTGGCGTATCTTTAGGAAAATAGAGGGAAGGGGTGAAAAATATACCCAAGGTAAGATTTGGCAACACTGCTATGGTAGGAATAGAGGATAATGTTGAGACTGGCAATTTGATGGACAGGATTTATGTAATAGTGATGACAGAGATAGGGTACAGAGGAGTATATCTAGGTAGGAAAGTGAGGAGAAAGAATTCAATTTTGAAAGACTGTGATTGAGTTATTCACAAGATGGCTTCAATATTCCCCTTGGCTTGACTAAACTACAGGTAGGTTTCTTCCTGACCATAGGCCCTGGAGCATCCTTTCCTTAGAGTGTTTGCTTTAGCAAACTTGCAATTGTAAATTCTTTCTCTGCCCATTTGAGAGGCAAATTTTCTGTAACCCAGGAATATTTTTCTTAAGATTCAGGAGCTATCTCTTTGACATGTTATCATTGAATAAGATAGAGCCATTGTCTTCCAGTCTCCTTGGGAGAGTAGCAGCCTAACTTTAATAAGAGCTAATTAGCAAACACAGATGGTGGCCAAATATCCTCCTCCAACATCCCCCAATACTTTTCCATTAGCTTGCTCCAGCATTCAAGAATCTGCCTGCCTTTAGCTCATTCTAGAATTCAAAAAATTATTCTGCCTTTTATTTTTGCAGAGTTGAGTTCAATTTTATCTCCTATTGCAATAGTCTTGAACAAAGCCTTCCTTGCTGCTTTTAGTAAGTGTCCAGGGCAATCTTGCCTTTACAGTTAACTGAGGAAGCACTACAGGAAGCACTCCAGTAAGCAGTTGAAAGGTTTGATCTAGTTGCTAAGGACAACTCAATGTCTTTTCACCCCCTTATATTTAACTTCTTTAAAATATTTAATTTTTGTACTCAAATATTTCTACAAGCTTGCTATGGAAAACAGCAGCGTTTTGTTCCTACCTGTTCACCATTTCCAGCTCCTTAAAGGCTTTCCACTCACTTGGCTGAATCTTTTAAATACATGCACTCCTATCTCTAAATATTGTTTATATTGCTACTTCTCGATCAGTTTTATGCACTATCTGTTGACATTATCCCTAGGAAGCTGAGGATTCAGTTCTTGGTCCTATAATCCCCATTCACTTCCCATCTCTCTAGAGAATCATATTGTAAATTGGATTTAATAAATTTTCAGTTTTTACACAATTTTTATGGTGAAAGTACTTTGTGCAGCTAAGTTGTTAGTACAGGATGAATACTTTTTCTTTCCTGAAGAATATTTTATTTTCTCTAGAATTAAAAATTGCCTCAAGTTTTAAAAATTCGTTCTCTATGTGCTTCTCTTTACGTACTTATGCAAACTTACCCCTCCTTCTCAACCAATCCTCTTTCCCACCCAGTAGCTATTTCATCAATTTTGATGTCTTAAAAAGTCTATCCCAGAGCTTTTGAGCAGTTCTGATCTGGACTCATTTCTTTCCAGATCTCTTGCACAGCTCATCTCCTAGGATCTCTGTTACCTCTATCTTGAGAATTCCTTTTGTTTTTTGCTTTTAGAGTCCATGCTTTAGGAAGGCTCTGTTTTTCCTCTTTCTTGGTTTATCGCTGTGTTTTTGGTGAAGTACTCTTTTTAGTACTTTTCAGAGAAAGGGCATATTAAAACAGTTAATTGGAAGGCCATTAGGCTGAGATGGTTCCCGTGCCTTGGGTTCCCACATAGGTAAACTGAAACCCAACTCAGAATGAATACAGATGACCTAGGAAAACTGAAACTAAAGCTTATTCAGATATTCATCGTGTAATTCTCATATCCTTCCCCTATTTTCCATTTCTGTTTTTTTTTCCATATTTTCTGGGAGAGTTTTTCCAATTTTGTCTTCCAATCATTGTATTGAGTTATTTATTTGTGCTATCATATGTTAATTTATAAAAGCTCTTTTATCAGCGCTTTGAATACTCAGTTCTATAATTTTATGTTTTTATTACAGTATCTTCTCATTTCTCTGAGGGTATTAGTGTTTTTTTTTTCTTTTTGAAGTTTTATTCTTCCTGTATATGTTTGTTTCCTCTGACTTCTTTTTTTTTTGGCATTTGCTTATTAACTATGTTCTTTGATCTGGTGATTCTTGTTTGTTCACATTAACAGTAGGGCATTAAAATATTGACTGGCAACTTTGTAAGTATAGAGAGATACTGTCTCTGTAGGTGGTCTGGCTGAGTGATTCCTTAGTTGACCCTCTATCAGCATCTTTAAGTCTTTCCTCTTGGGCTGCTCATGTTCTCAACTGAAGACTCTTCTAGTGTCCTGCCAGTGCTGTGGTAGCTGAGTCAGGGAGAAGGTGGGCATTTCTACAGTAATTACGGAAACTTTCTCCCTCTCTGCTTTTAAGTGCTCTCAAGTTTCCTTATTGTCTACCAGCCCTGAGACCCACTGTTTTACCTTCACTAGAGGAAACTTCTCCAGCCTTCTTTCAAAGTGCAGTTGGGATAGCTGGGACATAGGAATCTGTTTCCTAAACAGACTTTCAACCATTTATTTTCCAGGGGAATATGATGCCTTGAATTCTGAGCTTTTTGGGAGTTTGTGATTAAAATTGGACTTGGATTTCTAGGATGTGCTAAATTAGGTATACCTCCTGTCCAGCTGCTAAACCCTTTCCTTGTTTTTAATGCAGCTTCAAGAGAAAACACTGCTCAATTCATGTGTTTAATTCATCATCTTTAACCGGAAGCATCACCAATTCAATCTGAAGTGTCAATGAGAGCAGTAAGGTATTCAGAACAGAAATGGTAGTCATGTTATAGGCTACAGCAGTCAGATCATATCTGGAGCAACACTTTCCATTCTGAGCAACGTAATCTGTGTTGACAAACTACATAATGACTAGAGAAGAGAGATGGCAATAGTTTAAGGTGCAAAACCAAGTTAAATGAGAAGCAACTAAAGGAACTGTTGATATTTCTCTAGACCAAAAAGGCCTCTACGATGCTGTGATCAAAATTTGAATGCAGTTAAGATGAATACCCATAGGCCAATGATATCAACTCTCTGTTCAAAGGTTTTGGAGGGGTGAGAATACTATAGCTCCCTTTAAATATATATGTGTGTGCGTATATGTGTATATATATATATATATATTTATTTGTTTTGAGATGGAATCTCGCTGTCGCCCAGGTTGAAGTGCAGTGGCGTGATCTCAGTTCACTGCAACTTCCACCTCCTGGGTTCAAGCAATTCTCCTGCCTCAGACTCCTGAGTAGCTGGGATTACAGGCATGTGCCACCACATCCGGCTAATTTTTGTATTTTTCGTAGAGACAGGGTTTCACCATGTTGGCCAGGCTGGTCTCGAACTCCTAACCTCAAGTGATCCACTTGCCTCAGCCTCCCAAAGTGCTAGGATTACAGGTGTGAGCCACCGCGGCCGGCCACTCCCTTTAAATTCTTAATTGACTGTTGTATCACAAAGAATTAGACATTAAGTTTCTTTTCAGAGAACATAAGAGTGATAACTGAACCAAGTGAAAGCAAAATACATTTTAGCTCAGTGTAAGGAAAACCTGCAATGGGAGTCTCAGACATGAATGTGAACAGGGACCAAATAGATAATATAAATACATGAACTGGCTGGATAAAGATATTAGCAAACTGAAAAGTGCATGCCATGTGTAGAGTGATTGAGTAGCAGTATTGAAAAGTTCAATATTTTCAAAAGAGCTCATATTTTGAGATTTGTTTACAATACTCCAATTTTTGGACATTAATTTATTTTTGAAAACTTCATCTCTTATACCAAACATATGGGTAGGATGAATTTATCTTGTGGGACTCCTGCTTGTAACCTCTCTAAGACGTAAGTCTAACATCCCAATGTTATCACTGGAATTGTCCCAGTCAGACTTGGCTGCTCATGTATCAGGAATAACAGTGAGAATAAAATTGAACTAAATAATGTCTAATAATTGCCTTTTCACTTCAGAAAGTCTGCACTTGAAATGTAATTTTTTAAAAAATGTAGTTACCCATGGAGTAACTGTTCCCATTGCATGCTATCCAGTCTTTTTACTTTTCCTTCTTGTGCTTTTCACTGTTTTTGTTCACTTAACATCTTTGCGTAAAGCATGTAATTTGTGCTATGCATATGTGGCAACTTATATGCGGCTCTTTTAAAAGAATCATCTAACAATGAGGCAAAATTGCTGGCCGAACTGATTTTAAGTGTTACTTGTGGTTTTCTATAATCTACATAGTCACTATATCCCCAAAGAAGTTGTGTGATGTAATGGAAAAAATAATACATGCATGGTGGATTCACAGTAATCATAGTTTTAGAAGCCAGAATATACATTTGAGGCCATAACCCATTCCTCTAGTTTACATTTGAAAGACTTGAGACCTAAGAGAGTTAAATGACTTGCTAAGTTGTGCCCAGTACATAATACCTGGTGTTGGGTAGAGTTAGGGAAGAGAAGACATGATCTTGTTCTGAGGAACTTAACAATCTCAAATGACAGGACACCACACACACATCTATTTGAGCAATTTAAGGTATAGAAAATCCAAAGTAATGTACTGAGAGCTTAGGAGTTCGCTTCCAAAAAAAAGATACTATGGAACTTGACCTCAGGCACAGCCCATGTTGTGTGTCCTTCCCCACACTTTCAGATTCTCCATCTCCTTCCTGCCATTATTTCTCTGCTGGAAAATTTCACTATTAAATAAATAACTAATAGTAAATTAGGAGTGAGAAATTTATGAAAGAGTAATAATGAAGAGTAAATGCTAGCTACCAAGTAAGTAATTAGCTTTCAACTAATTAAGCATTGTAATGACTGTCCCCTTGAATAAGGAGCCACTGAGCATTTTAAAATGAGTTTTAGTGCATTTCACTCTACTTTCCATAAGGTAGTGTTAATTCTTTCCAAGCAAACCTGATTTTTTTCGTGAAGAAAATATAGTAAAATATATAAAACATTTATCTTTTATTTCTATAAATACACTATTCAGGAAACAATTACTAAAAGAATGGAGTTACAAATTCATTTTCTTCATAAAAAGTTAAAGAGACATAAATATCAAAGGACTAAGTCTTATTATTTTAAAAGCAACTGTCTCATGACTGTAAAAGTTTAAACATGTTCAAAAGTAAGTGACATCTCATGAAAAAAAGATGCAAGCTTTGAATTTTAGTGTTACATTTCTAAATGATCTTCCAAAAAGATATATGGAAGGTATTAGTCATTGCAGCAAACTGAAAGGTATATTATGATGGAATAAGGACCACATTTTTCTCTTTGAGGTGATTTATATTTAAATGAGTTCTCCATATTTAAATGAGTTCTCCATAATCCTTTAAACTGAAGTGCAAATTGGTTATCAAAGTCCTTTGCTGTAAGGGTTGTTTTACATAATAATGAATTTTACAGAGTTCCTCAAAGGGAAATATTGATTTAGGCAACATGACAGAATATTTCAGTTACAGTAACATTTCAGTGCCATAGACAGCATGTTAAAAACTTTCTAAAATCTATTTTTTTTATTAAAAAGTATAGGCAAGTATGCCTTTCTGAATTGGAAATAATACATTTGTAATAGAAATCTTTAATTAAGAAAGATTCCATTTAGTCTATCATTCCTCATCTACCTTAACAAGGGTTAGTGTGAGTTGACCATGTGCTAGGTACATGGCTTATGTTTTTTAAAAATGAGCCGTATGAAAGTCGGAGGAAATGTCCATTTGCCTGTACATGGGTGTGTTGCTACTAGTCCTTGATAACTCCAATTATTATATTTTTAACTCTGTGCTATATAGTTTACATATGCCACTTTGTTCATTACTCACCATGTGAGGCAGCCATCAGTATCATTTTATAAATGAGAAAACTGTGAATGTGGTATACAGCGATTTGAACCAGAGTTTATTTCTCTCATCCATTATGCTACACTACCACCTCACATGTGCTTCTTTTCATTCTTGAGCCCTGTATGGCTCACTGCCAAGGGTACGCTCCAACCCTCACCCCAGTGATATGAGTCAACAAACTGACAGGCTCCTGTGTGTGGTAGCTCAGGGGCCCTAGGTCCCCATGAGTTCTCATCATTTAGGTGTCACCCAGATAGCCTTACTTTAGTGAAATCCTGGGACAAAGCTCTGAGGAGAACCTGAGATTGGGGCTGTAAATGGGAAAGGGCACTAAATTCAGTTACAAGCCCTGAGTTTGAGACCGAGGTCTATCACTAATTAGATATACAGGTCTAGGAAAATCGATTTACTTTCCTGAGCCTTTGTTTTCTCATCTGCAAAATGAAGAGGTTGGATTTATCAAGGGCTTTCACACTTTATTTATTTATTTATTTTATAAGAAATGGAACTCTTCCAGCAAATTAAGTCTTATGTTGAATGCCAGTATCTAGAACAGATACAGGGAAGTTACACTGGTCAGAGGAAGGGCTGGGATTCGAAGAGGCATAAGTCTGTCTACCTACCGGGTCTCTTCCTAATCCCCATCTTAACTCCAAGGAGGCTTCTGAGGCGTCTAAAGCCTCATAGAGCACACTTTTCAAACTGTGGCCTACTTCTAAGTTTATACCAGGTCTCATATACTTGTGACTCAAAAAATATCTGTAGCCATATGAAAAGAGCATTAGACTGGTACTAGAAAGGAGCTGGGTCAGGGCTGATAATTCAAAAGACAGAGGCTATTAAATTGTAAAATATATGATCAAATAACTTGGCCTGTGGGTAGCCAGGTGCATGGTCTTAGTCTTGATGTTCCTGAACTTGGGTACTGAAGTCTTTCAGGGTGGCAGCAAAGGCAGGAGTTGGGCATTATAATAATTGTTGAAACCTGTCAAATTTTGCTGCAGTTAATTTAATTATATATGAATATTATGTTAGCCTGATAGCATTATTCTGTTAATTGATTTTATTTTCTGAAAGGTTACTTGATATTGAGATAAAGTTTCAACTGTGACTCAACTACTACTGATTATTCCACCAAAACACTTGTCCTTGCCTTTTATTTTTAGTATGAACCTTAGAAAAATTAGTTCATGTTCTCTAAAAGAAAAAAAATCACATTTTATTATTGCAACTCTGGGCTTAAAGACATTGTTGGCACATCTGTATTAAACACTGTTAAACTCAGCCAGTGTCTTCCTGGCCCTGTACTGCTTCTGTGATTGACAACGTTTCACTGGTTCAATTCTGACCTGTCTGTGATCAGAGATCACTTACCTGCCTCCGCCTTCTGCTGTTTCTCAATCTTCTCCAGGCGCCCTAGCAAGGAGTCAATTTTAGTTTTGATCTGGGTTAATTCTTTCTTGATGGTCTGTAACTCATCTGATTTCACTGGAAAGTAGAAAGAAGGAAGAAAACAACAGAGCATCAAATGCACCATAACTCACCTAGGACCGAACTCACAGGGACCCCGTATTTTCTCAAGTCTGTGTCAAATCACATAGGACATTTTTCAATTTTATCAACTTCACATTACTTCTAGTGATCCTGGAATACTGGATGATTTTGCCAATTACAAATACGGATTCTCAGTGACATGAGCGTTTAATCCTAAATCTTTTGACTGAAGGTTATGGAAATGGATAACGGAATTAAGAAATATTTTTTAAAATAACCCAATGATGCTAAATTTTACAAAATAGAGTAAATCTTCAATGTGAGAGGGATTCAGATGAAGCAATAATTAAATCATGCCAGATACTACTTTGAGGAACTATGTTGTAATATGTATTTCAGCAGTCAATGATATTTTAATCCAGCTCCTTGAAGATTGATGGAAACCAGGATATACAATTTATCCTTTAAAGAAAATGTCTTAGATGTGAGAAAACTCTTTCCAGCTCACTCAAAGCTGCTATGAAGCTTCAGTTTTCCTAAATAAAACTAAGGCAGTGAGTTGTACATGCCTCCCTCTAAGCCCTGGGCTTGATGGAAAGGAAAATCACAGAAGTTCTCACTGATAATTTCAATAGTAGTAGTTCCCATTCTAGATTTTTAGAGTTTAGTACAGTTTCAAAGAAAACAACTGGGGACTAACATAAGATGACAATTTTTCATTTTGCCAAGTATGGATGTTAAAAACAACAATAAATAGCCTACTATTGACTACAGTAATTATTTTATAAGGGAAAAAGGCTTAAGGAAAGAACAATCTCATATTTCGAAGACAATTCTTTAAATGAAATATGTTTATATTTGTAAAAAATTTACTGCACTGTCCTTATTTTTCTGAAAACCATTTCAATTTTATCAACTTCTCATTACTTCTAGTGATCCTGGAATACTGAATGATTATGCCAGTTACAAATGGGGATTCTCAGTGACACGAGCATTTAATCCTAAATCTTTTGACTGAAGGGTATGCAAATGGATAATGGAATTTAGAAATATTTTGAATCCACAACAATCAGAGATGAAAGATTTTAAAGCCATTACAATGGAACAGCTATATCTGCCTCCGAGCTTTTATTAGGTGGACTGGCAGTATTCACACCTCATTCAAGAGCCAAGTTTCAAGATCTTGGATACTTATTTGTTTCCAGTCTATTTATCTTCTGTCTCTTTTCCTTCTGGTTTCTAATAATCTCAGACTAGATATTCCCCAGAAATTTCTGAGGAAATTAGAGTGTTTAACTTGATTCTTTAGTCTTCAGACTTTTTTGAAAAAATAAAAAAACAAAAACAAAATGCAATTTATGTTTGCTTAAAATAGAACTATTTGTCGATTAAGATAAATGATATAATATACATGATATGTTATGGATCATAAACACTAAATCTTAAGGGAAGAACAGATTTTTGTATAAAAATGAGAAAACTTTTCCCATTGTCAAATCAGATTTTTTTTAAAGCAGACTTTTATTTACAATGCAAAGTAGTTTGCAAAATAAAAACTGCAAGAAGCATGGGCCCTCTAGAGTATCCCTCTGAGGAATGACTAAACTGAAAGTAGAACAGGGTAAAATAGAGAATCACTCCTCATGTCAATTACTTCAAAGACATCAAAGTACCATTGTGGAATTGCAGCTAAATTTGAAAAACATCATCTGTCACAATTGCAAATTGATTTTGCTTTGAAGAGTGGTACTCATTCCTTTGATGAAGGCATATGTAGTTTTACTTAAACGTATCAAATTTAATAGAAAATATTTTATCTTATAACATTAGATTTCAATGCAGGAGAAATAAATAGGACTATAGCTGAAAACTAACAGAATATATTTCTTAGCAACTAGAGCTACTCCTTAGCCCAGGAATGCAGTTGACTAATTTTAATTTATGTATTGCCTTAAAAAACAAGCCAATAAACCACTACTACTCCACTTTATTGAAACTACATTAGAAAACAATATAGACTCATCTGGCTGGAACTTAGAAGTCTCCAGGGAGCCAAGGTTTCATTTAAGTCTAGACTCAGGTCTAGCACTGAAAGAACATCTTTCAGATCTCAGCTGGATTATTATGGAATTTGGGTCTAATAAGTTAATGTTACTCAAGAAACAATGTTGAAATGTAACACGGAAATCCTGTCAGTTCTTTCCTGGACCCTACCAGGAAATGTTAAAGTGAGCCTCTAACCCTATGCAGGCTGCTCAGTTCCCTCTTAGAATGGGGGGGCAGCAAATGCTCATCTAGGTCCTGCAAAGCAGGCTCTACAAATAGTCTTGGCTGCCTCTTGAGCAGTTGTAGAAGTCGTTTCCTCATCACACTTCAATATCTCAGTGCTGTCCTTGGGAAAAGGCTTGCCCCTTACCTAGTCCAATTGGCCTTAGTCCACTTTCTACTTTTCTTCATGCAGAGTCACTATCTATATATGGGGTACGGTTTTGTGCTATTACATGTGGTTTCTAGATGGAATGCCTGGGATGAACCTCCTCTATCTCTCATGTACTGCTCTTTCTAGCTCTCTTCTGCTTTTGTTTTCTACTTTTTCCCCTCCTGTTAACAACTTCTCTCCTGCACAGTGAATTATATTAAATCCCTATTTTTGCTTACTATTCTCTAGTAGTTGAGCATATATATATATATATATATATACATTACAGATATTTTAGAAGACATTGGTAATACTATCTTCACAGGAAAAATATCTTTTGCTCTTTTTCTCTAGATAAATTTTACCACAAAAAAAACTTGTCAAAAATTATACACAAACATGGTAAAACCCCGTCTCTACTAAAAATACAAAAATTAGCTGGGCATGGTGGCACGCACCTGTAATCCCAGCTACTTGGGAGGCTGAGGCAGAGAATTGCTTGAACCCAGGAGACAGAGATTGCACCGAGCCAAGATCGCACCACTGCACACCAGCCTGGGTGACAAAGTGAGACTCTGACTCAAAAAAAAAAAAAAATTATACACAAAAGCAAACATACTGTCATAATAAAAATCTCTGGTTGTCTTGTTGAGGACAACTTATTTTTCTATGAGTGATTATAGGGCTTGAATTTAGAATTACCAAACAAAAATCAGCAAAATGATAAATTAAAAAAATTACAAAGTTCCTAGGACAAATTACTTTAGCTTATTTTTAGGCAAGAAGAACACTAGAGAAATAGAAGTCAGGTTGCATCACTATCACTGTAGTATCTTTGTTTTTAAAAATAAGTCACATTAAGTCATTTCAGATCTGCTCTCTCTATAGAGTTCATTGATTTGGTGATAAATGTTATTACATTCTGATACAGTTGACAAAATGATTGTGCCTTCTGCTGTGACATAAGATATAATCCAAAAAGAATATTAGGCACACGGGATGATATCATCTGTCTATATAAAAATCTGTGCATTTCTGACTTATGTGGCCAAAAATATTTCAATTTATTTTAATCATCTTTGGGTCAAGTCTATTCAGGGTAAATAAAGAAGTTTCAGCTAACTGTCTAGATCCGTGGTTCTTAACATGGTGATTTTGCTCTGCAGGAGAGATTCTGCTGTGTCTGGAGACATTTTTCCTTGTTATGACTTGGAGGGGGTGGTCCTACTGGCTTCTAGTGAGGATTTAGTCTGCTCAACATCCTACAGTGCACAAGATAGCCCACACCGCATCACAGAATTATCTGACCCCAAATGCCGATCATGCCAAACTATTGAAACCCTGCTCTAGATATAACCTCCCTTACCAATACCATGCTTCCTATCAACTATTTAGAAAACTGAAAAATGTTTATAATCATGTGGACTTTGACAGTAAATCACATTAATTTGTTATTTATTTTCCCCAGCCATTATACATTATTTGAATGTCCAAAACAAAGAAATAAATAAAATTTGCATATCACTTAATTTATAAATCAGTTTTAAATACAGTATTTCAACAATAAAGAATCTGAGAATCTGATGATGTACATGATTTTCCCAAAGTCATGTGATATGCACAGGTAAGAGTTTAGGCTCAAACCTAGATTTTCTTACTTTCAATTCTATATTTTTTATTGTGCCATGCAGCTTCAGTTGATGTGAAAAATATGATCAAGGAATCACTGTGCTTAATTCAATAATATTCAGAAAAAGAAAAGGAAGGTTCCTGGAACTCTTTATCATGATCACTTCAACGCCTCCGCTCTGCTCCCATCTGTCCCTTTCTTTATATATATATATAAATATCCTATAATAAGAAAATGAACAACTGGCCTGAAGTTATAGGACAGGTGATACCCTTGTAACATAATACATAATACAATTTTTGAAGCTAATTTAATATGAAAAGGCTAATTTGCTAGTCTAGAAAATAGTTTTCAAAAGTCAAACTTTAAAGTATTTTGCTAAAATAAATTGCAGCAACTGGTTATCACCCACCCCATAGATGAAATTTCCTAGAACAGGGAATTACATATATATGCATATATATGTATTCATAATACTTATGCCTACATACATCTATACCCATTCTTTCTATATTTTTTAGAAAGAAAATGAAATGGAGAATGAGTGGATTTTATTCAGTAAGTATTCATTAAATGCCTACTATATGCATCTGTTCATCTTGCATTTCATTAGAAGCTGCAAGTGTATCATTTAATTTATTCCCAATATGCAAATCAGAATTGTTAAACTTACTTTTGGATTTGAATAGTGAATATTAGAGAAGTTAAGTAATGTGTTTAATTAAGATTGCTTAGCAGGCTGGGCATAGTTGTTCAGCCTCTAATCCCAGTGCTTTAGGAGGCTGAGGCAGGAGAGTTGCTTGAGCCAGGAGTTTACGATCAGCCTGGGCAACATGCTGAGATCCCTAACTCCACAAAAAATAAGGAAATTAGCCAGGCATGGTGGTATGCACCTGTATTCCTGGTTCTTCAGGAGGCTGAGGTGGGAGGATAGCTTGAGTGCAGGAGTTTGAGGTTACATGCCACTGCATTCCAGCCTGGGTGACAGAGTGATACTCTATTTCTAAAAAAATTTTTTAAGTGTTCTTTAAAAAGATTGCTTTAGCCAATAGGCAACAATTCAAGTTTAGAGTGGGCTGCCTGACTCCAAAGCCATGGGTATATAGGTCCCACCCTCCTACCCCCCACTGCCCATCATGGTGAACTGCCTCCCTGGTCTCATGGACTCTATAACTAGTGACAGACAAGAAACATGTAACTAATTTATTATTATGCATATAAAATACAAAAAAAAGAGAAATAGTAAAAATGTTCTGTCACCTGATATTGAAATTATCTCACATTTTTAAATTTTCTGGTCCCCCCTGCCCCCGACCAGATATAAGTGCCTGAAAATGAAAGATCATGTCTATTTTGTCTATGAAATAGTTCCTCAGGGCTCATGTCTATTTCGTCAATGGAAAATTAGTACCTGTCTGTGTTAGGTGCTGATTAATTGAACTTGTATCAGCTATGTGGGCAAAGAAAAAAGATAAATTAGTTTTGATGATAACTGATTGTGAAAATAGTCACAAAAGAATGAGTTTTTGAGTTATGACTGAAAAGATACTTTAGATTTCAGCAAGCAAAAACAGTCTTCTAAGTAACAGAAGTAGCAGATCTCAAATCACATAGCTTGAAAATACACGTCATACTGATTTCTTTTAGACCCTGGAGTGTAGGCCAGAATTTGTCCCCTTGTTTCACCGACTGATGCAACATATTCTGTAACTAATTTTCTCTGAACTGTAGCATTTCTAAAGATTTGGTTCAAAGTCAAATATAAAATGTATGACAAAAAGTAAAATGCAAAAAGCAAAAATAGTAGTGATGTCACATTTCACAAATGTTTAAGAGTATAATCTGTGCAAAGCATAATTAACTTGAATGAATTTGTAATTGAAAATAGAAAGATTAGATGTGCATACAAATAACTATAACATGAAGCAGAAAAGTGTAAGTCCCATAATAAAAAAACGAACAACTGGCCTGAAGTTAGAGGACAGGTGATGCCCTTGTAACATAGAGGGGTCTAAACTTGTCCTTATAACAAGAGGAAATTTATTAGACAAGACACACAAAGAGAGAAAACAGTGTGAAGACATGGGGAGAAGATGGTCATCTACCAGTCAAGGAGAGAGGACTGACACAGATCCTTACCTCACAGCCATCAGAAGGAACCAAGCCTTCTGACACTTTGATCTCCAACTTTCAGCCTCCATCATTGTGATAAAATAAATTTCTGTTGTTTAAGCCACCCGAACTGTGGTACTTTGTTATGGCAGCCCTCGCCAACTAATGCCACCCATCATATAGATGTCCTAAAATATCATTTTGAGCAGGTAGCACTTTGCTGAGAATTTTTTTATCTTGGCCCTGCATGAAATCTGAACCCTTCAATACTCTGCACAGTTTTTCATTATCCTTTTACCCATTTTTATATCTTGTTTAATAATAATGTCCTCAGTTTATTAACTGACATTCCTAGCAGTAAATCTTCACTTCAGATAATAATAGTTATTATTTTTACTGTCACAGTATTATCTATTAAGGCTTTTATATTAGCCGACACTGTTCTAAGAGCTCTACATGTGCTGGCTCATTCAATCCTCAGAACTCTACAGAGAAGGCAGTAAGATTATCATTCCCATTTTATAGATGAGGAAACTAAGGCACAGCAAGCAAGTACCTTGCTGCAAAACACACATAATAAATGGCTGAGGCACTATTGGATTCTAGGTTCAGCAATTTCATATTTAATACTCTTAACTGCTATAATAATTATAGTAGTAGCAATAATTAACCTCATTGAACATTACTATGTGCCTAAGCATTTTATATACATAAGTAATTCAATTCTTACAATAACTATTGGATACACAGTATATTATTTTCAATTTCCAGGTAGAAATTAGAGGTATATAGGGGTTAAAGGATTTCCCCAAGGCCACGATGGTAGTATACTATGGAACAGACTCCACTCCAGGCAATCTGACAGGAAAGCCTCTGTTCTTCTCCACCCAGATCTTGTCTCCCAGAAAGCAAGTATCTCTCATTCTATCTTTCAGAATCTACTGGCTCATCTAAACTCAGTTCAAAATCCTCTGTTAAGCCTTCTCTAACCTTTCCGGCCAATAGTACATTCTCTCTTTAAAAATCTCTAAAGCAGAATATACTTTGCCTAGGATAATGGATGGATGGGAATGTTTAATGATATGTTGCTGAGTATTAATATTATTTCTCTGGTTGATGCTTTATCGCTGTATTTCAATCATACTTTTGAGGGGAGGAACCCAACATAAGAAAGCCTTCTTAGCATTGGGGATAAATTCTCAATTTTAACTTTAATTGAATTGTCTTTAATTTCCTGTTAGATGCTTCAGGGCATTTATATTAGTTTGTCACCTATTCTGTCACTGAAAGTGCATTGACAGGTCCCCAAAGGCATTCAAACTTACTAGAGTCTTTCTTGTTAGACATTAGAATTTAAATTAATTCTTTAAAGAAATTGACTTGATCGAATTTTTTTTTCCAGAGGGCATCAATTTTTCCACTAAGAAACTACAGCTAAAGCTCACTGATATTCATGTTTTCTCTTTTGTAAAATGCTAATCTGCAATGTCACATTTTCTTTATTTTATGACTCTATGATGTCAGGAAAGGACAAGCTGATTATAGTTTTAGTTCAATTTGATTTTAAAAGGGACAGAAATGCCTAGTGGCAATCTATTTAAAGCAGTTCATTTTAAATGCTTATCAGTATTCATTTTTGGTAAATTATGACATTAATATATTTTCTTTATATAGTTTTCTCCTTAGCAGAATTCAGTCATATTACAAATTCTGAAATAAGAAATGACAAATTATCCAAGCTATAACATTAATTTCCTCTTCTGAACTTGCCAAACCATTAAATGCTGGAAAGAGCTATTAATTAAAGAGCAAGCTATATACCTTAGTAAATCTTTATTCAAATTATTTCAATATTAACATAGTATATTTTAAATTTCACTGATACTTTTCATTTGTGATTTGAGTTAGAAACTTTTGTTATTTCCAGAAACCAACCTAATTATAAAAAGTACTATAAATTAATGAATATTTATACATGCACATATATATTTTATTTACATATATGTATACATAATGTAATCTGCCAATATGCTCCTAAAAAGAATATTAAATCATGATTCTAGTTATGCTTGCCAGTGAATTATAAATTTTTATTAATGTTTCACTAAAGTAACACTAATCAACAGTTAGCTTTTGTGACTTGAGCTCTAAATTTATAGAACTATATGAAATGAATAGAATAGATCAGTCTGTTGTCTTTCTATAATAACAGGGGGCTGGCATCATGCTCAAGTACATCATGGCTGGCTGCCCCTTGTTTCTGGGTACTCTCTGGGATGTGACTGACCATGACATTGACTACTACACAGAAGCTCTGCTGCAGGGCTGGCTTGGAGCAGGCCCAGGGGCCCCTGTTTTCTACCATGTAAACCAGGCCTGCCAAGCTCCCTGACTCAAGTATCTTACTGGGGTTGCACCTATAGCCTATGGCTTGCCTGTCTCTCTGCAGTAATCCCTTGGAGCTATCTTATTGATGCTGGAAACCACATGACTATTCTACCTCCAAGCTTAGATTTAATCCTTAGGATAAATCTTTTAAAGTGATTTTCCCCAGTGCTTTATATGAAACATTTCCTTTTGATTTAACCTCAATATAATAAAGATACACCACTTCACAAAAGTAAGTAAAATTAACACAATTATAACATGCTGAATAGATTTTAAATGATCATTTGTCTTGATTGTCCTTACAAAATCTTTTTATCCCATAATTTATATTTCTACCTATTGCTTATCTATATCTTTCCAGCATAACAGAGATACTCTAGGATACACAGTTCCAAAGAATGATTGCTGCTAAAAAATAAAACACACCACATTTCTTTCAAAATATCTCTAGTTTGTATTTAGTAGTCCAATTTTCAGATTTAGCCTTTTTTCAAGACTGTCGCATCTTACACACACACACACACACAAACACACACACAAAGAAAAGATGAAATTAAACCTCATGTGTGATTTACCATTGGACTTAAGGATAGATTCTTATGTTACATGTTGTAATGGTTACAAACTGTAAAGTCTCTTCACATTATTTCTCCAAGTAGCTGACTTTGGTAATTTGTCTTTCTATAAAAGTCCCTTCATGGTTTATTTTTTCCAATGTAAGAAATAAGTCATTGAAATTTTCAACACTTGGAGACTTTTTGAGAGATAGAAACTTGTGTATACTCCACATTGGGGTGACCTAACCTCCAACGAGTTGCAGAAACTCCTTTTCTTTTATTACTAAGACTCAAAATGGAATTCATATTTATCTATCTACAGAATAGATACATGAATACATAATTACATAGAAATCCATAAATCTATTTAGTGTGCTATTGAAGTTATCTTAGTTAGGTCCACAAAGTTTGTTGAGTACAACAAACTTTAGCCTTTTCAGAAGCATCAGTACCTTCCTGCATTTTGAACTGCATTTTGTAAAAACAAAGTGTTTCAATAGTGATTCTATCTCAGTATAGTGCTGAAATAAAAGGCAGTGTTCTACAGCAGATAGCACATAGGCATAAGAACTAAGAGACTCTACTATGTCTATTAGCTATATGACTTTCTGTGTTTACTCATCAATAAAACTGGGATAATAGTATTTGCCTTACTTGTCTTAAATGGTTGGGATGCAGAGTAAATCCAAGTCTCTACGGCGGCTTACCAAGCTGCATTGGAACTTGCCCTGTGTCTAACTCTCTGACCTGATCCCCAGCCAGACTTTCTCTCTCTGGCTCGGCTCTGTTGCAGCCACACTGGCTTCCTTATTGTTCCTTGACTATTCAATTTAAGGTCTCTGCACTGACCATTTTCTCTCCACAGAATGCTCTGTCTCTGACAGTTTCAAGGTCACTTTCTCTTTTCCTCACTTCCTTTAGGTTTCCACTCAAATGTCACCTCAGTCAATGAAATATAGTGTTCTCAACTTTCTCTATGTGTTTATTCTTTTACCTATAGGTCAGCTTATTATCTGTTTGTTTTCTGATAAAAGGCAATCTCAAGGAATATGGGAAATTTTGTTATCCTTTCTTTATGAATAATATTCTAACAAATAAAATTTTTTTCTGTATCACTCCATATAAAAATTTAGCAATGTGTTTAGTTGGAAAGTTTGTATCGCTGCTTTTTACTAATTAATGTGAAACTATGCAAATATTATTTTACTTTTTATGACATTAAATATATCTTCAGATACATATATCTTATCATAATTTATCACTGTATGGTAAATTATGCTTTTAACATCTCTATAGTTTGCCTCTCTTAATTGCTCAAATATTCAAACCATGAACTAATTTTGTATGTTTCTCTGAAAAGACAGTTTATGCACTCCCTTTGGAAGTAAAATTATTTCTTCATTAAAAGCAACATATTATATTTCAGTACTTTAATATATCACAAGCTAAGCCAAGAGCACAGTGTTATTTGCTCTGATAAAATACTTTTCAAATTGGTCCTGGATTTTTGTTAGACATTTTTGTGTTTGTCTCCCCTACTGCAACACAGTATGGTGGAAAGCAGAGACCATTTTTTATCCATCTTATGATTTTCTAACACTTTATACATAGCAGGTCCTTCATAACTATCTGGTTAATTTATTGAATATAGGCATTCGTGCAATGATAGTTAATCACTCCCTTCTTTAAAGAGAAATAAAATGAAGGACATTACTTACATTTAGAACCTGTTGACCCACTGGCAGTAGATCTCGATCCACCTTTCATGGAAAAGACTCCTTTCCCCCTGCGAGTCGTTGTGACTGCCACTCTGGGACGCTTCAGCGGAATTACTGCACGGGGAGGTGGAGGCACACGCCCGTGGTAATCAAATAACCTTTACAAAACACAAATGGGACTGAGAGTTGGTTTGATGCCCGAGAGTTCTATCAAATATGTGAAATGTTGAACAGAATGTCCTGGTAGAAAATTTCAATAAATGTTTTCTTTCTGCTGCTGTTCTCTAATATTCAGATGCAGGTATTTATTGGCAGATTTAATTTTCACTAAGAAAATAGATGCTAATATAGTCTATGCTTTCTGGACTTTAGAGTGTGACCTCCAAGAGGAACTCATTTGTAAGGTATGAAAGGACAAGGAGCTTTGCTCCAACAGTACCATGCAATTTGTTGAAATTATGCTGACCTTCATTCCTAAATATATTTCTTTGCTTGGTAAAACAGATTTACACTTCTTATGAACAGAAATATTCCTCTTACACATCAAACACTTATTAGCACATTAGTTTAAAAGAGGAAAAGATCTTGCAGAACAGGAACAAAGAAATAAAATTACTGTTCAAACAGTAAACAGCCCAGCAAGATAAAAAGTAAAACCAGCTTCAAGAAAACAGCTATGACAGACAAATCAATATGGTGCTTCAGCTCACTTTAAGAATCTTTTCAGTAACAAAGTCTCCTCTGATTGCAGACAAAAGGAGACAGTTTGAATGACATGAAGCTAGCGTGAGGATAAAACTGTTGACTACTTACGGTGGGAAATATTTATCAAGATATCTTTTAATTATTCTGACCATTTGTTAGATTTGCAAATTGAGACTAGAGATATTTTATAGTTAGATATTACAAGCATATTTAACAAAAAAATCAATAAAACTTAAAACCTTTGCGGAAAAGTGAAAAATGATATTCACCACAATCAATTAATTTCCATTAAACAATGAAAGGAATCAAGGTATAAGGGTTAACTCATTTATAAAAATATATAATTCATAGATTCAGAAGCTTCATATTATTTGTACTGCATCCACATATACAACAGATTTTTATATGACAGCACATTTGAGTAACCTAAAAGGTCAATGAAAAAATACTGGGATACATTTCCTCATTTTCATGACTATTTTCCAGTGAACTAGACATGTAATTACGTTATTCACTATAAAGAAAATAGCATTATTGACTTAGAATTATGATTGTTACATATTTTATTGTGACAGAATAAAATATTGGATTACATTCTTATAATTACTTTAAAACAGTCAATAAAAACAATCTAATATGAAAGTCAGAAATGAGAAACTAGAATGGGAAGAAAATAAAAAAAACAAGTTCTATAATAGGTTAATTCATAAAATTACATCTTGTTTATACATACAGATGAAAATGTGATCATCTATTTTTAGGAAATAATATATGAAATATAATAAAAGTTAAGATAGACTGGTTTCCAAATATTCATTTAGAGACATTTAAAACTATTATACTGTGAGGTGAGGGAAGCGCAAAAAGCACTATTAAACCAAATTTAAAGCAAAATTCCTTAGTATTAAGAATATCTCCTACATTAGAGACTTAGGGTATTCGAAAATGATTTAGAACATGCTGGGGAAAAAACTAAGAGATATCTGGAAAGGAAAAGAAATGAAATGAGACAGAGTTCAAGAGAGGTGCCATCTTCTGTGACTAAGCAAAGTCCATTAGAGCTGAAGAACAGCTAGCAAAGAACAGGTCATGGATGTCAACACATAATAGTTTACTTCAAAGAGCACAGGCAGGATGAGGCTGAAAAGGGTTATGAATATCATCCATACCACTAGGGGCTTGAGAATCAAAAGGGTCAGCTAGACCTGCCCCTCATTTCAATCACAAAACAAGATCTACATTAGTTATTTATAAGTTGAATTCACAGAGCACCTTAAGTCAGTGAACCAAAATACAAAGGCACTTTGCATGAGCTATAACACCCAAAACTATTGAGTGAAAAGAAAATATGGCAATTGACTGATCTCTTCTAGAGTAGAAGTTGCTGCTTGAAATGAAAGGCAAGCTCTTTTAGCAGGACCATTTCCCTAGGACACCAATGTGTAGTTTTACAGGTTCACTAAACAAGCCAATCTATAAATTGGGTTAAGAAAATCTCTAAAACACAATCAAAATATACAATGATGTAAGAGTGCTATAGTAAAAATACAGGCCAAGTAAAGTTCACTATATTCACTGCTACTTTAATTGCAATGTAATTTAATACTACTTTTATAGGAAACAAAAATGTTTATCAATATTTCTATTGCTTCCCCCAGCCAAGGATTACCAAACCTCCAACAGTGGCATGGCCTGATCTTATGCTGAGAAAGAGCCATACTTGCTCACTGTATTTATGATATGCTTTTAGTATGGGGCATACATTTTAGTAATATACTTAGTACTTTACTAAACAACTTTCCTTTGGTATAAATTCCTATGGTGAGTGGCCTGTTCTCTGAATATTTTGGTGAGTTACTTCAAAGGAAAATGACTAATTTTCTTTCTCTCTCTCTTGTTTTTTTGAGACAGAGTGTCACTCTGTCACCCAGGCTGGAGACCAGTGGTGTGACCTCACTGCAACCTCTGCCTCCTGGGCTCAAGCAATTCTCCCACCTCAGCCTCCCAAGTAGCTGGGACTACTGCATGCCACCGTGCCTGGATAAATTTTTTTGTATTTTTTGTAGAGATAGCATTTTGCCATATTGCCCAGCCTGGTCTCGAACTCTTGGACTGAAGTGATCTGCCCAACTTGGGCTCCTAAAATAATGGGATTATACGCATGAGCCACCAAGCCTGGCTGGATGACTTTCACCAAGGTATTGGGTAACGTTTTACCAATTCTTTCTTCCACTTTGATGGGACGTTGGGCAGCATCAGGACTTAAATATTTTAATGTGATAGGTCATTCACAAAACAAAATTGGGAATGCGTGAGGCAGGAGAATAGGGTCTGGAGGCAGGGAACCTAAGGCTGTTTCATGCTGACTTCCTAGAACTAAATAAAAAGGAAAACCCCACCTTTCTACGCCCAAGTAACAAAAGGACCAGAGGCTACTCCCTTTGCGCCCCTCCTCATCCTGCCACCTTTTTCTGCATGGCCGATGAAAAATTGAAAGTACCTCTGATTGGTCCCCTCCCGCAACCAATCGGACTGATTGTGGGCCACTACTTAATATACATAGGGTGTATGCCAAGCAACCAATGGGAAACCTGTAGAGAGTATTTAAACCCCAGAAAATTCTGTCACCAGGCTCTTGAGCCCTTATGCTCGGTTGGCTCCCACCCTGTGGAGTATACTTTCATTTTCCACAAACCTCTGCTTTTGTTACTTCATTCTTTCCTTCCTTTGTTTGTGCGTTTTGCCCAATTATTTGTTCAAGAACCTGGACATCCTCCACCAGTAACATGGGCTAACACGAGGGCATAATTTTTAATTTTACAACTTTTAATGGACCTGAAGACTTTCTTAATTTTCATTGGGCACTCTTGAGTCAATTAGAAATAAAAGGAGGGAAGACTGGATGTTGTCCTAATGTACAAAAACATAACAAGACAAGGATAGAAAGCGGGGAAGGCTTTCTGCGATTGCAAGATGGGATATAGGGGTTCTTCAAAATATAGAGGGAAGTAGGTGAAAGGCAGCCCAAGAAAGACAGGTATTGGCCTTCTCATCAGAATTCGGCCTACAGTAAATCAAAGAAATTTTACCTTTATCAAATATTAGATTGGCAAATAGTATTGAGACTAAGGAACTAGTTCATTTAAGATTGTAGACTGACAGCAGAAATGGCAATCCAGCAGAATTAAATGGAATCTAAATCTCCAGGCTAGTGAAAAGCTTTAATTTTTTTCCTTCCTCTTGTTTTTCTTGTTCCTTACCCTTTGGATTTATATTTCCACTCCTTTCCTTTAATAGCCCTTAATTTTCCCTAATATTTCTTGGTCAGGATAATTTTCTCCCAAATACTTACTCATCAAATAGATAATGGTTTATAATGAAGCCAAACATATAATAATAATTCTTTCCTCAAGGTCCATTTTACAGTGAAAACTCTAAAACACCTGCTGTCAAGTAATAAATTTAAAAAATTCAGTCCAATTTTAATAAAACCAACTCATGGAGAAAATTTGAGAATTTAATTTCTTTATTTAATAAACATTTCTATTTTCTATGTACCCTTTTCTTATTTTGCCTTTTAATGCTTTAAATAATATCTGACATATGTAACTTTATTAGCTAGCAAAAGCTAAAAACTGGTAATATTAATTTTAATAGTAGTTTATTTGATAAAATAGACAACTTTTCTCTAGGAAGAATAAGGACATTTGATTTCATCTACTGTTCTTAAACAATAATTGTTTTTGGACAAAGGTAATTTAATTTAAAAACTAAGTGCCTTTTGGACAAAGGCATATTAACAAAGCAAACATTATTTTAAGTGTCTTTTTTAAAAAAGAACTTGTTATTATTAAGCTTTAGCAATAATAAAGTAACATTTTGGGAAAAAAAAGTACATAAAAAAACTACAATTCTAAGTCTCAGACCCCAGAACAACTACTATAATTCTTTAATCTGTTTTTATAAGCATCCATATTTTTCACATAATTGAAAACATAATATATGTACAGTCATGTATTCTAGCTCATTCTCTTTGGTTTATATTAAAAACAAACATTTCTCAGGCCTGTTAAATGGTCTTCGTAATGTTTATTTTAATGGCTGTGGGGCATTTTCTCAGGTAGATACACCACATTCTAATAAATCATTACCTGATGGCTAAACTTCTGACTTGATGCTTATATTTTACTGTCAACAAACGTGGTTTAAAACACAAGAAAAGAAACTGAAAAATGTAATATGTGTGTTGTATTTTATTACTGAATATTAAATTTTCATTTTAGATTAGTAGTAACTTCAAACATTTTCTGGTATTTACCTGTTTCTTTCTAAATTGCCCTCATGAAAACAATTCTTCTTTTTCCTTGTTCATGAATCAAAACTTATAGTTACTAAGTAGTTGATGCTAACAAAAATATTTGGTCTTCCCTAGGGGGCTAAAATTTCTGGGCTACCCAGAGGCAAAACCTGATAACAAATTCAGGGCCATATTCTCACCAGCACCTTTCAGTAGCTCTACAAAGATCAATAACCAGAGGACCAGAGAAGATCTTGCTCCATGTCTTGATTCAACCTCCAGCCTTCCTTTTCATTATGCTTAACTTTGACAGATGTACAGTATATAAAACCAAAGTAAGGTGCCTATTCATTTCTAAGAAGGGATAGATTTGAAATCTACACAAATAATTCTTTTTTTTTTTTTTTTTTTTTTTCTGAGACGGAGTCTCGCTCTGTCGCCCAGGCCGGACTGCGGACTGCAGTGGCGCAATCTCGGCTCACTGCAAGCTCCGCTTCCCGGGTTCACGCCATTCTCCTGCCTCAGCCTCCCGAGTAGCTGGGACTACAGGCGCCTGCCACCGCGCCCGGCTAATTTTTTGTATTTTTAGTAGAGACGGGGTTTCACCTTGTTAGCCAGGATGGTCTCGATCTCCTGACCTCATGATCCACCCGCCTCGGCCTCCCAAAGTGCTGGGATTACAGGCGTGAGCCACCGCGCCCGGCCCACAAATAATTCTTATAGGCTGGTAGTGTATCTGTTCCCTGTACTGTTTAAACTACTCAAAACTCATAAACTCTGCCTATAATTTCTACTCTGACTTCAAATAAATCTTTGGTTACAGTTGAATCAGAAAATAATTTTAAAAGGCACACTCTACCTGAGACCAGTAAATGAGTAAATTCCATTGATCTTTTTTGTTATTAAATTTTCCAAGGTTTTCTGTGAAGTTTTCTCCTTGGATCACACGGAAATACTTCTTGAACATGCTTTTAAAGGCAAGTTGATTGCAATCTTGAATGATCTTTTTTGCAATATTTTGATTCTAATACAGTCTGTATTTTATCTAACATTGCTAACTGTACATTTTGTATACAGCTTTGTGTAATTAAAAAGTTAATAAATTCAAATGTTGTTGTGGGGTTATAAGCCACTAAAACGATTTTCTCATTTAATTCTTGTAATTCTGTAAGGTCAGTAGTGTGAAGCCATTTTGCCCAGGAAGGAAACTGGCACAAAAAAGAGATGACTTATCCAAGCTTAACCAGTCAACACATGTGCATCTAGTCCTGAAATTCATGTCTTCTGACTCCAAATAATACCATTTGTCAAGTGTACCATGCTGTTATTTTCAAACATTTCAAATGGAATACCATACTACCAGAGGATAGTTCAAATTTGCATAACAAAACATTGTTTCTTGTTAATATGTTTTCCAATATTCATGAATATATATTGTGCTCTCTAATCAACTATCTGAAACAACTGTAACTTAGTGTTCTTGCGTTAACTGCAAATCTAGTAGTTTCTTGGATCAATTAACACAAAGTCAAAATGGTTCCAGAATTGAACAATGCCTATTTTGGATCATTTAAAATGTATACGTGTTTTACATAGAAGTAAAACACCTGTGGCATTTGTTTTTCTCTGTTAATAAAAGTCTCCTTATCACTGGAAATTATAAACTGATCAGTGCTTTTCCTAATATTATTGAAAAAAGAGGTTGGATTTAGACAGCTAACATTGCAGAAGTTAAAAACTTTCCCTAGGGAGATTAAATATAATTTTAGGTATACATCTCCTTTTACTTTGCTAGAGTATAAATACTTACGTTTAATGTATTAACATACAATGTCCTACATTTAGAGTCATATATGGACCTTTAAAAGAAAATGCCATTCAATGCTGTAAATTATTGGGCAATGCTTTGTGTAAAAGAGAAAAGATAAGAATTTAGAATAACCACTCATCTACTGTTTAATGATACTCTTCATGATCCCTGAAACCACGAATAGACAGGTCAATGAATCACAGTAAGGTGGAACATTGTGTAAAGAAGTTTTCTAAGCTAAAACTATCTAAGGGTTGGAAACCCTCAATCACATTAGAGTCTCCAAACCTGGCAGAAAGAGTATGACAATATAATGTGGACATATGTTAGTTATTAAGCTATTGTTTCTTGGTTTCAGACCTACCCTTAGCCACAGATGATGGGTTTGGAACTCTGAAAACCACACTTCCGGAGGTGAGGGTTAGGGTTGGGGTTGGGCAGCTAGCTCCCTGCTGGGCTCAGCCAATAAAGGACCTAAGAAAGAGACTGCAAGGTTGGAGCAAGGAAAAGGGACCTGCTCCTTCTTGTTTTGCTTTTTATTTGTGTTTTGGCTTCCTGCTCTTTTCAGCATTACCCCAATCTAGTTTCTTCATCCTGGCAACAACAATTCATTCCAGTAGCATCAGCAGAATCCAGTCTGAGTAATTTTGCAACACTTGGAGAACAGCCACTCCACGCTCCCTCAAAGACCCCAGCACCTGTCAGCCCATATCCCCATCTCAGAGATTTGGGTGTCAGCACCACAGGTTCTCCTTGTGGACTCAGACACAGCAGCACCATCTGAACAGAATCTCCTATGCATAGTTTCAGCTCTGGTAGGCTCTTTTTCTACAGCAATTTCTGAGACCCCAAATCTTCCTTTGTTTCTCCAGCCCTAGAAGTGGTAGCAGCTTCCTGCAGTCACTAACTCCAGTATATCACAGTGTTGTCTTTTTGCGTTTTCAGTTCTTTAATACCGACTTAACGAGTTTCTATATGCAATTAGCCCTGTTATACGTAAGTAGTGTAATTTCTGTTTTCATGATCTAAACAAGCAGCATGGGGTTAACAGAAACAGCTGAGCGCTCTCTGCAGGCAAGTGTGATCAGCTGCAGCCGGAATGCTTTGGGGGAGTAGGAGAGGGAAAACTGGGAAAACAGAATAATCCAGAGATGTCCCAAATCAGCTATAATGGAAGAAAAACTGACCAACCAGTTTGTTTCTCAGTTATATGGACACTGCTGTATGAATGTCAATATGAGAAATACATCTACCATTATTTTTTTTTCTTTTTCTTCCTTTTTCTTTTTCTTTTTTTTAGACGGAGTTTCGCTCTGTCCCCAGGCTGGAGTGCAGTGGCACGATCTCGGCTCACTGCAACCTCTGCCTCCTGGGTTCAAGCAATTCTCCTGCCTCAGCCTCCTGAGTAGCTGGTATTACAGGCGCCCACCACCAGACCTGGCTAATTTTTGTATTTTTAGTAGAGATGGGGTTTTACCATGTTGGCCAGGCTGGTCTCAAACTCCCCACTGCAGGTGATCCGTCTGCCTCGGCCTCCCAAAGTGCTGGGATCAGGCGTGAGCCACCGCGCCTGGCCCCATTATTGTTAATGGTTACTGTTAACTGTTAATACTAGCTAATATTGATTAAGCACTAAAAAATACCAGGCATAATGCTGATCATTATGTTACCTCATTTAATTCTTAGAATGATTTCATGAGTTAGGAATTAATTTCATGCTCACCTCCCAGAGGACATAACAGATTTTGTGATATTAACTAACTTGCCCAAGTTTGCACCTCTGCTAAAAGAGAGAGAGAAAAAGAAAACACAAATGCAAGAAGACCGTAACTTATGAGAAATGACTGTGGATTAGTAGTGACTCTGTAAGCTATGTATCTTGTCCAGCCTCTCCATTCTGTTTTTATTTCATGGTATTCTATGTTTATAGGGAACTCTTGAGTATATCCACTAGTGGCAGATGCTTATGTCTTTCTTAGCCAAGTGCCAAAAATGGAAAATAAACTAACGAGAGCACAGACTGCTCAGTCTGTTAACAATACAACCATACTGATCTATTTCATACTTCCATGCCAAACAGATTGTACACAAAACAAATAAATGATTTTGAAAATTGTTCATACTGTAGCTAAGTTCTTGTATAGTAGAGAGTCACCTGAAAGCTACAGCCTCTCTAATAATTTGACTATTTAAAGCTCTTGTTCTTTGGCAAGTAAGATGGATCTATTGATTATCTATCTATCTATCTGTCGATCTATCTCCATCCATCCATCTATCACCTATCTAATCTAATGATTTTATTGAGCTAACATTTCTAAATAGTAAAATGCAAATCCTGGCTTCCTTTTAAAGATGAGAAAACTGAAAACCTGACTTGCCTAAAGTTACAAGGCTAGTTACCATGTCAGAGGCATTCAAACCAGAGCGACTCCATCTTGAGTGAGGGCTAGGAAGAATGAGGCTGGGACTTGCTGGGCTGCATTCCCAGGAGGTTAGGTATTTATTCCTAGCTCCTAGATGTTTATGGTTAAGAGAACAGATTAATAATGTTTACTAAACAGACTCAGGCCCAGGAATGTCTTGATATCTCCATATCTTCAGAACAAAAGCATTCCTAATTTTGCTTTAAAGATAGTCATATTGATTCTTGCAAAATGCAGTAATTAGAAAAATGTATCCTTTATCACAAACCCTTGTAGTAGAGCACAACTCCCCATGGTTTTTGTTGTTGTTGTTGTTGTCCTATGTATAAACAAGCATTGTACCTAGGGCAGGCACGTCCTTCCTCTTACTTTTGGGAATACTGGGAATACTCTGCTCTGTCTATGGAGTAGCTATAGTTTCACCACCTTTCTTTCTTAATAAACTTGCTTTTGTGCTGTGGACTTGCCCTGACTTACTTCTTGCAAGACCCAAGAACCCTCTCTTGGGGTCTGAATTGGGACCCCTTTCCGGTAACAACCAGAACTTGGGTCTCCTACGGTGTAGAGTAAAACTCCATGTTAGGTGGAAATTCTTTAAATGTATAAGGAAGTCATATGATAGAAAATAAAAGATGCTAAAATGGTTTTATATAGACAGAGTATAAGACAATGTATATTAATTGAAAACTTTATTCGTAGCAAGTGAAAAAATAGCTATAGTAGAAAATGTCTTTAAACTTGTCAAAAAGTAACATTTTCAAATAGTATAAAAACAGTCTAGATATCCTTCCTTAATAGTAAATGGGATTATTTTAATGCTGCCAGATGTTTGCATCACTTTTAGAATAAGTTATGATAAGTTTCTTAATATTTAAAATATATTTTATAGAAATTATAAAATGCTTTGAGAAAATCATTCTTAAAGATTATATTTTTTTGTCAGAAAAGGATAACTAGTGAAATAAGTTGCTTAATTCAGTAGTTTGACCATTGCAGCAATGAAGTTACAGTTGTGGGTCTGATTCTCAAGTAGGAATCGCATAGCTCCATAGGCTGATATTGCCCTCCCCATTGTGCATATTCACATAGTTGGTTATTGAATCTAAATTGGATGCCTAGATTATGATCATAGTTCTGTCACTAATTAGCTTGGTGACCTTCGGAAAATGACTGTGTCTCTAAATCTAAGGAGATGAATTAATAATACAGAGTATCCACTATGTGTGAGGTTTACTGATAGTCCCCAAGGATACAAAGATAAGCAAAACTGAACATTGTTCAGGTGGGGGAAGGAAGACAGACATGAATCAAACACTGCAGAAAGAAATATAGCAATAGAAATTAGGAGAGGTGCTGTGAAGTAACAGTGCTGGGCGCTGAGCGAGAGGAACAGAGGAACCTAATTTAATCTGTGAGGGATGTTCGTGCTGAGATCTGAAAGATGAGGAGTCAAGTGAACCAGGTAGTGTAGGGAGGTATGAGGAGATGGAACAACACAGAGAAAGGACCTGAGGCAGGAAGAAACATGGAATTCTTGTGGAACTTACAAAAGGCCCTAGAGGCTGGAGCAGAGAGAATAAGACCCTTTCAAGGATCACAGTTACTTCCTCTTTAAAACATCTATTGAAAAATTTTTTCTAAGTTTGCATTTTTATACAGTACCTAAGGTTTTTTTTGTTGTTTGCATAATACTCATAATTAAAGGCTTAAAATATATTTACCTCATTTTTTAATCCCGTAATCTATCTATATATAGTTGATCCTCATCTCTGATATGCATAAATTTCAGTTACTGATATTAGTTAAATAACACCAGTTCTCCGACAACACAAATTTTAGTTACTACAACATATAAACGGTAAGTAATTTAATAAAGTCCAAACTTTGCTTCTAGCTTTTCCACAAATAAATGCATAAATAATAAATGTGCATGATAATAACAATGATCACTAATCACATTCCATCTTTCAAAGTCTGTCAATGATTTTTTTTGCTGTTCATTGATTATTCACTTCACTCACTTGTTTCAGATCATTAATTGTAATGCTTCCTTATCTCTCAGTGACAAAACGTGGCATTTTGCAAAATTGAATAATCAAAAGAAAGAATTGATCAAAGATGAAAATGCAGCAAAGAATCGAAGAGTGATAATACTAGATGTGAAACTCAAATTAAATGTAAATGAAATTACAGAAGAAATAGCTCATTATAGGGATATTGATACTCCTCTACTCAAGAGACTCTAGGTATGGAGTCAGAGGAACTTAGTAAAGGCAAACTTATCGACATAAGTGAGGAAAGTGGATGTGATGTGATGAAACGTATAACGCTATGGAGGGGAAGTGACCCTGGCAAGAGAATCACACATTGAAAGAACTCTCAGAGATAGTTCACAACATTGATAGAATGTCAAAGCTAATTCAACCTTAGAGAGGAGTATCCAACAAGGGATAAAACAGATGCCTACTCCGTATCCTGTCCTGAGTTAGGAAATGAGAAGGCATGCACTGTTTCAACTACTTTTGATAAGTGTTCTTTACAAAGAACTAAAACACCTTAATTCTTAATATTTTATTGTTTTAAATTATAGTATACTAAATAACAATTAGCTTTACTATAGTTTCCCATTAGTTTATAGAGAAGAGAATAAAAGTTGTTAATGTTTTGACAAACATGTTTAAGATCATGAGACAATCCTGTTTTTTCCTCATTGGATGGTCTCATCTTGCATCATCACCTTTGTGGCCTCCTACTGTCCTGCAAAGCAGGAACGATCTGTAAATTTTACAGACTCTACCCAATATAGCATTTTCAATGTTTTATTATGGACTTCAGAAGGTTGGAGTTATTTTTCTGAGTTTTCAAACTCTTGATCTTGAAGGATTCTAAATCAACAAATGACTTGGCAGATAATATTAGTTAATTAAATCTTTAGGATTTTATCTAAATATTAGACACCAAATCTTAGGTTTGAGCACCTCCAAAGTCCTAAAATTCCAAGATCCACTGTACTCAAGTAAGTATAATGAAAATATAAAAATCTGTATATTTTGTTGGGATTTAGTATTTTATTTTTAACTATAATAATATTGTTTTAAATACCATAATTAAGAGCACCCATGAATAAAATGTACAAAATGGTTAAAAGATAATTTAAGTCATAGGAAAACAAGGATGAAAAATTCACATACCGATTGTAGAAATCATCTCTGTAGTAATCATAGTCAAAGACATAACCGCTAAAGAGGGAAACAAAAAAATTAGTTGGCATTTGTTTCAATGACATTAATTTTATTATTAACTTATGATGTTATAGCATAAAATTTGTTACTTTTAAAATATTTATTTTTCAATATAATTATGCATCCAAAGGACCTTCCAAGATAATGTCCAATTTGATATAATGTCATGCCAAATTATTATTACATGTTTGACAATGTAGGGACTGATAATGGTGTGGTTTGGAATGAAAATCAGAACAGGTAGCAAAATAAATAAGTTAAAACTTTTCGGGCGCCTGTAGTCCCAGCTACACGGGAGGCTGAGGCAGGAGAATGGCATGAACCCGGGAGGCGGAGCTTGCAGTGAGCCAAGATCGCGCCACTGCACTCCAGCCTGGGCGACACAGAGCGAGACTCCGTCTCAAAAAAAAAAAAACAAAAACAAAAAACTTTTAATTAGGTATGAATGAAGACCATAGTTTTTCATCTCAGACAAGATAATCATATAGTTGTCCCTTCTCTCTGAGGTAATATAATTATCCCTTCTTCCTAAGGTATGTACAATGAGGCTACATAATGAACAAAAGGTATTGAAATAAGATAAATGGAAAGGTTTAATAACCCATTCATTATAGAAATGGTGAATAGAAATGTGGTTCCTTGGAAATTCAGGATTTTTTAATTCTAAAACTATGGATTCAATACTTTAAATAGAGAAAAATTAGAAAAATAACTGTGGCTGTCTTACCAACAATACCTTAATATTTTAGTATATTTAAATATGAATTAGTAAATGCATTTCAGAGATAACAGTATTACGACTAAGCTCCCTAAAAGAATATATTTTAAAAAGTCACCTCCATCCACTTGCCTTGTTGTTTGAATTTACGAAGCACTTTATATGCATTTCAATTACAGTCATCAAAACAACTCTGTTGGACAGCATAACCTGAAGAAATTAAGGTGCAACAGACCTAAGTGACTTGCTCAAATTTGCATTCCTACTAGGTGACAGAGCTGAGATTTAAGGGAAAGTTTTCTGATTTCACAAGTGGGGTCATTTTGACAACATCTCGCAACACTCCCCAACCTGGAAGAAGTCTTAATGTGATGATGAATGGAGTAACTGTACCACAGGGGAGTAATTTAAAAAAAAAAGTTTACTTACTCGTTTTCTTTTTATTGTGGCAAAACATACATAACTCCATATTTACTATTCTAATCTTTTTAAAGTTTATGATTCAATGGCGTTAAGTACATTCACAAAATTGTACAAACATTGCCACTACCCATTTCAATAACCTTATCATCAACCTAAACAGAAACTTTATACTCATTAAACAATAACTTCCCATTCCTGCCTCTCCAGCCTCTGTCATTAATACAAATACAAATCATACAATCATATAGTCATACAATATTTGTTCTTTTGTGTTTGGCTTATTTTACTTAGCATAATATTTTCAAAGTTTATCCATGTAGTATGTATCAGAATTTCATTCCTTTTTGAGGATGAACAATATTCCATTGGGATGAGATATATACATATATATATATATACACACACACACATATATATATACACACACATATATATATGCACACACACACACAAAATATTTAAAAGTATTACTCCAATAGAATATTATTAAAATATATGTAAATATTATCTATATCACCCCTATAGATATATATGTATACTGACATACATATCACTTTTTCTTTACCCATTCATCTGTTGATAGACACTTGGCTGTTTCCACATCTTGGCCATTATGAATAGTGTTTCTATGAGCACTGGTGCAAAAGTGTCTGATTCCCTGATTTCATCTCTTTTAGGTATATACCTAGAAGTGGAATTGCTCGGTCATATGGTAATTCTATGTTTAACGTTTTGAGAAACTACTATATAATGGAGGAATAATTTTATATTTCCAAATAAATTTAACAGACCTTTACTTTGTAACTATTCTTATGTTAACTGAAATAACCTTATTAAGATGGGCTTGTTATTTTGGCTTTAAGGATAGATTTATTTATAGCTCCTCATGCTCTTACATAGAGGGTGAAAAATCCTGATCTAAGAGCAGACCTAATCCATGAAGGTAAAGTCTGCCTCCAGTTCTGTCAAATGGAACACATGGTGTTTGGGTTCAGGTGCTGAAATATAAAGTAAGAACTTACTCCATTTGAGCATCTGAATGGAAGACTGAGCATTGTATGGCTAGAGCAATGCTGTATCCATCTATGCAAACCAAGGGGACAATGAGACCACTGCCTAAAGTGTAAGAAGGAAATAGCCACTTTTGTCTGGCAGTCATGGATTATTAAAATAATAATGGTTTTTGCTTTAGTTTATTCTAATAGTATAGATACAACTGTGACATTGAGTTGAGGGATGCTAAAGCCCACCTATTGGCTACCATCAAACCCTAAGGTGTAAATGTCACCTCAGGAGATCAGAACAAGAGGGCTAACTAGATGCAGCCAGAAAGTGCCTGTCTCACCAAGAGACACCAAAATGTGGACTAAACCTACATACTTAAAGCAGATCTTTTGAGAGAAAACACTGAGAGTCAACAGAGAGGTGACACAGTAACTGAGGCTGAAGATGGAGGAAGCTGGGGACCCTGCATGGGGATGCCAAGTGCCAGGACTAATTCCCAGCCCTGAATGGCTATTAAGGAAGGCTGAGTGAAGTGACTGTGGGGCAAACCACTTTCGCCACAGACCTCTGGGATCCTAGCTATAAGAGATGCCATGATCCCCACAGACATTTGAATTGGCAGGGGAATCTGCTCAGAAAATAGGCAGAGGTGGAGCTCCTGTCTGGGCAGAGCCCAAGGGATTTTGTGTAGGGGGCAGCGGCAGCAAGACATGGCCACAGGTGCCCATCTCCCAAGACTTTCCACTAAACTGGTAGACGAAGAAATTAGAAAACTCCCAAATTAACAGTCTAATACAGTATATGGGGGAATTAGAAAAACAAGAGCAAATTAACCCCGAAGTTAGCAGAAGAAAAAAATAGCCAAAAGTGGAGCAGAACTGAATGAAACCAAGATGTGAAAATCTACACAAAAGATCAATAAAACCAAAAGTTGGCTCTCTAAATAAATAAACAAGATCAGTGACACAGATAACATTACAATCAATCCCACAGAAATACAAAAGATCCTCAGAAACTATTATGAACACTGCTATGTACACAAAATAGGACATCTAGAGAAAATGGATAAATTCCTTGAAACACAACCTCTCATAATTGAACCAGGAAGAAACTGAAAACCTGAACAGACCAGTAACAAGTTCTGAAATGGGATCCATAATACAAAACCTACCAATCAATAAAAGCTCATGATCAGATGTATTCACAGCTGAATTCTACCAGACAAATAAAAAAGAGTTGTTACCAATCCAACTGAAACTATTCCAAAAAAGTCAAGGAGGAGAGACTTCTCTCTAACTCACTCTATGAAGTCAGCATCATCCTAACACCAAAATCTGGCAAAGAAAAATAATACACAAAAATAGGTAGCATTTCTATATACCAATAACATTTAAAGTGAGAGCCAAATCAAGAATGCAATCCCATTCACAATAGCCACAAACAAAAATAAAATACCCAGGAATTGATTTAACCAAGGAGGTGAAAGATCTCTACAAGGAGAACTACAAAACACTGCTCAAAGAAATCACAACATAAAATATAGAAAAACACTCCTTGTTCATGGATTGGAAGAATCAGCATCATTAAAATGGCCATACTATCCCATGCAATTTACAGATGCAATGCTATCCCTATAAAACTACCAACATCATTTTTTAAAGAACTGGAAGAAACTATTGAAAATTCATAGGGAACAACAACAACAAAAGAGCCTGAATAGCCAAAGCAATCCTAAGCAAAAAGAACAAAGCAAGAGGCATCACATTATCCTACTTCAAACTATACTACAAGGCTACGGTAACCAAAAAGCATGGTCCTGGTACAAAAATAGACAATAGACCAATGGAACAGGATAGAGAACCTAGAAATAAGGACATACACCTACAGCCATCTAATCTCTGAAAAATTCAACAAAACTAAGCAATAAGGAAAGGACTCCCTAGTCAATAGTGCCATCATAGCTGGCTGATATGCAGAAGAATAAAGCTAGACCACAACCTTTCACCATATACAAAAACTGACTCAAGATAGATTGAATATTTAAATGTAAGACCTCAAAATATGAAAATCTTAGAAGAAAACCTAGGAAATCCCCTTTTTGATATTGGCTACGTTTTCAAAAGCTATTGCAACAAAATCAAAAATTGACAAGTAGGACATAATTAAACTCAAGAACTTCTGCACAGCAAAACTATGAAGGAAGTAAACAGACAGCCTGCAGAATGGGGGAAATATTCATAAACTGTGCATCTGACAAAGGTCTAATATCCAGAATCTGTAAGAAACTTAAATAAATTTTCAAGCAAAAAACCCACCCTATTAAAAAGAAGGCAAAAGACATGAACAGACACTTCTTAAAAGAAGACAAGCTGACAACAAACATATGAATAAATGGTCATCGTCACTAATCATTAGATAAATGCAAATCAAAACCACAATCTCACACCCCTCAGAATGGCTTTTGTTAAAAAATAAAAAAACAACAGATGTAGAGGATGCAAAGAAAAGGGAATGGTTGCTAATTCCAATAAATATATTTGAGTATTTACTGTGTAGCAGAAATGGTGCTAGACATATTTGATGCATTCAATTGCTATTGATTGAGGGGACAATCATTTTCATGGAATAAAAGTTCTCAGTATTTTCAGATGTAACCAAATAAGCTCACAAAGGAAATACGTGACTAAATTTTTTATTTTTTTTAATTTTTTTATTATGCTTTAAGTTTTAGGGTACTTGTGCACAACGTGCAGGTTAGTTACATACATATACATGTGCCGTGTGGGTGTGCTGCACCCATTAACTCGTCATTTAACATTAGGTATATCTCCTAATGGTATCCCTCCCCCCTTCCCCCACCCCACAACAGGCCCTGGTGTGTGATGTTCCCCTTCCTGTGTCCATGTGTTCTCATCGTTCAATTCCCACCTATGAGTGAGAACATGTGGCGTTTGGTTTTTTGTCCTTGCCATAGTTTGCTGGGAATGATGGTTTCCAGCTTCATCCATGTCCCTACAAAGGACACGAACTCATTATTTTTATGGCTGCATAGTATTCCATGCTGTATATGTGCCACATTTTCTTAATCCACTCTATCATTGTTGGACATTTGGGTTGGTTCCAAGTCTTTGCCATTGTGAATAGTGCTGCAATAAACATACATGTGCATGTGTCTTTATAGCAGCATGATTTATAGTCCTTTGGGTATATACCCAGTAATGGGATGGCTGGGTCAAATGGTATTTCTAGTTCTGGATCCCTGAGGAATTGCCACACTGACTTCCACAATGGTCGAACTAGTTTACAGTCCCACTGACAGTGTAAAAGTGTTCCTATTTCTCCACATCCTCTCCAGCACCTGTTGTTTCCTGACTTTTTAATGATTGCCATTCTAACTGGTGTGAGATGGTATCTCATTGTGGTTTTGATTTGCATTTCTCTGATGGCCAGTGATGGTGAGCATTTTTTCATGTGTTTTTTGGATGCATAAATGTCTTCTTTTGAGAAGTGTCTGTTCAGGTCCTTTGCCCACTTTTTGATGAGGTTGTTTGTTTTTTTCTTGTAAATTTGTTTGAGTTCATTGTAGATTCTGGATATTAACCCTTTATCAGATGAGTAGGTTGCAAAAATTTTCTCCCATTCTGTAGGTTGCCTGTTCACTCTGATGGTAGTTTCTTTTGCTGTGCAGAAGCTCTTTAGTTTAATTAGATCCCATTTGTCAATTTTGGCTTCTGTTGCCATTGCTTTTGGTGTTTTAGACATGAAGTCCTTGCCCATGCCTATGTCCTGAATGGTATTGCCTAGGTTTTCTCCTAGGGTTTTTACGGTTCTAGGTTTAACATTTAAGTCTTTAATCCATCTTGAATTAATTTTTGTATAAGGTGTAAAGAAGGGATACAGTTTCAGCTTTCTACATATGGCTAGCCAGTTTTCCCAGCACCATTTATTAAATAGGGAATCCTTTCCCCATTGCTTGTTTTTGTCAGGTTTGTGAAAGATCAGATGGTTGTAGCTATGCGGCATTATTTCTGAGGGCTCTGTTCTGTTCCATTGGTCTATATCACTGTTTTGGTACCAGTACCAGGCTGTTTTGGTTACTGTAGTCTTGTAGTATAGTTTGAAGTCAGGTAGTGTGATGCCTCCAGCTTTGTTCTTTTGGCTTAGGATTGACTTGGCAATGTGGGCTCTTTTTTGGTTCCATATGAACTTTAAAGTAGTGTTTTCCAATTCTGTGAAGAAAGTCATTGGTAGCTTGATGAGGATGGCATTGAATCTGTAAATTACCTTGGGCAGTATGGCCATTTTCACGATATTGATTCTTCCTACCCATGAGCATGGAATGTTCTTCCATTTCTTTGTATCCTCTTTTATTTCATTGAGCAGTGGTTTGTAGTTCTCCTTGAAGAGGTCCTTCATATCCCTTGTAAGTTGGATTCCTAGGTATTTTATTCTCCTTGAAGCAATTGTGAATCGGCGGTCACTCATGATTTGGCCCTCTGTTTGTCTGTTATTGGTGTATAAGAGTGCTTGTGATTTTTGTACATTGATTTTGTATCCTGAGACTTTGCTGAAGTTGCCTATCAGCTTAAGGAGATTTTGGGCTGAGACAGTGGGGTTTTCTAGATATACAATCATGTCATCTGCAAACAGGGACAATATGACTTCCTCTTTTCCTAATTGAATACCCTTTATTTCCTTCTCTTGCCTGATTGCCCTGGCCAGAACTTCCAACACTACGTTGAATAGGAGTGGTGAGAGAGGGCATCCCTGTCTTGTGCCAGTTTTCAAGGGAATGCTTCCAGTTTTTGCCCATTCAGTATGATATTGGCTGTGGGTTTGTTATAGATAGCTCTTATTATTTTGAGATACATCCTATCAATACCTAATTTATTGAGAATTTTTAGCATGAAGGGTTGTTGAATTTTGTCAAAGGCCTTTCTGTGTCTATTGAGATAATCATGAGGTTTTTGCCATCGGTTCTGTTTATATGCTGGATAACGTTTATTGATTTGCTTATGTTGAACCAGCCTTGCATCCCAGGGATGAAGCCCACTTGATCATGGTGGATAAGCATTTTGATGTGCCGCTGGATTCGGTTTGTCAGTATTTTACTGAGGATTTTTGCATTGATGTTCATCAAGGATATTGGTCTAAAATTCTCTTTTTCTGTTGTGTCTCTGCCAGGCTTTGATATCAGTATGATGCAGGCCTCATAAAATTAGTTAGGGAGGATTCCTTCTTTTTCTATTGATTGGAATAGTTTCAGAAGGAATGGTACTAGCTCCTCCTTGTACCTCTGGTAGAATTCGGCTGTGAATCTGTCTGGTCCTGGACTTTTTTTGGTTGGTAAGCTATTAATTATTGCCTCAATTTCAGAGCCTGTTATTGGTCTATTCAGAGATTCAACTTCTTCCTGGTTTAGTCTTGGGAGGGTGTATGTGTCGAGGAATTTATCCGTTTCTTCTAGATTTTCTAGTTTATTTGCGTAGAGGTGTTTATAGTATTCCCTGATGGTAGTTTGTATTTCTGTGGGATCACTGGTGATATCCCCTTTATCATTTTTTATTGCGTCTATTTGATTCTTCTCTCTTTTCTTCTTTATTAGTCTTGCTAGCAGTCTATCAATTTTGTTGATCTTTTCAAAAAACCAGCTCCTGGATTCATTAATTTTTTGAAGGGTTTTTTGTGTCTCTATTTCCTTCAGTTCTGCTCTGATCTTAGTTATTTCTTGCCTTTTGCTAGCTTTTGAATGTGTTTGCTCTTGCTTCTCTAGTTCTTTTAATTGTGATGTTAGGGTGTCAATTTTAGATCTTTCCTGCTTTCTCTTGTGGGCATTTAGTGCTATGAATTTCCCTCTACACACTGCTTTGAATGTGTCCCAGAGGTCTGGTATGTTGTGACTTTGTTCTCATTGGTTTCAAAGAACGTCTTTATTTCTGCTTTCATTTCATTATGTACCCAGTAGTCATTCAGGAGCAGGTTGTTCAGTTTCCATGTAGTTGAGTGGTTTTGAGTGAGTTTCTTAATCCTGAGTTCTAGTTTGATTGCACTGTGGTCTGAGAGATAGTTTGTTGTAATTTCTGTTCTTTTACATTTGCAGAGGAGTGCTTTACTTCCAACTATGTGGTGAATTTTGGAATAAGGGTGGTGTGGTGATGAGAAGAATGTATATTCTGTTGATTTGGGGTAGACAGTTCTGTAGATGTCTATTAGGTCCTCTTGGTGCAGAGCTGAGTTCAGGTCCTGGATATCCTTGTTAACTTTCTGTCTCGTTGATCTGTCTAATGTTGACAGTGGTGTGTTAAAGTCTCCCATTATTATTGTGTTGGAGTCTAAGTCTCTTTGTAGGTCTCTAAGGACTTGCTGTATGAATCTGGGTGCTCCTGTATTGGGTGCATATATATTTAGGATAGTTAGCTCTTCTTGTTGAATTGATCCCTTTACCATTATGTAATGGCCTTCTTTGTCTCTTTTGATCTTTGTTGGTTTAAAGTCTGTTTTATCAGAGACTAGGATTGCAACCCCTGCCTTTTTTTGTTTTCCATTTGCTTGGTAGATCTTCCTCCACCCTTTTATTTTGAGCCTATGTGTGCCTCTGCATGTGAGATGGGTTTCCTGAATACAGCACACTGATGGGTCTTGACTCTTTATCCAATTTGCCAGTCTGTGTCTTTTAATTGGAGCATTTAGCCCATTTACATTTAAGGTTAGTATTGTTATGTGTGAATTTGATCCTGTCATTATGATGTTAGCTGGTTATTTTGCTCATTAGTTGATGCAGTTTCTTCCTAGACTCGATGGTCTTTACAATTTGACATGTTTTTGCAGTGGCTGGTACTGGTTGTTCCTTTCCATGTTTAGTGCTTCCTTCAGGAGCTCTTTTAGGGCAGGCCTGGTGGTGACAAAATCTCTCAGCATTTGCTTGTCTGTAAAGGATTTTATTTCTCCTTCACTTATGAAGCTTAGTTTGGCTGGATATGAAATTCTGAGTTGAAAATTCTTTTCTTTAAGAATGTTGAATATTGGCCCCCACTCTCTTCTGGCTTGTAGAGTTTCTGCCGAGAGATCAGTTGTTAGTCTGATGGGCTTCCCTTTGTGGGTAACCCTACCTTTTTCTCTGGCTGCCCTTAACATTTTTTCCTTCATTTCAAATTTGGTGAATCTGACAATTATGTGTCTTGGAGTTGCTCTTCTCAAGTAGCATCTTTGTGGCGTTCTCTGTATTTCCTGAATTTGAATGTTGGCCTGCCTTGCTAGATTGGGGAAGTTCTCCTGGATAATATCCTGCAGAGTGTTTTCCAACTTGGTTCCATTCTCCCAGTCACTTTCAGGTACACCAGTCAGGCGTAGATTTGGTCTTTTCACATAGTCCCATATTACTTGGAGGCTTTGTTCATTTCTTTTTTCTTTTTTCTCTAAACTTCTCTTCTCACTTCATTTCATTCATTTGATCTTCCATCACTGATACCCTTTCTTCCAGTTGATCAAATCGGCTACTGAGGCTTGTCCATTCATCACGTAGTTCTGGTGCCTTGGTTTTCAGCTCCATCAGGTCCTTTAAGGACTTCTCTGCATTGGTTATTCTAGTTAGCCATTTGTCTCATTTTTTTTTCAAGGTTTTTTACTTCTTTGCCATGGGTTCAAACTTCCTCCTTTAGCTCGGAGTAGTTTGATCGTCTGAAGCCTTATTCTCTCAACTCGTCAAAGTCATTCCCTGTCCAGCTTTGTTCCGTTGCTGGTGAGGAGCTGCGTTCCTTTGGAGGAGGAGAGGCACTCTGATTTTTAGAGTTTCCAGTTTTTCTGCTCTGTTTTTTCCCCATCTTTGTGGTTTTATCTACCTTTGGTCTTTGATGATGGTGACGTACAGATGGGGTTTTGGTGTGGATGTCCTTTCTGTTTGTTAGTTTTCCTTCTAACAGTCAGGACCCTCAGCTGCAGGTCTGTTGGAGTTTGCTGGAGGTCCACTCCAGACCCTGTTTGCCTGGGCATCAGCAGTCGTGGCTGCAGAACAGCAGATATTGGTGAGCAGCAAATGTTGCTGCCTGATCGTTCCTCTGGAAGTTTTGTCTCAGAGGAGTACCTGGCCGTGTGAGGTGTCAGTCTGCCCCTACTGGGGAGTGCCTCCCAGTTAGGCTACTTGGGGGTCAGGGACCCACTTAAGGAGGCAGTCTGTCCATTCTCCGATGTCCAGCTGCGTGCTGGGAGAACCACTACTCTCTTCAAAGCTGTCAGACAGGGACATTTAAGTCTGCAGAGGATTCTGCTGCCTTTTGTTTGGCTGTGCCCTGCCCTCAGAGGTGGAGTCTACAGAGGCAGGCAGGCCTCCTTGAGCTGTGGTGGGCTCCACCCAGTTCGAGCTTCCTGGCCATTTTGTTTACCTACTGAAGCCTGGGCAATGGCGGGCATCCCTCCCCCAGCTTCGCTGCCCCCTTTCAGTTTGATCTCAGACTGCTGTGCTAGCAATGAGCGAGGCTCCATGAGCGTAGGTCCTTCCGAGCCAGGTGCGGGATATAATCTCCTGATGTGCCGTTTGCTAAGACCATTGGAAAAGCGCAGTATTAGGGTGGGAGTGACCCGATTTTCCAGGTGCCGTCTGTCACCCCTTTCTTTGACTAGGAAAGGGAATTCCCTGACCTCTTGCACTTCCCGGGGGAGGTGATGCCTCGCCCTGCTTTGGCTCACACTCAGTGCGCTGCACTCACTGTCCTGCACCCACTTTCTGACACTCTCCAGTGAGATGAACCTGGTACCTCAGTTGGAAATGCAGAAATCACCCATGTTCTGCGTTGCTCATGCTGGGAGCTGTAGACTGGAGCTGTTCCTATTTGGCCATCTTGGCCCCACCTGCCGCCCCCAAATTGTTTTTATAATTTTTTTCAGAGACTCTTTTTTATGCTGTAATCTCAGACAGCAGAGTTTAATTGCAAGAAGAAAATACGACACACTCATCAATTATAAAGGCATTATTAATATAGATGACAGTAATGATTTCCACTTATGTGTCTTATACCTTCAGTAAATACTTCGATAATTTAAAAGCCTTCTGGGAATTTAAAAGTACACAGGAAAAGAAAATTCATTTTTATTTTTCTCAGTTGCTGCTTAAATTATCTTGTCCAACCTGCTTTTTTTTGTTCAATCCTGACTGCTAAGATGTATTTACAAGAACCAGTTATAGCTAAGTATTCTGAATTGTTTGATTCTCAGGTTCCACTGCCTGCCATCATAAACTCAATTTTATCTGTCAAAGTTAAAAATAAAATGAAATGCACAAACAGACCTGTCTTGGTAATCATGTCAAGACTGCTTTTGTCTTAATGGTTTGGGCTTTTAGCAGAAATGTCATGGCAGTAGTTGGCTCAGGTCATAAGCTATAAAATCAAGGTGGATTTCCAAGAAAGAGAAAGAGATTCAAAGAGATCCAAAGATCACACCAGGGCAAGTCTGATTCACACTAGCTATTGTTTCCCCAATGTTCCTGCCACCCTCCTCAGTCCTTTTTTGTGGGGGAGGGGATCCTTTTCTCTCTTTCCAGATTCTATCTCTTTCATAAAAATCCCCTTTTTCTTTCTGAGTGAACCTCTATTTGAAATCACCCACCAAAAGATGGCATTGTGAGGAGTCATATTCAGTTTTTTAAAGAATTTTATATATCCTAGAACTGTATTGCTAAGAAGAGTTGGTTTTTCAGTTAAGAAAAATCCCTGCCCCACACCCCTTTTCTCCCTCATAAACTGAGAGTGGTACTGTGATCCTTATGGGATGATCTATTTTGGCTTTTAAGAGAAGAACTTTTGTCGCTCTCACTTTAATAGTTTAGTATGACTATTTGGTTCTTAGGTAACTCAAAACAAAAATGATAATAAAATAGAAGTTTAGGGCACTGTCTAGGATGAAACTCAACCAAGGAAATGCTGAGGTTTCTATTGCTTGGAAGCATAACCATTGGCTTATGGCAGGTATTTGACCTTCTAGAAAAATGAAATGATGGTTTTGAATGTTTAGTGCAAACAAATATTTCATATTGTTTATTTAAAAATCCAGTACACCTTTACTAATTTTATCCTACTTCTCAGTGTGTCCTTAATCATTCACATTCTCTCAAGATGTAATGGGGAATCAGAATTGCTAAAGTAATTGCTTAGAGCCATATATCCACACTGTTTCTTTTATTACTGAAGATTAAATGAGGACCAAGTAACTTTCCTGAAATTTCATTTAAACTTTTTCATTTATAGAAGAATCACAACTCATTGGGTTTTACAATATACGTAATCAATTTTATCTAATCCCTTTGAATTCATAAAGCCAGTTTCATATGAGTAGGCTAATACCCAAAGTATTTCTTCTTATTTTCCCTCACCGAACTTCATTAAAATATAATCTTAAGAATACTAATAAATTTCCTAGCACAAGTAGGAAACATTTTAATGTGTTCTTAGCAAACATCTTGCCAATAATAACTACTACTAGAGCCTTCTCAATTGCGATAACTGGCTTTCTATATTAAATTGAATAATCAATTATTGAGTTCTTAATTGTAAGTCAGGTGCAATACTAGGAGTTGTGAATAACATTATCAGTAAAACATGACTTCTAACCTCAAGGAATTTCAATCTAAGTATAAGAGATTAGACAAATACACAGTTGACCGTAAGTTGAGGCAGAATTTGATAACTGAATCTGAAATAAGAACTTCTATGAGAGCTTATAAGGAGGGGAAATAGGAGGTGGTGAGTGAGACACAGGGATCAAACACGGCTTCATGAAAGAGCTGGCATTTGAACTGGACCTTGCAAAGAGTAGGGATTTGACAAGTGAATGTTCAAAGGGTAGGTATTTCTAGATGATCAAGAAATCTGGTGGTAGAAAAATGTGGAACAGGTATGGACAATATGTTTTATGGAGATTATTCTCTCTCTTTGGCACAGCTATTCTTCAGAATACCCATGGTTAGTTCTAGAAATTATGAATGCAGAAGATATAATGTAAAAATAATGCAGGATATAATTCAACTAACTGGCTGAATTTCCAGAGCATACTTCCCCGTGGATAAGGTGAAATCAGAGGTATCCTTAGGTGTATCTACAGGATCCTTCTTCTAATTCATCATAAAATGTTGGTGTAGGTTTCTAGCTGTCAGAGTATCTAAAGTTAAACAAATTTACAAACTTTGCCAATCTAATATTGTGAACAAAAATCTGTTCATTTCACTTTAGGGAATACATATAAATTTTTACTTTTACTTTGGTGTATGTCACCAATACGTATGCACACATATATACAAAATTCAAAAACAGTGAAATAAGCTACTTAGTCTAAGTTTCATTGATGAAATATTCAATTTATTTTCAAGGACCTTTGTAATGGGGGAGAAAGTGAGGAGAAACCTAATGGGACCTAAATAATTATGATATCTTCACAGAGTTCCTCGCTACTGGTGAATCAGGACCTGTCACCTGAGGAAGAGAAAATGGCTAAGAAGTTCTAAAGATTAAAATAATCCACCTAACTTAAGAAAGCTCTCATTCTTTGCTTGCTGTGAGTCAAGTTTACTGTCTCACACATTTAAAGGATGATTACTTTAATTGATAGACCAGTGACAGAATGTAGGAAGAGTAAATTTTGGAAATGAGAAAAGGAGGAAGAAAAATCCTATTATTTTTCTTTCTTTTGGCTAGTAACACAGGGTTTCTGATTTTGGAATTATCACTTTGAATGGGGTATGTTGTTACTTTTCTCTCTACTGTGTCTGTTAGGAAGCATACTTAAATAAAAATAACAGCAACAGCATAAAACCCTTCAATTAGTCCCCATGGCTTACAAGGTAACATACAGATCTCTTCAACATTCAGCACTCTCCAAAATGTAGCTCCTTTCTCTGACATTCTTTCACTATTCATTCAATTACTCTTTTAATCCGTCAGCATTTCTCAGCACCTACGCTCTGTCTGGCTCTACTCTGGTGCAAAAAAAAAAAATCTCCTTGCTCTCAGGCAGAGACATTCTTGTATCTTGACACAATCTTTTGCATTAGCTCAACTGATGGCTCAACAAAAGGTTTCCTGTTATACTCTCCATCCATCAACATATGTGGTATATTCTTTCTGCTGGAAGTATGTCCATTTTTTTTTTTTTTTTTTTTTTGAGACGGAGTTTTGCTTTTGTTGCCCAGGCTGGAGTGCAATGGCACGATCTTGGCTCATCGCAACCTCTGCCTCCCAGGTTCAAGCAATTCTCCTGTCTCAGCCTCCCGAGTAGCTGGGATTACAGGCATGCACCACCATGCCCAGCTAATTTTGTATTTTTTTTTTTTTTTTTTTTTTTTAGTAGAGACAGGGTTTCTCCATGTTGAGGCTGGTCTCGAACTGCTGAACTCAGATGATCCGCTCACCTCGGCCTGCCAAAGTGCTGGCATTACAGGCGTGAGCCCCCGTGCCCAGCCAATATGTTCATTCTTAAAGGCCTAAATCAAGCTCCACATCTTCCCCCATTATAAAGTTTGTTGAATTAGACTAAATTCCACTTTCTGTGCTATTCTTTGATTATAGCTTTTTTGAATTTACATCCAACTCATGCTTGTCAGCTCTCTGCTTCTCTTGTCACTTAGCTAATTTGTATAGATTTATTTTTGTTAGCCTTTCCCCTCACAAGCCAGTCTTTCCCTTCCATTAATTATCACCGTCTCTCTTCTTTGAACTTAATCTAATTTATCAGAATTTCTTGACACTGAAGTTTTCAGGGTAAAATATTCCAGGATGGCTCATGTCAAAATCCTGTAGACTATGATCCATCTCTTTGTTTTAACTGTTCAATGTAGTCATTAATGTTCAGGTCTCATTCTTACAGCTTCTTAAGCACACTTCTATCTAAATATATTATATTGTATTTGGCTGTTTATGAGTCTATCTCACTAGATCATAAGCTCTGAAAAGGCAGGTGTTTTAGTCACCCAAAGATATTTTTTTAAATCGAATGTTACACATCTGTGGAACTTTCTGCTATAGTATTTACTTTCTGTAGAAAAGTAAAGTGTTTTCATTCAAATTTTCAAACACCTGTATATTGATATTAGAATGTTTAGAGCATTACAATTGCGATATTGGGTTAGATCTTTCTTCCATCTATCAATTTATTGCTGGTCAGCTCTAAATCTACCCTTTTTTTGAGCTTGCTTTGTAATAGTGGAGCTGGACTTCCTCCTTTGCCTGCTGACACAGTGTTAAAGTTTGGCAGTACAGGGTGCTGGAGGAAAACTGCAAGGCATAGAAGAAGAAGGAGCTTCTTTTTCCAGGTGCTTTTCTTCTTATTCTCTGGCACAGCTACCAGCAGCTTATCAGAGGCCCAGTGATAACCATGGGCATCTCAGCAGAGGTTTCCTACTCATCACCTCCAGTCCACTAACATCCTCATAGACTTCTCTGACCTCAAGTCAGCTGCAAACACATCTCCTCCAGTGAGATTTGCATCTCAACCCTGGGGAGAGAGGCTCTCTTCAACTTCATTTTTCCCTTGAGTACTCTCCCTCAGCCACAGAGGTAGTAGCTGTTCCAAGCACTTTCTATTCCAATATTCTTTTGCAGATCCTGACTGACACAACCCAGTTTAGGCTGTGTTGTATTTTGCATGTTTTGTGTTTTTATATTCCATGTTTGTTGAGAATAACCATATGTGACACGTAGTCGAAGAGTACACTTGTCCATTTACAGGTAAATGTTTTTCATAGTTCATGCAGTTGATATTTTTATGATTTAACATACTGAATTAAAATGATTTTTTCAAAGTTTTCCTTCAAGGGAAAATGTATCAACTACACAAGCTCTTTATGGTGGAGACTAGCTTTTAAAAATGTTGGAGAATGATGTCAAAACAGATGATAATAATTATAATAATGTTAACAGTTATCATTTACTGAAGGCTTAGCATTTATCAGCCACTATTCTAAATGCTTTACATATATCAAATAATTTCATTGTCTTCAAAATTCTATGAGTTAGTATTAATATTATCTTGACTTTATATATGAGAGAACCAAGGCATCAATATAATCAAAGTTCATAGCATAGACTACCTTGTCTATGGCTTCCCAGATATTGCTGTAAGAAATACTTGAGTGTTTTTGTCAATTGCAATCTCAATATTAAGCCACAAAGATAATGAAATCTTTCTTTCTTTTTTTTTTTTTTTTTGAGACGAAGTCATGCTCTGTCACCCAGGCTGGAGTGAGTGCAATGGCGCAATCTCAGCTCACTGCAACCTCCGCCTCCTGGGTTCAAGCAATTCTCCTGCCTCAGCCTCCCGAGTAGCTGGGACTACAGGTGTGTGCCACTACACCTGGCTAATTTTTGTATTTTTAGTAGAGACAGGGTTTCTTCATGTTGGCCAGGCTGGTCTCAAACTCCTGACCTCAAATGATCTAGCCGCCTTGGCCTCTCAAAGTGCTGGGATTACAGGCATGAGCCACTGCACCCGGCCAGATAATGAAATCTTAATTGGCATTAAATGATTTTTAGTGTCTATAAAAAAAGGGTAATAATTCCATTGGACTTTCACTTTGAGCCATCATTGGAAATATTTAGTTTAGTATGTGTCAGTGCACTTTTAGAATAATTTTGACCAACTAGGATCCGTATAGATGAAGAAAATTAGGATGGCAAAAAGTCTCAAGACAATGACCCTATATAAAAAATAATTGAATTAAATAAGGTTGTTTGGGCTAGAGAAGGATGTTGGGCTAGAGAAGAGCCTTTGAGAAGACAGCTAGAGAAGAAGGGTGCCTAACTTTAAATATTTGAAAGCCTGTCAAGTGGAAGAGGAATTGAATTTCTTCATTGTGGCTCCAGAAGGCAGACTAAGTATTAAAGGGTAGTAATTATAAGGAAGAATGTTACTGCTAAATTTAACAAAGAAATAAGATAATGAATACCAATACCTTGAGCTTCTAGTATGTTTTAAAAAAGAATAGAATCGTAAAATGGAAAATACCATGACACAACATTGTATGTTGTAATATAACACACAGATACATATGCCACAAGAGTCTGAAAACTATTTGTTGGGGATTCTTTTTAGAGAAGAGGATTAATGCATTATAGCATTATATAGTTCTGGGATATTTTTCAAGTTAAAGTTTCATAATTTCATTAAAATTAAGTTACATTGTTAAAATGTAACATTTAGATATCCACCTACAGATTTTCAAAAGCTGATACCCTAAATCTGGCTCACTTTCCCTTAGTACTAGTTCAGTTTCTTTGACTCTCCCCAACCAAACTGATGCGAAGTCAAAAAAAGAAAAATTGCACTACATATTCTCTAGAAAGAAATAAAAACAATACTTTTTCCAAAACCTGTGAGACACAGTGAATACTTGCCTCAGAAAAATCTACAGCTTTAGATGCCTTCATTCTTAAAGAAAAAAGATGAAAAAGAAAAGAACTCAGACCTAATCTCATTAGAAAAAGAGCAACCTATAAGCCAAAGTAAACCAGAAAGAGGTCATTAGTATCAGTTTCAGGTCTGGAAATCTATCAACGTAATCTGGAACAAAAACAAATTAAAAGAGATTACAGATTTTATCTGTAAATACTAAAGAGGCATTTGATAAAATTTAAGAGGCATTTCTTATATTCAAAGTAAAATAGTAATAAGAAAACTACTTAAACACAATAGACTGTAGCAAAAACAAGTGGGGAATATTAATTCAGCATAAAACAGTAAACGTATTCAAATTAAAATGAGAGGACAGCTTTTTATCACCATTATTATTTTAAAATATTGAAGATTTTAGCAAATCTTTTTATACTAAACATTGTCATTCCTCTAGGCACATGCACTTGATTTTCTGCATTGCCCATTTTCCCAAAATACCTAGCTATTTATACATGTCCTCTATTGTCTTTTTGTTACAAGCTCATACTGCACTGGACACATACTATCTAAAATGAGTATTTCATACAAATATTATAGAAGCAAAAAAGAACTGATTTGCACCTTTTGTCAATTATGACCTTTTTGTGTGAACATGACTTATTGTTATGGTTTCTATTTTTTTCCCCACTGATTACTGTCAATTTTTATCCCTAAATCATGAATTTGTAGAAGAGATAGTCTCCCTCCTATTACTATTATTCAAAATTTTTAAAAAATCTCATCACTATTTTACCAGCTGAATTTTTTAAATGTCAAATTTTCCCCTTCCCTGATTATTTTTCTACATAGTCATTTTCAGTGAATCACTTTAACCCTTCCATAAAGTTCCCAGTTAAAGAACATGACTAAATATTTGTTAAACATACGTTTGTAAAACAGGTTGATCCTTAAGATGCTGGTGTTCAGGATAGACAAAACCAGGTGAGTGACTACCCTTCTAGAATTTTATCTGGGATTGGTACATGATACATCATAATTTTCTGTTGATGTCTTTCCGGCATCTTCACACATACAAAATGACATAGCTGAACACAGAGTTCTTGTGTTACAATCCTTTCCCACAAAAATTCTCCACGATTATCTTCACAGTAGTACATCACAGAGAAAACTGAGTTCGATTTTACCTTTTGTCTTAAAGTTAGTCTCTTTTTAAATTTATGGATTCCTATAGATTTCTTTACATTTCAAATTCTAAATGCCTCATTTAGAAAAATCAATGAATTATATATTTTACTTTTTATTATTGACTCATGTTCTATAAAATTGTCATCTTTGGTAATGGCTATTATTTACAGATTAAACTCAATGGTGTTTCATCCCATTTTTTTCTTTTGTTCTCATTTTTGCCATTTTACTTTTCCTCTATTTTTCTCATGGAATATTTGTTAATTTTCCTTAATATCATTTATTGACCTTCTTTTCCTCTGCAATATCAAATCTTTAATTTACTGCTTCAAATGGGGCATTGTATTGCATCTGGTGTCTTAAAGAGTTAACTGATATTTTCCATATTAATCTCTTCTTATTATAATCTATAAATGTTTCTTAGAGGTACTTTCCTTCTGAATATTATTAAGAAAACATTTTATCTAATATTCTTTAGTTTCTAGAAAAAAACCTTATACTCAAAAGTGAGTCCTCTTTGAGCCCTCAAAATATTGCTCTGTTTACTTGTACTGAAGAATTTGTGAACTTCCATTTTTTTTCCTCATTAATTCTTTTTTGTTTGGTTAGGTCAATATTCAATGTTTATATTGATATAACCATATAAATATTATTTACAGCTGAGGAACATACTGTGCAATGATTATATTTCCTTCTTGTACAATCATTGTTTACTTGGCACTTATAATGGTCTACTTTTTTCATTCTTCCTGGAGCATTCCATTGTCCTGCTGCAACCCAGACTGGTTCTCTTTGGGTCTGTTACAAAGCTGTCATCTTGGTACTTCTCTTCACCAGCCACCTTGGGGACTTCCTTCCCTTTTGTGTTAGACCCCCACCCCCCATTTTTTCTGTTAGTTCGATAATTTTGGTGAAACAACCTTTAGATTTCTTAGAAATAGCTTGTGAATAATTATATTTCTGAAAATACAGTTGATTCTCATTATTCATGGATTCTATATTTGCAACTTTGCAAAATTTGTTTGTGACCTCCTAATTAATACTCGCAGGGTTTTTATGATCATTCAGAAACATGCATAGAGGGTAAACATTTTGAGTTACATGTTCCTAGATGAGGTCCAATGAGGTGACACTGCCTCTTTGTTTCAGTTCATACTGCAAATAAGCATCTATGTTATGATCTATTTAGTGCCTCATTTTTCATACTTTTGTGCTTTTTCTTGGTGATTTTGCAGCTTAAAATGCCCCCCCCCCCCCAGTATAGTGCTGAAATGCTGTGATGTGTCTTATAGAGAAAATATGTGAGCTTCTTTAGATGAGCTTCCTTCAGGCATGAGTTGTGCTGCTGGCTGTGAGTTCGATGTTAATGAATCAACATCATATATTGATATAACATACACTAAAGACATGGAGTCTTTAAACAGAAACAAACAGCAAGTTTATGTATTGATTGGTTGGCAAAAATGTTGTGATCAGAGGCTCATAGGGATCTAGCCCTCTATTTCCGCTAGGAGCAATGGTTCAGTATTTGCTAACTCAGTGTTCGCTGTGACTTTACAGAATATAACTTCCACAAATAACAAGAGTCACCTGTATCTTTTAAAAGTCTTTGTGCTTGATTGACAGTGTGTTTGGTTTGATTGATTTTCTGGGCCTTCTGGCTGGAAATAATCTTCCTTCAAAATTTTAAAGGCACTGAGGAGGGGCTGGGGGTTGGGAAGTGAGAGTGGGACCTGGTGTCCTGGGGGGCATAGTGGGCCTGCCTCAGGTTTATCAAACAGACTTACTGGAAAGATGAAACCTCATGAAACTCCTGTTTGACCCAAGTCTACTTAAAGAAGTGGACTGGAATCAGAATACAGCTATATATGCTCCAGTTATTTCACCAACACATCTCCCAGAAGGCTTGGTTTAAGGCCTCTTTGTCTACTGATGATATGGTTTGGCTGTGTCTCCACCTAAATCTCATCTTGAGTTGTAGCTCCCATAATCCCTGCATGTCATGGTAGGGAGCCAGTGGGAGGTAACTGAATCATGGGAGTGGGTTTTTCCTGTACTATTCCCATGATAGTGAATAAGTCCCAGGAGATCTGATGGCTTTATAAAGGACAGTTCTCCTGCACATGCTCTCTTGCCTGCCATCACATAAGATGTGCCTTGTTCCTCCTTCACCTTCTGCCATGATTGTGAGGCCTCCCCAGCCACATGGAACTGCGAGTCCATTAAAACTCTTTCTCTTTATAAATTACCCAGTCTCGGGTGTTTCTTCATAGCAGTATGAAAATGGACTAATATAACTAACCTAGGGTTTTTTTTTTTTAAGGTAGTGGGTCAGCGAACTGCCACTGGAGTTGTCAACCTTGATAATGTATAAAGCATTTTGAGCATACAAAGAAATCTGTGGTTCATTATGTTACAGTTGTGGAAGATGTGACTCGGTGACAGTGTTGCCATGACAACTCTGATAATAGTACATAAATTCATCCTTTCCTGTGCTAAGAGAGAAAGAGTAGATGTTGTTAGCAGTGAATGCAGAGGAAGACAGCTTGGCAAATTGTTATCAACTTGTAGTTTGCTAAGCAAGAAACTGAACTGTTATAAGATTACTCTTGAATGTCTACCACAAAATGTTGGTTTTTACAAAACATTTGGATACATTGGATCTGAAGAAAACTACATATGTCAGAGGTTTCTAAAGTAAAAATCTTTTTAGAAAGACAATTGTCAAAGGAGCTAATCCTACAAAGCTATACTCTCCCTGGAGTTAAAATGTTTTGTTGCCGTAGCCCAGTGACCTCCATAAATACTGGCTTGAAAAAAAATTATAATACTGCAAATATAATGACATTTTAGAAGATTACCTTGGGCTGATGGGATATGCTGTGAATTTAGATTACAAAAGAATATTATTAAGGGGATGATTTTTACCCAAAGGGATAACTTGAATCTTTTCTTGCATTGCATTTTTCTAGAGTGTGGCTTCATTTCTTGGTAGTCAAGAGTACTGACAGTAAAGAGTTCTGTATCTGCTATCTGTGCTGCTTATTTTTAAAAATATATACATTTAATAGGCTGTTTCTTATCATATGCATAAAATTAATTATTTTTGTTTCAAATAAACATATCTAAATACACAGAGAGGTATAATTTCCCACATATTAAATTGTATAAATTAGTTATTATACAAATCTAGTGCAGTTCAATATTTGTTGATCCTATTATGGACAAACAACCTGGCCACGCCTTTTAAAGAAGCAGAATAAATGAAAACTAACTTATAAAATGTGAGGAGATTCAAAGTAAAACAATTTAAATGTTTTACTAAAAGTTTATATAGTTCTATGTCAGTAAAAATTACCAAGTGGCTTATCTGTGAAATATATTAATAATTATTCATTTGTTAAAGATACTTATGAACAAATTATTGCAGGACATCTAACGTACTTTTTAACGGTAAAATTGGGAAATCTCAACGTATGTACTTCTACTTCAATTTTTCTTTTTATCTGAAGCCTCTCTTCTGAATAACATTTTCATCAGAAAATGGAATATTACAAAATTGAGTGGAATGCGATATTTAATAAAATATATTGTACTGGATTTGTCATACCATAAAATTTTGATGGAAGCTTTTCTTTTTAATGTGGTTATAATGGCACTGTTATTCTGGTAACTATCCTGTTTTGATTTTATTGATTTTAATTATTTTAAAAGTTGAAGTCAGAATTAGATACTTTACTGGCACTAATCTTGAGCATTCCATGTTACAATAAGTCTATTCATGTGATCAAAAGACATTTAAAGGCATTCTTCTATTGTCTGCACGTTCTAATCTTGAAAAATTTGATGTTATTCTCATTCTTTGTATGTGGCTTTTATTCCTCTATTTAGACATTTAAGGTCTTATATACAGTAAACTGTTTTAGTTTGGGTCATCTTTCATTTATTGTGGTGAGCATATTTTATTAGAAAACTCGTATCTTTCAGTTTTAGGATATTTTCTTGTATTCTGATTGAATAATGTTGTCCTCTAAGTTTTCTCTTTGTGAAAACACTGTTAGCTTGATATTGAACCCCTGGAGCAAGGGTCTGATTGTTTAAAAACCTTTTCTTTACTATTTTCCATCTGTTTATCTTTTTGATCTTTTAAGTTCATATTTCAAACTTTTATTAAATTTTTCATTTCTGCTATAAGGTTTTTAATTTCTAAGAAGATTTTTCTTGTTCTTCATATATTCTTTTAAGTAATACTTTTAAATGTAGATACATTTTCCTATTGCTAGGGGCATTAATTATGAGTTTTTTAGTATTTTTGTTTAGTTTTGTACTCTCTATATTTCCCCTATTTCTGTGGAAATCTGATTTTCTCTGGGATTTTCTTCCATGTTAGAGTATTTCCTCAAATGTCTGGTGATTCTTTCCTTGTTGATTAGGTTATATTTCGGGGCAAGGCATCAAAAACCTGGCTGTCAGCTTTGTGAGTGTGTGTGGCGGGGGCGTGGGGGTGTGTTTGGGCGTATGTGTGTGGGTGGGTGTGTGAATGAGTGTGTAGATGTACATGTGGGCAGGGCTTATCGACTGGTGGGCCTCATTGGAGCGTGATGATGAAGGGTCCTAGTAGTTTACTGGGCATGTCAAATGTCAACATTTGATTGTCTTTTGGGATGACTAATTTCCTCAGAGATGATAAACTGCTAATTCCCAAATAGAGAGCAGTCTCATACTGGCCTAATATTAAAAAATGATGACATTTTTGGTATACCCTAGTATTTTAAATTTTTCATTAAGCTACTGGTAAAATTTTTTTCTCAACTGCAAAGCAAGAGCAGGAGAACAGGCTGGAGTATTAGGAACTTATGTTATTTCTGATACCCAGCAAACATTTCACATACATTAATTTTCCTTCCAATAGTGAGCTCTATTGCAAAGCAAAGAAAGCTCCTCGTTGAAGGCATGCATTTTTTTTTTTTTTTTTTTTTTTCAGATTCAGGGGATACATGTGTAGTTTTGTTACTTGGGTGCATTGTATGATGATGAGGTTTGGAGTATGATTGATCCCATCACCTAGTGAGCATGGTACCCAACAGTTTTTCAAACTTCTGCCCTCCCTCCCTTTCCCCCTCTAGTAGTTCCTAGATTCTGCTGCTGCCATCTTTATGTTCATGAGTAGCCAATGTTTAGCTCCTTGTTATGAGTAAGAACATTCAATATATTTTTTTTGTTCCTGCATTAATTCACTTTGGATAATGACCTCCAGCTACATCCATGTTGCTGCAAAGGACATAATTTTATTATTTTTCATGTCTGTGTAGTATTCCATGGTGTATGTGTACCACGTTTTCTTTTTCCAGCCCACTATTGATGGACATTTAGGTTGATGCTATGTCTTTGCTATATTTTTGGTTTTTGAGATGGATCTTGCTTTATTTCCCAGGCTGAGTGCAGTGGCACAATCTTGACTCACTGCAACCTCTGCTTCCTGGGTTCAAGCGGTTCTCCTGCCTCGGCCTCCCAAGAAGCTGGGATTACAGTCATGCACCACCATGCCCAGCTAATTTTTGTATTTTTAGTAGAGATGGGGTTTCACCATGTTAGCCAGGCTGGGCTTGAACTCCTGACCTCAGGTGATCTGCCTGCCTCGGCCTTCCAAATTGCTGGGATTATGGGTGTGAGCCACTGCACCTGGTTGTGTCTTTGCTATTGTAAATAGTGCTGTGATAAACATGTGAGTGCATGTGTCTTTTTGGTAGAACATTTTGTTTACTTTTGGATATATACCCCGTAATGGGATTGCTGGGTTGAATAGTCGTTATATTTTAAGTTCTTTGAAAAATCTCCGGACTGCTTTCCACAGTGGTTGAACTAATTTACATTCCCACCAACAGTGTATGAATGTTCCCTTTTCTCCACAGCCCTGCCAACATCTGTGGTTTTTAATTTTTTTTAATAATAGCCATTCTGACTGCTGTGAGATGGTATTTCATTGTGGTTTTGATCTGCATTTCTCTGAAGATTAGTGATGATGACCATTTACTCATATGTTTGTTGGCAGCCTGTATGTCTTCTTTTGAGAAATGTCTGTTCATGTCCTTTGCCTTCTTTTTAATGGGGTTGTTTTTTTGCTTGATGATTTAAGTTCCTTAAAGATTCTGGATATTAGCATTTTGTCAGATATATAGTTTGTGAATATTTTGCTCCCATTCTGTACGTTGTCTGTTTACTTCCTTGATAGTTTCTCTTGCATGCAGAAGCTCTTGAGTTTCATTAGGCCCCACTTCTCAATTTTTGTTTTCATTGTGATTGCTTTTGAGAACTTAGCCATGAATTCTTTCCGAAGGCTGATGTCCAGAATGGTATTTTCTAAGATTCTTATAGTTTGAGGTCTTATATTTAAATATTTAATCCAATTTGAGTTAATTTTTGTATCTGGTGAAAGGTAGGGGTCCAGATTCATTCTTCTGCATATGGTTAGCCAGCTATCCCAACACCATTTATTGAATAGGAAGTCCATTCCCCATCGCTTATTTTTGTTGGCTTTGTCAAAGATCAGATAGCTGTAGGTGTGTGGCTTTACTTCCAGGTTCTCCATTCTGTTCCATGGGTCTATTGTCTGTTTTTGTACCAGTACCACGCTGTTTTGGTTATTGTAGCCTTATAGTGTAGTTAGAAGTTGGGTAATGTAATGCCTCTGGCTTTGTTCTTTTTACTTAGGATTGTTTTGGATATTCAGGCTCTTTTTTTGGTTTCCTTTGAATTTTAAAATAGCTTTTTCTAGTTCTGAGAAAAATAATGTTGGTAGTTTGACAGGAATAGTGCTGGATCTATAGGTTGCTTTGGGCAGTCTGGCCATTTTAAAGATATTGATTTTTTCCAATTCATGAGCCATAGAATGTTTTTCCATTTGTTTGTGTCATGTATGATTTCTTTGAACAGTGTTTTGTAGTTCTTGTAGAGATCTCTCACCTTCTTGGTTAGATGTATTCCTTTGTTTACTGACTTATTTTTTTTTTTGCAGCTATTGTAAATGGGATTACATTCTTGATTTGGTTCTCAAATTGAACATTATTGGTATATAGAAATGCTACTGATTTTTGTACACTGATTTTGTAGGCTGAAACTTTACTGAAGTGGCATATCAGTTGCAGGAGCCTTTTGGTGGAGTCTTTAGGGCATTCTAGGTATAAAATCTTGTCATCTGTGAAGAGAGATAGTTTATTTTCCCATATGTATGACTTGTATTTTTTTCTCTTGACTGATTGCTCTGGCTAGCATTTCTAGTACCTTGTTGAATGGGAGTGTCAGAGTGGGCATACTTGTCTTGTTCCAGGTGTTAGGGGGAATGCTTCCAGTTTTTGTCTGTTCAATATGATGTTGGCAGTGGGTTTGTCACAGATGCCTCTTAATATTTTGAGGTATTCTCTTCTGATAGAAGGCATGCATTTTTTAAATGAAGAAAAAATATAGAGAAGCTGAAAGAAGGAGGAATAGAGAGAGATAAAGAAGTAGAGGGAAGAAGTAGGACAAGGAGAGAATGAGGAGAAAGGAAGAGAAGAGGAAAGAGAGAAGAAAAGAAGGAGAGTGAGAGGAAAATAAAGAGGTGTCAAGGAGGAGAGAGAGAAAGTAAGAGAAGAAGGCAGAGGTGGGAGGGGTGAGAAAGGGAGAGGGAAGTTGAAGAAAAGTTAAAACATATTCAGGGCTTTCTAGTCTCCCTTGATATAGTCATTGTTTAATTTTCCAGGCACGTCATCCAGTGTCTCTTTTAAGAAAAATGGTGCTACTACCTATCTCCAAAAAGAAACTAAACCCACCTGGCTTTGTGTGCCATTAGGTACCACTAGTCCTGCAGCCTTTTATTTCCTCTCTTTCAAGAGTCTTCAAGGAATGACTTATGTTACAGATGTCTGTTCATTTTTATTTTATCTTCTTCAGCAGATTAGAATTCCCAAGCAATGCCTTATATTATAGACACCAAATTATTTGTTTTGTCCTGTTCATTAGATTACTACCTCCCCAAAGGCAAAGATGTAGTCTTGTCTAGGGCTTCCTGGCTTATTGCAGTAAAGAACCAAATTTTTATTTTTTATTTAAAATATTTCCAATCTATCACAGTCTGATACTTTTGTACAAAATCATACATTTTGATATCATATAACATGCTATAACGATAGCATATAAACATGCTACACGTTTTAAAATGCTTACTCCTACTTTCTGAAATGAAATGGTAAAAACAATTCATTGATTGGCACTGCTTTACTGAATCCACTATGAGATGAAGCAGCAGTTCAGTGCACCTCGCATCTTGCTTTGCATCTACCAATATAACGTAAATGGAATTTTGCACTGAATAAATTTTATCTAAATATAACTGAATTGATATTCAAAAATAACAATAAAGATACTGGAAATAAAGTCTTGATTAGAATGAAATGGCATCATAAGATCTACTTCCTGTTTTTAACCCCTGATTTGTAGTTTGGCGGGTACTGTTAGGCAATTAACGATGCTTTTAAAAACAATGTGCATTGCATAATTTTTGAAGACATATTGTTAGTTAAGTCTAAATGATTTTGATACTACTCTTCATCTTACATTGCCAAAATAAATGTCTAAATATTTTACTAAATTCCCTATCAATGATGATTTGGTGTTGTTATCTTTGTAATATGGAAGGAAAGCTCAATTTTTAATCACAATAGTAGGAAACTATCCCTGTCTAGCAGGCTAGTTTAGAACAGCAACTGACATTATTATCATATAATATTTTGCACATACACAGTGCCCTTCAAATGTTGAATTGATGCACTTAATGAAATTAGACAGCTATTCTTCACAGAAAGGGCAGCAATGCTATCAAATCCTTTCACAAGAGCTTCAAACGAAAACCTGGCAACTTAAGAAAATTAATTAGGAATGAATGCTTTGATTTATTGGGCAATCCCTTAATTTGTGACTTGGTGGCTTTACATGGGAATTTGGAGTGCTTAGCCTGCCATGGGCTGGATAATCAAAGGCCCATGATTTACAGAACACATCTTTAAAATAACTTCTCTAGAGAACCTCACTTTTAAAAAGGCTTTCAAGACTTTTAGTATCCAATTGGGCTATAATATACACTTAACTGAAATACCACTTGCATGATATGATAATTTAGCCAGTATCTGGAAGAAATGTCTCAACAAGTGTTTCATCTTTTATATGCTTTTAATTGAAGCTAGGGGGAAACTGTAGTTGGTTGCCTAACACTGAATAAAACTACAAGCACATTATTTCATTTTGAAGTTGAATGTGGCCAGCAGCTTCTAATGGTATATTTTGAATGTGATCTAGTGAAATTTTTACTAAGGAAATAATAACATTTCTAAAAACATGAAACATTTGAGGATTGACTTTTCATTTTAATATCTACCTTAGTTAGCATGCCAAAATATAGCCACTCAATGCATTTTTTCTTCCTGATAAGCTCTTAAAGTATAAGTGATGTGTGGCTTTTGCTAATAGTTGGCAGCTATTGATTATACTATGATAGCTGACTTGTTCTGCAGAATAAAGTAGAAAATCCTTTTGAATCAAAAAGCATTTCTGTACTTTGAAAATGTCATTAAAAGCATTGAAAAGGTCACATTTTGAGATTGATAAAATAAAGATCAGTCACTCCTGGCTGGATGAACAGAATGTGATTGGGAAGTGAGGCTTTAAAACTGTTGCTAGCACTTTTATAGTGCAAATCTGGGATTCACAATAGCTCTAAAAGCAATAAATAACTTTTTACATACATGATTATTTTCCTGAATAATTAAAGCTATTATTTAGACATTCAAGTGCAGATGAAACTCAGAAGAAAACATGAGGTGTTAAGATACATGAAGTTGCCAGCTTTGTAAGCAAAAGTCCCAGACTGGACTCCATTCCAAAATGGCTACCAATATTCTGTGTTTATTTATGGAGATATCATCATGTCTCTGTATCTCACTTATTCAGCATTAAATGAATGATGATATCTATTTTGTCTTTATGAGAATCAGTAAAGATTCATTGAAGAACACAAAATAAAGGATAGTCAATACTTTGAACTGTCTGAAATAAATGCTGTTTAAACTGCCAAAAAATTATTTAGATAATCAAGTATTATTTAATTGAAAATTCAGTCTTCAGTATATTTAATGGAGCTAAAACAAAGAGAAATGAGTTCTCTTCAAGTAAGCTTAATTAGCTTTCTTTGAGATGAGTTGAAGGTAGCCGAGTGAAATCAAAGCACTTATTTTGCATTATTTTTAGTGATTATTTTCAGGACTGATATTAAAAGTATATGAGACTAAGATCTTATTTTTAAATTGAAACAATAACAACTCTCTTCGTGCAGTATTGATTCTACATATGACATCTAATCTTAGCCACCATTTCTATTTTATTCATATACACATTCAGTAAATATATCTTTCAACAGTCTGACTATATGATTACCCTTTCCAATGTGGCTTGACACCTTAAAAAACTCATGTTCCAATGAGAACACACGGACACAGGGAGGGGAACATCACACACCAGGGCCTGTCAGGGGGCAAGGGGAAAGGGGAGGGAGAGCATTAGGACAAATACCTAATGCATGCAGGACTTAAAACCTAGATGACAGGTTGATAGGTGAAGCAAACTATCATCGCACATGTATACCTATGCAACACACCTGCATGTTCAGCACACGTGTCCCAGAACTTAGAGTAAAATTAAAAAAACAAGACAAAACAAAACTAAATTCATGTTCCTTGAAAACAGTACTGGTAACAATAAGGAAACAGTGCTGGCTGTGTACATTAATGCACCTCCCAAAGCTTTGTTTGTTTTATATGTGATTCTGAAACATCACTTAAGGTTAGTTCTTTCCCATGAGTGAGAGCTTATGCATGTCAAGTTTACTGATTCATTTTCTTATGTAGAAATATTTGATGTCTACAAATTAGTTTGGCTAATTTAGACTTGCATGTTATGAAGTGGTCATAAATCCTTCATAGATTTTAAAGGGTTTCTCATAAGACTTGCTTTTTAAAAATAAATAAATGGTGAGGATTGCTACAACCAAGAGTTCAGAGGGTACAGTTAGATTATTTAGAGAATATTTAAGTTACAATTTTAACAACATTTTATCTTAGAAACACAGCCTAAATGACATCAAATTGTTACTGGGTTGAGTGGATTTAATGATTGAACAGGTTCTCTCTCTCTCACTCTCTAATAGATTGATTTTTTAAATTCTATAATTTATTGTGATGAAAGATCTCATCAAAATTTTTTTGGGGCAGGGTTCCCTATGATATATGATGATACCAATTTTTGAAGTAAAACTGATATGAATTGTGATATTGGGTTTAATGTGACACTTTATTATATGAACAAATTAGATAGTGGTAGAAGTGCTGATAACACTCTTTTGAAATATCATCAACTATAAAGTACTGCACCACTGCTTTCTTTATAAGCAGAACTTAAATAAATCTATTTAATGATCCTATACATTTTCTTCCCTCCATGTAACACTATATTGCTGCCTGCTATAACCTGCAATTGCTTCCTTTTCCCCAAGGAGAACATTTTGCTGAAGAAATAAAAGCCATTTCAGGCACAATCAGCCCCTCTGTTTCTTAAGACATTTTTTTAATTGTAAAAGACTGAGGGAGACTCTTTTTGATGACTCTACTGTATTTTACTATTGAACAGTAATGAGTGCCTACTTCTTAAAAATGCATACAGGAGCCCATGCATTCAACACGCCACTGTCAAAATATGCACATACATGATTGATTACCCAATTTACTGGTGATATTGTATATGCCATCATAGTGCAGTTTAAATGATTTTGACAAGTACAGAAAAGTGTCATTGACAGGTGCAGAAATAAATGATGGGTTTAAGCTTTCACATGTTTTTACAGCATTTCACTGACTGGCAGGTTGATAAATTAAAATTACAGTTGTAGCATCAGGCCTGAAAGCACAACTGCTTTAGATTACAAAAATAGCGCTGTGGAAACTTTGTGTACTCTCCAGAGAAGTAGCCTGGAGGGCTTTGGGGAAAAAAATGAAGCAAATGCAGTTGGTAAAGAAATCATTAATTTTGTGGTAGCACTGTCTGAGTCTTAAAAAAAACGCAAAAAAGTAGATTTTTAGAAGAAAATTGGCTTTGTCTCCTTATCCCTTTTTCCCTGCAGACATAGAGAAAATTGAAACCACATCATCAAAAGACAGGCATTGAATTGGCCATTAGTAATTCCGTGATGTTAGATGGGCATATTTAAAGCTTGGGGACAATTTCTTGTTAACCTTCCCTTAGTTTCAACACTACGCATGGATTTTAGCTTGTCATGCTGTCACCATGATCCCATCAAGTCTAACTGAGAAAACTTTAAGACACCACTCACTCACTGATTTCGACATTCTTAAAGAAAATGCTATTTCATCAGGCATTTTCTTTACATTCTTATTTCATTCTATTCAAGTCCTGCATCTTTTCAAGTCATGCCTGAACTTCTGCAACTGCTTTATAAGTGGCTCACTTTGGATAATATCACTCTTCAGTTGAAAGCAAAACAGCCAAGCAGGTATACATCATTGAATGGCTCCACTTCACCCACAGAATGAGCAGAAAGCTCCTTGTATTAGGATAATTTCTCAATACAGATTCTCCCTGAATTTGCCAATCTTATCTTTTGTCTTTTCCTGAATCTTCCTAGCTCACTAGACTGGAATGTCTGATACGTGGGGTATGGTGCCTTCTCTGCTGCTACTCATCCAACTTTGTCTCCCAGGAATGCCATTTTAATAGCTCCTTATTGAATTCTTACCTCACCTTGAAGAAAAACTCAGGTCCTACTTTTGTCTTGGAAATTTTCCTAATAATCTGACCAGTTTCTTTAACTTCTCAATTCCTAAATGCTTGATAGACAGCTATCATTTGATGGCATTAATATAAATCTGCTTTTGCTTTTATGTGTTCTGCTACCAACCATCCTTAAATCAGTATTGCTTTCCCTCTTTCATGTTCCTATTATTAAAGTTTTCAATATTGTACTCCATATTTTATATCACTCTAAGTACAGCCTGGAATTGTCTTCCTGTCTTCAGGCTGCTGTTTTGCTTTTTTTCTTGTCTCTCTTCCTCAGTGATCTTCCCTAGTAAGGCAGTCTGTCACTCCTGTGCTGATTTCACTCTCTTCTGAACTGAGAATTGGATTCTCTTAACACTTCTAAAATATTCAGTCCTTTGGATTCAATTGGTTAACATTTCTGCGATTCAGTGAAACTTTAGAAAAGATTTACAACTTAATTGCTGCAAAGAATGTTTTTAATAATTGATATTTATTTCCTGTTTACGATGTGTCAGACACTAAGTATTATCACATTCATAACAGCTGTTAAGAGTTAGTTATGACCCAGTATGATGGCTCATGCTTGTAATCCCAGCACTTTTGGAGGATGAGGTGGGAAGATTGCTAGAAATCAGGAGTTTAAGACCAGCCTGTCCAACACAGTGAGACCCCCCGTTTCTAGAAAAGATAAGAATTAGCCAGGTGTGGTGGCTCATGCCTATAGTTCCAGCTACTTGGGAAGCTGAGGAGGGAGGATCACTTGGGCCTGGGAGGTTGAGGCTGCAGTGACTGTGATTGCACCACTGCACTCCAACCTGGGAGATGGAGTAAGACCCTGTCTCAAAAGAAATTAATAATAATAATAATAATAATAATAATAATAAAAGATTAGTTACTACCTTAAGTGAGCAAATGGAGACTCAGGAAAGTTAAACAAATTGCTAAAGCCATCTGTCTAGGAAGTGACAGAATAGGATTCAGAGGAAGGAAATCAAATCACAGAACTTGGGCTCTTAAAGCAAGTGGCTAATACTATAATAATATATAGCATCTGTTACTAAATATGAGGTTTCCTACAAAACCTGGATAAATGTAAAATAGTGTGAGTCTTTAACCTAATAAGAACATCAAGGTTTAATAAAGTTTTCATAACAGCAGAAGTATATTGAAGATCTAAATTCTACTTCAAGACTGGAAAGAAAAGGGAGAAAATAAACCTCAAGGAAAATGGGTTCGTGAACTACAGCTGTTAGCAATTATAAGGTCATTTTTGGATGCAGGGCAAGCCTTGTTGCCCTGAAAGTATTTACTCTCTCTTGTTTGGATTTAGTAGAATAGATCCCGTGCATCTCAAAGGACTTAGGCGATCCAGGCTTGGCTGGTCCATGCTTAGCTCACACATAGTGCTTCAATAGAGATAAATATAATAAAATAATTCTGATATTTTTATCATTGATGTATTCTTTTTATTTCTTTTTATAATTTTAAAATTTTCTAATGTTAACTTTAGTGGGTGCATAGTAGGCATATATATTTGTGGGGTACATGAGATATTTTCACACAGGTACGCAATGTGTAATAATCACATCAGGGAGAATGCGGTATCCATTCTCCCAAGCATTTACGCTTTGTGTTACAAACAAACAATCCAATTACACTCTTATAGTTACTTAAGATGTACAATTATGTTATTATTGACTATAGTCACCCTGTTGTGCAATCAAATAGGTCTTATTCATTCTTTCTAATTTTTTTTGTATCCATTAACCATACCCCCGCCCCTGCCCCAGTGATGTATTCTTGAAGATCTTCCAACCAAACCTGGGAAATAATATATTGTGAGATAAGTCAATATAACTTTTAAATTGTTCTGACTTAGTTAAATTATTCTGATACAGTGAACAAAATCTGAAGTTTTTTTTAACCAATGTAATAAGCATCCTCATATAAAGCTACTTATGAAAAAATTCATCAAATGAAAAATTGGTATAAATCGATATTTAATTTCAAAATACAACTAATTCATATTAAAGTCTTCTTTAAAAGTTCAACTTCATGCTGAAGAAGAAGAAATAATTCATGTGGAAAGTTTCCTTTGGTGCTGTGAGTGTATGCTCAAAGTGGCTCAGTGTCTGCAAGGTATCAACAGTCAGTGCTTGAAGAAACTTCATGCATTTTTTGACATGTAACCTTAAAATGGAAATCTCAGTCTTCAAATGAAGGATCTTTGATTCCTTCTCATTTGTGTTTTCATTAAAAAGTTGTAATAACTTTTTCAAGGCAAGACTGGTTTTAAACTAAGATTTATATATTAGAATCTTGATGATCACTCTGTGCTTATTCACCTTTCTTTTCTTTTTTTCTTTTTTTTTTTTTTTTTTTTGAGACAGAGTCTCTCTCTGTTGCCAGGCTGGAGTGCAGTGGCATGATCCCGGCTCACTGCAACCTCTGACTCCCCGGTTCAGATGATTCTGCTGCCTCAACCTCCCGAGTAGCTAGGATTACAGGTGTACACCACCACGTCCAGCTAATTTTTGTATTTTTAGTAGAGCTGGGGTTTCACCATGTTGGCCAGGATGGTCTGGATCTCCTGACCTCGTGATCTGCCTGCTCGGCCTCCCAAAGTGCTGGGATTCCAGGCATGAGCCACCGCGCCTGGCCTTATTCACCTTTCTAAATGCAAACTTGATGCCTGTTTTCTCTCAGCTTATTTCCAAGATCAGAGTATATCTGATGCAGCATTGAAAGGAAGCATTCTCCTAGCAGAATTTTATTATGTTAATTGCTCTAAAAAAATATAATGTTTCAAGGATGATTGGAATATGAGCCCCCAAACTTAAGCCCTCCATTAAAAAACAAGGTTGCTTAACATCTTAAAAAATGTTAAGATGGGCAAGAATTTTAATGTTCAAATGTATTTTATAAATATATTTTATTTATAATAATATAAACATTCAGTATTATGTATTTATAATAAATTTAAATATATTTAATAAATATATAAATAGTAAATATATAAATACTTATAATAGTTTAAAATAGAAAATATTAATATTTAAAAAATAGACATTTATTAAATATTGAAATTATATTATTTAATATTTTGAAGTTTAAAATTTATTATGATCCCAGCCTTAGGTCTAAGATGACATCAGAATGAATTTATATGTACTTCTGCATAGGCAGTGTGGAGGCTTCCATGGCATATATTCTGGGCTCTTTGCATCTATCCTGGTCTCTGTGGAGTGAACTCCAAGATAGTTCTAGTTCAATGTGGCTGCCTCCACCACATGCATTTAAAACAGGGAGGGATTGTGGACATTACATTTCGAAGATTTTCTGAAGGGACTCCAGAGATGGTAAGTGTTTACAATGACAACCTGTGCATGTGTGTATGGAAAACAATGGAGGTGGATGAAAGCACCTTGTAGATGATGGCTCCCAGGCCCCACTGGTATCAGAATCACCTAGGTAGCGTTGGAAAACACTGCATCTGTTGATCTACCTGTGCAAACAGAATCACACTTGGGATGAGCTTTCATGCCTCACTCTAGGTGTATTAGAGGGAAACTACATTAAATGAACAAAGAAGTAACAGGTCTTTTTTCCCCCCTCAATGACATTATTTTAGAAGTCATTTCCTGGTGCATATGAAGAAAGTTCTTTTTATATCATATATATAGTTGCAGATCAGAGACCTGAGATTTCACTCAACTTCTTTTCACAACTCCATGCTCTTTCTCAGTAAGGAAATAACTTCTTGTAACTTTCTTTGACAGTTTTTTTTTCCACTGCAATATTCAGATTGGGTCTATGTTGTGACCAAACAATTTTATTTCAAAATTAGTACAGCACATTTATCCAGGGAAGAATTTGGTTCACCAATTTATATTAAGATGAGATGCATATTAAAAATGTATCAATATTTCTACTTAAAAAATTTAAATGACAATTACTAGTATTCATCATTAAAATCTAAATGACAATTACTAGTATTCATCATTAAAATCTGAAACATCTGTACTCATATTGCTTGATAACTCATTTCATGACAATTTTTATCTTTCCCCATTATAATAACTTCTGTTGGTTTTTATAATGAAACTTCTTTTGCTTTTTATAATGTAACTCAAAGCACTGCCTATAAAAATGGAGATTTATTATTTTAAAGCTTTCTGATTGACTCTTTAGAACATGATACATAAATATACCTTCCAGAATTGTAATGATAGCTAACATTTATGAGCAATTCTTATGTGTCAAAAAGTGTGCTAAATGTTTGATATAAATTATTATCTAAATCTTTTAATCTCCATTTCACAAACAAGAACCTGAAGCTTGGGAGTTTAAGTGGGGAGATGGATGAAGCTGGAAACCATCATTCTCAGCAAACTATCGCAAGGATAAAAAACCAAGCACTGCATGTTCTCACTCATAGGTGGGAATTGAACAATGAGAACACTTAGGCACAGGAAGGGGAACATCACACACTGGGGCCTGTCGTGGGGTGGGGGGAGGGGTAGCATTAGGAGATACACCTCCTGTAAATGACAAGTTAATAGGTGCAGCACACCAACATGGCACATGTATACATATGTAACAAACCTGCACGTTGTGCACATGTACCCTAGAACTTAAAGTATTAAAAAAAAAGTAATTGCCTAAACTAACACATCTAGCTTGTAAGTGTCCAAGCCTATGAGGGTGAAAGCAACTTTCACCAGTGCATATTAACAAATACTTTAAGACACTGACAGGCAGTGGACTGAAGTATGCAATATTTAGCAGTGATTTATTCATTAATATAATTCACACATTTTTATTGAACATAGAATTAAAATTAATGTGAGTGAGGTGTGCTGTGGACAAATTCAATGTTACATACTCACATGTCAACTGATGTAATAAACCATATACCATGCACTTATTCTGACATGTGACTATGGATTAAAAGTCATAAATTTGATCATCACAGAGGAATGGGAGGCAGGACTAGACTGCAGTTCCCACTTGGACAGACAGAGCAGCGTGCAGAGGCTCGCATGGTGAATTTTAGCTCCAGATCAACTGCAAGAATGAACCAGCAATCCCAAGAGGACCCACAGACCCTCTGAAGGAGGCAGAGTGCTCCTGCAGGACCCAGGAGACATCCCAAATACTGAGTGCCCCAACTGCAGAAGTGGGAAAGGGAGATCCTCCTCTCCCAAACACACACCCCCGACTGGAGAAACTGAAGGTCTGTTTGTGGCAGAAAAGTTTCCGACCTTATCTGGAGCTGAGTCAATTTCAAGAGCTGAGTGAAATACAGGGATAGAGGAAGCAGTGGGAAAAGCCCCGGGAGCTCGCTGGGTCTTCAAGCAGGCCATTCCTGCCTGGCACCACAGGGATCCATCAGGAGGGTGGCCAGAGGAGCGGGGGAAAAATACCACAGGCAGAAGGAAATCTCCAGCTGAATTTTGTAACAACTTGAAAGGGGCAAGAAGCCTCCTAGCCAAAATTCAAGGGAGAGCGGGAATCCAGTGTGCAGACTCCACAGGCTGGGGAAGAACCAAACCTTTTTCTTTCGCAGCTGGGAGACAGGTAGCCTGGGGCAAGTTCTCAAGCCTGGCTCACCCACTGCCTGCAAACCAACTTGGGGCTGTTAGCGGGGGCATGGTGGGAGTGAGACCTGCCCTTTGGTTTGCATGGGAGCTGGTTAAGCCCTGTGACTGCCAGTTTTCTCCCACTTCTCTGACAACCTTCATGATGCAGAAGAGGCAGCCACAATCCTTCTTGACCTGGGAACCTCATCTCCGTCCCCCACAGCAGCCACAGCAAGACCCATCGAAGGAGAGCCTGAGCTCGGACATGCCTAGCCCTGCCCCCACCTGATGGTCCTGCCCTACTCACCCTGGTAGCTGAAGACAAAGGGCATATAATCTTGGGAGTTCTAGGGCCCCACCCACCATTGGTTCCTCTCCATACTACCACAGCTGATGCTCCCTGGAAAGTGCCACCTCCCAGCAGAAGGCCAACCCGCACAAAAATAGAGCATTAAACCACCAAAGCTGAGAACCCTGACAGAGTCCATTTCATCACAGGACTCTGCAGACAACCCCCAGTACCAGACTGGAGCTGGGTGGACTTGCTGGGTGGCTAGACCCAGAAGAGGGACAACAATCAGTGTAGTTCGGCTCACAGGAATCCACATCAACAGGGAAATGTGGAGAGTACTACATCAAGAGAACTCCCTGTGGGACAAAAGAATCTGGACAACAGCCTTCAGCCCTAGACCTTCCCTCTGACAGCGCCTACCCAAATGAAAGGGAACCAGAAAACCAACTCTGGTAATATGACAAAACAGGCTCTTAAACACCCCCAAAAATCACACTAGTTCACCAGCAATGGATCCAAACCAAGAAGAAATCCCCGATTTACCTGAAAAAGGGTTCAGGAGGTTAGTTATTAAGCTAATCAGGGAGGCACCAGAGAAAGGCAAAGCCCAATGCAAGGAAGTCCAAAAAAAGTGAAGGGAGAAATATTCAAGGAAATACATAAAGAAACAAATAATAAAAAATTCAGGAAACACTGGACACACAGAAATGCAAAATGCTCTGGAAAGTCTCAGCAATAGAAATGAACAAGTAGAAGAAAGAAATTTGAAGTTCAAAGACAAGGCCTTCAAATTAAACCAATCCAACCATGACAAATAATAAAGAATAAGAAAATATGAACAAAGCCTCTAAGAAGTCTGGGGTTATATTAAATGACCAAACCTAAGAATAATCGGTATTCCTGAGGAAGAAGAGAAATCTAAAAGTATGGAAAACATATTTGGGGGAAAAATCGAGGAAAACTTCCCTGGCCTTGCTAGAGAACTAGACATCTAAATACAAGAAGCACAAAGAACACCTGGGAAGTTCATCACAACAATATCATCACCTAGGCACACTGTCATCAAGTTATCTAAAGTTAAGATGAAGGAAAGAATCTTAAGAGATGTGAGACAGAAGCACCAGGTAACCTACAAAGGAAAACCTATCAGATTAACAGCAGATTTCTCAGCAGAAACCCTACAAACTAGAAGGGATTGGGGTCCTATCTTCAGCCTCTTTAAACAAAACAATTATCATTCAAGAATTTTGTATCCAGCGAAACTAAGCATCATATATAAAGGAAACATACCATCTTTCTCAGACAAACAAATGCTGAGAGAGTTTGCCAGTACCAAACCACCACTATAAGAATTGCTAAAAGGAGCTCTAAATCTTGAAACAAATCCTGGAAACGCATCAAAACAGAACCTCTTTAAAGCATAAATCACACAGGACCTAGAAAACAAAAGTATAAGTTAAAAAGAAAAAAAAACAAAAAACAAAACCAAGGTACGCAGGCAACAAATAGCATGATGAATGCAACGGTACCTCACATCTCAATACTAAACATTGAATATAAATGGCCTAAATGCTTTGCTTAAAAGATACAGAACTGCAGAATGGATAAGAACTCACCAATCAACTCTCTGCTGCCTTCAGGAGACTCACCTAATACGTAAGGACTCACATAAACTTAAAGTAAAGGGGTGGAAAAAGGCATTTTATGCAAATGGACACCAAAAGTGAACAGGGATAACTATTCTTATATCAGACAAAACAAAAACTTTAAAGTAACAGCAGTTAAAAGAGACAAAGAGGGACATTATATAATGGTAAAATACCTTGTCCAACAGGAAAATATCACAATCCTAAACATATATGCACCTAACACTGGAGCTTCCAAATTTATAAAACAATTACTAATAGACCTAAGAAATGTGATAGACAGCAACACAATAATAGTGGGGAACTTCAATACTCCACTGACAGCACTAGACAGGTCATCAAGACAGAAAGTCAACAAAGAAACAATGGATTTAAAGTTTACCTTGGAACAAATGGTCTTAACAGATATATACAGAACATTTCATCCAACAACTGTAGAATACACACATTCTATTCAAGAGTGCATGGGACTTTCTAAAACATAGGCCATACAATAGGCCATAAAATGAGCCTCAATAAATTTAGGAAAATTGAAATTATATCAAGCACCTCTCAGACCACAGTGGAATAAAAGTGGAAATCAACTCAAAAAGGAATCTTCAAAACCTTGCAAATACATTGAAATTAAATAGGCTGCTCTGGAATGGGCATTGAGTCAAAAACAAAATTAAGATGGAAATTTAAAAATTCTTTGAACTGAACGACAATAATGACACAACCTATCAAAACCTCTGGGATACAGTAAAGGTGGTGCTAAGAGGAAAGTTCATAGCCCTAAATGCCTACATCAGAAAGACTGAAAAAGTACAAACTAACATTCTAAGGTCACATCTCAAGGAACTAGAGAAACAAGAACAAACCAAAACCAAACCCAGTAAAAGAAAGGAAATAACCAAGATCAGAGCAGAACTAAATGAAATTGAAACAAAAAGAAATAATACAAAAGATAAATGAAACAAAAAGCTGGTTCTTTGAAAAGATAAATACAACTGATAGACCATTAGCAAAATTAACCAAGAAAAGAAGAGAGAAAATCCAAATAACCTCATTAAGAAACGAAACAGGAGGTATTATAACTGACACCACTGAAATACGAAAGATCATTTAAGGCTACTGTGAACACCTTTATGCACATAAACTAGAAAACCTAGAACAGATGGATAAATTCCTGAAAAAATACAATCCTCTTGGCTTAAATCAGGAAGAATTAGATACCCTGAACAGACCAACAACAAGCAGGGAGATTGAAATGGTAATTTAAAAATTACCAACAAAAAAATGTCCAGGACCAGATGGATTCACAGCAGAATTCTACCAGACATTCAAAGAAGAATTGGTACCTATCTTTTGATGCTATTCCACAAGATAGAGAAAGAAGAAACCCTCCCTAATTTATTCTATGCAGCCAGCATCACCCTAATACCAAAACCAGGAAAGGACATAACCAAAAAAGAAAACTACAGACCAATATCCTTGATAAACATAGATGCTAAAATCCTTAACAAAATACTAGCTAACCAAATCCAACAACATATCAAAAAGATAACCCACCATGATCAAGTAAGTTTCATACCAGGGATGCAGGGATGGTTTAACATATGCAAGTCAATAAATGTGATATACCACATAAATAGAATTAAAAATAAAAATCACATGATAACCTCAATAGATGCAGAAAAAGCATCTGACAAAATCCAGCATCCTTTTATGGTTAAAACTCTCATCCCTCAATGTAATAAAAGCCATCTATGAAAAACCCACAGCCAACATAATACTGAATGGGGAAAAGTTGAAAGCATTCCCTCTGAAAACTGGAACAAAACAAGGATGCCCACTCTCACCACTCCTCTTCACATAGCACTGGAAGTCCTAGCCAGAGCAACTAGACAAGAAAAAGAAATAAAGGGCATCTAAATTGATAAAGAGGAAGTAAAACTGTCACTGTTTACTAACAATATGATTGTTTTCCTTGAAAACCCTAGAGACTCCTCCAGAAAGCTCCTAGAATGGATAAAAGAATTCAGCAAAGTTTCTGGGTACAAGATTAATGTACACAAATCAGTAGTTCTGCTACACACCAACAGTGACCAAGCTAAGAATCAAATAAAAAACGCAATCCACTTTACGATGGCTGCAAAAAAATTTAAAATACTTAGGAATATACCTAACCAAGGAGTCAAAAGACCTCTACAAGGAAAACTACAAAACACTGCTGAAAGAAATCACAGATGACACAAACAAATGGAAATACTTGCCATGTTCATGGATGGGTAGAATCAATATTGTGAAAATGACCACACTGCCAAAAGCAATCTACAAATTCAATGCAATCCCAATCAAAATACCACTATCATTCTTTACAGAATTAGAAAAAACAATTCTAAAATTCATATGGAACCAAAAAAGAGCCCGTATAGCCAAAACAAGACTAAGCAAAAAGAACAAATCTGGAGGCATCACACTACCTGATTTCACACTATATTACAAGGACATAGTCACCAAAACGGTGTGGTACTGGTATAAAAATAGGCACATAGACCAATGGAACAGAGAAGAGAACCCAGAAATAAACCCAAATACTTAACAGCCAAATGATCTTCGACAAAGCAAACAAAAACATAAAGTGGGAAAAGGACACCCTATTCAACAAATAGTACTGGGATAATTGGCAAGCCACATGTAGGAGAATGAAACTGGATCCTCATCTCTCGTCTTATACATAAATCAACTCAAGAAGGATTAAAGACTTAAATCTGAGACCTGAAACTATAAACATTCTAGAAGATAACATTGGAAAAATGCTTCTAGACATTGGCCTAGATTTCATGACCAAGAACCCGCAAGCAAATTCAATAAAAACAAAGATAAATAGTTGAGACTTAATTAAACTAAAGAGCTTTTGCATGGCAAAAAGAAGAGAGTGAACAGACAACCCACAGAGTGGGAGAAAATCTTCACAATCTATACATCTAACAAAGGACTAATATCCAGAATCTACAATGAACTCAATCAAATCAGTAAGAAAAACACAAACATCCCATCAAAAAGTGGGTTAATTACATGAATAGATAGTACTCAAATGAAGATATACAAATGGCCAAGAAACATATGAAAAAATGCTTAACATCACTAATGATCAGGCAAATGCAAATCAAAACCATAATGCAATACTAGCTTACTTCTGCAAAAATGGCCATAATCAAAAAATCAAAAAACAGTAGATGGTGGAGTGGATGCAGTGAATAGGGAACACTTCTACACTGCTGGTGGGAATGTAAACTAGTACAACCACTATAGAAAACAGTGTAAAGATTCTTTAAAGAACTAATAGTAGAACTACCATTTGATCCAGCAATCCCACTCTGGGTATCCACCCAGAGGAAAAGAAGTCATTATATGAAAAAGATACTTGCACATGCATGTTTATAGCAGCAGAATTCGCAATTGCAAAATCATAGAACCAACCCAAATGCCCAACAATCAAAGAGTGGATAAAGAAATTGTGGTGTATATTTATATGATGGAATACTAATCAGCCATAAAAAGAAACAAATTAACGGCGTTTGCAGTAACCTGGATGAGACTGGAGACTATTATTCTAAGTGAAGTAACTCAGGAATGGAAAACCAAACATCGTATGTGTTCACTGATAAGTGGGAGCTAAGCTATGAGGATGGAAAAGCATAAGAATGATACAATGGACTTTGGGGACTTGGTTGGGTGGGAAGGTTGGGAGGGGGGTGAGGGCTAAAAGACCACAAATATGATGCAGTGTATACTGCTTGGGTGATGGGCGCACCAAAATCTCACCAATCACCACTAAAGAACTTACATCTTCTCACTGAAAAAGGCAGCAGAGAGCTACATACATGCTTTTATTTTTTTGAGACAGGGTCTCACTTTGTTGCCTACGCTGGGGTGAAGTGGTGCGATCTCGGTTCATTGTAGCCCGGACCTGCTGGGCTCAAATGATCCTCCCGCCTCAGCCCCCCAGGTGGCTAGGACTAGAGGCACGGCACCACGGCCAGCTAATTTTTGTAATTTTTTGTAGAGATGATGTTTCACCATGTTGTCCAGCCTGGTCTCGAACTCCTGAACTCAAGTGAGTCGCCCACCTTAGCATACATACTTTTGGACAATCTTATTTAAAATAATTTTCTTGAGGGAACAGAAACATTTAGCTATAAATTAAAATATCCATTCAGCAGAATCATTTGGGTTGCCTTTCACACCACTTTACTTTTAAGACATAAGCAGTATCTTATGTGTGCCATGCTAATTTTCCCACTTTGAGCATTGGCTGAGCGATACAGTATTTTTTTTTTTTTTTGGAGAGATTTTCTCAGGGTTCTAATAATCAGTGCTAAACTGTTGATAAATTTAAAACAAAGATTACTTAGGGTCTGCCTTTTAAAACAGAAGTATGCAATAAAAAAGGAATTCCATCTCATAATAGCCAGGAGAACAGTAAAGGCTGCACAGAAACTACATGAAGTGAGGCGTGAAGAGAAGCTATTTCAGGCCTTTTGACTTGAGGGCAAATACACATGCATTCAAACTAAAAGATTTCTTCAGGTGTAGAGATTTTTAACAATAGGAGCTGATGATCAATGTAGGGAAAAAAGCATGCTTTATCACTTTTTTTGGGCCAGACCAACTCGACCTTTCATTTTCCATGTAGTCTTCAAATAAATGCATATATTCCATTTTTTGTCTTCCACATCCCCTAATAATTATTTTGATTTCCATGATTTGAGTGGCTTTCTGAAAAGCTTTTATGAAGAGTAGAAAGGAATTGGGAACCATGTTGTTGAATGAGTGATTGATAGAAATATTCAATGACCATGTACAAAGTAATAAAAGAAAATTGATCTGGTCACTTAAAAATCTAACCCCATTCCATGTTTCTGGTCATTAAGCATCAGTATTGTGGCTGCCTATATATGACAGCTTTTTTTCCCTCATCAAATATAGCATGATTTCTCTAGGCAAGACATTGCATTTTTCACAACTTTTTCATACAATATCATCTATAATATTGAAAGTGCAAAAGTCCTTTCATAATACACTTTAATATGTTAGTCAAAGGAGTATTTGATCAGATACAAACAACATTGCTTATTCTTAGTTTGAAATGCCTAAAAATAGAACATGTGCACTCATGTCAAAAACATATTATTGTTATTATTTTATTACTATTACTTTTTGGGACAGAGTCTTGCTCTGTCACCCAGGCTGGAGTGGAGTGCAGTGGTGTGATCTTGGCTCACTGCAACTTCTGCCTCCCAGGTTCAGGCAATTCTCCTGCCTCAGCCTCCCAAGTAGCTGGGATTACAGGTGTGTGCCACCATGCCCAGCTAATTTTTGTATTTTTAATAGAGACAGAGTTTCACCATGTTGGCCAGGCCGGTCTTGAGCTCCTGCCCTCAGGTGATCCGCCCACCTCCCAAAAATGCTAGGATTACAGGCATGAACCACCGCGCCTGGCCAACAATATATTATTCTTAAAGATATGTATTGTGACTAAGAAGGATACCATCAGAGCAGGCAAGCGTTCGTCTTATCTAAATTTGCCTCAGGGTTCCTCAGCTTTGGGTGCAAAGAAGCAGTCAATGTGAGTGAACTGGAGAAATTAAAGTGAAATGAGAGATAAGGAGAAAAGATAGATATTGATTGTGAAGACAGACTTAGGGAAGTGGGTGACGAAACAGTGAATAGAGTAGATTGAAAAGAAATGGAGAATGGCAATGGGTAGACAGGCTTGGAATGGTGGAGCTATGGCTCAGAGGAATTTTTAAAACCAATCTGAGTATATTTTTACATGAAGAGAATATGGATGATCACTGTGTACCTTGTTTAGCCTTTATGGAAGATACAGGATTTCATATACATTCATTAGCTGCATTTCTGAGGTCACAATACAACCTAGGGAGCATTTTAGTTAAGTCTTTATAAAACATAGATAGCAATGTTGCATGCACTGATATGTTATGATTTTGAATATGATGTTAAATGACTGAAAATACCATCTCAGAAGTTCTTGGAAATTTGAATTAAATAATTAATACTTAAAGTATTTAAATATATACTTACCCAACAGACAGGAAAGGTTCCTTTGATTCAAGTCTATGAAAAAATATGAAAATTTTCTTTTAATATAAAAATTTGCTGTATATTCAAAAATTGCTTTTACATGAACCTGACAAAATTATTATACTTGTTTGGATGAAAATGCATAATGTAGCACCAGTAAAAAGCTATAAATAATATACTAAGACCTAATCTGGACTAATTCAATTTGCAGCTGGATTAATGCAGAAGCTAAATAAAATGAGAGTCTTGGAATGAGGACATAACATTTAACTGATATATTAAGATGATCATAGTATTAATCTAATTCTGATTGCACTCTCTGTATCTACTCATTTTCTTTATACATGGTAATTTGTTTGTAGACGTTTCTATATATCTATTTGTGGTTGTTGTAATAGTGAAATAATTTATAATGTGCTTGTTACATGTTAGTTGAATAACTGATTTACTCAGAAGAGAGAAGCAGCATACCATATATAGTTATTTATTGGTCTTAACACCCCTTAGGGTGGGGTAGTGTCAGCTCACAAATTTGGGTCCTTCAGCCTCCTTTGTGCTTCTAAAAACTTGGTATTTTCTGTACCTCAATATCTCAAAGGGAAAGTCTAATCCTGAAGGTTGTGGTTCATTTGAGAAAGCCACTTTAAAACATATTCTGTGTTTTATTTTTCTCATTATAAAATGGGCTAGGCTTACTTTCAGCTACTTTTCTAATTTCATAAATTAACTTTCCATTTTTTTTACAACATGTAAGTAAATCAGGAAAGCATCCACTTCTAAATAGTTCCTAGATAATAATTAAGGAAACCTGTTGGTAAGTGTATTTTGGCCACGCTAGTTTCATTATAGGTTTCTTAAGATACAATTAAGGGTGAAATGTAGGCGAACTGAAGATATTTTTAACTAAATCCTGGTGTTTAAGATTTTTAAGAAAGACAGTTGAAATGACTATCTTAGAATTAGGCTAAACATTTATTTTTATAAATGTGAGTCCAAACAACGAAGGCACTAATTACTTTTTTGTCTCTATTTCATTCTGTGTAGGCAAAAATGTGCTTATGAGAAATATGCCTTGGTGCATTTATAGGCAGAGCTGACATGCATCTCCGCCATATACCATGCTGCTTTGGGTGAATCATAATGGCAGAAAAGGGATTTTTAGGAAGCAAGTGCCTTAGCAATCCCTTTGGACAGCTCTAGGTAGGGTAGAAGCAGATAAAACCAATAGTTGGTGCTAAGAGTTTGGAGAGGTTTATTTATGTAACCTTTCCTTTTCTGAATTCCAATATTATTCACATCTCTAACTGTAGGTACATTAATTGCCTTATTGTGTTTGTTTTTCTCATACATTTGTGATCTACATAAGCAAACAGAACTAGGGAGGGAAAAGCTGAAGCAACGAAAAATGTTTGGATATATTTGCTTTATAAGACATGACCAGTGCCAAGTGATCAAAAGGAAATTGCCTTGAAGAAATGAGGGGGATTCTACATAATATGATGCAGGAGATTGTTCACATATTTAGACCATCAACACGATAATGGTACTACTTTATTTTCCACCTGATAATACTTGAAATAAAGATAGCATGTGGGCATTAATGGGATCCCTTCTCTCTGTATTTGCCAATAATTTCAGCCTGACATTTATCAGACATTAGTGTATGTGTGTGATTTGCTTGTTTGAAGTGCTACTCTCCAGCTTCCTATGTTCCCCATTTTCTATACACTACATCGTCCCCCTTGCCTCTCACTGGTATGTGATTCTTAGTGGCACTGAATAATATAATGAGAATCTTTTGAAAGGTTTTATATCTTTCTCCTCTCTCTTTTTTCAGCCTCCATGTCTCATTAGTTAGCAAGTCCCATCAATTTTTCCTTTGGGACTCTCATGTCCCCCTCTGCATTCCATTCCCAGCCTGGTTTTCATTAGTTACCCCAGCCTAGTTAGTCTCTCCGAAATTCTTTGTTCAAAGTCACTTCAACTTTACACACTGCTCTCACACTAAGCTTCCATCAATGCTGCCACTCACTTCCTTTGGGCAAGTACTGCATTGCACCACTTTAGGGTGGCATAAGCAACTTGAATAAAAGCAAAGCCCACCACTTTTGATTTTCCCTCTGCAATTATCAAAATACTGAGTTCAGAATGTGTTTGTTTGCAGTAGTATTTATTGATTGATTTCTCTCTCTCTCTCTTTTTTTTTGAAGGTTTCAGACAAGCAACTGTTGGATTAGAGCATACAGGGACATATATTGTCCTACTGCCCCCTGTGGTTAGTATGATTTGTCTGACTAGCTAGTTATTAATAGTTGTCCCCTTCTCCTACCACTTCAAGCCCACTTCAACCAGCTCCTTCCAAATGCTCAAGAGAAGACTTCAGAAGAAATTCAAAGTTTTCAAAATGATGTTGGATTGAAAGTTCTGATGATGTTCTATAAACCAAGAGTTTGCAAACTGTGGCCAAATCCTGCTCACCCTCTGATTGTGTATAGCCCCAAGCTAAGAATGGTTTTTACATTTTAAAGTAGCTGGAAAATATCAAAAGAAGAGTAATAATATTTTGTGACACATGAAAATTCATGAAATTCAAACTTCAGTGTCCGTAAATAAAGCTTACTGAAACAGAGCCATGTGACTTCATTTACATATTGTTTAAGGCTGCTTTGTGCTACGGCAACAAGTTGAGTAGTTGTGGCAGAGCAGACTGCATGTCCAAAATCCTAAAATATTTGCTATGTGGCCTTTATAGAAAAAGTATGCCAGTGTGTGAGATATTATTTTGTTGGAAGGAATTGGAAACAACCTCCTAAAATAGGCTTTCTTTACTTTTAATACATATCAAGTTATTTATTTTCCTAGATTTAGAAATTCAGAATAATTTGAATTCCTTCTCTACATCACCATTTCAACCTCTGATCCTACTAACATATTCACCTGAAATGTTTTTGTGTTACCACCTTTCTTGATTTCATTAATCATAAGAAGATGGTACCCAAACTTTTAAGATCTTCACAAACATGCCCTCACCAGTTTTCCATGTCATTCTTTACTGCTTCTCTAACTAAACAATAAACACTTCATTCCAGAAAAACTAAGTATTGTCCAGACACATCTGATTTGGCTTTGCTTTGGTACACTTAGCATTATATATCTATACCAGAATACTGTTTTTTCCCATGCATGATCTATTTATCATTTACATTTATCTCAATCTAACTCCTTCTTAAAGCTGATCTTGAAGCCTTCATTTTACAGGGAAAAGCCCATCTCTGAGGTAATACTTATCATCACCATCACTATGACATATCCTCTGAACAATGTTATTCAATTAAAAAAAACTGAACTTAGAGTCTCATTAAGACTGGTAAGAATATTAAACCTGTACTCTGTTTAGACAAGAGACTTCCAACAGTTTTGTGTTAAGTCTTCTGATGATGGGTCTAGAGGGGAGAATGTTGCCGATGGTTCATGAACTGAGCTGAAAGAAAAAAAGATTATTGGTCATTGGTTCCTCCAAGCCATAGATGATAAGGCCAAGGTACCAGGACTCCCAAGTGTCTTCTGTGGTGAAATAATAGGGCAGGAAATCTTGGTGGGTGCCCCCATCAGGCCACTCTACCTTTTGTCTCATCCTCAAAATGATGATGACACACTGTAGAGTGGAGAGACAACTGGCCCGTGTTGAATGATGCTCTGCTTTGAAACCAACTGCTTAGCTGTTGTTCACTATATTGAGGCAGCTTCTCTAGGCTTGGTATGATTCAGGGACTCTGAATAACCTCATTTTTCTCAATTATATAGCAAACATCATAGCCAACTCAAGGAGTTTGGGGAAGAATATGAGATTTTCTATTTAGAGCATCTAGCACTGTTCCTGGCAGAGTGGATCCTGATGGTCACGACCATACCAGAAACAGGTTAATTCTAAAGTCTGAAACTGCTTGAAATGTATGAATAGATCATTTTAGTAGTGTTGGTCCTGAAAAATGAAAAAAAAGTAAAAGAAGGAAACTGCTAGGAGGAATATTCCTTTGTAGAAAATTATTTATCAATTTAATCTGTAGAAACGGATCATTACATTGTGATATGCCTAGAGAGAACTTTTCTAAGATTTTTTTACAAGGTAATTGTTTCATGAAGAAAGGAATTTTTTTTATCTTTCCTAAGATTTACTTTTCATGTGAAATAGGTAGTGAATTTAATAATACTTCATTCAGGACCCACTAGAATTAGGAGTAGAATAAGATAAACAAACGACAGCCTTCAGAAGAGTAAGACATAGTGGAGAAATAAAATAGAACACAGAATGAAGGTCAATATTTGGAGCTAAATGAATTATAATACTTTTTATTTAATAAAAACTAAATTGTATTTACTGAAGGCCAGGTATTATTCAACATTCTTTATAAACACTAATTTATTTAAACGTCATGATACAATCTGAGGTAGTTCTCATTTTATAGATGAGGAAACTGAGACCAAAAGATATGAAGTACCTTGTCCAAAATCACAAAGCTCATAAGTGGTTGAGCTGGGATTTGAATTCAGACATTCTGACTCTAAAGTTCATGTGTCATCTATTTTATTTGTTTTGCTTTGTTTACATGTGCCTCAAGGTACTGTCAGATTGTCTGTCTTTATACTTCTATGCTCTATTGAGAAAGCTCACCTGGATTCAGATGTTGGAAATTCCAAAACTTACATCTCTGGCATCATTCTATTTATGATAGGTGGCTATAGCTGCCCACGAAATATCTCTAATTGTAGATGCCTCTAAGCTAACATATCTCAAACTAAATTTACTGTCTTCCTCCCTTATTTTATTTATTTATTTATTTTTGAGACAGAGTCTTGCTCTGTTGCCCAGGCAGGCTGGAGTGCAGTGGCGTGATCTCGGCTCACTGCAAACTCCACCTTCCGGGTTCACGCCATTCTCCTGCCTCAGCCTCCCGAGTAGCTGGGACTACAGGTGCCTGCCACCACGCCTGGTTAATTTTTTGTATTTTTAGTAGAGACGGGGTTTCACCGTGTTAGCCAGGATGGTCTCGATCTCCTGACCTCGTGATCCGCCTGCCTCGGCCTCCCAAAGTGCTGGGATTACAGGCGTGAGCCAGCGCACCCGGCCCTTCCTCGCTTATTTTGCTCTTCCTTGTTTTTCCCTAACTTGGAAAACTCAGCCACTTAGGTGACCAAACTAAAAAGAAAGACTGGAATCATTCTCATGAACTCCTTTCCAACAACATTTCTAGTTCTGTTGTTGCTGTTGCCAAAAGTCCTCTTGATTCTGTACTTGCCTCTCAATTCTTATTTTCACAGTTCAAGTGATCATCAACTTTTATATGATCCATTAATCTCTTCAATGACCTTCCTTCTTCAGTATTTCTTTGGTGTTGCCATATCTACTAACAGAATTAAATTTCTAAAATACAAATATAATCATGTAATTCTCCTCGTTACAAATCTCTGCATGTTTCCAGGAAGTATTTTCTTATAAGGCACAATGGGTTTGTTAGTGGTACTTCATAACTATTTTCATAGCACTCTGTAACACTTAACCGTGGTGAATTAAAAATTTCCAGTGTAATTGCCAAGCTCCCCCTAAGACTGCACACTCCTTGGAGGTACAAACAAACTGTATTTCAAGTACCTAGAATCATGCCTACTTCACTGGAGGCTCTCAGTAATGATTGTGTTAGATGAACCTTCCCTGCCTTGCTCCCCAACTTCTAGTCCCATGTTTTGCCTACAGAGTACAATCCAATATAACTTTATTACTATATTTATAGTATTAATATAACTAAAAGTTCATTCACAATCAGGTTCCAGTGTACCTTCTCAGCCTTTGTCTTCTATGACTTCAGTCTACAGACTCCACGCTCCAGCCAAGCTGAGCAAATTGCTCACTGTCTGGGTGGCATCTTGCTTTTTCCCCTGTGCATTGGCATTTTGCTTTCCCGCATCCTGCTTTTTCTCTTGTGCTTCGGCATATGTGTGTTTTTGCAGAAATAATTTCACAAGCTTTTGAAAGACTAGAGCTTTATCATGAATCCAAAGCATGTTATAAAAATATCCACCCATTATATTTACAGAATTTTGTAGTTAAAATTTCCAGGCAGTGATACTACTTACCATTATCTGATCTGTTCTTTTTAGCTATGACAACCCAAGCCCTGACCTACATTTAAGATGGATGTGCCAAAGGGCTTAAGTGTACAGGTTCTAGAATCAGATTGCCTAATTCCAGTCATGACTCCACCACCTCTGGCTGTGTGGCCTTGGAGAAGTAAGGGACTTCTCTTTGTGCCTCAATTATTTCATTTGCAAAATGGAAATAATAGTAGACCTATCTCAAAGAGCTACTGTGAGAAATAAATATATAACTACACACATTAGATAACTAAATAACTTAAATAAATAGTGGATAAATGGTTAATAAATATTAACCATCATTGTTATTACTTTTTTTTTTTAATCTCTGAGTCCTCGAATCCTTGTTCCTGCATTCATAGCCAGTTAATAGAAATAGAGAGTTCAGGTTGGGGAATAGGTTGGGATATATTGGAGAAGATATGCAGTACTCAGCAGATGGAAATGTGGGCTCAAAGCTCAGGTGAGACATTTGGGCTGGAAATAGATTCAGGAGTCATGTTATCAATGCAGAATTAGTATATTAAATCATAAGAGAGAATAAGTTCGCCCAGAGATAGTGAAGAATAAGAAGAAAAGAGTGGAGTGAAGAATATTTATTTGGGCTCACTAACAGGACCTTAGATGTGTAGAAGCAAAGTTCAGAAGGGGGCAGAAGATCTGTTCTGGCAGTTGCATTAACCTGTACCTGGCATGGCACCCAACACATAGCAGATGCTCCCCAAATGTTGACTGACTGAGAAAACCTGTGCCTAGATCTATGCCACTGGCTTTCAATCTGTTCTGTAGGATAAAAGTAAATAAAGAAGAGAAGATTATCTCTGAAAGTGGCTCCTGTGTGCCTTACTCAAGCCAGCAAGGAGTAGGAATTGAGAAGTGTTAACATTCTCCACTAAAGTCGATTTACAGGCCAAAGCTAGTGTCCAAATCTAGTGATGTTTGAAATCTTGTTTGTCTACCCTTTAGGAATTAATCTCTTAATAGGGAATACAGGACTTCTTTTTTTTTAACTGCATACTTTTTTTCTCCAAAGGAATTTTCATATGCATTTCAAAGAGTTTTAAAGACCAATGTGGGTGCAAATATTTTATGTAGAAAAAAACAATGTGGCTGATTCCTATCTGTCCCCACCACACTTCCGCAAACAACGAGGGAGTCTAACAATTATCACAAGAGTCAGAGCTTGCGATGTGCCAGGGACTCTGCCAAGCTCTCTCACACATGGAATTTTGACAACAGTATATAAGAAAACTAAAGTTCAGAAAAACCTAGTAATTTGTTTAAAGCCACACAGTGCTGTTATCTGAATGTCCTCTCTAAAACTCACGTTGAAGTTTAATTGCCATTGTGATGGTAGTAAAAAGTGAGACCTTTAAGAGATGATTAGGCCATGAGGACTTTACCCTCATGAATGGATTTATGTCATTATTGCAGATGTGGATTTGATCTGCTTTTTCGCTCTGTTTTGTGCATGCGTTTCTTCACCATGTGATGCTTTCCACCATATTATGATGCAACAAGAAATCCCTCACTAGACACTGCCTCTTGATTTTGGACTTCTCAGTCTCTAGAACTGTGAGCCAAATAACTTACATTTTTTATAAATCATCCAGTCAGTGTTACTCTGTGATAGTAGCAGGAAACGAACTAAGACACACAGCAAAGTGACGGAGTCTGAATTCAGTCACAGGTCTAACTCCAAAGTCTATACAGCCACTGTTCTGTACTCTTAAGAAAAGATAAAGAACACAATAAATGCTACACTGGCCATATATTTCATCTATCTGGCCCCACACTGGGTATGATGGTGGCCCAGGCTATTTTAAGTTATTCCTTAGCTAACTGATTGCTTGTTGTTTATGCAATAATTTAGCATGATATTTTATAAATAACTTAATATACTTAAGAATTATAGAAATCTTGTTTTGATATTTAAAATTTAGTTTATATCTCATCCTTAACTATTTGTAATCTAAACACATCCATATGACATTTTAATCATTCCAAGGCATTCTGATTTAAAAAAGCTTTGTTACAAGGTAAATGGTTAAATGGGAGCAACAGATGATGACTGATCAAAGATAAGCACTTGTAAGTGATTCTTAGGTGTCTTCTTACAGAATATTTTGCATATTAAAACATAACATAATCCTATCAGTATTCTTAAAAATTCATTTATTGCCTAAAGATTTAATAAAGAAAGAGTCTTCTTTATGTAATAGGGAAAGGATATTCATGGATAACTGTAGGTGAATTCTGAGATCTACCAAAGATCAGAATCTGTCGGTGGTACTTATTCTCTTGGTTATTCTTGTCCCCTAACCTGAAAACTAAACAAAACAATCCCAGGCTTCTGTGCTGGCTGGCCTGGGCCAAGATGCCTAGGAGACACATTATTAGGGTTTTGTTGTGGAGAGCAAAAGATTTATTAGGAGGAAGCTTCCTTAGAGCATAGCATGGGAAGAAGCACTGGTTGGTCTGTACAGGCACTGACCTCCTCACCTCCATCTGCGCAAAGAAGTCTGAGCATGCCCTGTCAGTCAGCTTCTTTGGTCAAGATATAGTTGGATACTGACCTCAAGCATGTACTCACAGTGGACTCTCGTGCCAGCCATATCCCTTCTCCAGCTGTGGCTACTTACAAGGGTGTAGTGTTATGATGAATACACAAAGATTATCCCAAATGCAGACATTTGTGGTGTCCTATCAACATTGAAAAATTGGTGGCAAAGTGGGGGTGATACTGTGATGGGATAGTCTGAGGTGGCTGAAAGTGCGAATAAACATTCCTTTAAAAGCTTGTGAGCTCTAAAGCTGAGAGGTCAAATCAGTTTTGATTTTCATGTCAACTGACTGATGGTGGCTGCTGGGAACATCATGTTGACATGAATTCTAAAGCCTACTTAGGCCTCAGGGTGTAAGGGCCTGTAATTAACCTATGTCTGCCACAGGAATAAGAAGAAAAATGAAAAGCATTATGTCCAAATACGTATTTACCAACTTGTGCTAATGGAAGGTACAGAAATTTGCTCAAGGCTACAAAAGTAATGAAAAGGTATAAAATCCACAGTACAACTTAGATTTCCAGACATATAGTCCATAAACCAATGTACAAATAATAATGTATATTTAATGCCCCATGTATGACAGCCAATATTTAGAATTTGACACTCTATTTTAAGCATTTTCACATATTTAATCCTCATAACTTTCTTGTGAAGTTGACATCATTATCATGTCTATTTTATAAATGACAAAAACAGAGATAAAAAGGAATCAGTAAACTTTCTCAGGCTCTTAGAGCTAGGAAGACATAGAGCAGGGTGATAACTCAGGCAGTCTGATTAAGACATTGAGTCTTAATATTTTAGAATATTTATACTATTTTCTAATACTTTATTTGTTGATCATTAGAAGAACATCATATTTACCTACAAGGTTGAGGAGACAGCCAGGCTCCTTCATTCCTATGGGATTTTCCTATATAGAATCAATTTCTCTGGAGTAAAATGCAGCTTTCCCCTCTATTTCCTGTGATATCTTTTTCAAAGGCTTTCATGCTCAACTGAAATCTCTGCAACTGAAATCTCTGCTTAGGGCTATCATCAAGCCCCTTGGTAAGTTTCATTTGCAGTTACCACCATCTGGGCTGCTAACTCCAGGGACAGGTTAATGGATGGCTGTGGTATCAACCAAGAATCTCTGTGGCAGTTCTGACACTCAGACTCATGACTTTTGCCACATTGGAAATTAAGGCTGCAGGGCTCATCTCCCTCGGATGGACTGTAATGTTCTTTCATAATTCTACAGGGAGGAATGAACTGTAGCAACAGGAATGGAGGTGAAGGATAAAGAACCTCCTGGCAAGAAAGATCATTAACCACTGGCAGATTCTCCTAGGATAATTGAAATGCTCCAACAGCTTTGGGGGCAGCAGTGAGGATGGTGCTGGAAGATATTTGGTTAGGGTAAAGAGTGGGGTCTCATCCTTTCTCCAATATGATTACAGGATTAACTTTACTGCTCCTCACACTGGAAGGGAGTCCACACAATTCTGCAGATGTTTCTATTAAGAAAAATGATTTTCTGAAAAGAAATACTTTCAAACTTAATTATTTTCATGTAGCAAGATTTGCTCATCTCAGTTCCAGACTTGTAAAGGGAAGTAAATTTAAGAAAAACTAGCATGTGGCTGCTCAGCTGTCTCTTTCAATTGTCTTAGTTGCTTGCTAATGGCTGTTAAATCCTACAGAGAAACTGTGCCTTCTGTCAAGAGTGCAGCCTGGGGAAGGAGGTAATCAGTCAGAGTTATCCAGTTTCAGATCTTCATCCTCAGTCCTGCTCTTTGCAGAATGCCGATGCCATTTATCTTTTACTCCACTTTAAGATGAAGATATAAGAGTCAATACTCTGTAGTCTTTTGATCGCCCATCCTAATAAGTTGTGCAGAGTGTAAATGGTGCTAAATGACATGATCTATGTATTTTCAAGGCCCTGGCCTAGTAGGTTGGGAGGAGCAGCTGACTTGTGTGTCCTTCCATGTATCTCCCTGCTGCCCCCCATCCATTCCATACTCTTCACCTGTGCCCCACAGTCTCATACCCATCAGGTCCCAGCTTCAACCTCACCATCTCTGATCCTTTCTCTTAATAAAACATTTGAAACTCATTCAGACCAAGTCATAGCTAATGTCTGACATAGACTTGGTGAACTACAACTCATTTTTACGTGTGTTTTGCTTAGCTGTGTTTCTTCCCTCTTCCCAGTCACATACTGGTCTGGCTGGTTAATTTCTTGTCTGAGTTTTTGTTTTGGTAACCACAGCCCCTCTCTAACCAAGCTTTCCCACCCTCCCCTGGACCCTTGTTCTCTGAAGGCATTAAATCTTGGCACTTAATTTTAGAATGTAATTATTTAAACTGCCACAGGTTGACAAAATTGTGTGATACCAGTCACCTACCTGGATTATTGAATATTATCTACTCCTGGATTGTGTTGGAAGCTCCAAGTGACTGGCAAGGCTGCATTTTGGCTTCACATTAGAATCCCTCCCACTCTATAGAGCTGTATCTATCTTATACTGATGTAGGTTTATAATTCTACATCCCCTCCTGGAATGCTCTCTGAGATAATTGTGCAGGATCAAGCCATAACACCAAACCCGATGGATTCAAAGTCTTGTTTGTTTTTGTCAATGTCTCGAATGGTCTCCACAATGCTAAGTTCAATGATGAATTATTAGTTAACATGAACTTTGAAGAGCAGTTGACCCAATTGATTAATTCTTCTTGAAACATCTTCTTCCCTGAGTTTCATACCACCCAGCCTAACTACCTCACTAGTTGCTTCCTCCCAGTCACCTTTGCTGGTTCTTGACTTCAAATTTGAGAGTGTTGTAGAGCTCAGTCCTTGGAATTCTTCTCTTTTCTATCTTTTCTTATCCCCTTTCTGTTCTCACCCAGTCTTGTGGCTTTGAATACCATCTATATACTGATGACTCACAAATAGGCACATTCAGTCCAGATCTCTCCCCTGAACTCCAGATTAGATATTCAATTGCCTATATGATATCTTTACTCACCACCCACCTTGGCCTACTCTAACTTCTGTCAGTCTTTCCCATCACACTTAACTGCAACTTCATATGTCCAGTTGCTTGGTCCAAAAACCTTGGAGACATCTCTGGTAGACAGTCTGGCTATCATCAGTTTCTTCCCCTCACCCATCAAGAGGTGGAATCTATTTCCTTGTGACTTGCTCTTATACAAAGAATGTGATGTGGCAGATGGGACATTCTGGAACTTGCAATCCAGGTTTGAAGAGTACAAACAGCTTCTTCCTCTCTCTTGAAGTCAGTCATCATATACAAACTCTAACTGCTTTGAGACTACCATAATGTGATAAAACCTAAGCTGGCCCCAGGGAGAGACTATGTGAAGAAAAAGGCTCAGCCACCACAGCCATTCCTGCCAACCTCAGCTTCCAACCTTACATGCTGTTGATATGGACAGAACACACGGGAGTACTGGGTCGAAGAAGGTGGTTCCCCAGCGAAGGGCCCACCCTTAAGCCTGGAAACCCGTGGCCCTAAATGAGAAAAGGCATTCCTGTTTTCATGCCCAAATTTGCCTTTTGGCCTGCAACGCCCCCTATCCTGTACCCATGTAAACTCCAAACCACCAGCTCCAGGGGGAGATGAGAGGACAAACAGAAGAGCAGAAGAAAGGCAGAACGGTGCAGCAGAGAGAAGAGAAGAAGTGTCCGTACACCAAGAGGAGTTTGGCTGGGGACAGTTGGAAAGGAGATTGGCCGCTGGGTGGCCAAACTCCAGGGGAAGATCATCTTCCCACTCCATCCCCCTTCCATCTCCCCATCCATCCCACTGAGAGCCACCTCCAGGACTCAACAAAACCCCGCATTCATCTTTCAAGTCTGTGTGTGACCTGATTCTTCCTGGATGCTGGACAAGGACCCGGGTACCAAGAGGGTACTGAGCTAGTTAACACTTAAGCTGTCTTCAGATGGCAAGGCTAAAGGAGTGCACTGTAACACATGTCCACTTGGGCTTTGGGAGTCTCAGCTCCCTTCCCTGGATGCTGGCCTGGGGCCAGAGACCAGGGGTGCTTGCTTTGGCTTCTGCACCTGCCTGTTTGCATGCTCCCCCTCCCTTAAGGGGTTTGAGTGCACACATACGGTGGCTGAACAGACAGAAGGAGACACACCCTGTCACATCCTGCCGGGGGGGAAACAGGGAACTCTCCTGTTTCACTCTGTTAGTGCCAAAGCAATCTGGGACACACAGAGCAGAACTATTTGACTGAACTCAGCCCACATCGCTGAATATGACAAAAATGTTTTTTTTTAAGTTAATAAATCTTGCTACGTAGCAGCAGATAATGTGTTTATCCTCAACTCCATTCTTTCTTTCACAGTCCACTTCCAATTTGTTAATAAACTTGTTGGCACTACTTTCAAAATCAATCAGTAACATAACCATTTTTATTTGACATCTCAGTTGCTACCGTTTAACCACATCACCATCTCCTGCCTGGTCTCCCACATTCTACCCTAACACTCCACAATCCATTGTCAACATATGGCTAATGGGACTTTTCAGAATTTAAGTTCTGTCATGGTACTCTTCTGCTTAAAACCTTCCAAAAGCTCTTTATTTTACTCAGAGTGAAACCCAAAGTGCTTCAAAGGCCTGTGAGGCTTTTACATCATTTGGTGCCTCCATTTACATCTCTGCCATTATTCCTCTCATTTCCTCCTTGCCCAAAGTTTTGTGAGTTTTCTCTAGAAACATTGGCATCCTTGCTTTTTAAAACACATGAGAATGCTTCTGCTTTAGGGCCTTTGCTAGCAAAGTTCCCCTACCTAGAATGCTTTTCCCCAGGCATCACTTTGCCTGCTCATCACCCCCTTCACGGCTGCTCAAATGTCATGTTCTCAGCTGAGCCTTCATTGAGCACCCTATAAAAAATTGCAGTACTTGTCATCTTCCTACTTCCAAAATCTTCTAGCTTAATTTTTTTCTATAACATCTACTACCTTCTAATTTATAATTAGTTTGCTTTTGTTTGTCTTTAGTTACCTCAAACTTGAAGGCAAGGACAGAGATTTTTGTCTACTTTGTCATAAATCAAATTTAGCCTAAAGTTGCCTCTTTACATATTTTAAGTTCAGCCTAAAGGTTTCTCAGTACACGGTGAATTATAACCTAAATGAAATTGTAAACAGACCGTAGCTTACTCTTGTGGCAATCACCAAGTTCTGGCCAATCAAAGGTGGTCAACTGTTCAAACCATGTTCAAATAAGGCAGATGTGAAGCTGTAACCAATCCGCTACTTCTGGATCTCACTTCTATTTTCTGTACATCACTTTCTCTTTTTTTTCCATGAATCTTCTTCCACAATGTAACTGCACTGGAATCTCTGAATGTACTCTGGCTTGAGACACTGCCCAATTTGCAAATCGTTTTTTGCTCAATTAAATTCTTTTACATTTAATTCAGCTAAAGATTTTCTTGTAGCATTAACTGGGATATCCTTGGTACCCAGAAAAATGTCCAGTGGGTGCTTAATAGTTAATTGATGAATAAATGACTACATCCACAAATTTATGTTTCCTTCTGCACCAGATCCATTAAGAATCTTTAATATAGGCTGAATTTGGTCAGTCTTTGGGCAAACTCTGTTCATAGAAGCTAAGAGGTAAGTCATCCCTCCAGGCTTCAGATCCCATGATCTGCTCCAAATGCTGGGATTAGAAATTCTTTTGCAAGTCTCCATTGTTCCTACATAGACCCTCAGGGCTGACCGTATGTGAAATATTTATTTTGCGTTTCATCTCTCTTGCCACCAATTTGGTTTGTCCCTAAAATTTGGCTGTCTTGGCTCTTAAGTTCTAATGGCTGCCACCCCACAATCCCTCATGAAGACCAGCTGACTAGCTTGCCCTGCTTTTTTCAATTAACATTCCAGGACTGGAGCTTTGTTCTGGACTTTATTGTATGACCAAGAAACTTGTAACACACTGACTGGCTCCCCAGATGGCAACTCACTCCAGTGAGACTACTAACTGCCTGTCTATATGTGCTTCACCTACCCCTAAGACTAGTCTTTCTTGCTTTTATTTCATTAGCATTACATTTAAAAACATAATACATTTGCTTTTTCAGTTAAAATGGATACCTGATATTACTTATTTCTTTCATAATATCTTTATTTTCTAATGCCAAATATTGCAACTTTTCTATACTCAATTTAGTTCATATTTCTTTTATTCTTTTTCTTTTTTGAAACAGGGTCTCACTCTGTGGCTCTGGCTGGAGTGATTACAGCTCATGGAGCTTCAAACTGCAAGTAGGCTCAAGTGATCCTCCCACCTCAGCCTTCTGAGTAGCTGGGACTACAAGTGTACATGACCACACCCGACTAATTTTTGTATTTTTTGTAAAGATGGGGTTTCACCATGTTGCCCAAGCTGGTCTCGAACTCCTGGGCTCAAGTAATCTGCCTGCTTTAGCCTCCCGAAGTACTGGGATTATAGGTGTGAACCACCGCACCCAGCCCATATTTTCAATGAGATCATATAATGTTTTTTTTTCGATCCTCTAAACATGAGATTTGCTATATTGAGTTGGAGTAACAAAGAGTAAGGAAAAAAATGAGAAAAAGATAATCTTCAACAAATCATAAAATTATGTTACAATTCCATTTAAATTCTTCCTGAATTCTCACAGTATCATAAGTGTCTTTGCCACTGATGTTGTAGATAGTTTTAGTAAGATAGCATTTAAACTACCTTTAACAATTGCTAAGTAATTCAACTCAAAATGCTTTTTCACTCTTGATTATCTGTAATTTGTGGGTCATCTTCTGTTTCCTTTTCAAACTCAGCTATTGGTTGGTGTATCACATTCTTAAAAAGTACATTCTGATACATTTACTGAACTCAGACTCATTACCATTTGTTGCTCTGCATTGATGATAGATTCTCTGAGTTAGGAATACATCATGTGTCTCCTGTTTTTCTGTCATGTCCCACGCTCTGCATACTAAGGCTACAACCTGGACTTTATTCCGTTACTCTTTTAGCTCACACACGCTATGTCCTTTCAAAGCAGCAGCAAAGCAGCTGAATTACAGCTTTAAATACCAGGGGGCAGTTATTATTAGGCAGGCACAATTGTCTTCCTACCTGCTCACTAATCTGCAGTCATAAGAACTGCCTTTAGCACACATTCCTGATTGCTCATTCCACTGCACCACTTAAAGGCTCAGATATTTTGACTTTTTTCTTTTTGAAGATTAGACGACTTCAGCTGCTCTCCTGGCCCCCATATCCTGCTCCTTGCCCTTCGCTCTGCATACTGAACTCGGCATTCTGTCCTGGCCTGGGCTGACTGATAGGCCACTTCCTGCAGTTAGCTCTAGTAGGAACTATGCCTCCACACAGGGTCACTGGACTGCGCTGAACTGTGAGACTAATGTTAATGAAGTTGCCCTTTTAGAAAATTAACTTTTCTAATAACCATGGAGACTAAAGCAGTCTAGTACTAAAGATTAAGTGCTGTATGTGTTTCACTGGCTTTGCTTAACACCAGCCCCACCTCCCAAAACCTTCACTATTGCCTGCATGAGTCATTTGTATGGTGTTTGTCATTTTTCACTGAAAATGTCTAATTTTAAAATACATCATTTTTTGGTTATAAAATTCTCTTTAAAGAAAAATTGCATTATGTATTAAAGTTATAAGAAAAATATTATCTGCATATGGGTAGCCAGTTTTCTCGACGTCATTTATTAAATAGGGAATCCTTTCCCGATGGCTTGTTTTTGTCAGGTTTGTCAAAGATCATATGGTTGTAGACATCTGTTCTGTTCCATTGGCCTATATATCTGTTTTGGTACCAGTACCATGCTGTTTTGGACCCCTTCCTTACACCTTATACAAAAACTGACTCAAGATGGATTAAAGACTTAAACATAAGACCTAAAACCATAAAAACCCTAGGAGAAAAACTAGGCAATACCATTCAGGACATAGACATGGGCAAAGACTGCATGATTAAAACACCAAAAGCAATGGCAACAAAAGCCAACATTAACAAATGGGATCTAACTAAACTAAAGAGCTTCTGCACAGCTAAAGAAACTATCATCAGAGGTAACAGGCAACCTACAGAATGGGGGAAAATTTTTGCAATCTACTCATCTGACAATGGGCTAATATCCAGAATCTACAAAGAACTTAAACAAATTTACAAGAAAAAAACAACCCCATCAAAAAGTGGGCAAAGGATATGAACAGACACTTCTCAAAAGAAGACATTTATGTGGCCAACAGACATATGAAACAAAGCTCACCATCACTGGTCATTAGAGAAATGCAAATCAAAACCACAATGAGACACCATCTCACACCAGTTAGAATGGCGATCATTAAAATGTCAGGAAACAACAGATACTGGAGAGGATGTGGAGAAATAGAAACACTTTTACACTGTTGGTGGGAGTGTAAATTAGTTCAACCATTGTGGAAGACAGTGTGGCAATTCCTCAAGGATCTAGAACCAGAAATATCATTTGACTCAGCAATCCCATTACTGGGGATATACCCAAAGGATTATAAATCATTCTACTATAAAGACACATGCGCATGTATGTTTACTGCAGCACTGTTCACAATAGCAAAGACTTGGAACCAACCCAAATGCCCTTCAGTAATACTGAATCCAGTAATACTGGACAAAGATAATGTGGCACATATACACAATGGAATACTATGCAGCCATAAAAAAGATGAGTTCATGTCCTTTGCAGGGACATGGATGAAGCTGGAAACCATCATTCTCATCAAACTAACACAGGAACAGAAAACCAAACACCGCATGTTCTCACTCATAAGTGGGAGTTGGACAATGAGAACACATGGACACAGAGAGGGGAACATCACACGCCGGGGTCTGTTTGGGGGTGGGGGGCTAGGGGAGGGATTGCATTAGGAGAAATACCTAATGTAGATGACGGGTTGATGGGTGCAGCAAACCACCATAGCATGTGTATACCTATGTAACAAACCTGCATGTTCTGCACATGTATCACAGAACTTGAAGTATAATTTTTAAAAAAGCTTAAAGAAAAATTTATCTATATTCCCACCATACAAAGAAAATTACAGTTAATATTTTGCTCTATTTTTTTCTCTGCATATATTTTATTTGTTAAGTAGTTTTGGTCATGATGTTTATATAATTCCTTTTAACCAAAAGCAATCACAGCAAAAGCCAAAATTGACAAATGGGTTCTCATAAAACTAAAGATTTTCTGCACAGCAAAAGCAACTATTATCAGAGTGAACAGACAACTTACAGAATGGGAGAAAATTTTTGCAATCTAACCATCTGACAAAGGTCTAATATCTAGAATCTACAAGGAACTTAAACAAATTTACAAGAAAAAAACAAACAACTCTATTAAAAAGTAGGTAAAGGACATGAACAGACACTTCTCAAAAGAAGACATTTATGCAGCCAGCGAACACATGGAATAAAGCTCATCATCACTGGTCATTAGAGAAATGCAAATCAAAACCACAATGAGATATCATCTCATGCCAGTCAGAATGGCAGTTATTAAAAAAACAAGAAACAACAGATGCTGGCGAGGCTGTGGAGAAATAAGAACTCTTTTACACTGTTGGTGGGAATGTAAATTAGTTCAAACATCATGGAAGACAGTGTGGCGATTCCTCAAAGACCTGGAACCAGAAATACTATTTGACCCAGCAACCCCATTACTAGGTATATACCCAAAGGAATAGAAATCGTTCTATTATAAGGATACATGCACACATATGTTCATTGCAGCACCATTCACAATAGCAAATACATGGAATCAAACCAAATGCCCATTAATGATAGACTAGATAAAAGAAATGTGGTATACGTATACTGTGGAATACTATGCTGCCATAAAAAAATGAGATCATATCCTTTGCAGGGACATGGATGGAGCTAGAAGTCATTATCCTCAGCAAACTAACACAGGAACAGAAAACCAAATACCACATGTTCTCACTTACAAGTGGGAGCTGAACAATGAGAACACATGGATACAGGTGGGGAACAAAACACACTCGGGCCTATGGGCGGTGAGGTGGGGAGAGGGAGAGCATCAGAATAAATAGGTAATGCATGCTGGGCTTAATACCTAGGTGATGGGTTGATAGGTGCAGCAAACTACCATGGCACACATTTACCTATGTAACAAACCTGCACGTCCTGTACATGTATCCCAGAACTTAAAATGTTTTTTTCTCTAATCAAATGCTAAGTTTTTTCATGTCATTATTAACACTTTGTGAACATTTCATCTAATAGGTGCACCATACCCATTACTGCTTAATATTTTGGTTGGATCAGATTACTCACTATTATAAATAAATTACTCACTATTATAAATAAAACTGCAAAGAACATCTTGGAAAAATTTAATTTTTTAAAAATGTTTTTAAAAATATTTAAAATTATCTCCTTAGATATACTTCAAAGGATGGAATTAGTCAAAAGACATGAATACTTTAAGACACTGCACCGAGTTTGAAGGAAAAAAGGTATTAACTTAACAATAAAGCATGTATGTCTGACTTTAGTCTCTGGATTGGGAAGTAAACAGCAGAATCCCAGAATGTTAGAAATGGAAATAAAGTAAGAGGTGTTTTAATTCAACTCCTTCATTTTACTATGAGAAAATGGGGCTTAAAGAGGTTGATTTTTTTTTATAATCACTTAATTAGTTTGGGCAGGTAGTAGCAGATACACAACTTAGTTGCAGGTTTCCTGACTTCCAGTCCAGTGCTTCTAATGAACACTGAAATCTTCAGGACTGAGTGGGAAGAGGAGATAATGTCAAACAAATATTAAAACATAAACTCTCATCATCATGCAATATACCCAGGTAACAGACCTGCTCAGGTACCCCCTACATCTAAAACAAAAGTTAAAATTATAAAAAACAAAAAGCACCCCCAAACTCTACATAAACTATGTGGCATCTCAGTTTCAGCTCCAATGTAATACGCTTATTTCAAACAAGCCCCTTGTCTTTTGATTCCTTCATACAATAAACATAAGCAAAATAGATGTCAACTCTCAGAGTTGGAAGAAGATCCCTAAGTATTGTGATATTTGGAAATACCAATAAAAATAAATTATCAATCATGTTATAATTCCACTAGAAAGAAATTTAGAAAGTTTAACAGTTAATTAACTTCTAAAATAATGAATTTTCGTGTGAAGCATTCATCATGCATAGCCAACTGATAATCTAGTGAGACTTTGTGGTGTTCCCTTTTGCCTTCTGTCTAAACATGGAAAAAGGAGGCCTATCTAGCTTCACTTCTAGTACTTATAATTCCATCAGAAGAATTACTCTCACAAAGACACCAAACAGTTTATGTAAGTTTTATAAGGAAATTGTAGATTATTTTCTAATTAATATAATTAAAACCAACCAACACTTAAAAAACCTATAAGCCACTTTTCTACCGTGCAGAACTTGTTCATAATTAACATTAAAAATATTTATATAACCTAAAGTCTTCTAGCTTATGATTTGTAATAAGTATTTTCAAACTTTAATGGACTAGGGAAAAATACATTTTTACAAAGGTAATAGAATTTGCCAATTTTGTAAATGATTTTATATGTCTTTAAAAAATCATTCACATTGTAAGAGTGAGACTAGATGACCGAGGAAAAAGGGCTGTTTGGTTTCTCATTAATCACGTCCATCTACACTGTTAATATTCATTTCTTCTTCTCTCCTCTCCTCATTTTATATGGGCTCAAACATTCTTCTACACATTGTCAAATTGTTTATTACCATTTATTTCATTGTTAGAAGTTACACGGTCCGTCTGCTGCTAAAGCATCTCTGCATGTGTGAAGACTGTGTTATAGAAGAAGCCCTGATGTGGCTGCAGGGGCTTTAGAGGAGCAACCAGGAGGTGGAGCACAGGGTTCTAACTGCCAGAGAATGCGTGAAAAAAGAGGAACTTTCCATCAATCTTCAGTAGTCAGTCCTTAAATGGCACTGCCAATTGTACTATTGTTTAAAAAGAAATGAGACAAAACCCTAAAAACCTAAAATTAGAAGAAAAACACAGAATGATTTCAGAGTTGGAGGCAGGAAACCTGAACCTGAGCCCTAGCTTTTAGACTTCCTGGCTGGTTGCTCACTTTTTCTGCCTTGATTTTTCTTCCTTGTGCTTCCAAGGACAAATACAAATTAAAAACAGGTGGCTTAATTCTCCCTATTGAAAATAAAGAAAGAGATTTCCCTCCCTTCCTTTTGATTTGGGGATTTACTTTAGAAAACTGTGAATTGCAATTACTTCATCTTCTTTTTTAAATACATATGAATCCACTTGAAGACTAGATTGGCATTTTGTCAGCTTTGTGACCTGGGAATGTCTTTCTCAAGGACCTGGGGAGGCAGAGTGGGGGCAGGAGGCTTATTCCAAATTGCAGAACTACCTCCTTTCATGAGAATATGAAAAGTTTGTTTTTCTTTTGCATAAAGTCAATTACCTAACATAAATAAATGGTCACCCCAATTACCAGAAACAGTTAGAATGAAGGATCTATGACAAATGGTGCTGTCAATCCTCTTACTTGAGGACTACTTGTTGATTATATTGAAAATATGTATGTAATAGGTTGCATGTGTTTAGCTACATAAAAAGGTAAGATCTCTTTCGGTCTTCAGTCTCTTAGGTTGCCTGTGATGTGCACCACATTTTGGCTTAATGTTTATTCGATAATACAAGCTTTTTCTTTCTCTATTAGCTTTGTGGAGAGGATTTCTGACTTGGGAAAATACTTGTTTTAATTACATTTCCCCAACAGTATGATGAGAGAGTAACACTGGAACATTAAAAATTTTTAGTCTTTAATTTGATTCATTTAGAGATAAATCTTTAGAGACATTTCAATTTCTTTCATGCTACCCTCCATACAGTAATATGGAAGGAAAAACATATCCTGGAATCTTGAATACAGGGATAGATTGAGAAGGAGAAGGTGATATGGTGAGCACAAAGGGAATGAGATAACACTTCAAAATTAAAACAAACAATGGACTTACAAATTTATCATAGGTTGGACGCTCAAGACCCTACATTCTCTACTAAGGACTGTCCTAAAACAAGAAACAGGTCACTGGATAGAAAGACAATGAACAATACCCATAAAATAATGAAAACAAATGAAATCAACACTGACAATGAAGATACTTCAACTTACAAGCAAGCAAGGGCATTGCCCTTTGCAAGATAAAACCCACAAAGCATCTTCATCCCAGGCAGGGAGCACTTGCGCAATGACCTAGCATATGAGATGCACACGTTCCTGCTAAGCTCCAGTAGGGACTAGCGCTGTTGTTGGTGCTCTAACCGCAATACCCCACAGTGAGATGCCAGGAGAATATAGCATAAAAGATCATAATGTGAGTCCTGCTGATGAAGAGATCTTAGCTTCAGCACAGAACCATGCTTTTATATATAAAAGAAAGCAACAATTTCATGACAGGCTACAGTTTCCAAGGTGTAGTAAAACCAACAGTTAGAAAGAATCAGTTGCCTGTCTTCATTGGCACCTGCCAACTGTAAGAATGATGTGAAATTTCAGCCCTTTCTATCCCATGCTTGGTTTACTATTCCTTTTCCACTTCTCCCTACCTCAAAGAAAGAGGAGTCTTAAGTAGCAGCTCAAGTGGTCACTGTTACAGGTTCTAGACATTCAAGCATTGTCTTTTTCTTCTAGACTTAGAAGCTGAGTGGATAAGCCAAGCAAGGGGTCAGCCCACTTTTCCTTTCTATCTCCTCCAAGTATGCAGCTGTGTGGTAATTTGAAGGCCTAGTCTGTAGATCTAGCTACATGGAACACTACTCCTAGAATTTTATAGGATGATAAATTTGTCACAGTATAGTAAACTGCCTTGGGAGAAGCAGAAAGGAAAGGAATATCGTGTGATTCTTTTATTGAGTTCATAAGAAAAATGGCATCAGCTTTAAAACCTGTGTGTGTGTGTGTGTGTGTGTGTGTGTGTGCGCGCGTGTGCACAGCATGCACGTATTGTCTAAATGCTACTCAAGGTGGTACCTGCTATGCTGTTTAGATGACTTCCTATGAAGGCCTATATAATAAGTTTACATCAGAAAACAGAGTTAGGAAAACATAGTTTCTTCTCACACATATTCAAGTATTTTCTTTTACTACATGGTTACATAGATTATTTTGCTCCTGTTTTCGCCTTGACTACCATGAATCACATGGCTAAGTTTGTTGTGCTCATGTAATACTTTGTGACTGCATAAGTTTTATTAGTATAATTAAATTTTTGCTTGATTTGCTTGATCCTACCTGCCCACCTCCCTCAATTCCCACTGAATTATTGACTCTTGCTACTTTTCTCCTTTTAAAATTGATTGCATGGTTTTACTTCCTTTGATTTTTATCATAAACTATGTCAAACCAAACAAATAGTAATGTAGTCTTTCAAATAACCTGAAGACTAGCAACATAAACCACAAAGGTCTTAGAGATGGATTCTCTGCATTAAGTTCTCCCTCTACCTCTACTCTATTCTTTCTATATGCCAGAAGATATTAATGGATATTCATGCATTAAAAACATAACAGAAAACTGCAAATAGGCCATTCTTTAGCCTAGCAGAGAGAATTGCCCGCAGCAGAACTATTTAATGGGTATTGTGTCAGCACTTTTTTGAACATTTTAAATAAAAGGTCTATAAGTTATATTTGCTTAGTGTTAAAATGTGAGGAACATACTATAAGTAAAATAATCTTTTAAAAAATTTTATTTTTAAAGAAGTTATAGAAAACATTAACCTGTTTAGTTGACTGTGTGAGATTTAGCAACATCATCATAGCTAAAAACATATAAAATAACCTTTCAAAGCTGGAAGCAGTGGCTCACACCTGTAATCCCAGCACTTTGGGAGGCTGAGGCGGGCAGATTGCTTAAGCTTGGGAGTTTGAGACCAGCCTGGGCAACATGGTGAAATCCTGTCTCTACTAAAAATACAAAAAAGAATTAGACAGGTATGGTGGCACACACCTGTAGTCCCAGCTACTCAGGAGACTGAGGTGGGAAGATCACTCGAACCTGGGAGGCGGAGGTTGCAGTGAGCTGAGATCACGCCCACTGTTCTCCAGCCTGGGTGATGAAGCGAGACCCTGTCTTAAAAAACAAACAAACAAACAAAAAACAAGAAAAACCTCCTAAAATACTTTATCATAGATGTTTTCTTTGAATAATCATAATGATGAGGATAACTAAAATTTGTAGAGTATCTCTAATAGTTGCAGGCTCCTTAAATACATTACCTTTTAGGAAATTTTATATCTTCCTTTATGCAGCCCAAAAAGCTGAGGAACAAAAAAATCAAATTCAAAGCACTGATAATGCTCAGGTTATTTTAGGAGGTATGTCTAACATTTTTCCCACCAAGCAAACTGAACAAGCACACATAAAACATTTGCACAAATTTAAACAATCAATAAAGTGAATGTTTGACCCCTTTTCTAGAACAAAAGCATTTCAACATTCATTTGTGGAGATTTCTGAATTAGAGAACTCTCCCTCAATTACCCAGATGTATGGATATTCAGGTTTGAGTTTTAGAAATATACACCGTTTTTGGTATTTTCTCTTGTGGATCTTGATAACCATACATTAGTAATTTGGTTGCACAGGAAAGATAGGATCCTGAGCAGAAAGAGACTGCAATTGCTATGTAGACCTAAGCAATAACATACATTCAAAGTAAACCAGGGAGGCAGGTCAGTGTTTGGGCTTGTGTCAGTTTCAGAAGGACAGGATGTATTAATATGGCGGGTAGGAGAAAATATTTCCCTCTCCTCCTCACACTGTAGTTTGAGTGGAACCATCTGGCTGGGTAGGTGAAATGGAAGGAAGCCTTTGCCAGTGCAAAGGGAGATAATGATAATGGAAATATTAAGCTTCTGAAAGGGAATGTGTGTTATCCTTGATGTTATAAAAGGAGACAGAAAATGAATAAAATGATCAATAGCTAATTGGTAAACATTTCTCAGCAAACAGTATAAGTCAATGAAGTGAAGATGACCAGGATGTTTTTCCTTCATACTGATTTTTGCTATTTAGCATTAGCTGAAATTAGCTTACATTACTTTCATTTCTACTTTCAAGGTTCTAGGGAACATTTTAGGTGATTCAAGGGTCCCTTTTCCCATGATGTGCTAGAGCCACCATGAAGGAAGAAAACAAAACTCACGTAGGTCCAGTGGTGAATGAATCACCGGAGATATTTTGCTGCAGTCACCTTACTTGGTCTGTGCTCTGAAAGTTATTTTTTATCATTGGAGTTACTGTAATATAACCCACATTCATGGTGACCACCACCAATTGTGATGATCTTAAAATGGTGGCTGTAACTGTAGGTTATCTTCTGACAATCTTAAAGACTCTTGAAATGACTTGTGACAATCTTGATTCTCATGGTCATCTGGGTGGGATGGGAAGGTTGCTACAAGAGGCATTTGTATGATAGCCAAAAGCAATATTTGGCAATAGTACCAGATGATTGATTTTTACAGAATCAATGGGATGAAACTATATATACTACATGTCTTACTGAGTTGAGTTCCCTGCAAGTAGAAGGGAGTCACCTCTAGGTGAAAAAAAATCCATTGTTGTTCATCTCTTATAAATAGTGTCTTTGTTCTCTGATATTTTTTGTTAGCTTTCCATCAAAGAGGAAAGGTCTGTCTACTTTACAAATAGAAGTAAAACCATCATACAATTATTCTCATTTAGCAATTATTGAGCATTAATTGAAAGTTGGCATGCTGGAAAACTCACTTCCTGGGGGAGAATTATTATTTTAGAGTGCCACAGATATTGTGTAATGTACATAACGTATTTGAAGCAGCAATTTATTAAAAGTTACAATGTTTTCCCTAGAGAATGGATTAGCTATTCACCATTAGGGCCAGGTCCAATATTTATGAAATGTTCACAAATGATTAATTATGTTTCATTTACAAATAGACTCTAATGGGAGACATTTTTATTGCAAGTGCTATTTTAATGAATTGTCTGTCTTTATGAATTCATGTCCAAGACTGAAATAATTCCTTTTTGCTCCCTTTCCTCGATCTTACACCTGAGCCTGCCATTGCTTATCATGTGTTTCCTATTTCTTCTATTCAGCTCATGTGATCATTCCCTCAGTAGCCTGAACTAGAAAACCCTGGACATATTTGTGACTCTCTCTCCTCACACCCCATTTCCGATCAGTCACCATGTTTAAGTGGTTCCTTGTTGCCTACAGAATAAAAGTCAGCTCTCCTTAACCTGATATATAGATATATTCACAGCCTGGGCACCATAATGCCCCAGTTTTCCATTCCCCACAAGGTAGACTATCCTAGCTCCTACTATGAGATGCCCTTCCCTCTCTCTTTCCCTTCAAAAGTCAGCTCAAGTGTTGTCTTCTTCCTTTAACTTTCCAGATGTTTTTACTCCCTGCTCCCTAGGCAGAATCAGTAACTTCCTCATTTATTCTCTTACAGAAGTGTATGCATACTTCTCAGTTGTCTTTATTCATCTGTGCATCTAACTTATGCATAAGACTGTAAGCTTTTTGAAGTCTCACTGTTTTATTTTCTATGTATACCATGTTTACTTAGCACATAATAAGGCCTTATTGAAGGTTGTTTGGCTGAGTTGAAAATCCTATTAAAAGAAGAAACAAATCAAAGTTATGCCTCAGTGGATATTTCATGTGAATACCACTTTGTGATTGGTATTGGAGATAAAGTGGATGTACGTGAAGAAGAAAGTCTGGCGGCAGTTCACTTAGTGGTCCAAATAGAATAGTTATAGAGACATAGCAGTTTAGAGCAGGAAGGTAAATCAGAGACTACCTTCATACAAATAACTTACTTTCATTACGTTATGCTCTCTCTTCACCCTGTTCTTGCCATTTTCTATGCTAGTTTCCTAGAAAAGCACTATTACAGTCCCTAGACCATAGTAGATACACACTAAATATATCTTGTATAAATGAATGAATGAATGACCGAGTAAAAAGAGTCCCCCTCTCGCATTTTACAGATAAGAAAACAGACTCAGAAGCCGGGTGCGGTGGCTCACGCCTGTAATCCCAGCGCTTTGGGAGGCCGAAGTGGGCGGATCACGAGGTCAGGAGATCGAGACTATCCTGGCTAACACGGTGAAATGCTGCCTCTACTAAAAATACAAAAAATTAGCCAGGTGTGGTGGCCGGCACCTGTAGTCCCAGCTACTCGGGAGGCTGAGGCAGGGGTATGGCATGAACCTGGAAGGCGGAGCTTGCACTGAGCTGAGATCACGACACTGCACTCCAGCCTGAGCGACCGATTGAGACTCTGTCTCAAAAGCAAAATAAAACAAAACAAAACAAAACACAGACTCAGAGATGCAAAGAACAGGAAAGCAAAAACCATCCCTTTTCCAAGCCGCCACCATATTCTCTACATTGAACTAAATGCTTTTACCTCATTTATGCAACTCTATCCTCTCAGGAAAATTATACAACTACTATGTTACAAAAAGAACTTACTTACTTGAAGCTTAAAACCTGTGCCCTATGATCACACAGATAGGTGGTATATCTGTTTTTTCTTATGTAGTGTTTATTGTATAGTATTTCCTCTGCCACTTGCTGGCATGGTATTCATGGACAGTAATAGTATTGATGATTGGTTTGATGCTCAGAAAATCTCTACTTTCCCTATCTGTGTTGTTTAGATGGTAGCAAGTGACTAAATACAGGGAGCTATAATCTAGTGGTGAGAATACTAGACGTGAAGGCTGAAAACCGAGCACATTTCCTAATCCTGTGATCTTGTCTTGAACAAACCCTTTATTGTCTTGGAAACTCAGGTTTCTCATTTATACAGCATAGTATATACTACCAATTTTGTAGAGTTATCTGATGAACAGGTGAATGACTATGAAAGCATAGTTTGTCCACATAAAATTAAGGTAATTTTTTTCTTAAGCTTACGTGAGAATGAGAAAATGTGTATAAAAGGGCTTCCTCAGCTATACATTCACGTTTTTGTATCCCCTTTATTACTGTTTTGCAATTTCAGTGTACAGCCTTAATTTGTGTAAACAGATAAAAGGAGGATAAATAAGCACTTTCTCACTAATGTGGCTTGTATGCAATATAGCATATTTAAATGAAATTCTGCTTCTAGTTCTTTTGAACACAATTGAATATAACAGTAATAGAGAAATAATAGTGAAAATGACATTCATGTCATGAGCTTCCATTCTCATAAGAAAATCAAAACAATCCAAGAAAAGAGAAAATATGAAAATTAACATCATTGCACAGACAGTAGCAACTCTTTGATGATAAAAAAAAGCCATTGGCAGCTTGTTTTAGCAGTAATTGAAAATAAGACTTTTCAAATGTTCTGCATTAGCTGCAGCTCTAATGTATACATTTACAAATGAATCTGATAAAAATTTCTCGGTTTTATAAATCATCTCCTTTACCTCAAACAAGGTACAGAATGTGTCATTTGCTTCTTGTTGATAACATCATCTCTGCTCTTTAATGTCAATATTACCCCATGACCCACTATCAACATTTGTTATACTCTATTGCTTTCCATTTTTAAGAAAATGTTTTATTAAAACAAAAACAACCAAAATAAGAGAAATTATGATGTATTTTTCAGTATAGCTTTAAAAATCTCTGAATACCATACAGTAGAGAGCCCTGGGGTACTAGGCATGACTAGGACCTCAGAAGTGATCTAGTTCTGACCCTCATCTTAGAGTTCAAAAAATGAGGCTATAAGTGGCTGAAAAGAAGATATGCTAGTTTTCAGAGAACAAAAACAAGGAAAGTGCTCCAGGCTATTTTTGAGCACTCTTCTTACTATACTAAATCAGAAAATAATCAATTTTAACACATATAACTTAATTCTCCTTTATCCAAATGATATCAGAGAAAAAGGAAGCCTTGCTCAACACTTTTATGTTAACTCTTCAGATGCAGATACTGATGGACTGATGATATGTATCTGGGAGAAAACCAAATAAATAGGATGACAGGAGATCTCAATAGCCTGGAACAATTGGCTATATCTAACAAAAGAGAATTAAACAGCAATAGACACAAAGTCAGCACTTACAGTACAAAAACTAATGGCAAAAGCACATGAAGTGGGACATATGGTTTAACAGCAGAACATAATTTTTTCAGAAGTGGCTGTTCTTAAAGAACTGAAAGTTATATAAGTTTACTCTTGTACTCTTCCCCAAAATCAACTCAATTCTACTTAACATAATAGAAGTATATACAGAACAACAAAGGTGCTAAATCTCTTCACCTGGATTCTCCGCATAGATATAGACACTGACAAATTGGGGCACGTAGAGGGGAAAGACCAGAGTGTTAAGTGACTCAGACCCAAGCACTTCAGGAAAGGTTAAAGGAATTGGATCTGTCTCTCTGGAGAAGAGAAGGACTATATTTGTTGTCTGGGAAAAATGGTCATGAGAGAAACATGTACTTTGTAATAAAGAAGGCTGACTGACTGAGTGGAATTTAAGGTACAGAGGGCATGAGTTTGAGTATTGGTGCCATTGTTAACCAGTGGTGTGACCTTGAAAAAATCACTAAGAAACTGCATCTCAGGTTCCTGAGCTGCATTATGAGAACAGGAATATCTACATTGCAAGAGTCTTGTGAAAATTAAATTAAACAACATATGTAAAATAGCTAAAGAACATGGCATGCAGTTAATAGTCAACCAAGGGCTGGGCGTGGTGGCTCATGCCTGTAATCCCAGCACTTTGGGAGGCTGAGACAGGCAGATCACCTGAGGTCAGAAGTTCGAGATCAACCTGGCCAACATGGTGAAACCGTGTCTCTACTAAAAATAATAATAATAATGATAGCTGGGTGTGGTGGTGGGCACCTGCAATCCCAGCTTCTCGGGAGGCTGAGGCAGGAGAATCGCTTGAACCTGGGAGGCAGAAGTTGCAATGAGCTGAGATTGTGCCACTGCACTCCAGCCTGGGCAACAGAGAGAGACTCCATCTCAAAAAATAAAATAAAATAAAAAAAGTTAACCAACATTGGCCTTTCCACCTACTTGTCAGGTAGAGTCATTAGTGATTTTTATTAGATAAGTATCTCGTAGAAGGGTTGTATAAGCAGATATGAGAAGGTTAGGCATTGAGATCCTTGCCAATGCAGCAAGATATATTTATATGTTGACCAACAACATTTGTTGTACTTTATTCCAATAAGGATTATTATTTTAAATAGTGGATGCCTTACAAGTTATATTGCCTTATAAAGCTGCAAGAAAATTTCACTAATATATAGAGTAAAACAGTGCTTATCTACTTACCTGTAAAGTGCAGAAAGGGGCCTCTTGTTTCCAGGTTTTGGTCTGTATGGTTTGGGCTCTCCTGCCATGTTGATATCTGAAAGCATAAAATAAAACAGTACTGATTAAGAAAATACGAAACCATCTGAGAAAAGTAAATCATGAACTTTTATTTTTCTTTTTACTATTTGTTTATGCAAATATTGTACACCATTGATTCATTCAACATATGTTTATTGAGCATTTACTCTATGTCAGGCACTGTTTGGGATATGTCATGCACAAAACAGATTATATCTCTGCCCTTGTGGAACTTACATTTTACTGGGGGAAGACAGTGAGAAACAAACATAATAATTAAAAACTATATACCATATTAGAAAACGATGAGTACTATAAACAATCAAAATGTTGAGCAAAGTGAGGAGAATCAAAAATGCTTTTCTTTTTTCCCTAAAAGACAGGGTTTTGCTCTGTCGCCCAGGCTGGAGTGCAGTGGGGAAATCGTTGCTCACTGTAACCTTGAACTCCTGGTCTCAAACAATCCTCCTTCCTCTGCCTCTGAAGTAGCTAGGACTACAGGCATGTGCCACTATGCCTGGCTAATTTTTAAAATTTTCTGTAGAAATGAGGTCTGGCTAGGAGGCCCAGGCTGTCTCAAACTTCTGGCCTCAAGCAATTCTCCTGCCTCAGCCTCCCGAAGTGTTGGGATTATAGGTGTGAGCCGCTGTGACTGGCCAGAAATGCTTCATGAAACAAAAAGAGAATGAAATGTTCTTCTGATTTTCATTTTTCGCTAAGAATTTTTCAGTATGCATAAACATTTGTATGAAATAGAGTTCTGTTCATAGGAGGACTTATTAAATTTCCTATGATATATTTTCCATTTATATAGAAAAGGAAGCTAGAAGGATTTGATCATAAATCATACCAGGTTTACTAAAGGAGCAACAAAATGCACTCAGCAACTGGAATATGTAGTTATTGAATTCCAAGGTTGTCAAAATGAGAAGAGAGCACATACTTTGCCTTCATAAACTGAAAATATTATTGTCTCTGGGATACACAAAAAGAGGTTTAAGTATGTGACAAAACAGTCTATGCATACAACTGACCAACCTCAATCTTAAAGAAATATGTAAAACTGTTAAGAAATTGGAAAGTTGGGAGGAGAAGGTTTGGAAAGTAATATAAATAACTAGATTGAACAAAGTTAAAATTTCCAAATGATGATAGAAAGGGAAATCTAAAGGAGATGTGCTTCAAGAAATGAGGGATATTATTTTGACAGAAAGGAAAGGGAAAACTTCTATTTCTTGCACAGTGGACTAAATACACTGAGCTATCCACCACTGAAAACAACCAAAAATTCTGGATAAAATATAAATGTATCCTTTTAAAGAATGCAACATAAAACTAGCAAGAAAGTAAGGGATTTGAAGAACATTCCACCTGAGTGGAAACAGGAAATCAAATGGAAAAAGAACACTGCACCTGGCTTGTTCCTTAAAGATACTTGTTGCTGCCAGAACATGAGTTTTAGTTTTTACATCCTTGTGGTTCAGCGGGCACAGGTCACTATGCCCAGGTTAAAGAATGTGAGACATAAAATCATCTGATTCAACATAGGTGACAAATATGTGACAAAAGCCTTAGCAACTAGGAAGAGAAGAAAAATTCCTTACTTAATAAAGAAGATTTACAAAAATCTATATTAAACATTATACCTAATGCTTCAAGAAATGATGTCTAGTGAGACATTGGGCACACTTGCTTTAAGATCAGATAATTTAAAAGGACACCCACTATATTAAACTTTATATAATATTGTACTAGATGTCCTAGTCAGTGCAGTAAGACAGGAAAGCAATTTTAGAAATGAGAGAGAAGAAATAAAACTGTCACTAATTGCTGATGATATGTGGGTTCATGTAAAAAATTGTAAAGCATCCACAGATTATTACAATTAATAAGAGAGTTTAATAAGTTTATTGAATGCAAAGCCAGTATACAAAATTCAATTGTATATCTCTATACAACAATCATATGTATAAAATACAGTCTAAAGTATATTATTTACATACTATAAAAGACAAAGTATTAAGGGGTAATCTATTACAACACTTGAAAGACCTTAATGAAAAAAATTATAAAACTGTATTGAAAAATTTTACAGTTACCTTATATAAACAGAAAAATTAGAAGACTCAATATAATAAATATGTCAGTTATCTTCAAGATAATTATGGATTCCATGTAATTCCAATAAAATCCCCAATATTTTTTATGTATATGCCTGAAGCTTGACAAGCTGATTCTGAATTTGTACAATAGAACAAAGGCCAAACATAGCCATGATACACTTGGAAAAAAGGTATGAAGTTGGTAAAGTTGCCTTATCAATATTTATTTTAAAGCTGTGGTAATTAAGGCTGTAGTAATGGTAGAGAGATAGGAAAGGGACCAATGAACATGAAATACACACACGTATATATGACAAAACTGTACATGCATACAATTGACATATATAAACACATGGAGCCGACATAGCAGATCAGTGAGGGAAAGACTGATTCTTAAATAAATAATGATGGAATGATTGGTTATCCACAAGGACAAATATGAAATTGAACATCTACCTACACCATACCAAAAAAATCAATTACTATTGCCTAAATATGAAAGGAAAAAATATAAAATGTTTAGAAAGCAATAAAATAGAATATCTTTTTGAGCTAAGAATATGGGAGGATAATCTTAAACCAGACATAAAAAATCGCTAACCTTAAAATACAAAATTGATAAATTCTGCTTCATTAAAATTAAGAATTTCTGGTCATAAAAAGCCACATAAAGACAGTGAAAAGAACCATAAATTTGACAAAGGATTTGTTTCTTGAATATATAGGAAACTCATGCATATCATAGTAAAGAGAGTCAAAACACCAAATAGAAAATTAATAAAAAGCCTAGTAAAAGCACTTTACACAAGGGAAAACATGAGTGGTGAATAAACACATGAAAAAATGCTCAACCTCATTAGTAGTGGGAAATGCAAGTTAAAACATCATGAGATACAAATAAAACCCATTGAATTTACATTTTACAAAGCCTGGTAATATCAAATGCTGGCATTTCTGAGCAAATAGAATTTGTGTAGAATGCAGATATAAATGTACATGGTAAAAACTATTTTGAAAAATAATTCATCAGTTTCTAATAAACTTAAAATGTTCAAACTCTGTGATCCAGGAAGTACACACTTAAAAAACCTTTTACACATGTGTACCATACGGTATATACAAGTTTGTTCATTGTAGTACATTGGAATTGAAAAGATTCCTGGAAAAAACACAAATACCCATTGTATTTTTAATAGGATAAACAAATGGTAGCATATTTACCAAAAGGAATACTATACAACAGTAGAGAAATGACAGAGACAGAGAGAGAGAGAGAAAATGAATTAGGGCCATAGGAAATATTGAAATATTGATAACCTCAGAAACCTAACACTGAACAAAAATAATGCCCTGGAAAAATACTGACAGTATGAATTCTTTCATGTAAATTTAATTGCAAAATTGAATGATATATTGTATAAAAAGAAAAATACATGGGATAAAACTAGAAAAAAAAGCTTCTGTGCAGCAAAAGAAACAGCAGAGTAAACAGACAACCCACAGAGTGGGAGAAAATCTTCACAATTTATACATCTGTCAAAGGACTAAAATCGAGAATCTACAAAGAACTCAAACAAATTAGCAAGAAAAAAACAAATAATCACATCAAAAAGTGGGCTAAGCATATGAATAAACAATTCTCAAAAGAAGATATACAAATGACCAACAAACATTTGAAAAAATGCTCAACTTCACTAATGATCAGGGAAATGCAAATCAAAACCACGGTGCTATACCACCTTACCCCCATGAGAATGGCCATAATAAAAAAATCAAAAAATAATGAATGTTGGCATGAATCTGGTAAAAAGGGAACACTTCTACACTGGTGGGGGAATGTAAACTAGTACAACCCTATGGAAAACAGTGTGGTGATTCCTTAAGAAACTAAAAGTAGAACTACCATTTGATCCAGCAGCCCCACTACTGGGTATCTACCCAGAGGAAAAGAAGTCATTATACGAAAAAGATACTTGCACGTGCATATTTATAGCAGCACAATTCACAATTGCAAAAATATGGAACGAGCCCAAAGGCCCATCAATCAGCAAGTGAATAAAGAAATTATGGTGTGTATATATATATGATGGACTACTACTCAGCCATAAAAAGGAACAAATTACTGCCATTTGCAGCAATCTGGATGGAACTGGAGGCTGTTATTCTAAGTAAAGCAACACAGGAATAGAAAACCAAACATCGTGTGTTCTCACTCATAAGTGGGAGCTAAGCTATGGAGATATGAAGGCATAAGAATGATACAATGGACTTTGGGGACTCGGGGGAAAAGGTGGGAGGGGGTGAAGGGTAAAAGACTAAAAATTGGGTTTAGTGTATACTGCTAGGGTGGTGGGTGCATCAGATTCTCTCAAATCACCACCAAAGAATTTATGTAACCAAATACCACCTGTTCGCCAAAACCTATGGAAATAAACATTTTTCTAAAAAAAGAAGGCAGAGATAAACAAGGAATTCAGGATGAAGTTTACCTCTAAAGGAGTAGAAAAAGTGTGGGACTTGGAAACGACACCCAGAAGACATTAAAGTTAATAGTAAGGTAGTATTTCTTAAATTGGGTGGTAAGAGCATGGCTGTAAATTACAGCATTATTCCTCATAACTTACTTACTTTATTCTGTATGTAATTTATAACTAATAAGGAATTTAAGAAAATAGGAATGAAAACTGTAAATTATGTGTTGATAAATATTCACATCAGAGAAAATAGGGTTTTTTTGTTTGTTTTTGTTTTTCTCTGAGACAGAGTCTCACTCTGTCGCCCATGGCTCACTGCAACTTCTGCCTCCTGGGTTCAAGTGATTCTCCTGCCTCAGCCTCCCAAGTAGCTGGAATTGCAGTCACCTACCACCCTGCCCTACTAATTTTTGTATTTTTAGCAGAGACAGGGTTTCACCATGTTAGCCAGACTGGTCTCCAACTCCTGACCTCAAGTGATCCTCCAGCCTCGGCTTCCCACAGTGCTAGGATTACAGAGGTGTGAGCCACCGTGCTGGGCCAGAGACATTAGGTTTTAGTGAACAAGTGGTTTTAGCAGATTGTGAGCTGGTATATTTAAGAAAAGAGAACATGTTGTGGGTGGATTATTGGGTGTGAGAAGATCATTAGAAACCCCATTAGAGCTTCAAAGCTGATTTGAGTGGGATGTAATTTAGGGTTCTGAGTAGAGGAAAGACCCAAGAATCACTCAGGAAAATAGTGACTCTTGTATGACTTAGAATAAGGCACAGCCAGATCGAGGCTGTCTGAATCTTTTAGATGTGACACAGTTGTAACAAAAAAAGCATGTAAAATAAAAACAGATTTCTACAAGTTTTTTAAGCTCTGTAATGATGGTAGAGGGCACATGCGCATGAAAATATCATCAGACATCTTTTATATATTTCTAGCTTAGACTTAATGACATAAAATGAACATGTAAAATTATTCTCATCAATAAATAAAAAGCTTGAGACTTAAGTTTATTGACAAAATATTGTAGCATTTATCTTGTTCTTAAAAATAATATACTGTCAGTGATTCTGAAAACACACTTAGATTGACAGCATATTCATACAATGAAAAACCTTTCATGAAATGTTGTTAAACTCAGTATTTCCACACATTAACCTCCTTTCAAAGGTATTAAAAAATGCCAAAGAAAATACTTTGCCACTTATATACAATGAAACGTGTTCAAATGCAGAATTTTCTTTTGGATGTATGGAAATTTATGCTTAAATACAGATGGTCGCCGAGTTATGACAGTTCGACTTAACGATTTTTGAGTTTTTAATGGTAGGAAAGCAATTTGCATTCTGTAGAAACTATACTTCTCTCGCTTTGCTGGGCAGTGGAAGTGAGCCATAGCTCCTAGTCAGCCACACACTTTCAATTTATAGCGTTTTGAACTTACCCTGGGCTTTTTGGGATGCAGCCCCATCCTAAGTGAAGGATATCTGTATGCATATTTACATATTCTGCAGTGCTATGTTGTTTATCATCTAAAACCTGGTTTTAGTAGACAGGGAGAAGGGTGAAAGGGGCAGAAAGGATTCCATGGAGGAGGGTACAGTGGGCAAAGAGCTCAGGTAATCATAGTGAACATAAGCTTTGCCAAGATTCGAATGAACGAGCAGTCCCTTTGTATTGAACTTTATAAATACAAGATTAATTGGGTATTCAGGACAATCCAGCTTCATTGGAAGCCAAGGCTTAGGTTCTCATGCCTCAAGAGCTGTTGGCCTTGAAGGGACCAGACACACAGTATGGCATCCTAGCAGTAACTCTGTGGTCACCAACAACAGAGAAGTCTCCTGAGGTTTTGTTCCCTGATTATCCTGGCACTGTGTAAGTTACTCACAAAGTAGAGTAAATGGAAGAATGACCAAGGTTCAATTTTCTACGCTCTCATAAGCTAGGGGCTTTGTAGTAAAACATGAGACACAAAAAGTAAGGTGTTATTTCTTTGTTTTCTGGATTTACAAAGAGATTTATACAAAATATCAACGTTCAGAGCTCTTAAACTGTTCTCAAGAAATGATGTGGGTTTAATCACTCCCAATAAATGCTTTTGGCATATTTCAAAAAGCCTAGTTAAATTTGTAGTCATTGTGCAGAAGTACCTTTACAGATGCCTATATACCAGGCTGGTCCACGTTGTTATCTGGCTATTAGAATTATGTTCTTCTGAGTGAGGATTGATAAAACCAAACAGGCACCATTTAAATGAATTCTTTTGATAAGACTTATTTATGTTTGGGTGCACTACACATCACATCTGCGTGGAGAAGCTAGCTACTCTCACTCCATTCCAGCCATAGGGATAAAGCAGAAGAGAACAAACCACAGGTTAAGAGAACTCTACCTGTGGCTAATTGATGCCTGGCACGCCCCCACTTGAAGGGAGAAGGGCCATTTGCATTTTGTCATGATTCTCTCTAAGCAGAGAATAGACCCATCTCATTCTGAAGTTTCAATATTTCAAGTTAGCATGAAAAAAGTATAAAAAAAGTAAAATTTGCTCCAAAATTATCCCTCTGATATTAAACCTCAGGTTCAAACAATTGAAAAATATCCTGTTGGGCTACTAACTGTATCTTTTCACAGTAAGTTAATTAAAAATGTATTAACTGCTCTCAAAAATTTAGCCAATTTTTGTTTCTTCTTTAATTTAAAACTGAATAAGCAATACCATGATGCCGTGACAGATATAACTATAAACTTATGGAACTGAAAAAAGTCAATGAGCTGAACCTATTCTAACTTGAGGCAAATGAGATGAAGCAAATGGAGACGGGTGCTATTCCAAAGTGTCATCCACCAGAATACTAACCAGCCATGTAACTACATTTATTTGACCAATCTTTGTAAGCATACTATTAAAGGTGATCACAATGGATTTCTATTATTTCATGCTTTTGACTCTTGGGAAGATACTTTCAATTCTGCACCCAAATAGATGTGACTCTCCCACCTCGCACCTACTTTATTATACCATTTCCATGACACTGAGTATGGGTGCCCTTTGACTTTGGACTTCTAAAGGGCAGTCATAATTTCACTCAGTTTCTTATGCCCTTCAGCACCCCACGCACTGTTGTTTATGCAATAGATGCTCAATAAGTCTATTGTTAATTAAATTTATACAGACCAAAAGGCATAACTTTGGGCTCCAGTAAGTCTAACCAAACACATGTTGCCAACACATTTTATAAAATGGTGTTTATCAGAACAATGTTTTGGGAGTTTTTTTTTTTTTTTTTTTTTTTTTTTTGAGACAGTCTCACTCTGTCGCCAGGCTGGAGTGCAGTGGCGCGATCTCAGCTCACTGCAACCTCTGCCTCTCGGGTTCAAGCTATTCTCCTGCCACAGCCTCCCAAGTAGCTGGGATTACAGGCGTGTGCCACCATGCCTGGCTAATTTTATTTATTTATTTATTTATTTATTTATTTATTTATTTATTTTAGTAGAGATGGGGTTTCACCGTGTTAGCCAGGATGGTCTTGATCTCCTGAACTCGTGATCCACCCACCTTGGCCTCCCAAAGTGCTAGGATTACAGGTGTGAGCCACCACGCCTGGCTGGGAGATGTTATTAGGTATCGTGAAACAAATTTATCACAGTAAAACTGTTAGTAAAAATGCTACATTATATCCTTTTCTTGGCTATTTACACTTAACAGATAAAACTGCAAAAAAAGATTCACTTGCATTTAACTCAAATGTTCTTACATATACATGAATTTAGGATATTTTGGACGATATATCTATTAGCATCCAGCAAATCAGAGCTCCTCTAGGATACTGCTTTATGAGATACCCTGACATGTTTAGGAAAATATTTTATATTTATTTATTTGCCATGGATTCAACTTGGAGTACCCTCATTTTAAAAGTTAAACGTAGTCTTTTAAATTAAATATAATTTACACTGCTACAATAAACTGACATTTGCAACTTACTCTACCACTAGCAATCCCTGCTGGCTCTGTCATTTTTCAGATATATTTAACTTTGATATGGAAATGGTATCTAATTTATAATAGGACATCCACACTATCAATAGTATCTTCTAAATGTGAATAAGTCTAAAAGAAACATTTTTCTGAAATAATTGGTTAAAAGACAAATCTTTATTCTTAGGGTTTTTTTTTTTTCCTCATCAGGTTTAAATAGAAGTCTAAATAATTCAGTCATGGCATGCAGACTGCCAGGAAAAGTCATTCTGTCTCTTTTACTGTTCACATTTAGAAGATTTAGGGATTCATTACTGTTCCATTGAATAAAAATTCAGGAGATAAAGAAAACAGTCTGTTATGTTTGACAAGTGAACGGACATAACCATACATTACCCAAGTATAAGCACCATACCACCAAAAAGTGTTTTGGTAGTTATTATTAGTTGAGATCCTCAGAACAACCCTGTGAAATAAGCACAGCAGGAGCCATTCTTCCCACTTCGTATATATAGATGTTTGAGATACTGAGAAATTAAATGGCTTTCTTATTTGTACTGTTAGTTCAGTTCACTATAACCACCTTTCCTATTGAGCAAAGCCCACGTGCCAAGCATTGAACCAGCAAAAGAGGTGATACCCTGCCCCAGCAGCAGACAGGACTGTCTGAGAGTTAGCAGCAGATTGAACTGCAGCTGCACCAGACTCCTAATCTAGAACTTTCCCCACTACCTCTCCTTGTTCTTCATAAGATTTTGAATGTCACACCTTCTATGCCACTCAAACCCAGTTTGGCTGTGGAAAGCAGCCTGTAAAGCAATGCACTCTGTGTCCCAGGAGCTCTGGCATCACAGGGGAGGATGCATGATTAAAGGAGTGCTGTAGAGAGATCTGTCTGGCAGCAGAGGAGAAGAAAATTCAACTCCCAACTGTGCTGCCTGCAATTTCCTGGCCAGGTGGGTTCACAGCCCTGTGGTTTACAAGAGCTACACAGCAGTGCTTTTACTCTGAGGAAACAAAACAAAACAAAAAAACCCACAAATGTACCAGAGTTGCAAAAGCAAGTACAGCACACCCAGGGCTCTAAAATATGGACATTTGTAGCATTTTGAGCGAAAATCTGAGATTGGAGCCAATCTTCTACAAAAGTAAATAGCTTTCTAATGTTGTTGTTTTTCCCTTCACAGCATCAAAGCTAGTTTTAACACTTGAAGTATGTCCTTAATAGTATGTTAAAATATTCGGTGTTATAAGAATGAAACTGTAGTCTAATTTTACTGGGCAGTCACTGAATTGTGACCATTTTAATGAGCCTTTGGACCTAGTTTCATAAATTAGTTCTGACACAGCACTATGGCACGTTGGCCTCTGGTTATTAGAATGCTAATGTAGAGATCATTGGTTGGCCAGATTCCCATTTGTTACCAGAAAATTCTCCATGCTCCCAGGCTGTGTCTGCAAGGGCAAATCAAAGTGGAAACTTGAACTTCTTACTAGTTATTTGGTAAGCTTGATCATTGTATGTGACTTATTTAGATTTAGACTGTTTTTTCCCTAATAGAAACTGAAGTGAAAAAAAGCACATATATATTTGGATGCCTTTCTATATTTATTATATATTTCATTCAAAGGTTATATTAGGAATAAAATTAAAATGTCAGGGAGCATTCATTTTCATTGATCAAATAATTATTTGAACATACAACATATGCCCGGTGCCATGCTAAAGTTTGGGTAAACAAACATGAACATTTTTGTATGCTCAAGGATATCACAGAGAAAAGCAAACCTGCCGCTAACTATAGAAAATGTAACAGGCATCATAATAAAGATGTAGCCTTCACACTTTGGGAACATGGCAGTACACTGAGAACTATCAGTGAGACCACCCTCAGGGTTCGTTCTTGGTATATGAGGTGGTTTCTTCCCAAGACACAGATTCTAACGTTAGACGTTTTATCGAACCACATCTACCAGGAAACTCGGCAAATGCCTCAGCTCTATCAGTTGAGTCATAGAGATCTGTCTCTGTTCTTTTGTTTGTTTGTTCTATTAGCTAATTGTCAAAACACCTTTGATTTGCCTTGAAGCATAAGTGGCCATGAAAGTTGACGAATCCTTGTGGCTTTGGTGCATGCTTCATCTATGTCTAGTCTAAAAATTTTAGCTGAGAACAGAAGCACGTTTCATATAGGATACAAAGCAAACACGAAATGATAATGCCGTTAATTAACAAGTTTGTATTTACTTAATTCCTAAAGCTTATAATTTGGATTTTAAAAAAAGTTATTTTGTGTCCTCTGTTATCTTGAATAAGTTTTCTGAAAAAATATTTTCTATATTCCATGAACATCTTTCTCTCTACAAAAGTTAAAAATGAAGGAGGTATATTTTATCAAGAGATAAAGCCTATAGAAACCCAATGAATAGAAGAAAATCCAGACAAGTGTTCACCAGTAGCCTCCTGAATATGTTTAGAACTTTGCTTAACAATTTGACAAATATGCTCAGTGATTATTGACATCAACGGTGAATACAACTGTTAAGAAAATCAAGACTAAAAATCACATGGTGAAAAATCTCAGCTATATATTCATCATTAGTGAACAGACTTAGCACTATTAATTTCATTGCATCCCAAGAGTTTATTTAGTTTCATACTTGAGGACAAAACATTCCTTAAAGAATATCCTGTTGGTAACATTCAACCAACAGAAAGTCGGGATCATCAGTTTCCTTGAGAACTCTCAGGTTTTACCTTGGTGAAGCAAAGGAGACCCCAAGATTTTGGTATTTCTTTTCTTGTTCCTTCACTTTTCTCATTTCTCTCTTTTCATACGCGTATATATGGACTTAATTTTCTTAGGTCCTTTTTGTGATGACTTTGTATTCCACATTTAAAAAACCGAGGCTGCTATGTGAGGTATTTTATAATTCATAAATATAATGAAATGCCAGAGCTAATGTTAGGAAACTAAATGTGTTTCATGTGGAGAGAAGTATACAACCCTAGAATATAACACATTTAGCTTAAATCTTTTCCTTCAATTATATCTTTAAATATTTTATTGTTTTAAGATGTTTTGAAAAGAGAATACTAGGAATTCTGAGCAGAAGAATAAAGCTTTCAGGAAAGACATTTGAAAAATGCTTTTCTAATTATTCCATTCTAAAGCTCAGAATGGAATAATGCTATATTAATGCACTGATGATAATAATGGTTGGTAACATTTGTATGTCATTTCATAGTTGATCAAATTTTCACACACATTTAGAAAAATCTGACAATGATCTTGTGGTGTGGGTCTTATTATTGATTCCCAGTTATAGATATTGAAGTTCAGAAAGTCTTATTTGCACAAGGTAATGCAGCTAATAATTAGTGATGCCAGGACCCTGAGTTCAGCTGTCACTCCAAACATCATATTCTGTGGATAAAGCTGACTTTTTAACTTAAAAAATCCATTGCTTATGGCAAGGCCTATATAATTTGTTGGGAAATTACCAAATATTTAGTGATTTTATTTTCAAAAAGATTCTTTTCATAAAGTGTCTATGAGCATATGTAAAGTAAAAAGCCATTAAATTAAATGTGATTCTTAAGAATTCTATAAGGAAGCAAAACTTCAAAGAGCTCTTTTGACTGAGAATACAAACCTGAAAGAGCAAGGCATCAAGGAAATACAAAAGATCTAAGATCCTTCACCAAAGACAGGAGAGAAATGGGATATATGATATTTAATAACAAAGCCAAGCTAATATAAAAGTAAGAACACAAAACATCCAATGAGATAAAAATTCTTCTAGCTGTTGTGTAAACAAGAGTGTTTAGAGGATTTTTGAAGTGCGCCATCTGTATCTCTCCTCTTTCTATCCCACTGCATTCCCTCTCTTGCCCTTCATGTCTCATATCCTGCTACTGCCCCTTTATTCCTCTTTAGCTATTCTGGTCTCCTTGCTGCCTCTCAAACATGCCTGGTGCTTTGTTGCCCTTCCCTGTAGCAGTTTCGTCTCCCCTGGCCTGCTCTCTCCATAGATAATGCACGGCTAACTCCCTAAATTCCTCCAAATCTTTGCTCAAGTGTCACCTTCTCACCTATTTAATATTGCAAATTGTCATCTCCCTACCACTCCTCACACTCATAAGCCCCCTTACCGTTCTTGAATGTATGTTTTCCAAAGGATTTATAACTCCTAATACACAATGCTATTTTAAAATTTATTATGTATGTTGTATATTACTGGACCCCCTCCCATGTTTGCCTGTTTTGCTCAAAAATATATTCAATGAACCTAGAACAATATTTGACTCATAGATGGAGCTTAATAAGTGTTTGTTAAATATGGGAATGAGTTAATCAATGAATTAATGAGTGTATTATCTGAGCTTCTGTGACTCAACATTGCTGTGGAAGGTAAAAAGTGGTCATGAACAAGGTTCTAGTTAGGATGATCTTGCAATTTAGTATCTATGTGGTCACTTTACAGTTAAAGGGGGCATTAAAATTATTAAAATTATATAATTTCAAAATTTTAATTAATTCATTGGATAATGTAATTATCACTGGTTCTATAGGTTCCATAAATTCTTTTAATAAACATATTTAAAGTGTAATTAAAACAAATTTAGGTTGACTCTCTGAATATTAAATATAAATGAACTGAATGATTTTCCAGACACTTTGCTTAGTTTTTTTGACTTATGTATCATATCCTGGTCAGTTATATTTTTCTGAAAATTAATTTTTCTGTATTATTTCTAATTTTTCATACAATTTTAAAGGTCTTTAAAGTTGCATTTTTTCATTAATAGTTTTGACATTGTTGACTCTTTTCCAATGACTTTGCTTTGTAAGTATTACATTTTTAATTGAGAAAATACTTCCTCTCACAGGTGCTGAGGAAAATAAGCTGAGAGCCAATTATGATAAATGGAAGAGATTCCCTATTCTATTTTTGTAGTGAAATGTGTACATATTTTAGCCCCAATATTTTTATAAGTGTGGTCTTTTTACCTCCATTCACAGAGTGCTTTTAACATATTTTCTATGATTAAAACTGTCAAAAATGTTTTAATTTTCTTCTGAATGTCTCAGCAAATGTAGATATCATGCAGTTACAGGCATTCTCAATTTCATTCTATTCTGATACAGAAGATAACTATCTAATTATAAATAGAAGCTCCATTAAAACCTTTTCCTTCAAATTGAGATATTTCAGAGCCTAATAATTGGCATTCAAATTAAATCTTGTATTCCTTCAGATCTCTCAATGTTTATTTACTCCCTTCTTTGCTTTTATGAGAATAAATTTGTCTTTTCATTCATGAGATTTACTTTTAATAACTGAAATTCTTTACAAACTTAAAAATCTGAATTTTGCTTAACATTTTGATTAGAGATTTCCAACTAATTTCTAATAAAATGTAAACAAAATGTAAATAATTTATGTGGTAAATGTAAACATTTTTAAAATCCAACTGTGATAGGTAGTAAAGAGATAGATTCTGTGGAAATACGCTGATATTTTCTTTTCGTCTCAATATCAGATTATCACAAAAATTTTTGTATTTCTGTTTCATGACTGTATATACATAAAATATTTATAAAATGTGATACTTATATCTCTGCTTGTATGAATTGGTAGAATATCACAGCTCTTTGGATGCAACAATAAATTATTTGTATAACATAACCAACTTCAAGTACATTTTTGTTCTATAGGTCTCCTAATTTAGTAAGAACATTATTTTTACCACCATGCTCTGTTCCACCCAAATTTGTATTCATATCAACATGGAAAAAAAATCTAATTTTATCTTCAATGTTGAATTTTAAACTAAATTTACAGTGTCATTCACAAATAACAATCAATTTTATAATTTTTAATTTTATAGTTAGTAACAATGAGAAGTTTCAGTTTGAAAAATAATATCTAAGGGTACATGGATAAATTAGCTTGGGGCTTGTTTATGAATAAATATTAAAAGGGTTTTGGCATAATTACTATGTCTAGCAATGGCCTATAAGATAGGCAAATGGGGCAACATGTGATTCCTCAAAAAGGAGTCTTGATGTTTATGCTGGGTACCTGCCTGAAAGGGCTGAGACATATAAATCACTGGTGGAGGTCTAGACTATGTTTTTAAAAAGATATTGTTTATCAGTAACCTCAAGATTTAGAAGAAAAAGATCACATCACAGATACGTAACAGTATCAATAGCAGTCATTTTATAAAACAGTAGATTTTGGACAACAGAGAAGATGAAATAATCAATTTCTGAATTATAAATGAATCTGTACAATATCTGTGCAACATCAATATTATTTCCCTCATTTTATAAGTAAGAAAACCTTAGGCAAAAGAGATGAGTAACCTGCATAAGACCACATGGCAGTATTCTAGCAAAACTCAGATTATAACAAATTCTTTCTGACACCAGATGTATATATTTCTTAAACTAAACCCAGTTACTTTCTCCTACTTTAAGGTAAAAATTTTATCTTACTTAATCTGGGCAACCATAGATACCTGAGAAAGAGAAAGGTATGGATGTTGATCTCTTTTGGATACTGAATAACTAGTGCAGGCAGTTTGTTACCTGGGTTAGTGATCCACTAGACTTTAATAAATATTCTGAAAGGACTGGACCTTGAGTGTGTGTATTTGGGCAGGAGGATGATTCTAGGTACATTATTACTGTAGAGGTTTAAAAAATATATCCACAAATTATTTGACAACTGTAGTAGAAAGAATAACAGTCCCCCAAAGATGTGAACATTCCAATTCCTGGAACCTGTAAATATGTTACATTACAAAGTAAAGGGAAATTAAATTGACTTTAAAATAGGGAGATTTACCTGGATAATCTGGGTACATTCACATGTAATCAGAAGTGTCTTTACGTTTGGAAGAGGAGGGAAGAAGAGGAGGTCATAGTGCCATGATATGAGACTCAACCCACCATTGTTGGCTTTGAATATGGAACAAGGGGCCACAAGGAAAGGAATACAGGAGGCTGCCAGAAGTTGGAAAAGACAAGAAAATGAATTCTTCCCTGGAGCCTCCAGAAAGGAATATAGCCCTACTAATACCTTTATGTTGGACTTCTGATCTACAGAACTTTAAGATACTAAATTTGAGTCTTTAAAGTTACTAAACTTGTGGTAATTTGTTGCAACAGCAATAGAAAATTAATACAATAGCCTTCCTTCAAGAAGTAGAACTTAACTACCTCCACTTAAGTGTGGGTTGGACTTAGTGATTCTCTTCTAATGAATTGAATGTGACAGAAAATGGGATGTCACTTCCTAGATTAGGTCATAAAAAGATGGTGTCTTTCATCTTGGGTGCACTTGTGTTTACCCTTCATTTTCTCCCCCTATCTGAGGGAGCTGGCTGTCATGTCATCAGGCACCCTGTGGGAAGGCCACGTGGTGAAGAACCAGGGCCCACCAGCAACCACATAGGTGAACTTAGAATAATCCTCCTCCACCTAAACCTTTACATGACTGTAGCCCCAACCAACAACTTGGTGGCAGCCTTAGGAGAGACTCTAACCCAAAACCTTTCAGGTAAACTACTCTCAGGTTCCTGACCCACAGAAATAGTGAAATAATAAATGTTTGTTGTTTTGGGCTATGATATTTTGGGATAACTTGTTATGCAGCAATAGATAACTCATGCAATTACTCTAAGGTTTTTATTTACCTACCCAAAGAAGGAAAATAGTAAGAAAAAGAAAAAGTACTAATCAGGTATTACTCCTTTCCACCAAATAAACTCTGATGTGAATGTGCAAACTCCATTGGAAAGCTATGAGAAAATTACCCAATATTTTTAGCATAAGAATGCACACTTACAGAAGCTGACATTTCTATTAATTTAATTTAGTCAGCTTTTATTTGGATTACGAATGGAATAAAACCTCAGTGTTGAGAAAAACCTTCTCAAAACACAGTCTTACTAAGAATACATTCATCAATTTTTACACATATTTTAATGGATCAGAGCTGTCAAAACTACTTGGAAATCAACAAAGGCAATTAACCTCTAGTTTTTCTCTCTGTTGTTTTTTCTCCTATATTTTGCTTTTTCCTATAAGTCTATACTTAATGGAACAAAGCATGCCAGAAACTCAGATTAATTAATAGGTTTTTTACTTTGCCATATAGAAATATTCTCTAAATTTTTAAAGCTTAATGACTTCCAGCCTACCATATACATTCATTAAAGAAAGAAAATAACCATTCACGCTAAGACACTTTTATGTTGACTTTCAGATTGAATATGACTATTGCAATAAAGCATCTTTTACCTCCTTTCTGAGTTTAATTTGTTTTGGCTAACCAAATATATGTACTAGCCACACTATATTACATGGCAGGTAGCCCAGTTCCACCTCCATCCCTCTTTTTAATTCTACTAACATTTAGATTACAAATTCAGTGCTCACAAGTTCTTTTAAATGGAAGTGTTAGTACATCATATTCGCCGCCCCTGCATAGCTAAAATAGAATTCCCCAAATTCAGCTTAAATATTGACTAGCATATAAATCATCTCCTCCATGTATGAATATAAGAGATATACAAACTGCACATCGGCAGTTTTTTCCCAAGAATTTGAATGAATGTCTGTACCGAAATGTTGCAACAGGAAAAACTGTACTTGTATATAAATTGGTCTCCATTATTATTTTCTCTGTGAAATCGGAACTAGTTTTTACCTTTTGAAGCTAAATCTCAAGGAAACTCCAGTAGATACAGATGATGTACTTTCATTTTGTAATGGCATCTTCTGCTGCATATGATGTTTCAGGCATCATATCAGGCCTGAGTTTAATTAACAGCAGATAATCTAATATTCATAGGTTATCAAAAATATCTCTAAATTTTATTCATATTAAGAAATAACAGATTAGTTCCTTATTTCTACATGGAGAAATATGGAATTCTTTTCAGATGGTCTTTTCCTCCTTAATTCAAATTCTTCTTGTTAGTATGTCAATACACATGTTATCACTGTTTAAGAGAGAGGCAAGCTATAGCATGACAGGGAATTTTAAATAAAAATGGTGTGTTCACATTCACGGTCTCTAAATCAAGTAAGAAATTGGCAAAAAAGACAAATAATTTTGTACCTTTTTAAAATGAGAAGAGTAATTGTGGTTTTATTCACAGAGTAATCAAAATATGCTTCCATTATGTAAAGAAAAGTGTTCATCTACAAATCAATTAGTTCTGCTAATAAAAAAAAAAACACCTTTTACAACATATCTTTTATAATGCTTTTGCCTCACATATGAAGTTTGGATAATAAATCATGACAATCATAATCAGCAATATGAATATTAAAATATGAATATAATTAATTATGCATAACTTCTCTCCTCAGAGTGGGGCTCCAGGATCAGCAGGTGACGTTGTATAAATTATTATGTTAACAGCCCGGCTGTTGGGAAGATAGGTGTGTGTGTTACTAGTGGGTTCTTAAAATATCTACCTAAAATGGCACTAAGTCATCAATATTTATTCTTAAAGAGATGACAATTCAAAGCTAGCAAAATCAACATTTTTCAATTGTAGGAGCAGCTTGTGACTAGGATTTCATTATCATTAGCCACGGAGTGGGGGCTGCTATGTGTTCTAAACTATTTACTGAAGTTGTCTTGGTAGTTTGGTGCACTGATCCTACAATCTCTTTCTGTTCATTTGGATGGCCATCTATGAAGAAATTTATATCTGCTTACCTCAAGCCTCTGTTATTTGCTTTACTTTGTGTCTTGTTTTCTTTGCTTAGAAATTCGGCATCTGGAAAATTGTCTGAAACATTTTATCACTCTATATTTCAAATAATCTTATTGGTTTTTTTGGGGGGGATGAGAAATAGGTGCCATAGGGGTAATATAATCCATGGTATATTGGTACAGACAATGTATGACCCTGCTACTTTATGGATATATTACTAATCTCAAAAATTCAAAAAAATGTAGGTTGCCTCCATTTGTTCATGGCAATAAGTTAAAACACATTTTCTGTAAACCTTTTTGGAAAAGATCAGCTTAACCACAGCTTCACATGATTTAAAACTCTGTCTTTGATACTTTTAGCTTAATGGCATTGTCAAATGTCAAGAACACTTGGTAAGAGGATTTTTTTTTTTTTTACAATATGCCACATTTTGCCTTTTTTAATAATAGCTGTCAAGTTACAAAACATTTGCAATGAAGGATGATTAAGTGGATTACAATTTTAGGCACAATATTGTAGAATTAGAATTCTCTTGTATTTCTACTGTGGCCACATAATTCTATTATCACCTTTGTATAAATATTTAATATATATATGATTAAATATTAAGAAACAACATTGGCAGATGATTTCTTATCACTTAACAAGGCACTTTTATACAGACACAGCACTCACACGCATACTAATATGATCATGTTGCAAATTCTATTCATTCTGTAAAAACAACAATTTGCCAATTCTGTCTAGAATTCAAACATTTTATGTGATGTCACAGGACTGAACTGAAGTCCAGTTTATTTATGGTTATAGAGTTTGTTGAATATGTGGGTACAGTGATACAGCAAATATGAACAAAAGGGACTACGGAGATTTAAAGTAACTGCTACACATCATTTTATTTGATGCCTTGAGAAGGTGCTTCTGTTGACAGCTTGTTATTCATGTGTGTATTTGTGGCAGACAACACTGATATCGGGTTAACAACAATTTTCCTACCATGTATATACAAAAAGACTGCTATTTGGTTTGTGAGACATAGCATCTGTTTTTAGGAGATGTGACTGCTTCTTTATCTGATGGGCCACACCAGCATTATTTTCTCATCTATCCACTCTCTAGCATCATACTATGTTGTGTTTGCCATGTTTCAACAGCTACTTCAAATTGCATATCTGCCCTCTTCCTGAGTCATCTTGACAGTTGACCCTCAATGCTCCATAGCACCTAAGCATCAGTATAACTATAGCTGCTCATGGAAACAGGCATTAAAACTGGAGTGCCTTGGATCAAATTCTAGCTCCACTTCTTGTAAGACTGCAAACTTGGGCAAGTTACCCAAGCACATCTACCAAAAAGAAATTTGTACCACCTCATAGTGGTTTGGGGAGGAATTAAATGAATTAATATGTGTAAAACACTTAGAAGAGAACCTGGCATATAAGTACTCAATGGTTACTGTTCTTCTTCTTCTTATTGCCATCTACCTCCCCACAAGACCTACCGCATGGTGGCATCTATCAGTAATCATTCCTCCTCATCTCTCTGTCCCCATTCAGTAAAAGAGGAGGTATTGGATGTGAAAAGTTGCCTTTTGAGAGCATGCAATAGTTGTGAACTGTCCTCTCCTTTCATCTCTACACTGAAAAAGGAGAGAATGGTACCCAACTGGTGAACATCCTGCCAAGGGCAGGATCCTTAGAAAAACACTCTTCAAGTATGAGGATTTCAACATGAAAGAAAGACTGATAGTCAGTTCCACCATTGCATTTATACTTAATCTTGCAGCTTATCTGATGCTACCTGGAGAAGTGAAAGGAAACTGAGGAGAGGGCAAAGTGGAATGTCTAAGTAGAGAGGGACAAGAATCACCAGTATGAATTAATAATTCCAGAGAGGTATAGAGGACAGATTCCTCCTGGGCCCACCTACAACCAGCATGAGTTATCTATGAAGGAAAATTGTAATTGGTAGCAATAGACTTGCCAAAAATTGTTCAACCTGGTATATTAGTCTATTCTCACATTTTTTTTTTTTATTATTATACTTTAAGTTTTAGGGTACATGTGCACATTGTGGGCAAGGACTTCATGTCCAAAACACCAAAAGCAATGGCAACAAAAGGCAAAATTGACAAATGGGATCTAATTAAACTAAAGAGCTTCTGTGCAGCAAAAGAAACTACCATCAGAGTGAACAGGCAACCTACAAAATGGGAGAAAATTTTCGCAACCTACTCATCTGACAAAGGGCTAATATCCAGAATCTACAATGAACTCAAACAAATTTACAAGAAAAAAACAAACAACCCCATCAAAAAGTGGGCGAAGGACATGAACAGACACTTCTCAAAAGAAGACATTTATGCAGCCAAAAAACACATGAAAAAATGCTCATCATCACTAGCCATCAGAGAAATGCAAATCAAAACCACTATGAGATATTCTCACATTGTTATAAAGACATTACCTCACATTTGGTAATTTATAAGGAAAAGCGGTTTAATTGGCTGTACAGGGGGCATGATGCTAGCATGCTTCTGGGGAGGCCTCAAGAAACTTTCAATCATGGCAGAAGGCAAATGGGGAGCCAGCACTTCACCTGGCTGGAATAGGAGAAAGGGTGGGGAAGAGGTGCCATACACTTTTAAACAATCAGATCTCATGAGAACTTTTATTATGAGAATAGCACCAAAGGGGGAAATCTGCCATCCCCATGATCCAGGCACTGCCCACCAGGCCCCATCTCTAACACTGGGAATTACATTTCGACATGAGATTTGGGCAGGGACACAAACTCAAATCTTATCATTCTGCCTAGGCCCCTCCCAAATCTCACAACCTCACATTGCAAAATATAATCATACCTTCCCAACAGTCTCCCAAAGTCTTAACCCATTCTAGCATTAACTCAAAAGTCCAAGGTCCAAAGTCTTATCTGAGACAAGGCAAGTCCCTTCTGCCTATGAGCCTGTAAAATAAAGATCAAGTTAGATACTTTCAAAGTACAATGGAGTTACAAGAGTTGGGTAAACATTGCCATTCCAAAAGGGAGAAATTGGCCAAAAGAAAGAAGCCACAGGCCCCCTGCAATTCTGAAAGCCAGCAGGGAATTCATTAATCTTAAAACTCCAAAATAATCTCCTTTGACTCCATGTCCCACATTCAGGGTACACTGATGCAAGGGGTGGATTTCCAAGGCTTTGGACAGTTTTGCCCCTGTTGTCATGGCTGCTCTCAGGGGCTGGAACTGAGTGCCCATGGGTTTTCCAGGCACACAATGCAAGCTGCCAGTGGATCTACCATTCTGGGGGCTGGAGGGCAGTGGCCTTCATCTCACAGCTCCACTAAGCAGTGCTTTAGTGGGGACTTATTGCCCCTTTACACTGTCCTAGTAGAGGTTCTCCATGAGGGCTCCAGCCCTGCAGCAGTATTCTGCCTGGACATCCAGGCTTTTCCATACATCCGTTGAAATCTAGGCAGAGGCTCCCAAGTTTCAACTTTTATATTCCATGTACCTGCAGGCTTATTATCACATGTAAACTGCCAAAGCTTATGGTTTTCACCCTTTGAAGCAGTGGCCCAAGCTGTACCTGGGACCCTTTCAGCTACTGCTGGAGATGGAGCAGCTGGGAAGCAGGGAGCAGTGTTCCCAGGCTGCACAGGGGAACTGGGCCCTGGGCCTGTACTTTGAAATCATGTTTACCTCCTCCCTAGTGGGAGGAACTGCTGCAAAGCTCTCTGAAATGGCTTTGAGGCCTTTTTCCCATTGTCTTGGCTATCAGCACTTGCCTTCCTTTTAGTTATGCAAATTTCTGCAGCCTGCTTGAATTCCTCCACTGAAAATGGGCTTTTCTTTTCTACCATATATCCAGGTTGCAAATTTTTCAAATTTTATGCTCTGCTTCCCTTTTAAATATAAGTTCCAGTTTCAGGTAACTTCTTTGCTCACACATACAAGCATAGGTGGTTAGAAGCAGCCAGGTCACTGTGAATGCTTTGTGGCTTAGAATTTTCTTCTGCCAGATAACCTAAGTCATCACTCTCAAGTTCAAAGTTCCGCAGATCCCTAGAGCAGGAGCACAATGCTGCCAGATTCTTTGCTAATACATAACAAGAGTGACCTTTGCTCCACTTCCCAATAAGCTCCTCATCTCCATCTGAGACCTCCTTAGCCTGGACTTCATCGTCCATATCACTATCAGCATTTCTGATAGTGATATGACAAGTCTCTAGGAAATTCCAAACCTTCCCTCATCTTCCTGTCTTCTGTTGAGCCCTCCAATCTGTTCCGACCTCTGCCTGTTCCAAAGCTGCTTCCACATGTTCAGATATCTTTATAGCAATGCCCCACTTCTCAGTACCAATTTTCTATATTAGTCTGTTCTCACATTGCTATAAACAACTACCTGAGACTGGGTAATTTATGAAGAAAAGAGATTTAATTGGCTCATGGTTCCACAGGCTGTACAGGAAGCATGATACTGGCATGTGCTTCTTGGGAGGCCTCAGGAAACTTTCAATCTTGGCACAGGGCAAAGGGGGCAGTCAGGATTTCATATGGCCAGGCAGGAGGAAGGTTGTGGGGAGGTGCTACATACTTCATCATATCTTGTAAGAACTCTGTCATGAGAACAGCACCAAAGGGAGAAATCCACCCCCATGATCCAGTCACCTCCCACCAGTCCCCACCTCCAATAATGGGTATTACAATTTGACATGAGATTTGGGCAGACACACAAATCCAAACCATATCATCTTGGGGACAAAAAAATGCATAAACCAGGCCAGGCGTGGTGGTTCACGCCTGTAATCCCAGCACTTTGGGAGGTCAAGGTGGGTGGATCACCTATGGTCAGGAGTTCAAGACCAGCCTGGCCAACATGGTGAAACCCCGTCTCTACTAAAAATGCAAAAATTAGCCAGGCATGGTGGTACATGCATATAATCCCAGCTACTTGGGAGGCTGAGGCAGGAGAACTGCTTGAACCTGGGAGGCGGAGGTTGCAGTGAGCCAAGATCATGCCACTGCACCCTAGCCTGGGTGATAGAATGAGACTCAGTCTAAAAAAAAAGCATAAACCAGAGCATTTTTGAGGGATGTTTACCAACTGGGTGTCAGACTAAAGCCCCAGTGTCTCCAGAGGCTGACCAACTTGTCAAGGGAGCCTGCTAAAGCCATCACTCATACTTATCATGGTCACAGGAAATAGGTGAAAAGCACAGTGATATGGCCGATAAAGGACTAACAGTTTCTCAAGAGCAGGTATGTACAAAGACAGTGACTATAGTCACTTTCTTTCCTATCCTCCCCACATCAGCAAGATAAATGCAGGGAAGAAAAAGAGGGAGTCTTAGTTCATTTTCTGTTGCTTATAATAGAATACATGAAACTAGGTAAAGTATGAAGAAAAATAATTTATTTCTTACAGTTATGGAGGCTGAGAAGTCCAAGGTCAAGGGGCCACATCTGGTGGGGGCCTTCTTGCTAGTGGGGACCCTATGCACAGTCTTGAGGTGGTACAGGCCATCACATGGTAAGGGGGCTGAGCATGCTAGGTCAGGTCTCCCTTCCTCTTCTCATACAGCCATCAGTCCCACTTCCATAATAACCCATTAATTCACTAACCTATTAATTCATTAATCTACGAATAAATTAGTCCATTCATAAGAGCACAAACCTCATAATCTTATTTCCTCTTAAATGCCCATCTCTCAGTACTGGCAAATTGAGGATTACATTTCAACATGAGTTCAGAAGGGGGCAAATATTCAAACCATGGTAGGGGGCATGAGAGCAGGTGGACAACACTCCCTCTGGAATGGCTGATTGATCATCTTCAACCAGGAGCCAGAGGCCATCACACAAGGGGTAAAAACAACAGCTTTATAGAAAGCACCTGGGTCTTTACAAAAGTTACCACATCATTCTTAGATAGGTTGCGTTCAGACTAATGTGTAAAGGTAGTTTCTATCTTGTTAAAAACCGCTGTATTTTGTTTTGTTGCCTAATCTGTATCCAATACAAGACTGATGTATCTTTTTGTAAAAGAAATAATTCTTCTCTTTAACTCTTTAATCAGAAACTGGTCCTGATTATGTAAAGTAACAAGGCTTTTACTGTACTACAGATTGCAGGACAGTTTTCTGGCTGGCTCTGGAGTGACCCAGTTCTTTCCCCTTTCTTATGTGTAATTCTTAAGAATAATCACAGAGTGTGCTGAGAGTGCAGCATCCTGAGATAAAGCTAACTGGCTGGAGCAGCTAGGTTCTGTTCCAGGCTTCTCCCAGAGCAGAATGCCCTTCAATAATTTAGCTCAGTGATTTATGTGACCCCAAGGTATATAAGCCAGGATGAGCTGCCTCTCAGGGTTCCACATCTGTGGTTCAAGTGGGGCCATGAGCAGCCCAGAGCTCATCTTCCCTGGGCAGCTTTCTGACTTACAATGAATGTTGGACTTCTGTTCACAGAATTGAATTCAGCTCACAATAAATCTTGGGCTTCTGTTGTTTCTTGCTGCCTATCTGTAAGTGATACATCTGCCTGTTGCTTATAAATGTGTTGTCTCCCTAGACTCAGACAAATTGGTAACCAGTGCACAGTGAACCTGCTTCACATAGATCCTTCCCTCTCCCAATGCTACATTCTTTCTCTTACTAATTTATGTCCTGTGGATTTTTGTCTGACTCATTCAACTGAGTTTTGCTATCACTTCTAGGGGACACTTGTTCCTGACTTCTTGGCGAGGAACCCTTGTCTATGATGTTTAGGTTTACCTCTTTCATAGTATGTGGAATATTGTATTTATTGGTGACTTCTCCTAAGAGAAAATGCCAGATTCTCAGCATGTAGTAGGTGCTCCCAAGTGACTTGTGAAACAAATGAATACTAGACTCAAAAGGAGTGTAATAGGTGCAGAATTGCATTTAAGGCAAAGCCATATGGCCAGAAGTCTATAAAAAAAATTGGTACAAGCAAATATATCAGGCAGAGAGATCAGTTCAGACACTATTAGAATAATGTGGATAAAAAGTGAAAAGGTTTCAACAATAACAGTGTTTAGGCTGAGAACCATTGGAAAAAGGTAATAATACTTATTTTTTTACAGTAATTCCAATTATCTATCATCAAAGGATTCCTGTGTCTGGATTTCAATCTGCATTTTTTGAACATTTGTGATGTAAGTTTTTTTTAAACACTTTAGTACTTTAATTTTTTGACAACAGAGAGGTTAACTTAATGTGGAATTCAATTCTCAGAGTAGTGCTGCTGCCATTACAGAAAATTCTCTTTTCAGAAAGTAGCAAAAACAAATATGATCAAGTTAATTGCAGATAAGAAGGTGTTAGGGGAACTTTAGTTGCCAAGGAAAGTAGAAAAGAGACAAAGGACATAAACAAAACAAGAGAAGATGGGGAAATGCCGGCTCGTTGATATTTTTCATTGGATCAAAACCTACATCAAAATATAATCATTAGGTTAAATAGTAACATCATGTGTTGGTAAAAGTATTTAGAAAATGTTGATTATGGGTACATAAATCTAATTAGTAAATATTTGCATTCAACCAATATAAGATTCCAAGGTTCTGGTCAAGGATTAAATATTAGCATAGTTTGAAGTTAAGATACAAAGTAAATCTATTTAAAGTGAATCATTCAGGTAGCATGATAACATAAGAAAGAGATGTTTTACTGTTAGCTTCATCTTTTGCAATAGTAGTTACTGGCTTCAAAAACTTTCAAGACAATATATAGCTTCCTTTGTTTTTTAAGTAACTCAAAGAATTTCAGAATTAGGAAAATGGGGCAGGATTACAATAGATCATCTTGTCCTTGAGAGATCTTCCAAAGATTAAATACAAGAGCCAGGCTTGAATTAGATCTTCCCATTTTTCATCTGAGCTGCTACTCTCCTATCTTATCCATCTTTCATCCATATTATCCAAATATCATTCAAGCTCATACCATGTCAACTGAAAGCTGCACATTTTATTTGACAATTAGGTCAATTGTGCTTAACATTCCACTACAGACCTACCATTCCTACCTTCAAATATATGCTTGTATTCATATACTCTCTGTTGAATCATGGCCAAGAGTCAAAAGAGAAAATAATATGAAAAGAATGAAGAATCCTTTCAGTTAGTAAGATTAAATAAATTAATTCAAGTGGTGCTGGAATATACCTGCAACCTAAGAATTCTACCTTCCTACCCAAACAGCTAAAAGCAGTTTAAAAAGTATTAAGATGACACTTGACAAAGGAGACAAGTGATTCACCAACTTACAAAACTAATTCCCAACAGAAATATATGGATTTGGCTTCTGTTTTTGAACAAGCAGATAGAAACCAACTACAAAAAGTTTCAGGGTATTTACTTGTAACTTGGTTTGAATCCGAAAGAATGTAAGGTCCCAGGTTATTTTTTTGGGGGGTGTGGCTCAAATATGTGATTAAGTGACAAATGTCTATCACATGATTTAGATTCTGTCTAAAATAGTAACTCTTTTCCTAAGTATGTGTAAAACCTTGAAAAAATTAACAAATAATTAGAGAGATAATAAATTAAGTCAAGTCACTATTATTATTTTTCTGTTCAACTTAAAAATATATAGTGTAATCGCTTTAGTTTATTTGAGTTATCTGAAGTAATAAATAAAATTTAGAAATCTTTACAAGAACTGCTTATGTTCTTAGGAAGACTGTATGCTAGGCTTGTCTGCACTTTCCGACATTTAAAATGGTGAGATAATCAGATGTACTAAAGTTACATATTTAATGTCATAAGTGTTTAAGATAATATAATTAACTCTCTGTAAATGAGATTAACTATATAGAGAAATTCAATCTCTTAAAATTAATTTGAACGTTAGTCAAAGGAGACATTGTATTGCTCTTATTTCAAAACAATTACCTAATGTATAAATTGGTTTTAAAAAATCATGTAAGATGAATCTAAATATTTTTTCCAATAAAAATATTTTTATTCATTTTCTCCACACACACTTATTAGCACCATTTTTTTTTTACATAAAACATTCTGCTGGATGCTGCAGAGTAAGGGTATCAAAATTCAGAAAAGCATTAAAAGAGAAAACAATCATGCCTTCTGTTTAAACATACTCCTAACAATTTTAAAGAAATATTGGATTCTTCAACTTATTCTTCACAGTCTAATTTTAACTGGACATATGGTATATTTTCACTGAAAATTTATCTCTTGCAGACTTTTTTTATGCTCAGATAAAATAATCTTTTGTATTAATTTTGTTACAGAGTACAATGCTTATTATTCCTACTCTTCCAGATAAATATGTGATCATTAATTTGCAATTAATTGAACCTAACCTAAGAAAAGACTTGAATGTATAACTTTAATAAATTGAATATTAATTTACATAAAGTAACTTTCCTTACATTATCTACATAAAAAACTTAGACAGTAAGCATCTTAAATAGTAGCATAATATTTGGTTATTAAGTAAATTGTATTAATTATTTTAAATGACTTTATTATTAAGTATTTGAAATTTAAGTCTACTCCAACAAATTTCTTCCATATTTCTTCAACTTTATGCATGGGGCTAGTTTCATGTTGAACTATCTTAGGGGAATAGTGGAACATTTGTATGTAATTTCTTATTATGAAATAAATATTTATTTTTCTACTCACAAGTTACGAGAAAATATGTATTTCAAGAGTAAAGTTTGGTGGTATAGTCCAATACACTAGAAAGGTCACAGGACTTCTCTTCATGGACCATGACTGATTCTCTTATTTCCTCTTTACCAAATACTGTACTTGGGTTTGATGTGATGAAGAAATGGCTATGCTCTTTCTAGGGTAGAAAATTACACAAGCAAAATTTTCTGACATGAATCTGAGAATTTCAGGAAGGTGAGATTTTTCTCAATATGCTTTAAACATTACTAAAATTTCAGTTTTATGTTTTTCAATGTTTATATTTTTAAGTATCATATAAAATGTAGTACCTATGCCAACTCAAAGAGAAGAGGGTCATATAGTATATGTGATAGAGCTAATATCTGTTGGAAAACATTGATTGTTTTTGCTATTTTTTACATTTCCTCTCAAGTGATTTTCCCCATCCTGTGACAGGCATCTTCTGTCTTTGGAGAGAATTCAAATTGTTATTGCAGGAATGCAAAAAGAAACAATCAACTTTTAAATTTTGATATCCAGTGTAGGATTTTTGAGACTGAAGGTAAAACATAATCTTTAAAGCCAGGCTTTGTTGAGAGATGAAAGAATTTCCTCCAATTCTTTATCCTAGTTAATATCAAGAGATACCCTGCAACTCAATCATAGGTTCTTCCATAGCCTGGAGTGCCTATTGCTTGCATCAATCTGGCTGAACCATGATGCTAGCTGTCCTTGGAAGGGGAATAATATGTAAGAGAAGTCCAGGCTAAAAAAACACAGGAATGAAAGTCATATACTTTTAGGCCCAAGGGATATGGAAAGGAGACAGGGATGGAAGCACTGGATAGATAGTGAGATCTATACACATTAGGTCCAATGACTAGAACAAAGCCAAAGACAAAATTACAGTTTTCCCAGTTTCTGTTTGAGATTCTTGAGGAGAGGGCCTAGAAGGCCATTTCTTTATAAAATAAGAGATACTTCATGAGAGTAAAATCTTATATGCTACCTTGCAAGTGGAGACCTCATGAAAAAAAATATACTATGGGCCATTAGAGATAAAGAAGGCACATTTTCTTTGCACTGTGAATCAATAGAGAGTAATGCTGTGACACAAACTTACACAATACAATCACTTCTTCTCTAATACATATGTATGCCTAAAAATCACTGTAGTACACTTAATTACACAATAGAAACCCTAGGGCTTATGAAAAAACTGGGGTTGGTGTGTAGCACTAAAATTTTTTCATCATAGACGCATTTAAAAAATAGGATCTTAATAAAACAGTAGCATAATTTTACATAAATTAAACCATTAAAAACTATATAAATACTATCATAAACGTGGCAGTTCGTCTTGAAGAAGACTTGATATTTGCTTGTGGAAGTGGGCTTTGGAAGGATTACAGCATGTGCATTAATGTGAAGGAGTAGAGGGAGGGTGATCTGAAATCATACAGAACATTGTTAACACTAGATATGGATGGACCATGATGACTGGTGAACCAAGGTAATACTCAGATGTGTGTGTATGTCTGTGTGTGTGTGTGTGTGTGTTTGTTTTGGGAGTGGGGTGTTGCATGTGTCTGTTCAGCTGGGTTCATGGAGGTGAGTGTTTTGTGCTCAACTAATGTTTTTCCAGATGAATTTATGTGTAAGAATACTGAAAATTTATGCTATTTATAAATTATTCAATAGTATATCAATTACTTTGCAACAGAATTCATGGTTTCAAACAAATATTATAGCAAAACTCCCTGTACTTCAACTCCTTCATATCGTCTTTTATCATCATTTTTGGAGATGAGAAGTTCTGTATCGAGACCATCATCCTGATACCGGTACTAGATCTATTCTTCACCGAATTAGATGATTTGCTCTGATTTGAGTATCAGCAAAATGGAAGATAATTCTGGAACACAGTTAATGACCTTCCTTTGAAAAGCTCTGAATGGCCTTGGTCTTTTTGTGAGTAGTTTAGATAGGCAATTTTCAAGATGTGGTCCACAAACAATACTTGAGTAATACACATTCTGAGGTCTGTTTTCAATGAGACTACTGTATAATTAAATGGAATCTAGTTTGTTTCCCACAAAGGTCAAGAAATTAGACTCTGAGTGTACTGGGCTACTCCAAATTTCTTTGTCTCTTTAAGAGTGGCTTCCTGCTTTGCTTCAATGGGACCTAAAGAGAAAAAGGCAATGACAGGAGAATGTCAAGCTCAATCCTGCAGCATTTTAAGGCAAAATAAGCAACACTTGGTTTGTGTCTGGGCAATCCACAGTGGAGCTCAGACTGCTTCCCTGTACCTATCTCAGTCAAAGAGGAGACCAGAATCTGTGGGGCTAGGGATGACAGGAGGAGCTTTGAGCTTAGAATTATGGACATTACAGAGTGAGCAGTGGCTAAGCAAATGTTTGCTTCCTGTTCTGATTCCATTCCTCTCACAATTCTCCAATATCTAACTATCTCCTGCCCATTTCCTCTTATTTTTATTTTTTAAAAATTGTTGCCAAATACATAACACAAAAGTTGCTACTTTAACCATTTTAAGTGTACAGTTCAGAGGTATTAAGTGGATACACATTGCTGTGCAATCATTGCTACTATCCGTCTCCAATTTTTTTCATTTTCCCAAACTGAAACTCCATACCATTAAACAATAAATCCTCATTCCTCCCTCTCTCTAAACTCCTGCCTACCAGCATTCTGCTTTCTGTCTGTATGAATTTAACTATTCTAGGTACCTTATATAAGTGAAATCATAAAATGTGTATCCTTCTTTGACTGGTTTATTTCAGTTAGCGTAATGTCTTCAAAATTTATCCATTAGCAGCAATGTGTCAGGATTGCTTTCCTTTTTAAGGCTGCATAATATTTCTCTAATTTCCTTTTAATGTTGACTAAAAAGTACATATTAATTTCTAGACATTGTCTTGTGCCTTTTTGTTGTAGCATGTTAAGATAAGATGTGACCTGATGTCTTGGTTGTCTCAAAAAGCATAAAACTACTCAGTTACTTTTCAGCCTTTTCTTCTGCAGACTAAGTAGCTGTATTCAGTAACTCCCTAGCTGTGAATAAAATTTGTGACTGAAATGTGAGAACCCTTTTCTTAGGCCAATATGTTTTCAAATGTTGAGCATAAATTGACAGCGTCTCCATAAGAGACACTTTTTTTTTTTGTTGGTGGTGAGGGGAAGACAATCAGCAAGAATGCTAAATGACATTTCATCATTGGTTGGATCTTTCATTTCCTGATAATCACTGTGATCCCATGCAGTTTCAAATGAAAGCCTAAGGAGAACTCAAATGCAAAGTGACCTCTGAAGCAGAGGAAAGGACACAGAACGAAAAACTTCTCCAGTTAGCTTTATCCTGTGTCAGGGAATCACTATCGTATTTTAGAATGCTGTCATTTTAAAGCTGTGAAATACTTTCTGTAGAAATGATTACATTAATCCTGTAGTCAATTTGTCTGAGGTTAGCAAAGTGTTACAGCTATCAGAAGCGCTGCAAAAATAATTGAATACATTTTTAAAACTAGTAGATATTGTGACCATAATATATTTTCCTAAAATTGCCAGGAAATAACAGAAGAGAAATGACTCTGTCAGGCAGCAGAAAAGGGATGGATAAATTGAATGATACCATGCTTAATGTTATTCAAGGATCTCACATTCAAGGATCTCAATAAGTAGTAGTAACTTCTGCTTTCAACTATTGTTCCCCTTATGAGCACAAAGAAATTAGGACAACTATCCTTTCTTGATTTAAACCGTATGTGCACAAGTCAGCCTGATGGGTAACATAACCGGACTGCTTGAAGGACAGCCTGTTTCTCTGCAACACTTCACCAAAACCAATATGTAATGTACTATTTTAGGACTAATTTTATTCTCCCCTTGGGGGATGTTCCATTATACCTCCGTTTCTTTGCTTTTAATGCTTGGTAAACATTAAAATCATTGACCTGTGAGAGTTGGTCTCCACCCCTCCCAGTTTCCTCTGATTCTTGCTTACTCCTTCTGGAGTCACAGCCATGGAACATGGGACTGAGGCAGAGAATGGAATAAACTTGAAAAATGAGGTAATCGATTATGTGGATATATTCATCTTCCTTTTTGGCATATAGTTAACTTTTTCAGGTTAATTTTTTTTTAAAACAATTTTTTTGGTCCAACTAACTTCCATGATTATACAGATATTTACAGTATTTTCATGTAGTGTTTATTTGTAACACTTGCAATTGTCTAATATTTGCTAATAGCTTTTTTATAGGTAAAAACAAATTTAACCATAGTTTTGAAGGTCTCACATATTTTTAAAAACACTATTTTATCTGAACACTGATTCTTGTTGGCAGAAAATTTTGCTATTACATATAAAAATGGTAACCAAATGTCCATGAATATATTTGATGGTAAGACTGGATTTTTATCCACTTAGATTCATAAGGCTGTAGTCTGAGGCTTGTTTAGAGCCTTGCCAGTGTTTCCCTACCTAAACTTGTAATAGAAAATGTTATCAAGAACATTTGAGCTCCTTAAAAATGTATCATTTGTATGACCACAAACTTTTCTTTTGTATCTTTTCACCTCTTCTTTTTCTTCTCTCATTCTCAGTTCCTCCCATATCCCCCACCCAGGCTCAAAGGAAAGAGAACCAAAATAAAAAAAAAAATGGCCCTGGAAATAATAGACCTGTCTAATGTCCAAACCTTGAATGTTAATGGCCCAAATTTTTAGTCTACTAACAATGAAAACAGTATGCAGTATGGAATATTGTAAAACTTAAATTTTGTTAAAGTAAGTATTTCCTTCTATGACAATAAAAGGTTTATACACTCTGGAGCAAATTCTTTTTCTTTTGAAAGTGATATTTTCTTCTGTAAATTATAAATATATCCATGGTTTGGATGTATGTGTTCCCCAGAATTCATATGATGAGCCTAAGACCCAATGTGATAGTATTAAGAGGTGGCAGGTCTTTAGAAGGTGATTAAGTCATAAGTGCTCAGTCATTACAAACGGGATTAATGACTTTGTAAAAGGGCTGGAGAGAACCAGCTAATCACTTTTACCCTTTAGTTTCTCTTCTGCCATGTGAGTCCACAGCATTCAAGGCACCATCTTGGAAGCGGAGAGCAGCCTTTGGAACTGAATTTGTTTTCACCTTGATCATGGACTTCCCAACCTCCAGGGCCATGAGAAATATATTTGCATTATTTATAAAGTAACCAGTCTGAGGTATTTGTTACAGCAGCACATGCAAACTAAGACAGCTAGCTGTGTGATATCACTCCTGAGGAATAGGCACTGAGGAATGGAGTGATGAGCAGTGACCCTGGAGGAGGCTGCATCAAGCAGTGCCTCAGAGAGGCCAACACTGTGGTCATCATCTTCCTTTTCATCTACTCCAAGAGACACGATGTTCTTTCTCTTCCATGTCTTTACTGAGTCCCATCCAGGATAAGCCATACAAAGGAGAGGAGTCAAATCATTCTAAAATGACCGTTGCTCCCAACTCCATTTTGGGGACTGGGGCCTGATAAACCATAACTCCTTTTCTTCTGGCCCTCCAATATTAAAAAACCCTCCATCCTGTCCTTCCTGCCTTCTTGCCTTTGTTTTTTTCTTGCAAGACTCTTCAGGTCTCAGAGTACCTAATATACAAAAGTGCGTAATTATAATAGTAACTCAAATAGATGTCACCTGGTACTTTAGTTACATTAAGAACACAACCCTCTTATTACCTATTCCCAGGGACTTTTCATCACTGAACAGTCTGGCAAAGACTTTGATAGCTTACAATTACCAAAAGTTTGTGCCAGAATAACAGAAATTTCTCAACCACTTATGCAGAGCCATCGATTTTATCCACACTACACAATTCAACTGTGGTTCATTTTTAACCTCTGGAGTTATAACGCAAATTCAGGAGTATATAAATGTGTTATAGACATAAATAGGTATCAAGTTTCAGTTATGCAAAATAATTAAGTTCTAGTAATCTGCTGAACAACTTTGTGTGTGTAGCTAACAATACTGTATTGCACACTTAAAACTTTCAGAAGGTAGATCCATGTTAAGTATTCTTACCACAATAAAAAGTTACCTTTAAATGACTGACTTTTCACAGCTTCTAAAGATTAGGAAAAAGGGAAAAATAAATTACTTTCTTTTTAGAATAAATTATGCTTTATTGTATAATCTCTTCTCTATCACTGGTTGCTTTTATTCCGCCCTCTTTGTTTCTCTTTTCTTCTCCTGACCTTTAACAATAACCTTCAATACTTAATCTTTTTTCCTCATTTCTCAGCATTTGATCCTGCAGAGAGTAACTGACTTGCTCCAAGTTTTGAAATCATCTCCCAGTGGATGAATCTAGATATTTTAGTCTTTCACACTGTTTTTGAGCTCTTGGACGTTATGCACACCCGAAGTATAACGCAGAAAACTAAGCTAGTTGCCTTCCTTCCTTAAAGACACTTTTCCATCTGCTCGTTCATAAGTATTAGCATGTCTTCCTTCCTCACATTTCTTTATCTCATCAGACTTTTATTCTTAGGCTTTATTCTTCTATTCTATTTTTTCTTCCTGCTTTACCTTGGAACCACTCTCTAATGATATAATTCTTTGTTATTGCTAAAGCCACCACCCTCAAGCAAACCCCACAAAGCAAACCTGGGCTAATGTTTGGATTTACTGCTTTCTTCTTATATATAGTGACTCCAATTCTTATGTATATTATTTCACTCTTTTTAAGGTGTTCTAGTTAGTTTTAACATCAAAGTTTGTATAAAAGTTTAACTTTAAAGATTTTCATTAAATCATACTCAGAGTCTCAGATTCATTTCTCAAAATTCATCTTTCATTATTATTAATGATTCATCTGTTTCTTTCAAGTGAACCACTTAAATTCAATCCCCTAACTACATCTAACTACATTGATAATTATTGTCTTCATGACTTTTCTGTCATGTTTGTGTGTGAATATATATATGAAATACATACATATATTGTGTATGTGTGGATATATATATATGAAATACATATATACATAAGTATTTCACCTAAAATATTTTCACTCTTTCCTGCTCAACAATTGGTACTATTTTCTTCAAGGTGTAGGTGGAACCATTTATCCTTGAACAATTCTAATTCATATCTTTCCTATATTCTTTATTTCCTTGACACTTAGTCATTTATTTATATTATCTTATTTTACATGTTTCTATTTGACATTAATTTTTCCTAGTTTTTTTTGATACTAAACTATAAGCTCTTTAATTGGCTAAGATCTGTGATAGCTTTTTTCTCTTTCCAGTGATTATACGATGTGAAGTATTTGATAATTGTTTATGAACCAACAAAAGCATTTGATAATTGTTTATGAACTTACAAAAGAACACCATGGCATTACCAGAATCTTTTCAGCCAAATACAATAATCTAAATGAGTTTAATTCTTAATAGGAACTAAGGAAGATATAACATATGAATGTAAATTGTCTGAGTTAAAATTATATCTTAATCATGGACACATTAATTAATTTTGAATTTCCATTATCTTATTTTAGATTTTTGTTGGAATTTCCAATGTCATCTTCATGACGTGTATTCACATGTTAAATGGTTCATATTTCATGGGCCTTCCACATCTTAATCAGTTTCACATGGAATGATTGGTTTAGGAATACATATTTAATTTTTGAATTAAGTCCCATTGGTTGATAAAATAATTGATATTAAGTCTCTCAAAAATTGCAAACATTCATTAATTAAACACTCAATAGGTTCGGGCAGTTACGGTTAGTACTTCCCCATTGATGTTCACTGCATTTATCACAGTATTACAGCTATTTCCAAGACCTTATACATACTAATGTCAAGATATCTAGAGTTATGGTTTACAATGTGCTAAAGTATGCCCAATTAGTATAAAATAACATTGTATTGTTATCTATGATGCTCATGTTGATAGTAATATATAACGATGCTATGCTGAAGATGTAGCTGCAGAGGCAATATCAATTATGCTTTTCCAACTTATTTTCCCATATAGAAAGAAGGTAAAAGTAAAAAATAAGAAAGGGTAAGAAAAATATCTGAAAGAGTATTTCTGCCAGTGATGCAAATCTAAGTTTGAAGTGTGTCTGTAAGATCTATACCCATTCTCCACTAGCATTCCTGCAATGACTCATGGATTTCAGGATAGCATTTTAAATCTTTGATCATAGCGTGGTTCTATGGTCTTGACTGAGGTTAAGATTATGGTGAAGATCATAGCATGGTCTTAACTATGTCTCTTGAGGACTTTTTTTGTACTTCTTACTATTGCTGCTTTCCCACTAGGAATGTCCTTCATCTTTCTTTCCTTCCAATTCCTACTCTTTAAAACTCAACTGGACCAGTCACTCCTCCTCCAGCCTTTCCTAATTATACTATACTATGTGATTTAGATGGGGGTCCTTTGGCTCCCATAGCCCTGTGTGCTTCATTTAATCACAGAACTTAGACAATCATTGACTTACTTATCTGAATCTTTTATTTGGTTGTAAGTTCCTGAAGGGAAGAAATCACACCTAATTCGATCACACACCAACACCTAGTACAATGTCTGACATGGTCTTGGTCTGTTTGGGCTTCTATAGAAAAACACCATGGACTGGGTGGCTCATAAACAACAGAAATTTATTTCTTACAGTTCTGGAGGCAAGTCCAAGATTAAGGTGCCAGCAGATGATTCTGTGTCTGGTAAGAGCATGCTTCCTGGCTCATAGAGGGCCATGTTTTCACTGTGTGCTCATTTGGCAGAAGGAGGAAGGAATCTCTGTGGAGCCTCTTTTTTTAAAAGCATAAATCCCATCATAAGGGATCTGTCCTTATACACTAATCACCTCCCCAATACCCCTCCTCCAGACACCACCACATTGCTGATGAGGTTTCGCCATATAAAATTTGGGGACACAAACATTTAGTCTGTGACAGACATACAATCAATATATTTTTAAATGAAAACATGATTGATTTTGATAAACTAGATTTAAAGTTAGGCTAATTATCTTGAAATTATACACATTTCATATGGGAATGTCCTTTACTTAATATATAGTTCCCCCAATAGCACTAGTCTGTGTATATTATATAAATGTGTAAAATAACCTGCAAGATATAGATTATTAGGTCAGGAAAGAAAGAAAAGAGGTAATCTAAAATATCTCCATTAAAAGTTTGACTATTAGTAGTACATAGGGTAATATCAAGCAATGTTGCATAAAGGTCAATATAATATTTATATTTGGTAACATACCTTATGAGTTACAATGAAATTAAGGATTTATTTACCTTTAGTTTTACTGCAACAAAATTTAAGTGTAACTGCTAATAATAACAGCTAATAGCTTTTCAGTGATTGAGTTTTAAAAATATTTCTGCATAAAAGTGTGGTGATTTAGACCACAGAATGTGGAATCAGACAGAAAATTTCTGTCTTGGCTTTCTCACTATTACTTCTTTGAGCTCTTAATAGATAGAGTTGTTTGACTACTGTATCAAATTCCTAACCCAGGGCTGGTTACAGAAATGCTTAATACATAGTTTTTGTGCTGATGTGGAATTCAGGCATCTTTGAAAACAGCATTATTTTAGTAGTAATATTACAGTTTCATCCTTCAAAATGTGTTGAATAGCAAGTAGGATTTAGGAAAAGAAAACACAATGAAATATTTCTTTTAAAGGTGTTTTCATACTAGGAATAGGTGAAGGGGTAACATAATATCTATCATGAAGTAGATAACAATAAGAACAATGATTGTTCTAAACTTCAGGTAAAGACCTCTAGGTAGGCATAGAAAGAAACTCTGGACACTGGAATACAATAAGAAGTGGTTGAATATTGTTTTAGAAAACATTAAATTCAGAATAATCAATCAAATGTAATTGTGAATCACCTGATAATAGACCTCTAAGCATTTCAAATGGAGTAATTATAGTTCAATGGACATCGAACTGTTTACCTATTACCTATTATACTCACACATGATAGACAGTATGAAATATGATGACATCTTTCACAAATCTGATGTTTCAGGTGCCTGAGCTATTTTTACATATTTTGCATGTGTAGCTTATATTGCACCTCTCTCATGAAACTTTTTCAACCTCTAAGTTCCTATAACACACAGGTACCACTAAAGTTTCCACTGGATTATATTCTGTCTTATGTTGTCCTTTACTTGTTTCCAGTCATCCCCCAAATTATACTTACTAGAAAGAGAAGATGATTTTTTTCCTTATCTTCTTAACGTAATAGATAGAATTGTTGGATTATTGTATCAAATTCCTAGCCCAAGGCTGGTTACAGAGAAGCTTAATCCATACTTTTTGTGCTGATGTGGAATTCCGGCATCTTTGAAAACAGCATTAATTCTTTCAGTATATGAATATATTTACTGCACTGGGAAGAAACTTAGATATAATATTTTTCTTATTATTCTAATTCTTTGTTCGTTATGAATTTAAAATTAACTGGTCTCACATCTGCCTCCTGTGTTTCTCACATTGCTAGAAAAGTATGACTAGAGACTGTGTTGGAGTGTTGCAGTTCTGGGAGAATATCTTAGAACCTAATGTGTCATAATCACATGTGTTTGACTTTGCAGTATTTTGAGACAACTGTGAGGCTGGTCTCCAAGGAGCATGGTCAGAAATAAAAATTTCTGTGTCTGAGATGACATCCTGAATGACATCTCTGGACCTGTGTGTTCTCGTTCTCTCTCTCTCTCTCTCTCTCTCTCTCTCTCTCTCTCGCGGTTTGGATGATCTTAAGGAATGGGGCATGTTTTTTACCCATAGTTGATAGTAAAATCGTCCTTGCAAGAAGGTTGATTCAAGTTCAACCACATGCTCAATAATTGGCTGGAGAGAACCTCATTGTATAAGGGTACTAGTAAAAAGGGTAGATAGATTGTCAGTGTTCCAGTTAAGTGGGCTGAGTTTCAGGCTAGCAGACCAGCCTAAGAAAGGAAATGGAACATTTGTCTAAAACTAGGTTAGGACTCAGTAATTGAGACTCAATACATGAACTTCAGTTGAGGCTCAGTTGGCAGTTAGCACATGGGAAACTCTGCTGCTGGGGTGGAGGTGACTGACACAGCTAAATTTGGCTCTCTGTGGTTTCTGAAGCCATGCATAATAGAATTTGTAGAATGTTAATATGAGAAAAATTTTTAAAAATTGCCTTTAAGTTGCTTTGTTTTTTAACCTAAGATACTAAATTGTTAGTTGGATAGGAGTTTTTCCTTTTATCCTTTATTAATTTTTATTTCATGAGCCCAGTGTGGCAGACACTGTTTTAGGTCCTGTGGATACAGCATGAAGAACTTGGAACAGTACTGGAGGAATAAGTGTCAAGAATTCATTATCTAGTCTGCTGATACCCAGGCTACTCCTTGGGGTATTCGGCTTGGTACTGAGAAGTGTCTAAGTTGGTAACGAACAGTCCATCAATATGGCAAATGAAACTGTGCTTCTGACCATTTGTGGCCAATAAAATGTGACTGAACTTTCAGGTAAATGGAATACACACACACACACACACACACACACACACACAAACATATCTATATATTTCATTTTATTCAGTGACATATATATATATTCATGTTTTAAATCATGATTTATAGCAGTATTATTCATATTAGTCTTCTGCAAACCCATGTTTTAAATTTGAAACTAATTTATTTAATTGTTGGTTCTTTCCATTTTTATTCCTAGGTACTTTGGTGCACCTTATCATAACTCCTTTACTGTAATATTTTTCCACACTATCCATGTTTTTTACATTTATCTGTAGCGTCAGAATTCATGCTAATGTATACCTCATAGATTTTTTTTCCTATTTCATAGATAATGCCATTTTCAGTTAGAACAACCAAGATGCAGGGACTCAGAACAGAACTATCTCATAAGAATAGTCAACATGTCTTTAGTGACTGTCAAGAACAGAATATCACCAGGTAGTACAATGCATTTTAGCATTCTAGGACTTTATTGCTTCTAAAATTCTGTTTCTCTATACTGATTGACTGAAAATTTTTTGCTCTGGAAGCTGGATATTTTCATTCCAAGACCCAAAATACAACTCCTTTATATGAATGAAATGTTAACAATGAAGAAATAGTGAAGGAATTATTTTATAAAGTTGTACCTTAAAAATTTAAGAAAAACTAATCTTTTAGCATAAATATTCTCTTATGGCTAATAAACACAGGAACTATACCTAAGGTCTTTGTTTAAGCTAATTATAATTTTTAAAAAGATGAGTAAAGATATTTATTTTTTCCACTCTAAAAACCATCCCCTTTATTAAATTAGCTTGTCAAAGATTTAAATTAAGGGGTGATATGCACAACAGGAATAGAAAATGGAATTAACAATGAAAGCTATTCAGCAGTAAACAGAGATAAATGTGGCTGCCCACTTGCTGATTCAAATAGACTATGCAGGGTTTTCATATTACAGTCTGTCTGCATAAATCACGCATTTTTTACACAAAGAGTAAAAGCCTTATTAGCAGCCATAGCCCCACGTGAAAAGGTTGTGTATATTTGCAACAAAATAATACTTTGTATACAGAACTAACATTCCTTTTGTAGCAATAGGAAGTATTCTTTCTGCCTTTTTACTATTTTCTTGTTAGTCTTCTTTGAACATACAATTCAGAAATTGGTAGCATTTTCTGCACATGCAAATCAGTAGCATCTCTGGACTTGGCTGATAGTGATGGGTCAGGTATTTCATGCAGTAGCAATGCTAACCACCATTCACCAGTGATCACTGTGTCCCAGTCACAGTGCAAAAGATTTGACAGATACTTTCCCATTTACCAAAACAACCATATAATGTAAATCCTGTTATTATTACTAACATACAGATGAGAAAACAGACTGGCAGGAACAGGGAGGGATTCAAATTTTCTGGTTCACTAGATTTCAAGACCAGCACTTTAAAGCTCAGGCTAAATTTTAACTCTTTTCTTATAAATGACATGTTATTATTTTCCCTCATTCTCCATATTTAGGACTTTAACTTTGTGCTCCTAGTATCAATACTATTAATAATATTATTTACTTTTCCATTGTATGTCCTCAAAGCATTGTGGTGACCAACTCTCCTTGATGAGGTAGATGGATGAGGGATAAAATAATAGACTGTCAGAATGGAAAGGAACCTTACAGTTCATCTAGTTTTATTTTTTAACTTGGTAGCATAAGGAAATTTTGGAGATGGTACAGGTGGATGAGAAAGTATATCCTAGTGGTCTGAAACAAATGACAGATGCTGATGACAGGTGACAGAACTAAAGCTGAGTATAACGAAGGGCCTATTGCTCTATATCTGCTTCCTGAGCCAGAAGCTAGTGATTCGTTTGTGCCCTCTTCATAATCTCCATTTACCTGACAGCAGTAAGCATCAGCACAGGAAAAAGGGAATTTAATAGTATGCTGGGCCACATTTTCCACTTTTATCGGTCACTATGACTTTCCCAAACAACTAATATCTGACTCTGGGCCACAAGAGGACCAAGGTAAAATGCATACTAATTTTCAAAAATAATTACTTAGGCCAGGCATGGTGGCTCATGCCTGTAATCCCAGCACTTTGGGAGGCTGAGGTGGGTAGTCACTGGAGGTCAGGAGTTCTAGACCAGCATGGCCAACATGGTGAAACCCCATCTCTACTAGAAACACAAAAAATTAGCCAGGCGTGGTGGTGAGCCCTGTAATCCCAGCTACTCGGGAGGCTGAGACAGGAGAATCGCTTGAATCTGGGAGGCAGAGGCTGCAGTGAGCCAAGATAGCGCCACTGCACTCCAGCCTGGGTGACAGAGCAAGACTCCATCTAAAAAAAATTATATATATGTGTGTGTGTGTGTATATATATATATATAATTATTTAATAATTATGATAATAAAATTAGACTTCTCAGATAAATTACATGTTTTATCCTTTTCAGGTACTACCTGAACATTAAAATGTATTTTATATTTCTTAAATTTGTACTGAAATGACATTTCTCCCTCAAAAAACATTAGTTTTGTTCTTTGTGACCCTGAAGTTTTTGTAGTTGAATAATAGCTAATTATTTCAGTACTTTCTATATGTCAAAAACTTTAGATGAATAATCTTACTTATTAGATTGTGACTATCCTTCTTCATCCAATGGAAAAAGAGAAGCTTGTGGAGCTTACGAAAATTACCCAAGTCCATGCATTTAGTAAATGGAGAAGCTAGAATTTAAGCACAGATGAGGCTATTAATCATTCATGGTTCATTCAACAAATATTTACTGAATACCTGTTCTATGTTGGATGTAAATTCTCAGCATAAAAGAGCAAAAAAATCGTGATATCTTCCTCATGGTGCTTTTAGACTAACAAGAGGTACAGATACTGAACAAAAAGCACACTTATTAATATATATGTATGAAAGGGATAAGGATTCCACAGGAAAAGCACAGAGCCATAAGAATCTATAGAAGAGGAATTTTCTCTGTTTGCAGGATCAAGGAAGACTCCTGAGGAAGTCACATTTCACCTGAGGTCTGAAGGACAAACGTTTATTAAACAAATAAAGGGGGAAGGGTAGGGATGAGGACTAGAGAATGTTTTAGGAAAGGGAACAGCATGAACAAAGTCCCAGCTTATCCAAGCACATGAAGCAACACCAGTGTGAGCGCTACATGGAAAAATGAGGGAAGATACAGAGGTTGGCACTGCTGCCTATGAAATATCTTTTGGTCACTGAAGGACTTTGGTTTTTTTAAAGGGCAATAGAAAGCGATAGTTTTTTTACATTACTATTTTACTTTTATTTTAGGGGGCAGAATGTGAAGACTAGGTTTGGATTTTAAAAACATCATCCTGGCTATAGTATACAAAACAAACTGTAGCAGGAAAATAACAGATGTAGGAGGCACCATTTAGAAGGCAACTGCAGTAGCCCAGATACAAGATGTTAATGTTTGCAATAGCAAGGTAGCAGTGAAAGTGGAGAGAATTGGATGGATTATAGAACAATTTAAGAGATAAAATCACTGACGTTTGGTGATCGATTAAAAATGGAAGGTAAAGAGAAAGACGTTTCAAAGATAATTACCAGATTTACTGCTTGCATAATCAATATGTATGCTGCCTCTCTGTACCCCAAAATAGAGGAAGATTTTTTACAGCAGAAAACTTTACTCTATGCCCTTAAATAAAATACTTCTCTGATCCTTATCCTCAAAAGAGGGTTAACCATCCCTGCTGATCTCACAGTTACAGACAGGGAGGGCCAAATGAACATGAGTTTTGCTGAATTCAATTCTGTGGGTACAGATCTCAGCCTCCTATTCTACAGACTCTGTCTCCACGGGCAAGGGAGGCTTTCCAAGTCTTCAGTTCCCATTCGATAGATTAGAGATAGTAATAGTATCTAATGCATAGAGTTATCATAAAAAGTAAATAAAATCATCCAAGTGGCTTAGTTGTTAGTTTACATTTTGCCAAATGGGATTTTCACCAAAAAAATGTTTCTGCCCCTCTTTCTCACATTCTCTTCTCCTCTATCCCCTATTTCTTCTGCACCTTTTCTTCCTTCTGCACCACCTTTTCCTTCTTTCTCCTCCTCCTCTTTCTTATTCACTAACCTAAATTCCATCACAGCATATTTTTTCATTATCTCTTTTATTTTAGTTTTCTTTACATTCTCATTCCCATCATCAAGTATCAGCCTTTGTTTTTTAATTCCTCTACCATGATGAACGGTGTCATTGCTTCTAGTCTTGTGGCTTTCAAATCATGTGACATGCTGCTGTTAGATTAATGTCCCCAAATTACGAGTTTTGTTATGTCCCATGGTGCTGCTCAGAACGTTGTACAGATCCTCATTCATGGTAAGTGGAATGAAATATAGTGAAGAGTTTTTGGGCTGAGACAATGGGGTCTTCTAGATATACAATCATGTCGTCTGCCAACAGGGACAATTTGACTTCCTCTTTTCCTAATTGAATACCCTTTATTTCCTTCTCCTGCCTAATTGTCCTGGCCAGAACTTCCAACACTATGTTGAATAGGAGTGGTGAGAGAGGGCATCCCTGTCTTGTGCCAGTTTTCAAAGGGAATGCTTCCAGTTTTTGCCCATTCAGTATGATATTGGCTGTGGGTATGTCATAGATAGCTCTTATTATTTTGAGATACATCCCATCAATACCTCATTTATTGAGAGTTTTTAGCATGAAGTGTTGTTGAATTTTGTCAAAGGCCTTTTCTGCATCTGTTGAGATAATCATGTGGTTTTTGTCTTTGGTTCTATTTATATGCTGGATTACATTTATTGATTTGTGTATATTGAACCAGCCTTGCATCCCAGGGATGAAGCCCACTTGATCATGGTGGATAAGCTTTTTGATGTGCTGCTGGATTTGGTTTGCCAGTATTTTATTGAGGATTTTTGCATCAATGTTCATCAAGGATATTGGTCTAAAATTCTCTTTTTTGGTTGTGTCTCCGCCCAGCTTTGGTATCAGGATGATGTTGGTCTCATAAAATGAGTTAGGGAAGATTCCCTCTTTTTCTATTGATTGGAATAGTTTCAGAAGGAATGGTACCAGTTCCTCCTTGTACCTCTGGTAGAATTCAGCTGTGAATCCATCTGGTCCTGGACTCTTTTTGGTTGGTAAGCGATTGATTATTGCCACAATTTCAGATCCTGTTATTGGTCTATTCAGAGATTCAAATTCTTCCTGGTTTAGTCTTGGGAGAGTGTATATGTCGAGGAATTTATCCATTTCTTCTAGATTTTCTAGTTTATTTGCGTAGAGGTGTTTGTAGTATTCTCTGATGGTAGTTTGTATTTCTGTGGGATCAGTGGTGATATCCCCTTTATCATTTTTTATTGCGTCTATTTGATTCTTCTCTCTTTTTTTCTTTACTAGTCTTGCTAGCGGTCTAACAATTTCATTGATCCTTTCAAAAAACCAGCTTCTGGATTCATTAATTTTTTGAAGGGTTTTTTGTGTCTCTATTTCCTTCAGTTCTGCTCTGATTTTAGTTATTTCTTGCCTTCTGCTAGCTTTTGAATGTGTTTGCTCTTGCTTTTCTAGTTCTTTTAATTGTGATGTTAGGGTGTCAATTTTGGATCTTTCCTGCTTTCTCCTGTGGGCATTAAGTGCTATAAATTTCCCTCTACACACTTCTTTGAGCCCAAAATCTCCTTAAGCTGATAAGCAACTTCAGCAAAGTCTCAGGATACAAAATCAGTGTACAAAAATCACAAGCATTCTTATACACCAAGAACAGACAAACAGACAGCCAAATCATGAGTGAACTCCCATTCACAATTGCTTCAAAGAAAATAAAATACCTAGGTTCCAACTTACAAGGGATGTGAAGGACCTCTTCAAGGAGAACTACAAACCACTGCTCAATGAAATAAAAGAGGATACAAACAAATGGAAGAACATTCCATGCTCATGGGTAGGAAGAATCAATATCATGAAAATGGCCATACTGCCCAAGGTAATTCATAGATTCAATGCCATCCCCATCAAACTACCAATGACTTTCTTCACAGAATTGGAAAAAACTACTTTCAAGTTCATATGCAACCAAAAAAGAGCCCACATTGCTAAGTCAATCCTAAGCCAAAAGAACAAAGCTGGAGGCATCACGCTACCTGACTTCAAACCACACTACAAGGCTACAGTAACCAAAACAGCATGGTACTGGTACCAAAACAGAGATATAGATCAATGGAACAGAACAGAGCCCTCAGAAATAATGCTGCATATCTACAATTATCTTATCTTTGACAAACCTGAGAAAAACAAGTAATGGGGAAAGGATTCCCTATTTAATAAATGGTGCTGGGAAAACTGGCTAGCCATATGTAGAAAGCTGAAACTGGATCCCTTCCTTACACCTTATACAAAAATCAATTCAAGATGGATTAAAGACTTAAACCTCACACCTAAAACCATAAAAACCCTAGAAGAAAACCTAGGCATTACCATTCAGGACATAGGCATGGGCAAGGACTTCATGTCTAAAACACCAAAAGCAATGGCAACAAAAGACAAAATTGACAAATGGGATCTAATTAAACTAAAGAGCTTCTGCACAGCAAAAGAAACTACCATCAGAGTGAACAGGCAACCTACAAAATGGGAGAAAATTTTCGCAACCTTCTCATCTGACAAAGGGCTAATATCCAGAATCTACAATGAACTCAAACAAATTTACAAGAGAAAAAGAAACAACCCCATCAAAAAGTAGGCGAAGGACATGAGCAGACACTTCTCAAAAGAAGACATCTATGTAGCCAAAAAACACACGAAAAAATGCTCACCATCACTGGCCATCAGAGAAATGCAAATCAAAACCACAGTGAGATACCATCTCACACCAGTTAGAATGGCAATCATTAAAAAGTCAGGAAACAACAGGTGCTGGAGAGGATGTGGAGAAATAGGAACACTTTTACACTGTTGGTGGGACTGTAAACTAGTTCAACCCTTGTGGAAGTCAGTGTGGCGATTCCTCAGGGATCTAGAACTAGAAATACCATTTGACCCAGCCATCCCATTACTGGGTATATACCCAAAGGACGATAAATCATGCTGCTATAAAGACACATGCACATGTATGTTTATTGCAGCACTATTCACAATAGCAAGGACTTGGAACCAACCCGAATGTCCAACAATGATAGACTGGATTAAGAAAATGTGGCACATATACACCATGGAATACTATGCAGCCATAAAAAAGGATGAGTTCATGTCCTTTGTAGGGACATGGATGAAATTGGAAATCATCATTCTCAGTAAACTATCGCAAGAACAAAAAAACCAAACACGGCATATTCTCACTCATAGGTGGGAACTGAACAATGAGAACACATGGACACAGGAAGGGGAACATCACACTCTGGGGACTGTTGTGGGGTGGGGGGAGGGAGGAGGGATAGCATTGGGAGATATACCTATTGCTAGATGACGAGTTAGTGGGTGCAGCGCACCAGCATGTCACATGTATACATATGTAACTAACCTGCACATTGTGCACATGTACCCTAAAACTTGAAATATAATAATAATAAAAAATAAAATAAAAAAAATGAAAAGAAAATATAGTGAAGAGTTAGTCCTCTGGAATAAGAAAGATTTTTGTTGTTTTGTTTTTTGATTCAGACACTCATCAATTTTGGGGGAAATCGTTGCATACCTTCAGGGTTTAATGTTTCCTTTTATAAAATGAAGGTAATAACTCCTTACAGGCTTGTTGTGAAGATCAGCTAAGATGATGAATTCAGAAGCGCAGAATCATGTCTCATACATCTTAAGAGATGCCCAACATTTGATAACATTATCTTGGCATGAATGTCACGCTTCTAAGTATACTGTTGAATATCTTCCAAATCCGATGTGTATTTTTATTATAATGTCTCATAACCCACTTTTCAGTAGAGCCTTCCAAGGGGAATTTGGTGCTTAACTTAACCCCTCTTCATTCTCTAAACACACTTAGTGTCTTCCAAGCTTCATCTGCTGTTTCATTCTATACTTTATTCTCCACTTCCATTTATTGATAGTCTACCCATCCTTCAAGTTTTAAACACTGTAGCAGAACTAATCTTATTTTCCTGAGGGCTGCAAAGGCATTTTGTTAACTACCTTGTGTTGTGTCTGTGTAAACTTCTTGAGGATGGGGATCGCCCTTATTTATATTTACAACCCTCACAAGGCCTAGCACAGTACATTTCCCATTGAATAAATGTTTGCTAAGTAAATTGGTGAATTTAATGCTCTCTTCATTTAAAATCTGAGAATACTTGGGCTGGAGCCATAAAAAAACTTCATAAAACTGAGAAGAGCAGGACAAATATAGCAAATTATTGGAAATTGCCTCCATGTAAGAGTAATAGATTCTCTCTACATCATATATATGTACATATATATATTGCTATTTTATAAGGTTTTGCATGGTTTCTTTTAAATGTGAATTTAAGGCAATTTCTACCTTATAAACACTTGTTAGAAATGATATAGTGCTATTTTATTTCTCTCTTTTGAAAGTCAAAATAGAGTTGAAATCATATTAGGTTACAGATTATCCTTTAGTTATAGTCTACCAACATCAAGTGAACTGCTAGGTAGTAACAAAAATACCTCTTTTATACTCTAATTTTCAACCATTATCTGTAAGGAAGACATTGCACAGGACTATACCTACAAAAATAAAATTATATATAATTATATATTTATAAATATATATAATTTTATTTTTAAAAATATATAAATAAAATATATAAAAATAAAATTAGATATAATTATATATATTTATATATAAAAATAAAATTATACACAATTTTATTTTTATATAAGTGTGATCTAGATTAGTTACATTACCACTGAGCAGGTTTGGCTATAAATGCAATTATTCAAAATGATGATTGTTTATGGATTTCTTGATTTTATATATTCAAGTTGCTTTGAGGCTATTTTACATCTGAATTTACTTTTATAACAAAGAAATACTTAGTTGCCTTAAATTTTTGTAAATTTAAATTGCTTTGTTTAAATCTCATGAAAATATAAACAGTTGCTTATAAAGCATAATTGTTTTCATAGTCCTCATTTTAAATTTAAACGAAACTGATGATTTCAAACTAAGATTGCTTAATACTATTAAATGTGTTTGTGACTCCTATATACATCCAGAAAAATATCCATAAAATATATTTATGTGGGTCATTGGTCAACTAAATTAAGCTTTTCATCTTTTCTAATGTTTATGAAAAGAGTATATAGGAATCTGTATTATTCATTATGGGTTTCATTTATCTGCATTCTGGTAGTTTAATAATCTCTTACTTATAACTCATATTTCTTACTAATAACTCATATTTCTAAATTGAAGGGCTCACAGACGTATATTACCTAATGTGAGAACTCAACTAGAACATGCTGAATATAAAAATTATTGTTATTAAAGGAACTGAAAATTAAGTTTGCTCACAAAACATCATTCTTCTATGTGTGAACAGATGTATCAGCTACTAAAGGACACAACATTGCTTTGATTAAAGCATGAATCAGTCTACTTAATCTGTTTCAGTAGTCCATCCCAATATTATCAAAGTTACTGTTTAATACATTCCTTTTTCCTTGGTAAACTGACTAGACTGATTGGATTCATTGTTCAAAATAATTAACTGCCATTACCACAAATCAAATTTCTATAGTAATGGAAAAAGAAATAAGTGTGGCCTATATCCATTCTTGGTTGATATTTTGTCATAGCAATGTACTTTCATATATTATTTAATGGCCTTAGCAGTCACATTATATCAAGAAAGAAAAAACCTAAGACTCTGCCTAAACTATCAAAATGACTTTTTTGACATAAAACACTTGAATAGCATTGGTACTAAGATAATTAAAAAATAGTATTGATTTAGGCAGATCTTAGGCAGTAGAAAAATTATACAATATTCATTAATTACATATAATTGAAATATATATAACCACCTTACCTGCCATAAGATTCAGACTATGATAAACAGCAGGTTGATAGCACATCAAGGAAAAAATGAAGCTATGCTTCATAATTAATTAGTGATTGCAACATAAAATATTCTTAGAGCTTATTACTTCCATGATGAACATAGCATTGAAGTATTCTATTTGGAGAGATTAATTAAGCATTGTGAAAAATAAAGAGTATATATACTTAGTATTTAATTAAGGACTATTGATTTGATGATTATCTGGTGAATTTCTAAGCACAAATTCTATGGAAATGAGAAATTTGCCTACAAAATCTTAAACAACTTACTGTACATAGTGTGGGGAAGATGATGAAATAAAATCCAATGGGATAATTGAAAACTTTGATAAAATATGAAGCAGGATATTTTTCTGGTCTTGGTTTTAAAATGACTTGGAAAATAACAGAGCAGAGGTCAAAACAAAGTTGCTTTAGAAGTTCTGAATCAAAGCCTGTGACTGTGGGCCAAAAGTGATCAAGGAGATGAATTCTAAATGAATGTCAAAGATGGTACTTTTAAAGTTTGCCAGAAATTGGAATACTAGGTCAAGAGCTTTGAATATTTTTCCTCTAACATAACTAAGTAGATGGCTAGCCAAATATCTTTAACAAAGATTCCTCTATGGTATGCTTAGCACTCTAAAGGGGTGAATACATGATGATGAATTATTTATGATTCAGATATGAAAGTTGTCATTTATACTGTTACTGAAAGAGAGACAATGTAAAGTTCTTAAATTGTGAATGAAGACTACTGATTAAATTTCCAACCATTAAGAGGCATTAATTCAAAGAGGTTTCACCCTTTGTAGCCTTGCACATTTTAGAAACTGACAATAATATTATGGCTCCCTCTGGTACAATTTTATTAGTAAAGGTAAATATCTGATTTAATTTCTTCATGTTTCATTACTGAATATAAGCAGAAGTTTTAAAAGTATAATAAAAACAGACTCAACAATATTACTGAATTCATTCATTTATTCATTCATTTATTTGTTCATCAAATACTCACTGAGATCCTACTATGAACCAGGTACAGAGCCAGATAAGGTGATGCAAAGGTAACAGAACTACTCTTAATGATTATAGTTTACTGGAAAGAGTGACCCAAAGAAATAAATATAATTTACAGCATGATAAGCATTTTAATAGAATAAAGGGTAATGAGGGAGCATTAGAGGTTTGGGTGGGGGAATGGTGAGTATAGAAAAAAATGACTTATTAGGAAGAGAGACTATTGCAATAATAAAAATAACTACTTAAAGATTGATGTTAAACAGAAGAGAAGAATATTCTCATGTGAATCTTTATTAAATCTTAACTTTTCAGTGACAACATTCCTTTTCTAAAAAAAGTGAAGTAACTAATGCTGAAGAAATTCCTAGTTACTCATAGAAGAAAGATGGAAAGACACATTTATTAGTCACCATTTCTGGTGGGCAATAGAACAAACCTATTTCCTCTATGAAATCAAAAGTTTAGCTTCGATAACTCTGAAGTCTTTTTTGCTTTATTCCATGTCATTGCTGGGTTATGTTTATAAAAACTGGAGCATAGAATCAATATAAATATCCAGAGAATTCTGCCCAACTGAATTTAAGTTTATGAAAACCACTATGATTAAGTGTGATGCATGTGATAACTTTAGGTTCAAATCGACAGTAAGTCAGTACTGCACTGGTAGTGGAGGTGTAAGATTTATACTTATTAAATTAAGAAAGATGCCATGACACAATGTCAATCTCACTAGATAAAGCTGGAACTTTTCCTACTAATTCTTCTCACAGTAGGGCCTGAACCAAGCCTAAGCCTTCCTCAATAAAACAAATCTCAGATTCTTCGGTTCTTTCATGGTGAACAAAGTCAAGTTTCCTATATAAATTTAGTTACACCCATTCTGATGCCTCAAGAGAAAAGACAACAGCATACTTAATTATTTCAATGTCCTTTAAATTATCTAAAATTTTACTTATGCATGCAAGGATATAATGAAAAATATTGGGACTACCTTCATATACTTCAGTGAAGCAAGCTTTTTTTGAAATTGTAGATATTTTGTGTCCTGTGAAATTTCAAGTGTGTGAACTTGACACCTGCTCAAAAAGTAAGTGAAGTGAACCTGGTTGATTTTTACTGCCTTTATAAATTAAAACAAAAACAAATAATTGTTATTCAAACACAGTTATTCTCCCTTTTTTATACAAAATTGTCACACTATATATATATATGTATATATCTAGTGTTATGTGTATCCATATGTAAAGTGAGTATATTGCTAGAGTGATATGTATAATATTATATATACACACATACACAAAACATACCATACAATATACATTGTATATATGTATATACACAATATTTTATATACATACATATATATATATATATATATATATATATATAAAATCACTCTAGGAATATACTGACCTTGAGACATTGTAGTTCTGACAGCTGTGTATTGGCCCTGACCTGTTTCCCTCTTTCATCCACTGTTGTGTTGGGACTAGGTCCTTCTTTAAAGAATGTCTGGGCATAGTGCCCAAAATGGTCTGTGACCCAGAAAGAGGATAAACTACCTGGGCCACAGACAGCTCAACCCTATGACCTTGGCCACTTTACCCTGGTGTTCTAATCATCTCAGCTAAGAAGGTTGATATGAATTTATCAACCATACAATATTTTGTCTTCAGTTCTTTGAATTACTCATTGCTCTTTTAACAATTTTATCTTTTTTTTTAAATTACCAAGTCCAGAATATAAAATGAACATTCAGTAAAAATTTTTGGAAATCTCAATTATACTCAGAAAAGAAAGAAATATGTGTAGCAATCTAGAGGTCCTTTCAGAGTATCTGTATTATTCTAATAGCTTTTTTTCAATTCTTACATTCTAAGCTTTTATGTTAGAAATTTGCCAAAGCTGAGAATAAAGTTTGGGCTATAACTATTCAAGTTAATTTAATGTGTGGCATTCATTATTGACAGACATTGTACATCCACGTATTGAAACACTGAAAGCCCTTGAGAGAGCTTTCACCTGCAATAACTTTAAATGCTTCGGAAATGAGGTCATTTTTACTTACAATTCAAGAATTTCCAGTTGATACCATTACTGAGTAGCAGTAATAATGGAGAAGACAATGAAAGAACAGAGTAAGAAAGTGTGCATTATGTTATATGACCATTCTAATCATATCCCCAAATTTTAAAGTAGCATAAATTAGTGACAAAGATTTATTATATGACATGAAGTCTTAACTTTCATAGATTCAGCCAGTATGTCCTGGACTTGGTTCAAATTATTCCCTTCTGTCCATGTATTTCTGATGTTGATGTTAAAAAAAATATTCACTGAGTTACTGCTGAGATTAATGGCTACAAATCTGTGGAAAAACAATTTGTTCCTCTAACTGATGCAAAATTGATTTAAGGAATAAAGACACTTAGCAGCAGAGACAACCCTTGATGGGGGAGGAAACAGAATATAGAGAGACAAGTTTTAATTCTGAACGTGTTATCAGCTATGAGTCTTCATTTCTTAAAATGATAAAATAATCTGGAAGCTTTAAATTAAATAGAAACTATTACATTGTGCATATGCTGCACATTTTGTTTATTCATCTGTTGATGAACACTGAGTTGATTCCATATCTTGGGCCATTGTGAACAGTGCTGCAGTAAACATAGGAATACAGATATCTCTGGACATATGATTTCATTTCTTTTGGGTATATAACCAGTACTCAGTAATGAAACTGCTGGATCACATGGTAGTTTTATTTTTAGGTTTTGTTTTCTTTCTTTCTTTTTTTTTTTAATAGAGATAGGGTCTCACTATGTGGCCCAGGCTTCCCTTGAACTCCTGGCCTCAAGCTATCCTCCTGCCTCAGCCTCCTGAAATGCTGGGATTACAGATCTGAGCCATCTTGCCCCATCTTATTTTTAGTCTCAAAAGGAATCTTCATACTGTTTTCCATTGTGGCTGTACTAGTTTGCATTCCCACTTCCCTTTCTCCAAATGCTCCCCAGCATTTATTACCTTTTGTCTTTTTAATAATACCCATTTTAACTGGGTGAGATAATATCTCATTGTGATTTTCATTTGCATTTCCCTGATGATAAGTGATGCTGACAATTTTTTCATATATCTGCTATCCGTTTGTATGTCTCTTTTTGAGAGATGTCTATTCAGATCTTTTGTTCATTATTAATCACATTGTTTTTTTTTGCTATTGAGTTGTTTGAGTTCTACATATAATTTGGATATGAACCCCTTATTAAATGTATAGTTTGCAAATATTCTCCATCATTCTGTAGATTTTCTCTTCACTCTGTTGATTGTTTCCTTTGCTGTGCAGAAGCTTCTTGGTTTGATGAAATCCTATTTTTCTACTTTTGCTTTCGATGCCTATGCTTTTGAGTTCTTGTTCAAAAAATCTTTGCCCAGACCAATGCCATAAGGCATTTCCCTTATTTTTCTTCTAGTCTTTTTATAGTACATAAGTCTTTAATACATTTTGAGTTAATTTTTTATACAGTGAGGGATAGAGGTCTAGTTTCAGTCTTCTAAATGTACATATTCAGCTTTTCCAGCACCCTTTGTTGAAGAGGTTGTCTTTTCCCCACTACATGTTCTTGACATTTTTGTCAAAAATCAGTTGGCTGTAAGTATACAGGTTTATTTCTGGGTTATCTTTTCTATTTGTCTATGTGTCTATTTTTATGACAGTACCATGCTGTTTGGATTACTGTAGTTTTGTAGTATATTTTGAAGTCAGGTAGTGTAATGACTCTAGTTTGTTCTTTTTGCCTAAGATTGCTTTGGCTATTTGGGTTTTTTGTGGTTCCATACACATTTTTTAAGATGAGTTTTTTTCTATTTCAACACAGTATGTCACTGGAATATTATTTAGCCATAAAAAAGATTGGAATCCTATCATTTGTGACAACATGCATGAACCTGGAGGACACTACATTAAGTGAAGTGAGCTAGGACAGAAAGACAAATATGATATCGTTTATATAAATAATCTAAAAATGCTGGTCTCATTGAAGTAGAGAGTAGAATTGTGGCTACCAAAGATTGGAGAGTGGAAAGGGGCTGGGGTATAATGAGAGATTGATTAACTGTATATATGGTCACAGTTAGACAGGAGGAGTAAGTTCTGGTGTGTTGACTATAGTTAACAATATTGCATGATATATTTCAAAATAGGTGGAAGAGAGAATTTTGAATGTTCTCCCCACAAAGAGATGATGAAAATGCTAAATACCCTGATGTGATAATTATCCAATATATATGTATCAAAACATCTCACTGTAACCCATAAATATGTACAATTTTTATGTCAATTTTTAAAAAGTATAATAAATAAAATAAGCCATGAATTAACTAGAAACTAGTATCATTGCTTAATAATTAGTACAACAATAGGGCTTGTGAGAAAATTATAATATGGATTTCATGGCACTTTCAAAGTATGCCTTAAACATTGTTAAATTGCCCAGCATATAAGTATTTTTAGATTCCTTTTCATACTTCTCATCAAATAAGGAAATTAGGGTTGTCAGTAGAAAAAGTAACTCCAAAACCTGAGAACAAAAAGGACTTGGCAGGTGATATCATGCATACACATCTGTGAATATAAAAAGGCAAGAGATAGTTCACAAACAGCCTATATCATAGTAACATATTTGGGGCAAATGACTAAAATTTCTAGTTGCTACAACAGGTACATAAATAAGGCAATCCGTTCTGTTTATCCTTCAACGTCTATTAATTGAGGGCTTCCTAGGCCAGACCATGCTGGGGATATAGAATGAAAATAGTGACCTGATCTCTGTCTTTGGGGGTTATAGCCAAATGACTAGATAAATTATCAATTACATACAGAATACATACAGGTTACAGAGGAATCCATAACAAAGATAAACTCTACCAGCCACCAGCAGCTTAGAGAAATGTATCAGAAGGAAGTGATTATCTAAGCTGGCACCTGAAGGATGAGTAGGAATTAGCTCAGACAAGAGGAGAGGAGAGTGTTCTAAATGGAAACAACATAATGTATGAATGATGGAAAGAGTGCTTCAGAGAACAGAAAGAATTTTCAGTATCATATACTAATCTGAAATATGCAAGGTGAGATGTCAACAAATGAACCTTCAAAGTAAGATAATACCAGGTCAAGAAATGCCTTGCTTTTTAAAAGTCATAAAATTAGACGTTTATTTTCTTTTCTTTCTTTTTCTTTTTTTTTTAAACAGAGTCTCACTCTGTCACCCAGGCTAGAGTGCAGTGGTGCGATCTCGGCTCACTGCAACCTCTGCCTCTTGAGCTCAAGTGATTCTCCTGCCTCAGCCTCCTTCACAGCTGGGATTACAGGCATGCACCACCACGCCCAGCTAATTTTCTGTATTTTTAGTAGAGATGAGGTTTCACCATGTTGGCCAGTCTGGTTTTGGACTCCTGACCTCAGGTGATCTGCCCACCTAGGCCTCCCAAAGTGCTGGGATTACAGGCATGAGCCACCGCGCCCGGCCAGAGAATGTTTCTTAACATACAATTTTATGCAATAATTAAAAAATCTGTCTTTACTATAACAACTAAGAAATAGAGTTTGTATGAGTAAATAATATTAATGCTTTCAGTAAATAATAATGAAACTGACCCAGAATACCTACAAGGAGCAACTAATAAAACCTTAAGTTGATAACACATACTTAACAACTGAAATGACCTCTAGATATACTGTTTTCCAGGAAATTTGGCAGTTTATGTTTATTTCAATTGGGACAAGTAATGGAATATATGCTTTCATTCAATACGTAGAACAAAATCTTAATAATTTGGTAATAATCTGATTGAAGATCCCTAGTATTTTGCTTTTCTAGACAGAAGATAATAAAATTTCCCAAGACATAACAACAAAAAGAATTCTATTATTTTCAATCATGACAAATACCCATAGGGGAGTTTATAATTTTTCTTAAGCCATACCACTTTATAATAGTCATAAAAAACTCAATAATGACTAAAAGCCATAAATAGCTTCATAAAAATACCTTAAACTAGTTTTATTACCACATAAATATGGCAATGATAGTTATTTGTTATGAAGCTACATGAAACTGTACGGTTATTAAGTACATAAAAGGCTACAGCAAGGTATAAAAAATGCCCATTAGGAAGTCTCCTAGGGCAAAGAATTGTGTGATGATAGTCATATTCCAAATGTCAATCTATACCAGTGATTGGAATGTTAGTTACAAAGAATAATGAAATAATATTACCATTGTAGTGCATCTTATGCAATTCCAGATTTAATTATCCTGGACCCAAAATGAAATTATCATAACTGATGTGATTACACTGAATTACAATATTTAAAACATGTATTTTTAAAATGAATATTAAAACAGACATTCCTTACACCTTGCAGCCTATTCCTAAGTTAATATTGGTAAATATTAACAATGTGGGCAACTTACTGAGAATTCCAGGCCCAATGCCACATTATCCTTTAATATTCATATAAGCAAGGCAAGACTGTTAATTTGGCTTGAAGTATAGGGTAAATTACTACAACTGTTGATTAATTGCTGCCAGTAGTAATCTAAGAGAAATAGTATTATCAAAGGCTAGTATCTTCCCCAAACAAATGACTATGTTAGATGGCTGTTTATACAGTACAAAAAATATAGCATCTTTAACCTGATAAACAACTGTTTCTAATATATAAGAAATGGTTAACTTAATATGGTTCTAATTTCCAGGGACCCATTTTCAGAGACCAAAAAGAGAATCATAGTAACAAACACATCTATGATCTTTTTTTGAGACGGAGTCCCGCTCTGTCGCCCAGGTTGGAGTGCAATGGCGTGATCTCGGCTCACTGCAACCTCCGCCTCCTGGGTTCAAGCAATTCTCCTGTCTCAGCCTCCTGAGTAGCTGAGATTACAGGTGTGTGCCATCATGCATGGCTAATTTTTGTATTTTTAGTAGAGAGAGGGTTTTACCATGTTGGTCAAGCTGGTCTCAAACTTCTGATCTCGTGATCTGCCCGCCTTGGCCTCCCAAAGCATATCTATGATCTTTATGCTACAATTTCTTGTATTTTGTTCCTGTGCTTGGTTATTAACTTTTTTCCTAGATACTCAAGTTTCAAAGCATATTTTTAAAGTAGAATTTTTAATGATTTGTTTTTATTTCAAAATCAAATAAATTTTTATGTCCATTCAAATAGAATTTTCTCAAACTCTAGCTTGGGTTCTTGAAAACTGGGATGGTGAAAAATATGCAAAATATTTCTGTCTGGATAGTGAATAAGCAAACAAACTCTAGAAAGCTTCATGGAGTATTACTGGTACAGCTTCTTTAGGAGAGTTTGGACCCATTTATCAAAATTGAGTGTATCATCTATGTTACAAGTGATCATTAGAAAATGACTAGCTTCATATAAATAGCTCTGGAGGACAGTTCAGTGCTGAGAAAAATTTTACGACCACTTATACAATGCAAGTGACCATTTATCTTTTGCTACCTTATGAAGGCCAAGCATGTGACCAAGTAAATGAATTTTTCCTCATACCTCAATTAAAAGTAAACCTTTTCTGATTTTTGTCTAAGTTTATTTTTATGTAATTGTGAGCCAACCTCTCACTAATTACTGAGACTATAAATTAAATAAAAATTAAATATTCCATGTAGTATGTATGCATTTATAGTTGTCTTAAAACAAACGTGAGTTGAAAGACACTGTTAAGTGTGGGAAGAAAAAAGGTATGAAATAGACTTATCTACATGAACCCAGTAGAGGTGACTTCAAAGTCAACATTCCCATTGCCTGTGGAGCCTATTAAGAAGACAAACACTAGCAATTTGAAGAACAATGTGTTTATTTAAGGAAATACATTCAGCTGTTCCTCTAAGGCAGTTTCAGGTTTACTAGGGGTCAAAAGAATCGTCTAATATGAAATATAACATTTTCCAATGATAGGTAGCCCAAGGCATGGAACATTACAAAAATATATGCCACATACTCTATACGGAGTCTAAGGAAATAAATGTGGACATAATTTTTATTTTAAATACAAATGAAGTTCTAGAGATAATATGTCAATAATAAGAGACCATTAATACTTTGAGTCAATATTTACACACATATAATGTTTTCCTATATAACTAAAGGTGTCAGAAATTCCATTGTTAGAATAAGAGTGTAATTCAGTAAATAGTGCTAAGAAAATCAATAAGTAGAAAAAGGAAAATGAATCAAAAGGTTATGCCAAACAACTTAGCTGTTCTAGATCAAGAAGTGTGTAATGATTCACAATGAATTACTAAAATCACTGCAGAGAACTTCACTTATTCTAAGTTCTGGAAACCTTTCATTCCTTTGCAGAAAAGATAGCATATGAGACAAATACATTCATTTGCAGATATTTTGTTTGCCTATATTTATGTAAAACTTTCCTCAAGATATTTTTTCTGTTTCTATATGATTTAAAGGGTAGGGATATTGGTAAAACTTATATTTTGCTTTTTAAAGTTAATTTATTAGATTCCTTAGGAGATATATAAGGTTGCTTTTTAACTCCACTCAATGTTCATATTTTAATTTAATTTTGGGTGTCCAATTTCCTAGAGATTAGAAATAAAATCATAAATAACATTTTGAAATTATAATAAAAATGAAGTATCACAAATTACTTCATTATTCTATTACATGTTTGATTATTGCTCTCTTATGTAAATTACATTAGTCATCTATAACAAAATGCTTAAAACAGTGCCTGACATATGGTAAACATTCAATATATTTGTCAATTTTATTATCATTACCCAATTCATTTAGAACTACTCAATTTTCCCTTTGGATGAAAACAAAGTTTTAATGATAAAATATGTAAAATTAGAATTCAAATGCTTATAATAAACATTGTAAGTTTAGTTGAAGGTAGATACTTTCTAGAAAAGCTCTGATATGTCACTTGAAAAAATAAAGTCATCTAGTTAATCTATGTTGATGACACTGAACATACTTTCATTTTTTTTGTAGGAAGTTTAACCTTATATATCCTAAAGAGCAACAATGCATATATTCCCTAATGTAATTAGATATTTTTAGTGTATTACATAATCACACTTGGTTAACTGTAACAGCCCTATGCTTTTAATGCCAACTTGTGCTGGCATAATGGCTTATTATACCCACCTCTCCCCTTTTCTTGCCCACTTATGCAATAGCTGGTATTTATTAGATTTAACCATTGACTTACAAAACTGGTGATTTCATATTGCTCAACCAAAAAGATTTCCCAAAACACATAATTATGACAGATCATGGTTTTTAAGAAAGTTGCTTTCTGATGTTTCAAAGATGGCATATGTTAGAGCATAGAAAACACTACTTCCTACACTGCATTGATGCTTATGAATGGTTATCTTTTCTTTAGTCATGTCAAACTGCTTGCATTCATGACAGTATTTTATTTTAGTTTATTGATTAATAAAAATTATATATATATATAATGTTTTCATATATGTACATATTGTGGAGTGGCTAAGTCAACTTAATGAATGAAACATATCCATTACCATGTCTTTTTGTGAAAACATTTAAAATCTACTCCCTTAGCAATGTTCAAGCATATGATATATTGTTATGACTGTAGTCACCATGTTGCACAATAGATCTCCTGAACGTATTGCTTTTATAACTAAAATTTTGTATCTGTTGACAAACATGTTTCCATTGCCCTTCCTGTCCACCTAACCTCTGGTAACCCCCATTCTACTCTCTGCTTCTGTTAATGACTTCCACTATTTTAGATTCCAAATATTAGTGAGATGACACAGTATTTATCTTTCTGTACCTGGCTTATTCATTTAGCATAATGTCCTCTAGGTTTATCCATGTTGCCATAAGTGACAGGATTTCCTTCTTTTTATAGATTGAATAGTATTCCATTGGGGTGTGTGTGTGTGTGTGAGTATGTGTGTGTGTGTTGTATCTATATGAGATACATATATCTCATATAATCATATTTTTAATCCATTCATCTGTGTATGGACATTTACATATGATATATATGATATATGAAACATGTATATGTCTGAGATATGATATTTATATATTATATGAGATATATATATATCATATATTTTATCCTATCTGTGGATGGACATTTATGTTGATTCCAATCTTGACTTTTGTGAGTAATTCTGCTATAAAAATGGAAGTAGAGATATCTCTTTGAGATAATTAATTTTATTTTCTTTGAATATATTCCCAAAAATGAAATTGCTGGATCATTTGGTAGTTCTATTTTTATTTTATGAGGAAACTTCACACTGTTTTCCATAATGGTTGTACTAATATACATTCCTACCAACAGTGTAAAATAATTCCCTTTACTTTATGTACTCACTGACACTTGTTGTCACTTTATGTACTCACTGACACTTTTATAACAATTCTTCTAACAGGTGTGATGTGATATATCCTTGTGGTTTTAATTTTTAATTTGTATTTCCCTGATGATTAGTGATTTTGAACTTTTTTCATATGTATGTTGATTATTTGTATGTCTTCTTTTGAGATATGACTTTTTCACATTCTTTGTCCATTTTTCAATCAAGTTATTAATTTTATTGCTATTGAGCTGTTTGAGTTATGATTAATATTAAAAATACATGAAGAGTTTAATATTGAAAATATGTTAATCAGAATAGAAAGTCCAGCCATAAATCTAAGCATTTTTAGTCAACTGATCTACCAAAGTGCCAAGAACATATAATAGGGAAAGTATAGTCTCTTCAATAAATGGTGTTGGAAAACTGGATATCCATACAAACAAGAAAGAAATTTGATCTCTATTTCACCCCATATACAAAAATACAATGAACTAAAGAATTAAATATGAGACCTACAAGTATGAAACTACTAGAAGAAAACATAGAAGAAAAGCTTCTTGACATTAGTTTGAGCCAAAACTTTTTGGATATGTCCCCAAAAGTACAGGTAATACAAGCAAAAACAGATAGAATTGCATCAAACTAAAAAGATTTTGCACAGCAAAGAAAAATAATCAACAGAGTGAAGAGACAACCATGGAATGGAAGAAAATGTTTGCAAACCACATGACAGTATGTTAAAATGATAGACTAATATCTTCATTTAACACCAATCTTATTTTCCTAAGTGTCTTGTTGTTTCACATGTATAATTCTTTTATCAACAGATACAAATTAACATTATTTTTTAACTGTAACATTTTTTGAAGTGATAAAGTATACTCTGCAGAAAACAATTACCTAAACACCTGGGGACAGAGTAAATGCCACGGTTTTTATGCAAGTGTAGATATAAATGCAGCACAGATTCTTAGAAGAGAAATTAAAAGAGCAGGTGACATATGATAGTCAAGTTGTTTTCTGAAAGTACAGGAGAGAAATGGACAAATGCTCACCTGGTACAAAAGTGACCTTTGAATGTGTGGGGCATTGTTAAACAGAAAAATACATGAATATCATCAGATTTTTTTCTGAGAGAGACACAGAGAGAGAAAGAGAGAGAGATAATATATTTCTGCAGGCAGAACCAGTCACAGGCTGGAGCCTGTAAAAGCCTGTGATTAAGGATATGAGGCAGACCAATATGCATTTCCATTTAAGGTCAATCTGTATCGGGGTGTTATCAGTCAGCCTTTGTACGTCTCTGCTCCCAAACTGGCATTTATAGTCCCATTGTGCATGCTCATTCAGACTGCACTGATTCTATCCATGCACATGTGATTCCATGGAGGAATCTATAAAATTACAATTTCTCAATTTCTACCAGTTATAGAATTCATACTAGAACTTGAGAATAAAAAGGGCTGAAGACATTGCATATATCATACCAGAATTCCCTACAAGCATCAATAATAGAGAAATCAAAGATTGAATTTAATAGTGTCCTCTAGAGAGCCTTTACCAATCAAGCCTAAAAATAGTTTGTTTTTTCTGGTATAAACTTAAAAAAAGTTTTAAAACCTAGATCACATTTTCAACTCGTTAGGTAACAAAAAAGATCAACACTTAAGATATGAAGTAATTTGGGAATTAATAACAAATTATTTCTTCTGTCTTCACAGTTACAAAGAAATCATGGTATCAACATAAGTATTTGTTTTAAATAATCCATTTTTATATTGCTATTTAATTTGTAATCAATTTCAATAAGTACCTTTAAACAAGACTTCTATAAAACACAACACATTAATAAATATGTGACTGCTAAGACAAGTCATATTCTAAAAATTACAAAATATCAAACCTATTATCACTGTTGATCACTGAGAGACCAATTTTACACATCAATTGAGACTGGCAACAGCCTTGTTTTTCCCTGTCAATGCCTTAAAAAGCCTTAGAACAATTCTATCAAAATGTAAATTTACTTTTTCTCATAGGAAGATTTTTAAAGAGAGGTAGACTTAATTTTAATTCTTGTAATAAAGAATACAAGGATATTTATAAGAAGATAAGTCAGAAAATATTCCTGGTCAAACAATATCTTTTGGACTTCTGGATGACCAAAATTTGATTGTCTTCCAGTCAATGACTGCATGCCTTGCCATGTATGGAGAGTGATTATTTTAAAAATACTTTTAAAACTTGTCATTTAAAAATTATTGCACAAGTCACTTAGAAATATGGATAGTGATTTCTAAAAGTTAGTATATACATATTATGTCTTAATTCAGTTACAAATGAAATGGACTTTTCAGTTAAAATCTGTTGTCTGTCCTACTCTATCTATCCAATGTTCCTCATGCTTTTTTGACCTCATCTTTAGTCACTCTACTTATTGGACTCTTTCTTGGTCCTTCAATTATCCCAATGTTCCTCAGGGACTTTGCATATGCTATTTCTACTTGTAACTATCCAGAGAGAAACTGAACCAATTTCCTCCTTCTTTAGGGTGTCTGATCAAATGTCCCCTTAGTAAGTGGCTTTTCCTGACTTCCCCATAGACAATAGAAATTCCTCACTCCACATTCCAAAACTCCATTTCTCCCTTACTTGCTTTATTTTTCTCCATAGCACTTAGCATTACATAGCATATTACATATTTATTTGTGTGTCATCTTATCTTCAATAAAATGTTGTTTTGCTCATTGCTATAGCCCTACCATTAGAGCAGTCTCTGGAAAGTAGTAGGTGGTCAAAAATATATATTTAAGTCGATAAACTTCATTAGACAGCCATGGATTTTGATGGGCAAAGCATCATATTATGCACTGAGAATGTATCAAACAAGAATAAAGAATACCTTATATGAAAGAAACTTAGAGATTAGTGGTGTAAATAGATAATTTTCTATATATAAGACAGAATATAGAAATTTTAAGAAAAATTACAATATATGAACTGAGGCCGAGTGCAGTGGCTCACAACTGTAATCCCAGCACTTTGGGAGGCCAAGGCAGGCAGATCACCTGAGGTCAGGAGTTCAAGACCAGCCTGGGCAACATGGTGAAACCCTATCTCTACTAAAAATACAAAAATGAGCCAGCCATGGTGGTGGGCACCTGTAATCCCAGCTACTCAGGAGGCTGTGGAAGGAGAATCGCTTGAACCTGGAGGCAGAGTTTGCAGTGCAGTGAGCTGAGATTGTACCGCTGCACTCCAGCTTGGTGACAGAGTGAGGCTCTGTCTCAAAACAAACAAACAAACAAACAAACAAAAATATATGAACTGAAAAGATAGAAGGGAAAGAGCAATTTGACTTAGAAACTGGAGAGGCATTTAGGAAGGATGTGGCATGTGAGTGAAACCTTCAACAGAGAGGTGTGAAGGTGCAGGTGAAGGCCATCTATCAACAAGAAGATAAATAGGCAAAGGCATAGAGATAAGAGAATATAGTGAATTTCAAGGACAATTCGTAGCTTTTTTGTTTATTTGTTTGTTTTTTTGAGATGGAGTCTAGCTCTGTCACTCATGCTGGAGTGCAGTGGTGCAATCTTGGCTCACTGCAACCTCCACCTCTTGGGTTCAAGCGATTATTGTGCCTCAGCCTCCCATGTAGCTGGGATTATAGGTGTCTGCCACCACGCCCAGCTAATTTTGGTATTTTTAGTAGAGATGGGGTTTCACCATGATGCCCAGGCTGGTCTTGAACTCCTGAACTCAAGTAATCCTCCCGCCTTGGCCTCCCAAATTGCTGGGATTACAGGCATGAGACACTGCGCCTGGCTGACAATTGGTAGCTTGATAAAGGGTAGAATATAGGTGGTACCAGGAAGAGAAGAAAGTAGTGGGCAGATGACAATCATGTAAATTTCTACATTATAAGGTCTTGCTTGTACTCACTTTCTAGTTCAGTGATTCTCAACCTTCGGGAGTATGAAGTTTTTTTTTTAAAAAAAAGAATACCAAAACATAATGAGGGCTGCATGTACTATAGTTTTTTTTTAAAGTAAAATATATGGTATAAAAAGCTATTACAAATGCAGTACACCACCTTTTAAATACATTTGTTTTTATTAAACATATTTTAGAACTTTAAAAGCATATATGTATGTATATGTTTATGTATATATACACGTGTATGTCCATATACACATATATTTTTCTTCATTATACAATGATTCATATTTATGTAAATATTAATATGTAGTAACCTTGTAGTAACTCCATGGGCACCCAAGGATCTGAAGCACACAAGCCCAGAGCCACCATTATCTAGTCAATGAGAAACCATTAATGTCTTTGAGTAGGGGAATGACCTGATGAGGGTTGTGTTATGGAGGCAATGAGGGTTAGAGATGGAAGGTACCCTACAGAACACTTTCTCAGTGCAATCTACTAAACTTACAGAAGAGATTGCAACCCACAGAAATAATAGATAATTGGCCAAGACTATAAGAAGAGGGCTATGATGACTAGTATTTAGATTTCTGAAGTGATCTCAAGTATTTCCATGATAATATGGATAAGGTCGATAAGCTCACCCAAAGATATTATTAGGAATAAAAAATACATGATCTGTTCCAATTCAGTAAAATAAGATGAAATGTTACATATCTGAAACTCGATTCACACTGTTTTCTTTGCCATGGCACAGGTATTGTGCTATTTTCAAAATCCTATGGCTTCTACTCTACTTTTTCCTCTACGTCAGTGTTTTAAAAACATATTCATTTTTTAAAAATGTACCTTCATGTGTCTTTTATAAAACTCCAAAAATGTTTTCTCAAGGTCATGTGGAGTTTCAGCAAGGGAGGTTACAGGTTTTCCTTGTTGTATACAGAAATTTTTGAAAATTTAAACATAAACTTCACAGTTAAATAAATTTTGTTATTATATATGTATAAAAACTTAGTATTTAAATGGACTCAAAAGTTAAACATTAATTCCCAAATCAATCCGAATTTTAAAAAAACAGGTTTGCATGTATTAGAATTCCTTAAATTGGTCTGTACCTGTTTGGCTCTGGCAATATCAGCATCTGATATATGCAAACATTTTTTAATACCACTCAAAATATTCTGTATACAGTTGAAAGTATTTAATGCAGTTTTGCACAAGTAAGATCTGCTATTTGAGTGAACACTAAGCTGTTCCTTTTACCTAGCAATTGTACTATCAGAAGCAAGGCAATGGGCACTCTTCCCTCCCTCTCCTCCTCTTGTATAGTGAATTATAAATAACTAATCTCAATATGAGTAGAGAATGAATTTCAAAGCCCCACATGAATCTTCAAAGGTTTAGTACAATTTGTACTTTAAAATCTCTCTCATAAGTATTTTTGTTCTCTCCTTTTTCCTCAAACTCCTGACATAGCCACATGCACCTTTACTATTCCTTTTGTCAGATCCTCTGAAAGGAAACACTTATTTTTACTAAAAGATACCATATTAAATCTTTGGATAATGAGAAAAATTAGAAAGTTGATTTATGTACTATCTCATTTTTAAAGAAAATTGTAAGAAGACTTTCCTTCTTTCCTACAGTGAGGTTTTCTTGAATGTACAATTATTGCCTTAATTGGATTACAATTGCCTCTAGGTAAGTTTATGCCTTTTATATGATCAAAAACCCACGCATAAAAGATATGACTGAAAATGGAAATGCCCTGGATTTTGGTGATGGGAAAATTCCAGTTTTTCTGTTTACGCATTGGAATGCAAACCATTGTATTACATTCTACTTTTGCAAATATTGTTAGTTTAAGAAATTCATTTAAGGATTCTATTTGCTTTTATTGCTAAGCTTTCTATATACTTTAATTTTATTATGTTCCTGCTCTCTGATATTTTATATTATTAGAATATAGAAAAACTTAATGCAACATAAAATAGTTGATACAATTAAATTTAAGTAACACATTAGTTTTTTTAACTGAACCATTCCAGTACACCCTACTGTGTTTATGCCTGTATAATTATACATCTTCTGACTTGTCTCATGTAATTCACAATTTCTTCCTGCTGCTTAATCGCAGACTTCAGTGAGCACATTTTAAGGGGAGACACTCAGTATAATTTTTCTGTGAATCTCTTATTTTCCATGTGCATTAAGGCATTGATAATCCACAAGGAAAAAAAATGAGGGATATATAAAAGATACAGGAGTAAAGGCACAAGATGGTTTTCAAATCTATGCATAATTTAGATTCATTCTTGTAAGAGGAAATCACAAGAAAATTAATCAGCAATATATGTGTAGACTTCACACCAATCATTTTTACCTGAAAAAAGTAGCAGTTATCATATATTGTTTCTTTATCACAAGAAAGAACTGGCATCAAAAGGCAATCAAGCTTGCAGAATCAAACTGGCAGCCTAGCCCTCAGAGCTTTCTGTGGTGCATGAAACTTCTTTGAACAGGAGAAATGTTAGTTTTCAGATCTTAGGTGAAAACAGACCAAAGAATAAATTATCGCACTAAAAATTATCTTTATATGATTTATTGGCTTTTTGATAGGATAATTGTGACTGATAGACTTTGATTTTCAAAATATTTGATAACATTTAAAGACATCAAAAGAAATAATGAAAAAGTACAGACTTTGAGTACAGAGTAAGTTGCCGTTACCTGTCTATGACGATAAATAGAGACAGTGACAGACCATTTTGGGCTAAATATGGTATTATTTACTTTAGACAATAGAAAAGATAAAGTGATAAAGAGTTAAACTTACTAGAGAGAGGTGATTGTAAAGCTTTTCTTGAGAGGCATATTGCTTTACCGTAAAATAGTGTTATAACAATCTTTTGATTTTTAGCAAGATCCTGATAGCTTTCAGTTCCATAATAATCTTTGTTCTGGACTTTACGCCAGGGTAATTGTGCTGCTCCTTTTCAGCCAGAATCAGTTCCTTTAGGGAAGACTGCAGATGACTCCTTTTAACCCTTTGAAATGGTGCCTGTAGTGAATTATGTCACTAGCATGCTCTGGACCAAGAAGTTTGGCAATGAATATCCTGTTAAATATTTAGCTTGTCATTCACAATTAACTCTCTCCCCTCCATTCTGAACTGCTTTCTACTCCCTAAGAGTTGTAATTGAAATTGGATGAATAACGAGAAGTTTTAGGCTAGCTTCCCAAACCTTTCAATAGACTTCCAGGAAAGAAAATCTATCACTCCTAGAAAAGCAAAAAAGAGAACTGTCCAGTGATCATGCCTGAATGAAGGATGCTGAGCTAGACTGAAATTGCATTTGATCTGTTTCTCTGTTGATTTTGTAAACCTTTCCAAGGGTTTCCATGGTAACAAGCGAATTATCCCCTCTGCCCTCAACATCTTTCATGCATGTTACAGGAATAAAGATAAAGGTTAGGGTGAGAAAAGCTACAGTATCTTTTCTACTACCAGGATGTATCTGAAGAAGTCATGATTAGTCTTTTAAGAAATCAAGTATGTTTTCCCTACCCCAGTGATATGAAAAAGTTGGGTCAGATTTTACTTACATCTCTGATGTCTGCGTTTGCTCTTGTACATGGTCATTTTGAAAAAAATTAGACTTTCTAAGAAGTAATTGATTTGACCACGGAGACAAAGAGACGGGTTGTGCTCCTGCTTTGCAGTAAGACTGTTGCTCACTGACAGAAGGTAACCAGCAATCACACAGTGAAAGCCAGGGTAATACCATTCTCATAAAATTACAGGGGAGATGCTACAGCCTGTAACTACTCTGTTTAATGTAAATCTTCTAGGGAAAATTGTATTTCCTTCACCTCCCCCGATCCTATAGCAGTTAAGTTCTCTAATGAAATCTGTACTACTAAACTGCTGTCCATGAAGCAATGTTGGATTAAGAATAGATTCATATATTTAGCAAGAATTGCAAAACTGAAAATCTAAATATAAAAACCTTGTTTAGTATTTATATAAATTAAAAATTAGGTTCATATATCTTTTAACCACTATAGAATACTGAAATTTGTATATTATTTTGAAACTCTGCTAAATTCTTTTCTTCTGAGAATCTCTGATACACTTTGTATGTTCAATTATTAAAGCAATTCTCAATTTTAGTTTTGTCTATTTCCCCAGTCTATACTTCTCAGGCAAAACAGAAATTGCACATTTTCACATTTATATCCACAGAACTTTACATAGAAGGTGCACACAATAGGTTCTCAGGCTTGTTGAGTGCCTACTATGTAGCAGGCACTCTGCTCCTGCTTGCAAGAAGCCTCTCCAGAAGCTTCCCCCACCCCCAACCCCTGGGGCCTCAGTTTAGTCCTCAGTTCTCTACTTTGACAGTAGTTGGGGCATATCCCTATCTGAATATGTTTCACACTGTCACTCAAGTGGACAAGGTGGAAGCTCTGCCTTCATTATAGCTTGTACTGTCCTTTTCTGAGAGCAATGCCTGGCATTCAGCAGAAGCCCAGGAACACTGCCTCTCCCAAACACTCCAAATGAGAACATGGTTTCAAAGACACCTTTGGGTGCTGACTTGGGTGTCTGAAATTAGTTGTTATTTAAAATACAGAAGGACCCACATGCTAGTGAAAAATTTCTATGTCATAAGACTTCCTTGTTATGTATTAAGTTTCACCTTTTTGCCAAGAAGCAGAAGTGGAGATACTCAGCTGTTCAAAGTTATTCTTTTTTAAGTGTGAACAAATCCAGGCTACCTACTAGTAGCGGGAAATATCATCTCCATAACTCTTCATAGAAGCATTGTTTCAGTGTAAAGGATTTTTTTTTACTTAAATAATTATATTTTGTAACCACATATACCAAGAATAATATTCTATAAGTTTTCAGCAATATTCTGTTCAGTGTCCTTGACTTTTGATGAACTAAACTCTTTGGTAAGACTGTTTGTCAAAGACCCCTATGGTTATATCTTGCTTTAGGGCATAGTCAGTGTCTGCATTACTGTACATTCCACTGCTGTCTTTCTCTTCCTATTAGAACATACATTTCTGAGGATAAAACTTCATTTTTTTTCCAGAGATGTATGTCCAGAGGTTAGATCAATGCCTGGCACAAAGTAGGCTCTTAATAAACATTTGTGGAATAAATGAGTTGTTGTGTGTGTGTGTGTGTGTGTGTGTGTGTGTGTGTGTCTGTGTGTATTGGGGGGCTGGTGGTATAGAGTCTCGCTCTGTTACCTAGGCTGGAGTACAGTTGTGCGATCTAGGCTCACTGCAAACTCTGCCTCCCAGGTTCAAGCGATTCTCCTGCCTCAGCCTCCTGAGTAGCTGGGATTACAGGTGCCTGCCACCACGCCCAGCTAATTTTTATATTTTTGGTAGAGACAGGGTTTCGCCATGTTGGCCAGGCTGATCTCGAACTCCTGACCTCAGGTGATCCGCCCACCTTGGCCTCCCAAAGTGCTGGGATTACAGGTGTGAGCCACCATGCCCGGCCATGAATAAATTTTAATAAACAAGTTTCAATGATAAAGTCCATACAATCACAAATTCTTTTTCAATAAATTTAGACAAGAGCCAATTCATGTTTATTGACTACAGTAACTTTTTTATATAATTAAAATACTTGTCATTTCACATCTTTTAGTCCCAGTGTTAATTTGAATGCATTCTCTCATTACGTGAGTTCTCAGTATATAGATTTTGATGAAATTGTACATATTCACAGGTATGAAGATCTAATGATGTATTTTAAATTCACAGGAACAAAGCCATATTTAATAAGCAATGTCTCCTTTATAAAAGCTATTTGCTGATTTCTTAGACACCAATGCCATAAGACCAACAAGGCACGAAAACTGTGGCAATTCAATAGAATTAAAACAGTTTTTCTGTTTTAGGCAGTATATAGGTGGTATATATTTATGATATGAATAAACGTGGTGATGATTAGGCAGTAATGGACTAATGACTCAAATGTCATTGATATTAGCATTACTATTTGATTATATACAGTCAAATTTGTAGTTTTTCACTTTTCACACTTTTAATTCTCCATTATGTATAATTAATATCAATCTGAACAGTTTTTGGAAAGACCATGTGACAATTCACTTCATTCATATGTACAAGAAGCCCCCACCCTCCAGCCTCATCGATCATCACACCTATACACCTTAAAATCCACATGTATATATAAACAGATACACACTAAAACAAACAGCCAGACTTGTACTCGTCAATGTTTGGCCCACCTTTCTCCTCCAGACCTTATATCAGGGCTGAGTTTCTTAGGCTCCATATAGGCAATTTCCAGCTCCTCAATCCTTTCTTATGTTACTTTTCTCGCCTCAGTGCATTTAGAGCATCTACTCCTGAACCTCACATCTGGGCCTAGTGGCTTGAATCTTGGAGGGATTGGGGACCTTACATATACCCGGTGAATACAAGCCAACTTCATGAGCACCATGCTGCAGTAGGGTAGGCAGGTGAGAGAAAGGCAGGGGCAGTGGCTGAGGGGGAGCAGAGTCCTTGGTGAAAGTGGAACCTGGGGAACCTTCATTCCGAAAAGTAGGAAGAAAAAATATAGACATAAGGGACAGAGAGAGAAGCTGAAGAGAAGGGCACGTCCAGGCACCCCACTCTTCTTCCTGCCCTCTTCAAGAATCCCAAATGGGCTAGAGTTGTTTTGTTTGCAAAATCAGTTTTATGCCTTAATTAACAAACATTCTCCTCATCTACTCCCTACAATCTGTTTTTCTTTTACTTAAATTGAATCTTTATACTCCACACTTAAAATGCAAATCTAGTGAGCATTGATACATTGGGATAAATTAATTCTCATTAAAAATCAAATAATTGTATCTATACCTTTCATTTATTGATGGAAGGAATCAGTAGAAATAAAAGCCTATAAGATATATACTTTTAATATAAATGTATAATATAAACTGTCCTTTTAACAGTAATAGAATAACAGAAGAAAGGAAGGAGAGAGAGGAAGAAAAGGAAGAAAGAGGGGAGAGTGAGATAGGAGGGAGAGGGAAAGAGGAAGAGAGAAAGGGAAAGAATGAGTGTGTGTGTGTGTGTGTGTGTGTGTGAGAGAGAGAGAGAGAGAGACTATGCAACTAGCCCTATGCTAAATATACATTATGTCACATAATCTTCTGTTACTTGAGTATCTCTATCCCAATTTTGAAAATGGGGAAACTTTAGCCAAATGAGAACACGTAGAGGTAATGGTCAGGGACACAGCATGACTTACATAGTTGTGTTGAGAGCATTTTACCAGGAACTAGGCCAATATGATTTAGGGCTGAATTAAGTGGCAATGCACTGGGTAGCTTCTAGGGGAAACTTACCTAAAAGGGCTCTATGGTGTCACTAGTAATGTACTGAAACCAAGGACATCATGTTTGCCAGAATGTGACACAGGGAGTGAATGCTGTGTGATTTAAAAAGAGCTAAAATTTAGAGAATGTTCATTAGGTGCTGAGGTCTTTTCTAAATGTTATATGCATTATTTCATTGAACACTGAAAACAGTCCTATGATGTACGTATTGTTATTATTGGTTTCATTTTTATTATTCTTATCATCATTCTTATTTGATGCTTCAGTAAAGTGAAGCTAAGAGGTTATGTCTGAATAAAGTGTCACAGAGGGCGAGACATAGTGTCCTGATTAAAATCTGGCTAATATTTCTCCAGAGACAGTTCAACATAACATGCCATGTGAGGTGAAGGGATACTTTGAGTAGTTGTGCAGGAAACAGGAGATGACACCCCACAAGGGACATGTTTCCACAACAACTAGTTGTGCTAAACTACCTTCTAGGAGGGGTGAATCCAGTTGACTGCAGGGCTTCTGGCTTCCCGGCAGGGACATTCAAGTTTGGAGCCAGAGCTGACTTGGGATGACAGAACAGGCCTTCTCAGCTCTGCAGCAGGGGTGAGTACCCTGTCTTACTGGAGTCACCTCACCCCCTCTCTTCCTGATCCTCCAGCCCTCATCCTTTCCTCCAAATGAAACCCTAACTGGATATTTCCAGAAGATCAAATGTATCGAATTATTAGCTCACTCGGAGTATTGACATCTTTATCTGGTTTTCAAGTTAAAACGTGTTGAATTTCATAAACCTTCTAAGTATTTTGTCAAGACACTGTATATAGAGTGTATAGAAATCATTAACTTGAATTTTATGATGGTTCCGTTTCAGAGAATTGCTAGAATAATTAAATATTAAAACCGAAAAGATGCAGCAAAGTTCTGTTGCCCAAATTCTTCATTTACAGATGTCCGATAGAGACCAGACAGCTCCTACAAGTTTGCTGAAAAGATAACTGAAGGAAGATGAGGTATATGAACTCATGCAACTTGGACCATGTACTCCCAGCAGGGGCTTCAATCAGGGCTTCCAAGAGTGATAGGAAGTGATATCTCAACTCTCCTTTCTCAGGTAGGAACAGAAAATGTTTATCAGGTTTAGATGTAAAGTTACTCACAGTTAACCTTTCTCCTAGGTCATTCATATCACCCAGCGCCCCTGATGTATGGGTGGGACCCTTCTCTTACCCTTTCCTCCTTATCTTATCAGCTGCCCCTGTGGTAACACTGGCTTTTCTCCTCTTAGAGATAAATTCTTCCTTCTTTTGAAACACCTCCCTATTCATACAATTCCTATGAATTCTTTATATGAATACTTTCCTCAGGTTTTTTCAAGGATAACAACCAAATAATTTTCAACCCCAGCACAATCACCAACCCATCTTTTCAGCAATTAAACAAATATATATCTGTATCTTTGACACTCATCTATATTAAATTACTTGCTGTCTTGACAACTGTCTGGAGATCTGGACCCACATCCATTCGCCCCAAGTCAAGTGCTGTCCTGTAAGTAGATAATCTAAAAATAGTTACTAAAATATTTAACGGCTATCATATTAAAAACATCTTGTCATTTCATTCAACACCTCATTTTACTTTATTTATCATTGTTCTTTTTTGAATTGAAGGAAATAAAAGACTTTCTTAAGTTTGGTCCAAGTTTTCATTTGTGGTATTGGTTCAAATTAGGGAAAAATAACGATTTCCAGAAAGATGCTTCTTTATTCTTGACTGTTGCTAAAAGTGAAATAAGCAAACAAATCAATTCTGTACTCCTTAGTTTTGTTCAGTTTTTTTATGTATCTGGAAGAGACTTTCATTTTTTTTAAACTATAATTGGGTTTTATTATTAAGCCTTTATTCATTTCTTTGGACTTTGTCCAGTTTCCTATGCATTAATGTCAAAGAAATCTTTACAATTATTATGATTCTGAAATATTTAATACTTACATGTATTAAACAGTTAAAATGTTTATCCTTTATAACTACAATTACAATTGATTTTATTTTTACTGCATCTCCTTAGTGGTAATTGTTTTTTAGCATTCTTGCTTTTGTTGCTTCTCTTTCTCTATATGCTTTCCTTTCAATTTTATCTGAGTTTTATCTTTTTGTAGCCTAAATTTGATTATCCAGACTTAGTTTATCTTCTTGGTTGCCTGATTTTCTCATTTATACTTGGATAAATTTGCAGTGTTTTAAGGATAATGAAATTCTATCTTCTTTATCATATCCTTTGGATGGGTTCAAGTATTTAATGGTTACAAAAGAGTTGAAAAATGTCTTTAATTTCCTAGCGATTATACTTAAAAGTATGAAGGAAATTACTTATGCCTATGTAAATAATTCACCTCCCTTCAATATATTTTTAATAAATGTTGGCTATATTTTACCTTAAAGGTATAACGTAAAATAATCCTGAACCTAAAAAGGTACAAGGTCTCTTTTCGGATGATAGCCACATAAAAGGTACTATCATCTGCAACAAACTACCTCACAGACATATGGAAGTGATTATATAGTTTATTGGAGATGTGCATTGCTATGGTCTAAATGTTTTTGTTCCTCTCCAATTAGTGCATTGAAACCTAATCCCTCCTGTGATGTATTTAAAGGTGGGGCCTTTGGGAGGTAATTAGGTCATGGGAGCAGAACCCTCACAAATGTGATTAGTGCCTTTATTAAAAAGACCCCAGAGAGATCCCTTGCCTCTTCCACCTGAGGACACAAAGAGAAGTTGCCTTCTATTGACCAGAAAGAAGGCCCTCACAAGATACTGAATCTGCCAGCACTTTGATCTTAGATTTCCCAGCCTTTAGAACTCTGGGAAACAAATTTCTGTTGTTTATAAGCCACCCAATGTATGGCATTTTATTATAACAGCCGAGTGGACTAGACAAGCATGATGTGGGAGAATTGCTGTACCATGCTCCCTAGAGATCTTTTACTTATAAAAAATACTTCCTCAGCAGCTCACAACTTTTGTCTCAGAGCATCTCCACTGTGTCCTGAGATGAAGGGATAGTACTGAGTTTATAGGGAATCCTGATGAGAAATTAAAACATCCTTGAAGTCATATTAGTTTCTGTGATCATGAAAATTATGCATAGAATTTTACTATGAAAGAGTTTACAGAATAGGATGTATACACTTATCTATCTACTATCTATCTATTCATCTGTTATCTATTTATCCTATCTATCTATCTATCTATCTATCTATCTATCTATCTATCTATCTATCTATGTACCTACCTATCTTAAAAGCCACAGGGTTGTGAGTGGTAAAGCTTCCTAGCAAAACACGGTTCTGAGGTGTTTGCAGGATGCGTCCTTCCTCAGTGGCCAGATTGTAGCTAGAGAAAATTCTTAACCAAGCACAGAAGACTCAGGACAATGGTGGGGACCAGCAAGTGGCACGTGGCACGTGAAGTAGAGGAAGGCAGAGACATAAAGTAGCAAGTATCCTATTGTACACACTGCTGACTTCTCAGAGTTCTGCCTTCCTCTTTTCCTGGCTGATTCTATCTTAGTCAACGTCTGTCTTTCCTGAAACTTGCCCTTACTTTCTTCTTTCTGGACTCTGAACTAGAGCATCTGGTTTCATCTTTCTATTCTGTGGGGTTTCTTTCCTCTGCTGTGTTTTATCTATATAAAATTCATTGTATTTCTACTTTATTTTATATATGTGGTAGTGGGGCACAAATTCTTCTTGGTGTGAGGCAGGTAATAAATACATGATGCTAAAAAAACGATGAACTGGGATTCTGCACTCCACTGTATGATATCTTGCATATTCTGCTTCAAAGAATATATGTTATTATCATTGGGACTCTATATTATAATTTTACATCATCACCCCTAGAGTTCACTAATGTTAGCTTTATAATGTAAGCAATGAATTAAATATAGATGAGGTATTTTAATTAAAATAGTTCCCTAATTAATTGCAGAAGCTAAATGGAATCATAAAAATGAACAATTATTAAGTGCTTGCTTTGTATGAGGGATTTTGTTTATGTTGCTTTAATTTTAAAGCAGTGATGCGAGGTAGGAGTCCTCATCCTACAGATAAGGGAACCGAGGTTCAAGGGCCAAGTTCAAAGAGCTTGCAAGAAAGAAGCAGAGCTGGAGTGTGTACGTTTGTGAGCTGCAAAAACTGTACCCAGTTCATGATACCACTATCTCATGTGTTGTAAAACTAATTGTCAAAGAAACCAAATTCAGAAAACAGTTGAGAATAGAGAACACTACCTAGGATTTTACTTTAGTTGGAATTATTGGAGTTATTGTCATTTTGGCAAATATACATGCTTTTAAAGTGTCAGACAATGGGAGAATATATTTGATATGTGAGATTTCAATAGAGAATGCATTCTGATACTTACCTATCCTCATACTCCAGAAAAAGAATACAGTGTGTTCTCCCTTGTAAGTGGGAGCTAAATGATGAGAACATATGGACACATAGCGGGGAAAAACAGACACTAGGGCCTTTGGAGGGTGGAGGGTGGGAGAAGAGAGAAAATCAGAAAAAATAACTAATAGGTACTAGGCTTAATACCTGGGTGATGAAATAATCTGTACAGCAAACCCCCATGACACAAGTTTACCTGTATAACAAACCTGCACTTTCACTCCTGAATTAAAAGTTAAAAAGAATTCTAGAGGTGCATATATTGTGATTCTAAAGATATTCAAGTAAAGCCTAATTGGTGCATGAAGTCCACTGAAATGATAATATTTGCACTAATCTAAGGTCCATTATGGACTTGGAGAATGTTCTTCGGGGAAAATAATCAAGTAGGTTAGAATGACCCAGAGCAAATTTCCAATTAAAAAGAGATAACATTATGTCAGAAAATTAGGTGCCCATACACACACATAACCAAACAATTTTGAAAATGTTGGTCTAGACATTAAGAAGATTTATTCATAGTTTAAAAATATAATGCTTAAAATAGACAAAGACCAATACTATGATAAGTAATTCTTTATGGGCTTTAAAAAATATCAATTTCAATTTATGGATCATATTCAGCATATTTTTGTTTCTAAGAATAGTATCAACATTTTTACTCCAAAATTTCTAATTATTTCCAATTTAAAATTTGCATAAATATTATATATTAATAGAATTCATTTCAGCCTGTCTACAAAAGTATTATACACAGCAATCCTGTCCTCCTAATTCCTTTCCTGTTCCTATTTAGTTATAATTACACTACATTGATGAGCTACTTCAGCCTGCTGAGTTGAATAGAATGAATTTTCAGGTATAATTTAGCATTACATAGCCCAAGGGCATTTCAGAAATCCATCTCGAAACCTCATTTTGTGTGTATTTGTGTCTGCTAAAGGGCTCAGAACCACCTGGATATTCTTTGACCTCTTATATGTGTTTCAAAGACAACTATTTGAATAAACTCTGCATTTGCCATTACCAGCACAGCAGTATGTGAACAGTAAATATGTAAATGAAATTCATGATTCTCTTACCATTATAAAAACCGTTTTTAGATGTTTACTTAAACGGCCTTAGATACAGAAACAGAAATTATGGTGGGAAAAAAAGAGTCTCACATTTTATTTTCAAAACTTCTTTAGTTTGGCAAACACAAAATCTTGTATTATTTTTAATATTTTTAAATCATGCCTTGGAAAGCTATAGAAAGCCCACCTGGAGAACACAGTAAATACTTAAATGAATCATTAGAGGATTCACAAAATATGAACACAAATACAGCATGTGAAAAGGTGATTATTCAATTTTAAAAACCTTTGGCTCCCAGCTTCTAAGACCATTTAAAGAAACGTTTGTAGGAAAATAGTATAACAAAGAAGGAACCAAGATTTCAGCTTGTGACTACCTAATCTTGATTCGATGAGGAAAAAAATTTCTTTTTTATGGTTGCCTTTTTCTTGGGTTGATGATCACATGTGTTTTCAGTAGCATAAATAGCTATGTTCCCATCTGGATAAGATTAACCTTTTTTTTTTTAAATTTTAACATTTAGGATTTAACATATGATCCCTCATTTAAATTAAATGAACTTAACTTCAGTCTTTTAAATAATATACTTTGTGCACTTAAATTTTGTCATCTGGTTGATGTAATGCTAAGTAAAAACAGACATGATTGTTCATATAGCTTTTATTTTATTGGGGAATACTGACACTAATCAAGTGATCACAAACTTACAGAATATATTCATTCATGTGATTCATCATCCTGTTCATAGCAGATTTGTGGTCCTTTGACAGTGTATTGAAAAAAATGGCCCTTGACAATGACTGGTCCACTCTTCTCTGAGGCTGAGGGAATGAGTGCTGTATTAGGAGTGTTTAAAGAATGGAGTCATGGGTAACAATAATTAAGCATTAGTGAGAGAATTACTGAGAGGGGTAGAAAGTTCAGTGGAATATGTTGATTTAAGAACAGCATGATGATACATAATTGGTGTTCAACAAATAATGTTGATACATTTTTTGTTTTGCTAAGTTTGCTACCAATTTGTAATCACGGTGCAAACAATTTCTCATTACTCAGATTAAGAACACAATAATTAGTAAATAGAATTCTATACCTCATTACTTCATGCAACAAATACTAAGTATATACTTGTCCAAGATACAAGGGGACAAAGATAAAATAGCCATCATCTTAATCTTAAAATTTTGCTTATAATAGATATGTGATTCATAAGGTTTTCAAAAATAACATTTCTATAAAACTACCAGTTAAAATATCTGTTTATATCAAAGAGAATGAATGTAACCAGTACCCTGACACTTGAAATAATGGTTCTAGTTTTGAAAAGTGGCAGTCAGTGGTGATAGAAAACCCTGTAATATGTCAATAAATATATGACAAGAATTAATTCCATGGAGATCACTGGGCATGACATTTTGGAAATTTTCAGCAGAAGCAGAATAAATTACTTATGTCTTAGAGGATATTATAAAAATGTAAGCTGAGATGTATGTTTGTGAGTTGGTGCCCATGACATGAACAGGTTAGTGACAGCTGAAAAAATTACTCAACATAAAAATTAACTGCTGAAACATATGTGTAAAGACCTGACACATTATCAAGAAACAGTGATTAATCAATATGGCTTCAGAAAATGTAAAAAAGAAAACTTTTATAATAAAAATACCAAATCAAGGCATTTCTGGTTAATCCTAATTCTTCTTGATATTTGTTAATATCTGACGTTAATTATACTTCATATTTTCATACCAGAGTTCCCTCATCTATAAATGTTTCCTCAACTATTATATATTTACAGGACTGTTACAAGAATTAAATGAGTTAATACATAAAAAGTGCTTAGAATAATGACAAGTATAGTGTTAGCTATTATTACTGGCTATACCCATGTAGATGTTCAAAACACATATCAAATACAACATATACAAAAAACAAACAGCCTATTCCGGTGTTTCTGGTTAGATTAGAACATATCATAAGACAATAATTTATTGGCAAATGTGTCCGTTTTTATGACAGTACCATGCCACTTTGATTACTATAGCTTTGTAATATATTTTAAAGTTAGGTAAAATGATGCTTCCAGCTGTGTTCTTTTTGTTCAAGATTACCTTGGCTATTCAAGGTCTTCTGTGGTTCCATACATATTTTAGGATTGCTTTTTCTATTTCTGTGGAGAATGTCATTGGAATTATGGTGAGTATTTCATTGAATCTACAGATTGCTTTGAGTAGTCATTTAAAAAATATTAATTCTTTTAATCCATAAACACAGGCATTTTTCTACTTATTTGTGTCTTCTACAATTTCTTTCATCCCTGTTGTATAGTTCTCATTATACAGGTGTTTCACCTCCTTGCTTAAATTTACTCATGAATATATTTTTTATGATGCTATGTAAACGAGATTGTTTTCTTAATCTTTTTTTCCCAATAGTTTGTTAGTGAATGCTACTGATCTTGGCATGTTGATTTTGTATCCTGCAACTTTAATGAATTTGTTTATCAGTTCTAATGGACTGATATGAATCAGATTTTTGGTGGAGTCTTTAGGATTTCTCTATATAAGATCATGTCATCTGCAAACAGAAAATTCAACTCCTTCCTTTCCAATTTGGATGCCTTTTATTTCTTTGTCTTACCCAATTGCTTTGGCTAGGACTTCCAGTGCTATGTTGCATAGAAGTGGAGAGAGTGGGGTTCTTGTTCCTAATCATAGAAGAACTTTCAACTTTCCACCATTGGTTAAATGTTAGCTGTGGGTTCCTCAGATATGGCCTTTATTGTGTAGAGGTACATTATTTTTATACCTAATTTGTTGAGAGCTTTTTTTTAATCATGAAAGAATGTTAAATTTTGTGAAATGTATTTTTCTTCATCTTTGAGGTGATCATATGGTTTTTCTCCTTCATTATGTTAATACGGTGAATCACATTTATTGATTTACATATTTGAATGATTCTTATATCCCAGGGATAAATTCCACTTGATAATGATCACTGATTCTTTTAAAATGTTGCTGAATTTTATTTGCTTCTATTTTGTTGAGAATTTTTACATCTATGTTCATCAGGAATATCAGCCTGTAATTTTTCTTCTTGTAGTGCCTTTGTCAGGCTTTGGTATCAGAGTAATGCTGGCCTCATAAAATGCGTCTAAAAATATTCTCTCCTCTTCAAGTTTTCATTTGCTATTATATTAATATGGTTTGGCTATGTCCCCACCAAAATCTCATCTTCAATTGTTTTTCCCATAATCCCCATGTGTTGTGGGAGGGACCCAGTGGAAGGTAATTGAATCATGGGGCAGTTACTTCCATGCTATTCTTGTGATAGTGAGTTCTCATGAGATCTGTTGGTTTTATAATGGGCTTTTCCCCTTTTGCTTGACATTTCTTCTTCCTGCCATCATGTGAAGAAGGACGTGTTTGCTTCCCCTTCTGCATGATTGTAAGTTTTGTGAGGCCTCCCCAGCTATGTGAAACTGTAAGTCAATTAAACCTCTTTGCTTTATAAATTGCTCAGTCTCAGGCACTTCTTTTTAGCAGTGTGAGAATGGGCTAATACATTTATCCCCAACAGCCAGCCAGTGTCCGAGATATATTAGTTGCTCTACAAATATTTATGAATCAAATGAGTGTATTAGTTTTCTATTGTTGCTTTAACAAATTACCAAAAATTTGATAATTTAAAACCACACAAATTTACTCTGATGATCTTGGAAGTTAGACATTTAAAATAAGGTGTGGTTGGGCTATGTTATTTATGAAGATTTCAGGAGATAATTTGTTTGCTTGCCTTTTCTAACTTCTAGAGGCTACCTACCACCCTTGGCTCATGGCCTCTTCCTTCAACTTAGTGCATCATCCCACTTCGTGGATCCATTACCATGTCTCCCTTTTCTTACTTTGATTCTCCTTCCTCTCCAGTAGAAGGATTCTTGTGATTACATTGACACATCCAGATAATCTGCCATCACTGTCACTGCTACAACCAACAAGACTCAAGCATTTAGAAAAACAGCCAGATCCTGAACTATGCCATACCTGTTACAACATACACATGCAAAATAATGCTACATACTTTGCATTTTTAGCTTTTCAGTTTCTGCAGCAAAAGGATGAATACCAGAAATAGTTGAAATAGATATTTCACTAAATCTACAGATTAATTTGTGAGAAATAGATATTTCACTAAATCTATAGATTAATTTGTGAGAAATGATATTTAGGTCTTCAAATCCATGAACAGGTTTTGCAGGTTTCAGGGTAGTGGTCTTACACACCTTCCATTAGATTTATGCTGAAACATTAGAATTGTAAAAGCTATTCTAAGTGATACCCCTTTAAAATTTCATATTCTATGTTTGATTGCTATTGCTGGTACATAGAATGAAAAATGACTTTGTATATTGACCTTCTGGAACTTCTTAACTAATTCTAACTGAGCAGTCCATATTGTTTTTGATTTTTCTATATGTTCAATCAAGTTGTCTATAAATAGGGATGTTTTTTATTTCTGTCTTCAGTGGCTATGACATCTAGTGTAATACTAAATATAAGTGGTGAGAATGTGCATCTTTTTCTCACTCTTCATTTCAAGGCGTAAAGTTTCAATAATTCATTGCTAAGCATGATTTTACTCATGTGCATGTTTTTCTATTTTCAGAAACTTGTTACATTAAAGACATCCCTTCTATTTTGATTTTCCAAAGTTTTTTTTAAAAATCATGATTGGATATTGAATTTGGTCAAATATATCTACTGATGTATAATTTTTTCTCATTTATTGTGAAATATTTTGGTATATTTTTAAATGTTTTACCATATCTGCATTTCTAGAATAAACCCAATGTGATCATGATATTTTATACTTTCTATGAATCACTGCATTTGATTTGCTAATATTTTGCTCTTGTTTAGGATTTTTGTATCTATGCACATGAGAAAGTTGGACTATATTTTCTCACTCCAGTTATTTTAGTATCACTTCTTTTGCATGTGCTTTCTATCTACCTGGAATATCCCTTTCCTCCCTTTCCTCCAGGGGACTCACTCTCTTCTATTGCTTTCCTAGCACCCCAGGAATCCATCTGATATAGGCCTCACCACTTCTATACAAGATATGAGGGGAGGGGGGAGGAAGAAAGCCCAGCATGTTTGGTTTAGAAGGTGCTCATTTGCTCTTTCTTTAATTAAATGGGGCTGTGCTTAGCTCCTTAGGAATATAATCAGATAATGATTTGGAAGTCTTACTCTTTGTTTTTGAATCTTTCTCAATTCACTGTCATTTCAACTACTTAATGATGAAAATAAACTATGATTAAAGTGCACAGATTTTCTTCCAGCAAAAACATTTAGAGAACTGAAATATAATCTGTACTTGCAAATAGCCAGAGATGGCCAGAGTGCCCTAGATTCTATCTCAAGAGTGATCTGTGGACAAAGATAACCTCCTTGTAAACCAGAATGCCGTATTTTATATATGACAGAAACCAAAGTCCCTTTGGCTTTCCTTCAGGAGAGTTCATCACAAGCCCATTTATCATTTCTAGATCCCATATAAAGTTATCCTGACAAACAATACAAAATGTTTGTAGTCTAATAAAACTAAAGAAAGTAATTTTAACTTTTAGGTTTAATAAATGCCAGACATGTGGAAATTCTTCAAACAGTGCTTTGACTTGCCTGGAAAATGTTATTACTATAAAATGCTTGGAGATGCTAGATTTCTTTTTCTTTTAACCTCAAAAATCAGTCTTACAAAGATAAAAAATTAGCAATTCCACCATTTGAAAGTAGTTATGTCATTTTCCACCTATATAGTTACATTTCTATAACTTTGCTTCACTGATAAATTTATTTTAAAATGTGAATTAATGGATGATATCACCAATATCTCCAAAATCTGGGTCCTCATAATCCAGCTTTAGAATTTATCATCCACTTTCTTCTCTTTAATTTTCTGATTTAAAATATTTAATATTTGGCTATAAGACTTAAAGATGGATTTCTATGTTATATGCATGTGAGAAACAGTTAATTTTATTAAAAACAATAGTTCCTTTACCTTAGAAATTTATTTTTAAATTTTTTTGTTTTTAAATTTTCTAGCTTTATTGAAGTATAATTAACAGATAAAAATTGTATATATTTACAATTTATAATTGTATATGTTTTGATATACATACAAATTAAGAAATGATTACCATAATGAAGCCACTTAACACATCCATTACCATTTTTGTGTGATGAGACCATTTAAGGTCTACTCTCCCAGCACTAGCTATAGCCACCATTCTGTAGGTTAGGTCTCCCAAACTTATTCATCCTGCAAAACTGCAACTTTATACTCTTTGACCAATATCTTCCAATTTCTCCCATTCTTCAGCCCCTGCCAACTACCATCCTATTATCTGCTTTTATGGATTTGATTTTTTTAGATTCCACATGTAAATGAGATCATGTAGTATTTGTCTTTCTGTGCCTCGCTTATTTAATTTAGCATCATGTCCTCTAAATACATCCATGTGGTTATAAAAGACAAGATTTCCTCCATTTTTTAAGGCTCAATAATATTCCACTGTATTTATATGTGCCACATTTTCTTTATCCATTCATTCGCTGATGGAAACTTAGGTTGATTTCATATCTTGGATGTTGTGAATAATGCTGCAATGAACAGAGGAGTGATGATATTTCCACATACTGATTTCATTTCCTTTCAATATACAAGTAGTGTAATTACTGGATGATGTAGCTGTTCCAGATTTAATTTTTTGAGGAACCTCAATACTGTTCCATCAGGGCTGTACCAATTTATATTCACATCAACTGTAAAACTGTTTTTTTTCCACACTTGATGACACTTGCTATCTTTTGTCTTTTTGAAAATAGTCATTCCAAAAAGCACATGAAAAAATCCTCACCATCACTGGCCATCAGAGAAATGCAAATCAAAACCATAATGAGATATCATCTCACACCAGTTAGAATGGCAAACATTAAAAAGTCAGGAAACAACAGGTGCTGGAGAGGATGTGGAGAAATAGGAACACTTTTACACTGTTGGTGGGACTGTAAACTAGTTCAACCCTTGTGGAAGTCAGTGTGGTGATTCCTCAGGGATCTAGAACTAGAAATACCATTTGACCCAGCCATCCCATTACTGGGTATATACCCAAAGGACTATAAATCATGCTGCTATAAAGACACATGCACACGTATGTTTATTGCGGCACTATTCACAATAGCAAAGACTTGGAACCAAGCCAAATGTCCAACAATGATAGACTGGATTAAGAAAATGTGGCACATATACCCCATGGAATACTATGCAGCCATAAAAATGATGAGTTCATGACCTTTGTAGGGACATGGATGAAATTGGAAATCATCATTCTCAGTAAACTATCGCAAGAACAAAAAACCAAACACCGCATATTCTTACTCATAGGTGGGAATTGAACAATGAGAACACATGGACACAGGAAGGGGAACATCACACTCTGGGGACTGTTGTGCGGTCGGGGGTTGGGGGAGGGATAGCATTGGCAGATATACCTAATGCTAGATGACGAGTTAGTGGGTGCAGCGCACCAGCATGGCACATGTATACATATGTAACTAACCTGCACATTGTGCACATGTACCCTAAAACTTAAAGTATAATAATAAATTTAAAAAAAAAAAGAAAAAAAGTCATTCCAATGTGTATGAGTCAGTCTAATAGTGTATGAGTTAATATCTTATTGCGGTTTGGATTTGCATTTTCCTGATAGTTAGCGATGTTGAAATTTTTTTTCGTATACCTGTTGGCCCTTTGTATGTCTTCTCTTGAGAAATTCTTTCGACATCCCTTTAACCATTTCTTAATCAGATTATTTGCTGTTCGCTATTGAGTTTCTTACGTATTTTAGATATTAACCCATTTTGAGATGTATTGTTTGCAAATATTTTCTCCCATTTCATAGGTTGACTCTTCACTCCATGATTGTTTCCCTTGCTGTGAAAAAGCTTCTTAGTTTGATGCAATCCTATTTTTCTACTTTTACTCTTGTTGCCTTTGCTTTTGGGGTTATAGTAAAAAAGCATTGCCCAGATTAATGTAAAAAAAGCTTTTTCCCTATGTTTTTTTCTACTAGTTTTACAGTTTCAGGTCTTATGTTTAAATCTTTAATCAATTTTGAGTTGATTTTTGTATATAGGGTAAAACAAGAATCAAGTTTTTTTCTTCTGCTGCATTAAGATGTCCAGTTTTCCCAGCAACACTTATCGAAGTGATTTTCCTTTCCCCATTGTGTGTTCTTGGGACACTTTAATTGATCACATATGTGTGGTTGTATTTCTGGGTTCTCTCTTTTGTTCCTTCAATCTATATATCTGTTTTTATGCCAGCATCAGGCTGTTTCGATTACTACAACATTGTAGTATATTTTGAAATTATCTTATTGGATACATATTTGCCTTTATTTGTATCCTGTTATTTTGTCACCTAACATTCTAGATTATGGAATTCCAAGGCCTCTTCCAAATAAATTCTATACTGATGAATATTACATATTATTTAACACAGAAAGGCAAGTCTTATCCAGCATTGTTTCATATTACAAATATGCGTTCCTAAGCTAAAGAAAAAAAAAAACTATGAGGAGTGAGAAGTAGCTTAGTTCATCAATGGCAATTGGGGGAGGAATTAAATAAATGAAATACTTTGAGTGTCCATTTGTCCATTTAAATTCTTTTTCTTTTATTTATCCCCAAAAAGAGTAGAATTAACTGATTATGAGTATATTATCTTTCTCATATTATTTCTGTCTGTAAAGTGCCCAAAAAATGAACTGAGCAAAAAGGTGGATGGGATCATGAGAAATAAAAATAAGAATCAAAGGATTTACCTAACAGAGCTTGCATTATAACAGTCATTACATTAACAATCTCAGCAATTTCAATGACACAACTGTCTTCAAGATGTAGTGAGAGAGTGAATACCCCAAACAAAAAAAATTACAGAATTTTTGCAGAAAATAAAAGAAGTTTCTAGAAAACTTCTGTAGAGTACTTCATAGAACCCTAAAAAATTCAGTGTACTACAAGTAGTTTGAATAGGTTCAGTAATTTTGCCAATTATGCAACACATTTTTTAAATTATTACAATTTTTTGTGTTTCAAGTAACTGAGCTAAACAAGATACTTGTCTATATAAAGCAGTAAGTCACTGTAAAACTTAGATTTCAGTGTTCTCAAAGGATCGGAAACTATAATAAATTTGATCATCCATGTGGAATAAGGCCTACGTCTATCAGGAAATCAATTAACCTAATCAGTTGAGTGAAATAATAATGTTGTTTTCACTCGGGTATTTTTTCCCATTCGATGTGCTTCTATCAAGAGTGTTCTGAGTACAGATATACAATACTCAACAAGAGGGAACATTGGAAATTATAAGACATGAAATGAAATGAAATAGACTCATAGACCCTAAGATCATTTTATGCATATGGTAGGCATTTAATAAGTGACTATTAATTGATTTAATGAATCCATGTAATATAAGAATACATTTTGTATTTTGTTAATTTGAAATAGAATAGGTTAAACCTCAAGGAACAATATTTCTTTGGCTGAATTAAAAATTCTAATTAACATTAATTTAAACCATCAAGTTTGTAATATATCAGAACACAAAAAATGAAAACATGATTACCCCTGGATTAGAATTCATGAAGTTGCCATTTTTGTTATTTCAAAGTATGTGAAAGATATTTTCTAACATGGAAAGACTATTTGTAATATTTAATGTCAAGGCAAAGTTAATTCAGTTAGAGTGAAAGTATTTGAAATTTTTACAATGTTGCCATGTTATTAGGTGGGTTACACAAAAAGAAAGGCACATATATAAAATGAAGGTTTTAGACATCAAATGAAGTCAAATTATTTTTCCCGTCATTGGGGGGAATAAGAAATAAATAATCAAATGTTGGAAAAGGAAGTGAATTACAACACTTATGATGATGAAAATATGTTTGATAAAACTTTTAAAAACATTATGATGTAATGGTTGGGTGTGGTGGTTCATGCCTAAAATCCCAGCACTTTGGGAGGCCGAGATGGGAGGATCATTTGAGGTCAGGAGTTTGAGACCAGCCTGGCCAACATGGTGAAACCCAGTCTCTACTAAAAATACAAAAATTAGCTGGGCGTGGTGGCATGCACCTGTAATCCCAAACACTCAGGAGGCTGAGGCAGGAGAATTGCTTGAACCCGGGAGGTGGAGGTTGCAGTGAACTGAGATTGCACCACTGCACTCCAGGTTGGGCGACAGAGCTGAACCCAGTCTCAAAACAAACAAACAAACAAACAAACAATATGATGTATTAATATAGCTAAATAACATGCTGGCAGTTTGCCAAACATGATGTTCTCTTTCACACTTGGTCCCCTCTATGCATGTTGTTTCCTTGGCCTGGTTCCCTTTCCTCTTTTCTGCTGATATATAGCTTTTCATGTTAGAAGGCTCAGTTTACTTCACCACTTTTGTGATAATTTTTCCAACTGTTCATGGCACAATTATTGTCAGTTTTGCTATAATGCCTGTTTTGAAAAAGTAAATTTGTTCTAAAGGAATTGATAAAAAGAAAAAAATTAAGGTTACTTATGCATGATTTCCTCCATGAGAAACATGTGGGGAATGCAAAAAAACTGCACCAGCTGTGTCCAAGCTAAGTGGAGATACACAAAATGTACCCTAATCCACACATACCACAAACATGCACCAGCTCTCTCCATTCACTGGGTGTTTTATAAGCCACACCTATCTGCACCTAATACAACCTTTCCTCTGATTTCAGCTCACTGTCCTCCTACTTCCTAATAATTCACAAGCTGCAACCCTTTTAATACTCACTTCCAAAAGCAAACCAGATTTTATGGTAAAAATACCCACATTATTGTATCATGTATGTGTTTCTTAACTATTCACACACACACAAACATTGTCATTTTCATTAGATTCTTATTTTTAAAAATATGGCAGTGACAAAATTTTTGAATGCTGAACTCCAAGCCCATTTGATCATTAGCCCTGTGTTTTTTAAATTGTGTAATTCTACATGGTGTGATAATTTTTCAGGAACATGTATGTCATATTTATAACAGAACTGACTATACTACCATTAGTAACTTCTGTGATTCAGTAGTACTTAGCATACTGAGTTGCATTTATTTGTATACTTACCTATTTTCTCCACTAGAATGTGCAAATGTCCTAAATTGGGAGAGAATCAGGTACTAGAAAGGAGCTGAATAGTGCTGAGGAGGGTGGTGGAATGAGGGCTGGTAGTGGAGACGATGGTGGGGGTTGGGTAAAGAGCAGGAAGGGAACTAGGATGAAGACTAGTGCAGTAGCCTCACCTGGTGGCATAGAGTTGATGGGTTACAATGGGTAGAGAAAAAAGTAGACTGTATCTTCTCTCTGAGCTACAATCAATCAATCAATCAATCAAATGACCATTCAAACCCACTGATTTCACCTCACGGCTGCTCTTCTGTTTCTTTCCTTCTCCCCTGTTATGGACTCAATGTTTGTGTCTCAATACATTCCCATGTCAAAACCCCAGCCTCCAATGTGATTGTATTTGGAAATGGGGCCTTTGGGAGGTAATGAGTTAGACGAGGTCATGAGGGTAGAATCCTCATAATAGGATTAGTGCCTTCATAAGGAAAGACACCAGAGAGCTTGCTCTCTCTTTGCTCCCACAAAGAAGTCACGTGAGCACACAGCAAAATGGCGACTGCCTACCAGCTGAGAGGAGGCCTCAGGTAAAACTTGCTTTGCCAGCCCCTGGATGATTGATTTCTCTACCTCCTAAACTGTGCAAAAAATAAATTGCTGTTGCTTAAACTTCCCTATCTATGACAATTTGACAGGGCAGCCTGAACTAATACATCTTCATAAATACAAACTGTACCCTGACATGTATGTAAGGTATGCATATATGCCATGTATGGCCTTTCAAAGTCTTGATTGATTTCTCTCACCTACAGAAAAAAGTTTGGGTATCTTAAAATGTCATGCCAATTCTTACACGATTTTAATTCTGCATACCTTTCCAGCCTCAGGTCTTCTCAGTTCTGACCTTTCAAATACTAACTTCTTTGTAGTTCTTTGAACACAGATAGTGTTTTCTCATCAATGCTTTTGTCCACACAAATTCATTGCTTAGGATGTCATTTCTCTTCATCTTCAAATGCAATCTTCTAATTTCTTTAATATGGAGCTCAATCAAAAACTTTTCCAGAAAGCTTTACCTCAGGCTAGTCGGTGCTTTCATAATTCCCACTGAGTCTCCTTATCATTGCCTTGGGCATATCTGTTTATATTTGATTATATGCTCCTTGAAGGCAGTGATCATCTTCCTCATCCTAATTCATAGTGGGTACTCAATAAATATTTATCAAATAAACATAAATGGTCAGCACAGTAACTTGGCACAAGTATCACGTATTCAGTAAATGACAATTACTATTATTATTTTATAATGTTGAAGTCTTTTTTGTGAAGTGGTTATTAACAACTCCATACAAAGTTAGGATTCCAATGAAAAGATGTGTTTTCATTTGAAAGCCTTCAGGGCTCAGTCATGTCATGTTAGCAGTGAGTAGTGCTGAATTTGGCATAATAGTTAATGATCTTATTTACGTCTTCCAAGCAATCCTCAGTAGCATTTTTTTACCATGCTCTGATCAAAAACATACCAGCTACAGCCAGGCATGGCTCAACGCCTGTAATCCCACCACTTTGGGAGGCTGAGGTGGGTGGATCACCTGAGGGATCGAGAGTTCCTGATCGGGAGTTCGAGATCAGTCTGGCTAATATAGTGAAACTTGGTCTCTACTTAATATACAGAATAAGCTGGGCATGGTGGCACATGCCTATAATCCCAGCAACTCAGGAGGATGTGGCAGGAGAATCGCTTGAAATCAGGAGGCGGAGGTTGCAGTGAACCGGGATTGTGCCACTGCACTCCAGCCTGGGTGACAGTGTGAGACTCAGTTTCAAAACCAAAACCAAAACCAAAACCAAAAACAAAACAACAAAACAAAAAAACCTAGCTTCTACACAAAAGCGTCTAATCTCAGCCCCAGTGCTGTATAGATGTAGTTGTGCTAACCATGCAAATCTGGTATCTTTCAACATCCATTGAACAAGTATGAATCTTATATGCACCCAATACAGGAGCACCCAGATTCATAAAGCAAATCCTTAGAGACCTACAAATAGACTTAGACTGCTACACTATAATAATGGGAGACTTTAACACCCCACTGTCAACATTAGAAAGATCAACGAGACAGAAAGTTAACAAGGTTATCCAGGAATTGAACTCAGCTCTGCACCAAGCAGACCTAATAGACATCTACAGAACTCTCCACCCCAAATCAACAGAATATACATTCTTTTCAGCACCACACCACACCTATTCCAAAATTGACCACATACTTGGAAGTAAAGCTCTCCTCAGCAAATGCAAAAGAACAGAAATTATAAGAAACTGTCTCTCAGACCACAGTGCAATCAAACTAGAACTCAGGATTAAGAAACTCACTCAAAACCACTCAACTACATGGAAACTGAAAAACCTGCTCCTGAATGACTACTGGGTACATAACAAAATGAAGGCAGAGATAAAGATGGTGTTTGAAATCAATGAGAACAGAGACACAACATACCAGAATCTCTGGAAAACATTCAAAGCAGTGTGTAGAGGGAAATTTATAGCACTAAATGCCCACAGGAGAAAGCAGGAAAGATCTAAAATTGACACCCTAACATCACAATTAAAAGAACTAGAGAAGCAAGAGCAAACACATTCAAAAGCTAGCAGAAGGCAAGAAATAACTAAGGTCAGAGCAGAACTGAAGGAAATAGAGACAAAAAAAAACCCATCAAAAAATCAATGAATCCAGGAGCTGGTTTTTTGAAAAGATCAACAAAATTGATAGACCGCTAGCAAGACTAATAAAGAAGAAAAGAGAGACGAATCAAAAAGACGCAATAAAAACTGATAAAGGGGATATCACCACTGATCCCACAGAAATACAAAATACCATCAGAGAATACTATAAACACCTCTACACAAATAGACTAGAAAATCTAGAAGAAATGGATAAATTCCTCGACACATACACTCTCCCAACACTAAACCAGGAAGAAGTTGAATCTCTGAATAGACCAATAACAGGCTCTGAAATTGAGGCAATAATTAATAGCCTACCAACCAAAAAACGTCCAGGACCAGATGGATTCGCAGCCGAATTCTACCAGAGGTAAAAGGAAAAGCTAGTACCATTCCTTCTGAAACTATTCCAATCAATAGAAAAAGAAGGAATCCTCCCTAACTCATTTTATGAGGCCAGCATCATCCTGATACCAAAGCCTGGCAGAGACACAACAAAAAAAGAGAATTTTAGACCAATAACCCTGATGAACATTGATGCAAAAATCCTCAATACAATAATGGCAAACCAAATCCAGCAGCACATCAAAAAGCTTATCCACCATGATCAAGTGGGCTTCATCCCTGGGATGCAAGGCTGGTTCAACACACACAAATCAATAAACGTAATCCAGCATATAAACAGAACCAAAGACAAAAGCCACATGATCATCTCAATAGATGCAGAAAAGGCCTTTGACAAAATCCAACAGCCCTTCATGCTAAAAACTCTCAATAAATTAGGTATTGATGGGACGTATCTCAAAATGATAAGAGCTATCTATGACAAACCCACAGCCAATATCATACTGAATGGGCAAAAACTGTAAGCATTCCCTTTGAAAACTGGCACAAGACAGGGATGCCCTCTCTCACCACTCCGATTCAACATAGTGTTGGAAGTTCTGGCCAGGGCAATCAGGCGGAAAAAGGAAATAAAGGGTATTCAATTAGGAAAAGAGGAAGTCAAATTGTCCCTGTTTGCAGATGACATGATTGTACATTTAGAAAACCCCATTGTCTCAGCCCAAACTCTCCTTAAGCTGATAAGCAACTGCGGCAAACAGTTAGGATACAAAATCAATGTGCAAAAATCACAAGCATTCCTATACACCAATAACAGACAGAGAGTCAAATCATGAGTGAACTCCCATTCACAATTGCTTCAAAGAGAATAAAATACCTAGGAATCCAATTTACAAGGGATGTGAAGGACCTCTTCGAGGAGAACTACAAACCACTGCTCAACAAAATAAAAGAGGACACAAGCAAATGGAAGGGCATTCCATGCTCATGGATAGGAATACAGTGAAAATGGCTGTACTGCCCAAGGTAATTTATAGATTCAATGCCATCCCCATCAAGCTACCAATAACTTTCTTCACAGAATTGGAAAAAACTACTTTAATGTTCATATGGAAGCAAAATGAGCCCACATTGCCAAGATAATCCTAAGCAAAAAGAGCAAAGCTGGAGACATCATGCTACCTGACTTCAAACTATACTACAAGGCTACGGGAACCAAAACACCATGGTACTGGTACCAAAACAGAGATATAGACCAATGGAACAGAACAGAGCCCATAGAAATAATGCCACATATCTACAACTATCTGATCTTTGACAAACCTGACAAAATCAAGAAATGGGGAAAGGATTCCCTATTTAATAAATGGTCCTGGGAAAACTGGCTAGCCATATGTAGAAAGCTGAAACTGGATCCCTTCCTTACACCTTATACAAAAATTAATTCAAGATGGATTAAAGACTTAAATGTTAGACCTAAAACCATAAAAACCCTAGAAGAAAACCTAGGCATTACCATTCAGGACATAGGAATGGGCAAGGACTTCATGTCTAAAACACCAAAAGCAATGGCAACAAAAGCCAAAATTGACAAATGGGATCTAATGAAACTAAAGAGCTTCTGCACAGCAAAAGAAACTACCAACAGAGTGAACAAGCAACCTACAGAATGGGAGAAAATTTTTGCAACCTACTCATCTGACGAAGGGCTAATATCCAGAATCTACAATGAACTCCAACAAATTTACAAGAAAAAAAACAAACAACCCCATCAACAAGTGGGCGAAGGATATGAACAGACACTTCTCAAAAGAAGACATTTATGCAGCCAAAAGACACATGAAAAAATGCCCATCATCACTGGCCATCAGAGAAATGCAAATCAAAACCACAATGAGATACCATCTCACACCAGTTAGAATGGCAGTCATTAAAAAGTCAGGAAACAACAGGTGCTGGAGAGGATGTGGAGAAATAGGAACACTTTTAAACTGTTGTGGGACTGTAAACTAGTTCAATCATTGTGGAAGTCAGTGTGGCGATTCCTCAGGGATCTAGTACTAGAAATACCATTTGACCCAGCCATCCCATTACTGGGTATATACCCAAAGGATTATAAATCATGCTGCTATAAAGACACATGCACACGTATGTTTATTGGGGCACTATTCACAATAGCAAAGACTTGGAACCAAGCCAAATGTCCAACAATGATAGACTGGGTTAAGAAAATGTGGCACATATATACCATGGAATACTATGCAGCCATAAAAAAGATGAGTTCATGACCTTTGTAGGGACATGGATGAAGCTGAAAACCATCATTCTCAGCAAACTATCGCAAGGACAAAAAACCAAACACCGCATGTTCTCACTCATAGGTGGGAATTGAACAATGAGAACACATGGACACAGGAAGGGAACATCACACACCGGGGCCTGTCGTGGGGTGGGGGGAGTGGGGAGGGATAGCATTAGGAGATATACCTAATATTAAATGACGAGTTAATGGGTGCAGCACACCAACATGGCACATGTATATACATGTAACAAACCTGCACGTTGTGCACATGTACCCTAAAACTTAAAGTATAATTTTAAAAAAAAGAAAAAAAATAAAGATGTGAGTCTGACCCTCTAGATCAGGTAAACTAAATTCAATCTTTCTATCCAATTTCCCTGGCTTCATCAGTGCTGAATCCAAAGTATCAGGTCTGTTAGTGGCCATCAGCACTTAATATTGCCTTGAGGGTCAAAGCCATCCAACTGATGAATTAGTTCTCACATTTTTCTCTGTACTTCATTGTCACCTCCAGCACCATCATCAAACTGAGCTCTTCCAATAGCATCAGTTTCATCAAAGAAGATAAGGCAGGCGTTTCTTGTTCTGGCCATTGGGAAGAGCTCATGAATCATTCCAGCCCCTTTGCAGATATATTTCTGTAAAAGTTAATATCCAATAACTCAATGAAGCAAGCATCAGTCCTATTTAGCAACCACCTAAGCACAGAGTGTCTTGCACCTAGTGGACCAAAGAGCACACTCTTGGGAGGCTCCATGCCAAGGTTAACAAATCTCTCTGGATGAAGTAGTGGGGTTTCAACTACTTACAATGTCTCAATCTGTTCCCTACAGCCAACAACATCACTGTATATGACATCAGGTTTTTACTCCACTGGCATCATGGTAATTGTTGGATCAATCTTAGAAAGTATGGGAATATGAATTTAATACTTACATTCTTCCACATCAAATTTCATCCCTGCCTCAATGTCAGTAGATCACTGAGGTCTGCCATAAACTTAGCAATCTGCTCCACATTGACAATGTATTTTGAGTTCTCAGAATCAGCATTTACTATCTTTCTACACCTTGCAACCTGTAAACATTGTTCACCCTGGAGCATTTGCTTATTTGCAGCCAAATCCCAGAGTGCTGGTGGTGGCCAGGCTAGTGTCAGACTCTTTAACACTACTGAGATAATTAATTTTCTTAAGAAGTTGTTGAATGTCATTCTCAACCTGCTTAATCTGCCTAGAATAAGTGCTCTGACCACGATTTTTCAGCAAGGCAGTATCCTCTTCATTCAGAGCTCAAAAGTGTTTGTCATCCTTCTCATCCTTTTTGATTTTCCACTGATCAGCACTGAGGTAATCCAGCATTTTAAGAGATGCCAGTGCTTCAGCTCCTTAGTGATTACACCGCCTTACTATTATTTCTTTTATGCACTGTTGCTAGTGAACTTTTAGCTTTCTGCAGGAAATGTGAAAGTAATAAAGAGACTCAAGAAAGAACTCCATGTTGAAATAGGTTTGTACAATTTTTCTGACCTTTTGCAGCCTCCTTTTAAATTCCTTATCATATGCTTGTTTGCATTAAAAAACGCTACACTTGGCTGGGCACAGTGGCTCACGCCTGTAATCCTAGCACTTTGGGAGGCCGAGGTGGGTGGATCATTTTAGATCAGGAGTTTGAAACCAGCCTGGCCAACATGGTGAAACCCTGTGTCTACTAAAAATGTGAAAAAAATTATCCGGGTGTGGTGGTGCATACCTAAAATCTCAGCTACCTGGGAGGCTGAGGCAGGAGAATCGCTTGAACCTGGGGTGTGGAGGTTGCAGTGAGCTGAGATATCGCCACTGCACTCCAGCTTGGGTGACAAAGTGAGACTCCATCTCAAAAACAAAAACAAAAACAAAAAAACAACAAAAAAACTATACTTGCAGGGCAAAGGAGGTCATTTTTATAGGAAGTAATTCATAAAACTGACAATTTAGCTGTAGTAATCAAGAGTTGTCCATTCCCATATAGACAATGTTAAAAAATAAAGGGTGAAAAGCAAAGTGCTTTTGTATGACTTATGATATCGGTGGAATTTGAAATTTAGAACTAAGGATTTTTTTTCAATTGGTTGGTAATTTAAGAGAAAAGTAATATCACTTGACTTCACTCTGAAGCACACATCCAGAAAAATCTATAGCTCTAGCACTCCAGAGAAGTTCAACCTCCTATAAATGAAGAAATAGAACGTGGTTTTATTTTCCACTTGTGATGTACATAAGTTTATTTCTTGAAAAATGCTATCTGAGGTGAGTAAAGGGAAAGTAGCCTAGGCTAATAATTTAGACTAGAAGTACATGCATTGAAGGTACATTGAAAATGTCATAAAAAAAGTCATTTCACGTGGGAGCTGGGTTAGCCATAGCTTTAAGAAGTTTTCTTTAAAAACAGCTTTACCTGAGAAAGCAGCTGAAATAACTGCATCTTTCATTTTCTTTTATTGCACAAAATATCAATAAATACTGCTGGTTTTAAGCATTTTCTATTTAGAAGCAATCTTTATTCTTTTCTATTTCCAGTTTTATCACCAGTTTAAATTCTTAGATAGAATATGTTATAGGTACACTTTTCTGATTCAAAAAATCTCTGAAAAACACATTTTGTTCAGATCATTAAGAAATAGGCAAATTATTTATTCTTGCTATTATAACATATCATTTCTTAGTAGGTAATCTATTCCTATTCCCATTTATACTTTTATTTCCTTTTAAGGTTATAAGTAGTACAATGACCAGGTTTAACTGTTTATATTATTTCCAATCTATACTTACTGCTATATGAAAATATCTGAACCATGTTATTCAAAATACATTTTACAAACATAATAATTTTAACTTTTTATTGGTCTATTTAATAAAAGGCTAATCAAGATCAAATTTTATTTTATCTGGGACATTGACAACTCGGGAAAAACAAGTTTAGCTTTGAAGGCTTAATAGATATAGCTCTGCCTTGATAAAATCTTTTGGCTTCTTCATTCCTTTAATTCTTCATTTCTTCCTTTAAAGTACAAGAGTGCATTACGGGCAGGGTGGCTCATGCCTGTAATCCCAGCACTTTGGGAGGCCCAAGAGAGTGGATCATGAGGTTGGGAGTTCGAGACCAGCCTGGCCAATATGGTGAAACCCCGTCCATACTAAAAATACAAAAATTAGCCAGGTGTGGTGGCATGTGCCTGTAGTCCTAGCTACTTGGGAGGCTGAGCAGAAGAATTGCTTGAACCCGGGAGGCAGAGGTTGCAGTGAGCTGAGATCAGGCCACTGCATTCCAGCCTGGGTGACAAAGCGAGACTCTGTCTCAAAAAAAGAAAAAAAAAATCTTTTAATATGTAATCAAGCGCAAGCAATAAAAAATATTTTGAAAGGATTATAACTTTTGCATTCATTTCTATGTTTCCCCATAACTCCAAGCACAGAAAGGCCTTAATAATCATTTAATTGAGGCTTAATGATGGCATAACCAGCTATTATATAGCTTCTTGAAATCCAGAAGGCTGTTTTAGGATTGGGTGGGGACCTTAAATGGTCATTTGCTATTAAGCACGATCACACTAAAATTCTGGAGACAGATTCAGTTATCTCATGGACTCATTGTGAAATCAGTTTGCTCACATAACTAAATGCTAACTGGGACAAGGGATTTGGGAGCACACTGGGAATGTTAGGACATGGTTTTGATTGCAACATTCTCATAAACTATCTATAGGAAAAAAGGGGTTATGCCTACAATCAAGCTTTGTATATTTGCATGCAAGCCACAAACTAAGACCTATTTCTGCTGTATGGACATCTGCAAAATCTCAGGGACTATTTGGAGAAAGGAATAAGCTGCATTTCTGATATAGTCATAGTATAAGCAACCCAAATTGGCCATCCATATCTCTACATTAGTGATTCCTGGTTTTTGCAATTGCAATTACTTGGATCAGAAAAAATCCAAAGAGAAAATATTCTTTCATGTAAGGACATTTATAAAATATTATTGCTCATCATTTCATTTATTTATTTATTTTCCCATTTTTTCCAGCCTTGTTGAGGTATACTTGACAAATAACAGTTGGATATATTCGAGATATACAGTGTAATGATTTGACATACACATGAATTGTGAAATGATTGCCACATTACACTAATTAACACATCAATTGCCTTGCAGTTCTCTTTTTAGTTAAGATTCACCAATTCATGTGCTCTTTTTGTTGGTGACCAATAATATATTTCCCCCTTTTTATTTGTACAAATCTACGCAGTACACGTGCAATTTTGTTACATGCATATATTGTATAGGGGTAAAGTCAGGGCTTTTAGAGCACCCATCACCTGAATAATATACATGGTGGAGAAGACGATCTAACGTCTATGGACTATGGTGAAACGCCAAGGAGAATATCTACAGAAAAGGGGGAACTCAAAAAGACAAACTTTTTGGATGTGACCAAACACATAAAACAGTGAGGAATTCCACAGAGAAACAAAGTTGGCCTTTCAGAGAAAAAGAGATGTTTCAATTTGATAATATTTGTATGAGCATGAAAATCATCAAATACTGGTTACCTAAGTCAAAAATCAACTCCTAAAATTTCATTTTATAATTCAGTTTTGAAAATATTCCTCAAGTATAAACTAATTTTTATCTTTTTGAAGTAAATTTTAAACTAATATTTGGGGAATTAGGTCTATTCCATTCAGTTCGCCTATCTCCTATTTAAGGAGCCATTTGTAAGCCTCTATTAAGTCAAATTTCTTAAAAACATCAGTAGAAAAGTAACAGAATTGGTGGACTGGTTATACCTTAATACATACTTTTGAAAAAAGAGATTCTTCAAATAATCTCAAAACCACCCAAGTCATCCAAAGTTACATTGTAATTTAAGGAATAAGAACATTTAATAAGCATATTTTAAAAGTTTAGTGAAAAATTCAAGTTTATATTCAACTTAAATATTTATTTGCTAAGCCTTCAGAAAAAAATGTATTTCTCAAACAGCATGGAATTGGAAATACGATAAATCTTATTTGTTATGGGTTTTATGGTTTAAAAACCTTCAATTTAACAAGTTACAAACATAATTACATTTTTAAGAACTCAGAGCTACTTAACAGTAGATAGCAGTAAATTTTAAGTCTTCCTTTTTTTTTTTTACATCTGCACTATTGGCATATATCTTCTTATAATCAAATTTTAAATAAACATAAGTAAGAATAAATCCAAGAAACAACTTTAACTCAAACTGTGCTTACTTTGTATACAATTTGGTTTCAAAAATATAAGAAATGTACCTTCTTCTAAGTGTTCTGTAATCTTGGATTTCATGCGTAATAACCTAGTAAGCAAGTAATGACTGCACTAAGAGCTAAAAAGGAAATTTTATCAAATTTTATTGAGTATTCTCCATATGCTAAAAATATGCTAAGAATAAAAGACAAATGGTCCTGTCCACCTGGATTATACAGCCTTGATGAGATAATGATAAAAAGAATTACCTTTGAAGTACTTTTAAAGTACTGTGTAATCATCCAGAGTGTACATCTTGGCCTTTGGAAGGAGTAGGAAGAGCCAGAGATAACTACAAAAGAATGCTGTGTTTAGAGTAATGTTGAAAGATAGGGCAGTCACAGCCAATATCATACTAAATGGGCAAAAGCTGGAAGCATTCCCCTTGAAAACTAGCACCAGACAAGGATGCCCTCTCTCACCATTTCTATTCAATATAATATTGGAAGTTCTGGCCAGGGCAATCAGGCAAGAGAAAGAAATAAAGGCATTCAAATACAAAGAGAGGAAGTTAAACTATCCCTGTTTGCAGAAGACATGGTCCTATATCTAGAAAACCCCACCATCTCAGCTCAAAAGCTTCTTAAGCTAATAAGCAACTTCAGCAAAGTCTCAGGATACAAAATCAATGTGAAAAAATTACTAGCATTCTTATACACCAACAACAGTCAAGCCAAGAGCCAAATAAGGAATGAACTCCCATTCACAATTGTCACAAAAAGGATAAAATACTTAGGAATACAGCTAATTAGGAAAGTGAAAGATCTCTACAAAGTGAACTACAAACCACTGCTCAAAGAAATCAGAGATCACACAAATTAAAAAAAATCCCATATTCATGGACAGGAAGTATCAATATCATGAAAATAGCCATACTGCCCAAAGCAATTTGTAGATTCAATGCTGTTCACATTAAACTACCATTGCCATTCTTCACAGAATTAGAAAAAACTATTTTAAAATCCATATGAAACTAAAAGGGAACCTAAATTGTCAAGTCAATCCTAAACAAAAGAAACAAAACTGGAGGCGTTGCACTACCCAACTTCAAAGTATACTACAGGGCTAGACTAACCAAAGCAGCATGGTACTGGAAGAACAGACACATAGAGGGCCAATGGAACAGAATAGAGAACCCAGAAATAAGACTGTGCACCTACAATTATCTGATCTTTGACAAACCTGACAAAAGCCAGCAATGGGGAGAGGATTCCCTATTCAATAAATTGTTCTGGGATAACAGGCTAGCCATATGCAGAAGATTAAAACTGGACCCCTTCCTTACATCATATACAAAAATCAACTCAAGATGGATTTTAAATGTAAAATGTAAATGTAAAACCCAAACCTATAAAAATCCTGGAAGACAACCTAGGCAATAGCATTCAAGATATAGGTACGAGCAAAAATTGCATGACAAAGACACCCAAAGCAATTGCAACAAAAGCAAAAATTGAAAAAATGAGATTTAATTAAACTGAAGAGCTTCAGCACAGCAAAAGAAACTACCAACAGAGTAAACAGACAACCTAAAGAATGGGAGAAAATTTTTGCAGTTTACCCATCTGACAAAGGTCTAATATTCAGCATCTACAAGTAACTTAAACACATTTACAATAAAACAAACAACCCCATTAAAAAGTAGGCAAATAACATGAACAGACATTTTTCAAAAGAAGACATACATGTGGCCACCAAGCATATGAAAAAAAGCTTAACATCACTGATCATTAAATGCAAATCAAAATCACAATGAGATACCATCTAACACCAGTCAGAATAACTACTATTAAAAAGTCAAAAAATAACAAATGCTGGCAAGGTTGTGGAGAAAAAGGAACACTTATACACTGTTGGTAAGAGGGTAAATTAGTTCAGCCTTTGTGGAAGACAGTGTAGATTCTCTGCAGATTTGACTAGTGCAATAACATGAACACATTTACAGAAACTGGAGCTTTTTGGTTGATATGGTTTGGTTGTGCCCTCACCCAAATCTCCTCTTGAACTGTAGCTCCCACAATCCCCACATGTCATGGGAGGGACCTGGTGGGAGGTAACTGCATCATGGGGGCAGGTTTTCCTGTGCTGTTCTCATGATAGTGAATAAGTCTCATGAGATCTGAAGGTTTTATAAAGGGCACTTCCCCTGTACATGTTCTCTTGCCTGCCACCATGTAAGATGTGCCCTTGCTCCTCCTTTGCCTTCTGCCATGATTATAAGACCTCCCCAGTCATGTGGAACTGTGAGTCCATTAAATCTCTTTTTCTTTATAAATTACCCAGTCTTGGGTAGTTCTTCATAGCAATATGAAAATGGACTAATACAGTAAATTAGTACGAAGTAATGGGGTGCTGCTGTAAAGATACCCAAAAATGTTGAAGTTACTTTGGAACTGGGTAACAGGCAGAGGTTGGAACAGTTGGAGGACTCAGAAGAAGACAGGAAAATGTGGGAAAGTTTGGAACTTCCTAAAAACTTGGAAGGCTCATAAGACAAGATGTGGGAAAGTTTGGAACTTCCTAGAGAATTGTTGAATGGCTTTGACCAAAATGCTGATAATGATATGGACAATAAAGTCCAGGCTGAGGTGGTCTCTGATGGAGATGAGGAACTTGTTGGGAAATGGAGTAAAAGTGACTCCTGTTATGCTTTAGCAATGAGACTGGCAGCATTTGACCCTGCCCTAGAGATCTGTGAAACTTTGAACTTGAGAGAGATGATTTAGGGTATTTGGTGGAAGAAATTTCTACGCAGAAAAGTATTAGAGATGTGACTTGGGTGCTCTTTAAAGCATTTAGTTTTATTCATTCACAAAGATATGGTTTGGAACATTTAAAATGTTTGGAATGTTTAAAAGGGAAGCAGAGCATAACAGTTTGGAAAATTTGCAGCCTGACAATGCAATAGAAAAGAAAAACCCATCTTCTGATTTTCTGAGGAGAAAATCAAGCTGGCTGCATAAATTTGCATAGTAATGAGGAGTAAATGTTAACTGCCAAGACAATGGGGAAAATGTTTCCAGGGCATGTCAAAGACCTTCCAGCAGCCCCTCCCATCACAGGCCCAGAGGCCTAGAAGGAAAAAATGGTTTCGTGGGCTGGGCCCAGGCCCCCACTGCTGTGTGTAGCCTTGGTACTTGGTGCCCTGTGTCCCAGCTGCTCCAGCCTTGACTAAACTGTGCCAAGGTACAGCTCAGGTCAGGGCTTCAGAGGGTGGAAGCCCCAAGCTGTGGCAGCTTCCATGTGGTGTTGAGTCTGTGAGTGCACAGAAGTCAGGAATTGAAGTTTGGGAGCCTCTGCCTAGATTTCAGAGGATGTATGGAAACACGTGGATGTTCAGGCAGAAGTTTGCTGCAGGGATGGGGCCCTCATTGAGAACCTCTGACAGGGCAGTGTGGAAGGCAAATGTGGGGTTAGAGCTCCCTACGCCCACAGTCCCCACTGGGGCACTGCCTAGTGGAGCTGCAAGAAGAGGGCCCCCATCCTCCAGACCCCAGAATGGTAGATCCACCAACAGTTTACACTGTGTACCTGGAAAAGACACAGACACTCAATGCCAGCCTATTACAGCAGCCAGCAGGGAGGGCTGTATCCCGCAAAGCCACAGAGACAGAGCTGGCCAAGACTGTGGGAGCCCACCTCTTGCATCAGCATGACCTGGATGTGAGACATGGTGTCAAAGGATATCATTTTGGAGCTTTAAGATTTGACTGCCCTGCTGGATTTTGGACTTGCATAGGGCCTATAGACCCTTCGTTTTGGCCAGTTTCTCCCATTTGGAACAGGTGTATTTACCCAATGCCTGTACCCCCATTGTATATAGGAAGTAACTAACTTGCTTTTGATTTTACAGGCTCTAAACAGAAGGGACTGGCCTTGTCTCAGATGAGACTTTGAACTGTGGGACTTTGAGTTAATGATGAAATGAGTTAAGACTTCGGGTGACTGTTGGGAAGGCATGATTCGTTTTGAAATGTGAGGATATGACATTTGATAGGGGCCAGAGGCAGAATGATATGATTTGGCTCTGTCCTCACCCAAATCTCATCTTGAATTATAGCTCCCATAATCCCTAATGTGTCTTCAGAAGGACCTGGTGGGAGGCAATTGAATCATGGGGGTGGGCTTTCCCATGCTGTTCTCATGATAGTGATTAACGCTCACAAGATCTGGTGGTTTTATAAAGGGCAGTTCCCCTGCACACACACTCTTGCCTGCTGCCATGTAAAACATAGCTTTGCTCCTCCTTCACCTTCCACCATGATTGTGAGGCCTTCCCAGCTATGTGGAAATATGAGTCCATTAAACCTCTTTTTCTTTATAAATTACACAGCCTTGGGTATTTCTTCATAGCCATGTGAAGAAGTACATAATACATTGGTGTAAGGCATTGTGAAATTTTTTACATAATTTTTATAATCATCACTTTGTTTGGGGGAGATCAGATGTCTGACATTTCTCTTTCTCAAGGGATAGTCAACAGAAATTGCTAATTTGTGTACAAGTATTGTGTTCAATATGAGTTGAATGTCCAGCAGCAAGAGTTGTGTAACTCCTCAAGTGGGAAAAGTATAAAAAACAACAAAAGAGCTTTGAAGTCCTTCATCTGTATTTTTAGGGAAAAAATATTAAAAGTGATCTTAGGCAGAAAGTCCATGACCAGGATCCCATTATCAGTGGGAAATTAGTGCAAGAGGTGGGAGGTTATTATTAGTTTTTTTTTTTCAGCAGGAAATAGTCAGAGAAGATGCCTTAAAATGAAGGAAAAAAAGAGCCCTGTTTCAGAGGAACAAGCTCTCAAGAATTTTGATATAAAATAAGCAAGAATCAGCACCAATCCCCTTGGGGGTGTTTTGAGACTATATTAAGAAAGATGAACATAAAGAGAGAGTGAAAAGACTAGGAATCGGTTGAAATGCGCACTTGTAGTTTGCAAACTGCTCTATTTACAAACAGATGCAAAATACTTGGTGTTTGACAGAAAATAAGTTATGCTTATTTTAATAAGTAGATAATTTTTTGAGAATTTTTCATTTACTTAGCTATGGTATGAATCTAGGGCAGGAGTTGGGACACACCTTCTCCATTAGTAATGGAAGTACACCACTGACTTGAGGTCTGGACTGTAAAAAGTGAATGGCCATCTTATATGATAGGGTGTTTTGAATCCTTGACATTTGATGTGGACAGACTTGATCAACAGCATGCTCAGCTCCAGAATCTTAAGCAAATTAATGCAGGAACAGAATACCAAATATCACATGCTCTCACTTATAAGTGGGAATTAAACACTGAGCACACATGGACATAAAGATGGGAACAACAGACACTGTGAACTAATAGAGTGGGGGGGGGGGGAGGGGGGAGGGAGAAGATGTGGGCTGAATAACTAACTACTGGGGACTATGCTCACTACCTGGATGCAATATACCCATGTAACAAACCTGCACGGGTACCCCCTCTATCTAAAATAAAAGTTGAAATTAAAAAAAAATGCTCAGAAGCACATGGGTGTTCCAAAATGGTAATTCCCAAATGGCCCTGCCCAAGCCCAGAGACTATTCATGATCACCTAGTGTCAACATTTAGTGAAAAGGGATGACTGCCGAATTACTTTGGTTTAACATACAGAGTCAAAGTGTACCCAGTGAGATGGACTGTCCAGGGGTGATCTGACAAAACCAACACTAGACTGAAAGTTGTGGCTGTGAATCTCAGTTATCTATTACTGTATTACACCATTTCAAAGGGTGGGACCAAGTTTTATTTTTCTATGTGTTTCTTGCAAGACACATGAACATAATAGGCCTTGATAATCATTGAGTAAATGATTACGAATGAATGAATAAATGGATGGATGGATGGATGGATGGATGGATGGATGGATGGATGGATGTGTTGTTGAACATTTAACCTCAATAGCTTTCCTGCCAATTATCTGACATTTACCAGTAAATTTCTTGGATACTTGATTGTCTACTTTTTGATTTCTTTATGTTTTGTGATTTTTAAAAAAATCCTTTAATATCCTTCTCTGTCTTGTCTGGCTATTTCTGAGCTCTAACTACCCTACTTTGGTCTCACTCCATTATCATCCAAGCTCTAATAACAGTCATCATAACAAAATTATGTTGTCATATTTAAATCTTTCCTCACATCCACTCACCAGAATGACTGTTCTATTTGTACAGTGTCTCATAATATATGCCTCTCTATTTAATGCCAACTGTGATTATTCAAGTTTAGATAATAACTTTATAAGTGACCTTGCTACACCAACAAACTGACTGAAAGTGTCTTCTCAGCATAATGTTGGAACTTCCACCCAGGCACTCTATACTCTAACCACCTGGATCTACTACCTTTCCACTTTTAAATCACTGTGTCTTTGTCTTTATTACAGCTGTTCTGTTTTAAATAATGCCCCAACTCCCTATCCCCTGTTACATACGTACACACACACCAAAGTTTTATTCCTTTAAGACCTTTATGAAAACTCACTGCATGACTGCTTCTCTTTTTCACTCAGGCAGAATTTATTACTTTCTTGTTCTGGGCTCCAACAATAGCATTCATCACTCTATTGAAATAACCTGAAGGACAACGTGAAATAAGGTTTTAATCCTGTTTGAATCCCTTAAAGCTAGCATAGTGACTATTCAGTAAGCATTTCCTGATTGTCATATACCTTGACAGACACAGAACCCCATGAAATGAAGTGGTAATTTATAAAACGATTGCCTGCTATTATCACACACCTTTTCATCATCAAAGGAGGTAAGCCATGGAGAAAGAGCCTGCAAACATATGCCTTAGAGGATTAAAAATAGTAAGGAAAAAGAATTTTAAAAGGCTGTTGTCTCTATGGCATGATTTTCCTGCACACCACCATGCACTCCTCAGCCTATGTGGAATGCCCATTTTCTTGCTCATTCTCAGAAAAGCACTGCCATCCTCCCTAGGTTATATAACTCCAGGTAAGTTTTCAGATTGAGTCCCTAAACACCAACACCCACTAAGTTACTTGTTGGGCTGACTGGTTCTCAGTGTAGATCAGGAATGGTATAAGATATGTTGGTTACATTTTATCATACCAGAAACAAGGAAGTTATCAATGATGACCGGGGTCAAGTCTAAAGTTCTCTGGAGCCAATCTGAAGTGGCTGTCATTGACCAAAGTTGGGATTATTCAGGGAAAAAAAATGTAATGGACTGAGGAGATTAATTTTTAAAAACATTAGTTCATAATGATAACAGGAAAAATCCTTCAGCAGTCTACTTTAACTGATATTCAAGTACCAACTCATCATTTTGAAAACTGATAAAGAAGCAAGCCTTTATCTTGATTTTCCTATACCCACTGTACTGCAGCATAACTAGTCAATCAGAGAAAGTTTCTCTTCATAGAAAATTATGGCAAATATACTAAGAAGGAGTAAAAGAAAATAACCACTTAAAGTTCTTGACAAAATACTGGATTTAGGGAATGAAAATAATGGTCCATAAAATCCAAAAAGACACTTAAAACAGGTAGCATGGGTCTCTTGATGGAAGTACTCAACATTACTGATGAAGTATTCCAGCCCATACTCGAACCTGAATATGAACAAGTCTCTAGATTTAGCTAACAGTTTACAGGAAATACAAGAGGCAAGGAGAAAAAAAAAGTAAAAATAAACAGAAGGTCAAAATAAGCAAAAAATCCATGGTCAAATTACCTGTTTTCTTCTGCAAATGAATTAAATGGCAAAACAGAAAAGAGAAAAAGGAACTTCTTCCTTTTGTTTTAAAAACCCATGTCCAGGTTTCACACTTTTACTTAACTTAAATTTACCCTCACAATGTTGCACTTCTCATTCAGGAATGTAATCACAGATTACTTACTTGTCTTTCCTAATTGATATAGCAGAAACAATGTCTTGTTAATTTTGTATTAGCAACTACCACCAGAGTGCCCAGCACACAGCTCATAATAGGTGCTCACTGAATGTTTGCAGAATAAATACATGAATAAACTCCAAGCACCATCAACTGGCCCTTTATCCCAATGTTATAATTCATTTTCTTCTTGCTAAATCTGGGAGTATGAAGCAAGAGGACTGCAGTGGAAGAAAGGTGGCACAGAAACGATTTCATTTGATCTCAGATAAAGGTGCTCTTTATGAGTATTTTCAGTATTTGTTACACATTAGTGCCTCCTGGGAAAATTTTTAAAATACATACGGTTGGTCCCATAACCAGACATTTTGATTTATTTGATTTTGAGTGGAACCCAGAAACAGTATTTTTTGTAACTCCTCAGTTGGCACAAATGCGGGGCCAGGATAAATTGCTCTGTATCATTTTCAATGCCTTTCCATTCCACATGTCTCTCAAACTTTAACCTCCCATAAGTACAGAGTTCTTTGTTATACCTGCAGATTCTAGTGCAGAGCCTGGTTCACTGTTAAATATTTATCTTTGTGTGTGTGCCTGTATACATGTGTGTGCACATGCGTACTCATTTTCGTATGTATATTTTGTTCACATGAATAAATATGAAGGCCCTTTTTCAATAGAGCATCTTCACTATGGTCTCAGAAGTAAAAGACTCAGGTCATGAAGCCAATAACGAGCAAAATAGGCTAGTATTTCAGAGCAATGAAAAATATGTTATGGTGGTTAGAAATATACTTAAAGCTGACTCTTCATGCAAGAATAGAGCCAACCTTGGTTGGCAGAATCAAAGAGCTGTTATCTTTGTTTTACTGACAAAACATATACAGATCTAAAAGCATATCAATACCCGAACCATTAGGGGAACTGTTAGTTCTCTATGTGATAAGACCAATCTATATCCAGAAAATACAAGATAAAATAAACACGTGGTCTAGTATTGTCTTTTATTCTTTGTTGACAGATTTTTTTTACTATGATCTTTTATATTATGATATAAGAGAGATGAAAAATAGTTTAGATGGCTTAGTCAAGACTTGTGTTTGTGCTTGCTTTAGCAGCACATATACTAAAACTGAAGTGATACAGAGAAGAGTAGCATGGCCCCTGCACAAGGATTACATGCAAATTTGTGAAGTGTTCCGTATTTCTCCAGGAGTTGGATTTTGAAAAAAATTAATAAAATAGACTTCTAGCTAGCTAATAAAGAAGAAAAAAGAGAAGATTCAAATAAACACAATCAGAAATGATAAGGGGATATCACGACTAATGCCACAGAAATACAAACAACCATTAGAGAATACTATAAACACCTCTATGCACATAAACTAGAAAATCTAGAAGAAATGGATAAATTCCTGGACACATACACCCTCCCAAGACTGAAGCAGGAAGAAATTGAATCCCTGACTAGACCAATAATGAGTTCTGAAATTGTGCAGTAATAAGCAGCTATAAATAAAAAAACAGCACAGGACCAGACAAATACTACTAGAGTTACAAAGAAGAGCTGGTACAATTCCTACTGAAATTATTCCAAAAAATTGAAAAGGAGGGACTCTTCCCTAACTCATTCTATGAGGCCAGAATCATCCTGATTAAAAAAAGCCTGGTAGAGATACAACAAAAAAAGAAAACTTCAGGCCAATATTGTTGATGAAGATCAATGCAAAAATCCTCAACAAAATACTGGCAAACCAAATCCAGCCACACATCAAAAAGCTTAACCACCGCAATCAAAGAGACTTCATGCAAGGTTGGTTCAACATACACAAATAAATAAAAGTGACTCATCACATAAACAGGACTAAAGACAAAAACAACATGATTATCTCAATAGATGCAGAAAAAGCCTTCAATAAAATTCAACATCCCTTCATGTTAAAAACTCTTAGTAAACTAGGTATTGAAGGAACATACCTCAAAATAATAAGAGTCATATATGACAAACCCACAACCAATATCATGCTCAACAGGCAAAAGCTGGAAGCATTCCCCTTGAAAACTGGCAAAAGACAAGGATGTCTTCTTTCACCACTTTTATTCAACATAGTATTGGAAGTTCTGGCCAGGGGAATCAGGCGAGAGAAAGAAATAAAGGCATTCAAGTAGAAAGAGAGGAAGTCAAACCATCCCTGTTTGTAGATGACACGATCCTATATCTAGAAAACCCCATCATCTCACCCTAAAAGCTTCTTAAGCTGATAAGCAACTTCAGCAAAGTCTCATATACAAAATCAATATTCAAAAATCACTAGCATCCAGATACACCAACAACTGTCAAGCCAAGAGCCTAATCAGGAATAAACTCACATTCACAATTGCCACAAAAATAATAAAATACCTAGGAATACAGCTAAGCAGGGAAGTGAAATATCTCTACAAGGAGAACCACAAACCTAAAAGACATCAGAGATCACACAAACAAATGGAAACACATTCCATGCTCATGGATAGGAAGAATCAATATCATGAAAATAGTCATACTGTCCAAGGGAATTTATAAATTCAATGCTATTCTCACTAAACTACCACTGATATTCTTCACAGAACTAGAAAAAACCTATTTTAAAATTCATACGGAACCAAAAAAGAACCTGAATAGTCAAGGCAATCCAAAGCGAAAAAAAAAAAAAAAAAAAAAAAATCTAGAGGCATCACACTCACGCTACCTGACTTCAAACTATGCTATGGGGCTAGAGTAACCAAAGCAGCATGGTGCTGGTACAAAGACACAAAGACCAATGGAACATAATAGAGAACCCAGAAATAAGTCCACACACCTACAACCATCTGATCTTTGACAAACCTGACCAAAACAAGCAATGGGGAAAGGATTCTCTATTTAATAAATGGTGCTAAGATAACTGACTAGGCATATGCAGAAGATTGAAACTGGACCCCTTCCTTACACCATACACGAAAATCAATTCAGGATGGATGAAAGACCTAAATGTAAAACCCCAAACTATAAAATCCCCAGAAGAAAACCTATGCAGTAGCATTCAGGACATAGGCACAGCAAAGATTTCATGATGAAGATGCCAAAAGCAATTGCAACAAAAGCAAAAATTGAAAAATGGGAGCTAATTAAACTAAAGAGCTCTGCACAGCAAAGGAAACTATCATCAGAGTGAATGGACAGCCTAGAGAATGGGAGACCATTTTTGCAATCTACCCATCAGACAAAGGTCTAATATCCAGTGTCTACAAGGAACATAAACAATTTTACAATTAAAAAAACAACCCCATTAAAAAGTGGGCAAAGGACATGAACAGACACTTCTCAAAAGAAGACATGCATGCAGCCAACAAACATGAAAAAAAGCTCAATGTCACTGATGATTACAGAAATGCAAATAAAGCCACAGTGAAATACCATCACACACCAGTCAGAATGGCTATTATTAAAAAGCCAAAAAGCAACAGATGCTGGTGAGGTTGTGGAGAAAAAGGAACACTTTTGTTGGTGGGAGTGTAAATTAGTTCAACCATTGTGGAAGACAGTGTGGCAATTCCTCAAAGACCTAGAGGCAGCATTCCCTCCAGCAATCTCATTACTGGGTATATACATAAAGGAATATACATCATTCTATTATAAAGATACATGCACACGTATGTTCACTGCAGCACTTTTCACAATAGTAAAGTCATGGAATCAACCAAAATGCCCACCGATTATAGACTGGATAAAGAAAATATAGTACATATATACCATGGAATAGTATGCAGCCATAAAAAAGAACAAGCTCATGTCCTTTGCAGGGACATGGATGGAGCTGGAATCCATTATCCTTGGCAAACTAACACAGGAACAGAAAACCAAACACCACATATTCTCACTTATTAGTGGGAGCTGTACAATGAAAACACATGGACTCAGGGAGGAGAGTAACCCACACTTGAGCCTGTTGAGGGGTGGGAGGAGGGAGAGCATTAATAAGAATAGCTAGTGGATGCTGTGCTTAATCTGTAGGTGATGGGATGATCTGTGCAGCTAATCACCATGGCACACGTTTAACTATGTAACAAACCTGCATATCCTGCACATGTATCCCTGAACTTAAAAGTTCAAAATCCAAAAAGTAAATAAATAAAAATTATATATGCATTTTTATACTATTTTATATAAATATGTAGTAATAGATTAATTGTGGATGCCTATATATGATCTAAAACTATATTAAAATACATTTCCATAATTTGATCCAAAAAGGTTATTTTTTAATTTTGAAAAGTTTCAAATATATACAAAAGTCAAGAGATTGGTATAATGATTACCACGTGTTCAACATCCAGTTTAAACAATTATAAGCTCAGACAGCCTTGTTTCACCTACTTTCCAACCTCGGATTATTTTGAACCAAATCTCAGACATTATCATAAGCCTCTCATCATGTGTATGTAAAGAATAAGATTTCTTTGTTTAAACAAAATCAAAATATTATATCACATCTAAAAACATTAAAATGATGTCTTAATTTCATAAAATCATTATTAAATTACCTTGATTATTCTCAAAATATTTTTCTTTATATGTTGTTCAAATACAGATCCAAATAAGATCTATAAACTGATCAAGGACCTAAAGCATATATTAGTGTGAATGTGTGGTAGAGTGCAAGAAGGGAAGTTTTCAGAAGCAAGGTAGGAAATGAAAGCACATTCCTTCCATGAAGCCCATGATAAGCCAGGTGAAAGAGTTTCAGCATTATCCTGAGAGCCGTAAGAGTCCACTGAAATACTTTAAAGATTGAGACATGAGCATATTTAAGAGGCAAAGAAATTGAATGAATATTAAGGGAGCTAGAAAAGAGGTCACACGTTGAATAGCTTTCAAACTTTTTTATGTATTGACTTTATTTTTCTGTGAGAACTAAATTTGGAGGTCTTTAAAGATTATGAGAAAAGCTACCTTAAATCTGGACAACTATAAGAAGTATGGGACCACAAGGAAAAAAAAAAAAACAGTAACAAAAATGTGACTATGACTAAGCAGAGCTGGCTCCAGCTCAAAGAAATGTGAAAAGGGGTTTTGCATAATTCCTTCTACACTGCCAGGCCACTTTATCTGGGAAGAAAAGAGGCAAGAAGAAGAAATAAATAACCATACACTTAGGTGGAGCTTCCTTATCAAAAAATATATGTAATGAAAGAAAACTGCTAGATGACGAGTTAGTAGGTGCAGCGCACCAGCATGGCACATGTATACACATGTAACTAACCTGCACAATGTGCACATGTACCCTAAAACTTAAAGTATAATAAAAAAAATAAATAAAATAAATAAAATAAAATGTAGCACGAAAAAAAAAAACTATGTCAAAAAACTATTGCCATAAATTAAAGCCATGCCTATATCAAAATAATTCAGAGAATCTAGAAAGTAAACATTGATTAAATTCAATCAAAAAGAATGGAGATATTGTTACAATAATAAAAAGCACATTTGATTTGAAAGCCTAGTCATTAAGATAGTAGTATACATACTGTATAATCAACAATAAAGATTTGTTATTGAAAATTTATACAGCAAAATTGGAAGAGAATGAAATAGCAGAATGAAATTGATTTATCAGAGGAGTGGGTGACTTTGACTCATATATCTTACTGTATTCTATGGTATATCACAGGGCAAAAATAATAATAATTTATGGTCCCTCTATATATTAATAATAATGTGGGCTGGGCACGGTGGCTCTTGTCTGTAATCCCAGCACTTTGGGAGGCCGAGGTGGGAGGATCATGAGGTCAGGAGATCGAGACCATCCTGGCTAACACGGTGAAACCCCGTCTCTACTAAAAATACAAAAAATTAGCCGGGCATGGTGGGGGGCGCCTGTAGTCCCAGCTAGTCGGGAGACTGAGGCAGGAGAATGGCGTGAACCCGGGAGGCAGAGCTTGCAGTGAGCCGAGATTGCACTACTGCACTTCAACCTGGGTGACAGAGGAAGACTCTGTCTCAAAAAATAAATAAATAAATAAAATAAACAAATAAAAATAATAATGTAAGACATTTTATATGTATATTAAGATACTAAATTCTACATCCTGAAAATAGAATCCAAACTTTCTTTTCAAATTCTCTTGGGAATATATTCAAAATTTGTTCTATATGAAGTCTCAATAGTCTCAATATAACTTCAGTGAATTCTACATTTACACATAATATATAACTTGCTTTTTGATAACAATATCAAAGTGGAAGTTAAATTTTAAAAATAGAATCCTCCTCAAAAGGTATCTTTAAGTTGAAAACCTTAAAACTGGGGAAAAGCAAAAAAAATTGAAGAATATCTAAATATAATAGTTAAAAAACATGAAAAACCACAATCTATGAAATATGGAAATAAAATATAAACTCTATGAAATGATTCACTGTAAGAAAGTTTATTGTCTTAAATGCTACACACTGAAATAGGAAAATATAAATTAAATGAATTATTAAATTTAAAAAGCAAAATAAATACCTCTAATGAGACAGAGGGGGAAAAGTTAACCAAGATTAAAGCAGAAATTAACAACATTTAGAAGGTACAAATAGAGTAAAGCTAATACAATTCAAGCATATGGTTATGTGAAAGAACTGATAACATAAACTACTTAATAAACTAATTAGGACACAAAAAGAGAAATAAAAAAGTAATATAAATGAGATATATCATTATTGAGAAAATTCAAATAACTCTCAATTCTCAACTTTATGTACATAAATTTGAAAATTTAGAACAAATATCTTTTCTTCAATAGGGTTATTATATCCAAACAGGCCAACTGTAGTAGAATAAATTGAGAAAATTGTAAAGTGCCATGCCTATATCACTTCAAATGTAACCACCTACCAAATATTCGTGGAATAGATACTTCTACTATTCTTCAAAGTGTTATTCTATTATTCTCTCCCTATTGGTAATCATTGTAAATCAGAATAATATACTTAAACCTCTATTTCTTGTCCTATTCATATAGACAGTATTTACTGATTTCTAACTTTATCTTTTAATGATATTAGTAATCCTACTCTTTTTCACTCCTTTTCATCTTCAACTTCAAAATATCGGTTATCTATAATTTTAAATTTTGATTAATATGGGGATCATATGCATTCATTTATAGCCTTGTAGTCACAAATCTTCCAAATTTCAACAGGTTGAATATAAATGGCAAAAGCAATACATGATATTTATATTATTGTGACTAGGTAAAGCCACATGATCATATTTCCTTTCTAGCAGTTTGCCCTGAGCCTCCACCTACTCCTAGTCCACTATCACATATTTTATAGCCTTTCTTTTATTTTCTTGTATTTGCTGCATCTTTGTCAAGTTCTTCTGATATCTTAAGCTTATTATTAAACTGCTTAGGTCCCCTTTAAGGAAGAGCGGGCCTCAGCAGCTTTTAGTGCTGCAACAAGCTACCTTTCTTTATCAAACAGCCTTTTCTGATTGCCTTCCATTGACCAAAGGCTCACTCTTCAGGGGTGGCCCTCATCTGATGTCTGATCCAGGGAGGGGTACAATGGCTCTCTCACATTTGGCCTAATGGGGAACACCGCAGCCAGACCCTATCAACTCCAGAACTTCCTCTGGGTCAGCTTAAGCTGTTGATCAACAGCTTAAGGTGTTGATGCCACATCACAGTTCCACTTCTCTCTCTGCCTGATGCTGCTTCCCCACACCCCTTTTTAAAAGGTGTTGATCTCTACACAGTTTCTAATAAACATTCTACAATCTTATTTCCATCTCAGTGTCTGTTTCCTGGAGAATCCACTCTGCAACAATGCTGTTTTAGTCTAACTAGCTCCTTGGTCAGTAACCTGGAAATATGCCATTAAACATTATGCCTATACAGCCTGAAACCACTAGCACTGAAGAAAAATCTATCCCACTTGTAGTAAGCTGTCTTCCCTGGAAACAAGTCAGAGTCAACTTAGCAATGCTCCTTTCAGTTTTTTGTTTTGTTTTGTTTTGTTTTCTATTAGAGAGCCCTTGTGTTTTCACGGCAGCCATATCCAGCCGCAAACTGAGACAAAAGGCAAAAGGAGAATTTGGCTTAATATGAGACTGAGATGTAGTTCCCTCCTTTTTCCCTACCCCAATTCCTCTTTCAATACGTCCCCTCTTCTCTCAACACCATATATGACAAATTCTAGCCACAGAGTATCAACATGGGTTTTTCTTTTACTTCACTTTTCCTTATTTATATCTTTTTATAAGTGTAAGCTCATATACGAAGAGGCTTCATCTCCAAGCAGAGAGACCATCAGCTCTGGATTGTCAGTTTTCCACTCAGGCTATCTGTCTATCCATCATCTTACACAAACTGTTGGAACCGTGTTCTATGGGATCACTAGTACTGATGACTCAGTTGTTCCTCAGCACACTTACTGCTGTTTCTAAAACTACAGAGTTTATCCACAATTTCCTATGCATACACCTTTCTAATTTTAAGAGGGAGATACAATTCATAAATTTAAAAAGATGTATCAACTGAAGAATGATAAATTTCATAAATTTGGAAAGGAGAGCTTTACTTTTCATAAAGGTTGCAGCCTGCAGCGTAGCCATTCTGAGAGGCCAGGAAGTGTAACCTCCATCCAGAAGCCAGAAACACACTTTTTGAGGGTCAGAAGAATATGACAGGGATTTATGTTGAATAGACTGGCCAAATACACATATTCAATAAACTATAGGAAGAGTCATGAATATTTATAAGTAGAGAAATGTGGGCATGTGCAGTTGAGTTTCATGTCTCTCTATGGGACCCATGTTCCAAAAATGGGTTAGCATAATTCGAGGATACAGTTTTCAGCCCTGTGGTGTCAAAAGGTGAAGCAAGGGACATGAAAACTTTCATTGCACATGGGAGATGGTGTCCAACCTCCCATCCTGTTATTGCTGGGAACTCAACTTCCAAGCTTTCCCTGAGATCCCCTTGACCAAGACAGAATCCATTCAGTCAGTTGGCAGGCTTAGGATTTCATTTTTGTTTCTCATAGGTGTACTTAACAAAGTAAAAGGACAGCAATCTATATCAAACGGTGAACTATCTCCTGAAATCCTCCCTCCTCCAGCCCACTGATTGACTTGGTGGAATCTACTCCAATCAGGACTGACAGCTCTGTAGCCCTGTTGCAACATCTCATCTAGAGCTAGGTCCACAGTTTCCTGGATCTCCCATCTTCTTTCTTGATTTATCCCCCCAGTTTTAGAGAAGACTTCCTCAAGTGGCCTCTTTGCACTTCTATTAGAGTGTTCTTTCTCTGATTTGTTTTTTCACTCGACTTTCTTCCACCAAAGTTTTATCTTGTAGAAATCTACTGAAGGTATTCATCTGCAGATGGATGCTTTCCTATTCTCTTTGAACTTGGTAACGTATATCTAGAAAGCCCCTTTACTAATGCACTGTTTGAGGAGAAAGGTATGCACATGAGTGCTTTCTGTCAGCCCCAACAAGAAATATTCTAAAAAACCATAACCAGTTTCGGTTGAGAGTAAGACTTGGATTCTGGGAAGGAAGAGAAGCTTTCTTTTAACTGCAATTCTATTGAGTTGTGGAAATTTTTACCTTGAAAGCACATTCCTTTGTTTTTTAGTAAAAGAAAACTAATTTGATAAATGGACAAATACTAAACAAGCAACTACTACATACCAGACACAGTTCCGGATGGTTTTTAAACGGTACAGGAGATGGAGAAAAATCCAACACCTATTATTAGGCAATTTGAAAAGGAAATTGCCACTGCAACAGAACAGCAATTTCTGGATTTGTTACTATTCACTAGATCTGTGGAAGCCTACAGAATTTTGGTCTGTTTTAAAAGTAAAATGAAAACAATCTTTACAGTGTCAGCAGCTGAAATTTCTTATACTCATGTAATGTGGGCTTTGAAATAAATTTTTATCATTATATAAAATCTGAATCATCTGCTTAAAGTGAGCTCATTTTGCCTCATAAAACATTTTTTCCATTGTCCCATGTGTTTTAGCATGATTCCAGCTATAAAATTATAATAATCATAATCTCACAAAATAGAAAATTTCCAGGCTACTTTGGATATTTAATGGGAAAATAGCCAATTGTTTTATCTCATATGGCTTCTTAAACCCAATGCATTTTAAAATATATTTTTTCTCATTTTATATATATTTCAAGTATATTTATCTCAGGTAGATAATGCTTTAACTTTAACAATTACTCTAATTATCAAGAAATCTACACTCAATTTTGGGTAACTTGGTATGTTTGTATTAACTTTTCAAGTATGATAATAAAATGTTGGACCTGGAAGAGGTGGTGAAACAAATAAAGGCACTTAACACTTTGTGAATGCTCACTATTTACCAAACATCATGAACCTGGATTCTGAAACTCTGGTTTTCTTGTTATAAAATCAGAATACAAATATCTCATCTCATAAGGTGTGAATGAGGACTGAGTATGCCTAACTCATAGTCAGTAATCAGTCAGGTATATTATTTCTCTCTATATTTCCATCTTTATGGATTAATTTAAGTGAGTCTGGTCATATTCCTATAAGTAGAAAACCCTATTTCAAGAAGACAACTATTTTTCAAGGTTGCCAAAAGAGTTGCTGATCAATACTTGTCAATCAAAGGAGAACCTCAATAATATGAGAAAGGGACTTGTCTTGGGGCCTGCAGAATCAGCTCTACAAAGACACATGGTATAACTAAAAGGAAATTGAGCTGTGCCCTCAATCAGGGTAAAAACCAGTCTTGTACTTTTATAATCAGTTATACTGCAAATATGTCCTCTTGCATATAAAAACAAAACAAAACAAACAAAAAATAACTGACTTTGATTATGAACTTACCTTCTATATCCTTCTGTAACTGTGAGAAAGATGCAAATTATGAAATTCATTTCGAGTAGGTAGCATCATTTTCAGCTGTGGTGAGATATATGCCATAAGGTATTAACCATCGCTGGTTCTCCGTAATGCATAAGATCTTAAAAGTAACTAAACAAGGTTGCTGATTCAGGGGATCCTACTCTTAATTTCTGAAACATACTTCCAGCGATTGAGACAAATTGTCATCTCTAAGCTGAAATTCAGCTTATTCACAATCTATTTTTTCATTCTATTTGTCAAGTTATATTCATTGAGGATATACAGTATGGCAGACACTGTGGTATATATTTCAGTAAAAAGACCCCAAACACTTCCCCACTAAATTGAAACAAAAAATCCATTTGACAAGGGATTATCATCAGAATATAAGGAGCTCAAACGACTCCATAGGAAAAAAAAATCTAATAATCCTTGGCCGTGGTGCATGTCTGTAATTCTGGCACATTGGGAGGCCAAGGCTGGTGGATCACTTGAGGTCAGGAGTTTGAGACCAGCCTGGCCAACATGGCAAAACCCCGTCTCTACTAAAAATACAACAATTAGCTGCGCATGGTGATGTGCACCTGTAGTCTCAATTACTTGGGAGGCTGAGGCAGGAGAATCACTTGAACCTGGAAGGCAGCAGTTACAGTGAGCCGAGATTGCACCACTGCACTCCAGCTTGGGCAACAGAGGGAGACTCTGACTCAAAAAAACAACAACAAAAAACAAAACAAAACAAGACAAAAACAAAAAAAAAACCCTAATAATCTGATTTAAAAAGGGGCAAAAGATCTGAATAGACATTTCTCAAAAGAAGACATACAAATGGGAAACAGCATATGAAAATGTGCTCCACATCACTGATCTTCAGAGAAATGCAAATCAAAACTACAATGAGATATTGTCTCACTCCAGTCAAAATGACTTTTACCCAAAAGCTAGGCAATAATGAATCCTGGTGAGCATGTAGCAGAAAGGAAAACTTCGTGCACTGTTGGTGAGAATATAAATTAGAACAATCCACTATGAAGAACAGTTTGGAGGTTCCCCAAAAAACTGAAAATAGACCCACCCCCACCATATGATCCAGCAATCCCACCGCTAGGTATATATACCCAAAAAGAAAGGAAATTGGTATATCGAAGAGATAGCTGTATTCTCTTGTTTACTGCAGCACTATTCACAATAGCCAAGATTTGGAAGCAGCTGAAGAGCCCATAAACAGATGAATGAATAAAGAAAATGTGGTACATACACACAATGAAGTACAATTTAGTCACAAATAAAAATGAGATCCTGTTTTTGCAACAACATAGATGGAACTTGAGGTCATTACATTAAGTGACATAAGCCAGGCACAGAAAGATAAATGTTGTATGTCCTCACTTATTTGTGGAGCTAAATATTAAAACAATTGAACTCCTGGAGATGTAAAGTAGAAGGATAGTTACCAGAGGCAGGGAAAGAGCAGTGGTGGTAGGAAGTGGGGATGATTAATGGGTACAGAAAATAGTTAGAATGAATAAGAGCTAGTATTTGGTAACACAACAGGATGACTACAGTCAACATTAATTAATTGCACATTTAAAAATAAGTAACAGAATAATTGGATTGTTTGTAATACAATAAAATGATAAATGCTTGAGTGGACGGATATCCCATTTACCCTGATGTGATTATTACACATCATATGTCTGTATCAAAATATCTCATGTAGCATACCTATATGTGGTACATGATATATATATATATATATATATATATATATATATATATATATATGGAACATGAGATATACATATACGTTGGTGGTGGTGGTTTGTTTTGTTTTAATTTTATACATGTACATGTTGGTGATGGTGGCTTCTTTTGTGTTAATTTTTGTGGATACATATATACACTATATATATGTAACATATATGTATATATTTTTGTGGATATCTACTATGTGTGTATATATATATTTGTGTGTGTGTGTTTATATATACATATACTACGTATCCACAAAAATTAAAACAAAACAAACCACCACCACCACCAAAAAACAAAATACAAACCTTGTTCTCAATGGGCTTACCTTTCAGAGCGGCAGACAGAGAATAAGTGAAATAAATAAGTATAAAATAAGGTATGTTAGAAGGTGTAAGTTCTATGGAGAATATTAAAGTAAAAATACTTTATATTAGAGAATATTAAGATAAAAAAGTTAAAATATTTTTACTTTAATATTCTCCATAGAACTTACACATTCTAACACACCTTATTTTATGGAGGTATGTTAGAAGGTCTGTTTTATGGAGGTATGTTAGAAGGTCTGTTTTATGGAGGTATGTTAGAAGGTCTGTTTTATGGAGGTATGTCAGGAGGTATGTTTTATGGAGGAATGGGGAAAAGTAAGATGTGTGGTAATGGGGCTTTTGCTGTTTAAATTTAATTAATCAGAGATCTCTACTAGAAGATGACATTTTGGCAAAGACCTGAAGGAAGGAAGGAAGCCATTGGGAAATGAGAGGGAAAAGTATACCAAATAGAGGGACTGGAAATTGCAAAGGCCCTATGAGAGAAGGGAGCTTAATATGCTTCAGGAAAGCAAGGAAGCTACTGACTGTGGCTGAAACAGAATGAGCAAAAGAAAGGTAGGAGGTGAGGTCCAGAATGTGTGTGTGTGTACGTGCATTGCATGTGTAGCTCTATGGGCCATGTAGGTGCTTTTTGCCCTCATCCTCAGCTTGTCTATATTTATGTAGAGATAAATATGTTGATATTTTCTTAGAACTCTTTTGACTAGAAATAACCTATTTTGTTGAATATTGGTTTTTTAAAAAGTGGCATATAATTTAAAGCAGCTGAAGAAGAGTAGTTTTATTAATCAATCTTACCCAGGGACAAATTCTTTCTAAAGAAAGCATGTGTACAGCATGCATAAATTTCTAATATTATACTCTGGTACGCACTCTCAAGTTTCATAACCCATTCGTTTGTTTGTTGTTTTTAGCATTGGACTAACTGGTATACACAGTGAGATTTATGCAAGTATCCTGGAGACATTAACTTGAATAGATGTCCAAGTTCTCTATTTTTCTTTAAGCATTTAAAGTAGAAACCATATTTCTAGTTTTCCAGTACATTGATGCAATGTCTGAATCTTGATTAAATAATCCTGGTTTCTTAGTGTGGTCTAGAGTGACCATAAAATTTATCATCCAAATGAGACATTTCAGAAGAGGACAAATGCTAAGCCGGATAGGCAACAATCAGAACTGTCCCAGACAACCAGAATACATGGGCCCCAGAGACAGATTGGACAAAAGTTTTGGTGGTAAGCAGACCAAGAATTGAATCATAGCCTTACCTCTTACTCCCTTTATGGACTTAAACATATTATACAGCCTGTTTTAGATTCATAATGTGGGGTTATAAAACCTAACTCACTGTTGTTTACAAGGATTTATTCAGATGAAAAAACACACATGTCTAATAAAGAGCCATTTTAAAAATGGGATCTAAGCACAGATAGGGACATAGGAATAAATATGTTCACTTGTTGTAAAAGTTATTGAAAGGGGATTGCTATAATACTTTCCTGGGTGAAGTTACTCTAAGGCCATAGCAGCATAAAACTATCATTACTCAGTGAGTATCAAAGAGACTATCAGGGGTTCTGAACATCCTGTGGCATAAATAATAGTGCAATCATTTAACTAAAATCATACCAATCGAAGTGATGGAATCATCAAATATAGTATCTATTACGCTTACTATTAGAACAGCAAACCTTATAATAGAGAGATAATTTCTAAGTTTTTAGGTATCAGACTGATTGATTTAAAATGCTAAGTTTGATAACAAAAGTTTCTTTGGAAGAAGAGATTTATATTTTTACCCTCCTCTTACAATTATAGTCCAGTGCTGTGCCTACTTGTAGAAACACATTTGACAGCAAAGTGTCTTACACTTGAGATTCCTATGTGCAATCACAGGGGACTGGAATCCTTATGAGACATTTTAGGCCTTTGGATTTAATAATATGTTCAATTTTCATGTCAAATAAAAATGTGAGGATTCTGGCAAAAGATTCTAAGATCTTTACTATGCAAAGACTTGTAGAAATATTCTCATTTTCTCAGATTCAAGATATTTGGACGTTTTTTCTACTCTTTTAAATTATCCTAATCCAATTGATCTGCTCTTTTCTTTCACAGGCTTTATCTACAGAATCTGACATCCTGTTCCTTTCCAACAATTGGCTCAATACATTACCTACTTTGCTCCAAATCTAATTCAATAATTATCTTTATTTCCTCAACTTTCTCTCAAAAGTCTATTTCTCTTAAGTTTTTTTCATATAACACGTTTTATGAAATTGTCATAATTTTTGATCAGCACCTTAACTTTTGTCAATTCCAAAGTCTGTAAAGTATATCAAATGACATATTTATGTATTCTGTTACTTATTTTTGACACTTTAAACTTTTCAAGATCAAATAAATTCAAATGCTGTGTTTATTCTATGGAAAACATTTGCCTCTATCTCTAAATTTAATTGCTGCCAAAACCTGGAGGTTGAAGTAAATTTCTGTGTTTCAGCAAATTTCCCTATTTGTCTCATAATTAGGATTGAATTTAGTCATAAGTATTTTATCTTCACTGCTTGTGCCTAGAAATAAGAAATTTAATATTGTGGTTCCATACAAGTTATTAATTATAGTATAATTATTAACTATATTAACTGTATTATTCATAGTTATGGCATTCATATCATGCTATCCTTATTGCCAGGCATTGGTCTAAATAAATTTTATTTTATTTTAATTTTTTTAATTTTATTATTATTATACTTTAAGTTTTAGGGTACATGTGCACAATGTGCAGGTTAGTTACATATGCATACATGTGCCATGCTGGTGTGCTGCACCCATTAACTCATCATTTAGCATTAGGTATATCTCCTAAAGCTATCCTTCCCCGCTACCCCCACCCCACAACAGTCCCCAGAGTGTGATGTTCCCCTTCCTGTGTCCATGTGTTCTCATTGTTCAATTCCCACCTATGAGTGAGAATATGCGGTGTTTGGTTTTTTGTTCTTGTGATAGTTTACTGAGAATGATGATTTCCAATTTCATCCACGTCCCTACAAAGGACACGAACTCATCATTTTTATGGCTGCATAGTATTCCATGGTGTATATGTGCCACATTTTCTTAATCCAGTCTATCATTGTTGGACATTTGGGTTGGTTCCAAGTCTTTGCTATTGTGAATAGTGCTGCAATAAACATACGTGTGCATGTGTCTTTATAGCAGCATGATTTATAGTCCTTTGGGTATATACCCAGTAATGGGATGGCTGGGTCAAATGGTATTTCTAGTTCTAGATCCCTGAGGAATCGCCACACTGACTTCCACAAGGGTTGAACTAGTTTACAGTCCCACCAACAGTGTAAAAGTGCTCCTATTTCTCCACATCCTCTCCAGCACCTGTTGTTTCCTGACTTTTTAATGTTTGCCATTCTAACTGGTGTGAGATGGTATCTCATTGTGGTTTTTATTTGCATTTCTCTGATGGCCAGTGATGGTGAGCATTTTTTCATGTGTTTTTTGGCTGCATAAATGTCTTCTTTTGAGAAGTGTCTTTTCACGTCTTTCGCCTACTTTTTGATGGGGTTGTTTGTTTTTTTCTTGTAAATTTGTTTGAGTTCATTGTAGATTCTGGATATTAGCCCTTTGTCAGATGAGTAGGTTGCAAAAATTTTCTCCAGGGCAATTAGGCAGGAGAAGGAAATAAAGGGTACTCAATTAGGAAAAGAGGAAGTCAAATTGTCCCTGTTTGCAGATGACATGATTGTATATCTAGAAAACCCCATTGTCTCAGCCCAAAATCTCCTTAAGCTGATAAGCAACTTCAGCAAAGTCTCAGGATACAAAATCAATGTACAAAAATCACAAGCACTCTTATACACCAATAACAGAAAAACAGAGAGCCAAATCATGAGTGAACTCCCATTCACAATTGCTTCAAAGAGAATAAAATACCTAGGAATCCAACTTACAAGGGATGTGAAGGACCTCTTCAAGGAGAACTACAAAGCACTGCTCAATGAAATAAAAGAGGATACAAAGAAATGGAAGAACATTCCATGCTCATGGGTAGGAAGAATCAATATCATGAAAATGGCCATACTGCCCAAGGTAATTTATAGATTCAATGCCATCCCCATCAAGCTACCAATGACTTTCGTCACAGAATTGGAAAAAACTACTTTAAAGTTCATATGCAACCAAAAAAGAGCCCACATCACCAAGTCAATCCTAAGCCAAAAGAACAAAGCTGGAGGCATCACACTACCTGACTTCAAACTATACTACAAGGCTACAGGAACCAAAACAGCATGGTACTGGTACCAAAACAGAGATATAGATCAATGGAACAGAACAGAGCCCTCAGAAATAACGCCGCATATCTACAACTATCTGATCCTTGACAAACCCGAGAAAAACAAGCAATGGGGAAAGGATTCCCTATTTAATAAATGGTGCTGGGAAAACTGGCTAGCCATATGTAGAAAGCTGAAACTGGATCCCTTCCTTACACCTTATACAAAAATTAATTCAAGATGGATTAAAGACTTAAACGTTAGACCTAAAACCATAAAAACCCTAGAAGAAAACCTAGGCATTACCATTCAGGACATAGGCATGGGCAAGGACTTCATGTCTAAAACACCAAAAGCAATGGCAACAAAAGCCAAAGTTGACAAATGGGATCTAATTAAACTGAAGAGCTTCTGCACAGCAAAAGAAACTACCATCAGAGTGAACAGGCAACCTAAAAAATGGGAGAAGATTTAAATAAATTTTAGAAAGTTAAAGATTAACATGGTCTATAACCTGAAGGGATTTATAGAAGAGTTTTGGTGACAACATATGCAATCCTTATGTGAACCTAATAAATGAGTGAATATGATTAATAAGCTTTTTATAAAAATAACACAAAGGGAGGGAGGTCTTGAGAATAAGATATCACTGTGAGAAATTCATTTAACAAATATTTACTCTATGAATGAGCACCATGTGGTGTTATGCTTAAAGGGATGATAGATAAATAAGACTATCATTTTCCCTCCAGAAGAAACAACTCCAAAAGATTTGGTGAGAAAATCTTCTCAGATAGGTAGATGGAACCACCATGTGTTCCCTGTATCACTTTTGTTAAGATATTATAGTATTATTTAAATTTTATATATACATATATAAATAATACACATACATATTCATAATTCAACTTAATGCATTGAATATAAATTCAAATAATATATTAATAATTTCATCAAAATGCTTAAGACATCCTTTTTATGATTAGAAAACATGAGAATTAAATATTTTCCTCTTTTGAAATTTATACATTTAAATATTTTAATAAGATGTATAATGATTTATTCCATGCATAGTAATGTGGATATACTCTAAAGTTTTAGATTTTTCTTATGTTAATAGTTCACCCGTGTGAAAAATGTTTAGCATGGCCAGGGAAAAGGAATCAGAATCATTGGACAAAAGATTATCTTCAGCAAACTAATTCTAGCCTTGCAGTGAAAAGCAACCCTCTGGCACCATCTACTGACTGCATTGCTTTACTTTCTAATCAAACCACATGCAAATTAGTACTGAATGAATAAAACATAAACTTTTCTTCCTCATTTTTTGTTTATGATGGGGAGCTTGAGCCATGGATGCTGACAGCAGTTGATGAATTAAGATAAACTGGCAAATTTATGTGGCACCTGTGGAATCTGATGTTTTCTAATTGCTAATGAAAACTTGCTTTAATGTGTCTGCAGGAGTCTACCTCCACAGGTGATATACTGGAATGTTTAATCAGAGACCAAAATGATCTTTGCCAGAATGAAGCGGCAATGTCGTGTGTGTGTGTGTGTGCACGCATGTGCGCACATGCTCAAGCATTTACACTCTGCTGGAGAGTCCCTAACACAATATTCTGTGGTACTAACTTTAAACCTGGACATTGAAAAGACAGCTATGCAAAGAGCACCCATTACCTACTACTGTATAGGGAAATACTTTGACATGGACCATTTAATGTAATCCTTCCCCAAATTACAGATGAGAAAATTAGGTACAAAATGATTAAGCACCTTGCACTAACTCACATCTTCCAGGATTTTCATTCAAATGTCACTTTTTCAGTAAGCTCTTTCATAGCTGTCTTGCCTAAAATTCTGAACATCTCTCCAGCACTCGTTATCCTTCTTTCCTGTTTAATAATGATCACCATAACATACTGTGTCTTTTACTTACATATTGTTTCTTGTGTATCTCCCTCCATGGAATGTAAGCTTCATGACACCAGGAGTTTTATCAGTTCTCTTCAAGGGAAAGGTAAATACTAGAGATAATAAATTGAGTCCACAAAGACCTATCATTCTCTCACACTAGAAGATTCTTTTGTGAGCTCCAAAACTGCATATTCTGGGTTATATTTCATTATAGGTTAACTTAATAAAATCTCTTTATGAATTGCAACATTATGTTGTGAAAAGAACACAAGGTGTGAAATCATGTAGATAGATTTGAATACCACCTTCTCCAATTTCTATCTTCAGGCATGTTTATTCAGTCCTTACAAATACACATCACCCTCTTACTTCTCTGACCTTTCATCTTACTCTTCTTTTCCATATTCACCTGCACATCCATAGTCCAGCTCCCCTCATTTCTGTTCCGCAAACATGCCAGAGATGCTTACACCTCAAGACCATCATGCTGTTTCCTCTGCCTGAAATGCATCCCCATCCAATATCCCACTGCACAACTTTCTAATCCTTTTCAAGGCTTTGTTTAATATAACTTTCTCATTAACATCTTCTCTGTTCACCTCCAGATCTTAAAGACCTATAGGCTTGGAGAACAAGGTTGGCGTCCTGAGCTTGAATCTCCCCATTGATCCTTCTCCCAAAAAACTATAAAACCAACAAGGGGAACAAACAAAACCACAGATGATTCACACATCCAGGAGCACTAGGAAGTATTTCCATTGCCTGTGGGTGTGGAGAAAGAAGGAGAGGAAACTTAAGAACTAAAAAAGAGTAGGATTCTAGATGAATTAGATAAAACACAAACAAAATCATCATCAAAGTGAGAAAGTTCAATACAAATACCAAAATGCTGAACACAGGTCAGAACTTGGTGGTTCCTAACACTGGGTTTAGCGAAAGTAAGTGGTGCCAGAAGTGGCAACAGCAGGGAGTTATTGACAGTAGATGGAAGGGGGAAGTCAGATGTATGAAGTTGGAAAGGAAAGAAACAAAGAAAACAAAAAGGAATAAAACACTCCAATCCCTCCGCCCACAACACTGCAATCAAAACACCATTCATAAAAGAAATTACACAGATTTGGGCTGAACTGAAAGAAGTGGGCACTCTCAATTTATGAAGAGTATAGCCATAGAAAAAAAATCAGACCACATCCACACACAACTATTTTGAAAAATCACTTAAATTGAATTGACGCATTTCAGCTGATGAAAATTTTTCCCATAAAACCAACCAAAGAACTTAAGAGACCTATAATACAATCCCCCAAACTAAATTAAATATCCTCAAATGAGCATTTGGAAATTTTTTCAAAGTATGCTGAATTAGAAAGATAAACACTGAAAGCAGCAAAGGACAAAAACAGGAAGAAATAAAATGAGAATCAATTGAACCCAAGAAAGAAATAAAAAAATTAAATATCAGAATTGAAAAGTAAGTTACAAAATGACCAAAAATATGAATTCAAATGACAATTTTATAAAGGGTATTGAATAAAGAGAAAAACAACCAGGGTAATGTAAATGACATTTTTATTTAAAAAAAAATAAAAGAAAAAGGGTCAGAGAGAAGATGCTTGAAATGGAAGCTAAGTAAAGGATGTCCGAGATTTGCATATCTGGAGCCTTTCACTAAGAAAACCAAAACCATGAAAGAGAACTAATATTTAAAACTATAGGTCAAGGAAACTTTCCAGAAAACAAAAGAAGACCTGAATCTGCATCTTGAAAGGATGTATTAAGGAAAATTGAACTGGTGTGAGCAATTCCAAACCATACTCAAGTAAAACTATTAGACTTAAAAAAACATAAAGTATCCTCAGGGTCTCCAGGAAATGAAATGACAAGGTACAAAAGCATGAGAATAGACAGGCAATCAGACCTCTCAAAAATAAAACCAACATGAAGCAGAAGTTTCAAGAAATTTAGAAATTCTGACATCAGCTAAGTCCTTGAAGTGTGAAAGGAATAGAAAAAAGTTTTGAATGTGCAAAACACACACTTATGTGTCCTTTCAAAGGAATCTGCTAGAGGATGAGCTTCATCCAACCAAGTCTGACCAAAGGACTGGGGGTATTTCATATTTTTACTAGCAGACCTAAGACAAAGAACTGAGACTACAAAGTCTTAATCTTGGGTAAAAGAATAATATGTAAACATAATATATTCTCACAAAAATAAAACTTAAAAAAGAAAACATGGAAAAGGAGAAAGGAAAGTAGAATCATTTCATTAACTATTGTCCATGTCTTAGATAGGATTTGAAAGATACCAATTAAAATTGACAGAAGAGATTGTAAAAATTTTAAAATGGAGAAAACAGAAACAGAAAAATTAAGATTACTATATAAAATATTAAACCAAAAATAACCACTAGAGCTGGAATAGAAATCTTCATAAATATAGTATAAATATATAGTATAAACAAGTTAAAATGTAGTATAAACAAGTTAAATGATGTAAACAACAACAAAAACACAACATAGTGGGGGGAAAACACAGTAAAAATAATATATTCAGTAATTACAACATAAGATACCATGACAATTGAGACCCAACATATTAGTCACATCCTAAATGTGATTAGGATGTATTCATTTAATAATAATAATAAAATTTCAATTTGGCTTATAAAGCAAAACTGAATTCTATGCTATACACAAAGGAAAAACTTGGCCAGGTGCAGTGGCTTATGCCTGTAATCCTAGCATTTTGGGAGGCTGAGGGATGTGGATCACTTGAGGCCAGGAGCTCAAGACCAGTCTGGCCATCATGGGGAAACTGTCTCTATTAAAAATACAAAAATTAGCTGGGTGTGGTGGTGCATACCCGTAATCCCAGCTACTCAGGAGACTGGGGCACAAGAATCGCTTGAACCTGTGAGGTGGAGGTTGCAGTGAGCCAAAATTGAACCACTGCACTCCAGCCCGGGCAAGAGAGCAAGACTCTGTCTCAAAAAAATAATAAGAAGAAGAAAAAAAGAAAAAAAAAAGACAAACTTGGAACACAATGATTCAAAAAGCTAAACATAAAGGAATGAGCAAAGGTTTAACAGACAAGATAATACACAGGAAGGCAGGGATGGAATCCTGTTGCAGATAAAGTAGAATTTAAGCCAGAAACATGACATGAGTAATATTGCTACACTTTCCCTGCTGTCACTCCAGCAGTCAGATCTTCCTTACACTGTTCTACCTTTTCTTTTTTCTAAAGAATGTATCAAGTTCTAACATATAATTTTAATTACTAATTTCTTATGTCTTGTAATAAATGAGAAGTTTCTTATTAGAATGTCAGTCCACGAGGATAGGAATTTTATCCATTTTAAAATTAGTAATACCAAATTTCTAGAATAAAGCCTAGCTCATACAAGATGTTCAATATTTGTTAAGTGTATGAATAATAAATTTAACCTGTTTTGTTACCTGTGAAATGGGAATAATAATGTCATTGTTTTAGGCTAAAGAGTCTAGCCTAAAAGTGCATTTTAAAACTTTTCCCCCTTTTCCCTTTTTTCCCTAGTCTCAAAATGTAACCCTTAAGCATATTGTGGAAACCTTTTCTTCTCCTCTTTAGTCTTAAGCTATAGCCTTGAAATATACTTTCTTTGAAACACCACATGCCTCTCTCACCATACACTCCCTTACACCATGCACATTTATCTAACTGTATACTTTTACTCATTATCAGCTTATTTAGAAGTCCCAGGTGCTAGCCTTAAAACAGACCATGCCTAGAGACCCATCTGCAAGTTTCCAGAGATTACATGAAGGCTGTTATCATCAATCTGGCTATTGCTGAGATGATGCCAGCCTGCATTTCAGGAGGATCATGGCTAGAAACAGCCACTGGGACAAGATATACAGACCTCGTACTCAGTACCCTTCCCACATGCCTCCCATTCCAAGTTCCTCTTTTTAAACCCCTATCCCTAACGTATGAAGTGGTTACTTTGGATGTGAATGTGGCTACTTCTCCATTATTAGTTTTAGTAAATAAATTCACTTAGTTTTTATTATACCTCACTCTTGTTACTGGGCTCTGCAAGCAGCAAGTGGCCAGATCTGCATTTAGTTACAATTTTGGTGGCCCATATGGGGATTGCTGTGTGCTCCGGAGTCTCCAGCCTGCCAGTCTAATTTCTGTATGATGGGGCATAGGGATGCCTGTGAATGCTGGCTGCTCATGGCTGACCCCATGGCTGGAACGTTAGGGAATTTCTCTGCAGCTGCCAAGATGCTTTTGTCTTGTGGATCCTCTTTCTCTTCCTGCTGCAGTGCCTGCTGCCTTCAATGCTTCTCTGGTGCAAAGAAAGTGACCACTGGAGAAGTCAACAAACTTTGGAACTAAGTGAGTTAGTTGGAATGCACTCAACTATCCTCTGCCTCTTTTAGGTTGTCACTGGGGCTCTTCTCTATTTAGACTCGGCTGCTAGGGATACCATTTGAGTGTTTTATGCATTTGTATTTGTTTGTATTTGTGGTACCCTTGGGGTTTTGGTTGGTTCAGACTCAGCTGACTTTTGGGGGTGGGGGGACTGTTTGAAACTGAGGTGATACATTTGGGAATCTACCCAGCCCTTTACCTGGGGATTTTTTGGAGGTATGCCACTTGTTTGTATGTGTGAGTGTGTGACCTTTGTGTGTGGGCCCTACTCTCTCTCTTTCCCCTTCTTCCAACTTCATTCTCCAGATTATCTCAGGAGCCACCTACAGCCTTACTCCTTTGGGCCAAAAGCATCCTTAGCTCCCTCCACCTGGAAATAGTTCACCTTAACTGGTGACTTGCAGAGATGAGAGGGATTCACCCCATACCATGTAGGTGTGGGGTGCTGAGGCTCTCTCTGACAGGAGATAAAGTAGGATGGTGGGGGGTACTGACCCTGAACCTTGAGGTGGCTCAAAAGCTTCTTCTCCTACCTTTCTCTTTCATCCTCTCTTCTGTAAAACCTGACCTCCTTTCTTCTCTCCATTCCTTTCTTTTTCGCTTTTCTTATTCAATCCAGGGACACCAGCCCTGAAGGGGAAAAACAGCTTCCAACATCTTAGCCCGAGTTTGTCATCCTCTTTAAGACTCCAGCTGGTTACATAGTATGGCCTATTTTATGCCCATTTTGAACTGACAGACAAATTAAAGCAAGAAAAATTCAGAGCTCAAATGGTGAATCTGTAACTAGAGAGTTAAGTGGAATCTTCTAAAGCTCTCTATCTTGTTTTCTTTCTACCTGCTTTAAATCTGCTGTTACTAAGCTGCTGGTGCTAAGACTCATTACTTATGGTCTATCTAGAATGTAAACATTGGAAACTTGTTTGAAACTGAAAAGGAAAAAAAAGGTAAAAGAGTTTTTTTTCTCAAGTTTAAAAAAACCCCACAAATTGCCATAGAGGCTGCTTTACTTAAAATTTTGGTTCAAAACTTTCCTTGGATTACCTATCAGGGCAAACAAAGTTTAGCTATGTGAAGAGGTTCCAATTTTGTCAGAAAAATAACTTGGAGCCAGCTATCTTTTATAAGTCAATGAGTTTGTGATGCTATCTCATGGCTAGAGTTCCAAGGTAAAAGCTATTGGATCTTTGTGCACACATGTATACATGCGATTAGATGTATTTATGTAATATACATGTATTATGTTCTGTTTCATATTTAGTATGCTACCAAATTGGCTTATAAGTAAATGAGTACTCATAAATTAAGTCCAAATGCTTTTCATTCACATGAATCTTTGATAAATAAAACTAGTTTCTAACTATAATTATTAATAAAATTTTAAAAAATGCCTTTGGAAGCATGGGCATACATTTGTGTCTGGATAAATAAGTTTTATATTTGCCTTTGCTAAATGTTTAAGGTATCAATGTTTTGGCATAAAGGTTGTGAGACCCAGCCAAAAACAGAGTAATCTTTGTGTATATGAGTTTTTTTTTTTTTTTTTTTTACAAATAAGACTAATTTATGATTGTTGGTTCAATAAAAACAGCTGAATCTTCTGAGTTATCAGCAAAATACACACGTGCTTAAGTTTCTTACTTAGGTGTTCACCTAATGTTCAGATTTTAAAAATGGTTAACAGGGAAATAACTTTAAATAATGACTAGCTTTGTGTAATATGACAGTTTTCAAAAGTAATCTAGATCAACTGGTAAAAATGGAAAAATTGAGTACATGTTAATGACATAAATACTTGTAAGTGTACTTTTTGTATAATTTTAAATCTTAAAATTATTTTGAATTAAATAATAAGTGCTCCTTGGATGTCTCAGTCATTCCCAATTAAGAAAATATTATGATGTAGGAAAATTGTTTCTAAAATAGTGGAATGGCTTAATCTATAAAATGCTAACATCTGACAAATAGTTCAGGATTTCTTACCCCCTAAATTTTTACTAAAATTGAAGGTTACTAAAATTAATAATTCTAGTTAATATATAATTCTGTAAGTTGTATTCTTATGTTAAAAAAGAATACTTTTATATAATTTGGAGGTTATTTTAAAGTTACTTATTTAAAAAAGGTAAAAATAAACCAGTAAGCAGGGGAGAGAGATATAAAGAAAGTTATCAATATAAAATATATTTTAAATAAAAAGGTTATAAAGAAAAGATAATAATTTTATATGAAAAAAGAGTTTATATGAATGATAAATTCTTGTCTTAAAATAAAATTACTGGTTATGTAGAAAAGAGGAAAATGTAATACAAGTCAGAAAGTCCAAGCATGTCATAAATGGTCTATGTAAGCTGTGACAAGGTTCATGAAAGAAAAATTATAAAAGAAGTTTTGTATATAATTCAGTTGACTATAATTAGAAGGGAACTAGTTATAATGGTCTTTATAAGATTGGTCCCCTGTGTTATAATGAGATTTTCTTAAGATATTAATTGGCTCTTAATAAAATTCAGATTTTGATTTTTAATTTTATATCCTGTTTTGAAAACTTCTCAGAATCATACCTCAGAAGTTCAGCTTCTGTGGTGTCACACTGTTTTTAGCTTTTTCTCTCCTTGAGAAAGCTTGAGGTGACTCTTTCCTTCAGCTTTTTCATCAGCTTCTGTAAGTTTTTTCCTCCAGTTGTAACTATTGTTGTGGCCTGATGTGAAAACATTTTATCTCGAGGGTCTAGAAAAGCAATGTTTTCCTCCAGTATAACCTGATTTTGTCATCTTGGCTTTTCTTGATATGTCTAAATTTTTGAATGTAATCAGAAAACTTCTTATGCAGTTACTAAGAATTATATATTCCCCTGCTATACTCATAATCTTAACACAATCTTCTGATGTCTGATTAAATTCAAGTACTTTTTCATCAGATTTAATTTTCAGGTTATGTAAATGGGCTTCCCATAAGAAGCAGTCACATTGCAGGTTTTTCTTTGCCTTTCTGATAACTCGCTTAAGAGACAACATTTTAGGTTTTATCAAAATAATTCCTATACTCTTTATTAGGTTTTTAATTCCTTAAAAAACTGATATTTAAAAGAATTAATGTTTTACATCTATGTAACCTCCTGTATTGCCTTTAAAGTCTTTTGATTATTACTTGGGTTAAATGAGTAACTATTGTTTTACAATGACCTATGTTTCTGTTGCAATAATATATTTTGAGCCTTTTAACATCTTTGACAAACATCTTGAAGATCAAATCCTAAATTAAGTCTCTCATTTATAGCTGGGGCTTATCAAAGCTATACAAATTTATTCAGACCCTCCAAGTCAGGGATGGGCACACAGATGCCTAAACAGCTGAACAAACTATTTGTGTTTTGGACAGCTAATTTCTACAAGCCAAGATCACATCACAGTAGCTAAATGCACAGAATTTATAGATAAGTCCACTTTATGACCTTATTTTTTGGCTTCTGGATTTTGCCTATTATATTGATTAAAAGGGTTTTAAGGATTAATGAGTGCCTTCCCACCTTCATGCCTGTCTTGCTTAGAGCATTTAATTGGCTTTAATTCTTTTGACTCTAAGGTCCTTGGCCATAAGGATTCCACCAAGGTGTATGATGGACCAGGGGCAGGTATCACACCACCTCAGCATTGATATGGGACAAAATAGAAGGTTGGCCATCAGCACTGCCTCTGGTATACTTTGACAAAAAAGGGAGAATATAAACAAAAAATAAATTAATTCTAAGTCCCCCAGCAGACTGAATGGACCCCTTATCTTGGCTAAAGGAAATCCCAAAGAAACCTAAAAAACCAGTTCAGGCCATGACAGCAAGAAAAGAGTCAGACAAGTTTCACTATACCTTTCCTCACTTTTTTTGATTTAGACACAACTGATCAGCATTAACATTAAAATGGAGATCATAAGGTTGACAGAAAAGGCTTGTTGTAACAAAACACAAAATTATAAACAGGACCTAAGACCATGCCAGGCAGGGGTAAGTCACAGGCTCCTACACTTAAAGAATAAACTATGTTCTAACTGCCATATGGTTTTTCTTTTTCTCTATGTTCTAACTGCCATATGTTTTTTCTTTTTCTCTAGCAGTCAATAAGTTAACTGCCCCACAGCCCCTTATTGCACAAGCAACTGTAGCTTTAATTAAATAAAATATTAATTCCAGTAAGTTTCTCCCGAGAAAAGACCACCAACCATGGACTAGTTCTGCCCAGTTTACAGAAAGTGCACATTTGCATGCCTTTATATCCTAAAAAGACCTTTTGACTCATGAGGCCTAATATAATACATTAAATATTGAGTCTCCATCCCATCTGTGTGTGTGTGTGTGTGTGTGTGTGTGTGTGTGTGTCTGTGTGTGTGTGTGTACATATATATGGGTTATATTGTGAGAGAATATATATATATATATATATATATATATATATATATATATATATATATATTTATGCGTGCATTAGATACTCGTATTTCTGTTATAGATGTCTTTTCTCAGGACTCCATAACAACATAGTTTAGTTAACTTCTTAATACAGATAAGACTCTCATATACAATATAACTGGTATTCTGCTCATTGTTTAACTTGGTTGCTAAGGATTTTATTGCCACTGTACACTGCATAGGGTTGAGGACAGACTTTCTCAGAACCTTTTAGTTCCCTACACCATAATGCTCCAGCAAATTTCTGCTATTAATCTCCTACTTTGTTTCTAATTGAGTTTATTTGGCTTTCTCTTTTTTCTTGGTTAATCTTGTTAATGGTCTATCAATTTTATTTATTTATTTCAAAGAACAAGCTTTTTGTTTCATTTATCTTTTGCATTTTTTATTGTTTCAATTTCATTTGGTTCTTCTCTGATCTTGGTTATTTCTTTTCTTCCACTGGGTTTGGGTTTGGTTTATTCTTCTTTCTCTAGTTCTTTCAGGTGTGAGCTTAGATTGTCCATTTGTGCTCTTTCAGACTTTGATGCAGGTATTTAAGGCTATGAAATTTGCTCTTAGCACCACACTTGCTGTGTCCCAGAAGTTTTGATAGGTTGTGTCACTATTATCATTCAGTTCAAAGAATTTTTTAATTTCCATCTAGATTTCATTGTTGACCCAATTAACATTCAGGAGCAGGTTATTTAATTTCCATGTATTTGCATAGTTTTGAAGGTTCTTTTGGTAGTTCATTTCCAAATTAATTCCACTGTGGTCTGAAAGAGTACTTGATATGATTTCAATTTTCCTAAATTTATTGAGAATTGTTTTGTGGCCTGTCATATGGTCTATCTTGGAGAAAGTTTCATGTGCTGATAAATAGAATGTATATTCTGCAGTTTTTGGGTAGAATGTTCTGTAAATATCTGTTAAGTCTATTTGTTCTAGCTTTTAAATGTACTTTCTTTGAAGCACCACATCCCTCTCTTTCTTACCATACACTCCCTTAAACCATGCACATTTATTTAACCGTATGCCTGTACTAATTATGAGCTTACTTAGAAGTTCCAGGGGATAACCTTGAAACAGACCATGCATGGAGACCCAGCTGCAAAATTCCAGAGATTACCTCAAGGCAGTTAGTCAGCAACCCAGCTATTGTTGAGATAATCCCAGTCCACACTCCCGGAGGACCACAGCTAGAAATAGCCACCAGAACAAGATATGCAGACCTTGTACTGAGTACCTTTCCCTCATGCCTTCCACTCCAAATTCCCCCTTTAAAGCCCCTCTCTCCAGCCTAAACTTTGAAGTGATTACTTTAGATGTAAATCTGGCCACTTCCCCATTACTAGTTTTGGTAAATAAAGTCACTTTCTTTCTACCATAACTCACTCTTGTTAATTGGATTCTGCAAGCAGCCAGTGGTTGGACTTGTGTTTGGTTATTCTTGCAGGCCTGATGGGAGCACAGGAGAAAATGCATAAAAATCTTCTAGGAAACGTCACCTGACCTTGGATGCATTCACTACTATTACTACTACTACTACTACTTCCTCTACTATGAACAACTGCAATAGTTTCAAATCTAACTCCTCATTTCCTTAAATACCTGAAAACACAGGTTTGAAAGGGCAAAACTGTCCTAGAATAAACAAAACTTGAATTGATGAAGTCAATAGTTTTTGTTTAGATAAAATGTCTGCAACATCAAATGAAACATATGTTGTCTCTCTCACATGCTAGAATCACGGACTCACAGAATTTTGGAACATTAAGGATAAGAACCTAAATAGTATAATAACATTTTACCAAGCATCTACATAACTGTATGTATATTTTCTGATAGGAAGGTAGTTTGACTAATTTTCTGTTATTAGTTTTCAGATATGACACTGAGTCTAAGCTTCCATAGGTGAAGACCAGCCACAGCAGAATAGTTAGAACATCAACATAAACAGCTATTCCATTTAGGTGAAGGGGTGAGAAATAAGCCATGAGGGAGTTTTTCTGCAAGAAACATGATACTGTTATTTTACCCATAAACAGATTTAAAGATGTGCTTTAATGCTGGTATATGGTTTCCCTCCTCACATTTGAAAAATATGTATCAGTCCCAGTAATAAATTTTTATGACAATAGAAGGATTTTCTTCATCAAAAAGAAACCAGTCTAAAAGTAAGTGTGGAATAGCCCTGTTTGTCAATAAGATAAATGCTTGTAAAATATCCAAGAATCTGTAGGTGGAAAAAAGCAGAGTAACATTTGGATGATGATGAAAGGAGAAAGTGTGGTGTTATTCTTGTGGTAGTATATTATAGGCTGTCCAGCTAGATGGAGGACACAGTGATATTGTCCTAATACAGATCACTCAGCTGACAGTATCAAGATGTAATAAGGGGAGAGCTACTATTCGGGTTGCTTTTGGATACTTTTATTGTTATAAAAAATGTGTTCATTTCCTGACTTGTCCTGCGTACATTCCATCTCTCACAGGAAGAATTACTCTATTCTATGATACTAAAGCAACTTGCTTGTATTTACCAAACAACAGGGGAAAAGTATGTTTCTTTTCTGAATTTATATCATCCAGAAAGGAATCACTGATAAGGGTGATAAATTCCACATTTTAGGAGAGTAGATATAAGACATTTCAGAGCAAATATAAGAATAATGGCTCTAGACAGTGCTGTTAAAAAGGAAGGTGGCTTTTTGTAGATATGCACAAAATTAAATCCTGGTAATTAGAAAATTCTGATAAGTAAGAAAGGAGCAGAGCCTCTAAAGAAAGTGTGTGGTAATAGAGGATTTTCATATGAAATCTTGTTGGAAAATGACACTTTACATTATAGAAAGAGGTCAAATAAACAAGATTGGGACAGAATGGAAGAACCAAAATACTGGTGTCTGACAGTCTCACATTAGGATTAACCAGAAGTTCAAAAAGCCAAGGGGTTTTAATTATGTTCAGATTAAGAAAACCAAAGATACTGTAAGTTCACATATTGTGTTATAAAGCATGAAGTTAATGGTTGAAAATGAGAAAGCTGAGCTCAGTTTCCTCATCTCTAGAGCACAAAGCTAATAGGAAGAGAAGCTGACATTGATTGAATATTTCCATTCTGCGCACCATGCTAAGAGCCGTATGTTACATAAGTTCCCTTCTAAATCTATACTTTCAGTATCATTTTATTATATCTCCTGGATCTAAAGAAAGAATTACCTCAAAATACTTTATATCCAAGGGCAAGATGACATAATTTCACTTCATATGAAAATATCTAGAGGTTTTTATGATTTTTTTTTGTAAATCTCTCAATAGTATCTGTACCTATCAAAAAGCTGAATGTAATGTCAGTAGAACTGAAGTTGCTACAGTAAGAAAGCTGATTATTCTATTGTGCTTGGAAAACTACCTCCAAAAATGTTTTAAAAGAGGTTTTTGTCCACATTACCATATTCCGATAAATTTATCCAGAAAGCAAAAAGCCTGGAAACTTTTTCATTAAAAAAAATGGCTGATGAACCTGGAAATAGTTCTTCTATAGAAGACAGTACTTAAAAGATATGGCAGGTGTTCTAAACAATTGGAAGGGATGTAAAGCAGAAGATAATTGGACTTATTTTACCTTTTTCCAGCATATTGTAGCAATTCAATATTGTTTCGCTTTTTCATGCCTCCATTTTGTTTTTGTAGAACACCTTCTCATAGAAATGTGAGAATAAAATAAAAAAAATATGTAAAGTACTTAGCCTGCTACTTAACGCACTGTAAATGTTCAATCAGTTATCCTCATCACCCTCAGCAATCAGGACGTTCACTTTATAATGGCAGGAATAAAGAATGATTACTATCTTGAATACCTTTTTTTACCACCATTATCTGGCAAACAGCAGGTTCTCCCTAACTACGTGACTAGGTGTGGGCTTTTCAAGGTCAGAACTAGAATCCTGAGTGTAGTTTACAGGATTAAAGGCTTCAACTCAATAAATGCCGTGGAATCAACCTAAAGGAACATAGCAGTTTATCATTTTTCCACCATTTGGATATCAATAGAATGAGTTCAAGAAAAATCGGAGTGGTTGTCAATTTAGCGTGTTGACCTCCTCCAACTCCTTGAAGTTCTCTTTCTCTCTGGGACACACTATACTATGGCTTCTCTTCTATCTTTCTGACCAGCCCTTCCTCAGTCTTTTATCAATTTTTCCCATTGTTTAAACTTTAATCCTAGAATATTTCCTGACTTCTTAGCCCTTATTAATAAATGTATTGAATATATAAATATAATAAGGGCTGCTAAGCCCTTATTAATAAATGTACTGAATACATGAGACTGTGTTATAAGCTATGGATAATGCAAAATAGAGTACAGTAAATGTATTTTGATGCCAGCAACTCACAGTCCAATAGGACGAATATTTCATAAATAGCTTCAGAAGTTAAATAAAATGACAAATACTGTAGGAATGGCAGAGAGGGACAGGTTTATTTTAGAAGTGTTTTCTAAAAAGCTTCATGGAAAATATAGTGGTTCATCGGGGTTTTCATAAATGCAGAGCACAGGCCTTTGAAAGGCAGACACAAAGACAGGGGAAGAGTATTATTGGCAGACAAAAGATATTGGTCAAAAGTAGGGAGGAAAGAAAGAAAAGCATAAGTGAAGAGATATGTTTAGGGTCAACACATAAATCCGTGTGACTAGAGCATGTTATAATGTGTACTCTTATTTAGATGTGGAGATCATGAATACGAAATTTAATAATACAAATTCTAATCTAATCTAACAATATAAAAGTTAACACTGTCAGGTTGATGCTTAGTTTAATCTGTGATCTTTATAAGTACAGTTATGACATTTACTAAGTAATGAGGTATTTTGTTTGACAGGAACTGTACTAAGTTATTTATATTCATTATATCATTTTAACATCAGTCAACATTTCCTAAGGTACAAACCTGTAATTTCGTGAAGTCAAGACTTGAGAAAAATTAAGTATCTTTTCCCAAGCCAAACAATTATAAGTAGGACTGGATTCAAGTCTAAGTTTGGTTGATTGCATAGACTTTGATGGATCTTTCTATGGTGGCAGAATACCTCTGTCTTAATAGTAAAAACACATGAGAGATAGGCATACACATTTTTCCTAATTTAGAAGTGATATGACCCATACAGTTTGCATATATACAAAAAGTAAGCTGTTTGGTCCTCATTTCCCAAATGTCATATGTAATTTAATCTTTAGTTAGTATTGACTCATAGCCTCTTTTACAATGTTTTGTTGTTACTGTTACTATTTTGTTGCTTTAAACACGTCTGATTTGTTACTATTATCTCTCAAATTAAAAATAAATAACATTTTACCAAAAGGAATGTTTATGCGTGAAACTACTCAGGACTTCTTTTTTCTTAAAAGTTGCTGTATTTCAATTCACTATCAAATAAATACAAAAATGTGTTTTTATTGGGACAGCCTTTTTCTATTTTAAATTGTGCAGCTAAAAATTTTTTTTTAAAGTCAGGGGGGAAAGGAAGTAGCGGAGAGCCAGTTTCCATTTTATTTGCCTGATGTGATAAATAGTTATCTCCTACTGTCCAAACTCTATCTGGGTGTTATCAGCCTGTAATCTCATCTAGCTATAAACTCTATTGCTGAACCAGGACATTCTGAATAATACAAACATAGTATACCACTGGAAAAGTACATTAAATGGAGATTTACTAAAGACTCAGCCTCTTAACATTTTAATAAACTGCATGCAATATTAAAAAAAAAACCTCAATTCTATCAATTGTAGTAAAGAAATTAGTTTATGGTAAATCTGTATCTATGGCTAAACCCTCAAATTTTATGGCCAGAAAAAAATGCAGCCAATTGCAGTTAGTTGCTATCATAAACATTTGTGGGATAGATATTTAAACTGAATCTATTCCATTCTGAATGGAAACATGATACACATAGCATGAAGTCATTATAAAGTCATGTTCTCAAAATAGCATCATATTGAGTCAGTTACTTACTCAAGGCCATGGGGCTATGTGCAGTGGCAATTCAATGTTGCTGAAATGAAAACACTGTATATTCCTCTGGGAAAAGCTCTCCTTCATTTCCTATTCAAAATAATGTTGTTTGGAGATATTTATAAGGCTTTCTACAAAACTTGGTGGGGTACTTTACAAAATAGTAGAATTTAGCCCTGATCTCATCCGGAATAAGTCAAGGTCACCACTGTACTGGAATATACTAAATGTAAAGTTCAGACAGAAAAATAAAGAAAACTACACACACACACACACACACACACACACACAGGTCTATATAAAGTCACAACCAAATATCTCAATTGACAACTGTTATTTTTTTGTAGGATATGACAAAGCAGGTTGTTAATTGCCACAATCAAAGATACAAATAAAATGGGACATGGTGCAACACTGCTTTTATATCCAAATACTCAGAGTTTCTAGAATGGACTTCTAATATTATCATCTGCTTTAAACATAGCAAATATTTAGTTGGAAAAAAATTTCTTCCCATTTTAAAGATGGAAATGGAAGTCTAAGATATGTGTCTTAGTTCATTTGGGCTGCTACAGCAAAATACTCTCAACTGGGTAGCTTATAAACAATAAACATTTTATTTTATTTCTATTTCTTACAGTTCTGGAGCCTGGGAGGTCCAAGTCAAGCCACTGGCAGATTCTGTGTCTTATGAGGTCCTGCCTTCTTGTTCATAGACGGCATCTTCCAGCTGTCCTCTCGCATGGTGGGAGGGGATAATGAGCTATTTTATAAGGACACTAACCCCTTTCAATAGGCCTCCAGCCTCATAACCTAATCACTTCCCAAAGGATGCCCTTCCTAATATCATTTTAGGAGTTACAATTTCAACGTATGAATTTGGCAGGGGGGTGGGGTGGAAACAAGCTTTTAGAACATAGCAGTTTGGAATTTGCTTAATAATATGGAATTTGTTTAATAATATAAATAAGTAATGCCAATTTAGATTAATAAAATGTCTTCACCTTTAAGTAACAGTTGTTCAAATCATACAAATAATTTTGTGTATAATTTTTCCAGGACCATATGAATCCGCAGAATGTAAGTCCTAATGCCATCAATTATATCAAAAAGAAGGATGTTGGAGAAATCAATGAATAGTTTCTACTACTGACTTTCTCCCAAGACTCTGTTCCTGACCCTCTTTCTTTCCAGTACTTTCAGTCTTCCTCTATCCTGAATTCTATACCTCAGTCTACACTTATGTACAGATCTTCATATCAAAAAAAAAACTGTCTTTTTGACCCTGTTTACCTTCTGAAGCTACCATCTTGAAAACAGTGCTATCTTGAAAATTATGATAATTATACTCATGTATTTGAGCAGTGTTACACAGGTTTCAAAAGATTTTCATATAATTTATCTTTCATCCCATGACAGCCTTAAGCAGTTTTGTTGGTATTTTTGTTTTTCAAACGAGAAAGTGACACTCAGAGATTAATACTTCTTCAATTTCCAAACACTAAAAGGCTTTTAAAAGATCAAGTCAGAACTCAAATATGAACCCACAAAAAATAAACTGAATGATTTTTGGGCGGGAGTCACCTTAAGAGAACAACATGAACTAAGCTAATACCATTTTCATACAGTCCATATTTCTTTTCTTGGACAATAAGAGGGATTTCTGAAAGACAGACTTTGCTAAGATAGGCAAAGACCTTGCTGAAATGCAGAAACATTATAAAGGCATTTATAAAATTTATCAACCTAGTGACACTATCAAAACATGAAATAGGGTTTGGGACTTGTTGGTAATCTCCTTATGATCACACTTTTCTTCCACGATGTTTCTAAAATAACTATATGCCTTCTAGAATTTTTACCTGGTTTTAGTGTCAGGTTCACCTGTCTGTTGTTCATGCAATGCATCCTGATAATAAAAACGTTTATGTTTCAATCTTCTGATGCTCTCCAAATCTCCTTAATTTTATAAAATCTAATCTAATTTGCAAGTTTTTCTTCTTGCATTCCAAGTTTAAATTCTTTGGAAAATGCAGATGAATTGGTTAAATTATTTTGCTTTTTCTGATAATCTTCACATTTCTACTCTCCTTCACAGATGTTTATGGAGTACCTACTCTCCAACAGCCATTGAGCTGGGCACAGGGAATACAGCCATTACCACTGTCATTTAACAGTTTTTAGTTTGGTAATGTCAGCAAAAATATTTTGGTGTTTAGTTTTCTCAAATCAACTTCATTTAACAGTTTCTAGTTTAGTGAGGCCAAAAAACATTTGGGCCTTCAGTTTCCTCAACGTCCTAATTTAAAGATGAGCATTATTGAGGAGAAACATGGAAGCAGCGGAGAAACTGCATCATCCTTCCCACTTACCCACCCAAAATTCCTTTTGAAACTATGCATATTCTAAGCAATCAAACTGACTCATCATACTTCCCTTTTTCTTGGTTGAATATAGGGTTTCTTCTTGTTGTTGTTTGAAGTTTTTTAAAGTTTGGTGGCCTCCCTGGCTATCTTCATGTACCTGTCCTGAATTATGACTCAACCCTCCACACTAGTAGGTCCCAGTTACACTAAGAGTTCTTTGGAGAGCACACTAGGTAGCCAAGCTGTATTTAGGGTGGCTTTCCTGTTACTAATTAGTGAAACATTTGTAATGTCAAATATTCCATTTTCAGAGCCTTCTACTCATTCTGAATTCCATTTCCAATTAAGAGTCTATCTTTGTTTTTAATATTATTTTTGTCATTTGTTGTGCTAATCTTAGCTGGAAAAAATTCTAAATCATATAGCCTGATTGTCCTAAACTTCCCTTTGCTTAAATGATGTTTTCTCTTGGTAATCAGAATTAAGCTTGGAGTTTCAAGCCCTTATTTCTTTTCTCAGTTACTCAGAGTTGATGCTCTTTGAAAGGAAAATTAAAATGCTGCATGACCTTTAGCATGTCATTTAACATTTTTGGATGTCAGCATAGTCATTTATAAAATTTCTGGAGTAAAGTTTCTCTTAGAAAACCATATATCCTTTTGGTTTTTCATCCAAAAATGCATACTCATTGTAGGAAAATTAGAAAACACACAAAAGGGGAAAATAATCACACATAATTCCACTTGAAAACCACTTTCAGTATTGTAGTGCATAACCTTTCAAGCTTTAGTCTATGAAATACTGTGTGTATATACACACACACAAATATATGCTCTATTGTATATTATTATACATATTACACAGACTGTTCTGTCATATGAGCTGAATTTACCCTGAGCAATATATGTAACATATCTTTACATCTCCACTGTACCATTTTCATTGTTTGCTTAGGTTTGCATTCCATGGAATTTCCAGAATTTGTTTAATGAATCTGCCATTATTGAGGATTAAGTCTTATTCACTATTATTATAGAAGTGTCACAATGAATATCCTTATATATTTGTATTGCTCACTTATTTTCCTAGGGTGAATGCCCAGAAGTAGTATCTAAGTCTCAGAATATATGCATTTTGGAAGTATTTTTCCCACACTTTCACATTATTTCCAGCACAATATTGTAGTCACTTTTATTTCTGTCCATTAAAGAAAAGTTTATTGAGCCCCTGCTATCTAGGTGAAGGAGATACTAAAGTTAACAAAATAGACAAAGGTTTCTGCCTTCTTGGAGCATACATTCAATAAGGCAGGACAGTCAATAGTCAGATAAATAAAATACCTAGTATATTAGAAGGTGATATGCACAACAGAGAAAAACTAGGGAAGTCACCTAGAGGATTCAATTTCAATAACAGCCTAGATTTTCTGTAGCCACTTCCAGTGTATTATAATCCTGAGTCAAGGTTCTAGGTGTAATTAAATGCTGTGCTTTTTGCTGAGTCAATCAGGCATCCAGATAGTTGAGATGTCTATAATGGCAGTTATTTTTTGTATCTATGCCTATTAGATTATCTGTTTCAAAAGATTATCCTCCACATTTTTTTTTACTGGACAGACCATCTGAAATAAGATCTTTCACCATTAATATTTTTGTTTTTTACCATTAACAATTTTTGGTTTTAATAAACAAAAATTATTTTCCAAAATAACTTCCATCAGTATTTCAATCTGAGATTGTAGATGCTCATGGAGACTGCTACTGTTATTCCTGCTAGGCCCCTCTATCCACCCTTCTTACTTGGTGTTTCCTTCAGCAGCACCCTACCGTGATGGTCCTCCCCATCAGCACTCTATCCCCCGATATTTCTCAACAAAATGTTATGATTTTACTTACCATTTTCTGTGATGATTTCTTCAGAATTTAACTGCAACATGAGTTGATGTAAAAATATATTCATTTACTCTTTTGGTGAATATTAATAATCACCTACTCTGTAGGACTTAAATAATGTAGTAGGTAAAAGTAAGTTTGTCTACCCTCAAAGGAATTTATATTCTAACAAGGGAAATAGACAAGCAAATAAATGTTCACAAATTAGGAAGCACCGTGAAGAAAATACACAATCATGCCTATTGGGGATCATAATGGGATAGGGAGTGAGGAAGGCCTTTTTGAGGAGGTGTTACTAAATCTGAAACTTGAAAGATGAGGAAGAGCCAGGGAAACTAAGAACTAATTAAAATTAAGATGTGTGAATGCAGGAAGAAAATATTCATGGGCTGAGAAGTTGCATAAATGTTGGTGACTATGGAATAATGAAAAGAGGAAAGAGTTACTTAAGAAAAGAGGAGCGAAAAATACCAGCCAAACTGTATCAAGTTTAGTAGTTAGGATTGTACTCTGCATCTAACAGTAAGTCATTGAAAGGTATTACACAATGAGTGGCATTAGTTGTATTTATATTTTTAAAAGATTACTTTGAGATTCCAGAGAATAGATTGAAAGACGGCAAAAGAGAAAGACGAAACAGCAATCAGGAGTCTAATATAACGGTCCAAATGGAGAATTTTAGAGTGGATCAACTTTTGACAATGGAAATAGACATGAATTTAGTGGGGTACAATTTGAAATAGATTTGATAGGGTACATTGAAGGATTGAATTTAAATATGGGCATTAAAGAAGAGAGAGGAAACAGACGGGTGTGAGATTTCTCATTTGAACAGTGAAAGAATGGATGGTCATATCATTCATTATGGTGGGAAAGTGAAAAACATCAATAATTCAATTTTATCTATAAGACCTCAGCTCATAGAATAGGTCTGAGCTAGAGAAATAAATCTGGTATTTAACAGAATACAGAGAAAGAAGTGAAAGAGACAGGGGAAAAGAAGCTGAGAAAGAGTGGCCAGAAATGCACGAAGAAATCTAGGAGAACACAGGAAGAAAGTGTTTCTTTCTTCTGCAGGAAGAAAGAAATGCTGTATGTATTAAAGAGACCCTAGGAGATAAAAACTGAAAATTGTCCATGAATTTGGAATCCTAGCCACTCGATAAGACCTCTCTCTGGAGAGCAGTGAAAGGCACACTAGATGACTGTAAAATTAAGAATGACAGTATTTCCATTGAGGCTTCCTCCCAGCTATGCCTTAGTATAAAAACATCATCTGGGATAGGGATTTCAGGTACCCAGATTCTGAACAAAGAACTGGAAAATTATCATGGTCTAAGAGAGAGATCATTCCAAAAAGACTGATCACCCTGCGAGAAAAAATAGGAGGGATTATTTGACCTGGAAAGACGAATGCTAAGTTGAAGACTTCAGAAGCCCTTTTTAGGTCATTCAATCCAACCCTGAAAGGTTAAGAACCATATGCTTCTATTGTTGCAGTAATTTAAAAGCGTTGTAACAGATTTTGGATATTAAATTGAAGATACATTGTTAAAGAGCAAGAGTGTACCAGAGGCAGTATAAATGTGTAAGGTGAAGGGAGATAATAGTACTAATTTTTTCTTTGTCTAGAATCAGTTCTTTACATTTTCCTTGGAATAGGGGTTTAATTGACTGGTCTGTCAGTGTCACACGAAATAAGGCTGTGAAAGCGCAGCAAACTGTAAGGTGCTCTACCAATACCATTTATTGTTACTCTCTTCTAAAACATTATTGATTAAAGGTTGAAGACTAATATTTATTAAAACTTGGCAGGATCATACACAAAATAGAATGCAGCTTGACAATATACTTGTGTACAGTCAATCACCTGCTTTAAATGAATTCCAAATTTGATTCAGACTTAACAAAGTTTCTCAAGTAGTTATATATTTATGCTTTTTCAGTGTCTCTAAACAATTTTTAAAATCAATATTCCTGGATTAATTAATGTTTTTCAGGAATCTCAATTTTCATTTTAAATAATCTGAAGCTGGTTCTGAATACTCACTGAATTAATTTTTATGTTCCTTGTCAAAGAGAACCTAAATTTTTAGAGGAATATTCTGAAAATTTAAATGTCTTTTATTCCAGCTAGTGTTTGACTGGATTGATTTTCTTAATAAACAAAATCAGTGTGAGGAAATGTGAAGAAATGACTCCATCGTGTGGTCAGAAACTAATAATACAACAGAAGTGGAGAATGAGAGGTCTTTAGACATTCAGAATTTCACTGACAAATCATGCAGAGAGTAAAGCTTGGGCGGAATTCGCACAATGCAGGCGCACAAATGCCGCCGCCTAGTGGCACAGCCTGGAATTCTCACATGCAGCTTTATCTCAGTATGTTCAACTTAAACGTATTTTCCGCTCTTATTAAGTGTTCTCTAACTTAGTAAATTACAAAAGTTCAAAAGTCAAACTATAGTACTGAGTGTTATCTCTTATCTCATTTTTATTATATCACATACTCCTGTATACAAATATCACATCCTGTTATTTTACTTCCTAAATATTTATCATTTTCAGCCTTTTTTTTCTTTGCTAACTCTGCTATATTTTTGTCATATTTTACTTGGATAAGTGCCCCTGTCTCTGAATTACCTTTTAGCGTGTTTCTCTTTTTATCACTTCCCACTCCCTCCACATAACCACAACCACAATGACAACCACAGTGACATGTGACTTGACCATGACACTCTTCTGTTTAACCCCATCAAGGGAGCCCCTCCACCACTGGTTAAGGTTCCAGCTCTAACAAAAACTCCTGCTGACATTCCTTATCATTCACCACTCTTTGCTTTATTCTTTATATTCTGGTCATCCTGAGAGCTTGTATGGTGTAACAGAATCTTTGATTTCAGACTTCCAGAGTTTTAAACCTTGGATTTGCTATACATTGTTGGCAAGTTGCTTAACCTCTTTGTGCCTCAGTTCCCTGAACTAATGAATTTAGGTAATTATGGTATCTACTTTATGGGATCTCTATGAAGGTTAAAATAATAAAGCACTTAGAAAAGTTAGCTGATAAATAGTAAATGCTAATCAGAATTTAAAGCTACTACTAGTACTATTCATGAGCTTCTTGATACTTACCAAATACACTCTCTCTATAATGTTTGGTGCTTCACAGTGTTTTTACTTCTTCTATTTCTGTTGTCTGGAAAGTGCTTGCCATACAGTACACTTTCCTAACTTCTCATCTACTAAAATTTAGCACAGGAGACAATTCCAGGAAGAGTTCTTTACTTCTGCCCGAAGCTATTTTCCTATTGCATCCTATAATTACTATATCATTTCATTTACTATAATACAATAAAACCATTTGTGCCCATCATCCCAATTAGCCCCAGGTCATTAGGGTAGAGATTGTTTCATAAGGTACCAGTAATGTTCAATTAAGGACTGTGAAATTGAACCAAATTAAAATCAACTTGCTTGAAAGACAGTTTCATCACTTTCTTTTCAACATAATTTTACATGTAAACTTGTTTTTCATATTTTGAAAAGGACACTATGACATAATTCTAAGATATACTGTAACACTATTCAAATAAACTCCAGTTTCTGTGTACTCTGTGACTTTCAAATTATCTATGAATGCATTTCTCTATATGTATAAAAAGACTATATGATGTCAATGATGTCAGTATGACTTATGTTTACTTATGGGCACAGAAGTTTAGGAGAAATTTTGGGAGGTAAAAGACAAGAGCCCCTGAAGGTTACATTGAAACATCTGACAGGATTATTCTATGGAAAAGGAAAGAATGACTCTATTTTGTTTCACAATTCGATAGGGTAAGTCAAGAGGCAGTGTGCAAAAGATTTAAACCTAAAACAAGTGTGGTAGGCAGACTAATGTTCCCCAAAGACGTCCATGTCCTAATCCTTGTAGACTGTGAATATGTAATCTTACAAGACAAAAAGAGGCCTTTGCAGATGGCATTAAGGTTGTGGACCTTGAGATGGGGAGATGTCCTGATTATCCAGAAGTGCTCAATCTAATCACATGCATCCTTAAAAGCAGAGAACCTTTTCTAAGTGCAGTCAGTCAGAGGAAGATATGACCATAGCAGAAACACACAGAGAGATGCAATGGTGCTGGCATTGAAGATGAAAAAGGGGGCCATGCGCCAAGGAATGTGCATGGCCTTTAAAAATCAGAAAAGACAAGGAAAAGGATTCTTTCCTATAGCCTCCAAAAAGGAACACAAAACTTACTGAAACTTTGACTTTAGCCCAGTAAAACCCACGTTAGGCTTCTGACTTACAGAATTGTATGATAATGCACTTGGGTTGTTTCTAGCAGCTCAGTTGTGGTAATTTGTTAGAGCTGCAGTAGAGAACTAGTACAGTAAGAAAAGGTTTTCTAAAAATTAGTGATGTCTAAACACAGAAAGGGCTGTCCTTGAAAAACTAAGCTGCTCATTGCTGGATGGCCATGTTCAAAATATCTGAGCACTATTCATCTGATTCCTGGACAGAGAGGGATGTTGAATATGATGATCTCTAAAGACTAACAATAACCCAAAGTGAAAACTTCAACTCTTTTCTGTCAAGACTTGTTTATTCAAGTGATTATTTCACACAGACAATAGTACCAGTCGAAAGAGAAGTATCTCATCTCCCACTATCAGACCTACCAACCTCATGTACCTAGGATGGTCAGACTTTCCACGTTCATGATGGGGCCATTGGTCCCTTCCTGTTGAAACAAATCCTTCTGCTTAGGCTTGGATTCCATGCTCTTTGATTTGCTCAAGGATATTTTAAATTTTTTTTCCTCTCACTCTTTTTTTCCCACAGCATATTTGTGATAGTCCTCATCATGTGAAAGGGTAACTATTTGTACCAACATCCCTCCTCACCATCAACTCCCACATGATTTTCCTGCTCCTATTTAGAGAAAAACTTCTTCGAATTGCTGTTTGTATTCTTTCATTTCATGTTCTCATCTCATACTCTCCCCTTAATGCACCCCAATTGACAACTTCCTCTCCCTACCTCTCTAAAATAATTATTCTCAAGGTCAGCAATCATCTCAATATTAAGAGTATGTAAATTTAATTCTACTTACTGTTGGTAACTTACAGGACAGTAGGATGACCTAAGGGGTAAAATATTTTTTGGACCACTACTTTGGAGATTTATTAATTTCATAAACACAATTATTTTCAACACTATCCTTCTATACATATCAAGATATGCCCTTTGAAGTGAAAATGGGTAGTGATTATTTTATGCGGTGAACTGGATCAAAATAAACTTTCATGCTTTTAGACTGATGTATCTAAAATTAATGTGTCACGATAACATGACACATTAATTCTTTACCTATGAAAAACTTGTGCCCACTGAACATTTAAACAATACAATAAAACAACAAATCTAACAGCATGTCCCAGCTGACAAGTGGAACTGAGCTAATCTTTGAAAATGGAATAAAACTTAGAAGTTTTACTGTCACATTCAGGGACACATTTAATTTGTTAGAACTTAGCATTGAGAATTGTGTCTATTATAATCAGAACTGGCTTTCAGTCACAAGGATCTTGAATTTTAAGCAGTATGGTGTGCACAATGCCTTAAGAGATAGTCACTGAAAATGTTACATGACTATCTCAAAAAGGTGCAGTCTTTAATTTGTCACAACCAAACTTCACATCCTCTAATAATAAATACATTTACTATTTTTTTCCACGTAGATAACAACGACTTGGTGTGTACTCGTCAATTCTTACATCTTGAGACACAGATATGTCTATTTTTCAAATTAAACAGTATTGTTGTTTCCTTTATTTCCCATTATTTTCTACATGGGCTTTCCATAATCCACAGGACTTTATGATGGCAGAGTCCTTACCTCATTGATGCCAGCAGACTTCAATCTCTTCCATATGACAGCAAGGAAACTAAATAGAAATTGGTCTTATGGCCTCTGAGAGAGACTTCCCTGGAATAATTATATGTACTAATGCCCCTCGACTCTGTGGAGCGTTGTCCTGATCCCTGGACACACTAACCCTGAGGACATCCCTCTTTTCCCCACATTTGTTGCTGCTGTTTTTCTAGGAAATGATGCCACTCTCTGTAAAATCTGCTCAAAATTTAGTGGCTCAGATAAGATTCCAAAATTTTTAAATACTTAGAACATAGCCTGGCCTAGTAAACGATGCTCATATCTGAGGCTGAATTCTGAGCTCAAAGAAAATCACAGTGTAGATTTCTTTAACATTACCAATAAAGCAAACACTTTTATATTCTTCCTAGAATAAATTTTAACAAGCCCTTCATGCTGAAATATACTTTGGGATGAGACTTTCTCTTAACTCTCTACCAGGTTATTACCACGTATGACCCCTTTTTCTTTGTGGCATCAAACTCATCTTTCCTCTCATTCATGCAGTGTTAAAGCTCAAATTTTCATTCACTACTATGTTTGTCTTGAATTGTTTCCTTCTCAATTCTATAACTGATACAGTAGCAACTCATTGTGACTTCTGGTTAATTCCATGCATTTAAAGTTTTAACTGAAACATTTAAGTTAAATTATTGGTAATATTCATTATGCAGATGTAACTTCATAATTAATAATTATGCAGATGTCACCTTGTAATTAGCAAATGTTATAAAAGCCTTACCAAAAAGTCATAGTAAATTGGTTTCATAGAAAAAGAGCTTGAAAATAATGGCTAAATTAGCACTGCAAAGGACTAGAAATCCACATAGGCTAGAGTTGACATTATACATATTCATAAGAATCATGCCCTTGAGAATCTGTCTGAATTTAGAACTCATCTCTTACAATCTATTCTCTCTTTAAATCCTACAAGGCTACAGCTAACCTAAGTCTACATTAGGATAGGAAACCTTGAAGTAAATTAGAAAAAGCCTTTTAAGCAGAGAAATTGTTTTTATGAAGTTCATGTACTGTATGAAAGTTCTATAGTCGGGGGAGGAGCCAAGATGGCTGAATAGGAACAGCTCCGGTCTACAGCTCCCAGCGTGAGCGACGCCGAAGACAGGTGATTTCTGCATTTCCATCTGAGGTACCGGGTTCATCTCACTAGGGAGTGCCAGACAGTGGGCGCAGGTCAGTGGGTGCGTGCACTGTGCGCCAGCCGAAGCAGGGTGAGGCATTGCCTCACTCCGGAAGTGCAAGGGGTCAGGGAGTTCCCTTTCCTAGTCAAAGAAAGGGGGGACAGCCGGCACCTGGAAAATTGGGTGGCTCCCACCCGAATACTGCGCTTTTCCGACGGGCTTAAAAAATGGCAGACCACGAGATTATATCCTGCACCTGGCTCAGAGAGTCCTACGCCCACGCCCACGGAGTCTCCCTGATTGCTAGCACGGCAGTCTGAGATCAGACTGCAAGGGGGCAGCAAGGCTGGGGGAGGGGCACCCACCATTGCCCAGGCGTGCTTAGGTAAACAGAGCAGCCAGGAAGCTCGAACTGGGTGGAGCCCACCACAGCTCAAGGAGGCCTGCCTGCCTCTGTAGGCTCCACCTCTGGGGGCAGGGCACAAACAAAAAGACAGCAGTAACCTCTGCAGACTTAAATGTCCCTGTCTGACAGCTTTGAAGAGAGCAGTGGTTCTCCCAGCACGCAGCTGGAGATCTGAGAACGGGCAGACTGCCTCCTCAAGTGGGTCCCTGTCCCCTGACCCCCGAGCAGCCTAACTGGGAGGCACCCCCCAGCAGGGGCACACTGACACCTCACACGGCAGGGTACTCCAGCAGACCTGCAGCTGAGGGTCCTGTCTGTTAGAAGGAAAACTAACAAACAGAAAGGACATCCACACCAAAAACCCATCTGTACATCACCATCATCAAAGACCAAAAGTAGATAAAACCACAAAGATGGGGAAAAAACAGAACAGAAAAACTGGAAACTCTAAAAAGCAGAGTGCCTCTCCTCCTCCAAAGGAATGCAGTTCCTCACCAGCAATGGAACAAAACTGGATGGAGAATGACTTTGACGAGCTGAGAGAAGAAGGCTTCAGATGATCAAATTACTCTGAGCTACGGGAGGACATTCAAACCAAAGGCAAAGAAGTTGAAAACTTTGAAAACAATTTAGAAGAATGTATAACTAGAATAACCAATACAGAGAAGTGCCTAAAGGAGCTGATGGAGCTGCAAACCAAGGCTCGAGAACTACGTGAAGAATGCAGAAGCCTCAGGAGCCGATGCGATCAACTGGAAGAAAGGGTATCAGCAATGGAAGATGAAATGAATGAAATGAAGCGAGAAGGGAAGTTTAGAGAAAAAGTAATAAAAAGAAATGAGCAAAGCCTCCAAGAAATATGGGACTATGTGAAAAGACCAAATCTACGTCTGATTGGTGTACCTGAAAGTGATGGGGAGAATGGAACCAAGTTGGAAAACACTCTGCAAGATATTATCCAGGAGAACTTCCCCAATCTAGCAAGGCAGGCCAACATTCAGATTCAGGAAATACAGAGAATGCCACAAAGATACTCCTCGAGAAGAGCAACTCCAAGACACATAATTGTCAGATTCACCAAAGTTGAAATGAAGGAAAAATTGTTAAGGGCAGCCAGAGAGAAAGGTCGGGTTACCCTCAAAGGGAAGCCCATCAGACTAACAGCGGATCTCTCAGCAGAAACCCTACAAGCCAGAAGAGAGTGGGGGCCAATATTCAACATTCTTAAAGAAAAGAATTTTCAACCCAGAATTTCATATCCAGCCAAACTAAGCTTCATAAGTGAAGGAGAAATAGAATACTTTACAGACAAGCAAATGCTGAGAGATTTTGTCACCATCAGGCCTGCCCTAAAAGAGCTCCTGAAGGAAGCGCTAAACATGGAAAGGAACAACCGGCACCAGCTGCTGCAAAATCATGCCAAAATGTAAAGACCATCGAGACTAGGAAGTAACTGCATCAACTAACGAGCAAAATAACCAGCTAACATCATAATGACAGGATCAAATTCACACATAACAATATTAACTTTAAATGTAAATGGACTAAATGCTCCAATTAAAAGACACAGACTGGCAAATTGGATAAAGAGTCAAGACCCATCAGTGTGCTGTATTCAGGAAACCCATCTCACGTGCAGAGACACACATAGGCTCAAAATAAAAGGATGGAGGAAGATCTACCAAGCAAATGGAAAACAAAAAAAGGCAGGGGTTGCAATCCTAGTCTCTGATAAAACAGACTTTAAACCAACAAAAATCAAAAGAGACAAAGAAGGCCATTACATAATGGTAAAGGGATCAATTCAACAAGAAGAGCTAACTATCCTAAATATATATGCACCCAACACGGAGCACCCAGATTCATAAAGCAAGTCCTGAGTGACCTACAAAGAGACTTGGACTGCCACACATTAATAATGGGAGACTTTAACACCCCACTGTCAACATTAGACAGATCAATGAGACAGAAAGTCAACAAGGATACCCAGGAATTGAACTCAGCTCTGCACCAAGTGGACCTAATAGACATCTACAGAACTGTCCACCCCAAATCAACAGAATATACATTTTTTTCAGCACCACACCACACCTATTCCAAAATTGACCACATACTTGGAAGTAAAGCTCTCCTCAGCAAATGTAAAAGAACACAAATTATAACAAACTATCTCTCAGACCACAGTGCAATCAAACTAGAACTCAGGATTAAGAATCTCACTCAAAACCGCTCAACTACATGGAAACTGAACAACCTGCTCCTGAATGACTACTGGGTACATAACGAAATGAAGGCAGAAATAAAGATGTTCTTTGAAACCAATGAGAACAAAGACACAACATACCAGAATCTCTGGGACGCATTCAAAGCAGTGTGTAGAGGGAAATTTATAGCACTAAATGCCCACAAGAGAAAGCAGGAAAGATCCAAAATTGACACCCTAACATCACAATTAAAAGAACTAGAAAAGCAAGAGCAAACACATTCAAAAGCTAGCAGAAGGCAAGAAATAACTAAAATCAGAGCAGAACTGAAGGAAATAGAGACACAAAAAACCCTTCAAAAAATTAATGAATCCAGGAGCTGGTTTTTTGAAAGGATCAACAAAATTGATAGACCGCTAGCAAGACTAATAAAGAAAAAAAGAGAGAAGAATCAAATAGACGCAATAAAAAATGATAAAGGGGATATCACCACCAATCCCACAGAAATACAAACTACCATCAGAGAATACTACAAACACCTCTATGCAAATAAACTACAAAATCTAGAAGAAATGGATAAATTCCTCGACACATACACCCTCCCAAGACTAAACCAGGAAGAAGTTGAATCTCTGAATAGACCAATAACAGACTCTGAAATTGTGGCAATAATCAATAGCTTACCAACCAAAAAGAGTCCAGGACCAAATGGATTCACAGCCGAATTCTACCAGAGGTACAAGGAAGAACTGGTACCATTCCTTCTGAAACTATTCCAATCAATAGAAAAAGAGGGAATCCTCCCTAACTCATTTTATGAGGCCAGCATCACTCTGATACCAAAGCCGGGCAGAGACACAACCAAAAAAGAGAATTTTAGACCAATATCCTTGATGAACATTAATGCAAAAATCCTCAATAAAATGCTGGCAAAACGAATCCAGCAGCACATCAAAAGGCTTATCCACCATGATCAAGTGGGCTTCATCCCTGGGATGCAAGGCTGGTTCAATATACGCAAATCAATAAATGTAATCCAGCATAAAGACAGAGCCAAAGACAAAAACCACATGATTATCTCAATAGATGCAGAAAAGGCCTTTGACAAAATTCAACAACGCTTCATGCTAAAAACTCTCAATAAATTAGGTATTGATGGGACGTATTTCAAAATAATAAGAGCTATCTATGACAAATCCACAGCCAATATCATACTGAATGGGCAAAAACTGGAAGCATTCCCTTTGAAAACTGGCACAAGACAGGGATGCCCTCTCTCACCACTCCTATTCAACATAGTGTTGGAAGTTCTGGCCAGGGCAATTAGGCAGGAGAAGGAAATAAAGGGTATTCAATTAGGAAAAGAGGAAGTCAAATTGTCCCTGTTTGCAGATGACATGATTGTATACCTAGAAAACCCCATTGTCTCAGCCCAAAATCTCCTTAAGCTGATAAGCAACTTCAGCAAAGTCTCAGGATACAAAATCAGTGTACAAAAATCACAAGCATTCTTATACACCAACAACAGACAAACAGAGAGCCAAATCATGAGTGAACTCCCATTCACAATTGCTTCAAAGAAAATAAAATACCTAGGAATCCAACTTACAAGGGATGTGAAGGACCTCTTGCAGGAGAACTACAATCCACTGCTCAAGGAAATAAAAGAGGATACAAACAAATGGAAGAACATTCCATGCTCATGGGTAGGAACAATCAATATCGTGAAAATGGCCATACTGCCCAAGGTAATTTATAGATTCAATGCCATCCCCATCAAGCTACCAATGACTTTCTTCACAGAATTGGAAAAAACTACTTTAAAGTTCATATGGAACCAAAAAAGAGCCTGCATCACCGAGTCAATCCTAAGCCAAAAGAACAAAGCTGGAGGCATCACACTACCTGACTTCAAACTATACTACAAGGCTACAGTAACCAAAACAGCATGGTACTGGTACCAAAACAGAGATATAGATCAATGGAACAGAACAGAGCCCTCAGAAATAATGCCACATATCTACAACTATCTGATCTTTGACAAACCTGAGAAAAACAAGCAATGGGGAAAGGATTCCCTACTTAATAAATGGTGCTGGGAAAACTGACTAGGCATATGTAGAAAGCTGAAACTGGATCCCTTCCTTACACCTTATACAAAAATCAATTCAAGATGGATTAAAGACTTAAACGTTAGACCTAAAACCATAAAAACCCTAGAAGAAAACCTAGGCATTACCATTCAGGACATAGGCATGGCAAGGACTTCATGTCTAAAACACCAAAAGCAATGGCAACAAAAGCCAAAATTGACAAATGGGATCTAATTAAACTAAAGAGCTTCTGCACAGCAAAAGAAACTACCATCAGAGTGAACAGGCAACCTACAAAATGGGAGAAAATTTTTGCAACCTACTCATCTGACAAAGGGCTAATATCCAGAATCTACAATGAACTCAAACAAATTTACAAGAAAAAAACAACCCCATCAAAAAGTGGGCAAAGGACATGAACAGACACTTCTCAAAAGAAGACATTTATGCAGCCAAAAAACACATGAAAAAATGTTCATCATCACTGGCCATCAGAGAAATGCAAATCAAAACCACAATGAGATACCATCTCACACCAGTTAGAATGGCAATCATTAAAAAGTCAGGAAACAACAGGTGCTGGAGAGGATGTGGAGAAATAGGAACACTTTTACACTGTTGGTGGGACTGTAAACTAGTTCAACCATTGTGGAAGTCAGTGTGGCGATTCCTCAGGGATCTAGAACTAGAAATACCATTTGACCCAGCCATCCCATTACGGGGTATATACCCAAAGGACTATAAATCATGCTGCTATAAAGACACATGCACACGTATGTTTATTGCGGCATTATTCACAATAGCAAAGACTTGGAACCAACCCAAATGTCCAACAATGATAGACTGGATTAAGAAAATGTGGCACATATACACCATGGAATACTATGCAGCCATAAAAAATGATGAGTTCATGTCCTTTGTAGGGACATGGATGAAATTGGAAATCATCATTCTCAGTAAACTATCGCAAGAACAAAAAACCAAACACCGCATATTCTCACTCATAGGTGGGAATTGAACAATGAGATCACATGGACACAGGAAGAGGAACATCACACTCTGGGGACTGTTGTGGGGTGGGGGGAGGGGGGAGGGACAGCATTGGGAGATATACCTAATGCTAGATGACGAGTTAGTGGGTGCAGCGCACCAGCATGGCACATGTATACATATGTAACTAAGCTGCACAATGTGCACATGTACCCTAAAACTTAAAGTATAATAATAAGTAAAAAAAAAAAAAAAAAAAAAAAAAAAAAAGACGAAAGTTCTATAGTCAGGCTCTCTTAGAACGTATTGACTTATATTTGTAGTACACTGTTTAAACTGATTAATCACATTTAATTTAACTCTGCAATACCTTTATTGAGCATTTAAGCAGGTGTCATTCTTTTCTGGAATAAGATGGTATATAAATACATACTGACATTGATAGTCTATTGTATGCAGATGCCCATGCTACGCATAAGGACGTTCTGTTTTTTTTTTTTTCAATGTATTTAACATGATAGCAGGAAAGGGGGCTCTTTAAAGCTGATACAACTGGGAAATAAGAGCTAACAGGAGAGAAAGAATCTCTAACAGTCCTCTGGGACTAGCTAAATTAGGTAAACTCAGTTTAATAAAAGAGTAGAGCAAAAAAGTAACAATTCATTTTAGAAATATTTCCGTAAAAAACTACAAATATCTTAAAGTGCAACTTCATGAAAAAGTGCTGCTTAAAAAAGCACACATATTGATTATATGGTTTTGAAATACCTATTAGCTGTCAGGCACTGTGACAAGGACTGAACATATAGTAGCACATAAGGAAATAAGTGGTTTCTGCCTCTAAAGCCTCATTTTACAGTAATTTATGCCATCATTCCTCAAGGGCAGGTTTCAGGAAGATATTTTATTGAGGTCGTAAAATGCCATGTACAGTGCCTGTACCATATCCTCCTGGATAATTCTGGGGAAACTGTTCTGTGGGTTCAAATCTACCAGCATATTTTATAAGATTTTAGAAAATATGCAAATGTTTCCAAACAAAGAAAATGAAAAAAAAAAAAAAAAGGAAAGAAGGGAGGAACAATCTGACTGTAGTCTTAGCTCTTTCCATAGCAGCAAATCCTGACTTTACAGCCCTCTGTAGAGCCCACCAGTTGAACTAGTAGGTTGGTGCAAAGGTAATTGTGGTTTTTGCCATTAAAAATAGGGCAAAAACTACAAGTACATTTGTACCAACCTAATAATTCACTTCTAAGGTTCTTTCCAGCCTTAAATACCTGAGAATCTATACAATATTCCACAAGTAAGTTAAACAGCCTATTACTGAGGGAGATTGAAGGGCTGGAGGCACAGTCATTCTGGAGAAATAGGGAAGATGTAATCTAAAGTTTAGTGACCACTCTTCCATGCAGGAGATCCATCTCTTATGTGTCCTTCTAGATTCTGAAAAGCAATCTCAAGTCAGGAAGATTTATGTTGTCAGATGGCCTTTGTGATTTCATTCCTATAATATTAGCTCAGAATTTGAGTGTAGGGAGAACTTTTAGTTTGTTCTTATAAGACTACTTCCAACACCAACAATAATACCTATTCTGAGAGTAATACTGATACTCGTACTTATATTAATAACAACAGCAACAGCTAAGGCTTACTGAGTTCTTACTGTGTGCCAGGCACAATATGCTTCAACTAATTATCTTTGAAAATTGATGCTAACAAACACTAATCTTTATAGTAATTCAGTGTCATAGGTACTATTAGTGGATCCCATTTTACAGATGAGGACGCTAAGGCCTAACAATTTAGTTATTCTGTAAAAGCTTATAAATTGTGGAGATGAATTTGGAAGAGAAGACCCCTTGACTCAAGATTCTATACTTTTTAGACCAACGAGAGAAGGTGGCTGGTAGGCTACAAGTTCTGTAGCCATTGAAATATAAATGGCAAGATTTGTGTATTATATATATATATATATATATAAATCTGAAGAAAATTGTTTAAAGTAAAAACTGCGGATTTCTGACCTTAAGTAATAATTTTGCATGAATTAGGAAAATATTTGAGAGACTAAAAAACCTATAATGATGTTAATGCTTTAGCTATGTTGTTGGGCATTACAATTTTTCAAAAGGCTTTTTTTCCCTGTACATTATTGTATGGGATCAACAGGATTCTATAAGTGATAAAAATGGATATTACCTATTATATCTACATTGAATTTCTGCCTACTTCAGTTAGTGTGTGACTTTGGATAACTTATTTCACCATTGTGTGTCTAAATTTTCTCATCTAAAATGGGGATAGTAATAGCAGTTCCTTCCTAAGGTTGCTAAGAGGATGCAGTTAGTTACCACATGCGAGGTACCTGTGTCAGTGTCTTGCACATTTTCAACATCCGGTGGATTCTATGGTTATCATTATTATTATCATTAAGAGTCAGGATAATGTCACATGAGCTTTCTGCCCAAATTTTGTGATTATGTTTAGCATCAATTATTTTGTGAAAGAACACAGTAAAAAGTTCAAGGGTGTTTATTTCTTTAAGTATATATTTTATGTTTTTCCTTTATTTGCAACTAAGTTTACTGTGTTAAACTTGATTCTGAAATGATTCATTTTTAGTTCTTATGAAAATTGAGGCTTTCAGGTCTCAGACTGTAATTCTATAAGACAAGCATAACTCTGCCTACCTTAAATTTTTTATATTGAAATTGTGTGTTTACCTAGATATTTTATTTTTTCTAGTATTTGATTAACTTCTTTACCTAAAGCAACTCATAAACCCGTAATCTTTTCAAGAGCTTCTGCAATCCATGAACTTGGATCACAAAACACACTTTGCAACCACCTTCAAAGGGAAGAGTGAGTATAATCCATTTTGCACAGTAAATTTTACTACGAAAACTAAAGTGGTATTTACTGGAAAATGCAAGCAATTTACATGCAGTGGTGATTTTTTTCTTTGTGCAGTGTCACTATGGATTCATAAACATGCATTTAAAAATAACATTAGCAATGTTGTTCCAAGGATATTGAACTTGGTTTTCTTACTCTTTTTATACCTAGTTTATTCAGAGGACATTTAAATGATGTTTGTAATTTTCCATTTTGCACCAACTCACACAAAGTAATACTCCCAAATAGCACAGAGTTGTCTAAAATTCAAATTATTTTTGTAGTAATTAAAGGAAAAGAAAGTTACATATCTCACATAAAAGAATCGTATTATCTCCGGAAAGGAATATTGAAGACTGTTTATTTTTAAAGTCCTTGCACATCTCTCTTCTGGAGTAGAGTAACAGGCTGGATCTATTTTCTTTTGCATAGTCACTTTCTCAAGCTTTATAAGATTCATTAGTGGTCTTGTCCTGGCTCATAGATAAATACGGTATATGCCAGCAACAAAGCCTACAAAAGGGGGAGTTTGTCACAGGGAAAGTGTTACAACTTAAGTATGCTCTCCTGCCTTTACTATGCTCTCCTGATGTGACTTTATGATATTTGTCATTTCTGATAACTGATATTGCTAGGTATTCATGACTTGGGTAATATACAGACAACCACATGGACCACTTTTCATGCTGTTTTTTTTAACAAATAGCATTTTTTAAGTTTTACAAATGACACCAGAGCCAGAAGTTATGAAGAAATAATAAATAAATCTCACTACTGGAAACACACAAACCCCCAAAATCCCAAAATATAAATCTTCTACATAGCAAACAATTCAAACCACAATCTAAGAGAAAAAGGTTAGTATATGTTAGAAAATAGGCTAATACCATTACTATGAAAAGAGCTGTGACTAGTAAGACAAATACAAATACAAAAATTAACAAAAAAACCGGAACAGTAAATTTATTTAAAAAAATGGAGACAAATAACCAAAAACAGAAAAAAATGTTCACATCCACAAATGCAAATTCCAACACTTTGTTTACTAGTATGAGAGTGCTTTGTGTAATTGGGGGAGTGAACCCACTATAGACATGGCTATAAAAACAAAGCTTTTAAACTATCCCAAATATTACAACATTACTACAGTTTAGGGAAAGTGGAGATACAATGATAATGAGAAAGTAGGTGAAAAGTATTCTAAAAACAGACATGTAATGTGTAAATACTTATATGATGTACGACCATATATTTATTGCGTTAATCAAACAGGCTATGAATTCATTCAATTAACCTTGTCACTCATTTAACTTACAAATATTAATAGAGTGAACCAGTCAATAAGTTAGGGATACTATGATGAAAATATTCAGACATAATGTCAACTTTTGTGTGTGTGTATGTGTTCATTCATATACATGTATGAACACACACCCGCATATCTCTAAGTGTCTCTATTTAATACCTAATTATAATGGTTATCAGAGCTGTGAATAGAGTGGCTGATTAATTCTTGCCCAGGACTTTCTTGGTTTTAAAACTGTGAACTGCCTCAGTCCTAGAGAAAATGGGATGGTTATAATGCTAGGAAGAAAATGGTTAGGTAAATGGGAAAAATGTGTATATAAACATTTATTTGCTGTAAAGATAATCACTTCACCTCTTTGATGTACATCATAATTTTTAGGAAGTTAATGACACTTTCATCAATCAAATCACAAAAAACTGGAAAAAGTTATGTGAATAAAAAATTTCCAAAATGCACTCAGTGGCATCTTATTATACCACTTTTAGTTTTCTGTAAAGTAGGATAAACTGTGATAATAATAACACCATGAATGTGGACATTAAAATCCAAATGCCTAAAGGAAATGGTACTGCAGTAGAAACAAGCATGCCTAGTGTCCAGATCTTAGTTTCAAATGCCATTCTCCTTTAGAAACAACTAGGGATGCTTGCAGAAATAGCTGATTGTATACTGGAGTAGGAAATATCCAAACTGAACCTGGAGCATCTTGTACTGCCACAAAGTAAGAAAATGCTAAACAAACAAAATATACACACATACACACATGTACATTGACGGAGAGACGTCGAAGTGCACAGGAACCCACTGAAGGAGCTCTGAGTGGCCAAAGCTGGAAGTATTTGAGTAACAAAATAAGTAAAATATATCATGGCTAATAACCCCCAAATAAAACAAATACCCATCATTCCATACTGATATAAACAAGTGGTTTAATAAACTTATAAATGCGGGAGGAGGATTCCAGATAAATTATGTAGATACTCCTCTCTAAAGGAGAGAACATAACTACTCACTCTTTTTGAATGTGGGCTGTATATAATGATTTCCTTTCAAAGAGCACAATACACAAAGAAGAGCAGCGAAGAATAACATTACAGTGGAAAAATCTGACAAACACTACTTCAGCTGGTTGATCCAGATCAGCACCAACAGTTATAAATCAACAGTTATACATAAAGGATATATGTATCCTTTGTTGTGATGTGCTAAAAATTGCCTTACCTCCGTGATGTTCCTTCCAAAAAACTCTATCTGCAGTCTAATCATGAGAAAAATATCAGACAAAATACAACAGAAAAGAATCTTACAAAACACCTGACCAGTATTCCTCAAAACTATCATCAAAAACAAAGAAAGTCTGGGAGTCAAGCAGTCAAGCAGAACCTAAGAAGACATGACAGCTAAGTATAACATGGTAGTCTAAATGGGATCCCGGAACATAAAAAAGACATTCGGTAAAAACTAAAAGAAAAAAATCTTAATAAACTTTGGATTTTAGTTAATGGTTTATCAACTAATATGGTTTGGCTGTGTCCCTACCCAAATCTCATCTTGAATTGTAGCTCCCATAATTCCCATGTGACTGACATGAGAGGGATCCAGTGGGAGGTAACTGAATTATGGGGGCGGGTCTTTCGTATGTTGTTCTCATGATAGTGAATAAGTCTCATGAGATCTGATGGTTTTATAAAGAGGAGTTCCCCTGCATACGCTCTCTCTTGCCTGCCACTACGTGAGGCATCCCTTTGCTTTTCCTTTGTCTTCCACAATGATTGTGAGGCTTCCCCAGCCACGTGGAACTGTGAGTCCATTAAACCTCTTTCCTTTATAGATTACCAACTCTCAGGTATGTTTTTATTAGCAACATGAGAACAGACTAACACATCAACATTGGTTCAATAATTACCGGAAATACATTGTGCTAATATAAGATGCTAATAATAGAAGAAACTGTATGCAGAGCATTCAGGATTATATAGGAACTCTGCAGTGTCTGCTCAATTTTTCTGTTAAACTGAAATTGTTTCAAAAAATCGTTTTAAAAAATCAAGTTTTGAACTAGGCACTGGTTATAGTGAATTTTAACTAGGCAGTGGCTATAGTGAATTTGCACCTTCTAATGAATACTTTTAATGTGTACATTTACATCTAGTGACTAAAGGATTTGAGTTTCACAAAACAGACAAGAAAGGGGAAGGAATTCTCATGCACTGAGTTCCTAATATGAGGTAGCACCAATGGTACCAATACTTTCACGTATATAATTAATTTTCATACCAACTCTATGACATAGATGATTCCTACTTCACAGACAAGGAAACTGAAGGCAACAGGTTAAGTTGATCAAAGAAAAACTATAAATTTAAGTTCCTCAGAATTAAACTCAGACCCCTTAACTGTTTCCAATTCTCTGTGCCTCCTACACATTGGGAGGGATTCAATAGATCTTATAGAACCTCAAGATTGTGTAAATCTCTTTGATGTATGGAGCAGCAATGCAGCAAAGGTGAACGTTTTTCAGAAATGTCTACTAGCTTTGTTCTGAGACATATGAGGAAGAATGATATACTGGAAAGGTCCCTGGACACTGAGCCAAAAAATCTGGTTTGAAGCAACTTCTTCTTTGCACTAGCTGTGGGATTGGGGGCAAATTGCTTCAACTCTCTGGATTTCAGATTCCACATTTACAAAAAAGAAAAAAAAAGCCTATTAGATGTTACACTCTTTGAGTGGATGGGTTTGGTCTTATGCAGCATCGTAATCCCAGAACGCAACGTGGTGCCTGCTCAACTGCAGATATGCAACACATTTCTGCTGAGCTAAACTGAACCAAGGATTCGTGGCAGATCTGGGTCCTAAATCAGGGTCATCAACACAGACATTTCAGAGGTGGCATGGCAATGAGATGTTACAGTGGCTAGAATTCAGAAACTCTGTGTCATTCCTATAAAAATCTTAGAAATCCATGAATTTAGGATAGGCACACTTTATCCTAATAGTTTAAAAGATTCATTTTCAGAAAAGGAAACAGGAGTAATATGGAGCAAATGCACTGAACATGAAAACCCGCAGCCCTGGGGAAGGGCAAAGTGGGAGGCAGGAGCAAAGCTCAGGATTAGTCTAGCAGATCCAGGGAGTCCAGGCTCAAGGAACAACAGGGCCTTCAGAAATATAGAAAAAGCTGACAAAACAGCAATCGCATCTCCACTCAAATGTTTCCTGGGAATGGAGCAAGAGGGTAAGAGGAGGAATTGCTAGGATCCTGGGCCCCTTTCTTCCCATTCCCATCCCAGTCCTGCATGAGGTGCCCATGTCTCCCTGCAGGGACAGATTGGCCCATACGTCCAAGTTCTGTCCACAAGCCCACAACATCCACCAACAGTTTACCCTAGGTTATCCCGAGGGCCAAGGGATTCCTTCACCACTCTTGGGAGAATGATCCTGGAGGAGATGCTCTAGGCAATTGTGGCTGGCTTGGGACCTTTGTGCAGGAAATTCGGGGGGCCTGAATATTGGGAGTGTGATTTAGAACACTGCTACTCAAAGCATGTCCATAAACAGCTTGTCTGGAAACTGTTTCTAGACCGCAACAAGATATATACAAAATTGAGAATAAGAGCTTAGAAACTTCACAGCAATTGACTGAGTACTCAGAAACTTCACAGCAACTCGATTGAGTACTTACATGTCTGTTGAAGCTAATAAAAAAAAAAAAACCTAGATGCTTATATTTCTTTTAAATTACATTTTGTCTTTTTAGAAATTTATTTTTATTGTATTTTTATCAACATATTGATCCTCAAAACAGTAAAGAGAAAAATGAACCTTGACCCCAGAGGGTTTGAGAAACACAGGTTGACAAGAAGGGCGGAGGATCTAAGTATATACACAATAGGTTCCTCATTGGTAGTGGACATACAGATAGAGGAAAATATTGCTGGGAAGAGAGCAGAGCAGAGCTCTCTAATGCTCAGTGTCCAGGGCAGGCGATCCAGATGCCCAAGTGGACCGAATTACTCTGCTTTCTGCAGTTTCCTAATGGTTAAGAGTGGAGCAAGACACTGATTGGGGATTCTGTGGTCTACCTATGGGCAATGTTGGGACACATTGGAGAAAACTGTCAGATATCTAAACTGATTTTAAATTTTAAATGAAAATATGCAAAGGTTCCTTCATTTTGAATTACGATTTTGCTAAATATTTTGCTGATTTTTCTCTAACTCACAGTTTAAAAATCATTTTGAATTTATAATTACTCTGAGTTCATATTTAATTACTCTAACCAAAATTGCCTTTGTAAATTATCCTAAATTTATTATTGCATTACTGTAAATTATAAATGCACTTTGGCCAGAGAGGGTCAAAATGAAATGAAGCAGTTGGTCTGTAAGAATGTGATATGTATTGCTTCTTCTCCATACTTTACTGCTTTTTGGGAGAAAGAAGCAGGAAGAAAAGGGGGGGGAAAAGAGAAGGAAGAAGAAAATCTGGAAAAGACACAGGAAAAGAAAAGATAGATATTGTTTGGGTTTTATTGAGTTAAAAATAACACAAATAATCATTATAAAACAATTAAAATGTATGAGTCCCGAATGTGGCACTTTAGATTTATCATCTTTAAACAAACACACACACACACACCCCACTTCTAGAAGGACAGCATTATTTTCTCCATTTACATAAAAAGTTTTCACTGAAATAAAAATATTATTAAGTTGTTAATACAGTTGAGAGCAGAATTGGAACTCAATTCTATGACTCCAAATCTTTCCTCTACACTACACTGAGCTTTTCCCTTATATAAAGACCTTAAACAAATATATGTATGGTATATTGCCCTTTAATGCCTTTTTAATACTCAGTTTTCAAAAAACATTCATTTATCACAAGACTACACCTACTAATTGTAAAAAACAAAGGTCCATGTATGAATTCCCAGCCATTCAACATCAGGTTGGATAGACACTTAGAAGCACACACCAGCCATATTTGAATTACGTGCATGCAATGGAAAGACCCTCCACTTCTTTAGAGAAAAACTTAAAATATATTGATGTCTTCAGGAGAAAATTAAATTAAATATATTCAACTAAATTATTAAAGACTCCATATTAAGTTGTCTTCTGTTTTCACAGAATGGTTCCAGGCTCTAAAGCAATGTCCTTGTGTTTTTTAAATTAAAACAATGTAAAAAAGTACCGACAGTGTCTCCCAATTCTGCAGACACACATGAAACCAAAGACTAACATTAAGGATTATTTACAAGCTCAAGGTCAGTAGTGACCAAAGCATGTTCCTGCTCAAATAACTGGGGGATTTTTGCTGAAAACGATTCATTCAATTTCCTATGATTGAAGAAATTAGTAAACTCTCTGCTGCAGACCAATTATCAGAGAAAGCTTTGTCAAATGTGGAACAGATTGGCACCTTTTTAAAGAAACTGAGGGGAGATACTTGATGTGTGTATGAGAGTGCAAGAGCACCATAGGAATAGGGGAATACCAAAAGAAGTACAGTTATTATATAGCAGAGCAATGGAAAAGAGCTGGACTGATTTGGGTTGAAAACCTCCTGTGATCTTAATAACATGCACTGAGGAGGAGTTAGGATGGGGCCCAGGGGCTCGCAGAATGGACCCAAGTGTGTGGCTGTTTGTACAGGGAATGTGTGCAGATTAATGAATCTCACAAATAACTCTGGCTATACTTAAACCTGGCTCTCCTAGGTTTAACCTGGAAGCAGGGGCATTTCAATGGAAATATTTATGCTACTTAGCCACGAGCATCATAGTTCAGCCTTTCAGAGGAGGTCAGAATCCGGGGTTGTGTTCTCCCCCAGTATGTAAATGGTGTGCTAGGTTACTGAGGCAGGAGTTCATACCGGTTGGGCCAACACAATAGGGAGGGAGAAAAAGATTGCCAGTACATTTGGGGATTTACAGGGCATGCCCATGGCACTACAGAATCTAGGTTTGGAGCAAATGGACTAATAATAGACCCAATGTACACAATGATGCCATGGCTGTGGGCATAGAACCTATCTGCCTGAGTCAGGATCACCTAGAAAACTGAACAGGGTTGAGCCTATAGATTGAGAACATGAGTGTTAAGTGAGAGGCTCCTCAAATCATCGGCTGATTGAAATGAGCACCAGGTGAATGGAGCACAGAGGTTAAGAGCACAGAATCTGCTGCTGGTGGTGGTGGTAATGCTTATGATGATGACAGTACCTACCACAAAGGGTTGTCAAAAAGAGCAAATGTTGGTTTTTGTGGATTGCTTAGAATAGTTTCTAGTAAGCCATATTAATGTTTGTAAATAAAAAGACGATGTTCTTTGATTAGAATGCAGAGGTACTCAGGCCTGAGGCTGTGTATGAGGATGAAAACCCAAGTAAAAGTTATTGATTTAGTTCAGATATAATGTTCTTTTATTGAAAATCCTCAAATGAAGCTTATAAATGAGGTCTTACCCCCTATTTCACATTCAAAGGGAGAAAAAAAGAGCAAGTGAGCTCTGGCTGAAAAGTTAAATGTTATTCAGATCAATTTCTGAGACTTCCCTTGATTTACTTTATAATAAAAATTCATCTTTTCAAGGGTAATGGGAGAACTAGATTTTAGGAAGGTAGTGGAACAAAAATTGTGTATGCAAGTAGAATTGTTTGAAGAACAGAATGTCCCAGCATAGTTTCAAAACTACCAAATCTTATCCACATGGTGGCACCAAAGAGCTTTTCAAAGATTTACCATTCTGCTTTTATACATTTGTTGCACTCAACTGTTTTCCTTCATCTATCACATATAATAAGTAAAAGCTACAGAGCATTCTTCGTCTTCTAAAAAAGAACAGGAAACCTGACAGTTAAGTTTCTCTTGGTAACAAATCCCGAATGTGACACATCGATGGATCTCAAATTGATATGAGGTTAAGGGAGGGAATAAGAATAGATGGAAAACAACCCTATTAAAATGTACTACAGTATCAGAGACAATAACCTCTTAAACAGGGTGTGGCAAGCTTTCCTGTATTTCTGATATGTTTACAGAAATACTTTAAATGCTTTGCAAAAATTCAAATTAGAAGTATGTAGGAATACTTGCAGCAAAGTACAGCCCACCCTGCCGGCAGCAGCAGCGAGATGGGACTATGTTTTTGGCACCAGGGTTAGGGACAGTTGTCAGTACATTTCACATCAGCCTCACAGTTGCACGGAGGGAACTTCTGGATCTACCTTATTGCATGTGTTGACATGTGCCCTTTGTGTAGATAGCAAAGGCTTAAGATAAAAGTGGTTGAGATAAACAAAAGGCAGCCAAAATCGAGGTCTTTCTTGTATAGACTAACAATAAGCCACATGTTACTTAGTATACTTTCCTGAATTTCACGGCTTACAAGCAACCTAAAATACAATATTTGGGCAGATAGGGCATGGAAGCTGATTATTTATTGTAAGAGATTCAAATAGATTAATCTAAAGCTGTGCTGTCAGAAGCGCACTCAATTTTATAAAAGGAGAAAAATATCCATTCATTTTTAATTGGTAAGATAAAACTGTGAGGGTGGAAGAAGCTATGATTAGCTTTCTTATTCAAGTATTCAAGTCATTGGTTCCATAAAGTTTTTGAGCTCCAGGCTCTGCTCTTATAAATAGTAGGAAAGTGAATAGAAATTGTCAGATATTAAAAACAAACAAACAAACAAACAAAAAAAACCTGATAAAAGGGTCCAGAGCAGTGGTGGTGAAGTTTCCTTAAGACAGGTTCAGGAAAAACATTTTTCAGGAAGTGACATTTTAGCAGACACCTTCATGAAGTGACAGTAAGCCACCCAGACAATTAATCAAACCATAACAACACCAACATATCTGCAGCCCATAGTGCAAATGTCCATGTATGTCAGATTAAATGTTACTTATTATTTAGGTCTGTTTTTTAAATTAAAGTTTGCACTTGCTTTGCAGCCAGCCAGGCAGGGAGTCATTACCTAGCTCTTTCACTTACTCATGTGCCAATGTGAATGTGTTACTTCACTTCTCCTGCCTCTTGTCTACAGTGGGCAGGAGGTAAGCCTCACGGTGTGACTGTGAAGCCAAGTGAAATCTCACACCTACCTCAGAGGCCTTTTTCCCACTCTCCTTTTCTGACTCTTTTAATATTTTCTCAATTATTTATAGTAATAATAATAATACAATGCCAATTGTTCATTCATTCATCCATTTAAATCCCAAAGGAATTTAAAAGAAGAGTAACATTTAACCTGACAAAGACAAAAGGAGGAAGCTTTTTAGGTAATATTAATTATAATAAAGTAACAATAATAACAACAATAATAATAGCAAGCTCATATAAGCAAGAAGCAATAGTCAGTGTGTCATGTTTTGGGGGAATTAAGAATTTCAAATAGTTCATTTTAACACCACCTTTCTCATTCCTTATTCTCCTACCCCACTGGCCTGATCACTTCTAGAAACTTCCAGATTCTTTACCTCTTCATGACATTTATAATTGCTGTTCTTTTTTTGGAGGTACAATATACATATAAAATTTACCATCTTTATCATTTTTAGGTGTACAGTTCAGTGGTAATATATCTAAATTTATATTCTTTATTTTTCTGTTCTTTATGTCTAGGACATTTCAATCCTCAACACTTCACATTGCTAAATCCTCATCTCTCAAGCCTCAGCTTAAATATTACCTTTTCAGAGAGACCTTCACAGATGATGTAATATAAATCACTCTCCCCTACCATTATTCTCAAAGACAGAAATCTATTTTCTTTATTTTACTAATCACAGGCTGAACTTATTTTGCTGACTTTATTATCTGTCTCTCCTACTTGACAGTAAGTTCAACGAGGGCCAGGACAAAGTCTGTAGCCCCAGCAGTTAGTTAGCCTGGTTTCCATACATATCATTTACTCAATAGCTATTTATTAACTGGATAAATGGAAATGAATGCAAGTGATAGGATAGATACAGAAGAGATTAGATAACTAAACCAAGGTCAGGAAATGCCATGCTAAACGTTTGCACTAAATCTTTAAAACTCTGGAAAAATCCTGAAGGATCTCAGTGGACAAATGCCTCCAATACGTTTCTATTAAGGAAAATCACTCTCATAAGAATGTAGGGGAATTGACTGGAATGAGAGAACTGAGGGAGGGAGATCCATTAAGGGTCTGACTGCAGTAATTCAGATGAGAAATACTGCAAAAGCTTAGGCTAAGTTAGTGGCTATAAAGATGGAATAAATAGAGTCAAGGGTTATTACAATTGAACAGAATGTGGTGTCTGACTAGAAATAAAAAGACAATCTAGAGAAGTCCAAAATGACTTATAGATTTCTGACCTGGGCAAGTGAATAGATTAGAAAACAAGATTTGTAGGGAAAGATGAAAAACAGTTATTGGATATTTTGAATTTGATGCAATTATTGGATATGTTTCAGTCTGGAGCTCGAGGGAAAGATCTAGAAATACAGCTTGGGAAGTCACTGCATATGATGTCATGGTTAAGGCATTTTTATGGCAACACTACATGCCTCTTTAACAACAAGGAGAAGGATGAGGTCACGAAGAGAGAGTATGCAGTACAAATGCTGAAGGCAGTGAGAAAATTACGAGACAAGAAGGGAACTTTGGGAAATAGCGTTAAGATGTAGGAAGTGAAAGAACAGTCTACAGAGAAAATAAAGTGTGACTAACCAGACAGTTATTCCAAAATCAAAAGTAAGTGGAGTTATACAAATCAAGGAAGCTAAAATATTGAAAAAGAGGAAGAATACAATAGCATCATAGCCTCAATAGTTTAGGTTAAAGATAGATTTTGTTACTTAAGTTTCCATTAAGCTTCAAATAACAAAAAATCTGATTTTCCAATGGCTTAAACCATCAGGGCTTTAGTTTTTTTTTCTCCTAACAATAAACATGGGAGGAAGACAGCTGCTGGCTATGCTATGTTCACAACTCAACTGAGCCAAGGTCTATGCATGGAATTCTCTTTTTTTTTTTTCTCATGTTGCAAGATGGTGGCAGCAGCTATGGCCACTGCATCTGTGTTCAAAGGCAGGAAGATGGAATTAGGTGAAGCAGAGCAAAACCAGCTTCATCTGACCTAATTTAAATCCCATTAGTAGGCTTCCCGGCAGAAACTCTTCCAAGGCCACTGTCCCAGGAAGGCCGAGAAAGTGGATGTTTAGTTTCTAGGTAATTTCTCATAGAGGCCAGCATCTGCCCCACTGTTAAGTACATTTTTGATTTTCTCTTTCTCTGTCTTTGCTTTCCCTAGGCATTGTAGCTTTTTGGGAAACACAGGTTTTGAGACAAAGCATTATCCTCCTGATGACCTCTCATATCTGGGGCCATAACTTGTCTGCATCTCATCTCCTCCCTTCTAAAATGGACATAACTTGTTATAAGATTAAATGTAGGTCATACATAACACACTTTAGTGAATTGCTTATCCATAGTACTAAGATATAAGTGGCATCAATATTAAAACTATGCTATTTGTGCATATTAAATGACATTTATTTTATTCTCTGGATACATCTGTGCTCTGCTATCCCCTGTTTGCAAACTTCTTGAAAGAAGGAACCACATCTCAGATATCTTTGCATATCTAAGATTTTCCACATAGTTTATACATTATAGGCACTTACTAAATGTTTCCTGAACATATTGTTTAACTTAATTCAGTTATTGTTGATAACCAATAGCATCATGATGGAAATCATTGAACAGAAACACATATGACATGAAACCTGACACCTTTCCAATATAACCCGACATTTCAACAGGTTCTGTTTGATGTTTATTTCTAATACCACACTGTCAGTTTGCCTTGGATGGCAGAATCAAGTTCATCCTAACAATGTGGCTTTGTATTTAAAGAAAAAGAAAATGACTATAAAAGTAATTTTTAAAAATCCCCTCCTCATTCCTCTCAGTCATATCCAGATCAGCTTGGCATAGCTTTGCTCTAACAGATGGGCTGTGCACAGAGTCCCAAAGGCCTGCAAATTCAGTCTGTGAGATCTAGAAGGAAAGCAAATGTCAGCTATGGGGATCCTCCTAGGAAAACATTTTGCCTCAAATACCAACCTCCTTTTACCTATTAACTTTTTAAAGTGCAGACCTTTCTACACAGGCTGCAAAAGCAAAAATGTGTGCTCAGCAGGCAAATAACAGAAAGTGGATGGTCACAAGATAAACTAAATAAGTCCAGCCAAGAGACAGTCTAGCATAAACCAAAAATGTCAGAAAATAGCTCACAATCAGTGATTTGTCTGTATTTATATATAAAGAACCAAATGCTTCACCTTAGCCCTTGGAGAGGTGTTCTAATTTCACATGATTAAAAAAAGAAAAGGACGATATTTGATGAACTGAGGATGAGTATTAGGGGATGGAATGTAATTAAACATTACACTATTCTGTATTAGAAGGGAAAAAGCAAAATAGTAAAACCAATATTAAAGCAAAAATAATAACAGCAAATTCCCAAGTTAAAAGTTTTGGGATGAAATAAGTCAAAGATTGACAGACAGCACTGTGAAAATCTATAAGTGTATGTGCTTAGGATATTACCGATCAGTCTGGCAAAGATTGGCAACATAAAAATTAGATTCAAAACAGAAAGTGACCCATCATCAGATTAGGCTAGGTCATGAGAGTTCATACTTTTACAGATAATGGCAGAAGAAAAAAAAAAAAAAAACACCTCCTGCTAACCCCTGAACAAGTTTCTCACATCCCTCCGCAAATAACAAAAGCAAAATATTCTTTTTGGAACAACTAGTTTGAAGAAAAAGAGATCTAAAAAGTGTATAGCTAAAATAAAATTTCCTTTGTTTAAGAAACACATACACATACATTTACAAATGCAATTGAATCAATCCAAATTGTTGTTGTTGTTGTTGAGGGAGAGGGTGAAAAGAATGAATGATAAAACACTTAAAGAATTAAATATTTTTTTCTCATTAGCAAGATCAAAGGGAGTAAATCCTTTGAATATCTCAATAATTAACAGTAGGTTTTAACCATGGTAGGAAGCTCAATAGATATATATTGCCTTAGATTCTTTAAAAATGACATTTCACTAATGTTTAATTAGTGATATGTTTGCTACAGTTATTCTACTAACTTCTATGGGAGGAAGAAGCCTATTTTCTTATATTGTTTTTTGACTTACAAAATAAATACAAAGTATTATCTTGAATTTTTATTTTATTGCATATTGACAAATTACAATTGTATATATATACTTAAGAAGTACAAAGTGATGCTATGACATATTAATGCTAAATTTAACTATGCTAAATATTTTCTTCTAGCTAATATTAAATATATAAAATATTTCACATGTATGAGGTTTTAATTTATTCTATAATCATAGCACATATATGAAATTTTTAGTGGTCAGTGATACATGATAATAAAGAGAATGGCAAGCAGAGTTGTTTAAATATTTATGAAATGTGTTATTCAGCCCTATGAGAGCAATTTATTTTTACATCTAAATAATCTTAAGGTTATATGTTTTACAGTGTCCCTAAACTGAAAATCAGATATTTTGTAATGACATACCAAAATTGAATGTTCCGCATCACTAATCATCAGCAAAACACAAATCAAAACCACAATGAAATGTCATCTCATCACAATTAGAATGGCTATGATCAAAAAGACAAAAAGTAACAAATGCTAGCTAGAACGTGGAGAGAGAACCACTATTGAAAACAGCATGGAGGTTTCTCCAAAAACTAGAAACAGAAATACCATATGATCCAGCTGGATATTTTTCCAAAGAAAAGAAAATCAAAATGTTAAAGAGATACCTGCACTCCTATATTTATTGTAGCATTATTCATAGTAGAAAAGATTAGAAATGTTTACAAATAATTTTAATGCTACATTTTTGTTATCAGATGATACTGTTTATAGTATTATGTAAAGTCCTCCTTAAACCTAAAAGACTATTGTTAGTTGAGATATATATAAGACATTTTAATTTATTCAACAAACACTGATTGAGCCACTATTAAGTGTGAGACAATGATATTTGCTGAGGATTAAAAAAAATGAGATCCTTTTCCAAGTATTGATGGGCTCAAAATCCAGAGCTTGCAGTTTAGACACAAGCACAAATCGATATTCATAAAATAATGTGGTATGTAGGACAAGAGAAGTCAGGGAGGACTTACTATTCTGCATGGAGGTCTACAGAGTTTCCCTGGAGGAGATGATCTCAATACTCCTTCTACAGAAATGAGAAACAGAGCTGGGCATGGTGGTGCACACCTGTAGTACAAGCTGGGCATGATTGTGCACATCTGTAGCGGGAGGCTAAGGCAGGAGGATTGCTTCAGCTCAGGAGTTCAAGGCTGCAGTGAGAGTTATGACTGCACCACTGTAACCCAGGTTGGGTGAGAGAGCAAGACCCTGCCCCTAAAAATAAATAAGTAATGCGAAAGTTACATGATAAAGAGGGAGGAGTAAGGCATTCCATGAAGACAAGCATAGGAACCAAGGCAGAGCAGAACAATCTAGTGCAAGGCAACAGTATAAACAAGGGTGAGGCTGGAGAGAATAGGGCTCAGATAGCAGAGGTTTGTATGTCATGCTCAGGAGGCTAGGTTTCTCCTGCAGGTGACAGAATATCAGTAAAATATTTTGATTCGAGAAATGATGCAATAGTCTTTGTGCTTAAGAGCAGGGATCAACAAACTTTCTCTGTAAAGAGCCAGATATTAAATATTTTAAACTTCATGGATTCTATGATCTCTGTTGCAACTATTGAATTCTGCTGTTATAGCACAAAACACCCATGGACAGGACATAAAGAAACGAGTGTGGCTGTGTTCCAATAAACCTTTATTTATGGACACTGAAATTTAAATTTCTTGTCATTTTGATGTGTCACAAAATATTATTCCTCTTTGATTTTTGAAATCATTAAAAATGAAGAAAACATTTTTGGGGGTTTATGGACCATACAAAAGTGAACAGAAGCCCAGATATGTCCTGTAAGCTATAGTTTGCTGATCCCTACTTTAGATACATCATTAGGGTGAAATCCATGGAGCATGGATTTGAAGGAGACAAGACTGGAGTCACAGAAACCTATTACAGTGCTATTTCAGTCAGTCAGTATAGGACTCATGTGAGGCTGAACAAGGATATTGGGAGTAAAGCTTGAAAGGAGGGAGAAAAATCAAGAATGTTTGGACAATAAAACAGAATTTGATAATTAAGAGGTGAGCACAAGGGAGGAATCACAAAATCTATGTAAGTTTTCTGGAGCGAATGACTAGGTAGATGGTGGTGCCATAAAATATCATAGAGAATTGGGGAAGAAAGTCTGGTTTAGGACCTTAAATCATAAAATGATAGATTCAGAGAATTTTGAGGAAACTAAGCGCCACGGTGATAAAGGACTTATTCCACTGGACTATGTTTCATTACTTTAGAAAAACTTCTGCCTGTTCTTCTTGCTTTTGTGAGAAGTGAAGAAACTTCACTGTCTTAGTCAGATGACTTGCATTATTTTAGATTTTCCTTCCTCAGAAAAGCTAGCTTTTAAAAGGTTCGTTTTCCTATTAAAGCATATATTCTGTTGAATCTGTAGCCTCTTGTTTTCTATCAACTATCATTTTTTTTGTCACCTAAACCCTCATCCTGCTTCTTTAAGTAACAGAGAGACTCTACCAGCCTCCCCCTTTCTGCTCTATTGATATCAGTAAGATTTGTCATATTTGCTATATACAAATCAAGTCCCAGGATAGAAGGAAAGAAGTTAGAGCAAGAGCAAATCAAAGAAAATCAATGGAAGAAAAAAATGCTTGTAAACCCAGGAATTTGCTACCTCTCTAGTCACCTAATTAGCTGATTCAGAATTATCCAGGAGAGTTGAGATCAGGAAAAATTTTCCATAGGTGTCTAACAGGCGCTTGAAGACAAACCACAGACACTGAGAAAAGTAACTCACTTCTGCAGTTTGGGTTGGGTTGACTTCACTGTGGCCCTTGTTTCCACAGACTCATCACAGGGGAACCAGAAGCAATCAAACAGCTAAGACCAGCAAATTAGACTTCTTAAATTAGAATTTCTTGGCAAGAGGCTTAGCTTAACAAAAGAAAAAGAAGGGATTATTTGCTGGACAAGATGGTTTCTCTTAACCCTGAAAAACTGATGGTTCCTGTCCAGTATTTCCTGAGAATTTAAAACCAGGTGTCAGAGAAGCATGCATAATAAGTCTTTGCGACACAGAAGAGGGATATGGTTTTCAAATATGGCAGTTGCTGAGAAAAAACTCACACAATTGAAGAGCTAAAATATGGACCAACTGAAGTATAGATAGTGATGGGAATACAAAGCAAAACTGCCAACAGCAGCAATTTGGATAAATGGGCAAGGGGACACACCAATAATGACTTGATTGAGTGTCAATATATTTATGTAGAACCAAAAACCCTGACATCTTCTCAAAATTTACACTGAGCTCAAGTAAACAGAATTGTGACTTAGGTGTCACAATTTATGTAGTTGATTTCTTGTCCATTTGATAGTAAACTCATAGAATATCTAAGAAATTCTTAGCTGAGCAAATCTCATATCATGCCTAAAGAATGTGTGTGTGTCACCTGAAATTTGGTGCTCAGAAAGGAAAGAATGAGTGGTTTGAGAAGGAATGCAAGTTTCTCTCACCTTGCCCTCTGGAAGGGCTTACTCTTGCTCAGGATCCTGCCTGCTGTTCCCATGAGCGTGTGGTTTTCTTCCATTATGGAGATGCATGCCTTAATGATCAGGCTCATACTACAAATCCCATTTGCTCTGATTTCTTGGATGCCAAAAAAAAAAAAAAAAAAAACTTATGGTTTTAACTTCACTCTCTGTGATTTTCTAGAGAGGAAAAAATAATGTTGCTAGAAAATGGATTTTCTATGACCCTTGTCAGTTATGTTTCATATTTTATTGTGACCTATTTGTAGAGGGCCTCCTTTTTTGAAAGAACAGTTTCAAACATTTTGTTTAACATTAAGATTCTTAAAAGTGCCCGTTATTCACACTTTTAAAAACTAAAGGTGGTTTAAAGTTACCCAAGGGCACATGGCTTTAAGTGCTGCTGCCAGAATTCAAATCTTGTTTTTTGGGACTCCAAACCTACACTGTAGATACTCTAACAAGTAGACTCATTGTACATCAGTCATTTAGTTCTCTGATAAATATTCCAGTACTTTGTGAGCTGTTCACTTTGAGATATTCACTCTGTGCCCAATTAACTGTAGGGACCACTGTTAATCTAAGTAAATCACATTCCAACAATGCTCTTCTCTTAATGAGTCAATAGGCAACACAAGTAATTGTGTTCAAAGACACTTTCAATTCTTTATATAGATGGTACAGCAATGTATTTGGAGATGTAATTTGGTAAATAAAAGACATCATGGCAGAATTATTATTTTTATGGAGTTCCTGCCCCGTGCCCACCTTTTTAGTTACCAGCATATATTATGTTCTAAGGGTGACTCAGTATTTACTCCTTACTCACTGCTCTGCATGTTGTCTAGCTTGCATATTTAAATATATGCCTTGTTCATTTTGTCTGTATGTGGGTGGTTATATATCACAAACTTAGTTTGCTCTAACATCCATACTCCAACCTGTCAATGATATAAGATGTTACTGGAGATGATCTGTCTTTAAAAGCAACCATGCTCTAAAAGCTCAAGGTTCATAAAAGTGTGACTGGAAGATCAATTTTCTAAATGGAAAAGGTTCATTCAGGTTGAAACCCCAACTTGATAGACTTCTCTGGTTAAAATATTCCAATTAATGAAATAAATCAGTTTTCTTTGAAGATTCAGATCTAGGATCAATAGGCTGCAATAATTTAGGTTAAAAAAATTCACGTTAACATGAAAATGTCTCCTTTCCTATGCTAGCCACAAGTACGTTCAGTTTTAACTAAAGTAATGATTGTGGCAGATTGATTAATAATTTATACTATAATATAAACATTTTTTATATTAAAATGGTCAGGCTGATAATTGGTGCATTTTTTAAGGCAAAGTAAAATGCTTTAGCTCTCTGCTCCCAATCTTATTAATAACAATATAAATATGCTGAATACTGAAATTGTTCATAATAAATCATGTTCATTTTTATCTATATATGAATTTCAGTACAATCTTGTTTATAAAATAAGCCCTTAAAAAGTTCTCACTTTGGATCAAAAAAGAAAGAACATTTCTGTCTTATGAACAATAATTTAATAAATTATGTTGTTTTTAATACATCCTTATATGCTAGGCAACATGATTATATTGCTTATAATATCCTATTTTGTCTAATTTATTGTAGACTGCACTGTGACTTTTATTTCCTAAAAGTGAACTACACTATTAAGTGAAAATACATATTTCAGAGATGTTAATGCTTTTTAGGCATTGGGGTTGATGGACAGATAATACTTAAAGTGGGATGGGAAATCAGAAGCCAGAAATATGAACTGAATGAGGATTTAGGTAGAGAAATGCAGGTAAAGGAGGCTAAATAGAAAATGTTGAGATCAGTAGGACAGAAAACATGGTGGAAGCTGATGTGGAAAAAGCTACAAGAAGCATTAAAGTGGACACAAATGCTACTATGAGTGAGGCAGTGAAGAAATAGTTGTCCATGAGGCAAAGCTACAAGGAAGATGATCATAAACAAGTGGGTGGAAAGGTTCTGAGGAAGGGCAGTGCATATAATGGTGTGTTAAATCTGGACAAAAGAGAGACTAGACCTGAGTTTAGGCAGTTATGGAGGTAATTGTTCACTTTGCAAAGGAGAAGTTTTATCTCGTACCAAAGGAATATATGCAGAGTTCCTTTAGGTCTAAGGTGAAGAATGAATAAACTATTCAGACCTCTGCTTTAAATGAATCAACTTGGAGATAAAAGACACAATCTGTGAAATTATAAATGGCCTATGTACAGAGATTTACACTGGACTCTTAAAACCACAAATGCCTGACACAGCTAAGGCTTACCTTCATAAAGTCTTCTACTCTGTGAGAAGGCACATGGCTACATGTTATAAGTATCCCATTCTATTTCATATGATACCCTGTTAGAGGTTAAATGCAAAAAGCCTGTGTCCTACTGGACAAAAGCCAATTGATAAGCCACTAGAGATCTTTTTGAAAATTCTTCCCAAATAGAGATCACAGTGTTTAGTGTCAGCCAGATTTTTTATTCAGGACTCTAAATTGAAGATTGGCGACGCATGAGGAAAGTTTATCAGTTGACAGAACAGAAGCTAAGAAGGCTTAAGAAGAACACAGACAATATGGAAGACCTGAAAGCCTGAACTGCAGAAACTATAAGAAATCACAAATTATGAGTGAATAGAACTCACAATATAGGGAAGACCAGACATACAGGGGAGAGCTTAAAGTAGATTGTTGGTGAAGAAGGGACTATACAAGCAGAAAGAATGAATTTGGACCCCTACCTTACACCATATACAAAGATTAAAAAGATAAGATCCAAACTAATGTACTTAGAAATGCACTATAAGTAGGTAATGTGAAAAAAGCAGTCATATGTTGTAATGTAATACAGAGTCTAATGCTGGTGCTCTAATATACTTTTGGAGTTCACCAGTGCAGTCAGTATATTCACCCAAAGAAGCCTGTCTTAGTGATTTGATTCTCAAACAACCTTCAAGCTAAATATGTGTATATTAGATGAGATAACTTTATCTATTAGTGGGCAATATCCTTATCCTTGTGTGCAAATTTGAGAGTAATGAAGGCAGAACTAATAAATTTAATAAAGAAAATATGATATTCATTTATTTTCATAGTTACTGAAACATTTTCTGAAACTTTTCATTTTTATGCTTTGTGCTTATAAACCCAGTCTTCTTGGTTTAACCATAAATTGGTGGATATTTCCTCTGTTCCATGTACTATTGTGGGATATGTCCCATTATAATAGCCTACTTAATTTTGGTATGCATTAATTAGCTTTGCTCAATAGTATTCACAGGCCCACATTCAATTAAGTGCTTTATAAATAGTGTTTGGTGTTAATGATAACAACAGATTTGGTGAGATTAAAATTAGTAATTATGGCAGAAACTTCCACAGAGTTTAAGGAAATTTAAACTATATATTTTGGATATCTTATATAGACAGATCTGTATCAATCTACAAGTCTTGCCTTTCAAAAGACAGCAAAAATAAAAAAGAAAGAAAGCAAAGAAAATGAAAGCTTTGGTTATTCCTGAAGAGAGTGAGCACGGTTATTTTTGAAAGGAAACTTATTATCTTTAAAACTTTTAAAGTAAAAAAGGGTCCTGTCCTGGTATATATTTCTGATAATATCTGCTACCATTTCCTTATGGTTTTTAAACAGAATTGCTATTCCCTGCGGTATGGAAACAGAGCAAGTTATGAGAATGTTAAATAGAGGACCTGGCCTTTTGGAAATTGGGTTTTATGGGTTATGTAGATTGTCCTTGCTTTTCTTTTTCTGTTAAGTCACCCATCCTGGTTAGAATCGCCTGGCCAAAAAATAAACCAAAATGCACTGGTTAGCTGCTCATGTGTGGGGCACATAGAAACAATAAAATATAAAAGAGCTATAGTACAAAATTCACATTGAACAACAAAAAGAAAAGAGCTATGGTGAAGATGGAATCAGGCGTCCTATCAAGAAATAAAAGCCACAAATATCATAGATATCAATATATAGCCACTGCCAATTCTAGATACAGATTATTTAACTAAAGGTAAATTATAGTTTCAAAGTCACTTCGACACACTGGATCTGTGAATTTCATTTGCTTTTCCGTGTTCTTTCTTTTTCCCCATCATCATCACACAGTCCTACACCAGGTCTGGCTCAAGTCCTGCCCTCTTCAGTTCACGATGTAGAAGTATTTTATGAGTGATATTGGGAGACGATTAGCCATGGCTCTCTCATGTTTCTGCATGTCTTGTGAGAAAGGCAATGACCTAATTTTGTTTTGGACCATCTTTCCAAGGATATTGGTATAACAAACAGCCCAGGATAATAGATATTTTCTCCCTTGGAGAAGAGGGAAAGTGTGCTTACTATCTGTTATTTAAAAATTGGGTTCCTTATGCAAACTTAGGTTTATCTTCTGTAATGCAACCTACTGAGTGTGTAAGCACTATCTGGGCCCATCTGCATCTTACCCCTGAGATCTGGTGGCAAGGCGAAGCGACCCAAACATGCTGATGTCTATGCTTTTTGCTGTATTATAAATAATAAAGTCATTTTTCTTTATCTCAGGAGTCTTGAGTCTTCTGTTAACATCCACGAAACTGTGGTACCTTCTGACCCTGATGTCTCAGGTATTCAATCAGCATCCATAAAACTGACTTACGTTACCTTGTTAACATGCCAGTTGGGTAAAAACTCAGACTCTTCACAGTTTTTGAAAGATAACTCAGGAAAATGTTATTTTAATACTATAATAAATATTTCTCTTATATGCTATTTTAAAAAATACTATCCTGTATTAATTTCACCATACACTCAAATGCTTTCGGCATGTTCTAAGTCCAAGGCTTCTAGACTTCCCACAGAAGAGAAGAATATAAAAACAATGCAGTTACTTATCTTATAAAATTTGTTATATAGAAAAACATCTATAAAGGAACTAAAGACATGTGCAATTATGCCTATAATTAATAAGACGAAATATAAATACCAGTGAGAGAGTTGAAAGGTTACATAAGTGAAAAAAAATACAAGCTGGAAGTCTTAAAGTCAGAGGAGACAGCTTAGAAGTCATATAATCATTACTTCCAGGTTTGACTGCAGAAATGCTTTTTATATAATCAACTTTCCCGACATAGTTATACAGTTATTGCTTGGCAGTATCCAAGGACACCAGGAAGAAAACTCACCCCATTACAAAGCAGTCAATTCCATTATTTGATAGCTCTGGTTGTTAACATGCTATTTCTTGAATTAAAAACTGTGTAGTGGTAAATTCCATAGGTTCACCTGCCTGTAGATCTAATCCTCCTTCCACATGAGCGTCCTTCAAATGTGCAATATTTTCCTTCTCAACTGAGAATGAGCTCATTCAGTCACTCATTTCACACCTTATATCTCCTTATGCTACGTTTGAACAAATGATCATTGAAACTCAAATACACAAGTTTTCAGTTCTGCTATTATATTTCATCTTGTTTATTTTGACCTTGAGTGACACACTGTTGAGATAATTCTGAATCTTGATTCTACTTTGTGACTATAGAAGGGTTCCAACATAATTTTATGATCATGAGATATCCTGTAGAAATTACTGAATAAGTTTTACAATTATATTTTGAAACAATAATTATGTGGAAGCTTTAGTTTGCTACCTGTGGAAGTTTAGCAAAGCCTGGCATGGGCGGGGTGGAACCCAAGTACAAAACCTCTGATGACCATTGCACAGATTTCATATTCCTGTGATATTTCCTTTTGCTATTTTTAGGAGTATGATAAATTGATGATCTGATGTCTCTTTAAAGAAATGAATTAGGAAGATTATATCTTCCAAAATGTACAGAACAAAGGAATTAAACCACACCAGATTCAGTGTTATCAATGATAATATATGGCTATTGGAGCTAAAAAGCTTTCATATGCCCTCTTCATTTCTCTGAGTAATTAGATCCTCTCATTAGAACACAATCAATTTATCATGTTCAATGTACAGATAATGTGATGACTGATGTCTTTGCCACAAGCTACATGATATAGAAATATTATATATGACTTTTTAATAATTTTAAACAACAGAGTGGCTGAGTTTATTTCACATTCATATGTTTCTTTTCCCCTTTTAGCGTTCTTATTGCTCTTCTCTTAAAATGTGACACAGAGAGTTAATTTAGGTTGGCATTTGCCCTCTGGTTCTGATGTTACCAGATATGATCAGCTGAAAATAATTAATATAATAATTGGACTTTAGCTATGAATTAAGATAATAAAGTATAATATTAGCTATTTAAAAGTATTTTCCTGATACATAACCTGAAGTTCTAAAATATATTTTTCACAGTGAATTATGTTCATTAATATTTCATAAGCTATTTCATATAAATTATACATATGAAATATATGCTACTGCAATGGTTTTCATGTAATTAATCTCACAGTAAGTTAGTAAATTTGTATTGTTTTAATCTATTAATACAGTAATCTGGTAATTCAACATAAAGTTAATTACCTGGAAATTAAACATGATCTCTGTAACTGGCTTACTGGACAGGCTGAATCTAACAGGATACAGTAAGAAAAAAGCTACATTTTTCTCCTATCCATATGTTTAAGATTTTCTTTCAGGAATCCCTTTCAGATCCTTGGAAGACATCGCATTGAGATTCTGTAGTTTCATAATCACTATTGATGTTTAAAACAAGTCCGGGCGTGGTGGCTCACACCTGTAATCCCGGCGCTTTGGGAGGCCGAGGCGGGCGGATCATCTAAGGTTGGGAGTTTGAGACCAGCCTGACCAGCATGGTGAAACCCCATCTCTACTAAAAATACAAAAATTAGCTGGGCGTGGTGGCGCATGCCTGTAATCCCAACTACTCGGGAGGCTGAGGCAGGAGAATCGCTAGAACCCAGGAGGCGGAGGTTGCAGTGAGGCCAGATCATGCCATTGCACTCCACCTGGGCAACAAGAGCGAAACTCCATGTCAAAAAAAAAACAAGTCCTATGTTGGGAGACAGGGGAAAGAATAAAAAACAAAACAAAAAACACCTCTCTTCTTTATGAATAACTCCAGTCTTGGGGACATTTAATATTCGCATTTACATTCAGTTAACTGCTGTTCCTTTCCCTCCATTTGAGGTCTGGCTGTGGTTCTGGTACTCCCAGTGGGAGGGAATTTGGCTCAGTCTTTAGCTCTCCTTCCACCTCTTTATTTCTTTTGGTTTTTCCAGGGTCAATGCAGTGGAAGAGGAATTTCAGGTAGACATCAAAAGTCTTATGTACTAATTCTGCTATAATTCTCACTTGGCATTAATACTGGCTGAGCATTACACCCTCCACCATGGCATATCTGGAAACGCTGGCTTTTTTGTGAGTCACATTTGTGATGTCTTCAGAGAACATTGCTCTGTTACACACCTCACATAAATAGTACTGCAGTTTCCTAAGTGCATTATATATACCCGAACACACCTCCCACCCTGGCAACTATTTCCAGTGGCATACCTTATGGCTTCTTTCTGCCTTATTAGGTAGGCCCTCTGAGTGAGCCAACACATAATCTGAAAATGCAGAAACACAGATTTCTTTCCTTATCATGGCATAAAGAAAGGTGTTTTACCATAACAGCTCACAGCTTGGCAAAAAGGTGACAGGGGAATCAGATGTCCATGTACATTCCTTAATTTAACAACCTAGGTAAGGCTGTCTCAAAAATTATCTTGCTTAACTCCCCTGAAATGCACATACTGGTCCTACACATTTCTACAGCCCAGCACTTCACCAGCTGAGGAGAGTGATGCCACCCTGGACCTTCAAGCAAACCCCAAAGTTCTGTCAATGTTTCTCTTGGGTTAGGGGAGGGAGCAGAGGTTACCTCCTATGTGTGGGGTGTGTGGGTAGAAAATATGAAATGCCATCATACTCTTTAGGAGGCTGACAACTCTACTTCCACAGCACTCTGCTACCATCCTTTGGAATTTTTGGCCTTCTATTATAGGTGCTCGAGGAAGGCTAAAAATTGCTGAGCATACCCATTTTCATGTCATCATGTACTCAGTTATTGTGAATGTGTCCAGCCATCCTTAGTAGAATGTGGGCTACTCATAATCTGATGCTCTCAGTTTTGGAGTTTCAGCAATAAACTGAGACACATGGAAAGTCTCATTCAACAGCTCTTTGTATTTTACATGTTTTTAATTCATATAAATATTTAATTTAAAATTTTAGTAACTACAGTATGCTATGCATATTGTAGTACTTTGTCCAAAAAATCCTTAATTTTGGCTTTCAATCAAAAGAGGTTTTCTGATCAAATTAGTTTAGAAATGCTGCTGTAGAATAACTCTTATCTGGGGAATGAAAAGCTCTATAAAATATTATTAAAACAACATACTTTTTGTTTAACTTAGATTTCCCCAGAATTCTTTGACATTGTTCCATTTTTCTACATAAACTGCTATCTTATAGAACAAATATCACTGGAACACAATTTGGAAAACATATTTTGAAATAACATTTAATACATAAGATAAAGCAATGTGAAACTCAATATGATCATTGTAAAGGGATAATGAACTGTAAGTTAAAGTCAATTATCAATTCCTCAAGAACTGAATAATTCTCTAGGACTTACTCTCTTGCCATTACGCCTCAAAAAAGCTTTCAACCTCAAGAAATTCTAGAAATTAATATAAACTCTACTACAGCAACATTTAGCTGAAAAGTTTGTATCTCAGTTTTGCCACCAGAATGTGTCAAGAAAAGGTCCACTTTTAATGTAGGTTCGTTTGATAACCCTGTGTTCTAGCTGTATTTAACTGGGCTATGTCTGTTCCTTTCTGCTTCTTAAGTGTGAGTACTGCCACTGAAATCCAGGGCTGAAGTTACTGAATGTTGTGTTTAATGATACGTTCAGTAGCAGTCAATATTTTAGGCTTGGACAGTTGAGACACCCATGTTGCTCTTTGACCCAGAAAAAATGAACCAAATGAGTCATTTTCTAACAGTGATGTAGAGAGCACACACACAAAAAATCATATGGTGCTTTAGCAATGGTTGGTCCAAGTAGAAGAAAAGAACATGCTTCTCCAATAAGTTTAGACTATTATTAGGGTCATGAGACTTTTTTTTTAATTTAATAAGTATATGGGATTGACCTTTAACCCTAGGAATATATAGAAATCAGCAACATGCAGTTTTTTGAGAAGGGAAAACATTGCTTAGTATGATTTTCAAACTCAACTGTACTAGCTCAACTGTAGTAGCTGTGAGACTAAGCATTTGAATATTAGTTGTTATTCTTCTGTGGATCCTAAGTATCAGTCACTCAAATTGTAGGTTTATTATACATCCTTAATAGATGAAATTACAGAAGACTTTCTATTACATAGATCCAAGTACACTTTCTGATTTATTGGATTCTTAAGACTTTAAATAGAGAGTCATTAGTAAACAGCCAGAGTTTAAGCCTTGATGTGCCTGGCAGACTTGGAATGAAATTTCTGCTCTATGTCTTTGGATAAATTAATCACAAATTTCTCTAAGTTCTCATTTTCTTACATGAAAATTGAAACCAAATATCTGCTAAGGTTCTTTTGAAGCTTGCATTTAGTTAGTACATGATAGTGTTTAACAAGGACAGTGCCTTTCTGAAATCAGGAGAGTATCTTGAAAATCACATTTTTCTTTCTTTCTTTTTTTTTTTTTTGAGACGCATCTCACTCTGTTGCCCAGGCTGGAGTGCAGTGGCATGATCTTGGCTCACTGCAACCTCTGCCTCCTGAGTTCAAGTGATTCTCCTGCCTCAGCTTCCTGAGTAGCTGGGATTACAGGTGTGTGCCACCACGCCCAGCTAATTTTTGCATTTTTAGTAGAGACGGGGTTTCACCATGTTGGTCAGGTTGGTCTTGCACTCCTGACCTCATGATCTGCCTGCCTCGGCCTCCCAAAGTACTGGGATTACAAGCATGAGCCACCGCACCTGGCCAAACATCACGTTTTTTAAGGAATTCTTGGATGAACTTTCCACGCCTGATCCCAGTCTCAGCATTCGGCACCCTGGACTGCAAGCACCCATTTACTTGTGTGTATGTTTCATGTTGGGCAACTTGAGGAGAGGGGCCATTTTTTGTTTCTCCTTTTGTCTCCAACATGTAGCAGAGTGCTCAGCACATTTGGAATATTTGTTAATGTATAAAAAAAGGGCATTTTGGGATTAACTACAATGTCAATGCAAACAACATTTAGTTGTATTTTGCCTATGTTGTTTAAGAGTAAAGTATATTTAAATGAAATGTAAAACAGTCACTGAGGAAGCATTTTCTACTATAATATGAACATGAAAAACAATAATTATTGAATATGTATACATATTATATGGTTATATATTTGTATATACACGTTAACTGTACTTCCTTTATTAACAAAAATAAAACTTAGATCTAGTTATCTGATTCCCATAATTCATGTATACTATTGTCATTACTATGAATCAGTAATAAATATTAATAATGTTGACAATTTATATTTATTAATAAACATTTAATGGGCTCACACAATCACTTAAGAATATACACAGCACTGAATTAGACTTTTCCCAGAGGGCTTTTATTCCAAACTAGACAGGCAGATCAGACACAAACATAGAGAAAGAAGGTTAATGCATTCAGGGAAAGAATGACTGACATCATGGCATATAGATCAATACCTGACACTTAAAAGGAAAGTGAGAGATCTAAATTACTTAATGCAATTTATCACCATTATTAAAAAAAATACCCATAACAACCACAAGGACTCAAGCACATATGCTGGGAGAAGGTTGACCTAAAAGTCTCACGTCAAGTGAGGACCCTGAATATATTAATCACTGAACAGCTAGTGAGGCAGAAACAAGGGTTGCATTACCCTAGATATTGAATAATATGGCATAGAACAGGGCTGCTCTAGGGCAAACCACTCATAAAAAGCTTTTAGTGGAAGAGAAAAATCATCTGACTAGCAGTTTCTTTATGATCCTAAGAAGATATGAAGAGATGGAAAGAAGTTATGTTTTAGCAGTTCTATTATCTCTTTGTGATTATTTTCATTTTCTTTTTTTCTCAACTTAGGGATCCCACATCTTTAACACAAGCGTTAGCAAAGTTTCTGTTGTTTCTGCATGTCTTCTTATTATAAAATAATATTAGTTAATGGAAAAAGAAACGTAAAAAAGACACACCTAAATATTCACAACTTTTTAAAGGACTAAGAACAAATAAAATGTTATAGCTATTAAATCATCAATTTTTTTTTTTTTTTGAGACAGAGTCTTGCTCTGTTGCCAGGCTGGAGTGCAGTGGCACAATCTTGGCTCACTGCAACCTCTGCCTCCTGGGTTCAAGTGATTCTCCTTCCTCAGCCTCCTGAGTAGCTGAGACTACAGATGCACGCCACCATGCCTGGCTAATTTTTGTATTTTTAGTAGAGATGGGGTTTCACCATGTTGGCCAGGGTGGTCTCTATCTCTTGACCACGTGATCCACTTGCCTCAGCCTGCCAAAGTGCTGGGATTACAGGTGTGAGCCACCACGCCTGGCCTTAAATATCAATAATTTAAAAATGGTAAAAGGTGTGGGAATGTGGTACTTTGTTTCCGTAAGTTCCTCTGTATATGTTCTGCCATATGATCTATTCTTATATCATCCAGATTTTTTCCAATTAAAATATGTCCACTAGTATTTGATAGCACAACAGGGTGACTATGGACTTCAATAACTTAATTGTACATTCAAAAATAACTAAAAGGGTATAATTGGATTGTAACACAAAAAATAAATACTTGAGGGGATGGATACTCCATTCTCTATAATGTGATTATTATGCACTGCATGCCTGTATCAAAACATTTCATGTACCCCATAAATATATACACCTACTATGTACCCACAGAAATTAAAATAAAAAAATTTAAAAATATTCCACTATCATCAAATATGTGGTCATACTAAATCATAAAATCATTGGCTATATTCAGGTTCTAAACTGGGTTAATAATTTCACTATTCCTAAGCCTCTGTTTTTATGACAGTCCTATAATAACTTACATCTCAACGTTGTTGCAAGGATTTAATAATGCAAGATACCTTAGCCTCCTAGCAGTGCCTAGCATATACTATATAATAAAAATGTGTTTTTTAAGAATATATTTTATAATTGTGCAGGGATGTCTCCTTCACTCTTCCAGAAATATAAAATAATTTAAGTTCCCTGTAAGGTCTGACAGTAAATACAAAGAGTTTACTGAGCAATTTTGCTGTTTAATTTTTCATTAATACAAAATAACCTAAATTTTACTGGACTTCTAGAAATCTTAGTCATTCCAAAAATTACTGAAATACATTCTAACATTTGATTATTTATTAAATTAAGTTTAATGTATTAGGAACATGATATCTGAAAATTATTGAATACACTTGGCTGTACTGAAAAGTTTACAAATAGACTAAGTATGGCACTGCATTGTGCCTGAACATGTTAGATTTTATTATCTGATCCATTTTTTATCAAAGTGAAATAATATTATACATAGGCACAGATCTCACTCATTAATTTTATTAGTCATATTCAGGAATTCAACAATTAGTTTTGGAAACCTTCCAACTCACCAATCTCAAATCATTCTTAACCTAATCATCCATGATACTGATCTCAGTAAGTTCATATGTTCACTGAAGGACAAGAGGACTAACATTACTGTATTTTATTTAAAAGGCACTGTTATTTATCAGAAGTTAAAGAAAATGTTGTGTCAGTTTTGAACCAGGAAAATGAAGAGACAAAGAAATCAAAGATCCAAATCACTATCATCGATCTCTGTTACTAAGGCAGCTCTATCTTAGTGTATAGATAGATGGAGTCAGGAAATAAGTCAAGAATGTTATTGATTACTTAAGAATAAAGGAATTTAAATCAGTATCTCACAGCATCCCAAACTATATCTAACTTTTAGTTTATAAAAGCATTGTAAAATTAACATTGGTCATTATGATGAGACATAAATCTATAGCATATTTTATGAAATTAAATACATTTGTAGGTAATTGACCTTATAGATTCTATACCACACCAACAATTATAGAGCAAATCATCCTGAAGGGGTCTGTAGCATGCCTAAAATCAGTTATTTTGTTAGCAATGGAGAGATACTAGATCCCAGCTCTCCTAACTTAGCTCAGTGATGCTTTCTAACAGCTTTGCTTCATCTAGACTTTCGAAGAGTTTTAATATCATCTGTGAACCATATGTAAGAAGATAATAACAATGTCCCAGAAAATACTGCATATTTGAAATACAAATCAAGTGGGTGGTATGAAAAAAATCATGAATGAGAGATCCTTCAACAAGGGTTAGATTTAGTTAAGTGGAATATCTGGCCTTTTTTTTTCAGTTACATTGTAGAGTGGGGAAAGACTGCAGCTAACACACCAGCCTGATAGAGCGTTTCCAATATGGTATGATTCATTACAGATCATGCATTTGAACTGTTGTGAAAATAAAGGTATAATTTAAACAAAAATGAGTTACGTTTGTTATAACAGTAGTTCTCATTACCATTCAAATACTCTCCACATGGTTATAGGTAAAATTAACCAATTTTAAACTGTGATAGTCATTACTGGAGTATAAAATTATAAACACATTTGAATAGCAATTTCTTAACCACTTAGGAAGGACTTGAATATATTGAAATATATAGATAGGAGAATGACAATATAACTTTGTGTCAACTTTGTTCTTAATGTTCTGTACTAAGGTAAGAATCAGACATGTAAGAAAATAGCTAACAATCCTAATTTTGTTTAATTAATTATAAATGTTTCCAATAGACACCCAATGATTATTATTGTCAATCTGGACACTTACTTGATTTTAATTAGTCTCAGACTATTTCCAGAACACAAATGACCTTATGTAATAAAATACATCAGAATTAAACTGGCCAGAATTTTTCTTTATCTATTGTTTGGAATAAATTACTACTTCCTCCTCTTGGTTGATTAAAAAGAATAATTCATTGAGAAATTTGTCTCAGTTAAAATTTCTAGACAAATTTTCATAAGATACTTGGCTTACTATGTACCAGACACTACAGTAAGTGCTTTATTTGGATTATCTCATTTTATAGGATATACTATTAATATCCTATAAAATATACTATTATTACCTACATTACAAAAGAGAAACAGAGGCTTCAAGAATTCAAGTAATGTAATCAGAGCAAAACACATGACAAGTCATGGAGATGAAACATGAACAAAGACTTATCATTATAATAATAGCTGTTTAAGATACTTAAAGCTAACAATTATTGAGCACATCCAATGTGCCAGCTCTCTGCAGGATACTTAACATGTATCAGTTAACGTAGTCCTCAGATTCTATATTATGTGTGTAATAAGGTGGCATTATATCAGGCTCTGGGCATATAGACATGAAATCTCTGATGAATCTCTGAGTACAGTCAATATTTTGGGTTACAATAGATATAGTCAGGAGAATTCATAACCGTGGATATGAGAAGGTGTGAAGCAAAGTGTTCAGAAAGAAAAGTTGTGTGATCATTGTAAAACATGTTCTAAAATTCTGACCCCTAAGTAAAGAGGGAAGATCTATGTCACCTTCCTTTGAATAACAACTGAACTTAATGACTTAGCTGAAACCAGTGGAAGGAAATCGAAATGATGCTGTGTGACTTCAAAGGCACAGTCTGATAAGGCAATGCAACTTTGGTCATATTTGCTGCAACACTTGCACTTGGAGTCCTGAGCCCCAACATGGAAAGTTCAATCTCAGATGCCAAGCAGTGAGGAGGTCAAACTACATGGAGAGGCCACATGTAGTTAAAGTTGGCCATCCTTGTCTTTAAGTTAACCCAGATTAGGCAACAGATATGTGAGTGAACAAGATTCCAGAAGATTCTAGATCCCAGATATTGAGCCATTCCCAGCCAACAAGACTTACCTTCAAGGCTGTAGAACCTGTGGAGCAGAAACATGTCACCTCTGCTCTGCCTTTTCATATCCTGACCACAGAATTTATGAGCATAATAAAATGGTGATTTTACACTAATACAATTTGGGGTGACTTATTATGCAGCAATAGTAATTGCAGCAATGTTTTTAGTAATTTAAACAATATTCATAATAAGATACATTACTATTACTGGACATTGTTTAGCCCGAAAGGAGAATATTACTGAAAATAATTTGAAAATATCTATAGTTTGAATATTTGTCTCCTTCAAATTTCACATTGAAATTTGATTCTTAATGTTGCAGGCGGGACCTAATGGACAATGTTTGGGTCATGGTGATGGATCCTTCACCAGGTGAATGACTTCTTGCTGTATTAGTAACCATAAGAGCTGGTTGTTTAAAATAGCCTGGCACTCCCACACCCCATTCCTTTCTCTGCACATGCTGGTCCACTTTATCTTCCACTTTGAGTGAAAGCTGCCTGAGGTGCTCATCAGAAACTGAGCATATGTCAGCACCCTCCTTCTTATACAGCCTGCTGAACTGTAAGCCAAATAAACCTCCTTCATGTATAAGTTTTGTTTATAAGTTACTCTGCCTCAGGTATTCCTTTATAGCAACTCAAAATGGATTAAGACATAGACAATAAAAATATATTTGCCATTAATTAATATTTCATTTGTTGACTTCCATGCACATAATGAATAAATGAATGGAATGAAGATAAAAACTATCCCAATTTGTGCTGTCTTATATGATAACACAAGCCACATGTGGCTATCAATCAAATAGAGATGTGCCATAAGTATAAAATACAAGTGTTTGAAGACAGTTCCAAAAATTATGTAAAATTATCTCAATAATTTTACATTAATTAACCATTGAAGTGATATTTTGGATATCTGAATTTTTATATTGATTACATGATAAAATACACTATGAAGATTAATTTCATCAGTTTCTTTCTTAAATTTTTATTAATTTTGGTTCCTAAGAAAAGTTAAATGTAATGGTAGCTCATATCTGTGATTCATATTGTTTATCTATGTGACAGCACTAGACTGACCATTATTTTATCTTGGAAAATACTAAAACTAGTGAAAGAAAATAGTATAGAATCTGATTAATAATTTTTATTTTGCCACAATTTTCTCCAATTCCAAAAAGTGAGAAGATAGATATTAGTTTATCCAATGATTTATATAACCCAAGTAACTAAAATAATGACTTTGAGATGCTTGTCATTCCAAAATAAGAAAGCAAAAAAGACTTGGTGTCAAAAACACATGCACAGTAAAGCTGATGGTACTGCTGATGCCAGCCCTGTCTGGAACCACCATTACTAAGATGCAGGGTGCACAGAGGAGGCACAGCCAGGGTTGCACACTCCACAGAGTCAGCAAGTGCCATGAACAGGCAGGAGCTCTGCCCCCTACCAAGTCATTAGGGCTGGAGCCCCACGCTCCTGGGCACAGCTGCAGCTGACCAGCCATGACTCTGGACCAGGGATCCCTGCACTCTTGGGAATCCAGGAAGCCCCTTGCCCACACAGTCTTGAAAGGGCCTGCTCCCATTGCCTGTCCTCTGCCCACTCCTGGTGCCCGGGAGTGGGCGGAGCAAAGTTGTGGCCAAGCCTGGGTGCTGTTGCAACCTGGCCACGTGTGTGCATGCTTGGGGTGGTGCCAACAAGACTGCCTCCTGCTGCCTTGGCCCCCTCCAAACTTTGGGCACCAATAATCATGGGAGGGAGGCCTAGGGGGGCTGAGGGCTGCTTGGCATGGGCCTGCAGGCACCCTTCCACATGAACAGCCTGGGCACTATGGATGACATGTTGATGGTGGGAGGAAGCAGACAGCCTCCTGGGCAGAAAGGGGTGGTCCCTGGTGAAGCCCCACCTTCAAGCTGGGGACAGCCTGAAGCCTGTGGGCCGAGCTATCAGTTCTACGTGGAGTCTGTGGCCCAGAGTGAGAATGTATGGTGCTTTTTCTGGGCCTGCCCATGGCCGCCTATGGACCAATCAGCATGCACTTCCTCCCTTTTGAGCTCATAAAACCCCCAGACCCAGCCAGACTCACACAGACGTTAAGACTAACAGCTGCCCAAAGGAGCTAACCACTTCAGGTCTCCTTGACTTGTTGGGACAGCTTGCCTGTGAAAGGAGCTACCCACTGTGGTTCATCTCTCCACTGAGAGCTGGAGACTTGTCAGGACAACGTGCCTGTGGATAGGAGCTACCCACTTTGGGTCTCCTTTCTGCTGAGATCTGGACACTCTGGATGACTTGCTAGTGAAAATGAGCTACCCACTTCAGGTCTCCTGAGAGCTGTTCTGTCATGCAATAAAGCTCCTCTCCACCTTTCTCACCTACCAGTTGTCCATGTACTTCATTCTTCCTGGAAGTGGGACAACTGAAAAAGCTGTAACACAAACAGGGCTGAAACATCACCCCTGACTTGCCACATTGCAGGCAACTAGAAGGAAAGAAGAGCTGCAGCCCTTTGGGAGCCCAGACCTAGGTGATCCCTGAGCCAGGGCTGTGACACCCTCTTTGGAGCTCTGTGGTTGCAGCTCTAAGCTTCTGGGCACCACTGCATTCCCCTTGTCCAGATGTAGACACCCACAGCAGAAGCCGCTTATGGTGCATCTAATCCAGCTGCAGGCTTGCACTCAGTGCCTGTGCTAGCACCCAGAGCTGCCCATCCCACTGCAGCAGCCAGTGTGCATGGCTGTGTGCAGTGGCCAGACCTTTTGCTCACTCACTTATGCACCCCTTGCCACTCTGTGCCTGGCTCACCCTTGGCAGGCATGGGATCTGGACTGGTGGCATGAGATGAGTGCACTTGCCAGGCTGAGTGGGTGGAACAAGCCCAGTGGGCCGAAGCAAAAACTCAGGCAAAGGCACCACCAGCCACAGAGGTTTCCAGCTGTAAAAGCAATACCCTAAGTTTCCCATGCCAGTGTCACATTAGATACTTTATTTTATTAAGTTAAGGGTGCTCTATTTACTATGTTTTGTTAGACTATTCAAAATCTTGATTGGCTTAGGATATCTTTTTCATTTTCACACAAAAATATGATGAATCAAAACTTTTCACAAATTTTCTTAATTTTCTCATTATCTTTAAATGTATTTACTCTAATCTCTGCCCCTTTAAGATATAATTTATATTTTCTCACATTTCCCTAGCTCTTAAAGCAGAGACTAGAGTGACAAAATGCAATAAGTACAATAATCTTTAGACAAAAATCTCAACATCTTGAAAACTGTTTAAAAAAAAGGGGAATTCATATTAACATTTTAAAAGTAAAGGGATTAAAAGTTATTATTTTAGTAAAATTCTGACAGTTTTTCTTTGGAATGTTAAGATAATTTTGAACACTTAAATCTGTATATATTTTAGCCTTTCTATCACTAATCAAACCCCATGAATGCTCTGAGCACAGCCCAACTTCCTTCTCTGCCAGCAAACACAGTCTTTTCTTTACCACCCACCATTCGTCTGTCACTCTTAATTCCAGACTTCACTCTACCTGCCACGCTGCTACAGAGCTGCCACTAGTTTCACCTTAAAAGCCTGACATTTAGCCTTTCCTGCTCAGCTTCAGTCAATCAACTACTTGAACTTTGTGAATGTACCTTGCAAAATATGTGGATAGTGTCAGCCTGACTAAAAACTGTGAGATTGACTGTTTCCTTCCCTCAAGGAAGTGCGTAATTACGCCAAACGCAACTGTTGGCCTGCTTGTCTGATGGCGTTTCTGTCATAAATTCTCCTCAGAAAGACCTAAAAACTGTCAGATAAAAGCTGTGTGAAGTGGTTGGTATCACTTCTGGGAAAACACCTGTCACCTTCTATGTACAGTCAAAAGTTCAGTGAACAAGAAGACAGTCAAGGTGGTGGAATTACAATGAGAGAGATAGGCACTGTAAACTAACATGAAGGTTGGTCAGGAGTTCTGTCAATAACCAACAGTCATTTTGCTGTGGACCAGTGCAAAGGACTAATTAAGGTTTAGAGTTGCAGTCACAAATTCAAATGTCTTCAGAAGCCAGGGAGGTAAGACGTATTTGTGGAGAGACCAGATATTACTCTTACTCTTACTACAACTATTACAATTATTGAGAACTTACTATATGTCAGATTTTGTCTCCAGCAATAGACAGATAGGTCTAGATCTAGATCTGGATATTTACTTAATCTTTAAAAAATGCTATGAGTTAGGCACTGTGATTTTCATTACCTTATGGATAAGTATAGTGAGGTGTAGGCCATGTAAGCAAGAAGTGTGGCATTCAAATTTAAACTGTCTACTTCTGGAGACTGTGTGCTAGAGGGAGTGGTGGCACCTGTGTCAACCTGAAGAGCAAATGTATTACCTTAAGGCATTCAATTTTGGCCACATAAAACAAATGCATCTGCCATCCCAATTCAGCTAGTGATTTGTCTACAAAATCAAAGTTGGCACAATTGTTTTTTCTAAATTCCAGCCATGTGTTCTCATGCAGCCTGAAATTAAATATAAATATTTAACTGTAAAACTCAATTTTTTGTAGTAATCAAAACACATTTTACTTACAATTTCTTTACAGTAATGCTTATGTTCAGTGCTTTTTTTGTTTATATTCATAGGATAAAGAAACTAACATAAAAATTTCACAGTATATGAAATGAATATTGTTTACTTTCACAGTCCAAAATACAGTTTTAATGTTTTGATTTTAAACAAGCAAGTAAACGCTTGAAGAAAAAAAATCACTGATTATTCTTTATTTTGTGGTCAAATATGTGACACTCTCCTTTTTAATATTGACCATTGGCTATGCCATTGTAAAATATTCTTTTTACTTTATAATTAGGAAGGATATGATAGAATAATAACTTGTTTCATATCCAATATTGTCATTCCTTTTTTTTTTTTTTTTGAGACAAAATCTTGCTATGTTGCCCAGGCCTGGTCTCTAACTCCTGGGCTCAAGTGATCCTCCCACCACAGCTTCCTAATTACCTGATATTACAGGTGCACGCCACTATGCCCAGTCAATATTCTCTTTTCTAAAACTATAGGGTAATCAAAGCTAGAACTGCCTTCAATCACTTTCTGTCTCCACAGCAGTCATCAGATTTAGGTTGCCAAAATCACTTACCTTAATTTTCAAGTAGAGACTCTTGGATATGCCAATGAGATAAAATCCCCTCCCATTAGTTCGACATGCTTAATAAAAAAGCAGAGGATGTCCATGTCTGAATCTATCAAGGCACAGAGTTCCCATTTATGCCCCTGTGCATTAAGAATGAGCCTTTGCTGTGTCAGCAAGATAAGCCCCAAAAGAATGATCTTTTATTGACTAAACTGTCAACCTCAATCTTGTGAGGAAGAACACTTTCCATGCTGCACTAGACAATTATTGACCAGCAGTAACGCATAAAAATGTAAAGTAAATTATTTCATTAAAAATTTTATCCTCAAACTAAAGCAAAAGATTTATACTGCTTTTATAATTCTATAGAAGAAAGTAAGTCTTTCAAATTATCTTAAGTTATGTTTAAAATTTTTTGAATAATCTTCACTATTTCATATAAAACACATATATCTCAAATACAAGATTTTATGTTTATGTTTATGTTTTATGTTTATGTTTATAAACAAATAATTGGCACACATGTTTAGGTCTGGCTTATAAACAAGTGACAGGCACATGTGGGGGTTTTAATGGGAGATTCAGTAGCACTGAAATAAATAGAAAAGACATATTTTTAATTTCTATTGCAGAATAAAAATGTAATGCTGTAATTATAAACCATAATCTTTTTTGCTTTTATAATTCAAAAATCTGAGGTTGAAGTTATCTGCATCATCAAGGGGGAAGAAATGAAAGTAAAATCTTAGATTATTCTGACACTGAGTGAAAACAGCCAGAATTTTGTGGATTCCAGAAACTTTTACCTTATATGTCACGTAAACAACTATTTTTAAAAATTATAGACAAAAATATATGATTCTTCATAAGTTTTAGTCTGATGTCATAAGAATGGAGATATAACCAAATATTTAACTTTAATAATGGTTAGAAATATGCCAAATAAAACATTACTTAATTCTACTTTCAGCCATGACAGAGTTACTAAAATCACCTCGAGCCTACTGCAGTAAATAACTACATACATTGTCTACATATATAGGAAACAAACGTGTTCTGAAATTGAAAAGTAGGCAGCACAAGACTGAGAAAACAGAGACAAGAAACATGTGAGGTATGTCCTATGATATCATCCAAGCTTTCTGCCAGGATTTTTTCAGATCATAGTGAAAAAAAGGTGTGAAAGGTAGAGAGAGGGATAATTAGTGATAATAGGCTTTCTGGGTCGAGGAGACAGAGAAAAGTGTTTGGGAAAATTGAGGCACATGGAATATCTTGGGCAAAGTGCTGGAGAAAAGGGAGCACTGTGGAAAAAGAGATCCAAAAATCTGCATAGGAGTCTCCCTGAGAGTGTAACTGAATATTAAGCCATGAATATATATGGAAAAACTTCAGAAGGCCAGCCAAAGAACAACTGTGGGAGCTATAAAGGTGAGTTCACCAATTCTCAGAATTCACAAAGGACTGGAAATATATCGGTTCTGATAAGACTTTTTTGAACAACCAAGGAATTAAGGAAAGACATTAGAAGAGTCATATTTTAATAGTAGGGTAAAAGTAGGCCATTTTGGAAAACTTTTAAAATATGCCTCAAAAAGAAACAAGCTAATCCACAAGTAACTTTAGTTGCTTGTCAGATTAAAGCCTAAACTCTTTAAAGACTACTAAACTCAACAATGACATCAACATAAATTTATAAGGTCCGGTATCCAATTAAAGCTTAACAGACATGTGGAAGAATCTAAAATTTGTAATAAATAGAAAGGTTAGTAGAAAAAGATCTTAGAAAGAAATGAAAGAGCAGGTGGAGATAATATAAGCAAGCCTAAAATTAAAAGAAAAGCATAAAAATAACGAAGAGAGAAATGAAAAGTATATAAAAGAAAAAATTGAACTTGTGTGGGTGAAAAAGACAATTATCAGAAGTGAAGAATTCTGTGGATGGGATTAATAGCTGATTTAACACTATTCAAAAGAGATCAGAGAAAATACAGCAATAGCAAATATCCAAAGTGAAGAAGAGAGAAAGATAAATGGTGAGAACTGACAGGAACTTCAGTAAACAGCTTAAAAATATCAAGATGTTAAACATACGTGGATTGGAGTTCAAAAAGAGAGAAAAATAAGTGCTTAAAAAAATTCCATATTCTATGAAACAAATAAACTTACTGATTCAAGATCTGTAAAAAACCTTACTGGATAAATCTAAAGACAACGATACCAAAGTATTTTCTAATGAAATTGTTGAATACCAGTGAAAAAAAGAAAATTTTGAAAGTAGTCAGAGGAGAAAATACATATTTTGTACATAGGAGCAAAGATTACCACAGTTTTCTCATCAAAAATTAAGTCAGAAATCAATTAAATTCCATTTTGGAGGACCTGATAGGAATAAAAACTATAATACTAAAGTTCTATCTGGCAGAACTGTTCTTAAAATGAGGACAAAATAGCTGAGAGAATTTGCTGCTAGATCTGCAAGGTGTTTTTCAGATGGAAAGAAAAGAACCCTAGAAGGAAATTTCCATTTACATAAAGGAATACAAAATAACAGAAATTATAAATATATGAATAAAAAATTTTTTAAATTTATTTAAAAGACAAGGGATAAAGTAAAAAAATATATATTGTGTTAATAATATACATAAAGTATAATGTGAAAATAGGAAAAAACAATAAAAGGTTATGGAAGTACACTGTTGTAAGATTCTTACATTATATATGAAGTGAAATAAAAGGATTTGAAGATACACTGGGATTATATAAAGTTGCAAATTTTAAACTGTAACCCGACCATAAAAAAATTAAGCAAAAAAATCCAATAGTAGAGATAAAATTATATTCTAGGAAATAATTATTGAGAAGATTGGGAAAAAAAAGGAAATAGAACAGTGAGTGGACAAATGAAGGCAGTTAAGATAGTAAATTTAAATGTAACCATAATAAGTACATTATTATTCAAAATGCAGATATCTTAAGACTGAATCATTTTCTTGTATGTCACTGCAAAATTTTTCACTTGCTTCTTTTGCTCTTTCACGTATTCTAACGTGCATCAAAATCAGAATTCTCTTCAAAATCTATACATGAATAAATCAGAACAGAGGATTCTATTTGTTATTGTAAATAGAAGAGGAGAGTGGTGAGAATTGAAATGAGTTAAAATGATAGGAAAGATGATTTGCCTAATTTTGCCAATACCACTGTATAAGTTAAGTCTTTCCCAGACAAGCAAACACTAAGGGAATTTATCACTATGAGATCAACCCTACAAGAAATACTCAAAGGAGTTCTAAAAGTGGAAATGGATGGATAATACTCACCATCATAAAAGGACAGGTAAGCACAAATATCACAGATCCCAAAAAGTAATTACACAAATGAAACTTCAAGGCAACTAGCTAACAACACTATGACAGGAAAAATTCTCACATATCAATATTAACCTTGAACATAAAAGGCCTAAATGCAGTATTTAGAAGATAGAGTGGAAAAGGATAAAAAACAAAAACAAAAAACAAACAACAAAAACAAAAAAAACAAGACCCAAACATCTGCTGCATACAAGAGACCCACCTAATTGCTAAAGACACAAACAGACTCAACTTTGGACTTAAACTGGACTACAAACCAAGTGGACCCAATGGACATTTACAGAATATTCTGCCCAACAAAGGCAGAATATACATATATGCATAGAACATTCTCCAGAATTTACCATATGCTTGGCCATAAAACAAGTCTCAAAAACATCAAATTCATATCAAATGTCTTCTCAGACTACAGTTGAATAAAATTATAAATCAATTCCAAGAGGAGCTCTCAAAACTACAAAAATGCATGAAAACTAAACAATTTCCTCCTGAATGGCTTTTGGGTAAATAAAGAAATTAAGGCAGATATCAGAACAATTTTTCAAAACAAATGAAAATAGACAAACTATAAACAAAAACCTCTGGAATAAAACAAAAGGGCTACTAAGAGAAAAGTTGGTTTCACTAACTGCCTACATAAAAAAGAGAAAGATCTCAAATTAACAACCTAATATCACACCTTAAGAAACTGGAAAAACAGGAACAAATTAAACACAAAGCAAGCATAAGAAAATAAATAGCAAAGATAAGAGGAGAACTAAATGAGACTGAGACCAAAAAAATTATACAAATGACCAATGAAAGAAAAAGTTGGTTCTTTGAAAGGATAAACAAAATTGATAGACCACTACCTAGCTTAAGCAAGAAAAAAGGAGATTCAAACAAGTACAATTAGAAATTATAAAGGTGACATTAACAACTCATATCACAGAAATACAAAAGATCATCAGAGACTACTATGAACACCCCTATTTGCAAAAACTAGAAAACCTAAAGGAAATGGATAAATTTCTAAAAACTTACAACCAGCCAAGATTGAATCAAGAAGAAATAGATACCCTTAATAGACCAATAATGAGTAATAAAATTGAATCGATAATAAAAAAAATCTTCCAACAAAAGGAATCCCAGGACCAGATGGATTCATAGCTAAAATGTTACCAAACATACAAGGAAGAGTTATTTCAAAATATCAAGGGGGAAGGATTCCTCCCTAGCTTATTCTAAGAAATCAATATCACCCTGATACCAAAATCAGACAAAAAAGAGAACTACATGCAATATCCCTGATGAACCTAGAAGCAAAACTCCTCAACAAAATACTAGCAAACAGAACTACAGGCCAATATCCCTGATGAACCTAGATGCAAAACTCCTCAACAAAATACTAGTAAACAGAATCCAAAAGCACATGAAAAGATAATTTATCATGGTCAAGTGGGTTTTATTCCATGCATGCAAGGATAGTTCAACATATGCAAATCAATAAATTTGATTCATGGCATAAACAGAATTAAATATATATATAATCATCTCAATAGATGCAGAAGAAGCATCCAATAAAATCTAACATCGCTTCATGATACAAAACCCACAAAAAACCAGGCATCAAAGGAAAATACTTCAAAATAATAAGAGCCATCCATGGCAAATACACAGCCAGCATCATGTTGAATGGAGAAAAGTTGAAAGCATTCCCCTAAGAACTGGCACAAGACTGGCACAAGAACTGGCACACTCCTCACTCCTATTCAACATAGTATTGGAAGTTCTAGCCAGAGAGATCAGGCAAGAGAAGGAAATAAAAGGCATCCAAATTGGAAAAGAGGAAGTCAAATTATCTCTGGTCCTGATGACATCATTGTATACCTAGACAACCCTAAGATTCCTCTGAAAGACTCCAAAAATCAATAAATGATATCAGTAAAATTTCAGGATACTGAAATCAATGTACACAACTCAGTAACGTTTCTACACATCAATAATGTTCAAGCTGAGAGCAAAATCAAGAACTCAATCCCATTTACAATAGTTAGAAAAAAAAAACAATTTAGAATACATTTAACCAACTAGGTGAAAGATTCATACAAGGAGAACTAAAAATACTGATGAAAGAAATCATAGATGACACAAACAAATAAAAAAATCCCATGCTCATGGATTGAAAGTATCAATATTGTTAAAATGATTATACTGCCCAAGGCCACCTACAGATTCAGCACAGTTCCTATCCAATTACTAATGTCATTTTTCACAGAATTAGAAAACCAATCCTAAAATTCCCATGGAAGCAAAAAAGAGCCAGAATAACCAAAGCAATCCTCATCAAAAAGAAGAAATATGGAGGCATCACATTACTTGAATTCAATTCATACTACAAGGCTACAGTAGGTATAAAAGCATGGTACTAGCACAAAAATGTACATGTAGATCAATGGAAAAGGAAATAGAACCCAGAAATTAAGTCACATACCTACAACTGATTGATTTTTGACAATAGGGTCAAAAATAAAGAATGGCAAAATGACAACTTACTTGATAAATAGTGTTGGGGAAGTTGGCTAGCCATATGCAAATAAATGAAACTGGACTCCTGTCCCTCATCATATATAAAAATCAACTTAAGATTGATTAAAGACTTAAATGTATGACCTAAAACTATAAAAATCTTCAAAGAAAATCTAGAAAACACTCTTCTGGACATTGACCTAGGCAAAGAATTTATAATGAAGACCCTAAAAGTAAATGCAACAAAAGCAAAAATAGACAAATGACAGTTAATTAAACTGGAAAGTGTCTGCACAGAAAAAGGGATAATCACCAGAGTAAGCACACAACCTACAGAATGAGAGAAAATATTTGCAAATTATGCCTCCAACAAAGGACTAATAATATCTAGAATCTACAAAAAACTCAACACATCAACAAGAAAAAAATAAAGAACCCCATTAAAAACTGGGAAAATATAGATCAATGGGACAGAACAGGGTCCTCAGAAATAATGTCGCATATCTACAACCACCTGATCTTTGACAAACCTGAGAAAAACAAGAAATGGGGAAAGGATTCCCTATTTAATAAATGGTGCTGGGAAAACTGGCTAGCCATATGTAGAAAGCTGAAACTGGATCCCTTCCTTACACCTTATACAAAAATTAATTCAAGATAGATTAAAGACTTACATGTTAGACCTAAAACCATAAAAACCCTAGAAGAAAACCTAGGCATTACCATTCAGGACATAGGCATGGGCAAGGACTTCATGTCTAAAACACCAAAAGCAATGGCAACAAAAGACAAAACTGACAAATGGGATCTAATTAAACTAAAGAGCTTCTGCACAGCAAAAGAAACTACCATCAGAGTGAACAGGCAACCTACAAAATGGGAGAAAATTTTCGCAACCTACTCATCTGACAAAGGGCTAATATCCAGAATCTACAATGAACTCAAACAAATTTACAAGAAAAAAACAACCCCATCAACAAGTGGGCAAAGGATATGAACAGACACTTCTCAAAAGAAGACATTTATGCAGCCAAAAAACACATGAAAAAATGCTCATCATCACTGGCCATCAGAGAAATGCAAATCAAAACCACAATGAGATACCATCTCACACCAGTTAGAATGGCAATCATTAAAAAGTCAGGAAACAACAGGTGCTGGAGAGGATGTGGAGAAATAGGAACACTTTTACACTGTTGGTGGGACTGTAAACTAGTTCAACCATTGTGGAAGTCAGTGTGGCGATTCCTCAGGGATCTAGAACTAGAAATACCATTTGACCCAGCCACTCTCATTACTGGGTATATACCCAAAGGATTATAAATCATGCTGCTATAAAGACACATGCACATGTATGTTTATTGCGGCATTATTCACAATAGCAAAGACTTGGAACCAACCCAAATGTCCAACAATGATAGACTGGATTAAGAAAATGTGGCACATACACACCATGGAATACTATGCAGCCATAAATAATGATGAGTTCATGTCCTTTGTAGGGACACGGATGAAACTGGAAACCATCATTCTCAGCAAAGTATCGCAAGGACAAAAAACCAAACACCGCATGTTCTCACTCATAGGTGGGAATTGAACAATGAGAACACATGGACACAGGAAGGGGAACATCACACTCTGGGGACTGTTGTGGGGTGGGGGGAGGGGGGAGGGATAGCATTAGGGAGATATACCTAATGTAAATGACGAGTTAATGGGTGCAGCACCCCAACATGGCGCATGTATACATATGTAACAAACCTGCACATTGTGCACATGTACCCTATAACCTAAAGTATAATAATAATAAAATTTAAAAAAAAACTGGGAAAAGGACATGAACAGACATTTCTCAAAAGAAAACACACAAGCAGCCAACAAACACATGAAAAGAATGCTCAACATCATTTAACCAGAGAGAGACAAATTAAAACCATACTGAAGTATCATCTTGCCACAGTCAAAATGGCTACCATTAAAAAGTCAACAAATAACAGATGTTGGCATGGATGTGGAGAAAAGGGAATGCTTATGACCTGTTGGTGGGAATCTCAGTTAGTTAAACCTCTATGGAAAACAGTATGAAGACACCTCAAAGAACTAAAAATAGAATTACCATCCAATCCAGCAATCCCACTACTTGGTACCTACTTAAGGGAAAATAAATCATTATAAAAAAAAAAAAACAACGTTCACTCGTATATTTATCACAGCACTATTCACAATAGCAAAGTCATGGAACCAACCTAAGTGCTCATCAATGGTTGATTAGATAAAGAACATGTGGTATATATACACACCAAGGAATACTATGTAGCCATAAAAAATGAAATTGTTTCCTTTGTGGCAATATAGATGGTGATGGAGACCTAAGTAAAATATCTCAGAACAAAAAATCAAATACTGCATGTTTTCACTTATAAATGGGAGCTAAACAATGGCCACACATGGACATACAGATAAAAATAATAGGCACTGGGGACTCCAAAAAGGGAGGGTGGTAGAGGGTGAGTTTGAAAAATTACCTACTGGGTACAACACTATTTGTGTTTTGGGTACACTGGAAGCCAAATCCCCATCATTATGCAATATACCCATGTAATGAACATGCATTTAGACATGCTGTCTAAAATTAAAACAAAATTTTAAAAGTTAATATGAACTGAATTCTAGAAAACCCACAGAATGGGAGAAATCATTTGCACATATTATATCTGATAAGTGATTAATGATCAGAATTTATAGATAACTCATATAACTCAACAACAAAATAAACAACCCTATTCAAAAAAGGTCAATTCTTAGGCTGATAACTTTAATTACTTTAAGAAGTGATTCTTTCCATATTCAATACAAATGAGGAATGGGAGGAAATTGTTCAAGGAGATGGGATAAGCTGGTAGAAAAATTTTAAAAGAAACTGTAAATGAGAGAATTATATTCAAATGTATTAACACAGTCACTTTGAAAAATCTAATATAATCATAGACAGCATAATTCTGTAATTTAAAAAGCTGGGAAAATTGGGGCCAAGTTTCAATAATTTAGATAACTTACCCACAAGTAATTACTGGTTTTAGAAAAACTAGAGGTCCATTGTTTGGCTCTTATTTCAGTTTCTTAAAAATAGTATATTATCCAGTAAATTTTGGATTATGTACTCTCAAGGTTAGTGTCTGATTCTATTCCTTCATTAACTTGGATAATTGCACCATAAAGGTCTTCAACCATCTAAAAAAAATCACGGTTATGAGTTCTTGTTTAGTTGCATGATTTCTGAACAGACATCCAGAGTCAATATACATTTGTAGTAAATGAATAAAATGTTCAAAGAAAGCAAAAGTGTCTACTACTATATAATAAAGTATAATGTGAATTAAAGAGAAAATAAGTGGCTCTAGTATGCACAGAGAAGAAAAAATCCTTGGCTTTGTTGTAGCTTGCTGAAGTCTTTAGTCATTCTAATATTTAATTTTCTTTTAATTTAGGAACATATCTGCTGTTTTGATTGTTTATTTTTCATAGTCTCCACCCCTGCCCCACCAACTTTTTCCATAGTTTGAATTTGTTTGTATATTTGTCATTTTTTTGTTCCAGTATAGAATAATATTATTATAATGTAGTTTAAAATTTTTTTGTAGATTTTCTCTTAAAAAGGGAAAGAGTAAAGAGCACAGCATGAGAAAGCACGAAATGTTCTATGCAATTCAAGATCATCATTCTTTCTCCTAATGACATCCAAATGACCTACAGTCTAATGGCCCCTGTGAAAAAATACACACCATAATACTTCCATTATCAAAGGATACTAGTAGCCAAATGACTGAACTTTTGCCTGACCTAATTCAAATGAATTGGTTTTGTGTCCAATGTACTAAGGCACAAAGCAATTAATTCATTTCATCTTTAGTTGGAGGAAGAGATGGGGTGAAAGAAGGAAATAAACAATTTTGCACTATTTTATTTATTTCATATACATTATTTTACTTAATCCCCCAAGGTAGGTGGTATTAACACATTTTACAAATGAGGAAGTTGAGGATGCTCAGAAAAGTTACGTAAATTATTCAGGATTCACAGTATAAGTAAATAGCAAAGTTAAAATTTGCACCTAAATTAATGTAACCTTAAATCCTTCTTTAGTTGGCACTTCATCACAATCAACAGGCATTCAGACATTAATTCCATAACTATTTATTGACATTTATTATTACTAGTTCTTTTCCTGAGAGTTGTTGAAGATCCATTGAACTAATAATCCTATTGTTTAATTTTTCAAAAAAATTCTAGGATAGACTATTATTAAGCAGATCGTTTTTTCAACCCTCAGTAATCCCTTACAATGCATAATACTGTCAAAATTTATAAAACCTTTTTCATATACAGCATAATCTTATTTAATTATAGGAATTCTCTTCAGAAACTAGCTTTAATTTCATAAGACCCAGTGATACTTAGATAAATATTTCCTGTTGAGATGCTAGATGCTACATAAGTTAAATGTTACAGAAATTGATTATCTTGATTTGCCAAGATATTTAATAAAAATATCTTGTGCCAGCCAAATGGGCAACATAAGAGAAAATGGCTATGAAAACACATAGTTTGGTAAATTTATAAGTGGTTGAGCTTCTGCACTCAAATAGTATTAGCTAATTAATCTATTTTGTCATTAACTACATATGTAATTTATATAGTCCAGAAGAGAGATTCTTTGGGATATAATTTAATACTGTTCCATTCATTGGTCACCAGAAGGTGGATAAAACAAATCTCAGGGAAGCTGCTAATATATTAGAAAACAGAATAAGACATTTAAAATAATTTTTGTAAAGGAAAATTATGAAAGCACATTAACAAAATGAATATCAGCTTTGATAAATATAAAGCCTTGATTTACATTCAGATAAGTAAATTGCATGAATGCGGCATGAGCAGATACTTGCCTAAATAGTATTTTATATGAGCTTTTTATGAACTTATTTTATATGAATCTTTATATGAATATTTTCATATATTTGTTGATTGAACAATCATTACAATACAAAATAAAATTATTGCTAAGTAAGGTAATTAAACTTGGGTCACACTAATATAAATACGATGAAATGTAGTTTGGGACATTCAGGACCTAGGAAAGCTTTTATTTCTGGTGTTCAGACAATAATTTTAGAAGCCTTTATGTCTGTAAAATCACTACTCTTTACAAAAGTAACCGACAATTCAGGGAGAAGCCATGCAACGATTAGCAGGAAGATAATAAAAGATCTAGAAACTACGAATGGGAAACACATTGAAGGGATTGTGGCAGACAGCAAAACATAAAAGACTTTAGCAATAAAATGTTGACAATTTAAAAATTCTGAATGGCTATCATATGGATTGAGCCTTAAGCTTCTCTAAAGATGCAGGTTATAAGCTTGGGAAGAAGTTAACATTATGAAAATGCAGGGTGAAGCTTAGTCCAGGAAATATTTCCCAATAATAATAATCATTCTTGAAAGTGTTCAAGAGAAGCCAGATTATTATGTGTGACATATATTAATATGGGTGTTTCTACAGAGTATGAGATTGGGCTAAGGATACATAATAACTTTTTGCTTTCTAAGACTTCTATTTCATAGTGTACATAAGAGCACCTACAGGAGGAAACTTATGTCAAGAGATGATAAAGAAAGGCAGAGCTAACTTATATTTTGTACCACTTTTAAAATTAAGTATAATGATATTGAAGTTAGAATTGACAGAAGAAACATGACTATAAGAATTAAATCTAAGAGAGGTAAAACCATTATAAGATAATACTTAGTCATTAGAAAGTAGTTTATATGAAGAAATTGTTTCTTTTTGTATTCTTTTGTGTATATATGTCTTCAATTCCCCCAGGGAAATTCTCAAATACATTTTTACATACCTGTAAAAATTTTACATAAATGCAACATTCTAGAAACTCCTGAAATCACATTGAAATATTTTTATATTGTTAAAATAATGTTCCTTAAATGTAAAAATTAAAAACAAAGCAAATAAGCATTACATTTTTCAAAATCTATAATAAAGCATAAACCCCAAATACATATAGAATCATGTAACCAAAATAAGAAACAGAATCATAATATCATAAAACGTAAAAGTGAATAACAGGGAGACATCTTTTTAAAACATTATCTTTAACCACAGTGTAAGGAAAAGAAGGTTTATTTCTAGTGGAGCAATTTCCTGCACATAAAAACAACAAAGAAAAGATCTAGGTTCGCTGTGCTATATCGACCGCTGGTAATTTAAAAAAAAAAAAACTTACCAATTTAATCAGTCAGCTTTGCTTACACTAAAGGCTCTAAATCTGCCCCAAACTACTGGTTCTTCTAAGATAAGACTCTAAGAAGAGACTGTACTTAACTCATATAAAGGTTCTCAGGAAATTGAGTGTGAGTGCCAATGTAATAGTCTGCCTCCTCCAGTTCTTCTTTCCTAGAAGATGCTTGTGCTGTTTAGTTTTCTTCTTTTTCCTTTGTATAATTTCTCAATGCTCTTAATGGCATTGTTTTCTTGTTTGTTTGTTTTTGTGTTTCCTCATGAGCTTATGTTTCATGAGAATCAACCCAAGATGCTATGGAATCTTATGTAGAAATTATCTGTATCTGTCCCTGTGGTTCTGTGATACACCAGTTGGAAAGCCACCAGTCCTTCACTGAAGGACTTAGGAAATTGCTCTACTCCTGAGTTTCTTTGCTGCCAAAGCCACTACTGTCATATTCTCGGAGCCAGAAGAGATCCAGGTCTCCTGTGCAGTTCATCTGTTACAAAGGGGTCATCAGGTACTCCTAGGACTGCCCATGTAAGAGTGACTGCCATTCCTTTCCAGAATCTACATTTCTCTGCAAGGAAAGCTTTGTCTAGGTGTTCAGACCCTCATCCAGAGGACTGCATGCCATAAAGCCACAGGCTTCTATAATGCACATATGGTGATTGAGTCTCGTGCCCAAGGTCTCTCTGCATGGTATTCCCAGTCTCTGATCACCTTGGTAGATTAGCGTAATGCCTCCCTAACTTTAATTAGCACAGTCATTGCCTAGAGACCTTATTAAAATGCAGAATCTGATTCAGTAGGCCTCTAGTTGGGCCCCAGTGTCTGTCAAGTGAGACAGATGTTTCTGGTCTGCAGACCACATTTTGTATAGCAAGAAGGTTGTTAGTTAGTAGTGATTTTTAAAGGCAAAAGTGGCAAGTAGCTATATTAGTGAATAGTGGTCACTGCTAAAGCTGGATGCCCATCTGTTCCATTTTTTAGGAATCTTTTCCCATACATTTTATATGACCATCTTTCACCTACTTGATGGAACTCCTAATTATAACTATAAGGAAAAAACAAATTTTATTAATATATTGGTAGAAACATTAAATTGGCAAATTTAGGAGAATATGTGTTGGTCAAAACAATATGTGAAGATGTTAACGAGTTAATATTTGCTTATGAGTTTTTGATACCATTAAACGTAGAGGACATCAGTGGTATGACCAAAGTTTATCACAGGGAATAAAAAAATACTGCAGGTTTTAAACTTGCTGGCCGGCTACAGTTCACTCTCTTTATGCAAATGAACTATAATGAGTAAGATCACATGCAATTAAAATAAATATCAGTCAGGGATGAGGTTACATGATAGCTGGCACACAATGGGATTCACATAAGGGATTTTACAGCAAGTATTTTGGTCAGGATTTGAATCCAAGAGACTACTGAGTTTGCATTTTTAATCCCTAACATAAGCATTTGGAAGTTAAATTGTACTATAGCTTTCAAAGGTTCACATGGCTTGCTCAGCTGTGAAATGACAGTAGGAAAAAAGTCTTATATACTGAAATCAAAGAACAACTGTTTGGTGGAAATCTAAAAGGCCAGGTTGAAAAGAGTTCTTAGATATATCGGCTTTAGTAATACTTCAAAGTACCTGGAGGTCAACTGTTGTTCAAAAATTTTAATTGGAAAATTCCAGAAATAAATAATTCGTAAGTTTTTAATTGTGTGTCATTCTTAGTAGCCTGATGAGATCTCACAGGGTCCCACTCCATTCCAGAACCCAAATCGTCCCTATGTCTAGTGTATCCATGCTGTCTTCACTACATGCCCGTTAGTCTCTTAGTGGCCATCTCAGATCTGATAAGATTGACTGTCTCACTATTGCAGTGGCTGTATTCAAGTAACCCTTATTTTGCTGAATAATGGCCCCAAAGTGCAAGAGTAGTGATGCTGGCATATTGTTATAATTGTTCTATTTTATTATAATTGTTGTTAATCTCTTACTGTGCCTAATTTATAAATTGAAGATTATTATTGTTATGTATGTATAGGAAAAAACATAGTATGCATACGGCTCAGGACTGTCTGTGATTTCAGGCATTCACTAGGAATCTTAGAATATATTGGCCACAGATAGGGGGGACTACCGGACCTCATTTTTAAACATACTCATCCTACATAATAGTAACTTTGTGGCCTTTAGCTAAATCTTGCTCTTCCCCTCTACAATCCAGTCTCACTCCTGGTAACTACCATTGCTACTCTCTGTTCCTATATATTATACTTTTTTAAGATTCCATTTATATGTGAAATCATGCAGTATTTTTCTTTCTGTGTCTGACTTATTTCACTCATAAAATTGCCATTTATAGAAGAAAATGTAGTAGGCAGCATATGCAATCCTAAATAACACTATTGTCAGGTCCCTAGGTTAAGAAAAATTAGATTTTCAGAGATTGGTATTAATTATTGTTAATTGGCATAATGCCTGGCATATTGTATTCAATAAAACTTAATGAGTGAAGACAGGAAGGAGCTTCTGAAAAATACATTCAAACTTCTAGGATTTCAGTGGTTCCCTAAATTCAACACAAAAGATGATTCCTTTGCTGCACAATCACAAAATCTAGCAGTGAGGAGAAAACATCCATTTGATAATTACAGAGAACCAGAAATAGAGAATAGGTAACTCTCTATGAAGAGAGTTAGCCAAGGGCATTTAATTGACAAGTTCTCTGACTTGAAACCTCCTCTTATAATGTTTTCCCCAAACAGATAAGCAGGGTGATGGGCTGCCTCTCTGCGGTGGTCAACCCAAGCATCCGTGTCTACCTTATCCTCTCTTCTTCACTTGAAATTTGGTCTCCAGTATCATTTGCCACTGATACAATAATTTACCCTAATCTGTATTATCCTAAACCAAAATATTTTTGGATGCAAAATAAGAGGTGAGTCTCTCAGAAGAAGAGAATTCTCTGGCAAAGAGAACAACTAAATTTTGGTGGTGGGGGAGCATTGCTAGAAATAGTAATCACAATTAAGACACTGAAATAGCAATGAATGGAATAAAAACATAATTATATCCCAGGCTACATTGTCTCTATTGTTATTGTATTGTCCCTTCACAAGCTTTTGGTATCTATAGAAATACCCATGGCTCTGGATAGTTTCTACCTTTTGTTGCTGACATTATTATTATCAGTATATTTAGTTGTTTAACTTCTACTTCACCTTCTTTTGATAATTTCCCCTTTTTTGAGAAATTGTCTCTTTTCCTATTGTTTATAGCCTAGTGAACATTTTATTTAAGGTATATTACCCTTCCCTAGCCAAGAGATAGATTGGTAACCTGGCACAGATATTTGGACACTCTCTCCTTATAATCTAAATAATGGCATAAGAATGAAAGTCTAGCTCGCAGTTAGACTTTTCAGACCTTGTAGTTACTTTAGATTTATCATTTCCCAGGTCTGATTCTCCAGTCTTCTCATGGAAATTATAAACTCTCACATAGTCTTCCAATACGTTCATTTTTGTTTAGGTTAGGCAGAGTTAGCATCCATTTGAGGCAATTAAAAAAAAAAAAAAACCTAATATATTGCCTACACTTGATTGTAGGAGTTCAGAGCTCTCTTGTACTATGCCTCTACAGTACTCTTGGAGCTCATAACCCAGCCCAGTGTCTCCTAGCAGCCTCCTTTCCCCCCTGTTTCTTACTCTTTTATTGCTGACCTGTGTTAGCTGCTACTCTGACCTGATTTTATCTATATGAAATGCTCAACCACAGCTTGGTCATATCCTGAGATGTCTAATTTTTTCCCACCTGAGCCCCTTAAATCCTGAAATAAGTTATCACTTTCATTAACATAATTTTATTTTCACAAGCCAGATCTTTGCTTACTCTTTAATTAGTAATCATATTACTAGTTTTCCATTCTATTACGCCATTCCTGATTTCTAATTATGAATCAAAATAGTCCAACCTACCAAACTAAATTCACAATCATCTACATGAAAAATGAATCACCATGAAATGTGAATTTAATTTCATGAGAAATAAGTATTTTCCAGACACTGAATGGGTTACATAAAAAGCTATGTTAATGACTTCAAAATTAAAAAATATATAAACAAAGGACAAAGGATCTGTTTTCTGCTTTTTGAGATTATCCTAAGAGATACTTGTGGTTGAATAAGAGAATAAATATAGTTCTTAATTGCTTCTAAGACAATTGCACTCTGACTTCCCTAAGTATAATTATTTTAATGTTTTCACACTTACTGTATCTTTTTATGATTTCAAAATAATTCTTACATTAAATACTTATAAACCCACTATTAAAAACACTTCAATAATTAAATTAATATGAACAGAAAAACATTATTTTATCATCTTTTTCTCCCAAATAAATAAAAAATATCACTCAGTAATTTAAAAAAAATATCACTCAGTAATTTAAAAAAAATGTTAGAGGAAGAACCACACAAACAGAAAGTGCTATTTTGGGTCTCTGTTAAAGAATATGGAATTATTTTTCAGAAAAAACATGATGGTAATGACATGAAAATGTGATGAAGGCTTAATGAGATTTTACTATATTATTTGTAGTATTGTTGATTACTATTGTGTTCCTTCACAGACTCGGTACAGTGCAGAGGACAAAGGCTAGTGACCTTCTTTAGAAGAAAGAGAATGATGTGTTTCAGGTGCCCTGAACTCAAACCATGGTGCCAAGGACAAAATCAGAAAGTGCTAAAAGCAATTACAGAGGACAATCCTCACTGAAATTTACAGCACATGTTGAAAAACTACATCCATATTGCCTAATTATCTCTGTAGGAGAACTTTTCCTCTCCAGCGACCAGAAATTTTAAATTCAAATTTTAGTATATATAGGTCAACATAAACCCAGAAAAAAACCCTCATAATTGCAAAACTGGGAAATAAATTAAATCCACAGAAGTGATTTAAACTAACAGAAATAGCACAGAAGTGAGTTCAGCTAACAGAAATAGAAACTATCATTCCACAACAATTTTTTTAAAAATTGTTCTTAAATGGAAATACAAAGAAATGCCCTAATCTCTTATAACTAAAAAAGTCTTCAAGTGAAACAACTAGGCTGATTCACAAACAGTAACTTCTCATCTTTTAACTGTCAGTTTTGCAGATGATTTACAGATACTACAAAACACAAGAAACATGCCAAATATAGTAAATGAATACCTAATTTGGAAACTTGTCAGATCCAGTTTATTTTTAAATTTGTACAACTAATACCAGGCAAGTTTATGCTTTCAAAATAGTGTTTTCACCAATGAATATAAAGGAAAAGCACAATTCTTGTAAAGGAATAAGCCTTATTAAGGAAAAGTACAATTCTTGCTAACCCCAGTGTTGACTTAAATTATATTTATTGCACTACTAAAATACATATAAATGTGAAACTAAGTATAGCTTCTTTACACTTATAATTTAAGCAACTATAAAACTCATTTATAAATTAAACAGAAATAAAGCCATAATATCCATAAATTCAAATCAGCAACATTACATTAATGGGATGGATCACGAAACTAAGTAACAGCTTACAAGATGAACATACTTACTTGTATGCTTCAGGTTCTGTAGACTTCTACATTGTCTTACTTCCCAAAGTAATGCTCCTAATGACTGCATTGTATGGCTTTTCTGGTAAAATTATTGCAAAATCTTCTTTTGGGCAGTGTGACTTGAAGTCTTTTCACTCAAATTTTTCACTGGCCTATTAATCAGCATTTGTTTTTTTTTTCTCATTAGGCCAGGAAATCATAGCAACAATTTTCTATAGTAAATAGATCTTCTAAATACTCTAGAATAAATAGTAAATATAGTAAATAGTGCCAACTCTATTGTAAATACACACTTTGTGTGATAGACACAATTAAAAGGTGGCTATGTTTAAATTAAAGTATGAGTCAGATTATGCATGCATCATTTTAATTAACATATTGTAATAAATGTTTAAATGTTCATAGAGAATGCATAAGCTCTAGAAATATTTTTGCTGATTTCAGATTGCGATATAAAGTAATCAATGATATAAAAGAAGTCACAATAGTCATTTAATTCCTCAGCCTGTGTCACTGTTTCCCTCTGCTTTGAGACTCTTATTTCCTTTCCACCCAGTAACTGCTGATTGCTGTGGGTCCATCCCAGGCCTGTCCAGTCACGGGGAAAATTACTTTGACAAACATATGCACAGTAAGGCATTGCTTACATACTGAGTAACTTCTCCCAGGATTATTTATAAAAACTCTCTCCTTCGAGGAAACAATGCTTAAGCAAGATGAATTAATTTCTATGATCTCGTACCATAGTGGGGATATATATTTACAAAGAAGTCTTTTCCTGGCACCAGGGCAACAAAACTATTCTGGCTACACGGGGTGAAAATATATCTCTACAACAACTTTCTGCTTTTCACATGCAGTAGAAGAAAACTGTGACAAGTTAGGTTTCCTATTGTAAAAATGTTACCAATTAGCTTTTCAGATCTGCGGCTGTATCTCCTAAATGCTTGAAAAGCATATTATTTAGCTTTCTCTAAATTATGCTATGCGTCAAGTAACCCCAAAATATCAGTGGCTTTAATATTTATTTCCCATTCAAATAATATGCCCTGTGACAGTTCTGCTGAGTCTCTGTTTCAGGCTTTGGTCGGTGTGGTCGGTGTTCAGATCTGTGCTAGGTGTCTTAGAGACTCAGGCTGAAAGAGCAGCTCTTCCCAAAACATGCTGTTGTCAAAAAAAAGAGTAGAAACAGAGTGGTAAAATCAAACCACGTGAGCACATTTAAAGCACCACTCAGAGGTGGTGTATATCATGTTCACTTGTGTTCTATTAGCCAAAGCAAGTTTCATGGCCAATACTGACATCAGGAAAGAGAAATAACTCTGTCTACAAAAAGTCATTACAAGGATGTCAAAAATGGAGACCAATGTTATAAAAATTACCAGAGTAATGTGTTAGGGATGTGAATAAATAATAAAGATGTGTTTTTGTTTTATTTTATTTTTTTTTGTCTTTTACAAGTTCTTCATGGTCGATAGGAGCTTAGTCTTTGGAGTCAAATAGCCTTAATAAGACTCCAACTCTGACACTTACTAGCTGTTTGGTTTTGAGCAAACCCTCTGTGCCTTAGATTTCTGATCTGAAAATAAATTAATAATGCTTATCTCACAGCTTTATTTTAGGTATTGAGATGCTTAATGTAAAACTCTTGAGTATCTTTTCAGAAGTTTCAGTGGCTTCATACATTAATATGCTTTCCATCTCACCCTCATCCATCATCTCCACACATCATATCACTCTTTTTAAAATTCTGAAAAGTACACGCAAAATGCAACTTAAATAGTAATTTTCAATAATATTTTGCACAAATCACTCTTGTCCTTAATCACATTAAGTGACCTTATTTTGTTTTATCATTTGTCACACTGTTCCTGCAAATGTACATGATATGAAAGCAATTAATCTGGGGAGAGAGTGCAGACCATACAGACATGCTGTAGAGGCAAGCCCAAGTGAGCAGGTTATTTTAAGTTCTGGTGTTCTTTCTAATGTTTATGACTCTATTGCAAAAGCAAATTATCTAAAACAGTGAAAATTATGTACACTACCCTTCACCTGCTCTTTATAGTGCAAATTTCCATATTATTATTTTTATTCCATTCTAAATTGTTAGCAAATAGCTTGATCATTATATACTGATGGGATATCTAAATTTAGAAAATGTTATATAAGCTACAATGATTATCATATACTTGGGAGATTATCTCTGTGGTGAGAATGGGGCTGTTTCTAGCATATGTTAAGTGGCAAAATTTTAGAAGCTAAATATAATTCCAAAAACCTAAAGGAAACTTTAGAACGTATTATTAAATTAAAATGTCAAAACAGAACATTCACATTACTTTTATTTATCCAAATGTTCACTGATTCAGGAAATGTTTCCTTGAATGAAGTTGTACCAGTTAGTGAAAGAGAAGACGGCAATTTCTTCCAGTGAGTCTGTGGCATGAAACAGCCTAAAGAGGTTCCACAGGATGAATGAAGAGCCCAAGAATGAACATTTATGTAGCATGCCACTACCTGCCAGTCATCAGAGCCACCCTGGTGTATAAAGCAGAGGTTTCCCATATTGTCATGGAAATTACTGTCTAGATGAGGAGAGAAGTGTTAAACAAGTAATCATGTGGGAGCCAACATATATATGTGTGTGTGTGTGTGTGTATGTATATATTGAGATGGAGTCTCACTCTGTTGCCACGTTGGAGTGCAGTGGCATGATCTCGGCTCACTGCAACCTCTGCCTCCCGGGTTCAAGCGATTCTCCTGCCTCAGCCTCCTGAGTAGCTGGGATTACAGGCGTGTGCCACCACGCCCGGCTAATTTTTGTATTTTTAGTAGAGGTGGGGTTTCACCATGTTGGTCAGGCTGGTCTTGAACGCCTGACCTCGTGATCTGCCCGCCTTAGCCTCCCAAAGTGCTGGGATTACAGGCGTGAGCCACTGTGCCAGGCCAACATATTTTATAGCTAGGATCTAAAGTCAGCATATAAAGGTAAAAAAAGAGTTATGACTCAAAATTATCCTTGAAAATTCTTTAATAAAAAAATGGGCGACTCACATGAAAACTGACACTTTGTCATACTCTTTTGTTTTGAAGAAATAATTTATCAAAATTTCTATACTGGGTCCAAAGAATATTTTAGACATTTTATTTTATTTACTTGCATTTATATAGTATTATTCGTCCTAAGAGACGAGGCACTGTTGAATGTGAGGACCTGCTGAAATGGGAATTCGAATGATTGGTATTTGGTTTGTGATATGGAAATAGGATGTGTTGTGGCTAAAAGGATTCTTCTGAGCTAGGAGAGCAAGAATCCCAGAAATTACCAGGTGCTGGAGAAACGGAGTGCTCTGAGGGGCTGTAAGTATTACTGGGACTATGTGTCTCCATCTCTTTGACATTTGGTGATGAACATACAGTGATTCAAATATAACTTGGAATGTTTTAATATTTTTGGTTCTTTGGATTATTCATTTGAAAATACTCCTTACATAGACATGTGGCTCCTAGATTTGTAATATTTATATTTTCATATAACAGAAACACTAGACAACAATTAACACCATTATTTTGATATCTTTTCTCTTCAAAAGATGCACTCTCATGTTTAAGAGAACATGTTCTGGTTGGAAAACAAAACACAATGAACTACCGTAAATTGTTACATCTCCAGTGTTTAAATGTGTGATAGTCTAATTAACTTAAAGTGAAAAATATGGAGATGACTTGAGCTAATGATAGAACATTGTTGCCTACACACGAGTAAATGTCTTTCAGCCATGATTACTTAATTTTTTTAGGAATTTTGTTATTACAAAACTACTATTGTATCATGACAATCAAGTTTCTAAAAGAAACCTATTAAGTTTCAATTCAGTAAGAGAATTAAAGAAATATAAGAAAATAAAACTCTATTAGGGATGTGATTATGTCAGATTAATTCTTTGTTTTCAAGGCATTTTAAAAAGCATTTTGTATTCTAAAGTATTTGAAAATAGTTATGTGTATGGAAAGATGATTCATCTTAACAGCAAATGTTTGTGTAACACTTAAATTTTCTGCTTCTACTACTTAAAGTCACTTGGCTAATAATATTTAAATATTAACATAGATATACACGTAAGAAATAAAATAGACAGTATAGGCAAAATACATTAATTTTCTTAAAGGACCACTGCCACCTGTAGCTTGATTTTACTTTGGATATTTAATAAATTTTCACTCCTTTTTTTTTTCCAGGCACAATAAGAAAATGTTACTTTAGAGGTTACAAAATAATTTAATAGATATTCTTTTAGAAATACTTCCAATTCTTAACTGTGCTATTTTTACCTTGAAACAATTTGAGGTACAGATCTCAGTCCCCAAAACATGTCTCGTTTGAGGGATGTTGTGAGGCTGGCAGATGGAACCTGCAAGAAACAATTTCCTCAGCACCAGTACATGCCATTGACCTTTACTCAACTCTTGTCAATAAGAAGAGGAGTCTTGGCTGGGGACAGTGGCTCACACCTGTAATCCCATCACTTTGGGAGGCTGAGATGGGAGGATCACCTGAGGCCAAGAGACCTGCCTGGGCAACATCGTGAGATCCCAGTCTCTACCAAGAATTTAAAAATTATCTGGGCATGGCAGTGTGTGCCTGTAGTCCCAATTACTTGGGAGGCTGAGGCAGGAAGATCCTTCGAGCCCAGGTATTAGAGGTTACAGTGAGCTATGATTGTGCCACTGCACTCCAGGGACTGGGCAACAGAGCAAGATGCTGTCCCCCTCCCAAAAAAAGAAAAAGAAGTGAAAGAAGTGGAGTCTTTCCCTAAACAAATTATTTAAGATTAAGATTTGTTTTTACTTTATATAAATTCAAAGTAGTTTAAAATTTGTAAACTTACAATATTTAAGTATTTTTCCATATAATTGCATAAGATTTCCTTTTATCCCTCATCTAGTTCATTTATGTATGTATGTGTGTGAATTTTTTCCCTCCTTGCGCCCATTCAACCCCTACCTCAGGATCTTTAATCATGTTATTGACTAGTCACTTCTTTATTTATCACTTTGTCTTATTTTAAGGATCTTAATATAATAATTTCCTCATTTTGAATGCTACTTACTATAAAAATTTGATGGAAATATTTTAAATTTGAGGCTGGTGAATTTAATTGACATGAACATGCACTTCATTATATGAAGTTGCAACAAGAAGTCAACTTTTGGAATGTGAAAAAAAAAAGGGGTCTAATTAGGAAACCAAAGTCAAAACAAAGAGCCAAAATCAGAGTACCAGGTTAGATCAACAGCAAGGAGTCTAAGACTAAGTAGGGTCAAATCATGAAAAGTGGAACAAATATTGGAGCACCATGAACCAGGAGTATCAGGAGTGTTAACTTTAGCTTATAAGTGAAATTGTTCTCCTCTGTAAAATTGGGCAGGTTTGCTTGCCTTGTCTTCTAAGCAATAAGTGTGTATATGAGTGAGTTCATATTGGAGACAGAGTCATCCAGTTAATCACCAACAATGGCACCAGTTTGACAGAGCTACCTTTGCTGTCTCTGCTTTCTCAAAAAAAAAAAAAAAAAAAAAAAAAAAAATATATATATATATATATATACACACACATCCTACTATAGTTTACACAATAGGTAAAACAACAGAAAATGCTTTAAATTTAATTGAAAATATTGGAAATACAACCATCTTATTTGTATTTTCTCAGCACTTTTCTGAAACCACAGTTCTCCCAGTTCTGCACAACTTTGGAGATATTTTAAAACTTTCCTCTCACTGTTCTTTTTCATTTTCTGAATCTGATAGTCAAAAAAAAAAAAAACTTCCTCTCCTAAAAGTTTCTGACAGAGTTACTCGATCCACTTTATTCATCACTCTACTTTTGAACTTATCAAAATGTACTGAACTCTCTCTCTCTGTATGTGTATGTGTGCACATGCATGTGTATTTTTTTTCCTGTTATTCTGTAGCCTTTGGAAAAATGGGAGTATCTATAGTACTGAGGCAATGTTTTATTCCCTTTGCAATAGGCATTCAGAGCAAAGTCTAGGATAAATGAAAGATTAAATGATTCCTTTTCATTTATACAGTTACCATCTTGGTCCAAGCTAGGGTAAAAATGGCATAGCTTTATTTCAATGAATATTTATTCAGCACCATGCACCAGCCTAGGAGATAGAAATACAGCCAAGAATAAATTATACGTGGCTCTCTGCCCCCAGTGTATTCCCACTATCTTTCTAGAATTATCTTTTGCTGTTTTCCAACATAATCCCTCACTGCTATTAAATACTTCTTTCTATTATTATCCACTTCTGACTCTCTTTCCTCATTTTTTTTAAATCAAGCTATTCCTCTTAACTAGAATGTGCTTACCTATCAACTCTATCAAGTCTCTAATTACTTAATATTTCAACTCAAAAGTCGTCTTTTAAAGAGGAAAAGCCTGATCTAATTAACTCCATTTCAACTTCCTCTCTTATTTATACCATCTTCATCTAGCACATCTATATGGAATAATTTGTGCACTCCAGGACTGTAGCCAGATTTGAATTCAAATGATTCTGAGTTAGAATTCATGTCACACAATTCCCATCTTCAAACCAGAAACAATTATGTTGGTCAATAAATCATTTTTTAAAAGAAATGCATGTTAATGGAAACAGTGAAAAGTTATGTTGTTAAAGAAACTTGACATAATTATTACAATTACTTTAAAAGACTGATTCCAGGTACCGTTTATATTCTTCTCTAGCCTTTATCTAGTAGAAATTTAAATTTCAACATAAAACAGAAAATTACAATGTAATAAATGTAATACCAATAAAAATTCTATTTTTAAAAACTAGAGTTATTCAGTGGAAAAATAGAAAAAAACCTGCCATATTCTTTTCTGTGCCTCCTTAGTTTGTGTGTAAATGTCACTACCCTTAAAAAATCTTGTTTATGCTTTATTTTCTTAATTTCTCTATTTAATGTAAGTTTATATTTATACCTTGGGTAATGGTTATAGACCTAGATTTTGTCGCAATGAAATAGTTGTTTTCTTAATATTGAAACAACAATTTCTGTTTCCATGGTGATTTTATGATTATTTTATAGATAGTAATCAAAGGTAAAAATTCACTAAGAAATTTGGAAAACTTTATTTTTTAATAATGAGCCTTAATTTACTTTCAACATTGCAGAAAATTGTCAGAATAATAGTATTTATAGGAACCGCGTTCATAATGGCTATACTCTGAAATAGACTGTCATAAGTTTCTAAAGGACAAACATATTTCTGTTATAATATAAGCCTACTTTTGCTCTTATAAAATAAAATAAAAAGGTATATAATAAATCAAATATATAATATTTTATTAAAGAAACATTATTTTAACTAAGTCTATGTGGGTAATTTTTCAGCTTCACTTTTCATTATTAGTAGTTAAAGAAAAATATGGTACTATTTGCAGTCTAGAACTTATAAATATTTTCAATATCATGAGAGGAACATAAGGAAAATAAGTTTGCTCATGTGTTGATTAAATTTTAACTACTACATTAGCAAGGCTGTTCAATTCTTAGAAAATATCTTTACTGTTAATTGTAGCAACTTCTTTGATATCTTTAAAATTCTGAAAGAAAATAACTGCCAATCTAGTTTTTATAGCTTGTGAAGATAATGTTGAAAGTGAAGCTAAAGGAAAAGGAGAAAGTGGAGGGGAGAGAGAGGGAGAAGGATAGAGAGAGAGAGAGAGACCCAGATTAACACAAAATTGAGAGAAATGTTTGCTCTCAATTAATATTAAAGAAATACTAAAAAGTTCTTTGGAAAGAAACATGGAAATGAAGGAAAAGAACAATGAGTAGCAGAAAGGGTAGCTATCTGGGTAAATGTTAATGAGTATTGGCTCCACCAAACAATGACAATATGGTCTCCTGTTGCTAAAGTGTATGTAGAGAGTGTTCTGGATAGGTGGTGGTGGCAGTACTCCACAAATGTTCCTCATAAAAACAGACACCACAATTACAATGGTGAAATAAAAAAAATCCAAATCCAATATATACAACAAATATTGGTGACAAGGTTGAGGAGTTTAGCTTCTGATCAAAAAAATCTGTGTGTGAATTTTTTAGGCTCAAACATAGGCAATTACAAAGGCTTTACTGGACAGGCCTCCTGGGGGAAAGCTGCCCTCCCTACCCTAGACTGGATACACAGCCAGGGCACTGCAGTCTCTGAAGGGAGTTGCAGTTAAGGACTCAGGCTCCCCGGCCTGCCATACTCTCATGCATATCTGCATTCCTAGATCAGGTGTTTCCATTCAGTAGTTTACTTATTTTAGCTCTTTCCCAGAGGCCTTCCTCAGAGCTTTTGCAAAGACCTCCTTATCAGGGGAGAGGCAAAACATTTTGAAGGAGTTTTCTCTGTTCAGACTCAGTACTCAGCATTTTTCCACTTCTAGCCCTAGCCCCTTGTCCTCTCCCACCTCCTGGATCCATAAAATGGCAAACTCATTTTGTTTAGAGCTATGTCATCAAAAAGATGACCCTCAAGTCTGTTTTGATCCACCTGAACCTCAACCATCACACCAATCCATGGGGAAAATGGATTGGAAGGGGGTGGCATTGTTTTCCTCTGTTTTGTTTCTAGCTCACACTATCACAGTAAGTGATTAAAGGGTTGACTGTTATCTTCATTTCGGCTTGTTGTTTTACTTGGCTACTTTCTCCAGCTTAGCTGAGCTCCTGACAAAAATATGCCATGAACCCTCAAAGATGAGTAAGCACATGGAGAGAAATTATTACCCGCTGCAAGGTCTACATAGCATAGCTGTATCTGTGTGGGAGAAAGAGGAATAAAAATAACTGGGCCTCTCTGAGAACAGGACAGTTCAAACAGCTACTCCCTTTGGATGTAGTAGATCCATATGGAAACAGCATCCAAAACTTGCAGAGGGCTCTCATGATCCAATTTGCGAGTACATAAAAAGGGTCTGTATTTTGAGGAAAGTTCTTCATTCTAGAGAGGTTTTGACTTTTTAAACTCTCAATTAACAACCAGTAATTTCCTTCCAAGCAAAGCGAAACATCACAGTGAAAAGAAATTGCATAGAATAAATTCCAAGTTGAACAGAAAGCAAATTAGGTCCAAAAAGAAAAAAGAAAAAGAGAAAAAATGGCTCAAATAAAATTGAGGAAGAAAGAGCAGTAAAGAGAACTCAAGTTCTAAAAGGACATATTTTAAAATCACTTTTGAAAACAACAAAAGTGAGAATTCTAATGATTTAAAGCTAGAAAATCTATTCTGCCTTACTTTATCCCTTCTGAAAACATTGAAAAGTGAATTTCCTTTTAAGATGTACAACAGGAATAGATCACATTCAAGTCTCCAAATAGGTTTTAAGAGAAAATGAAAGTAAACAAGAACTGGAAATACATCCATACAGATGACAAAAGCACACTGGAAATACATGGCCACAAAAAAACAAAATTATAACACATAATTTCAACATGTGCTAAAACTTTTAAGGAAATGGTAGTAACTATTAAATAAGTATAGCAATTAGAATAAGAAAGTCCCTACAATGACATGAGTGGAGAAAAAGGTATCTGTAAACATGCGACAGAACTCGAAATATTTGAAAATTACAGAAAATAATTTCATAAAGAAAGCCTATGCTAGAAGAGACATGTGAACAAACAAACACAGAAAATCATACTTAAGAAAAATACGAGATGGAAAGGAAGTAAATTTTAAAGATCAAAAATAAACTTTAAAAAAAGATAAAAAGGATTTGAGAAAAAGTGATAAACGTAGAAGTTAGCAAAGAAATGTTAAACGATATAAATTAGCTACCATAAATTATAAGTTGAGAACACATTCCTGAAAAAAAATCTAATTTGAAAATATATACTAAGGGAACACATTTTTAACCTGGAGAAATTGACCGAGAACAGCTAACAAGTAAAAGTGACCTTCAAGGATAAAGGCTACAACTTTGAGGATAAAAGCAACAACTCAGGGAATATTATTCCCATTAGCCTTTCTGGGGAATATACTAAAAGTCAAGCTTCAGACAATGAAAACCACTGGAAACCTGGGTAAGGACCCATGGTAAACATTTACCAGAGAACTCAACTCTCAAAAATGATATCAACTTTTATCATATGAATGTTTACCAAATTGTGGCATATTATCCCACAAAGAAAACTTCAATAATACAATAAATTAATGACAATGAAAAGGTCTTCCTAGAGATAAAAGGAAAAAACTTGGCTGAGTACAGTGGCTCATGCCTGTAATCCCAGCACTTTGGGAGACTGAGGTGGGCAGATCACAAGGTCAGGAGTTCGAGACCATCCTGGCCAACATGATGAAACCCTGTCTCTACTAAAAATACAAACGATTAGACGGGCGTGGTAGCAGGTACTTGTAGTCCCAGCTCCTCGGGAGGCTGAGGTAGGAGAATCATCACTTGAACCCGGGAGGCAGAGGTTGCAGTGAGCTGAGATCGCATCACTGCACTCCAGCCTGGCCACAGAGCGAGACTCCGTCTCAAAAAAAAATTAAAAAAATAAGTAAAAAGAAAGAAAAAAAATAACAACAGTCCTTGGATAAAAGAATTACTAAAACTACAGAATTTTAGAAAAATATAGCATATCAAGTGCCAGAAATAACGCTAAATACCTATGTTAATTTGAAAATAAAAATTAAGAATAAAAAGTAACACCCACTTAAAAAGATGGAAAAAAATGTTTAAAAATAAGTGGGAGCTGAACAATGAGAACACAGGGAGGGGAATATCACACACTGGGGCCTGTTGGGAGGGCAAGAGGAGGGAGAGCATTAGGATAAATACCTAATGCATGCAGGGCTTAAAACCTAGATGACAGGTTAATGGGTGCAGCAACCCACCATGGCACATGTATACCTTTGGAACAAACCTGCACGTTCTGCACATGTATCCCAGAACTTAAGGTAAAATTAAAAAAATTAAAATTAGAACTAAGATGTAAATCTAATAGCTTATTATTTGAAAACTCCAACAAAATAGACAAAGCACTATCTATCCTAACCAAAATAACTGGGAAAGGAGAGTAAGAAAGCACAATTATTACTGAAGAAATAAAGTCATTCAAGAGCCCTACCCACCCCTAAAATCCCTAGATACACTTGGTTATCCAGGGGAATCCTATCAAATTCTTTAAAGATCAGATAACCCAAGCATAGTAAAATAAGAAATGTTAGGAATTCATATTGTGCCAGAGTATAAGATTTCTCCAAAAAAGTAAACAACTAATCAACTCACTTATAAACAAAAATTGTAAAATTTATCTAACAGAATTCAGCAACATAATAACAAATACATCACAGCCAAGTGGCATTTATTATTAAGAAATTCATTAATTCACAGTCATCTATCTCATTGGTAGAGTTGTGGAGAAAAGTCAGATGGTCATCTCCATGATGCTAAAAAGACGTTTGACAAAATTCAGTACATAAGTACATATTTACATTAAGATTTCTCTCTTGGCTCGGCGTGGTGGCTCACACCTGTAATTCCAACATCTTGAGAGGCTGAGGTTAGGCAGATCAGTTGAGCCTAGCAGTTTGAGACCAGCATGGGCAACATAGCAAAACCCTACCTCTACTAAAAATACAAAAATTCGCTGGGCATGGTGGCATGTGCCTGTAGTCACACCAGAGGCTGAGGTAGTAGAATCACTTGAGCCCGGGAAGTTGAGGCTGCAGTAAGCCGAGATTGCGCCACTGTACTCCAGCCTGGGCAACAGAGACCTTGTCAAAAAAAAATATATATCTTTTTCTCTTCTCTCTTTCTGTCTCTCTCCACTGTCTCATCCCGCCCTGCCACTTCCTCCTTCTCACATACAGTACACACACATAAACTCAGTCCCAAAGTCAGAATTTTAATGTGGAAATGTTAGAAAATTTACTGCAAAATCAGGAGCAACACAAGAATGTTCATCACTGTTACTAATACCAAAGTCCTTTTGGAGCTATCAGTTAATACAGTTTGACAAGGAAAAACATAATAATTTGATAATAAAATGTAAGATATCTTTACTTGTAGATATGACTATATAGTTTGAGAAGCAGAAAATATCAACAGGACCACTTAAGAAAGAGACAACTTGTAAAGTATGTCATTATAATATTACTCCCCCAAAGCTCAGTAGCATTCATATATGAAAACAAAATCAGTTGTAAGATATAAAGAAAAAAAGATATAATGTGAGAAAATACTCTATTTATGCTAACAAATTTAAAAGAATGTATTAAAACAGAAACATAATAAATATACATGAGGATCATACATGAAGTAAACCATAAAACACTTCCAAAAGACACAAAAGTAGATCTGGACAAATGGAAATACATATTATGTACTTAGTTGCAGAGTTCCAATATCACAAAGTTGTCAACCCTTTATGTTTATTTACAAATTTAAAGCAAGCCCAATTAGAATATAATATTGTTCTGTATCTAAAAATTTTGAATAAAAATTTTATTTGAAAGAAAAATCTAGTAGGTACAGAGAGGACAGTTTTGAAAGAGAACAGCATGGAGTAGGACTGTCCAGCCAGATGATAAAACTACTCTTCTCCAATGAAAATCATTTAGTATTGACAGGTTTTAGTTCAGACAGACCAATGGAACAGAAAAGCAAATCCAAAAATAGAACTGGTTGCTTACGGAAATTTTAAATACCACACAGGCAGGATTTTAAACTATAGAGGAAAAGATGGATTATAAAATAAGTGATGATGGTGTAGCTGGATAACTGTATGGATATGGTAAAAAATTGATCAATTTCTTATATTGCATATCAGTGTAAATTCCACATGGATAAGAGACATAAACTGCATGAGGAGAAAAAAAGGCAAGTTTTTATAGATGTTAGAAGTGGGAATTTTTTTCAGAAATATGATTCAAGGAGCAACAGTGAAAAGGTTAATGAATTTAATTATTTTCTTAATGTATAAGAAAAATACAACTGATTTCACTTATAATAAGAGAAATACAAATTAAAACTATATGAGATACTACTTATCATCATCCATCAGATGGGGAAAAATTCAAGTTTTACAAATATATTTTGTGTTGTAAAATATATTCCAAATATATGGATATATGGAATATATGGAAAACAGATGCTGTCAAACATTGCATGATAAAATGTGAAGTTGAATAATATGATAGATAGTTGAAAATATCTGGCAAAATGTAATATGTTCTTACTATTTGATCCCACACTCATTTCTTGGAATCTATCTCAGTGTACCCTATGTAAAATATGAAAGAGCATACTCATCAGGTTATTTTCTGCAGTGTAACTAATGATAAGAAAAGACTGGAAACATTTGAAGGTCAGTCATCACCTCAGTAGTCTGGTTTAATAAACTATGGCACATGGAGCATCTACACAATAGAATACTATGCAATGATAAAAAGAGAGTATCTCCAAAAGATATGAAATTTTTACAAGAAAAGACAAATAAAAAATCTGACATGGATAAAAGTATGTTTAACACATCATGATTTATCTAAAATGGAGAGTATGTAGATAGAAAAATAGATTAGATTTTTAAAAAAATAAAAGTTTACAAGTGGGAAGAGAGAGAGGATAGCAGAGGGAAAAAAAGCTAAATTTCTTTGAATATATATATTTTTAATTTGATTTTGGAATCGTGTAAGTATCATATATGGTTGTAAAAAATTAAAGAAAAGCAAGTATAATAATCAAACATTAAAACTGTGTATTTACTTGGTGACATAACCTCACAGAGGAGAACCACTCCAAGTGACTTTAAAACATAATAATTTTGTTGTTCTTACCTAACAGAATATTCTCTGGAATATTCTGCAGCCCTCAAATAAAAAATTATTAAACTCTTTTCAGATATCATAATGATGTTGGTGCTGGTGGTACTGTTTTTCTGAGACTTATAGGTGTATTGTGGGATAAAGCAAATGAGCAGTCATAATAGTGTCATTGAGAAGTGATATTTCTGACAATGCTGATCGATGTCACTGTAAGATTGATGAGGTTAATGAGCTTTCTTAGCACCCAGAATATTGGATCTAAATAGTATTCCCCAATAAATGATACCAGAGTATTTTAGAGAACTGGTTGATTCCCAACATGGGGCAGGAAATTATGACTCAGAAACATTTTGTCATATCAGAAATAAAGGAAACTATCAAAGACTCTTAGAGTTATGTCAAAACGACCCAGAAACCAACATAAATATGGTGTCAAAGCCAAAGTCATAATAATTTGACCATTAATTGAGATAATGGCAAGGTACTGAAATATATCTACTATGTTTAATCCCTGAGCTCATAAAATTATTAAGAATATTTTAAAACTCATTTTTAGTCTTTAGAAAATACTAGGAAACCACTTTACTAAGTTGTTTTTTTTTATTTTTTTTATTTCCATAGATTTTTGGGGAACAGATGGTATTTGGTTACATAAATAAGTTCTTTAGTGGTGATTTGTGAGATTTTGTAAAGTGATACACCACCACTTTACTATTTTGAATACTACTATAAAGGGGAAATAGTAAGTTACTTTATTTTTCTATACAATCATAATTCATGGTAATCAAATATGTAATGAAAAATATTTCTCTTTTTAGAATAATTCCAGCAAAAAAAAACAATAAAAAAGACAGGAGTGAATTTTATATTCACTGGCTGTTAGCACCAAAAAAGGAGAGAAAATCAGACATGTACCTTCTGATGGAAGTTCACAGTCACCAGGAATAAATCTTTAAAAAATTCCACCTGAATCTAATCAAGCCTCTAGATATAATTAATAATTTCCAGGAAGTACAAGAAACACAGAGAAGCAAGTTAAATGATACCAGAAGGATGCAATAATCAAACTGTAGACCTGTACAATTATATAGGACAAATGATTTTGTTCTTTCAATGGAGTCAAAATGTATTTCAACATAAAATACAAGGGGATGTGGGATATATTAGGAGAGCTTTTAAACTAAGAGACTTAAGGGACGTGTCAATGAATCTCAATCTCTGTATCTTTTATGAATTTCAATTCAAACAAATTAATTAAATGATTATGAGAGGGAACTGTGAAAACACGATTGTTACTAGATTTACACTAAGGGATTACAGCAATTATATTCAGTGAGATAATGTATTAGTCCATTCTCATGCTGCTATGAAGAAATATCCAAGACTGGGTAATTAATAAAGGAAAGATGTTTAATTCATTCACAGTTCCTCAGGGCTGGGGAAGCCTCAGGAAACTTACAATCATGGCAGAAGGAAAAGCAAACACAGCCTTCCTCACATGGTGGCAGCAAGATGTGGCAAGCAAAAGGGGGAAAAGCCCCTTATGAAACCATCAGTTCTTGTGAGAACATAATGAGGGTAACTGCCCCCCATGATTCAATTACTTCCCAAATGGTCCCCCTCACAATACATGGGGATTATGAGAACTACAATTCAAGATGAGATTTGGGTGGGGGCACAGCCAAACCGTATCAGATAATAATATTGTGGTTATTTAAGAAATTATAATGTATGTATTTACATATATACATATATGCTGAAACATATATTATACATATACACACATGCATGCTGAAATATTTGCAGATTAAATGATGTAATCTGAGATTTGGAATTTACTTCAAAACAATCCAGGTACTGAGGAGGAAACGGATGATGTATAAAAAAAGTAAAATGGTATAAGCTGAGATGTATACAGTAAAGTATACAGAACTTAGGAGCTAACAGAGTGGAAACGGCAAAACAATAAAAGAAACATTAATCTAAAAATGGCCACAAATGAACATGCAGTACATGGAACAAATTTAAAAAACAGCAAACTTGTAGACACAAATTCAAATATAACCGCAATTAAATGTGAATAGGTTATTAGAATTAAAAAAACAAAGGTTGTCCTACTGTATTTGGAAGATTCTATGTTCCTTGCAAGAACACTTTAAATATTAAGACACAGGATCACTGAAATTAAAACGGATGAAAAATGATATACCATACAAACACAAATCAAGAGGAAGTGAGTTAAGGAATATTAAGATTAAACCAAGCTTTTCTCTAAGACAGAAATAATTACTAAAGATATAGATATATCATACTATATGAAAGGATGACTACATTAGGAAGATACACCAATTCCAAGTTTGTATTTACTAAATATTGCTTCAAATATATAAAACAAAATAAAGAACTAAGAAGATAAACAGAAAGATCCATAATCGTAATTCACATCTATTAATAACTGATGGAAAAGAGGACAAAAATCAGTAACGATGCGGAAGGTCAGAGTAATTCAGTTAGCGATTTTTGCCTGTTTGACATATAAAGAAGGATACCCAGAACAACAATAGAATATATGTACTGTGTGTCAACTGCATATAGAACACTAACTAAAACTGACCATATCTAGGGCTATTTAAAAGTTCTCATTGAATTTTAATTAATTTTATTATATATTATTTTCTGGTTACAGTGAAATTAAGCTAAAATCAATTTTTAAAATTATAATGTCAGTAACAAACCTCTCAATAACCCATGGTCAAAGAAGAAATATAGACATGAACTAGAAAATATTTATCAACTAAATGATTCTGAAAATATGACATACTAGAACATGTGGGATGAGGCTGAGACTGTGCTCAGAGAGAATTACAGACTTATATGCTGTTTTAGAAAACATGAGAAGCTAAAAATCAATGATCTATGTCTTCATTCATGAAGTTAGGAAAAGAGTGGCAAATTAAACCCACAAAGTGTAGAAGAAAAAAAAAAGGATATTATTCCAGAGTAATGAAGCAAAAACAAACATGCCATAGAGAAAATACACAAAGCCATAATTTGGGTGTTTGAATAGATGACTAATCTGACTTAAAATGAAAGAGGTAAGGGAAAAATTATCACTATTCTGATTAAAAAAACAAAAAGACATAGCTTAAAGTTCTTAATCTTATGCTAATATATTTGATAATGTGTATCAAATGTACACTTTTTTTTGAAAACTCATTTTTCCATAACTGACACAAGAAAATATTTTAAAAATCTCAATAGTACTTTTCAATGAAGGCAATTAGATCTGTATTAAAGATAGTTCCACAAAATATTCCAGACCCAATTGGCATCATTGATGGATTATCCAAATGTTATGAAATGTTACCAATCACATGCAGATTCTTCCAGATAACAGGAAAAGTAGGAATGCTTCCTAGTTTGTTCTATGAGGCCAGCATCTCCTCGACAGTACAAATGGCATGGACATAACCAGAAAAAATATTATAAGCCAATAGTTTATCATGAACATAGAGGTTAAAAAAAAACACACAAGACAACACTTTTTTTTATCATGATGGGTTGATTCCAGAAGTATGAGACTGATTTCACAATCAAAGATCAATTGTTGTAGTTCATCACACTAACAGAATAAAAGGGAAAATAAAAATTCATTTGAATGCGTGCATGAAATATACTTGATAAAATTCATCATGATTTCCTGGTAAAAGTTGTTAGCCAACTAGAAATAGAAGATAACTTCCTTAATTTAATAGAAAGTTTACACATACACACACACACACACACACACACAAATCCTATGATAAACAATAATAACAAAATATTAACAGGTTTCTCACGTAATGAGACAAAGCTACCTACCATCATGATTGCTCTTCAATATTATTCTAGAATAAGCAAGGAAAGAAATGAGTACGTATTGGAAGATAATAAATAAAACTCAATTTTTTGCAAGAGACATTGTTGTACACATACACTGGTTTAAAAATCTAGAGTAAGCTTAAAATTAATACGTGATTTTAGAAGGTCATAAATACATCAATAAATAGACCGGGAATAAACAATTAGGAAATATGTCCAAAATGGTGTCATTTACAGTATTTATCAGTATTATTTACAATATCATATTTGCAGCATACGTTTAATTACATGTAAATTAAAATGTGCATGTGTGTGTGTGTGTATGTCTGTGCATGTACACACACACACACACACACACATATATATACATATATATATATATATATATATACATATATATATATATATATATGTATACTTGATCACTTAATATATATTCAGAGAGACATTTCAGGGCAGTTAAAAAACAAGAGTCTCTTCAACAAATCCTGTGGGATTACTTGATATTCACATGGAAATGAGTGAATCTTTTTCACTATCAAATACCATACCAAAAAATTCAATTCCAGAGGTAGTAAAGTCTAAATGTGAATAGTAAAACCAATACAAAAGTCCCTTACAAGGAAACACAGAAGCATGTCTTTATGGCCAAAGAAGAGGCAAAGATTTTTTTCAACAAGACAGAAAAAGCAGAAACCATCATGACTATTTGGTCTTTTTTGGGATCTTACTGATCACCTAGTCCCATGGCTTCCTCACAAATGAGAAAATTAGAGCCAGAGAACATAAATTCTTGTAACACGACCAACACCTTCAAAAAGCTAAAGATCTAGGACCTGTTTCTCCAGTTTTCTAAATTCATTTTTAGAAGGCATTAAACAGTAGGACTTAATTGGATATCTAGCCCTTTTGCCTTCTTTTAGGTTTTTACATCACTTTGTATGTCCCAGGAAATGTTTTTAACCATTTTACACATATTGATGCATTTAATCTTCACAACTCTATGAGGTGGGCCCTATTCTGATACCTACATTTTACAGACAAGACAACAGCAGCTGCTCCTTTAGTAACTTGTCCAAAGTTCCACATGTCCTAAGTGGAGAGCTAGGATTCTAACATAGGAATCGTGAGTCCTGAGCCTAACTCGAAACCACCAACTTTCACAAACATTGCAAGCTATATTTCAATTCTGTGTTTTGGTTCCAATTAAAATTACTTAAGAATTGCAGCCTATAAAGATTTTCTTCATGATTATACTCAATTTGTTTGCCACATATTTTAGAGTAACAGTTAAATTCAAATCCACATTTCCTAACAGGCCTTATTATAATCCACATTTCCAAACAACCTTATAATACTTTTTATTTAAAATTCCGGTAGCACTTGATGTGTGTTACGTAATGCCTTGAGTTTCCCACTTCCTATTGTGTGTTGTTTTATAGGTGAACATTTTACTCCACAACTGGCGCATAAGCCTTTCTTAAATAAATTTACAATACTTCATCCTTTTATGGTATTTGATCTGTATTACATCATGCTTTATCTTGTATTTATCATCTTCATCTGCATGTTATCTTATGTATAAATATTTTACTCCACAATTAGAATATTTTCCAAGAGCTGTAATCTATTTTGTTTTATTATTTTACTTTATATTTTATGTTATTTCATTTTGGTGGAGGCACTATGTTTTTATTCTCTTTTAGAATTTAACATATATGTTGGCAAGCATCTAAAACAACAAATGTAGTGTTGAAAGAATAAATATTTCCAGTAGTAGAGCATTCTAAAATTAGTTCATAAATGACTTTCAGACATTTTATTCCCCACATTAAAGGATAACTTGAGACACTGATTTTTTCTATTTATTTTATATATTATTTAGCTTTGTAGTAGGAATTAAGTAACAACAAGCAAGTTAGAACTAATACAATCTTTAAATGTTGCTCAGAAGTTTCCAATGATAGTTTTAATGAAAAAAATTATTTACAGTCTCTACCACTGCTTTCGCTAATTTAGGTTCAGTGATTGAGTCAAATAAGCAATTTTAGAAATAGAAAGCAAATCCCCCGGGCTTTCTATCATATGTGGGGCCATGTATCTCCCTGGCTGACAGACCGTTAGTTCTACAATTCACTCTATCGTGGAGGCTTGCTAATTAGCATTTGTTTACAGCATTTTAAGTAGCTCTGTTTAATTACTGAAAACTTTAAATGTCTGTTGTGCTTTATAACCCACATAGTATTGTTTTTATTACTTATTAATTGATGACAGTGAAAGATGAGGATGAAGACTTCTTAAACAATTACCAGATTTATACATACATACATACAAACCTTGGAAGTAGAATTAAGGAAACTTACAGTAATTATGCACAATATTGGAAGAAATTTCTGAGATTTTTGTTTTCATAAAACCTGCTCTCTTTAAGTACATTATAGAATTCCCCTTATTTGTAAAATGAGTTTAATTAAATCTACTATCTAACTTCCTTGAAGGATGCTGGAAAGATAATTTTTTAAAAATGTAATGAAGTGTACCTTGATCTTCTTTGAGAAGGTTGATGAGGAAAAAATGATATATAAATAAAAAACATTACTACAAGCCACTGATACAGGATGGCAATATATTTCTATGAATCTCAGAAAAGATGAAACAAAAGTGATTTGTACTGAATACCATCTCGTAAGTAATTTTTCACACTCCCACTCATTTGTATACCATTTAAGTCCCTCCACAGCCTTGTGAACAGACTTTTTTTTTTTTTTTTTGAGACAGGATTTCACTTTCACTGAGGCTGGAGTGCAGTGGCATGATCACAGCTCACTGTAGCCCGCTACCTCAATTTCCCGGGCTCAGGTGATTCTCCCACCTCAGCTTCCTGAATAGCTAAGATCACAGGTGCATGCCACCAAGCCCAGCTAATTTTTGTATTTTTTGCAGAGATGGGGTTTTGCCATGTTGCCCAAGCAGGTCTGAAACTGCTGGGCTCAAGCGATCAGCTTGTCTCGGCCTCTCAAAGTGCTGAGATTATAGGTGTGAGCCACTGCGCCCGGCCCGTGAATAGAGTTTTTTTTTTTTTTTTTAATATATATATTTATTTATTATACTTTAAGTTCTAGGGTACATGTGCACGTATACACCCTGAATAGAGTTTTTAAAACAAATATAGTAGCCATCTCTACATAGCATTCTGCAATTGATGAACTACTTTGCATAATCTGTATAACATAAAATATGGTAGGAAAATTGGATGTTTAAAATATAGGAATGAGTTGAACGTTTAGTTAGTGGAAAAAGCTAGAATGATGAATAGTTTCAAAGGTTGTTAAGAAAAATTCCAAGATTTACATATTCAAATATTTTTGTATGCTTATTGCAGCGAATATTTAAAGTAGCTGAAGCACTAACTTTTGATTTGTATCTTCGAGAGTGGAAGTTTTGTTAACCTATCAAGTTAAGAAATTATGATAACAATATCTTCTTTAGACACTGAGGCAAAAGCTAAAAATTATCTTCTTTTTTCTCAGTCCAAATGGTAATAGAATTACATAATGGTGCATTGCTGAAAGTGCTATTTATTACCTGCAGCATTCTTTGGATGTTTTCTACAAGATTTTTCATGACTTAGAAATCTCCATAAGGTTCATGTGCTTCTTTAGGGGTTCTGTGATAGACTACTTTGTCAAAAATGATTATCCATACTCATTTCACCCCAGGCTGTCTGTCAATCTGTCCTTGCTAGATGCTCAGATACTCCATCTAATTTGAAGCTGGAGGCATATGCAGAAGAATAATACTTACCAAAGTGAAATAGGATGGATGCTTGGTAAAACTAATGTATTTGTTAGAGACAACATCAACTAGGGATACTACAATTCTGTATTTGTCTTAACAAGTTTTTAGTGTTGTTGTTGAATAATATATATTTGAAGATCGTCCTGAGCCTCTGAGTAATCTTGGTACTCCGTATTTTTCACTTAACTCTTCCATGATACTTTCTTTTTCTTCATCATTTCTAGTGGCGATTAGACATGTTTGAATGGAGGGATCTAACGGAGAAAAATCACACCTCTAAAAGTCAGTGTATTAAAGATGTGAAGAGACAGAAGGCTTTGTAACAAACTGGTGATATAAGTGGGTAAGCTATGGTCATGAATACATTAAAATTGCCCTGAAACGCACTTACTGAGTTTTATTTCCTGAACAATTGGAAAAGATACATTCTTATTATAAATTATGAGTTACTGTCAAAATAATTCAAAGCATTGTTTTAATATAGTTTATCCTAAGACCATTAGAACAATTCTGAAAATTAATGGAGTTTATTTTGGTATGATTACCCTACAACAGTAATTCTTAACTGGAGTGATTTTGCCTCCCAGGAGACATTTGGTAACATGGAGACAATTTTTGGCTGTCACTATTTGGAAGGGGTACTATAGGTATCTTGCAGGTAGAAGTCAGGGATGCGGCCGGGCGCGGTGGCTCACGCCTGTAATCCAGCACTTTGGGAGGCCGAGGTGGGCGGATCACGAGGCCAGGAGATCAAGACCGTCCTGGCTAACACGGTGAAAAACCCATCTCTACTAAAAATACAAAAAATAAAATAAAATAAAATAAAATAAAATAAAATAAAATAATTAGCCGGGCGTGGTGGCAGGCACCTGTAGCTCCAGCTACTCAGGAGGCTGAGGCAGGAGAATGGCGTGAACCCAGGAGGCGGAGCTTGCAGTGAGCCGAGACAGCGCCACTGCACTCCAGCCTGGGCGACAGAGCGAGACTCCGTCTCAAAAAAAAAAAAAAAGGCAGGGATGCTACTAACATCCTACCATGCACAGGACAGGCTCCACAAACAAAGCAAAATCAATGAGAGTAACTTTTTACTCTCAAAAGTATTACTGTTTGGATGACAGAGTTGATGATCACTCTGCTGAAATGGAATAAATTTCTGGAAAGAGAAATAGTAAAAATAATTACGGTCAGAAAATGTGAGCCAACAATCTTGCACCACCATTTGTGTGATATAGACTAAGTTCATTTCTCTGTGCTTTGGCTCCTAACCAGCAGAATGGGCGTAAATACTAATATTATTTATTGGCATTGTTGTGAAAATCAAAGAAGATAATATGTGCATGAAAGAACTTTGACAATGATGAAGTGCCATGCAAATATCCAGCTATTAATAAGAGAAAACTATGAAAGGATGACATTTTAAGGAATGTGTAGGAAGTTTTTCATGAATAGAAATCTTTCTTCAAACCAATATATCCTTCACTCTAACTTTTGAATAAAGTATATATGTGTTAATATTTCATGCTTATTAAAGATTGGATTATATTTATAAAAAACTGAAATCAGGCCTACGAAACAGTTACCTTTGGAATGTCTGTTGAAGAATTTCAAGATTAAATACCTAGTCTCCTTAGCAAGCTGATCATGATCACTTTGCCTTCGCTTAGCAGCAACCCCAACTATATCGCCTCACTTTCTGGGGAACTTGTAATTGCCACTTCTCCTTCCTTCTTCTCCCTGTTCTCTTCTTATTTCTCCTCCTCCTGCTTCTTTGTCTTCTTCCTGTGGTGCTCTTTTCCATGTGAGGGACCCCTTTAGCCAAGTCCATCCATTCCTCCTACTAACCATCTATCCAATCATTCATCCAGTACATCCTCACTGAGCATTTGCCATGGAAGTGTTAGCATTTTGTTAGGTGCTAAGAAGATGAGTAAAAACATATATATTCCGTGCCCTAAAAAACTTATAGCTTAGAGGGAGAAGGGACAGATATCAATTACAAAATAATAAATATAAAAATACAATTGAAAAGAAGATACTTGCTAGAAAGTGAAGTAAAACACTCCAGCTAGCTTTGAGGGACACAAGTAGGTTTCACTAAAGTACTGAAATTTCATTTGAGATCTGAAGAATGATTAGCCAGGCAAAAGGGATTAAGTGGGGAAGTAGGGTGAGGTGGTGCAGAGCTTCATAGGGAAGAACTTTCTGAGCAGTCAAGATAGCATGTGCACAGGCCCTGTTGGGCGATAGAACACAAGTTGTTCAAAGAACTGAAAGAAGTGAATGTAGTTGTAGCTCTAAGCAAGGCTGATGGGGCTATGATGTGAGTCTGCAGGTGACAAAGAAACAAATGAGGTAGAAACTTGTAGCCCACAGCAAAGGTTTCATTCTTTTTTCTGAGAACAATGAGAAATCCCTGAAAGTTTTAAAAGACAGTGACATGATTAGATTTGCATTTTGAAAAGATCACTCTGGATGCAAAACAGTTGGGGATGAAAAGACATTTGAAATCCATTGCTCTCAGCACATGCTTGACGGGAATTGTTACAAGCATTTGAATGTTCTCTTCTTTGTTCTTATATCTCTCTCAAACATCTTCCTCTCTACTAAGACAATTCCATTACTTCCTTCAGGATCTAGTTAAGTATATTCACCATATTTACTTTAAAATTTACCATCCCTATTCATCATGTTCCCACTTTGAATTCTTTCTGCATTTGCAAGACACTTACAATGTGATACAATTAATTTAATTCTCTGCTTTATATATTCTTTTCCTAAAGCACACTTTGCTTCTTAAGGACAGGGGCCTGCATATGGGTTTCAGAACAAAAATGATTGCTCTAGATAAATTATTTTTCAGTGTTTGGTTCCTCCTACTATCCACAGCTGGCTTCTCAAGTTCATAAATTGTATCTTTTACAAGCATTGTAACAGTAAAATAATCCGAATATAAAGAAAGACATTGCAAATGTTTATTTATAGCATGTCTGTAATCAAGCCAATGTAATCAATAGATACATAAAATTGGCACTGTCTAGTCTTAGTCTCTAACCTCTGCATAACATTTTGTGTAAAAGGACACTTCGTATGTGACTACTCATAAAAATTGTCTCTATTAAGCATTTAAAATGTTTTTATCTCGCATATAATGTGTTTGAGGAAAAAAGTTCTAATGACTACACTTAGATTGAAAAATGCAATAAATATTTCCAATATTAACAAACTTAGAATTCAAACTCAATTAAATATTAAGAGGATATGTTAAATTTCACCTGCTTATATTTAAATTGTATTAAAATCAATTAAATAACCAAATATAGACGTAAAGTTTTATGAGGATTTTTACATTATAGGAATTGTGATTTAAAAAAATTCTGAATAATGAATAATTTCATAGATAGATTCTGACATTTTAGGAATCCCTAAGTAATATGAGTCAAAATGCAATCTTTTTTGTTTTTCCACAGAGGTTTTAGCAGTCTTCTATTATATATCAAAGACAGAAGCTAAGAATAAACATGGATACCCTCTATCATGGTGCGAAAGACGTGCCAAACAACTGGAAATGTATAAGAAAGTAAATTAAATTATGGCCAAGTTATCTATAGTCTTCATAAAACTTTAAGAACTGACATTAGAGTGTTTAATTTTTCCTGGTACTACTGATGTTTAATTTTTAATCTCTAAATCATATATAAATATTTTAAACATGCAGTAAATAAAAGATTGTTCCTTTTCAGAAAATGATGTACAAATATGCATTATTTGAGATCAAATAAGGTAATAAAGGTAAAGTACTAATGCAGTGCATGATCTAATCAATATTAATTTCCTTCTCACTCTTAAGAGAAAGGAGAATGCTTAGATAGGTCGTGGTACCTGACACTAATAATAACTTCATATAATAATAGCCTATTATTTCATCCATAAAAATGCACTTCATATTAAGAACTGGCCGGGGTTTGTTGGAGGGCAGATTAGAAAGAGTTTACTTGGGAATCAAAAAACTCAAGAAGCAAGTGATTAATATACTTGAACCTAAGTTTTGCTCAAATCATCAAAAACAAAGGTATAATACTTAAAGCTAGAAATGTATATACATCCTACAAACTGAGGGTCTTCTTCGGGACCTGATGGATGAACTAACTTCTATAGGGAACAATTGGAAGTCATGTCTTTGCCTGAGTTTCTAGCAACATAGTAAAAAACAAACAAACAAACAAAAAAACCGCTGGGTATATTCAAGCACTTGACCTGAAAAGCAAAGTTGTTAGATAAATTTTAATGTACTTGCTTTGTATGAAGTCATTCAGCTTGGACAGAGGTAGTGAAAGACGAGATTTGAACTAAAGAAATAAAGTCTAAGACTTGGTTTCAGGCACAAAGTGTGATTATAGATGATTAGGATATATGCTCTAAAGATTTACCTGAGGACAAAACTAAGAGAGGATCTAAGAGGAATGACTGAGAATGAGAAATGGTATCTTAGAAGAGGTACAATTTAACTTTGTGCCTCTCAAAGCAAAGCAATTTGGTGTCATCATTTTTTTCCTTGGGTTTGTGCATGTAAGGCACTACATTTTTAGTGTGGTATTTATCTTTGCCCATTGCATTCTTCTCAAAAAGACAGCAATCAACTGAGTAGTGATAGGAAACAGAACTCCAGAAAATTAGCTGTAGCTCATTAAAAAGTGAATCAGGCTTTTAATTGATCTTAAACTGATAATTAATTTTTCAAACAACAAAAATAATTAAATGCATTTCCTCAAGTATTTGTTAGTTTCATAACAATCAGGATACAGACAGTAAATAGAGCTTGCCCTGAAATCTGCTGGGATATGGCCCTGAATTAAGACTTTCAACTTAAAAAGGAAAACACAAATGTCAGAAAATTCCCATATCAAAGTAAGCAAGCAGAATGGAGACATTAAGGAAAACAAAAAGACAAGTGGAAAATATACCAATGTCTGTTGGAAAGCACTTCCTTTCTTTCCTTTCTTTAAAATATAGAAAGTTCGATGGGACCAATGTAAATAAAAACTATATTCCTATCTGATAGTGATTTGTTTGCAGTTAAATATCAGGCACTTACCCAAAACATCTTTTGCTTTTTTCCCTCAAGACTATTCCCTCTGACTTCTCCTACATTTTAATGAATTCATACCTTCCCAAATAGTTTTAATTGTGTTATATCATTTGATAATATTCACAATATTCTTAACACTCTCCTAGCTTGATTTCTCTATACTTTTAACTTGCTTCTTTTGTATGCTTCTTCATCTTTATATTTGTGGTCATGACACAGGTAAGATTATAAATTGAACTATGTAATCCAGATTCTGATAGGTGCTATGAAAAAAATTAACACACAGTAATAGAATAGACAGTGAAAGAAGGAGGAAGATGACTATTCTATTTTAGATAGGCTGGTCAGTAAAGGCCTCTCACTGGAGGTAAATTTTTAGCACAGCACACTCTAAAGAAAGGAGCAAATAATTAGCAAAGACCTGTTGTCTGAGCAGAGGGAATAGCAAATACAAAGCCTCTGAAGTAGGAACAATCTTGGAATGCTTGAGGCATTATCAAGGCAGCCAGCATTACTAGAGTGGTTCAAGAAGGGAGAGAGAATAAGGAGATAGAATTGAAGATGTGGCAGTATAGGGCATTGTAGGTATGGTATAGAATGTGAATCTTATTCTGTATGAGAAAGGCATTAGAGGTTTAAAAGCAGGTTAAGAACATAATCTGATCAATGTTTTTAAAAGACACTCTGGCAAGAGTAAAAAGAAGCGGACCAACTAGGGAGTTATTTCAGTGCCCCTGAGATACAACCATGGGCTGTATGAGATGGCCTTCAGCACACATTTAAAAGGAGATTGGGTTTGGACTATATTTGTAATATATTGACAAGCGAACTTGATGATGGGGGAAGTTAAGAATCAAAGTTTTTTTTTTTTTTTAAACTGGATAAATTGGGGGTTCCCTTTATTGTGATGAGGAAATTTGGGAGTGGAGAAGGTTGAGGGTATGGAAAATCATGGGTTTTGTTCTGGGCATATGAAGCTGAAATGCCTTTTGAGTATCCATGAGAAGATGCTGTACAATGAGTTTGATATATTAATCTAGACAGAACAAGAAACATAAATTGAGGAATCATTAATATATTAACCATATTTTTTTCCTAAGGTAGAAAAACATCTAAATAATTATCTAATTTTGATTTTTATCTACACATTAATTATAAAATATTTTTCCAAGTCTTTTTATTTCAGACTGCATTGTTTTCCTTTCTTTGAAAAAAACTATATTATTTCTTGAACATTAGACAGAAATCTGATTATTATGCATGATTATACAGGTATAATACACAAAATCCTTAACTAGATTTTTAAAATGTGAATTATATTCCTTTCCCCATTCTAAAAATTTACTTTCTTTCGCTATTTTCTACCCCTTCTCCTCCAAAACATAGGAAATGAGGAAAATGCATTAGGCTCAGATCAAATGCTATAAGTATGACAAGTGAAGTTATTTTTTGCATAGGATAGTGTTTCCTGGAAGACAGATGCTATCTCAAGTCAAATAAAGTTAAACCTGATGCATATTTATTATTTGCCTGGCTGTGTTAGGATGGGTGGAGGTAATAAGTATTGCAAAGTAGCCTTGATCTCAAATTTATAAATTTGTACAGAAAATAAGATACCTATATACAAAACAATATGAGGATGAAAAAATATAAATAATAAATATAAAATCACTCTAATTGGTTAAAGAAGAGGTAGAAACAACAGTGGTGTTGGGTTTTGTGAAATAAAACAATTTCCAGATATATGAACAATAACGTGAGATCCATGTCTGAGCATGACTTACCAAGTGGTTGGCCGGCGATGACTCTGGCATTTTCTCCAGCCACTGCAGCTCTTGCATGTCGCTCACTCATGTACTGTACAAATGCATAACCTTTGTGAACGGAACATCCAACTATTTTTCCATACTTTGAAAAAATGGCTTCAATGTCAACTTTCTTGACAATTGCCGTATTTAGATTGCCGATGAAAACACGGGAGTTGATGGACTTGGGGTCATTCTTATTGGTGACGTTGCTGGTCTGTGTTTTGCCAGTCATGATTGGCTCTCCTTGCTTTAATCCTTAAACAAACAAACAAACAAACAAAACAAATAATCAAAAGGTAAATCATTAGATCGAATGGGTATCAGTGGCTTTTTAACAGTTTTTCAATATTACACTCAGGAAACCTCCAATCCCTAAGTATTAATGATTTTCTTGAGAATAAAATTAATATATTTAGTAATATAAAAGGTAAGTATTGCATTGCTAAATACAGTAGAAAAAACATAATCACTTAACATTCAGTTATAAAGATTCTTGATTTGTTAATGACTGAATATTTTGCAGTTGTTTTTATATTTAAGTCTAACTATTTTGCAAAAGAAAGTTTGAGGAAAATCTGCCTTATTCTATCAACAGCAACCAAAAATCCAACATGGCTAAGGTCTGATGATAGATGTAATAAAGAAATGTAACCTCCATCTTCTGTTTGAGTACATGCATTTTTATTTCTATATTTCTGTAATAGGTAGACATACTGTCTATTTCAACATCAGAACCCTTCTGTCAGAAACTAACAATTTGTTCCATTAAAGGCTGTGGAAAAGGAAAAATGGTATTAGAAATTCAATTCAAAAATTTAACATAAGAAAACCACAATTTTAAAAATAAGCGACTTAGCCAGAATACTATATATGCTATTTATTTGAACCAATAGTACATGTCAGCTTCATAAAAACACAAAACAAAACAAAACATAAGAGCCAGTGTTCATCAATGATCAGCAAATTAGTAGATTAGGTAACTGTTGAAATTTTATTCTTAACTTCACTTTCTAATTCACTTAACTAAAGGCTCCTATGTTGCCTAATGATTGCTAGTATTTTTAAAAATCATTTTGTGAGCTTGGTAGAATATCTGTGTTTAATTAAATTAAACAAAACTTTTATTTCTAAGTATTCCAGCACATATAGATTTATTCTTAAGGCCTTGAAAATTCCTTCCTTCCTTCCTTCCCTTCTTTCCTTCCTTTCTTCCTTCCACAACATTTGCTAACAACCCATTTTTTGTCATGCATCATTTACAGTACCTATTAATTTATAGACACCATTAAGGCTAAACTAAAATTTCAACAAGGTAACAGTCCCTGACATTGATGATCATTGTTGAACATTAGCTAATTGATACAGTTTGTCAGTGACAACTATATTTTTATATGAAGGCTCTCTTAAAATATTACAGCTACAAAAATAAGTGCATCTGATTTTTAAGAATCATTTAAAATGATATTTCTAAATTAAGCATTAAGGCGGTGGAAGTCTTTAAGGCATGTAAATTGGATATGCTTGAAAATGTACTTATTATGCATTTAAAACAGATACTCCTGAAATCAAGAGCAACCAAGTAGCATAAAATGTTTCAAATTAAGTTGTTCAATATTACATCTGGGATTTTTAAAGCTTTACTTCATATTGGACAGCCAACATTATAAATATCTCCTTATAATGAAGATCAGTTTAATAAACAATACATTCAGTTATTTACATAAAAATTAAGAGTAAAACACCATTAGAAACAAAGATTATAACACTGCCTTGTATTGATTCAGATTAGCTACCTTTAAGTGGTTCCTTTATGAATTATTCAAAGTAGAGTTGAAGAAAGAAAAGTTGATATATATTTTTTTATCTTGCAATTTGAGATATTGTATATCTCAAGACAAATGCTCTGAGAATTAATGAAACAAGAAAAATCAAGATAGGTAATTTAGAGTCAGTTTCCTTTCTTACCATTCCAAGCCAACACCAGTAATACAATCCACAGAAAGCATACTACTTTGTTTGTGATCTCATGTGACATATATTTTTAGAAACACCATAGAGTTATTTTCAAGGGTAAACAATTCTTATAGTTGACATTTTATTTCCTGGACAGATATACATTGGTTAAAATGCAAACACAAGAATTGCTAGATTAGATCAGACCTGTGGTTTACAGAGCCCGGTGGTCTGCCATTGATAACCCTTGGTCAAATTTAATTCGAGGGTACAGCTGTACTCTGAATCCTCACTGTGAATGTCAACATGCTATCTTGGACTCTGCTCTGTTCTTTTATTCTGTGTAGATGACACTCATACCTGTACCTCCAAACTGACAACTGTGTAATTCTAATTAATAACTCTTACTTACCTTAAAATCTATACATATCTATATATCTAATTTTCTTCACAACCACCGACTTGTCAGTTTCTATCAGTGTTTATAAGAGTAAGTTTTGTTGTAGTATTGTATTCTGTCATTTCAACATTCTCTAAAAGTTAGGCCTCAATTCATAGTTTAATATCTTTTCTATTACATAAACTTTTACATCAGTTGAAGAAAGACTTCCACTTTCAGCCACGATGGAGTAACAGTGACTAAATTAACCCTCCTGACTCAAAGAAATAGAAAACCAGGGAAATATAGATGAAGCAACTGTTTTTAAGACATTAAACTACAGGCAGTACAGAGCCATTACATCTGAGAAAGAAGAGACAAGGAAAGTAAAACATAGGACAGCCAAGCTTTCTGCCTGTAAAACATATTTCAGGTCTAGAGCAGTGTCCGTGGAGTGGGGAAGATATTGCAAACTGAGACAGTGACCCTACTGAGTTGAGGAGATACAGATCAGAGTTCAGAGCATCTGGGGCAGTTGGAATTTGTGTGACAGGTTTCTTGAGACAAGAGAGCTATGCAGACAAAGAACTCTAGAAATCTGCTTTAAAGTCCTTTGAACCTATGCTGATTTCTAAGTCATGTATGCAAACGCTATAATTTCACGAGGCTGGGCAAGAAGTTATTGCAAACTTGTGAACTGAATGATTCCAAGAACTGCAGAAGGCCAAGAATCATTCAAGTTCCTACCAGCAGCAGTGCAGAGTCCAAATTGACTACCTGGAGAATTAAATTTAGGCATCAGAAGGGTGAGCCTTAGTAATGGAGATTAAAGATTCCAATAGGTAAAGGTATTCTGTGACCACCCTAGCAAAAGTTGAAAACAAGGCTTAAGATGATCCAACTAAACCAGAAACAACCCAAATGTCTGTCAAAGAAAAGTATAACACTTCTTTAAAAACAATAATTGGGCCAGGTGTGGTAGTTCACGCCTGTAATCCCTGCACTTTGGGAGGCTGAGGTGGGCAGATGGCTTGAGGTCAGGAGTTTGAGACTAGCCTGGCCAACATGGTGAAACCCCATCTCCACTAAAAATACAAAAAAATTAGCCAAGTGTGGTGGTGCACACCTGTAAATCCCAGCTACTCGGAAGGCTGAGGCAGAAGAATTGCTTGAAGTTGGGAGTCAGAGGTTGCAGTGAGCAGAAAGTGCCCCACTGCATTCTAGTGACAAAGTGAGGCTCTGTCTCAAAAAAAAAAAAAAAAAAAAAAGAAAAAAGAAAAGAGAAAATAGAAGTCATTCAATCACATAAAATACACTATTTTCACCATCACACAAAAACTCCTACAGATCTTAAGAATTGAAATATGACCCATGACCAGAAGAGACATTAAAGATGTTAAAAAATGAATCAAATGGGACTTTTAAAGATAAAAACTGTAATATCTAAAACTTTTTTTTAAATCACTGAATGGTGATGAAACTGCAGAAGAACGAATTTGTGAATTTGAAGTTGTAGAAATAGAGAATATGTAAAATGTAGTATAGGGATAAAACATTGAAAAAATATACAGAGCCTCAGTGAGTTAATATTTAACTCTGTCAAGCCGTTAAACATATATAAATCTGGAGTCTCCAAGGAGCTAGTAGAAAAATATTCAAGAAAATTAATGGCCAAAATATTCCAAATTTGATAAAAATGATAATCCCACAGATCTAAGAATCTCAATGAACCTCAAGCAGAATAAATATGTATATAACCACACCAGACACATCATAATAAAATTACTAAAAACAAGTGATAAAAAGAAAAAATAGAGAGCTGTCAGGCATTGGAAAAAATATCTATATTTTGACACAAAAATGGTGTATAACAGTCAAAGAAATGTTACAACTAAAAAACAAATGACAAGGGAAAATGAATTTTTCAGTGCAAACAAACTGTCTGTTTTTAATTTAGAAGTTTGGATGGAGCTCATGTAAAGTGTCTATCTATGAAAACTCCTGTAAAATAAAAGATAAACTGTAAACTACTGTTGCTGTTGTTCCAAAGAATTTTCTATGATGGTGGAAACATTTGATATCTATACTATCCAAAAAGTTAGTCAATAACCACATGTGACTTTTGAACCCTTCAAATCTGGCTAGTATGATTAAGACACTGTATTTTTAATTTTACTTAGTTAAAATTGAGGCCGTATTTTAATGAATTGCTCTACCCCGAAAGGCTAACAGGGATCTTGCCTTCTAGACATATAGGATAAAAGTAAATCAGAAATACATCTAGCTATTTATGTTTCATTCAAACCTAGAGAACGGCTGTTTTTGGTCCTGAAAACTTAGGAAAGATACAATAGTGTAGCTGTATTTCAGAAGAATAAAAAGTTCAAGTATCTGTCATATGATAACTAATTTAAAAGATTAAGGGTTCATTCCGGAAATATCAGGCTGAGGTGGTAAATGCTCTGTAAAATTATAAAGAAATGTGATCAGAATAAATAAAGCCTTTTAATTTCTATTTGAGAGAGATTTTTACCTTTGGATCCATATATGATACATTTATTATAAATTAAAGGCAGCTCAAAAATGTGCTTTAGATAAAATATTTTTTTGGAGCAGACAAAATCACCAGCTAGTAAACTCTACCATTCTGCTGATTTAGTGGTCTTGAATTTCCATCTAAATGATAGAGTCACTAAGACACTTACATTGTATAAAAAATAAAAAACAGTGTAAAAGTGTTCCTATTTCTCCACATCCTCTCCAGCACCTGTTGTTTCCTGACTTTTTAATGATTGCCATTCTAACTGGTGTGAGATGGTATCTCTTTGTGGTTTTGATTTGCATTTCTCTGATGGCCAGGGATGATGAGCATTTTTTCATGTGTTTTTTGGCTGCATAAATGTCTTCTTTTGAGAAATGTCTGTTCATGTCCTTCGCCCACTTTTTGATGGGGTTGTTTGTTTTTTTCTTGTAAATCTGTTTGAGTTCATTGTAGATTCTGGATATTAGCCCTTTGTCAGATGAGTAGGTTGCAAAAATTTTCTCCCATTTTGTAGGTTGCCTGTTCACTCTGGAACACTTTTACACTGTTGGTGGGACTGTAAACTAGTTCAACCATTGTGGAAGTCAGTGTGGCGATTCCTCAGGGATCTAGAACTAGAAATACCATTTGACCCAGCCATCCCATTACTGGGTATATACCCAAAGAACTATAAATCATGCTGCTATAAAGACACATGCACATGTATGTTTATTGCAGCATTATTCACAATAGCAAAGACTTAGAACCAACCCAAATGTCCAACAATGATAGACTGGATTAAGAAAATGTGGCACATATACAACATGGAATACTATGCAGCCATAAAAAATGATGAGTTCATGTCCTTTGTAGGGACATGGATGAAATTGGAAAGCATCATTCTCAGTAAACTATCGCAAGAACAAAAAACCAAACACCGCATATTCTAACTCACAGGTGGGAATTGAACAATGAGATCACATGGACACAGGAAGGGGAATATCACACTCTGGGGACTGTGGTGGGGTGGGGGGAGGGGGGAGGGATAGCATTGGGAGATATACCTAATGCTAGATGATGAGTTAGTGGGTGCAGCACACCAGCATGGCACATGTATACATATGTAACTAACCTGCACAATGTGCACATGTACCCTAAAACTTAAAGTATAATAAAAAAAATAAAAAAATAAAAAAATAAAAAACAACAACAGAAATATCAAAAAACACCCAGGTGATATGGATTGTCCTTGTGTCCCCACCCAAATCTCACCTTGAATTGTAATAATCTGTATGTATTATGGGAGGGACCCAGTGGGAGGTAATTGAATCATGGGAGTGGGTTTTTTTTTCCCCATGCTGTTCTCATGAATAAGTCTCATGAGTGTGAATAAGTCTCATGAGAGCTGATGGTTTTATAAAGGGAAGTTTCGCTGCACATGCCCTCTTGCCTGCTGCCATATGTCATGCCTTTGCTCTTCATTCACCTTCCGCCATGATTGTGAGGCCTCCCCAGCCATGTGGAACTGCGAGTCCATTAAACCCCTTTCCTTTATCAATTCCAGTCTCAGGTATGTCTTTATTAGCAGCACGAGAATGGACTAATACAGTAAATTGGTACTGGGAGTGGGGTGCTGCTGTAAAGATACCCAAAATGTGGAAGCAACTTTGGCTTCTTGCCTGCCACCATGTAAGATGTGCCTTTGCTCCTCATTAGCCTTCTGTCATGATTGTGAGGCCCCCTGTTTATGTGGAACTGTGTATCCATGGAACTTCTTTCTTTTATAAATTAACCAGTCTCGGGTATGTCTTTATTAGCAGCATGAGAATGGAATAATACATCAAGTATTCATGAGAGTCCACCAGCAATATTAATATATACACTATTCAAAAACCCAGGAAAGGATGAAAGGGAGGCAAAAATGACTAAGAAAGAATGGATCATACACTAAAAGTTATAATCTGCTGAAGTCTAGAGCTATTACTCAAGTGAGTACTTTAAGATAAACCATGGAAAATGCTGCAATAAATACAAACTAAAGTTGTCACTTTTGAAAGAGAAAGTGATCATATCCAGTTGAAAAATATCAGAGAAAATCTCTTAAAGTGAGTGATATTTGAATTAAACAATATTATAAAAATTTTCCTTTCTAGGCCGGGCGCGGTGGCTCACGCCTGTAATCCCAGCACTTTGGGAGGCCGAGGCGGGCGGATCACGAGGTCAGGAGATCGAGACTATCCCGGCTAAAACGGTGAAACCCCGTCTCTACTAAAAATACAAAAAATTAGCCGGGCGTAGTGGCGGGCGCCTGTAGTCCCAGCTACTTGGGAGGCTGAGGCAGGAGAATGACGTGAACCTGGAAGGCGGAGCTTGCAGTGAGCCGAGATCCCGCCACTGCACTCCAGCCTGGGCGACAGAGCGAGACTCCATCTCAAAAAAAAAAAAAAAAAATTTCCTTTCTATCATTTTGTGTATAAAGCATTAAAGATATAAAATATTTTATTAAGAACCCGCTGAAAATAGAGGTCACATGATAAATTTCACAGTAAACTGATTAATGTAAGAGATTTTATAAATAAAAATAGCTTAAAATACCACTAAATGGAATCTAGAAATATTTTAAAAATTAGGCAAATGATAGTATTTCCTTCAACAGCTCATCAAAATTTATTAAAATTATCGTAAGCAACATAAAAATGAAATTACTGTAGAATAATGGGAATGCATTAATTTTTGTTAGAGCAAATAATGTTAGCTAAGATATCTTAATAGGAGAGACTAGGTTTGAATAGAACAATTAGGTACTAAGAAAGAGGTGTTTTCATCTGGAGATTGAGATTAAGTAATTGGAAAGCAAAAATAAATATATAATTGTAGATAATGTTACAACTATAGTTATAAAAAGTTAATAATTTCTTATTGGTTATTTTAACTACAAAATTGGAAATCAATGGATATTGGTAAGTCAATATTTAAAACTTAGTTGAGAATTTGGAATATTAATAAACTTCCATGTTAAACAATTATTTGTTAAATATAAATTAAATGACTGACATTTTGTAAACAAAGAGTAATAATAAGTGGTAAACTATCTCTTGGGGAACATTTAATGAAGTGCTGAAGATCCAAATGTAATTTGGCAGAGGGTTCTATTCTATAAGGAACCATCACCTTGGTTCATAAGGGGGTTAAACACATTCATGCAGATGAAACAACACAACTGGCTGGGTCAGGCCAAAAATAGAGAATAAATAACCAATGGAACAAATAACCAATGGAACTCCTTTCTATGTTGATGTATTAGTCTGTTCAGATTACCATTTTTAAAAATGCCATACTGAGTAGCTTAAATAACAGAAATTTATTTCTCACAGTTCCTGAGGTTGGGAAGTCCCAGATCAAGCTGACAGCCAATTTGGGTTCTGGTGACAGCTCTCTTTCTGACTTGCAGATAACTGCCTTATCACTGTGTCTGACATGTAAGAGAGAAAGAGCTCTGGCCTCTCTTCCACTTCTTATAAGGGCACAATTCCTATTATGGGATCTTCACGCTCATGACCTCATCTAAACCAAATTATCTACCAAAGGCCCCACCTTCAAATATCATAACATTAGGGGTTAGGGCTTCAATATATGAATTTTGAGGAGACATATTTCAATCCACAGCAGTTCATATTATCCAACAGTAAGAACCCACTTTTCGTTTTGAAGCTTTGGGGAAATGGAATAAGCTCCCTCTGAGCCATAAGAGGCAATGTGATTGTTGCTATATTTATTCTGTGAGGGCTCGTGTAAACCAGTGGTCCCCAAACTGTTTGGCACCAGGGACTGATTTCATGGAAGACAATTTTTCCATAGGATGCAGGTGGTGGGACAAGGGTGAGAGATGGTGAGGTGGTTTCAGGATGAAACCATTCCACCTCAGATCATCAAGCATTAGTTAGATTCTCGTAAGGAGCACGCAACATAGATCCCTCACATGCATAGTTCACAATAGGGTTCACACTTCTATGAGGATCTAATGCTACTGTTGATCTGACAGGAGGCAGAGTTCAGGCAGTAATGGTGCCTCACCGGCCACTCACCTCCTGCTGTGCAGCCCTGTTCTTAACAGGTGACAGACCGATACCTGTCTGGAGCCCAGGGATTAGGGACCCCTATCTAAAGAATGTCTATGTATCCAATCACTAAGATCACATAAAATATTCCGATGAAATTTTTACAAAGAAGAAAAGTTAAATATCAATTTTAAAAATAAAAGAGACTTAAAGAAGTAAGATCATACGGTGGTATCACTAAGAAGTATTCATTTCAAGAGATTCTCCTAAAGTACATTCATATTCTCTCCATATTCTCTGGAATGTGACCAAACTGATATAATTCTAGGAAATGTAGCACATGTGATAATCTGAAAAGCATTTTTCCTCTGCAAAACAAAGCTTAAATCATACATATTGTCTAAATACACTGACCGCAATTATGCTTCCATAACTTTCCGCTCATCAAGATGACCTAGTAAGAAGATAGTTTTGAGTTATATAGAAAAGTCAAATGAACAATAATTAGACTTTTTGTTTTGTTTTACTGCGGGAAATAGATCAGTCAAGGTCAGTACCCACTTGTGATATAAGGATCTTGAGAAATGAAGCAATTAATAAACAAGCTTCCTTTAGTGATTGGTGATGTTGTGACTGGTGCTATGTCTACACTATCAGGGTTTGTGCACCAAGCACAGATGCAACCCTGTGTCACTGATTGCTATTTGAATCATATTTGGCAGAGGGCCGAGGACCATGGGACTCCATTACATTGTTTGGTGACTGGTCAGCAACATCCTGTAAAAATCAAAACCCATTTGGAAAGATCCCTTACTGGGCTGAGACTGGGAAGTCAGACTAAAGTGGAGAAGAAGAAATCAGTGACACTTTAATTCTTTATTCATATCATCCCCTTGTTTTAGTGCCTGTTGTAGACATTGCTAAAAGGGGTTCCATTTAGGAGATTTCTCATTTTAAAAGAAGGTCTAGAAGCCATTAAAACTATCTCAAAAATAATTCTGAAATGCTTAGTTTATATTTAATAAGCACAAAACACTTAGGGTATATCTGCCATTGGTCTAAGTGATTATGAAATACTCATTCACTTACAGCAGTGAGGGAAGGGTTTCACTTCTTTTGTTTCCTCTGGGATCTGGATTATTTTCAAATAGTGTTCTAAGTTACTTAGAGAAGACACCAATCACTACAGAACCCAAGGAGTCTACAATGAGGGACTTATTTACTGCCAAACCTATTTATGTCATGTTGAGAATAGCTACAAACTGCTAAGACTTTGTGATTTATATGATTCATATTAAGAGAGAGGATGGCCGTTTAAAAAGTATCCTGAGAATGCCCAGAAACTGTTATCATTTTTCTTAAATTATAAGATCCGCAAATCTACAAACTCCAGCTAAATTTCCCTAAAATATGTAAAATAGAGTATATGACATATAACTGTATATTCACCTTCTTCTGTTACTTAATAATAAATGGTATGACAGTTCACATTAATGAACTTGAACAAAGCAAATCTGGAGAGTCAAGGCAAAAGCATCATTATATTCATTTATAATTGATGTAGTATATGAAGACAGCAATGTAGAAAGAATAAGAAGACTGTTCTTGTATATTCACTGGAATCAAACTCTGCTGTATCCCTCTTATTCCTCCACTGAATAAAACATCTTTCTCCATTTTAAAACTCTCTGTCACAAAGAGCTAAATTGCAGGAGGTAAACATTGTCATGCCCACAGGAGAAATTCACTCAGTCCTAGTTAATAGGTCCATTCTATTCTTGTCCTCTTTGTTCAAACTGTCAATCATGACAGCTCCCTCAGGAGTTAAGATCGCTAAGTGATTTCATGTAGGCTACTATACTGGCCACAGAGATGCACAACTTTCAGTCATTACTGATGCAGCTTTGGAAGACTGGCCCTAAAGTGAAAGGTCTTAAATCCCATAATCAATCCCCTGAAATTTCTTGAATTCTTCTAAGATAAAAATAAACGTGCTACAATAGATGCAATGGTGAATTTCTTCCTACCAACTTGAATGTTTGGAGTTGCATTAGGCAGCAAACAAAAATGATACAGTGAAAATGCCTACTGTATGTCTAGATAAGATAAAGTTCCTTTTTACACATTCCTTAAATTCAACTGCTATGACTGTAGATGCAATGTCATAAATGATAGCATCTAGCAATGCATTATTGCAAATACTGACTTAGAATGTAATTTCTCATTGGTAAAATAAATCTTATTCCTATTGATGCAATAGTCTATCATGATATCCATGAGTGAGTTTCCACTTCTCCCTTCCCCTTAGCTATAGAAAGCAGAATTTCCCTAAAACTTTGGAAAATTCTAAGAAATGTAGAAATTAAAAATTATGGATGCTTTTTCTCTAATAAAAGCTAATGTTTAAGCTTAGTCAAGGTTAAAGTTTGCTAAGATCTTACTCCAGAAATAATAGTAAGGAGATGGTTGACTATAGGTATAACTATACCACTACGTCTTAGTTCACTAGACATTTGTTGTCTCCACTTAGGCCTTAGACTTTGCACTAGATTTTAATGTTAGCATAAATAGTATAACATAGAAGATTTTCAAACTTCGGAGAATAAGTCTACCTTAGTTTTTTAGAATGTTTAACCATTAGAGTTATGCCAACAAGGATTCCAGGCTCAGAACTACTTCTTTTTAGCTGAGTAACTTTTGGCAGTTATTTAGGCTCTCTGATCTTGAGATTCCCATCTTTATTTTAAAAATGGTGATAGAAACTATGAATATGATTTTTAAGAAATTTAAATGAGATGCACTAAGGTACTAAGCACAGTATTTGGCATATAAGAGGTAATTTTAAAATATTAGCTTAGTTATTATTCAGAATACATGGATAAGTTAGAAATTCATGCCCTAGACTATTTTTCTTCAGTGGAAATGTTTTCAGGTACATTGAGTTTATCCAAGGACGTTTTACATCTCCCTTTTGAATACTTCCACATTCTCAGGCAATTTTCCAGCAATCTGATAACTTCTCTGAAGCTGAATTTGGACTTTGATTACTAGTGCTTTACATAAGTTCCTTCCCAGATGCATTTGCTGGTTCCTTTGGATATATGACACAGCCTCTAGTATTTTATCTGATATAATTTTAATGTTGAAGTAAGCATGTTGGTCTCAACAGTTTCTTGTGGATCAACATTGCTGGAGAGTGTTTTAATTCACAAATGACATATAACAGCCTTGGTTGATATTTACCTTGTACTCAGGAGCAGTTGTGATTCTACAGGTATCTTTCCTTCAGTATTATGACCTAGCCTTTGGGTATCACCAGCATATACATAATCAAGTTATGATGTTATATAAGCTTTGGTGTTTGTTATGGCCCATATATATACTCTCAGGAATGACTTCCATATTTTATGCATATTCTCTTTGACTCCTTGATTTTGCAAGCAAATCCTGTGATAGCTTGCATTGGGGCCAGAATGACTGCATGGATCTATGATTCAACTGGAGTGTATATTTTATGCACTCAGGTAACAGTGTTTGGCCAGTTATCTTTTTGAGAATTTATGTCAGAAATTTCTTCTACAAATTTGATACCATTACAATACAAATAATGAGACAGTCTGTAGGGTTAATACTCAGGAGAGGTCAGATTCCAGAGATTGGCCAATTCTATGCAGGCTGTTTTATTTTTGCAGAAATATTCAATGTATGTCTTATTAACTTCAACGCTGATGAGACAGAAAGTAGTATTCAAACAGTAAATTACACTCACACACTGATATGGCTGGCTTTTAATTTACAAATATCGGTATTAAAATAAGAAGATAGAATACCCATATCAGCTCTAGACCTCTCAGCAGAATAAGAAACCAGAATCCCCAGCTGAAGAGAGATCCACCCTGAACAGAGACAGATACCCTCTTGCATTGGGATATCTTAATGCAGACTTGATAACCAGGGATGTTCACCCCAGCAAAGTGGAGAAAGGTGTGAAGTCTCCTGCTTATATTTAAGTTCATTTATCCTTTCTTCATATTAAAAATACAACTTTGCTTGGTTTGTTGATATCAATTTTGGTCCAATAGAGTTGTCACCAAAGAGTTTCAAAATGAACTTCATACATAAATTATTCTTACAGTACTATATTATTATTTAAAATGCTTCAAACTGTAGTGCTTAAATATATTATACAGCTCTAAAAACGAGCCACAAAGTAGCTTCTTCAGACTAGGGTTTCATTTATGAAATTTAAATATATGGATTTGGCTTTTAATTAAGGAAATATTATACAAAAAAAAGTAAAATACTTCTGGTGTATATCTCTCCACTTATGCATATTAGGTATATTATTTTTCTTATTAAGTGCATGGATGAAATATATTATAAACTCTATGTGTATATGTCATACACATTTTAACCCTGTGATATAATTTAGCTCATGGTTTTGAACATATTAGATATTAATTATTGCTGAGTTCATTAAATGTGTTTACAACCATCTAAAATGTATGACTGGAAACCCAGATGTCTACTATTATTTTTAGTTCTTATTGATATTGCCAATTTGAATTAACTATATCCCCACCCACCTCTCCCACTCTCAGCCCCACCCCACACCGCCCCCTACCCTGCCCCCGACCACCACAAACCAGGCAAATAGCATCTGGAATATATTCTTTTTATCATTTGAGATAATCTTATAGCAACAGCATTCACTGGTAAATCCATTGCCTTTAATAATCATACGATGAATTTTGTTGAGAGTCAAAATTCCGAACAGGAGCAATCACAGATTCTACCAGAGGAGAAATCTTTCTGGTAGGTTAACATTTGTAAAAGGATCTGTCATACCTCTTGGGCTGGAAAAATATTTTTTTCTTTTCCCTGTTGTGTCAACTGAAAATTTATTCCATTTTTAGACAGAGTATATTAATAATTTTTTTTGTACTATACATGCAAAGATGGTAATCACTGTCCTTTCTGGCAAGACCAACAATCTAAATCAAATAGAAGAGACTATGTAAATTAAATGGATTGAAAGACACCATCTAGAAGATATTATCACATTTCTGGAAAGAGCAGGAGCACAATTTTGAGAATCAGAGATTCAGAGATATGTAAAAAATAGTTTTGACTACTGTTGTTAATGGTGTTATTTTAAGCCTTTTCACAAATTTTAGGAACCACATTGAAAGGAATATATGCTGTGGTACTGAATTAAGGGATATGTAATTCCTATTTCAAATGAATCTCATTTTAAGACAGTATATATAACATTCCTCCACGCAAAAACATGCTAGTGCCCACTATATACAATATAATTAATTACACAGGAAAATAGAGCTTTTTAAAAAATTAGACAGGGAGTGATTCCCTTCATGCATAAAGAAAAAGCCTGTATTTTACTAAAGTATATTTAGAAATAATCACTGTCACTATGTAGCTATTTTCTAGGTGAACACTGTGAAGTTTATTTGGTAAAATAAAGTGGAATATTGCTTAGGGTCGTAAACATAAACAGTAATGACTTTAACTTTGCAGAGATTTATACAGAAAAACACAATTATTGCAACTACATAAGTAGATTTTATAGGCTTGAGAGACCAGAAGCCAAACTGATTTTTAAAAGAGTGCTGATACTCTCTAACCTACTGCATACTCAGCAGGCATTATTTGTAGTGTTATCTGATTATCTCTAAGGTTCTATAAAACACTTTACCTATAACAGCCACTTCTAGGGAACCAACTGCTAGAACTATAAGAGCTCTCTAGAGGACTTTCTCATCTTTAATAATACTAGCACCTGCAAAAACCTATTACTGGGGTGGCCCACACCTACAAGCAACAATCCACATACAACACAAAGTCTACTCACAATTCGGGCTAAGGGCACATAATGACTATTCTTAGATTGAGAATAAACTGATGCTGCTATATGTGTCTCTTCAAAATTTGTATGTTGGAATTTAGACCCGTATGTGGTAGTATTAACAGGTGTGTCCTTTAGGAGGTGATTCATGAGGCAGAGCTCTCATGAATGGAATTAGTGACCTTGTGATATAGTTGGAAGGAACAAACTAGACCCTTTTGCTTCTCTCTCTTTTTCACTGTGTGAGTACACAACTTTCAAGGTGCCATCTTGGAAGCAAAGAGTGGGCCCTCAACAGACACAGAACTTGCTGGTTCCCTAATCATGGACTTTCCAGACTCTAAAACTGTGAGAAACAAACTTCTATCATTTATATATTACTCTATCTCAAATACTTTGTTATACCAGCATAGATAGACGGCCACTTACCTATTGTTAAATTTTAAACATATTGGAGACCAAACAAAATGTAACATTCAAAACATCTTAACACATTCATGGTTTTCATGACTCTTCAATGACAACAGATTACTGTGTTATTACTTTTAGAAGTAGCAACACACTTTCTTACTTTGTAAAGCTAAAGTGAGTCAGAAGATCTAGGTGTCACAACATAGGTATTTAGGTATTCCTTTCTTTTCTTTTTTTCTTTCTTTCTTTCTTTTTTTTTTTTTTTTTTTTTTTTTAGATGAAATCTCACTGTCACCCAGGCTGGAGTGCAGTGGTGTGATTTCGGCTCACTGCAACCTCTACCTCCAGGTTCAAGTGATTCTCCTGCCTCAGCCTCCCAAGGAGCTGCAATTACAGGCACACACCACCATGCCTGGCTAATTTTTAATTTTTATTAGAGACAAGGTTTCACCATGTTGGCCAGGCTAGTCTCGAACTCCTGACCTCAAGTGATCCACCTGCCTCGGCCTCCCAAAGTGCTGGGATTACAGGCATGAGCCACTGCACCTGGTCCTATTGGCATTTCTTATCTTCAAAGGAGTTTATTTATAGGTACCATTTCATTCATGTTGTTTCTTCTATATTTTGTATCTTAAGAGTCAATGTTACCTACCTATTATAGTGATTAACAATAGGAAACAATTATAGAATATGCATCTAATTAAAAAAACTAAACGTTTATTTAAATATAACAAGATAATAAAAGTTACAAATGTTAATTAAATGTCAGCAACAAAGTCCATTCCAATGGATTTAAACCTTGGAGTCCTTAATCAAGGTGTAAATTTTTACTTGAGATTACATGTTTATCTCTCATAATTGAATGTGCTTACCAGAGGTTAATATTTCAATTGTGTTATGGCTTTTTCTTAAATAATTTTTGTGTCTAATATTTTTAAAAATTAAAAAAATAAGAACAAGAATCTTAACCAAATCTGACAAATAGCTACAAAAATTGCTAACAGTTTGCTGGATATAAAATCAACTCACAAAAAATCAATAATAACAAACTAGCTAAAAAATAAATCAAAGAAAGCAATAGCATTTATTTATAATAGCTACAAAAAATATTTGGGAATAAATTTAACCAAGCAGGTAAAAGAGTTCTACAAGGAAAAACATCTACTGATGAAAGAAATTGAAGAGAACACACACAAAAAAATGGACGACATTTCATGCTCATTGAATGAAAAGTTAATTTTTAAATGATTATACCACCCAAAGCAATCTACAGTTACAATATAATTTCTATCAAAATACCAATGACATTTTTCACAGAAATGGAATACTAAAATTTATATGGAACCAAAAGAAGACCCTGGATAGCCAAAGCAAACCCGAGAAAAAGGAACAAAGTTGGAAACATCACAGACCTGACTTCGAAATATATTCCAAGGCTATGATAACCAAAACAGCATGGTATTGGTATAAAAACACACATATAGACCAATGGAACAATATTGATAACCCAGAAATAAATCAACATATTTATAGCCAATTGACTTTCAACAAAGGTGCCAGAACATACATTGGAGAAAGTACACCCTCTTCAACAAATGGTGCTGGGAAAATTGGACATCCATATGCAGAAGTATGAAACTAGACCCGTCTATTATCATACACAAAAATAAACCAAAATGGATTAAATAAATATATGTAAAACTGAAACTATGAAACCACTTAAAGGAAACATAAGGGAATCACTCCTGGACATTGGTCAAGGCAAATATTTTATGGCTAAGACCTCAAAAGTACAGGCAACAAAAACAAAACTAGACAAATGGGACTATATTAAACTAAAACGCTTCTGCACAGTAAAGGAAACAATTAACAGAGTGGGGAGACAATCTGTTGAATGGGATAAAATCTGACAAGGGACCAGTATCCAGAATATACAAGGAATTTAAACAACTTAATAGCAAAAAGAAAACAATCACATTAAAAGGGAAAGGATCTGAATAGACATTTATCAAAAGAAAACCAAAAAAATGGCCAGTAGGTATATGAAAAACATTCAACATCATTAACAAGAAAATGCAAATCATAATCATAATGAGATATAATCTTACCTAGTTAGAATGGCCATTATCAAAAAGATAACAACAATAACAACAACAAAAAATAGATGCTGATGAAGATGTGTAGAAAAGGGAACTCTTATACACTATTGGGGGGAATACAAATGATTATATCCATTATGGAAAATAGTACAGAGATTTCTCAAGAAACTAAAAATAGAATGACCATATGATCCAGCGATCTCACTAGTAGGTATTTATAGAAGGAAAAGGAATTCAGCATATCAAAGGGGAACCTGTATCCCCACGTCTACTGCAGTGCTATTCACAATAGCAAAGTTATGGAATCAACCTAAGTGTCTAGCAAGAGATGAATGGATAAAGGAAATGTGGTGTACATACGCAATGGAATACTATCTAGCCATAAAAAGGATGACATCTTGCATTTGCACAGCATGGATGGAGCTAGAGGTCATTATGTTAAGTGAAATAAACCAGGCCTAGAAAGACAAATATTGGATGTTCTCACTCATACATGAGAGCTAAGGGAGGTAGAGAGTAGAATGATACTTACCAGGGACTAGGAAGGGCATATGTGGGTATGGGGAGAGGTGAGATGAAGAGAGGTAGTTCACTGGATACAAGCATACAGTTAGATAGAAGGAAATTCTAATTATTGATAGCACAGTAGAATGACTATTATAAACAATAACATATTGTAAATTTCAAAAGAGCTAGTAGAAATGATTTCAAATGTTCCAAACTCAAATTATATATGCTCCAGGTGATGGATATTCTAAATACCCTGAATTGATGATTAAACATTGTACACATGTATCAAAATATCACATGTACCCCATAAATATGTACAACTACCATGTATAAATAAAAAATAAGAGAATTCTAACACTTATTGAAAATGTACTATGTGCCAGGCATTGTTGTAATAACTTGACATTATTAATTCACTTAATTCTATACCTATTATGCATGAATGCAAACTGAAGATATTTCAAGCAAATGCCTAAGTTTAACTCCAGCAATTCAGCTTGAGAGTCTGATATTCTGTCTCACTAGAAGCCTAAACTTTAAGCACATCTTTGATAAGCACAGTGCTTGCTATTTCCCATGGTAAAAGAAGAAAATTGATGCCTGAAAGCAGAATAAGTTGTTGAATTCATGGAAGTAGAGTAGAAGGATGGTTACAAGAGGCTTAAGGGCTAGGGAAAAGATAGAAATGGAGAGCTGTTTATCAAAGGGTAAAACGTTTCAGATAGACAGGAGAAATAGGTTTTGAGATCTATTGTACAGCAGGATGACTATAATAAATGATTGTATATTCCAAAATAAGTAAAATTCAAATGTTTCAGCATAAAAATGATAGGTGAGTGAGGTGATTGATCTATTAATTAGCTTCAGTTAATCATTCCACATTGTATACATATATCAAAACATCACAAGCTTCCCCATAAATTTATACAATTATGGTTTTTTTTTTTTGAGATAGTTTCACTCTTGTTGCCCAGGCTAAAGTGCAATGGTGTGATCTCAGCTCACCGCAACCTCCACCTCCCAGGTTCAAGCAATTCTCCTGCCTCAGCCTCCAGAGTACCTGGGACTACAGGCATGTGCCACCAGGCACAGTTAATTTTGTATTTTTAGTAGAGATGGGGTTTCTCCATGTTGGTCAGGCTGGTCTTGAACTCGTGACCTCAGGTGATCCGCCCACCTCGGCCTCCCAAAGTGGTGGGATTACATGCGTGAGCCACCGTGCCTGGCTGAAGCTGGTATGTTTTTGATCAGAGCATGGTGAAAAATTGCTACCGAGGATTTCTTGGAAGCCATAAGCAAGTTGTACATAATGTATGTGATATGATACTCCAGGGTTTTAGACACTTTGTGGAGTATTGAGACTCACAGATGGACACATATCAAGTAAAGCTACATTAAATTTCAGATTTAGTTAGCTAAGGATAACAAATCAGTGCAGAGGAGTTGAAATTAAAAATACAGTATTTAAATTTGCCATAGGGATCGCTTCTCAGCCTTTTGGCTAAGATCAAGTGTAAATTTACCATAGGTATAAATCGAACAAAATATGTATACAACTTATATGATAAAAGCCACAAAATTCTGATGAAAGAAATCAGAGATGATCTAAATAAATGGAGAAATATTCCATGTTCATAGATATTGCCAAGATACCAACTTTTCCCAACTTTATCCATAGATTCAATGCAATCTCAATAAAAATTCCAGGAAATTACTTTGTGGATATCAACAAAATGATTCCTAACTTTACATGGAGAGGCTAAGTTCCCAGAATGGGCAACCTAATATTGAAGAACAAAGTTGGAAGGGACACAACCCAACTTTGAGACTCAATATAAAGCTACAGTAATAAAGACTGGTATTGGCAAAAGAATGGAGAAATAGCTTAGTGGTACAGAATAGAGAGCTCAGAAATACACCCATATGAACACAGTCAACTGATCTTTGAAAAAGTAGCAAAAGCAAAACTATAGACCATAACATAGTCTTTTTAATAAATGGTTCTGGAATAACTGGACACCTACATACAAAAAATGAATCTAGACAAACACTTTACACCCTTTATAAAAATTAACCCAGAATGGATCCTTGACCTAAATGTGAAATGGAAAACTATAGAACACCTAGAAGACAACCTAAGATGAAATACAGATGGCCTTGGATTTGGTGATGACATTTTAGATGCAGCACCAATGGCACGATCCAGGAAACAAATAACTGATAAGCTGAGTTTTATTAAATTTAAAAACCCCTACTCTGCAGAAGACATTGTCAAGAGAATGAGAAGACAAACCAAAGCCTAGGATAAAATGTTCGCAAAAGTCTGCAATTCCATCATGCAATTATGGCCTCATACAGCAGTACAATTTATTTCAAAATTTCAATATTGGAGGATTTGACAAGGGTTCAGAGCATCATAAATGCATTTAATCAAGGGATATTTTTCTCATTCTCAGAAGATTCTTCTCTTTGAGGCACCCCATTTTTCTACAAAGACACATTGAAAATAAGGGAAAAAAATTGCTACCCAGCAAATTAAATCAAATGCATGAACCCAAGTGGTCTATACATCAAAGAATGTGTTCATCCAGGCAGATATTCCCTTACTTCAATAAACGTAGTACACAATACAAGGTATTATTTTTAGGAATTTCTCTTTCTCCAATAGAATATCTTTTTTGATATAATATGTATGTAGTCAACATGCTTTGTACATTTTTTTAAAGTATACAAACAAGCAAAAGTATAAGCAGAAAAATATTTTTGGAATCGCAAATTTAGTTATTCAAGAAACAGTCATTATGTTCATTTACATATTAATGATTATTCATTCCTTTCTAAAAACCTAGTGACAATTAATCCTTCAATTCTATAAAAATATACACGACTTTTTGAAAAGATTGTTTTTATTATAATTTTTATAATGCATCATCAGCCTGGTATAAGGGGAATAGCAGAAGTCTGAGAATCATAATCTAAGGCAAAATGTTTAACAACGTTGTATTCTCAATTTCCTCCAAGTAGAAATGGTTAACACTTTTTTTGATAAAACCCAATCATAAACGCTTGGAAAAATTCATCTTTTTTTAAAAAAATATATATATGTATATAATTTGTGCAGTACTTGGCATGCAGTACTAACTTAAGAAGTTTTAATAATCAGCATATATGCCACACTACAGATCCTTTCAAGATTTTTAATTTAAATTATGTTTTATATTTATATAGCACTCAAATCTTACAAAATACTTCACCATTATTATCTTCTTGATTCTAATAATAACCTCGTGAAGTAGATGGAACTTGTATTGTTGGTGCTGTTTTTTACAGAAAGGAACTAAGGCTAAAATATTTGGAGATATTGATCATCCAGCTAAAGGGCTAAGTCCAAGACCAACTAAGACCTAACTTAGCACTTACACAGCCTTCCTATGTGTGATGCAGCTTAGTATAAGCCATAGGGTTAACTCAATCACTGTTTGCTAAGGATAGTCTCAAGCACTTGAGGGGGATGAGTGTTTATCCTGTTTATAAATTAGAGATCTTATTTTTTTTCAAGGCATGTGAACTTGAACAACACATGCTATTATAATTCAAATCTGAGGGATAATAATCTCTAAAAAATAGTCTCTTTGAAATACTGTAAGACCTTTACATGTGTCTAATATAACTTCTTTTATTCTTTTCTAATTATTTCCCTTTACAATGATAGTGAAAAGAACATATTGACTCTAATGCATCAAGTTAACAAGTGTTTATTTCGATTCTTTGACATAGACGCTTAGATATGTCAGTCATTTATCTACTTCCAGCTATCAACTCATTAAATACATACTTAATTTTCCTCCTTCAGAAAGGATTAGCAATGTATTTAGGGTCTGCCAGAACAAAAGGCTACAACTGTCTTTCAGCTAATTGTGAAATGTACTGTCCTCAGGACCTAATAATCACTGTATGAAATGTAAACTCAAATAAACTGCTTGTAATTATTGACAACAGTGTCCACAGCCATTGGCTAGTGCAAACCTCTGTGGATACAAGGTGAGATCTTCTCAGTGCCAAACATGTGCTCTGCCTTTGGAGGGAAAAATAAACCTCTGTTAGCTATAAAGTCATTTGAGCTTATCTCCTGTGTCACAGAGCAACAAGGAGCAAACAAAAACTCTACGTGCTTAATGAGACTTGACAATTTATACTTGATGGCAAATTAATATACTTCGTACTTAGGTAGACCTTTTTATTTCCTCCTAATTGCAACATACTAACCAGATGCTACAGCCTGACTTTCAGACTAAAAGCCTGATCGTTTATCTCACCGAACCACAATTTCTGGGCGTTGTCTTACTTTAGAACTGCATACCTACTGAATTCATAATTATACTTTGGTATCTAGTAATTAAATAATTAATTATAGTAAAATGGGTCATGCATGGACCAATGATGTTCATGTTTCACAAACCCAGAATTATTATGAATTTAATTCTGTGTACCTGCAGTCAATAAGAAAAAATCAAAAGAGAAACTTATGCACAAATAATTGTAGTTTTATATCTGATGGACAAATAGGCTTTGGTGATAGTATCCTAGTAACTGCAGAATTTGTTGTTGTTTAAGAAAAGGAGATGGGGCAGGAAAAGTGCAGAGTAGAAACAGTGGTGAACAATAAAAACTCTACTATTGTCAATTTACCAGGTCAATAAAAATGATTATAGTAAGTTCTAGGCACTTTGTGAAAGTACATATGGTACTTTCTAGGTAAGTGCCAGCTAGATGACAGTCTTACTCTGATTACATAAATACATACAATTTATGGTTAAATTGGGCTGTGCCGTGACAGGTTTCAGATGTAAAAACTTTCATTACCTTTGTTACCTTCAGAAGAGAGCAAAATATCTGTTATCTGGAAAATTTAAAGTGCACAGTTGCTTAGGCTTAAAGGGGTCAATCAAAAAAATAATATTTCAACCAGGTAAAATTTTACTTGTATTCTAGTTCAACTAAACTATTTAAAATAAACTCAGTACAGGGATATTATGAAGATTTCTTAATATGCTAAATAATTTAAAATTTATCATATTTTAGATAAAATAAAAAGTAACTCAAAATTAGTCTGTTGTGATATTTTAAAATTATTTTTAAAATTTTTATGATATTCAGAAAAACTAAACACTTAAGTTCCTTTCCATTATTTCATTTAGAACAACTAAATACATTTCCAAGCCTGAAACATCCAATAACCGAATACTTTACAAAATATTTTGATTATTAGCATTTTAGAAAACAGTAATTTGAATTATAAACTTCATAGTAATTATATTACAGAAAGCAAATTTAGAAGAACTTCATTTTTCTATGAATTAACTTATGGATGTAATCACAGAATATTGATATCATAGAACCTGGAATCAGGTGGCCTTGGTTCAAATGACAACAATGTACTCTATAAGCTGTGCGTCTTTATGAAAGTTATTTAACTTTCCTGATCTTCATTTACCCTATTTGTAAAATATAATTGGGATAATGGTATCACTTTCTTTATAAAGCTGCAGTGGAGATGAAGGCAATTATTATAAAACCTGGGTAGCTGTAACACTGAAAATATTACTGACAGCATGGTGACCTAGTTAGAAAACAGGGAAAAGTAATTATGATGCTTAGAAATAAACCAGAAATTCCAGAGAATGGTATTCTAATGTCGTGATCAATTTAATCGGTGTTAGGTTTGTCAATCCTACCATTACAATACTAATTATGGAGTTCTATTTCACAGTACACTAGCATGTGTAAGGAAAGTACAAAAATCAGAAAAACTTAGCACACATGGTATTTAATATGAGTAAAAATGACAAAATAAATCAAAAGTCACCCTATACCAGGTAATATGCCAACATTTTTATGAAATTTATATCTTTAACCTTACCATCTAATAATATTATTAAAATTTTAATGCTTGCTCGTCTAGCTTGCTATTCTAACTTCTAGCATGCTATTCTAACTTTACCATTTAAAAATATGTCTAATCACATGCAGTTTTAGATTGTTTCCATTTAATATTAAATCATCGAAAACTACCTATTGGGTTCTATGCTCCCTACCTGGGTGATGGAATCATTCATACCCTAACCCTCAGTGTCGTGCAATATACCCATGTGACAAACTTGCACATGTATCCCCTGAACCTAAAATCAAAGTTGAAATTTTAAAAATATATAAAATGTTCACATTATTCTGTATGTGTTTTTATTTTAGTTATTTCCTTTCCTCTAAATATTTTTAACCAACAAAAATAACACAATTTATTGTTGGTAAATAATATGTATGGCAACACAGAAAATGTATAAATAAAAATGACTCCTTCCAATACTAACATGCCTCTCTCCTCCCCAGATTAAAATATGAACTGAGTATTTGTTTATCTTGTTTGAAGCACATATAAACATAAAGGAGCATGTATAAGAAGGTATCAAATTTTAAGGCAAAAATTTGTCACATAAGGAAAATGTTTCTGGAATCTCAGAGCCCAGATCAAACTGTGATATGAGAAAGAAAATGAACTGGATACTAAACCGAGGTAAGGTGCAGATTGATGGCAAATAGGAATCTCAGGATGCTGAAAAGATGGAGGCAGGTGTATTGTTCGTGCACTCATGGCATCTGACTCCCCTTTCTGCCCTAAGATGAGAGTGAAGTATTGCTGATACTAAATTTGGGACACAAGCAAGACAGCCCAATATCTGTAACATTCCCATACACAGCATCACTTAGATGGATGGTTTAAATTCTTCCCCATTGGTGACTTACATGTTGAGAAAAATAGGGGTGCGGGCGTAGCAATAATTGAGCTTTTTCAATCTCCCAGCTTGTGACCCTGGGGCCAAGAGTATACATACTGAAGTATTCTGCCTTTACTCCTCTGCACTGATTTGTTATCCTTAACTAACTAAATTTGAAATTTAATATAGCTTTACTTGGTATGTGTCCATCTGTGTGTCTCAACACTCCATAAAGTGTCTAAAACCCTGGAGCATCATATCACATACATTATGTACAACTTGCTTACATTACTTAACAATGTAATATGGACATCTTTTCAGGCTACTGCACAGTTACTCATTCTTTTTAAATCTTGCCTTTTTCCTATAAGAGATAAAATATTATTTGATTAGCCATTCCCTATGTAACCACCATGGAAACTGTTCTTGATTTTTGCCAGCAGAATTAATATTTTTAGAATATTTGACATGTATATTAATATGTTGGCCTTTTATTTATGTACAAAAATTATCAAAAGTAATTATAGGGTAAAGTTATATGCACAGTCAAAATGTTATTAGATGCTGCTCTCTTAAATTCCAAAATTATTATTATTCATAGCATTTCACAGTTCCACGAAAATTACATGAGGGTACCAATTTCCCCATTCCCACAAAAGTATTCAATATGAACAAAAATTTAGTTTCTATCAATCTGATTGGTGAAATGAATAGGTCATTGTTATTTCCTTTTATATTCTTCTATTAAACATATTTAACCTCATCTCTTTAGTATCCATTTGCTTTTCCTTCTTTTTTGAATTGCCTGTTAAACAACATTTACCTATTTTAAAACTTTATTTTTCCTATCAATTTTAATGTTGTTCTTTATAGTAACTATTTTATTTTAGTTAAGTATCTCCCAGGATTCTCTCTCTTTCCTTATGGTGACTTTCATCTGCAAGGAATTTATATTCCCAAGCAATCAGGTATGGTCATCTTTTTCTTTAAATCACCTGGATTTCATGTCTGTCTGAATTAATATCCCTATATTTTTTCTAATATTTGATTATTTTGTCTTTACTTTTGGATCTTTATAATCTTCTCTATATTTTTGGTTTGTTTTCATTTTTTTTTCTTTGAGACAGAGTCTTGCTCTGTTGCCTAGGCTTGAGTGCAGTGCAATCTTGGCTCACTGCACTCAAGCCGATTCTCCTGCCTCAGCAGGAGATCATCAAGCCGATTCTCCTGCCTCAGCCTTCAGAGTAGGTGGGATTATAGGCACCTGCCACCACGCCTGGCTAATTTTTGTATTTTTAGTAGAGATGTGGTTTCACCATCTTGGCCAGGCTGGTCTTGAACTCCTGACCTTGTGATCCACCCTCCTTGGCCTCCCAAAGTGCTGGGATTACAGGTGTGAGCCACCATGCCCGGCCTTGCTTTCATTTTCTATAGGCTTAGAAATAAAATTGATTTCTGACAGATGGCCCAATATTTCAATGTTATCTATTAACAATATTATTTATTCTATTGAAAAGAAGTGAAGTGGGTATGAATGGTGGCTCATGCCTGTAATCCCAGTGCTTTGGGAAGCCAAGGTGGGAAGATCCCTTTAAGCCAAGACTTTGATACTAGCCTGGGCAACATAGTGATACCCTGTCTGTTAAAAAAAAAAAAAAAAAAATTAGCCAGGCATGGTGGTGTGTGCCTGTAGTTCCAGCTACTTGGGAGTCTAAGGCTGAGGCTGAAGAATCCCTTGAGCTCAGGAGTTTGAGGCTGCAGCGAGCTATGATCCTACCACTGCACTCTAGCTTGGGTAACACAGCTAGATCCTGTCTCTAAAAAAAGAGAAAGAAAAGTAATGAGTGAGGCCCTTTTTGCCTTTTTACATATTAAAAACTCACATAGATTTTGCTCTGGAATTTTTAATACTTATCAGTATATTTTTCTCTATTCCCGTGCCAATATTTCTTCTTATTCCATTACTAAAACTGATTATTCAAATGATTCTCCAGTATTTTTCCTTTCAAAACCTTCTTTCGGGTTTATTCTTCAAATTATACTCTAAATTATTTTTCCTTTTTTTTTTTTAAAGAGTGGGTCTTTGATTGAAGCAGAAATAAATATATTAATTAAAGTAAAAGGGCATTTCAATACTATTAAGTATGTCTATACAGCAAAATTTATCAAGCCATTATTTAGGTAATTTTACAATACTCGATGAAATTCCAAGTTTTTATGAACAAATTAACTCCAATAAATAGTAGTTGGTATAATTTTTTTTCTGTTTTGTTTTGTCTCATTATAAATTCATATTTGCTTATTCATGGAGATTGGGAAAACTGAAAACACACAGGAAGAAAAATAACCTCAAGACAAATATAATTAACTCTTGTCATATTTTCTTTCCAATTTATTTCTTAGTCATCTTTTTACAAAGAAACCTTTTTTATTCTATTTTTTATAGGTTTATCTCCTATCACAAGCATTTAATTATTATTGGACATTTAGAGTTGCTTATTTTTCTCCTGTTGCAAATAGCAATTAAGTATAAATCTTGGTTTTTTAGTCTCAGAATTTGTTCTCAGAATAAAAAGAACTTGGTCAAGGGATGCTTGGGATTTATAGACTTTCTTCTTCATGCAGAGTGAGACTACATCTGATGTTTCTTCTAAAAGTAGCCAGTTGTTCTAGCACTACTTATTGAATAATTATTTGATCAGTTAATGGACTGCAATGTATCCCACAAGATATTATATAGTCATAGATATATATACACACACATATATGTAAAGATTATGCTAATTGTCATGTACACATATATGTATCTGTGTAAACGTTTATTCTTCTTACTGAAATTCTTTCAAAATAGCATATAGAAATATAACTATTTACTCTTAAAAACTTTAGAATCATTTGTCATTTGCCAAATTGTCAAAAAATGGTATTTTGATTGGATTGTTATATAAATTACAAAATAGTTTGTGAAAAAAATCTACACCTTTACAATAATCAATTTTGTCTTCTGGAAAAGTGGCTACTATATTTTCAATGGTCTAAGGCTTCATGTTTCATTCTTGAGTAAAATTCTATGATTTTTAATATAGATCCCAATTTATTATTTATGAATAACATAATATGATATTATATATAGGCTTAGGATCTATATTATTTATTAATATATTATTTATTAATATAGGTCCTAATCCTGGCTATACAAAAGAACCATCTGAGGAGTTTTTAAAAATTGCCATTTGTGAGCCATCCCCAGAGATATTTCCTAAGAGAAAGAGACAGACAGATAAATGTAGATTTATAAATAAATATAGATTTAAATATAGACATGGGTCGATATAATCTAAATTTCTTGAACACTCATATTTATCCTAGTGATTTTCCAATTTGTATATGTTGGTTTACCAGCTGTCTGCTACAAATAATTGCTCTGAAATATATATTATGTTTATATCTTATGGAAATGACCATGACATCACAGAATATGTCAAATAGGATACATGTGGGTGATTTTTATTGGAATATTACCAACATTTCAGTTTTATAGAGAATTACACTGGCTATTTATTAAAATTAATTGTGTGCATATGTAAGTGTATGTTAAGAAATGTTATTTCTTCTAGTGTTCTAGAAAATCTATGTGGAAAGTTAAATTAGATATGTAATTACATTTGAAGGGCAAACAATACGCATTTTTAAACAATATGTCTTTTTAAATGTTATCTAACTTCGGAGAGCAAAAGAAACACACAATTTACATAGCTGCACTTTCTTAAAGAGTTTCAGAAAATTAACATTTGCTTAGAACTACCTCCTGGTGAACTGCAGTGTTTTATAAAAACAATAACTTTCCTACAAACACATACACCCACATATAAAGCACATTTAATGACTATGATAAGAATTCCATATGTAAATGGCGCCATAGATGATGACTTATATGTTACATTCAAGGTTTATTAACATGAATCTCAAAAGTACTCACAGAAATGATCTGATCAAGTTTGAGAGCCAGAATTGAAGATTATTGTTTTATATCATCTTGTCATTCCAAATAATTATAATATATGTGTGTGAGGTTGTATATTCTCTACTTAATCCTGTCAACAAAATTAATTATTTGACAGAACTAATTATTTTGAGATTCAAAATCTACTCAGCGGGGATAGAAATTACACTTTTACATGCAAACCTAGCTCCCAGGCCACCCTGCCAGAACACCCAGCATCACATTTAATTTCCATTAGTGAGGCCAGTCATTATTCTAATATGATTACACAGTCTTGTAAAATGTCCCTTTTTCATGAAAAGCAATTAATTTTCATTTAGTAACATTTTGGATGCAAGTATTTAGAAGTGACTCCTCAGAATGCAGTTTTTTCCTACAAATATTCATATTAACTTCCAAATTAGTATCAGACTGGAGACAAAGACAAGCAAAATAAACAGGAAAACCTAGATTCTAAATGTCATCATGAATACCAGAATAATTTTGAATATTCCCATTCATACTAGGACATTGATAACAAAAAATAAATTTTCCAGTTCAAGAGCTACTGCGTAAGGTCTTAAATAGCAGTACTTAAAAACAGTTCATTTAAAAACATATATAGATATGTGATAAGTGTGTGTAAATGTTTTTTCATCAGATTTGATTACATACTGATTGTAGATGTTATGTTATTCAGCCTTGATTATCAGTAAAGTTTACCAGATATCACGAAGTAAAAGGCCAGAAAAAGGTTGCAAAATAAACACCGCCACTCTCAAAGACACTGAAAAGCAGCCATTTGCAACATTTTAAAGTTTCAGTTTTTAAATCATCATATTTCAATTTTATAGAAATTTGTCTTAAGTATTACATACATGGTGATAAATTTATACGGTGTCATATAGGCCTAAATGTGGTAGAAAATAAATTATTTAAAAATCACTCCAGGCACAGTGGCTCATGCTTATAATGCCAGCACTTTGGCAGGCTGAGGCTGGAGGATCACTTGAGCCCAGGAGTTTAAGACTAGCCATAGACAACATAGCCAGATCCTAGCTCTACAAAAAATAGAGAAAATTGGTCGGGCATGGTGGCATGCACCTGCAGTCTCAGCTAATCTGGAGGCTGAGCTGGTAGGATGACTTATGCCTGGGAGTTTGAGGCTGCAGTAAGCCATGATGGTGCCACTGCACTGCAGACTTGGTAAGAGAGTGAGACCCTATTTCAAATAAATAAATAAATAATCACATCATTTATAAACTCTTAAATCAAGAAAATATGTCTCCCCATTCCCACCAAGAAATGCCAATGTGTTTTAAGGTCTCTCAATTCACAGGAGTCCAAGGTTAGACCTTTTTGCTAGAAACATGAGGAAACACCATGACTTCTGGGGTGGCTTTGCCTTACCTGGGAGCTCCTGAATCACACTACAGAAGTACATTATATAACAGGTCTCTGTTGTCTCTGCTCAGTGTTTGCCACATGCAACTGCTTAACTTGTTAAATGACAATAATATTGGCAAATACGATTTAAAATTAAAAATAATCTTCAGATCTTATCAGTTATTTTCGATGTTTCCCATTTTGTTTCTCTAAGATTTGGTGATAAACTTCACAAGGCACTAACTTAATTTTTACTCCCATTTCCCAAAACAAGTATTCTATTGATAACAAAGACAAACATCTAGTTTGAGGGGGTGATGTTTAAAAAATACATAATTGTAAACTACTTAAGAAAGCAAAATGATAAAGGCGCGAGGGAGGTAAGCGTTGAAAAATTACCTATTGGGTACAATGTTCACTGAATGATGCGTGCCCTAGAAGCTCAAGTCTTAACATTACACAGTGTATCCATGTAACAAACCTGCGCATTTACTCTCTGAATCAATAATTAAAAAAAAAAAAAAGAAAACAGATGGCATAGTCTTTATATGTTACATTCACCTTTTACTTATAAGACTGCTCCCCCAGTGGGTATTTTATAGTTTTCCCTAAAGAAAACTCCTATTTATCCAAGGGAATAACTTCCAAATCACTTTTTCCTTTATTTCCTTGGATAAATAGGAGTTAACTAATTGTAACTAGGTTAGAAAAACTATGAATATTATTATGCTGGATTTTTTTTAATTCTAGTTCTTTTAAAGTTATTAAAATTTTTTCTAACTCCTCAGGAAATTTAATCATATGATTTTCATAGCATTGTGTTTATGATTTTCTTTTACATCTTTGATAATATATAAGAGTCATCTGTTGAAAAGTGTGTTATCATTACTTTATTTCTCTTAAAAGAGTGTATTAGGAAAGGGCAGTTTCATGTGGATGTGAATAAGATAGAATGTATACAGCTTTATGGAAACTTTGATGATTAAACTAAATATACAGCAATTCAAGCATCTCCTACTTTCCTCAGCAGCAGTTAAAAATACTATTGATGAGGTATATTCAATACTAGAAAGGTTAGAAGTGCATCTAGCTATCAGGCATTGAGTATTTTATTTGAGGTGCCATGTTAACAAGCCTTGAAAGGAGATCCATTAGTAGCTTCGATGAGGCTTTTTAGTCAAAGTAAGTAATTAATGGAATTATGAATAATGGTTATTATTCAATTTAATAATAGGAAATGGCATTGAATATAAAAAAGACTTGATATTGCTCAATAAAGTGGTTAGAATTTTGAAGAGCTAATCATATGATGGGAACAATATCCTAGGATAATGATAGTCTACAACTCGCAAGCTGAAGAGAGCATATTCATTTGGACCGCAAAACTCTTTTATAAATTTCAAATTTATACATCTGTGTATTATTGTAGCTACTGGTTGATACATGGTAAGCATGTGGCTCTTGGTTAGAATGGAGTTATGTTGGCTTCCAGCAAAAAGGAATCGAATTTAAAAAACTACCTATTAGGTATTATATTCACAACCTTAGTGATGGGTTCAATCAAACCCCAACCTCAGCATCACACAATATACCTCTGTAACAAAGCTGCATGTGTACCCTCAATTCTAAAATAAAGTTGAAAACAAAAAAAAAAAAAACTTAAAAAGCAACCTTAGGCTGGGCGTGGTTCCTCACACCTGTAATCCCAGCACTTTGGCAGGCTGAGGTGAGCAGATCACAAGGTCAGGAGATCGAGAACATCCTGTCTAACATGGTGAAACCCCGTCTCTACTAAAAACACAAAAAATTAGCTGGCTGTGGTGGCACAAGCCTGTGGTCCCACCTACTCGGGAGGCTGAGGCAGTAGAATCGCTTGAACCCAGGAGGTGGAGGTTGCAGTGAGCTGAGATCATGCCACTGCACTCCAGCCTGGGTGATAGAGTGAGACTGTCTCTCAAAAAAAAAAAAAAAAACAAAAACAAAAACAACAAAAAAAACAAAACCTTAAAAATCATTCATTTCCATTTCTGAAATTGTGTGTATGAAAAAAACATATTGTTAATAACTTATATGATACTATCCTCACTTATAAATCTTAGAAATTTGGCATATTATGAAAAGTGGAAAGTTAATTTCTCTACCCAAGCTGTATTCTTTGCATTCCACAAGCACGTGTATATTGTGAAGGAGTAGTTAAATTTGTGAACCAATTAGCTAATTTTGGTTCATCAAATAAACCATAGTTACTCATAGTTACTAGAAGGTATAGTCACCATATTGTGAAAGGTACAAGTCACACTTTGCTCCAGTTTTATGGACCTGAGTGAATAAATTGATTTCACCCTCATAAAAGACCTTGCAGATTTCCTCTCTCTGGTTTTGCCTCCCTCTACATGCTTGAGAGTAGCCATCAGAGACATGTTTCTGTATGATTCTGTAGTGCCTATCAGTTCTGTACTTTCTAAAACAAGGTAGGAAAATTCTAAGATATGGATGGAGGTTTTCATGGATGGTAAGCGGCCTCATCTTAGACCATAAGCCTAAGTGGTTCCAGGACTCATGGTTTTAGAGTTTTGCATTAGAATATTGAGTACTCAAGCAGTTACTAATAAAAAACATACTTGGGCTCTTACAGGTTATTCTTCATATGTTTAGCTTCTTTAGAAATTCCAATCAAACAAGAGGGAGATATTTCTGTTTTCTTGCATTTCTGGGTCATAATGCCATGGAAAACATTCCAAAATTATCCTAACACATATTGATTATAATAAATGCTTAAAAATGGGATAAGGTTGAAGACAAAACTGCAATTACATTATTTAGTGTATCACTGACTGTGGTTTGAAGTGTTTTTGGAAAGTGTGAGGGTTGGATTACATAACTTATATGTAATAGATAGATAGTTGATGATAGATAGATGATAGATACAGATATATTTTAGAAATATATTCATAGATACACATAAGAATAATAATGTATGTTGTGCATATAGGTAAACTTATGTTTGCACTACTAAGGGGATTCAGTCTGTAAATGACAGTCATGTTTCCAAATGATTTAAGTGTATATATAGCAGCTTCATTTGCTTGGTTAGAGAACTATGCCAATAATGCCATGGTTGTGAGATGATCACATTATAGGGGTACCAAACCAGAATTACAAGGGGGAATATCCTGTCAGTTGTGTAAATCTTCCTTCAGACAGAATCTGCAGCATTCTAATGCTGCCATCCTATCTGAAACTAAACACCCAGTGATGGTACCAACATGTTTGCAAACTTGAGACCACAACTATTGTTGATATTTCATATTTATTTGTTATTTAACTACCTTGCTTATTCACATGTAGATGAGACTGGGGTCCAAATGGACCAATATACACTAACACCATGACTAAACCTAAAAGAAAAACAATAAACTGAATAAGCATTTAGTAGAGTTGTGGAGTTCTTTTTTTGCTGCTATTAATAGTCTCATTAACTAAAAACCTCTAGGATACCATGAACAAAGATCAATTTTTCTAGTAGAACAGGCAAACAGTATTCAATAAATAAATATCTACCTGTATAATGCATAGTGCTTTCACTTATTATCTTAAATATCACAAAATGACATAAAATATTTTACAAATAAAAGACAAAATTCAGAGAAGTACAACTTATTAAAAAAATATGGCCAGTGAGTAGTTAAGTGGTCTATTTGGCTATATTCAAAGTCTACTATCTTTCCATTACAAAATACTAATAACAACTTGTAACCGGTAGCCCAGTGGTTTTGCTATCCTTGTTACATCTGAAGAGACACTTTATGCATTTGCTTCTGGCTGTAATGCTGAAAAAGCGTCAAAGGTTACAAATAAGCAGAAAAGAAAATATTAAACTGCTTAAGACTGTAAAAATGTAAGACAAAAAAGAAAGGTGAGTACCCAAAGTTTTCAGAGTAAAGGTAAACAAAAATGAAAGGTCAATGAGATAGTTAAAATTATTTTCAAATATCACATACCTTGTATGAATGAATTAGTTCCCTGTTTCTAAAAGCTTCCGTATGCCAGGAAAATGTGAAAAATTATGAAATCTGCACATTTTTTAATTTCAAGGTGTATTTCTTTAAATATCCATTTTTGTTAGATATTTTTAAAATATAAATTGAGAAATACAATTAAAACAGAAAATAAAAAATTTTAAATCAATTGGGCTTTTAATAAATCATCACAAAATGAAAATGACATTTTTCAAGTTGATGTCTCAAAGTATTTTACGCCCTCTGACACTGTTTTAGTTATCCCGAAAAGAGGTAGAACCTGTGTATTACTCTAGTGTCATCTAACAAAGACATGAAACTATGCACCATATGCTAATTTCCAGGTGATTATTTTTCAAAAGAAATTTATTCTTCAAAGATGATGCTGAAATGGAGGTCTTAGTGTTTCTTCTGTATATCAATCAATGACAAAAACCACATGATTATCTCAATAGATGCAGAAAAGAGCTTCGATAAAATTCAACATCCCTTCACATTAAAAACTCTCAAGAAACTAGGTATGGATGGAACATATCTCAAAATTATAAAATCAATTTGTGACAAATCCAAGCCAATATCATACTGAATGGGCAAAAGCTGAAAGCATTCCCTTTGAAAACCGGTACAAGACAAGGATGCCCTCTCTCGCCACTCCTATTCAACATAGTATTGAAAGTTCTGGCCAGGGCAATCAGTCAAGAGAAAGAAATAAAGTGTATTCAAATAGGGAGAGAGGAAGTCAAATTGTCTCTGTCTGCAGACCACACGATCCTATATTTAGAAAACTCCATCATCTTAGCCCCAAAACTCCTTAAGCTGATAAGCAACTTCAGCAAAATCTCAGAATACAAAATCAATGTGCAAAAGTTACAAGCACTCCTATACACCAATAGTAGACAAACAGAGAGCCAAATCATGAATGAATTACTATTCATGATTGCTACAAAGAGAATAAAATATCTAGGAATACAGCTACAAGGGACATGAAGGAGCTCTTCAAGAACTACAAGCCACTGCTCAGGGAAATAAGAGGACACAAACAAATGGAAAACCATTCCATCCTCATGGACAGGAAGAATCAATATCATGAAAATGGCCATACTGCCCAAAGTAATTTACAGATTCAATAACATTCCCATCAAACTACCATGAACATTCTTCACAGAATTAGAAAAAAACTACTTTAAAATTCATATGGAACCCAAAAAGCCCACATAGCAAAGACAATTCTAAGCAAAAAGAACAAATCTGGAGGCATCATGTTACCAGACTTCAAACTATACTACAAGGCATCAGTAACCAAAACAGCATAGTGCTGGTACAAAAACAGACATATAGACCAATGGAACAGAATAGAGACCTCAGAAATAAGACCACAGATGTACAACCATCTGATCTTCAACAAACCTGATAAAAACAAGCAATGGGGAAAGGATTCCCTATTTAATAAATGGTGCTGGGAAAACTGGCTAGCCATATGCAGAAAACTGAAACTGGACCCATTCCTTACACTTTATACAAAAATTAACTCAAGATGGATTAAAGACTTAAAGGTAAAACCCAAAACCATAAAAACCCTAGAAGAAAACCTAGGCAATAGCATTCAGGACATAGGCATGGGCAAAGATTTTATGACAAAATCACCAAAATCAATGGCAACAAAAGCTAAAATAGACAAATGGGATCTAATTAAACTAAAGAGCTTCTGCATAGCAAAAGAAAGTATCATCAGAGTGAACAGGTGACCTACAGAATAGGAGACAATTTTTGCAATCTACCCATCTGACAAAGATCTAATATACAGAATTTACAAGGAACTTAAACAAATTTACAAGAAAAAAAAAGTGGGCAAAGGGCATGAACAGACACTTCTCAAAAGAAGACATTTATGTGGTCAAACATATGAAAAACATATGAAGTACTCAACAGCACTTATCATTAGGGAAATGCAAATCAAAACCACAACGAGATACCATCTCACACCAGTCAGGATGGTGATTATTAAAAAGTCAAGAAACAACTGATGCTGGTGAGGCTGTGGAGAAATAGGAAAGCTTTTACTGTTGGTGGGAATGTAAATCAGTTCAACCATTGTGGAAGACAGTGTGGCAATTCCTGAAGGATTTAGAACCAGAAATACCATTTGACCCAGCATTCCCATTACTTGGTATATACCCAAAAGAATATAAATCATTCTATTATAAAAATACACGCACACATATGTTTATTGCAGCAATATTCGCAATAGCAAAGACATGGAACCAACCCAAATGACCATCAATAATAGACTGGATAAATAAAATGTGATACATATATGCCACTGAATACTATGCAGCCATAAAAAGAATGAGATCATGTCCTTTGCAGGGACATTGATTAAGCTGGAAGCCATCATCCTCAGCAAACTAACACGGGTACAGAAAACCAAACACCACATTTTCTCACTCATAAATGGGAGTTAAACAATGAGAACACATGGACACAGGGAGGGGAACAACACATACCAGACCTGTCAGCAGGGCAGGGGAGGGAAGGGAGAGCATCAGGACAAATAGTTAATGCATGCGGGGCTTAAAACCTAGGTGATGGGTTGACAGGTGCAGCAAACCACCATGGTACACGTATACGTATGTAACAAACCTGCACATTCTGCACATGTATCCCAGAACTTAGAGTTTTTAAAAAAAGATGGATATATATTGTGTCTACTCTAAGTAGGTGCTCTGGTGTGCAAAATGTAAAATAATGGGACTCTTCTGAAAATGTAAAATTTATTAAAGGACAAATACAACCATAATGACAAATATAATGCAAGAAACTACATTATGTAATACCTTTTGAAAGATATATTTATTCATTTATATGCATAATGTGTACCCATTTGTATTATGGTTAATCACAAGAGGGGAAAACACAATCTTTTTCTGGTATCCAGTACATTTTATGGAGATAGTTGCATTTGAAAGGTTAGTGAAAAAGAAGGGATTTTAACAGATTAAAAAAGCATGAGCAGTTTCATAAAATATTCAGTTTGATGAGTGCACTACACACATATAAAAAAGCAGCAGGAGATCCACTAAAAAGATAAAGTAAGGTCAGACTGCAGACTTTGAAGGCTAAGCAAAGGAGTTTCAATGTAATTCAGTAAACAGGGAAGATTTATTGAGATCTTTTTAGTTTGCTTTTGGAACATGGATATGATACAGTAAATTTTGCAAAAAATGTTTTGTAATCAAATCTCTTTTAAAAGCTTTGCTATAGTTACACAATTGAATTATATGCATAAATTAGGTTTCTTAAGAGTGGTTTCTTCTAAATGTAGGGATTGGTGTTCTGGTTTGGGGATGGAAAGTTACTTTTAGTTGTATACTTTTTAAAATTAACCATGACAGGTTTTACTTTTGCGATTTAAAAAGTAAAGTGGAAAAGACTGAGAAAAACTGTATTGTACACTATATTCAAATTTTGCATTCTCTCAGTTATTTTGCAAGTGGAAACATTAGAAGACTGAAAAAAGTTTATAGTTTTTATAGTTTTAAGTTATATTCTGCTTCCATAATAGAACTGTTTTATGACTTCTAAAAAATGCTTTATTTATATGAATTTTTTTTCTTTTAAAACTGGGATAACACAAATTGCCCATCACTTGCTGTATTTCATAATTTTACAAATAATGAAGATTCTAAGGATATAGGGTTGGATATAAAGCTCCAATAAAAACATAAAATTGGAAAGAAACCTACAAGTGCTCTAGGACAACTTCCTTCTCAATTTAGAAATTGAGTCTATGGAATGTACGAGAGATTATCATCAAATATATCTAAGACTAATTCTGATAGTAGGAAACTATTTATCTTATAAGACATCCAAGAAATCCAAATTCATTTTAAAGGAAAATTCTTAGATAGCAAAAAGTTGTTTTGTTTGTTTGTTTATTTTTTCCTGAGCTTCCTTCTTTTGTTTTCGTTAAAGCAAGGGGAAATTCTGAGAAAATCAGCTCAAAATCACTTTTGAGAATGTTATCAGGCTGACTCTTGAAACATTAGTAGGAATCAGCTAGGCAATTACATGGCATGAAAAAGGAATTAAAAGGAGTTGGAAATTCCATGTTAAGGACATAGAAAGACCCAAAGTTCATGGAAATAAACAAACATTGACTACCTAGAGAATATACCCCACCTCAGGCATTGAATTTAAATACATTTCTCTTTGTAATTAATTCTGGTTATCTGTTTCAAAAACAGGTAAGATTAGAGAGAGTAAGAAAAAGGGGAAAAATAAAATAAGCCATATTTTGAATGCTGTTTTTATAAAATTATTTCTGGTGAAAACACCACATATGATGAGATGCCACTTACCTAAGCTGTATGTGTAGGGGATAGAGAGAGACAGAGAGTGAGCAAGTAGTATTAAAGATAGTCAACAAAAAGATTTTTGCATTGAAATTTCAAAAGTATTTGTATTTTCTATGTCATTTTTTCATTTTTAATAATTAGCATATATTACTTATATAGACAGAGGAAACAATACAGCTATTGTCACTTTGGGCAAAAAACGTTCTTCCCCGTTTTGATCATAAATGCTTCCTCATACTTTCTTCATAGGGGTCTTCAACTCTGCTTAAAAAATACCACAAAAATAAATGGAATCCTTCCTCCAACATGAGCGGTTTCTAAAAATATGAATTGCTATTAAAAGTATATTTGAATATAAATTTAAATCACATTGAATGATCCCTCCAGGATTCTTCTACCAATAGTCTAGATGTCCTTGCTTTCCCCACAGAAATCTTCCACAGTCAGTTACCATCCTAGAACTTAAAATTGTCCCTCTCTGATTCACCCTCAATCAAAAACTTAAAAGTATAATAATAATAATAAAAATATATATATTTATAAAAAAATACCCACATCTTTTTTATCCTAAAATATATTCTTGGAAATGCCCACTTCCTTCCTTTAATAAATATTGATTCACCTTTTCCAAACACTCCTCTAGCCCCTGCCTTCCTTCTTTCCTTCCACAGACAAATGAATTAACAGTTTTGTCTATTCTCATTGACTCTATGTTCTTATTTAACAGTTTTTAACAGTTCCAACCTTCAGTGTCCAAAGGAAGTATTAAAATAACAACCGAAGATGCTTGGCTTCAGGAATCATTCCAGGCAACAACCTTCAATCTTTTCTTCTGCATATTCTTTTTTATTTCACCTCCCATTGACCCATGAGCAGATTATCTCCTTTGCTATGGCCCCTTGAGGGATTTGCTTGCTTTATGTGAGTAAGTTTCCAGCCAGGTGGCAGCTCTGAAATCGCCCCAGTAAGCAGAAGAGATGGTATAAAGGCAAATTTAGAAAATTTTTTAATGGGCAGGGTGAGATGAAAGGCTCAAAATCCTCATAAATTAATAAATTTTGCCAAAGCTCAAGTCTTCAACATTTCTTATTGGAGTATGAAAATTATTCCCTCCCCACTCAACACACACACACACACACACACACACACACACACACACACATGCACGCAAGCACTCTGACTTCCACTATTCTCTGAATGTAATTCTTACAAAAGTAAATCTGATTGTGTTACTGTCATTAAAATTCAACTTCATTCTTTATCTTTAGAAAAACTTTTATTTCTGGATATGGTCTTTCATGATTTGGTTCCTTCTCCCTAATTCGGCCTGTTTCTTGACACTTTAAAACAAAAATATGAATTCTAGTTATTCCAAACCACTTGTGCTCTCTAAATGGCCAACACTTGTTTATTTCCATGCACTTTGGGTCTTTCTGTGTCCTTAACATGGAATTTCCAACTTCTTTTAATTGCTTTCTCATGGCATGGCATTGTCTATCTGATTACTACTCATCTTTCAAGAGTCAGCCTGACAACTGTGTTCTGACAATTGGCTCTTCTTATTGCTATCTACAATTTCCTCAGTTGCTCTTTCTAGGTGATCCCATAGCACTCTCTGTTACTTCTATCCAATAATAAAACATATAATACACAGTAATTCCTTTTCAGCTTGCCAGTTTCTGCAATTGGACTGCAAATTGCCTGAAGGTCTTTTGTGTCTTAGGTTTGAATCCCAAGAACTTTGCAACAGTAAGTTTTCAATAACTGTTTGCTAACTCTATGACATGAACATCTGGCAGGAAAATATTGAGAATTTCATATACGGTATTCAAAGTTAACTAAACATTCGTCTTAGATCTAGAAGTTTCTTTTTTATGTCTGGCTTATTGATTTTAACTTTTGTTAACATCAATAAATAACTCACAGGTTTCTGAACTGGGTTTCAGAGCTCCTAGTATAAGCCATGCTAAAAGGAATAGATACATCATTTCAACAATAACACAAAAGCCAAAGGGAAGAAAAGGAAAAAGAAAGAAAAGCCAATAGTAGCTAGCAGTTTTAAGATTACACTGTAAAGATAGAGATGAAACATTCCTTTATGCTCATATTTGATAGGAAACTCTACAGTATATAACACTTGAAGATAGAGACCTTGAGCACACAAATAATAGCGAGGCACAATATGTGAAAATAGTGAATACACGTGGATATCTGTGACTATATCATTAAGCAAATAAAGCTTATTCAATCTTTACATGGCTTCCTTTATTATAATTTGTCTTAATTTCACTGTTTCCTCTCAATTAAAGAAGTAGTTCTTTTAAAATATTTTGGCAGCTCTTATAACTAAAACACACATGCTATTTGTAAATATAAAATTATAATTCCTAGTAATACCACTTAAAATATATCTTATGAGGTAGATATTAAATATTATTTTGGAAACAAGAAGCTCTTGCCCACCACTTTGGCAAGGTGGGCCCAGTATTACTTTGAAAATGTTCTTTTTAGGCACCAACTCAGTGGCCCTCTCACTTACACAAATGTATGCAAGTAATCACCATTCTATGAATGGGAAATGGGATAACTTGAACTTCAGTGGTTTGACTAACATCTGCTCTACACAGTTGTTCCTTTGTATATGGAAATGATTGTACAGGAGGAACTAGATAAATTTAGAGTTCAAGCAGCCTATTGGGAAGAAAGGGAGCAAGGTTCAGAGGTCCACATCAGAACCCACAGAATACTGAAAATTCAGGAGCAATTTACAGCAGAACATGGAGCAACAACAGGATGCAGAGACATTTTGAAAATGGGAACTTTTGTGTACTTCCTGGGCTCTCTAACTATCCATCTGTGTGTTCTTTAGACTAAGAAAGCCTACAAACAGCAATTCTGGATGTTGAGACCTCAAAAAGTTGATATTAACCTTCTTGGTAAAATAGATAGGGGATAACTCATGCAATTAATTGGACAAGTGCAATATTCAACCGTATTTGTATCACTGAACTGGTGAAGCTGCTCATACAACTTATGCTGAAGGGGGAAAATCATATTTGTTACAATCATTTCCAGATATGAAATATTTGTACCATGAAAATATTCGTCTCTATAAAGTGGAGTTATAAATCATCTCATGATAAATTATTTCCTGTTACTCTACCTTGTATGGATGCTAACACTTCAATCATTCTTCCTCAATAAAAGCTATTTTGGTTCCAATATTAATGAAAATGCAAAGTTAATGTTTCATAATCTCACACCATGGATATAAACATCTTTCCTCTGTTGACTTCACAGTCATGTTAAAAACACTGTTGCCTCAGTAACACTTTTCTCAGATAGTAAATCATTCACTGCATACAATCTGGCCAAACTAGATCAATTTTATTTGCTTTTCTGTTTCTCATTAACACAGTTCAATAAATAAATTCATTATAAAGTAAACTTTAACACCAAATTCTTTCTACACAATAAGAAGGGGTTTGCAAGTATTTTCTATAAGAGGACAGATAGTTTAAATTCTAGGCTTTGCAGTCCATTTTTTGATATTTGTTTCAATTACTCAATTCTTCTTTCCAGCTCGAAAGCTGCATAGACAATATGTAAAAGAATGAGCATGGCCATTTTCCAATAAAACTTACAGAAACTGGTGGCAGGCCATATTTGTTCTGTGATTCTTGGTTTCTTGACCCCTATCATATATTTAAAAACTGGCAACAAATCTAATACTTTAAAGGACTTTTTCTATTAACCAACCACCATTTCCAGAATATATTTATTATAGGCCAAAGGTTCAGCTAAAGTAGAAGTGCAGTGAAGCAGAACTTGAATTCTGCAAATGTATTAAAAAATTCTTTTAAATACGGAACATTTATCTTGAATTTCTTATCTCAAAATTCAGTGGCCTACCAAAGGTGGAACAGTAGGAACAGTCCAACAGGGTGCAGGCGACTCAAAACAAGGTCAGTGAAAAATTATTTTTCTGAAAAAATTATTTATTGATCTAAGCTCTAAAAAACTGATTTGGTTATTTTTTGAATTTTAATACTTTGCTTATTAGTTTCAAACTGTCATGTTTTATTATGTATCACTAAAATGAAATAAAGCACTGTATTCTATATGAATGCTAATTCAGACAACTTCATTATATAATCAATCAAGAGTAAATTCATGAAGTTCTGAGATTCTTTAAACCCACTTGGCACAGTTTATAAATCCAGTGCCTGTGGTGGTCCTAACTATGCCTGAATTTAAACAGTAGATCAGGTCAGCAACTCCCCCTTGGGCGTAAAGTCTCAATGATACAAGATGAATCGATTCTAGAGATCTACTGTACAACATTATTCCTATAATTAACAATTCTGTAGAGTACACTTACAAATTTTTTAAGAGGGTAGACCTTATGTTAAGTGTTTTTAACCACAACAAAATACATTTAAAAACTCAGTTAATTCTATATAAACATAAATTATATTGTAATTATAAAAAGAAAACAAAATTTATTTCACTTTCAATGTAACCACTTATTGTTTTTTATGAATTTTCTGGAATTTATTGTGAAGTGGGATTTTTATACATCTCTTTCAAATTTAGCTGCATATTAAATGTTTTTCTAATTTTGTGTATCTCTTATTTGATATGAAAGAAACTATAAAAAATTAAAACCAATAAAAAGTATCCTCTGACCAAATATGAGCATAGACAGATCAACATATCTGTTTAAATCCTCTATTAATTATGAATATGCAAAGCAGAGTAATCTAGACAAAGTCATTGACAGTATGCAGAGGTTAAAGCTGGAAAACAGAATGATACTATTTATGATTATAACCAAATAAATGCAGATACAAGCTTCCTTTTTTTCAAAAAAGTATAAATATAATTTTAAAATATTAAGCTTTTAAGTATTTTTAACTATTTGCTTTTCTAAGAATATTTTTAAAATTATATATATGTATATATAATCATGACAAAAGTTGAATAATTTTTATATTGTTTTGGTTTATTTCCTGGCTATTCTGATTACTTATTTCATTATTATTATTAATTATATTCTTGTTGTATAGGTGAGAGAAGTTCTAAACAATAATCCAATGTATGTGTCAAATGCACACTAGGTACACTGCTGCTGTATTCTATAAAAAGAAAGTTGGGGAATCATACCATGTGGAGCCTTGTAGGCTACTGTCTAAATTCTAACTCTTCCTCAAAAAAAAAAAAAAAAAAAAAGCTTTTGATTTTCAAATTACAGGAGTCACATCCTGATATAACTTACATAATAGAATGAAGACACTGGCAACTTTCTTGAGAATCCATTGCAATGAATTGTGGGAGAACAACAGTAGAATGTGGACACTGATTAGGAAGATGCTATTGTAAAAATGTAGACAAGACGTAATGATAATAATGGCTGCTTGGATATGAATGGCAACAGAGGGTGTCGTGAGAAGAGGCTTCATATTCTGGATATATTTTGAATATAAACTCATTAATTTCCAAAGATTTTGAATCTTGGATGAGAGAAAAAATAAATCAAGAAAAATTCCAAGGTTTTGTCCTGAATAACTGAAATGGAATTGCCATCAACTGAGAGATGGTGAAGACTGAAACATAAATAGGTCTGGAGATACTAGTAGTTTTTGTTTTGTTTTGTTTGTTTTGAGGCAGTCTCGTTCTGATGTCTAGGCTGGAGTATAGTGGCATGATCTCAGTTCACTGCAACCTCTGCCTCCCTTGGTTCAAGAGATGCTACTGTCTCAGCCTCCTGAGTATTTGAGATTGCAGGCGTGCACCACCATGCCTGGTTAATTTTCACATTTTTAATAGAAATGGGGTTTTGCCATGCTGGACTCAAACTCCTGACCTCAAGTGATCCACTCGCCTCCGCCTCCCAAAGTGCTGGGATTAAAGGCGTGAGCCACCGTTCCCAGTCATATCAGTAGTTTAAAACTGGGCATATTGAGTATGAGATGTTTGCTAGGCCCCCAGGTGCTGACATCAAGGAGCTAGTTTAATATATGAGTTTGGTTGTTAGGATATAAAGAAAAATAAAACTCATGAAACTAAATGAGATCACCAAAAGACAGAGTATATAGAACTAAGAATGGAACCCTTAAATATTCCAATATTAGAAAGTTAGAAGAGGATAAAGCTACAACGATGCTCAAGAAGGCGGCGGCAGAGAGGTAAGAGGACATCCATTAAAGTATAAGTACCGTAGGGGAAGCCACTTGAAAAAGTCTTTAAAGAATAATAAGATACTGGATTAAAACAGTTGTTACAGAGCTTGACATATAATAACTCAATAACACTAGCTGCTAAGCATTATTATGGTGTGATATTTTGACATGTACTTAAATTGATTGGCCTATTCAATTCACAGATCAGTGAATAAACTAGTGAAAAAGCTAGTTTCTTGTTTAGTTTAAGCTCATCATGCCCCAAAATAAAAACTCACATATGACTTTAGTTAATGTTGATAATTAAATTTTAATTGTTTTTGTGAGGTTGTTTATTTTTAATGAATAGATGTATTTTGGAGTTTAACTGTTGTAAAAACAAATATTACATATGTAAAGTTAACAAAAATAATTTGAATGAATACTGTAGATTGGCAAGATCTTTTTTTCTTTTAACGTGTTCTGTTCATTACTCATGTTTGAGAGAAAGTGCCCTAACTAGAGTTCCACTAGACTACTCATCATTCCCAGCACACACCCTGACATTTCACACCTTCCTGCTTTTGCTTACGTTCTTTCTTCCGCTTGTTATCCTTCCACTTGAGAGTTCCTTCTCCTCTGAAAAGCACAGACAGAATTATACATTGCCTCTCTGGTTATCCTATAGCATTTAAAATATATCTCTGTCATACCACAGTGGTAATTTACTAGACTATAGCCTATTTAATTTACTCTACTTTCAAGAACTCTGAGAAGATTAAGACCTGGTTTGTCCTTCTTGCTGTGGTTTTCTTAGTACCTAGCCTTATCCCTTGCAGAGCAGACACACTCAATAAATATTTGTTAAAGTTTATTGAATGTTAAAGTTTTTGAATTTGTTATTCAATGTTAAAGTTATTGAATGTAAAAGTTACTGAATGTTAAAGTTATTGAATTTGTTAGTTTATTGAACCCTTTTCTCTTGATTTCTAAGGTGCTATCTATTGCAAGAAAACCTGTCAACTCAATGAAAGTGTTTCAAAAAAGAAAAGCTGCATTAAACATGTGCCGATTTTAAAAACACATCTTAATTTAAGAAACATTAAAATAGAAAAAAAATTTACATATCTCAATTGATGTAATTCACTAATGTCTACCCAAAAGGAGAGCTAAACATATTAAAACAGAACAGAGAATGTATAAAACAAATGAATAAAACAAGATGTGAAATATTCCAAAGTAAAACTGTATATTCTGTTTTAGAAAATGTCACTGCATGTAAAAATGGCTGGCTTTTGATCAGAGATGGCTTTCAATTGCAACTCAGCATGCTTTGTCTCTGAACAGCTTTGCAAAAACACAATAGCTTCTATATCTCTGTTGTAGTTTGATAATATCTGCCCTCCCAATTAATCGTCTCATCTTTTCATCAATTATTACATTTTCCACCTTTTGAGTTGAAGATATCTTTGCTTGGTTGCATATAGGCAAAATTAAGCTTAAGGACAAAGGTACATTATTTAAGGGACTTGCAATTATTTGTGTTATTATTAAATAAAGAACAGAGGACTATTAAGGCAAAGTTGAAATTTCCAGAATATCACCATCCTATGAAAGTCATCGATCAGTCACCACAACATGGCCTAATTGACCACAAGTACTCAGAGGCTTTCAGTAACTTCACAAGGTCTATATTGCAATAGCAATGAATACCCTACACCTCCAGAAGAAGATGAAGAGTAAAAAGTTACACACCAAGTCTAGTATTTCAAAGTTTATATCTAATCTCCAGAGGAAAAAAATTAAGTTATATCTTTTTAGAGTATTAGAAAAGTATCATAGCATGTTATGTAGCCATGCAAGTTAGAGAAAAATAAAATCACATTTAGAGGTAACACTGCAATTTGCAATTAGAAATTGAAACAATGTTATCTCTATTTTAAATGCTAGCTCTCATTGAATAGTGAATTTCATGTTGATTATATTCTAATTCTCCAGCTTATATATCTTCAAAATCTTTTCAAAGTGTACTGTACAATAAAAAATCACAAAATTAACTTTTACATAAAGAGGTTAATTTGAACCCAATGCAGAAAAATAGTACTAAGCATAATTTTTATATTCTGTATCTAACAATCTAGGCACAAAATCAAATGTGCCATTTTCACTTCATGGCTATATAGGACTTTAATGTCTCAACAGTGAATCAGTGACCTACAAGAGTGTCATTATTTTTGATAATAGTGCACAAGCTATTAAACTTATGCCATGGCAAACCAAACAATTTGGTTATCTTGCAATTTTTTAATGATGAGTGCATTAGTGGAGATCATCTAATCTACAAGAACGGAGGTGAAACAGACACACAGCTCCCTAGAGAAATTTAAAAAGTAAAAACAAGTATTGTAAAGACTACTGAAAAACATATATTTTGGGGTATACAGCTCTTTGTTTTGGATATCTGTGTTCTGTTTTCATGACCATTATGGTCTCTTTTCATGACCATTTTGAGTGGCTTAAGTGTGGCCAGTTACAGACTAATGGAGATTTTTTAAGTTGTTAAATGTTGAGTGAAATTGGAGAGGCTACTTGTTTGCAAACAAGGACAAATAAACAGGACAATTATTTAACAGTTTAAAAAGGAAACCAGAAAGCTATTATTTAAGCATAAATGAACACACAAAAATATCATAAACAAAATAAAATTGGTTGTGCTAAATATTCACTATAACCAGATCAGCAAAGCATTTTTACTAAAGATCAGGATTAAACATAGAAATAACTTGATTACACAGGATACTTTTTCACTAATGCTATCTATTATGGGATATTGTCTTTATCCTCATTTGAAAAAATTAAACAAAGGAGAGCTGTATTCCTCTGCTCTCAACAATGTGGTTCTACTCATCAATTTATTATTTTTAAAAATTTCTGGTTTTGTTAAGTACTAAAAGTGTAAGCATATTATTTAAAGAAAATCTACTACTGAATAAACTTACCAATTTTCCTTTCACAGCTTTGGATATAAGTATGAGACCAATATTAGAATAACATGTTCTTGCAAAGTTCCTTTCTTAATTTTTAGTTTGCTTTTTCTCTTTTACAAATGAGGTATCATTTACATACATTAAAATATATAACACTCAAATATTCAATTTTATGAGAGTTGATAATTGTATATATCTATACCACAGCATCCAATCACAATATAGAACATTTCTACCACTGAGAATATTTTCTTGTCAATTCCCAGTGAAATCTCATCCTTGGCCTTCAGACAATCATCTTTTTAACTTATATTTCCATATATTAGTTTTACTGTTTTAGATACTCATACAAATGAAATATAATGTGAACTCTTTTGTGCCTACCTTCGTATGATTTGCATAATGCCTGTAGTATTTATCAATGTTTGTACATCTATTCTTTCTTTTTTATTGCCGAGTATGCTGTTGTATGAATATATCATCACTATCCAATCATTTTTTATCCATTGTCTCATAGATATTCAGATTCTAAGTTGAAATTATATTTAAATTGCATTGTAAATAGAATTTCTATGAACATTCATAATAAAGTCTGTTTGATAAATTTCAAAATAGGAATAGAAGTAGTCCTAGTTACTTGGGAAGCTGAATTATTAGGATCACCTGAGCCCAAGAATTTGAGGCTGCAGTGAGCTATGATGGTGCCATTGCACTCCAGCCTGGGTAACAGATCAAGATCCTGTCTCAGAAACAAACAACAGCAACAAAATACTCATGAATTCTACAACAAACCTAAAAAACAAATACTTCAATTTTATAATGTTACAGGATGCAAAGTCAATATACAAAAAAAATTGTATTTCTATGTAATCTAGTGAAAATGGAACAATGAAATTTAGAAGAACGTAATTTATAAAAGTCATTAATCATCTCTTAAAAATTGACCTGTTCTCAGATCCTAATTCTTCTTTTTATCTTGCTTTGGCCAAGGCTTCTACATCTCCTGCTAGCACACTGAACTTTGTTTCTGCTATTTATAATACTTGGCTATGATAACAAAGTATGTATTTTGTAGTAAATATGTTCAGAGATCTGTAAGCCCAGATAATACTAAACATTAAAATAGTATAAAAACAATGCAGGAATATGGAAATTTTCTATTTATTTTAGACTTTTTTTTCTCTGAATATCTCTATTTTATGAGCTCCTTACTTTATAAGGTCATCCATCAGTTGCAGATAAAATTAATTACAACAAATATTATTAAGTCTACTTTGGGCATATTTTCATAGCTGTGCTTTATTACTCAGAATGAGAAATCTGTACAGATATAAAAGTCATCTCTGCTATCACTAGTCCTTCTACTTTCTACTAGGATCTCCAGAAAATGGCTTCTTTTTTCAACACAATAGGAACTCCAAAAGTCCCCTATCTTGAACGCTCTCTTATCACCACATTTCTTGGCTTTCTTCTTCCCATCTCCTCTTGATTAATTTGCTTACATCCTGTAAAAATCCCTGTTTACTTTTCTGTGTTTTCTCCCAAAAAGCATTTCAGCTGTTTTTCTTGCTCTATCCAATTTAGAATACGCACAGAAGTCCTTAATTACAAAACCAAAAACACTCATTAAGGTGTATTCCTAAACAAAGAAGGTTGTCTTCCTAAGGGAATCCTACAAACAGATCTTAAAGTAAGCATTTTTATTTTCTCATTGAGGTAAGATCATTAGAAGCACAAAGTACAGTCAAAGGCAAGATTATTCATTAACCCACTTTAGTTTCTTTTTGATGATGATAATGAGTCAGTAATGAGTTACTCAGAACAAAGTGCACTCTTTGTATTTCATCTTTTCCAGATATTAATGATATTCTAAATTTAGCAGATACATTAGATAGATATTTCTTGATCAGTTCAGAATATTATTTATACTCAGCTTAAAATATAATTAATTAATAATCAAATACTATTTATTTGACACAATAAGAATAACGAGTCAGGTTGGAACTCACTGGTCTACTCGTCCATATGTATTCGACACATATCAGATATTACACTTTTTTCCAGCAAGATTAAATTAGCCTATGATGCTACTATGGATCAAATCCATTTGCTCAAATCAGCTTTAAACTCCAAATCTCAGGAAGCAATTTTTAATTTCAGTCATATTTCAGTCTCTAACAACTTACTGCTGGACATTACATGATACCCTGGTGATCTGAAGTCATTAATGTTTCTAAATTCTGTAGATGAGGTAGATTCTGTAATCTACCCTGGGAAAAGAAGCTCAAATAGAAAACAGCAGGATTTTTATTAAGAGAATACTTAAGGAATATTTGGATACACTTTTCTAATGTCTGAAAACTAGATTCAAGGGGAGGAGGCAAGAATGTAAGCAGTAGCCCAGTAATCTTAAAAAGAGTATGTGTTCTCACTGCAGTACATTTTTCCTTTTTTGTAAGAATAATTATTAGATATACCAACGATATAATAGTTTCCAGAACAAAGACACAGAAACAATCAATCAATTGATCATTTTAAAGTTAGGAAATAAAATGATTTGAAAATAACTGAACTTGTTTCTCAGGGTAAAATTGGTCCTTTGGAATTTCAGGCACTATTTTAATCCTAAAACACGTGCTTTGGTCATTTTAGGAAAACAAATCTGTGCCATTTTCATGGTTAATAAAATGGTTTGCCCAAACTTTCACTTTAATATATAAATGTTTAGGCTATGTTGCCTATCTTTGATTACAATGTCTATGAAAGGAAGAGAAAAATATTGATTTTTGCATTCAAAAGAGAAAACTTATTTTAAGCATGAAATTCTCATGTAACATTTGTGTATAATGATGATGAACAGAATCTTCGGGAAAAGCAAGTAATTTAGGAAAGTTTAATAAAAGGATTATCTACAAAAGTATATGAGATTAAAGGAGAATCCTAAAGGATATACAGAACCCTGTGTATAGATTTTTTTTTTTTTTTTTTTTTTTTTTTTTTTTTTTTTTGAGACGGAGTCTTGCTCTGTCACCTAGGCTGGAGTGCAGTGGTGCAATCTCGGTTCACTGCAAGCTCCGCCTCCCAGGTTCACGCCATTCTCCTGCCTCAGCCTCCCGAGTAGCTGGGACTATAGGCGCCCGCCACCATGCCCGGCTAATGTTTTGTATTTTTAGTAGAGACGGGGTTTCACGGTGTTAGCCAGGATAGTCTCGATCTCCTGACCTCGTGATCCGCCCGCCTCCGCCTCCCAAAGTGCTGGGATTACAGGCGTGAGCCACTGCGCCCAGCCTGTGTATTGATTCCTAAGGCAAGATAAACTAAAGAGAATATCTGAAGACAGCCTCTGTGCAAAAACTATGCAAGGAAGAGAGAACACGAGCTTTGAGACCATCTGAGGCAAACAAGATGAAAAGATGTGTGGTTACCCTATGTGGAATACTCACTAAAATAGCTAGGGTTTTATTAAGATTAGAGGAGCAGTATCGATACCCAGGAATTCTGGTTCATTTTATTTAGGGTAAGGCCAGATATAACTTTTAAAAGCTGAAATATATGATCTGATATGTAGAGAATATCCATGGACTGCTTAGTATTTTTCTTGTGCAGAAAGTGATTAGTATAGAAAACTGGATGTTATAGTGTTTTCATTTAGACATTTCATTACATTAACTTTTCTATTCTTTTATTCAGCTCAATTGCTGCCTTCTGTCAGAGCACATTATACTCATTTGTAATTTTTAATTTATTCATCTTTGTCTTTCCTCCATTTCGCGACAAATTCTCACTCTCTGGGACAATCTTTTTATCAGGTTGTATTTGTGGTCTTAGTAGTGCTCAATCAGTATATTTGAATAGATATATAGGTGGATTTCATTAAGACATAAACATTACAAATAAGCATGTATCAACATAAAGTAAATTGTTGGGTTTTTAACTCATTTAAAAAATCTACAATATTAATATAAATTCTGTATCACAAAGGCTTTTATTGACAATCTTTTACTGAGACTTCACGCTTGAAGAAATGAGACAGGAGTCTTAAAATATTAAAAATATAAATAAAAATACTGTTTGACTTCTGAAATTTTAAAAACTGTTCATTTATTCAACAAGTATTTTGGTTAGGGACATTAAAAATTAATGAAAACTATTTCTTATCTATTAAAAAAGGAGTTTCTTTTTCTGATATTCTTACACTTGCATGGTTTGATACAATTTTCATGTAAGCCTATTTGACTGGTGTCATATCTTCCTCTTACTCCATAAGGGTGTTAAGGATATCACTTCCACTCATTTTATGAGAAATAAAGCTAGAAATGTTATTACCTTTGCTCTAAGGATCAGGATAAAATGGTAAAAATTACTTTCTGTGACGCTTTAATTCTTTTCACTAAAATTCAACTTTCAAATAATACTCATTATTTCTGCCATTGTAGAAAGTGAATATGAGAGGGAACTGGAGGTCATCATTATTGAGTTTATGTATATATTTATTTATTTATAATAAATCTGTAAGCAAAAATATATATCGTATTTTTATTTAATATACATGTATCATTTTTATTTGATATATATACATTTGATATATATATTGAATGTATATATAAATTCAATAATGATAACCTCCAGTTCTCTATCATATTCACTTTCTGCAATGGCAGAAATAATGAGCATTATATAAATGATCAATAAATAAATATATATTTATATGTACATTATATTAAAATATATGTAAATCAATAGATAGATGGATACACACACACAGTGCTTATGATGAAAAAGCAACAGCGTTAGATGCTAAAGGAGATACCCTAACTCCCGATCCAATTTAGTTAAAAATAGGACATGGATGCAAGAAGTTGTAAAGAATTAGGGCTATCTGCTAGTTAAGTCAAAATGATGAATACAGCTAACATGTGGCAATGAGAATAAAGACTTGAAATTTTACCTAGAAAATAAAGTATGAGTCAGATTGGTACTTTACATAGCAATAAGTGAATGACACCAAAGAAAAGAAAGCCTCATAGCATGATTTCAAATTTATCACCATGTTTTTTGCCCTGTGTGAGGATCAAGGAGCTCTACTTTGTGTTCCTTTTATTCCATATTATTATTTCTCTGCCACGTCTTCCAAAACCATGTCTTCATTACCACATAAAAATCTGATATAACAGAGTCTGTTTTGCTATGAATGTATATTCAGATGAGCCCCAAGTGTAGTTATTGCAGTCAGCTCCTGGACTTCTTCAAACTGAAAATATTCACAATTGAATTAAAACTTCTCCTTAATGTTGTGCTCCTTTCCGCATCTGCTGCATCACTGCATAGGACCAACATTTCCCCTAAATCATTAACACATCAGAAGCCTGGGAGAGCATAATAAAAAATGTTTGCCCTGATTCCATGGATGTCTGTATAAACAGATTATTTGAGAAATTTGGCAACGAGGGAATAAATATACTAATATTGATATGTATGGTTAGAAGAGAGAGTAAATATGAGACAAGAACCTTCAGGTATCAGTAGGAATAAGACATTGGCTCAACATTTTAAGAGATTATTAAAAAGTAAACCTTTCTGTTAACCTTAAGGCAAGAACAGTAAGAGCTGAAGTAGCAGCAATTTGATAAGATAAAAAGAAGATTAAGAATAAAATACTTTACCTTGCATGGCTTTGCTTTTTATAGAAAGCAAAAGAGGTTTTCCATAAGAGTCAAAGCATTGTGTATGGGAGTGGAAGCTTGAAAAGAGTTTTGACTAGATGTACTGTCTGTGGAATATAAAAGTACTGGCAAGAAATCATTCAAGGCTAGCTTTCCCTTGATATAGATATAATGAATTGGATATATGAAATAGAATTAGATTCATCTCACATTGAAATTAGCATAGAATCTGGCTTCCCTGTTTAAGGTTAACAACTTCCACTAGAAGCCTTCTCTACTACCTTATTTCTTTACTGGCAATTTTCCTTATGAAATGTTCCCCTCTGTACCACATCTATCTCAGACTGTAAGTTGTAGGACTTCAAGGACTGTATCCATTTCATTCACCATTTTATCCCTGAAATGTAGTAATAACAAATATTTATTGAATGAATGCCTGTTATTACTATAATCCTTCTGACCTCCTAACCTGGATTTGTATTTCTCCACATATCATTTAGCAACATTAATGCCAAATTTAAAAACTTCTGGATTGTAATTCCTTTGATGAAATAGTATTTTTATATATCATATATTCAACCTAGACTATGCCAGCCTAGACTACGACAATCTTAATGCAACAGATTTGATCCACTCCAAAGTAAAGGGACAACAGCAACTATAGTAGGTTTAAACAAATTCTGGAGACCATACCTTCAATAACTTCTTAGCCACAAGATTCAAAAGCCTTTTTTTTCTTTTACCAAACACTTTCTTCGTAAACACTAATTGTTTAATCTACCAGCTAACAATTTCTGATAATTCACAATTCTCATAAAAGAAAATAAATTATAAACCCTTTTCTTTGGTGTATGTCTAAACACATATTTCTATCTTTCTAGCCCTTGATTAAGCTAAAGGTATTTGCCTTCAAAAATTTTATATTAGAGTTTTCTAATCTGCCTAAAACACTTGTTTTATATATTTTTAAATGTCTCTAAAAATAAGTTGTTTAAACAGCCTGGGCAATGTGGTGAAAACCTGTCTCCAATAAATTACAAAAAATTAACTGGGCATGGTGATGTGCACCTATAGTCCCAGTTACACAGGAGGCTGAGGTGGGAGGTGGAAGGATTATTTGAGCTCTGGAAGTCAAAGGTGCAGTGAGCCAAGATGGTGCCACTGCATTCCAGCCTGGGCAATGAAAGTGAGACCCTGTTCCTTTGCAGGGACATGGATGAAGCTGGAAACCATCATTCTGAGCAAACTATCACAAGGACAGAAAACCAAACACCACATGTTCTCACTCATAGGTGGGAATTGAACAATGCGAACACTTGGACACAGGGCAGGGAACATCACACACCAAGGCCTGTCACTGGGTGGGGGGCTGGGGGAGGGATAGCATTAGGAGAAATACCTAATGTAAATGACAAGTAATGGGTGCAGCAAACCAACATGGCACATGCATACCTATGTAACAAACCTGCACATTGTGCCCATGTACCCTAGAACTTAAAGTATAATAAAACAACAAACAAACAAACAAACCAAAAAGGGTGGGGTGGGGCTGGGGGTGGGGGTGGGGAATTGCAGTTACACTTGTGATTTTTCTATTTCCTTTTTTCGAAGAAATAGACATCAGAGTACAGTGTGTTTCACATTCACCACACAAAATTTAGTCTAAATAAATGCAGATAGTTTGAAATATCCAAGTTTCTTAGCAGAAAAATTTGATTCAGGTACATTTACAGGGACGTCTCTTTACAATGTCATGAGACTGAACTTTCACCATCAGAATCCCACCAAGATAAAACTTGAGAGATTATTACACACTACAATTGCAAAGAAATCTCTTAGGTAATAATCAGAGCTTGAAGTTCCATCGAGGAATTTATTCCACATATACAATGCTCTAAAGGGCTAGGAAATATACTCTAGTACTATGAAATTTTCTCAGAAACTTGCACTTGCCCCATAGTTTATAACCAATTAACATAAAATTGTAGTAGGAAAAATAATTAGAAATTTACTTTTCCCTAAAGTATTCTTACTACTTTTTATTTAAAGTAACTTTTTTAAACCTTGCTTACACAAACAACTCGAAAGATTTCCATATTTTTGGTAAATGACAATATGACCTTTTGCATGAACAAGTATGAAACTAATCAAGTGGAAAGCATGTACTGTTAAAATTTTACTCATATCATATTTAACCTTTCTGCTTTGAAGTAATCATTAGTCAACACTTTATTTCATTACTAAACCTCCATTTCTTTCGCATGTTTAATTTTGTTTTAAAGATAGTATCTACAGTGGTGAAACTGGCAATAAATCAATTTTTGAAAGAGCAAGTAAACCCATCTTTTATTTGATATCAGAGCTCATAATAAAGAGAATGTCATGGGTTTGCTACTTAATGCATCAGAATCAATAACTCTCTGAATTACAAGTCACCTTAAGTAATATGAACAAGAATTTCATATAATGAACCAAATTCCATTTTATTTTTGAGACAAAGAATTTAAAAATTTTATTCTAATGAAAAGTGATAATTGTATGTATAGTAATATTAATACTAATAACCAAAATATATAAGAGGAGTTTATTGGCCTAATATGGTTTCACATGATAGATCAGATATAGTGTAGAACATATTAATAATTTATTTATTAAAAATAACACTATTAAGTGACATAGTGATCACATTTTCTCAACTGAAAATATTTCTACTAATTACCAATGAAAACCCAAAGGACACTGATAAAAGAAAAAATGTACACAAAATGAACATACCCAAAAATGTTCCATACATACAATGCTGTATATTGTTCTAAAACTAATTTGCCACATAAGGACTATTTTTTTAAAGAAAAAGCTTAAATAAAGTGAAAGATATTATTCTTTATAACATTCACATTCAAAAAACCATTTAAGGATAACTTCTTAAAAGTAATAAATTTAATTGGCATTTGATTATTCTATATCAAATATTGCTAATTACATGAATTCACTTTCAATTTTTTTGTTTAGCTCTTGGTAAAAGCACTTTAAAGATGATCATGATGATGTTTTTAAATCTAATATTAAATTAAATATTAAATCTAATAAATCAATATTAAATTTAAAAACTAATATTTTTAAATCTAATATTATTGCCTAACTAAATTATCTGATGAATGTAAAACTTTTTCTCTAATATTCTTCTACTTTTACATATGTAATTTAAATTAGAGTCGTTAAGAATGTTCAGCACATGTATTATATATTAAGAGTTTAATTCTTAAAAATATTTTAGTCAGCTTCAAAAATAAACCACACTATTACTATTTGGATTATTCTAAATAAACCTGGGTAGCCCTGCCCATTTCCCCCAACAGATATGCACAAAAATGTAAAGAACTACAAGGAATTTATTTAAAGCTTCCTAATTTTTTCACCACTTTTGAGTGACAGAGTACTAAAGCTGAGGCTCAGCAAGGTTAAGAATTTTGGTCTGATGACTTCTAAAAGAAGAGTTTTGCAATCCAGTCTCAAAGATTATTCCATGAAAATAAATCCCTGCATGGGAGTAAGCTAGCAGGCAGTCCGCATAGAGCCATTTCCTGAAGAAAATAATACTTTCAGAGCTGTTAGAATGAAGGGAAGATTTTGAAAAAGTAAAAACTGTTAAGTCAAAAACATTTTTCTTCATCATTCAAACTCTAACTAGTAGCCAGATTTATTTCACTCAAGGATCTGAACTTGTCTACTTTTTTTTTCAGGCTTGAGTTTACATTCAAGGAAGGTCCCTTTCTGTCCAATGAATAAAGTAAAAACCTTCACTTGCATTCAAAGTTCCCTATGATCTGGTCTAAATTTTATTCCCAATCTCATATCCCCCAGCTGTACTTTATGTATTCCAGTGAAATGGACTAGTTTCTCTAAACACAAAGATACTAAGGTACATTTCTTGACCTCTGAGATTTCATAGTTCTTTTTCTCTAGAATTTTCTCTTTGCGTGTCCAAATCCTATCATTTCTTCAGGCGCTATTTAGAGTCTTCCTCCATCTCTCAGAGAGAATTAACAGTCCCAGCCTTTTGAACTCACTAGGGATTTTGCTCTCCATCTGTTTTCCAACATCCTCTTTTTGTCCTGTATTATAAAAATTCATATACCTATCTCCCTTAAAAGAGGAAATAAGAGGAAGCATACCTTATACACACAAATTTGCATAGCCAGGGATACAGGAAGTTCTGAATAATGAATAAATGAATGAATGGTCAAATAAAGGAATGAAAAGCATTATTTTACAAATGGTATTTGAATGGTCAGTAGATAAGCAGCAGATGAGAAATTAGCCCATCCTGAACAAAGAATTAGAATGTTTAGATTAAACGATAAAAAAATAAAGTACTATTCATACTATTTTATGAATAAAGTAATGAAAGTGTTCCTACTGAGAATTTTGCAGTTCTGTTTACTAGACAAACACTGAGCCTCTAATTTCTATGTGTAAGTATTGTCCAAAGTATTGTAATTCAATATAATGTTAGGATTACCAAGTTTATTTATATAACAAACACTTCATGGTATTTTTTATGTACCAAGTAAGTGTCCTAAGAACTTTAGCAATATTAACTTATTTCCTGCTCACAAAATCCATTGGGAAATGTTTTATTAGTATTGCCATTTTACAGATGCAGAACATGACATACCCAATGTTTAAGAAATTTGTCAAGGTCACAGTGTTATGATAAATGAGGCCTATGCTGCATCTATCTAATGAAGTTTGCATTAGATAATGCTTATTTGTTTATTTTCATACAATGTTGACTGTTATACAATTCTGTGTGTCCTGTGTGAGACTGAGAAACCAGTCTTCTTGTTGTTGCTGTTATTGTTATTTTGGAGACAGAGTCTTTCTCTGTCACCCAGGCTGTCAAACTCCTGGGCTCAAGCCATCTTCTCACCTCAGCCCCCAGAGTAGCTAGGACTACATGTGTACAACACCACACTCAGCTAAGTTTTTTTTTTTTTTTTTAATTTGTGTACAGATGTGGTCTTGCTATGTTGTCCAGGCTGGTCTAGAACTCCTGGCCTCAAGCGATCCTCCCACTTTGGCATCTCAAAGCACTGGGATTACAGGTGTGAGACACTGTCCCTGGCTGGTTGTTGTTGTTGTTTTCTATCTTTTTTGAAAAAGCCTAAACAAAGAGCTAATTTTAAAAACCTGCATTTCTCTTAATAGCAATAACTTTGCAATATATTAGTTCAATATATTTTCTACCAGACATGGTGTGATTTGACTTTCTCTGTCCAAGAAATTAGAAAATCAACACTTACTTTGTAGGAGAAGTCATTCTTTCGATAAACTCTTATATTGATTCCAGTTTCACAAAGTAACTCAGAGCCAAGAGGCAGTGCTCAATGTTACAGAAAAGAGGCAATGATGAACATATGACTCCAAAGTGTTCTTTCTAATATATAACAGGTTCCAATTTGGGGAAGGCTAACCCATAGTAACATGACATCTGCATTTCAGGGAGGGTGAGCTCCTATTTAAATGATTGTGATTAACAACCAAAGCTTTATATACTAACAAGCCAAGTTTGATTGTAATTCATTGGTGTGTAATCATCCCTCTAACATATAATTATATACTATGAGTAGAGAATTTGGCAGAAACAAGAAAAGGACATGGGATAACTTTCAGATTTAAAGAGGCAGGCTCTGGAACACAAACTGGTATTCTGCTGACACACTGCTGGCATATCATAAGAGCTACTCCACAAGACCATTTAGAAGTCACTGGGGAAAATAAGCAGCATTCACATCTGATGTACCTCACAATAGGCTGGCAGGACACAATGTCAGTAAAACATCAAATTGCCAGCAAGATTTCATGTTGCTACTAAAATTTGAAGAGTGCATTTACTTTAATTTTATACCTTTCTTGTTCAGCTCAAAAAGGCTTTTTTTGGCAACAGAAAAAAAAAAAACCCATACAATCAGTCACACCTTGGCCTTTCAATCCACACTTTTCAAGAAAACCACCTCCTGTTTTTAATTTCATTTCAAACTATATGATCACAAACATTACAAAGTTATATTTTTTGAAAAACATGCCCTTGGGAATTCAGTTTTCATCTGAAATAAATAGAAAAATATTTCCAAAAATGATAGTGTAGGCCTTAAGAGAATAATCATTCTCTTAATGTTATTGCCTCTATATTCTATGCAAGTGGATGTGTACATCTTTAATCAAGTAATTTAAAAACAACTTATAAAAAAGCTTGTTTTGGAGGGAGGAGCCAAGATGGCCGAATAGGAACAGCTCCTGTCTACAGCTCCCAGCGTGAGCGACGCAGAAGATGGGTGATTTCTGCATTTCCATCTGAGGTACCGGGTGCATCTCACTAGGAAGTGCCAGACAGTGGGCGCAGGTCAGTGGGTGCGCGCACCGTGCGCGAGCCGAAGCAGGGCGAGGCATTGCCTCACTTGGGAAGCGCAAGGGGTCAGGGAGTTCCCTGTCTGAGTCAAAGAAAGGGCTGACAGACGGCACCTGGAAAATCGGGTCACTCCCACCCGAATACTGCGCTTTTCCGACGGGCTTAAAAAACAGCGCACCACGAGATTATATCCCGCACCTGGCTCGGAGGGTCCTATGCCCACGGAGTCTCGCTGATTGCTAGCACAGCAGTCTGAGATCAAACTGCAAGGGGGCAGCTAGGCTGGGGGAGGGGCGCCTGCCATTGCCCAGGCTTGCTTAGGTAAACAAAGCAGCTGGGAAGCTCGAACTGGGTGGAGCCCACCACAGCTCAAGGAGGCCTGCTTTCCTCTGTAGGCTCCACCTCTGGGGGCAGGGCACAAACAAAAAGACAGCAGTAACCTCTGCAGACTTAAATGTCCCTGTCTGACAGCTTTGAAGAGAGCAGTGGTTCTCCCAGGACGCAGCTGGAGATCTCAGGACGGGCAGACTGCCTCCTCAAGTGGGTCCCTGTCCCCTGACACCCGAGCAGCCTAACTGGGAGGCACCCCCCAGCAGGGGCACACTGACACCTCACACGGCAGGGTACTCCAACAGACCTGCAGCTGAGGGTCCTCTCTGTTAGAAGGAAAACTAACAAACAGAAAGGACATCCACACCAAAAACCCATCTGTACATCACCATCATCAAAGACCAAAAGTAGATAAAACCACAAAGATGGGGAAAAAACAGAACAGAAAAACTGGAAACTCTAAAAAGCAGAGAGCCTCTCCTCCTCCAAAGGAACACAGTTCCTCACCAGCAATGGAACAAAACTGGATGGAGAATGACTGACGAGCTGAGAGAAGAAGGCTTCAGACGATCAAATTACTCTGAGCTACGGAAGGACATTCAAACCGAAGGCAAAGAAGTTGAAAACTTTGAAAAAAAATTTAGAAGAATGTATAACTAGAATAACCAATACAGAGAAGTGCTTAAAGGAGCTGATGGAGCTGAAAACCAAGGCTCGAGAACTACGTGAAGAATGCAGAAGCCTCAGGAGCCGATGCGATCAACTGGAAGAAAGGGTATCAGCAATGGAAGATGAAATGAATGAAATGAAGCGAGAAGGGAAGTCTAGAGAAAAAAGAATAAAAAGAAATGAGCAAAGCCTCCAGGAAATACGGGACTATGTGAAAAGACCAAATCTACGTCTGATTGGTGTACCTGAAAGTGATGGGGAGAATGGAACCAAGTTGGAAAACACTCTGCAGGATATTATCCAGGAGAACTTCCCCAGTCTAGCAAGGCAGGCCAACGTTCAGATTCAGGAAATACAGAGAACGCCACAAAGATACTCCTCGAGAAGAGCAACTCCAAGACACATAATTGTCAGATTCACCAAAGTTGAAATGAAGGAAAAAATGTTAAGGGCAGCCAGAGAGAAAGGTCGGGTTACCCTCAAAGGGAAGCCCATCAGACTAACAGCAGATCTCTCGGCAGAAACCCTACAAGCCAGAAGAGAGTGGGGGCCAATGTTCAACATTCTTAAAGAAAAGAATTTTGAACCCAGAATTTCATATCCAGCCAAACTAAGCTTCATAAGTGAAGGAGAAATAAAATACTTTACAGACAAGCAAATGCTGAGAGATTTTGTCACCACCAGGCCTGCCTTACAAGAGCTCCTGAAAGAAGCACTAAACATGGAAAGGAACAACGGGTACCAGCCGCTGCAAAATCATGCCAAAATGTAAAGACCATCGAGACTAGGAAGAAACTGCATCAACTAACGAGCAAAATCACCAGCTATAATCATAATGACAGGATCAAATTCACACATAACAATATTAACTTTAAATGTAAATGCACTAAATTCTCCAATTAAAAGACACAGACTGGCAAATTGGATAAAGAGTCAAGACCTATCAGTGTGCTGTATTCAGGAAACCCATCTCACATGCAGAGACACACATAGGCTCAAAATAAAAGGATGGAGGAAGATCTACCAAGCAAATGGAAAACAAAAAAAGGCAGGGGTTGCAATCCTAGTCTCTGATAAAACAGACTTTAAACCAACAAAGATCAAAAGAGACAAAGAAGGCCATTACATAATGGTAAAGGGATCAATTCAACAGGAAGAGCTAACTATCCTAAATATATATGCACCCAATACAGGAGCACCCAGATTCATAAAGCAAGTCCTGAGTGACCTACAAAGAGACTTAGACTCCCACACATTAATAATGGGAGACTTTAACACTCCACTGTCAACATTAGACAGATCAACGAGACAGAAAGTCAACAAGGATACCCAGGAATTGAACTCAGCTCAGCACCAAGTGGACCTAATAGACATCTACAGAACTGTCCACCCCAAATCAACAGAATATACATTTTTTTCAGCACCACACCACACCTATTCCAAAATTGACCACATACTTGGAAGTAAAGCTCTCCTCAGCAAATGTAAAAGAACAGAAATTATAACAAACTATCTCTCAGACCACAGTGCAATCAAACTAGAACTCAGGATTAAGAATCCCACTCAAAGCTGCTCAACTACATGGAAACTGAACAATCTGCTCCTGAATGACTACTGGGTACATAACGAAATGAAGGCAGAAATAAAGATGTTCTTTGAAACCAACGAGAACAAAGACACAACATACCAGAATCTCTGGGACGCATTCAAAGCAGTGTGTAGAGGGAAATTTATAGCACTAAATGCCCACAAGAGAAAGCAGGAAAGATCCAAAACTGACACCCTAACATCACAATTAAAAGAATTAGAAAAGCAAGAGCAAACACACTCAAAAGCTAGCAGAAGGCAAGAAATAACTAAAATCAGAGCAGAACTGAAGGAAATAGTGACACAAAAAACCCTTCAAAAAATTAATGAATCCAGGAGCTGGTTTTTTGAAAGGATCAACAAAATTGATAGACCGCTAGCAAGACTAACAAAGAAAAAAAGAGAGAAGAATCAAACAGATGCAATAAAAAATGATAAAGGGGATATCACCACCGATCCCACAGAAATACAAACTACCATCAGGGAATACTACAAACACCTCTACGCAAATAAACTAGAAAATCTAGAAGAAATGGATAAATTCCTCGACACATACACTCTCCCAAGACTAAACCAGGAAGAAGTTGAATCTCTGAATAGACCAATAACAGGAGCTGAAATTGTGGCAATAATCAATAGCTTACCAACCAAAAGAGTCCAGGACCAGATGGATTCACAGCCGAATTCTACCAGAGGTACAAGGAGGAACTGGTACCATTCCTTCTGAAACTATTCTAATCAATAGAAAAAGAGGGAATCCTCCCTAACTCATTTTATGAGGCCAGCATCATTCTGATACCAAAGCCAGGCAGAGACACAACAAAAAAAGAGAATTTTAGACCAATATCCTTGATGAACATTGATGCAAAAATCCTCAATAAAATACTGGCAAAACGAATACAGCAGCACATCAAAAAGCTTATCCACCATGATCAAGTGGGCTTCATCCCTGGGATGCAAGGCTGGTTCAATATACGCAAATCAAGAAATGTAATCCAGCATATAAACAGAGCCAAAGACAAAAACCACATGATTATCTCAATAGATGCAGAAAAAGCCTTTGACAAAATTCAACAACCCATCATGCTAAAAACTCTCAATAAATTAGGTATTGATGGGACGTATTTCAAAATAATAAGAGCTATCTATGACAAACCCACAGCCAATATCATACTGAATGGGCAAAACCTGGAAGCATTCCCTTTGAAAACTGGCACAAGACAGGGATGCCCTCTCTCACCACTCCTATTCAACATACTGTTGGAAGTTCTGGCCAGGGCAATTAGGCAGGAGAAGGAAATAAAGGGTATTCTATTAGGAAAAGAGGAAGTCAAATTGTCCCTGTTTGCAGATGACATGATTGTATATCTAGAAAACCCCATTGTCTCAGCCCAAAATCTCCTTAAGCTGATAAGCAACTTCAGCAAAGTCTCAGGATACAAAATCAATGTACAAAAATCACAAGCATTCTTATACACCAACAACAGACAAACAGAGAGCCAAATCATGAGTGAACTCCCATTCACAATTGCTTCAAAGAGAATAAAATACCTAGGAATCCAACTTACAAGGGATGTGAAGGACCTCTTCAAGGAGAACTACAAACCACTGCTCAAGGAAATAAAAGAGGATACAAACAAATGGAAGAACATTCCATGCTGATGGGTAGGAAGAATCAATATCGTGAAAATGGCCATACTGCCCAAGGTAATTTACAGATTCAATGCCATCCCCATCAAGCTACCAATGACTTTCTTCACAGAATTGGAAAAAACTACTTTAAAGTTCATATGGAACCAAAAAAGAGCCCGCATTGCCAAGTCAATCCTAAGCCAAAAGAACAAAGCTGGAGGCATCACACTACCTGACTTCAAACTATACTACAAGGCTACAGTAACCAAAACAGCATGGTACTGGTACCAAAACAGAGATATAGATCAATGGAACAGAACAGAGCCCTCAGAAATAACACCGCATATCTACAACTATCTGATCTTTGACAAACCTGAGAAAAACAAGCAATGGGGAAAGGATTCCCTATTTAATAAATGGTGCTGGGAAAACTGGCTAGCCATATGTAGAAAGCTGAAACTGGATCCCTTCCTTACACCTTATAAAAAAATCAATTCAAGATGGATTAAAGACTTAAACGTTAGACCTAAAACCATAAAAACCCTAGAAGAAAACCTAGGCATTACCATTCAGGACATAGGCATGGGCAAGGACTTCATGTCTAAAACACCAAAAGCAATGGCAACAAAAGACAAAATGGACAAATGGGATCTAATTAAACTAAAGAGCTTCTGCACAGCAAAAGAAACTACCATCAGAGTGAACAGGCAACCTACAAAATGGGAGAAAATTTTCGCAACCTACTCATCTGACAAAGGGCTAATATCCAGAATCTACAATGAACTCCAACAAATTTACAAGAAAAAAACAAACAACCCCATCAAAAAGTGGGCGAAGGACATGAACAGACACTTCTCAAAAGAAGATATTTATGCAGCCAAAAAACACATGAAAAAATGCTCATCATCACTGGCCATCAGAGAAATGCAAATCAAAACCACAATGAGATACCATCTCACACCAGTTAGAATGGCAGTCATTAAAAAGTCAGGAAACAACAGGTGCTGGAGAGGATGTGGAGAAATAGGAACACTTTTACACTGTTGGTGGGACTGTAAACTAGTTCAACCATTGTGGAAGTCAGTGTAGCGATTCCTTAGGGATCTAGAACTGGAAATACCATTTCACCCAGCCATCCCATTACTGGGTATATACCCAAAGGACTATAAATCATGCTGCTATAAAGACACATGCACACGTATGTTTATTGCGGCATTATTCACAATAGCAAAGACTTGGAACCAACCCAAATGTCCAACAATGATAGACTGGATTAAGAAAATGTGGCACATATACACCATGGAATACTATGCAGCCATAAAAATGATGAGTTCATGTCCTTTGTAGGGACATGGATGAAATTGGAAATCATCATTCTCAGTAAACTATCGCAAGAACAAAAAACCAAACACCGCATATTCTCACTCATAGGTGGGAATTGAACAATGAGATCACATGGACACAGGAAGGGGAATATCACACTCTGGGGACTGTTGTGGGGTAGGGGTACGGGGGAGGGATAGCATTGGGAGATATACCTAATGCTAGATGACGAGTTAGTGGATGCAGCGCACCAGCATGGCACATGTATACATATGTAACTAACCTGCACAATGTGCACATGTACCCTAAAACTTAAAGTATAATAAAAAAAAAAACAAAAAAAAAACTTGTTTTAATGTTTTTAAATAATGATCTGGACTTCAATAAAATTAAAAACTTTAAAAATATATTAATAAAAAAGGAACTCACTACTGATAAATGCAACAGCATGGAAGAATATCAGAGAATTATGACAAGTGAAGGAAGCCACACCCAGAATGATTCCATTGATATGACATTCTAGAAAAGGCGAAACTATAGGGATACAAAGCAGACCAGTGGTTGCCAGGCATAAAAAACAAAGAGACAAGTGGAAATATATGGGGTGATGGCATTGTTCTACACCATGATTGTGGGTACATGACTATGTGCATCTGTTAAAATCAATAGAATGGTACACTAAAAAGGGTGATTTTTTAAGGTATGTAAATTATTTCCCAGTAAACCTTAGTTAGAATTATTTTCATATATATTTCAATGTTAATCTCTCAAAACACATTAGAAAGTAGAAAAGGCAAGCATTGTTATCATCATTATTTTACAGAGGAATAAACATAAGCTTAAAGAAGTTAAATAACTTACTGAGCACAACCAGCTAATATGTATCAGACACACGCTAAATCTGAATTTCACAATGCCAAATGCAGCATTTTTCTATTATAGTACATTGCCTCTTTGGATACCTTGGTATAATACACAATTAAATTAAAATTAATTAAAATTAGTCCCCCACTACTACATTCCCTCAAGGCACCTCATATTGAGATTTTCCACACTTGAAAAATATTGAATATGACCAACAGGCAAATGTTAATTTTATAATGAATTTAATATGATAGTGCAGTATGCTATTTTGGCAGCAAAAATACCAGTGATTTAAAGCTTAATACAGGATGTTGTCCATGTCACAGAAAGTAATAGACCCATTTTACACTACACTTAATGGAAGACCTCTAGAGCAATTGTCTGTAACTGAGTAAACAGTGTCATGAGAGGAGCATAGACAAGTGAAATTACACCCAGATACAAGTATATCAATGTCACATTAGGAATGTTTGGAAGAACAGAAAACTGCTAAACTATGAGAAAGAGTGAAAGACACTCTAACAAATATGAAAGTCAATGACATTTAAGAGTACAAATATTTGTATATTTCTCAAAAGGATGAACCAGGATATAGTACTTTTAGCTTCAGTATAATAATTTCTTGGACTAATATCTGTTTAAAAATGGGTGCTTAATATATGTTGAATGAATGAATGAATGAATAACTCAGGTTATACAAAACAAAGGTGGGTTGCTTTATAAAATCATCACCTATCCCTTAGTGTGAATTTGATGATGAACTTCAGGATGTTATGGAAGACATTCCCCATTATAAAAGTGGCTAGAAAAATATGGAAGATTCCTTTTAAAAGTGTGGGATAGTTTGGAGGAAACAGAGTAGAGAGAGAAAAATGAGCTTGAAGCCATATATTTTATGAAGGGACTAGAAACTCAGTAAATAAATGAAGAAAAATAAGTTTTACAAAATGAAGCCTTTTACAACAAATGATGCCAGAACAACTGGATATCCACATGCAAAAAAAAAAAAAAATGAATCTAGATACATACTTTATTCCTTTCACAAAAAGTAACTCAAAAGTGATTATAGACTTGCATATAAGATGCAAAAGTATAAAACTCTTATAAGATAACCTAGTAGAAAATCTAGGTGACCTTAGGTTTGGCAAGGTCAAACTGCCTTTTTTTTTTTTACAAAGAGAGTAAAAACTGCTCTTTGAAATACAATTCAGAGGACGGAACAAGTCAGATTAGGAAGAAACGAAAACATTTGCAAAAGACATATCCGAAAAGAGACTGGTGTCCAAAACATATTGAGAACCTTTAAAATGCAACAATATGATAACAATCTAATTAAAACATGGACAAAATATCTGAAGAACATCTCATCAAAGAAGATAAACAGATGACAAATAAGCAATGAACATACATCATTAGGCGATTGGAAATTAAAACAACAGCAAGATATCACTACACACCTTAGAATGGCTAAAATAAAAAAAAATAAAAATAAAAAAAAAACTGATTACACCAAAAGGTGGCACGGAAGTATGACTACAGGAGCTCTCATTCATTGCTGGTAGAAATACAAAATGGCACTGCTGCAATCTGGGCAACTATTTTGTATGATACTGTAATGGTAGATACATGTCATTATGATTTGTAAAACTCACAGAAAGTATAACATAAAGAGTGAATCCTAATGTAAATTATGGACTTTTGGTAATAATAGCATATCCATACTGGCTCATCAATTGCAACAAATGTACCACTCTAAATGCAAGATGTTAATGATAGGGGGAGAAATGAGGAAGGGGGATGAAGACTTATATGTAATCTTACTGCTTAGATGTTTCCACATTTCTACCATTCAATTGAAGGCTATTTCAAAAAATCGAATCCCAATTACAGTAAATACATTAAACATCAACTTTTAAATAATTATTTTTTGCCATGAAGAAGTATAACATTCTTTTTTGACCTCTCTCATGACCATACATTTAATAGACTTGTGAATTATTAACTGAAAAAACAGACATGTTTCAGAAGATTTTACAACTGTACTAAAATTCCTAGCTTGTACCAGAAAACAAGATTTTGCAGACACTGTACTTAGAGAATATGGTTGTTTATCTGAATGTTTAATGGAAGTTATTCCTTTATTGTCAATTATGCTGAAAACATAAAAGTGAATGGTTATTCATTTTACTTGTGAATTCCGTGGGCCTTCTGACATTCTATATTACCCTTCATTAGATTTGTCTTGTAGCCTCATTCTTGCAATATTCTCTTAATTTAGATGAGTGAATGCATTTTATTTATGATAACAGATAAAAGTTCTTAGCAGGCACATCTGTCACATTTTGATCTTTGATTAAAATGGAAGGTATCATAGAAGATTCTACATTTCTCTGTATTATATTTCATTGCAAACTATCAAAAACAGGGTTTCCACATTTAAAAGAATGGAGTCTCAGGAATTATCTCAGAGTAATCTTTTAGAAATTTTTCTCCTTTAGTAATAACATTCATAGCATATTGGGCCAACTTGCTCAAATGTAAATAATGCATATGCACTAAGATATATTCAAAATGCAAAGAATAAAAATTGCTTGCAATCCAATCCTACCACCTTTAGCAAACACTGTTGATATTTTGGGTGTACTCTCTTATCATTTTACTATGCCTGCATTATGTCAGTGTTATAGGTATATTCTTGTGTAATTTTTTTCTTCCCTGCCCTAAGCTCATTATTTTGAATATATTTCCAAGCTACTAAGATTTACAAAAGCTTATATGCTTATATTTGTTATATCTATAGTTTGATTTTTAAAAATTACCCCATAGTAATACATTCTAATTCAAAATTTATACTGTATGAAAAAATATACAATGAAATGACCACGAAAGTTCTTTTTCCACTTTTGTTCCCCGACCCTCCAACTTCTCATCAGCAACTAGTTATATTATTTTCATATACATTTATTTGAAAGTATCTTATACACAGGTATGCAAATACATATATAGGCTTTTCCCCCTTTTTTAGATTGCATTATACCACACTGTTCTGAACCTTGATGTTTTTCTTTTTTAATTAACCTTGTATCTTGAAGAACATTTTACATCCATAAAGAGTTTTTGCATTTCTTTTTACAGCTTCATAATGCCATTTTTATGGATGCACCATAATAAGCCTAAGCAATTCTCTATGATGGGCATTTTACTCTTACGAACAATGCAGCAACAAAATACCCTGTACAGCCTTCACTTTGCAAGTATACAAATATACCTGGAGGTGAAATTTGTAGGAGTGGAATTTTTGGGTTGAATGATATTTGCACTTGAAGTTGATGGACAAGGTTAAATTGCTTCCATAAGCATTCTACCCATTTAGACTTCCACAAATATAGATCTTCCATAATTTATTTAAACCCTCCTCAGTTATTGCACATTTTAAAATCCTATATTCTACCCTTTCAAAATACCATTTTATCCTTTCAAGATTTTCATACCTGTGTGTATAACCTCCAGGTATATTTGTATACTTGCAAATACATTTCACTCCCTTCTGTATTTAGCCAAAATCTCACATCTCATTGCTTCGACTACACTTCAACATCTTTAAACCTTGTTCCTGTTTTTTATATAAAGTAAAATCTAAATTTCGTATCAACCTATCTAGATTTCTATAGTTTAAGAATTTGTGTTTTCTGTCCTTTCCTATGAACTTCCAAAGAAGCAGAAGAAATATGTGAAGCAGTGTCCTAAAAAACTGAAGAGGAAGTTCAACACACCCAGCAATCATTCCTTATAGCTTCGCAGATGAGTTCTCAGTGCCATTTCCCAACAGATGATATTTTATGTCTTCACCACATTCCATAAACATTCTACTCCACTATCCTCTCTCTCACTTACTGGAGATGATTTCAGCAATTTTATTTATAGAGAAAATAGAAGCCATCAAAACAGAAACTCTCTCAATCCACTGTCCTCTCCCTTGGCTCCCATTTCCCACAGTTAGAAACATCTTTACCACCCATGCCTCCATTCCTCCATTGCAAAGGACATATACTGGTGTTGGTACTTCTGTTTAACCTCTTTCAATGACTCCCCATTGCTGTCATGATAAACTCCTCAACATGACCTACAACACCTTTAATGATTTAAACCCAGTTGCCTCCCCATTTTATGTTTGTTTACTTTTATTTGCAGTTTACACTCCCACACAATTCCCTGATTGACCATGTTTGTCCTAATCTTCTAATCATGGCTTTGAAATGTATTTCCTTTTATTTCCTATTCGCCTTGTTATGCCTCCTAGTTCTTCAAGTTTCAACTCAGATGCAACATTTTCTAAAAAGTTTTCCTAGACCTCTCAGTCTTGGTTAACTGTCCCTTTTAGATGATTTAATAATCCCTTTTGTAGACTTTAATCATTGCCTTATCATACTACATACAATTCTCTGTTAGGTTGACATCTGTTCCATTAGTTTCATATACAATCTAGAAACTCAATAAATGTTATAAAATATTTATAAATTAGCTTGCATTTGTTTGACTTAATTATTTTTACTTCTTGTCACATTATGTTTCAAGATTTTTTAGTAACAAATGCTTTAATTTTAAAATATAATCAAAATTAATAATTCATAATGATTTTTATTCCCTAGAGCATTCTTCATTCTCATGGTATCTCATTTCATTTAAATAAAAAAGTACATACATACTTCATCTAAGACAGAAGGTGATCTGCTGAAAATCATCTACTTAAAATATAAGATGGCTTTAGAAATAACCTTTATCAATACTAATGTTTATAATTTTATATTTTAATACCATACAAGCAAAATATAACCTATTTTTGTTTTGTTAGGTTAACTAAACTACTTTTTATGTGATAGATCATTCTTCCTATCAGCTATGAACTTTTAGTGGCATTATGAAGACCATTAGGTTCCAACTTTGATTTACCTTTTCTTTTTATAAGACTGAAATATTTTTATAAGTTTGAAATCTTTTGTCCTTAAAACATGTTTCAGTGAATTTTTTCCTCAAGAAGAAAGAAAGGAAAGATAATGGAGGAGCTCTGTAATTAGGGGAAAGCATATCACAGTATCATGTGAGTCCAAATTTGAAATAAAATGAATTTCTGTTACAAGACTCAAGACTTGATATAATCAACAATTAATATAAGAAAAATTCTAGATACAGTATAGAACCCTATGTGTTCTTTAAAACATGTGTTGAAAAGATTTAATTTTGAGTCATGGTTGGAAATACCGAATTGTACTTTTATGCCCTCATTGTTTTACTTAAATGGACATTTTTACAATATCTACACTCAGCCAGGGTATGAAGATGGAGGACTACACATTTATCATCTTTGACATTTGTAATATTATTTAAATAGCAAACCATCAATTGTCACATGCAAGGAACTATTAGAGCAAAGTACAGATGAAGTTGATTATTTCAAACAATTCAAATTTTATTTCCTGACAAATGAAAGAATTAAGTTGAGGTCAACATGATGTTAATTTATTTGGCTGTAAAAATTAATTTTGATCAGATGCCAATGGTCTTTTAGGCTATTTATATTCAACAATTTAAAAAACGCTTCTTGAGGATGTGCTCTATGTCAGAAGCTGTGCTTGGCACTGGGGCTAAAAGCATAAAATATCCTCTGTAAATAAGATACAGTTTGATATCTTGTCAATGACACAGCATAATTTAGAAGACAGATAATTACCTAAACAAGTTCAATACAATGTGGTAAGGAGTAATAATACAAGAAAGGAAAAATAATTATAGAAAAAAAGGAGGAGTTATTCTAATTTGGTCTGACTTAAGGTTTAGAGCAAAAGGGTAATTCAAGTTCATCAGCTCAAGATGAGTAGAAAGGAGAAAGACGTGCAAATAATGAAATAGGCTTCAAAGAATACAAATTATGTAATCAACAGGATTAATACTGAGGTTAAGACAAGGCGTAAGATATTAGAGAATGCTTAAAATAAACTTAAATAAGCCAAAAAGTGTTATACATCTACAATGATGTCATACAGAACAATCAGAAAGTGATTCAATTCTTGTGAAAAAAACTTTCTAAAGGTGAAACATTAATATGTCCCTTTTTCAAAATACTGCAAAAACAACACTTTGTATATCATTAGAACTGCTAAAGACATTTGGTAAAAGGCAACATGGCCTACATGATTAAAGTTAATTTAAGGATAGAGAACGTTATCAATGAAAACAAAAATGAAAGACACTCTGCCATCAAAAAGTATTTAAAAATTTTAAAGTGAACTCTATTATTTATATTATCCAGAGCTAGGTTTAGAAGAGTGTCTATGAAAATGATATCTTGTAATACTACTTGTCTATTCTATGAGTTATGGTACATCATTTAGGGGTGAGGGAAAAACAGCTTTTACTTCTTTTGTTAATGCAGAGCAAATACAACTTCCAAACCCTGCATTCCATTTATGCTTCAGAATGACAACTGGCAAGGAACTGAGATTCTGGAAGTGTTACAGTTGTGCTTGCCTGTGAAAAGGGGGAAAAAATTAGATGTTTTAAGATAAGCATTTGCATTGTCAGTAGAAAAATACAATAGAGATTCTTTATTTTAGATTGGTCCTTTTATTTTCTGGTAAGTTTCATAAACTGTATACTGCAGAAATGTGTGGATGCTCAAAGCGACTCCTAAAATTGAGTATCCAAGGAGGGCAATTACATCAATTCACTACAAAATGTACTATAGTATCTTTGTCAGAGTTAAATGCCTAAATGATAAAGAATATTAATTTAAAAATTTTCTGGCTGATGTAATTGTACTTATTCTAAGATGATGTAATGTAGGCTGAAACTTCCTATGATGCAATGTGAACAAAACACAATATATAATATGCTTTCCCCTTCTGAATCTCAGTCACTTGTATTCAGAATGTATCTTATTCTTTTGTAGATGCCCAGTGCCTGTGCCATAGTAGGAACGCAATGATTATCTGTTGAATTAATGACTAGAGAGAGGTTAATAAATACTTAGGGAATTCATGACAGACAATGAATCATTCATTCACCTTTTTTTTTCTTTAGAAGCAAGCTCAATTATCCAGTACCTTCAATAATATAATCAGGTCAGAATATGGAGCATAATAAAGAAGAACATTTGGTTTGGGCTGGATGCCCAGGAGTAGTATTGCATTTGTGCCACTTACTAGTTGTGTGACTACAGAAAAGTCATACACCATTGGTGAACCTTAGTATCCTCTTGGCTTCCTGTTGGTATAACAGTGATACCAAATTCGGATGAGTGTTGTGTTAAACGAGTTAATTAATGTGCAGTGCTTAGAAAAGGCATATGATTGCAGCTTAAAAGGTCATTTTTTAATGTATTCAAAAACTTTTGGGGGATCCTGCAATGGTCCAACATCTGTGCTAGGCACCAGTGAGCAACACCTCACCCAGTCTGTTTCAGAGAGCTACATGCTTGTCTCTCTGCCCCATTGGTCTCTCTTCCTCACTACATTTTATAATTGTGTACATTTTACCCTCGGAACAGAGAGAAAAATACATCTAAAATAGACTGAAAGAAGAGAGAGGGTATGCCTGAGTTGAGTTCTAAAGAAACAATATGGGCTACTTATCAGATAGATTTGAGGTTGAGGTTGGGGTACTAAGCAGAGGAAATAGCATGGCTGAAGATAGAGTGGAACTGAGATGAAACCAGGAAGATTCTAGGCAATCAGACTAGATGAACTGCCCATGTTTAAGTTCTGATGTAAATTGTTTTCAGGAAAAATAAATTCCCAAGATACCAAGAATTCTGATAAAACAGATACAGAAATGTATATAGAAATGGACTTAAGGATTATTTCAGCCCAGTTAATCTAGAGATCCTGAAAGCAAGAGACTGAATAATTGAATTGATTTGTTAATGTTTAAGAAAATAAATACATGTAAGAGAGCTTTGCCCATTTGATTATTATGGATGTTTGTGATTGACTTTGTCTTCTATTAGGTCTAGGTTAAATTCATTTTTCAATATTTAAACCCTGAATGGCTCAATTCTTTGATATGAAGAAAACAGAATCCTATAGAAACTATATTTTCTCTACAAACACCAAAATCTGAGCAATTTGGGATAATTCTTTCAGCAAAAACTCAGTACTTTTGGAAAATGGCTAAATCACAGATTTATTCTATTTGAACCTATTTTTCTTTGCTCTGATGAAAGGTTTCTTCTTCTCTCATAATGAGCTCATTTTTCCTTTTGGAAAAAAATAATGCCACTTTTCTGGTTTTGTATTCCACAGTGAATGCCTTATCTTTTATACCAGACATAAGGTATACCTTATCTAGTCTTGAAGCCCTGAACAGTTTCAATTTTTTTAAAAAAGGGTTAACATGAAGAAAGCATAGTCTGTTTTGAAGTGACATTAGCTGAACAATCAAAGGAGACCGATGAACTCAGCCAGAGATTTACTTACACAATAGGCCTCTACTTCAGAACTGTTCCCCAATCAATGTTCCCAAATTCTGTGCAGCGCCTGGCTCATTTTTATTCCCCTTTGCATGGCAAAGAATTTTATATTATACTATGTATAGTTACCCCAATTCATTCCATATAAAATAACTTGCTTCAGATTATGTGAATCTTTTACGCATTGATATAGTCTTTCTGCAGTGTGAAGAGTATTCTCTACTTCTAATTTCTAGTACATAGCAAAACCTGCTATACACAATTGTTAGCTTTTATTCATTCATAAAATAAAGATTTCCTGAGTACCTCCTCCCACATGCCTTGCACTGTGTTGGGAACAGGGATTCAGAAATGAGTGAGACATTGTTTGTTTCCATAGAAGTTGTGACTCTATTGTGGGAGAGACTTTTGGGATGAGAAAGTACCTAACATTGAATGTTAAAAGAGAGCTTCCTGAAAGAGTAGATGTATGAAATGTTTTTTAACTAGATGCGAAGGCGAATGCCAAGTGAAGGAGAGCACCAAAGAGGTGGCCACAAAGCCTCAGCCAGTGCATGTGGCCCCTAGCTCGTAGTTTTAACTGTAGTATCCATTTGGAACAAGGACCCCACCTCGAACACAAATCGAGTTGATTTAAAATGTGAGGCTCTTTATAAATGAAGGTAAATACTCTACTTCCATTATCCCTTCCTCCACTTAAACTCATTGATCCTTAAAGATCGCAAGTAGTCTATGAAGCCTATGAAGTTATGTATAGCAGTGTGCATGTATGTGCTATTTTCTGGGAAGAGTTGACCTGATACCAGATTTTTAAAAAAGGTTTGCCCTACCTCCTCAAACAAACACAGAGCTTCTAGAAATCTAAGTATTTTTCTACCTGATGCTAGTCACCACTTCCCCCATCTTACATCTCTAAAATATGACTCTGACTCTGCTCTAGCTAGCTTTCCATCCATGCTCTCTGCCCTACCTGAAAGATAATCTATCTCTTCCTTGCTGATGCCCACGTGGCACACACCCCACATCACAGTATATTCATTTTGTTTTTAGAAGTGTCCAGACTGACTTGATACCAAAGATGCATTACTTCTGACATTGGAATTCTGGAAGTACATGAAGTCCATTTATTATATGTAATCTTCAGCATGACTTTATACCTTAATGATAAAATCTGCCCACCTTTCATGTTTGAGATTGAATTAGCCTACATCTGGATTTGGTATAAATAAACAAATAAAAATAATAGTACCCAATTTTGCAAAATGGTAGGCAACATTTTGCTTCCACTTAAGGCTTTAAAATATTCTTTCTCTGCTTCTACCTACATGCTCTCAGAGCATCCAAGATTTTATTTTTTAAGCCAACAAAACCTGTTGTTTGAGATAGTATTAATGAAACTAGTCAGCTTATTTAATTCATTTCTGAATAAGAGATGTTCAATGTCATTGACACTGTGTCCCTGAATTCAGACAATATCAGCATCAGTCTAAGACAATTGTTCAAGATTAAATTAATTGTCCTTTCCTTTCTCTGAGTTGCCTTGGCACTTTGAATATATTTCTGTGATTGCAATCTCTTGTTTTGAGTTGTTTGTAAATTATATGTGTTTATTTCTCTCTCTCGTTAGATATTAAACTCTGTGGACCTGAACTCTGGTTTGGTCTTGTTTATACTAAAATGTGTTCTTGATTTGTAGCTCAACAAGCTTAACTGGACAAATAAATCAATTGCATGATAAAATACTGCTTTCTCTCCTATCATTATATACATATTTTCTCTTTCTGTATCCTATTACCTTCATAGATATCATGTCTGAAGTAGACATATTGAAGGCTCTCCAGTTTAGGAAATTGTTAAGCACCTCTTGAGATAGAATTATATGTGCTATTAAGCTTCTAAATAGCCAAGAGCTCTAATTATATATGTGTGTATATATGTATATGTTTATATATATGCATTTGTTTAAACTCCAAAGAGCTATTATATTTGTATGGACATATACACATGTGTTTAAAATTGCTACTTGCTCAAACGAAATAACATAATATCACATATCAAGAAATTATGAAGAGAATTCTTAGCACTCCAAAGTATCAAATTCTATGATAGTCTAATTAATTCTTTAAAAGCTCTGATGAGACGCAGTAGGAAATACTGTACTGCATCTATTTTAAGCAGTGTATTCAAACGAGGTAAACACAGCCCCTTTATATCAAGAATATAAAATCAGGAAATTGGCTGAATTTCCCTTTAAGGAGAAATGCCCACAAACATCTTAATCATAAATATACATATATACACAAATTCAAAAATAAAGGCTTTGACTTTCTTTTGGATATTTTTATCCAGTGATCTATCCTGTTTTATATTTAGAAAAGAAGGTAATGAAAGAAATGTACAAAAATACATAAACAGTTCTATGCTAAATACAACAATGTTCACTGAACAATGCAATTACGAAAGCTTTGGCAACATTTCCTTAACTCTTTAAAAAATTTCAGCTCTCTGAGACTTGTAAGGGAAACACAGGCATTATAGCATCTTCCTTCTAAAGAGTACTACCTGTTGGTTGCTAATTCATTTATAAATGTGTCACCCTTATATTGATAACCAGTGCTTACTTTATTTTTTACTAGTGAGATGAGAACCAAAAAAGTTTCCTAATATAGACAAAAAGAAAATATATTATTGGACTTTCATAATTGGCAATGAGGTAATCACCTATAAGTTTTGACTTTAATACTGATACTTTTATACACTTTATAAGGGCTACATTTTATTTTAGAATATAAATAGTATTAAAACAAGCAAAAAAAGAATGAATTATGAATCTAAAGCAATTGACTTGCCTCAAACTCTGACAGCACATAACTTTGTGAGAGCTCTAGTTAGCAACTTAGGGGAAAAAAAAAAAAAGTAGTATCAACAACAAACCAAGCTGTCACCCTGAGCAAAGTTGGAAAGGTCAATATGATGTTTTGATGGTTAGACAGACTGCCTTACGGGTAAGAAACTTTTGTTAAAAAGCATGTATGGAAGAAAAAGAGTCACACTGCCCTATCTGTGGGTAACCATTTATTAAATGGGTCAAGGAACACATATTTCCAGTAAGACTGTTGGCAATAAAGGGCACAGATTTGGTCTGTAATAAACATCAGCCTGATGTTCACTGAAATATCAGGGCTGCCCTTTAGAACATTGATCCAGTACTGGTAAATATCGAGTATGAGAACAACATAGCAAATAAAACCATGAGCATTTTGTAATTGAGTTATAGAGAAAAACAAAGCACCAAGTAGAAAGCAAATGGGAATAAGTAATGCCAAATATTCTTAATTTTAAGATGCTAGGTATAAACTCTTAGCCATAAGGCAATGTGTTTAGCAGTGCCCCTTATTAATTTTAAAGCATTCATTTTGATCTGTTAGGGATGGCAAAACCCAGTATTTAATGCAAAATTTTATTTGTTATTCTAAGCATTTCAATGCTCTCTTTCATTGTGAAAATTATCTAGTCTTAATTATATTGATCTTAAAGTGGCAACTTTTCCATCAGCTACTAAGAATTCAAGCCTGATAATCCAACACCTAGGCAAGGGATATTTTAAAATCAATTCCTAACTCACAATATCACTCAACAATTTGGCAAATATGTACATTCTGTATATAAATGAAAATAAATATATGAGTAAGTTGAAATTGTCATGTGAATTTAATTGATCAATGTTGTCTTTGGGCTGTGACCTGAAAATATATTACAGTCATCAGAATTGGGGAGCATACTATATCAGTTTCCGTCTTTCTCTCTCTTGCTCTGATTTATTTTTATATCACTAACTGCACTAGAGTAGTGGGGATACGGAACTAAAAATGAATGTTTATGAAAGATGACAAAATAATTTTAGATAATTACATATTTATTTCACCAATAAAACCCAGAAATATAGTTGGAATATTAGAGAACAAAAAAGTGAATTCAAGAGGATACTGACCCAAGGCCAAACTTTAAGCCATAGAGACTCAATTATATTCTCTTTGGCTAGAGTTAATCTTATTTACCCGAATAGAAATTGGAAATGCTTACTTGAAATATTCTTACTTAATCTGATAGCTTTTGACTTGCCTGTGGACCACACCAAATTGGTTGGGAATGCAGAAAAGCTGTACTCAGTTTGCAGCTCCTGAGCATTGGGAACAGACACCCAGACATAAGCAGAACCCCATGTATGAAGTAGAAATGTGTAAAAAGAAAAGATTTATTATCAATTTTTTAATGTCTTTTTGAAAAATGAAATTTGGCAACTGTTATATTGAGTAATTTGATGGAATCTTTTTGAAAATTTCACCCCTTTGCCCACAAAATTGGCAAAATTAACCATAATAAGACATGACTTAAGAAGATGTTATTTTTCTGGAGTTTAAAGTTAAATAAAATTCCATAAAGTGCCTAACTTTTTCATGAAATACAAGTAGAAAAAAATGCAAGAATATTTGCTCTTTTATAGGTCTTCAAAAAAGCAATTTAACATTGAATTAAAAAGGTATTATCTGAACTGTAGGTATTGTGAAAATGGTGCTGCAAAAATTAAAATACTAGTTTGTGCCGCAGCCATAAATTACTAAACTAATTATCTAGTAGCAGGCATAACTGAATCATTCAAAGAGGTAATTAGCAATCAGACATAATGAGTACTGCTACTATTTCTTGTCATACTGTATTTAGCTTCCATGCAGCCTGGAGGAACTGAATTATTTCCTATCCTTCTCAGAGGGCATTACTGCTATATTGAGTGCATCAGCCCATATTATTACTCCCAGTAGTTTAATTCTTCACTGGACTGCAAATTTTTGATTTCCCCTGTCAAAAGTTTCCCAGTTCTCCCAGATTACTAAAAAGCATCTTTTTAGTAATCATTCCCTAATATATATGTAAACTGCATCAAAACCAAATTATATTTCCTTTATTAGTTTTATAGAATTCTGATCCAATAACATAAGCTGTATCATTTTAGTAGTAGTTTCTGGAGCAATATCTATAAATTTTAATTATATGTAAAAATTAAAATAATTATAGAACTTTTCATATATATTTTAGACACAAATCTACAACAATGCTATAACTCATTTGTTCATTTTTTTTTCTGAACGCCTTCTATGCGTTCAGACATGAGCCTGTGTCCTGGGACATGAAATGAGGACAATATGGTCCCTGAATTATAGATTTCTTAGTCTACTGAAGATTTAAATATTTGCAAAAAATGTGGTAAATGCAATAATGATGCAAGTGAGAGAAACTCTATGTATACAACATACTACCATATGTCACCTCATCTTAGTGCCTTCTCATATTATGAACAAATTCAAAAGATTAGATGAGAGGAATACAATTTATAAAACAAATCAATCAAGGTAGAGAGTATATTTCAGGTAAAATATAAAAATTTAATTCAGTCCATGTTTCTCAGTTGAGATTTACTAAACATCCATTCTATGAAAATGCATTGGCTCTGAACCTTAGCTTCAAGAGGCTGAAGTTTAGAAATTCTGATTTAGAAAGTCTCAGGGGGAGCAAAGCTTCCAAAAGCTAAGCCAGGGAGCCAGGATTGGGAACCACTATATGAAGGCACTAAACAGTTAAAAGGAGAAAATCCCTTTTTCAGCCCCTAGATTTAGTCAAACAACATACAGGGACACTTAAGGTGGAAGGCACAATACAACCATAAATGAAAGGGGTTTTAAGAGACAGCTTTGCAAGCAGCACTCAAGGAGGATCCTGTGCTTTTTCTTTTCCAGGAATAATCAAGGAACATGACATCCCTGCTCTTCCTGCTGTAGTGGGTGCTAAGTGCTTCAAAGCTCCCCACTGTTGCCATTTGCTAAGGGGACCTCACCTCCTGCAGTCCTGCTCTGCCCTGTATTAAAATAGCAATTAACTAAAAGAAAAAAATAAAAGAAATGTAAATACACACAGATTTTAGGTGACCCAAACTTATGTTTTTTAAGGACTTATTTTTTAATGTCCTGAGAGGAGATCACTTTGCAATTAGCACACCAGCAAAAAAAAAAAAAAAACAAAAAAACTAACAGCTAACAAAGCCCTGTGCTACAAGCTTAATACTCACATTCCATTATCTGAATGGGATTGGACCACATGCTTGCTGGATATTCGCATATTAACATGACACCTGAGGATAAAAGTTACCTATAATCAGGCTGCAGATTCTGACGGTTTTTTGCTTTGTTTTGTTTTTGAAGAATGCAAAGTAAAAAGAAAGGAGAAGAACCTAGCATGACCAGAACACCTACTCTATACCAAACAGGGCACTCAGGGTTTTTAATCCATAGAGGGAATGGACATACTCAAAGCTCATATATCCCAAGATTTTTACGCTATAAGAGGTGAGGTCCTAAAAACAAAATGTATGAATCTCTATGAGTCAAAAAAGACAGCTACTTGTTCTCCTTGTCTTCATTTTGCAGTTTTTACCTAACTAGAGTCAAGGATCCCACAATTCAGAGAGTTAATAGAGGCAATACTCCTTGAAGTTAGTTACTTACTGAAGAAAAAGCGTGTAGCAGTGCTTTGTTAAATGACAACAATTCTATCAAGTGAATAATCCTGTATGAAGGTTTTTCATCACCTCTCTTCATAAGTGGTGCACTATATGGGGGCGGGGGCAGAAATGCAATTGAGGCAAGAGAATAGGTATCTTTTTAAAAACTAACATTATTTTTAACGAGTTATCAAATTGAAATTGTCCATGAGTTGCACATAATTTCAAACGTCTCAACAACTAAAATTGGAGCATGCTTAAACTCTCTGCCCACCACAGGCACAACGTTATATGGCTTGTATTTGTGCATAGACTCATTCATGCTTGTACACCTCCACACAAACACAAGCCATACATACATACATAACACTTAGGATATGACACTAGGTATGTGTGGAAGGGTGGGCTGGAGGGTGGTTGCTAATAAAGATAATATGAGAGGCCACTCCTTCCCTTTTGGAGTCCCTTACCAGTAATTTAACAGAAAACTGACATTATTCCCTGGTCACTCATGTATAAATTTAACTATATGTTATGACAAATGATCTAGTAAACAAAATCTTTCTCTCAAAGATTACCAGGCAGTGCTCTCTCTCTCTCTCCTCACTCTCGCTCTCTCTGTTGCTAATACACAAAACCTTACATTTTCTTCCCCTAGCCCCTGTAATATTATACATTATAATGCGTTCACTTCCTCCATGTCAGTCTTTCTCACTAGAATCTTAAAACAGTTTTCATGTAGAAGGTGAACCATAGATTTTCTTTAATGAACAAACACATAACTGCAAGTTCAGCTCTGACTATTCACACTAATATACCCAAATAAAGTACCACGTTACTTTGTCACATCTGCCTGAGCAATCAGAACCAGTTCTCTGTCCTGAGCTTCCCACAAAGTGTCCTCATTCAATCACAAATTTCTTGAAGCAACGAGAATGTAATGAATACACCGTAGTCATTCAATAAATATTTTTGATGTAAATGAAGGAATGAATGGATGGAAGTGTGTTAACCATGAGAGGACAGCCACCCATTGCTGTTGTTCATTCCTAGCCTGAGACTGATTTACTCTCTCAAACAAATCAGGCCTAGGATAAGGTAGAGGTTAAAGGGAGAGACTGGGCTGTGGGCCACACACTGTGGGCCTGTGTGTGACCTGAGACATGGCATGCTGAAACAAAAGTGAGCTCCAAGACCAAGCAGGCCACGCATTTAGGTATCACCCAAAACAGAGAGGAATGCAGGAATATGAAAGAAAGGAAAGAAGGGATCCAGACACGAAGATTCAGAACCGGAATGTGTTCCTGAGTAGGTGAAGAAAGTGACAGCTGCTCCCTAGAAGAGTCTGTGTCTCAGTCTTATTGGAGCAGGTGGCACAGAAGTCCTCAGAACCAAATCCAACAACAGTTACATAGGTCATAAAAAACAGTCCCGGATATGTTAATTAGGGCCACAAACTCAGATGTCTCCTGGAATCAGACAAGTAATATAATGAACTAAAGCAGACCTGTGACAAAAAAATGTGGACTGATGGGACCTGGGGTGGAAAGGGGAACTCCTGAACTGCATTTTAAGCTTTTGAAATTAGTGCGCAATTTGCAGCCTATATTTTTTGACTCTGGCAAAATGCTCGGTAGCGTGTGAATTATAGAAATAAAAAATATTAACAATTTTTATTGCAGTTTTGGTTCTCATATTACCTATCAGTATGGCATTGCCAAAATGCTTTTGGCCTTACAGAATCTTGGATAACAGAACTGAGAATCAAGCTTATTTATAATTAATAAGTGGGGAATGGGAATGCCCCCTGCATGGCACCCCCTCAGCTCCTGAAATTTCATATTCACCTTGGACAGCCCTCTCTCTTGACAACTTTATATTCACAGCCTGCCACGACCAAAGTCCCTATTCCATCACCCCACAGACATATTCTTAATAATCAATACTCAACTGAGCCAGGAAAATATGTTATTTCCTACAGATGTGTTCATGCAGAGAATAAGTTGATTTAATGCAATTATCTTATTAAACAGATGATAAAATTGACATACCAGGAAGAAACATGACTTGCCCAATCCCATACAGATGGTCCATGAGACAGCAAAGATTAAATCCAGGTCTCTTAATTAACAGCGTACTATTGAAATAACCCTAAAAAGCCCTTCCAGAGCTAGATCCATGAATATAACGATTCTGTATTTTTCCTTTTTTTTGCACCCACTATACTCTTTCAAGCACACAAACACAATCACATTTATAAACAGCACATAATGCTTTCATTTTTAAAAAAGAACTATGATTTTTTTTCTTTCTTTGATCTCATTATGGGTATTCCCATTATGGGTAGTTCAATATGTATGCTACTTCCTTGAGGCATGTGGAAATAATACACATGAATAGTTTGCAGAGAAAAACAGAGAGGAGCACCATGCATTTTGAGAAATATAAGCACACATATCAAACACAGGGAACACGTAGAATATAAAGTAAATTATGTGCATATCTTGGAATGCCAACCAAAACAGCTAATATCGCATATAAAATATAAAACAAGGAAATCTAAATTTGTCATTTCCTGTTTTCCTTGATATTTTCAATATAAATTTGAAAATCAATATTTTTAAATATTATATAAATCTTTAAACAATAATCAGAATCAAATATTATCAAATATTGGCCTCCTTTTAAAAAAGTAGAATGAATTATCAAAAAAAGAATACTATTACATTATTATATAAAATTATATATAACTTTACTTGTGAAAAATTAAAGAACATAGACAGGTGACTTAGTGTGGCTCCAAAAGAAATATAGAATCATTGATGTTGTCACAAGAGGGAGCCCACGTTTTTCAATTAATGCAAACACATTGCAAGTAAATGAAATGAAAGTAATTTAATCCTGACAAAATGTGAAGCTATATATGTTATAATATAATTCATTATTGATAACAAAATATAAATTATTATTAAGTATCAGTATTAACCATTCTTTTTTTTGTTTATCTGGATGGAAAGTGAGAAAAACTTTTTAATGATTTAATTTCCAAACAAACATAGAACTATGATATGCAGGAAGGAAATAAAACACGTACTACAGTTTTAATACTAAAGTTTAAAAGTAAAATATATTGTTCTGGCAGTGTGCGATGAAAAAAGAGACGAGTTGTCTTCTGTTCATAATTATATATTAGATATCCTTCTAAATTCACTTACATTTTTTCTAGAACCACTATTGAGTGGATGGCAAACAAAAGAAAAAATACTGATTATAAAGTCATGTAACTTCCTGTAATTTATATAGACTTCAAACATGTTGTAGATGATAAATACATACATTTTATGTCACTTTAAAAATTAAAATTAAAAAGCTTCATGGAACTTCCTGAAAGATATTTAACGTCTTTGAAATTAAGTTTTCTACATCTAAAACAGAATGTTAAGCTATCTTTCAACATGGTTGTGAGAATTAATGTGATAATCTAGTAACACTTGGAGCATCAGTACCTGGATTTTGGTCATTGCTAAAAAATGGCAATTTATTTCCACCTTTTGGGTAAACATTAGAGACATAACTCTAATAATAAACACTTTTAAGTCCCTTTTGTAAAAATAAACCCTTTCCTGGTACTTAATTCACTGTCTAAGCATTGATTTTCATCACTGGTTTCTTTCTAATCTAAGTTCTCAAAAGAATAGCATACATCAGCCATTATAATTCTTTCACTCTACCAAAAGTTCTCATATCCATTTCTGAGTAAATTCAAGGTGCCAAAACAAAATGGCATTTTTCAAAGTTTATCTTACTGGGTCCTTCTGAAGTGTGTTAAGCAATTAAATTACTTAAATTTACTTTTCCTCTCTGATCATTCCTATTGTTTTTTGCATGGACGCTTGTCTCCTATTATTGGCTTTACCCAGAGTTAAGCCATAGCCTCCTTGTTTGTTCCACTATATCTGTGGTTTCTAGAAATATCTTCTTCCATAGTTTCAGTACCACCTCTAGAGTGATAAAACAGGTAGACAAATGGATCTGCTAGAATGATGTATCTAGCGTGCATACCTAACCATTTCTCTTTCCTGCTGAAAACTCTGCTGGTATTCTCCTTACCTAAACAGAAGAAGGCTAACTGGGAGATCAAACAACCTGTTGTTTTTTCTCGTTCAGATACCCTTGATCTATATAATGTTTTGTCTTGATGTTCTTGTTTTGGGTGTGTGTGGTGTTTTTTTTCATTGTTGTTTTTTTGCTTGTTTGTTTGCTTTTCTTTGACAGGCTCTTGCTCTGTTGCTCAGGCTAGTGTGCAGAGAAATGATCAGGACTCACTGCAGCCTCAAACTCCTGGACTCAAGGGATCCTCCCGCCTCAGCTTCGCAAGCATCTAGGACTATAGACACGCACCACAATGCCCGGCTAACATTTTTATATTTTGTAGAGATGGAGTCTCACTATGTTGCCCAGGCTGGTCTCAAAATCTTGGCCTCAAGTGATTCTCCTGCCTTGACATCCCAAAGTGCTGACATGACAGGCATGGGCCACTGAACCCAGCCTGTTTTGTGTTTTTTATTTGAATACTTATTCACACAAAGGAAAATAAGATAAAACAAAAAATTCACTCCTCTGGCTTTGGGTAAAAGTTAGGAAAACTGACAATATTGGACACATAGTATCTGTTTCATCATTACTTGCCCTGTTCTCTACCATTTTGCTGCCACTGGAGGTTGCTATCATCGAGTTTGTGTTATTTTATTTATTAGTATGTAATTAAGAAGTAGGTGAAGCATTTTTTATATCCATGCCTACGTCAGAAGTGGAAAATTTAAAGCTAAACACAGGGGGTACGTGCATCAAGATAAATTCAAAGAAGAAGATACTGTACCCCAAAAATAAATTTAAGAAACCTACATAGAATTAGGCCAGCTGCTTCACTTAGCGCCCTCATGCCTGGCTCCTACAGGCATCGAGATTGTGATCACAAGGCTGCATGTGAGAGCACGCTCTATACCAAGCAAGGGACTAAATGTTTCATATGTACAGACTGAGTAGACATGCATTAAGCTCATACATTCCAAGCTCTTCAACTGTGATGAGATTCCTTGTTCATATTTGCATGACAAGGCATCCAATCAGCTCTAATGCTCGCTGATAAATTAGATGGACATTTTGGGCTGTGAGATGTGAGTTTCCAAACATTAACTGAAAATAAAAATCTCTGCAATGTGCTAGTTACTTTCCTTGTCTTCATTTGGAGTTTTTTACGTAACTAGGGTCAATGATTCCCTAATCCAAACAGTTACAGAGGTAATACTCTTTGAGACGTTATTTCCTTACTGCAGAAAAAGACAGTCTCTACTAGCTCTTTGTTAGGTGGTACCGTTTACTTCCCATGTAATATTAGCTTTATCAGGTAAAGTCTCTGAATATGAGTTCCTCTTCTGTAAAGTAGGCAATAACACTCACCTAATAAAATTGTAGGAAGAATTAACTGACCAATGTAGTAATATAAAAATGATAGCTGACTTGTACTAAGTCCTTACAATGTGGCCACAGCCTTCTTAGCTTTGCAAACATTGACATATTTAGCCTTCACAACAGCTTCATGAGGTAGGCTCTTTCACATCACTTCCCTTTACAGATAGAAAATTGAGGAGTAGAACAGGAGGTCACATATAAGAGAAGTGTGAGAACAAGTTCTGAAAGCCAGGCATTTTGGTTCCACAAACCATTATATTTTACCCTTGACCAACAGAAGATGCTGGCTGTCACTCGGTAAGTGGCAGGTAGATTGGTACGTCTGTAGCATGACACGTGAGTTCTTTTGTGGCCTGTTTTCTGTTATTCCCTGCTTTGATCTTTCCAATACAAAAACAATACGCAGAGTATCCTCTGCCTCCAAGCTTGCAACCAAAAATGTAGTTCACAGCTTCCTTTTGCTGTTTCCTGTGAGGGAAGAAGCATTCCTACCCACCCTTCAATGCAGCACAGGAATTATTGACTCAACATCTGTCTCTCCTTCCAGAGGAGCTCTCATGGAAACTATCCCATCTTTGACTGTAAGCACCTTGAAGTTAGGAACTAGGTCTTATTTGGTTTTGTGTCTTCACAGCCTTTCATAGTTCCTCCCATGTAGAAGGCAAGCAAAAATGGTGGTTGTAGGAAAAGAAAAAGAACAGACAATAAACGTTGTATAAAGAATTTAATACTAGAGAAAATAGACTCTATGTACGGCATTTAAATTGGAAGCATTTAATTAGAATCAAATTGCAAGTGCTAACATAAACTGATCCTAATTTAAAACCTGAACAGCCATAAAATAGTTTGTTACCATTTAAATTTAGCTATGTTATTACAGTGATGTATATTTATAATCTTTTTTCATATTTACACAAAAATGAGTATAACAAGAAAATTTAAATTTTAGAGGAGATAGAAAAGGAAAACCACATAGGAGAGTAACAAACATCCCAAATGCATTTCCATGGTTCTTCCTCCATTTCTTTCTTTTTGCCTTTGTTGGTGCTCCCTGTTATCCAAATGTTCAGTGATATTCCCTTTTGTTTAAATAGCATTTCATTGTTCTCATATTTTCTACTTAATGTTTAATTTCAGCTCATTTTTATGATGTGAACAAGGGAATAAATATACCTATATGTGGCTGTGGGCAAAGCATTGTATAAATTATAACCCAGAGAGGAATTTCCAAAGCCAATCTTACAAATGCCCCAATACTAGTCCTGAGATATGAATTGCCATGGGCAGTGGGATGAGGAATTGACGTATATGTCTAAAGAAAACAATGAAAACCCCTATTTTGAATTTAGATAAGCTACTAAACTTTTATAAACATTATTGATACTTAAATCAATCATAATGTGAACAAAATTTGCCGATCTGATTTGACATAGGTCTAAGGATTTATTTAGTGCACTGCTCTTTTCCTCTTTTTGGTTCTTCTAGCTCCGACAGTTCACTATGCCACCTTTCCCACAGATGTAAATACATGATCGTTCATGCCTGAGGGCTTTAAAGCAAACTCAAAAGAATAAACATTTTTGTAGCTAGCTCAAAAATAAAATTATTTTTCAATCTCTAAATCTGACCTTTCAAAGCTTTCTTCCACTTTATTGTTATGAACATCACAACTACTTTTCTAATCCTTATTCACCAATCAGCAACATTTATCCATTCAGTTGCTACACTGGACTCTGTTTTCTCTCCAATATATTCCGAGGCCAAAATTTTGGGCTCCACCTCAGTGCCTTTGACAAATTATGAACAACTTGAAATCAGAAACCGTTTCTTATTTACTTTTGAATCTGTAGAGATCTCACATTAGCACAGAAAATAAAATTAAACACAAAAAGTTTCTCCCCTGGAAATATCTAAAGAAGAAAATGTGAAGTCTTCTTAAAAGAAAATGTACAAATTTATAATTCCAAGTTAGTTTAAAGACTGTTTTATACATTAATATGCTTTAAAGTATCATTTATTATTAAAAAAATACACCACTACTACATACCTATTAGATCGGCAAAACATATAAACAAACAAAATCCTGAAACTAGTAAGTAACAAAGAGAATGTGGAACAATGGAAAATTCCATTCATTTCTGGTGGGAATGAAAAATAGTAAAACTACTTTGGGAATAAGGATTTTTTTCTTTTATATTATTAAACATACACTTAACCATACAAACCAGAAATCCCTCTTGTAGAGATTAAATCAAGTTAAATGAAAACTTATGTTCACCTAAAAACTTTTATGTAGCTATTATGTAGCTTAATGTAGCTTTGTTCATAATCCTCCAAACCTGGAAACAACTCAAATATCCCTCAAACAGGAATGAATAAAAAAACTGTGTCATATCCATATAACAGAATACTGCTTGGCATAAAAAGGAAAATAATATTAATATGTGGAACAAGGAACAAAGTAGATGAATCTCAAATGCATTATGCTTAGTGAAAGAAGAAGCAAGACTTAAGAGAGTAGGTTTATGTTTATAACATTCTTGCCAAGGTAAAATTACAGGTACAGAAAACTAATCAGTCATTACTATGGGCTGGGACACATAGCAGATTAATTATAAGAGTTGCTGCATTTCCTGAGTGATTTCTATGTACCTGCATCTTATTCAATCCCTCCAAATCAATCCTGTACAAAGTACAAACGATTTTTTTCTCCATTTTGCAGAAGCCACTGAAGTTTTAAAAAGTCACAATTTGAACTTAGCCCCTTGCTGTTAATCACTTCACCATTTTGTCTCTCACAAAGTTAGGGACATGCCAAAATTTCAGATGTCATGAAAGTGACCAGTGTGAACATTATCAATTACATCTTTTTAGTACTTAAAGAAAATATTTGCATAAAGTTATGAAAATAAATATCAATATTGTCAGCGAACTGAAGAATTCCAATTATTACCTGCCTCAAACTCTAATATCTAAACTTGTCTGTATGAACTTAGGAAAAGTATTTTCTTTCTAAAGAAATTTTGCAGTAAGCTCCAACATTCTGCCTTAATCATAATGACTTACAAATGTAAAATAATATGGAGATATTAAGAATTAACTGTGATTTTATTATACTACAATTCTGACTTAAATTTTGTTACTGAAACCAATTATAACTGCACATATCATTATGCTTACACTAGTTAAAAGGGTTTGAACCTTGGGTAACCAGTGAAGATTACCGACATGCATGAGCAAAGGATTATTAAGTATAAATCCAGCATAGCCAATCAAATAATTTTTTAATTATAAAGAAATCTAAGTATTAACACACTTACAAACACCTTTCTCTTAATTGTGACCATAAGAATCTGACAGGTTATTAAATTTGGCTGAAGAAAATGCTAGCATACTGAACTGTGTTTTAATTACTAAAATCAGGAGCATAGATCAATAGAAATGATGAGCAAAAGAAAATCATATATATGAAAAAAACAACAAAATATCTATCACAATTAAGCTAATCTCCATGACGCAGAAAATAAATCCTGAAAACAAAATGACAGATGATGCATGTAGCTTATTGGAATAAGATTCCCTCAAAAATGATGATCCAAAAGACAAATTAAAAGAATGCTTATATTAGACAAAATACAGATTGGAAAAGTCTTCTATCTAAGTGCACTTGTTTGTATTATTTATTTCTAGTATATATTTAATCAAGTTTGCCACCTCTAAACACATCCCCTGTATTGTACACAGCAGGAACATTCCTACCAGGCAGAAAGGAGAACACATCAGAAAAAAAGGGAGCAAGCTGGAATAAAAATGACTCCTGTGAGTTGAAAGATCTCTATAAGGAGAATTACAACACACAATGACAAGAAATCATAGATGACACAAACAAATCGACAAACATTCCATGTTCATGGATTTGAAGAATCAATATCACTAAAACAACCATACTGCCCAAAGCAATCTATGGATTCAACACTATTCCTGTCAAACTACCAACATCATTTTTTACAGAATTAAAAAAAAAATCTAAAATTAACGTGGAAACATAAAAGAGCCCAAATGACGAAAGCAATCCTAAGCAAAACAAAACAAAGCTGAAGGCATTGCATTAATGGAATTCAAACTATACTATAAGGCTCTAGTAACCAAGGCCTACGTTGGTACTGATAAAAAAAAAAGATACATAGACCAAGGGAACATAATAGGGAACCCAGAAATAAAGCTGCACACCTACAGCCATCTGATCTTTGACGAAACTGACAAAAACAAGCAATGGGGAAAGAACTTCATTTTCAATCAATGGTGCTGGAATAGCAGGCTAGCTATATGCAGAAGAATGAGACTGAACCATTACCTTTTAGCATATACAAAAATTAACTTAAGATGGATTAAATATTTAAATATAAGACCGCAAACTATAAGAATCCTAGAAGGGCTGGGTACGGTGTCTCATGCCTTTAATCCCAGTACTTTGGGAGGTCAAGGTGGGCGAATCACTTGAGCTCAGGAATCTGAGACCAGCCTGGGCAACATGGCAAAACCTCGGCTCAACAAAAAATTTTTAAAAAAATAGCTTATTGAGATGGCCTATGCCTGTAGTCCCATCTAATTATGAGGCTGAGGCAGGAGGATGGCTTGAGCCCAGGAGGTGGAGGTTGCAGTGAGCAGAGATTGTGCCACTGCCCTCCAGCACGAGCAACAGAGTGAGACCCTGTCTCTAAATAAATAAATAAATAAATAAGTAAAATAATCCTAGAAGAAAACCTAGAAAACACAATCCTGGACATCAGCCTTGGGAAGTAATTTATGGATACATCCTCAAAAGCAATTGCAACAGAAACAAAAATTGATAAGTAGGACCTAATTGAACTAAAGAGCCTCTGCACAGGAAAAGAAATTATCAACGGAGTAAACTAAACAGACAACCTACAGAATGGAAGAAAATATTTGCAACTAATCCGACAAAGGTCTAACATCCAGAATATATAAGAAAGTTAATTCAACAAGCAAAACCCAATCACCCCATTAAAAAGTGAGGCAAAAGACATGAACAGATACTTGTCAAGAGAAGACATAGCAATGGCCAACAAATACAGGAAAAATTGTTCAACATCACTAATTGCATTAGGCTGTTCTTGCATTGCTATAAAGAAATACATGAGACAAGGTAATTGATAATGAAAAGAGGTTTAACTGGCTTGCAGTTCTGCAGATGCATGATGCTGGCATCTGCTTGGTTTCTAGGGAGGCCTCTGGAAACTTACAATCATGGTGAAAGGCAAAGAGGGAGCACATCACATGATGAAAGCAGGTGCAAGCGAGAGAAAGAAAGGGGGAAGGAGAAGTGCCACACACTTTTAATCAGATCTCTCAAGAGCTCACTATCATGAAGACAGCACCAAATCATCAGGGATCTATCTTCATGATCTAAACACCTCCCACCTGGCCCCACCTCCAGCACTAGGAATTACAATTCAACATGAGATTTGGGCAGGGACAAATATCCAATCTATATCACTAATCATCAGAGAAATGCACATCAAAACCACAATGAGATACCATCTCATCCCAGTCAGAATGGCTACTATTAAAAAGTCAAAAAACAACAGATGCTGGTGAGGCTGCAAAGAAATGGGAATGCTTATGTGCTGTTGATGGGAATGTAAGTTAGCTCAGTCACTGTGGAAAGTAATTTGGAGATTTCTCAAAGATCTTAGGACTACCATTCAACCTAGCAATCCCTTTACTGGGTAGATATCTGAAAGAAAGTAAATTGTTCTGCTAGAAAGACACATGCACTTGTGTGTTCATCACAACACGATAGCAAAGACATGAAATCAACCTATGGCCCATTGATGGTGGATTGCATGAAGAAAATATTGTACATATATACCATGAAATGCTACACAGCTATAAAAAGGAATGAAATCACGTCCTTTGCAGCAACATGGATGCAGCTGGAGGCCATCATTCTAAGTTAATTCAGAAACAGAAAACCAAATACAACATGTTCTCATTTACAAGTAAGAGCTAAACATTGGACACACATGGACATAAAAATGGCAGCAATAAACATTGGGACTACTACAAGGGGGTAAGGAGGAGGGAGCAAGGGTTGAAAAACTGTTGGGTACTATGCTATCTTCTTGGGTGACAGGTTCAATCGCAGCAACCCCAGCATCACTCATTATACCCATGTAAGAAATCTGCAGATATACCTCTTAAATCTAAAACAAAACTTGAAATTATTAAAATAAATAAATAAATAAATTGTTTAGAGGGTAGATCTTATGTTAAATGTCCTTACAACAAAATAGGAGATGGGGCACATAGAAACTTTTGAGAGTCATGGATATGTTTATTATAATCTTGCAGTAAAGTTTCACAGATGTATGTGTATGTTCAAACTCATCAAATTATATAGATTAAATATGTATGCTGTTTTTATATCAATTATACCCCAATAAAGCTGTTTTAGAAACTAAGTTAAAATGTTCCAAGAAGTACATCCACCACTGTCTTCCCAAACAATAAATAAGTAGCTTAAAACTTCAAAAAAAAAAAAAAAAAAAAAAAAAAAACTCCCATGATTGTTGAAAAGACACTCTCTTTTTAGTGCCTCTGCGAAGGTTTTATTTTTTGTTTGTTTTTTAAAGACATGATAATGTGAGAAGTTCCCAATATAAAACTGATCTCATAAAAAAGGGGATAGGCTGCCTTATATATGTAGTAAATTCTGAAAAATCATTTTGGATCAGAAGCACCCATTCATTTTTAAGGAATTTTATTCTTGGCTTCCTCTCTAGCCCTCTACCTCTTCAATACTGCTTGGTTTCTACTGAGAAGCAAATGTTCCCTTTTCATTCAGCTGTCAGCATTCTGGAGTTCTGAGCCTGTCTTGGAGTAGGGCTCTTAGTCATCCATATCAGAATCATCTAGAGTATTTAATAATATTTAATCTTCTTCAAATTGCCTAGATCAACTACTTCAGACTTACTGGAAATGGATTTGGGAATCTCTAATTTTTTTACGTGAATAGGTTTTGGGAAACAGGTGATGTTTGGTTACATGAATATGTTCTTTAGAGGTGACTTCTGAGATTTTGGTGCACCCATCACCTGAGCAGTATACACTGTACCCTATGTGAAGTCTTCTATCCCTCACCTCCAGACACTTTTAATCCACAACAACCATATTTCTAGAGAAGAAAGCATCCTTTCTATCCAATCCTGCATCTCCATCAGGGGACAGCTCTGAGTAAATCTAGAGACAGTAGGGTGAGTAGGAAAGACTGGGTCCTGCCCTGAAACACAGTTCAATGCCTTATTTTCAGGAGTGAAAGAAAAGGCCAATTCTAGAACTACAATCTAGTAAGATTCAGGAAAGAGAGGCTGGCCTTAGTTTCTTTGGTGAGTATGGTAGTGATTACCCTGAATATTCAATTACTGGCAAACAAGGCAAATGTAGTTCTGTGATATGTTGAGATTAAGATTAAGTTTTAAGCACAGCACTTCACATGATCCAATCTTGTTATATGGTGGGTAGTAAAAAGTAATTGTGGAACATCACCGACTTACAGTTACTTACATTAATGTATGTCTCTAGAGTTCATTAAAAAGTCCCCTCTGAATATTTTTCCCTTTTTTCTCTAAAATTTCTGAAAACTACTAATTATTTAGTGTTGTTTTTGGAGACTGATCTGAATCAATATATTTAGCAGCATAAATTTGTGCTTTGAGAAAAAATTTCATCCAAGATTTGTAATATTTCTACCAATAATAGAGGGATAATGTTATGTTATGTCTATACAGTAAATGATTTTTAGAGAAGGGAATCACATTCCTTCTCACATACAGAAATAAATTTGAATTACATATAGCTATGAATTCTAATATCTGTGTAGGCTAGTAAGCTCTGGTACAGAAAGAAATAATCACAGTGTTAGAATCACAGAATCCTCCACATCAAAGAATATAAAAGCTTTCTTTTTTCCCTAGTAGCTGTTTTTCATACTCTTCAAAGTTCCTCAGATAAAGACAGTACATCCTGTAAGAGACTAATGCATTCTCCTTCCATCTAAAAGCCGAATGGAGCAATTGAAGAGGTCATGTCATATTCTTGAAATGGTCATGTTAGTGTGTTCAAATATCAGTTTATCTCCTTTGCATTCATTACTTTGAAGATATTATTACTTGAAATAATAGGGATTACTATATTCAAATCCAAATCAATATTAGCAGTTTGATCAAGCATATTATTCAGTCTGGGCAATATAGCAAGACTTTGTCTCTACAAATGTATATATTTTTTTAATTTGCCAGACATGGTGGTGTGCACCTGTGATCTCAGCTACTCGGGAGGCTGAGTTGGGAGAATTACTCGAGCTCAGGTAGTCGAGGCTGAAGTCAGCCGTGATCTATATTTTCTTACCTCAAGAAAATTATCAGGTTGGAAAACAACACTGTCAGTAATTATTTGATATGAATACTCTTTGATTAATATTCTTTAAGTTTGCTTTTAAAGAAAAACGTTATCTATCCACATGAATTTATGGCTAAGGTATAACTGGCACGTACAAATGAAATATATTCTCAGTGTGCAGCATGTTCTGGTACCTGTATACATTGTGAAATGGTTAAATCAAGCTAATTCATGTATCTGTCACCTCATATACTTTTGAATATTTCACAGGGCTTTCTAGAAAGGTAGTTCCTTAGCTAAGAATCTGTACAAAAACAAGTTATTTATGCCTTGTGCTTTGTGCTGAATTGCGTCTCCCTCAAATTCATATGTTAAAGTCCTAACCCCCGATATCTCAAAATATGACTCTGTTTGGAGATGGATTATAAAAGGGGTAAGTTAAAATGAGGTCATTAGGGTGGGCCCTAATCTAATATGACTAGTGTTCTTTTAAAAAGTAGAGATGAGGACACAGGCACAAAGGGAAGGCCATGTGACAATACAGTGAGAAGACAGCCAACAACAAACCAAGGAGATATCCACAGAAGAAACCAGCCCTGCCAACCCTTGATCTTGGACTTGTAGCCTCCCAAACAGTGAGGCAATGCATTTTTGTTGTTTTAAGTTACCCAGTCTGTAGTACTTTGTTATGGCAGCTCTAGAAAACTAATATACCTACCTTCCCTTGAGAAGGGAAGACATCATTAAGCTGACCAATTGAGGTACCCACAAACAAATTTCAGTATGAATGCCAGAGACTGAAATTTGAATATATATATTTTCAAATGTTACACATGGTATTATATATATATATATATATACACACACACATACACACACACACACACACGCACACATACATGCACACATATATTAGTCCATTATCATGCTGCTGATAAAGACATACCCCAAACTGGGAAGAAAAAGAGGTTTAATTGGGCTTACAGTTCCACATGGCTGGGGAGGCCTCAGAATCATGGTGGAAGGTGAAAGCCACTTCTTACATGGTGGCAGCAAGGGAAAATGAGGAAGGAGCAAAAGCAGAACCCCCTGATAAACCCAACAGATCTCGTGAGACCTATTCACCATCAGAAGAATAGCACAGGAAAGACCAGCCCCCATGATTCAATCACCTCCCGCTGGGTCTCTCCCGCAACATGTGGGAATTCTTGGATATATAATTCAAGTTGAGATTTGGGTGGGGACACAGCCAAACCATATCAAACATCGTCCTGTTTTAGGTGCTATGTTACAAAACTATAAAATATAATTCTCTCCCTCTAAGAATTTATAATCTACATACATAAAGAAAATAAGATGGTTAAAATAAAAATAAATACTACAAGGCAATATAGACCTAAATACTGATCTGATTGCCATAAATGATGAATGCTAAGTTTGGAGTGAATGTGCTACTGGCTGAGGTGGAAAGAAACTTCCATGTCAAGAAAGGCACATATTTGTCTCCTGAAGGACTACACAAGAACACTGTGGTTTTACAGATTTTTAACTTTAGCAAATTACACACAGGAAGTGTTTGATGTTTTTAAAAGTTTCCCATAAGCACAGACTTCCCCACTATTAGACTATATAAAATAGGAACAATCGCTTTTGAGCAATTATTGTACCTAATACTTTGCTTAATATTTCTTAAAATATCTATTAAATATACATATATATATGTATGTGTGTAAGAGTTTCCATAACAAAGGACCACTAACTGGGTGGCTTAAAACAATGGAAATGTGTTGTTTCACAGTTCTGGAGGATAGAAGTCTGAAATTGTGATGTCAGTAGGGCCATGCTCCCTGTGAGACTCTGGGTAGGAACCTTTCTTGCCTTTTTTTAGCTTCTGGAGGAGGCTGGTCATCTTTGTTATTCCTTGGATTGCAACTTTATAATTCCAATCTATGCCTCTATCATCACGTGGCATCTTCCTTTGTAAATTCACATTGTCTTATAAAACTCCAGGCATATTGGATGTAGAACTCAGCCTACTGTAGCATGACTTCATCTTAACTAATTATATCAGCAAGGACACCATTTCTAAATAAGGTCACATTCTGAGGTACCAGGGTTAGTGCTGCAACATATCATTCTGGGGGACACAATTCAACCCATGCAGATTATTGTGGTGAGAACATTTAACATGAGATCTACCCTCTTAACACATTTTTAGGTATACAACACAGTATTATTGACCTTAGGCATGATTTAATACAGTAGATTTCTAGAACCACGTATAATTTGTACAGGTATTGAATAGCAGCTCCCTATTTCTCCCCTCCCCTCAACTCCTGGCAACCACCATTCTATTCTCTGCCTCTGTAAGTCTGACTATTTTAGACTCCTCATATAAGTGAAATACTGCAGTACTTGTTTTTCTTTGCATGGATTATTTCACTTAGCATAATGGCTTCCAGATTCATCCATGTTGTTGCATATGACAGGATTTTCCTTAAAGGCTGAATAATATTCCATTCTATATTTATACCTCATGTTTTAGCTATTATGAATCATGCTACCACAAACAGGGGAGCGCAAACAATCTCTGAGACCCTGTTTTCAAATCTTTTGGATACATATCCAGAAGTAGAATTGTTAAACCATATGGTAGTCCCATATTTACATTTTGAAGAACCTCTATGCTATTTTCCATAGCTGCTACAGAATTTTACATTCCCAACAGTGTACAGGATTCTAATTTCTCCACATTCTTACCAATGCTTGTTTTCTTATTATCCAGCAATCCCCCCACTGGGTATATAACCAAAGGAAATGAATCAGTATGTTATAGAGATCTCTGCACTACCATGTTTATTGCAGCACTATTCACATTAGCCAAGATATGAAATCAACTTAAAAGTCCATAAATGGATGAATGGATAATGTGGTAAAGACACACAATGGAATGCTATTCAGCCACAGAAAAAGGAAATCCTGCCATTTGCCTCACCATGAATGAACCTGGAGGACATTATTGTAGGTGAGTTCATCCAGGACAGAAAGACAAATTCTGCATGATCTCACTCAAATATGGAATCAAAAAAGGTTGATACTATACAACTAGAGAACAGAATAGTGGTTACAAAGGTCTTGGGTGGTTGTGTTAGTAGGAGTTGAGAAAATGCTGGCCAAAGGATGCAGAATTTCAGTTAGATAGGAGGACTATCTTTTGTTTCATTTTTTGATAATAGCCATCCTAACAAGTGTGGGGTGATAACTCGCTGTAGTTTCATTTGCGTTTCCCTCATAGTGATATTGAGCAATTTTTCATAGACCTGTTGGCCATGAACGAAAAAAAAATCCTAACTTTGTGGTGAGTGGTGGGAGTCAGGATAGTATAGTATATTGGCCAAGTGCACAATTTGTGGAGTCAAAATGCCTGGCTTCCAGCACTGGTTCTGACACTCCTATCTTTTTATGATGCCCCTTCCTGCCTTGCAGTTGTCTCCCCAGTGGAAGGAGGCTTAACAGTAAAACCTTATAGGCTGTTGTGAGGGCTAAAGATGCTAATGCCTGTAAATCTGAGGAGATCCCAGGCACACTGTAAGTACTCAGGACAAGCTGGCTACCATTATTACATTCCTACATCAGTCAGCTAATTCTCCCAGAGATTTTATGAGATCGGTATTAGTGCCCTACTTTACAGAAGAAGAATTCTTACTCAGGAATGTTAAGTGACAAACCTCACATAACACAGGAAATAAGTAGGACATTATGAAGCCCAGCTGAGTGACTGTGGGACTCACACTCTGTCATTGACGGTATGGAAGGCACTGTTCCATCTAAATAAGCAGTGAGAAATCAGTGAAATTAACACCTGCTATTGAAGGTTATATTACAGGAACATTTTCCTTACCACCATAATCTGCTTTGAATGTTAGTAAATAATTTACATATTTTTATTCATATATTCTGAAGCTATCTAGTAAGGCATGTTTTAAAAATAAATAGTTAAAACATTAAAAATTCAAAATTGTCATTCATAATTTTATAAAAAGTGCTTCTGTGTCTTGTGCTGTGCAATTTTATAAAAAACATGATTTTTTCCAGAGCCAAATGTTTTACACTAGAGTAAACCACTGACACTCACTGGTTTCCTCCCAGTGGTTCTTATTGTCTCTATAAAGCTAGGTCTCAGATGGAGAATAGATGTTTTTTGTAGTCCTTTGCACATTGCCACTTTGTGAGTGACTTTCTTTCCTCTATTTGAACAAAGAGAAAAGTACAATTGTATTTGAACTTAACAACAGAGTACAAAAATTAAAAGAAATTCCATAAAGCAATGAATATTCCCCAAAGAAAAGTATACAGTACTTCAATTGTCTTCAAATAACTAATGTTTAAAATAAATTACTGCACGGTAGAGGAAAATATATGCTTTGGAGTCCAAAAGAACTGGATTGAAATTCTAGTTATGGTGACCCTGAAAAATTTTTATCACTATGTTTTCCATTTGCTCACCATAAAATAAAGGGAGGGTTATTCTGACCAATATATTTAATATATGATTAATATAACTAGCAAGTTGTTTAGCATGGAATTACACACTCAACAAATGTTTTATCTTCTGTGGCAAATTTAACAAGGACAAGTAAAAATCTGTGTTGTATTATCTCCAAGAAAAATGGAACTCTTTTTTTTTTTTTAAGCAAACTCTCCTAGAAGTCTATTTCCTATCTTTTCTTGTTTCTTTCTGCACCTTTCAGAGTAAAATGCAAAAACTGGGCAGAGGGGCAATACGTATAAGTTATCTGAAGGTAAAAATTGTGTCCATGTTCACGATTCCCCAGTGATAGTGGATAGGTATTGTTGAAAAAGCAGATAGTGGACATCCTTTAACTCTGTCTAGTAAATGACATGTTTTCCTTTTATAATTGCTGATGGGAAATTTACATGCAGATTTAAGAGGCTAACACCCAGACACCACCTCCAATTCCCAAGCCTCTTCTAGCACATCAAAATAATTTTTGAATGCTTACAGTGTGACAGTCACTCTATTAACATGAAAGTTTGGGAGGATAGAGGACTTTTAACATTTTAAGAATGGCAAGTCAACCACCGCAGAAATAAACATGTGAAACAAACTAAAAATAGAGATGCATATGTATCTGTATCTGTGTTTTTCAAACAAAAATATAATGTGGACTTGGGGGAAAATTTTATTTTTCTGGAAAAAGCATTTTAAAAATCTCATTTGTTTCAGCCCTCATTGAAAGTACTGGTCCAAAATGCATTGGGACTTCATTCAACAAAGGAACGAAGATCAAAACTACAGCTACAATATCAGGTTTTTAAAGATGTCAAATCTCAACAGCACTAAACCAGTTCTTCATTGTTCGTATGTTATTCTTAGTTTGTAAGTACTCAAACAGCCTGTGCAATTCTTCCCTGCTTCTTTTCTGCAATGATTTCCTTTTCAATGATTTAAGCAGTCTATTCACAAAAGCAATGCTCAGAAATCCAATTACCATTCCAACACCATGCTTTTGTAAGCCTAGAGCATTAAGCCATAGAATATGCTTTTTCGTGCCCCTTCCTAGTACCTCTCACTCAGCATTTCTCTATCAAAAGGGGTTTTGGTTTTGTTTCCCTTTGCTTGGCTTTCATTAGATAAAGGAATGTTGCCATAAATTACTTTAAAACAATGGGGAAATCTCTATAAATCATCCATGTGTAAGTAAATCCTAGGGTATGTATAAATAAAGAAAAATTGAATATGCAATTTTTCCCCTTGAAATAGTATTTGCTTTGCATTAAAGGTGGTTTATAAATTATAAGTCATAATGTATTAATAGACATAACTCACACAATATACTTCACATTGAATGCCAAGTTGGTCAGATAAATTAGGAAATGTAGAGTAGAGGGTACCATGGTAATTATACTATACAAAGTAACTTCACCCTATATATGTTTTCTGTGTGAATTCCTTTATCTGCAAATTACACTGTATGTGTCTCTGTGTATCTGTGTGCATCTTAGCATATGTGTGTGAGCAAATAAAAGTAAAGGTTAGAAAAGGACAGAAACATAGTAAAATTTCCAATTTAATTTCTAGAAGCAAGAGACAAAGATACTGACAAAGGGTAAAGGAAAGAGAGAAATCTTTAATTAGATTGAGGCTGACTACATCCATTTACATCAAGAATTCTATGTTTATGCCTTTTACATTGAGCCATTTCTCACAACCCTACTCAAGAAAAATAAGGAAGAAAAAGGTAAGTGATCTAAATCGTACATCTGAATTGAAACCAATTTTTCATACCCCACATTAGGATGAATCCAAGATACATGTGAAACTCCTCGGAGGTGATGGAATTTTTATGTTTATAGAATAAAAAGCCCTCATGATTAACGACCATCTGGCTACTTTGATTATCTTTTTATCTAACATTAGCTTTGGGAAACAAACTAGGTTTAAAAAGCAAAAGAAAACTATAACTAATAGTTTATATATTCTATAGAGTTATTTATTTTAAATAGTTTCAGTATAAACTTAAAATATATTGAACCACGTGTGTGTGTGTGTGTGTGTGTGTGTGTGTGTGTGTGAGAGAGAGAGAGAGAGAGAGAGAGAGAGACAGCGAGCAAGCGCAAGCGAGCCGGATCAATAAGACCTTGTTTGGTGAAAAAGTCTCTCTGGCAATCTTTATTTTACAGGTAAGGAATCTGAGACATACAGATTTGAAGATAGATTCATTGCCTTAGCAATAATGAATTGAATGCCTCCTCTATCCAGGCAGTGTGGCAGATACAGAAGATGAAAGCAGTGACCTGTATATATTTGCTTAAGAAGACCACAGTCAACACAGGTGAGGAGGGGAGAGAGAGATAATTACAAGACAATGTGAAAACTAGTTTGCAAGGATTATGAAGACAAAGCTAGAGCGGTAGAGGACAAGTGTCTAACCTGGCTAGGTTACTTAAAGAACGCGTCTCAGATAGCAGTAGAACAGGAGATATTCTGAGCAAAAGAAACAGTAGAGCATAATTAAAGGCACAGAGGAGAGACAGGACATGGGAAGATGAGTAATACATATGGCTAAGGCACAGGATGCCTAAGGGCCAGTAGTAAAAAATGATACTAAAGAACAGATCTTGAAAGGTTTTTTTTTAAATGCATACATATGTTTGATATCATACTGTGGGTCAGTGTTTTCTCAAAATATAACTTGTGGAGCAATAGCAATTGAAAACCACAGAATGCTTAATTAAAACACAGATTAATAGAACAAGCTTACAATCTAACTCCGTAGGATGTAGTCCAGAAACCTTCATTTTACCAAATTCCCAATCACTAATGAGAAAGGCCTGCTATTATCAGTTTTGTTATCTAAAAAGGAGGATATGGAAGCAGTGTGGAGAATGGACTGGAGGGCCTGAGGGGAGAAGCTGGAAGTCTAGTAGGGAAGCTATTGCCATAGCTGAGGCAAACGATGATGGTACATGCCATTGTGGCAAGGCACCAGTCATCTCTCATGCACACACTTGCTAGTTTCCATTGGGCATATCTGGGGTGAAACTGCCCCTTTAAATTTTGTCTTAGAAAATAAGCCTTTGAAATTAGTAAAATTATATATATGTACCAATTTATTTATCTGTTCATCCATGAGTTGTTTCCATATCCTAGCTTTTTTAAATAACACTACAATGAACATGACATGGGAGTGCAGGTATCTTTATGAGGTGGTGATTTCATTTCCTTTGGGTATGTGCCCATAAGATCATATGGTAGTTCCATTTTTAATTTATTTAGAAACCTCCATACTGTTCTCCATAACGGCTGTACCAATCTTCATTGCCACCAACAGCATGCAAGAGTTCCCTTTTCCCACATCCTTTTCAACATTCCTTATCTTTTGACTTATAGATAATAGCCATCCTGACAGGTATGAGGTGGTATCTCACAGTGGTTTTGATTTGCATTTCTCTGATGATTAATGGTGCTCATTAATCTGTTGGCCATTTTCAATGTCTTCTTTTGAAAAAATGTCTAGTCAGGTCTTTTGCCCATTTTTAAATCAGTTTATTTGTTTTTCCACAATTGAGTTGCCACTAAAAAAGGACAAGATCTTGTCATTTGCTACAACATGGATAGGCCTGGAGTACATTATGCTTATTGAACTAAGTCAGACATAGAAAGGAAAGTATTGCATGATCTCACTTATATGTGAAATCTAAACCCACACACACACACACACACACACACACACACACACAGAGAGAGAGAGAGAACGCAAAAGAGTAGTTACAAGGGGCAGGAGGCAGGAGGAATGGGGAGATGTAGATCAGTGGATACAAAGTAGCAAATATGTAGGATGCAAGAGTGTAGAGATCTAATGTACAAATGAAGGCTGTAGATAGTAAAATTGTGCAGTATATGAGATTTATGCTAAATAAGTAGATTTTAGCTGCTCTTGCCACAAAAACAAACTAAAACTAATGGGTAACTATGTGAGATGATGGATATATTAACTTGCTTCACTGCAGTAACCTTTATACTATCTATATGTATCCCATAATATCATGTTGTATACCTTAAATACACACATTACAATTTATTTAAATAATACATTTCATTAAATAAATAAATTAGTAAAAACATTTTGGTTCTCAGTTCAAGGAGATATGAGAGAGATTTTAGCTACACATTATATAAATGGATAAACGGTTATCCTCAATTCTTCTCTATTTTAGATAATATATATACTCTTTATTTCCTAGTTCCAATGAACCCAAGGGATGCTGCAAAAATGCTGTACTGGTAGCAACCAAACCCCAGTTAAATTCTCACCTCAAGTTCTATCAATAGCTGACTACCTTTCAAGCAACTTACACACACACACACACACACACACACACACACACACACACAGAAGAAAAACTGGCTTTCTAAAAATTGATGCTGCAATTGCATGCTATTGTTGGATTGATCATGTTTCTGGAGGGTCTCTGGAGTGACAATCTTCCAATAGCATCAGGATAGGATATTAAGTTTAATAATTAGCTGGAGAGAAAAGTTTAGAATTGCTGTTTTGGAAAATTGGACAAGTGGCTGTATAAGAGTTCATAAAAGTTAAGACCAGGAGGAGCCAAGATGGCCGAATAGGAACAGCTCCAGTCTACAGCTCCCAGCGTGAGCGACGCAGAAGACGGGTGATTTCTGCATTTCCATCTGAGGTACTGGGTGCATCTCACTAGGGAGTGCCAGACAGTGGGCGCAGGCCAGTGGGTGAGCGCACCGTGCGCGAGCCGAAGCAGGGCGAGGCATTGCCTCACCTGGGAAGCGCAAGGGGTCAGGGAGTTCCCTTTCCGAGTCAAAGAAAGGGGTGACGGACGCACCTGGAAAATCGGGTCACTCCCACCCGAATATTGCGCTTTTCAGACCGGCTTAAAAAACGGCGCACCACGAGACTATATCCCACACCTGGCTCGGAGGGTCCTATGCCCACGGAATCTCGCTGATTGCTAGCACAGCAGTCTGAGATCAAACTGCAAGGTAGCAGCGAGGCTGGGGGAGGGGCGTCCGCCATTGCCCAGGCTTGCTTAGGTAAACAAAGCAGCTAGGAAGCTCGAACTGGGTGGAGCCCACCACAGCTCAAGGAGGTCTGCCTGCCTCTGTAGGCTCCACCTCTGGGGGCAGGGCACAGACAAACAAAAAGACAGCAGTAACCTCTGCAGACTTAAATGTCCCTGTCTGACAGCTTTGAAGAGAGGAGTGGTTCTCCCAGCACACAGCTGGAGATCTGAGAACCTGCAGACTGCCTCCTCAAGTGGGTCCCTGACCCCTGACCCCCGAGCAGCCTAACTGGGAGGCACCCCCCAGCAGGGGCACACTGACACCTCACACAGCAGGGTATTCCAACAGACCTGCAGCTGAGGGTCCTGTCTGTTACAAGGAAAACTAACAAACAGAAAGGACATCCACACCAAAAACCCACCTGTACATCACCATCATCAAAGACCAAAAGTAGATAAAACCACAAAGATGGGGAAAAAACAGAACAGAAAAACTGGAAACTCTAAAACACAGAGCGTCTCTCCTCCTCCAAAGGAACGCAGTTCCTCACCAGCAACAGAACAAAGCTGGATGGAGAATGACTTTGACGAGCTGAGAGAAGAAGGCTTCAGACGATCGAATTACTCTGAGCTATGGAAGGACATTCAAACCGAAGGCAAAGAAGTTGAAAACTTTGAAAAAAATTTAGAAGAATGTATAACTAGAATAACCAATACAGAGAAGTGCTTAAAGGAGCTGATGGAGCTGCAAACCAAGGCTCGAGAACTACGTGAAGAATGCAGAAGCCTCAGGAGCCAATGCGATCAACTGGAAGAAAGGGTATCAGCAATGGAAGATGAAATGAATGAAATGAAGCGAGAAGGGAAGTTTAGAGAAAAAAGAATAAAAACAAATGAGCAAAGCCTCCAAGAAATATGGGACTATGTGAAAAGACCAAATCTACGTCTGATTGGTGTACCTGAAAGTGATGGGGAGAATGGAACCAAGTTGGAAAACACTCTGCATGATATTATCCAGGAGAACTTCCCCAATCTAGCAAGGCAGGCCAATGTTCAGATTCAGGAAATAGAGAGAACGCCACAAAGATACTCCTCAAGAAGAGCAACTCCAAGACACATAATTGTCAGATTCACCAAAGTTGAAATGAAGGAAAAAATGTTAAGGGCAGCCAGAGAGAAAGGTCAGGTTACCCTCAAAGGGAAGCCCATCAGACTAACAGCAGATCTCTCGGCAGAAACCCTACAAGCCAGAAGAGAGTGGGGGCCAATATTCAACATTCTTAAAGAAAAGAATTTTCAACCCAGAATTTCATATCCAGCCAAACTAAGCTTCATAAGTGAAGGAGAAATAAAATACTTTACAGACAAGCAAATGCTGACCGATTTTGTCACCACCAGGCCTGCCCTAAAAGAGCTCCTGAAGGAAGCACTAAACATGGAAAGGAACAACCGGTACCAGCCACTGCAAAACCATGCCAAAATGTAAAGACCATCGAGACTAGGAAGAAACTGCATCAACTAACGAGCAAAATCACCAGCTATAATCATAATGACAGGATCAAATTCACACATAACAATATTAAATTTAAATATAAATGGACTAAATTCTCCAATTAAAAGACACAGACTGGCAAATTGGATAAAGAGTCAAGATCCATCAGTGTGCTGTATTCAGGAAAACCATCTCATGTGCAGAGACACACATAGGCTCAAAATAAAAGGATGGAGGAAGATCTACCAAGCAAATGGAAAACAAAAAAAGGCAGGGGTTGCAATCCTAGTCTCTGATAAAACAGACTTTAAACCAACAAAGATCAAAAGAGACAAAGAAGGCCATTACATAATGGTAAAGGGATCAATTCAACAAGAAGAGCTAACTATCCTAAATATATATGCACCCAATGCAGGAGCACCCAGATTCATAAAGCAAGTCCTGAGTGACCTACAAAGAGACTTAGACTCCCACACATTAATAACGGGAGACTTTAACACCCCACTGTCAACATTAGACAGATCAACGAGACAGAAAGTCAACAAGGATACCCAGGAATTGAACTCAGCTCTGCACCAAGCAGACCTAATAGACATCTACAGAACTGTCCACCCCAAATCAACAGAATATACATTTTTTTCAGCACCACACCACACCTATTCCAAAATTGACCACATACTTGGAAGTAAAGCTCTCCTCAGCAAATGTAAAAGAACAGAAATTATAACAAACTATCTCTCAGACCACAGTGCAATCAAACTAGAACTCAGGATTAAGAATCCCACTCAAAGCCGCTCAACTACATGGAAACTGAACAACCTGCTCCTGAATGACTACTGGGTACATAACGAAATGAAGGCAGAAATAAAGATGTTCTTTGAAACCAATGAGAACAAAGACACAACATACCAGAATCTCTGGGACGCATTCAAAGCAGTGTGTAGAGGGAAATTTATAGCACTAAATGCCCACAAGAGAAAGCAGGAAAGATCCAAAACTGACACCCTAACATCACAATTAAAAGAACTAGAAAAGCAAGAGCAAACACATTCAAAAGCTAGCAGAAGGCAAGAAATAACTAAAATCAGAGCAGAACTGAAGGAAATAGAGACACAAAAAACCCTTCAAAAAATCAATGAATCCAGGAGCTGGTTTTTTGAAAGGATCAACAAAATTGATAGACCGCTAGCAAGACTAATAAAGAAAAAAAGAGAGAAGAATCAAATAGACATAATAAAAAATGATAAAGGGGATATCACCACCGATCCCACAGAAATACAAACTACCATCAGAGAATACTACAAACACCTCTACGCAAATAAACTAGAAAATCTAGAAGAAATGGATAAATTCCTCGACACATACACTCTCCCAAGACTAAACCAGGAAGAAGTTGAATCTCTGAATAGACCAATAACAGGAGCTGAAATTGTGGCAATAATCAATAGTTTACCAACCAAAAAGAGTCCAGGACCAGATAGATTCACAGCCGAATTCTACCAGAGGTACAAGGAGGAACTGGTACCATTCCTTCTGAAACTATTCCAATCAATAGAAAAAGAGGGAATCCTCCCTAACTCATTTTATGAGGCCAGCATCATCCTGATACCAAAGTCAGGCAGAGACACAACCAAAAAAGAGAATTTTAGACCAATAACCTTGATGAAAATTGATGCAAAAATCCTCAATAAAATACTGGCAAACCGAATCCAGCAGCACATCAAAAAGCTTATCCACCATGATCAAGTGGGCTTCATCCCTGGGATGCAAGGCTGGTTCAATATACGCAAATCAAGAAATGTAATCCAGCATATAAACAGAGCCAAAGACAAAAACCACATGATTATCTCAATAGATGCAGAAAAAGCCTTTGACAAAATTCAACAACCCATCATGCTAAAAACTCTCAATAAATTAGGTATTGATGGGACGTATTTCAAAATAATAAGAGCTATCTATGACAAACCCACAGCCAATATCATACTGAATGGGCAAAACCTGGAAGCATTCCCTTTGAAAACTGGCACAAGACAGGGATGCCCTCTCTCACCACTCCTATTCAACATAGTGTTGGAAGTTCTGGCCAGGGCAATTAGGCAGGAGAAGGAAATAAAGGGTATTCAATTAGGAAAAGAGGAAGTCAAATTGTCCCTGTTGGCAGATGACATGATTGTATATCTAGAAAACCCCATTGTCTCAGCCCAAAATCTCCTTAAGCTGATAAGCAACTTCAGCAAAGTCTCAGGATACAAAATCAATGTACAAAAATCACAAGCATTCTTATACACCAACAACAGACAAACAGAGAGCCAAATCATGAGTGAACTCCCATTCACAATTGCTTCAAAGAGAATAAAATACCTAGGAATCCAACTTACAAGGGATGTGAAGGACCTCTTCAAGGAGAACTACAAACCACTGCTCAAGGAAATAAAAGAGGATACAAACAAATGGAAGAACATTCCATGCTGATGGGTAGGAAGAATCAATATCGTGAAAATGGCCATACTGCCCAAGGTAATTTACAGATTCAATGCCATCCCCATCAAGCTACCAATGATTTTCTTCACAGAATTGGAAAAAACTACTTTAAAGTTCATATGGAACCAAAAAAGAGCCCGCATTGCCAAGTCAATCCTAAGCCAAAAGAACAAAGCTGGAGGCATCACACTACCTGACTTCAAACTATACTACAAGGCTACAGTAACCAAAACAGCATGGTACTGGTACCAAAACAGAGATATAGATCAATGGAACAGAACAGAGCCCTCAGAAATAACGCCGCATAACTACAACTATCTGATCTTTGACAAACCTGAGAAAAACAAGCAATGGGGAAAGGATTCCCTATTTAATAAATGGTGCTGGGAAAACTGGCTAGCCATATGTAGGAAGCTGAAAGTGGATCCCTCCCTTACACCTTATACAAAAATCAATTCAAGATGGATTAAAGATTTAAACGTTAGACCTAAAACCATAAAAACCCTAGAAGAAAACCTAGGCATTACCATTCAGGACATAGGCATGGGCAAGGACTTCATGTCTAAAACACCAAAAGCAATGGCAACAAAAGACAAAATTGACAAATGGGATCTAATTAAACTAAAGAGCTTCTGCACAGCAAAAGAAACTACCATCAGAGTGAACAGGCAACCTACAACATGGGAGAAAATTTTTGCAACCAACTCATCTGACATAGGGCTAATATCCAGAATCTACAATGAACTCAAACAAATGTACAAGAAAAAAACAAACAACGCCATCAAAAAGTGGGTGAAGGACATGAACAGACACTTCTCAAAAGAAGACATTTATGCAGCCAAAAAACACATGAAAAAATGCTCATCATCAGTGGCCATCAGAGAAATGCAAATCAAAACCACTATGAAATACCATCTCACACCAGTTAGAATGGCAATCATTAAAAAGTCAGGAAACAACAGGTGCTGGAGAGGATGTGGAGAAATAGGAACACTTTTACACTGTTGCTGGGACTGTAAACTAGTTCAACCATTGTGGAAGTCAGTGTGGCGATTCCTCAGGGATCTAGAACTACAAATACCATTTGACCCAGCCATCCCATTACTGGGTATATACCCAAAGGACTATAAATCATGCTGCTATAAAGACACATGCACACGTATGTTTATTGCGGCATTATTCACAATAGCAAAGACTTGGAACCAACCCAAATGTCCAACAATGATAGACTGGATTAAGAAAATGTGGCACATATACAACATGGAATACTATGCAGCCATAAAAAATGATGAGTTAATGTCCTTTGTAGGGACATGGATGAAATTGGAAATCATCATTCTCAGTAAACTATCGCAAGAACAAAAAACAAATACCGCATATTCTCACTCATAGGTGGGAATTGAACAATGAGATCACATGGACACAGGAAGGGGAATATCACACTCTGGGGACTGTTGTGGGGTGGGGGGAGGGGGGAGGGACAGCATTGGGAGATATACCTAATGCTAGATGACGAGTTAGTGGGTGTAGTGCACCAGCATGGCACATGTATACATATGTAACTAACCTGCACAATGTGCACATGTACCCTAAAACTTAATGTATAATAATAAAAAAAAAAAAGTTAAGACCATAAATTTGTAGTAGCAGTTCTAATAGACTTCTCAGGATAGTACTAGCCAAGTAAATTATTAGATGAAGACAAGTTTTAGGGATAATGGTACAGATGCAGAATGGGATAAAGACAATGAAAATGTTGGAAAGGCAGTGAGTTCCAGGCAGAACAAAGGAAACAAAGGAAGAAAACCCAGAAGTGATGGCAGACAGTGAGTTTGCTAAAGCAGAATGGGATTGACAGACGTTAATACCAAAAGGCTCAAGAAAACTTAAGGAGCCCTCATGATGTCATAAATTATGGTGAACAAGAAGACTATGAGCCACAACGCAAAGTCCTCTGTGAATATACAAGGAGACCACAAGAATAAATTAATAGTAGCATGGCTGGAGGGAATAGACACAGAGAAGGGGTTGGACTACCAATCTGGGAAGTGGCAAGGGAAACTGAGTTGCTCACAATATCCTCTTTTCACCTTATCTTTTTTACATACGGAGTTGGAGAGAAATCATATCTGCAACAAGAGAGGGATGTAAAACAATTCTATTAAAGAGAGAACTAGGCTGCAGTTGGGACAAGAAAATGTTGGGAATTATTAGGGAGATACTTAGACAATGCATGGGAGGCCTACTTAAGATGGAAATGAGGTTTCAGGTGATAAAATGGAAAAAAAAATCCAAAGAAATGGCAGGCCTCTAAGCAAGTTAAGGAGAACATCTGATGCAAGAGGTTGGTTTGTGGAGGGAGACAAACAGTGAATCAACTGAACTTAAATAAACTAATGGTATTGCATGTAAAAGTTGAAGACTAAGTTCAAGGTCCCAGTGAATATAAATTTTAATGACGTACAGAGTTTGGAGTTTATAATCTCTAAACTGCATTCTAACAATGGAATGATTCTTTTCTTTTTTTCTGGGGGAGAGGGTGAGGGTATTTCATGTAAGGACGAAGAGAAGACAACATAGCCATTAAAATATAAAACTGTACCTAGAGTGTTGTTCATGTCTTAAATAAAGAAAGGAGTAAATAAAACAGCATGGCTACTCATTTTAGGGTCCTTCTCAGTTTTTTCATCCTCCTGCTAAACTAATTCTAATCAAATAATGGCGGTTCTAGACATCATGCTAATTAAATTGTCATAGACATTTGTAATACTAGCTAACATTCACTGAGTACCTAATATGTGCCAGGGTATTCGTATGAATTATTTCATTTTATTTCCATAAGAAGTCTATATGGAAGGCTTTATAATAACTTCCAATTTACAGATGAGGAAGCAGATATATAGACTAGTTAAATACTGTGCCCAAGGTTCCGTAATCAGTAACTATCAGAGTCACAATTAAAACCCAACCATTCTGACCCCATATTTTTTGGCACCGTGCTGTTTGAGGATGCCCTATGTCAGACACTACAGATCTTGTCAAACACAAATACTTAGGAACTTAAATCAGAATATAAAGAGGTCAATTACTTGTGTGTTGGAAAAAACCAGGTGATGCATTACAGATTGAATTTGTATTTCCACATTTTCTTTAAACTGATCATCTCCTGTTGGGCAACTTAGTAGGGGAAAAGATCTCTATGTCTTCAAGTAGGTGCTTTTACTGAAAAAGAAAGAAGAACCAAATAGAGAAGCAAAATTATTTTAATTTCCGAAAGCTGAAGCCTTGAGACTATCAATAGAATTTTTAAAATACTTGCTAGGATTTTAATATGTTCCCATTTGAGAAGTGCTAGGAGTTTTCTGGAATTGGAGGGAAAATAAAGAATTGGAGAGGGGAAAAATATAAATATGAAAATGGCATGTCTCTTTGTCTTGTCTCCTCGTCCCTGATATAACACTAGGATATTTAAGTGTGGGAAATCTAGCCTAAAAGGAATCCACACTGTTGATATCTGAAGACAGTTATTTCCCATTGTAGTGAGAATAAAAAGAGAGGTGACTACAGTCCCAGCAATGAGGAATATGCAAAACTCAGTTGACCTAGGAAGGTACATCATAAAAGAAAAAAAAAAAGACTATAGGGCTGGATATCTTTCTTTGCTTTTATGATACTGTGTCAACCTCCCAAATTTAGTTGCAACCCAATAGAAAAGTAGTGTCACCATGAAAAGAAAATAAGCCATGCTCTTTTCCCCAGTATCTTCTTTCCCTCTGCCAAATACTGAGGATTCTGATTCAGACTTTCTAATTTCTGTCCTCCAAGGAGGATCCTACCTTGCCCAAGAGATTCTTGTGTCTTAGGACATGAAGAATCAGAAAAAACTGACTCTCTTGTTATATTTTTAAACGTTAAGAAAAGGTCACTAGTCTCCAACAGTATCTTAAAAATACTATGTTTTTCTTCTCCTAACCAGAGCACATATTATAGCTGCTCTCATGCCCTCTCAAAGCACCCCCTCAAATTCATCTTGTTTCCTCTTTTTTTTTTTTTGTTCTAATTCCTGCCTATTTAACTACTACATACCCATTGCCTGGCACTGCACCATGCATAAGGTAGACATTCCATAATATTGGTTACTTGCACTTTGAAAAGTAACAAGAAAAGGAAGGAAAAAAGGAAGAAAATAAGAGAAGTTAAAATGTTGGTTGGTTATTTGGTAGCTTATTTTCCCTATACCAAGACATTATACAAAACAAAAAGTAAGAAGGCTACACTTTCCTATGTATGCATTTACCAGAATTCCTTCCTTTGCAACTTTAAGAATTGGGTAAAGTATATTCTTTTATTCTAGATAGGCTAACCATAAGATTTACTATCCAAACTAGAATGCATTTAGGAGTAAAAAGGTCACTATTAATATTTTGTTTTCTGAAAGAGGGCTGGACCTGTTGTTAATACTGAGACTGCCATAATAAGACAAATTAGGAAAATGGCCATTCTAATTTTTGATGACCTTCAGGAAAACAACTCTTACAATCCAATATATTATTTCTGCAAAGGTAAAAGTAATCCCACATTTACACATGAAAAAAAAAGGTTTCAAATACTTGTAAAAATGTCACTTTCCAGTTTCCCTCTTTTTCTTTCAGTTCCTTGAAAGTGCCAACACCTTTTCATTTATTCTTCTCTCTTCATATGGGAACTATTATTCAGCCTCTTTGCCTACTTACTACTTCCTAAATGCCACCTTCTCAGGAGAGCCTTACCTGCCCCTGGGCCTTTATCCACCTCCACTCCTGCACAGACTAGTTTAGATCCCTGGATTATTGCACTCACCACAGTAAATTTTATGATTATTTGGATGATATTTAATGTCTGTCTTGACCAGTAGCTATTAGGTGTGATGAGGACCAGAATGAGGTATACTTTTGTCTACTTTTGTATTCCCAGCTTTTAGAATTGCATCTGGTACAGAGTGAATGCTCAATAAATGTTGAATGAATGAAAAATAGTGAATAAATAAAACCAGTGGATAAATGAAGGATTCACTTTCATTGCCAAAGGGTGTCAATTGGGTAAGAGATCTCAAAATGCCACATAAACAGTAAATTTATATGATACAAACATATCTACAAGCTATTTGTACCTTGTCTTTAAATGATCCTTCGTCACTCACTTTCACTGGCCTTACAAAGTTCTGAAATCAGACATGAATCTGCGACTTGACAATGAAAAGATACTCATATCTGAGAGCACTGACAAGTGTGTTAGAGATTTTTAACACCTATTGAATGAAGAGGATTTGTGTTAATATTAGAGAATCAGTGCATTTCCTATAAAAACAATACAAATACAGAAACACTAAGTACATAAATATACACATATACAGTTATACATACATATTAATTAAGTACTATTGTAACGGCAATTCAGCAATTTGCTTTTGTTACTTTTTTGTTACATATACCAGAAAAAAAAACCAGTGTCTCCTAGATGTTATCTGTGCATAAGGCAATAGTGCCCCTAGGGCACAGAGGAGTTTAATAATTCCGTCAGAATTGCAGAATGGGCTGGTAGATACTGGCAAGGAAACTGGTGACCAGATTTCTGGATGAACAAGAGTGTCGGCCGGGCGCGGTGGCTCACGCCTGTAATACCAGCACTTTGGGAGGCCGAGGCGGGTCGATCATAAGGTCAGGAGTTCCAGACCAGCATGGCCAACATGGCAAAACCCCATCTCTACTAAAGATACAAAAATTAGCCAAGCGTCGTGGCAGGCGCCTGTAATCCCAGCTACTAGGGAGGCTGAGGCAGGAGAATCGCTTGAACCTGGGAGGTGGAGGTTGCAGTGAGCCGAGCCGAGATTGCACCGTTGCACTCCAACCTGGGTGACAGAATGAGCCTCCATCAAAAAAACAAAACAAAACAAAACAAAACAAAAAAACAAAAAAAAAAAAACGAGTGTCTGCAAGTAGAATAACTTCCATTAAAAAAAAAAAAAAACAGAGGCAGAATATTAGAGTGAAGGGAGTATTAAGTGCCTTAATGCTAATTTCAATTCTACTAGTAAGAAATCACAATAACCCTTATGTCCTTTCTATAAGACTAAATGCATGAGTAGGTATTTTCAGCCTTGACAGACCATTCCAGTGACCTATGACTTTAAAAATTACAATTCAGGACCCACCCCGAACTTGGATTTTAGAGCTGCCAGTGGTAGAAGTCTGACCTTGGGTCTCAAGTGCTTCCGATGATTACCACAAACATTCAGGGGTAAGAACCACTGAAGAAGCAGAACATTCATCTCTCTTGGCCCATGTTTCCTGAGCTGTGTAAGTGGGTTGCTGTGTAGAACTCTAAGGTCTCTTTTAGAACAATATTTTTATAATTGAGGAAAAATAAAGTATAAGCACCAGCAAGCCATGGGAAAATGCAAACAGACACACAAACAAATAAAAACAATTCATTTCCCGATATTAGGAAATTTCATCTGCAGCTACAAAATGGCACTCAGCATTTTTTGAAAAACTAAATTTTTAATTACTAAGCAAATGTTGATAGTTGAATCTTAAATATATTTGCACGTCAAATATGCTCGAAATCATTTATCTTAGAAGTAATCAAATCATAGTGGAAGGCACAAAAACAGGATGATCTAACCATATTATACACCAGTTAAAATATTTACTTTACCTCTTCTTTAATTCCCTTCACCTGCCATTATAGAAACCAAAAATGTTTAGTCATTTGAAGCACAGATGCAAGTAAACTTTCTGAGTCACAGTCACATGTGGTCAAAAGAGGCTATTTTTAGCATAGTTTATAAAATGCACATTAATGAAATGTGGATAAAATGAAGAATGACATCAGGAGGAGGCCAAAGTGAACAAAAATGGCAAAGTATTGTTAATTTTCTTTGCTACAAAAAATAATTATTGATAGAGTAATTTATATTAACAGATATGAAAATGGTTTTCATGAAAATTTATAAATGTTTAAAATGTCATCAACATGGGATTAAAAAAATCATAAATCTCATCAGGGACAAAATGGAAGGAATTTTTTCAGACCATTTTTCTGCTGAACACAATAGAAGTTTAGCTTAAATATGCACTTTAATTACCCCATATTTTGATTCCTTGATTTCAACAAAAAGTTCTGAGGTTACTTAGAAAAAAACCTAGCATACTCTAATGAGATTTTCAGTAAATAGAAAAACCCTGTCTTATATGCCATACAAAGACAAATAAGGTTCAAAGTAATAAATTATATCATCCAGCAAAATCTATGCTACAGATTTAATGATGACGACAATGATTTGGTTCATGACTCAAAATAGGAAATAAGCTGATATTGATTTCACTAAGAACTGCCTATCGTAACACTAATTCTATATGGAAATCATTTGTAAAATGAAGATTATCTATTCAATTAATAGAAAATGTTATGGATTTATCCTTTACTTTGAGTGAATCATAAGGCAGTAGTTATAATAACTTGGCACTTTTATGGATGTTCTAATTGAAAATTAATTTTGACAACTTTATAAGGTTTATACAAAGAATATATTTCAAAGAATCATTAAATAAAAGGCAAAGTGAGATAATTTTTTTCATATGCAAAACATATAGTGAAAGATGTTCACATGTCCAAATAAGTTACACAGCTCATCCCAAACCATATCTAAATATATAGAATTTGGGTATCAGTAAAATAACAGTGTCTAATAACAAGAGGGATTTTTTTTTTCTCCATCAGTAAACATACAATGTATAGCTGGACTAACACCTACTTTTTCCCAAATAACCAAAATGTTTCCAAATAAAAATACATAATAGTCATTTATAATTCTTTGGAATTAGTAAAAATGTTGTATAAAATATAAAAATAATCAAAAAATATTAAAGCTTTAAAAAGTTCCTAGATCTTTAAAAATTTCCAGAACTTGATCACAGTGGTCTTAAAATTACCATTTTTATTTGAGACCTCTAAATTATTTAGTCAAATATTTTGAAGAACCAGAAAAAAATTAATTATGTATATAATTATATAGTTTTTAATTAGTAATATATAAAATTAATATTATAAAATAGCAGTGAGAAAGGGATGATAGTAAGCATTTAATTAGGGAAAACTTTTATTCTTTTTTCTTCTTCTCTGTTGCATTCTTTCTCTTTGCTTCCTCCTCTTACCTTTCCTTTTAGTGAATTTGCTTTCTATCTTCCACAAACTGTAGGACTTTGCTGTCATAACCACTTGTTAAGGTCACCAATTACCAGGTGCACCTTGGAATTTCAGGTCAAAATGTTTTCACTTTAAACTATATGTCTCTACTTGAGCCCAGTTCCTTGTGTCATTAACTGTTAGAGGATCGTAGTTACCTGGGTCCTTAATGACAAAGCTCTTTCTGCATATCTAAATCTATTTCCTCTCTAAGGAGCCAAGAAAATATCTACCTAATTGCTTTTAGCATAAAAGTTATTTGAGAGAGATTGCAGATTAGTTTTATCATTAATATAGAGGCTGAAATTAAAGGAAAAGGAATCTATAATTAGGAAGCTATTAAAGGAATAAAAATGGAACCTCAGTATCCCAACTAGTAGTATCATCTTACAATGTGAATGCCTTTGGGATTCACAATTCACTTTTGATACAAATGAAACCCAGAGGGAAATCTCTTCAGACCAAAAAATGTCCTGCTTTCCTGAATAAGGGACAATCTATAATCCATATGAGAAAGAGAATCTAAGTGAACTTTCACGTAAAGAACATAGATAACACTTTGGCTTTTATCATAGTCAGAAAATATGTTATTACTACTATCAGAAAAAATAAAATAAAATTGTAATGAGCACCTACAAACTCTAAGAATCTCAGCTTGCCTGATTTTCCAAATTTGATAACATCCCCTCTGATAACCTGACACTTCCTCATAGCTTTTAATATAATTTGTACTTTGATTTGTATCTTTGTATTTTTTTTTGCTGTCTAGACAATAAGTAATATAATTATCATTGTCCTTTAAAATCACACATCACAATTAGTTTTCAATAGGGTTTCAATAGATATTTGCTGAAATAATGAATTTTAGACACAGTGAAAATTAATAACAGCTAGTATTGTTAGTACTTAGCATGTGGCAGGCAGTTCTACGCATTTTGTGTATATTATCATACTTCTTCTTCTTTACTGTACTAGAGATAATTTTTTTAAATAACTTACCAAATGAGGATACAGAGGCAAGTTTAAGTCTTTGACAATTGTCATACAGCTTGTAAGTGGCAAAGGTGACATTTAAGCCTAGGAAGTCTGGCCCCTGCCCCTTTGCTCCTAACCACTATTTTATTCAGTAATTTTTGGATATTAGAAGACATATGACGATTTTCAGCACTGGCAAAATATATTCAAAGGCAAGCAATTTTACTGAAATAAAAGTATTTAAACAAATAATCAATGGTTGAAACTTTGCCCACTATTCACTAGGGGAAAAGATAGATAATAGTTATTATTAAGTGCCTGATATTTTGTTAAGTGCTTTACATAGATTATCACATTTAATCCTCAGGATGGTGAGATGATGAAGATGTAACTTGAAGACAGATGTTTGGTTGAAAACTGTTGAAGGGAACTTCTTGTTCTTCTAAAGAACAAAACCAGGAAAAAAAAAAGTAAAAAGAATTCAATGTTCCCCATATTGATGGATTTGAGATCATCTGGTTAAAGGGAGAGGGAATAGAAGCAGTATGATGACACTCAGAACTGTTAAATTTTAGAAAAGTCACTGAAAGAACTGTAAAATGGAGTCACTAGAAAATGAAAACAAGGAAATAAAATACTGTAAAACACCAACTGAGAGCTAATCTGAAGTGTCATGGGTAGTGGACCCCATCAGCAAGATGTTATTATTTTGTCCAGTGATGTTCTGTAGTTTAGGCATGAAAGTGGAGAAAGCAGACATTGGGGTAGATATTCTTAATGATAATACCATGGGAAAAAATAAAGTCCAAAATATTTGATTTGCTCATTCTTAAAAAAAGATATATTTTTGAGAAAATTTGTTCTGATTATTACCACATTCCCATTGATATGGTGTTTATTACATTTTTAAGCAGATTTTGAAAAAAGTTTGCATTGTCATATTTCCTAAATCAAGATTATTTATTGATCTTGGGTGCTTTTGAAAGAAGAAATATTTCCTACTTTCAGTGAAAAGGCCATTAACTTACTAAAATAAGATTCATCCTAGAGTTTATTTCCTTTCTCATTTTGTATGTATGTCATAAACCAGGAATTCAAGCAGAATATAAACTCTTATTCACTCTTAATAGTATGCATTTTTAAAATTCCAACTTAAATTTGGGGTAATATTTTCCTTAACAGGTAAGAAAATAACAGTGATAATATACATGCAACTTTATCAAACATAGAAAATGTTTCGTATTAAATCTTTTTTTGTTTTATTTAATCTACAAAATGCTCAAAAATATAATGTCAATATATATTAAATGGGGTCATTCTTCACTGCAATGTGATCTTAATTAGTTTTTAAAAACGACATATTGTAAACAATAATGTCCTGATATTTTAACTGGTTTATAATTTACCAGTTTATATTTGGAAAAAATTATCCAAAAATTATAAGGCAGAGAAAAGAGGGATTTTTTTAAAGAAATAACATACTGATGAAAGCTTACGCTTATTATGTCTAATACATGACAGATACACTCTGATAATTGTTTTATATTAATTAAATCATTTACTTATCTGTTCTGGATTATGTAGTTATTACCATAATGAATCCCATTTTACAGATGAGAACAGTGATGAATAGGCTGGTTAGAAATGTAAGCCTTGTTTCAAAAGCCATAGAGTTTTTGTATCAGAATTTGAACCTAGGCAATCCGGTTCTAGAGTACAGATTCCTAGCATCATTTAACACTGCTTCTCCTACATTACTGTGAACAAAAAAGAAAGCATATATACACTTAAATTTAGGAGTAGTTAAATTATCAGAGTATTTTTCATGTTTAACAATTAAAAACCTACATCTGACATGTAAGCACTAAAAGAATACTGTGAGAATTTCAAGAGAAAATAATGTTTATCTCTAAAAATACCATAGAAGTTGTGTTTCAGCTCATTATATTTACCAGAGACCATATTAATAGAAGATTTTAAGATTCTGTGGCTGGGCCATTTTTGGGTTTAGTTCCATTCTCGGTCAAATAATGACATGTCATTTGTTCTACAACATCATAGAGCCATTAGAATATAAAAGAGTTTTCTGGATTGTAAGATGAAATATTACTTTAAAACTTCATGCAACACATACTTAGTTCTTAATAGGTTTAGAAAAAGTGGATTTGTGCTCTAAAAGAATAAATAGAGATACCTGGTAATGTGTTAAGATTTAATTATGGTCTTTAGGATCTTAGTTGAAGTACGTATTGTTTTAGAAGACAACAATCTTTGGTCCAGTACAAGAGGAGTATACGATGGAAAAAGTCTCATATCAATCATTCTTCATTAAAAAATGTCATAAACTTAAGTGAGAAACATTAATATACAGAAATTATTATTTCTTTTCACTGGGCCTCAGATTTCTTCGTCTATAAAGTGCAATTATATTAAATGAGCTCTATGATAGCTCTCCTCTGAAATTCTATTATTGGAAAACTTAAAATCAGGTGGACCAACAGAATAATTATTTGTCCCTGTTTTCCAGAAGCTGTCCCCTGTTGTTCTGGAGTGATTATTAAAAGCATCCCTTTTCTCTCAATAGTGTCCAGTTCAGGTAATTAATTATACACATTGCAAAGAATCAGAGATATATTAGTGTTAATTTTCACTTATTAATATTTATCCTAGAGCACTCAATACAATATTTGAGTAATTTTGAATACATAATAGATAAATTAACATATACATGAGTAAATGAGAACTCAATGAAATAAAATCACCTGCTCTGATAAACATTTAGCATACTTTCAAACGTTAAAATATTTGATATTAGTTTATGCAAGATTATGCAGGATCTAGTAATGAGTGGACATGGCTTCTAATCTTAGTCATTTACCCACTTGGGGAGGTCAAAATTACATTTTCTTTCCTCGTCACATAATTAAGAGATAATTATCCCACTACTTTTTCCATATCAGGATGACTAAAGTTAATTATAGCATTGTGCTAAGCATTTAAGGGTGATACTATTAAAAATATTTATTTAAAAGGTTAATGCACAGTTTCTTTTTTTTTCTTACATAGTTACATGTAGTGCTGCCATATTTAGCAAACAGAATATGGAAAATCTAGTTAAATTTAAATTTCAGGTAAATACAGAATAATATTTTAGTGCTAGTATGTTCTACATATAGCATTGTTGTTCTACATTTTATCTGATAACCCTGCCTCCATGGCATTCTTATTCTTAGATTTCTTGACTGATGACTACTAGTGATGAACTGATGAACAAGCGTCCATGGTTGTCTCCTCCATGCAATCATTCAGGAACCCAGCTGTTGAAGATGGAAGAGCCCCAACCCACCTGGGTTCTTGAATGACTACATAGAGAGCGTCCATGGACACTTATTCATCCACCCCATGCTGCTATATGAAATAAGAAAGAAGCTTCTGTTGTTTTGTGCCATTACAAGGATTTGGGGTCTATTAGTACAGCAGCTGGCCTTGGCTAAATTATTGTCATCATCATTAAATCTGTAGCATAGATTTTGCTGGATGACATATTTTATTACTTTGAACCTTATTTGTCTTTGTATGGCATATATGACAGAGTTTTTCTATTTACTGAAAATCTCATTAGAGTATGCTAGGTTTTTTTCTAAGTAACCTCAGAACTTTTTGTTGAAATCAAGGAATCAAAATATGGGGTAATTAAAGTGCATATTTAAGCTAAACTTCTATTGTGTTCAACAGAAAAATGGTCTGAAAAAATTCCTTCCATTTTGTCCCTGATGAGATTTATGATTTTCTTTTAATCCCATGTGGATGACATTTTAAACATTTATAAATTTTATAAAATGTATCATTACAGATATAATTAAAATAAATAAGTTTAAAAAAACTTTTTTTTAAGTAAAATAAGGTTTCATAGCGTTCTTATTCTTGGTTTATTAGGCTAATGACTAAAATGTTTTGAGATATGTTATAGTGGTTACGAATAATCTCTAGAGACAGCCCTGGATTTATATTCTAGTCTTGCCACTTGCCTTGGACAATTTGTTTACATTTACAAAACCTCAATTTCTTCATCTATATAATGATAATTAGAGTGTTCCTTAATTAATAGGGTTGCTATGAAAATTGAGATGATGCTAAGCCTGTTTCATAGAAGCAATCTATGATTTTAGCTAATATTATTATTCTGATGAAAAATGTATTGACATATTTTCTTAGTATCAGTTTTGCAAACTGAACCAATTTTAAAAGCTTTTCATTTATAATTTCTTTTTCTTGTAAAAGTTGATTCTGCATTTAGTGAATTTGTTTTCCTCAAACCCATCTATCTAACAACAGAATATAGGTAAATATATTTATTTGTTACAGAGACATAGGGAAATCTATTACCTCAAGAGATATGTAAAGTATATGGGGTTCTGAACATGTTCAGTTTTGAGCCAAGGTATTTTCACTACCTTTGCAAATTATTTATCTTAACACTGTAGATACTGATAATTGTTGATAATTGAATAAGAATGATAGACACATGGGGATTCCTTCATTCACTCATTGTCTCTACTTTTGCATGTTTGAAATCTGTCATAATGAAAAGTTTTTTCAAAATAAGATACTGTTCACTGCTTTCATATTCTCTTAAATATGGAACTATTCCCCATGATGAGGAAAGGCAGGAAGCTATGTAGTGGTGTGGTCTTCCCAACACAAGTATTGAGTACTTATCATTTGCCAGGCACTCTTTTGCGTGCCATTTATGCAGTGCCTGATTTCACACTCAAACTAAACCCATGCTGTATCATCATAATTACTTCCATTCCATAGATATGGAAATGACAGATGGAGACTTTGAATAGCTCATTCAAGACCACACAGAATATATTCTTGTGTGTGTGTGTGTGTTTGTGTGTGTGTGTGTGTGTGAGTGTGTGTGTGTATATATATATATATATAGAGAGAGAGAGAGAGAGGGAGAGAGAGAGAGAACAAACAAAAATATCAGCAATGTTCCTGTGTTGCTATGCAAGGTTTCTTTCTATGTTTCCAGATGCTTCAAGGTCCATTAAAATTATTCTGCCTATGTCTGCACAGGCACTCCTTTGAAGATTATATTTGAGAATTAGAAGTTTTGACAGTGTAATCACCCATTATCTCTTTTCAATGCCAAAAGGACAAATTCCAGCAAATACTGAATGCATGAGGTTCCTTAATGCTTCCAGAAAGTATTGGTATTTTATTCATTTCAACATGCCTTAGACTCCTAGGGCCCATGGTAGTCGAAATGTTTCCTGACTACATAATTTAAATATTCAGTTTTGATGTTCCTAGGTAAGAGGTTGTATGCGTATGTTTGTGTAAATGGTTTATTCAAAATGGTTATATCAAAAGAAAATGCCCAGAAGTGCCACCTCTTATTTTCCACTTACCCAGCACTTTCTGATCCACAATATATTTGAATATATTTACCTAATATTATATTCCCAAATGTTAGGTAGTAAACCAAGCAGAAGATAGGGTTTTTTCTCCATTTATTTTTCATCACTACTCCCATATGGCTTCATATTGCCAAACTGATTTTCAAAGTGGGTGTACAACCCAAGGTCACAAGAGGCAATATAACTGGACTTCCTAAATCCTGAAAATTCATAATCTCTCTGGAAAGAGAATAAGCACTTAGATATGCATACATATATAACACTTAGATATATTACATACAGAATTCTGGCTATTGAACATTTACACTACTTGTATAGCCATTTAAGAACATGAAAAAAGTAATGCTCTGAAGATGTCTTAGGAAATGTAAGCATACATATAACAGTTCCTTACTTAAATAAAATACTATGCTCCATATTTAGAATAAAAATAGGTGGTACAGTTAACTTTTTGTTATTCTTTTTTTTTTTTTTTACTTTAGGTATGAAATGGTACAGAATTACCTTGCTTTTTCATATTTAACAAAAGTCTGCAATTGTCTTGCATTGTTTTTCTAGATTATGGTAATTATCCATTAAGAATGAAAATATTGGGAGGCTGAGGCAGGCGAATGGCGTGAACCCGGGAGGCAGAGCTTGCAGTGAGCCGAGATCGTGCCACTGAGCCTGGGTGACAGAGCAAGACTCTGTCTCAAAAAAAAAAAAAAAAAAAAGAATGAAAATATCTAGATTATTAAACTGATTAAAAATTAAGCATGAATTTATTTAGACACATCCTTATCTACAGTTTTATGTAATATCCTACAAAAATATATTAGTGTATTTGAAGAAACAATTCTATTCTCTTGTTAAAACTTGAAAATCAAAGTCATCTTTAAAACTGTAACTCTTGAGAGGGTATATGTGTCCAGGAATTTATCAATTTCTTCTAGATTTTCTACTTTATTTGCATAGAGGTGTTTACAGTATTCTCTGATAGTAGTTTGTATTTCTGTGGGATCAGTGGTGATATCCCCTTTATCATTTTTTATTGTGTCTATATGATTCTTCTCTCTTTTCTTCTTTATTAGTCTGGCTAGTGGTCTATCTATTTTGTTAATCTTTTCAAAAAAACACCTCCTGGATTCATTGATTTTTGAAGGGTTTTTCATGTCTCTGGATCTTTCAGTAATGCTCTGATCTTAATTATTTCTTGTCTTCTGCTAGCTTTTGAATTTGTTTACTCTTGCTTCTCTAGTTCTTTCAATTGTTATGGTGTGGATTTTAGATCTCTCCTGCTTTCTACTGTGGGCATTTAGTGCTATAAATTTCCCTCTAAACACTGCTTTAGCTGTGTTCCAGAGATACTGGTATGTTGTGTCTTTATTATCATTGGTTTCAAGAAACATCTTTATTTCTGCCTTAATTTCATTATTTACCCAGTAGTCATTCAGGAGCAGGTTGTTCAGTTTCCATGTAGTTGTGTGGTTTTCAGTGAGTTTCTTAATCCTGAGTTCTAATTTGCTTACCCTGTGGTCTGACAGTCTGTTTGTTATGATCTTCACTCTTTTGCATTTGATGAAGAATGTTTTATTTCCAATTATGTGGTCAATTATAGAATAAGTGTTATGTTGTGCTGAGAAGAATGTATGGTCTGTTGATTTGGGGTGGAGAGTTCTATAAATGTCTATTAGGTCCAATAACAAGTTCTGAAATTGAAGCAGTAATTAATAGCTGACCAGCCAAAAAAAACTTCTGGACCAGACAGATTCACAGCTGAATTCTACCAGAGGTACCAAGAGGAGCTGGTACCATTACTTTTAAAAATTTCCAAGCAAAAGAAAAAGAGAGACTCCTCCCTAACTCTTTTTATGAGGCTAGCATCATCCTGATACCAAAGCCTGGCAGGGACACAACAAAAAAAGAAAATTTCAGGCCAACATCCCTGATGAACATCGATGGAAAAATTCCTCAATAAAATACTGGCAAACCAAATCCAGCAGCACATCAAAAAGCTTATCCACCACAATCAAGTAGGCTTCATCCCTGGGATGCAAGGCTGGTTCAACATCGCAAATCAATAAATGTAATCCATCACATAAACAGAACCAATGACAAAAACCACATGATTATCTCAATAGATGCAGAAAAGGCCTTCAACAAAATTCAACACTCCTTCATGCTAAAAACACTCAATAAACTAGGTATTGATGGAACATATCTCAAAATAATAAGAGCTATTTATGACAAACCCACAGCCAATATCATACTCAATGGGCAAAAGCTGGAAGCATTCCCTTTGAAAACCAGCAGAAGACAAGGATGCCCTCTCTCACGACTCCTATTTAACATAATATTGTAAGTTCTGGCCAGGGCAATCAGGCAAGAGAAAGAAATAAACGTATTCAAATAGGAAGAGAGGAAGTCAAATTATCTGTTTGGAGATGACATGTTTGTATATTTAGAAACCCTATTGTCTCAGACCCAAAACTCCTTAAGCTGATAAGCAACTTCAGCAAAGTCTCAGGATACAAAATCAATGTGCAAAAATCACAAGCATTCCTATACACCAATAATAGACAGAGAGCCAAATAATGAGTGAACTCCCATTCACAATTGCTACAAAGAGAATAAAATACCTAGGAATACAACTTACAGTGGATATAAAGGACCTCTTCAAGGAGAACTACAAACCACTGCTCAAGGAAATAAGAGATGACACAAATGAAAAAACATTCCATGCTCATGGATAGGAAGAATCAATATTGTGAAAATGCCATACTGCCAAAAGTAATTCATAGATTCAATGATATTCCCATCAAGCTATCACTGACTTTCTTCACAGAATTAGAAAAAAACTACTTTAAATTTCATATGGAACCAAAAAAGAGCCCATATAGCCAAGATGATCCTAAGCAAAAAGAACAAAGCTGGAGGCATCACGCTACCTGACTTCAAACTATACTACAAGGCTACAGTAACCAAAACAGCATGGTACTGGTTAAAAAAAAAAAAAAAAAAAAAAAAAAAAAACAGAGATATAGACCAATGGAACAGAACAGAGCCCTCAGAAATAACACCACTCATCTACAACCATCTAATCTTTGGCAAAACTGACGAAAACAAGCAATGGGGTAAGTATTCCCTATTTAACAAATTATGTTGGAAAAACTGGCTAGCCATATGTAGAAAACTGAAACTGGACCCTTTCCTTACACCTTATCCAAAAATTAACTTGAGATGGATTAAAGATTAAATGTAATACGTAAAACCATAAAAACCCTAGAAGAAAACCTAGGCAATACCATTCAGGACGTAGGAATGGGCAAAGACTTCATAACTAAAACATCAAAAGCAATTGCAACAAAAGCAAAAATTGACAAATGGGATCTAGTTAAACTAAAGAGCTTCTGCACAGCAAAAAGAAACTATCAGAATGAATAGGCAACCCACAGAATGGGAGAAAATTTTTGCAATCTATCCATCTGATAAAGGGCTAATATCCAGAATCTACCAGGAACTTAAACAAATTTATAAGAAGAAAACAAACAACCCCATCAAAAAGTGGGCAAAAGATATCAACAGACACTTCTCAAATGAAGACATTTATGCAGCCAAAAGACACATGAAAAAATGTTCATCATCACTGGCCATCAGAGAAATGCAAATCAAAACTACAATGAGATACCATCTCACACCAGTTAGAATGGCGATCATTAAAAAGTCAGGAAACAACAGGTGCTGGAGAGGATATGGAGAAATAGGAACATTTTTACAAACTACAACAACTGTAACTCAAGGGAAATATGAATCTCTTTGAGATGTGCTGAAAATCAGAAACAGCATGTAATTTCTAGAGGTAAGGATTGGAAATGGTCTTGGAAGGGTCTATTTTCACTACTGACATATGGCAGGAGTCAAGGATTTTCTATTTCTTAACACTAAGATCATAGTGTTAAGAATATGATCTAGAATAGTGTTGATTCCTTCATTGAGTTTGAACTAGGACAGTGGGCCAGTGATACCCAGTCTTGTTTCAGTTAACTGGTAGGTAGTTGATCATGTAGACGGTCTTTAATTTTTTTAAGAGAAGCTCCGAAAGCTGCCTTTATTTCTAGAACACCATTATTATCATCAGGTAGTCTATATATTAAAATCTAAGTTATGGATTTGAGACACAATCAGCAAGAAAGGATATTAAAAAACAAGTTTCATGCTGTACTCTCAATGAGTTCTTATAGTGAATTAACTACAAATAAGTAAAGTTAGGTTGAGCTATGCAGCATGTTTATCTTAGGTAGCATATTTGCTATGGTGATGTTTTTGTGTATAAGGATGACTCACTATTATTTCAGTATTTATCATCTATTTCTCTGTAGGAACAATAATTTAAATAAAACAAAACAAAAGTGATATGTCTTGGCCCTTTTACACAACTCACACGGAAAGCAGAATGGAAAAGCCAGTACCATTTTTCTCAATTTGCCATTGCATTTGGAGATTATTCAAGCTTGTGTTCAAGAGATTATACAAGGGCCATCAAAAAGTAGGGAGACCTCTGAGTTTATAGTAAAGTGAAAGGGTTACAAGTGATTTCACAAAGGAGATGAGATCTGAACTAAGCCTTCAAGAGCAAACAAGATTTTTGACAGGGTAACTAGAAAGGTGCTTGAGGCAGAGAGCATGACCAAATAAATCCAGAAATTAAAGTCCTTATCAGAAAAAAAAAAAAAGTTTTACTGCAATGTCTGTCAGGCTATAGAGTCATAACCCATTTCAATATGTCTCAAAAACAGTGCTATTGATCTTTTACATAAGAATATTCTCTGATGTACTGCATGATGTTTAACAATATCCCTAACTGGTTACTAAATGCTAATAGTAAGGTCTTTTTTTTTTTTTTTTTTTTTTTTTTTTTTTGAGACAGAGTCTAGCTCTTTCGCCCAGGCTGGACTGCAGTGGCGCTATCTGGGCTCACTGCAAGCTCCGCCTCCCGGGTTCATGCCATTCTCCTGCCTCAGCCTCCCGAGTAGCTGGGATTACAGGCGCCCGCCACCGCGCCCGGCTAATTTTTTGTATTTTTAGTAGAGACGGGGTTTCACCGTGTTAAGCCAAGATGGTCTCGATCTCCTGACCTCGTGATCCGCCCGCCTCGGCCTCCCAAAGTGCTGGGATTACAGGTGTGAGCCATCGCGCCTGGCCTCTTACATATTTTCAAATGTTCCATAATGGTGAGTAAACCTTCCCCACACTGAAACATTGAGTTAAGATTCAATGAAGTTCATTTTTTAATAGAAAGTAACAGAATAGAAGAAAAGATTAAAAAAAAGAAGAAGAAAAGAAAGCACATTTCAGTAGAAAGAATGATCAGATAATGGACACCCTTGACATAACTGACTGTTGAGCTGCTGAATTTTAGAGCTGACAGGAATATGATTAATCAGTCTCAGTGATTTTCAAACTTTGTATTTTATTAGCATATCCATTGGGGGAAAAAGCTTATAAATCCCACACACAGCTTCATGGAAATGAACAACCAGAAAACTTAAGCAACTTAACAAATTAAGATGCCTGCCATAACTAAGTTGATGAGTCATTGGACATTTTGAGAAGGAATACCAATTAAACACGCCAAGAAAAAAATGTATTCATTCATAACAAAATGTATTTCCTTATTAAATAATAAAACACATGACAACACTTTTCCTACTTATCTTTGTTACTTGACACATGAACATGAAAATCTCTTACCTGGACTTCATGATCCAAATAAACTAATGGTGCCTACACAGCTTTCCCATAGCTTTCCTTAGAGGATTTAAACATCTCTTTCGCCCTTAAATTTTCATGTCCAAAATTTACATGCACTTCATCCCAAGTCCCTTGAAAAATGACTCATGTCTGCCTTACACTATGGCTGGCACAATCACCTACAAAATATAAAGCCCGATTTAGAAATATGGCTCCAGTTCCCTTCCTTAGCCACCATCACTCTCATATTCATGGCAATAAGACACTGAGCACTACAGGCTAAATTTTAATACATTTTGTTGGCCCCTTCAATTAATGTGCCCTCTTCAGAACTCAACTTTTTCTTTGACTTTTGAGTCTGAACATTCTTGCAATTCCAGCACAGGCTGAGCATCCCAAGTCTGAAAATCTGCACTCCAAATGCTCCAAAATCCGAAAATTTTTGAGTGTTGACATTACACCACACTTGGAAAATTCCACACCTGACCTCAAGTGACAGGTCACACATAATTATTAATAACACTGTATAAGATTACCCTCAGACTCTGTGTATAACGTGTATACGAAACATAAATAAATTTTATGTTTAGAATTGGGTTCCATCCCTAACATATTTCATTGTGTATATACAAATATTCCAAAATCCAAAAAATGACACACTTCTGGTCCCAAGCATTTTTTTTTTCTTTTTGAGACAGAGTCTCACTCTGTCACCCATGCTGAAGTGCAGTGGCACGATCTTGACTCACTGCAACCTCTGCCTCTGGGTTCGAGTGACTCTCCTGCCTCAGCCTCCTAAGTAGCTGTGGTTACAGGCATGTGCCGCCATGCCTGGCAAATTTTTCTATTTTTAGTAGAGACAGGGTTTCGCCATGTTGGCCAGGCTGGTCTGGAACTCCTGGCCTCAAGTGATCCACCCACGGCATGAGCCACCACACCCGGCCCCCAAGCATTTTGGATAAAAGATTCTCAACCTGTGTCTCCTTCAGACTTAGAAGAGAATTCCTTCTTCCCTTCTAACAACAGGTAAACTACATGACTGGGCTAATGGGTAATCCTTTACCATGGAAAGGGTTATAAGACATTGTGATTACAATGTAATTACAATGTAATTCTGTTCTCTGCATGTTTCCATTGCCTGATAAAATCTGAATAAGATTGAAATAAATAAAGGAATAATTATGCATGTAAATGAACGGTTTTGAAAGCAGTGTGGCTTTGTGGTGAGTTAAAAACCAGAGGGCTGAAACCTGAATATAGCCCACAAATAAATTATTGGTTGCTGGATTTGTAGTTTAAATATAAATGCATGTAAATTGTTGACAATTTGTTACAGTATCCACCATTTCATATTGCATTATACTAGGCAACTTCATAAATCTATGTTCCTGTACATTTTGAGTTTGCACTTATTGGTAGTCTTTAAGGACATGGATTCTGATGTCCTACAGAGGGATTACAAGACTGTGCTCTCCATGTAACTGTCTAGCTATAAAATGGGGGCACTAACAGAAACTATTTCTAAGACTCATTGTGAGCATTAACTTAGGTGATGCATGTAAAGTACTTAGCACATGTTCTATCATATAGCAATTAATAAATGTTTTTTATTATTCTTTAGTAATGAAACTCCTGCTGCTTGTGATATTGTGTTAGAGCAGGAAACGGGAATGAAATGCTTTGCCTGAAAGCAGTACTACCTGGGCATAATTTCATAAACATAATTTTATCTAGGCAACTTTAATAGAAACTGACATTAGGAAAGTGAATTTTAGTAGCAGACAAAACTATAATAAGATTTCTTTGCATAGTTCTTTTTTTTTTTTTTTTTTTGAGACAGAGTCTCACTCTATTGCCCAGGCTGAAGTGCAGTGGTGAGATCTTGGCTCACTGCCACCTCTGCCTCCTGGATTCAAGCAATTCTCCTGTCTCAGCCTCCCGAGTAGCTGGGACTACGGGCGCATGCCAACACACCTGGCTAATTTTTGTATTTTTAGTAGAGATGGGGTTTCACCATATTGGTCAAGCTGGTCTCAAACTCCTGACCTCAGGTGATCGACCCGCTTTGGCCTTCCAAAGTGATGGGATTACAGGTGGGAGCCACTGCACTGGCCTGGATTGGTTTTTAAATGTGGTACATTCATTGAACCAATTCTTAAGTTCCAAAATAAGGTAGTTTTCAGACATATGTTCCATGTATCATTTTTCCAGGTGTGTGACTCCATGAGCTAAGTGTTTAAAAGATTAAAATTATGACACAATATCTAGAAAAGATATTACTACTGTGAAAGAAGAAAGGGTCTTACGTTGAGTTTTATAAAAATGAAATATTTTCTAGGTCCTCTTATCTTTCACAATATTTATTGAAAGAAGAAACTTTCAAAACTTACAATTTCGCTTTATTCAAGAGACATGTATAGTCTAAAACTGTTTTGTGGTTTGGTATACAATATATGAAAAAAAGAGATTAATAATGTATTGGCAAGGATAAAAAAAAAAGAAACTTTACCTTGTAAAACCAAAAAATGTTCTGTTAACTGAGAAGTGGATGGAATGTTCAAAGTGCTTGCGGATCAAGCTCTCTGTAAAATCTGATTTATACTGCAGGCATCATAATGCCTGCCTACTTCAGAATGAATAATAGTACCAAGCTGAAGTCGCAACAGCAGCCCTGGAACATTAACAGCAAATGTCTTCCATCTTAATAGCTGAGTCTGTGCCATTCTCTACACTTAAAATTCTGAGCATTTAACACTTCTTGTTGCATCTAAATCCAGATACAAAAACCTTCAAATCAAACTATTTACCTCAAGTGAAATTTGTCTTGAATAATTCATAAGAAGAAAGAAAGATGGCAGTGAAGAAAGCCAAAGGGAGTTTTAATGAACTCTAGAGTTTCAAAACTAATGGCAAAGAAGCTATTACAGCTTTTCCCTTCACCTTATAAAAGGAAGTATGGGTCTCTCTTAAAATTAAATACTCCCAGAAAACAGGAGGTGCAGTACTGAGTTCAGCTTTTTGCTTGTCTGCGACTGATGCAAGAACATGATCACACAGATTACCAGGAGGGGCTCTTTGAATGTGTGACAGTTGAAGAAACACCTAAATTTTCATGTTCAAATGTCTTATTCTTAAGTCATTTCATAAAATTCTAGTGGTATCTGGGGATTCAGTTAAAAGGAAGCTATGAAAAATCAATAAATGTGGTGGTTCTGGCCTAGGTTACACGAGTACCTGCTTTTGTATTGCTTTGCTACCTTCAAAGACTTAGTTGGTAATAATGGGCAGTTACCAGCTAGCCTACCTTTGTTAAAAGGTTTCACACTCTGCTCTAATAGCTAATCATCTCTGCAGGGATTTTTCTGGGGAAAAAACCTGGCATTTTGTTAAATTGTCACAACAGAGGCCATTTTACAATGTTATAATTGTGTAGGTTTGTATTAATTTCCTATTGTTTCTGTAACTAATTATCATACATTTAAATTACTTAAAATACCACAAAATTATTTTCTACAGTTCTGGAGGTCAGAAGTCTGAAAGGAGTCTTACAGGACTAAAATTAAGGTATAGGTAGTGGTACACTCCTTCTGGGAGAAATTTTTGTTTCCTGGCCTTTTCCAGATCCCAGAAGGTGCCCTTGGCTGGAGCCCTCCCTCTATTTTCAAGGCACATCACCCCGGCCTCTGCCACTGTTGTCCATTTCCTTCTGTCTTTGATCCTCTGGCTTGCCTCTTACTAGGACTGTATAATTACATTGGGCCCAACTGGGTAATCCAAGATTGTCTTCCCTTCTCAAGATCGTTGACCACATTAGCTAAGTCCCTATTGCCATGTAACTTAGACAAGTTCTGGGGATTAGGAAGTTGATATTTATGGGGCGGGGGGGATATTCTATGAATAATAAGATTATAATAACCACATTAATTGCTTACTAGAAGAATATTTACATATTAGATGTTAGGCCCTTGATTATAAAACAGAAACAAAAGACAATCCTGATCATTTTAATGTGACTTTTTTTTTCAAATATTTTCTAAAACTATATCTCACACAACCTTAAAAGCTTACTGAAAAACTTTAACAATTTATAAATTTCAGAGTTGCTAATCTCTATTAATTAAAAATAGGTGGACATTACTAATATAGGTAAGACCTAAGTATTTATATCAAAGGAATTTTCATTAATTTTCTTTAATTAACTATAATTAACAATAATGTATTATCTTCTTTAAAATGGTTTCTGTGTCTGTCATTTTTCCTTCTAGTCCACAGGTGATTATATACCCAGTGTCTGGAACATGAACAAGGGTTCTTTAATGTTTATTGAATGAATGAATGAGTGAATAAATGAAACAATTTCATTTTGTAAAAGTCTACTTTTATCTTACCAGAGTTTTTAAAGCACAATAACATTACTGGTTGAAATATTAAATGCAGACCTGAGATTTGATGATCTTTTAAGAACTATATAAATTATCTTTTAGGCAGCTTCATTTCAAATATATGCCACAAATTTTTAAAGAAATCCTTAACAAAATGAGCCCATCATGGGAAGGTAAAACTTTCAAATAAAAATAGACCATAGATATTATTCTTATTTCAAGTTAATTCAAAAGCATCCTGATCTAGGACCTAATCTGGATGCATACAACAAACTCAAACATGTTTCTGAAGACTTGCTGAGTTTATAAACAATATAAGTTTTTGAAAAAAATTACTATCAAATGAAAATAGAAATATTTTAATTGATAAATTAGTCCATATAGTCAAAGCAATATGCTAAAATGAATGTATTTAAAACTTTAAAAAAATACATTCACTTCCAAAACTATTAGCAAAACTTCAAATTAGATATTATTCTATGAAGAACTGCATTCTTATCCTAGAAGCAAGACCATTTTAACGAGTGACTTATAAATAAAGATTATAATAGTGAAATTTACATCCCTAGGAAAGGAAGTTTTCTAAGTATTTTACATTCACATTTCTCATTCTGGGAATTTTTAACAAAGATAGAGATTTTACCAAAGATTATTTCACAATCTATTTCAAAAAAGAGAGTATATTTTAAAATAGTTATCCTCACACAAATGTTCTCTGTTATTAGACTCTACCTAAGGATATCATGAACATGTTAAAACCTTGCTATTTTTAAGGAATATTGGTAACCATATGAACATACGTAATGTGCCAAATGTTATTTAATAGAAAACAACAAAATGTTATTGATTTGAATTTCTATAATAATCTGAAGAAAAGTGCAAGTGCTGATGGCGGATTACATCATTTACAGATTACACTGATGATTTTTAGAACTAATCAAATCAGCACTCTTTACAAAAAGATAACAAATATTTGATCACAGAAATCCTCACGTATTTTCAACTCAAAATTCTGAGTTATTGAAAACAACTTCACTCAAAAATTCACAAACAACATACAAGGAAAAATTTATGTTTTAATATTGTTATTCTATATTTTTTATTAGAAATGGAATAATAAGAGGACACAATGTGGTTGCAACAGAAATAAAGCATCCTAACAGTGACAACAAAGACAGAAATAAAAAATGCTTTAAGCCTAAATCTTCACTACATGTATGTATATATGTATACAAGGACTTTTAAAAAATCATTTAATAAAATACTAATATTCCAACAGAAAAAAAGTGATCTTATGATAATTGTCTAAAATATGCATTAAATGGGTCAGCAATTGTCTATGAGTTATGGTAATATTTATTTTCTTCTTTGTGTTTTTGTTGTTCCTAAATGTTTTACCAGGAACATGTATACTTTAACAAGCAGAAATAAACAATGTTGACCTTTCCAATAAAAATATATTTTGTGTTTAATATTAAAGCCAAAAATAAATGAGTAAATGAACTTCACTTTATTATGTTTTCTAAGGAGAATAATGAGAAAATGCCACCCCTGAGAAAAACCACACTTCCTATTTTTATGTGAGCTTGTAAGAATTGTGAACTTGGGAAAAAATATTTGGAACTTCTATCATTTTTGTAAAAAACCTTTGCATATAATGGTGAACTATCAAAGAGTGTGAATTCCATTATTAATCTAATCATGAAAATCTATATTTAAAAACAATCATGGGTTTATCACCAGTGAATAAGCATCATATATATGGTATATCCAGTAAATAGTTCATTATAGCATATAGATAAATATTTCATGTCTTACAACTATAAAAAAACTATGTGCCTAAGCAATAATAGAGATAAGGAGTTTTTACAGTAAGCATCCTAATCATATTATTGCTAAATCACCTTATATTAAACAAAGTACATAAAAAGAACCATGAGGCACCAAACTGTATTCTTGCACTATGCTTTCAGCTTCATAACAATTTTGATAAATCTGGATGGAAGTACGCAAAGTGTTTAATAATATTTGCTGCTCCTTAGATCATTTGTAAACTACTATCATTTTCAAGAAAAAGATTCATGAATATCATTGTACTAGTTAAAAACTACTTAAAATTGTTCAATACATATAGGTTATTTACATCACTAGTAATAATCTTGATTCCTTTTGCATGGAACAAGCTACACCTGGAATTTATTTAGTTGTATGTGATGACTTACAGATTCATTATGTTATAATGCAACAAATGTGGTCAGAAGGAAGTGAACGACACTTGAAATCATGTTACATAAGGAACATCTGTAGAAACAGTGGAAGACTGGAGTGTGCACAAGTAGGGAGAAAATGAAGGCAACAAATACACTGTCTTCAGATGTAAATTAAAGGCAGGGTGAGGATTTTAAAGTGGATATGGTGATTAATAAGTTCCAAGTTGGTAAACTAATTTCAACAACAGGAAAATTCAGAGAGCTGGATTTCAAGTGAGGAATAAAGTAAGTAGATATATAATAAAAAATAATTATCATTATTTGCATGCTTACTATTTGCCAGGTGCCATACTCAGAACTATATATTCATTATTGTGTTTAATTTTCACACTTTATGAGGTATACACCATTTTATGGTGAGAAACTGATGCTTAGAAGGTTTAATAAATTCCCAGATATATGGCTAATAAGGGTTAGCGACAACTTAAGCAAGAGAAGTCTGATTATAAAGCCACCACTCTTATACACTATTCTGTGTAGCAGAAAAGATTAAAGCACTTGCTGGATGACTTCTTGATGTATTAATCCTGGATAGTAAGTTGAATCAACTAGGCTTCTAGTGGTAAGTAGCCTTTAGAATGACCGCCAGTGGTCTCCTCCTCCTGATATTGATGTCCTTGTTAATTCCCTTTTCTTGGGTAGCTTCCTTCTAAGCAACAGTACATAGCGTCATTGAAGGGATGTACTTCTGTGACTGGGTTATAAAAAATTGTGACTTCCCTTTCCTAACTGACCATCTATTGCCTTTTCAGCCTGCACTCTTTGATGAAGGAGTCACATGGAGAGGGTCACCTGTCAAGGAACTGAGGGCAGCTTCTGGTCAACAGCCAGTAAGAAACTGAGGCCCTCAGTCCAACAGCACTTGAAGTACTGAATTCTGCCAACGACTATGTAAGTGAGCGTGGGAGCGGATCCTTTACCAGTCTAGCTTTCAGATGAGATCCCAGGCCTGAGTGACTTCTTGATTGCAGTCTTGTGAGATACCCCAAAGTAGAGACAGAGATACCAACTAAGCAACACCTGGACACCTGACTCACAGATGATAACTGAGATGAGAAATGTGTGGTGTTTTAAGCCATTAAACTTTGCGGTAATTTGTTACATAGCAATGGATAATGAATTACACTTCCTTTAGGCAAAGACTGTTTTATTTGGCTTTCTGTACCTCACAAATTGCACTGTTCCTGAAACACAGAAAGCAACACTTTAATGCCAATTGACTAACAGTGAATGAATAACATTTGAAATTTGAGATTTTATTATTCTATGTAGATGATAAAACACTTTGTCTACCACAGTACTATCTGTTTTATCAGGATAAAAGATATTACAAGTAAAATAGCCCAAATTCAATAAGATTTTTTTTCCTCTTCTCCCCACCCGCCAGCTTTAATGTACATACAAAAGATTCACCCATTGTGTAAGTATACCATTGGGTAAATTTGGGCAACTAGGAAATATTCCTGTAACCACTATCACAGTCGAGATAGACAGCATTTCTAACTCCTGAAAATGTTTCCTGATGTCTCTTTACAGTCAAGCCCCTCCCCAACTCCTTCAGGCTGATCAGCTTTCTCTCACTATAGCTTAATACTTTCTAAAATTCCACATACAGAGATGTATTTTTAAATATTTTAAATGTTGGATTTGTGCTGCAAATGCACTAAGGTATCTATCAGTCCACATAAAGCAGCTGTGATTCAATTTTTTTTTTTGTTTTTCACTCTTTATTTTATATGGAAATATCTTCAATAGATTCAATTTACAAATGAATACTTTATCTCTAAGAAAAGAACTAAATATTTCAAATAGCATTTTAACTAATTGATCTTTAGTGGATTAACCTAATGAAGAGGACAGTTTCTAAAACTCCTTAAAGGTCCCTGGGATTTATCCAGATTTTTTTTCCTTTGAGCAGTAAGAGAAAAATAAGAATTATTATTGTACCATATTAAACTCTTCTGCAGTGGCCATTTACCAGAATGTTCTAAATTTAAAAACTGAAAGAAAGTTGAGGCTATAGTGGAGCAGAAAAGGATTTCATATGTAAAGTTAAAATTCCCTAGATTTTGCTACAACTTGGCACTTTTAAGTGCGTTCTTGCTGATTAAATGTTCAACTCTCACTCAATCAGCCCGCTTTCAAAGCCTGGTATTTCTTTTACTTGCATGTAAGGAAAATGCAGTCATCCAATAAAAATTCTGGAGACATTTCCTTGAATATAAGGGTTGATGACAGATGCATGAACAAAAGTGAGACCTTCACAGTAAAAGTATCAGAAAAAACTCAGCAGAAGTCACTGTTTGTTGGGAGTGGCAGCATCAGCTCACTTTGAATTCCTGCAGTCTCTCATTTAACCAATATTTACTGAAGTCTCAGAATGAGCTAGGTACTACTTTAGCTATATCAAGTATTTTCTTCACTTACTGGGGGGTAAAGACTAATAGTTGTTAGCACAAATGCAGGAGCCAATTAAGCTGGCTAGCCTTAATATGCCTACAATATCAAAACCCAATTTTATGCTGTATCTAAATAAATACTGAAGAGTTCTGTTGCTGTTTATCTCAACTTACACATGCCCTACAGTAACCACTTATAATTGAACAATCATATTTGGAGGTAAATAGTACAATGAACTGAAAAGGAGGTTTGGGGTGAGAATAACCTACAGACAAATCAGATTTTGACTTTTAATAAGTAAATTTTGTGGCCTTAGGGAATATAACCTAACTTCTACAGTCACATTTCTTTAGATGTAAATGAGTGCTTTAAAAGTACAAGATGTGAAATAGGACTTTTCTTTGTTTCAAACATTTCAGCTAAACCCTAAATATTGAGAATAGTTAACAGAAGGGATTCTAAAGAGCACTCACTAGGCACCTTTCCTAGGGCTTCCTAATAAGCAGCCAAACCGGCTACCAACCTACCACCTCTGGCCTCTCAAATGCAGAATTATGGAGTATTTTGAGAGAGAAAGAGTCGTCCACGCAATGAGATGTTATCCAAGGGAAGAGAAGGGCTTCTGACTTGTCTTCTTTTCACAAGTGCTCCCATATGTTAAGTGAGTGGTGCATTTTGCAAGGCAAAGAAAGCAGTGTCTCAATTCTCACCTCAGGCTTGCTGAGCTGCAGAGATGTGCAGCCAAATCTCCACATAACCCTGGGATGAGAAGATTCTGAAACAAACTGACATGTGGCCCCTAAAGTTTGGAGGAACGTGTGAACATTGAGATGACTGCTTCAGTCCCTCCTGGAGAATTCAGAATGCATAATGTTGGCTGATGCAGTCTATAACAGCAGAAAACAAGGAGAGGAGACAGTGGACTGGGAGGAACTACATCCCATTATTAGACATGACAAGAATGCCTGCGTTTCCATGGGCTCAGTCATCCCACAGAAAGTAATTTGCTAGCTTTATGAGATCCCAGTGAAAAGAACCACCTTCCAGTAAAAAATGATAAAGGGGATATCACCACTGATCCCACAGAAATAGAAACTACCATCAGAGATTACTACAAACACCTCTACACAAATAAACTAGAAAATCTAGAAGAAATGGATAAATTCCTCGACACATACAGTCTCCCAAGACTAAACCAGGAAGAAGTTGAATCTCTGAATAGACCAATAACAGGCTCTGAAATTGTGGCAATAATCAATACCTTACCAACAAAAAAGAGTCCAGGACCAGATGGATTCACAGCCGAATTCCACCAGAGGTACAAGGAGGAATTGGTACCATTCCTTCTGAAACTATTCCAATCAATAGAAAAAGAGGGAATCCTCCCTAACTCATTTTATGAGGCCAGCATCATCCTGATACCAAAGTCAGGCAGAGACACAACCAAAAAAGAGAATTTTGGACCAATATCCTTGATGAACATTGATGCAAAAATCCTCAATAAAATACTGGCAAACTGAATCCAGCAGCACATCAAAAAGCTTATCCACCATGATCAAGTGGGCTTCATCCCAGGGATGCAAGGCTGGTTCAATATATGCAAATCAATAAATGTAATCCAGCATATAAACAGAACCAAAGACAAAAACCATGATTATCTCAATTGATGCAGAAAAGGCCTTTGACAAAATTCAACAGCCCTTCATGCAAAAAACTGTCAATAAATGAGGTATTGATGGGACGTATCTCAAAATAATAAGAGCTATCTATGACAAACCCACAGCCAATATCATACTGAATGGGCAAAAACTGGAAGCATTCCCTTTGAAAACTGGCACAAGACAGGGATGCCCTCTCTCACCACTCCTATTCAACATACTGTTGGAAGTTCTGGCCAGGGCAATTAGGCAGGAGAAGGAAATAAAGGGTATTCAATTAGGAAAAGAGGAAGTCAAATTGTCCCTGTTTGCAGACGACATGATTGTATATCTAGAAAACCCCATTGTCTCAGCCCAAAATCTCCTTAAGCTGATAAGCAACTTCAGCAAAGTCTCAGGATACAAAATCAATGTACAAAAATCACAAGCATTCTTATACACCAGTAACACACAAACAGAGAGCCAAATCGTGAGTGAACTCCCATTCACAATTGCTTCAAAGAGAATAAAATACCTAGGAATCCAACTTACAAGGGATGTGAAGGACCTCTTCAAGGAGAACTACAAACCACTGCTCAAGGAAATAAAAGAGGATACAAACAAATGGAAGAACATTCCATGCTCATGGGTAGGAAGAATCAATATCATGAAAGTGGCCATACTGCCCAAGGTAATTTATAGATTTAATGCCATATCCATCAAGCTACCAATGACTTTCTTCACAGAATTGGAAAAAACTACTTTAAAGTTCATGTGGAACCAAAAAAGAGCCCGCATTGCCAAGTCAATCCTAAGCCAAAAGAACACAGCTGGAAGCATCATGCTACCTGACTTCAAACTATACTACAAGGCTACAGTAACCAAAACAGCATGGTACTGATACCAAAACAGAGATATAGATCAATGGAACAGAACAGAGCCCTCAGAAATAACGCCGTATATCTACAACTATCTGATCTTTGACAAACCTGAGAAAAACAAGCAATGGGGAAAGGATTCCCTATTTAATAAATGGTGCTGGGAAAACTGGCTAGCCACATATAGAAAGCTGAAACTGGATCCCTTCATTACATCTTATACAAAAATCAATTCAAGATGGATTAAAGACTTACATGTTAGACCTAAAACCATAAAAACCCTAGAAGAAAACCTAGGCAACACCATTCAGGACATAGGCATGAGCAAGGACTTCATGTCTAAAACACCAAAAGCAATGGCAACAAAAGCCAAAATTGACAAATGGGATCTAATTAAACTAAAGAGCTTCTGCACAGCAAAAGAAACTACCATCAGAGTGAACAGGCAACCCACAAAATGGGAGAAAATCTTCACAACCTACTCATCTGACAAAGGGCTAATATCCAGAATCTACAATGAACTCAAACAAATTTACAAGAAAAAAAACAAACAACCCCATCAAAAAGTGGGCGAAGGACATGAACAGACACTTCTCAAAAGAAGACATTTATGCAGCCAAAAAACACATGAAAAAATGCTCACCATCACTGGCCATCAGAGAAATGCAAATCAAAACTACAATGAGATATCATCTCACACCAATTAAATGGCAGTCATTAAAAAGTCAGGAAACAACAGGTGCTGGAGAGGATGTGGAGAAATAGAAACACTTTTACACTGTTGGTGGGACTATAAACTGTTCAACCATTGTGGAAGTCAGTGTGGCGATTCCTCAGGGATCTAGAACTACAAATACCATTTGACCCAGCCATCCCATTACTGCGTATATACCCAAAGGACTATAAATCATGCTGCTATAAAGACACATGCACACATATGTTTATTGCGGCACTAATCACAATAGCAAAGACTTGGAACCAACCCAAATGTCCAACAATGATAGACTGGATTAAGAAAATGTGGCACATATACAGCATGGAATACTATGCAGCCATAAAAAAGGATGAGTTCATGTCCTTTGTAGGGACATGGATGAAATTGGAAATCATCATTCTCAGTAAACTATCGCAAGAACAAAAAACCAAACACCACATATTCTCACTCATAGGTGGGAATTGAACAATGAGATCACATGGACACAGGAAGGGGAACATCACACTCTGGGGACTGGTGTGGCGTGGTGTAGGGGGAGGGATAGCATTGGGAGATATACCTAATGCTAGATGACGAGTTAGTGGGTGCAGTGCACCAGCATGGCACATGTATACATATGTAACTAACCTGCACATTGTGCACATGTACCCTAAAACTTGAAGTATAATAATAAATTTTAAAAATAAAATGTAGCTATCTTACAATCAAAAAAAAAAAAAAAGAAAGAAAGAAAGAAAAGAACCACCTTCCCAAATAAGTAAGGGAACTGCAGAAGGAGATTCTGGAATTGCTGCTGAGAGCTGGAGCTGAGTGGTAGCTAAAGCGAATATGTCCTTTGTCAGAAAGATGGGATCCCAAATAGTGTGGTGTAGGGGAGAGAGTGGTTCTCTGAATAGTTTACACATATATTCTACATGGCAGTCAATCCCTGCCATTGACAGAGGCACTGATTACTGAGAGATACTTAAAAAATACAGTCAACAAACTCTGCAATGCAGAGCTGGAGGCAGGAGTCAGGACTGAATTAAGGGGAGAGGAGTGATTTTGAAGTTTACCTGAATTAAGTACAGCCTGGAAATTTTAATAAATAAAAATAAGTTTTAATTATTGAAATTACATTGTGTTTATGACAAAATCAGAAAAGCTATGGTCTCTGCCTAAGTTGAATCAAACCACAAGATGAGAAGATTTGATAACATGCTTGAAGAAAAAAAGTAAAAGTGCTTTTTGGCGGTGAGTTCAGGCCATTCAGTAATCATTACATACGGATTACAGATAATACATGTTAAGTGCCTACCATATAGTACCTGGCACACAGAAAATGATTTTAATAAATATGAGTTATTGTTGGTTTTATTACCATGTCCCTGGCACTGCTAGTTACGTTACTTACATACATTACCTCTAATCCTTCCAATAAATCTACAAGGTAGCTATTATTATATTTATTTTATAGACAATGGAAAAGAGGAAACAAAAGTGAAGGAGACACTCTCTACCCTCACAAGCCTTATCTAAGGGAACCAATAATTTAACAGCACTAACGGCTAAAAGAGATTTCACAAGACACCATCTGAAGCCAACTCTGATGACACTGGCTTCCCCAGAGGATTGGGCCCAACAAATAGGTGTCAGTTATTGAGGTGAAAAGGACAGGCAACATTTTCAGAGGAAGGGCTCTCCGTGAGGTTTAGAATGCTGAAGTATAGGAAGTGAACTAGCAAGAACAGGACAGAGGAGGTAGGAAAGAGTGATATTATGAAAGGCCTTGCAACATTCCTTGGTAGTTTATCCTGAAGATGATATGTAGTCAATGGATGAATTTAAGTGAGGAAGAGGCAGGCCAGTGTGGTAACCAATATATAGCACTTGGGTCTGAAAGCTCTCAGTTGCTGAACCAGGAAAATCTGTGAACTCTTGAACCTCCAGTATCCTCATCTGTAATGCCCTTCAGTGTCCTTATCTTCAAAACAGAATAAAGGTACTACTACCCAATGGAACTATATTGAAATGATAAGTTACAAAGTGGTCATGGGTCTTCTATTATGAGCTCAAAAACTGAAAATTTCAAAGTCAAACGTTCCCAATTTTTGTTAAAATTAACAATTATATTACCACCAATTAAATTTCCCCTCTGCTTGTTGATACATGTTATGTAACAAGTAAATTAAACAATATTCTTTGTACTAGTCTAAAAACTTTGAGCTGAATTTTAAAATATCTATTTCTAATATAAATTCTAACAAAGGAGAAAGTAGCAAAATATGGTAGGAAAGTCAGGATGGATAAGGGCAAAGGCTAACTACAGAGGCTTCACTTGAAGCTCCCAGAGTGGCAATAGTAATTACAGGTTTGGACTTCTGGCAATTATAGAAAATTCTTAAATGTAGTCTATTTCCTCTATAACTCTGCAGTGACCTGGTGATCTAATTCAAGTATCAGAAAAGACCCAGCTTTGCCAAGATGCCTCTCTTTCCCAAGTGAATGCTTACACTGCTTTGCATAAATGCCAAGAGAGGAGAGAGACAGAGTGAAAGTTGTCAGGGTGAAATATAATAAAGCCACCTTGACAGGCAGTAGAATGATACAGAAAGGAGGGAGTGGCTACTTGGTCCTAAAATCAGTTCCTTACCATGCCATCCTGGAGATGAAGCATGGTGAACCTTGGCAACTATCTTAGATGATGAAGGTGAATGGCCAAGTTAAGGGCCAGCCACAGATCAGTTTACTAAGTGTGGTCTGTGAGATGCCTGAATTGTGCATAACATCAAAGGCTAGCTAGCCCTGTCAGGTGCAGCTAGGAAAGCCATACAGTGGCAAAGGTAATTCGTAAACCTATGAACTGTTCAATCAAGTTCTGAGACAAAGAGAGTCAATCTTGAGGAGAAGGCATGTGGAAGATTCCAGGAAAGGAGTAACAGAATGAAGACAGACATTGTTCAATGGTCTACAGCAATGTGGCTTTTACACCCAAGACAGGAAGCTAGGAAGAAGCCCTTCAGAACTAACCACTGAGAGTAGATGGATAAGGTGTACTCATCCTTGTCCCTTTTGTTCTAAAACTATCCCTCACACATTAGATGAAGTAAGTATCATATTTAAGGTTCATTTCTATTCTAATCTTTTGTCTTATATAATTAGATGGTTTTTAAGAACTTCTTTTGAAAAATAATGTTATATAACTGAAATTTGGGTTGCTCTAAAACTAATTTATATAGCTCTTAGAAATTGATTGAATTTAACTTCCTCCATTTAATATTATAATCAGCATTTTTTTTCTTTAACAAGTTTGGAATGTAAAAGTAGTTTAGTTTGTAACAGATTTGCTATTTTTTCCAAAATAACAATTTTAAGATATGTAAATGGATCATCTGATTACTCATATACACGCAAAATGCTTGAAAATATACTGCACATCTAGAAAAGCTGACTAAAGGATTAACTTTTGCTTTACTTTCCTGGACTTTGTGGGGGTGGAAGAATATTTAGGTCCTCGTACAACCTATGTGTACCAATAGGTTCTCTTTATCTTATTGCCATTATTATGCCCAGGGCACAAAACAAATGTTGCAAGAATTGGGGTAGTATTAATTGGAGAAGGAATGGAGTAGAGGCATAGGTAGCCTTAAAAATAACTAGAACTCTCTTTAACATGTCAACTTTTGGATGTGGTTGGTACCAAGCTCTAATTTTAAGCTCCACTACATAATGAGCATGATATTGCTATCATCTCCTTAAAACATCTTCAGTGTTTAATTTGGTACCTAGGACGGACTGGTGTCAATCCACAGAGCGAAGGATGGTGCTTATCAGAGAATTTGAATTCACAGAGTAAGAAAAAGATAAAATCAGGGGAAAGGAGGATGGGACATACAGTCAAGTTTTTATAAGGTACTTCACTCAATGAAAATTTCATTGCACCCATGTAATATGGGAGAAAGGAAGCTATGAAATGAAAGAGATAGGAAAAAACTCTCAGAAGTATAATGGTCCTTGAAATGTGTATTATTCTTTATCCAGAGTTCAAAGAATATCTATAATAGAAATAATATTATGCTTTCATGAAAATGCATTTGTCGTTGATTAAAATAGAGTCACATGATAAAAATCTTGTGGGACATGCTCTACAGGAATTAGGGGAGTAACGTGATAAATGGAAATTGAAATTGCTTCAGGTTCATATGGAGGAGACAGTATAATCATAATGATGATAGCTTGCATTTGTAAAGGATTTTCGTTTTCAAAGTGCTTTCATACCCATCATTTCTTCTGATCCTTTCAACAACCCTGTGAGCTGGGTAGGGCAAGTGTTATCCCCATTTTAAAGGAAAGGAAACTTTATATCTTTTTCAAATAGGTAATTTTATGTTTAAAGTGATTGTGTAATATCTTACTCTTCTTGATACAAAGGCATTATAAAATATTTTGTAAAAATGAGAATAAGTAAAGAAAATTTCCTGGAAAAAGTAGGCAATTAAAGAGGCGAAAACTGTGTGAACATGTATATGCATTTGATATGGTAAGTGGGACATGGAAATTATTTTGCATAACATAGTTTAAGTTGTTTCTTTATCCTTTTAGATATTTTCATATAAGTATCTGGCTGGCTATCATCTCAAATTTCATACATCAGAAACTTACCCACATCTCTCAATTCTTCAATCTTGGTATAACACCTTTGCTCATTTATTTATCCAGACTTGACACCTTTGTTTCAGTTTGGCCACTTTTTTTTTTTTTTTAATGTAACTGTCTCAAATCAATCACCCCATCCTCTTTTTTCTTCCTTTCACAGCTGTTGTCCCAACCTTAACCCAGATCTTCACTGACTCAATTCTACACTCCACTTCAGTTTATCTACTTTTCAATCTACCTTCAACCTCCCTCAACACATCACTGGGTGCAATCTTTTCTTCACAGTCATTCATTAGACCCATATTTTTTTTAACTCTCTGGAGTAAAAAGTACTTTCACTGCCTTTCAGAATCCTTTATATCTAGATAAAATAACACAAAATTTCCAAACATACTCTTTTCTTTTTTAATAAGCTCTGGAGCCTCCTATACCCTCCAATAGTTTATGATCTTTCCTTTCTCAAGCCCTCAATGTCTTGCTCCATTTATGTGGAAAGGAAAGTTTCCTCTTATTTGTTGCAAATATTTCTTTTTGTAAGCTTTACTCAACTGTCACTTCCAGGAGTCTGATTCCCCATAAAAGACCCTCTTTTCTGAATACCTATTTGATTTGTACTCTTTGATATTCAAGTAGTATTAATAGGACAATGTTTTACACTGAAAGTGATCCACATGTATTAACCTGTGTCTTCAGATATAATACTGAAGGTCTCTGACATGAAGCGATATATTTTAATATTGTTTTGACAACATCAGGCATGAATAAGTGATGTGAGTGGATCGTTTTAGTGAATAACTATATCAAAAATAAAAACAAAATGCTTGAAAATAAATGCACTTATTCATCTCAATCAGGCAATTTGTTAAACACTGAGAATATAATGACTATAAGATTAACCTGTTGCCTACCCTCACTGGGCTTATGGTTTATTACTATGAAGAAAACAAATTAATAAACACTCTCAGTGGGAAAATTCTGGATGCCTACAATCACGTAAGGTGGCAAAGATAAATAACGTAGAAAATTTGACGAGTCTTTATTACGAAAGAAGCTCACAAATGAAATAACCCTTTTTGCTTCATGAAGCATGAAGAGTTAATGAATATTGCTCTTTTACATATGGCAGCACAGGGACCATAAATAGTTCAACATTATATGAAATATGAAGATAAGTGAAATGCCTGGCATTTCAAGTTGGCAGCTGGAGACAAAATGATTTATAATTCAATGATATATATTTTTATATTCACCAAACACTGTAGGGCTAACATCATTTAATTTTTAAATAGAAATGAATAATTATAATTATCCTAATAAGCATTTAAAATAGCTTGAGGAACTTTAAAATTTTGGTTATTCACTAACAGAATAAATAAATTATGTTAATTTTAGTTAATTCTTCAAATTTATACAGTAATATTGAATTTAACTTGCAAATGTTTGATAATCCAAGTCATCACAGAACAATCTGCTTAGTTGATGCATTTTCTTTATGCATCAGTATGTATTACATGCAGATTTTTGCAAGATGAACATTTATTTGAGAGTGTTAAACCATAAAAAATAACCAGTGACAATCTTAAAGATAACTATTTCAAAGGAGTTATTTTGGTTACATTTTAATAAAAAGAACCTCACTGCAGTTTTTTTTTTTTTTTTAATTCTAATGCTGGCTTGATGCTGATAAATAACACATATTTAACTTCCATCCCAAATGTATTTTAACTAGCATGTGTTCATTTTTTGACAATGTTAAGTATGATTTTCTCAATCATAGAGGAAATAAAAGGAGAAAGAAAACATCTGCAATAGAAAACCAAATAAATTTTTATGATATTAATTTGATTATATAATTTATTTATAACTTGGAGGGATCAAATAACTATATTAGAGATAGGCTATATTTCCAATCATCAATAAAATTTATATTATCAACAGAACTTTAATGTTTCAAAGATTATTTCTATTTTTCCCTATGGACAGATTCATTATACTGAGAGAAAGGAACAACAAGGAAAAATGCCACAGAAACAGTGACCAGGTAGATGGAAAGAAAACCAAAGAAAAATAATGTCACAGAACTAAAAGTGAGAACACTATCAAGAAGTAAACAGGCCATATTAGATGCAGCAAAAATAATACATTTGATGAGGGACAAAAACAGGTTAACTGACTTAGTAACTAGGTTATAGGTAAATACTGCAGTCTGAGTATGATTGGGAGAAGGTTAAGAGCATGCACACCAAACATTTGTTATCATTTCAAAGAACTTGATAGAAATTAAAAATAGTGGCCTTAACTGATGTATAAATGTGGGTTGAAGGAAATAGAGGGAACATAAGCCCATTTGTAAACAGAAAATATGAAAATGGTAGAAAAAAAGAAATTAAGATGAGAAATGAAATAGGTTAAGTAATGGAGTAGGATTTTGAAAGGTGGAAAGATGGAGAAACTGAAAGAACAGGTGGAAGAGTTAGTGTTAAGAAGGACCCCTTTTTCTCTGAGATAAGAAGGAATGCTGGAACAAGTTATCCACATGGGAAATGGTAAAATCAGATCCTGACTACATTTCATACAGATATACACACATACACAATTCACAGAGTCTTAAAGATCTAAATATAAATATTAAAACTTTAAAATCGTAGAATTTAATATAGGAGCATGTGACTTCTGTGGAGAACAAGCAGGCTTAAATGTCCTTAGTGAGGTTGGAAACAGGGTCGTGGCTGTCGTTGGGGTCATCTCTTCCCTTTGGAGAATTTCCCTTTACTACCTGGTCACTGAGAGTTTCCCTGGCTTCTCTTACTGGGATTGTACTTGATGAAATTTTGTTCTCTTGTATGATAAATGTTTGGGGTCCTCTTTTTGCTGACTTGGTCTCATCTTGACTCTTGGTGCACTGGTGGACCTTCTGAACACAATCACACCCTCCACCCAGCTTCTGTCTGAGCTGCCAGACCTCAGATTCTGTGGGGGAAGACACTCATTCTCAGTTACGGAGCCCTTGCTGCAGGTAACCTACTTCTCAATGCATAGATCATGCTGCCCACCACAAGGCAGGTAGAAACTTCTGCATCTGTTAAGGACACCTGTGATGACTAATTTAAATCCTTTCGGTGCTTAAACATTTTCTGAAACACTTTTTAACTCTTACTGGACCCCCACCACTGATGCTGGCCTATTTTAAGTAGCCTTTCAATAAGAAGAGACACAAGCATCTGCTCCTTTTCGTTCTCCACTTCTACGATTTCAAACAGGAACAGACATGTGGTTAACTACTTGCTTCTTTTTTTCCTACATTCTAAAGGACCAGAAAGAGTAAGCTTTCCCGTTTCTCTTTCCATCGAATCTGAATTTATCTTACATCATTTGGCCATTATTCTTATAGGCCAGGAGCCTCATGACCTAGTAAACTCAGGTGGAAACAGTATCCTCTCCATAATATAAAACTAACTCTCCAATGAAGGTCTACCAGGGGTGGCTCTTGATATAGACTGATGAGACAACTAGGGACCAGAAATTTCCAAGAAAGAAAATACATTGGTTGGCTTACATCTCAGAAATATTATGCCTATTATATATTTTTTCAAAGAAGAAATGACAGGCCTCAATAATGGATTGGATGTGAGGAGTGAGGGAACCTGGGACATAGGTATCTTTCTCCCCATTTTGCAGATGAATAAACCAAGTCTTCGGAGGAATTAAATAATCTGCATCACATCAAATGAAGGAAAGTCAGAATTCCAACACAGGTCTGAAACCAAAACGCATGCTCTTTCTACAGTTTAAGAAAATGTGTACACCACACACACACACACACACACACACAATTTTGAGAAGCATATAGTCTACCACCATTAAAGTTTCTTATCACCTGATGGGTGATAAAACACAATAGCCAAACATCTGTGAAATCAGGTTAGTCATCATAATAGTCTAACTATTATGATGTTTAATGAAACAGTATTAAAACAGCATATTTTTATAGATCTTAAAGGAGTACAGTTTTTTTCTTTTTTTTTTTTGAGCTTGAGAGAAACCAAAGCTAAGATGTTTCCAGATTTGGCATATGTCCTTAGGATAAAAGCAATTTTTTCTCACTCAATTCCTGCCCGCATTTATATTTTGGCCTAGATGATTATTCTCTTGTTTGCACTTCTATATGTTTGGATGCTTTTACATTTTATCTCTTCTTTTAGTTTTTTGTTTTTGTTTTTGTTTTTTGTTTGTTTGTTTGTTTTTTAGTGGAAGAAGCAGTCAAGAAACTTGGTCCACCCTATTAGTGGAAATGAGAGTGCAGTTTAAATATTATTTGTTGTTTTATATGCTATCATCTTTAGGGATTTAAAAAGTTTCGCTAGGTTTATTCCAGATAAAATTTATTATCAAAGCTGATATCAAAAATATCTCCAAGCATACTATCATAGTAATATGAATGCTAGAAAGTACTACATTTTTACTCACAAACACTTGGATGCATAGTTTAATAAATATTGACCTCACCATATGTGACTGAAGTTGTACAATCAGTCAAGGGAACATAAACCACTGCATTTAAACCTGTGAAAAACGATCTAGGCCTAATTTTATTACTTTTCTTGCCACTGCTATTATTGATAGAAATACAATTAAATAATTAAGATGAACCAATCCATTGGAAGATTACTAAAATTGTATCTTCCCAATGCCTCCTACAGTAAGATTTCTTTATAATTATAACCCTTGGAGACAATTTGAACTTTATTTAAATGTTCTGCTCAAATCTAAATTTCCTTCTCCTAGGCTGAAGCCTGATCTAAATAAGGAAGTAGTTGGGATATATCCACAGGCTGTCGAACATGGAGCTGCATCTGAGAAACAGGTGGCAGCAACCAAAAGCAAAGCAGGGACTGAGAACAGGCAGGTTCCAAGAGCAAAATGGAACTTGAAAGCCAAGTATGGTTCACTGTAAAGGAGAAAATATAGAAATACGGAACTAGAACACCTGGTCTGGGATGTGGTAAGCACCCAAAATATAGGAAAACTGTATGAATTCTTGTGAAGCAGTAAACTATGATAGTAATCATGTGACACATATGATAACAAACTCAAAACAGGGAAAAGAGGGGCTTTATTCAATGCTGGAGATAAGTGAAAAAAAAAGTGAAGTGTCTCAAGGACAGAAGTTATCATCTCAAAAAGGCATATCAGCTAGATCTCGCGGAAACCATATGATTATCATAATTCTAGACTCTGTTCAGTATTACAAAGGCCATAGTTTATGAGTAGTCTGTTTCTCTCATTTATCAACAAATAACTTTGCTGCAACTGTAGCGAAATTTTACAAAGGACAATTCTTCTGTCTCCTAGACACATCTATTGTTTTCAGGGGTATACTAGTTTCTATGAAATTGAACTTTAAATGTACATATATTATTTATTCATATATGCCTAAAATACATGAAATGTATTATTCATATATGCCTAAAATACATGAAATGTTAAGAAATACATAATTAAACTCTCAAATGCACATTTATCTTTGGAAATAAGAGTTTGTCTAACTCAAAAGCTATATATATTGAAAAGATTAAATATAGCAAGCCATGCCCAATCTTACTTCGATACTGTGAGTTCAAAGCACCAGAGATAGCTCCAAATGGCTGACCTTATAACTTTATTGGCACACATTAAAATGTGTTATAGTTTGCAGAGAATTAAGAAGGCATAAACGGATATAAGCATAAATGTTACCTTGAAGGTAAAACAATTAAGTGGATATCTGTTTTTGATTGTAGTTGTTTAAGGAAAATCAAAGAATAAAACGTAGTTTATCTATCCAAGGAAACATTGAAGAGCATGTGTTCTAGAAAGAGGCAACTATATTAAACATGACTTCAAGAGCGCTAGCCAGTAATCTCATTGCTTTGTTAAATTCTTTAAATAAATCATAGGAAAATTTCACATATCATTCTCACAATCTATTATTTACTTCTTCATGATGGTGAACATTGACAACTCTATTAATATTGATAATTATAATTTATTTGTATCTTGAAAACTTTGCAGAACTCTAAGCTAAGCCTAAGGTCAGTGAACACTGGTTTTATGGATGTGTAATTCTGACATTTGTTTGGAGGTATTCATTCTGAATTTTCAATGGTTTACATGAAAATCACTCTATTTTCCTAGTTCCTAAGATGCATGGGGTGTATTTGAGCAGAGTGGGTGGATAAAATACTGAGTCTTCTTTGGGAAATATTAGTATAGAAAAGGACACTCTCACATGTTCAAGAACACTAAAGCACAACCTATTCCTAAGGACTTAACTTTCTACCTACTAGAGAACAAATAAGCATACATTTTTAATTGCCTCAGGCTATGAAAGTGGTATCATCTAAAAGAAAACTGATCTCATGGGATCAGTTTAAGAAAAAAAAAAAAAAAAAAAAAAAACAGTTAACCTTTGATGATATCTCCTCAAAATGTTAAGGCTGTTACCAAAAGAATATATTCAGTTTCTCTTGACAACTCATTTTGGACATGATTTATTTTAAATTCTTCAAGATTCTTTTGTTTAGCCCACATGATATTTTGAGGGCCACAAAATCCATAAATTAAGCACAAAATTTGTAAGTCAGTGTGTTCCAAACTTACCTTCTCACAAGACTCACTTGGGGTACTTTATTCAGACTCCAGACCTTCAATAAACTATACTTTTAAATTACACTAGTTGTGATACTTAAAATATGGAGTCTGGAATCCATTGATACATGTAAAATTTTTTAATAATTATTCCAGGATTTAGAAAATATATCTGTTTAGTCTATCAGTACCAGCCACAATTTTATTAACTCTGCCTTTTATTCCTGACTTAGTATACTTTAGATTATTTTTACATCCTTTCCAACTTGTAAACAATACTTTTTACTTCAGTGGCTCTTCCTCAGCTTCACTGTATGTATTTTAACACACATGAGACCCAGAGTTGTATATAGTATTCCAGGTAGGGTAAATTGACTAAACTTGGCACTCATCTTTGTTACAAGTTCTCTCCTTTGCCGGAGTGAATGATGTGGAACTGCAGAATCCAGCTGACCCCCAAGGTCAGAAACTAATATGAACTTTAATCAGAAAGACAGGAAAATACCCTCAATGTAGAAGAAATTAAGAAACTCATGAACATCAGGGTCAAGAGAATCTGCAGGGAGTCCTGCTTTGACTTGGCCTATTTCTCCTCTGATTTGACTACTCTTCTAATCCCTGTTCCATCTAGTAATCAAATTTCTTTTATTCCAGTAATTTGAGGCTCAGTTTTGACAACTTGCCAAGTACCCTGCTTCCTCAATGGGAGATGTCATGCCTTATACTTGCTAGCCTCCCATAACACAGATTTCTGTCTTTCTCTTACCCATTCTTTCTGGTGCTAGTAATTGCCTCTGCTACAGGCAGGTAAGTGGTAACCTTTCTGGGCTCATACATATAACCTTCTTCTAAAGCATTATCTTGTATTTGCTGACAATAAAACTTCTATACAATTTTATTTCTTCACTCAGATCCACTTGAAATATTTCTGACATACCTGGAAATCCTTAGTATTATCTGCTAAATTACAAATTTTACTGGTCAAGCACTGTCAGATGTTTTGTAAAAATGTAAAATAAAACTATTCCAAGTACTGAGCCTTAGTTCAAATTTTTTCTTTCAAAGAAGTGCCTGCCCTTGTTCCTTGAGTATAAGTCAATTTTCTATTCATGACAACATAAGCTATCTTACAATGACTTAGATTTTAAATGGTCTTTGGTGTGTCACCTTTACAAAGGGCTTTTTAAAGCAAACACATTATGTATGGTACATTTTTCTTGTAAACAGACTTACTTATTCTTCAAATAACTCTAGAAGCTTTTCACTTTCGGAAAATGTTACCTTGCTTCATTCTATTCTGCTTATTTGAGTCCACCAGTTTGCAAGGAAAGAAAATGGAAATCACAGTCTTTTTTGGAGATTTTTACAATGGCAGTTGTGTTTCTCAATCAGCCAAGGCTCTGGTAGATTGAGAATTTATAAAGACTAGTCGATTTATTTTGGCCAAGGACTTCTCATTTCACTCTTACATATTTCAAAATCTTCGTTGGATGACATATTCTAATAAAGTATTTATATCTACTTTGGCAAATAAGTTGAATGCTTATTATTACTTATTATAATATTAGCAAAAGGAATCAAAATCATTAGAAAGGACAGTCCTCAAAAAAGCATGAATTTGCGTACCACTTTTGTACCATTAACATTCATGTGTTCAATTCTTACAAATGGGATCAAATAATTCTTCCTATAGGTTCCTGATAGTGGGATTAGCGTGTTCCATAAAATAGCTTTTGTTCTTTAACTCTGTGAGAATAAAACTTCTATTAAATTAGGTATAAAATACCTACTTTATTCTTTCATTCAAGATGTATTTATTAAACATCAGAATGTGCTCTCAGACTGTAAAAAGCAAAAATTATGGTAAGTGATAACTCTAAACTTTAAGAAGCTCAGAATAATAAAGAATCATATGGTTCTTTAGGGACTTGGCTCATACTGGAAACTAGGACAGTTTGTATCCACCACAGTATTGGGTATTGTTTGTGGGTTGCAGTCAAGATACTGAATGGCAAATAATAGAAAATGACTCTGAATATCTTGAGCAGAAAATAACCTAAATATATAAGTGATGTGTGGTTCACAGAACATAAAGAAAGCATAAATGCTTGAGGTGATGGCTGCCCCATTTACTCTGCTGTGATTATTACACATTATGTGTCTGTATCAAAATATCTTATGTATCCCCTAAATATATACACCTACTATGTACCTGCAAAAATTAAAAATGTAAAAATTTTCAAAAAAGGAATCAATGAGAATAAAGGTGATTCAGGCTTGAAAATGTTCAGAAATCAAAGGAAGTTGGTTGGTTAGAACCACAAGCAAAATGATTCCACTGACTGTGTTTTTAGTGTTCTATTTATTTTCATTTTCATTTTCATTAATTAATTAAATTTTGTCTTTTAGGTTCAGGAGTACATGTGTAGGTTTGTTATACAGGTAAACTCATGTCAAGGAGGTTTGTTGTACAGATTATTTTGTCCCTCAGATACTAAGCTTAGTACCCAACAGTTACTTTTTCCGATCCTATCCCTCCTTGCACCCTCCACCCTCAAGTAGGCCATAGTGGGTGTTGTTTCCCTTTTTGTGTGCATGAGTTCTTATCATTAGGTCCCACTTATGAGTGAGAACATGCAATACTTGGTTTTCTGTTCCTGCATTAGTTTGCCTCCAGCTCCATCCATGTTCCCACAAAAGACATGATCTCATTTATTTTTATGGCTGCATAGTATTCCATTGTGTATATGTACCACATATTCTTTATCCAATCTGTCGTTGGTGAGAATTAGGCTGATTCCATGTCTTTGCTATTGTAAATAGTGCTGCAATGAACATTGATATGTGTTTAAGGTAGAATGATCAGTAAAATAGTTATTGATGGAACATATTTCAAAATAATAAGAGGTACCTATGACAAACTCACAGACAATATCATACCAAATGGGGAAAAGCTGGAAGCATTCCCTTTGAAAACCAGCACAAGACAAGGATGCCCTTTGTCATCACTCCTATTCATGATAGTATTGGAAGTCCTGACCAGAGTAATCAGGCAAAAGAAGAAATAAAGAGCATCCAAATAGGAAAAGAGGAAGTCAAACCATCACTCTTTGCAGATGACATGTTCCTATATCTAGAAAACCCTATAGTCTCAGCACAAAAGCTCCTTCAGCTGATAAACAACTTCAACAAAGTTTCAGGATACAAAATGAGTGTACAAAAATTACTAGCATTCCTATAGACTAACAACAACCAAGCTCATATCCAAATCACAAACACAATCCCATTCAAAATTACCACAAAAAGAATAAAACAGCTAGGATACAGCTAACTAGGAGGTGAAAGATCCCTAAAAGGAGAAATACAAAACACAGCTTGAAGAAATCAGAGATGAAACAAACAAATGGAAAAGCATTCCACGCTCATGGATAGGAAGAATCAGTATCATAAAAATGGCCATACCACCCAAAGATTCAATATTATTCCTATCAAACTACCAATGACATTCTTCACAGAACTAGAGAAACAGTATTTTAAAATTAATATGAATCCATAAAAGAGCCTGAATTGCCAAGGCAATCCTATGCAAAAAGGACAAACCCGGAGGCATCACGCTACCTGACGTCAAACTATATTGAAGGGACACAATAACCGAAGCAGCATAGTATTTGTACAAAAACAGACACATTGACCAATGGAACAGAATAGAGACCCGAAGATGAGGCCACACACTTAGAACTATCTGCTCTTCAACAAAGCTGACAAAAACAAGCAATAGGGAAATAATTCCCTGTTCACTAAATGATGCTGAGATAACTCACTAGCCATGTGCAGAAAATTGAAACTGGACTCCTTCCATATATCATAAACAAAAATCAACTCAAGGTGGATTGGAGATTTAAATGTAAAACCTGAAACTATAAAAACCCTCAATGATGACCTAGGTAACACCATTCTGGACATAGGAACAAGCAAAGATTTCATGATGAAGATGCCGAAAGCAATTTTAACAAAAGCAAAAATTGACTAAAGAGCTTGGCACAGTAAAATAAACTATCAACAGAGTAAACAGACAACCTACAGAATGGGAGGACATTTTTGCAAACTATGCCTCTGACAAAGGTCTAATATCCATCATCTATAAGAAACTTAAATTCATAAGAAAAAAAAATAACCCCATTAAAAAGTGGGCAAAGGACATGAACAGATACTTCTGAAAAGAAGACACACATAAGGCTAACAAGCATATGAAAAAAAGCTCAATATAACTGATCAGTACGGAAATACAAATCAAAACCACAATGAGATACCATCTCACAATAATCAGAATGGATATTATTAAAAAGTAAAAAAAAAAAAAAAAAAAAAAAAAAAAACAGATGCTGGCATGGTTGTGGAGAAAAAGGGAACACTTACACACTGTTGGTGGGAGTGTAAATTAGTTCAATCCTTGTGAAAAGCAGTGTGGTGATTCCTCAAAGACCTAAAATCAGAATTACCATTTAACTCAGCAATCCCATAACTGGGTATATACCCAAAGGAATATTACTACTATTTATTTATTTTTTAGAGACAAGGTCTGACTTTGTTGGCTGGAACTCATCAACTCAAGTGGTTCTCCCAGTCATCCTCCTGGGACTACAATCTCATGCCAGCACACCTGACTAGCTTATTTTATTTTTATTTTTTAAGAGACAAGGTATCCCTATGCTGTGAGGGCTGGTATCAAACTCCCAGCCTCAAGTGATCCTCCAACCTTGGCCTCCTGAGCAGACAGTTTTTAAATTGCTACTGGCCCCATTGTTCCCACCTCTATTACTGTATGCAGGCTACTGCTGCTGCTACCACATGCAGAATAGATTTTGAACTATTCTTGTTGCTTTATGATACATTCAGACTAAAGCAATGCTAGGAGAACGCTTTTGATTGGCTGAATGTAGGTGAATGTGTGCCGCTCACGTGCCAGAGTTCTCAGAAGGCAAATACCTGCCCTTTTTTCTGCCAAAATAGTGGACTCCAGTCACAGATGTTCACTAAAATTAGCCCAGTAATTTTTATTTGCTGTTATTGACTTGTAAAGTCATACTAGACTTTCTCCATTAGCAGCCAAGAAGTACCACCTCTCTAACATTTATCCCTCTTTCTTTACATTTTGAAGCCCCTAGTATGGTTTTTATATGAATGACTTCATTTGTTGCCAAGCACTCTAAAGCATTTTTTGTTTTGTTTTGTTTTTAGTTTTTTACAAAAATTCATGTAAGAAACTTTATACTCTGGTCAGCTCTTCTGCTAATCACAACTGAGTGTTTTATTAGCGGGCTGCACACAGCATCAATATCATCTTCCACAAGACAGAATTCTCACTGACTGCATGTGTGTTTGTGTTATTTCCTGAAATCATCAGTGCTGTCTCTCTATATATGTATAATAAAAGCTACACTGGCATTTGACAACTTTATTTTTTTCCCAAGAAACCTGTTCATAAAGACATTATCTTCAAAGGATTTATCTTTAGAAATAGTTCTCTAAATTGTTGATGAATCTAAAGTTTTCTCATCTCTAATGATGTGTATATCACAGCACAGTATTTCACAAAGCAGCCCCCTTAGGAACTTTGAATTTTGTATTCAGTCTACTCAGTTAAGTAATACGTAAAATTTTCCTGCCCCCTTCTCTCTCTCTCTCTTTCTGTGTGTGTGTGTGTGTGTGTGTGTGTGTGTGTGATAATCATAAATTTATTCCCTATTTTTAATAAACTTGTGCTCCATAGGTTAAACATTATTTCATTTTATCTATGATGTTACTCTCACAATCATAAGGAATTCAATGCAGAAATACAAGGAGGAAGTAAGTTCCAAGTAGTTTTTTGTTGTGGCTTTTTTTGTGACGGAGAAAGAGTGAGAGACGCAGAATGTCACCGTGCATCACGAAATACGTTATACTAAAAATCTTTTAAAATCTTCCTCGGATATTGCTGTATATCTGTTTCATAGTGAAAAGTAAAATAATAGCAATGCCTGTTATCACAAATTAATTTCCTCAGATAATATTAAATATATGAATGTGCTTAGCTCAGGTCTTGACAGAGTAAATACTGAGTGAATGTGGATGTAATGAATCTGCTTCTACAGGGGTTGTCATTGGGGCTTCCGTGAGGAGGAGCAAGAGGATGGGGTTATAAGGATAAGGAAGTAGCACAATTAATTCTTACTCTCGCTCACATCATAGGCCAGGCTGTGTTTGCTCAGTTCTTTAATTTCAGCACTACCACTCTTTGAGGATTTTTACCCAGAGATGGGTAAAAATTATTATGGGTAACATTATTATTATCATAATAATCTTATTAATGAAACTGTCTTTGTCTCACTTTTCTGGAACAATGCAATTTTGCAACCTCTGACAATCTAAGGCAGCTATATATACTGCCCACATAGTGACCCTCACCTCCTGCTTCCACAAAGTGAATAAATTGAAATACCCTCATTCTGTTTCCAGGCTTCTACAAACTTGCACATTTATACGACCTGAAAATATTTCTGACCACCTAAACATCTGTAGTTTGTGTAATTACTCAGATTCTAAACACTTCCACCTAGCTTTACTGCAGATTTTACATTGCCATTCACTTGCTGCACACTGCCTTTTTCTGCTGCTCTCGTATTTTCCTTTTCTTTGTTCCTGTTTCTGACTCTTACCATTCTAACATACTAATTTTACTGAACATATCATATGGTTCCCCGTTTAACAGACTCATGATTAGTTTACACCCAAGCACAAAACACTTTATGTGTGTATGGTTGTGTATATGTGTGTGTGTGTGTGTGTGTGGTTGTATGTAAAATTTCCCATGTTCTAACTACTCTAAAACTACTTTTCATTTACGTTAAAATTAATAACTTCTTATTCTTGACAATCCTGTTACTTTAGCAGCAGGTTCAGTAGGTTAGGATGCTCATCTTAGTCTTCCTATCCAAATTTTTACTCATAACTAAGTTAAATCAGGTAAGTAGTAGTAGTTCCCCTGTAAACACTAAAACTAAATATTTATTGTCTTTTACAGCTTAATTCTTCAATGCTCACTGGAAGAAATACTGGTTATTTTAATACATCCTAGAACAAAAATTGTATACCTGCCCTTAGAAACAAAATGGTGCAAGGACTAAAATTATTCAAAATTTACGTGGCTGTGTAAAGCATCACTGTTGGAATTGTGTCCCATTGTTGTTAATAACATTTGAAATTGATGGAATTAAGATGAACAAAGGCCAAATAAGACTCCCTGCTGAAATCATAGCTGGTGTTGCATGTTCAGTATCTGAATGTCTCTAATCCGTCTGTTTTGAAACTGTGCCACCAAAGTGATGTTCTGTTTTAATTCATTATATTAACTGATTTGATGCCTAAATAGTTTTCTTTGGGAAGAAAAAAATTCGTAAGAATTTTTAATGGTTTGCTATAGGCTAATATACTGCAATTGGAGAGCACTTTCCTATAACTACTTAAACTAAAGCATTCTGTGAGAGCTAGGTATTCTTTATTCACTAGTATCATTTATTTTCCTTATTCTTTCAGAATAAGTAATTCAGCTAGTTCATTTGCAGCATTAAAATGCTGGGTTGTTTTTAAGTTTAAAAGTAACATGTTTCAATGAAAAGTAAAGCCAATGATTAAAGGGGGAAGAAATCCTCCTAGTAATGTCTTCCACAACCTACCCCCCTGAAGCTCTTTGAATGTCCTTCATGTCTCCTTTAAATTCAGCTCAGAAGTAGGAAACAACTTAACTGGGTTGAAGAGAGAATTCACAGTCAGAGAGGAGAAACAATCTGCAGAACCAAGACTTTCAGTCTGAGGTATTTATTGACAGAAAATTACCACAGTTTCCTGCAGAGGCTTGTCTATATCTCTTTCTTTTGACCTTTATCAAGTTAAATAAATAAATAAATAAATAAATAAATAAATACTAGTTTTTTCCACTGTAATTGTTAAGTTTGATGCCAGTTTTCTTGTCAAGAATTTATTGGATTTCAAGAGGACAGTGTGAGCACTGCTCAGTAAATAATCAGGGCTGCTCTCCACTGTGTCCAGGGGAGGGTGTGGCCTGAGGACAGCGATAAACTTCAGTACAAAATACATGTCTAGAACAGAAGCAAGCTCAAAAACTCTTTCCCAAAAGACTAGTTTCTGGTCAGACAAATCATGTATTCATAGGTTCAAAATCCCTTATGCATATAGCTCAAGCCTAAAACCTTTTTAAAGTTAAAAGCTTTGTTTCCTAATTCATGCGATGGAAAAACTTGACCTGATCTAAACTAACGTGCCAGACAAACTTGCCATGAAGTTGATGGGGAATTATTGTAGTTTTGTTTATTTATGAATACTAAGTTTATTTCAGTGTATAACTGTTAATTTCTTTGATTATGGGTTGCTGACTGATATGGTTTGGTTGTGTCCCCACCCATATCTCATCTTGAATTGTAGCTCCCATAATTCCCACATGTTGTGGGAGGGACCTGGTGGGAGATAACTGAATCATGGTGGTGGGTCTTTCCCATGCTATTCTCATGATAATGAATAAGTCTCAGAAGATCTGATGGCTTTATAAGGGGGAGTAAATTTCCCTGCACAAGTTCTCTTATCTTGTCTGCTGCCACGTGAGACGTGCCTTTCACCTTCCACCATGATTGTGAGGCCTCCCCAGCTACGTGGAACTGTGAGTCCATTAAACCTCTTTCTTTTGTAAATTGGCCAGTCTCAGGTATATCTTTATCAGCAGCCTGAAAGCAGACTAATACACTGACCAAATGCTACTGGGAGTGTTGCGTAAAACATGGTATATGCACTATATTATTTTTCTAATTATAAATTCCAAAACATATGTCTAAGCATTTTAGATATAATTTTGTGCATCAAAATTATAATAGTACATTATCACATAACTAAGTATCCCTACAAATAAATTATATGTAAAATTTTAAACTACGTTTGTAATATACACATCTTTCTGTATCTAGACTTCTTTCTCTTTGAGAAAGAGGGAGAGAATAGCGCTTGCACATATCTAAATAGATACATGTACTTTTTATGTTTCTTATATATTTGACTTATTTCGTTTTTCAGTTACAAATTCTCAGCAGAAGAGTGAAATACATCAAGAAACATCAACTCAATGAAACTTCTGCGTGTATCACGAGTTGGAGACTTGTTGAAGTACAGTGGTATGATAGAATCACATAGTTTTAGAAATCAGAGTGATCTTAGAACCATTTAAGACATTCCCTCATTACCACATGAGAAAATTTAAAAAGGAAGGAAAAGGTGACTTTTTTTAAGCTCAGAGAATAAGTGACAGCATAGATCTGGAATCATTTTTCTAAACTTTAAATCAATGGGATATAGCTTTTTAAAATTCCAGTCCACTGTGATTTGAGGCCTTTTAATATTACTTATTTGCTAGGATATCTTACCTATAATAATGAGATAAAGCAAAAGGACAGGGTGAAATTCTAATAACACTCAAGTGGTCTGGGATGAAAGATACTATAAAAGTGTTATTTCTTAATGGAAGAAAAGTATGGGAGAGATTGCTATGTCTTGTGACACAATTCACAGAAATCAATATATTCTCAAAAATTATAGAAAAGGTCTATGCTTTTCCTAGCCTTTGAATTTTGTGAGGCACCTGAAAAAATAGTGATTTTTCCTGACAGATATAAACCTTATTGAAAGATATGAAAAATTATCAAACAACATATAATGGTATTATAAGAAAATGAGGCTGCGCTAGTGGCTCATGCCTGTTAATTCTAGCACTTTGGGAGGCTAAGGCAGGCAGATCACTTGAGGTCAAGAGTTTGAAACCAGCCTAGCCAGCATGGTGAAACCCTGCCTCTACTAAAAAAAAAAAAAAAAAAAAAAAAAAAAAAAAAAAAAAAAAAAAAAAAAAATACAAAAATTAGTTGGGCAGGATGGCAGGCACTTGTAATCCCAGCATCCCAGTTACTCGGGAGGCTGAGGCAGGAGAATCGCTTGAGCCTGGGAGGCAGAGGTTGCAGTGAGCGGAGATTGTGCCACTGCACTCCAGCCTGGGTGACAGAGTGAGATTCCATCTCAAAAAAAAAAAAAAGAAAAAAGAAAACAAAAGAAAAAAGAAAATGAAAATGAGACATATTTCTCTAAAATTGCTATGTAGTATGTAGGTGGCTTTGTTTTCAAGAGAATTTCTACGGAGTGTTTTTTTTCCCCGAACACCACGGTACAGTTTGTCCTCTCATCTGTCTTAAATAACCTAAGATATTAGTATGTTAGGTCATATAGAGGCTATTTCCTACTATTCTCCAATCATCTTAATCCTTTGCCACTGTTGTGAAAATCTGATTTGACAGGAATAGTATCCAGCTGTTATCATGTGTTTGTATATTGTGTGAACAGCACATGTTGTACAGATGCAGACTGACAAACTCCCAGGATACCCTTTTTTTTTTTTTTTTTTTTTTTTTTTTGAGACAAAAATCTCACTCTGCCTCCAGGCTGGAGTGCAGTGGTGTGATCTTGGCTCAACTCCTTGGGTTCAAGCGATTCTCTTGCCTCAGCCTCCCAAGTAGCTGGGATTACCTGCACAAGCCACCACATCCAACTAAATTTTGTATTTTTAGCAGAGACGAGGTTTGACCATGTTGGCCAGGATGGTCTCGATCCCCTGACCTCATGATCTGCCCTCCTCAGCCTCCCAAAGGGCTGGGATCATAGGCGTGGCCACCGCACTCGGCCTCCAGCCACCTTTTAAACATCCTTTTCCATCTCTGATATTTCATTTTCACTCCCACTACTGCAGATCTTTGGTAGTTGTAGCTGTTGTTTACAGAGTGCTTATATTATCTTTCTAACTAAACTGCAAATTAGTTATTTTAGAGGTAGATCTTATCCATTTCTCAATCTTTGTTTTGCACATTTAAAAACTGATATCTAGAAAGGTTGAATAATTTGCCCTCTTAGGTCATACAACGTTTTAATGGCGTTAGTGCTCATTAGTCATTTTGATGCATACATATTCCCTTCCAATTTTGGGAGATCATCTTCTTACATGTTTTTATTAGAGGTAGGGTCCTCCCTTCCACAGCAGAATCTGAAAATTACAGTTAATTGCTCTCTCTCTCTCTGGCACCAGACAACAGAGCATAAACATGTGACCCAGTTAAACAACTGGATGATATCATCTGGGACCATGAATCTAGAGCAAGTGATACAAAGAATTAAGAACAGTTCAGAACTGATTACAACAGAAGCTACAGTGAAGCATCTATGAGTGGCAGCCAATGCCAACGTGTCCATGCGGTCAGTGTGTGGTCTAGTACCAGCAGCAGGGACCTCCTAGCTACTATTCCAAGAGCACAATTTGGCTAAGTAGATGCTTTAGGTTCTTAACCATTTCTAATTCTGTGGTTTCTGCCAATCTTCCAGCATTTCCTTCAATTCTATGTACTAACCATTTCCTTCTAAAAAATTCATTTTCTGAGTAAAACCCATAACTGCCTTCTGTTGTCTGTATCCAAGAACCTTGATTAATATGATATCAGTATTGAGTTAGCACATAGATTCACCAAACCTTAAAACTTTATTCTTCTTCCATTCTAAGTAACTCACTGCTTTCATAAAATACATTTGCTTCAATTTTCTAGACACTATCAGTGGTAGTGCTAGATATCAGTGGCAGTGCTGCCAGTAATTTCCTTTTAGTTGTTCATTTTTATCCTTTTATTATATAAATTGAGTTATAATTACGAACATCAATTCTTTTATAAATAGTTTATAGATTGTAGTCAATGTATTGATTTTTATGGCCAACATTAGTTTTGCAACACTGTAAATTTGGTTCATCCTATAGATGAGGACTCACTTATAGGTCATTAACACAATTTGAAAAGGAAAAACATGTTTAGCTGGAAATGAGAAAGATACTGGGTGAATATATGAGTGAAATATTTGTGTCTTCAATATGTAAGAGAAGACTGGTGGAACCTTCTAGAAAATATAAAATGTATCATACATGTATGCCCAAGAGTGCCCAAACACCTATTTATTTTACATAACTGACTAGTAATTTACTATTAAGAAAACCAGGTAAATAGTCCAAGAGTGAAAATTTTTCATTTATTATTCATTCATTGATTTGCTCATTTAATAAACAGTTCAAAGAACCAACCATGTACCAGTTGTCATTCTTGCTTTGTTGACTATTTAATAGCGTCTATCATTCCCATAGGATATTTATGCAACAAAATGCATGGAAGGGATGTTTAGCAAGTAAAAAAAAATTCAAAACTATTTATTTGAAGCTGAAAATAACTATCTCTAAACTTCTATACCTCATTGAAGGTAAACTTTTCTAAATCATATATTCCTTTCTCTTAAAATGTGTTCAACTAATTTTGTGATGTAACACATTAGCAACAATTGAAAAGCTTAAGCTGAACAATTATGAAAAGATGTTGAACTGAAAAACTAGTGTAGAATATACTCTCCTAAACAGTACTGTTTGTAAAATTTTAAAAAATGCTATGTGATGATTTATAACTTAGTGTTAATGAATCATGAGTTTTTATCATAATATACACAACTTTTACACACATAATTCAGTATTATTTTCTCTTTCAGTAATTCAATCATAGCAGTAGATGTTTTATATTAAATCATGGTCATACTTTTCATGTTATTAAACTTTTTATATTTTATAATTTTAGGTGAAAGAATAAGCTAAGAATAAGAATAAGCTAATATACCTCTTTTCTTTCTTCCAACTTATGCCAATAAATTTCAATAAAGAACATTTTTAGTAGGTCATTTGCTACTTCATTGAAATATTAAAATGTTTTTAGTTTCTATCAGAGGGTTATTGTCAAAGCAGATAAATATCTGCATTGTTTATGAACACCATTTGCCGGTCACAGTATAATTTATAATTGATTCCTTAATAGAATTATACCAAGTGAATCTTATATTACTAGTAAGAAAAGCGAGCTATTTATATGAAAATGGCAGCCTCCCTCATTTTGTCAGAAGCGATGGTTGATGCCTCTCTTCTCTCATTTGAATGGCATTAGGTTAGGCAATGCATGCTCCAGATGTAATCCTCAATCCCACCATCTTTTTTGGTCTAACATTTGTGGTTTATGTCTGGCCCTTGGGGATACCTAAGTTTGCAAACTGAGAGATACTGCATAACAAGACTATAGGTAACTTGAGTTGTAGAACAATAGGTAGGCATGCCTGTCTTTAAGGAGTCAAGAATACATTGGTAAAAACAAACATACAAAAGCTACTACAGTATATAAATCAGTGGTTCTCAGCTTTATTGCACATAGATACACCTAAGGGAATGACTGCTTTTACACCAGTATTGGTGACTTGCTATGCTATGATTCTTCAGCAGCAGCGGGGTGTGTATTCATCCTCTAAAGAAACTGTAATCAAAATTGCAGGGTTCAGGGAGATGAAGCAACAGAATAGAGGTGATCAGCTGGAAAATGTCCCCAGCATGATCCTGGGATGCCTTCCTTATTCATCCGTTTTTACGCTTCCCAACCCCTCCTCATACCTCTCTGAGAATTGCCAAAGCAGAAAGAGTTAGATCAAAGGCCAATGCTCCCTTATAAGAATAATATCAAATCTCTTCTCTCTTCTTGGGAGTGATTTTGCAGTGTCAACATAGCTAAGCTAAAAAGTAAATTAGGCAAATTCTCCAGAACTCCCTTTCCTGTGTGGTATTAGGTTGTTGATCATAAAGAAATATGCACTGTTTATGGAAGGCAGAGATAAGGCATTACCCATCGCACATCACTCACATTGTCACTCATCTGAAGGTTTACCTCATTGGTGTGACAAAGCAGCCAAACTGGTAGTTAATCCAAACTCCCCTTTTCCCCATCTCCCTTCTGTTTCTGAGTCCTGGGTCATGTGCCTATGCAGATCCCTGATGAAGAGACCAGATTTTTCTGCAGGTGGCCAACATCACTGCGATTAGAAGAAATGAGACACAGACATGGCTTCCAGTTTGTTGTAGGGGCTTTGAGTATTTTCTCAAGGTTTCTTGTTTGTGCTCATCAGTCCCAGTTTGTCCTCATGGGTCCAAGTTTGTCTTTGCCTTGTCTTATATCCAGCTGCCCAGAGCACCTACAATAACTTCATGCCCATCACCAAAAGCGTGGTGACAGCTTTCCATAATTCTTCATAAGTTCCTCTTCATGATCCTTAAGTTCATGTGTGTATGTGTGTGTGTGTGTTTCTGATCCTTCAATCTCCCCCTTTCAGACACTTATTTCCCCACTGTGTCCTGCAATTGTATAAGGTTTAATCCCAATCATAAATCCCTTAGTCTAAACCACACATTGTGGTTCTTCTATTTTTCTACTCAAATTATAATTTTTTTAAATAAGAAAGCCTTCAATATATTCTCAAATCCTGTGGGACTAGCCAAGGTGCTGTTCCCAAAGATAAAGAAATCCCTCCAGAGCAGTGGTCTCCAAATTTTTTACACCAGGGACTGGTTTCCTGAAAGACAATTTTTCTATGGACTAGGGGTTGGGGAGATGATTTTTGGGATAAAAGTGTTTCACCTCAGATGATCATTAACTAATCAGGCATTAGTTAGATTCTCATAAGGAGTGTGCAACCTGGATCCCTCGCATGTGCAGTTCACAACAGGGTTCACGCTTCTGTGAGAATCTAATGCCACTGATCTCACACGAGGCAGAGCTCAGTGGGTAATGCTCGCTTGCCTCCTGCTGTGCCACCCAGTTCCTAACAGGCCAGGAACTGATATGGGTCTGCAGCCCAGAGGTTGAGGACCCCTGCTCTAGAGGGACACATCAGATGCTGAGATATCTGAAACCCCTATGATCCCATAAGAAAAATTGCCCAACTCAGATGCAATTCCTCTCTTCAATTCACTTCAATCTTGGTGCCTCCCTCTCTATTGCTAGTATAATGCTGATACTCTGCTGCTAGTGATCCATATTCTAAAGATAGTTTAACCATGGTAAGGCAATTTAAGAACTAATGAACTACTCCTGATTGTGGTCTGTTTCTAGTACTCTCTGGTATTCTGTGTATATTTAATAAATGTTTACTGAATGAATGAAGAATGAATAAATGCTAAGAACACTCCACTACCCACTGAAAAGTCAACAAAATAACAGTGACTACTAGTTATTAATTTTCTACTGCATATCAGGTACAGTGGCTGCTCAGTTTTGAAATACAGCAACCTGGAAAATAAGAATTATTATGGGAATTTTACAGATGAAGGAGCAGAGATTCAGTATTTTGCTCAAAGTCTCACAGCCAGCATGTGAAAATAAACTTCTCACTCTAAAACAGGGGCTTCTTCTACTACACCAACCGGCCTATCAAAAGGACATTATCTCTAGTGAAGGCTTGCACAATTTATCTCAACTTCTTCACCCACCAGTTCTCTTCGTGATTGTTCTCCTTCCAGTATAGGTTTTTATTCTTTTTCTTTTTCTCAAAGATGGTGCTCTGCAGATTTAGAATTTCCCCTACCTCCAGCCTTTGATTCCTGCTTTCCCCACATTTGGCCTTGTGTGTATGACTCAGCTTGACCTGCTTCTGCTTTCCATTTTAAACCTGGCGAAGAATTACATCACTAGATTAAAAACAAAAACTTCAGCCATTGGCTTTTCAGATGAATTATGGCTTAGGATTTCTTCTTTGATGTAAATAATATGTGACTAGATTCACTGCAACTCTGATGTAGCCACCCCATCCTCCACAGCAGCATGCTCAGGTCTGTTGTCCCAGTTTCTTCTCTGTACAATTTCTTCCAATGCCTCTCCAGTGAGTGCATTTGGGCCACTTCCCAAATCCCTGGTTGCCTGCAGCTCTGACCTGAGTGCCTGCTGCCTCATTTCCAGCACAGCCAAGGGCTTGAATATTGGAGTGCTGGAACAAATTCCAGGAGGCTGAAACACCAAACTTGTGTAATTCTAATGGAACATTCTCAAAATGGCAACTAGAGCTTATCACATGTGAAACTAATTTTACTGTTCAGATTAAAGGCAAAATTCATTATTTCATATGTATTTTCAAATCACACTAAATTCATTTTCCCTTAAACTCAGCTATATAATAGGAATTTAAGATTTTCCTTCCAATAGTAGTGCTTACACTCAGACCCAAATCATTTCATTCTTACTAAAGAAGAGGAAATACTAATCCATCTCAAGAAACACTGATTCTTAAAATGGCAAAGTGCTGGCATTTCTTATTTTTCTTTTTTTTTTTTTTTCTTTACTGCATTTGAAAAGTTGTTGAATGTAAGGTAATATTTTGGGCCTGATTCACTGCTAGAAAAATCAGTCTGGAAACCTGACTCCCTGAAGAACACAGTGAGAATTATCCAATTTTATTGTCCTCTATAGATTCATAGAATTGTTGGTGTGAGAAAACCATGACAATGAATCTAATTCATCCCCACACTCAATGCCTGCAGGCATATCACATACCTCCCTAGAGAGATTGAAATGTATTCTATTTTTAAGGATTTCCCCAAATCCTACAACCTCACTCAATAAATCCTTCCAATGTGCAATTCCTTTCCACACCAGGAAACATTTCTTCATATCTAAGTAAAATTTCCTTTTCTACAGTATCCTTGTGCCCCCTGCTTCCTCTTGTCTTACCTGTAGTCAAGATTAAGAAGGAATGCTTACTTAATTGCCTTATTCATTAATCTTCGATATTCATTGGAATGAATAACACATTAGAACTTTCTTGAACTTTTCAGTGTCTTTCTCACTAGAAGTAAAGTTCTTAAACACTTCAATGTCATTTATAAGTAAGAAGTTTGTAAGTGGATACATCTCTTGTAAGATTCAAGACAACATTTATTGGGTTAATACAAAATGTTCACATTTATTGTCCAGCACAAGTGCTTACTTAGCATCAACTATATTTCTTGATGGTTGACAAAGGTCTGGGGTTTCAAAATTCTAGCATTAGCTGCAAAAAGTAATCTCTAAAAAGTTCAAAGGATACTCAAGTAACACTTTGTGCTCCACAGCAAGAAATGAACGCATGGCCAGGTATGGTGGCTCATGCCTGTAATCCCAGCACTTTGGAAGGCCAATGTGGGCGGATGACTTAAGGCCATGAATTCAAGACCAGCCTGGGCAACATGGCAAAACCCCATCTTTACTAAAAATACAAAAATTAGCCAGGCGTGCTGGTGCATGCCTGTAGTTCTAGCTACTTGGGAGGCTGAGGCATGAGATTTGTAGTGAGCCAAGATTACACCACTGCACTCCAGCCTGGGCAACAGAGTGAGATTCTGTCTCAAAAGAAAAAAAGTTAAAAGAAAAAAAAAAAAAACATGATATTTTTAATTGTATTTCATTTTCATTAATTTAAATATAAAAAGCCATGTGTGGCTAGTGGCTATTGAATAACACAGGGCAGGTCTAGTAGGTATACATGCAAAATTGTTTAGTAGAGATTATATTTGCAAATTATTAAATTTAGAATTAAGGACTTTTCATTTTCCTCTCAGAGCATGCCTTGTTACTGCAGGAGTTAATTCAGATTTTAAAAGCATTAATTTATTATATACAAACGAGGAAAGTCTGATCTTTGTTTTATTCTACAGTGATTTTAGTTAAATAGGTATTTTCAAAGTGATTAGACAAAGAACATGTACAGATATGATTATTAGACATGACTAAAATACTTCTTTTTTAAAAGTGAAAGAAAGCATTACTGAAGATAGCTAAGGATATTAATGGTTTAAATATTAAATCTATATATACAAATATATTATAAACAGAATATTGTCTTACTTTCTTACAACAAATTTATCTTTGACCCTGCAAGTATATCATTAACCCTTCATTCTAGTCACTTCACAAGGATAGATGGTTAACTTAACAAAAGTGGTTTATGCTAATTCAGTAGAAACCTAAAAGATAATAGCATTCAATAATGAAAATTTTTGTTTGTTCTTTAAAAAAAAAAAAGCTCTCAAAATAATTTAAATACCTATAGTTCAAAGTCCCTCCAAACCCCCACCCTGTTCCCAAAGAAAATAAAATTAGGGTTACATACTGTGAAATAATGGGGAGAAATAATATTTTCTTTAATTCAATTTTAGTAAAATGGATTCATATGGTTAAATACTTTGTGGTGCATGTGTGTATACTTTTCAATTTGTCATTACCAGGTTCATAAATATATTTCTATATTTATGTATACATATTTATATTTAAGTATTTGCCATCAATTTAATCATCTAGTTCTTCATCACCTAATGCGTAAAGTACTCAGCAATTTTACATATGTTCTGGATCCTTCCAACTCTGCACTTCTCCAATAAGCTACTACAAATACTACCTCACATATAGTTCTTATAATGCTAGGGCCTAAAGAATCTCTGCAAGAGTCTTTCATTTTTGTTATCCACATCTAAGACATTAAATCAACAACCTCTTCATTCTCTCAACATTTCTATTTCTAACTAAGCAATTTTCAATTCCTCATTAACACAGTTTCACCAGTGCAGTTAAGCCATTCTTCTCACATATGCACTTCAGGAGTGCCTTATTTTCTCCATATTCTTCTCAGCATGTAATTTCATATCAGTATTCTAGGCTTCACATACCCATCATTTCTTCAAGCCCCTGCTCAAAACCACGCTCATCATTTACTAATCCATCATTCACTAATCTCTTCTTTCATCTTTTACTAATCAATCTTACTTTATATTCCCTTATCTGAAACATCACAACAATAAACAACATCGTTTCATGTATTCCTAGTAGGCCATTTTATTGTTTTATTGCATGTGCACACACACAGACACACAATTTTATCTTCTAAGAGCCTAAAAGCTAAGAAGAGTTCTGGGGAACTCTCTAAATTCCACTATTAAGTCCTATACTCAAAGTGTTTCAATTTTGCTTTATAAACTAATTAAATGACTGTTTATTATTAAATTAATTTTTTAAGAGGAATTAAGAAATTTTATGACCATGACTTGGTATTTCAATGACTTCATTAAAAAGTTCAAAATGAAAAAAACAATGAATAAAATATGCCTAATCATATTTAATTCATTCATCAACATCTATTTCTGTTTTCTACTTGACATTATTTGACTTAGTGAATAATTCTAATTTACCTTAAATGCAGAAAGCAGTATGAATGGCTCCTACAAATACTAATGTATTCTTCAAAATTATTTTGCTTTCTCTTATTAAAATGTTCATGTAGATGGCGAACCACATCATAAAGAAAAATACTTATTTCCATCATGGAGCAAAGGAAATGTAAAACATATAAACTTTAATTAAATCAGCCTTTACCAACTAAATTTATTTTTTCTCAGGTAAGCCAGTTAACCATTTTTTGAGATTAATTACTTTTAACTTTTGATTTTTAATGAGCAAATAGCCACTATCAAAATATATATAAATATATAAATATATATATTTATATATATACGACAAGCTAAATTAGAATGAATAAGGAAAAAGGTTAAAATCTATCTAGTTCAAGAGGATGGTAGCCTATAGATGCCAATGATTTAAAAGGAAACAGTCTAAAATGATGAGGTACTTTTCTAGAATTCTAAAGATACAAACTAGGTATTTCATTAAAATTCTTGAAAAGACGGATTAAAAACTTGTTTCTTAATTCACTTTGAAATCACTAGCATACATTTCCCCAGTGCCTAAGGTACCAGGCAAGATTTCCCCAGGAAACTTTAACCTTACAATTAGTGTTATCCTAGACAGAATTCATTAGATTCTTTTAGGGCTTGGCATATAATGAGAAATTATTACAGAGTAACCTTTAATTTAACTTTGTAATGAATGTCTGTAACAGCTATAGGCAGTAAGTGGGAATGCATGAGATGCCACTCAAAATCAAGGAAATCAATCTTTCTTTGCTTTCAGTTGATCTTACATTTCTATTCTGATGTATAGTATGTAAATTATACCTTTTTTTCCTGGAAATTTGCTTGTCACAATGATTGGGGATATTACTGGCATTTGTTAGCGAGGTCTAAGAAGTGTCATCCTACAATGTGAAGGGACATAAGTGTGTTATCAAATAATTGTTCTGCATTTCCTACCACTTTCCAATGTGCAGCAGGATTGCAAGTAAAATATTAATCAGGAAACATTATACATTGTCTTAATCGGAATGTTACCAAGAGTTGTCCAGTATTTTAGAGAAAGCAACAGTAACTGGACTCATTATGTTTGTGACGCCCTTACAGCAAAAATATATCAGTCTGCATCACTGCTGCTGTGTTTGTTGTGATTCCATATATTGCTGCAAACACTATTTACTCTATTATTCTATATATATATTTGCAAGAATCCAATTACCTCAATTTGAATCTGGCCCAAATGTTTACATATTCTTTTATTTTACTGTGTTATGACAAAGAGAGCATAACATTTTTTCTTGTTAGGTTATGTGTGTAGGTAAATTACATCTGTAAATTTCATTTCAGATTACTAATCAAAAGAGTTGGTGTCTAATAGAGTTGAGAACAACTGTTCTAAGCTAATTGTGATGATCTCTTTCCCCTTTTCTAAACAGTCCACATCCTTTGCAGTTTAGAGAGGCCATGGCTGGGTAGACCTATAAATGAATCTTCTGGAGTCTTGGAGGTAAAAAATTTGCTTATTATAAAAGGGATAAGAACAAGAGGAGAGCATGTTAATACTTTCCTGTTCCATCCTTCTGCCTTTAATGATAACATGATGTCTGTTGTAGCCATTTTGTAGCAATGTAGCAATGAGGCAATAGGCATGGAATAAAAGGGCCTGAACCAGTGTATCGTCTTGGAACTACCCTCTTGATCTTCTTGATATGTGAAAGAAGGGGAGTTTGTATGGTTTCAACAACTATTACTGTTTTAAGTTTATGCAGCCTAAATCAATTGCAACTGATACAAAACTGAATTTAATATCCTACCTTCAAACCTGGTTATTACCTATGTATTAGTCAGTTCTCACATTGCTATAAAGAACCACCCAAGACTGGGTAATTTATGAAGAAAAGAGGTTTAATTGACTCACATTTACACAGACTTAACAGGAAGCATGACTGGGAGACCTCAGGAAACTTACAGTTATGGCAGAAGATGAAAGGGAAGGAAGCACCTTCTTCACAAGGTGGCAGGAGAGAGACAGAGTGAAGGGGGGAAGTGCCACACACTTTTAAACCATCAGATCTCCCAAGAACTCACTCACTATCATGAGAACAGCAGGCAGGGAAATCCACCCCCATGATCCAATCACCTCCCATTAGGCCCCTCCTCCAATTCAACATGCAATTTGGGCAGGGACACAAATCCAAACCATATCATTCTATATTTCATACCACCATTCACCTAGCTGTTAATGCCAAAAACCTCAGAGTCACCTTTATCACTACCTCTTCACCTCCAACTTCTAATCAGATACTAAGTGCTCTTGATTTGACTGCACATAAATGAAGAAATCCATCTAGATTTCTCACTTTCCACTTCCATCCTCATAAGCCTAGTGACCATCCCATGCTATCTGCACTTCCTGCTATCATCTCCTAATGGTACTGAATCTCCTTCACCCTCTACCACATTCTCTTTATATCGCATACTTACCATTTTAAAATACAAATTTGACCATATTGGTCCTCTTAGAAAAAGATAAATTCCTTTTGCTCAAAAACAAAATTTTAAACTCTTATGCTGGTACATAAGATCAATCCCATGATCTATGCATGAGCTATGTTGTCTCCATTCCTACATACAAACTACATACAAACTCACTTTCCACTTCCTTGGAAAAGCTTTTCCTAACCCATATATTTGGAAAGCCACAAGTTATCCACTCTTACTGAACACTGTTCTTCCTTCTGAATTAGTTTGAGTTCTTAATTTAATACTGTTTCTGCCACTAAACTATGCGATATGGGGCAGCTGATGTGACATATTCATCATTATAGTCCTAGTTCCCGGCAGAGTCCTTGTCTCAGATTAAGTACTGAATTTGCAGTGATAGAAACAATGGAAGAATGAACTTTTAAGACCCCTTGGTATGATTCTAGATATATCAAATAACTTTCCTAGAGTAAAATTTGGCTCTCTCCTTACGTCTTCTTCATGGAGGAAATGAAGTAGACATATCAAACACAGAGTCTTGTCCTCTCAAAAGTCATAATTTCCAAAGTAAATTATTACTGTGATTTTACATCCTGGTTGTATATTTGTGATGCGCATGAGATAGAAGCACTCTTGGTATGCTGACAAAAATGCAGGATTCATTACAAAGCTGAGGGTTTCTCGCAGGAAGGTGGTACATTTACCCAGGTAGAGCTATTTTGTGAGGTCCTAATTGTGCGGCTTTTCTAAAGAACCATTAACCAAAAGAAAACTGAAACCTTAAGCTCTCAGTGTAATAAACATAAAAATCCCAAAGTATAAATAGACATAAGCTTTTAGCTACCCCTGTCTTCTAAGGAGGACTCTTCCTTTGCTCAGCTTGGCTCCCAGGATTCCGTTGTATTGACTTAGATATTTAATGTAGAGAAACACTAGAAGTCTTAAGAGGTTAACTTAAATTATATAAGAATGAATCACATGCCATAGAAAAAGAATAATTCAGAATGTAGGAGAAGGGGGCCAACTTGGAATGAGAAAGTCCTGAAGCTACAGCTAGAATTTTCAAAAAGTGACTGAGGAGAAATCAGGGAAATAGAGCTGTGGAGAGTTGTCTTGAAGGATCTGACTCCAGATAAAGCTGGAAGAGAATTTCTTCAGAAGTTTTACTTTGTGGTGTATGGTGTCTAATCCCAATCCCATCACACACCAAAAGCATCCAGTAAAAACTCCTAAGAGCTGTCTAGAGTTGATTTTATATTTTACTTTAAGGGAGAATTATGCTGAGATGGGCCTTAGGGAAAAAAAGAGTTGCATCCCAGAATTGGGTTACAAATTTGCCAAATACATTTAGTTCAAGTGCCTTCTAGTAACTAGCAACTTCCAGCAAACTGTTTTTAATCAGGGTGGCTTTCACTGAGTTGAGGCAAAGGAAAAATTATTATTATGCAAATTGTAATTCTTAACATTGCTCTGGGAATTTCTTCAGTAGCCACAATACACTTTCTTTTAAAGGGCTGTGTGAAAAAAAAAAAATCTATTTTTTAAAAATAGTGATTCCCTCAGGCATGCAAATAAAGACACACAAAAGCACTTTGTCACTGTGAGTCATTGACAACAACTCCAGACTTTCAAAAGATATCCTGGGATATCCAATAACAAATAACTATATGCTTTAAAGTCAAAAATCTCTTACTCAAAATGATCCTTTTGTTATATAATGGCTTTCAAAGAGGAACAAAGACATTTATGACACTATCAAATAAAGACAAAAATATTTATATTTTTAGAGGACTTTATAAGTAAAAAATTACTCAGCTCTATTAACCCTGCTCAGAGAAACAACTCCCAGTCCTCTAACAAATGCTCACCAAAACACCCTTTTTAGGTGGTTAAAATGTTTTTTTCATAAGTTAGAAAGGCAGTTAATGTTAAGTCTTGCACCTTGTAACATATCTTGACGTGCTGTGAACAAAAAATGATTCATACTTTCTCAGTGACTCATTGATTAATCGTAAATTTGCATATCTAAAAGTAGAAATTTGATGAAAATTTCAAGCTACAGGGAAATTATAAACATTGTCACAGCTGGAATCTATTTAGGTGAAGGGATGAATTTTACGAAGCTGCATGTTATAGTCTTGTGATTGAAAATAGTGTAAAAGAAGAGATGCACTGGGAATATTGCTGTGGCAGGTGATCTGTGGGAGACACAAAAATGAATAAAACACTTTCTGTACCACGGGGGCTTAAAAGCTAGTAGGAGATGGAAAGTTTACAGATATCACCAAGACAGTACAGTGAATGACTCACTGGAGTGGGCTAAACGATGGGAGTAAAAACCATGCAAGTTCTATGAAGGGCCAGAATTTGATCTTTATATTCCCCAGCACCTCGAAACAGTCCGGGACATAGAGGGTGCTCAATAAACATATGTTGAATCAATGACAGTAACATGGGAGGGACTGTGTATGTATATGTTAATATGATTGTATCTGGGAAATTATTTGTAATTATAGTTTCAAAAAACTAGAATGACTTTAGGCAGCATGGTAGCATGGGCACTTTCAAGTCCGCAGGTGTCCTGGAAACGTCTAGGGGTGGTCCAACAGGGGTCGCGGCAATTGGCACCTTACCTAACTTGGGTTTCTATGAAATAGATTATTCAAATACAGTATTTTCTTACTAAAAAGAGTTTACAATTTTTTGCAGAGTAAAAAAACGACATAAGATTTGCAGTCCAGAGCTCAATGTTCAAATGCTAGGTCTACTGACTATCAGTTCCCCATGGCCAACATGGGGAAATAGTTTAACCTTTCCAAACGTGTGTTTCATTATGTGAAAAAGGAAGATAACAATAGCTAACCCACAGGATTGTAATGAGAAATAAATAAGCATCAAATGCCAGCAGATTACTTATGATATAGTTTTCATTTTTGCATTTGATGGATCTCAGTTCCCCTTCCATTTCATTAATAGTTTCTAAAAACGGCCTAATTCCAGATTTAGTCTGACTATTCAGTCTTGACCTCCTGTTAGTTGTGTGGCTTTGGGAAAGTTATTAAGTTGTCTGACATTCAGTTTCCTCATTTGTAAAATAGGAACAAAAGTGGTATACACTCTCAGGAATATTACAAAAGCATAACAAATATCCTAAATGGCCCTTCAAATATCCTAATTTTATTTGAACCCTGTATGTTGGGATTTTCAAGGATTTGTTTCTTTTGAGTATTTTTAATTTCCATATCTCTTGTTTATTAGTTTCCATTATTAATTTCTTATTCCTTATTAACCTCAGTTTTTTCAGAGGTTCTAAATTACTTAAGAGTATAACTGGAGAACTAACCGGGTAAAATCCAAAGCATGGGAAATCTTTTCCTCTGGATTTAGCAATGGATTTATATTACTAGCACTGAAATAGCAAATTGGAGGGGAAAAAAAGTCTTTAATATCCCCACAAAGTAAGAATTAAATTAAAAATATATTGTGGATAAAAATTTCTTAATTGGGCAGCTCTCCAAATTTAACTTGCTTTAAGGTCAAAAGAACAACTTTCTCTGCAGCTTCGTCTCCAATGTGGGGTAAGATTCAGGTTTACACACATATATTTCCATCTAAAAATTCACAATTACTGCACGCTGTGAAATTAACCTCTCCAGGTCACCTTACAAACTCTAACTCCCATCCCATTCAGTCATCATGAACTTAATTCATTTGCTTCTTAAATTGCAAATGTAATGAATGTATTAAAAATGCCAAAATACCTATTGTCACAAATGAATAAGCACAACGCATATTTCTAGATACTCTGTAGCATCAAGTACTTTATATGCCTTTTAATAAAGTTATGGAACAACCATACTGTACCACTGATTGTGCACCCCATCCTTGCAAAACAAATAAAAATAAAAAACAAGGTAGTCTTAAGAGACCTAACAAGGACAAATAAAATGAAGCTGCCAAGAGAAAAAAAATCGAATTAACAATATGGGAGACTATCAGAACTGTCCAAAGATAAAATGGGCCATATTGAAGGGTATCTAGTTGGCCACATGGTAGGGATAATTCAGAGGCAAGTCAATCATCAACTAGCCAGTAATACAGAAAAAGGAAATTTATGCACCCCTGGGAGCTGGAAAAGTCCCTCTGTACCACAGGATTCTGTAAATTCTAAGTAAAAATAATAAAGAATAGGCTATTTTTTAAAATGAATGTCTAAAGGCAAAATTCACATTTAAAATAAATCACATTAAGTAATAGTTTGAGGAACAAACCACAACTATAAGTACATAATATTAATATCATGACAGTTTCAGAAAAGTAATATATGAGAATACTTAAAGTTTTCCTCTTATTGATCAGTTTAGAACATTCTTAACAAAATAACTACTTAATCAGATTCAAGATGACATTAAGTTATTATTTAGTATAGAACTGGTTTTGTCTGTTATAAATAAACATTTTACTTTAATGTAACACTGTTCGATATTGATATTTAAAGTTCTAAAGAAGAGTTAACCGAGAACAAACAGGAATAAATTATTCATCATTATTATTTTTGGTATTTTGTTTTGCTATTAACATGTTATGAAAAACAATGTCATGCCACAATCCGCTCACCCCCTCCTTATCCAAGGCAGTCCCAGGTATCTCCCCAACAGAGATCCTTAGTGCCCAGGTTTATTTCCTACTGTAAAATAATTCTATTTTACCACTGAACAAAGATAGCTGGCAAAGCTCTTCGGAGCATAGAAAGCAACTCTTCTATTGATTTCTCTCCTTCAAATAGTGCTCCAAATCCTCCCTTCTAATTATAGTATTTTAGTCTACATAAAACTACTTGCCCCTAATTACTCTTAGCCAATTTCCACTGGACAGTTTTATTTGTGTTTTGCTTATTTGGCAGTATTGTCCCAATAATAATGAGAAGGGGCCTCTTGTCACTGTAAATGGTGTAGCACTCTGATTAACGTGGCTTTGTGAAGTTTACTAGTGCCCTGGTTCTGAGGTAATACATGCATGGCTTGTTTTTACTTACTAATTTACTTAGTTGCTTATTTTCTTACAGACTTATTTATTTCATTCTGGAACCCACAAGCAGACCAGTGTAGTACTGTCTCGACCAGGGACAATACAGATTTCAAATGAACATTATAAAACAAGAAAAATAAAGCAAACTAAATTCATAGGCAAATATTTAAAAAAATTCTTCATTTTACAAAAACACTTGAAAAACAGCACTCAACAGCAACTATTTCTGCAGTTTTGCAGTATAGCAAACTGTTATAAGCATTCACATTTGGAGCCTGATGTGCATTTTAGATCCCTGTGAACTGGTTGACTGCAGAAGATATTGGGAGTGTCAGGGTATGTGGGGGAATAAAGCTATAGGCCTAGCCAACTGTGGTGGATATTGGTCATACATGGGGCTGCCCAGTGTCTTACGAAAAGCCATTTGGTACCTGAATATATTTTCAAACTGTGAATTCTACCTTTCCAGTTCAGAAGCTCAACTTGAAATAAGCAGATTCCTTTGCTGTTGTGATACAGACATATGACCTAGGCTCCAGAAATCAAATGCAAAAATCAAGAGACACTTGTATTCAAATGGGAGTAATGGGAAGAAGTTGTTTATATTTTTGCTGGGGGATTGGGAGTTGTGCAGTGGTGTCTGGATATACTTGGTGACAGCAGCAGAGACAATGATGACCAAAATGATGCAAGGTCAAGTTCTTGGCTCAGGCCTAACCTCATTAAGGTGATGGGTGATTCCTCCATCTCATTGCATGGTAGTTACTAGGCTCATGTTCATATAAGGCCAGCCTTGTGATATGCTTCTAAGCATATCTCTTGAAGATGTAGCCTCAAACTTGGCTTCCCAGAACTCTTGTCAATTCTGTATTCTAATAAGCATATTATAATGAACACATTTGATACTTAAGTGTTTGCATCTGTTGATTGCAATTAAGAACAATGACTGATAATGACTGAATATAAGGGTAGGTGGGGGGAGAGAAAATATCAAGGCAGACTCCAGAATTTGAAGCTCAAGTAACTGCATAAGGATGACCTACTAACCAAAGATGTCCAGTGTGGTAGGCAGGGGACAGCAGTAGTTCTCAGGAACTTATGATAACCAAAATTTAGTCAAAGACTGATGTGTGTTTGGATTTCAGCTCTTCCCCTTGTTCAGTTTCTTAAACTGTAATACCTAATGTTCCTGTGAGAACTGGGTATAATCTACGTGAAGTACTCATGAAAATTCACAATACAAGTTGCTGTTATAAAGATAAGAAAGGTGCAATAGCATTTTTCTGAATGAATCATCTAATTTGTAGACCTAGCCCTGGAGAGGGATGGGTGGTAAGTGTTAAATAGAGTACCTGGAATCCTAGCCAAATAAACTGGGTTTTAAATGTTGGTTCTAGTTCTAAGTGTGGTCTGGACATATGATAAAACTTAAATAGGAAGGTAAATCCAGGGAAAGCCAAGAAAAATTGCCTCTGAATGGCTGTTCCCTGGACCTCGGACTATCCATAGGTTGATCTCAGGCACACTTGTCCCAAGCCTTAAGCAGCAAATCTAAACCAGTGGTGTTAGGCTTCTCTTCCCTACCCAGCCTGTTTCAGGGTTGCCTGAATAACTTAGCCTACAATTGAGGGCAACTCTAACCATAGGTGAGTTAATCACAGGTTAGTTAATCATAGTTAACCTATGGTTAACTCACCTAACCCTAACCCTGGCCCAGAAATGTCAAAACTTTCCATGCATCTTATGATAATTTACACACATACACCACCCGAACATACATACACCATAATCCTTTTCCCTCACAATTTTCTATTATAGGCTCAGAACTTGTAAAAGTTGGTTCTAAATAAATATTTGTAGTATTGGATTAAATTTTTAAATTGAATACCTTTTGAGAAACTGCTGGAATATGGTTTTCTTGTTATTTTTAACTTCAGAAAAATGTTTACGGTCGATAAAGCAGTAATTGTTCCTGGTGGTGTAATTGCCTGGGCATTGTGCAATGATTTGATCAGACCCTTTATACAGACCCTTCTGTACATTAAATGGACAACTGGCTGGGTAAAATAACCCACTTTGTAAAGTGATGCTGATGGGAATGGGGGTGCAAAATAGCCTGGGAGGAATGAATGTCAGTGGGACATGCAGTGAGCTCTTGCAAGGTAAGTGAAATGCAACAATGTAAGTAGAAAATACAGAAAAAGTGCATGCAAGCCAACTTTCAGCTCAGTCATTACTCAGTCAGCAAACTCTGTCTCTGAAAATCCATACCTTTTGACAGTATAGCCTGGTGCAAAGATACCAAATAGTGAGTTACTTCCTCAGAAGTGATTTTGGCAATAGAGCTGTTAAATTAAATTTGTCTTAAAGCTGCCTATATATGTAGCAAATTGCAACCTTACTTAGTATGCAAATAAACTGTAATCTAACTTAATAGTATATTCCTCCAACAAATAGCTAAGTCTCAGCCAATCACAGCAGCCAAACTCCAGCCATCACAGGCTGCCAACTGATCAGGTTAGGTCCATATAAGGCAAATGTCTTGTCCCACCATGCCCAAAAAAAGCAAATGCTAAACTTTAACCTATCAAGCTGGGTTTTTTTCATCAATTCCCTTTCTGTCTATAAATACTATCTACTACTGGGGAGAGCTCTCTGAACCTCTACAGGCTCAGTGTGCTGCCCAACTCATGAATTGTTCTTTACTCAAATAGCAAGCTTTGCTGAATTTAATTTGTCTACAGATTTTCTTTTAATAGAGCCTAAGAGGCAAAGCTGCTGATGCTAATCCTGTGCAGAGGCTGGAGTTTTTCATTTCAGTTGCAGTGAAACAGCACAAATAATTAGAGGACTAAAATGTTCAGATACAGTTTATGCATATTTTATTTTGTCTGCTCAGAAAATAGACATTAGGGACTTATGTCCTTCCCTGGATTAGAACCAAGGTGAAGCAATGGGCAAAACTAGTTTGAGAGACGAGAAGAAGGATATATTAGATTAAAACTAAATGGGAAGAGATCCTAACTAACCAAGAAGAACAGGATATTAACCTTAGAGAGGGCAGATTAGGAAGGATCTAATGCCCAAAATCAGAGAAAGCAGAAGCACATAAAAAAGGAAGATGCCAGTAATTAGGGGAAGACGGAGAAATCTAAACATAGTTGAGGTCAGAGATACCATAGAAATGATACGGATAGGGTGGCTGAGGATAGCAGAGTATAAAATCTGCACAAGGAAAATGAAGAAATGCAAAATAAATGAAAAGGACAGCAAAGTAAAGAAGTCAAGGGCTTATTATTTTATTATTGTTATTAATAATAACAAGATTGGGGGGCTAAAAAATACTGTAATGGTAAATGTGTTTATTTCTTTTTTTTTAAATTGCTCTGTCACCCAGGCTGGAGTGCAGTGGCATGATCTCAGCTCACTGCAACCTCTGCCTCCCAGGTTCAAGTGATTCTCCTGCCTCAGCCTCCCAGGTAGCTGGGTTTACAGGCACCTGTTACCAAGCCTGGCTAAGTTTTTTTGTATTTTTAGTAGGGACGAGGTTTCACCACATTGGCCGGGCAGGTCTTGAACTCCTGACCTTATGATGCACCTGCCTCAGCCTTCCAAAGTGCTGAGATTACAGGTGTGAACCACCGTGCCTGGCCAAATGTCCTTATTTCTTAAAAATATTTTATAAATATCAATTCCTTATTTTAGAATACTTATTTGTGTATGGTCTTAAGTATTTTGACATTTTTACTTTCAAGCTATGGATTGTATCAATTTTTAGTTCTCCAATAAAATCAATATTCTGGCATAAAATACTCATAGGCCTGTAAAGAACATTAGACTTTGGGAGGCTAAGATGGGCAGATCACCTGAAATTAGGAGTTTGAGACCAGCCTGGCCAACATGGCGAAACCCTGTCTCTACTAAAACTACAAAAATTAGCTGGACATGGTGGCACACACCTGTACTTCTATCTACTTGGGAGGCTGAGGCACAAGAATCACTTGAACCCAGGAGGCGAAGGTTGCAATTGGCCAAGATAGCACCACTGCACTCCAGCCTGGGTGACAGAGTGAGACTCCATCTCAAAAAAAGAGCATTAGAAACTTTCACTTATCAATCTTTCCTACAACTAGCATAACCATTTGTTAATTCATGCAATACATATGTATTTAATCTCTACCATGAATACAAACATACTCCAATGACAAACAGTAACCATTTATACCAAAAAACCAACATGGGTAATAAATTACTTTAAAGACAGGCAAGCCTGTCAGCCAATCTCTGACACCATTAAAAGAAGCATCTGACATTGCATCTAAATTTGGGAAATCTGGTCAGATGTTGGTTATCAATTTGCTTAAATACATTTAAAATTCAACAATGCAATATTTTATTCAAACATTTGTTGAACACTTACTATGGAGCCAGGCACCTCGCCAAGGGCTATATCTGCAAAGGAAGAGAAAATAGAGCAATTGCTCATGTGAAAACATATAAGCAACCAAGCAACCCATTTCATTAGGATAATTTTGAATAAGAGAAATGCATACAAGTTATAATAATTGTCCCAAGGAGGTAAATCAACGAGGATTGGAGGGTTGAGTGAAGGTTTCACAGATGGAAAGGGCAGGTATGAGTAAAATAGTAAAAAGCAACTTGGAAAACTGATGCACAGTCCATGGTACCTAAACTTTTCCACGGCATGCATCATAATTATTTGATTAATATCTGTCAACCCCACTAGCCTCTGTGAAGCTCCCCAAGAGTAGGATGAAGTCTTTCTCGTTCACTCATATTTAACACTTGTATCTAGCATAGTGCCTGACTTCTTTGTGGTGCTCAATTTACATTAGTGGGGAAGTGAATGAGATGTGTTTCTATATATTAGGGCGTGAAGGAAGGTAGACAGGGAGAAATGAAAATGAGAGGGAGATGCTGGAGGGTCTTCCCAAAGGCTGCTTTAGTAATAGTCTAAGAGTTTAGATTTTCTTTTGAAGGTGATATCATTTCATTGAATTAAATCCATTAACTACTTACAGAATACATAAAAAGACTCATGTATCTAAAGATAACCCTGGGGCAAGGGTAATGTGTATATGGATTGAACAGGAAGAGACTGAGGTAGATATGTCATAGTAGAGAAATTATGACAGCATTTTATTTCACTTCCATGATGAAGTATTTCTAAACTGCCTTTGTGAGGGGAGGGTAATACTTTCTAATGAAAAGTTGGCAGATACCATTGACCTAACATCTCCCTGGGAGCATCTATCTTACTGAGTAACGTAATAGAGGAGGCTATAGTTGGTGACTTTCTGAGGCCCACTACACCCCATAAACATGTTCTGTTTGTCTCCCAGATGTGTAACAATGTAAAGAAAGGGAACCCTTGCACACTGTTGGTGAGAGTGTAAAATAGTATGGCCATTATGGGAAACTGTATGGAAGTTCCTAAAAAAAAAAAAAAAGAGAAAGAAAGAAAAACTGAAACTAGAATTATCATATGATCCAGCAATCCCACTTTGGTGTATATATCATGAGGAATTAAAAAGATATCTACTCCCATGTTCACTCCAGCATTATTTACAAAAGCCACTATCTGAAATCAACCTGTGTCCATCAGTGGATGAATGGATAAAGAAAATGTGGTTTGTAAGCTCAATGTAATATTACTCAGCCTTGAAAAAAGAAGGAAATTCTATAATTTGCAACAACATGAATGAACCTGGAAGACATTATGTTGAGTGAAATAAGCCAAGGACATAAAGACAAATACCACTCATCTCACTGATATGAGGAATCTAAAAAAGTTGAACTCATAGTAGCAGAGGGTAGATTGGTGGTAAGGGGATGGGAATTGGGATGGGATAATGTTATCAAAGGGTGGAAAGTTGCAATTGAGAGATTAAATAATTAATATTTAAGATGATAGATATGTTAGTGTGATTTAATTATTCCACACTGCATACATATATCATAACTCTGTACCCCACAATTAGTCACAATAAATTACAAAAAATTAAATTAAATCGAAACAAACACACCCCCAGAATAAGAAAGTAAATATAATGAGGTAGGTGTTACTATGTCAAACTAAAAGCAGGTTAATGCAATCATCCTACACCTTCCCCAACAGACTCATTTATTCACTTATGTCGCTGCCCAGCTCCTGAAAGTATGTAGGTATGTTACACTACTTTAAATAATCTTCCTTGAATAAAGGAAAAATACATACAATTATAAAGTTTAAAGGTATGATGATAGCACTTTCAATAATAATAAAATTTTCTATTTTTTTGCATAACAAAATAATCTTGATCAATTGTAAGATTTACAAGTATTTCTTAATAGGTTAATCTGTATTATACCTAATCATAGTCTCCTCTGTGAAATCATGGGTTGCAATTGTTATAAAATATAAACTAAAGAGAAAACAAATCCTCCCACTGTGACAAATAACTTTATAAAAAATGAAATTCCTGTTGCGCAAGATTGCACTAAAAATGATAATTATAAACCATAAATACTAGGCATTTTAATATGAAATTGAACACGTTGGGGATTTTTCTAAACATAATCAGTAAAACAATTGCCATATATCACCGCAGGTCATATCCAGTTATCTTTAAACTTTTATATAAGTTATTTCTGTTTCGTTTTCAATTGTTAAAAAAAAAAACAAACAAACAAACAAAAAAACTCTTGAGCTCAGGAGTTCAAGACCAACCTGGGAAACATGATTAAACCTCATCTTTACAAAAACAACAAAAATTAGCCCAGTGTGGTGGCTCATGCTGATAGTCCCAGCTACTTGGGAGGCTGAGGCAGGAGGAATGGTTCAGCCCTGGAGGTTGAGGTTGCAGTGAGCCATGATTGCACCACTGTACTCCAGTCTGGGTGGCAGAGTGAGACCTTTTCTTAAAAAAATGAAATAAAATAAATAAATAAATAAATAAATCATATTGTGTTAGCCTTCTGTTTATCTGTGCTTCTTCCTGAAAGAAAGAATTAAGAGGAGGAAAAAATATCACTTTATATAGGGGTAGAATTACTTAATTCACTTACATCTAAGTATTTCAACTGTAAAATATAAGACGGCTTATTTTGTTTAGCCTTCCAGTTTTTCAATTTTGTATTATTTGGATGATTCTTTGCTGAGCTATGTAGAAAGGTATCAATGTCAGCATTGATAAATGTATGTATTCTATTTGCTTTTCAAAGTGCAAGGAGGATGTATCCGATATTCAAAGTGAGCAGAGCAATGCTTATCTGCATTTCTGAAGGTCTGCAAAAGTCCCATGAATTGTAAGAAGCTGACATAACTAATATTTCATACCACTATGAATATAACTCATTAATAGTATAAACCTATTGACAGTAAATATCCTCCATACCTCTCTGTGGAAGGATTTTCTTTAAATTTTCATAGAGAAGTAACCTATAGAACTAAATCTTTAAAATATACTCCTTTGATAAAAATTATTCTTTAATAGCAAGAATCACAGCTGTTAATGCTGTGATCCACTTTGAATGAAGAGTGACTTCTTTACTTCTGTGCTGCCTACCAAATGGTCAGTGTCTAAGTATCATATTACTTTGCAGAATTTCTGTGCACTTTAAAAATAGGAAAGATTGGCATAATTCTATTATGACTTTTGATTCAAGTTCCAAACAGTAGGAAAAGCTAGAGGCCTAACAGGAGTTCTACTTGTCCACTCATTATATTTAGTGATTACAGACAGTTTACATCACCTGCTTCATCAGATTTTCCCACCCAGACCATTTTCTTCTGCTGTAATATGTTCATACACCAAAGGAAGCCAAGGTAAAGCACCATCTGATGAAACAACATATTACCCAGGCATGCAGAAGTGACATGATATTAATCTGCATTACCTTGGCTAGCTGGATCCCACTGTACCACATCTAGGAGTAATTGGCATATGAAGCCTAGGTCAAACATTTATCTGTTCAGTATGCAATTATAGAAATGCTTGGCTTATCCATCATCATTTGGAAAGAAACACCTACTTCAGTGATTTTTCTAGATAATAGAAATTCGCTTCTTCAAGCACCAAAGCTTTTGGTTTGCTCAATTTTCATTTTCTGTTCAGTGTATTATATATTCCTCTGTTATCCCAGAAAATAAAAACCATAGACATCAATTTGGCCCTATGGTGGACTGTGCTGATGCCTTCACAGACGATTAATGTGTGTAGGCCTGGCTGTTCTCATATTAAATGATTTGGGAGGACCACACTTTTTGAGTTTTATATATATATATATATATTGAACGATGCTCTGTACCCTCACTCACTGTTAAGGCATTGTTAACAATTTTTGCTGCTGTGAACTTGACTGACATTAATAGATTCTGCTCTTTTTGTCCTTTTTATTTTCTGAATTACAGTTCCCTAAGTAAAGGTTTGGTTCTCCCATAAATGAATTTCATCAACTTTAGTGTATGTGTGTGTTCATATTTCATTTATCTTGTCAGTCCAGTCTTATTAACAATATTTTTTCTTGCCTATTTTATCATAATGCAAATGATAATAATGCATCTAATCTTTACTATGGGCTATCCTCTGTGTTAGTTACACTAGGTTATCATGTGCAACCTAATTAAATCCTCCTTATCACAATTTTATGAGGTATGAGCTACTTTTGTCTATTACATTCTACATATGGGAAATTCTCCATAACTCTCAAATGATAGATATTGATTACTTTGGAATAGTGACTTGAATAGTGACTTCTAGATGGGTGAAATGTATCTGTACAATGGTTATCTTTACAGCTGGTTCACATTGATATTTTCAAACAAAATCCTTACATAAGAAGCTTCTATGGGTTCTATGGGCATATTTTCAAGAATGATGTATTTCTATTATTAGGAATGTTTTAAATTTTAAATAAAACAAGCAGTCATTCTTCTGAATTAACTTATTTATATATGGTTAACTTTTTCAAGGGCAATTTAAATTAGTTTGTAAACAAATGGTATGTTATAACAGAATTGTAGATATATAAATGCGATACCGATACATTATAGAAAAATAATCATTTTAAGAAGGAAATTGTTAAGTATTTACTATGTATCAGGGGCTAAGGGGTTACATGCTTCCTAATCTTGTTTATGTCTCAGGTAGCAATCCTCTCAATTTTAAAATCAGGGAAACTAGATTCAAAGAACTAGAATTTGAGCACAGAATTTCACATGTTAACCTGCACGCTTCACCCAGTTAAGAGCAAGGGGAATATAATATTGTAATACTAATGACTGTGCACATAATATTTAAATAAAATGGTAATATTTAGTCTCTCATTGGCAAACCACTTATCTGATAAATAGTTAATAGCCAAAATTATAAAACTCCTACAAATCAATGGCAAAAAAAAAAAAAAAAAATCACCTGGTTAGAAAACAGGAAGAACTGGAATAGACATTTCTCCAAAGATGACATACAAATGGTCAACAAGCATATGAAAAGATGCTCCATACCACTAATCATTAGGGAAACGTAAATCAAAACCACAATGAGATATCATCTCACACCTGTTAGAATGGCTATTATTACCAAAAATAACAACAAATACTTGCAAAATTATGGAAAAACTGGAACCATTATACAGTATTGGTAGGAATGTAAAATGGTGTGGCCTGTATACAAACAGTATAGCAATTCCAAAAGACTTAAAAATAGAATTACAATATAATTCAGCAATTCTACTTCTGGATATATATCTGAAAGATTTGAAATCAGGGTCTAGAAGAGATATCTGCACTCCCATGCACATTGCAGCATCATTTAAAACAGCCAAGATATGGAAACACCTTAACTACCCACTGATGAATGAATTTAAAAAATGTATTATATACAAGCAATTGATTTTTTCGTCTTAAAATAGTGACTTGAATAGTGATGGAATTTATTCAGCCTTAAAAAGGAGGGGAATCCTGCCAAATGTGATGACATGGATGAACCTGGAGGACATTATGCCAAGTAAAATAAGTCAGTAACAGAAGAATAGATACTGCATGGTTCCACTTACATGAAGTATCTAAAATAGTCAAAGTCTTTTAAATAAAGAGTAGAATAGTGGTTACCAAGGGTTAGCAGGAAGGGAAATGGGGAGTTGCAGTTCAATGGATATGGTGTTTCAGTTATGTAAGATGATTAAGTTCCAGAGATCTGCTGTACAACACTGTACCCACAGTTAATAACACTGTATTTTACACTTAAAAATCAAGTGAGTAGATCTTACACTGTGTTCTTACTACTTTTTTTAAGTTTAGTTTAGAAAAGGCAAGACCTAGCAAAGACCTGATGTATTAGTCCATTTTCATACTGCTATGAAGAAATACCTGAGACTAGGTAATTTAATAAAGAAAAAGAGGTTTAATGGACACACAGTTTCACATGGCTGGGGAGGTCTCACAATCACGGTGAAAGGCAAAGGAGGAGCAAAGCCCTGTCCTGCATGATGGCAGGCAAGAGAGCATGTGCAAGAGAACTGTCCTTTATAAAACCATCAGATCTCATGAGAATTATTCACTATCACGGGAACAGCATGGGAAAAACCCATCCCCATGATTAAATTACCTTCCATTGGGTCCCTCCCATGACATGTGGGGATTATAGAAGCTACACTTCAAGATGAGATTTGGGTGGGGACACAGCCAAACCATATCACATAACTGTCCTCATAAAATGAAAGAACAACTCATGGAGGAAGCACTAGATTTCGTACTAAGTTGTCTTGTGAGCAGAACTAGGAAGAGGCATAGGTCGATTTCAGCTTACTGCAAATTTTTCTGTCACATCCCTATGCTTACGGGGGAAATGTTTTCGAGTCCAGCAGTCCCTAAGCTTTTTTGTAACAGGGACTGGTTTTGCAGAAGACCATTTTTCCACAAACTGGGGGGTGGGGTGCTTTCAGGATAATTCAAGAACATTACATGTGTTGTACACTTTATTTCTATTATTATTACATTGTAATATATAATAAAATAGTTCTACAATTCACCATAATGTAGAATCAGTGGGAGCCCACAGCTTGTTTTCCTGCAACTAGATGGTCCCATCTGGGAGACAATGACAGAACATCAGGCATTAGATTTTCATAAGGAGTGCACAACCTACAATAGGATTCATGCTCCTATGAGAATCTAATCCTGCCATTAATCTGACAGGAGGCAGAGCTCAGGTGGTAATGCGAGGAATTGGGAGTGGCTGCAAATACAGATGAAGCTTCACTGGTTTGCCTGTTACTCATCTCCCACTGTGCAGCCTGGTTCCCAACAGGCCACAAACTGGTACTGGTTCATGGCCAGGGCATTGTGGACCCCTGTTCTAGTACATCTAGGTTACATGCAGTCTCTTGGTGGTTCCAATTTATGCAAAAAACTAAGATGTAAATTTGCTCATGTGTACAAATGGGACATCACAAACCTCTGGACTGAGAACATTGACCCCAATCCCCTTAGCTCTAGTTAACCCCATCGTCAGATCATGTCTGCGCCACCCTGACTTTTGGTGACTTGTTCGTATTTGGTTTCTGAGGATACCTCTTATATTTTGTGAACTTATTTATGCCTTTATAAAATAGGTTTGTTATATTTTTAAAATTTCTATACACTTGTTTTTGAAGGGATTGCAGGTTACTGATTTTGACATATTGGCAGAACCATCAAAATAAAACTCTTTTGGAAAATAATAATATTCTGTAAAAGCATAAGATGCTATCACTATCATGTCTATTAGTGGTATTCTAAATTATTATCAGTGTAATTTACATTAAAATATGGATGACTATGTCAGACAATGTGTTAGTATCAGAACTCTTTACTCACAGAAATATTATATACAATACCAAGGTATAAAAAAGACCAAAGAGGGCTGTTTGATTTGAAAGTCTAGCAGCAGCTGTACTAATTCAGCTGTGCTAGTTGAGCACTAAGTTACACTTCCACTCAAAATATGTAGCATTATTCATGTTTTAAGAGAGCTCTTAATATATAATGTTCCCTCCCCAAAGAATGAGTTGGGTTAATCTTGTTAATAATACTCAATCTGTTTCAAGAGGTTTTTTTTTTTTTTTAATTGCAGTACCACAGCTAATTTTATCCTCTTAGATTTGTTAAAATATACTTCCTGATTAATTAATCTTAACATCTTTAGTTCTCTTCGGACAATTCTTATTCTATGTTCTTTCATGTCCCTAGTACAATTAATTTATTTCTCTAAGTAAAAACAATACAATATATTAAAGAACAGGAGTCTGCACTATGGTCCCACTCTGTGACTAACATTCATCTCTATGTAATTTCTCTTACCTATAAAATGAGAATAGTACATCAAATTCCTATTTTACAGGATTATTATAAATAAAGTTTTTTTTTTAAGATGGAGGAATGTAAGGTATCTCATTCTCTAAAAATACCTAGTATTTAAAATAACAAGAAACACAACTATTTCACATTAAGACACTTTACAAAACCTGAGTACGGGTAATTTCTTGGTGCACTCGTTTACTCTCCCAGCCAATGTACAGTCTTAGTTTTTCCTTTGAGCTAATTTGAGCTGTAAGAATTATGAATGGATAGTGTATATTATGGTACCCAGAATGATTCTGGGAATTTTTTAAGCTCCCAGTGAATGGTAGCCTTTCTTTGCATTATCTTCCTTATAGGAAAAGTGGATGGCACAATGTAGAAAGAGAATAAGGGGAAAATTCTATGCATTTAAAAGGTGAGTTGAGTGTCTTTTACCAGCTTTTACAAGGTGTATCAAATGCCTATTTACAAAAGTAAGGAAACTGTCAATTTGATGAAGTACAACTCACAACTCATTAGTGTTTACCACAGAAGAAGTATTCCACATCAAAAATGACTGCTGAAATATTCACAATTACCAGCTGCTCAGAAACCATTTTATATGAATAAAAAACATGTCACATTTAATTTATCAGATGTTTTCTGCTGTCATACTTTCTTTCATTCAATGTACTGAAAAGTTATAAAAACAACTTCAGTCTTACTGTAGCCATGTATAGACATTAAGAATAACACAAATCCATTATCCACCACAATATAATTGTATCTACATGGATGAATGATCTTCTGCAGCTTTTTTGCACTCAATTCTGAATTAAGTGTTCCTTTAAAGATATCTGAAATACACCATTCAGTATCTCTATTAAAAAACTACCATTTCAATATAAAGAAAAAAAAAAAACAATTCATTCCTGAAGCTATATTCCTCGAATGAGCTGGCATTATTAGCCTCATTTCTATAGTGACGACAATGTGAGACATCATCAGAAAAATAATGCCAGTTTAATTTTCTAACAATACTGAAATGAATCAAATATGCACCAAACACTTGTGAAAACAAAATAGTAACAGTCTAGCTTTCCATTGTAATGCTGTGATGTAGGCTTCAAGTAAAAATGTAATAATTTGATTAACCCTTTTCCATAATTATTATACATAACCAACTGTTATACTAATTCTATGAGAAGACTAAAGCAACTAGATACATAGATACACAGACAGGTTATTCCAAATAAAAAATATGAATACAAACACTAGTAGTGTGCAGATTTCCATCTTATATTTAAACCATTTTAAACCTAGCAATGTTCAAACTAGTGTCTATGGAGGGCCCTGCTCTCCTAGGCTCAACTAAATGTGCAGCAAGCATCATTTCTGCTCCACTACATTGCGCATCATAGACTCAGTGCAGTCGTGGACCTCTTAATGGATGGCCCTCACTTTCTGTTTTCAGGGTCAGCTGCAGTGATGGTTGTGGCTCTGTATAAACTGTTGGCAGTAGCTGTTTAATACCACGAAAAGGAAATAAGGCTTGTTTCTTTGGAACTTCTCATCTTAAAAAACAAACACATGACAATCCCCTAACAATTACCAATTTGTGTTGCTTTATTTTTAAATGATTCCCCAACCACTATAAAGGGATATATAAGAATACTTATCCTTTTACATACTTTAAAAATATCCCATTCTATCCCTAAGGCATGTAGAAACTGGGAATGAGGTCCTTCTCTGATACAAAAGAAAGTGTTAATAGCTATCCTTCCAATAAAGTTATTTACTCATACATTACTTTTTTCCCAAACATCATTTTTTAAATACAAGTCTACATGTCAAGAAAAAAGTGAGGACATTGGAAGAAAGAAAAATGAAAAAAAGTAAAATAAAAAAGCCTGGGTTGAAATTGTAAACCAAACATGTGTCTTGCAGTTTTGCACATTTTCTAGAAGTGAAAAACCGTCTCAGCTCCAGTAGATCTAGCAGTTATCACAAGTGAAAAACAATCAATTCAGTGTCCATAAGGTTAAAAAAAATCAGTTGCTCAGAAATATGACTATTCCAAGAACTGTGGACTGAGACAACAGTCTCCTGTAATCCATGTAGAGAAGTCACTGTACTATAGAGATTGTAATCAATCCCCAAAAATAAATACAGAAAAGCTTGCAGGATGATTTTACATTCTCACTGAATATCCACGTATGCCATATGCCAGACTATTGGGATTATTAGATTTAGTCCTGCTCATGCACAAAATCTCCCTCTAGAAATTAAACTTTTTCTTCATTTGTTTTTCTCTAAAGGAGGACAGGAGCTGGAAATGTTTACTTAATTGCACTTGCTAGATTTAATCACTATCCTGGATGTTTCAAGGGCCTCTGTCTCAGTTTTGGCAGAAGGCCCAAAAAGCAGAAACCAAAATAGCAGGGCACATGCTCTTACATTCCCAACGGAAATGTTTGCCCACCAAGTAAGATGAGCAAATGATTTGGCAAAATCAGGTCTTGGAAAAAAAAAAAAAAAAAAAGGTAAGAAAACACATATATTAGAAATATTAAACCACTCTTTGAGGTAGTCAAAATGATGGCATGGTATTTTTTTTCTGATCTTCTTGCGGGAGTGGAGGGGAGAAGATTGCTTTCCTTCCCCTCCAATCAGGTAAGAGAGACGATTCAATACAAAATTCAGAAAATTTGATTTGTGTCCCCCACAGTTTGCACAATAGGTTCCTGACTCATAGTCCCCAAAGATTCTAAGACAACCTTAATGGAACTGCCTGCTTAGCTGTTGAGGGAAAAGAAACAGCCATATTAGAAGGCAACTGTGCTTTCAAAGACAACAAAGCAAAAGATGCTTGTTTCCCATGGACCGAGTGAATACTGGCCATGCAGTATGCTGATGGACTGAGACAGCTTCATCTGGGAGCAAGGAAACATCAGCAGAGAGAAGATGGATATGCACCCATCACATTCAGAAGCTGAGAATATGTCGTAAGAGGCCAGCAAGAGGAGAGAGACTGCTGCAACCAGAAGCTCTTGTGAGGAATCTCTGAAGGCTGTGGAGATGTTCCACTAGAGTATTCTTTGAACTTAGTAAACCCAGAGATGAGCAATGCCAGCCACTGCAACAACAGTGATGTGTAGCTCACCCTCCCTCCTGCCTCTCCCCTCTGCCAACCCTAAGGAGGTCAGAAACAAGAGTTAGTCGACAAAGAAACAGCAGTGAGGGGAAGGATAAAGTACAATAGAGGGAAAGAACAGAAAACTATCTGACGTTGTCTTCCTCTTCCTTTACCATGATAGGCATCCAGTCCAAAGTAGGCTTGAGATGGATAAGAGGACAGGGTTAATTTAGAAGATGTTTGGAATTCTGACTCTAAATGGGACTGGACTAGAGATTGTGCTAATGGAACAAAATATCAAATATTTTATAATTCTTCATAATGCAAAAAATGTAAAGGTCTAGAAAGCTGAGGTTATGTTCCAGACTAAGGTAAAATAAAGAGAATTGATATCTAAATGCAATAAATGATTCTGGATTGGATTGTGGATTAGGAAGAAAACAGTTACAAAACACATTACAGGGAAAACCAATAAAATTTATATAAACACTGTAGGTTAAACTTCTTGATTTTTATAATTACATAGTTTAATTACACATAATATTAAATGTTAAGTTACAATTTTAATTTACTTTAATATGTAATTATTTAATTATATATTTTATGATATTTATAATTTAAGAATTATGTAAAAGGATGTTCTTGTTCTTAGGAAATACATACTGAAGCATTTATGTATAAAAGAACATGTTTGTAATTTGCTCTAAATTTATTTCTCTATATAAATTCATTTATATAGCTTACATAAAATTATTATACATAATTGATAAAATTGTTATGTAGTATAATTTGATATAAAATTTAATTATCAACTTTTTACCTGTCAGTACATTTCCTGATGATCAAATACATGACTGATTTAAAGTACTGAATATGGTGAGATAAAAGTGCTAAAACTGATTTTTTAAAAAGACGGCCTGGTATTAAAACATGGCCTGGTGAGGTGGCTCACACCTATAATCCCAGCACTTGGGGAGGCTGAGGTGGGTGGATCACTTGAGCCCAGGAGTTTGAGACCAGCCTGGGCAACATGGCTAAACCCCATCTCTACAAAAAATACAAATTTAGCTGTGTGGTAGCATGCACCCATAGTCCCAGCTACCCAGGAGGCTGAGGTGGGAGAATCCCTTGATCCCAGGAGATGGAGGTTGCAGTGAAACAGAGATCGCCCCACTGCCCTCCAACCTGGGCAACACAGTGAGACCGTGTCCCAAGGGGGGAAAAAAACAAGTTAAAATAAGACTCTTTCAAGCTGCCCCCACCCCTGCTGTTCAAATTCTAAAATAAATAAATTAATTAATTTACTATTGAGGTATATACTCAAGAGGATTATCTACATCTGGAAATATGCAACAATTGACTTTTCCAAAAACTGGGATTACAGTCTCCAACTCTCACCTAAGCTGTGTGACTCAATTATAGAAAGCCAAGCTCATCTGATCCAAATGGGAACATGTCAGAATATCTGAAAATTGAGAGTCAGCAGGCTTTCTAGGCCAAGTCACCTGTATTAGAAGTTGACCCGGCCAGATAAAGAAGATAAGGTAAATTCCTTTGGGCTGCTATGAGGGAACTGGGAGTGAGCAATGGGTGGTCATTTCAAAATCAAAGCAAAAAGACTGTATCAGAGTTTTATCTAATATTTTTCCATTTTAACTATGACTACATGCCTATATTATTTTCCCGATTAGACTGAGATGTTTCTAAGGGATAGACTATATTTTAATTGATCTTAATAGTTTTCACTGTGCCTAACACAGTGTGTTTTATTTGCAAGCAGATCACTAATATTAAAGAACACCTAGTGCATCTCAGGTGTTTTATAGGCACTTTCATCATTATCTCAATGATATTTATGGTGAGACTGAACAAACAACTAAAATGATATAGTGAGGTGTCCAACATTAGCACAATAAGGTAAGAACATGCAATGGTTATTCCAAGTGTTAATTCAACATTAAACTTGAGACCATTCTCTTGGTAGGGAAAATAAAAAACAAAAACAAAATAACAAGTAGGACATAACCAAATGTAAATGGATTCTAAAGTAGCTATCATGACTCTTCTGTAAAATGTTTGAGTATTTCTGCATTCTTGTATACTGGAAATTCTCTTCGTTAGCGTAGGAATGTACTAGAGTAAGGCCTGCTTTCCTGCTTAAGTGGCTTGAAATAACAGCGCTGCTGATACGTTTTTAGGGAAATCACCCAGGGATCACTGTGAGATTTAATTGTCTGGGTTCACTTCTGGATCTTAGTTTAGTTTCCAGGTCACCTCCCCTCCAGCTCTTTTTCTCTGAATCCAAAGAATGGCCTCCAGAGGCTCATCTTTGCTGCCACTATCTGGGCATACTTCCATTAGTCTTTCTCTGCTCATGGATCCTCTTGTAAAGGTCACTAGGAAGACAGGCACTGGCAGCAGGCAATAAAAGGAAAATAGGTAGGAGTTTAAAAATTATAAACTTGTACACATAAAAAAGGGGAAATATTATTAATAATGGTCTTCACAAAATATAAATGGAGATAAGATTTCTCTTTATTACCTTGTTCCTTCATTGACTGGTTTCTCGTTTTCTGTAAGATTGACTTTTTAAAGGATCCAACCTTGTATAATCCTCCTATTTCCATTTCTCATGCTCCGAGAATTCCCCTGCCCCTTTGTCCTCTGTCTTTTCAGTCAGAACTTGTATATGCATATATAATAAAACAATAATCAATTGGGTCAAACTGTGTATAATCTTTACATTTCCCTTTCTCAGTCTATGGATTCTTTCCTGTCCTCTGTACTTTCTTTTTTCTGCTGATTCTTAAGAACCAAGCTCTGGATACCTCCAAAACAAAGAAAGGTAATGTGAGAGGCAATCAGACCAATAAGGCTGAAAGAAGAGTCAGATGACACTTCAGACTGACACGTTAGTAAAATGCCCTTCTCTTCTACACACACAAGTCATGATCTTTTTCTTACAAGAAAAAGAGCATTATTTGAGGGAGCCACGTTGCCTGCAGCAGTAAGAGAAAATTAAAATCCTGTAAGATGTGAAAGGCAGAGAAAAAATTAAAAAGAGGATTCGGGACCACAAAATGTTGGCAGGATGGGGTTGTTAAATGTCAGGTCATATAACTTCAGCTATTTTAAGAACCTCGTAACATAAACATATAATTGCACAATATTCAAATAATATATGCCTGTTTACTATAATACATTACAGAGATTTAAGGAATTATTATGATTTGCATGACTACAATATTTACTCTGAACCATCAAGAATAGGTAGAAGGTATGTGTTTGATTACAGAATATTATGCTTAATAAGTCAGCATGTGTTTAATGCATTTCAGAATTTATGGAAACACTGTCATTTTTATGAGAAAATAAGACAATTATATACTGACCTGCTTTATGCACTGCTTAGTCATAGCTAAATTTACTTCTATGAAAAATATCTTGGGAAAAAACTAATTTATATAGACCTTTCAGATAAGTTTTTGTTTTTAAATTCAGAATGCTTTCCTCATCCCTGCAGTGGACCTTGGCTATGAGCATAGACCAACACTTCTGGATGCATAATGAAATACTAACTTTCATGGGATTTCTGAAGACAGCTTCAAGAAAGATGTGGCATCCAAGTTCAGAGACTGTAAGCAGTCTAAGATAGTAATTATTTTAAAAGGTAACATCAGATTTTATTGAATCCCAAAGACATGAGGATTATTATAGTAATTTGATGCTGTGGCTCCAGTGTTACACATTATAATTGTACAACATAAGATGAGCCTTATACTTCTCTGTGACTCAGACACACATGCTCTTGGATATTGCCTTGATAGTAAAGACAAAGATAATTGTTATCAATGCAACAACTCTAAAAGTGCAAAGATCAATATTATGGTGGCTAACTACTCTAATAGGCCCTGATAGACTACTGACATAAGTTCAGTCTTTGTGGAGATGATTGATGAGCTGGGATATCACCTTAGGCTAAGGATATGTTAGAATGTCTTATATACATTTCCAATAAGCAGAATATTCACTGTTCTTCCTGCTTATAAAGAGATTGAGTACATTACATTCTTCAATAAAATTCACCTTAAAATATCAGTGTTTCTTCATCATTTCCAAGACCAAATGCTATCCATTTCTCACAGCATACAATGCTCTCCATTACTTTTCCTGCCAGGCTCAAGTCCTAGAATGTGTGCAAATGAACATAATGCAGTTTTCTAGAAGTTCATGAAATTCTTCAAATACACCACCCTTGCTCATGCTATTTTCTTTTTAATACATTTCTAAAATTTTGATTATTACCCACTGTATTGATTTAATGTCTCAAGATTCTATCAAAACCCACAGTTTGAAAAAGTATGATTGAAGGAGAAAGCTGGACAAAGGAAGTGAGTCGGGTAGAATTTTGTGAAATGCCAAATTTCAATGCCAGTTAGGGGATAACAGGCCTTCAAAGATAAGCAAAATCTAGAGGCATTAGAAGAAAACCCAAAGTATGCTGTGATGGAAGGAAAGGGAAGAGTACTTGAAAAGGAAACTACGTTTTACTTTTATTTGTCATTTATAGTAGCTGAATAATATCCATTTTATGAGTGTATCCTACAGCATTTTGCCACCTCCCAGCAGATAATAACTTTGGTTGTTTCTAGTATTCACAGTATCAACAATGCTATGATGAGCAAATTTATGCATGAATCTTTATGCCCTTGATCTACCATTTCCTTAGCATAAATTCCTGCAAAATTACTAAAATAAGTTTGTAAATAGTATAACATTTAAGATGTAGTATATATTGTCAAACACTCCTTCAGAAAGACTAAGAATTATGCTCTTATAAACAGTAGAGTGTTTATGTTTTTATGTGCCCTAGCTACTACTGTAGCTAATATGTTTCACTCACCTTTACAATCAAGTAAGTAAAAATATAAATACGACACTGTGCTTTTAATTTGTATTTCTTTTATTCCAGAGAAGTTATGCATCTCTACACATATTTATTAGCTACTTATATCTACATTGTGGATTGAATGTCCACGTTTTTGTTTAATTTCAATTGAGATACACATTTTTATTTAATATATTTATGAATTCTTTACATATTCATAATAATATCCCCTTTTCTGATTTTCCAGTTTGTCTTTCATGTTTTAACTATAAGGTAGTGCTTTTAAAGTAAGTCTTGAAGGGATTTATTCAATATGATTTTTAATAAAACAGAGTTCCACTGAAAACAGACTCAGGCCTGCATCTGAAGGCATCAAATTAGCTTACATCTTCAATATGCAAAATAAATAGTTCTATAGTATGGCTGTCATTTAAAACCTAAGGAATTGATAGGAAATTATTGTGAAAAATATAGAAGTTCTAATAGAATCTGCTTATTTAATAACAGATCACAGTGCTTTATATTTCATTAATAAAATAGCAAATAGTCTTATTTACAACAATATAACAGGAAAAATTATACAAGTAAAACTCAAGCTTGCAGGACCCTATAATACCTAATTAAACTAAGGAGCTTTTGCACAGCAAAAGAAACTATCAATAGAGCAAACAGACAACCTACAGAATGGGAGAAAATATTTGCAAACTATGCATCTAACAAAGGTCTAATAACCAGAATGTATAAAAAATTTAAACAGTTCAAAAAGCACAAAACACATAATCCCATAAAAAGTGGGCAAAGAGCATGAACAGATATTTCTCTAAAGAAGACATACAAGTGGCCAATAAACATGACAAAATATTCTACATCACTAATCATCAGAGAAATGCTAATCAAAACCACAATGAGATACCATCTCACAACAGTCAGAATGGCTATTATTAAAAAGTTAAAAACAACAGATGCTGGCGAGGCTGTGGAGAAAAAGAAATGCTTACATACTGTTGGTGGGAATGTAAATTAGGTCAGCTACTGTGGAAAGCTGTTTGGAGATTTCTCAAAGAACTTAAAACAGAACTCCCATTTGACCCAACAATCCCATTACTGAGTATATATCCCCAAAAAATAAATCATTCCACCAAAAAGATAAATGCACTCGTATCTTCATCACAGCTCTATTCCCAGTAACAAAGGCATGGAATCAACCTAGGTGTCCATCACCGGTAGACTGGATAAATAAAATGTGGTACACATACACCGTGGAATACAATGTAACCTTAAAACGAATGAAATCACGTCCTTTGCAGCAACATAGATGCAGCTAGAGGCCATCATCCTAATCGAATCAATGCAGGAACAGAAAACCAAATACTCCATGTTCTCACTTGTAAGTAGGACCTAAACACTGGGCATTCATGGACATAAAGTTGATAATGATAGACACTGGGGACTCCCAGAGTGGGGAGGGAGAGAGGTGGACAAAGGTTGACTAACTGTTGGGTACTATGCTCACTGGGTGACAGGATCTTTTGTATCCCAAACCTTAGCATCCTGCAATATACTCATGTAATAAACCAGCACATGTACCCCCAAGTCTAAAAGTTGAAATTATAAAAAATAAAATTAAATTAAAACTCTATAATAAGCTGGGAGGCAAACAAAAGTGCAAGAGTTTATGGCTTACCTTTCAAGTACATATTTGCCATGGCAAGCCTTTTTCTGTATCTACAAATATAACACTCTAAAGTGATTGCTGTTGACATGTGAAATTAAAGCTTACAAAGGACAAAGGTAATGCAGCAGGCAGTAATTATGTGAAGTACAATGTCTGTCAGATTAATGTAGAGTTAATGAATGACGCTTATTGTGTATTCATACTGTATGACAACTTCATGAAGAGCACTTAAAAGGCTTCAAGTTTAAGACAACCTAGGAAGACTTGGCTGTGAAAAGAAGTCATTCTTAAAACTGACAAATTTCTGGGTCTAGAAACGGTGAGCTAACCCAGATGTTCTCTGCAGTTGTTCAGTAGTTGTCATGGCCCAGACTTGTGTACTGTAGCACTTCCTATTGTGTTGACATGACAATGAATACAGCCAATATAATTCCCAATAATTAATGTTACCGTAATAAGTTCTAAGTGAAAGACTATGAAAGACAGCCTCAAAAACTAATTAAAATAGCAGGCAAAGCCCATCCATGCTTTCACTGTGAAAGTGTGGTCCTCCTTTCCCTCCTTAAGCAAATTCTTTAATACCTTTTTGGCAAATTCTTTAATCATTTTTTAGTTAGCTTTCTATACTGGTGGTAAATAAACTATTTATAGTGTATATTCTTCTGATTCTTTTGCATTCTAATTTCTAAGCATAGTCTATATTAAAGATTTAAAAAAGAGCAAAACAGAAAAAACTATGAAGATCTTCAAAATAAATGAGCTGTTACTCCACACTTTTTTAAAAGAACTCCCATTAATGAATTCCTACTGCTTTAAAGCTTCCAAGAACAATTGATGAGACAGATGAGGGGAATGGCAATTTTTTTTTTTTTCTGTGAAGGGCCAGATAGAAAGGATTTTGGGCTTTGTGGGTCATACCACCTCCGTCACAACCACTCAAGTCTGCCATTGCAGCAGGAACGCAGCCATAGATACATAAGGTAAACAACTGGATGTGATTGTGTTCCAACAAAACTATTTCCAAAAAGAGGTAGCAGGCCAGATATGGCCTATGGACCCTAGGTTGCAAGACGCTGGTCCATACGTTGAAATTCAAACATACATGGCCCTTTACATCACACCACAAGCTGCCTCTATAGACCTATCTCCTCCCACATTCCCTCTGCAGACTCCACAGGCTGCCACTGTGGAATTGTGCCTGTTCTCTAGATTGTGCCATTCCATAATAGAGCTTGTTTTCTTGTGTATCAGACCACCTAGAATATCTTACCCTATACTTCACCTGAAAAATTCCTAATTAAACTCAAAATCATTTACAAGTGCCTGATCTTCTCTGAAATGCTTTGTTTCCCCTCCCCACCCCAAACTGAGTTAATCATTTCCATTCCTGAGTTTTCACTGCACTACATTCCTAGGCTCTACCACCCCCTTTCACAATAAATTGCTTATAATCTTCCAGGTAAAGGCCATATTTCATTAATTTTTATATCCTCTGGATCAAACATGTGGTAGCATGTCAACCAAGTGTTTTTGGAATAGGACCACAGAAATCTCATGAATATCAGAGGCAGAGACAGCTAGTTGCCCCCCATTCTCCATTAACACTTTAGTCCTTCCTCATAGAACTTCCTATTTCAAGACAAGTACATGGATGCCTAGAATAAAGTCTACATTTAAAATCTGATTTGCTGATAAGTTTTGTCCCATGAGATTGAGACACAAATACTACATGAAAATTCTGAGTATTACCCTTAAAAAGACATGGATTTTTATATGGGAAAATAAGTTGTCTTTTTAAACCATTTTAATTTTGATATCTGTCACATATAATTGCATTTTACCTTAGTTATATAAAAATATACTTAATGTAGTAATTCATAAATATATTTAATGTTTATGTTTTGATCTTGAAACATGTTGCTGCAGAAATATAAACGTATGTATTTATTGGGCTGGTATAATGTTATTTAAAAATATTCCTTTTCGTTATGATATTATTTTAAAAGAAAAATAGCTAACATGTTTGAGGCATCAACTAAGCGAATAATATTTCAACTGTCTACCCATTGTAGGGATTACTTCAATTCAGGAAAGTTAAGCTGTTAGCTAAATGCAAAGAGAAAATACTCTAATTTTATCTCCTAGAGAAGCAGTGAACAGTTCAATTGGGACAGTAAGTGGTCATTAGCAAAGAAGCAATCAACAAAGGCTGGAATCTGAAACAGCTTAAAATGGACCATAAGAGACATATTATCTAAAACAGTATAAGGATTAGAGGAATAAATAAGTGGAATGTTCATTAAATTTTTGGCATTGTAATTCATACACATTACATATGACACTATAATGTGCATACTCATATATGTATATTTTATTGTTAATAGTGAATAAATCTAGTAGTTTGTAGTAAGTGCTTACTACTTATTGTTTTGCTTTGTTTTGAGACAGTGTCTTGCTCTGTGGCCCAGGCTGGAGTACAGTGGCAGGATCTCAGCTCACTGCAACCTCCGCCTCCCAGGTTCAAGGGATTCTCCTGCCTCAGCCTCCCAAGTAGCTGAGACCACAGGCATGGGCCACCACACCCAGCTAAGTTTTTATATTTCTGGTAGAGACGGGGCTGGTCTCAAACTCTTGAGCTCAAGAGATCCAACCGCCTCAGCCTCCCAAAGTGTAAGAATTACAGGCATGAGCCACTGCACCCAGCCTATTTTTTAATAAATAAGTGACACAACTATTCTTGTTCTGTGGATTTTCCACAAGAGACACAGACCAAAAGTTATCTGCTAGCCACGTAGAATGGTGTTAGCAAAGTGATACTTTTGAATGCTAAGAGTCAGGCCATCTCAGATACTAACTGGGCAGCGTGGAAACAAATTATCTTCATCTCTAACCTAGCAACAGAAGTGGACAAATAAAGAATATACAGGAGGACCAGATTCAGGTACAAATTTATCAGTTGTCAGTTCAGTGTTTGTCACTTGTCAAAAAAGTGGAGAGGCAGTCCTTGTCTATCTTTGAGACTGTCAAATCAGAGGTGGAGAATTTCTGAGAGTTGACACTTTTGAAGAATTGGCATTGCCACTGGGTGGCTAAAATGAAGAAATGTCAAAATCCAGAGGCGTTGAGTACATCAGGAAACTGAGTTTGGCAAATTTTATCAGTTATAAATAGTGATTTTACAGTCATAGCAGAGGGTGTTAGGAGGAAAGTATAATTAGTAAATTTATTAAGAATCAGGGAAATCTATAATTCAGTGAATGAAATTGACTAGGCTATTGAGAACAACTGCAACTGAACGGTTTGGTGATTTAAAGGAGATATATTTCCTGACGATAATGAAATTTTGAATACAGTATCTGAGAGCAAGTTGTGAGGTGCCCTCTCCCCATAACAGAAAATCTGTAAAAGTGGACTTGGTGACCTCCACTGAAAAGTTTCATAGAATTGTGGACATAGGAAACTTTAAGGGAAATGGAACTTCTTTTCTACTAGTACAACAATCTTTATGCCACAATGAGAAAGATTATTAAAAGGCTGGACATGGATGAAGTATATATACACAGTATGATTCAAGCTTCAAAGAATTAAGGGTACCAAGGAAGTGACAGTGTGGGAGGTATAGAGTAACAAGGGCCTTTACATGATATATTTTAAGATGCTTCCTGATGAAAGCACATTATTATGGTTATGAAGGAGGGAAGCATTAGTAACAGAATTATGAATTTAATACCTTCATAATCCAGCTAGGAGGTACAGTAGCTGAAACCTGATTCGTCAAGTGATAAATCTTCCAAAAGTTTACCTTCACTAATCTGTGGGAGTGGGAAGGGAGCAGGATTTTGGGAAGCAGTAATAATTCCATAATAGTACTATTAAATAATGTAAAACAAAAGCATCACTCCGCAACCAGAAATTAATTTTTTAAAAAAATAAAACCTGGAAAAGTTTACAAAAAAAAACACAACTATTTACTGAAAAAATATAAACAGGGAACTGAAAGATTCCTAAAGGAATATATTCCTCGTAATGAAACTCCTTTGAATGGGTTCTCAATATATTGAGAACTTTAATATGTTTAATGCATTCTTCAAAAGAACTCCACGAGGTTGGTTCTAAATGAGGAAACTGAAGCATGGAATGATTTAAAAAGGTCACTAGTAAATGACTCTAAGCTATACAACCACTCAAAGTTCATTTTGTTTGAAGTAAAGACAGTGAGTAATGTTATCCTCAGTCATAAAGATGAAGGAAGGAAGGAAGGAAAAAAAAGAAATTAACTGTATGTGGAATCAAAACAGTTGGTTGATACAACAGGAAAACAATCAAGATACTCAAAGTCAAATAACCAGTCTATTTAGTTGAATAGCTCAAACCACACGTTCTGAAACCAATTAGTGAAAATAAAGAGACCTTCTAAGATACATTAGAATACTTGTATCTTAGACAAAATATTATTCACAGCCCACACACTATCACAAACACACACGTGCATACTTTAAAATTTAGTACAGCACAGTTCTATTGTTTCACATACACTAATAACTATATTACATGATCCAACTATAATAATACAAGAGACTCAAAAAGAAAACATTTAAAGGATAATTATATAACTGCTGTAGTGACGTTCCAATATATTTTAACACATGCTAGTATTTCAACCCTGTGATTAAAGAACAATTTCTGCACTGAGTCATATTGTAGCACTCATCCATTGTAAGATGGCATATTTAAATTTTTAACTGACAAAATACTTGTTTGATCATGAAGGATGGAAATCAGAATCCAAGAAAAAGTTGCTTTCATAGTAACACCCTGGAATTTAATATGTGTGGTCATATAGGATATCCATAATTTTCTTCATTTGGTTTATCTGAAGATATTTAATCTAGAAGAACATTTCAAGTGCCTTTACCTACTGATGTGCTGGTTTACCAGTTTAACACTGTGCATTGAAATGCACAGAATAAACTAGACTGTTTATTCTGAAGAGCTCAGCTCTAGACCAAGAAATGAAATGATTTTTTGTTTGTTAAGGGACATATACTGAGATCAAAGGAAAGTATAATTCAAAGTTCCAAGGTCAGCCTTTTATAGAAACTTAGTTCATCCTAACCCTTCTAACAAGCTCTTTTAAATTTAAAGGCACAAGAAATTGGAAATGCTTTTTATAGCTAGCTTGTTAGCTTTAGACCAAATTTATGATACATTAGAGTTATATTATTTATGTTCTCTATGTACAGCATACTTCATTCCTTTGTATAAAATATACTTAATTTTATATGCAATATATTTATGAGCTTTTCCTAAAACTTGAGGCATGTTTTACTATTTAAAATAATTATTAAGGATTACAATTCATTTAACATTTATTAAAACAACTTCTATTTATGAAGACCCAAGCTGGAGGAAACGAAGCTGAATAAGTTATAGTCCTTGCCCTTATGAAGCATGAATGTACCACAATATATATTTTCTGTGAAAAACATTATTTCACAATTTAGGAGAGAAAAAGATGCTGTCTGATTTTAACAATCTTCTTTATCTTACTTGTATCTCAATCTTCATCCCATTACCCAAGAATAATATATACTTGTGACTTCTATTTGCAAAGTCACCAATAGTCTTTTCACATACATATTTTAAATAATATGAAGTGATCAACGTGGGATATTTGATGAAAGTATCCTAGCAGCAATAACTTGACCTGCAGAGGAAAACAAGATTTACTGGTAGGAATATGAGAGCCAAGAATAGCTGGCCGGAAGTAGGGAAGCTTGAGACTGATGAGAAATAGGACCTGAGAAAAATGCAAATACTCTACCAGGCACTGGTCACTCTCTAAAACTCTTACTCATGAATGAATCAGTTTTAGATTTAAGCCATCCAACCCAGCTTCACAAAAGGTACCTTGACTCCATATTTAAAGAGTCAACAAAGTCAAGTCTTGGTTAAGGTTAGGTCTCTGGCTTTAAATCTCGGCTCTGTCACTTACAAATTGCTCATATTCTTCGAGTCTCAGTTTCCTCATCTGCAAATGATGACAAAAGCCCAGATGAAAGTGGAAGATGATTAAATCAAGTCATGTATATAATGTGCTGGGAACAGAACCCACCTATATACAGTAAAAGCTCAGTAAGAGGTGGTAGCTATTATTTACTTTTACTGTTTTCCTAGCTTTATTCTTTGTTCCTCCTACCTATAATTTTTTTCTGCCAAAATTATTTTGAGATAAATCTTCTCCTCTATCACTTTCCCTTTCTACATTCTGTTCTGGTCTGTTATGGGCACAGAATATGATCTACTTTGGTGGATACTTCATGTGAGCTTGAGAATAATGTGTACTCTGCTGTTTTATATTCTATAAAGATCAGTTAGATGAAGTTGATTTATACTGCTATTTGGGTCAATTATATTGCTAATGAGTTTTTGTCTGCTTTATGTATCAGTTACTGAGGGAGGAGTATTAAAGACTCGAATTATAATAGTGATTTTGTCTGTTTCTCCTTTCAGTTCTATCAGGTTTTTTGTCACATATTTTGATATCTGTTGTTAGGTACATGCATGTTTAGGGTTTTTGGGTCTTCTTGGAGAATTGATCCCTTTATTATTAAGCAGTGTCTCTCCTATTTCTGATAATTTTCCTTGTTCTTATGTCTGTTTTCTCTAAAATCATAATAGATACTTCAGCTTTCTTTTGACCATGGCATATTTGTCACCATTTCTTTACTTTAAGTCTGTCTTAAAGCTCTTTCAGCTGTAATTTATTATTATACTAGAGCTTTGTTGATGTGTGGTAAGGTGTGGAGAATGGGAAAGATTCTACTACCTTATGGTTAAATCTCAGTCTTTTCGTGGCTCTGTGTCCCTGGTTATGTCCCAAGTTTTTCTTAGCTTCTCCCTTCTCCCAGCTTAGGTGACAAAGAAAAGATAGAGTGGGCTGTCGTGGGGGAAATCCCCCTTCCATATCTATGAGAGAATATTTCTCAGTTCCACAGGATGTAAAACCTATACAAATACAATGACCTCCCCACCAACAATGTAGCCCCAATAAGTTTCTCACTTTTGTGTTATTCCATAGGCTCTAGCAACTTATTAAAATTACCTTGTGTCTCTACCAGGTATGGCTCCAGTGGCTTCTGCTTCAAGTAAGCAGATCTTTGATGTGGCTCTCTGGATTAGCCCATCTCTCTAGATTTCAGCATGGCAGTCTGCCCCAAGATATCATTTCTCTTATGTGCCTAAAAAATGTCATTGATTTTCAGTTTATTCAGCTTTTTGTTATGGTAAAGTCAGGAATTATGACTTCCAACTTCTTCACATGTTGAAGCAAAGACTGTAAGTCCCACTCGTGCATTTTGTTTTATAATGGTGGTAAAATACACATATCTAATTTACCATTCCTGTCTTTTAAACTGCTTTTCTTCTATTCACTTCCGTTTCCATCTAGTCTCTTCTTCTTTCTATTACGATACTAAGAAAAAGCTTTTCACTACCATACAAATAGAAGTCTCCCCTAACCCCTGACATTTCCCTAGAAAATTTAGATATTTTGCAATATGCCAAAAAATGAAAAGGTTGAAGAATGGTGCTATGGTAAGTCATTAAGTCCAAGTAGGAATTACTTTCATGACAGGAAATCAGCTTTTCTTTTATGCCTAGATGGTCCTAAGTTAGCCTCAGAGGCACTGTAGAAAGAGAAAAAAAAATCTGATAATCTATCTTGGCTGGATTCATGAAGAATCTAAAACTATATTTTAGTTTTTAGTTCTCTAACTCTACTTTATTTGCATGAACCAGAAAAATTAATAAAGTACCCCAAAAAGGCATTGGGGGAATAGAGGCCTAGAAATAGGAAGAAGGTCATTTATTGTACTCTAATACATAACAGATATTAAGTAACCATTTGCTTCATGAATGAATAAATAATTTCATTTTAGCTTCAAAAGCCAACAACTAACATTTAAATTCTGTATCTTTGGTATTTGCATTTAATTGTGTTATGTAGCCAACATATAAGACATACTTTTATATAAATCTATAACTATAGAGTACAGCTTTATTACAATGAATTTTTTAATAAAAATAGAGAATGAGACATAAGTGTGTGTATGTGCATGTATATACACATACACACATATATGCACAAGTGTATATATGTGTATAGATATATAGTGAGAAAGATATACATATATATATATGGTGAGAGAAAGAGAGCAAGAGAAGGTAGAAGGGGAATAGGAAGATGAATGCATAATGGAAATGTCAAGCTTAGAACCCTCATCATGTACTCACTTATATTTCATATGACTCTAGCGCAGACAACACAGAACAATGGTTGTTATTATATGCTTCATGAAAAGCCTAAGCAAAATATGGTAAATCTGAATCTGACATCAACTATTCTGACTTTGATAGATATGTGTGCTTTACTGTAAAATTACTACTATGGCAGAAAATTAGAATTCCAACTATAGAGACTGGAATTCAAACGTGGAGAAAGCATTTACCCAGCTTATATTTTACAATAAATATTTTATTTAGGAATTTATACACACTGACACCATTTATGTATTTTAAGTGTAATGCAAGAGTTTTATACATAAATATAAGCTATAGAAGAAAACAGAACTAGTTACATATTTGAATTCTGTCTTACAAATTACCTTAAAGAATTTATATTTTTTGAAAAAAAATTATGACTACAGTTCAGAAGATACATCTTCCTTGGAAGGGTAACAGAAACATATTCTAATATATTTAAGTGATGGAATGATGGAGAGAAAAAGTATTGCTTTCTTCACCTCAAATTGCTTCACCTTTTCTAAGCCTCTTCTGTGCACCAATAACTCAAGAATCATTAATGAAAGCTTTACTTACACTTAGCAAATATTAAGACTTTTTAAAGACTTGTCACCTAGCTATGATTAAAGAAGTGGAAAGTTAAAAAGACAACAAGCAAAGTTCTTTGAGCGTATCATCTGGTATCTGCAATAACTTTAACAAGAACTTAAAGAAGCCTTCCTCTGTCTGAATATCACATCAATGAAAAAGAACAACTAGTCTTCTTTTTGATAGGAGAGAAGGTTATGAAATTGGTCATCTATTCACAAAATACATGCACTTTAGGTTGTTTTAAATAGATCTATTAAAACTACTTTCAAACCAAGGACAAAATCCAAGGACCCTTTAGAAGAGTGAAACTTTTCTTTGAAAAATTTTACCATCTATAGTCACTAAGAAGACAGAACATAACATTAATAAATGCTTTCTAGACCACTTAAAACACTTAGCATTATGAATAAGTACAATAATTCTGTTGTTTTAAGTATAAATGTAACCAAGCTATTTATTCTATGACTATTGAAGGGAGATGAACCTTCTTCAAGACACCCACCAAGTTCATTCCAGTTCCTGATGCCAATGTATAGTTGGCTGATAATCAGTCACATGGGTAAGCCATATGTATATTTCAAATTTATTTAGGAAAATAGCTCTTCGTTGAGTATCAATGAAAAAAGTATGTTAAATACTTAAATTCACGTAACTCTGTTAATGTCCATTCCTAGGCAAAGCAGTGTTATCCATGTCAAACACAGCATGTGTTGGCAGGCCATTCTATTCTCCACAAATAAAGCCTGTAAGACTTTTATGAGGAGGAAAATATTAATAAATAATCTTTCATTGATTTAATTTCAAATATTTTACAGATATTGAAACTAATGGACATGCTTCATAGAATTACCTGCTAGTTTTCCTATATTGTAAACATTATGATGACAAAAACTACATTTGTCCTACTCTCAACTCTTTTATCACTCCTATACTGCCATTCAATTGATGAGTATTTTTGAGACTCTTGTACAGGCCTGGCCCTGTACTAGGCAGTAAGGTTTTAATGTATAAATAAATAAATTTGAACTTCCTGAGTAAATGGCCAATAACAAGAAGGAAAAAGAAAATTAGTGAGCAAAAATATTGTAATTTATATTACAATGGCTACAAAAAACATCACACGATAATTTGCCAAATTTATGAAGTCAGTGAAGGTTGAAAGAGGATGTAATGAATGTTGTGAGAGAAACAGAATTTGCAAATGTCTAGTGGTATGATGATAAAAGAGAGTCAGTGAAAGATTACCATGGCTAGAGCACAGAAGTAAGAACAGGGGCTGGTATGTTGTAGATGCAGATAAGATAATTAAGCTGATAACATTTAGTTCATATTAAAGATGTAGATCCTCATTCTGAGAGCAACAGAAAAGATATTTGAGGGCACTGGGTGGAGGACAAGTTGGAAAGCAGGGCCCAGCCTCACAGGCATGCAGCTTGTGCAGTCCCACAGGGTCCCATGCTTGAATTTGATACTCTACTGTTGCCACGCTGAAGTTCTTAATACGTCTTTAACAGAAGCCCCACATCTTATTTTTACAGTAGACCCTACAAATGATGTAGCCAGTCCTACCATAGAGGCATAATAGTAAATTAAGGTAGACATGTTTTATGGCTATTTTCGTTGTCTACAAAAGAAATAATGTGAACAGACTAAGGTGAATATAGAAGGTAATGGCATTTAAGAGGAAAAACAGAAAATATTGGTGATAGACATAAAAACTTAATAATTGAAATAATAATTAAGATAATAAGAAGAGAAAGAAAAAAGGTAGAAAGAGAGAATAAAAAGAAGCATAAAATAGCCAGTTTCCGTGAAACCTAGGACTGTGATTTTCCAAGTAGGTCAACGTACATTTTAATTGCCAAGACAAAAAAGCACAGATTGATCATGACACTTCCCTCTTCAAAAATTTTCAATTATATAGCAGACACTGATAGTTGCTTACAGAATATACATCCCTTCTCTCTTCCATCCTGGTTAGCAAAAGCCCAATTTTGTTCTGTCAAAACTTGTTTTTACAGGGCCATGTGCTTAACTAAGCTAATCATGGCAAACACATTCCCTCTGTTGGTTATTGCTTTAGAAACAGTGGTATGCGGCAATTCTGACGGATGAAAAGTCTGTTTAAGGGTTCCTGAAAAGATTCTCTCATTGCTAAAGAGACACATCTAGTCTCTTTTCCTACCCTTTTCCACTTGAGCTTGCCACATGACATTAGAATTGAGGCAGCTATCTTGACATCATGCAGAAGGAAACAAGCTCAGGATAACAGGGCAGCAAGATGGTAAAAATCTGTATGCAGTTGCTGAATTACCCAGCCTCTGATCATCTATTCAGAAATTTGAAAGTACAATAATAAAAGTCCTTTGGTTTAGATTTAATATCCTTAAGGTCAGACACTGTTTCATTCTTTGTTTTGCCCTCCAGCATCTAACATAATGTTTTCAATCTCTTTGCTGTATCTCATACTATGAAAGATGAGTTAATTTAGAAACAAAGGATTATAACTAAAATATCACAAAATAATATGTAGTGCAAGTTTTTATGTGCTTCATCCCTGCTGCTCTGACTATATTCCTTTTAAACATGGGATCATTATGTTGAGTAAGAAGTGGGTATTTTTGCTCCTATGAATCATGAAATCTAGCTCTGGAGTGCTTTTGAGAATACCTAACCTAATTAAATGAAGTGTTATTAAATTTTAATTAATGTGTGCTATTCAAAATTAATCAGATACATAACTAAAACAGTGCTAAGCAAATGATCAGACACATAAAAAGAAGCAGTAGCTCTCTACTGACTTCAAATGATGTTTTATTTTTTAAAAGATTTAGTATACCATTTTTCTGCTAAAATAGAAAACCTCCCATATGTGTCTATTTCTTACTCGGTCAGAATAGAGACTGATAAAAATCATGGATGTAAAGAAAGGTAGCCTTCTAAATTCAAATTCTAAGAAGGTGCTAAGTTTAAACATTGAATTTGCGGATGCAGAATGAGAACAAACATTTGAACATGCTTTAATAAAAAAGAAATAGATCTGCCAGGAAAACAACTACAGATGAACAACGTTTAAGCAAACAGTAGAAAGCATATAAACCAAAATAATAAATCACTCAGATTTAATCATACCTACTAGAATGTACATGTAACAACAAAGAAAAGTACCTTTTCCAATTTTCTGCGTAATTTTTTATGTCATCTAATAAAACATTCTAATGTAAGTACTAATGATGACTTCACTTATGGAAATATAATTTAGCTTCCTCATTTTTAAACCTGATATTATAGAAATACTTTGAGAAAAGTATAATAAATGATTTAGAATATATGAAAGGTTGTTATAGAAAGAAATACCACCAGTACAAAATTTTCCATGTCTTTCTCATCCAGAACGTCTGGAAATAAATGTAAATTGCAAATGAGGGATTTAGGCTGACTTTGGGTAGAGATGCTAAAGAGTAAATCGTTAGCAAACAAAGTTATAGTTGTTATTTCTGGGAAATCAGAGTAAAGATGGCTTTGTAAAATCCTGATGGAAACGTGAGCTTTAAGGACTTTCCAAATATAAAATTATCTGAATCTAAGTTAATAAAAAGTGGAAGACACTTTTACCCCAAAGTAAAGATAATTTTACAAAGTGTTACATTCTTTGTATTTCAGTCAAGTAATTGGACTAAATAGCATCAGTTGTGCTTAAAGCTTCATCCTACCCCAGATTTTATTTGGTTGTTATTACCAAAGCAACCTGTAATTTTCATTTAGGCTAAAAATTCAATAAGATGTTCAATACAATTTTAATATTTGTGTCCTTGATTCAGAAAGTTTTTTTTTTTTTTCAGGCAGTGGGATAGCAGAGTGTCAACTTCTTGCTCAAATTAAATATTTTAAATTGGCTATAAATTATGCAGCTAATGGATTTTCCTATGCACTTGGGCTACATGCTTGTAAAGGCTACATGAATTCTCATTGTACTTCAATATATAAAATCTACTTAACTGAGCTTACATTAACAAGAAATTTGGTAGTTTATTCAACCAATTTTGATAGATGTTGGATGCTTCCGAAATTAATAATTTGTGAATGGTTCAAAATTCAGGAAGCGTATCAAAGTTACTCAGTGAAAGTTTCCTAACCTACAATTCTCCCCTAGACCTGCAATTCCTTTTCCTAAAAGTTGCAAATTGTTATCAGTCTCTTGTATGTAGATATATAATGTTGCATATTCAACAAATATGTACAAATGTTCTTTGTTCTTTTATATACAAATAGTTTTAAAAATTAAAGTAAACATACTCTTGGCAAATCATTTAGTATAATTGGGGGATTATCTCCCATCAGTACATAGAGACTTCATCAATCCTTTTGAAAGCTGCTTTTGATTCTATAATGTGGATGAATATAAATTATTTAATCAGTGTTCACTTATATATATGGGAATATGCATATATAATATATCTTACATGGATTGTGTATATGGGTTGTAATTTATTTAACCTCTGGCTTATTGAAGCACATTTGGTTTATTTCCAATGTTTTGTTATCACAAATAATATTGTGTAAAGTTTTATCTATATCCTCTTGTACATATAGGAATGTACCCACAGAAAAATTTTCAGATGCGCATGGTAATTTCAATAACAGTTGTCAAACCACTTTTCATCTATTCATGGAACACCTGTCTCTCCAAAGTTATGCACCAAAGAGTGACTTTGAGGTTATCTGATATGTTTAAGAGCTATTTATTTTCTGTGAACAGTTTGGTCAGATCTCCAGCCTATTTTTCTATTGAACTGTTCTTTTTCATATCAATTTATATTTTTCAAAAGCTCTTTATAAATATCTTAAGAAAATACATATCAAAATCTGTCATTTTGTTATATTTCGCTTATGGTGATGCTGTCTTTAAAACTGATTGACTGATTAACGATGGGGTCTCACTTTGTTGTTGCCCAGGCTGGAGTGCAGTAACTCCAGCCTCATAGCTCACTGTAGCCTCAAACTCTAGGGCTCAGGTGATCCTCCTGCCTCAGCTTCCTGAATAGCTGGGACTATAGGCATGTGCCACAATGCTCAACTATTTTTTTATGTGTTTACATATTATCTTCTTCAATTCGGTTTTGGTTTCACATATATTTATTGAGAAGATCTTTTTTGGTATGACATTTATATATATAATACACATATTTTTATACATAAATATACATATATACTTGTATATTTATAGTCATTATCTTCTTTTAATATTTTCCATTTCTTATCTTTTCTCTTCTTTTTATTTGCTCAATTTAAAATACTGAGGGCTTAAGGTATTATATATAATGTAAAATTTATTTATTTTTCCTTATTGATATGGTGTTGCTCTGTATCTCCACCCAAATCTCATCTCAAATTATAATCCCTACGTGTCAAGGGAGGGATCTGGTGGGAGGTGACTGGATCATGGCAGTGGCTTTCCCCATGTTGTACCCTTGATAATGAGGGAGTTCTGATAGGATCTGGTTGTTTGATAAGTGTCCAGTGTTTACCCTGCACTTGCGCTCTCTCTCCTGCTGCCTTGTGAAGAAGGTACTTGCTTCCCCTTGACCTTCCACCATGATTGGAAGTTTCCTGAGCCCTCCCCCAGCCATGCAGAACTGTGAGGCAATTAATCCCTCTTTCTTATAAATTACCCAGTTTCAGGTAGTATGTTTATGGCAGTGTGAGAATGAACTAATACAGAGACTTGGTACCAGGATAGTGGGATACTGCTACAAAGATAACTTGAAAATGTGGAAGCAACTGTGGAAATGGGTAACAGGAAGACTTTGGAACAGTTTGGAGGGATCAGAAGAAGATAGAAAAATGAGGGAAAATTTGGAACTTTCTAGAGACTTGTTGAATGGTTTTGACCAAAATGCTGATAGTAATACGGACAATGAAGTCCAGACTGAGGTGGTCTCAGATGGAGATGAGGGACTTCTTGGGAAGTGAAGCAAAGGTGACTCTTGCTATGCTTTAGCAAAGAGACTGGCAGCATTTTGCACCTTACCTAGAGATCTATGCAAATTTGAACTTCAGAGTGATGACTTAGGGTATCTCGCAGAAGAAATTTCCAAGCAGCAAAGTATTCAAGAAGTGATCTAGCTTTTCCTGAAAGTGTATGGTTATATGTGTTCACAAAGAGATGATTTGAAATTGGAACTTATGTTTAAAAAGGAAGCAGATCATAATGGTTTGGAAGATTTGCAGACTGACCGTGATAGAAAACCCCACTTTCTGGGGAGAAGTTCGAGCTGGGTGCAGAAATTTGCATAAGTAATGAGGAGCCAAATTTAATAGCCAAGACAATGAAGAACATGTCTCAGGGCATGTCAGAGATCTTTGAGACAGCCCCTCCCATCACAGGCCTAGAGGCCTAGGAGGAAAAAATGGTTTCGTGGGCCAGGTCTAGGGCTCCATTCCTCTGTGTAGCCTGAGGACTTAGTGCCCTGTGTCCAGATGCTCCACCTCCAGCCATGGCTAAAGGAGGCCAAGGTACAGCTCGGGCTGTTGCTTCAGGGGAGCCCAAGTCCAAAGCCTTGGTGGTTTCCATGTGATGTTGGGACTGCAGGTGTGCAGAAGACAAGAGGTGAGGCTTGGCAGCCTCCACGTAAATTTCAGAGGATGTATGGAAATGCCTGGATGTCCATGCAGAAGCCTGCTGCAGGGGCAGAGCCCTCATGTTGAAACTCTACTTGAGCAATAAAGAGGGGAATGTGGGGTTGGAGTCCCCACACAGGATCCCCACTGGGGCACTAGTAGAGCCTAGTGGAGCTGTGAGAAAAGGGCCACTGTCCTCCAGACCCCAGAATGGTAGATCCTCTGACAGCTTGCACCATGTGCTTGGAAAAGCCACAGACACTCAATGCCATCTGGAAAGGAAAGGCAGCCACCAGGGCTTTACACTCTGGAGCCACAGGGGCAGACCTGCCCAAGGCCATGGGAGCCCACCCTTTGCATCAGCATGCCCTGGGTGTGAGACACGGGGTCCAAAGAGATCATTTCAGAGCTTTAAGATTTAATGACTGCCCCCACCATGTTTTGGATGTGCATAGGTCCTGTGCCTTGTTTTGGCCAATTTTCTCCTATTTGGTACCCAATGCCTGTACCCCCACTGTATCTAGGAAGTAACTAACTTGCTTTTGATTTTACAGGCTCATAAGTGGAAGGGACTTGCCTTGTCCCAGATGAAATTGTGGACTTGGACTTTTGAGTTAATGCTGGAATGAGTTAAGATGTTGGGGGACTGTTGGGAAGGCATGACTGGTTTTGAAATGTGAAAAGAACATGAGATTTGAGAGGAGCCAAGGTGGAATAATATGGTTTTGCTCTGTGTCCCCACCTAAATCTCATCTTGAATTGTAATCCCCATGTGTTCAGGAAAGGACCTGGTGGGAGGTGACTGGATTATGGGGGCAGTCTCCCCTATGCTGTTCTCTTGATAGTGAGGGAATTCTTGCAGGATCTGCTTGTTTGGTACATGTCAGGCATTTCCCCTGCCCTTGCTATCTCTCTCCTGCCACCTTATGAAGAAGGTCCTTGCTTCCCCTTCACCTTCCACCATGATTGCAAGTTTCCTGAGGCCTCCCCCAGCCATGCAGAATTGTGAGTCAATTAAACCTTTCTTATAAATTATCCATTATCAGGTAGTATGTTTACAGCAGTGTGAGAATGGACTAATACACTCATAAACACAAGACTGTTCCAACACTGTTTATTGTATAATCTCTGATTTGATTATCACTCTTTTACTAAATTCCTTGATGTATTTGTTCTATTTCTGTTATTGTTTTTGGTATTGTTGCTCTGACTCTTTTTCTAAGTATATGTACAGTACCATGCTTCTTAAATGATTGAAATATTGTAATAAATTTCAATATCCAGCATGGCTAGCTTCCCTTCATTACTCTTCATTTTCAGATGATTTTAGTTATTTATTCTTTTTTCTTATCCAGAAATCATGACATAAGGTACTAAAATAATCTCTATGGTATTTTATTGGGATCCTATGAATTCCAGAGATTAATTTACAGGTAACCAATTCTCTTTAGGATAAGAGTTCAGTCTTCCATGTCCATAGAGCTTTATATAGCTTTTGCACATTACTTCAAGTTTATTTATAGTATTTTTTGCTACCATAGTAAAAAATGAGTCTTCTCTCCCATTCTATGTTTAAACATTGTCATTTATGAATAGAAAAAGTTATTAATTTGCTGAATTATTTTGTTTATAGTAGATTTTCTGTTTATTTTCTTTATTTTTCAGACAATTCATCATTATTGGATAAGATAATGCTTATATGCCTGGAAAACATTCTCAATTTTATACTTATTGTTTCAATGTCTTCTTTAACTGACTTTTTATTAAACAGTAGTGGTGATAATGAATAGCCTTGCTTTAATTCTGAATTCAATGGGACTTTTTAAAGGTTTTTTACATTAAGCATAATTTTAGTTTAGGAGTTGATACATTCTTTTTACAGTTGATTATACATAATAACCATATTATATATGTTTCACATATTTATACTATACATTAATATACATTTTTTTTTTTTTTTTTTTTTTTTTTTTTTTTTTTTTTGAGACGGAGTCTCGCTCTGTCGCCCAGGTCGGACTGCGGACTGCAGTGGCGCAATCTCGGCTCACTGCAAGCTCCGCTTCCCGGGTTCACGCCATTCTCCTGCCTCAGCCTCCCGAGTAGCTGGGACTACAGGCGCCCGCCACCGCGCCCGGCTAATTTTTTGTATTTTTAGTAGAGACGGGGTTTCACCTTGTTAGCCAGGACGGTCTCGATCTCCTGACCTCATGATCCACCCGCCTCGGCCTCCCAAAGTGCTGGGATTACAGGCGTGAGCCACCGCACCCGGCCTAATATACATTTTAATCATACATTAGAATTAGCCATTTACTTCTGCCTTACAAAAAATTCTATCAAATGCTGTTATGACAATCCACAGATAACTATGTTTTCTCCTCAAATTCATATTTCACATTTATTTTTATATGATTGAACATAATTTGTGCCATTTTCATCCTTGTTTATATTATTTTGCTCTTGTCCCTTCGTCCCTTCCTTCCTTCCTGCCTTTAATCCCTTTCGTTCATTTCCCTTCCCTTCCTTCCTTCCATTTTCTTTCTTTTCGGATTTATTGCCGTTTTCCATTTTTCTTTTTGCTTTTTCATCTTTTATTTGATATACATAGACATTGTGTGATGATTACCACTATTAAATTAACATATATTCAATTTTTCTCTGTTGGGTTAGCCAATTTTTTTTTTCTTTAAAAAAACACATATGCCAGGCATGGTGGCTCATGCCTGTAATCCCAGCACTTTGGAAGGCTGAGGCAGGTGGATCACGAGGTCAGGAGTTCAAGACCAGCCAGGACAACATGGTGAAACCCATCTCTACAAAAATACAAAAATTAGCCAGGAGTAGTGGTATGTGCCTGTAACCCCAGGTACTTGGGAGGCTGAGGCAGAATCATTTCAACCAGGGAGGCAGAGCTTGCAGTGAGCTATCATGCCATTGCACTCCAGCCTGTGTGACAGAGCGAGACTCTGTCTCAAGAAAAAGAAAAAAAAAAAGAAAAAAGAAAACACTTAGCAGCTAGGTGCTGTGGCTCACGCCTGTAATTTCAGCACTTTGGGAGCCCAAGGCAGGTGGATATCACCTGAGGTCAGGAGTTCTGGACAAGCCTGCTCAAAAGAGTGAAAGCCTGTCTCTACTAAAAATACAGAAATTAGCCGGTCGTGGTGGCGGGGGTTGCAGTGAGCTGAGATGGCGCCACTGCACTCCAGACTGAGTGACAATGGGAGACTCCATCTCAAAAACAAAAACAAACAAACACCCACTTAGCTCTGAGATTTCTTTTCTTATGAAGTTTTTTACTGTTTTGCTTTTTATTTTTTTGATTCACCTTTTTCCAGTGTTACCTTTATTAATGTTTGGTTTTCATAGGTCCATGTTTCCATAAATTATATGCTTATTTCGTTTAACTTCTTTTTTACTAATAGAAGATAGTTTTGGTCTATGAATATATTTCTGAGCACTGCTACCTCTATTTCACTAATCTGGATATTCAGCATTTTCATTATGTTAATTTTCTATAATTACTACAATGTTTTATTTTAGAATTACTTTTTAATAAAAGTGTTATAGAGAGGATTTTTATCTTTTAATATCAAAGTGGTAGGAATCTTACTTTTTAATTTTGTTATTAATATATTTTTCAGTGCATTATTAGTATACCTTCAGTACAGCAATGTTTTCTATACTACTTCTGATTTGCTTAATTAAGACTGTTTTTACAATCTAAGATGTTATCAATTCCTGTGAATTTTCCATTGATATGAAAAATAATATGTATTTGTTCTTTTCAGGTTATAGCATTATACAACATTAATGCACCTAATTAATTATATAATTTATATTTTTAAATTTTGTTTGTTTAAATCTATCATGGTCTAAGACAGGCAAATTAAAGTTTTTTACTTATAATAAGAATGTGATTTTGTTCTATTTAATATTTTTTCCTATGGTTTTTGCTTCTATGGATGTTGATATATTGCTTGCATGCAAATTTAGTATAATTGCTATACATAATTGTATAGTATATACTTTAGCACTATAATTTTATGTCAATTAGTAATTATTGCCTTAATTCAACATATGGTGATATAATTATCATGACCCTTGATATTTGTTTATTAGCATTTTATTTTTATATCTTTGCCCATGTTTTTATCAATCTATAAGAATGCCTTATTTTAGAAATATTTGTTGTTGAAAGAACAAAATTGGACTTTGATATGTGATTAAATATAACACATTTTTCTTTCAATAGTTAAATTCAACCCATTTTTATTTATTTGTATTACAGATGTTTGTCTTAGTTCTGACAGTACATTTTAATCTATTCTTTAAATTTAAAAATACACATTTTATCACACTTTTAACAACTCTGAAATTGGGATGTACTATTAAAATCCATGGGGTAATACAATTTTCAGTGTTTTACAATTGCTTTTGACTACTGGAAGTTATTACAACTTCACTCCCTAGCATGCATTAACTATCTAAAAAGTGAAGTGACCTCAATGTTATTCAAGGTGGCATGACTGGATATCTGTGGTCAAAAATCTGTTTGTGGGTCATTTGGTTATTTGTTATTAACTACTTGAGGAAGAGACCTAGAAAGTGCCAGCATCCAACAAATCAATGGCATGAGAAAACTTGGGAGTTGAGACTGTTTTAAATAATTTTTTTTTTAATTAAGATATATAATAAGTCTCTTATGTCTCCATATTCTCTATGAGCACTTGTTTCACTCTGGTATGTGCTTCACAGAGGCATACGATCTTTAAATTTTTGTCAAGATGGTTTATTTTTATCTGCTACATGGCTACATTTTATTATTTTTGTAAGTATTTTTCTTCTCTGCTCTTTGTCTTTTATGTTCCTTTTTTTTTCCGTGTAGAATCTTTGTTGGTTCCCTTTTGATTATTTAGCCTTTATGTTCCTAATTTTTTTCTTGGTGATCTATTTATATGTGGCTTTTGTTTAGAAAGAATCAGAGTTATGGTCTGAGAGGGATTTTTTTTTTTTTCTGACCTACGGTTTTGAGCGGCAGCTCAATTAGCCTTTACTTCTTAACAGCTAATGGAAATAGGAAACTAACTTGCTTTACACAACTCAAGGACTTCCAGCTACTTCCTGAAATTACAGCTTTGGTGAACATTCCTTATTTATCTGAGCCCTTTTTTTGTGAGAAACAAACTATAGTCTAGAAAGTTCCTGATTCAAGCTAATAACCCCATTCTGATCTCTGCAAATAAAAGATGTAGTCCTGTGTCTCAATTTGTGCCCTGCATCTTTGAAAAGTGAACTGGATTGGTTTTCTCAGATGTGTAACTGGGGCGGTCCTTGCTCCTCTTTCTTCCCCATTCGCCCCTGCTCCTTCTTTTGTTTAGCAGCCCTTCAAACTTCTTGTCACCAAAAATATTAAAGGTCTATGTTCTATTCTCCTTCTGGCCTTGAGTAAATTTCAGAATGGCAAAGAGGAAATTTTTGGTTTTGATGCCATTTTGAATTGATACTACTTTAATCAATGAAATAATTTAAAATATACGTGGTTGTGCTTTTTTTTCTTCATTTGGCTATAAAGAGTGACAAGATATAAGCTGGAATTGACAAGAGAGGGCAAACTATTTAATCTCTAATTTTCTGTTTCATCTGGGCTAACCTTTAACTTAAGCCCTGATTCATGATATTCATAAAAGATCCATTGTTTGTGTTTTCTGAGGTGTTACAGCAAATATATCTGCCAAGATAGGTTTTGAGATTGATTATGCTATGAACCAGGGTGAAGTGTGCCCATAAATGGCTGAATAAAAAGAGAAGGAATAAAGGCAAGTCTACTCTCCATATAAATACACAGAGGAATATCTGAATGGGGTTTCTCTTCTCTTCCTAACTCATAGGAAGATCACTATTCCTCCCTGTGTACTTAATGTAAAACATCACCTTAGCTGACAGTGTGAATCAACCACTGGAACCCTCAAGCCTCACTTGTTGATCCTAAAGGAGTTATATAAGCCTGCCTTGTTCACATACTCTGTGTGGTAGAACTTGTCATTCCCCCCACATCCACTCCAAGTAGAAGGAATTTGAGAGCTTTTGCTGGTTAAGCCCATGCCATATAATGCACATGCTAAGACTGGGAAAAGTTCCCTCCAGGTAGTTTAGAATGCTTGTGCCATTTTCTTAATCCTGATCTAAACACCAGGATACAGAACCCTAGCAATTCAACTTGACCTCTTCAGGATGAAGATTCTGCCTTTGTAGAATAAATTACCCAGAGTTATGGGAAGTTTTTAATCCTCATCTTTGTTCAAATCCCTTTATCCTCACATCTTTGGGCTGAGTGGCCACTTCTGAAAGGATCTTCATTGTCAAGCAGTGTCAGCTCCTGCAGAGCTGTCCTGAAGTGAGACAAGGGGGCCCAACATTTGTGTCCATGCATGAGTTTGTCAGTGGTTGTAGGCTGTCCCCTGAGAGGTATAACCTTGTCCCAGGCACTTTCCTGAAGTTGAAGTGAGGCGCATCAGGCACTGTAGGTAATTATGGATGGGTGTATTGGCCCTGAAGAGGGATCAGGGAGGTGTGCCAATGAATCCATGATAACACCAAAGTCTGACCTATACTTATCAAAAGATGGTTTAAAAACACTTCGCCTGATAGACATGGTTCCAGAATCTATATAGTTAGCAGACCCACCCAAAATATCACTTCAGAAATACTCCTCCTCCTTTTTATCATGTACAAGCATCCCCCAAAAAACTAATTGTAGCAAAAATATTTTCCTAAGAACCCAATTTGTTATAGTCATAGGTACCTGAGACTTATTTTGAACACTATTAGAATAAGCTTTGCCACTGAAAGAGGTGGGGTTTTCGTTTTTTTTTTTTTTAGACGGAGTCTCGCTCTGTCACCCAGGCTGGGGTGCAGTGGCGCAATCTCAGCTCACTGAAAGCTCCGCCTCCCAGGTTCACGCCATTCTCCTGCCTCAGCCTCCCGAATAGCTAGGACTACAGGTGCCCGCCACCATGCCTGGCTAATTTTTTGTATTTTTAGTAGAGATGGGGTTTCACTATGTTGGCCAGGATGGTCTTGATCTCCTGACCTCATGATAGGGGTGGGGCTTTCTAAAAGTCTCTCTGCCTCTTAGGACACTGGAATTACATACTCTTTGTTTTCTTCCTCAACAAATCACAGTGCCTTCCTTCATTTACATTAATAGTTCATTTTACCTTCAATTTTCTAATCCAAATCATCCCACTGGTTTTGAACTATTGCAGTAGCGGAGACTATGCAACCTGCTGGGATGAATGCTATTATATTCAATTACCAACCAACTTGTTTTCCTTACCATTAGTAGGGGAAGATAGGGGATGAGACCGGAAGAGGGAATACAAGTTTTCAAATAAACTATATGAAAAGTGATATACTACTAATCCAATCTATGCCTCTAAATTATGTACAAACAACAAAAAACAGCAATTGAAGAAAGATGGAAAACATGTACTTTTTCTTCATTTGTTTCATTTGCAATTTGTTCCCTTTTCTCACATTTTACACAATTAAATCTATACAAATTTTTAAGTAATCCTCTATATACGTTATTTTTCCAAACTTAAGCTTAAGATAACTGTTTTTTAATATCCTCCAATTCCTGAACATATTGTTTCTTATTTTATGTAAATGAGCAGCTGTTGCTGAATAAATATCAGTTGAATTACTAGACGAATGATTAAAGCAAGGAATCAGTGAAAGCTAGAGGTATAGATGAGTCTTGTATTACTTTATGTTAAGAATTTTTAAATAAAAAATTGCTCTGAAACAAAAAGCTCTTATTCAATTTTCACATGAGCACATATATGCTTAATAAATTGGTTATATACTTGGATGAAAGAATGAATAATTGAGTGTTTTTTTACTTAATAGTTCATACATCTTTTAGGTATTAAGCTTAAAACAGAAAAATAAAACTGTATTCTATTTTATCATCTCATTTCTCATTCTGTTAGGTACAAAGAACTTGTGACAAACCAGCTCTGTAATGTTTCCCAAAAGTCATATGAATAAACAGTTTTAATAAAATAATGATATAACTGAACAATAAAAGCTTTCCACACTAGTATGTAAAAATTCCAAGATCAGAACTATTTAGCAAATTTACCGTTAAGTGCAGCATCTAGAATTCTCCAGAATAAATATTCTTATCTCAATGTACATATCTCAAAGCTCAATTTAAGGACATGTCATTAATGATCAGCTTTCATTACTGCACAGTTTTACCTATTCTGTTTTGTTTTGGTCAACTTTAATATTAAGAAAAAGCATGACAGCAAACCAACTAATAAAATGTACAGATATGTAGAAAGAGCAAAATATTCCTATGACTTTTCTTTAAAAACTCTGATTGTGAGGAAAGTATAACATTAGAAGTCACTTCTTTTAAAAAAAATAGTGTAAACTTTATGAGAGTTTATTTTACATAAAACACAGGATATGATGTAAAAGTGCTAGTGTTTATTAATTAATTTAAATAAGAAGATGAGAACAACTCATTTTCTAAAGAAGATAATTGAAGTTAAAGAATTGTTAGATGAAGGACTTCACTAATATCCCATATTATATTAGTTAGTATTTGAACAGAAACACAAAACGGATTTGGATTAAAAAATAAACCTTTAGGGAGGCAGAGACGGGCAGATCACGAGGTCAGGAGATCGAGACCACCCTGACTAACACGGTGAAACCTCATCTCTACTAAAAATACAAAAAATTAGCTGGGCTTGGTGGCGGGCGCCTGTAGTCCCAGCTAATCGGGAGGCTGAGGCAGGACAATGGCGTGAACCCGGGAGGTGGAGGTCGCAGTGAGCTGAGATCGCGCCACTGCACTCCAGCCTGGGCAACAGAATGAGACTCCATCTAAAAATAAATAAATAAATAAACAAACAAAACTTTAAAAAATAATGAAATATGAGTTTTATATTTTATCAATAGAATTCCAATAAAAAGAGAAAGTTCCCATTATTTTTATATTTTATCAGTAGAATTCCAATAAAAAGGGAAAGTTCCCATTAGTTTTATATTTTATCAATAGAAGTCCAATAAAAAGAGAAAGTTCCCATTAGTTTTATATTTTATCAATAGAATTCCAATAAAAAGAGAAAGTGTCAAAAGTTAAGTGTGTTTAATATATAGGTCGTAGAAATGTGCACTTACTTCTGCTAATCTACAATTCAGATGGAAATGGAAATACCCATAAATCATAGAGGCATGCATGTGATATATTTCCCTAACCAATGGAACAAAAAAATATATCATTATTCTGAAGAAGAAAATAGAAATTAAATTATACCAGTTTTACCTACAGTAGGACATTACATTATATCCAAGGTCCTCAAGAACTCTGCCTTTACTGAGCTTTCCTTTCAGGTCACACATTTCTGTTTTAAATTTCTTAGCATGTTTTAATGAAAGACTCCTAAATACCTACATCTCTCTCTGATTAGCTATCTTAGAAAACTAATTAAGTAATCAATAAGCAGAACAAGTATAAGTCAATAGTACCTCTGATAAGCACGTGTGATCTCCAACCTACAACAACACAGTTGTCAGCAATTACAGGGGAAGGTATATCTTAAGTTCATTAAAGACACACTTGTAAAGCTATTAAATATTATCTGGAAATGTTTTTTGTAGTATTTACAATGCTGCTCTTCATTACTAAATTTTAACTCACATCAATTTATTTTTAAACAAGGTAAATAACAGACAAATTTTATCCAACTCACCGAAATACATAATTTCAATAACAACTACACATTATGTCTATCATTCATTCATTCATATTTTTTCTAATATGTTCCAGATGCTCTGCTATTTACAAAGACATAAACACTAACATGTCAGTCTCTCAAACATCAGTCAGACAATAAATAGTCTAGTGAGAGATAGACACATATGAAGAATAATTTATTATAAGTGAAAATGTACCCTGAATGTGTCCTAACCTCAACAGCATATTGGTAAAAATTAAAGTATATTAACATCAATATTAAAATTCTCTAGTACACAAACTCCTACCTACATAACTACAAGACTTAAGATTCTCCATCTCAAAGTCTCGCCAACTATTTCTGCAAGTCCTTTGGGTGTCTAACGTAAGATCTTAACTAATCATCTATTTTACTCTGCCAGAGCAGAAATAGAAAGACTCCCAGAAATAATTGGAGAGACCTTATAAATGCTCATTGACAGAAAGGTACTTGAAAGACTCACCCTGATCAATTCATAATTAAACTCCCCTGCAGATCCCACTGTCCCTCATCGACTCCATTCCTTTTTCCAAAATGCTGCGCAGGTATCTTCATAAAAATGCAAATCTGTTTATCTCACTCCTCTGCCTACTACATATAACCCGTAAATGGCTTTCCACTGACTTGAGGATCAAATCAAGATTCCATCTCCCAAGATGTACGACCTTGCTCTTCGGCACTACAGCAATCAGGATTACCAAAAGGATAAAATTTCCAAATTAATAAACTCTCTTGGGGATAAGCACTATAAAAAGAGTAAAGAGGGTGGAACTAAGTATCCTATGAGGTTTTCAGAAATCAGAAGGCACTAGAATAAACTACAGCTTAGAGAAAAGAGGGACGTGAGCAGGAAAGCTGTCTGAATGTTTAGCGAGTATCCTGTTCAACAAGTGGGCTTAGTTCTTAAGATCTAGAGAAAAGAATAAGGGACCAAGGAAAGGTAATGAGAAGTCTTTGACTTAACAAGAATAAATTTTTCAGTGATCACTGTATTAGATATGATGTGAAGCTCTCTTAAGGAACAACTTTCAAAAGTATCAGAATGTTCACAAATTTTAAAAAGATAATCCCTACATTGAGGAAAAGATGGGGTAAGTGACTCCACATCCCTTATATGTCTCAGTTGTATGATAATCTTTGATACAGCCCAGCAATTGCTCCACATTTCAACTATTATTGCATTGGTTAATACTCCAAAAGGCTAAATGATAATTCTGTAAAGACTTGATTTGTAATTAAGGTGCAGATAATTTTTAATTCCCCTTACCCAAACTATGACTTTTTAAATTGAAGAAATGAAAATCCTCTATTAGCAAAAGACACATTTTCCAAATTGCTTCCAATGGGTAGAAAGGATGCTCATTAGATATAAGTTATATAAGGAGAAGAAAAAGATAAGTACTTAATTTTTATACAAAATTGATAATTAGGATTAATTAAATTATATATAAAAAACACTTTCTCAATGTTTCTAATGTTTAAATTATAATGCACTAAATAATATTAGTTTACTAGTAAAATTATCTAGTTACTTTATAAGATAACTAGAGCCCTCAAATGGAAGTTTTACTATTATTTTCCCCTATGGATGTACAATTTAGAGCAAAAGAGTTTTAAATACTTTGACAAAAATTTAAAGGTCACAGAGCAATCATAATTCTCCCATTGATTATTAAGATCACGTTGTGAGTTTCAACATACAGTCATTTTTATGGCCTCGCACTATCGTTAAAAGTAAGAAATGGGAGAGAAAGCAAGCAAGTTGGATAAGATGTTTGAAGATATTGTCCATGAAAATTTCCCCAATCTCACTACATAGGCCAACATTCAAACTCAGGAAATGCAGAGACCTCCTGTGTGATGCTATAAAAGATGACTTTCCCAAGAAATATAGTCATCATATTCTCCAAGGTCAACATGTAAAAAAAAATTTTTTTTAAGGCAGCTAGAAAGAAGGGTCAGGTCACCTACAAAGGGAACCCCATTGGGCCAACAGTCGACCTTTCATCAGGAATCCTACAAGTGAGAAGAAATCATGGGCCTATATTCAGCATTCTTAAAGAAAAGAAATTCCAACCATGATTTCTTATACAGCCAAATTAAGCTTCATTTAAAAAGGAGAAATAAAAGCCTTTTCAGAAAAGCAAATGCTAAGGAAATTTGTTACCACCAGACCTGCCTCATAAGAGGTACCTTACACAGGGGTTAAATATAGAAACAGGCCATTACCAGCCACCAAAAACACACTTACATACATAGATCATTTACACTATAAAGTAATTACACAATCAAGTCTGAATAATAACCAGCTAACATCAGGATGACAGGGTCAAATCCACATATATCAATATTAACCTTGAATATAAATAGGACAAATGCCCCCACTTAAAAGGTATGCTGGCAAGTTGAATAAAGGGACAAGACCCAACTGTATGCTGTCTTCAAGACACTCATAGGGTCAAAGCAAAGATAAAACCAAACCAAGCAAAACCAAAAAGCAGGGGTTGTTATTCTAATTTCAAACAAAACAGACTTTCAAACAATGATACAAAAGACAAAGAAAGGCATTACATAATGGTAAAGTGCTCAATTAAACTATGCTAAATATATATGTACCAAACACAGGAGCACCCAGATTAATAAAGCAAGTTCTTAGAGACCTACAAAGAGACATAGATAACCCCACAATAATAGTAAAAGAGTTCAACACCCTACTAACAGTATTATTAGATCCCCAACGCAGAAATCTAACAAAGATATTCAGGACCTATACTTGACACTTGACCAAATGGACCTAACAGAAATCTATAAAACTCTCCAATCAAAAACAACAAAATATACATTCCTATTATTTGTAAATGGCACATACTCTAAAAACCACATAATCAGCCATAATACAATTCTGAGTAAATTAAAAAAAAACAACTGAAATCATACCAATCACACTCTCAGACTACAGTGCAACAAAAATAGAAGTCAGTACTATGAAGATTGCTTAAAACCATACAATTACATGGAAATTAAACAACCTGATCCTGAATGACTTTTTGATAAATAATAAAATTAAGGCAGAAATCAAGACATTCTGTGAAACTAATTAAAACAATAATACAACATACTAGAATCTCTGGAATACATCTAAAGCAGTGCTAAGAGGAAAGTTTATAGCACTAAATGTCCACATCAAAAATTTAGAAAGATCTCAAATTAACAACCTAATATCACTCTTAGAGGAACTCAAAAAATAAAAGCAAAATCAACCCCAAACCAAAATCAGAACTGAACTGAATGTAATTGAGACACAAAAATCCATTCCAAAGATGAATGAAACCAGAAGTTGGTTCTTTGAAAGAATAAATGTGATCGACAGCTAGTGAGACTAATAAAGAAGAAAAAGAGAGAAGATCCAAATAAACACCATCACAAAGGGGACATTACCACTGATGTCTCAGAAACACAAAAAACCCTGCAGAAACCATTTCAAACTCTTCTATGCACACAAATTAGAATATCTACAATAAATGGATAATTCCTGGCAATATACAAACTCCCAAGTTTAAATCAGCAGGAAATTGAAATTCTAATCAGAGCAATAATGAATTCCAAAGTTGAATCAATAATTAAAAGCCGACCAACCAGGGAAAGCCCTGGACCACACAGATTCACAGTTGAATTCTACCGGAATTACACAGAAGAACTGGTACCATTCCTACTGAAACTGTTCCAAAAAATTGAAGAGAAGGGACTCCTCCTTAACTCATTCTATGAGGCCAGTATCATCCTGATACCGAAACAAGCAGAGACACAACAAAAAAATAAAACTTCAGGCCAATATCCTTTATATACAAAGATGCAAAAATTTTCAACAAAATACTGGCAAACTGAATCCAGCAGCACATCAAAAAGCTAGTCCACCACGATCAAGTAGGCTTCATTTCTAGGATGCAAGTTTGGTTCAACACATAGGAATGAATAAATGTGATTCATCACATAAGCAGAATTAAAACCAAAAACCTCATGGTCATCTTAATAGATGCAGAAAAGGCTTTCAATAAAATCCACAGATAACATCATACTAAATGAGGAAAAGCTAGAAACACTTCTCTTAAGAATCACAACAATACAGGAATGCTCACTCTCACCACTCCTATTCAACATAGTACTGCAAGTCCTAGCCAGAACAATCATGCAAGAGAAATAAAAGGCATCCAAATAGAAACAGAGAAGTCAAACTGTCTGCCTGCAGATTATTATGGTTTTATACCTAGAAAACTCTATAGTCTCTTCGCAAAAGCTCCTAGATCTGTTACACAACTTGGGCAAAGTTTCAGGATACGAAACCAATGTACAAAATACAGTAGTATTTCTATACACCAGTAACATTCAAATGAGATCCAAATCAAGAATGAAATCCCATTCACAATAGTCCCATTCACACACACACACAAAGCTAGGAAAACAGCTAACCAGGGAGGCGAAAGATCTCTACAAGGAGAACTACAAAACTGTGCTGAAATAAATCAAAGATGATACAAACAAATGGAAAAATATTTCATGCTTATGAACAGAAAGAATCAATACTGCTAAAATGGACATACTGCCCAAAGCAACTTACAGATTCAATGCTATTCCTAACAAACCCACCAATGACATTTTTCACTGAATTAGAAAAGACTATTCTAAAATGCATGTGAGACCAAAAAAGAGCCCAAATAGCCAAAGTAATCCTAAGCAAAAAGAACAAAGCTGGAGGCATCACATTACCCAACTTCAAACTATACTCCAAGGCTACAGTAACCAAAACAGCATGGCACAAATACAAACACAATAGACAATGGCACAAATACAAACACAATAGACAATGGAACCGAATAGAAAGTGCAGAAATAAGGTCACACACCTAAAACCATCTGATCATCAACAAAGTCAGCAAAAACAAGCAATGAGGAAAGGACTCTATGTTCAATAAATGGTGCTGGGATAACTGGCTAGCCTTGTGTAAGAGATTGAAATTGTATCCTTTCCTTTCACCATCCACAAAAATCAACTCAAGATGGATTAAAGGCTTAGATGTAAAACCTAAAACTATACAAACCCCAGAAGAAAACTAGGAAATACCACTCTGAACATAGGCTCTGGCAAAGATTTCATGATGAAGATGCCAAAAGCAATTGCAACAAAAATAAAAATCAACAAATAGGACCTAATAAAACTAAAGAGCACCTGCAGAGCATAAGAAAGTATCAACAGAATAAGCTGACAACCTGCAGAATGGGAGAAAATATTTGCAAACTAGGCATCTGACAAAGGGCTATCAAGAGTCTATAAGGAACTTAAACAGTTAAACAAACAACACCATTAGAAAAGTGGGCAGAGTGCATAAACAGTCACTTCTTAAAAGAAGACATACACGCAAACAACAAGATATGAAAAAATGCTCAATAACACTAATCATTAGAGAAATGCAAATCAAAACCACAATGAGATATTTCACACCAGTCAGAATGGCCATTATTAAAAAGTCAGGGGACAAAAGATGCTGGCAAGGCTGCAGAGAAAAAGAAATGCTTATCCACTGTTGATTAGAATGTAAATTAATTCAACCACTGTAGAAAGCAGTTTTGAGATTTCTCAAAGAACTTAAACTACCATTCGACCTATCAATCCCATTATTGGGTATATACCTCCAAAAATATAAATTATGCTACCACACAGACAGATGCATGTGCATGTTCATTACAGCACCACTCATGAAAGCAAAGTAATAGAATCAACCTTAATGCCCATCAAGAGTAGACTGAATAAAGAAAATGTGGTACATATACACCATAGAATACTATGCAGCCATAAAAATGAATGAGATCATGTCTTTTGCAGCAACATGGATGGAGGTGGAGGCCATTATCTTAAGTGAACTAACACAGGAACAGAAAACTAAATACCACATATTCTCACTTATAAGTGGGAACCAAATATTGAGTACATATGGATACAAAGAAGGGACAACAGACACCAGGGCCTACTTGAGGGTAGACAGTGGGAGGAGGGAGAGGAAGGAAAAACTACCTATCAGGTACTATGCTCATCATCTGGGTGATGAAATAATCAGTCTGTAAACCATACTCCTGTGGCATGCAGTTTACCTATATAACCTGCACATGAAACCCTGACCCTAAATTTTTTTTTTTTGTAAATGAAGAAATGCCTGTACTGTCTTAATTCTAATCATACAACACGTTATTCTTCAAAGTCTTTCAGTTTCTTCCAGGACCAACTCATCTGTCACATATAGAATTTAAGGTGCTTATTCAGCTCTCTCTCATACGTACATTTACCTCATTAAAAAAATGCCAATATTTCTAAGACTCTTTAGGCAACAAATCAAAGTATAATATTCAGCTGATCAGCATTACATATTCATTTACTTGTGAAGTAGTGTATGCATGTCCCCACCAGATGCTTCCTACTCCATTTATTGATTGATCATTTTTAAGCAAAAGAAACAAGTAATTACTCTAGATTTGTGCAAAACCAAGTAACCTTGGAGCAGATTTAACTTTTCCTACATGTTCCTTGAGAGATACACCTCTCAGTCAAAAAAAAAAAAAAAAAAAAAAAAAAATGCAAGAGAGAGAAAGATGTCTCCTGCTCTAGGGAATAGGTAAAACAGGCCTTTCTTGTGACTCGGCATGTCACATCTTTGCATGCAGAGCTCTGCAAACTGGATGGAATAATTAACATAAGGAGCCTGGGGCATTTTCAAAGGAAAGGAAAGATGAACATGGTGAACAGGGTAAGATGTCACAGACCTAGGAAAGATGTGTCCTGGGATATATGTATGTGATCTGAAAGTACTGCTCACTAAGATAATTTTCTGGTTTCTTGGGAACCTTTTAGTCTTGAATTCTCTGATCTAAGTCTTTCATTAGGAAAATTTCCACATCTTGAATAATTACTACCTTTGAGCAAATCTGCATTCAGCCAGTAGCAGATGCCAAGTTATGGCTTTAGTGGTTATACACCCTGAAGTTACTTGAAAGACAAATACAGCAATATAGAGTGCATGTTTCTCATAGACATATCACTTCTTTAAAAAATCTTCTACTACATAGACATTCTAGTGCCACCCATCCTTAATCCTCCTCAGGGACAATACCTATTAGGATGGTGCAGAAATAGCTGTGTTTTTGCCATTACTTTTAAACAGCAAAAACCACAATTACTTTTGCACCAAGCTACTACATTATACTATTCACCAGAAGTAGCACTGCTTCCCCAACTCAGTAGCTTTTCCCCATTAGCTCAAAGTGTCCTGGTAGTGTCCCTTCCACAGTCAGCAAAAGCAAACAAGTTCAAGTTCCAAATAATGCAAGGATTCTTAGACCCATAGAGAACACCTTTAGGAAGAATAAACAGTATTTGTAGAGAATAATACTAGGAAATAGAATGCAGTGCAAAATTCTGAGAGATTTCCTCACATAAAATGTGATTATGAATTTGACATGACTATTTCATATATTGTGCAAGCTTCAATACAGGACAGTGTTATCTAAGGGGAAGAAAGAAGATATGGTCCAAGTAAAAAGAGAGCAAAAACTGTCTACTCCCACAGTTGGTCTATATACTGAAAAGGAACACCACACTTCAGGCTGGGTGGGTGGCTCATGCCTATAATTTCAGCACTTTGGGAGGCCAAGACAGGAGGATCACTAGAGCACAGGAGTTTGGGAAGAGCCTGGGCAACATAGCAAGACTCCATCTCTATAAAAATGAAAATATAAATAATTAAATAAAATAAAACCATTCCTCACTGTCTCTATAAACATGAGTTTGCTCTTATTTTGTCAATAGCATGACTCTTTTTGCAGGAGTCTCCTGCCCAAGCAAAATGGTTTGATTGTTCACTATAGGAACTTCCTTAAAGATCTCCTCAATGACAAACATCAACAGGCATTGACTCACTCACCACAAAATCCTTATCTTGCTGCTTCAAACGGTCTTAGTTGTATCCTTATCCTTACCCAACTCTAATCAAATTTTCTCTGTTTGAAAGACTTGCCTTAAATCAAACTTCCAATTCTCAACAAACTGACTTTTACTCTCCCCACCCCAATCCACTGTCATATCTTTGTGAGATTGCATTCTCTCTTACCCAGATAAGAAACAATTTCAGGTTTGTCTAACCAACAGGTTCTGTAGGTAATATCTGGGGAGTGAGAGATCATACGTGACAATAGAACTCTGATGCACAACCTCTGCAGCAATCAATGCAGGAGAATTAGGACTTGGTCAAGGACTGTCAGCTTCCCCAATTTTTGCCCTGCTTTGAATGCAGGGCCAACCCCAGAGAAAGTCAATTATGTTCCCTAGCCAAACATAAAAGATGCCTCCCATTCTAGGTTGCCCACCTACAGCTTCCCCATGCCAACAACCTCCAATCAGAGCAAAACTGAGGTCTTCCCAGATTCTTTTTTTTTTTAGTACAAAGTTAACCCACTTCTCTGTCTACCTTTGAGTCTCTGCCACAAGTGTGACTTCTGTGAGTCACACAAGTGAAGGTCGGTGACCTTTGTTATAACAAGGTCTGATTGAGTGGCCTCTATTTGCTCTCATTTTGGCGACCTTCCTTGCTTTCTATGAGAGCCAGCTTTTGACAGGACTTGAAAAATACAGGAGAAGCTTTTAGAATAATGAATTGATAGCATGTTTTTCAGAATTATTAATTTTCCAGTCAAGCTTTTAACAGGAATTAGTAAACTCCCTGCCCAGCCAAGAGTTTCAGGGACAGCTGAGTTTTAGATACTACTATTATCCTCATATGAAACTGAAGATACCAATAAGCAAGCATTGCTGAACAATTTAATCCAATCCATGTATAAAAATCATCCTCAAATCATGCCTCTTTTTAAAAAAATAACTTTTCTACATCTCTCAATTTGCATCCTCTAATTCCACATCTAGTTATCATGTACTTAGATAAGCACAATTCATTTTTTTCTACTTCAGCACCACTTACAACAATCCTAAATTGTCGATTTTATTATCTTTTAAACCCTTCTTACATGCCAACCACATTTCTAAGTATGTACTTTTTTTAACCAGGCACCAAAATAAATTAAAAAGTAGAATATAAAGGATTATAAAATTATCATTTTTCTTACATAGAGTGGAGAGGGAAAACCCTACAGTTCTTCATGCAGAATGAAGACAAAACAAATAATATGCCTTCTAAGAGAGGCACATAATTTTTCTCCAGGGTGGATGATTACTCAGAAAAATAATGTTACAGGTTGTTTTGGTATCACAAGTAAAAGGACTGCTGCAAGAAGAAAAATAGAAAACTGAATTTCATACATAAGAAAATGTGGAGAAACAAGAGGAAGAAGAAGTAGTAAGGAAAGTTTCGTGCTTGGAGAGTGTTGTTTGTGAATCCCAACACTTATCCTAAAAGGTGAGGAGATGAGGACATGGATGTTTGATGACAAATGACAGCCTGTGAGGGATTCCAACAGTGTGAATGAAAGAAAGACTGTTAAGAATAATATTCTACTAATAAGAATAGTCTAGTATTCAATTTGTTAGTGTTTTCTACGCTGTGCTACTCAAAATGATTTAGAAAGACTATGCTAAATTCAAGAGCTTTGTTATCACAATGGGTTTGGAGTATCAAAGAAAAAATATGTAGGTGTTTATATCAACACAGAATACAGAAAACAGGCCACAGGAGAGAATTTCAATGACCATGTGAAATCAGGCCAAGAGGTGATGTGTAGAAATGTAGATCCCAAGTGTTCCTATAGATGATGTGAGGGAAATGCTGGCTTTTCTATAATCATTAGGATGGAAACCAACATGAATTTTACTTATTTATTAAAGAAGAATAATCCCTCAGGACCAGAGGATTTGGGAACATCTAGGCAACCAACATCTAAGGGATCGATGGTTCTACCATTGTAGTCATATGAACGTTAATTAATAGGACTAACAATTGGAGTTGTTCTTTCTCTCGCTCTCTTTTTCTTCCTATTTTGAAAAATTTCCCCTATTGCTCAGTCTGTTGGTATTTAGTTATTCTCTGCTTTGAGTTTTAAACTTAAAAAAGTAGTTAAACTTAGTAGTAGTTCCTTTTCATTTCTGCCATCCACGTTTTCCATTACCATATTATGTAATTTGAATGTTACATATTCAAATGTAATACTGAAGTAATGTTTAAAAGGAATTCATTAGCACTACCTATATTCAGAAGGTGGAAGCATGATGTGGAAAGTAAGAAATGTGTGAGGAGTTATTTCACTGGAGATTGAGACCAAAAGAAATGTGATGTGAGAAAGAATTCAGGGCAAGTACGCAGTGCAAAGTGAAAGCAAGTTTATTAAGAAAGTAAAGGAATAAAAGAATGGCTACTCCATAGACAGAGCAGTTCTGAGGTTTGCTGGCTGCCCATTTTTATGGTTATTTATTGATGATATGCTAAACAAGGGGAGGATTATTCATGTCTCCCCTTTTTAGACCATATAAAGTAACTTTCTGACATTGCTATGGCATTTGTAAACTGTCATGGCGCTGGTGAGAGTGTAGCAGTGAGGATGACCAGCGGTCACTCTCGTCGCCAGTTTGGTTTTGGTGGGTTTTGGCCAGCTTCTTTACTGCAACTTGTTTTATCCAGCAAGGTCTTTATGACCTGTATTTTGTGTTGACCTCCTATCTCATCCTGTGACTTAGAATACCTTAACCATCTGGGAATGCAGCCCAGTAGGTTTCAGCCTCATTTTACCCCACTCCTATTTAAGAGGGAGTTGCTCTGGTTCACACGCCCCTGGCATTTCTCCCCTCCCTTTTATAAGTGATCTGTGTGTACTCTGTTAATAATCTAACGTAGGTTAAAGAAAATCTGTGAGACAAAAATTTCAACACAGAAATATGAGGAGAATAGAATAGTATGCACTTGTAACTGGAATTTGCAGGTTTGGGGTAAATCAGATTGCAAACTGCTAAGAATATAAATGGATATCTATTGCACATACCTACCTCCTCACCTTTTATGATAAAGGTTAAGATTCACAAACTATTCTCCAAGCATTGAAACTTTTCTCACTGCTTCACCTTCTTCTTCTTATTTGTTTCTCCACATTTTATTATATCCAAAATTCAGTTATCTATTTTTCTTGTTTCAGCAAGCCTGACTTTTTATACCAAAACAACCTGTAACATTATTTTTCTGAGTAGTACATATATATGTATGTTCCACATATAGATTCCATATATAGCTAATATATATTCCTAATGCATGTATTATATAATATATATAATCTTTGTATATTTAGATTATATATATGAATATATTATTTTTTATTATTTAGCTTCTTAAATTTGAACAATGGGAAATGTGAGATATCTTCTCTTCACTAACAGTTTATCAGAAACCACTATTTATTCTTAATTATCTTCATTGAGGCTCTGCATGAACGTAATGCCATTTTATTGGTTATAATTCAAGATCAAAACAGTCTTTTTTAAAAAATACAAGACCTCCCATTCAAACAATAAGCTCTCTTGAAACTGGATGACAATTATATCTATAGTAAGCACATTTTTATAATCAATATACATAATATTTAACTAGCTTTAATTATTCTCATCAGGAATAAAGTCATGGTACTCACCAGTCATTAATATGTTGGCTTAAGTTTTTAAGCAATGTTTTAAAAGTTAAACTTTTGACCATTAATATTTCCTAGAGAAAATATAATTCAACTGATATTTTTGATAACCATAAAATTATTGACAACATATATTGTACAAAGAATTTTTAAGATTTTCTAAATGCCCATTTATTCTACACATCTTTTAAAACTAGATCAAATGTCACTAGCTTTCCCAACTTCTGTACCTTTTTACTAAGCATTATGTGCCAGATCCTATGGCAAATTCTAAGTGGGCAAAACTAAAAACAAAACAGTGTTTCTCACAAGTCTTTCAGCCAATAGTGCTTCTTTTTTAAATAAGACTGGATTTCTCTCAGGGCTTGGCAGTTAGAAATCACTCAGTAAACTTTAGTCTCACCGTCCTCTTTTCCCTTACTTCTTTTTATACCTTTTATGAAGCCTATGTTCCAATATACTTCACTGAAATTACATACTTTTAAGCTTGTTCCCTTACAATGAGCTTGTAGGGTTTCATTTCAGTATTTCAACAGTATAGAATAGTGTTTATTTTAGAATACGCAATCAATTCATTACTTGAAAAGAGATAAAAGTAATAGATATGGAAAAGAGATCTGAAAGATATCAAAAGTATTATAGAAAGATATCAAAAGTATTAGAGATCTGAAAGATATCAAAAGTATTATACATATCAAAAGTATTACAGTAATTTCAATATACTACTTTTCTCCAATGATTTATGGTTGTTACTGAGAAACACTGAAGCTTTCAGAATTTAATGAACATATAAAGATAGGGGGACTTAAAAAGGCCAAAGTATGTAAACAAGTGTCAGGCCTCTGAGCCCAAGCCAAGCCATGGCATCCCCTGTGACTTGCAGGTATACGCCCAGATGGCCTGAAGTAACTGAAGAATCACAAAAGAAGTGAATATGCCCTGCCCCACCTTAACTGATGACATTCCACCACAAAAGAAGTGTAAATGGGCGGTCCTTGCCTTAACTGATGACATTACCTTGTGAAAGTCCTTTTCCTGGCTCATCCTGGCTCAAAAAGCACCCCCACTGAGCACCTTGTGACCCCCCACTCCTGCCCGCCAGAGAACAAACCCCCTTTGACTGTAATTTTCCTTTACCTACCCAAATCCTATAAAACGGCCCCACCCTTATCTCCCTTTGCTGACTCTATTTTCGGACTCAGCCCGCCTGCACCCAGGTGAAATAAACAGCCATGTTGCTCACACAAAGCCTGTTTGGTGGTCTCTTCACACAGACGCGCATGAAAACAAGAGGTGACTATCAAAGTGCCACAACCAAGAATATTTAATGTAACAATTAAAACATGGAAGATATGGACCTTGGTGTGCTGTGTTGTAGGTGGGTGGTTGTTGCTGGGAGAGAGGCTGGGATGCCACATGAAAGAAGTTTTGTCTTTCCTTCATGATAGTTTTGCTTATCATTTGATGTATACAGTAAAATATTTACTTTCCTTTCTCCAACAAGCAGTGATTGTCTCTATGCAACAGTGGTATCAGCGTCTAATATTTTATTAAACTAAGATATAGCAATTCCTTTGGCCTGAAGCCAAAATAAGAAAACATCCTCAAACCAGACAGTCTCCTACCCCAGTTGCTTTTATTCAAAACTAAGGAATCTAGTGGAAACAAAAGTGTGAAATTTCCAGGGAAAAAACAAATACCCAGGTTTCATTAGCTCTTGGTACAATACAGATTTTCTCTTGTTTCTGAACCAGTAAGCAGAATAATACTACAGTTGTCTTTAAAAATAATATAAACAGTATAAAAAAATGTAGAAAACTTTACAAAATGGCAAGTCCTGGAAAAAGAATTACAAAAGAACAAAAAATATATCTTTTAAAGTTTAATTTCACTGGTAATTGGAAGTGAGATATTTCATTCTTCATTTAAACATTTGTCCAAATAAACATAAAATCTGGAAAGAGTTTCTTTAACAATCTCATGTTGGCACACACATAGCAAAATGGAAATCCTCATACTCTACTAGTGGGAGATAAATAAAAAAAAAATATTCTGAACGCAATTTCCCAATACAAATCAACTGGTTTTAAAACATTCTTGCACTCACCTAGCCATTTACAACTCCTCTTATATAATGAGAAATAAGCATTGATCAAAAAGACCTTAGGGTTCTCCTCAGCTTGGAAAAACTCCGTACCTGCTTCCTTCTGACTAGGCCCTGATTTCCCTTTTCTTACAGCATTTTTTTCTTTACTTTAAAAAACTTGCAATAGTAAATTTTTCCTATGCCCTTATGTAAATATTTTTAAAAGCCTCTTGCCAGTTTTACAACCCAGGAATCTCTTTCTCAAGGACCTGGCAGCCATCTCTTTCAAATGTAAACATCAAGGGAGATAGTGCTGCTGTTTCCCAATTTTGTGGGATGCTGGAAGCCTAACTTCTGCTGGAGCCTTGCTTTAATTATGAAACTACCTCCTGTCACAACAATAAGAGAACATTTATTTTTCCTTTGGGTGAAGCTAATTAGCAAACACTGATGGCCTCTGGTCTCCAGCTCACCCCAGCGCTTAAAAGTCTTCCCACCCTTTGTTTTGGCACAGTCAAGTTCAGACTACATTTTGGTCTTTCTCTCTCCTATTGTGATAGCTTTAAATAAAATCTTCTTTGCCATTCAACTTTGTTCAGTGCAATATGTACTTCTACAGCATAAAACGGTATATATTATTGTATTCATTAATGCATTATTTACGATAGCAAAAAAGAATTTTTAAATATCTAATTATACTAATTACTTAAAGTATAAATATTGTAAAGCAAATAAAATGTACAGAGAAAAAATATATCTTTCCTTTTACAAATCTCTACATACAGGTTTTTAGGTAGAAAAGCAAAGAAACTGTAAGATGAAAATATCTTGCATCTCTTCTCATTCATGGGGTTAACATCTGTTAGTGAATTATTATTTCAAACTGGGCAATACAATTTAATAGAACAATAATATGCAACTAAAAATGCAGAAAAAAGATGCAACTAAAAATGCAGAAAAAAGATACAACATGACATTAAAAACTTTCCACACAGAATTTCATGTAATTGATGAATGTGATGTTCTGCAACTACTTAAATAACAAGCTAAGCCATTGAAAAATGAGGCCCTGTCACAGTTTGAATAGATACAACTGAAGAAGAGAAAATCGGCAATGATGACATGACAGATATTTTCAATGATTTGCATATGATAGGATTAAGAGATACTGTAGCACAGTGGCACTCAAATTGGCTGCCCATTGGAATCAACTTAGGGAATTTTTTAAAATGCTGATTCCTGCGGATGTGGCCTGGGTGTCGGGATTTTTGAAAGCAACCAGACATTTCTAAGGCACAGAAAAAAAACAAAACAAAAACAAAAACAAAACAAAAAAAAACAGGAGAACCACCTCTGTAACCAATACTCCTGGTCCTCTGCATAAGTCCTCCGATGCTCAGCTCTGTTTCCACACTGGCCTGACTTCCAGCCTGACACTCAGCCTGTGGGCTTTATTTATTCACTAGAGCTGGATCAATCTCATTCCATTTATTTCAGAATACTTATAGTTCTTTCTTTGCACAGCTCTGTGATGACTGAGATTTGATAGTAACATGCTTTGATCTCAGTAATCACAGAACCAGGACAAATGAGGATTGTTTGTTCTTCAGCCATCAAGAGTGCCCTAGACTCCAAAGTTATATCTCAACCTCAATGAAAATATTTTATATCTTTCTACATCCCCCAAATGACCCCATTTCTAACCATTCTCCAATTCCTGAAACGATTGGATCTTCTAGAATTAATCATCAAATTATCAGCAAAATTATTTTACACACTCTCTTTGAATATTTCTATCATCATCTTACTCCCATGTGTCCACAGAGGATAATGGTTTTCTTATAGCCCTATTAAGGGGCTTTTTTTTCCCCCATGGCCTTCGAAACAATGGGTTGTTTCTGTTTGCCACTTCCAGACCATTTCCTTCTATTCTCCCTACACTCTCCTCTTTCGATTCTCATGTAACAAACAAGATGCCACCCATGACCCTTCTTCATTTTATTCTTCTACCAACTGCCACTCAATTCCCCTCCTTCCTTGAGGATTTCAGATCATGACTTCATTCTTTCCCAAACTAACTGTAACTTTTTGTGATTTTGACGATTTCAATGATCTTCCTAATAACCTAGCCCAACTGTAACTTTTTGTGATTTTGACGATTTCAATGATCTTCCTAATAACCTAGCCCAGTAGTTTCCTGAGCACTTAGTTTCCATATCTCATCCACTACTATCCTCAACTCACCCTCACCATTTTATTATCCAAATTAAATTGTTTAGCCTATCATAATGAGATGGAATGGAGATCCCTCTTAGAGGCCTACTCCCTGACCCCTACTCCCAAGCATGGAAATAAAATAAAATAAAATCTTGAGTTCCTCCAAAGGAAATTCCAGGCACCTCACTGGTCCTGAGAAGTAAATGAGCAAGAAAGTACTGATAAGCAAGAAAGTAACAGTAGCTTAAAACAGTAGCCAAGAAAGTCAGAGTCACAAGAAGTTTGGTCCTCTATCAAAGCTAAAGATAACATCTTAATTTACATCCCTAAGTTGTTTTCCAGAAACCGGGACCCCCACCAAATGGATTTGTTGGCATGTAGACCTCAGATAAGGAGGATCTGATGACTGAACCCTGACTGCCATTCTTTGCTCTAAATGGCCTCTTCTGAAGGGCCTGAGGAAGTCACACCCAGAGGCCAGAACTAACATTTTTTTCTGTCAATCTCAACGTTTTAGAAAAAGCTTTGCTTCCTTAACAAATCACAAATCAGAAAATCTTTTAATCCACTTATGACCTGTGGGCTCTGGCTTCAAGATGTCCCACCTTTCTAGATCATACCAATATATAGTCTCCATGTATTGATTTATGACTTTACCTATAACCTCTGCCTTCCTGCCTTTAAACCTCCTTATCTACAAGCCATCCAAGAATTTGGGTTTTAAGCACGAGCTCCCAGATTCTCCTTGCGAGGTGCTCTGCAATAAATGTCACACTTTCTCTTGCTGCAATCCTCATGTGAATGTTTAGCTTTGCTGCACCAGACAAATGGACCCAAGTTCAGTTCGGTAACAAAAATGATAGCTCTTTGCATATATACTCCACTCCCTAACATTCTCTTGCCTCATTGTACCCACATGAATAAAAGATCAATCTTGGTTACATCTAACTCTCACCATATTCTTATTTCCGCTTGCACAAACCAAACATGACCAGAGAAAAAGACATAGCTGTACCAACTGATGCATCTTTCAGTTGTGTAAATTAAAAACATTCGGCCAGGCGCAGTGGCTCATGCCTGTAATCCCAGCACTTTGGGAGGCCGAGGCGGGCAGATCACGAGGTCTCAAAAAAAACATTCAAGTCATCCTTGGCTTCACTCTTTCTCTCATACCATAAACTCAATCATCAGCAAACCCCACCAGTTAAACTGTCAATGTGTATCTACAATCTGATCATTTGTCACCACCCTCTGCTGTCACTGTGATCTGGGTGATCTAAACCACCAAAATTTCTCACGTTTCTTACTATAATAGCCTCCTCAGTGATCTCCCTAAGGCGTCCATCAACAAAACACCCAGAGGTCCTTCTAAACTATAAATCAAATCATGTTATTCCTCTACTCAAAATCCTCCAATGACTTCCACTCTCACTTAGTAAAAGGCAAAGTCCTCACTACTGACTACAATTTTCTGTATTGTTCAGTCTGACCTCACTTCCTTTGGCTGTTCTCCCTTGCTTACTCCTCATTAGTTACACCAACCTCCTTTCTATTCCTCCAACATGTTAGGCATGCTTTTACCCCAGAACCTTTACACTTGCTATTCCTTGAGCGAAGTATCTTCTTCCCAAGATATCCCTATAACTCTTCTCTCACCTCCTCCAAACCTTTATCAAATGTTATTGGCTAAGTCACAACCTTATTTAGAACGATAATGCCCCCGCTCCACCATCCCTGTACTCCTGATCCCCCTTCCATGTTCCATAGCATTTATAACCATCCATCACACTATATAATTTTAAAATTATTCTTCTCCCATTAATATGTTTGTCCTTAGGCTTAGTATCTTAAAAAATTGGAAGATGTGCATATCTTACTAACAATTATCACTAATAATTAGCCCTCTATATATTACTTATTTTTACTTGAGTGATAACTCTCAAATGTCAAAATATATTTTCTATACTCTAGAATATATACTTAAATGACTTTTTAGATCTTTGAACTCTAGTAAGAATATTTTGGGATTGTAGCACTGAAATGCATCTTTATAGTTATTTTAAGTATTACAGGTTTTGTTAGAGCTACTAGCTTATAAGAGTGATGACACGGAGCCGTGTTTGGCATTAGCGCAGCATCCATAATCTCATGAGGACTGCATTAATGTGCTTGAATGAAAAAAATGAACTTATTAGGCCTTGGCCTTCCAACATCATATACAATCATAATTCTCTCCTCTCATTTCTCCCTTCTTGTCCTCTCTTCAACTCACCCCTCCTTTTCATTTCACATTTTTTCCACAGAAAGAAATTCACTTGAATATTGTAGTTTAAATAGACATCCAAGCAGACCTCATGTTTAATATGCTTTCAGCATTAGAAATGACACTAATTTTAGGTTTCCTAGTTATTATATCCTTCACTGTAATTAATATAATTCAAAGTACATATTTTAAGATAATGGAAAAAATACTAGTTAGAAAGAGCTTGGCCCTAACCATCTTCTGCTATTACTGAGTATATGAAGTATCACTGCCAAATGAATTTTAACCTGTGTCTCTTTCCAATTAATGACTTCATGAGTTCCTTTAATCCAAAAATCTCTAGGAGATGCCCAGCCTGACTGTGATAAGGTTAAAGCACTGCCAATGGTCTATGAATCCTTTCCAGTGAAAACTGCTCTTTCCTTGAACAACCCTGTTATGAAGTGGTGAAAACATTTGTAAACAAGAAAAAATTGAAAGCTACATAACTGGTCCTTATGTGTTTCTAAGTGACTTATTTCAGAATCTAAAGATTTCATTACTTAGCTAGAAGTGTGCTAGTTTGTTTAACAAAACACCAATGTCACTATTATGAGAATAAAAATGAATTTTATATAGCCTAACATCATACATTTCTCTAATGCTGAACTACAGATGACTTTTGAAGCTAAAAAACAGTCTTTCAAACCGAGCAATTTTCTGCATTACTGCTTGACTTTCTGAAAATAACTAACCTTCTATATAATGGAAAATTGAAAGAAAACAGTGTTACTAAATATTTTCACACCTTGTAATCTGGGGTAAGGAAATGCAGTATGTCTGTCATTGAATGAGACCGCATCTCATCGCAATATTTTCTTTGTCCAGAGTTTATCATAATACAGGAATAATTCTCTAAAGACTACTTTGTCAACTATTTCAACTATGTCCGCCTATTTGATTTGTTGCTCTATCTTTTCTTTAGTCTTTACAACAAAATTATAGTTTGTATTATAGTCAGTATCCTATTTTAATTTATTTCCTTAATTTACTGTTCTACAATAGCTTTCATTTTTTTTTACTGGTCTAATGTAAGGTTCCATTTAATACATATAACCAATACCTTTTATAATTCCACTAGGATATGTATTCACTTCTGGGAATCAGCCATTTCACTGACTGTGAGAATTATGTGATAAATATATTCCAAGTCTCCACCTCCCAGAAAATTCTGAATCCCTTAGATATGCTACCTTCCCACCCTGACTGCCCCTCCTGCAATTTCTCTTGGGTAAGCCAATCTATTGGGTGATATTAAAGGCAAAAAATCTGTAAAAGATTATTTTGGGTGCAAATAATAGAAAACCCAACTAAATGTGGCCAGAACCATAGGAATGTTTTTGATCACTAAAATGGTGTTTGGTTCTGGGATTCCTTCAGTGACTAAATAAGGACCTAGTCTCTTTTACTTAATTACAGCATCATGTTGGGATTTCTTCCCCATGTTAATTACATGACGGTCCCCAGATGGATGCTACCTCTCCAGGATTATAGCCTAAAACCAGCATCACAGGAAGAAAGAGGGAACAAGGGAAATCATTTTCTCCTCATGGGACTATCTTTTAATGTGAAAGAGAGCTTTTGCCTTTTTTCCTTTGATGGCTCTTTCTAGGTAGTGATGCTGAGAAACAGAGCAGAAAGACTCCATGGATGTGCAAACATATGATTTTTGCCCACAATGACTTGACTAAAGCAAAAGAAAGACAACAGGTCAGCAATGCCCAGGAAGCCTATGCAATAGCAAACTCAGGTTAACTCTTTTACACATAATTCTTTTATACATAACTCAACATTATACATAACTCAACATTTATACATAACAACTCTTATACATCACTTAAGTTTCACATATCATTATGTTATTCTTTATGGTACAAATGCTTTTCAAATTCCTTCATTATACTTTGTTCTTTTCTTAAAAAGGAGCTAGCTGGAATGACTACATTTCTAATTATTATAATTATTCTAATTATTGTTTACTATATTTCCATGTGGATTATCTTATCATAATGCCATTAAAACAGGGAGGAGCAGTGTCCTACTTGTATTCCAACCAGGAAAGATACAGACAATCCACTTAGTTGAACGCGCTCTTCTATTTTGTCAAGTTCCAACATTTGGTTTGGTCTAGCCCAAAAAGACTGGGTGACCTATACATATATACTCAACTGATTTTATAGATCTAAATTATATATATGTATACACACACACACACACACACACACACACACACGCATACACATATATAGATACATATATATACACACATATATATGTACACACGTTTTAATTCTTGCTTAGATATCTGCTCCTCAATTATCAACATAGCATTCTCCTCTGAATAATCCCAAAACCTCAACAAAAGGGCAGAACAAATGAATAAACAGGACCTTGCAAAATTTTGGCTGGGTCTTTGTGCAGCTAAAGAAAGAGCCTTAAAATTATGAACCACCCCTCATCCCTACCTCCTCCTGCCTTTTTACTCCCAGTAGTTCAGAAGGTTCACACTTTGAAAGGAATGACAATATAGAACAGAGAGAAATAAAAATAGAAATATTGTTTTATTTACTCAAAAATTCATCCAAATATCCTTTAGCAATTACTATGTGCCAGCCATACCACTAAGCACTGGATAAATACTGGAGAACAAAAGTAATAAGGACCCCTGACCTGGTGGAACTTACAATCTAGTGAGAAAGAGGGACTATAATTAACTAAACAAATACATACACAAAATTATAATTTTTCAACGCTACATGTAAATATATGTCAGATAATACCTATAGTGATAGAGAATAAAAGAAGGAAGTCACTTAGAGAAAATTCCCAGGACAGAAAAGTCTCTTTGAGCTTGTACATCTTAAGGCAAAGACTCATGGACAACAGGACAGGCAAATACAGAGGAGGGGCAAGAGATTTCCACAGAGACTATCATGTACTATTTCTTTAGGCAGCAGCAAACTTCACATGCTCAGATAACTGAAAGGGCACATTAATGGCTAAATCATAGAGTACAAATAGAAGAGTAGCATCAACATGAAGTGTGAAAAGCAGGCAGGGATTAGATCATGGTAGAATTCAGGCATAAGTTCAAAATGAAATGGGGAGTCATTGGCCGTGAAGGGAAAGAGTATGTGTGCATGTGTATATATGTGTATGTGTGTGTAAATATATATATACACACACACACATACACTTAGAGATTACATATATACATGGGTGCACACACACATACACTTGGAGATTACATATATACATGCGTGCACACACACATACACATACAATTTTTCTTATTACTTTCAGGTGAGTAGATTAAAGAAGGAAAAAGAAAAGTTTGGGGATGGATATCTGGGGAAGACTAGCTTCTGCTGAGTTTTCCCAAACATGTTTAATAATTCACATACTGGAATTAGAAGAAGATAATTCTGGAAAGGAGGGTAGGGCAAGAGTCAGGTGAATGAACAGTGCCATATGCTCAAGAGAGGACACTCTGTGTAGTTATATTTAGCTTCCAGCATTAAATTCTTTCATTCATATGTTGTAAAACCTTACATCTTTTATCCATTTTGAGAAAAAAAATTCGAACAAAGCATCTTAGTGTTGATAAGTGAGGAGATATAAAATACTCCATCTCAATTTTCCTTCCAAGTGATGATACTTAGCAAAACTGATATAATAAAATCAACATTAAAAATAACCTCATGTTTGTTCATGTATCTAAAATTACCCAGAGATATTTAGGCATCCAGAGATATTCCAGTATCCCAAGTGATTTTAGGAAATTGCTCCACTTAGATGTCCCACCACAAATTGAGTCTTCAATCCAGAATCAAAATCAAAAAGCAAGCTAGGAGTCAAGCCAAAGAAAAACCTCTGTATAGTCATGCTAACACCACTTTCCAGTGCTAATGAAAGTGCTGCATAGCTATCAGCTTGGACTGCTCATTCACACAAGCATCTATCCTGGTGATAATGCACCTCCTCCCTATGCAAACTGAAGTGTGAAAACACAGGCTCACAACATCACAGAGTTTTAAATGTGGAAAATAAATAAGCAAGAGAGTCAGTTTGAATACTCTTCATATTTTTACTTCATGGAATAATAAAAAATATTATCTCCTACCCAAAAATGTATTTTCACACGGACTAATCATTAATGGGTGGGAAGAGTTTAACCATCTTCCAGTTAAAATATGTATACATATATATGTATATTATATATATTTATATATGTGTTATATATGTATATGTAGAGACATATATGTACTTTGTTGGGTACTATGAATTCAAAGCTAAGCTATGATGTACTTAAGGCAAAATAATTGCTGCAAAGATAAAGTCAGGGTCTTTGAGTTTTTTGTTGACCTTTATTATGGTATGGTGATGTACTCTGTGTGTGGTGTTAAATCCAGAAATAAAAATATATTACTAAGTTTCTAATAATACCTCTGTCTGAAATTTTTCAACTCCCTAAATTAGAAATATAAACTAATTTTGTTTAAACTTTGTAAATAAAATAAAAATTGGTAACATACTGTTTATTTAGTCGTTTTAGGAAAGTAGGTGGATATATTATATCTTCCCTTTCAATGAAATTTTAAAAATATCTGTAAATTAATATTTTTCCATGTAGAAATTTTGGTATATTGTTTTCTAACCTATGAGAAACTTCTAGAGTTCTCATCTAGATACTTTAAAGATATCACAAGTTGCTGAAATTTAATGTAAGTATTTTGCTGTCAAAAGCTTTCAAGGGCAAATTGAAATATACCACTGTATATTCATAATTGAGACATGATTTTAATGGTATAGTCACATGGAATCAGTAGACTGTATCATCTCATAGGTACTGATAATTCTTTTCAGAGAAAGCCATTATAGCAGTTCTTTCAGCATTTCTACCTCAGCTGAACTGTTACTACTTCAAATAAACCAACCATGAACATCCAATCTGACAATGCCCTGTCCACTCAAGATTATTCTGTTATCTATATTCACTCAGTAGGCTGAAAAACTCTGCCCAACTAAGATATCCACATCCTCACCCCAAGAACCTGTAAATATGTTATCTTGTTTAGTGAAATATACACTGCAAATGAGATTTAGGATTCTTATGAGAATGAGGTAGGAAATTATCCTGGATTAGCTGAGTGGGCCACAAGTATAAGCACAAGAGTCCCTGTAAGAGGGAGGCAAGAAGGTAAAAATCAGTGGTAAAAAGATATGGTGACAGAAATAAGAGGTTGTAGTGATACTAGGAAAAAGCTATAAACCAAAAAATTGAGGGGAGGGCCTCTAGAATCTGAAAAAAAGCAAGAAAGTGGATGCTCCTCCAAAGCCTCCACAAATAACATAGCTCTACTAACACCTTGACTTTAGACTTCTGGACTCCAGAAATGTAAGATAATGAATTTGTTCTAATATTAGAACTTTTACTAGAAACTTTCTATTAGAAACTTTGAGCCAGTAATAGCAATAGAAGATTAATACACTTCATTTTTATTTTCTTTCATAACACTTACCTCTACCTGAAATTTCCTGCTTTCTGAATCTCATAAATATATCTGTCCAATTTTGAATAAAAACTCTTTAATATGGACATCAAACTTACCTATCTTGTTGGCTGCAGAAACCACAGAACTTGGAGGAACATCCCAAACATAGTAAGTGATATGGTTCGGCTGTGTCCCCACCCAAATCTCACCTTGAATTGTAATAATCCCTACATGTCAAGGGTGTTGCCAGGTGATGTTAATTGAGTCATGGGGACAGTTTCCCCCATACTGTTCTTGTGGTAGTAAGTTCTCATGACATCTGACGGTTTTATAAATGGAGTTCCCCTGCACATGCTCTCTTGCCTGCTGCCATGTAAGCCATGCTTTTGCTTCTCCTTTGCCTTCCACCATCCCCAGCCATGTGGGACTGTGAGTCCATTAAACCTCTTTCCTTTATAAATTACCCAGTCTTGTCTGTGTCTTTATTAACAGCCTGAGGACAGACTAATACAGTAAATTGGTACCAGGAGTGAGGTGCTACTATAAAGATACCTGAAAACATGGAAATAACTTTGGAACTGGGTAACAGGCAGAGGTTGAAACCACTTGGAGGGCTCAGAAGAGGACAGGAAGATGTGGGAAAGTTTGTAACTTCCTAGAGACTTGTTGAATGGCTTTGACCAAAATGCTGATAGTGATATGGACAATGAAGTCCAGGTTGAGGTGGTCTCAGGTGGAGATGAACAATTTGTTAGGAACTGACACTGACAAGTAAAAGCCACTCTTGCTATGCAAAGGGACTGGCAGCATTTTGCCCCTGCCCTAGAGGTTTGTGGAACTTTGAACTTGAGAGAGACGATTTAGGGTATCTGGTAGAAGAAATTTCTACATGGCAAAGCCTTCAAGAGAAAGCAAGGCATGGAATTTTGGAAACTGGGCACCTGACAATGCAATAGAAAGGAAAAACCCATTTTCTAGGGAGAAATTCAAGCCAGCTGCAGAAATTTGCATAATTAACGAGGAACCAAATGTTAAGCACCAAGATAATGGGGGAAATGTCTCCACAGACCTTCATGGCAGCTCCTCCCATCACAGGCCTGGAGGCCTAGGAGGAAAAATGGTTTATTGGGCCAGGCCCAGGGACCCCACTTGATGCAGCTTTGGGACATGGCACCCTGTACCCCAGACTCTTCAGCTCTAGCTGTGGCTAAAAGGGGCCGATGTACAGCTCAGGCCATTGCTCAGAGGGTGCAAGCCCCAAGCCCTGGTTTACACATGGTGTTGAGCCTGCAGGTGCACAGAAGTCAATAATTGATGTTTGGGAACCTCTGCCTAGATTTCAGAGGATGTATGGAAACTCCTGTATGTCTAGGCAGAAGTTTGCTGCAGGGGCAGGGTCTTCATGGAGAACCTCTGCTAGGGCCGTGTGAAAGGGAATGTGGGGTTGGAGCCCTCCAACAGGGTGCCCTCTGGGGCACTGCCTAGTGGAGCTGTGAGAAGATGGCCACCATCCTCCAGACCCCAGAATTGTAAATCCACTGGCAGCTTGCACTGTGCACCTGGAAAAGCCACAGACACTCAATGCCAGCCCATGAAAGCAGCCAGGAGCGAGGCTGTATCCTGCAAGGCCACAGGGGTGGAGCTGCCCAATGCTGTGGGAATGCACCTCTTGCATCAGCATGCCCTAGATGTGAGACATGCAGTCAAAGGAGATCATTTTGGATCTTTAAGATTTGATTGCCCTGCTGGATTTCTGACTTGGCATGAGGCCTGTAATCCCTGTGTTGTGGCCAATTTCTCCCATTTAAAATAGGTGTATTTATCCAATGCCTGTACCCCCACTGAATCTAGGAAGTAACTAACTTGTTTTTAATTTTACAGGCTCATAGGCAGAAGGGACTTGCCTTGTCTCAGATGTGACTTTGGACTGTGGACTTTTGAGTTAATGCTGAAATGAGTTAAGACTTTGGGGGACTGTTGGGAAGGCATGATTGGTTTTGAAATGTGAGGATATAAGATTTGGGAGGGGCTGGGGGCAGAATGATATGGTTTGGCTGTGTCCCCACCCAAATCTCACCTTTAATTATAATAAGCCCCATGTGTGAAGCACCAGGTGGAGATAATTCAATCATGGGGGCAGTTTCCCCCATACTGTTCTCATGGTAGTGAATAAGTCTCACAAGATCTGATGGTTTTATAAATGGGAGCTCCCCTGCACAAGGCCTGTTGCCTGCCACAATGTGCCTTTGCTTCTCCTTTGCCTACCACCATGACTGTGAGGCCTCCCAAGCCATGTGGAACTGTAAGACCATTAAACCTCTTTCTTTCATAAATTACCCAGTTTCAGGTATGTCATTATTATCAGCATGAGAACAGACTAATACAGTAAATGCTACATTAATATTAAAGGTATAAGGCAAAGACACAGTAGAGATATAAAAATATACAGAGATGAGCATCAAACCTTGTGCAATGGCAGCTGCGTGCTTTCTTCACCTTACATCAGCATTGCTTTTCTTAGGGAAAAAATTATCTGTTTATTTTTTGATTATCCCTGACATGAAGACAGAATGATGACAATATGTTTTCACATAAAATTGTAACCTAGTCATTGTAAATGTTTCATTGAAAAGTCTAAACTTTTCTAGATTAACAAATATTAGTTTTGTTTTATTCTTCAGTCACAATACAACTCTTTCCTGTCCCTGAAGAATGACTAGAGCAATTCCAAATTTAGTCCAACTTAAATGTCAAATATCAAACCTCATTTAGCACTCATCTCCTCCTTGTTCTCAGGGATTCTTCTTAAATTCCTTTTCATCTCACTGTTATCTGCTTATAAGGACACAAGGACTGAGTCAATAGGATGACTATAGCAGGCCTAGTTCTGATGCCTCTCAATAAACTTTCCAGAAGTATACTTTATGTCTCCTATTTTCAACTTTGCTTCTCAGTTTGATTAATTGCAAAATGGAGATAACAGCTTTCTTTCTTACCGCAGGAAGATGTTATATGGTTCAAAAAGCAGGAATTAGAAGAAAATGTTTTGTAAAATGCAAAATAATAAAGATTACTGGAAGTGAGGTTCAGTAAAGACAGGGGAGGGAAATCCCATTTGCTGAGCCACATTAGGTTCCATAAAGGTGTCCATAAAGGTGCCTTACAGATGCTAGAGCACTTTTCCTTCCCAATAACACATTTCAGTATTTGATAATTTAGGATTCAAAAACAGTAGAATCATGACCACATTCGTATTAGCTAATAAGTGTCAGAGCTCAGATTCAGTCAGTCTCCAAAGCTCTTCTTTTCAAAACACCATAGATTATTAAGAAACAAACAAAAAATAAAACAATGTATTACCAATGGAGTTTGACTTCAGAGGTTATAATACATACATCAATAATATGTATAGATGGCAAAAGTACAGTTAACATGTTATGTTTTAAGAATAAAAGCATAATAAAAAAGCAATGTGATGTTTTATATGCCACCGAGTGCAGACTGGTTAGATGAATGATATATTTTTTTTAAAAATTAGTTTGCCAAAGTAAATTTAATTTTTGCATTATAGAATATAAAAACAAAAAATGTCTCAAGGCTACTGACTTCTGGTTAACTCATTTCAAGCATGACATTTGTAAAGATCTTGCTAAGAAAATTTTAAATACTGACTAGATTGGCTATTTCATCTTTCCAAAGGCTATCCTTGTAAAAGAAATAAATATTCAACTGAGTCTAATAGAGTTGATCTCACCGAGTAGAAAGTAGCATGTTGGTTACCAGGCGTTGGGCAGGCTGGCATATTGAGAAGATGATGGTCAAAGAATATTGAATTTCGATTTGATAGAAAGAATAAATTCAATGGATCTATTGCAGAAAATTATGACTATAGATAATAACAATATACTGTCTTGAAAAATGATCAGTGGATGTTGGGTTCTCACCATGAAAGTGGTAACTATGTGCATTAGCTAGATTTAGCCATTTCATAATATATATATATATATATATTTCAAAACATCATGCTGTACATAATACATAATTTTATCTGTCAATTTAAAAATGCAGTAACAAAAAAGTTAGTACTGATTTTACAAATGTAAGTTGCTTGTAATATGAATTCCGAATTTAATATTGGCAGCAAATTCATGTATAATTCCTACTTCTCAGTGCAGTTATGAAATATACCAACAAGTTAGATTACATTTAATATACATGCACAAAATACTCAAAAAATAGCAAGCTAAGATTTCAAAAACATTAGAGGTTTAGAGATGACAATGGCTCTAATGCAAGCACAGAGAACTGAGTCTGTGTTTGTTATACTTGTAATAGAATTCTCTATCAAAAAGTCTAAAAAATAAGGAAAATATATTAAGCTTAGAGACCAAAAGAAGATGATTTGTAACTTTGATGTTTGTGTATTGCACTACATGCTGGCTGTAGTTGATTGGTACAAGAGGAACACCAGATGCAAATATGGTCAGTCACAGTATCTTGACTCTCTGGCCTCAGCTGATTGTTTCCAGAGTAGAAATGTGACCCAAACCTGACAAATCAGAATATAACTCTGGGATTTTTTCACTCTGATGGTAGAGCTCTAAGTTACAGATCTTTGAAGACTGTCTCTTTCAGATGCCATATGGCAAAAAAACTACCATAAGAAGAGATGACAGAGTTTTGGCAGAGTTCTAGACATTTATACAGCTTTAGTTTTTAATCTTCTCTTCGTAATATAGGAGACTTTCAATAAAACAACAATTTTGCCTGTGCTTATTTGAATTAGATTTTCATGACTTATAGAGATACAATTCCTGAATTACACAAAAATGCCAACACCAAAGGAGCAGTCTCTTATGGTGTCAGCAACAGTTTTATTAATGTCACCTCTGGTATTTATTTAAATGTTTTTGATTTGCTTTATTGCCCAAAAAAGACTCAGGCGCAAAAATTTGTGCTTCTACTTTTACTTTAAAGATGAAAGCATTATTCTTTCTTCTTAGGTACATTACCTAAGAATGAATAACTTAGTTTCAGGGCACTGTGTACTGATTATGCTGAGTACTCTATACTCAGAATACACAGCTCAGCTTCCTGAAGTTAACCAGAGCGAATATTAGTGTATTTTATCTCTTGATTATTGTGTTTAATAAAAGTCATTAAATGGAAAAGAAGAACAAAGATAATAGTAAATCAAATACATTAGAAACATATTAAGGGATGAAAGTAAAGGCATTTTGCTAGACTTGTAACATTTATCAATAGCTTCCTAAACTGAGGCACACATATGCATCACCACCACCAGCGCTACCACATTTAAGTACTATGGTTTTTTAAAGTTCACATTTCACTTTTACATTCAAGTAAAATGTTATTCTAGGCATATAATCATGACCCCAGAGTTTGGGGGCATCACAAAAGGTTAATGAAAAAAATGTGTTTTTTGCCAATTTAATTTAAAAGTGGGTATGAGTTTTAAAATGAGAAAAAAGAAAAGAAGAACGCAGTGGACAAGCGAGGCATAAAATACATGTTTTATATGGTTTCTAGTTTTCTTCTGTCTCCATCTAGATTGATGCTAAGTGAGAAAACAGACAGTAACAATTTACACGGGAGCATGATTCTTAATGCTATTCAAGCAACCCTGTACTTCTCATTCCTCCCCTTGAGACAAAATATATTTCCTCCTGCCTTTATCATTATATTGCCTGATTTTTAATAAAAAGGCTCTTGCCCTTCAATTGTTAACAATGGAGTCTTACATCTATATTTAATTCAGACTTTCTTTGTAGGAACTACGTATTTTCACCAGGGATGACATGTCAAGTAATACTAAGAGCTAAAATGAAGCCTCTCCCAAAACATATAAAGACAGACATGTACGCATCCTTGAAGATGGCTGAGATGGTATGATGACTCCACCTCCTTGTATCATGTCCTTGTGTAATCCTATATCCCTGAATGGGGATTTAATGACCCTTCTCTGTTGAAAAGTATGTGGCAGGGGTAACAGTTTACTTCTGAGTTTAACTTACAAAAAGACTGTGGCTTCCATCTAAGTGCCTTCACTTGTTCTCTGGTTACTTGCTCTGAGGGAAACCAGCTGCCATGTAGTGAGCTTCCCTACGGAGAGGCCCATGTGGCGAGTACCTGGCCCAAAGCCAGAGAGGACCTGAGGCCTGCCAACAGCCACACATGGGTGAGCTTGGCAGTTGATGCTCTCCCACTAGAGCCCTGAGATGATTTAATTGCAGCCTTGTAAGAGGCCCTGAGTTAGAAGCACTTAGACTCTGGATGTCTGATCTATAGAAACTGTAAGACAATAAGTGGTTGGTGTTTTCAAGTGCTGAGCTTTGATTGTGTAGTAATAGATAACTAATAGAAAAAGCAGTAAACTTGTCCTCTGACTATAAAACGTTATGATCAACATAAATTTTCAGTGCTGACAAATGCAAATCCATCTAAGTAGGCTGAATAATTGCTAGAATAAAAGGAATCAATCTAGCAAATGTATATCACTATGTCTACATCTCTACATCTCTATACATGTATCTATGTCTATGTTTATATAATTTCTCTGAGGGGGATGGTTAGACATGGAAAAACACTATCCTTGCTGTGGAATGAAGAAACCATCCTATTGTATCCTGGTTCCAGAAAATGTCAACTTTTTCTAATTAACTGCCCTAGTTGTGAGTCTGAACTTATCAAGCAAAGTGCTAATTTTTATGTATTTTATGAGCCATTCATACAGGCTGACATTCTTGACTTTGCCATTGCTATTACCTAAAATATACCAAGGTATTTCATTATGACTGATAAATGAAATTGCCATTTTACTTGCTATATAGTTCTGTTATCAGTACTAAAATTATTACATGTATGCTAGTATCCTGGCCCATGTGACAATGATATTTGTCATCCTGCTGACAAAGTCAAGTTTCTCAGCCAGATATTCCATCACAGTAAGTTTACCAAGTTAAAAAATGCCACTTTCTGAAATCTTGCAGGTAGCAGCAGCCTGCTAGTTTTCTCTCCAGATGGATGCTTTTCCTTTCAATGTCTCTCTTTCAATTAAACATGTACACACTTGGCCAGGTGCGGTGGCTTACGCCTGTAATCCCAGCACTTTGGGAGACTCAGGTGGGTGGATCACCTGAGGTCAGGAGTTCGAGACCAGCCTGGCCAACATGATGAAACCCCATCTCTACTAAAAATACAAAAAATTAGCTGGGCATAGTGGTGGGCGCCTGTTTTCCCAGCTACTCAGGAGGCTGAGGCAGGAGAATCGCTTGAACCTGGGAGGTGGAGGTTGCAGTGAGCTGAGATCAAGCCATTGCACTACAGCCTGGGCAACAATAGTGAAACTCCATCTCCAAAAAAACAAAAATAAAACAAAACAAAGAACCAAAAAAACATGTACACACTTTTCCTACTAAAAACAGAAAATAATCTTAGAATCTCATTATGGTGGTAGCCTAATAATTGTTTAAAGCTCTACTAAGGTAATTTACTACCAGAAAATTCATCTATTTTAAGCACACAATTCAATTTTAGTACCATTATATAGTTGTGCAATAATTATCACAATGCAATTTTAAAATTATTTCATAACTCCCCAAATTGCATTATGCCCATTTGCAGCCTTTCCCCACTCCTCCTCCCAGCACAGATCTGCTTTCTGTCCCTATAGCTTTGCCTTTTCTAAAACTTCCATGTAAGTGGAATAGTGTACTATGTAGTCTTTTGTGTCTAGCACCTTCTGTTTGGCATAATACTTTTGAGATCATTCATGTTGTCGCATGTGTCAGTGATTCATTCCATTTACTGCTGGGTAGTAGTCCATCATATGGATACACCATATTTATTCACCCATTCACAAGATGATGGTCATTTAGGTTTATTCAATTTACCTATAAGATGCTTGTGTGCACATGTGTTTTCATTTATCTTACCTAGATACTAGAAATGTAACTGCTGGATAGAATGTTAAAACACACACACACACACACACACACAACTATTTTCTAAAGTGGCTACTAGATGCAAACTATCCCCAATACTGCATGAGGGTCCTAGTTTCCCCACATACTCACCTATACTTGGTATTCAATTTTAGCAATTTTCATGGGTTTGTAGTTGTAACTCATTGTGAATTTAATATGTGTATTTCCTAATGCCTAATGATGTTGAGTATACTTTATGTGCTTGTTTGCCATTTGTATATTTTTGTTAGGTCTATTCAAATATTTTTCCCATTTTTAAATTGTGTTGTCTTTTTGTATTTTAGTGGCAATTCCTCTTCACCTGTTTTTTTTTTAAATGTCTGTTATCAGATACACATTTTGAAAATGTTTCATTTCACTCTAGCTTGTTTTTATTTTCTTGGTGGTATCTTGTAAAGAGCAAATATTTTTAATTTGATAAAGTTCTATTTGCCATTTTTACACCTTCTTGTCCTTAAAAAAATCCATAATTTGCAGATTACAAATATTCTCTACGTTTTAAGAATTTCATAATTTTAGTTCCTGAATTCATGTCTTTTAGATGTTATTGCACATGGGATTCCATTTGACTCCTCTGACTTCTAATGATTTATGCTGACACTGGAATATCCCATGAGATCCCTTAATCTACCACTAAGTTCATCTATTCACTATAACTTGTTAGACTCAGAACAAAATTAATTTTAAATTTTTAACATTTACTTACCTATTGGCAAAATTTTAAGAAATGTGTAAGAAATTTATTTCACTTCCTCATTTTTAATATTAGAAAGTAGGAATAAAAAGTGTGGAATAAAACATGCAGTATAAATATTATAGTGTCACAGTGTCATCCTTAGGACAGTACACTGTGTAATAATGTTTTATAGAAAGATATGTGAAAATTATACATACATACACACACACACACACACACACACACACACGAATTTCATGTCACTGGTTAATCGAAACCTCAAGCCAGAAGTTTCCTCATGTTGCACTCCTTTGGACATAAGAATCTCCTTACAGCTCTTCTGTCAGTATTCTCCCCCTTTTTCCTGAATAATTACTTTGAAGATCTTTGTTTACAAATGCATCTTAAACTCTGTTCTAATCTATATTTGCCTTTGTCTTGTGTGTGTTATCAAAAACCTTTCAAGGAGCACCTTTGAAGCTTGTATCTTATAATGCGTTCCACCATCACCACGTCCCTTGACCATTATTTGTGCTCCTTCTTCCTTCCCACAGAGTGACTTGTTTTTACTTTCCTGTCATTGATCACAATGCACATCTTAGAGGTGGTCCTGGTATGTGCAGGTGTAAAAGACAATTTGTTCTTTGGATTTGTTAAGAACTGGGCTGTAATGACTTAATCCGTTGCTGGTGAGCACTCAATCCTACCTTCATGCAGTACTGCTCACATGATGCCAACATTCTGCTTGTGGCTTTTGTCCACAGCAGTGTTATTATGAACAATAAGGAGATGTCTACTATAATTGAGGCATTCCAACAGTAAAATTATACAATCAGAAACTAGTTCTTTACCCTAATTTACTCTTTAAAATTTTGGAAATGTTAAAGATAAACATTTCTACTATAATTTTAAAATATTAATAATCAAATAATGAGTTTCAACTAAACTTCTATAGTATTAGTTTTAAATACATTTTCTAATAATATATTTGGATTTTTTTCCTATGATCCACAATATTAGAACCTATTTCTCCTAGGAAATATTTATAAAAACAGAAAAAATATTAACCATACATACAGTATTATATCACAAACACTCAGAGTTGATGATCTTTCTTAAGAATTATACTTAGATTTTCTACACATTACATACATTACTGAAGCCACTTTGATATTTCTCAGCCATTGAAAATCAGTCTGAATGATTCATTAAACTTAATGGGCAGTGTTTTCCTGTCATTGACAGCATGTGGTTTATAATTCCTAAAGAACTTAAAATAGATAATGGAATTGAAACTGAAAGAACAGAGAGCCAAAACAAAGTAGGTTTAAATCAGACAACAAATAATATATTTCACAAGATATAATCATTCACAAGATAAAAATTCTACCTCTGATTCATAATCTGTATTCATAATAGGAGACCTGCATCCCACATTTGTCAATCACTCCCACTAAGACTTCTGTTGAATAATGCAATTGCTTACTAAAGCATTCAGTGTGCCATGGCACTAGTGGCCACCAGTCCATAAATTTCAAATTAATTAGTTGGTAATTTAATCTATATTCACCACTATAATTCTAGTATCATTATGCAGTGGAGTCATTCTTTCCCATATTAATTATATAATTTCAATAGTGTAAAATAAGAGGTATTGCTCTTGAAAGACCTAAAATATTTAGAAAAATAATGAATTACAAGCTCATTACCTGAAAAGAAGCAACACTAGAAGTTTATTACATCTGTAAATGCAATGTGATTTCACCATTTATGCTCAGTACTTACTACTCAGTACTCTTTTATCTTCTAGATCTATCATATTTAGTAGTGGGCATGTTATAGTGACTTTTAAAAATACCCTTAATTTGACTGTATATGCTAGTAGATTATCGCATAACATTCAAGCTTTTAAAATTCTTTCTCATATATGATATGCTTCCCTTGCCTTATGGGAACTTATATTCCAAAGAATGAACATTTATTAAATACGGGATACCAAAAGACCCATGCAGTTTTCTCACTTACTTCAGAAGGCTACAGCACATGGCAGCTATTAATACTTTGTTATAGAAATTGCTTGAATGGACTAGATAAAACAATCACTCTCAGTAGAAAGGAGTAACCCTAAAATGACCTCTGTCTCCATTTGTACCTCCAATTAATATTGAAAATGGTAGCTATACTATAATGTAGTTCCGCGTATCTTAACTAATTTGTAAAAGAGGTATTTCTGTGTTTTGGTGAAACAGAAATTCCAAGTAATACAATAAACTACACAATAATGCAATTATTACTCTTTCTTATTAATATTACTATTTATTATGTGATTTGACTTGATTTGACTTTAGACTGAGCTTACTCTATTTCCTGAAAACACTAGAATTGAACCTACATATTACATATTAAATTGCCAATGAGTTTTAAAAGTGAAGTCTCTCATGGAGGTGATTTCAAGTATGCAGGTATGACTGAAAAGGGCAGAAGTCAGCTAATGGCCCTCTAAATGGCCCCTATAAATATACGGAATGTTGTCACTGGTTTATGACTGAAACTGTTTCAAGAACCTCTCACTGTGTCTGACTGTCTCGTTGAGTCTCAACCTTGTGAAGCCATTTGCTAAAAAAGATGTAACCTATTTCTGATAGCTTCATGTCATATAGGATTAGCTGTACAGCTCCCAGCCATCACAAATTGTTTATTTTATTCTCAGGGATATTCAAAGTAGTTTTCCTCTATTCTTCATATCAACCATATTGTTTATTACCTATTCTTTAATGACCTGAACAAGTGGAGCAAGTTTAATGTTTTAACACTGATAGTCATTTTAGCAAGCATTCAGTAAAATAAAACAAATGATAGGGTAGCCTAGACTGCCTGATACTGAATCTAGCATAGTCAAAGTTCTTGGAATTCTCTCTGCTTTGATTTCAATTGCAGTGATAGGATTTATATAAACTCTGCTTTAAAAACAACAACAACAAAAAAACACCTCTCAATTCTTGTGCCCAAACTTTAAACTATTTTAGACCAATCAAGGATTTTATAAGGTATTGGATCCAGCGCAGAGACGTCTGTAAAATATTCAACTAATAAACAGTTTGTTTTTTTGGCTGTAGTTCTCTGGGTCTGCTGAAAGGGTGTGGCTTTCTTGGTAGCAGATAGTTTTAAATGGTATTCCAGGCAGGAGAAAAAGAACTTAACATAGGCAAGACATGGCGTAACATAGGCAGAAGCGTGCTTGACTTGAGGTAAATATTTAGTAAACATTATTTGAGTGATAGTTCTGTGTGCACCGTTATGAATACAGCAAAAAATAAGGATAAGGTCCTACCATCAAAGAACTTATAATTTGCTTAAGGAAATGTAACAAAAGGAGGTAATAATTAAAACACAATATATAATTTAAATAAGAATGAAAGATCATGAGTCTCATCAGCCAATTCACGGTTAAGTTCATCAATGCATGCTTCAGGTGTTAGAGGCTTCTGGAGTTTACAATCGGGATCAAAATGTTTAATATTTGAAGTGGATATTTTGAGGGATTCTCAGGAAAATAAAGGCATCCTAAAACTCATAGATCACTATGAAATAATTTTTCTTTCTTATTTGAAAGAGGAAAAGAATAGATTTTGGTCATTTTCCTTTAGCAAGACTGCCAAGCAAGATCACTCTGCCCTTTCCTGTTAAGATTCCTGCAGATCTGCTCTGGGAGTGAATAATGAGCACATCCGCTGCTTAAGTCCTCATGTTTATACGCTCTCTCAGTATAAGTCCCTGAATACTCATCAGGGAGATAGGTATCCCTTTGTTTCTCACATCAATTTTTTTTTTTTTTTTTTTTTTTGAGACGGAGTCTCGCTCTGTCGCCCAGGCTGGAGTGCAGTGGCGCGATCTCGGCTCACTGCAAGCTCCGCCTCCCGGGTTCACGCCATTCTCCTGCCTCAGCCTCCCGAGTAGCTGGGACTACAGGCGCCCGCTACCACGCCCGGCTAATTTTTTGTATTTTTAGTAGAGACGGGGTTTCACCGTGTTAGCCCGGATGGTCTCGATCTCCTGACCTCGTGATCCGCCCGCCTCGGCCTCCCAAAGTGCTGGGATTACAGGCGTGATTCTCACATCAATTTAAAGGACTGGCATTTACCTACTGAGGTTGTAATTTGATTTCACCAGGAACTCTCAATCTCTGTCTAGGAAAAGTAATGAAAAACAAAGGGTCAAAACACCCCTTGCCAGAGGGCTAGCCTGATCTGTCTGACCCAGCTGTGAAGTCTAGGATAGTTTGATATTTGCAGATTCCTGCCTTCAGGACTAAACAGGAAAATGATTTTGGAAAAATCGAAATACTATCTGACATTACATTTCATAGGGAAGAAAGGAAACATGATTTCATTGGTCTCATTCTCTTGGAGCTCTGAAGTTTCCTTTTCATTGTTATTAAGATAATAGGAGCATAATCTATTCCAGGGGCAAAACTTTTGCTAATTTGAAAGACACTAAACAAAAGAGAACTAGGGTTTGAATTCGCAAAGTATGCCAGGAAGTAAATACATTGAAGGTGAGAGGAATGAGACAGGCAAAAAAAAAAATCACACTGGCAAAAAACCAAGAGGTATATTTGGGGAATTCTGAAGGAGCCAAGTTGGCTAGGTAAGATGATTTCTGTAGAAATATACTGAGATATGAGACATAATAAATGTAAGTTGAAACCAGGCTGCAGAGTACCTTGAAAGCTATACCACAGAGGAGGCTATTAACGTCAAGGAATCATTTAAAGTTCTTGACTTGGGAAGCAACAAGTTCAAAAGGAGTTTTAAAAAATTTATTTAAAAGGAGGCTCATGTACTTAGCAAGTCAAGATGTGATGAGCCCAGGATTAGGACTGTGGGTACAGGAAAGGAAAGAAAGGGATGAATATGAGAATTGGAACTACTCAAATATTGCAATATCTCATCTTGATAAAAAATTATAGGTTTGTGTATAGAAGGTGGTGAGTGACAGATTCAGGAACGATTAGGTAAAGGATGGTACTATCAAACCAATCACAGAGTTATCAGCTGCCTGAACCATCACTGTGATGGGGTATATGCTGCTATTGCAAATTAACCACAAATTTAGTGTTTTAAACAATCCAAGTTTTTTATTTTACAGTTCTGTATATCACAGTCTGACATTGGTTTCATCAGGCTAAAATCAGTTTCACATGGCTGTGTTCCTTTCGGGTGGCTCTAGAGAAGCACCACTTTCCTTAATCATCAGGTTACTGGTAGGATTCACTTCCATCTGGGTGTAGCACTGAGGTCCCTGTCTCCTTCCTGGCTGTCAGCTGAGGGCCTGTCCCAGCTTTTAGATGCCACCCACCATTCCTTGCCTCAGGGCCCTTTCCTGCATCTAGAAAGCCAGTAACGGCAGGTTGGGTATCTCTCACAGTTGGAATTGTTCTTCCCTCTGTCATAGTATCTCTTTCTGGCCACAACTGGAAAGATTATCTACATTAAGGACTCATGTGATTCATCTGAGCCCACCTGTGTAGTCCAGGATAATTTACCCATCTCAACGTCCATATCCTTAATCAGATCTTCAAATTACCTTTTGTATGTAAGGTGGCATTCACAGGTTCTGAGGATTAGGGTACAGACAACTTTAGGGGGCTGTTAATATGTGTACACCAACAAGGACTATGAAAAAGATTATCTTTCTCTAGAAAAAGAAAAGAGGCAGATTAGGGCAGGCTTTACAAGCACATCTAGCTCATGACAGCACTTTTGCTTATGCAGTTCCCCCTAATCTAGAACACATCAGACTAGTCATTAGCATTCAGATCTAATCTGACTGCCTTTAATACTTTTTCTAACAACTTGAGATCATATTAGCTCCTTCATTCTCTAACTACATGTTAAATTTTAGACATTACCACAGTTTTCCTACATCATGTAAATCAATTCATTCAATAATCCATTCATTCAACAATACTGAGGTTTTGTTAAAGAAACTACTGAAGATATAAGAGTTATAAATATAAACATCAGTCATTGTTGATTTCAAGAGCTCACATATTGCATGAGTTTTAATTTTATCTCCTCAATTAAAATGTTAGTCTCTTGAAGAGAGAATCATACCTTTGGTGTTTCAGCAGTATACTAAACCAAGGTACAATTATATGACTGATCAATTACTAAGAATTTAAAAAATCTAATTAAACTAAAGAGCTTCTGCACAGCCAAAGAAACTATCATCAGAGTGAACAGACAACTAACAGAGTAGGAGAAAATCTTTGAAATCTATTTATGCAACAAAGGCCTAATATCCAGAATCTACAAGGAACTCAAACAAATTTACAAAAAAAAAAAAAAAAAACCATTAAAAAGTGGGCAACGGACACAGACACATCTCAAGTGACATTCATGCAACCACGAAACATATGAAAAAAGCTCAACATCACTGATCATTAGAGAAATACAAATAAAAACCACAATGAGACACCATCTCACACCAGTCAGAATGGCCATTATTAAAAAGCCAAGAAACAACAGATGCTGGTGAGGTGGTGGAGAAATAGGAATGCTTTTACACTGTTAGTGGGAGTGTAAATTAGTTCAACCATTTTGGAAGATAATGTGGCAATTCCTCAAGGACCTAGCACCAGAAATACTATCTGACCCAGCAATTCCATTATTGGATACATACCCAAAGGAATATAAATCATTCTATTACAAAGATACATGCATGCATATGTTCACTGCAGCACTATTCACAATAGCAAGGACAAGGAATCAACCCAAATGCCCATCAATGATAGAATGGATAAAGAAAATGTGGTACATATATACCATGGAATACTATGCAACCATAAAAAAGAATGAGATCATGTCCTTTGCAGGGACATGGATGAAGCTGGAAGCCATTATCCTCAACAAACTAATGCAGGAATAGAAAACCAAACACCACATGTTCTCACTTATAAGTGGGAGATGAACAATGAGATCACATGGACACAGGGAGAGGAACAACCCACACTTGGGCCTGTTGTGTCGGGGTGAGGTCGGGGAAGGATAGAGTATTAGGAGAAATAGCTAATAGATGCTGAGCTTAATACCTGAGGTGATGGGTTCATAGGTGCAGCAAACCATTATGGCACACGTTAACCTATGTAACAAACCTGCACATCCTGCACATGTACCCCAGCACTAAAAATAAAAATGAAAAATAAAAAATAAAAAATCCGTCTTCAATACTAACCTAATAGATTAACCTTTGGTTAACAACTACAGATTTTTAACCACAATAATTATTTAAATTGCATTCAGAATGAGGGAATTTGCATTTTTACTATATAGATTTTTTATACATTATACTTCACCTCATTCTGAAAGTAACTTGTCATGTCACAACATACAAGTAATAGAAACTTGCTATTTTTTAATGTTGTAACACTTCCTGTTGTGTAAGTCAACACATTAACTCTTACACATGGGAAGTTTTCTGTCAAAATACTTCAAGTATGACAGACAACTGTTCTATGGTTATGAGTAATAAACTGAGAAATTTGAGGTAAATCAATACATGAGTCCCAGGCATTTTAGTATCAAAGAAAGCATTTAATACAGGAGGCAAATATTTACTTAGAACTTTGAAGACCAAAATTTCACACTTTTCCCAATTAATAATAGCTAATCTTTATTTTATTTGCATATATTCATAAGGTATAAGTGGAATTTTGCTACATTGATATATTGCATTTTGGAGAAGTCAGGATAGTATATTTTAAAACAGTCTGTGGCTGATCAAATTACAGCTAGAAACACTAGACTTAGTTCAATAATGAAATTTAATCTTGTTATTAAAAAACTAGAGACACTTCTCAACAGGTACCTTTCCAATTGATTTGACCATTACCCTTAGCTAGAGGCATATTTTACAGTGACCAACCACACATAGATGTATAAAAGTGAAACAAAATCTTCATGAAATAAAATCTACTCTTTACTGCACACCTATGTATTCTACTATTCTTCACTCTGATCTATTTTAGTCAATTTGATTCCTTTTTGGTAATGCCAAGTTTAACCAACAAAGTTGATTTCATGACCCATTAATAGATCACCAACAGGTTGGACAACTCTAGTTGCAGAATATTCTATATAATTCACCTAAGAATGTAAAAACATTATTTCTATGTATCAAAAGTCTATAAAAGTAATTCAGGCCAGTTATTTTACAGAACAGGATAGGACAATTTGTTAAATTATATGTAAATGTATTATCATTCATTATAAAACATTTATAAAAAACAACAAATCATAGTTTTATTCACTTTTTATTTACAGAAATGCTCAACAGATTAGAATTTTATTCAATAATTATCATTTGGCATCTCCAGAAAAAGAAACTATAAACATTTTGATAACACATTGAAAGATTGTCTGTTTTCAGTTTAGATTTGTAAATAGTCTTTGCACATAAGGAAACTTGAAATGTTATTTTGAGTTTCCATTGTGAATCAGAACAAACACTCTTATGCATATAAAAACCATGATTTTAAAAAAAGTGCACTATATTTTTCCACTCGTGAAATAACACAGTTGCCAGAATGAAATGTTAAATCAGAGGACTAGGCTTTAAACACTAAAATTAATAACATCTACCAACAGAAAACATATCAAAAATCCCTGTTCTGGAACCATGACTCCACATTCACTGGTGTCATACAAATTTCTATCAACAGAACAGAGCTGAATTTATTGCCATGAGAATATTCTGAGTATGGTAGTGATGTAGAAGAACATTTTTTATATAACTTTGAGTTTAATAAGTGATGACACAAAATTTCCTCTGTCAAGTGTCTTTATTATGTGAAGTCTATTGCAAGGCAATTGAGCAATAGTGAATTTTATTTTTTTAAATTATGAAATCTGAATTAATGTGATGAACTTCAAAAATGCAGCTTAAAGTTTTTAAGATATACATCTTAAAAACACTAAGATTGCTATTCTAATTCCATATCACAAATAAAGTAATAAAACATATTAAAAATAAAATTTGCATGCATTGATTGTCTAGAAAATGAATAAATCAAGGTAAAATTAATAAAAGCAAGCTCAGATGATTTGGATTCATATTGAAAGCCATATATTCAGATTTCAAAATAGTGTTCTATAGAAAAAAAACTGAACATTTGTTAAATATTTATATCAGTCCATTCTCATGCTGCTATAAAGAACGGCCTGAGACTGGGTAAGGAAAGAGGTTTAATTGACTCACGGTTTTGCAGGGCTGGGGAGGCCTTAGGAAACATATAATCATGGCAGAAGGGGAAGCAAACATGTCCTTCTTCATATGGTAGATGCAAGGAGAAGTGCAGTGCAAAAGGGAGAAGTCCATTGTAAAACCACCAGATCTCCTCAGAACTTACTATAAGGAGGAAAGGATGGGAGAAACCGCCCCCATGATTCTATTATCTCCACCTGGTCCCTTCCACCACACGTGGGGATTATGGGAACTACAATTAAAGATGAGATTTTTGTGGCGACACAGCCAAACTCTATCAATATTGATAAGAAGTGGTAAAAGCAAATGCAATTCATGATTTTGCTGAGATAATTTATAACTAAATCAGATATTTTTAAAGGAATCTTAAAAATTAATTCCACCTGAATAAAACTTAGGAATTAATCAAAGAGTAAATTATAAAAAAAAAAACCTGTAAATAACTACTGTAGTTACACAAAGTTAGTGGGACAAACCATATTTAAACATAATTAAGTATCTTAAGGCAGCAAAAACGGTTAAACAATAAATATATAGATCATAAAAATTCAAGATCCCAAAATTGTCATCTGCCACTTATCAGAAAATGTTTATCACACTCAAAATTACAAAAATTGCTACATAAATAGTAAAGCATAACTGTAACAACAGAATTAATCACAAATTGGTTTACTCCAAGAAATTTGGTGTTTTAGGGCTTTTAATCAACATATAGAGGAGAAACACCATTCATATGATTTTTAGGTAACTGGTTCTATGATCTTGAAAATTAGCAATGCTATTCCAGAACTCACATCTTTCTGAATGTTACTGTTTTCCTAGTAGGTCATGGTAATAGGCTACATGCAACTATGGTCACCAACAGTGGCCACCATCAATTCTCCTTATCCCTTTCATGCATATTGCTCCTCTCTTCAAAAGGCAACTTCTCCTCTTTAATTTGAGCTGGGCTAGTGACTTGACTTGCTGTGATCAAGAGAACGTGACTAAAGTGACATTCCTGTACTTCAGAGTCTGAGCCTTAATCAGGCTGGCAGCTTCCATGTTCTCTCTCTGAGAACTTGGCACAAACTAGCTGTCTGAGCAGGCCACATAGAGGAGAACTAAGGGGCTTCAGCTGACACCACAGCCCGACCACCAGCTGACTTGTAGCTGCATGAGCGATCACACCTGAGACCACTCTAAGTGGTCTTGTTCCTGGGACAGGAACAATAAATACACATCATCATGAGAAAAAATAATTGCCAGTGTGTTAAGCCACTAAATTTTAAGGCAGTTTCTATTTTTTTCTTCCAACTTTTATTTTAGGTTCTGGAGGCACATGTGCAGCTTTGTTTCATGGGTAAATTGCATGTTTCTGGGGCTAATGTGGTTTCTTTTACAGAAAAAAGTATCAGAAATAATCGGTTAACTTTTCTCACATGGTCTTAACTCTTCTTCAGGAAATATCTAACTTGTAAGTGCAATCCTTCTTGTATAGCTGCCAGACCAGACCCAGATAGACCATAATAAAATAAAATACACAGTCAGTTTTTAATGCAAGCCAGAATGACTCTTCTGTATCTTTAGCCTTTCCAGGGAATACAGTGAACTCAGATATCCCTGCTAAATCAGATGAGCAAATTGCAACAGCCTGGTCTCCGTTCTTGGGGATCCTGAAAGGGAACGCAGTGTGTGTATTCATGAGCTTCCATCACACAACCAGACTGCTGAAACACACAGCATGTTATCACTGCTTTTTTTAGGCACTAAGTTTTATATTATACACTTTTCTGTTGTTTTTCTGGCTGTTGAGAATCATCAGTAAGTATGAAAATTAAAGGTGGGATAAAAAGATAAACAGTAGTTTGATCACAAAAACACAAGGCTGTATACAAGCATAATCAGGAAAAACATATTATTTAATGAATATTTGAATCACTATGTCCCCCAAAATGTGCAAACTTGATAATTTCAGATAGTTCATCTAAAAAAATTACTAAACTGCCATGAGGAAGATTGTATTCTGGTCTCACATTTAATGCTGAGTATCCCTGTTCAAGTCGCTTAACTTCTTTATGCCTCATTTTACTGAACAATTAGAATGATAATACCTGTCCCTACATACATCACAGGAAATTTGTTCAAATAAATGAGATAACATATATGAAAGTGCTTTTGAAGACTACCTGTGAGGGTAGTTAATAACACAAGAGAAAAATGTAAGGCATGGAATACAGAAGTTGGAGGGGAATTTAGAGGTCAGGCTATGCAACATTTCTTCTGCATTATCATTCACCTTGTGCTTGACCTACATTGTAAAGGCGGGTCATTTCATTTTCAGACAGCTCTAATTATTAGTAATGAGCTTAAATAATCTGTGTCCTTGTCACTTCTGCCCTCTGGCCCTATTTCTTTCCTCCAGAGAACGATGGAACATTTCTATTATGCCCCCAGTTCAATTTGGTACAAAAGCATATTGTCAGAAATGAGCTAAGACTTAGGCCACAGACATAAATAACATGTTAGTAAGATGAGGTCTGAGTTCTCACATCCCTTGCAGTCTAGAGGAGACAGACGCAAGTATCAATAAATTAATGTCTTTCAATATGGTAAGTCCTAAAACAATAAAGATAGAACAGAAACACAAAGAGAACACAAAAGAGGGATTGGTTCACACCTGGGAATATTAAGGAAGTCCTCACAGAGGAGGTATCTCTAGACCTGAACTTTCAAAGACAATGATGTGAATGAGTTTGCGGGAAAATGTTAAAAAGTGACTGTGGGGAAAGGCAATACAGTAACAATCGTTGAATTATATGCACCCAATATCACCCTGGTAAAAAAATTCTTAAAACATCTATATATCATCTTTACAGCAAATAATCTACTTTCCAACCATTAAAACTACTGTAATTTCTCTGACTGTATTACAATCTTAAGAATGAGAATTAGAAACAATATGCAAAGTCCCAGACATAAATTATAGAAAGAATGCCTTTTTTTGATACAATCAAATACTGCAACTTGTTTATTTGGGCAAGGAGGAGGAGTTGTAGAAGCCACTTGTGAGAAAAAAAAAAGTAATCAAAAGAACACCTAGTTCATCTTCAACTAAGCACTTTAAAGTGTGGCTTCACTAATCTTTCTGCAGGACTGTATTTACTGTTTCAATGTAAATGTAGAATTTAATATCTATTCCTTTAAATTTTCACTTTGTTGACACTGATTCTAGTCAAAATTTACTGAATTCTGATTTTGTCATATATTAATTATGCCACGCATTTTTATGATATTTGAAATCCTGAGAAACTCACCCATGTTATCTGTGCTCATCTAAATTACTGATGAGACAAACAGATAAAGGAAGAGGACCACAAGTAAACCCCACCACCACAATCCTCCACCTTATTGAACACCTGATAAACAACACTACGTACATGTGGCTACTTCGGCCCCCAGGCTTCAGACACCAAATAAGCTGTTTCCAAGTTCAAGAACTGTATGTCTAGATATCTTCTAGAATTTTCGTGTAGATACCCAACAAGAACTCTAAATTCAGTAGTCCAAAACTCCTTTTTTATTTCTATTTGTCCCTGAAATATTTTCCTGTTACTATCCAACTTGCTTAAAGGCAGTTTTATCCAAATAGTCTCATCTAGAAATGACAGTTCTTTTTTTCACAAAATAATTTGTTCTTTAAATAGCAAATAAGTTTTAAATATCCACAAACTGATGTTTGTAGCAAACATTTTTGCCTATTTTAAATTTTCACTGGGAAAACCAAGCCAATGCAGCTTCAGGAGTCGTACCTTTCCAGTTAGATAGCTTATGCAATCACACAGAGAAAAGATGCTTTGAGTATGACAAGTGTCTGTTGCCTAACGCTCTAGAGTTACTCCTAGCCTGCCAACAACTGGCCACAAACCAGGCATGATGTAATTTCTGACCTGGTTTTAGAAGGCATATGTTAATATCTCCATGACGATGTTGATGAAAATTTGTAACACCAAAAGGTTTTCCTGCTATGAACTTTTAGCATTTTATGGCTGCACCTGGTATTTTGCAGTCCCATTAAGTAATTAAGTGGGTCTTCATTTTGTCAAAGTGTCTTTGCTCTTAAGTATGACCCTTCAACTCCAGGCATAGCCAGTGGTAACTGGAATTTAAGTAGTCAAAAACAATGAAATCCTGCATAAATTTTCTTCTGTAATTATAAGATTCAATAATCTGTGACCTAATGCTCTATAAAGCAATTCATGCTGAAAGTGGGGCTCTACCAACCACCTGAACATTTTCTAATTGCATTTACTGACCAGATGATTCACGCAATCTTTTTCTCAGCAAGTTTATCAAGAATAATTTTTGTTGTAAAAAAATTAACTTTAAAAAAAATCTCGAATTCTCCAAAGTTTATACTCAAGAGTAAAAAAACTAATAAATATCCAAAATAATAAATATCTTATCAGTATATTTATTAAACCAATATAAAATCTTGGTTTAATATTTTATATTGGTTTAATGAATATATTATATTTATATCGTGGTTATATTTGTTTAATAAGTATATTAAACCAATATAATAAATATCTGCCATGGCCAGAAATTATCTCATTTAATCCTCAAAATAATAAAATAGATAATATTAGCGAGACACAGAAGAACGTGGGTAAAGTTATGGATCAGGGGACAGAAGCCCGATTCAATTCTTATGCTTGCATTCACCTGTCTGGGTAAATTACTTAACCTCTTTCTACTTCAGTTTCCTAATTTAGAAAGTGAGCATGACCGTTGTGGTACCATTCCCTAGAGTTGTCTGAGAATTAAATAAGTTAATTCATTTAAGGCCCTTAGAATAAGAAAAGTGAATTGAGACACAAAGAGGTTAACTCATTTGTTGAAAGTTACAAAGTCAATAAATAACATTGCCCTGATTCAGACAAATTTCTGTTACCTAAGTCCAGTTCACTTGCTCTACCACAGCTGCATGAGAGCCTACTATTTTAAGGATACAGCCAAGATAAGGACATCAAGTAGTGCCAAAATTACTCTAAAAGTCCTCAGGACAGGAAGTATAACCTTCAGAAATGATTTTATGTCTGGAATGTCTTTTAATGTAAATCACTCTCAGTTGGTACATAGGAAGCCCCTTACCTGCTATTCGATATAAGAACACAACTTGAATTAATGAAAATAGGTAGCAAAATACAGGTTTCTGCTAGAAAATTAAAAATGTTGTTCAGAAAGTAGAAATGTTATTCTCTGTGTAAGAACATATGTTAAGAGACAAACCTGAATATATTTTTGCATATACATAACTCTACTCTTGCCAGGAATATTTGAAGACTTTATATTAAGACTCAAAACTAGAACAGAAAATGTGGTACACAGAAACAGCTGACAGATGTTGGCAAACAAGCCAGCACATATAACCCTTCCCAACCTCAGAGATAATTATACCCTTCACCAGCAATCAGACATACCCTTTGCAGCTCTGGCCTTCGGTGGACCTGTAATTGTGCAAATTGTTTATTTTACAATCACCCAGATTATTTCATGATACTCTGTCTATGCCTTTCAAAATATTTTTAAATGAAACCTTACTCATAATCATAATAATTTTGCTAAGTGGTATCCTTAGTTATGCTCCTGGTTATAAAAGGGAAAAAATATCTTCTAATTTAGTCTACAGTGAAATTATATGCAATATCTCATTCATTCATTCATTTCCATATAATTGGTTTTGAAAAATGTAAATAAATTTTCCGGGGAAAACTCTACATAAGTGCATGTAAACACAGACACAGTCATTTCAGATGTGCAGCTATTATGTCATTAGTAATTTATTTTTGCACAAATATTTATTGAGTGTTTATTCTGCGGCAATGTTTGATGAATAGAAAGATAAACAGGGCACAGTTTCTCCGTGAAAAAGTTCAAGTGATTAAAAAAAATGTCAGACTCTTAAATCTGGATTTCAAATCTCTGCACCCACTGGTCCTGACCAAACTTTCCAGAAAAATTTGCACTAACTTCCATCAATGATCTGAAGCACCAGTTAAAACAGGTTCTTTTGAATTTCCAAATACATCCTGAACTTACCCAGTTCACATATTATTCTAAGGGTTTGAGATGTTTCCCCAAATTCTGTCAATTTAAATTCAATATATCTTTTAATATTATCTTAACTAATTTTTCCATGATCTTCACCAATCAAAAATAATCTATATTTTTTCAGCACTTTCAAATTACTTTTACATGACATTTCAGACTTTGCAGTGGGTTTGGTAACTCTTACTATAAGAAAGTTCTGTAAAGGCAGAGTCTATATCTAAATTTTTATGTCCTACACATTCTAGCATAGTAGCTTACATATACAAATTATTCTGCAAATATTTACTGAAATAAGTTTTTTTAAATAATTAAGACTTTCAGTTTAAGCACATATCATTTTGTGATACGAAACTGACTTACCCTTCTGATATGGTTTGGCTGTGTCCCAACCCAAAATCTCATTTTGATTGTAACCCCATAATCCCCATAATGCCCAGATGTCAAGGGAGAGACGAGGTGGAGATAATTGGATCATGGAAGCAGTTTCCCCCATGCTGTTCGTGTTGTCATAAGAGCTCACTCACGACATCTGATGGTTTTATGATTGTTTGGTAGTTCCTCCTGCATTCATCATTCTTCCTGCCACCTTGTGAAGAAGGTCCCTTGTTCCCCGTTCGTCTTCAGCCATGATTCTAAGTTTCCTGAAGCTTCCCCAGCCATGGTGAGCTGTGAGTCAATTAAACCTCTTTTTTTTTTTTTTCATAAATTACCCAGTCTTGGGTAGTTCTTTATAGCAGTGTGAAAACGAACTATTACATCTTCACTTTTTCATTCCATTTGACACCACCCTCACTCCCACACACACAAACTTTGGCATTCCCACATATTAATTTGTAGAACTCAGGAAAATTTTCACAAGCCAAAGGCAATTGGAGCCCTCAGGAAAGATACTCAAGCTAAATCCAAGTAAAGGAAAATTTACTCACCCCTCCTACCATGACATGTCCCAGTGTCAAAGGCACAAGGGTTTCACTGATCACAGGGCTTGCAGATCCCACAGACTTTTATAGAACAGCTAGCCAAGGAGACAAAATTTCATCTTTACTTTCCTTCCATTTGTACTTCTCTGACTACATTATTTGAGGGCAGGCTAGCCAAGTTTCAGAATTGCTTCAGTTAGAGTGGTACCAACAATTTGAACAAGTACATTTAATATTATAATTTAATCTTATATCTTTAAAGCAAAAAATAGTTTACTGCTTTTTAAAAATATATACAACAGAAGATAAAATTAACTTAGCTAGTGTTGATATTAAAAAGGCAAATAATGTTAGTAATGAGGTAAAAGGAACATGGTCTACTAGAAGTTACAATCTCTGGGAAGTTTATATTTTATGGTTGCTTATAAAGTGGACAATTATTTGGTTTGCCTAAAACTGTGGCGGTCCCCAGGACTTGAGATTTACAGTGCTAAAACCAGTACAGTGCTGAACATATCATGATGCATTTGTCAACCTATTTACAAAAATATGAGAAATAATATTTTCAGCTATTCAGCAACACCAGTTTCCAGATAGACAATATGGATTGAGCTGAAGTGGAGAGGCAATAGTATGTCACATGTTGGAATAAGAGATTGGCAGTAGGCAAGGATGAAGCAATGAAAAACTGTGAGAGTGCTTTTCTGTATCAACAGTGTCAGAGGAAGAAATACTGTTTTAAATTATCCAAGCATAAATTCTACTCTACCTAGACAGACAGAGGTAACTGAGAGATTTCCTAATTCAAGAGACCTATACCTATGCAAAAACAAGATCCAAAAAGGATGATGTGAATGTTTACCTGTCAACTTCTTTTCTATTTTAAGGTCTGATACAAGAACTGTAACAGCACCCCGGGGGTTGAAGAGCAGGACAATTAGAACCTTTCTCAATCAATTACTATTCAAATAACAGACATGGAAAGTCCTCTTCATTCAACAGTAAATAAAGTAAAATGAGACTACAGGGCCAGGTGCAGTGGCTCACGCCTGTAATCCTAGCACTTTGAGAGGCTGAGGCAGGCGGATCACGAGATTGGGAGATGTAGACCATCCTGGCCAACATGGTGAAAACCCATCTCTACTAAAAAAAAAAAAAAAAATACAAAAATTAGCCTGGCGTGGTGGCACACACCTATAATCTCAGCTACTAGGGAAGCTGAGGCAGGAGAATAGCTTGAACCCGGAAGGTGGAGGTTGAAGTGAGCTGAGATCGCACCACTGCATTCCAGCCTGGGCAACAGAGCGAGATTCTGTCTCAAAAAAAAAAAAAAAAAAAAAAAAAAAAAAACTGCAGAACTACACACAGACACATACACACAAACGCATATTTATAAGAAGGGCAGTAATATTGGTTGAAAGGTATGTATATATCAAATAAAGGGCACAGGCTGTTAAAGAAGTAGTTTTAGTCAACATAAGTACAATGGCAAAAACAAAATCAGAAGCCATACACAAAGTCCTTATGTAGAAAACTAAACCTACAATATAAATTACAAATGAGAAGACTCTCACATTATGCAAGGAAATAAAGCTATGTGGAAGCAAATGAAACATAGGATATTGATGTTCTTAAAGAAAACAGCAGAACACATGGCACAGACACAACATTCAAAAATTAAATAATTTATTTGGAATGCTAACCTTCAAAACTGAAGGGGTTATCAATTATACATCAACTTAATTAAAAACCATCAACAGTTAGGCCTATTTCAGGGATTTTTTTCTAGTTCTTTGAGGATAATGAAAAAAGTCAGGTAGAGAAAAGCAGGTCATGTGCACCAGGAATCACACTTGCCTCAGACTTCTCTTCACCACTAAATGATAAAGATCACGCAAGCAATGTCTACAGGAACGCTAGCTATCTGTGACCCTAAATGGCCTGTTGTCATTTCTTTTTTCTATCCAAGCTTAAAAATACATAGTTGAATATGAATGCCTTCAGAATAGGTCTGCGCCTTTGCATCATGCTATAGACTTTACCTATGATCTTACATTAGGCATATTTCACAATTTACATTTCCAGCTTGTACCGTGTAGGCGTTTGTGAGTTTTCTTTAACCTCTAGTTTATGGAGAATTTTATAACTAATTAATATTTAATTTGTGTCTGAAGCAAAATAATTTGATTTCTGATATAATATCTTCATGTAACTCTGAAAAATATATCAAAAAATGAGCACTGGCTACCTATAAATAAAATAAATGATAGTAATAGGGAAGACCTAGTTTATTAAGTGTTGGTAGACTATGTTGAAAACAGTGAAAATGCGGAGGTTTCTCTCAATGTTTGTCACAAATAGGGTGCACCACAAAATGTAATTGTAAAAATTTTGGACTCAAAGATAAAAATATAACGGTTCCATGTTATATAAGGATATATCAACAAAACCTGTGAAACAAGTGAGTTAAGGGCATAGGGGAAGTAAAGAGTACAGATTCCCCCATTTAATATACATTAAGTTGATATAATATCCTCATTAACATTAATAGAGAAATATAGGTTCAAGTATTAAGTAAAGAAACAAACAAACAAAAAACTAAAATGGAACTACCAGGAGAATTTGAAAAGGAAAATAAATCTTTCTAAAACTTCCCCCCAATCATTAGAGAAAAAAAAAGAAATGAAAATAAATTCCACATATTAAAAGAAAAAAACAAATGTAATAATACACACAAAAAACAAAAGGCACGAATCAAAACAGCAAATATAACAGCCTATCAGCTGTGACAGTAAAAGTCAATGGATTAATGCCCTTATTAAAATACAAATATTTTCAGATTGTGAATAAAAATCAACTATATGCAGTTTTCAAAAACACCATAAAAGAAAATGTCATACAAAGGTAAGGCGAAATGTACACTCAAGGACAAATATATCAATTTCAGACAAAGTGGAATGTTTTTTAATGGGTGTGTTTGTTTAGTATCAGTCTAAATAGACTCTAGACTCTAAAATTAGATAGAACTTGCTTCTTTCAAAAAAAAAATAACAGTTTGCACTGCCAGAAAATGACCGTAATTCAAAAGTGGTGTCAAGGAGACAATTTTATTATGTAAGAGTCAGCATATTTACTATTTGACAATGAAAGTAAATTCCTATCAAAATTTATAATAAATATACTAACAACTTTGTTTCTGTATCCCAAGACAGTATCTTTGCAGAAATAGAATGGAAACTTGATCTGGACAGCAGAATTTCTGAGTCCTCCTCTGAGGTCTACATTTCACAACCTTGATGCTGCAAAAGCCATCATTTAATATGTTATCTGCTTCGGTTTTCTTAATTATGTAAAGAAAATAATAATGCCTTCCCCATCTACATTTATACAAGAGTGTAGGAAGTAAAAAAGGCATTCTCAGTCAAAAATAACTTGTAAATGTTTCTTAGAACTCCTTACCTGTCATGTTGTGTTTTGGAAACACTGTTTCACCATTACTCCTTTTCGAATTTTAAGAACCTATTTAATATTGAAGAATTGGGAACAAATAACTGTGCAAGAAGGAATAAAAATCAACTGACATGCTAAAACTGAGTAGAAGATCAACCCAGGAGATATGGTTCCAAAGTATAACTTTTAGAATACTTACTTTCTAGCCAAAGGTTGAGGGAGTGAAAATGGGGCTGTTTGGTTCTCTTTTTTTATTCATTACACCCTATTTTTCCATTAATTTGCAGATAAATCTTTAGTAAAAGTCTCCAAGAAAGTACATGATAGACTGAAAAGTCACCTTTTTCATACTAAGGAAAACCAGCATTGACTACAGCGTCAATTTTTGCATATAATTTTTTGAAGCAATTCAGCAGCATGTATGTGTTATTTGCTTTCATTTTCTTCTAAGCAAAAATTCACATAATTCTATACTTCTATCTTGAAATTGCCTATAATTAATATACCAATCAAAGTTTTGTCCATAACAATATCAAAAATGGCCATTATGTCTCTGGGTGGTGGACACTTGTAATCCCAGCTACTCAGGAGGCTGAGGCAGAAGAATCGCTTGAACCCAGGAGGCAGAGGTTGCAGTGAGCTGAGATCATGCCACTGCACTCCAGCCTGGGCAATGGGAGCAAAACTCTGTCTCAAAAAAAATAAAAATAAAATAAAATAAAAACGAAACATAACATCTCTGGACTGCATTTCAATATAAATTAAACAAAATATGTATAAAAGAGGAAGACACACCTGAAGCTTTTCTTAGTACCATCTGCTCAGTTGCTCATTGTAATGTGAAGTTCAAAAAGATTTTTTTAAATTTTAGAACACTATTGTGAACCGCTGTTTGACGGCCATAATAAATTTTTTGAGTGCTATGAAGCCTCTGTTTCCCTAAAATTAAAAGGCATAAATAGATAATTTAATTTCTAGTTTTCCTTTCTGTATTGTCTCAGCTGTTTAATAAAGCAGGACACTGGATATTGTAATAAATTAATCTGAAACACGAATAAAATTAGAAATCCCATACCAATATTTTTATAAATTTTGGAACATTTTTCAAAATACTTTACTTACTAAAAAAAAATCACCTTTTTATATCTTCTTGTTATTTTATTATTAATAGCTTGGTTATGTGCATATAGGAAAAAAAAAACCTTTGAACTCAAAATTAACAATACATTAACTCCAGGTACTATTATTTATTTTATATTTTCTCTCCCTGGTAATTTTTTTCAATGGACTTAGAATCTTCTACATGTAGTATAGTGCAGTAGAATATATACTCTCTAAGACATCAAGATGCCCATGTGGTCTTGGCTTGAAAACAATCTAGAGGCATCTTCTGATTTTCTAGAATTCAGTTTAGTCTTCCATAAAGTGCAGAGAAAATATGTACTCAACTATTTTTCAGTTTCAAGACTATAGGATTCCTCATTCACCTTTATCACTTCCCTCAAGTAATTGTGTTTTGGCTTTTAAAATTGTAGAATTGTAAAAATAAAGTTAAAAGAATCACTTATTTCAAAAATGGTTTGATAAAGTTACAAATTTTAATTGCTTATGGATATAAGTTGCTGGACTATCTTAAAGGAGAGATTTTAAATGAGGGTTATACTATGTTTTCTTCTCAATGATGTAGAACTCAGATAGGTCAGGTCTAAACATTTATCTAAACTCTTGTACAAGTTTTGTCTTGCAAATTTTACAGCAATCTAACAGGTTAGCTGACTGTGCCTGGCTAAATACAGTGAAATTATAGTAGGAAAAAGGAACAACATAAATAACAACTTTTTAATTTAATTTATCAAGTTCCAGGCAATCTTCCTTTAATTCCTTACCCAATTTTGTGACGTTAGGGTTTCTTGAATATCATCTCCTTTGTATTTTTCAATATTTTAAATAATTCCAATATTGTTTTACGCTGCCTCAATATTGCCAACACAGTTCTTTTTAAAATAATATTGACCCTTTTATCATAATGAATAACTACTTTTGTTCAAGAAATGCTCGTTCCATGACTACAAAATAAACAAATATATAAAAAGAGAACCATGACTACAAAGTGATATTTCTTTCTTTTTTTCTTGACATAATCAAGCTGGATAATTTATGTTTGAGGTATTTCAAGCTACCTTTAAAACATCAAGTCTCTGAAGACTTTGTTGATTTTCTTCCTTATATTCTGTAACTCAAAAGGAAAATGTAAATCCTTCCACAAAATGAAACTGCTGCTACTTATATGCTTTCATTTTGGAAGCATATAAATATGAGTTAAATATGAGTTTGAATAATGCACAGATTTCATGCCAACATTCAATATGATAGATTCTCAACCCAAAATGTCCAATAGCATCAGAACAGATAACAAGAAAGAAGAGTGAGAGGAAGAATGTTTTCTCCATCTACAGCCTCACAATGTAAATCTAAAAGCAGGAGAGAAAGTTTTGGTGGAGAATACAAGATGACTAAGGATTACGCAAAAGCAGACTATATTTGCAACAAAAGACAGCATCAAATTACTGCTGTTACCATTTTGTGGAAACAATATTAGAACAATCATTAATGATGTATGAATTCTGACCACAAAGAGCTCTTAGGTGTACTAAGAGGGACACATCAAGTGCTATCCCTTGGGAAAGACACGGCATTGTTTGCCTATCAGGAGATTATTTGGTCCAGGTTTGATAAAGTTGCTGAATAGGACTACTACTGACTAATCTTTACTTCTATTTACTCCCATAAGCCCCCTGAAATGTTGTTCAGGCTGTAAGCCTACACCTGGCCAATTTATTTATGAGCATCCTAAAGAGATATCTCATGATGGCCTGATGTAGCCAACTAAATTTAATCACATATTTTGGTACCAAGCATATAAATTGGTAATCCTCCTATTTTTTCCTCTCAGGTACATAAAGCCCTCCCCTAAGCAAATTAAAGGAGGAATAAGCTGTACGTACCTTATTTATGTATATTATTGTTGTAATTATCATGATTAAAATTTATTAGTTTAGTAAACTTAAGCACAAAAACTGTTTATATCTTGAAACTAATTTTCCACTTGACAGAGAGCTTTTATAAAATATATTCCTTTGACATAATACACAGAAGAACTGTTTCTACTTTGGTGTCATTCTGAAGACACACAAATTAATGCAAAGCTAGGATAGTCTGAGTCCCACCATTTATTTTATTTGCATAACTGAAACTCTGGCAGACTGTTTTTAGTGTTATCACTGCTTAAGTAGCAGAACTGTGAGCAGATGGTGAGCTGGCTCACTTCGATTAGACGTGTCTGTATTATTACACTTGAAGGGGTACTTTATTATAAGCTCTTGGAAAATAATACAAGAAATTCTTTTTAGAATAGAATTTAGAATAACCAAAACTAAACCAAACAGATTTATTTAACAATTCACTAGTAATTAAAGCCTGCGTCCTATTCTATATTTACAAATTTCCAGGTTTGCACCAAGTTTTTTTTTCTTTTTTTTTTTTAAATTTAAAATGTGTCATTAAATTGTTGCACAAACTTGCAGGAATAAACTTCAAGAAAACCTAATATTTGGCCTGCTAAAGGATAATACACTTGGTATGGTAACCTTGAGAAAAATTCAGTAATGTGTTGGCAGTGTGCCTACCAGTTACATGTACCTCTTAAGAAATACATAAATATTAAAACAAACCAAAAGGGTTTAAGACATCACAGAAGAATGATAAAGAAACACCAAGAAAAACCTAATGGTCCAATAAATGCTAGGGCACATTTGACATACTTGAATGGCATGGGATATTTGCTCCTCTAATAGGAATAATGTGGAAAGCTTCTGGCTTTGTACAACCATTTCTACCCAGTTCAGTTCTTGTTAACTTCTTTAAAGAAACTTGTATACTTTGCCTGTGATGTCTTTCCATAAATCACCATCGTGATTTGGATAATCGCCATTTGGATAATTTCACTAACCCTATAAAACAGACATGTCTATGCAGCTTATGTTACAGGTATATGCACTGAAGGCCAGACTGCACAAGTTCATGCAACTAGTAAATACAAAAGCTAGGATCTGGACATAGCCAATCTCACTCCAAAGTCTGTATTGTTAACCATCATGCTTTCTGAGGGTCATAGACATTTGATGGCAATTAGAAAATAATACTGATGGATGATCACTTTTTTTTTGCTTGGAGATTGGTCAGTTGTTTTACTTATTGGTGTGGAAAAGCATCCACCCATGTCTCTCCTCCTCCACATCCAGGTATTTGGTACATACCACACCTGGACTGTGGCAACAGCCTCCTGGAGGGTCAGCCCTCTATACACCTCCTCATCACCAATCAGTCCTCTAAGCAGAAGCCCAGTTCTGCTTTAGGATCCTGCTTAAGTCTCCAGTCTCTTCTCAGATCATTTATCCACAGGCGCTTTTTTCCAACCACATTGGCCTTCTGGCAGTTTCTTATTGTGAGAAGGTCTTTCCTATCATATTTTCCATAGCAATCCCTTCTTTCTATACCTGGAAAATTCTTACTTGGAATTACATCTCAGCTTAAATATCACTTCTTCAGGGAAGCTTTTCTAGTCTTTCAATCTAATTTGGTTGTCCCTTGTAAGTTTCTTCCTTGAAAATCTCCCTTGCAAATTATTATGATTTGTTGTCATATATTTGTTTTGTTTCTCTTACTAACTTGTAAGTTTCTTGAAGGTAAAAACAGTTTCTATTCACTACTATAGCCTTAGGTCTGAGCATAGTGTCTGACACAAAGTAGATATTTATATCGTGAAAGTGGGGGAAAAGTAATAAAGGGAAGGAAAGAGAGAGAATGAGGCAGGGTGAGGAAGGAAGGGAAAAGCTCACTCTAAGTCAGCTCCATCTGTCTTCACTGGTGCTGTTGTCTACCTCTTGGGGGTACACATGTGTTCTTGGCATAATTACCCAATTATGAAATTATCCAAAGAACATCTCTCTCCCAGGACCACTGTCACTGCTACCATTTTACCATCTTCCTTTGGCTTCTGAATACCAACACATGATATTACATTATTCAGGGCTTGATTTTTCCATGCTCTCTTTTCTGTGAAGCTCTCTCTGCATTTGCTTTCAAAGCTGCACTTTCTCTTTGTCAATTAAGATTCCTCCCAGGCTGTGCTTTAATTATTGAAAGGTTCTTCTTTGTAGTGAGGGTAAATCAGCCTTCTCATAACCTTTATTCATTGATCCTGATTCTGTATTCTGGAGCAGTTTAAACCTGTCACTCCACCCACCCTACAGCATTCCTTCAGATTATTTAAACATGCTATCATGCATACCCCTGAGTCTACCCTTCTCCAGGCTAGAAGTTTACTTTAATGTTAACAAATGTTCTTATGAATATATGCTATCCAAAACTATTCAAGCATCTTAGATGTGATAAGTCATATGCATACGCTTAAACAGCTAATGACAACAACAATAAGAACAGCAATAGAGTATGTAAAGATTTCCTTATTATCTAATTTGCTCCTTTCAAGCATTTTCTATTTGAAGTCTTCTCTGAATCAAGGCCCCCAAGCAGAATTTATCAGCCTTTCATTTGGACCACCAATCTAAGGAGTCCAAATTCCTCTACATTTTTTACAATCTGGTAAAATTATTTGTTCATATGAATCTGTCCTAAAAGACACTTCAGAAGCTGCCAATTATTGTTTAAAGTCCATTGTCCTCCTTTCATTTTATGAGGAGAAACTTCTCAATGAGTCTTTTGTGTTTCTGCACATCTTGCTAGCAGAGACAATTGTTCCAGATTACCTTTCCGAGAATTTTGCATACCAGAGAACCCTGGAAGACAGAAACAGCGTCCCTCTCTAGAGCAAGGGTAGATTTGTTTACTGACCAGTCAGAGGATCATGTTGCCCTTCAGTGCAAAGTTCAAGGAAGTTCACTTCCAGCCCATTGCAAAGATTGATATTTTCCAAGCTCAAGGTTGCTCATCTATGAAGCATATATACTATATGTGCAGTATCCACCTGAGTCACTCCATGTTCCCCTTGTAGGACTTAAGAACAAGGGTAATTGCGTGAACTTGAAAATCACTCTCCCTTCTATGCCTTAATTAATAAAGTCTTTTGTCTCTGACTCAGGAATCTTGTGTCTTCTGCCAGCATGTATGATAGTTTACATATCTGGCAAAATCTCAGACCCTTCACCATCTTCACAAGTCCCAACTAACAGCAAGAATCCACCTTCAGATATAAGTGAAGGAAACCTCTGATAATTCAAGCTCCTGACCTTTCATTCTCCCAGCAGATCCACAGAAACTGTGATGTGTCTGAATTTGTAATCCACAAAATGTGAAAGATAATAAATGATCATTTTTGTTTGAAGCAGTTTTTGAGGTAATTGGGTTAACAACAAAGACAACTAAGACCTGGAAATGAGGTGCTGTCCTGACAAAAAGAAATAGTGCAGCAGATGTAAGACAGTACAGTGGGCAAAAAGTGGAATGGTTTGTACCTCAGAATAGCTTAAAGAAATGTGACATAAAGTGACATTGAAAACTGGAAGGAAGAAGACTCTTTTCCTGTGGTACAATTCTGACTACTCAGGTTGTTCAGAAACTTTGGTGATGTATTCAGATAAATGTAAAAAGGGAAATAATGGAATGTTGTATAACCTCATGTACACTGTTTGCTTGGTATATCAAAATTATTTGGAAGATATTATCTAAGGGAAAAGAATACTAAACTTTTGTCCTTAATTAAAATGTTAAGAATTCTGTATTCTTATGTTTCTGTATCTTTGAGTCAAACCCAGTTTGGTAAGTCACTTAACCTTAGCTGAATCTTAATATACTCATCCACTAAATGGGATAATGTCATAGGATTACTGGAAAATTTATAGGGAATAGCAATCATATTAATCATATTAATAAGATACATAGTTGCTTCTATTTAATTGAATATGCATGATTAATCTCCTGCCCCTGCCCCAAAGCCACTAAATGGTAGTAAAGAAAAAAAATAATTTACTAAGCCACATAGAAAAAATGAAGAGGAGAAAGACAAGAACAAGTAAGAAACCTATATTCATTTACATTGATGGAAAGGTCTTAGAATAATAGCAACTGACTAAGTCTGACTTCAAAGGGAAATGCCAAAGAGAGGGTGCATGTCCTCCTGACTTATATCCTCCCAGACTCCTAACTTATAGTGCAAGATTCCAACTCTGTGAAGCCAGGTAATGATCTTTCATGCCACTACACTGTGACTAACCAGCCCAGCTAGAAGGGTATTCTCTTGAAAAAGAAAATCTGAGAGATCATGGATTGGAGGAAACTCGGCACAGCAAAGCACAATGCAAATTAAAACATGAATAAATGCATATGGAGGGTGGGAAAGTGAGTAATTAACTGATGTCTACATATTTAACTCTGCTGTTTCTTCTCATCTAGCTTCCAGAACATGAGTAGAGAGATGCATACCTCCCAGATTGAAAACTACATTGTTCCACTCTGAAAAGCTGACTGATAGACCTCAAAAAAAAAAAAAAAAAAAAAGTGTGAGAGAGAACAGAAACAAACGGAAAAATATTCCATGCTCATGGATAGGAAAAATCAATATTGCTAAAATGGCCATACTGCCCTAAGTAATTTATAGATTCAATGTTATTCACTTTAAACTACCATTGACATTCTTCACAGAATTAGAAAAAACTACTTTCAAATTCATACAGAACAAAAAAACAGCCTGGATAGCCAAGTCAATCATAAGAAACAACAACAACAACAACAAAAACACGCTGGAGGCATCATGCTACCCAACTTCAAACTATACAAGGCTACAGTAACCAAACAGCATGGTATTGGTACAAAAACAGACACATAGACCAATGGAACAGGTAGATAACTCAGAAATAAGACTTCACATCTAAACCATCTGATCTTCAGCAATGGGGAAAGAATTCCCTGTTTAATATATGGTGCTGGGAGAACTGGATAGCCATATGCATAAAATTGAAACCGGACCCCTTCCTTACACCTTATATAAAAGTTAACTCAAGATGGATTAAAGACATAAATGTAAAACCCAAGACTATGAAAACCCTAGAAGAAAACTTAGACAACAGTATTCAGAACATAGCACAGGCAAAAATTTCATCATGAAAATGTCAAAAGCAATTGTAACAAGAGCAAAAATTGACAAATGGAATCTAATTAAACTAAAGAGCTTCTGCACAGCAAAAGAAATGATCTTAAGAGTGAACAGACAACCTACAGAATGGGAGAAAATTTTTGCAATCTATCAAATCCATCTGAAAAAAGCCTAATGTCCAGAGTCAACAAGGAACTTAAACAAATTTACAAGTAAAAAACAAACAACCCCATCAAAAAGTGGGCAAAGCGCATGAACAGATACTTCTCAAAAGAAGACATTCATGCAGCCAACAAACATATAAAAAAACCTCAACATCACTGATCATTAGAGAAATGCAAATCAAAATCAAAATATCTCACAGCAGTCAGAATGACAATTATTAAAAACTGAAGAAACAACAGGTGCTGGCAAGGTTGTGAAGAAATAGGAATGCTTTTACACTGTTGGTGGGAATGTAAATTAGTTCAACCATTGTGGAAGACACTGTAGCAATTCCTCAAAGATTTAGAGGCAGAAATACCAATCTGACACAGCAATTCTGTTATTGGGTATATACCCAAATGAATAGAAATCATTCTATTATAATGACACATGTATACTGCAGCACTATTTACAATAGCAAAAATATGGAATCAACCCAAATGCCCAACAATGACAGACTGGATAAAGAAAATGTGGTACATATGCACTATGGAATACTATGCAGCCATTAAAAGGAATAAGACCGTGTCTGTTGCAGGGACATGGATGGAACTGGAAGCCATTATCTTCAGCAAACTAATGCAAAAACAGAAATCCAAACACTGTATGTTCTCACTTGTAAGTGGGAGCTGAACGATGAGAACACATGGACACATGGGGGGAACAACACACACTAGGGCCTGTTGGGGGTGTGGGAGGGAGGAAGGAGGGCATCAGGAAGAATAACCAGTAGATGCTGGGCTTAATGTCTAGGTGATGGGTTTATCTGTGCAACAAACCACCATGGCCCATGTTTACCTATGTAACACACTTGCATATCCTGCACATGTACCCCAAAACTGAAAAGTTGAAGAAAAAAAACAAAAAGTGTGGTTACTAATATTTGTAAGACCTCCTCCATACAGATTTTTTTTTTTTTTTTTTTGAGACACAGTCTCCCTCTATTGTCCAGGCTGGAGTGCAGTGGCACAATCTTGGTTCATGGCAACCTCCACTTCCTGGATTCAAGTGATTCTCCTGCCTCAGCCTCCTGAGTAGCTGGGACTACAGGCACGCACCCCCAAGCCCGGCTAGTTTTTTCATATTTTTAATAGAGATAGGGTTTCACCATATCAGCCAGGCTGGTCTTGAACTCTTGACCTCGTGATCTGCCTGCCTCAGCCTCCCAAAGTGCTGGGATTACAGGCATGAGCCACCGCGCCAGGCCCTCCATACAGATTTTAGTCCAATTCACTGATCACACTCAGCAGCTGGAAAGCCTATCACTTTCTCTCTTCATTCTCCAGCCGCCACACCAAGCACACAGAGCTTTTCAGTGCTTTACTCTTAATGGAGAACGTAACCAGGGATTATCAGGTATTCCAACATGAAAAAGAAAGTCCAATAGAAACAAGCAGGATAATCAAACCAGGAGGAAGCAGAGACTATATAGAGAAAGAAAAAAAGACACATGGGAATAACGGCAATAATACTGACAATACACCTCACCATAAACTTATCAGAATGAATTTGTTGGAGAAATATATGGAGGGGAGGTACTTGTGTGTGTGCACAGGCACTCATGTACACGTGTGTATGTGTATGTTTTTTTAAGTGAGCAAAGTAAGTACTATAACAAAAAATCAACAGATCATGTCCAAAATAAATATATATAAGTATATATATTTAGAAATGACAGTATATCTGTATTATTTTAATACACACAGCTAAATATTAAAATTAATATTTAATAGAATTTTTCCCTGTTAATACCAAGGGAGGTAGGGAATGAGGTAGGTGTCTGCTGACTCTGTTTATAAACCTATTGCCATTATTTTATTCTGAAGCTATGTGTATCTATTGCTTTGATTTTTAAAAGAACACATCTTTTTGTCAACACTCAATGCTGTTACTGGGATATAGTTCATTCTCAAATTTGAGCTTTTTATCACATCTTTTCTATTCCTGTCTGTTAAAATCAAAAGTCTACAACTTAGCTGGAAAGTGTTTTAAAGTTACTGGTTAAAAAGTTCTTAGAAATGCCTAATTCAAGTTGGTCTTTCCATGAGAACTTTTTTTATCCATAATGCTGAAGTATAAAGACCCCTCTCCTTCAGAAATGCCATAGTACATCCTGTCTGTTTTATTCATGTGGAAATGAATTCACATATTTCACCTTGTGACATTTCTTCTATCATCTTGAAGAATGAAAGTTCCCTACAAGAATGCATGTTATTTGAAGATATTTATTTCTTAGTAACAGTGTTGCACTTAATAGGCATTCAATAAATATCTGCTGATTAGAACTGATTGCAAGAAAGAGGCCAGACTTTCGATATTCTAGATCTCAAGAAGTGAAGAGTTCAAAATCAGCAATACCTCAATTGACATTAATTGGAATTTTGGAAGGATCAAAGCTAAAGAGAATTTTAAATAGAACAATTTTCTAGAAAACATTATTTAATTTTTAAAAAACAATAACATCAAAAGTATAATTGCTTTTTAATTTTTTACCTGTTTTATCTAAATGTACAGACTGTGGGAAGTTTTTATTACTCATTTGTCTCAATTCTGGTTTAGAAAATATATAAATTTAGTGTGTCTACAATAATATTGTCAAACAGTGACAAATAATATTTAAAAATTTAGTCATTGCTATCACTGATTCTTCCACAATGAATTAAAACATTGGCTTTCTATTGTTGGTCTGTCACTTTTACTGTGTAAATCAATTTTAAGTAGAAAGTACCAAATGTGCTGCAGTACTTTGGCACACACACTACAGCCAGACTGTCTTTTATTTTTATTTTTATTTATTTTTATTTATTTATTTGAGATGGAGTCTCACTCTGTGCCCAGGCTGGAGTGCAGTGGCGCGATCTCGGCTTCACAGTAGCCTCTGCCTCCCAGATTCCAGCGATTCTCCTGCTTCATCCTCCTGGGTAGCTGAGATTACAGGCACACACCACCACGTCTGGCTAATTTTTGTATTTTTAGTAGAGACAGCATTTCACCATGTTGGCTGGGGTGGTCTGGAACTCCTGATCTCAGATGACCTGCCCGCCTCAGCCTCCCAAAGTGCTAGGACTACAGGCGTGAGCCACCACGCCCCACCGAGCCACGCTGTCTTAATGTAAACCCTGGCAGCTACTATCTGAGTGATTTTGAGTAAGCTATTAACCTATGTCTCAGTTTCCTCATCTGTACAATGGAAATGAGGTAACTACTGTGATAATGCCATAGAGATTTAATGGTCTGAGACATGTAACGGCTAGGCATTGTATAAACACATGCAGCTCTTTTAAATTATTAACTGAGGTATATTTTTCTACTTAAGCATATTACAGTTGGATTTTGTTACATTTCCTGGTTCTGATAGAATTAGAAAATGACCCAAATTTATTCAATGCATGAGGGGACTCAATTATATTTATCAAGTTATGTTTTATTTGAGTTGTCCATGGATGAATTATAAGCTATGTAAGTGTTCAGTTGGTGAGAGTTTCTTCTGTTCTCTATAATAAAAACATCATAATGTTTAAGGCATTTTCTGTATACCTACTAACCATGGAATGGTCAAACCATACATCAAGAGGAGAAAAACTAGCAATGTGGTTATGTAGCCTCAAGCCATTTTGAAGCATAGTTCATCAGCACCTATAACAGAAAGCTGCTGCACATCTCAGGTCATTATGGTGCCTAACATGGTATAAGATGTCTTTACCTCCTTGTCAGCCTAGGTAAAGCCCCATGGTCCACAGTAGAACCACTAATTCTGAGCCACAACTTGTAAACTCGTAACAAGAAACAAGATGCATGCTATAGATTGTCATAAAACTAGACTATGTCCAATTCATTATATTAATTACAGATCTGGAAGTCACAAACTGAGTGTGAGCAGCCACCACCATGCCTGTTTTCTGAATTGCTGTCACTCTGTGCCCACATGGATGTGCTGACTCCTACTAAGCTTGATGGAAGAAGCTCTAAAATTTCCCTCTCCTCTCTCATACCCTACCACTACAGCCTTCAAAGGGCTTGACTTTTCATCACTTTTCCTATCTTCCCCCTTGCTTCTCTGCCAAGCTCAGTCAACGCCCTCTCTGATCTTACTCACCAGGTTCACCATGAATTTCAAGACATAATAAAATAACAAGTTTCTCTCTACTAAAAATATGAATATCGCAGTTATAAGGTAAGTAGTAGCTGGTTGATATATGCTACAGTTCAGGCAGCAAATGTTAATTTAACCGTGCACCTAGGATGCATGTGGCATCATGAAATGTTCTGGAAATATAAATATAAATAAAGAACAAAGTCTTCCCTCAAGAAGATTTGAGTCTTCGGAGAAAAAAAAATCTATATACATATATATGTATGGACAGATATCATGCAATGAAAATATTTACAACAAAATAATTTCCCTCATAATATGTATACGATCAATTTCTGGACATCATCAAAGAAATATTTTATAAATATTTCCCAATTTTTAATTCATTAATGAATGTCGTACTGTCTGAAAACAAATGTGTACCTCACCTCTGATAATAGACCATTATATTTTTATGAAGGAGAAAGTGTGGGTCATTCTACAAAATATTTTATGCTTATTAAATGATTTACAAGCAATTCAGCTTAACATTACGGTTATTAATTTCTTCTTATATATTCACATTTTATGTTTTTAAATTTTTTAGTGTTTTTTTTCTTTTGTTTTGTTTTTGCACTTTTTTCTTCTTTTTTTTAGATTCATATTTTAATAGCTGATTTCCAATTACTTTCATTTTAAAAAAAATCTTTGGCCTCTTTTGGTGTACCTTTCTCTTCAATTTCCTGATTTTATCAACTCTTATGCCACATCCTTCAGCTTTTCTTTAATTCATCTCCTCAGTTTTTAAATTTTCAATCTGAAATGTTCTTTCACATATGCAAATGCTTAATAATATTTCTTCTGAGTTGTGGGTTGTATTTGGGAATCATAATCATCAGATTAAAAAAGACTTACTTTTTGTTTTCTTCTTATAGTAATGGTGTTTGAATACAGCCTGATGTTCCTCTATTTATTTTAAATTATCTGAGGGTTTTCTTCAATAACAAGAAAATTGGTCTGTCTAGGAAAGAAGAATTTGAATTTTATTGTTGTTGTTGTCAATAGAACTTTGTTTTTTCGGTGTAATAAAATGTATTTAAAAAAATTATTTCCAGAAAGGGAGTGGTAAGTCATATGATTTTCAGATACTCATTCCTTTCTTTAATACCTCAAATTTCTACCAACTGCTTATTTTATTCCCTTCACCTCTCAGCCTCTAAGAGAATCTCCCGCTGAGGCAGTGCATACCCAAGACTGTCACTTCTGCTCTGCATACCTTTAAGATTCTTCCTTAGGATTCTCTAGTACACAGTGGTCTCATCCACCAGCTGCCAGAGCTGTTCTCAGTACTTCTCCCTCTTGGGAGTGATCTTATTTATGCCCAGCCACCAAGAGAATCCTGCTGCACTCCCTGGTTCACTTCTCTCTCTGCCTACACTGGTTCCAGCATGGGCTTTGGAACTGGCTGTGTAGGTTTCCTGTAACTTATTTCCCATTAAGAAGTATCTTAAAATGTGCAGTATTCTTGGTCTGCTAGTTATTCTGTAAGCTTGCTTGAAAAGAGTTTTATTTACTCTCCTTGTTGATTTTTCTGTAGGATATTTGGAGAGATCAAATTTTGACAGCCATCATTATCCTACAGGAACCTAGATGGTTCACCATCTAAGAACCAAATACATTTACTTACTAATTAGGTGCTAATTAAGTAAATTATACTACACCATATTATTTCTTTCAGCTTAATAAACTTTTATTGAAGTACACATCATCTCCCATAATTTTATTATATTCTACCTGTGTTTGAAGCATGAAACCATTTTCTTTTGGTTTCCAGCTTTTTCCTTTGCATTTTTATTAGGTGTCACTTCATTTTTTGACACAGTGAAATAATATCACTGCAGTCACCTCACGACGATATTGATTGGAAAAGTATAGTGAGTGATGGGAAAGCCACAGCCCTTACAATGTCTGTGTCTGGCACACACAGAGCAATCTTTAAGTTCCAGTGTGCCCTTTCTGCATCTCTTTTCCTTTCAGCACAAATCCTAGTGTCTTGCTTTACTAGAGACATAAGGTGGCAACCCAATCGCATGACTTGGCCAGGATCATTATACAATAAAAAAGGTGCCTATCATATGGGCAGATTCAAACTACTCAAGCAAGCACCACTGAATGGCAATAAAGGAACCCCACAGAACCCTTCCTGTGGGGAAGGGTCATTTAGCCAAGGCTGTGAATCTAAATTCTTGGTAACTGTTCAGCTGATGAAAAATACTTTATTCTTACACAATTCACTGCCTGTGCTTAACATAAATTTTGATTACTGTAATTTATGTATATTGTTGCTTTGTGATCCTGAGTTACTTTATATCACTGGGCAGATGCAAAAACTTGTTGATAAATATGGTGTTCTCATCTTTCCAAATATGCCTTTAGTCCATTTTATAAAATGTAATATATACGTTGCAAACTATCTTACTCAAGTTGATTATACTGGATGTCATATAATTAAACTATCTAATGTCCTAATAAAAATGAAACACAGCCACGAGAACAGCTTTAATGAACTGGAATCATGTTGGTAATATCTGTAATCCCAGCACTTTGGGAGGCCAAGGTGGGTGGATTATGAGGTCAGGAGATCAAGACCATCCTGGCCAACATGGTGAAACCCTGTCTCTACTAAAAATACAAAAATTAGCTGGGTGTGGTGGCACGTGCCTATAATCCCAGCTACTCGGGAGGCTGAGGCAGGAGAATCGCTTGAACCAGGGAGTTGGAGACTGCAGTGAGCCGAGATCGCACCACTGCACTCCAGCCTGGCAACAGCATGAGACTCTGTCTCAAAAAAAAAAAAAAAAAAGAAAAAGAAAAAGAAAAAGAAATGCATTGGATAATATTTAGCAACTCATATCAATGTAGTTTCACCCTCTTTGAATTAGTAACATAGTATGTACTAAAAATATTACTAACTATCCAATGCTGTGTTGAGGTTTTAGCATCTCTGCTAAGGTAAACTGTTAATATTCAAGATTCCAATTCTGGATTTCTTCTTCTATGATTTATATAACTTACACATCAAAATCTTGCAGGACATTCTGAGGTTATCTTCTGGCCATGCCAACATCAAATTGACTACAAATTACAGCAACAAGAAATGGTTTAATACAAATTCTTATCATATTTCAAGGAGCCATAATTGGCAATCTGAAATATAATTGGTACATGAAGTAAAAGGGGCATATTTCAAATCTTATTGTGGAAGAGGGGAAGCTGATAATGAATATCTATGTCTAAAGTGGTTCAGTTGCCCCAAATCAGTTTGTCTAACTGACTTCTTAGCCTGTATTTCAACTTCATCTGAATATTTGTGTATTTTGCTACAAATTCTTAAAATGAAAATAAAATTGCACTTGTCAATTAATTTTCACATTATAATTAAATAAAAAGAAACTCTGAAGAATGCAAACTTTGAATAACAATTGTCATAAAATATTCATAATAAACAAAATGGAAAATGCTACTTAGAACAAAGCAAAACATTTCTATTTCTAAAATTTTGCAATTAGGCCCGGCGCGGTGGCTCACGTCTGTAATCCCAGCACTTTGGGAGGCTGAGGCGGGCAGATCACAAGGTCAGAAGTTCCAGACCAGCCTGGCCAATTTAGTGAAACTCCGTCTCTACTAAAAATACAAAAATTAGCCGGGCATGGTCGCGCCCACCTGTAGTCCCAGCTGTTTGGGAGGCTGAGGCAGGAGAATCACTTGAACCTGGGAGGCAGAGGTTGTGGTGAGCTGAGATTGTGCCATTGCACTCCAGCCTGGGCTACAGAGCGAGACTCCATCTCAAAAAAAAAAAAATAAATAAATAAATAAAATTTTGCAATTTAGTAAATACTTTAATGAAGTAAAGTTGCATGTCCTCTCAGAAAATTGATTTTAAGATGTTCAAAATGTTTAAAAGGTGGGCAGATGGACAGAAAGGAAAGGACATTCCGATGAAGGAAAATAGCTCAAAAATGGTTGCACTTTCCAGAGAAGGAAACTCGAGCTTAAAATGCTTAAGTAACTTTCCCCAAGTCACCCAGCTGAATCAGTTATGAAACATGCTTTTTAAAATAAATTCCTATCTTAACATTAAAGATCAAGTACTTAATCCTTATATCACATTGTATCCTGGTCATCAGTTTAAGCTCAAGGATTCAGGTTGAAGAAGTCTTGCAAGATTATGTTATTTCTGTTGAAGATGTGAAAAAGAAGCATGTCATTTTATAACAGAGAATAAGAAAATACATATATAAAGGTATCCTTTACAGAGCTTTCTACAAAAGATACCATTTTTATTTGGGTCAAAAGACAAATGAACAAATGGGCCAATCTGCCAAAGCTAAGAAATGATGAGCAAAGAGGAGAAATTAGCAGTGACTAGACTCTTGAAAGTGTATAAACAATTTAACTCTGGATTTTTTTCCAAAAATGCCTAATACACTGAAAATTATTGGAGTTATCTGGCTTTTCCTTATGATATTTATGTTTATACTTCATTCCACAGAGAGATACAAAAAGATAAATAGGTAAAAGAGATGCCAACAAGTAAGAAAGGAAGGCAAGACAATCAAAGGTGCATCAGGATACTACAGACAAATGAGACTGAAAAGCTCACTGCACATCCTTAGAACAATAGTTGGCCATCTACAAGTTTCACAGTTTTCATCTGAAGTAAGGAAAGAAAGGAAATCACCATCCAAAAGGTAATAGAAAATGACTAAGATGAAACATGCTATTCTCAAGAATTTAAGTAGCAATGTTAGGATAAATTAAAGGGAAAAAGACAGAGGGAAACAAGACCAACTAGAAAGTTATTGCATTATCAATACCCATGAGACCCCAGAATATGATAATGTTGGTCCAAGTGAAGGAAAAAGAATGGAGGCAAGAATGAGTAGGACTTGGTGAGTACTGATGTTGGCTAAGACAAAGAAAAGGAAAGTTCACCCAAAACTCCAGGGTTTTGAGTTTGAACGGTTGGAAGAATGGAGGTGGCAGAGTGGTGACTAAGAAGCAGTACTAGTCCTTGCTTTCTGCTATCTCAAATTTAAAAGGCAAGGATTAATTCCAAGTCTACTCAGCACCAGACCTAAAGCAGACCAAAGCTGGAATGAGTGAGGTGCTTTGGGGTGGGAGTTAGTCTAGCTCCCTCACACTAGTGACACAATGTTATGGGTATACCTAGAACCCAGATCTGCCATAGTAATAAAATGTCTCCACCAAATGCATCAGATTTTTTTCCTACAAAATGGAAGTTTTTGTATTCTCTGAATATAAAAATGCATTACATATAAAATGTAAATATAGGATGAATGCGACTCTGTAATCCCAGAGCTTTGGGAGCCCAAGTCGGGAAGATGTCTCAAGGCTAGGAGTTTGACACCAACCTGGGCAATGCAGTGAGACCTCATCTCTACAAAAAAACAATAAAAATTATTTGGGTGTGGTGGTGCACATCTGCAGTCTTAGCTGTTTGGGAGGCTAAGGCAGGTGGATCGTTTGAGCCCAGGGGTTTGAGGTTACAGTGAACTATGATTTTGCACCACCACATTCTAGTCTGGATGGCAAAGCAAGACCCTGTCTTTAAAAAAAGAAAAAAAGAAAATACAAATTTTAAAATGCAAATGTAGGAAAGAAAGAAATTTTATCTTGAGTATGCGAAAGGTTTCTTCCATATTCAGGAATATTACTATACCACTTTTAATGGCTGTTTTATTATATTATTAAAATATGACATCATTATAATTCCACACAGTTATAATATGATCACTTTATAGGATATTAATATAATATAATCACACATTCATATTATATAGCTTTTTTAACTGACAGATAAAATTGTTATACAACACATATATGCCTACCGTCTCTCTTCAAAACAACATGAAGTTTTGTTTTTAAGTATATTTACATGTGGAATGACTAAATCTAGTTAGTCAGATTACAGTCATAGGCATTACCTCAGGTAGTTACCATTTTTGTGGTGAGAACACTTAATGCCCACTGTCTTTGCATTTTTTAAGAATATAATATATTGTTATAAACTATAATCACCATGTTATACAATAGGTCTCTTTAGCTTCTTCCTCCTATCTAACTGAAATTTTGTATCCTTTACTTTTAAAAAATAGTTTTGAATTGGATAGGCTAAAATGATATCTCATTATCATTTTATTTCTACTTTTTAGATTATTAGCAAGTCTGAATACATTTTAATATTTTATTGTGTATAGTAACCTTTCATCTCTCACTTGTGTTGAACACAACTTTCACAGTTATTTTTCTTCCACCATGTATATGTTATTTCATAGCAGAGAAGTTGGAAGTTTTTATATAGTCAAATTTGTCTTTTCCTTATGGATTTCTGTCTTTGGTATAATTTACTGAAAATCCCCCCACATTCTAAGTCAGCCAAATTTTGGGTTGGTAAGTCACCCAAATTTTGGGTTATTTTCAGTTTTCATAATTAAATATCCCATTCATCCGAAATTTATATTGGTGTAAAGGGCGGAGTACTGACCAGACCTTTTTTCCCCCAAATGATTAGCTGGCTTTATTAAAGCCTTTTTTTGGAATAATCTGCCTTTTCCATGATGATCCTAAATGTCACCTTTATTATTTATTAAATACCTATATATCAGATATCTTTGACAAATCCCACATTGTTATATTTGTTTCTCAGTTTCCTGATCTGTACTGAACTTTTCTGAACAGGAAGAGCAGTCTTACCCAGAATCCTAGATATTTAACTATCTTCTCATGGACAGGGCCTGGTATATGGTAACTATTCAATAGATGTGCACTTGAAAAGGATGTAATGACTACTTTGAAAGAGTTTGATGGACAATGATAACCCAACAACTACAGAGATATTTGCAGATGTAAACATGTAACTTAAAGTATGTAAGAAATAAACAGAACTCCATATATTTTCTTAGGTTCATCTAACCCAAGAAATATGTTTTAAAAACAGAAAAAGTAAAATCTTTAAAAAGGCCCTCCAGCCCTCACCGGGAGTCATGTTTACATTCTCCTTACTGGTTTTCTTCTTCCCAGTGTGGCCCCTTTCATGGCATTGCGCTTTACGTTCAGAGTGAACACAGAGAACAAACATGGCCATTTTTTCAGTACTATAAGGTCATCAACAGTATCTCAATAACTATGGAATATATTGTAACCTTTCTTATATGTGATTAATGTGAATAAAAGTCATACAATATTTGCTAATACATGTGCCTTTTTCTCTAGCTGTATTTCTCACTTCAGTCAATTTGAAAACTACACTTTTCCCCATGCCGTGTCATGGTTCTTAGTCTTTTCTCAAATCTGGACAACTATTCATTCTCTCATCCATCCAACATTTCTTTATCTTCTAGTCTCAGCTCAAGCATCACTTCTTAGAAAAAGCCTTTCCTTGGAATTTGTAAGTAGAAAGGATACGACTTCTTTGATGAGCTGACTATGTTCTTATGCCTTACTGCCACAGCAACTGTAAGATTCCATTGCAATTGTTTAGTTAAATGTCTTCTCTTCTGGAGAAAGTCTGGAAAGGCTGAAGCTGTTCTTTTGTTCTTGGCATCCCTAATATCCAAAAGAGTGTTAGTGTCTAGAGGCTCCGTACATATGTGGCAACTGAACAGAGGTGGTGTAGCATGGAAGTCAAGAGCATGGGCTTTGAAATCAGAGAGGCCTAGGCCTAAGTACCAACTGCGCTATTTAATGATTGCTTGACTTGAATCATTTCCTTATTCCCCATGAGACGCTGTTTCCTCATCTGTAAAATGTGGGTGATAATAACAAACTTGCAAGAATATTATTAGAATTAAGTGAGAAAATGTAGAGAAAGGACTTAGCACAATGCTTGGCATAAAAATGTGCTCAAAAATGAGAGCCATTAGTAGTAAATAGTAGTAACAAGTAGTGTCCATAGTAGTAACTATACTGGTATGAAAGTCGAAAAACTTAAAGCTCCATTTCTTCAGGATTTGTAAGAATTCTAAGGAGAATAACTAGAGAGTAAGTTATTATACAACTAATTCATATTTTAACTAATGTAAATAAATAGGTTTTTAAATACCAAAATTTGCTCCTGTTCACATTATTCACAGGATATTTATAACATTCATTAGTATACTAAATTTCCAGAAAGTTCTGTTTAATCATGTTATTTTGTTTATTTTTGTCATCCATATTAACTGAATAAATTTGTATCATCCTCAAAAATTCTCCTGCAATATTTATTAATATTTATTTTTAGGGTTGGTTGCAACTCTCCATGTATACATTGTTTTGAGAATTTCATAAAATATTTAACTTATGGAATGAAATACACATTTCCTTAATTATATTAGCTACCATAAAATAATTTTTGTGAAATATCACATATATATTTTTAGAAATCAGGAATTTGAAGCTATTTCTATACTTATATACAGTCTATTGGCACTAGTGGATTTTCAACAATTAACCCTATATATGAGGACTATATTAGATTAAGCTTTGTTTATTTGAGTATACATTACTTCATTTATTTGTTATTTATGTCCTACCTACTTCTCAAACTAATTAGGAGTGATATCCAAGTAAAATTATGTGTAAATATTATTTTAGCAATTTTCTATTTCACTTATATTACACTCAAGTTCTCAGGTTTTAATTCTACAAGCAATCTTCTTATCCTATATTTCAAAATCAGATTTATCATGGGGAGAAAATCACTGCAAGTCAGGAACTGTGAGTTCCAGTCTCAGCTCTGCCACTACAATTGTGCCCAACCTTGGGATGTCACATAATTTATATTTTCATATGTAAAATGAGAAATTGGGCAAGAAGTACCTCAAGGTTACTTCTAACTATAATTTATCTTTCCTCTGTAAGTTCCATCCTCTTTCTTAATCTCAAAATATCTAATTATTCTTCAATTATTTATATTTTAAACCAGAGTTATCTTAACATTTAGTGAGAGATGTGGGCAGCTACACAAATTATTATTATAGGCTGGAATGAAAAAAAGGACTGGAAGTTAATGTCGACTGTTTTGAAGTTACTGTCTCAGGACCCCAAACTGGAAATTAATATTTGGGATAAATAGTTCCAAGTTGTCTTCTAGTGTAAGAAACACAAGTAGCAATTGGTTATTGGTTATTTAATATGTATTACCCTCTGGGCATTAGCACTTGCTTATCCTTTATTTTGCATTCTACATGTTCAGATATTGCTTATTTCTCAAGACTCAGTTCAAATTCCACTGCCTCTGTGAAATCTTGCTTGTGTTTCTTATGAAGACTCAGAGAAATTTATGTATGCATCTGTTATGACTCAGAAGACTTCCTATTTTCCCTTTAAGAAAGAGACTATGTTTCTGATCATGGTGTCTATCAAAGAAACTAAAAGTATTACTTGCCTTATAAATTTCGGCCACCAAAATGGCTGATTGATTAATTGACTAAATGCATTTAGGTATGTATGCACGTATGAATGAATGGATGAATGAATAGCCAGAGATGAAATTCCATAAAAAGCTGGAGCCTGAGTATGGCAATGGTGCAGAAGTGCTTACATGCATCTTGAATGTGGGGATGTGATATAGTTTGGCTCTCTGTTCCCACCCAAATCTCACCTTGAATTGTAATAATACCCATGTGTCAAGGGTGGGACCAAGTGGAGATAATTGTATCATGGGGACAGTTTCCACCGTACTGTTCTCATGATAGTGAGTGAGCTTTCCGGAGATCTGATGGTTTTACAAGGGGCTTCCCCCTTCACTCAGCGCTCATTCTCTCTCCTGCCACCCTGTGAATAGGTGCCTTCTGCCATGACCGTAGGTGTCCTGAGGCCTCCCAAGCCATGCAGATCTGTGAGTTAATTAAACCTCTTTTCTTTATGAATTACCCAGACTCAGGTATTTCTTCATAGCATTATGAGACCAGACCAATACAGAGTGTGCATACAAAATGCAGCTTAGATGAACATTTCCATTTATATAGCAAATGATGCACTCTTCCCTACTATCCTAAGACATATAGAAGTGTTTTCCTCTATCTGCCAATTTTGGAGATTCTCTTCTAAATGCTGGTATTCTTACCATTTCCAACTGCATACAAAAGTTGCAGGATTTTTATCAGTTGATACCCTTTATGTCTTGGATTAGCTCTCTTTTCAAGAATCTAGTACTACCTCAGATACCTATGGTCAAGTGTACTTGAATTAAAAGTGCCATCAAAATTCTTCTATGGTAGTAATTTTGTATGTGCTCTCTCACACACTTGAAAGTCTATATACCCAGGATGGAGCTTAAATTATTTAACTTGGCTTATTCTTGCGACTGTATTTCATAGCCCTCCTCCACCCTCATCTCCCATACTATGCTATTTTCTCTGACTGGAACATTAACTACCACAATCACATTTTTTTTTTTTTTTTTTTTTTGCTAGACTATTCTTTATGTCTTCGTTTAACTAGCACTTTGGGACAAAGGAATTTCACTGAACATTTAAGAATAGGGGAGTATCTCTTCAATTCACTCCCTTACAGCTCTATATTGTTATTGAAGCACTTATCTCATTGTGTAATGTAGCTATCTGTTTACCATTCTGTATGTGCCATGTCAGTAAGCCTTCTCTATGATCTAGGAAGGTGTCTTTTAAATTCTGATGGTAGACACAAAGTAGTTTTTGATCAATATTTGGTAAATGAATACATAAATGCCATTTATGATAGTATTAACAATTTAAAAAGTCAAAGAGGAAAAATTGTTTTCTGAGGCACTATTACAATAATGAAAGTGATTTCTAAGATTTGATTCATAGTACCTAATTACCCATAACTACTGTAATCATAATTAATTCTTAACTTTACATTATTCCATAATAGTAACAGGGGAGTCAGGGGAGATTGTGGATAAAGAAAAAATACCATCACATAGTGTGACTCTAATAAGACAAAAAGACTTGCAGGTGAAATGCCAAAAAATCAAAATTTAAAAATAAAATAAAAATTTAATAGTGGAAGAATAAGATCATGTAACTTTTGTTTGATAAGTATTGAATGTACAATTTTTTGTTAGTACTTACAAACAAATACCTGTTGAATTCTCTCTCAATGAAACTATTAATAAGACTGAGCTAGCAAGAACTATACACAAAGATCTTACAATCATTATCACCTAGAACAGTGGCTTTCAAATGTTTTTTATTAGAGCCTTTTTAAGAAATACATTTTTTTTGTGCCAGACGTGGTGGCTCACGCCTATAATCCCAGCACTTTGAGAGACCGAGGCGGGTGGATCATGAGGTCAGGAGTTCAAGACCAGTGTGGCCAACATGGTAAAACCCCGTCTCTACTAAAAATACAAAAATTACCCAGGTGTGGTGGCTGCACCTGTAGTTCCAGCTACTCAGGAGGCTGAGGCAGGAAAATCGTTTGAACCCGGGAGATGGAGGTTTCAGTGAGATGAAATCATGCCATTGCACTCCAGTCTAGGCCACAGAGTGAGACTCTGCCTCAAAAAAAAAAAAAAAAAAAAAAGAAATACAATTTTTTCTGGAAGCCTACCACAGAAAAAAATATAAACATGTACATACACACAACTGGATCAAATTCCATGAAACAATACCTAACCTATCATGCAAGGTACTCTAGTCCACTCCATTAATTCACTAATAACACATCAGCTGAGATCAACTAACAGATATTGATAGCAACATATTGCAATGTGATCCACACTCCAAAAATCCTGTCCTGGAAGGAGGTCACTAAATCTTGGTCACAATCCAACTGGATTTTTAATTTTGAAAATTGTTCTTAAACACCGTATAGAGAAATTAGAACTTAACTTCAATGATAAACTCTATTTTTCAAACACACTCTACTACTGCTTTTCAAAAAAAATTTGAACTTTTCTAAAGAAGTCTTCAGCTAAGTACAATTGAAAGGGTAGTAGATGTAGATGTAAATTATCTCCTTTTAAGTCATATTGCTTCCCAGCCACCATTTATTTCATATATGTATATACACTGTAATCCCAGCTACTCGGGAGGCTGAGGCAGGAGAATCACTCAGAGGCAGGAGAATCACTCGAATCCAGGAGGCGGAAGTTGCGATGAGCTGAGATTGCACCACTGCCCTCCAGCCTGGGCAACAAGAGTAAAGCTCCATTTCAAAAAACAAAACAAAACAAAAACAAACAACCAAAAAAGAAATACATAGTTTTGATATACTCTACACCAGCGATCTCCAACCTTTTTGGCACCAGGGACCAATTTTGTGAAAGACAATTTTTCCATGGATGGCAGGGAGGGGTTTAGTGGGGTATAGATGGGGATGGTTTCAGGATAAAACTGTTCCACCTCAGATCATCAGGCATTAGATTCTCATAAGAAGCATGCAACCTAGATCCGTTGCATGCACAGTTGACAATAGGGTTCACGCTCCTATGAGAATCTAATGCCACTGCTGATCTGACAGGAGATGGAGCTAAGGCAGTAAAGTTCCCTAGCTGGCAGCTCACCCCCTGCTGTGTGACCTGGTTCCTAATAGGCCACAGACCAGTACTGGTCCACAGCCAGGGATTGGGAACTCCTGCTCTACCCATAATGATCAGCTGCTCCACTCCTTCTATTAAACTCACTAAATAACCTACTTCTCATTTCTTCTCAGTCATTCATTCATCACAAAGCATATTGGTTCTACAAATGTGTCAGGCATGGGTCTGAGTGATAATAATACAATAGAAATAAAGAGATACATAGTTTCTGTCTTCATGCAGTACTCATTCTAGATGAGCAGTCATATAAACAAGCACACACATTCGAGACTGTGCTAAGTGTAACACAGGAAATAAAGAGGACACCGTGAAGGTGGAAATCAGGAGTGGGGGCAGTCACACAAGTTTGAGGCCAAATAAAGCTTCTGTTAGTAGATGGAATAAAATCTCAGACATCAAAAAGGTGACAAAACCAGTAGTGAAAAGAGCTGAGGAAAGAAATTTCATGCAGAGAGAGAAATAGCCAATATTCTGGGCACAAATAAAGCTTTTTTTGAAAACCGAGAAAGACTGTGTGACTGAAATGTAATCATCAAGAGGAAACAAGACAAGGTTGGAGAGATAAGCAGGAGCCAAGTCAGCCAGGGCCTTGTAAGCCACTGCAAAGAATCTGGATATTGTTCTAAGGGTAATGAAAATCTGCTGAAGGACTAAGCCAGCTTGTGACATGATCTGATTTGCGTTTTGGAAGGATGACTTCTAACTGCTATGTAGAGAATGGATTAGAGCTTGTAAACATGAAAGTCCAGCTAAGGAGACTATTTCAACTAATCTAAGCTAGAAATGACATGACTTGGCCTAGGGTGGTGGCAATGGATATAGGAAGAAATACATAAAATTTCAACACACATTTTATACCAGAATCTTAAGGCTTCTGTATCAGAAAATAAGAGCAAGGCAAAGAGAAGAATTAAGGATAACTTCTAACTATCTATCTTGAGCAACTGGATGGATGGTGATGTCATCAACTGAGACAGCAAAGTTTAGAGGAAGGTAGACTCATCCATAATATCTGTGGGTCCCAAGGCTTGGTTCCAAATGAAGTTCAACATGTGCTTAAGTGTTTTAAAAGTATTAATGAAGTGGCCGGGTGCAGTGGCTCATGCCTGTAATCCCAGCCCTTTGGGAGGCCAAGGCAGGCAGAGCACGAGGTCAGAAGTTCGAGACCAGCCTAGCCAATATGGTGAAACCCTGTCTCTACTGAAAATACAAAAATTAGCTGGGGTTGGTGGCACACGCCTGTAGTCCCAGCTACTCAGGAGGCTGAGGCAGGAGAATTGCTTGAACCCAGGAGGTAGAGGTTGTGGTGAGCCGAGATCATGCCACTGCATTTCAGCCTGGGTAACAGAGTGCAACTTTGTGTCAAAAAAAAAAAAAGTAATAATGAAGTTAATAATCCATTAAATAATATGTTGTATCATTCTACATTCATAAAAACACCTGGTAATAAACTTTATACTTAGCTTAAATATATAATTTTCAAATTCCTTGGAATTTTGTGCAGGAAAAATTCTCTGTGTTCTCTGTGCACAGAGAACACTGGCCCTTGGCCCCCAGCCTAAACCCTTTATTTTTCATACCTTGCTATATCCTTCTCAGCCAGTACCCTCACTCACATTCATTTGGACACTCCAATTTAAATATCCAGTTCTGTCCAGTCTCCCACCGGTGCAAATATTCACTTAGTGAGCCTCAAGGTATGCACACTAGTGACACCATCCACCTTTTTGAGAATGAACCTGGGGTTGAGAGCTGTACAGAGCCAAAAGTGGAAAATGGGCCATTTGGGAAAGTAACTCTTAGACTCAGGATACTTAGAGCTTGGTTCTGATGTGGACGAAAATATTGCCTTGCAGTGAGCATATGACCATTTTGCCCCAAAAAGTGAGCCATAGCTGAAAGAAGTCACAGTAAGCACAGTGCCAACGGTAGGGACCATTTTTATCTATGTATAAGGGTGGTATTAGAGAAACAGAAGGATTGGAAAAGATGAGAATCAGAATTTCTAACTAAGTTAGGGTAAACTTAAGATACCTACACATACTCAAGTGAAGATATCCAGTAAGCTACTGGCCATAAGGATTTGGGATATCTAAGTAATGCCTGAGTGTTGGGTATCTGATTCCTTTTCATCTCAACTTCTATTGACATATTGGAATAATTTAATTCATAACACTCTGGTCTCACATTTTCTTGATCATGTTGACTTTAATGATCTTCACACATTCATTTACTCATTCAGAAATATTTACTGATCACTTACTATGTGCCACTTCCCACAAAACTTAAAAAGTTGTACAGGACAAGATGTTGCAGCATCTGTGCAGCTTAAAATCATTCAACTTTAGAACCTCAGAATCCCATGATTACAACCTGGAATCTCAAACTTCCTTCCAACCAAATACTCTGTTCTGAGAGCTACTAGAGAAAATGCTGCATTGTGTAGATTAAGGCAATAACCAACTCATGGGTCAATCAGGGTTCATGGTGCAACACCCTGCTATTTGGCATTCTTTCTGCATATCATTGCTCACCTCCATCTCCCTTTTCTTATAGTGAATATTCCAAACTTCTACCATGGTCCTTGCCCATCGTTCCCTGTCATCCCTAAGTGCCACCAAAAAGGCAAATGCTTTTATTTGACTTACATATCATGCCAGGTGATCAGTCTGAACTAGTCAGATGAGGTGGAGACAAAAGAGCCTATTAAGACCCTCCCAATATAACCCATTCACCCAAATAGCATTCAATATTAAATTCTAGACATTTAAAAGAGACATGAAGGAAAGAAGGAAGGGAAGGGAAGGGAAGGGAAGGGAAGGGAAGGGAGGAATGGAAGGGAAGGGAAGGGAAGGGAAGGGAAGGGAAGGGAGGAAGGAAAGAAAGGAAAGGAAAGGAAAGGAAAGGAAAGGAAAGGAAAGGAAAGGAAAGGAAAGGAAAGGAAAGGAAAGGAAAGGCAGGGCAAAGGGAGAGAGAAAGGGAAGCAAGATAAGAAGACTCATTTCCTCTACCTGGCCCCCAAATTCCCACTTAAATTCTGAAGACACCATATTCTCTAAATGGAGAAATTATCCAAGATAGATGTGGCAGGCAGTAGCACTACAATAACAGCTCCTCTGGTACTTGGATTCCTACAAGGCTACCTTTTCAGAATTTATTTGAACAGAGTATATTTGTCAAGACCAATCACACCACTCTCATCTCATAACCAAAGACTCGATCTTCTTATAGCATTTTTCCCCCACTCCTTCACCTCTGCTTGTTACATAAGAAGCTGAGGTTAGTTCTCAATGGTACACAAATCCTTAAGGTCTTTGCATGCAGCAAGAACCAGATTACTATTGGCCAAAGTGACTTAATACACCCTTTCAGTGAGGTTTTCCTAATCCCATAGAATAGTGTTACTTATAAATTTCAATGGTACAGGCAGTCATGTGCCGTCTTTTCCTCATCTCCCAAGGTGGGATAAAGTATTCTGCATATTCTCCACTCTAATTTAATCATCAGAGCCTTAAGAAAACCCTCCTAGAAGTCTGTGATCAGGTAGATCCATTTCTGGGCTTCCATGACTCACTGTTGTACTTCTGTTATGGCATCCACCATTTTGAAATCTAATTCAGGCTCAAAACTATATCTGGTTTGTGTCGGTATCTCCAGTTGCTAAATATGTATTTCTACATAAATAAAATTAGTGTGTTAACACAGCATAGATGTAACATAGAAAATTGAATGTGACAGGTGTTCAATAAATAATTGGTTCAATAAATTGGTTTATATGGATAAACTATTAGTCTATATGGATTAATTTCAACTTACACTTGCAATCAATTTTTAATTTATTTTCTTTAATTATTGCAAGCATAATAGTAATTTACCTCTGCATACCACTCATCTTTCACAATGCACTATTTTGGAAATTAATATCAGCTCATGAAGGAGCCGATATTAATGCAGCCATGATATAGGTGATTAAGCAATGCTAATTTTACTTGCCCAATATCATAGGCACAGTATCCATCTACCTCAGAATATTTAAAACAGTCATACTAAGCCTAAACACAAAGATAGATATTTAAAATAAATTATAATTACACAAAAATAAATACTTAAGATTATGCATAAAACACAGCAACTGTCTGCTTTGTGTTAAAAAATTAGACTAGCAGACTCTAGAAAGACAGACCACACCAGAATTCCAAGAATACAGAATAGATATTTCCATTCCATTTTTATTCCAGTGAACCTACATCCAAGTATAGGGATACTGAAACATAAGAGATATTAAGTTTTTCTCACTTTAATTTTAGATTTCCCTATGTGTCATGATATGATTGGGAAGAAGACATTTATATCACGTGGACTCCTAGTATCTAATAATAACAGCCAAGATTTATTTAGCATTACTGTGAATATTTGACATACAGTACCTTAATTTTTTAAACACTCTTTTTGGGGTACTATTTTTATTCCAGTTTATGTTGACAAACCCCAGATTTAGAAAAGAGAAGTAATTTGCATAAGGTCTAACAGCTAATGATCAATAAAGCATGTATCTGAACCCAAGATTTCCCCAGAGCTTACACAGTTAACTGTCATACTATGCTGATATGCTGACTTCGTATCAAAGTGTATCCTGTCACCTCCAGTTCTGTGAATTTCTGAGCTATAACTACTTGTCTCTTCCATGAATGTGAAAACAGTATTACTTGCAGTTCTTTCTCTTTGCACGCACATGCACACACACACACACACCCGCTTTCCATTTTCTTATAAGATTAGCTTATTTTTTAAAATGTTGTTTATGATGATACCAAAATCTCCCACTGGAATTAATTAACTGATATTCTCTATCGGACTGTAATATGCAAAGTAATAAATGCCTTCTCAGATTAATAGCTGAAGCAAAACTAAGGTGGTTAATGAGTCTCAAAGCCTATTTACTTTGAGACAATAGTGATTATTGTTCTTTTACAGTCAACCATATCATTAGGAGGAAATACAAGAAAATTATATCTTACCTCACCTGAATGTGTTGAAAATAGTGTTCCTATAAAGTGTTCAGCAAGACACATTCTAATACTACATGATATAAATATATTGGTAAAAATTTTTTAATGATTTATAGTTTGGTGAGGTTTACTAAGATAGTATAGTTTATATTAATAAAGTAAATATATATGATAAAAATTTTAACGAAGTAAAGGAAATGAACAATTTTACTTATGGTAATAATGCACTCTTAATCATTTATGTACTACTTCCATTTAATTTTTCCAGTCTGTGGTTTACAAAAATTGTTCTTGTTTGACTTAATTGCATGAAACTCACTGCAAAAGAAACTCATAAAAGTGTCTACTTTCATCACCTGGGGGAAATAAAATATTGGCTAATTCAAAAGTTGTTTCAAATGGTTATTATATGTACATAAAAATTATGTTCTGATGTAAAAATCAGGAAGACATTTGGAAATTGGTTATGTTTTTTCTTGATTTATTATCATTTACCATAATCTTCAATAAAAGTATTTAAAACCATGAGCCCTATGTCAATCATTTCTAGGACAAACTATGTTTCCCAAAAGTTAGTGTTACTGGACAAGAATATTATCTGCTTCCCAGTTGTGGGTTTACCAGAGACAAAAATATACCATATTTCACCATGTATATAAGGACTGGCCTTTAATTCACAGCAAATTCATGCATGTTATGTCAAGCAAAATTATTCAAAAATATATGCTTACATATATGACAAAGCAAGTTATTGAATATATAAAAATAGTACAAATACCTTTATGTAGTCTTAAAGAACTTAAGATCCCATAATTGTTTACAACTGTAGCAGCATTAATCTCATAACTTAGTAATACAAAATTTTAAAGAGAGGAGTGAGCACTATATTACCACACACAATTAGCTATCTTGGTATGAAGCACTGGTTGACCATATCCAAATTACGCAACTCAGGATGGCAAAACTTTGCTGAGTACCCTAGTAGAACATTCATTGACATGACTAAATTAGGGACATCAGGCATCTAAAAAATCAAACTGTTAGTGTTGTGATGGACAAAATATAAAGGACTCAATTTTCTTCAGTTTTACATCACAAGGCATCAGAAGAATGTTTGTCCAATCTTTTATTATTGATTCATTTCTAACTATCTATCTATCTATCTATACGTCTTCTGTTATCATTACCTTTTAAGAGGGGAAAAGCAGTAATTTTCTGCTTCCAATATCTTCATTTCCTTACCTTATAGGTCCTACTATCCTGTTAGACCCAGTCAAAATTATTATTACCCAATAATTTTTAATATTATAATTTCTTTTTTAATTTCCTTTTACTCAGTTATGCTATGTTGCACCCTGCATTCTCATCCATTTCTCTGGAAAGAAATATGATTTCCTTTTCATTTTGTTAAAGACACACTCACACACACACACAGACATGTCTTATTTATTTTTAAGTTACACTTAATACGAAGTGTGAGTGAAAAAGGCAAGTGGATCATTACACACGCACACAAAAACAAAATGTATAAATTATTAATACATATATTAGTCAATTTTCACACTGCTATAATGAACTGCTCAAGACTGGGTAACTTATAAATGGAAAAGATTTAATTGACTCACAGTTCAGCATGGCTAGGGAGGCCTCAGGAAACTTACAATCATGGCAGAAGAAGAAGGGGAAGCAAGGCACCTTCACAAGGAGGGAGGAAGGAGAATGAATGCAAGAGGAACTACCGAACATTTATAAAACCATCAGTTCTTGTGAGAACTCACTATCACAAGAACAGCCTGGAGAAAACCGCCTCATAATCCATTTACCTCCACCAGGTCTCTTCCTTGACACGTGGGGATTATGGGGATTATAATTCAAGATGAAATTTGGGTGGGGACACAAAGCATAACCATATCAGTACACAATCACAACTTTTCTTGTACGTATTTTTTTATTTTAGTTCACTGTAACTACCTTCAGGTTTTAGTTCTGCATCACATTATCCAAGAGGGCACTAAATTTTATAGCTTTTAGGATAACTTGAAAATGTCTCTGAAACATGATTCAGATGTGGGAAGTTAGTCTTTGGAAGAGTTTAAAAGGAAAAACTTAATTTGGCATTGTGGCTACTACATCACTACATCAGCACCCCTTCTGTGTATTATCCATCCATTTGTTCCTTCATGGGAGTCATTCAGCACCAACCACACGCTGGGCACTATCGTACAATTTTTTAAAGGGTTATCATATGCCCTCAGGGCTTTGGAAATCCTGTGGTAGGTACAGAAAATCAATAAACTGACTGTTGAGGTAAGCTTCAGTGGAGCTGTGTACAGGTGTTGTAGGAGCTCACAGGACAGGCACCTAATTCCAATCAGTGTTGGAGTTAGAAACACTCTTCAGAGGGAGTGAAACCTCACTGGAGTTCTGACCTGTACAGAATGAAGGATTTTCCTGATATCAGTCTGCATTATTTACAAAAAATATTGCACCAGAGTAATCTGTGTGAAAAAAATTACCCTATTTCATGTAATTTTAAGGACATATTTATCACATTTTAACAGCTCTGAACACAGGCCATATTTTGCAATTGAAGGCATGTCACAGTTGAACTGACAGCATTTTTCCTTTTAAGAAAATAATGGTGTATCTTATTGTCAATGGCATCTTCAGCTTGATGATATATAGGAAGTCATCATTCTGCAAGACATCACTTGGGCAATATTTCTGCTGGGATAGTGTAACTGGCCCTGATAGTTTCTCTGCAATTATATAAGGTTACTTCTTCCACTTACTCTCTACAAAGACTTAAATCCTATCATAATTTCACCTATATTAACTTGGAAATTGGCTTAAATAAATTTTCTATGACTAGTCTCTCTACTTGCCAACAATGGCTGCCACTCATCCATAGTTTCCACAAATGGTGAAGTAAAATGTTCTAGAATATCTCTTCTAAAGACTTTATATTTTTTCAGAAAATATGTTAAAACATATTGTAAAAATAGTTTCAAATCACTTGAAAATGCTAAGAAAAAAAATCTTAAATGTTCTCACCACAAAAATGTAAGTATGTGAGGTAGAGGATATGTTAATGAGCTTGATAATAGCCATTTCACATGTATGTTTTTAAAAAAGAAAACATCTTAAAACAATACTTAAAACTATTGGGTCAATGAGGAGAACTAGTTTGTGGGAAATTCTATTAGGCTCCTAGTTTTATCTTCAATCATCATTTTACAGCCTAGTTATGCAGATCATATTAAAGGCAACCATTTTAATGAGAAAACAGGTAGTGAGACAAAGTAATTCCAAGGATGATCTATTGTAAATCTTCATGCATTCTGCTTTTCAGGTGGATTTGAGAATTCCCACTACATATGGACCATGTCCCACAAGCCTTTAAAAAATCGTATATATGAGTGGTATAAAAACCTTACGTTTCCAACTTTAATTCATAATTATTTTCCTTTCTGTGTAACACTATAGTGTCTAACCTTGTAGTGTTAAATACACTCCAGCTTTTTAACATTGCACAACTTGTCATCCTCTTCTGACGGCTATTTTATTTAAGATAGTCTAGGTGCACATACAAAATGAAAAATAATATAGTTCAAATATATTTAATATTGAGTGTATTTAAAATATTTTAATATATGTTTACAAAATTCATTTTAATATGTATTTGCTAGACAATTTTTATTTTGGAAATCATAATCATTCTTTTTGACTAATAAAACATATTGACATTAAATGGCTTAGTAGTTTCTAGAAACTAAACTCACACAGCAAATTAAAATGCAAAATGTGCTTGTCTGGTAAGATTATTCACAGGGAAATAAGGACATACTAAGTGGATCACAGTTTTGAAAGAGCTTACCTACTGAGGGTAAGATTTACATATTAATGATACAGAAAGTTTGCACAAGCTCAGAGGCTAAGCTGTGTTCAGGGATGAGCAGGCTTCTATTTAAAAGGGTTATAACCTATTATAACCCTTTGTGTTGTCATTACAAAGTTGATCTATGCTAGCAGCATATAGATGTAAGCTAGTTCCAATTTTATCTCAGGAAAGGAACAGAGCATACTGGTTATACACCACCTCTATCTAGCACGTGAATTAGCTCATATGGATGAGCAAATAGGGAAATGATGTCAGCACAAAGTGGAAATCAATTGGTTTACACCTGCTATTTCCAATTTGGTAGCCACTGGCCATATGTAGCTGTTTAAATGTAAATAGATTAAAATTAAATAAAATTTAAAATTCCATTTTTTAGTCACAGTAGTCACATTTCAAGTGATCATTAGCCACATGTGACTACTGTACTAAATAGCAGATACAGAACATTTCCCTCAGTGAAGAAAATTCTGTTGGATAGCATTGGTGGACACTTACTTAATATTTCCCAAGAAGTGAAGAGTCTGCATCAGGGACCTCTGCTAAATGACTGAGTTTTAGCTATTCTTGCCACACGCACACAAAACAGAGAAACTATGTGAGATGATGAATATGTTAATTTGCTCACTGTAGTAAATATTTTACTAACTATACATAGCCCATAACATCTTGTTGCATACCTTAAGTATACACAATAAAATGTATTTCTAAAAAATTTTTAAAGGTTGTCTCTTATAACTTCCCTATTAAAAATGTTACATCTCTTAACTCTGCTGAGACTTTTATTAAAATAATATTATATTTCTTCATGATCTTGCTACATAGGCTTATGGTGGTATAACTGAATGTCCATTTTTTTCTGTTAACCTTCAAAATTTTAGTGTATAATTTTGCAAAACATTTGAAATGTATACATCATAGCAGAAATATCTGTATATGTCAAGTCTCAAAATTAGGATCTGAAATCCCTGCAAAATCTTCAATCTATAAAGCTGTTTTCTTATCTGTACAACAGAGATAATTACAGCCCTGGGTCACAGCATACTGAAAAGAGGTCATGTGCCTTAATATATGATAAGTGCAAAATGTGGCATTGTTTACTGAAGTTATCATTTATTGTCAAATGTTACTCTGGGACTATAAATTTTGAGAATATTATATTTTCTCATAAAAGTAGCTGGCCATAGTTTCTTCCAGGGAGTATGTACAGTGATGAGAAGGGAGACACACATTTTATTTTATCCCTTTTTGTAGCATTCGTTGTTGTTTGCCATGCGTACGCATTACTTATCAAAAAGTATCATTTATTTAATGTTCTTTAAAGATCCTCTTTCTGTGTTCTTCTTTGTGCACTTTACAGACAGATCAATTAGTATAGGCAGTGTGACCCAGAAATCACTAAAGCCAACCAAACCTCCGAATTAGAAAATAAAGTATTGACTGGCTTATGAATTTAAGATTAACAAGCTACTGTTAATATGACAAGGAAGTAAATTGGCAGGAAAGAGAGAAGCAGCTACAGATAGAAAAATGAAGATGTAAATTGCAGAGGAGGTCAATTTAAAAAATATGGCCTGGGATTAAAAAAAAAAACCTTATGCATAAATAAATGTATATTTATGAATAGATATGCATTTATATCCATATATAAATATAATGCATAATACATTGCTTTTAAATGAATAAACTTTTAAATATAAGAATTTTTACATTATTCAGAATCAATAAATGGTAAGGTATAAAATATTTTCTTTATAAACAGAAAGAACACATTTTAGTGCTGATGGCCATTTCAATAAAATGTTTCCATATTTGAATCATAATGCCAATTTTTGCATTTTATATGTCAAAAATCATTATGGCTATGACATTTACTCAAATATGACAGTTTTTTCCTGTTACAATGATGATATTAAAATGTGTACTATATTTTGGTTGTAGTATTGAACTTTTTGAATCATGAATCAGATAAATCAGTGTTTTTTCTTGTAAAACTCTGAGGAAGGACCAGGCTTCTCCTTTCCCCTCAAAACCCCATCTCTACTAAAAATACAAAAAATTAGCCGGGCACAGTGGCGGGTGCCTGTAGTCCCAGGTACTCGGGAGGCTGAGGCAGGAGAATGGCATGAACCCAGGAGGTGGAGCTTGCAGTGAGCGGAGATCATGCCACTGAACTCCAGCCTGGGTGACAGAGTGAGACTCCGTCTCAAAAATTAAATAAATATATAAAAATTAAAAAAAAAATAAAAGTTAATTACTAGAAAAATGATACAAAATGTAACACACAAAAAAATCCAAAATATTTATTAAACGCAATAGGTAAAAATTACTCTGTTGTTTGGCATAAATGGTCTTAAATGCTAATTCCTATTTTCTGTCTCCCAACAAATCTGTAACAGACACTGGTAACATGACAGTGATATAGTGAATAGACTACACTTCGAGTAGCACTGAAGAGGGTTAATATACAATTCAGTAAAAATGTCTCAACTAACTCTTGCCAGTTAGGTATATTAATGTTATCAAGGATATTACAGTAAATGATATTAAATTGCCTCTCACAGTATTTGAAAAATTTAACATATAACTAAAAGGGCAAAATAAGTCATTATTGCACATTTTAGAAGTATTTAGGTAAATAGAATTTTTAGTAAATATGTAATTTTATTTATGCCAAATATGAATATATATGCAAATATTATATATTCTCTACTTAGTTTATTTAAATTTGATAAAGCATAAAGACTCATTTGATAAATCACAGACTCATTCCATCCCAGGCTATATAAATCCATCTAATTATCAGAAATAGTTTGACCATAAGAAAATCCACAATTCTATTTCTTATTATATGTATATGAAATGATACCAATTCCTTATATGCAACTTATCAATTTTCATTACTCAGAGTTCACTTACAAGCTGCCTAATTACCTTGTCTTATCTTTTCCACCCAAGGTAACAACCTAACAACCTAAGGTAATTTGACCTAATTAAGTATATTCTATAAATAATTGGCCTAAAGTACTAGATACAGGTTGTGGCAATTGATAACAATAATGAACCACAGCCATAGCAGAGAAAATTAGCTAAAGATAAAACCAAATAATGTGCTAATACTTTAGAAATAAAATTAGAGGAACTTTAATAATCCTTAAACTCTGTTCACATTTTCTTCATTCAAATTCCAATAATATCAATGAAAAAGTTCAATAAAATGTATCATTGAAATGTCACTCTTATAGTAATAAGGCACATTGAGGGAATTCACAATACATAGATTGATCGTTATTGCATACATAACTTCCAATATGTATGTATGTCAATTGAGCATTCGAACATATATTCTTAGGACAGAACCGAAATATAAATATGTCATTGTAATACTTCTCTGTAATTAATGGAAATACATGAAATTCATTTCAGGGATTTGTTTTCAAAGTGGGATTTATGTAACACATATTCTGTAGCATGTATTTTGTGTTAGTGTTGTGATTACTTTCATCTTGAACCAAAAAGAGACACATATATACACACACACAATTTCCTTTTGAGAAGAAAAGCTAATCTATTCCAAATACAATATATTTTAAAAGATAAGAATTTTAAAAATAAAATGTGATGCATGTTTTCAAAATAATTAAACATAAAACAAACTTTTACTATTTGCAGAAAATTTCTATTCTCTACTTTCTTTTTTGCTTTTTAAAAATTTATTCATTTATTTGTTGTTGTTGAGATGGAGTCTTGCTCTGTTGCCCAGGCTGGAGTGCAATGGCGTTGAGGGATCTCGGCTCACTGCAACCTCTGTCTCCCGGGTTCAAGCAATTCTCCTGCCTCAGCCTCCCGAGTAGCTGGGACTACAGGCAGTTGCCACCATGCCTAGCTAATTTTTGTACTTTTAGTACAGATGGGGTTTCACCACGTTGGTCAGGCTGGTCTCGAACTCCTGACCTCAGGTGACCCGCCCGCCTCGGCCTCCCAAAGTGCTGGGATTACAGGCATGAGCCACCATGCCCAGCTGAAAATTTCTATTTTCATACAGTAAGTAAGACAGTTATCTATTGTATCTATATACTCTGAGAATTTTCCAGAATGTAAAAAAAGAGAACAATGATAATTCATTAGGCATGTTATAAAGAATAATTTCTAATGATTCAAAAAATCTCATTTGTTTGGTACATTTATGTAAGGAGATAACTTTTTATTGTATTACTTATTTATGACTGAACTGTCATTTCTGTTATTTATCTAAATCTTCTTAAAAATTTTTTTAAGATAAAAACTGCCAATAAAACAGCTTGTTTCAGACATGCAAAGGTAATTGAAGAAAAGCATGCCTAAGAGAATACTGATCTTTTTCAAGTATATATTCATAAACTCATAGAGCATATTTTTAGGGAAATATTGAAATTATCAGTCTTGTTTTTCAATGGAAAGATTTCTATTTATACATTGCTCACATTTGCTTTACCTCACTTATACTGCCTGTACTTCACCTACAGCTCCAGATATTCCTATCAAGTCTTGTTTCCTGAATTCTGAAATTATTTCATCAAAATTTAGATGAAGCAATAACCTTTGTGCTTTGTGTCTTCAGAGATCAATGTGTGTTCTCATTTTAAGCCTGGGATACACTTGCTGGTGATTTCATGTTACTTATTACATGTCTCTATGAATAATTTTTTAAAATAAACACTGAGAAAATCATATCTCCCCAGAAAAAAAATGAAGGCGTCATGAGGACGGTATCAACTATTAAGCATGATTTTGAAAATACAAACGTAGGTAAATAAATGATAATATAATTTATGGTAAGGGAGAAAGCTAGAATACCACTTTTATGTTAAAAATATACAGTGTAAAATAAATGGAATTTCCATTTATTTGTCAAAAAACACTACAGTGATGTAATTCATAGAAAATATGTTTTACACAAAATGTATATTCAGAATTATTAACCTCTGCTATGAAACTTTATGTAAATTAAATCTGCATCTTATACTCAACTGCATTTTCATCCATTTTATACTCAGAAGAGCTAAGAGGCAGAATTCACAATTGTTAAGAACACAAAATTTGAACTAAAACTGCCTGAGTTGCAATAGTGAATTTTCTGTTCTGTGACCTTGGACTTACCTTCCTTATGCCTCAATTTCTTCCTTGGTTATTGTAACTATTAAAGGCGATACAATTCGTGCAATGTGCTTATAATATTGCTTGGCAGTATACAAGTACCAAATAAATTTTTGATAATGTTTTATTATTATTACTATTATTATTATGTCTCCACAGATTTTTCCCTAGGGTTAATTTTCCAGGTTCATGTATTTTCTATAATTCTAAATCTGTTTTCCCATGGTTCTGATTGACTGCAAACATTTATACACAGCTATATAAAATCATAACACATCTTGCTGTCAGCCAACAAGGCAGTTTCCTGAATTTCATGGAATTCATCACCATTCATCAGTATATAATTTTGGATCAAGGTACATGCAGTTAGTGGATTAACCTTACAGCCATTTTCAAACATAGAACAGAGAGCTTCTTACTGCTTAGATTGGGGAAACTACATGCTAATCATTGACATTGTAATCTAATCACCAAATGATAAAAAATATTATGGGAGGAAGCAAAATCTAAGTGCTGGATCTAATTACATTACTATTCAGTAGCTTGATGGAGAAGATGGGCAAGTTGCTGCAGTCATTTAAACAACCAAACATTCAATAGACCATTCTAGGCCCCAGTCCAAGCTGCGAGTGGAAAGCTAGTAGTTGTGCATTTCAAATGAAGACCAGTTGTTAAAGTATTAACTAAGGGGCTTCAGGAACTCTAATTCTTATGATCTTTAAGTAACAGCAATCTTGTGGTAGGAGTTATGATGATGTACGAGAAAGGTATGCAAGAAAGAGGTCAGGTACAGTCAGAGATATATATTTTCAAATCTCTGCTCTGCCACTTGATGACAGATATGAGCAAGTGACCTAATTTTTCAGTTCCATCTGTAAAATGGGGATCACACTGATCTTTCAGGGATTATATAAAGACAGTGACCACACAATATCTGCACACAGTTGGTATTCAGGAATTGGCGATGTTTTTTATTGGTGATCATAAAATAATAAAAAAGTATTAAGAAACTAGCCAATATTTAAACATTATAGAAAACTGCATTATTATTCACTATAATTATATAAGCAATAGGGAGATTATGCTAGTCATTCATACATCAATGCCGAGAGCACACACTAGGTACACAGAGCTAGCTATGACATGACACTGATGCTAAATGATGCAATTTATGGAAACAGAGTGAAATGAATAATCCATGTGTATTTGCCTCTTGTACAAGCATGAATGGCATAGAGCCTTGCTGAAAAATTAAGTTGGTGAAAATAAAATATAATAAAAAATGTTCAGCAAACTATACAATAAGCTTTCCGTGGCTCGTGACCTTACAGCATGGATTGTGCCAATGTATAAAATAAAACACTGTATATTATGAACATTCCTGAATTTTCCGCACTGGTAGAGGGAATGATCCAGAAGAGCAGGCGATTTATACTTTATTTCTATTTTGACTCTTGAATAAGCGCCTGTACATATTTATTACATCACAATAGCTTTTTTTTTAAGCCAATGAAGTATTGTTTTTATGAATGACCCACTAATTAAGTGAGAAGCAACTCGTGCTGGTACTAGCACTACTGGTCCTGTGGTGATATAAGGAGTTGCTTAGAAAAAAAAAATCCAATTTGAGAAATCTATAATGTATTAAACATTATTTATTAAAATATTAAATACAGGATTTAAAGATTTATCAGCTGTCAATACAGAGGCTCGGTAAAATTAATTTAAATAATTTGAAAAGTAATTAAGAATATACATATATATATACACATACACACATATATATATGCATATTTATTATTAAGCTTGTGTAATTCTGAAGCCACAAGACTAGACAGCATATAAAGAAGTAGGGTGCATTTCAAAAACATCAGAATATCTACCTTGAGCTGTGTACTGTCAATCCAAAGCAATCAGCTTCAGAGGCACACATTTAATTCCAGTGATGCTGTCACTAGTCCTCTTTAATAACTACTTTTGCCTTTGTGTGAGTTTTCCATATGAGAAAAGTAGCTACATTAATTCATAATCACACTACATAGGTTGTCAGCCAAAGAGGAGTAAATACGAAATGAAAAATACATAGAAGCAGTATCCTGAGCAAATAATGATAGCTACCTATTCAGAAATAGTCATTGTATTGGAACACACCCACACATGTACACATACACATGTAGTTGGGGATGAAGAGGTGTTAGAACACTATACTTGAATGCCAAATCTACTTTGTCATGTTTTTCATTTATCTGATGGTATTACAGCACTGGTTCCCACCTGATAGCACTGTAAAACAAACTGAGGGACTTCTAACACATAGATTTCCAGCTCCATCCTAGGCTCAGGTGAACCTAAGTCTAGGGTCTTCAATCAGAGTACTAAAATTTTTTAAAACTCCCAGGTAATTCTAAATTTGGCATAAGGGCCACTGAGTTACAAAAAAGAAGCCATCATTTATTGAAAATATTGCCCTGTAGTGGCTCAGTTTATAAAAGGTGACACTCACAATAACAATTAGAGTTAGATGTTCCCATCCCCATTTTCTTTCCAACAAAAGGAAGCTTTTAGAGTGTAGGATGCAAAGCTAGTATCTGAGTCTAGATATGTCTGATTCTAAATTTGTGTTTTTTACGGCACATCAAAGTAAAACTAAAAAGCTTTCATAACCGGGGCCACAAAGTGGCCACAGAAAGGGAGGTTACAAAAAACCAGCACTTATGTTTTGTTCAACCGGCAGCAATGCTTTGAAAATTGCACATGCATCTGTTGGACATCAGGGAATATCAGCAAGACAATACCTCCTAAAAATAGGCTTCTTGTAATATCTCGCATGCATAGTTTTTCTTTTCTTTTCTTTTTTTTTTTTTTTTTTTGGTGGAGGAGTGGGATGTTTATGCAATATTTGTTAAATCTTTTTAAATGTTTTTATTATTATTAAATGTGTGTATGCATGTGTACATATACAAAGCCTCTCCAATTTAAAACTAAAGTACAGCCTTCGCCTAACTCCCAAAGGGATGAGAGCCTCATGCAGCCAATACAGTCTTCCAGCTAAAATGTCTCCTTCCTTATTCATCTATTTTACCCTGGCTTCCTAGACAGAGCTGCTACTCCCAGGTACCTGAGTTAAAGAAGTCTCTTATATCACAAAAGGAAAGTTTCCGCTTTGTTTGTGACCCCTGATTTAAAACTTCCCAAATTTTTAAACTTAAACATTTTAAATAGGAAGTAATTATAATAATGCATTTGAGTAACACTAGCCTAAGTGGTTCTGTCAATCATTTTATTAATTAGGGTAAAAAATTTGGCATCATTTCTATAGATGATATATAGATGAGGAAACTGAGGCTCAAGCAAGAAAAGTGTGGGATGAGCTCAAAAGGCAGGGCAGGAATTATAGGCAGGTCACCTGCCTGCCAGCTCCCAGGCCCTTCCAAGTTTCTCTATTCTTGAGAAGCTTAAAACCCTCCCAGAAAGCTTACGCTCCTTCCGAGGGCATTAAGAACCATCACAGACCTAACAGTAGGGCTATTTACTGATTAGTTAAAAAAAAATTACCAGACACAGTGAAGCTGAGAGTAGGTCTAAAAAAGGTACCAATCATATTTTGAGGGGAGAAGGATTACTCATGATAATGTTTCTAATCTGCCAGTACATCCGATATACTTAGACACAAAGAAAAATCGGATTTAAAGAGAAAAATGGTAGTTTGTCAATGAAATTAAAAAATTTCAAACACTAAAATTTTTGTTTCTGTGCTAACGATTTTTAACACACAGACTTTTATTACTGATTTCACAATTTAATACTCTACAGAAAAGAGCTTCATATAGCCGATCAATCTTGTGTTACTTATAGAGTATCATAATCCGATATGTGTACCAAACAGCCCATGAAGAAAACTCAAATTTTTGACAGAAAAACGGTGGCTTTGATCCGTTCTTTACTATTGCTAATAGAACTCTGCAGCTAAAGATCTTCCCTCCTAATAACCCCCTAACAAGTTAAATGCATTTCTAACTTCTTCAAAGAGCGAACTGCAATTTCTACTTTGATGAAACTTTTTTCCCTAATTTCCCTTTGATGAAACTTTTTTTCCCTAATCGAGGTATGACACATAAAAATTGTATACATGTATAGTGTACAATGCAATGTTTCTATATATATATATATATATACACACACACACACACACACACATTATGAAATGATTATCACAGTCAAGGTAATTAAAATACCCATTACCTCACACAGTTTCCTGGGGGGTGGGGGTTGGTGAATATATTTAAGACCTGCTGTCTTAGCAAATTTCAAGTATCTGATACAGTATTATTAACTATAATCACTGTGCTGAGTATATTAGATCTTCCAAACTTATTCACCCATCATAACTGAAACACTGTACCTTTGACCAACATCTCCCCATTTTGTCCATTCCCATTCCCAAGCAACCATGATTCTACTCTCTGCTTCCAGCTTTGACTTTTTTAGATTATACATATAAGTAATATAATGTAGTATTTGTGTCTCTGTGCTTGGTTACTTTCACACAGCATAATGCCCTCCAGGTTCATCCATGGTGTCTCACATGCCAAGATTTCCTTCTTTTTCTAAGGCTGAATAATATTTCATTGATATATAACAATGTATATTATATACAGCATAATATATAACATACTTCATATATATAATGTTATATATATAACATTTTCTTTATTCATCCATTGATGGACACTTAGGTTGTTTCCATATTTTGGCTATTGTAAATAATGCTGCAATGAATGTGGAAGTACAGATATCTCTTTGAGATACTGGTTTAATTTCCTTTGAATTCCCAAAGTGGGATTGTTGGATCATATGAAAGTTCTATTTTTAATTTTTTGGGTAATCTCCATACTGTTTTCTATAATGGCTGTACTAATCTACATTCTCACTAAAAGCACACAAGAGTTCCCTTTTCTCCACACTCTGGCCAGCACTTATCTTTTTGGTCTTTTTGCTATAGTTATCTTAATAGGTGAGGTGATATCTCATTGTGGTTTTGATCTGCATTTCCTGATGATTATGTAACATTGAGCATTTTTCATATACCTTTGGCCATTTGCATTTCTTCTTTTGAGAAATGTCTATTCAAGGATGGGGCTTTGGTGCATGATAATCTCTGCCTCAGTTTTCATAAAGCTACACAACTTTCAACTTCCTCACTGGTGTGCCTTCCTTTGACTCACTCATGTTCAGCATGCCTCATGATTAAATGTCGCGCCACAATCTCTTTGCTGCCCACAATTCCTTATTCCCAGAGAAATCCATTTTCATTTCAACTATCACATATCACCTCCACTCAGATAGTTCTAAAATCTTTCTCTTCATTCCTAACTATTCCTCAAAGTGCATCATCAATTACTGTTTCTAGAGACACCTCATACCTCTCACTTGAAAAACGGAATTCATATTGTCCTCTAATTGAATTTACTTTTAGCACTAATTCAGTCCTTAATCATATGCTCTCACTAAACTGTTTTTTCAGTGTCTCGTGTATATAGCCTTGATGAAATAATTACATTTTCTAATAAGAAAAGTTCCCTCTTAAAATAAGGAGCTTTTGAGTGACTGAGCAAAGAACACTTTCCCAGCTACTCAAATGAGGTCACCTGACTTTAGGTACCACGAGGAAGGCTGAAGTTACCTCCAGATCACCCATGCACTCAAGCTGTGGCTATTTTACTTGGTCCCACATAGAATGGTAAACTACTTGAAAACCAGAACTGTGATCTATACTCTTAGTATTTCCCACAGTGCTTAGAAGAATAATTCATACATGTTATGAACTGAATTGTATCCCCTACAAAGGTCATGTGTTGAAGTCCTAACCCTCAGTACTCCAGAATATGTCTGCATTTGGAGAAAGGGCCTTTAAAGAGGTAATAAAAGTAAAATGAGGTCTTATGGGTGGGCCTTAATCCAATAAGACTGGTGTACACATATGTTAAGAAGAGGAGATTGAGAAAACAGGGAGGCATGCACCCACAGGAAAGGCCAAGTGAGGACACAACAAAAATGTGGCCATCTGCAAGCCAAGGAGACAGGCCTCAGAAGAATCAAACCTGGCAACACCTTGATCTTGGCCATCCAGCCTCCAGAACTATGAGAAAGTTAAGGTTCTGCTGTTTAAACCACCCAGTCTCTGCTACTTTGTTATGGAAGCCCTAGTAAACTAACACAATGTTCAGCATTTATTTGCTAAACTGATGGGAATTTATGATGCTACTTTTATCACCTTCTCAGACTAGGTTGTTAAGGTAGATTTACAAAGATAGATTACTTGACATCATGGATTTCCCACTTGTGCTCTTTATTGATAACTAGTGCTAATATTCAGACCCAAATATACACTATATTTATTCCTTCAAGTAACATACTTGCATTAGAAGTCAAAGAATATTGAAAAGATAAAACTTCCGAGTAAAATAGCTACAGTGGCTTTCCCTTTGCATATGTGGTATATGTGTTAGAGGGGGGCTGTGTAATATTTTCAGGTTATAATACCTTTTGGAATCCTGTCTAATTCAAACTTAAATAGATCACTGCTTAAATCCTGAACAGAAAAGGGTTTCATGCAGTTGGTTTCTAGACACGTGGCCTTCCTCATCACGATTCATTTATTTGACCTTGAAAAACTAAAGACAACAGCTATTAGAGGGGTGGACCCTGGAAATCATTACATTTTTCTCTTTAGCTGACTGGAGCCACATTTGTAAATATTCAGTAATTGCATATCGAGAACAGTACCTGTGGCCATGGGTTTTGAAGATATTTGGAAGTAACAACATATGTTTTATTAGGCAGAAAATATAACAATGTATATAAAACGAAAGGGCCATATTTGTAAATAATCAAATCCTAGTTAACCTAGCATATAAAATGAGATGAGAATAATCTAGTGGGTCAGAGTTAGAAGATTTCAGAATCAGACCTGGGCTTAAGTTTTAGCTCTGCTAGTTACTAGCCCTGTCATCCTGGGCAAGAAGCATAGGCCCAGTGAGCCTCCAGTTTATCATCTATAAAATAGGAATAAAAACAATAAAGCTCTGAGGACTGTTTGAGAAAAAATACACATACTTTGTATGCCTAGCCCACAGTAAGAATTCAAATAAGTGTTATATATTATTTAACTTAGTAATGCTGAACACTCTCTGCTTACTGAAATTATGTCTTCAGAGTGAATTATTTTTGGAATGATTATATAAATACATAAGCTTTATAATGAAATTGGAGACAGCAGTTGAACATATGGCATGCACAAAGTAGATACATTTAGGAATTCACCAAATATTAGAAAGGAGCAAAGTATCACAGCAGTACTTTGGGGAACATAGTATGGTGAGACAACATTTTTGTAGAAACAACAACAAGAAAAACCAAACAGATGAACACAAAGCAGGGTGACTTGATTTAGGTAATATTGTTGTTCATCAAGAATATGCAAAAGCATACTGGTAGAACCAGCAGGCAGTAATGACATGCACAGTTATGATGCAAGTTTGTTTCCATTCAACATGAAACAGATTGGGTCAAAATATGTGTAGTCTTTGTAAGAAAGAAAAAATACCTTATTCCCCATTTTTTAAATTTTAAGACAACGGCAGAATATTATTTATAGATTTTATTTATCAGTGTTTTTCTAGATATTTTAATCCAATGATAAAAAGATATATTTTTGTGGTGCTCTTCCTCTCATTTTTTTTTTCTGAGCTAGAGTCAACCTGTTAAAAGATCATTCCAATATTTATTCAGATCTTTTGGGTAAACTACTGAGACTATCAATCTCTACATGATATTTCTGTGTTCTTATTCAGAATTCTTAAACTATAGGAATAATTCAGTATTATTTATATGTGATGATTAACTTTGAAATTTAGGCAATTTACACAGAATGCCACGGGCTTAAAAAACAAAAAAACTTATACACTGAGTATATATGATATACATTACACATACACACACACACATACATTTAAAGAAGTACATTCAATTCCAGGAATGTTTACTTAATCTATAAGCACTATAAGAGAGTATCATAGTGAGATACTCTCTGGATATTTTGAGTCCATTGAGAATGGGATGATGTTTTTTTCATCCAGGGCATCAGTGACTAACACTATGTCAATAGCATTATTGAATGAATGCCAGAATATGAGAATAAATAAATGACTGAATTTCACAATACCTATCTTTAAGAAGCATATAATCTAGGAAAAACTAAAACTGTGTAAATGCAGTGTGTGTTCTGTACCTGAACTTCTCAAGCTATCTATATTGCACTTGAGAAGCTCATTTTCCATTTCCAATCAACCACAAACCAGTATTTTACAGAATACAATGAAAATATATTACTAGAAAAGTGAGGGAGAAAACACAAAGACATATAATGAAACATGAAATTATTCTGTAAAATTGTTGTGGAAATCTCAATTCTTGTTTCAGAACAGAAACCAACAGGCTACAGAATATATTTTAAGCAGCACCACTTTTTACTATCACTATGAACAACATGATGGGAGAACACCCCACTTAACACATGGGTAAATTAAATAAAAGCACTTGAAAAGTTCCATTAAGATTAGTTTAGAAAAATCTGCTGGGAAAATTTATCATTTTCTTCCTGTACTTTCCAGAATTCTATAGTGATTCACTCAAGTGAGAAGAAAAAAAAAAAAGAAAGAAAGAAAAGAAGGAAGGACACCAAATGGTTCTTTTCAACAAACTAGTCATCCTGGCAACTCTGCAGGACTCAAAAGGAGAATGTACTTTACATCTCCTTTTCCCTAGAAAGGCTCCACATTATCAAACACTCTCCTTATGGTAAGTAAGAAACCCAAACCACTTGAGTGATAATGTCATAAGCACAGTTCTCATTTCCATTCTTTTTCCTTTGCGAATAACTAACATTCTTTTGTTGTGTGGCTAGAAATAATTTACAACTACATGAGGGACTGATCTCTCTACTCCGTTCCTGTGTAATTCTGTTTTTATGTTATGGGTTTCAAGCAATTTTCACCTATGAATGATAAATTACTAAAAATGTGTTACTATTTGTACTCAAAAGCTAATATACATGTACGTACTGAAAATATTAAGAAATCATTATAGTATTTTAAATTTAATGAAAAAATACATTTAGCAAGTTTTTAAAGTAAATGTTCAAAATGTCATGCCTACACCAGGAAAATACTGTACAAAATGCAATTTTGTAGCATAATTCCTAGTGGTTAGAGTCTAAAGTCACCATGAAAGATACATAAAAATTACTTCTAAAAATCCCTTCAGGGCTGGGCACGGTGGCTCACGCCTGTAATCCCAGCACTTTGGGAGGCCAAGGTGGGTGGATCACAAAGTCAGGAATTCAAGACCAGCCTGGCCAAGATAGTGAAACCCCGTCTCTACTAAAAATACAAAAAAATTAGCTGGGCGTGGTGGTGGGCACCTGTAATCCCAGCCACTCGGGAGGCTGAGGCAGAGAATTGCTTGAACCCGGGAGGCGGAGGTTGCAGTGAGCCAAGATTGCACCGCTACACTCCAGCCTAGGCGACAGAGCAAGACTTGTCTCAAAAAAAAAAAAAAAAAAAAAAAATCCCTTCAATAGATCATATAATACTTATACATGATTTTATATGTTTTATATCATCTTTAAGTAAATCTAACCCAGCCAGTTTCTCTACCAGTGTTAGGTAAGAAGGTAAAGTCCTTTAGATGAAGACTAGGTGAAGAGCTAGGCTTTATTTTTTTTTTTTAAACCAAAAATATAAATTAAGTCTATAAATTCATATAAAATAAAAGTGCATACAAAACTGCAATATTACAGTAAAATAACCACAAAAAGTGTATGGAAATACTCATTATTCAAAATAGCAATGAAAAGAAAGTGAAAAAAGAACCAACTAAAATATTCACAATGGGGCATGACAAAGTACATTATTACAATGGAATGCTGTATAACCATTAAAATCCTAACACCTGTTGTGAGGGTTGGATATAAAAAAAGGAAATCTATGACATAATATAATTTACTTAAATGTAATACATATCATTTATCTTTTAGGGACAAAGAGACATAGTATCAAATAAATATGCTAGCTGCGAACAGTGGTTCACACTTTTTATACCAGTGCTTTGGGAGGCTGAGGTGGGAGAATCGCTTGAGGTCAGGAGTTCGAGACTAACCTGAGCAACATAGTGAAACTCTGTCTCTACAAAAAATAAGATAAAAAATCAGCTGGTCATGGTGGCACACACCTGCAGCCCCAGCTACTAGAGAGGCTAAAGCAAGAGGATCCCTTATGCTCAGGAGTTCAAGATTACAATGAGCCATGATCATGCCACACTGCACTCCAGACTGGATGACAGTGAGACTCTGTCTTGAAAAAAAAAAAAGAAAAGCAAAATGAATGAAAACTACTCCCCCAATTAGGCAACTAAATAACTAATACCATTTCCTAAAGCTATTAATAAGCAATTGATTTCTCCACACACACTCACACTCATACTCATACTCACAAGGTTATATTACCCTTACATACAGAGACATACCTTGAAAGACCTATACTGGGAATACTGACATATGCTTAGCTCTAAACCAACAAATAAAGATAGATGATGGATCGAAATTACATGCTCATATTTCCCCATCAAATTCTCACTGATTCATAAGTTTTAGTCAAAGATACTAAATCAATTTAACCTCAAAGACTATACAGATTAACATTCTATAAATTTGAAGTATTTCTTTCTATTCATGTTATTTTACATATAGTCTTGAAAAGCTGATTTGACTTCACTCACCTCATCATGGGTCACATTTTGTAGCTGGAAATGCATAGGAAGGTTAATCCTCTGATTTAATAGAGAATAAGATACTATCTTAACCCTGAACTTTATTTTTACTTGTGAAATTTATCACCATCAGCTCCTTCTGCACTGTAAGCTCCATTCTTATACATTATATAATGCCTTGTGACACACAGAAGGATAAAAAAATGAATTTTCATGAAATATTTGTTGGATAACTACACTAAAACATTCATGAAATAATGTGAACATAATGCATTGCTTAAATTAATGTAAACAATATACTCATAGTTTGTGAACTAGTAAAAGAGTTAAGTGCCATAAACCAGTGATTATTCAACCTTAAAAACACAATTGTCATCCCATCCCCCCATTAAAAGTAGGAATGCATTTTCAAGCCTTTTAATTTTACACTCACAAACTATTTGCAAAATAGCCCAAGAAACTGTTAAAATACATCACCAAGATCATCTTTTAAATAAATATTAATCCTATTTGTTCAAGCTTTAATTAATATAGATAGAAAAGTATCTACACTTTTCAAGCAACAAATGTCAAAACTGTTGTGGTTTAGTTAACAGTTAAAATTATTTTAAGATACTCTTATTTGCAAATAGTTAAAATTCTTAGCAAAAACTGCATGAAGGAAATGATTTTAAAATGTATTTAGTCTTAGGACACTTCCTTTTAATGAAAATCTATATAAAATATCCTAAATTAGATATAAGTAGTAACTTCTATCTTAAAATTACTTTTTAATTTACATTTGTGAAACTCTATTTTAAAGTTAATCAATACCTGAAATGACGTTTGCTTTGATGAACACAAAGCTTTGTATCTGGAGTCCACTGATCATCACTGCTATCCTATATCAGTCTCAGCATCCAATGTATTTATTTTGTTTAGTGTACTGTATTTCGAAAATTCTTATCAATATAATTAAGTATTTGTAAATGGTAACAGTTTAACTGTTCATGATAACCATTAGAATCTCATGCTACACTAATACTGTTACAGAAGCTCAAACGAGTAAAAGCAGAAAACTTTGGTTTCAGGTTGAATCATAAGAATATATAATATTTTGAATTGCTTATCATAAATGTAATAAGAAGCACCCAAAATTACATAATAAGTACTGGGATTTTCAAACTATTCCAAATAGCTGACTAAAATTAAATTAGAGGATCTACAGAACTCCCAGGCTACACTATTACCTTCCAATGCAATTGGCAGAGATAAGTTCTTTCCATGACATTTACTAGGTAAGCAGACTGAGTCACTTCACCTCTGAGATTAAATTTCAACATTTGGAACAGCATAGAGAACTCAGAAATAAATTCACACACCTAGAGTGAACGCATTTTCGACAAAGGTGCCAAGAACATGCATTGGGGAAAAGACAGTTTCTTTAATAAATGGTGCTGGGAAAACTGGATACCCATATGCAGAAGAATGAAACTAGACAACCATCTCATGCCATATACAAAAATCAAATGAATATGGATTACAGGCTTAAATCTAAGACCTCAAACTATGAAACTACTACAACAAAGTATTGGGGAAACTCTCCAGGACATTGGTCTGGGCAAAAAATTATTGAGTAATATCCTACGAGCATAACAAATTAAAGCAAAAATGGACAAATGGGATCACATCAAGTTAAAAAGCTTCTGCATAGCAAAGGAAACAATCAACAAAGTGAGGAGACAACTCATAGATTGGAAGAAAATTGCAAATTGCCCATCTGACAAAAGATTAATAACCAGAATTTATAAGGAGCTCAAACAACTCTATAGGAAGGAATCTAATAATCTGATTTTTAAAATGGACAAAATATTTGAATAGACATTTCTCAAAAGAAGAAAACAGGCATATGAAAAGGTCACCGATCATCACCGATCATCAGAGTAATGCACAGAGAAATGCACATCGAAAAGACAATGAGATATCATCTCATCCCAGGTAAAATGACTTACATCCAAAAGCCAGGCAATAACAAATGTTGGCGAGGATATGGAGAAAAGGGAACCCTTGTATACTGTTGGTGGGAATGTAAATTAGTACAACCACTATGGAAAACGGTTTGGAGGTTCCTCAAAAAAACTAAAAACAAAGCTACCACATAATCCCGAAATCCCACTCTGGAGTATATACCCAAAAGAAAGAAGATTAGTATATCAAAGAGATAGCTGCACTCCTATGTTGCAGCACTGTTCACAACAGCCAAGATTTGGAAGCAACCAAAGTGTCCATCAACAGATAAATGGATAAAGAAAACATACTATCTACTTCACAATGGAGTACTATTCAGACACAGAAAAGAATGAGTTCCTGTCATTTGCAACAACATGGATGGAACTGGAGGCCATTATGTTAAACGAAGTAAGATAGGCACAGAAAGATCAATGTTGCATATTCTTACTTATTCTGGGGATCCAAACGTCCCCAAACTCATGGAGATAGGGAGTGGAAGCATGATTACTAAAGGCTGGGAAGGGTGGCAGGGAGGTGGGGATGATTAATAGGTACAAAAAATGGAATGACTGAATAAGACCTAGTATTTGATAGCACAACAAGGTGACTATAATCAATAATAATTTAATTGCACATGTTTAAATAATGCCAAAGGGTATCATTGGATTGTTTGTAACACAAAGGGTAAATGCTTGAGGGGATGGATATCACATTTTCCATGATGTGATTGTTATGCATTGCCGGCCTGTATCAAAACATCTCATGGACCTCATAAATAGATACACCTATCATGTACCCACAAAATAAAAAATTAATAAATAAATACAAATAAATTTCAACATTCAGAAATGAAGCAGTGAGAATAAAATTAAAATGTATATGAATATGTTTGAATGATAAAGCCCTCTACAAATGTAGAATAACTGTTAAGACAAATTATCATTTCAGTACACATATGCTCTTAGCAGTTACGTCCTTTCTCCTTCATGCTGGAGAAATTATGTTTTCCTTTTCACATTTTTAGAGATAATTGTCATGAATTGTAGTGAAAGTTCCTCAAAAATCTTTTCTTTTCAGTTTCTACCTACATCCTACTAAAGAGTGTGTACATAGATATTGAAAATATCTAGAAAAGAGTTCAAGTGCAGTAAAACATCAGTGAGGAACTACTTCACTAATTAATTAATTCAAAAAGGTTTATTGAGTGCTTCCTGTGTGCCAGGTACTGTCTAGGTACTGGAAATCATCATTAAGATAAACTGTATTGTCATAAAGCTATCGCCTAATGGGAGAAGAAGGCATCAAACAAGAAAACAAACAAACAAAAAAGAGTGAAATAAAATTTCAGGTATTGATAAATAATCCAAAATAAGTTTCGCTTATTTTTTTTGTCTTTTTTTTTTTTTCCTTTTTCTGGAGAATGGGGTCTCGCTATATTGCCCAGGCAGTCTCGAACTCCTGGGCTCAAGCTATCCTCCCGCCTCTTGCCTCCCTGAGAGCTCGGATTACAGGCGTGAGCCACCGCGCCCGGCCCCAAAATAAGTTTCATACTTAGATAGTCTCATCTTCTGGAGCTCAATGGATGGAGATCAAGGGGAAGTAGAAAAATAAAGCAATGGTTTGGAGGACAACACCTGATACATGCTAAATACTAAATAAGTGTTGGTTGTTTTGGTGGTTGTTAATATCTTTATTATCACCATTCATCTCAAAAATGTAAATAGGATGTAAAAATGGAAGGTTAGAAGTTGTAGGATTATCTTCTTTGTATGAAAGTCAGGACCTAAAAATGGGTAAACATGTCTTTAACTCCATATTAGAAAACATGTGAGACTCAGAAGAAACTGGTCTGATAAGAAGAAAAGAATGTGGGGAAGAAAATGAGGCTGTGTAGATTGCGGGGTTTCACAGTATATAAGCCTCTTGATTTTCCACATTTATGGACTTCGAAAATGCAGGAAACAGATAACTAGATACAGGATTTTCTATTATGTTTTCAAATAACTTCTGAAACTAAGTTGGTATTCAATTGGTGTTAAATCTGTTAGCAAATTTACATGTTAAGTATATCATTCTGTTTTTAAAATAATGAGTGATTCTCTGCAAGGCCATGGATAGTTCTCATTAAATTAGGTGTTAGGCAAATACCACTAATATAGAAGCCTATCCTATGAAGATGTTACCAATTTCTGACAATTGCATTATTTCCTTACCTCCAGGGCCAAATAACAAATGAGTAGACTGAAAGAGCAAATTTAGTAAAAGTGGCCATCTTGCTCCTGAAGAACAATAAGTATCAAGATAAATTTAATATTTCTTAGTCAATGGGACCATATTTTGGGATAACTTTTTGGCAAATATGAACTTCAATGGATTTCTATTTAGGATTTAATAAAAAGTGAAAGCTGAAATTGAAATGATCAGAGAGTATTTAAAAAATCTATCTTGGATAATCTCCGATAAGGAACAAATGCCAAAAGGAGTTTGAAAACATGACATAGCCCTGAAGCCTCTATGAACACTCTATATTTGCACTGTTCTATGTGATAGCCACTGGCCTGTGAGCTCCTGAAATGTGGCTGTTCTGTGCTGTTAAGTATACAATACAAACTAGATATCAAAGACTTAGCACAAAAAACAGAATATTTTAAAAGTAATTTTATATTGGTTACATGTTAAAATAATTTTTGATACACTGAGCTACATAAAATCTTTATGAAAATTAATTTCAGCTGTTTCACTTTTTAACTTTTTTAATATGTCTTTTAGAAAATTTACAGTTACATATGTGGCTGGCTTGCATGACTTGCATCGTTTCTTTTGAACAGTGATCTAGAGAAAGCTTGTTCATGGCTATTGTTGACCTCCTTCTTTCTCTTCCATTTCCTTTCTCCCCTCTTCCACGCTTCCCTTTTTCTTTTAAGTTGTACCACTGTCCAGTGGGAGGACTAGAACAGGGAAAAAGATCCAGCAATTATGAAATAAAAAGATTGCATACATGATGAAATGGGTTCAGAATAAAACAAAATATTTTCATACTATTGGTTCACTAATCTACTTTAAATTATCAATAAAGCTATATCATTAGAGCCATTGTAAAAAATCTAAAAGCATAGATATTTTCTAAATTCATTTTATATATTTTATAGTACTTAACAGTTTCTAATAAGTTTATTTGAAGTTTTGAGTAATCTCAATATATTCCAGGATAAACTTCACTCTCCTGAACAATAGACTTCATATTAAAGCATAAAATAAGGATAAATACAAAGGTGCAAACTCATGTTAATTGTACCTCTACCCTGACTCTCTCCTATTTTCCTCAAAATTTCACCATTTACTTTCATCTTCCAGTTTTTTTTCCAGACAATTTGCTCTAAATCTTTTTGTTGCTGTTGTTCCTCTCACTTGGCCCCCTTTACTTTTTTGTCTACACACCTCTTCTCTACACTGTCATACATTCCTGGCTTTGGAATACAATGGAACGAGAGTAATACATAATCTCCCAACCTGAGGACTCACCAAGTCACTAGAAAGGGGAGAAAGAAATTGCATGCTAGTTTGTTCAAGTGCCTTAATAACCCAAAGAACTACAAGCAATCATCTTTACTTTTCTTAATAGTCATAACTTTATGCATTGTCACTTTTCACATAAAGCATTTCCTTTTCCTGAAAACTGTCTATTCAGGAGGGTAAGACCAATGTTTTCTGATTTTTAAAAACTTATGTTTTTATTTTTTTGAGATGGAGTCTCGCTCTGTCGCTGGGCTGGAGTGCAATGGTGCGATCTTGGCTCACTGCAACCTCTGCCTCCCAGGTTCAAACAATTCTCCTTCCTTAGCCTCCTGAGTAGCTGGGACTACAGGCGCATGCCACCACACCCAGCTAATTTTTGTATTTTTAGTAGAGATGGATGGGGTTTCACACCATGTTGACCCAAATACAGTGACTTACATATAATAGATCCCCGACAAATATTGTCTAAATATACAAACAATTGTTGAAATTCTCACCCATTATGCCCACAGAAGAGACATTATGGAAGACTCTGAAAAGAGGGGCTAGAATCAGAATCAATTGCACTACAGTTCTAAATGTAAGCATTGTGTGTTTTTAACATGCTGTGCAGAGGGAGCTATTGTGAGGGCATTAATTATGTGAGCGTGTCTATTTTATTGGACAAATGTTGCTGACCTATTGCTGTACCAATCAAAGTATCTCCTTTTTTCCATCTGTTGAACAAAATACAGTAGTCCACATTCAAGTTGTGAAGCCAAAAACTCCTGGGTTCAGATCTTTACTCAGCCATTTAATAGCAAGAAGACATTTAACAAGTCAACTGTCTGATCCTCTCTTTTCTCCTAAATATTATTATCTATGGTAATATACTCTCCTAGTGTTGCAAAGATGAGGCTCTATCTGACTAAGCATTTCTCAGTCAGTCTGGTCCAGAATGTTGATTCATAAATAGAATGAGATCTCAACAGAGCAGCAGCAACAGAACTAGCAGTAAATATAGCTATATACCTGCTATCTGGACTTCTGATGTTAATAAAAATGTATTAACAAATACTCCATAGCTTTCTTTTCAATCTGAATCATTCACTGTTATACTTAATTATAGGATCCTATATTCATTTCCTTGGTTTTGAAAAGAGACTTCCTTACAAAGGGTTGCATTGCTGTATCCACTGCAGAATTTATTTCTGTAGTAACTGAAAATTCTTTTCAAATGTAAGCAAGATACACAAACACATTACATATCTATAGCTTCCTTCAAAATGTTCCAAAGAAAGGACTAAAGTCCTAGAAGTCACAAATGAAAAAAAAAAATCTGTTTTGGTCTTAGTTGATTGTAAAGCTCTAAAAATATCACTGATACTTTTGATACATTTATAGTTTTCCTTTCCACCTCCTCACTTGTCATCCTGTTACAGGTTTTTTAAATCACGTTTTCAAAATTACACTTTTAATACTCAGCTTCACCTCACAATATCTTAACTTCTCAAAATCAGCAGTGTCTTCCTTTCTTAGCCACATGCTTTACCATACTCTAAAATTTATTCACCATTTGACGATGTTCCACTGTCAAACGCTAGAAATACAATAGTCTTTTCTGACCAAACCTATCCATCCTTGCACTACTCTCATTCTATTAAAATTAGTGAGTCTGCTATTCATTTTCATCCTGCTCTTCAGGCTTTCAAATCTTACCAGTTCTTATTCTGTTCATCTCGTAGAGCTGCCCTTGCTCTCTTTCTCAGCCCAGATTTATTTATATCTTCATATCCACTACCTCTGGAAAGCTCCTCACTTTGTTTTACACAAAGTGGATGCCTTTCTAGTCTCTAACCAAGTAATCCTCAACTGTTTCCTTAACCCATTCAGATTACAGGCTAAGTGTTCCTAGAGAAGTGATGTAACTGTGTTGACTAAAGTGACAACAAATGCTAATTTTGCCAAGTTCCTCATTACAGCTCTAGAATCTTTCTATATTTCATGCTTATTCCCTACTACACTCCCCTAGCTCCTATCTCCATACCAGTTAATTTCAACCTAGGACCTCATTTACAATTATCTGAGAAGACTGAAGTCACCATTAAATGGCAAACTCTTTGCAGTCAGCATTGTTATCAGTTTTATTTACCACAGAATCCTCATCCTCCAGCACAGTACTTACAAAGAAAATGCTCAAGAAATATCTGTTAAATAAATAATGAGTTACTTAGTTTAACTAATGAACTGATTCAATTCTCTTCCTCTTCTGAGACGTAACCAGCATCTCCTTGCGCTACTACTAATCACACCAACCTTCTTAGAACATTCTGAAATTGACCCTGAAAAATTATTTTCCTTTCTATTATACCTCCACCTCTTCCTGCAAGGGGATTCCATCCTGAAAAACATAAAGATGCATTCATATTTTCCTTACTGTGGCTTTAAAAATATCCTTCCTTCAATAATATTACTTCGATGAGTAATATTTCATTCCCACAATTTAACATTAAACTTCATTTTTTTTGTCTCCATATCTTCAAGATCCCAGATGACCTTAAACATGGGCAATTGGACTTCTGCTTCTATTTAGCCTCAATAAACATATTTTTTTCTCAATGGCAACTAATAGACTATTCAACTTTCCTTACGAAAAAAAATTCAAATAGATGGAATACTAGAAAGAATAACACAATAAAACCAGCATAAGCACTCCCTGATTTAAAGTTGGTTAACAAATGATTATTTTACATATACACGTACACAACCCCCCCCCCCACACACACACACACACACACTCCCTCCCTCACTCCTTTGATGACTCATAAGAAATTCAGTTGCGGGCTGGGCACGGTGATTCCAGCAGTTTGGGAGGCCAAGGCAGGCAGATCACGAGGTCAGGAGCTCAAGACCAGCCTGGTCAACATGGTGAAACTCTGTCTCTACTAAATATACAAAAAATAACTGGGCATGTTGGCACACGCCTGTAATCTTAGCTATTCAGGAGGCTGAGGAAGGGGAATTGCTTGAACATGGTAAGCGGAGGTTGCAGTGAGCCGAAATCGTGTCACTGCACTCTAGCCTAGGCAACAGAGCAAGACTTTGTCTCAAAAAAAGAAAGAAAAAAAAAAAGAAAATTCAGTTTCATGTATCACTGCATTTATCCCAAATAATTCAGCACTCATCTGCTAATATCATCTGTTTTCTAGCCCATATGAAAAATTTCCCAATTCTACCAAAATTTGACTTTTTATAGACCACATTTTTAAAAAGTGAAATAAAATAAATCTTCAAGCACTGCATTTGTTTGTCTTTAGTCCTTTTTAATCTGGAAAAGTCCTCCCACAGTGGCACTGACATTTTACAAGTCTAGGCCACAGGGCTGGTATGTATCTTCAATGTGGAATACCTCACCTTATGCATTTGTCTCATTATTTCCTCATGGTTTAGTTTAACTGGTCCTTTCTCTGAATTTTTCTATAAACTGGAAGTTAAATCTAACCAGGTTTTATTAGATTCAGGTTAGACATTCTAGCAACAATATTTCACAAATGGCACTATAGCCTTTATATGGCATCTCGTCAGGAGGCTCATAGTGTCAGGTTGTCTATTGGTGATGTTGGGTTAAATCATTCAGTCACTTAAAACGATGACTTGCAGATGCAATTAATACTTGAGCACTATGAGAATATGTTATTCATCAAAATAATTTTAATTGATTATTTTATCACTTGTTGATCATCTTTGACTGAATCACTTACTTCACTGAGAGTTACAAATAGTAATTTTCTAATTCTTACATTTCTTACACTTAATTCACATTATTTTGTAAAAAGCTGTCCCTCATCAACTAAGAAAGGCAGGCTAATCATTTAATTATCTCAATTTAATTATTAATTGTCATTTTTCTTTTTTATATATTTATTTAGAGTATCATTATGCACTCATGGATTTTACTTTACTCAACGTTTACAATTTGTTATATTCACTCTTGAAATTCAAACTGATTTAAATTGCACAACTGGAAGGCCCTTCAAGCTAGCACTTGTTTACAATGATACAGCCTTATTTGTCTTTGACCATTTCCTTACTTTCTGCAGTGAGTTGTCCCAGGCTCATCTTGTGTTTTTTCTGCCCAGACTTAGAATCAGCCAATTCTAGGTTAAGGAAGACTAAAGGGCTCTTGTCCTCTTGAATGGGGAATGATATTAAGAAGCCATGCTTTGTGCACTAGAAGGGCTCATTGCTTCCTGAAAGACATTGCTTTGAAGATTTTTCAGTAGACATAGCTAGTAAATATATTTATTTTTAAAGCTTTATAGTGTATTTTATTATGTAACAGGTTAGCCCTCTCTTCTTTCTCAGAATATTCTCTGCTATTTTTGCATATAAATATAAATTTCAAATCAATTTAGCTAGTTTCAGGAAAAACTTCCTACTGGTCTTCCTATTTAGATCATGTTATCACTGTACACACACACACACACACACACACACACACAATCACACACACACACGACACATACAATCCTGGGAACAACAGCCCTCTTTATGACGCTGCCACATCATATTGAGGATCATCAATCACATTCATTTAGTTTATTTCAAAAATTCATGGATTTTAATGACAGATTACAAAGCTTTTATCTCAGGTCTTATCTTCTTTTGAGCCTATGCAGCATTAGCTCTGTTGAACAATACTTACATACACACACACACACCCCACATACTTTTTCTGAGCTTCAGTGGCTATCATCCTAACTCTATTTTTCTGCCCTTTATCAGCCCCTTTTACATTCACTCAAAAAAAAAAGCAGATGTTCCCAAATTTCTACCTGTGCAGGACTTATTCCCACTTAAAGAGTTTTAATGTAGATGATACTGTCATATCTCCTTCTAGCCTTAAGTGTGCTTCCCAGCTCTAGACCTGAATTTCCATTGCACATTGGTCATTTAATCCAGAAGTTAATGTCAGAACTTCAAATTACTATGTTCAAAATTGAATCATTTTCCCACCTCCAACCAAATAAGGCTCTCCTACAGATACTACTTTCTCTTGTTTTGTTTTATACCACCTGTTTTCAAGATATCCAGATTCCAAAATTCAAAGGCAGCATTTAACCCTCCCTATACTTTGACCTCTAAATCCACTGATTTTATGAACGTGAGGACTTATGACCAAGTCTTTAAAAATCCATCTCATCATGTGCATTCACACTGTTTCCACTATAGTTTATGTTTCCCATTCTGCATTGAAAGTATTCACTTTTTCAAGTTCCAAGGAAACTAATGATGGAAGACATTCTTGCACATCTGAAGAGGCAATTAAACACAGAATCCTCAAATAATATGTTACACTTATATGTGTTTTATGTTACTAACATAAAATGAGCTTGATAAATGTCACATACAAATATGTGTAACAGTAAAATTGTGAGGTGTTATGATGTTGATGGTGAGATGTTGGTAGACAGACAAGACACCTATATTTACAGAGCTCTGTGTTATGAAAGAATTAGCTGTTCAGCTTTCCTTGCACAAAAGACTAATTTTCCACATCACACTGCAAAAGCTCCAAGAGTAGAGATTACATTTTGTACTCAGTAAGTAAATGCTGAATGTGTTTCCCAGGCTCTCTGCAAAGCAACTAAGGACAGAGAACCGTCTCTTCTGACCCAACCACAGAGCAACAGTGGTAACTCACAAATGTGATGCCATGCATTGGCTCTCTTCAGAAAACCCGTCTTGAAGAGATGTGTGATGACATGGTCACAGAAAGGTCCTTTCAGGACCAGTTAAGAGTATCTGTGTGGGGCAATATTCTTTTGTTTCTGCTCAAAGCACTCACTAGTGGAAAGCACTCCCTGTTGAAAACTTGCCAAACTACAGACATCTTAAGTAATGTATCAAGAATAAATACATAACAGTTGTTTTATATTAGGAAAAACAAAAGAAACAAAAAAATCATCTCCACAAATGAAGCATATCTGTGTAGGAAAAAAAAAAAAAACATGAGTCGTCAGTTAAGACTTCCTACATGTCAAATTTCCCTTTACCACCTATGGAGCTCTGAGCTCCAAGTCTCAGTTTCCTCCAACATATAAAATAATACTATTATCTAATCACGGAAGGGAAGTACAAATGGAATTGCATTCATTTGACACATCAATTTCTTTCCCTCTCATCTTGATTTAATGAAAAAATAGCCGTTCCTTACTCCCACCTGTTAATAATTTCCGAAATGACTCAGAAATGTGTTGCTCCTCTTATTATTTAGCATATGGCTATCAAAATGTGTATAAACATTTTCTCTAAACACATGGATTATGTATGAATGCAATCAATTCCCACTCTGAAGTTTGGGAAAGAATTCAAGCAAAAAGCATATTAGTGAGTTAAATGGAATTTTGCCAAACATATTTATGCACAGAAAATCTCTAGTATTTTGTAATATAAGAGCACTTAGTGATGCATGCTATTGTATCTTTCAGAAGACCAGTGCAAGACTTCCACGTTCTACTCCATAATTTTCCTCTCTATTTAGATTTTTACATGGTCAAATAAATAACTCTTAGAGTCTTGACCCCCAGCTGAGGAGTCTGCAAGGACAGCCCAGAAAATGTAAATCCTAAATACTAACTCAAGTCCTCCAACTGCCATCTCTGTGGCTACAAATGGATAGAAAAAGACATTAAACCAATGCCTCTATTTTCCAGGACTCAGTCCCAGAAAAATAGCAGGATAATTCAAAACTAGCAAACAAAAATCTTTTTAAACGTAAGGAAGAATTTAGAAAAACACAAAGTTAATTTTCCACAAGGTAAGTTTGATATTTAACATAAGTCTAACAAAAGAAAACAAAATTCCCAATGTATTATTGAAAATCTAAAAGCAATGAGGATAAGCAAAACTACTAAAGTTGGCAATAGCTGTGTTATATCTATGCAGTCTGCACATCAAAATTTAATAATAAAAGGAAGGGTGATGACAAGTATAATTATGTAAACTTGTTAACAGTGTAACTTGCTATTGATACATTCAGAAATCAGATATTACTTACATGTTATTGAATATTGTTTTCAAAATCATGATTTAGCAAAACAAACTGTTGTTATTGCCAATAAAATGAAAGTTTATGTTGCCTGCCAATTACTGAAGAGAAATTTATTAAATCAAAGAATCAAACTGAATTATGGAAATGGCATCTTTACAAGCATTCGTACAGGTCACTGGAAGTAGTAGATAGTAACAGTAATAAGAGAATAATAACAATAACTGCAGATCAATAAGGACCTTTTTAAACATGTTATTATTTACTTTCTGGAAGTCCATAAAAATTTGAAGAATAAAATTAATCATTACTTCAGGTTTTCATAGCAAAACACAGAGTTTTCATAATGACAGTATGATAAAAGAAGTAAAGAAATAACTATTTTTAAAGTCTCAGCTAATCATCATTTAAAAATAAAGATTTCATGGCCGATAAAACTATCTGTACAGCAAACCCCTGTGACATGTAATTTAGCCATGTAACAAAACTGTACATGTACCCCTTGAAACTAAAAGTTGGAAAGAAAAAATAAAAATAAACAACTAAAATAAAAATAAAAGTTTCAAAAGTCAGAGAGAAAAATCAATTGTAATTGAAATATTTTTCTCAAATTCGTCCTTACTATTCAAACAATCTTACATACCCACTTCACTTCTCTTCTACTTCCATAATGGAGCTTTTTGAAGACTTGAAATGTAGAGTTATATCAATGAATGCCCTGCTTAATTAGTTGCTTACACTATCAGTAAACAGTAAACAAAACATGACCACACTTTTACTGGGGTAGAGTTGCAAAAACGCAACAGACCTATACTTCTCACTGGAATTTCTATATACTTACTACTGGCTCTTAAAATAAGTCAATATTGCATTTAAGGAACAGCTATCCAAATATTTCACATTTCTTTTAATTAGGAAGAAAATTTTAGCATATCAAATTATTTTTCTAATTAACAATTTGTATATTCTTAAGGCATCATTTATTTGTATTATTATAGTAGCTCTTTTAACCACTAGACTTTCATATAAATTAGAGAAAATAAACCAATTATCATTTTTAAGAAAGGTAACACATCTATTATGGCTAAGGATGTGTCTTTATAATTTTATGTTTGGAACTTTTCCCCCTTGTATATACACCACCACGGTGTGGCTATTTGATGCATGTTAAGAAAAAAATCAGGGTGTTACTTGATTATGACCATAAAAAATAAATATGAAAAATAATTAACTGTTAATCTTCAATGATGAAAAGTTATTCATTTAAATATTCTTCAACAGACCACACACTCAAGACAGAATTCCAACTAGAACTTTCTTTCTTTATATCAAGACTGAGATAGACATTGAAAAATTAATTTAGTAATCCAAGATTTTAAACAATACCCACATTTTATTATCCCATAAAAAGTTCTTGAAAATTTAACAGGTTTTCATTTTGTGATTATTTCTTTGTCACAGTTTAGATAGTACAATGTTTGAGGTCAGATAGTGATCCAATGCCAATTTAATTTGTGGGTCTTATTTCCCTCAGTCCCCACCTTTACCTTGGAAACCCTCTCTCATTACAAAATAGAAACTTTTTTTTCCCTCCTTCTCGCTTAGTAAGCAGTTGAAAAGATCTGCACAATTAAATTGATCTAAATCCCTGTGGGTCGCTTGGCGAATGAAAAAATACATTTTTTCCATGAGAAGCCAGTAGGCGGTGCTAAATCTAGGATACTACCTTCAACAATTTTAAATCAAAAACTAAACAGGTGGCCAGTTTAAGAGTTGTAGAATTCCCAGAATGATTCACACAGGAAGAAATCTGAAAAATTTGAATGTAATAGATAGAAATGTAATACAAGTCTACAATATAATTAAAAATGAATCTTAAATAAATGAAAACATAGATAACTAAAGGTTCTTAGAATGATCTTAAGTTACAGAAATTAAAGCACAACTACCTCTCTGTCCTCACATTAAAATCGTCTTTGGTCCCATTAATTGTTTCAATCTCATTGGGAAATATCACACAGTACAGCTAGTGCTTTGCCCAATCTTAAACCACATACTACCTCAACCTTAGGGCAGCAACTGATTCTCTTAATGAAAATGCAGGTTCGATCATTCAAGTTCTTGCTTGCTTGCTCTGTCTCTCTCTCTCTTAAAAGAACTAAACGACTTACAATACATAAAACATACAAAAATATATTATACACATAAATTGTCTTGCATTTTAATAAATGAGCATTTCTATGTACATACATTGTTATAATTGAAATGATTTTTAAAATCACAGAATGTTGCAAGTGGCTTTTTTAATGTTTTATGTTAGCTGTTTGAGGCATATGAAAGACTGTATTTTAGTAATTAGCTCACTATACAAAATAAGAAAATCCTAATTTCAGGCTTAGTGCCATCATATTGGCTTCAAATCTTAGAACTATACACCTCAAGATATCAAATATGGTGTCCACAGACAGTGACATAAACTATCTTCTTTATATAAATGCAACAGGATTTCCTTCACAGAGAAAAGCTACTCGGAGAACAAAATAACTCACATACATTGTATTTCCCCGCCAGGAAATACAATGAAATGTCCAAAGACTTTTGAGATACTTGCATGAGTTGTGAATAAAAAATATATACAACTTTCCAGATATTACACTAACTTTTAATCTTCTACAGTTAAATGGCCCATTGCACGCCTTACTTTTTGACCACAAAGAGTAAAAACTAAGGCGTAAAACCTTTCATTCCACAAACTGAGGTTACAGACAGTGAAATATTTGCTTGAAAAAGCCAGTGTATGTTATAAACCCCTTTGTCATGGGCCCCTCTGTATGTTGCAGTCAGTTTTTATTTCTGTAGTTACCTAGAAGAAAACTTCATCTGAGAGGTAAAAAGTTGTTGTTTCATTTGCTTTATGTTTATTTTACAGAATTCAAAGTATATACACATGGTAATTTAAAGCTAAGCTTTTCATTTAAGGGGGGAAAAGGTAAGAAAATCAAAGCTTCAAAATCAAAGTATTTAAATAATGGTGACTCTCCAGATTTTAAGATGTATGCCTTCAGGAAATTTATTTGGACAGAAAAATTTCCAGCAGATTCGGTCACAGTGTTAAATACAGAAAAGGCTTTTTATTGCCAACTGGTACGTCTCTGAAAAGTAATGCTAAATTATACTGAAAACATGTAACAGGATAATCATAAAATATCATAGAATACATTCAACATTGAATACGTCAGTGCTACCAACACACGAAATCATCACCTCTATCACCAACCCCTCACTCCTGCCCTGTACACAGTTCTCAGGGGAAAACCTTTAGAGCCAGTATCAGGTGGTTAAAAAGAGGGAAAACTCTGCCCCTTTAACAAAATTTAAATAAAAGGCATTTTTTTAATACCTTAGAGGTGTAGGGTCATTACTGCAAACTAACAGCGTCGTCCTCAACATTAAACCCAAGTGATCATCTTATAAGAAACTATTTCCCCATCCCCTGGAAGACGACACCAGCAGGCACTTAAAACCAACGCAACACAACAGGGAAAAAAAAGATCCAAAGACAGCATCCCTAAGAAAGCAAAGCCCTTTGGTAAAGCAAAATAGGCTGGGTAGGACCTACTGCGTCGTTTACTCATTGCGAAGAGGAGGAGCAGGAGTTGAGCGTGCGAGGGCCGGTGCCATCCTCAAGGCTCTGGAAATGTCTCCAGCTCCGGCTCGCGTGGCCTGGAGCCAGCCCCTCCGGAATATGCGGTCTCTGCCGCTTCTACCCCCATCTCCCGGGTGCTCTGAGGGTCCCCTCTAGCCCGCCCGACGGCCAGCGCCACGTACACGGCCCTCGCCCCTCCTGCTGTGCAAGTGGCCCTCGGAGAACTTACAGGGCCCGCCGGCCGCCTAGTGCCCGGCCGGCGCGGCCCGCAGCGCAGACGCCACCCGCCCCGCCGGGAGACGACCTGGGCGCAGCTCACCGTGGGAGGGGTGGGGGGAGGGGACTGTATTTTGCGCACATCTAGAAAACGATCCTGAAGCAGGGAACGGACTTTGGTTTTCCCTGGCTCCCTGCGCCGCTCTCCCCACCTCGGGCTCGGACACTGCCCGGAGATGCGCGCGCGCAAACACAGACACACACACACACTCACACTCACACATTTCTTTGCTAGGACCAGTGTTGCCACTGCACACCCGGGAAACGCCTCCAAGGGGACCAAGTACCTGCTCTCTGCGAGCTGCTCAGCTGTTCACTTCATCCTCCGTTGACAAGGAAACCAAACCGCACTTCATTTTTTTTTTTCCAGAAAAACCTTCCACTGCCATCATTTGAAAATTGATTTACGGGGAGGGAAGGGGGAGAAATAAGGGACAATATAGATATAGATATCAGGATATCTATCATAAAATTATCTCGGTTTTTTAAAAAAGTCAAATGTGCAAAAGTCATAGTTAATTTAAAGGAGGAAAAAAGTATTTTGCTTAAAAATGATCCCAATCACCAGCTGTAAGAAAAGTTTCATGTTATCAATGGGTATCAAAAACAGGAGGGAAAAAAAACGAATTTGTTTTCACCGGCTTCCAAAAAGGGCACAAAAAATATAAAATTAATGTCTTTGCTCAGTGGTTTGCACCAGTATTGCAAGACCACAAACTTGTAAACACTGCCGTAAAATCCCACCTATACAAAAATGTTATCAGAAAAAGAGTATGCAAAAAAAGAGTTAGAAACATGCTTTTTATTTTTACAAAGGAAAAAAATAGGCACCATACTTCACATCGCTTTTTCCATAAAACCAGTTGCACATTTTGCTGGACTTGGGAGACGCTCCCAGCGGGCACGGTCGCCGCGGACTCCGAGACACAGCGCCTTGTCTACAGAACGATCGCATGCTAGAAAAACTTGGATTCAGGAAAAGGCTCAAAACCATGCTCCTCCAGCTTTCCCAAATATAAACAATAATCAAAGAAGTGGAAAAAAAGAAAAAAAACAAAAACAAAAAAAACAAAAAACCAAAAAAAAGGACAAAAAAAAGAATAGGACAAGAATGCCACTGAGAAGGTACTCACCGAGCGGGAGTAAAATGTTGGAATAAAAATGAGATTTAGTATAAAATACAGTATGGCGGTGGAAGAAGGAATGAAGCGCGTTTTTTTCTCGCAGTCTCTGCCTCAGGCACTGACACGTGACTCGGAGCCAGGCTGACTTGCAGGCAGCGGGGAAGGACCGAGGCTGCGAGGGGGGAAGCCCACGGAGCCCAACTCTGGCTGGCGAGGCGGCGGCGGCGGCGACGGGGAGCCTGGCGCCTGAGAGCGGCAACACCAGTGGCGGCAGCAGCGGCAGCGGCAGCTCGCGGCGAGGCTGCCTTCGCTGTGAGCCCAGACGAGCAGGTGCCCCTCACGCTGAGGCTGAGCACACGCACACGCACACGCAAGACAGGCAGGGCGCCGGCGAGAGGGGGAGCCGAGCGGGGTTGGGCCCGAGGCGCGCAGCTGCCGCCGCCTCTGCCGCTGCTGCCGCGATTGCTGCTGCTGCCTCTGTTGCTGCCGCCGCCGCCTCGCATTGGGAGTGTGTGCTGTGGGGGCAGCTCAGGGGTGCTGATCCAGCGCCTTGAGAGGAGGTGCACAACTTGCTGCTCACCTCAAAGTTGTTGCTTGCCACTTCCTTGTGTATTTCATCTATTTTTCATCTACAGGTAGTTACCTGGGGAGAGATCCCATCGTCTTCTCTCTGGAAGTTTTACTATTCAAGCCCACATTCACTCATTCATTTTGTTTGTTTGTTTGTTTGTTTCCCTGATTTTCCATTTCCCATCCCTCCCAAGCTGCCTTTGCCTCTGCTGTTCCCTCCTCCCTAGATCTGCGTTTCCCCCTCCCGGTTCTCAGGGAACCTGGCTCAGCGCGATGCTGGGGGCGTTGTCACGGGCAAAGCCACTGTCAATCTTTATTGCCATCTGAACGCACAGCCTCTCTTTCGCCGTCTTCAAGGGGAATGCTTGCAGTTTGAAAGACACAACAAAATCTCTTATTTAGGAAACCCCGTCCCGGGTTTCTTTCTGCGGGTTGCGGAGCGGTGGGTGGGGGCATGGGTGTCCTTTATTCATTCGTGGACAAGGCATTGTTTTGTCTGTGTGTGCGCCCGTGCTTCTGAGCTGGTCTGGAAAGCTCCAAGGGTCTATGCTCCATGGCAGAGACTCCTGTTTGACTCTTGCTCAAGTTGTTCGCTGAGGCTGGAAGTCAAAGGAGAGGGGCATGGGAAACAAGTGAGTCCATTGTGTGAGTGCTCGCCTGGAGGGAGCAAGCACTTGGCGGTCGAGAGGGGGAGACGTGTACCAGCAGTGAGGCGGTGGCGCACCCCGCGGGAGCCAGGTGGCTGAGCAGTGGATTCTGAAGGTGAGGGTGGCAGAGGGATTTCTCCACCCAGCGTGTGGGTTAGGGCGCTCATCGATCGCCTGAACAAAGATGCCATCAGCCAATCGCTGGGTGCATTGGGCTTCTATTACTGCCTGTTGAAGAATCAGCTTTGTGGACGCTAGAACACATCTATTTTTCTTCATTTTTGTACAATACTCACCTCAGGACCATTTCCCTGTGCTGCTTTGAATCTAGGTTGTGTGGAATTAATTGGCGTCTCTATATTTGAGAATGAGCAATTAACACAATTCTGCAGTTCAAAGATTCCTGCTCCCGATCTTTATCTCAATGTTTCCAATGCTGACGTTTCATATAAAATGCCTCCATCAGAGATGATCTAACCTCGACATTCTGAAAATTAAGTACACATCCTTCACACAGAGCTTCAGTAGCAAATATGGTCCTCAAACATTGTGCTCAGAATTCATTGGCCAAATAAAGTTTTAATCCGCAATTTAAATAAGAGATTTAAAATAGCCATTAAAATATCACTAAATATTTATTTTGGTGAGTTGCCAACTGTACACCCACTTATTATACATACTTTCCAGGGAGGACTGTTGATTAGGAATACTGACAGAGAGAGATGAATACATCAAAGTGGATTTGATAACTTTGGAAGCCTTGAGTTCTACTCGGAAATCACAGAATTTTAAGCTGGCTAATACAGATCAAATATTGTGCTCTCGCTGTAAAACATGTTGGACTTATTTTATTTTATTTTATTAAGTAAGATCTCTTTACACGTGATCTTTTTCTTCCACAAGTCCTGAATTAATTTTATCTAGGATTTAAAACTTAGTTTGTTAAATTTTCCACATTTTCTCTTCCATTTGAAAATATATCTGATTCTAAACATTTAAGAAGAAAATATTTTAATGCATATCTTTTTCCATCATTCATATCACAGTGGTATTCAAATGTGAAAAACTTCACTTTAAAAATGAGTTTTGAACCTTTCAACCAGGCTGGGAAGAGTTATTCAAGAAGAACTTTGAAAAACAAGCTATTTAGAATTACACTGCACTAATGGCTGTCAGCCAATCACAGTGATTGTCAGTCTTTTATTATTCAATAAAATGACTCCCCTTTATGTTAATGCAGCTCTGCTGAAGAAAAGCAAGACATCAATATCCTCCCTGCACTTTTCCCGTTTACTTATATAATTACATTAGAGTACTCAAAATATTCCACTATCGTTTATTTCCAGTGTGCCATTTTCATCTTTTTGGGTTGTATCACTGCATTATAAACAAGAGTAAACAAAGTCAGGTTGAGGCAACTGGTATTTAGAAAGTATAGCCACTCATTTAATTTTTGTAACAGCTCCATGACATTGACTTTATACTCATTTTAACCATTAGAAAAATAAAGTCAGAGATTTTGAGTAATTTGCACATGATTCTATTGTTAGTACACAGGAAAAACAGGATTGAACCAAAATTATATCTGGTTTTACAGCTAGAATAAAAAAATTCAAAAAATACATCAAAGATACTGAATACTCTTCAGTAATGTCATCAAAGCCAATTAACAAAGGCATGATTTGCTCAAATTCAGTAGATCTAAAATAGATTTGTGAGAATTAATTTAGTCCTATTATTGCCACAAATAACCATTGTAGTACACATATTTATATTCACCTTTTTGATTCTATAAAATACCTGAAGAAAATAAACGAAATGCAGAAGTGAGGGGGTTAAATTTTTCTTAACGAAAAATCTGTACAAAAGATGTGGTCATGTTATCGTGGTTACGTCTTCAGGAGTTGACTACAGAGACTTTTTAAAACAAAGTTTTCATGTAAACTGTTCATGTCCATTCCAAGCTAAGCCATGGTATAATTGAAAAGTACACTAAATGTAAGATAAAACAAATGATGGTAACTGAGGAAAAAAATCTATTTTAAAATTTATGCTATGTAATCTCAATGTTTGTTTCCATAAGAAAATATTGAAGATATATGAACCATAACTATATATATATATATAAAATATAAATATACACTTAGAAATTAGGTTATAATATCATGGTTTAAATGCATACTTTTACATTCAGTACCCTCAAATCATTTTCTTTCATTTTGCTTGCTAATTTTTTTCATAACTTTATGAATTTTATTTTTGATTAATTTTTTTCCTTATTTGTCCTGTCTCTGCCTATTACTATACTTTACTGATACTTCTCTTTCAACGTCTGATAGCATTTTTTCCAATACTTTTGTTTGGAGAAACTACAAATACCAAGACAAAGACATGTGAAATAATGTGTACAAATAACCAAAGAAAATATATGAAAACAAATATTAACATTATAATATGTCATGAGTAAAATAAAGCAAGAAGCACTACCACAATTTCTGTGTAATTTAATTTTTAATATATTTCAACTGTTTTTTTAAATATATTTTTAACTTTTACTTTAAGTTCAGGGGTACAAGTGTAGGCTTGTTGCATAGGTAAACTTGTGTCATAGGGATTTGTTATACAGATTATTTCATCACCCACGTATCAAGCCTAGTACCCATTAGTTATTTTTCCTGATCCTCTCGCTCTTCCTACCCTCCACCCTCGAAGAGGCCCAAGTGTTTTATTTCACTCTTCACATTGTATATTAATGGAATTCAAAAAATTCTGATATGTAGACTAAAATACATAATACGTTAAGGTTTATTATGATTTAGGTACACTCATATTTATTTCCATATTAAATTAATAAAATGTCTATTCTCTAGAAAGTTAATGTAGAACAAATTAATGTCTACTAGTATTATTGTATCAATATGTTTATTTTGAATTAAATACATGGAGTATAGTTCTATGATACAGTAGCCTGCAATAGTGACAGGGTGTGTACAAAAGAAATCACTGAGGTGTTTCCTGATAAATATACTTGAGGCACAGAGAGAAAAAAGAACAAGACATGTTTAGGGTTCTGCATCATTTGCTATTATTCACTGATTACTGATCTGACAATAATCCATTCTAAACACAGTTTAAAATGTCACTTTATAAATTTAGCAGCTGTGAATTCATCCAAGACGCTTCTTCAGATTTTAGGAGCTAAAGATATAAATACTGCTATTCTGGAGCCAGAAATAGGCACCGTAAAAGTTCTACAGGTTAAAAATATTACTAATTTAAAAATACATAGAGGAAGTAAGGATAGAAAAGAGAGGAGGAGAGAGAAAGGAAAATTGTATGACCAAGAGCACTGCGGGCCTGGAAAATCTCCAAAATAATACTTGAGAAATGTATGACAAGTGCAAACACCGGACAGATTTGGGTCATACCGATGAGTCTTAAAATGCATGTGGCAAAAGCACATTAGAAAAATAATGTTTTTGCCTAAAAACTCCAGGAAACAATGTTGCTGAGGTTAACAAAACTCTAAATCAGAGGAAGTAACATTTTTTAAAAAAGGGAGAGAAAAAAACAGAAAGAGGTACCTTTATTTATATCTACAAATCAAGAGATTTGTTGATCTGAATGACCAGACTGATCTCACTGCAAAAGTAATTTTAAGTAGAAAAATCTTGAAGATGTACAGAGAAAACTGACATTTTACTGTCCACCCACAAGATTTTAAGGTATGAAGTTGTCCCTTTGTATACCATGATACAAAGTCATCCCTAGATATGGGGGACTGCTTCCTCAAGTACCAAAATCTTGTATGCTCAAGTTTTAAGATGGTATATTGTTTGCATATAACTTATGCACTTCCCCATACTTTAAATCATCTCTAGGTTACTTATAATACTTAGTGCAATGTAAATGCTATGTGAATAGTTGTCATACTATATTGCTTTTAAATTTGTATTCTTTATTGTTTTATTGGTTTTTATTTTTCCAAAATATTTTCAATTCATGGTTGATTAAATCTGTGAGGATTCAGAACCTACAGGTACAGAGAGCTGAAGTTATTATTCTGGTTTTTTTTCATTTGTTTACTTGTTTTCATTTTTAAAACCTTAGGTTTAGAGATTATGTGGATTTTAAGTATCGATATTAATTTAATTAAACTCAAATTATTTTTTTGAGTTAGGGGTTATTCATTTGTTCTTTGTTTAAAGATTATAGCAATCAAGAGATGAATATATGGCATCAGTTGATTATTATCAAGTCTCGGTCTCCTGTCAATAATACTTGTAATTTCTGTGAAATTTAGTAAATTATTTATTTTTATCAATAATAATCTTAAAAGTGGAAGATAAAATTTCCTTTTCTAGGAATGAAATTAACAGATTTTCAAAGGCTAGGTAAGTATATTAAAATAATTTTATTATGACAATCATGTGACAATATTCTCTGCAGCCTCTAATGAGACAGCTGAACATTTAAATAATTAATATTTACTCATTTGCATCCTTTGTACTAACATATGTGTGAATAGACATTTGGTAAAAAAAAGTTACAGGAAACAGTTGATTAAGTTGTGGTATGTACAGATCTGTATTCTTTTTGGTCTCATTGAAACCATAAATAGGTTGTTTTTGTATAACTTTTCTGTTTTATATTCTTAATTTCCTCTGACACCCTCTGTTCTCTTTTTACTCTCTCTCAGAACTCAGATCTCTTATATCTTCCTATACATATTCTAGGTATGTACGTGGGGTGAGATAGGACAGTAACCTTTTATACTAACAGATGTGTAAATAGGCATTTGGTAAAGATAATTATAGGAAATAGTGATTATGTATGTGATATGTATATGTCTGTATTCCCCAAATTCCTTCTTTTTCCCCTGTGGATATTTCTCCCTCTTCAGTGTAGTGGGGGTCAAACTTGTTAAGACCTGAGAAGATCACAGCCCTCAGCTGTTTGGCTTCAGGGCAGTAAATTATTTGTTGTTTTATTCATTTCAAGCTCCAGAGAAAACAGGAGCAAAGATCAAACACAGGCTTTCCCAATAAAAATATAATGAACTACGAGTAAGCCACTGGACAAAATATGAATATTTCAACAACAAACCTACAAATAAACATTCCAGTTAAGCCTCACATCACAGAAAAGCAGTATATCATTCATATCATTTGTAAAGATTCTCAATATTTTAAATTCAGATTAAAATGTAAACGGATCCATAATTGATTGTACTTAATTATCCTTAAGTTTTTTTAAAAAATGATCTTAAAGTTTTTTATAATATTAAAAAATTTCCTAAAGTTTGCAGAGAAATCAATATAGCTGGCATCTGGCATGAATTAGTTTCCTCAACAAAATATTATTTCACCTGAGAATCTTTGTTCTCATTGACTAATGAAGGAAACGCACAAATTTACTAGGCAATATTAACTTTATTTTAGTACGAAAATCTCAAAAGAGTTTATTATTAGATGCTTGTAATGATACTTTTGCAATAAAGAAAGACTTTCAAAGAAATATTATTTATATATTATCTTTATATAAAGATTGAGAAGCTAGTATTAAACTTCAACTTAGTAAAAGCATGTCTGCAGGATTCTGTTTTCTATCTATTCTGTAACTACACAGGGTTTGGTTTTTGAGAACCTGGAGTAACGGACAGTTAATATGTCCCCTACATATTGATAAATATCAGATTTTCAAGCAAGCCTTTCCCCAATACTGGATCACAGTCAAATCATGGTTGAATTATTTCACAAATGCTTGAAGTGCTGATACAGTGCTAAATAGAAATTCATATGCTTAAGATACCAAGCATTCAGGTAGTAGAAATGATATCACTTGTGAAAATTTAGGGCCTGATTTGTATGTGTCAATCAGGTAGAGAGCCGGGCCACACCCTCAAAGTGGTGTGATGTAGGGTAGATATCAGTAACTAGGTACGTTTTTGGCTTTGGAAAAAGCACTGGGTAATTTGGCTATGTGTTCTATGAAGACGCAGAATCCTGTCAAGAGGAAGAAGTAAGGTCCCAAACAGTTTTAAGGACAAGTATTTCAATAAGCAGCCCAAACAAAAGGGCAGCTTTTAAAAAAGTTTTATTTTATTTTTAATTGACAAAGAATAGTTACACATATTTATTGGGTGCAACGTGAAACTTTGATACATGTAAACGTTGTGGAATGATCAAATCAGGAAAAATAGCTCTGATATTGAATAGAATTGTATCCTTAAGCATCTGACAGGATGTCAAGGTTAAAAGCATTCCCGGAAGTATCCAAATCCACATGCTTATCTTTGAGATTACTTATCATTATCCTTGCAACAATGTAAGAATCCTGCCCCAAATAGCAATTCAACAATAATATGAAACTTTTATCCCAAGGCTAAATGGCTTTTGTAGTTGTTACCAGTTTGTGCCCCTTCTGAAATGCCAGGGAACAAAAATTTTCACAGTCCATGGCTACCATCATTTAGTTACTTATTCATATATTTCTCTGCTCATTCATGTGTTTTGTTCACTCATTAAAGTGAGCTTTTTTCCAGACATGCAACACCCCCCACACTACTAGCTCAATGCAGGGGAGACAAAAATAGAGGACGCAAGTTGCTATGTCCAGCACATGCCTCAAGATAAAGCATCCTCAATTGCAGCTGTGTGGTCTTTTACAAGTCCTGCCTACGCTTTCCCCCCGCCGTTTTTCACATAAAGAAGCTGCTTCCCTTATTCAAGTCAAGTCCTTTATACTTCTATTACTCTCTTTTCTCCTTACACATGATCTTATCTCCTACATTATGGCTATAGCCAAGCTAGAACTTGTAGGATAATTTGGAGTTTTGGAAGAGAGGAGAAATTATAGAGAAATGAGGTGAAGGAAGCTGTGAGAAGAACAGACAACAAAGGAAAGAAGTATCTGTGAAAGATTCAAATGAAAATCTCTATTGCACAATTGGAAAATACTTATCTGGAGCTCAAGAGAGTGATCCAGATTAGGGCTAATAAATATGGATAAAATCAGTTAATACTGTAACACCATATGGCATAGATACTATTATAATCCTCATTTTACAGATGAGGAAAGTGGTATGCAGAGAGGTGATGTAATTTGTCTGCAATTACACACCATCTGCAGTGTGATTTGAAGCTCTTAACAAGCTCCCAAGAAACACCAATGTTTAAGACTGCAAAGGAACTGTCAAAATGCAATGGAAACTAGAAGAGTTTTGAGATGGCAAGAGTGGTCAAGAGAGCCAAATGTTGCTGAGAGTTCAAGAGAAAGAGGTGATTTTGTGCAGAAATAGATGATACAGAAGAAAAGCATTAGAAAGATTCTAAAAATATCTCTTTGGTGAGAACTTTGCAATCAGAACACCCCACATCGCATAGAAGGTTGTTACTGCTATCCGTCCTTAAGGGAAAAACATCACCGGTGTTATGGCAATGTCACTAGAGAGGTGTAAAGGTGAGAACTGAAATGACTTTGGGAAAAGGTTTTGGAAGATTGAGAAGAAAAAAGAGAAGGTAATTTGATGTCACCTTTTTCCTGAGAGAATGAAGGTATCCTTGTTTACTTTAAAAAAAAAAAAAAAAAGAGGCGGGGGAGTTGGGGGATGAATTGGTGTTGGAACTTGTCTTGGAAAAAGTTGTTAATTTAGTTTGGGGACATGTTGTGCTAGAAGTGACAGGAAGAGATACAGATAGAATTACCCGGTTGCTAATAAGAAAAAGTGCTTCTTGTAGCTTAAATTTCCCAGTTGTCTCTTCAGAGTCTTGAGAGTAATTCGCACAGATTTTGAGAGTTGAGGCTCTTTGAATGGATGAGATCTGCAAATGTAATACCTGGAGAGATCACAGGGGCTAAAGTTTCAAGAATCCAGATTTAAAGAGGAAAATGAGACAAGGGAGTAAATTGAAAAAGAGGTGTTAGGGAGTTTAAGTAGAGAGCATATATATTTCACTAATTTTTTTCTTCAAAATGTGATTATCAGATACAATCTAAGCATGTTATTACCAGATTTCCTTGATTATAAGAATTAAAATTGTACTTAACAAGTTTTATTTGGATTATATTTTATAGCAGATATAGATATTTAATATAGAGATTTCTTTCCCATTCTTGATAAGGTTTTACTAAATAGATGTTTCTTTTATTTGATGGTTTCTTAGAATTTAAAAATATATATTACAAGCACTCATAGACTTTCATTTATGATTTATACATATTTTATTACTGTAAAGGAGAGATTATTTGTTATCCTTCATGTTAACTCAGTTTATGTAGAGTGGGAGGAGGTAATATATTTAGGAATTTAAGATCCATTAGTAACCTGTTCAGAGCTCCAATAATGGTGCATAAGCATGGATACTGAGGACCAGAGGAGAAAGCTTATTTTTTTAAAGCCCCAATTTCCTGCTCTGCAAATATCTAGGAGCATTAAAAATGATGACATGCAGATATCTGCTACATGTACTGTTAATACTGCCTACATGTATAATGTGAACAAGTGATGAAGAATAATAATTACAATGAAGCAGTTTTAAACAGGTTCAGGAAGAATTAGCCATAAGGAAGATACTGCTGAGATGCTTATGAAAGCTATGGAGTTGTCCCTTGTGATGCGCTTTGTCAGGCAGAACTAATTATCTGTGGATGATAAGAGAAAATATGGTGAAAAACAGCAGCCATTTCCCATAGCGGGAGTATCCATTTAAAACCCAACAACTCCCTGAACCATGAGATAATTGAAACAGTACCAAAGCTGGCATGAATAACAAGGCATGTACTGTCTTTCCTGGAAGGTGGTGGGGGCTGACAGTGAAAATAAGTCCAAATGCATCTTAGAAAAATTAAATTTTATTTCAACTGTTTGACATTATTCAATTAGAATAAGAAAGGAATTATAAAATGCACCCAAACTAAGGATTTCTAGCCAGAAAAATTAACTTAGTTTGCTGAAGTTTGCAGATGGCATAATCTGATATGTTCCTAATCTTTGTATTTTGCAGTTTGAATATGAAACAAACTTGAAAGATTTTTTTTAGTATGTCTTTGCTTATATATTCAGCAATTAAAATTAAGATTTAAGGGTCTCAATGAAATTTGTTTCAAATTAAAAGAAATATTAACAGAACTTAAATATTCGAACAAAAAGAAAGTTATTCTTTTTCCTGAATTCAGTTAATAGCAACAAAGAATGATATACAGAATTGTTTGCTGACATTTCCCTCTCACACTATTCTGCCCCAATACCCAACATCCCAATTTTCCAGGGCCAGGGTATCATCTAAAGATCTCATCAAAGACCAGATCTCTTCTATGCATCTTTTCTTTTATGCTTAGACTGTGGCTTTCATTATCCTGCTGCTAAAACTGCTGCTTCTGGTCAACAGGAAGGTGTAAAGGTCAGAAGGTAAAGGAAGCCAGGAAAGTGACCATCTTTTAAAAAAATGTTTAATTTTTAATTTTAGTGGGTACATTGTAGGTGAATATATTTATGGGGTGCATGAGATGTTTTGATACAGGCATGCATTGCATAATAATCATGTCATAGAGAAAGGTGTATTCATCCCCTTAAGCATTTATCCTTTATGTTACCAACAGCCTAATTATACACTTTTAGTTATTTTAAAATGTACCATTAAATTATTACTGACTCTAATCACCCTATTGTGCTATCAAATAGTAGGTCTTATTCATTCTTTGTAATTATTTTTTGTACCCATTAACCATCCTCACCTCCTCCCAACACGCCACTACTCTTCCCAGCCCCTGGTAAAATAAGGATTTTGTTAGCAAAGAAGGGGAGAATAGGTATTATTAATGCAACTAGCAGTGTTTGCCAGATATATTACTTTTATCAGATAAATTACTTATCTGATACTCAGAGAAGTAATAGAGCAGGGATTCCATGTCTTTTAGAATATTTAATTAGATCCATGATGTACAGCACAGGGACTCCAAGAGTAGCCCTTAATATTTATTTACTCAATAAAGAAATCATCTGAATGTTGCAGAAAATTTAGGGAAAAGAATACAAAACATTCAGCAAAACTACTAACTTTTTTTTTAAGATGAAATTTAAAAGTTGAATAAATGGTCAATAAAAGAGGATATTTGAACTTTTATCAATTTATTTTCTCTGCGTTATATTTCCCATTCTAAGAATAATCAGAAGACAGGGCGCTGTGGCTCACGCCTGTAATCCCAGCACTTTGGGAGGCCAAGGCAGGTGGATTGCTTGAGGTCAGGAGTTCAAGACCATCCTGACCAACATAGTGAAAACCTGTCTCTACTAAAAATACAAAAAATTAGCTGGGCGTGGTGGTGGGCACCTGTTGTCCCAGCTACTCAGGAGGCTGAGGCAGGAGAATTGCTTGAGCCCAGGAGGCAGAGGTTCCAGTGAGCTGAGATTGTGCCATTGCACTCCAGCCTAGGTGACAGAGCAAGACTCTGTCTCAAAACAAAACAAAACAAAACAAAAAAAATCAGAAGTTAATTGTAAATGGAAGCAATGCGGTATGCTATATTGTTTATAAAAATGAAAGATGACTGAAAATTTCTGTTATGATTGTTAAAAACATATGTTTTGAGGTTTTTTTACTGTAAATTTTAAATAATGATGAGATAGGAGCATTTCTTTTTTTTTTTTTTTTTTTAATCTTTTTGTTTTGGTTTGTTTTTAACTGCAGTGGTGTCATCATGGCTCACTCACTGCGGTCTCAAACTTCTTGCCTCAAGTGATGGACCTGAACTCAACTCAAGTGATCCTCCTGCTTCAGCCTCCCAAAAATGCTAAGATTACAGCCATAAGCCACCATGACCAGTCCCTTTTCTTTTTTTTTAACCTTTTTAAAATGCTCATTTCTTTGTTCTCATTGAATCCTAAAGATGGATGTAAGTTATGATAAACTGCATTGCTATTCATGTGATCCTTTCCTTTCTACTGTCTCCTCATCTCTTCAGAAAGGCAGCATTTTTTTTGAGTTTATAATGATATTGATAGCCAGTTTAAGTGCAACCGTCAGGAAGCAATATAAAATCAATTTAAAATCAGTAGGTTTTAGGAATCATTTCTTAAAATGGAGATTTTTAAAAGAATGTACATGTATGGAAAGAATGAACTTAGAATATTTGCAAATAGTAATTATATTGACATAGTAAGAAGGTGTAGTAGAGTATAAAACTATGGATGCTAACATAATTAGAATAAAACTGATCACATAATTTTTTGAAACAGGTATATCTGTTCTTAAATGTGATGCTCACTTATCAAAAGAGAAAAATATTTTCAACTCTTGTCAGCAGAAACTAATTGTTGGCATATTTAAGGTAAAACACATGGATCCAAAAGCACAATTACAAACTTTTCTGCATTATGAAAAAATAATAAAACTGGCTTCTCAAACACCAATTTTTTATTAAAATCAAAATTTCAAGCCAATCATCAAAAAAACATGTTTTGTCACTCAACTGTTATACATTATAATGTCCATGTAGTATATTCAAAGAAAATGTCTATATTTATTTTAATAGGCTAATATTTATTATTTAGAATGTTTGTTATAGTCTTTGCATTGTGATGCTGCATATTAGTAATATTACAATGTTGGTAACCATTTTTCACAAAATTAGAAAAAAACTACTCTAAAATTCATATGGAACTAAGAAAGGGTCTGACTAGCCAAGGCAATACTAAGCAGAAAAGAATTAAGCCAGAGGCATCACATTACCCAACTTGCCACTATACTACAAGGCTACAGTAACCAAAACAGCACGGTACTAGTACAAAAATAGACTCACAGATCAATGAAACAGAATAGAGAACTCTGTAATAAAGTTGTACACTTAAAATCAACTGATTTTTGACAAGTCAGCAAAAATAAACAATGAGGAAAGGATTTCCTATTCAATTAATGGTGCTTAGAAAAATGGCTAACCATACGCAGGAGAATGAAACTGAACCCTTTACTTTCACCATATACAAAAATTAACTCAAGATAAATTAAACGCTTAAATCTCAATAGATCTCAAACTATTAAAATCCTAGAACAAAACCTAGGAAATACTCTTCTGGACATTGGTGTAGGCAAAGAATTTATGACTAAGTCCTCGAAAACAAATGCAAAAAAAAAAAAAAAAAAAAAAAAAAGAACGGGTGCGAACTAAATGAAAGAGCTTCTGCACAGCAAAAGAAAGTATCAACAGAATAAACAGACAACCCATAGAATGGGAGAAAATACTTGGAAACTACGCGTCTGGCAAAGGGTTAATATCCAGAATCTATCAGGAACTTAAACAAATCAACAAGAAAAAAACAACCCCATAAAAGACATGTACAGACATTTCTCAAAAGAAGACATACAAGTGGCCAACAAACATATGAAAAAGTGCTCATCATCACTAATTATCAGAGAGATGCAAATCAAAACTGAAAGATTCTCCCCGGGGCCTGAAAGCTTAAGGGGATGAATAACTCCTCCCTCCTCAGGCCCAGTCCCAAGGTGCAAGGCCACTTGCTCCAGCAGCGTGCGTCAGGCAAGATAGCAGAAGCAGGAAGAGAGCTGGCCAGAAGACACATACCCCCTGAAGATCTAGAGGGAGGCCATCCGGGTACTATGTAGCAGTTACGTCGGACTGGGACACTTCCTGTTTACAGAGGACTATGAAACCCCTGCCTGTCCTCACTTGGGGCTGACACCATTTTAGGCCTCAGCCCAGGCACTCATTAAAATAGCATGTTGCTCCACACCACCTCATGTTGTCCATTGGCATGCTCTTGGGGTTCGAACCAATACAAGAGCCTTGGAAAAACCACAATGAGATACCATCTCACACCAGTCAGGATGGCTATAAGTAAAAAGCCAAAAAATAACAGATGTTGGCAAGGGAAATGACACATTCACTACTGGCGGGAATGCAAATTAGTTCAGCCCCTGTGGAAATCAGTTTGGAGATTTCTCAATGAACTAAAAATAGAATTACCATTCAACCCAGTAATTGAATTACTACCGGGAATATACCCAAAGGAAAATAAATTATTCTACCAAAAAGACATTGCATTCATATGCTTATTGCAGCACTATTCACAATAGCAAAGACAACAAATCAACCCAGGTGCCCATTAGTGGTGGATTGGATAAAGAAAATGTGGTACATACATACCATGGAATACCACACAGCCATAAAAAACAGTGAAATCATGTCCTTTGCAACAACATGGATGCAGCTGGAGGCCATTGGCCTAAGTGAATTAATGCAGAAACAGAAAAACAAATACTGCTTTTTTTCACTTATAAGTGGGAGCTAAACAATGGGTACATAGAGACACAAAAATGGGGATAATTAACACTGGGTATTCTAAAAGGAGGTAGGAAAAAAGGGTTGAAAAACTAACTATTGGGTACTATGTTTACTGTTTGGGTGACGAGATCATCAGAAGCCCCAAACCCCAGTATCACATAATATATCCACGTAACAAACCTACACGTGTACCTCTGAAAATAAAATAAATTAAAATAAAATAAAAATGTTGGTAAAACCTAGGGTATCATTATATGAACACAATTTTTTAAAATATCTTATACTCACATTGGACCATTGGACCCCTTAGGGACATCACAAAATGAAAAATTACAAAACAAATAATTACAAAGAAACATTTTTACGTTCCTGTAAATGAGAGTTATTGTAAAGTAATAACTATATTTTGGCCTTTGGAAATTTATAATACACAGCAGCTGAAACTAATTTTATACACACACACACACACACACACACACACACACACACACACACAAACAGGGTGAAGAAATCCTATACACATATAAGGAAGAACACCTTGGCACAAGAATGTAAATTGCTCTCCTTACGTGTAAAGGATAATCCTCTAACTGACATGAACTGAAAAATACAACGAATCAAGTAGTTTCCCAGAAAGTGAGTGTAGCAGGAAGGAGTTCTTTTCTGTGGGGTTACAAGGGAGTTTAAAGTACAGAAAGAAAATCCCTGCAGGAGGGGAAGAAAAGTTACTGAAAGAAGATTAATTTTTTAAAAAATTTTTTTCTTGTTTCATTAAAAAAAAAGTAAGTGTTGTAGGAATGGATCCATTGTGGTTTTGAAAAAGGATTGGTTGACATGATCTTTCAGTGACGTAGTTTAGTGAATTTTATATTTAGAAGTTTTATTGCGTAGGGGAATGTATCTGCTTTTTAAGTGGCAGAATTCTTAGAGAAGGGAACTCTAAGGAACTGCCTGATGGACATTTGGCAATATGGGAGGTGAAATTAACTGAAGCCTGGGCTAAGACATCACAAACGCAGCAGTGTAGTATTTTAACAAAATGGTCTGGCTTGGGAGTCTGCACTCAACACAGGTTATTTTCCTTTTTCTCTTTCATTGTCTTAAGAAGCTTTATTTATTGTTTATAACCCAAAATGTAGTCATTTTTTAAAGAGCCAAATTCAATTAAAATCACATTATAAAACTTTCCTGTGACCATTAGGAAACAATTTCTTCTTACACTGAATCTATTACACTTACAATTAGCTTATTTTCACAATATTGCTTTGGAAATTCATAAACCATAGTTATATGAATAAATCCCTATTGCTCTTTACTTTGAAGCATATCTCATGGAGTTCCCTATGGAAGATGCAGCTTAATTATAAATCGATTCTTATAAACTCAAGTCCCTGGCCTCATGACTTTTTATTTGAACCTCATGTTTGAAAACAGCATTATCTCTGTTCATGTTGTCTACACATTATGGCGAGTCTGTTGTCTGTTACAGTTAGTATCCACATAGGCCTCTGGTATCAAGGTTTCAGTTACTCTTGGCATTATTTTGATCGCCTAAAGTTGTAACGTGGGCATGGAAAGTGAATTCCATGAGTGCCACATGGCCTGTATTTATGTTCAAACTTACTCTTGAAATTAAAAATCAATTCATGCTTTTTTTTTTTTTTTTTTTTTTGAAACAGGGTCTCACTCTGTTGCCCAGGTTGGAGGGCAGTGGCGCAATCTCAGCTCACTGCAACCTCCACGTCCCAGGTTCAAGCGATTCTCCTACCTCAGACTCCCAAGTAGCTAGGATTACAGGCATACGCCACGACGCCTGGCTAATTTCTGTATTTTTAGTAAAGACGGGTTTTACCTTGTTGGCCAGGCTGATCTGAAACTCCTGACCTCAAGTGATTTGCCCACCTCAGCCTTTCAAAGTGCTGGGATTACAAGCGTGAGCCACTGCACCCAGCCAATTCATATTATTCATATGATGCCAAAAGAGGAAATCACAGACTTTTAGTGTACCACACATTTGGGTTATCTACTGTATTATTATGCTTGATTTGTGATAATGTAACACATTTATTTAAGAATATTTGAAAATATTCATCTGTGTTTGTGTTTATCTCTTTCTTGCTGTGTATGTGTGTGTGAGAGAGGGACAGAGAGAGAAAGAGAGAGAGAGACTCATCTTTCTAACTAGATTCTAGTCACTGAGAGCAGATGAGCACTGTATAACTTGCACCCTACACAATAATAACAGTTGATAGAGTAAAAAAATAAACACAGTATATTGCTCAACAATAAGCTGAGTAGTGGGATCTGGAATCAAATATGGGATACTGGAGTTAATCCATGGCATTATTATTTCTGTATTCTTTAAACTTCTGGCACATACACACATGCAGATTTTAGTTACATTTAGTTATGTAAGGCATAATTCATACTTATTAATAAAAAAAACTTGGATTACACACATAAATGTCCATTTCTAGACAGGATGGCCACCAGCACTGGATTTCTGCTCAGTTCCTTAATTGAGCAACAAATGCTTGTTGAACAAATAGTTGGCATAAGCAAATGATGCTTCAGAAAAAGATGTATGGGATCCATCATGTTGAGTTGGCCTGATGTTGGTGAAAACAATTCAGAGTCATAAAGACATCAGTGGCAGCTCTATTTTGTTGGTACATAGAGTAGCAATCCTCATTATTTTTATTTTCCATTGGAGAGGGCTGTTCAAATGCATGCAGCTCTCCCCAGGGTTACCATGTTGCTAGTTGTAAGTGCAGCTTTATTCTTCCTATCAAGAAACCATATTGCCACACAAATGAGTCAAACAGACACTGTTTTATGGATATGTTAGAAAATAATTTATTAAACTTGTAAATCACATATATATTTCAAGTCTTTGTAAGTAGTAACAAATTGTCTGTAACCTCGAAAAGTGTATTATATCAAAGCCTGACTACACAGCAATTAAGAACAGCTGCATAAATAAACAATATTGCATTTTGATCATTAGGTTTTCCTTAAAGTGCTATTATATTGATTCTATAATCACTCTTCTCTCATGGTAACCATGATGCTTTCCACATTAATGATTCCTTTAAAATTCATTTTTTGGTAGTGTTGACAGGCCTTGAGAGATCTCTTCTGAAGCCTTTTGTTGCTCCAGAATGTGCCAGAGTGCTAATAAAAATTGAGAATATTGGTGTGTTCAAGATGTTTTATTTATATGCACTTCTATTGTGTGTCAGGCTTTTGCCAAGCACTTGAACAACAATAATGAAAAGAACACTGACTATTTGGCTTTTACTTTTTTAAAAAAACTGTCTGATGATATAGATTATATGTACTATGTAGAGGAATGATAGAGTCTGAAGAGTACTTACAACAAATCATTACGACCTCAGGTTAGAGGACAGTTTTGAGGAGGCAAAGTTGTAGACAGTGAAAATTCGAATAGCTCAAGTGACAGCTGATAAAGAGTGAAACTAGACTGGAGTTAAAAATTTGTAGAAATAATAGGAAGAAGTTCCTTTGAACATCTCAGGAAGTAGAATGAACAGGACTTAATTATTGTGTAGGAGGGAGAATGAGAGATGTAGAAGAGACTAGAATGACTTTGATGACTGGTGAGTTGGCTGGGTAGACAGTAGTGGTATTAATGGAGATTAGGAAAACAGGAGTAGCTGATTTAGTAAGGGAAAGATGGTGGATTCAATTTTGGAATGTCTGGGTTAAGGCACCTGTGGAATTCAATTATTTATGCTCATCAGGCAGTTGGAGTCTTTACTTCAGGGTAAGAGTCAGGATCAAGGAACAGATTTGGGAGCCAGCAGCTTCAGGCAGTAATGTAAGACAAGAAAATAGATAAACTCCTTCAAATAGCATGTAGAATGAACAGCACAGGGATTGTGGATTTTTAGAAAATCAACATTTGAGGGGTGGGCACAGCATAACCTGAAACAATACATACGATCAGAAATTCTCAGTGCTTGAGAAATGAATAGAGCTAAGATTTTCACAAGGGGAGTAGTTAAGCTGACCGTGGTGGCACTTGCGTCCCAGCCACTTGGGAGACTTGGGAGGCTGAAGCAGGAGGATTGCTTGAGCCCAGGATTTTGATACCATTCCAGGCAACATAGCAAGACCTCCAACTCTTAAGAAAAAAAAAAAAGTGAGTCAACTACACAGCACCCAGATCTTGATTTCTAACACTATTCTTTAATAAAAGGAACCAGAGATCATTGTAGAAATCTGGGTCAGGAAATACACAAGATGATCCTGGAGCACCTTGTAGTGCCTGAAAATAAGACACTGCTCAAAAAAAAAAACAAAAACAAACAGAAAAACAAATAGTCTGATTTAAAAATGGGAAAATGAGCTTAATAAACATCTCTCAAAAGAATAGATAAATGCACAACACCACTGATAAGGAAGAGGCAGGAATGGAAGTGTGAGCAGCAGCTGAATGGTCACCATGGCTGGGACCACCACCATCAAAGCGATAAAGCTGGAGACCCCAGCTCTGCAGCAACAGGCTGATGATGCTGAGGAGAGAGCCAAGTGCTTCCAGTGAGAAGTGTAGGGAGAAAGGCAGTCCCAGGAATAGGCTGAGGCTGAGAAGCCTCCTTGAACCTTAGGGTCCAACTGGTTGAAGATGAGCAGGATCACACTCAGGAGTGTGTGGCCACTGCCCTGCAAAAGCTGGAAGAAGTGGGAAAAGCTTCTGATAAGAGTAAGAAAGGTATAGGCCAGGCACAGTGCTCATGCCTGTAATCCCAACACTTTGGGAGGCCGAGGCGGGCAGATCACCTGAGGTCAGGGGTTCGAGACCAGCCTGACCAACCTGGAGTAACTCCGTCTCTACTAAATATACAAAGTTAGCCAGGTATGGTGGCACATGCCTATAATCCCAGCTACTTGGGAGTCTGAGCCAGGAGAATCACTTGAATCCGGGAGGCGGAGGTTGTGGTGAGCCGAGATCAAGCCATTGTACTCCAGCCTGGACAACAAGAGAGAAACTCCATCTCAAAAAAAAAAAAAAAAAAAAAAAAAAGTAAGAAAGGTATAAAGGTTATTGAAAACTGGGCATTAAAAGATGAAGGAAAGGCAAGGCATGGTGGCTCACGCCTGTAATCACAGCACTTTGGAAGGCCAAGGCCAGCAGATCACTTGAGCCCAGGAGTTCGAGGCCAGCCCAGGCAACATGGGAAACCCCCATCTCTATTAAAAAATACCAAAAAAAAAAAAAAATAGTTGTCCTTGTGGCACACGCTTGTAGTCCAAGCTACTTGGGAGGCTGAGGTCAGTGGGTCACCTCAGCAGAGGAAGTCGAGGCTGCAGTAGGCTGAGATCATGCCACTGCTCTCCAACCTAGGCATTGGAATGAGACCCTATCTCAAAAAAAAAAAAAAAAAAAAAAAAGAGAGAGAGAGAGGGAAGAAAGAAAAACAGAAAGAGGAAGAAAAGAAGACGAAGGAAAGATGGAACTCCGGGAAATCCAACTCAAAGAAGCTAAGCATATTGAAGAAAAGGCAGATAGGAAGTGTGAAGAAGTGGTTTATATATTGGTAATTATTGAAGGAGACTTGGAATCCACAGAGAAAGGAGCTGAGCTGGCAGAATCCTGTTGTTTTAGAGTACTATACGGTGAATATAACAACAAGTTATTATATGTTGTTGTTTGGGTAACTTCTCCTGGAATCACCTTTCTGGTTTGTCTGGTACTTTGTGCAGAACAATGAGGTTTCCTGTGGTGGAGTCTTTCCCGGAGCTCTGGTTCTCAGTAAGGTAGGCCCATATAGTCTTCCCTCCTTTATGGTGAGGGTAATATGCATTAAGCTGAAAAGCCACCTTCCAAAAGTGAGGAAAGAATTACATTGCTGTTTCAAAGCTGTAGAATTATCTGGAATAGTTTACAAACAGTTGCTGCAAAACAACAAAAAAAAGTAATTACGAAGTGTAGGGCAGGGTGACATGGCTCACACTTGTAATCACGGCAGTTTGAGAGGCAAGGGGGGCAGATGGCTTGAGCTCAGGAGTTTGAGATCAGCCTGGGCAACATGGCGAGACTCTGTCTCAACAAAAAATACAAAAATTAGCCAGGTATGGTGGAGCACGCCTGTAGTCTCAGCTACTTGGAAGGCTGAGGTGGGAGGATCACCTGACCATGGGAAGTTTAGGCTGCAGTGAGCAGCGATTGCAACCCTGCACTGCAGTCTAGGCATTTCAGTGAGACCCTGTCTCAAAAAACAAACAAACAAACAAACACACAAAACCACCACCAACAACAAAAAACAACAACAAAAAAAGAAAAACCAAAGTGTTTACATCACAACATGCTATTAAAGACATCTTGCATTGTTCTTGCATTCCGTTCAATGTTGTTCCTATAGGTGCTTAGCTTCTAATGCCGCTGGAATCTCTGGAACCAGGCAGAGACAGTTTGGTGAAAAAGACACAGATGGGTGGAGGGGTGGTGAAAGGAGAAAGCAGCCTTCCAGTTAAAGATCAGCCCTCAGTTTCAATGTCAGCTTGGGAAAGCCTGGCCTCCAAAGGAGTCAGCGGCAGAGGGAAGAGCAGCGGCAGGGTTGGACCAGGGTGCTCCACATTTCCTTCAAGCAGAGTCTAGTCCAGCATCCTTTGTATACAGAGGTGCTTCTCTTTGGTGCATTTCAGTTTATCTTCCAAATCATCAATTGTCTTTTCCAGCTTGGCTGCTCATTTCTCAGCAAAACCTGCATGAAATGCTGGCTCCTTGAGTTTATCAGTAAGAATCTTGATCTCTTCCTCTTATTTGGCTTCTTTTTGAGAGTGCTTTTCTTCGGCAACACACAGACATTTCAGGTTCTGGTCCATCATTCTGATTGGCTCATCCACCTTTAGGCAACAGGACTCTGCCAGCTCAGCTCCTTTCTCTGTGGATTCCAAGTCTCCTTCAATAATTATGAGTCCTGTTGCCTAAAGGTGGATGAGCCAATCAGAATGATGGACCAGGTTTTCAGCTTTAAGGTGTCTTTGGGTAACTTTATTTATATTTTTTTACTTTCTTCATTAGAAGTGAGCAAATTAAGATGGTGAGACCTCTGAGACAAATTTTTGTCCTATCTCTACCCGCTTTCCAACAGCTCACACAATGGGTCATGTGCCCCTTATGTTAAGGTGAAGTAGAGATTAGAACAGTGGTTAGTGAGGCAGGGAAGGATAGGGGAAAAGGGGGAATAGCCAAAGATTGGTTAATGGATGGGACGGTACAGCTAGGTAGGAGAAATAAGTTTTAGTGTTATGTTTTCAAATAGCTGGAAAAGGAGATTTTGAATGTTTCCAACACAAAGAAATGATCAATATTTGAGGTGAGGTGATGGATATGCTAATCACCCTGATTTGATCTTTACACATTGTATACATGTATCAAAATATCACACTCACCTCATAAATATGTACAATTATTATATGTCAACTAAAAATAATAATAAAAGCAAAAATAAATGACAAGTCACAGACTGGGAGAAAATATTTGCAAATCACATGTGTGATGAAGGATTTATATCTGGAATATATGAAGAAGTCTTAAAACTCAACAATAAGAAAACAAACAGCTCAATTTTAAAAACGGGGAAAATAAATATAGAATACTTCACCAAGGAATATAAAAAATGGCAAGTATGCATGAAAATATGTTCAACATCATTGGTCATTAAGGAAAAGGCAAAGGACAAAACGATGAGGTGCCACTACATAAATATTAGAATATTTAAAAGAAAAAAGCAAACTGATAATACAAAATTCTGTTAAGGATTTGGAACAAGGGTACTGTCCTCTACTGCTGATAGGAATGCAAAAATGATACAGCTCCTTAGGAAGACAGTTTCCTAGTTTTTAATAATATTAATCATAGACTAGCTCCTAGATATTAACTCAACTTATATGAAAACTTATGTTAACCCAAAAACCTGTATGTGAAGGTTTATGGCAGCTTTATTCATAATTACTAAAAATTGGAAGAAACCAAGATGTCCTTCAATAAGTGAATGGATAAACACACCGTGTTATATATCATGGGAGAAGTCTTCAGCCAGAGAAATGGAAAACACTATTCATCCACACAATAACATGGATTAATCTAAAATACATCTTGCTAAGTGAGAAAAACAGAGAGTAGAAATGCTATATATTGAATATATAGCACTCATAAGACATTCTGGAGAAAGCAAAAATAGAGGGATGAAAAATCAGATCAGTGGTTTTTAGGAATTAAGAAAGGAAGATTTCCTAGGGAAAACGTAGGATATTCTTTACAGTGATGGAACTAACCCATATGGTAGTGGAGTCATGAATATATGACTCTGCATTTATCAAAACCCACAGAACCTACAGCACAAACAGTAAAACTTTATATATGAAAATTTCATAAAAATCAACCAGGAAGTCAAGGATACAGGGAGTAAAATAGAGATTGTGACAATGCTTAACGATTTACTTCCAAAGAGCAGGGTACGGCAAGGGGGAATAAAAGTATCTTTAAAATGGTAAAACCTGGCAGTCACCACCTTAAGCAAGTGATCAAAGTTAACATCACCAAAAATAGGACAAATACATTTTTCTGTGCCTTAAATTTGTCTATGCTTTTTGATATACTGAGAAGGACACAACATCACTTCTATTCATGGCCAAAATATGTAATATAAATTCAAGCATGAGATAACATCAGGAAAAAAAATAAAATTGAAGGACATTCTAGAAAATAATTGGATTATACTCCTCAATACAGTCAAGATCCTGAGAGCAAAGACAAATCTGGAACTGTTTAAGACTAAAGAGAAGATATGATAACTAAATAAAGTATGTGATACTGGACTAGATTTTGAACCAGAATAAATTGATCTATAAAAGGTATTATTGGGACAATTAGAATTTGAATGTGATCTGCAGATTGGAGTTGAGGCATTAGTACTTTTTATAGTTCACCAGTAGATTTCCATGTGCAACCAAGTTTGAGAACTAGTAGAGTCCCTCCCTTGGTTTTCATTTAGATTAACTGCTGGCCCAGTTAGACCAGGTAGTTTCTAACTCCACATAAATTGTATCAGGATTTCTAGGAAGCTCTGAAGACAGAGAGATTATAAAAATGTAATACTATAAACCCAACATTGGCATGCTTTGATGGTAATTAATAAGAATGATTATGTAACTACATTAATGTAGCTGCAGTTGACTTGAATGGTAGAAATAATCTTCCTTCCTAATCACTAACACACACACACACACAGACACACACACACAGCATTGAAGAGATCAAGTCAATGTGACACAAAAGTCAATTGAAAGGCTCCCAATGGCTAAAGGTGAAATAAAATTGAGCAAGAAAATAAAATTATGTTGGAATATAACCCAAAATATAAGATAAATATACATAAGTCCATACTAATATAACTAAATGATTTAATATATAAATAGTAGGAGAATGAACAAATCTCTCAAATAATTTAAGTAATTTTTTTTATGTAGATACCTTACCCTTAAGGATGGGGAACATAAATCCCACTACAAATATGTATATTCTTCTCCCAACAATACTTATCTATTCTTTTCATATCTCAACTATAGATTAATTCAGGTCAACTGGAAAATGTGATCTCATCTGCAATAACAAATCTGAGATGGTCTCTAGCAGAACAATTTCTTATAACTTATAAGGCATAGAGATAAATCAAAGTGATTGAGAATGCTTACAGCCTCAGAATTGTCCCACCCTTGAGACTTGGTATGTAGCAGAGATTAACTTCTAACCTTATATACAGTAATTCTTCCTGAATATCTTGGACAATATCTTTTTAGCTATAATCTCTCCCTTGAGATCACACTTATCTTTTAAGAAGTGATTATTTTATGAGAATAAATACAGGAAGCTGAGGTCAGCTATATATCTTCTAAGATATTTAACTAGAACAAGGGTCTTGATATCGTGTGATATGGAAACCCTGAGAAACAGGCAAAATGTGATGTAAGCATTATTTTACCTCCTTTACTTTCCCTCTTAGTGCTTTTATAGATCAGTTTCTTTTTATGCCTGCCCATGTGAGTAATCAAAACCTTTCATGGAACCTTAGCACTCAGATCTACATTTCCTCAGCTGGCCTCATATATTATACCATCTTTCTCCATCAACAGCAAAAGTATCTTTCTTTGGTACCATTCCTACGTAATTTTTTCTTTGAGATGGAGTCTCACTCTGTTGCCCAGACTGTGGTACAATCTAAGTTCACTGCAACCACTATCTCCTTGGTTCAAGTGATTCTCCTGCCTCAGCCTCCTAAGTAGCTGGAATTGCAGGCATGCACCACCATGCCCACCTGATTTTTTTGCATTTTTAGTAGATGTGGTGTTTCACCATGTTGGCCAGACTGGTCTCAAACTCCTGACCACAAATGATCCACCCGCCTCATCCTCCCAAATGGCTGGGATTACAGGTGTGGGCCATAATGCCTCCTTCATACTTTTTAATTTTGCTATGGTGTTACTAGCTTCTTGCTAGCAAACATATCCTTTGATTTAGCAAGAAAATTCTACAAATAGCATCATAACCAAAAGGGATAATTCTAAAGGTAGGAATTTGGGGTTATTAGTCATTGAATAAGGGTGATAATTTCATGTATGTGCCAAAATTTTTCAACTCTACGTTAGAGCAAACAAATGGCTTCTAGAAGGATTGCTGGGGTGCCTATGTGAATCACATACATGAGATGTCTATCATAAAAATTATATTCATAGATGTGTATTTTTGTATGTATGAACAAACTTCCTGCTCACTAAATAGAGTTATTGAATGACTTTAAGACAATTATTAAAAACCAAAAGCAATGGAATTCTCCTCTTAATATTGTTAGTATCACACAGAGATATATTGAAATTATTGGTAACATTTGCCGTAGATAATGTTAATCATTTAAATAATTTTGTGGTTATTAAATAACTTGTGGATATCAAGTTATTTAATGGATAATTATCCCCATTTGCAACGTTTGCTCACATTTCATATATTATAATTCTACATCAACAAAACCAATGCAGCAGTATGCTATGCACATAATATTGAAATTGCAGGTAATTTAGTCAATGGAGCACAAGCGCTAAGCATAAAGTATACACTATATGCCGTTAGAACCCACAAGTTCAAAGCCAATTCTAGGTAACTAGCTCATCCAGGATAAAAGGCACTTGTGTTAATTAGAAGGATAAAGGGTAAGTGGCTGTAGCAAAAAGATACATAAAAAAATGCAGTGGCTTAAATAAGATGAAAGTTTACTTTCCTTTCATATAAGAGTTAGGCACGTCTAGGTTGGTGGGCATGTCTGCTTTACATCATTGTGAAACCCAGTAGATTTCTCTTTCTCTATTTAGTCCACCCATTCATCAGCATTGTCCTAGTCTGGCTCTAAGCTTTGTCCCTGACACTTCTGTATTCCAGCTCAGAGGAAGAGAAAGAGAAAAGAAGACGTCCTGGGCAAGCAATTTCCTTTTAAGCATGTGAGGCGGAAATCATACACATTCTTTGTGCTTACATCCCAGTAGAGAAAACCTGATCACACAGCCACAAGGTAGAGGTGTAAATGCTGAACTTTTTTCTAAACTTTGTTTTATAAGGTGAAAAGCTGATCCAAAGCCTTTGGCTTAAGGAATTATTGCAGTGCCTATCCCGTTTTTTTTTTTTTTTCTAGAAATTAAATAAAATAATTTCTCCTTATGCAAGGCATGTAGTGATCATTCACTAAATATTAGGCTTCTTTCTTTCTCCAGATGATTCCATCAAGCCAAGTGATCTAGGATTTGTTCGGCAAATTGATGATTGGTGATATTTTCTGGAGATACAAAGACTCAAAGTCCCTTTGAGCACAAAGAGAACGATGCCTATAAGTAAGTCAGGATTGATAAGCAAGGGCTTCACTGCACAATGCAATAAATTTCTGCTAAAAAATAATTATTCCATCCTATGTGAAACCTGGTTATAGTCTCCAAATTGGAGAGGAATTTGATTTGGTATTCAAAGATCATGGAATGTGACAGATTATTGCTAGGTGATATGGTCTAGAAAGCATGATACTAGTACTGAGCAAATGTATTTGCAGAAAATTCAAGAAAAACACAAAACATAAGAGGAGATCTCTCTTCTTGGGTAGAATAGTTAGACTGATTTATTATGGAAAGTCTTAGACTGTAACTATTTTGTATTTTGACAAACATCAATTCTAATTGAAGATTCATACAAAGTACTCAGTGCTTTTCTCTAAGGGATTCCACCTACTTGTGAAGATCTTCAAGAATATTATTTGTTGAATCAATGAAAGGTATTCATTTTCTGGGTTTATTTCCCCTCCTTATGCTAAATTGTTATGCCAGGGCACAGGAGAATGATGATTCAAAATCTATACCTACATCCACAGGAATTTGCAATACTTACACATTTTACCATCATGTCCTAAATACAATTCAGTATGCAAGGCATATTCAAAACCCAGTCCAAATGCTAAAAATAAATTCCTGTCAGCAATTTATTTCCTATCACACCATCAGTGTTTTCTCTCTTTTGTCAACAAACTATTTTAGCACATGACATTTTCTGTATCATTTATGTGAAGTTTAGTCTGTAATATTTATCCTTATGTCTTGTCTCCTCATCTAAGTGATGAATTAGTTGCCAAGCAGGGATGTGGCTTATGCTTCTTTTTCTAGACAGCACATGCAGATTTTAAGCCATAAGTACTTTATAGACTCTGAAGGGAACTTTTCAAACATGCAACCATTTTTTTAAATTATATTTTTCCCTATTATGTCTTAGACAAATATGTATTTGCTTGAATTTAGGGAAATGAATTAGAAAAAGTTACACAATATCAATCAAAAAATTAACATGGTTAAACATAAAATGCCTTAAAATACCCATCTGCAGGAGGTTTCCATCCAGAGATGTTCTAAAATGTGTTGATAATTATCTTGCAGATTCCATAAATCTCTTCAAACTGCCAGAGAATGAAAAGCCAGGTAAGGTAAGTGATAATCTGGGAAATTAATGTTTCTGACAAGTCATGAGAACCAGAAAAAGTTATTAAATGCTAACATTTCCCATATAATGATAATGGTTAACACTGGTGTAATGCTTGCTATGCCCAAGCACTGTCCCTAAAACAAGTACTGAAGGGTAAATGATAAATATCCCCACTTTGGAGATGAGAAAGCTGAGGCACAGAGAAGTCAAGTCACTTCTCCCAGGATTCAAAGTCAAAATTTCAACTGAGTCATTCTAGTTTAAATTCTACCTTAATTTAAGGAAGAATCTACTCTGGCTAACACCCTTATATGCAACCTGTGTAATGTCGTAGTGCTAATGCTGACTACTATTTGTTGAACGTTACTATCCTATGACAGGCACACGAATGTTAATATTTGAGGATTCATGGGTGTTGGTGCTCTCAGTACTTCCTGTGGCACTCCTCCTAGCTTCCAGGTCTTTTATTTCATAGATTTGGTTAATACTGAAAGTGGAAACAAAAGGCAATAAATAAGGTTAAGGTAAAATTGATTAATTTGACAAAAGACTCCAGGATAAGAAGAATAAATTCAGAAAGCAAAAAGGAGGAGTGGGACTGTGGGATGAGAAGCCAACAGGAAATGGAGAGGAGTTGGCAGTTGAGAATTTAGGAGATAGTTTAGAGATGGAGGGCCAGGGTGCTATACTCTTTTCCTTTAGGGCTTCTAGACCAAAGTGCAGCCCCCAGACTTTGCACCTAAGGAGGTATCATGCTTAAAAAAACTTCATTTATCAGAGGCACAAAATATTATTAAGGTAAAATGAAATATGCAGAATAATATTGACTGTATCTATAATATTTCAACTAATTATTTTGGATAAGACAGGGTAGTTCTGGATTCTAATAGCTCAGGATTGCCATATGTTAAAAAGTCCTGGAAAATGTTGCACATTCACCTGGTGCTTGCTTGACATTTTCTCTACTATTACTTAAGTGCTCGTAGATTTATCACTTATCCTATGTAAAAGAAATGCTCTCTTTTCTGATTTGAATTTCACCTTTGCCTCTTACATGTTTCATAACTGCATTTGTCTCAATGTGACATATTGCAATAAGCTTGTTGCTAATAAAATTGACACATTTTCTGTTGTGAGTCTGCAAACAAGTAGAAAAGCCCTCCTCTTCAACATTTGTTTCATTGTCCAGTGCTATAAAAAAATGCTCATGGTCCTGGCTATTATAGAAATCCTTAGGAAGATGATAAAAAGGAGAACAATTTCTAGGAATGCAGTTACTATTGCCTAAAGATTTCAAAAGAAAATATGGCTGGAAGAGGTGTTCTATGTTTAGTCAATAAAATTACAATGGTTAAGTTTAACATGATCAGAAAATGAATTATTTTTCTCATTTATTCTTCATTCCATGGTTAAGATTGCATTCTGTGGAGACAGGAAGCACAACAATAACTTTTGGGAGAGTTATTGGAAGCCAATATACCAAGACACCATGATGGATGATCCAGAATCATGGGTAAAGATGTAACCAGTGTTAAGTAAATGGTATCAGGGAATTGTAGAGATAAGAAGGTCCATACTACTTCATTATGAATAGGTTCCAAAGAGCCATGACATTGTAAGTAATAATGGTGTTATTAACTTTTTCTTGTGGGGATAAATATAAAATTCTCTAGTAATAATACATTTGAAAGTAAAGAACAGGAAGAGATGGTTTCTGGACATAAAAAGATGCCTGGAGGATCTTTGCATGCCTTAACTGAACAGTAAACAATTATGTAATCCTTGCTTTTCCATCTGCTAGTCTAAATTGTTATTGATATATAGTAATACCTCATGTAGGGCCATGAGTTTTGTGTTACTTATTTTAATTAAAATGTTTACATTGGCAGAGACCCACCAGAAGTATTTCTCCAGGGCCCTGACTACCCTTCAGGGTGCACTGCCCTCTGGAATATTTAGAGAGATAAAGGATTTTAGGAAGTTTTTGTTGCATATCATAAAAGGACTTTCCTTTTGGTGCCTCTTCAAGAAATTTTATTCATGATTTAAATAATTTTTCTGTATGTCAGATTGATATATCCTGTACAAACCACACCAAATTTACAAATGAGAAAGTTCAGAGGAAAAAAAGATTTTCTAGAGATTGCTCAGCACTAAAGAATGAAGCTAAGGTTTTTGTCAAGATTTATCTGATTCTAAAAGTCATTGTCTCCACCACACTGAACACACCTTATTCTTCTTCTGATGAGTAATTCAGGCTGCCCAATTTTGGTGGAAGTGAGCTTTTGCTTTACTATGATACCAAAACAATCTCGAATTAATTTGATTGCTTACATGTTATTCACTAATAGAGAATAAAATCACTAGGATCGTTAGGTCAGATATTTTCAGCAGTTGTCTTGTAAATCAATGAGCATTTGTTGCTGTTGGTTTGATTGGGCTCACATATTCTCTAGAGTCCTGCCATCATCTTGCAATGACATAATTAAGTTTCTCTGTGCAAATATTGAGGATTCGGGTCTGGACACATTTCTCTTATGTTAGGTTTCTGAGTCCTCAGGCAACTCTGACTATATAGACATCTATTGATCTTTCTTTTAGGCAGCTTGACAGTATAGCCATCTATTGTCTTTTCTATTTATCTAATTTATCTAAAATTATCTTAATTTTAACATAGCCAGGACCTGCCCATATATGATTGGATAAATATGTGTTGAATAAATAAAAGAATGAATGAATAAATAAATCAGTCAAGTTACATAACTATCTGAATAATTTTAGGTCAATATTCTAACACATGGTAGAGATCATATAGATTATACAGATCTCTACTATGGTTTATAGATTAGATAGATTATATAGATCTCTACTATGTTTTATTTATAAAAATATTTAAAGTTTTAAGTATTTCCTTATTCTTAATAAGTGCTTCAAAATTGATAAAATAAAGCAAAATTAAAAAGTCATGCAATCTAATATAAATTTTGCTAGAAAAGAAATAGATTTTTTAAAAAATTGAAATAGTTTTATTTCAGAGAATCCAGATTCTGGGTCATGCATTCTGGCTTTCATTTGGTAATGAATCATTTTACTTTTCAAAGGTATTGGTGGTAAGTCTGGGAGCAAGGCTAAAACCCTAGTTGATCCAGAGCTCAGGCTGATCAATGAGAAAACACAATTAGCTTCCAGCAATGTGAACATTGTTTCTACCAGTATTGATTATCTAATTTATAATTTAAAAAAATAATGTCTTTTTCTTATTAAAGGTTGTATTTCTTCTAGTATTAGGAGGGGAGTGGAGTAGAATGAATAAGCTCTACACAAGGGTTTACACTTAGAAGTTGGTCAAATAAAACACATGCTCTCCTTAGTATGGATCTCTTTAGGTCAAGGCTGTTTTTATCCACACTGGTGAAATTGTGAGACAGCTTATCACGGTCTACAGTTAATATTCTCAGGTGCTTTAAAAACATTATATCTTATTATAATGCATTCAATATAGGAAATAGAATTATGATTATCACCCATTAGTCACTCAAAGAAAAATGTTCAATGAATGAATTGATTAAATGATGGATAAAACATTTTGCAACTGGCTTCATAGCAGTCACTTTATTGATTTCTTTGTACTATGCAACCTTTAAATATTAATTATCCAGGATGCTTAGGTAGATGCCTAATTAAAATGATAAAACTGTTCTATCATTTTGCTTTTTAATTACTTGGAATTATTTTGATACAATTCCTATCTCACTTTGTATATTTCTTCATATATTATGAAGGCCAAATTTATATTCAAGAAGTTGAAAATAATTTCTGGCTAATGACTAGAGACAGTATTCCTGCTACACCAAATATTGGTTCTAAATGATTTATTTACCTGATTTAATGCCATCCTGATAACAGATATGTACTTTCTCAGTTAACTGCTGTTGGGGGAAGTGTATTAGAGAAACATGTTTTCCTGACTCAAAAATTTCTCCACAAAAGTAACAAATAAAGAACACAGTTTTATGATTAAATAAGCATTAAACCAAAATGTGATATGCATCATAGGCAATCTGCTAAGAGGTTGCAAAGACAGAAAGAAACCTAACTGTTTTATATAGGCAAGCCCTCAAGTAAGAAGACTTGAGAGCACCATTTTGTCACACACAGTTCATCCTAGATTCACCTGACAATTGAGATAATCATCTATGTTACCTAATGAGTTTTATCCAGAGGAAAAACAAACTTCTCAAATCTTTATGAAAAAGGTAGCTTTGCAAGAGCAAGGTGCCCACCAAAGTTAAACTTGGCTGATAGGGATGCTATCTCCCTTGATATATACATTTCAAAGAGAATGCTCCCGGGTTCTTGAGAAAGACATTCCTGGGTCATAAAGCTGACAAAAAGCCTGTCTAGTTTCAAAAGGATTTATATACATTTCAAATAGAGTGGAAAGTACTTACAACTTTTCTAAAGTATGTTCTCTAAGAAAAAGGAGGGGAGGGAAATATATTTCCTCATTTTCAACAGGGAGATGAAGCTTATTTTATTTTATTATTTTATTATTTTATTTTATTTTATTTTTGAGATGGAGTCTCGCTCTGTCACCCAGGCTGGAGTGCAGTGGCCTAATCTCGGCTCACTGCAAGCTCCACCTCCCGGGTTAACGCCATTCTCCTGCCTCAGCCTCCCAAGTAGCTGGGACTACAGGCACCCGCCACCACGCCCGGCTAACTTTTTGTATTTTTAGTAGAGACGGGGCTTCACCATGTTAGCCAGGACGGTCTGGATCTCCTGACCTCGTGATCCGCCCGCCTCGGCCTCCCAAAGTGCTGGGATTACAGGCGTGAGCCACCGCGCCTGGCTTCTTATTTATTTTTTAAAAAATAATTAGGTTGTTTTTTGCAGGGACATGTATGAAGCTGGAAACCATCATTCTCAGCAAACTAACACAGGAACAGAAAACCAAACACCGCATGTTCTCTCTCATAAGTGGGAGTTGAACAATGAGAACACATGGACATAGGGAGGGGAACATCATACACCGGGGCCTGTCAGGGGGTGGGGGACTAGGGGAGGGATAGCATTAGGAGAAATACCTAATGTAGACGACGGGTTGACGGGTGCAGCAAACCATCATGGCACATGTGTACCTATGTAACAAACCTGCACGTTCTGCACATGTATCCCAAGAACTTTAGGTTCTGGGATAATAATTAGGTTTATTGAGGTATAATTTGCATAAAATAAAGTTCACTCATCTTTAATTGTACAGTTCAATGAATTTTGACAGTGTATATATTCAGGTAACCATCATTACAATGAAGATGTGGACTATTTCTATCAATCCAAGTAGACGCCTCTGCAATCCCCCCCACTTCCGCTATCCCCACTTAGCCTGCCTGGCGGTTTTGCCTGTTTTAGGTCTTTTTTTTTTTTTTCTCCAGCTGTATTGAGATATAATTAACAAATAAAAATTGAATATATTTAGAGTGTACAACCTGATGTTTTGATATAAGTATGCATTGTGAAACAATCACCACAGTTAAGCTAATTATCTATTTATTATCTCACATAGCTACCTTTGTGTGTGTTTGTGTCTGTGTTAAGCTTCTTCTTTTTCATGTATTTGTTGTTACAATTTTATTTGTCTTTACACTGGTCATATGTTGTGTTCTTTCAGAATTACCTTGCAGATGGCTATAAGTTTGGAAAATAATGAATGCTATCATTTCTCTATTGGAATTTCCTCATTTCTCAGTTTATTTCCTATTTAATACCTACTGGTATTTAATTAGAATGCTTGGTAGCTTTGAAAGTAATAATAAGCTGTTGATTTGGGGTTAATTTGATTACTTTCTCTGAACCATACTTTTTAAACTTAGAATGCGTATATTTAATGTGAGATCCCAGTTTCTTCAATCTTTTTTCAATTGATTTAAATTATATTACAATATTATTCTTACTTTCTAAATTTTCAGATACATTGCATGTTTTTATAATGTACATGATGTTTTGAAGTATGTATACATTGTGGAATGACAAAAATCTAGGTAATTAATACATGCATTACCTCACATAGTTCTCATTTTTGTGGTGAGAACACGACATCCACTCTATTAGTATTTGTCAACACTACAGTATATTGTTACTAACTACAGTCACCATGTTGTATAATAGATGTCTTGACCTTATTCCTCCTACCTAAAATTTTGCATTCTTTGACCAGCATCTCCTCAAACCCTCCTCTCCAACTGCCAGGGCCTCTGGTAAATACTTTTCTACCTTCTATTTCTATGAGATTAACTTCCTTAGATTCCCCATGTGAAAGAGATCACATGGTATTTGTCTTTCTGTACCAGGCTTATTTCAATTAACATAAAAAAACTCCAGATTCATCTGTGTTGTTACAATAAGATTTTCTTCTTTTTATGGCTGAATAGTATGCCACTGTGTATATATACAACAATTTTTCTTCATTCATTGATGGACACTTAGGTTGATTCCATATCTTGGCTATCGTGAATAGCAATGCAATAAATAAATGGGAGTGCAGATATTTCTTTACCATACTGATTTCATTTCTGTTGGATATATACCCAGAAGTGGGATTGCTGGATCATATGGTAATTCTACTTTTAAGGAACCCCTGTATTGGTTTTCATAATAGCCATGCTAATTGATATTCCTACCAGCACTGTGCAGGCATTCCCTTTCCTTCATATCCTCACATCTTCACGTTTTTGTTTGTCTTTTTACACCTAGCCATTCTAATAGGTAATATCTCATTGCAATTTTAATTTGCATTTCCCTAATGATTAGTGATGTTGAGCATTTTTTAATATACCTATTGGCCATTTGGATGTCTTCTTTTGAAAAATGTCTATTCAGGTCCTTTGCCCATTTTTAAATTGGGTTATTTGTTTTCTTGCTTTTGAGTTGAGTCCTTTATATGGTTTGGATATTAACCCCTTATCAGATGCATAGTTTGCAAATATTTTCTTTCATTCTGTAGATTGTCTCTTCACCTTGCTAATTGTTTCCTTTGCTGTATAGAAGCTTTTCAGTTTGATATACTCACATTTATCTATTTTTGCTTTTGTTGCCTATGCTTTGGGACCATATAAAAAATGATTGACCTGATCAATATCAATCTTAAAAATGAAATTTTAAATGGCTAATATGAATATAGCAATTGCTTAGGCATGATTCTAAGCACTTTACATCTAGTAACACATTTAATCTACAAGGTATATAATATTATTATCATTCTTTTTGTTTTTACAGAAAAAAAACAGACACAGAGGGTTTGTCATTTTTCTAAGCTCACTTAGCTAGCTAGCAGCAGCACTAGAAATCTGATCTGAGCTCTACTTTTTAACAACTACTACACTACACCCACTTCGTACGCTGAAGTGATGAAAAGGTATATTAGATAATCCACTTTGTGCAATGTTCAGCATATATTTAGCACTCAGTGAATGCTAGCCATTGTTGCTGTTTTGTGGTTGTTGCTGTTGTCATTCTAAAACTGCCTTCTTCAGACTTTCAGGCCAGTTTTCACCCATTTTCTCCACTAATTAAAAAAAAAACAACTTTTATGCAATCTGCTCTACTGGCAATATTAACACATAAATGTGGAATCTTAGGGTTGAGATGTTCTGAATTGTTTGATATTGCAATTTATTTATCTTTAAAAGGTTAGCAAGGATTATATGTCAAATCGTTTCTAGACATAGAGACCGAGCATAGTTGGGGATTTTCTAACCCTAATTATTCATTTGTTCATTAATTAATTTATCAATTCAGTCAACAGCTATCTAAGGAAAGCCTCCTAAATACTAGGCACTATGCTAGGTGCTTTTACAGAAGTTCATGCTTTAAAGATTTGAAACAATTAAAGAGTATTAGGAGTTCAAGGCCCAAAGAGGCTGAAACCTATTATTACAGCTTAATTTTAGAACACAATTGGCATGAACTACATAGAAGACTCAAAACCTTTTGAATCTGACCCTGTCATCTTTCTCTAAGTGATTTATCCAGAGATATGTTACTATTTTCTTGAGGCAAGATAGATTGAAATGACCTAAGGTTTTCATTAATGGTTTTCATTATTTTTTTTTGGTCTCAACTAATTGCTTCAGAATACCTCTCCAGTTTTAATATTCTTATAGTTAATATTTCAAGATTCTCTGATAAAAATTTGACTTCCCCTTAGGAAACCCAAAATCTGCAAAAGCAAAATGTTGAGCTTAAAAATGGTAAAATCAAGAAGTCAGACTTAGTAAAAATGTTAAAAATTTGAATAATTAATCATAATGATAATTATGCCCTGGCAATAACATACCTTGAAAGTTTCTTATTTTGCGACTCACCTCAAGATCAATTTTTGCCACATTCATCAGTGGTAAATGAAGGTGTGAGAGGGCTGTTGGGTAAGTATGACAGGATTTGGGTAGTTTGGTTTCAAATTCTAGCTCTGCCTCTTAGTCGCTGTGATTTTTGGACAATTTACTCAACCTCTTTAAATCTGTTTCTGAATCTGGAAAATAGGTTGATATTTTTATGTATTTCAAAATTTAGTTGTACTAGCAAGATAATGTATATAATGAAATTATTAAACTGTAAGTATTAAATAATTTATAACTTCAATAAATTGTGGGTTCAATAAAATTCATTTGAAATTCCCTAAGACAACATCTTTTTCTTTTCATTTATTTCAATACAGCAGTCATAATTATCTTGTTGAATTAAGTCAGATAAAAACAAATACCTCCCCATCTTGACATGTGAATCCTTACATGGGCTGTATTATTTGCTCATTTACTTTATTTCTTTACCCTCTCTTTGGTTTCTCTGTTCAGGCCACATGAGCTCAGGACTTTCTTGCTGCTCTTGGAACAGGAGAGGTACACTCCCGCTCCAAAGCCTATGCAGTTGATGTTGTCTCTCTCGGAATACCTTTTGACCTATGCACTGCAAAGTTTGTTCCTCACCTCCTTCAGGTCTTAACTCATATGTCATTTTCTCTTTAGTGCTATCTCTAACCATTCTGTTAAAAATTGTAGTCTACCTTCCAACACTTCCTACTCCTCTTGGCTTTGGTTTTCTCCATAACATTTATCACCATTTAGTATTAGGCTACAATTTATTTATTTATATTGTTTCTTGTTTGTCTCCACCACTAGAATATAAACACCATGAGAGCAGGAGTTTGTGTCTATTTTGCTCGATTTTGTGAGCCCACTTCCAAAATGAGTCTAGTATAAAAAAGACACGTAATAAGCATATGCTAGTATAAATTGTCCAAGTCAAAAAAAAAAGAAATTATTAAAGTGTGAATAAGAGATATGGAGGATCAGAATATATAGAAAGGCATTGTGATAACGGAGACTTGAGTTATACTATGGTATGGTTTGTATAAGACAAACCAATGGGAAATAAACCGCTTGGGAAGAATCATAAAGTTATCTTAGATCACCCTTGATTTTTTTTTCCTTTTTAAAAAAAATTTACTTCAAGTTCTGGGATATATGCACAGATTGTGCAGGTTTGTTACATAGGTATACATGTGCTGTGGTGGTTTGCTGCACCTATCAACCCGTCATCTGGGTTTTAAGGCCCACATGCATTAGGTATTTGTCCTAATGCTCTCCCTCCCCTTCCCCCCTCCCTCTGTCCAGGTGTTCTCATTGTTCAACTCCCACTTATGAGTGAAAACACGCAGTGTTTGGTTTTCTGTTCCTGTCATAGTTTGCTGAGAATGATGGCTTCCAACTTCATCCATGTACCTGAAAAGGACATTAACTCATTCTTTTTTATGGCTGCAAAGTATTCCATGAGATCACCTTTGATTATCTTAATTGTTTACCACTTATTTTAGGTAACAAATAACTAGGTATTTAATCAGCAAAACAGATATTATCATTGGTCTTAGCTAGTTTGCTATATTATGCTTATGATTCCATCCTTTACACTTTCTATCAACCAGAAATGTCTTATGGTATATAAATATAATAATAAAAAACAGTGTTGCCAAATACTCAAATAACCTGAGAAACCCTATACATTTATATGTTACAGATGAGTTATAATTTTGAATTATGCAGAGGCCACATGACTTAAGGACTCTATAGTTTTTTTCTACCATGTCTATTAACATAAACTTAAATTAACATTAAGTTATATTACATTTAAAAATCCACAGGAAGGGTACTCTTTGCATTTCTTAAATAAAACTTGAGTTTATTTTGAGTCAATGGAGGTTCTCTTTCTTTTGTGGTGCTCCAATGTATACAAAAATTTATTGAGTGTTGTTCCTTCCATACTGTATTATAGTATGAAAGATAGTTATCAATTTGTGCCATACTCCATCTCACTTTCAGAAGTATTTATGTCTAAAGGAAAAGTATGACCCATAAAATGATCTCTTTTAAACAAATAAATGGTGTAGGATATAACAATGTAACACTGTGCTTTTTACTTGACTTAATTTTATTTCCTTGTTTACATCTTAGATATTAGATGCATTAAATGAAATACTGTTATTGGTCTGAGACCATTTCATTGCTATTAGCTATACTCTGCATATTATCCAGTAATTTATGTTCTCTGTGGCATTGCCAAATGATCCTTACATTTGATAAACTGTATGAATTATTATATTCTTATTGAATTATAAGTAATTGCATCTGTTTCAGTTATTGAGACCACACTCTGCATCATTTGTGCATTTATTTTTATTGTTGTAAAATCAAGGCCTTAGCTAAATAAATTAGTGATAAGCCCGGAAATGTTTATGAAGAGTTTATATCATTAAGGAGTTGAGAGAGTTTTAGAAATTATTTTCAATGTTAATTCTTTTCAATCTTTCAATATTAATGTGCAAACTGAAAAATTTGTTTCTCATTTTGTGAATTAGTCAGCTTTGTGGGGTGCCTATAAAATTACTTTGTCTAAAAATATATTAAATTCTTTTATTATAGAACAAATTGCATTCTTTTGCCCTTGTCTGTGAAGACAGAAATTATATCTAACTTATTCTCCTATCACAGAGTATGGCAATGCTAAGTCCACAGTAGGTGTTCAGTAAATAGTTTTAACTAAGTAATAATCACACAACCAAAATTTTCTCTGTTTGCCATTTAGAAAGGAATTACAGTATTAAAAACATTAATCAAAAATTATCCTGAAGAAACTTACAGTCTCATAATAGTTTTAAATATTTTAAACTCTTGATTTTTCCTGAGATATTCTCAAATTTTCTCTTTTACTTTCATGAGTTCTGATAACCAATTCAACTCAGCAAGGACAAACCACCATGTGAGTAGATTAGAAGCAGAAAAGGCAAAGGTGTTTTTAGGGTGCATGGATCCCTTTAGTGATTCATGTCACTTGGAGCTAGTCTGGAATTATACATTGCTTTTCCTTGGAAAGTCCTAGTTTAGATCTGTTGTGCTGATGTCTAAATAAATTTTAGTATTTTTACTCCAAAATAGGCCCTGAATGAGATAATAAAATGCATAGTTTCCCTACCTATGATCCCCTATTCCTATGATCAGCAGTTTGTCACTTGATTTTCCAAGCTCCCACCCCATGAATACTTAACAATATGTAAGGATATTTAGAAAGCTTAACCTAGTAAGAGAAATTCTAATATTAAGTATATATAAGTACAAAAGTCATGCAAATTACCATTCCTTAATTCATTCAATAAGTGGGCCCACATAGCAGTGCCCGAGATCTGCTTCAAATTCCAAAGCCTCAGTCCCAATGTACCAGATGCTTCTTATCAAGCACCATCAGCAACAATGCTATTAACATCATAATGAAGGACAAGCATGATGGCACATTAGATATCAAAAGAATGGCTTATATATTTTGTCACCAAATTAGAGAAATTGCCAAACATCAAAACTGGCATTGAAAACTCTGCTTATTTCAGTGGAAGCTAGATATTATGCCTACTCTGCTTTTTCACACTTTATAAAATATTCTCAGTATATAACTATCTGGGCATGTGTACAAGTTTAAAATGTTATGATCACATCTTTAAAATAATTTCTCTTTTTATCTGTTACAATTTTGATTTGTGCCTAATACAAATGACTTTATTAATGGCCTTTTGATATCCAAAACTTTATTTTGTCCAAGCAATCAGAATAACAAATACAATTATTTGAACCAACTAATCTCATTTCAGGAGAACGAAACTATAAACCGTGAAACTATAAGCCTAGTTTCAATTTTCTATACATTTGATTTTCATGAGGACATAAGGATCATTTACAATCTGATGCATTTTTAAAAAGATGTGTACCCTAATAGATAAAGGATAAGTTTTAAATTCACGTAGATCTAGGCTTGAATCCCAAGTAAGTCGATTACTAGATTTGTGAGTTGGCCAAGTTATTTGCTCTTTTTTTTAGCTTCATTCTTCTGGTTTGTAAAAAAAAAAAAAAAAAACAATGCTTCCTTTCAGGAGGTTACAAGATTAGGTTGGATGATACATTCAATAAGTCCAGCACAGCACATTGCACATAATAAGGGCTTAACCTTCTCCTTGACTTTTCCCAACAAAATTGTCAGTGTGCTGAGGGAAAGAATTGTAATTATTCTTGGTAGCATCTCTTTTTTCCTCTTCTACTCTGCTCTATAAAAAAATGCCACGGATATGATAATAAATATATGCTACCTTCATTTAACAAATTCCAGGATATGATGATAAAGCTTAACATTTTTAGGCTTTTTCTGATTGTATGACTTTTTACAATTTTCATATTATTTTTTCATGGCTGTATGTTTTATTATTGGAGGAACTGAATAAAGCGCTAATGCTTTTTTTGTTTTAATACAATGCAGTTAAGCTGCAATCAACTTCATGTAACACTTTAACCTGTAGAACTACTGTGGTGGAAGTATTAAAACAAACAAACACACACCCAAAAGCAGCTGACATGGAGAAAAGTTAAGTGGGAAACAAGAGCTGTACGCAAAGGGCATTTCAAAGTTTTTTGGAGGACTATTCTTTTATTAACCTCTCTTATATTTGACTAATAGAAGGATATGAGTCAAATTGGGGATTAAATAACTGTTTGTTACTATTTTTTCCTTTAAAACTTTGGAGATGTTTTACTCTTTTCTAATGTATGGCCAAGGTAAAAAATCTTTTGACTTTCTGTGCTGCAGTGTCCTCTAGAGCTATCATAATGACTGTAGTATGCTTAATAAATTGCTTTGATATACATATTATATAGCCCTTATTGTCATGTTTGGTTAAATAGATGTGGCTAAATATACAAAAATCATCACTTAGGAAGCATAAAAATTATCAGGAAATACATTATATTAAAACTGGATGGTAAATTTCTAATAGCATCAATTAATTTTATGGAATTTTTGTAAACACTTTAAAATACTAATTTTGTATATTTGTCAAGGGAGGTTATTAATACCGAATAATCAGTATCAATAGAAAAACATCTAGACATCTTTGCTCAAGTTGCAAACGGTTTAATTGACAATGTTAATTTAAGTAAATAGATAATAAAAACAGACGAAAGTACAATAATCAAGCACATTCATATATTTTCTGTATTGATTGGCTTAACTAATGAAGGGAAAATTGGGTTTTACCTCTGACTCAGGTATGTTAAGCGTTAGACATGGAGAAGTCAAGTCAGTAGAAAGGTCAAGTAAAGAGGCAAAATAAGATAAGGACTGACAAATATTTCAGATTTAGCAAATAGAACGTGATGAGTACTCTTGACAAGAAAAAAAAAAACAAACAAGAAAACAAACAACATCAACAAAAAACTGAAGAATGAGTGAGAGACCAGGTTCCTAAGAGTTGAGGAAAAAAATGAAAAACGTTGGTGACAAAGTCAAGATAAGAATGCCAACTCTTATTGCAAAGAGGAAGGTTCAGGAGAGAAGAAAAAAGTTGAAATTCTAGATTAGGATATAGGATGAAGTACCTGCTGTTGCTGCTTCTGATTGGAAACACTAGTTTGAGAATATTCACATGTTAAAAATATGGTGCTGCTGCATAGACAGGTTCAAAATAAAAGGAGAGAGGGGGCAATATTTGTGAATCAAAATTGTCAGAAGATGACTGGAAAGAATGGAATTTAGCACATAGGTGAAGTGATGAGTATTAGACAAGATGAAGGGCTCATTTTACTGAAAGAAGAAAAGAAGTAAACATAGATGTTAATTTATTCTTCCTCTCATTTACTCAGTTAGCAAATATTGAAATATTATAATGACAGCTACTTTACTGCCAAGTCATTTTCCCACAAACTGTACTCCATCAGTTTCTCAAATGATCTTTTGGAAATACAAATCAATAATATGATTTTCCTTTTTAAAATTCAGTCGTGTCACTGTATTTTATACGTTCTGAGAATTCATTGTTAGGCAATTTTGTCATTGTGTGAAAATGATGGAGTGCACTAACACAAATCTCAATGGCACAGCCTACAACACATCTAGGCCACATGGTATAATCAATGGTTCCCAGGCTACAAACCTGTTCAGCATATTAATGTACTGAATACTGTAGGCAATTGTAACACAATAATAAGTATTTGTGTATCTAAACATATCTGAACATACAAAAGGTACATTAAGAACACAGTATTATAATCTTATGGGACCACTGTATATGTGGTCTGATGTTGCGTGAAATGTTATGTGGCACATGGCATGTTACGGGGCATGCAGTAGTTCACCAATGGATCATCAATATAAATTCCACATTCTCTAAAAAGACACACGAGGATCTGAGTCCTGTCTTTCTCTCTAATCTCTTCTCACCACCCTTCATTTCACCCCCTGCCCCACAACCATCCTCTTCAAATACACTGACCTACTGGCAGTAACCATATATTTTCTTCTCACTCAGAGTAAAGACCAACATTCTTATCAGAATTTTCAAGACGTTATATGATCTGCACATCTCCTGACCCACGACCCACTCCTGATCTCATCTTCTTCTACTTAGTATCTGTCTTATTTTGTCATTTTTTTCCCTGCTGTCTCTTGAGCTGGTCAAAAATGGTTCTCACTTGGGTCCTTCACAAGTGATCTTTCCCAAGATATTTACGTGACTCAGTTTTCTCTCTTCAATTCACTGCTCTAAGAAGCATTTCCTGTCTACCCTATCTATACAGCAACCTCTTCTCAAAACTGAGTTCTTGCTTCGATTTAGTGTTCTTCATATCTCTTATCACCACTTCATATATAATATTTAGTTTTTGTACTATTTTCCTCTCCCTATAAGAATATAAACAGCAAAAATCAGAGACTTTATTTTTCATGCAGCACTGACACATTCCTAGCAGCAGACTAGTGCCTGATACAGAACTGGAACTTTTCAAACATTTGTTAAATAAATAAAGAAGTAGATGAATAAATTGTGTGAACTAAATAACCTAATTCCTAGTAAAATTATATTTTTCATTTTAAATTAATGCTCTGGCATTCTGATTTTGGAGGGCTTGTTTCAAGCCACAAAGAGCCATATCAAACAACCAATGATGGTGTTAATTTACTAGAGTACCACTCAAACAGGACTCTCAGATGTCATGAGTAAAGGAATTTATTAAGTTGAACTTTTTTTGTTGTTTTGAAAGAATTGTATTTTATACTGTGCGTATAAACCACTTGTATAGTTTAAAAAGTGATAATATTCACATGTTCAAAAACTCAGCTTGACAAATCAGGCATTACTATACTTTTGAATCCCATGCACTCCTCCCAGGTCATGTTTCCCCTAACACCCTACAAGTAACCACTATTCTCACATAAAATGTGACCACATGTGCATAAACTTAAAAACACAGCATTTAGGCCGGGCATGGTGGCTCACGCCTCTAATCCCAGCACTTTGGGAGGCAAAGGTGGGCAGATCACAAGGTCAGGAATTCGAGACCAGCCTGGACAACATGGTGAAACCCCATCTCTACTAAAAATACAAAAATTGGCTGGGCATGGTGGTGGGTGCCTGTAATCTCAGCTACTTGGGAAGCTAAGGCAGGAGAATCTCTTGAACCTGGGAGGCGGAAGTTGCAGTGAGCCGAGATCATGCCATTGCACTCCAGCCTGGGTGACAGAATAAGACTCCATCTAAAACAAACAAACAAACAAAAAAACACAGCATTTAATTCTAAATGGATAAGACCTTTATTAATATTTATAATAAATAAATCACACTCTATGTTCTTCTGGAACTTTCATATTTTTGCCTTAAATTGTATTTTTTAGAGTTATCCATATTTTATTTCATTGATCTATCATTGCTGTATAGACATCAATTTAGTATACTTCCATTTACAGTCTGTTCTATCAAAAATATTTGGAATATATCCATGTTTTGTTATTATAAAATACACAGCCATCAACATTCTTGCACATGTCTCCAGCTGTAGATATGCAGAAATTTCTAGGGTATATTAAAAGGTCATGAGGCAAAGAACGCCTTTAGCTTTTCAGCTGTGCCAAATTAACTTCCAAAGAGAGTTACCATTTCAAACTCACAATAGACATGTTTCTCATTCCCACTTACACATGCTTTTGTTAAACTTTTAAATTTTTATAAATATGATATTAACAAATGGTATTCTTCTGTAGCTTTAGTTTGAATTTTCTTGATTACCAATGAGATTGGGCCCTTTATGTTTCCTCTCTGTAAATTGCCTATTCATGTTTTCTGCCAGTTACTCTCTTTTTCCCATATCAGTTCACTATGATTGTTTATTCTAGAAATGGGACTTGTTGACTATGTCTATGGTAGATTGAATCATTGTTTAACAAATATGTTTCTCTCTTATTTGGAACAGGACAGGTTGAGCTTGGCCCTTTGTCTTATTTTGGAGTGTGAATGGAAGTCACAATGTCTCTGTTCTAAGCTAACATGATAGGAGGAATACTAAATAGCTGACAGCTGTCTTGCTATCTCATCTTCTGCCATAAGTCTCTGTATGTGCTGAGCAGCTACTTTTCTCAGATGGAGGAAACACGTGGAGCTGACCTAAAGCATTCTTGACCAAGTGCAGCCCAACTCAGACTTCCTACATCTCATCACTCCCCTGTAGACATATGAGTGGAAAATAAATGCTTGTTATTGAAAACTACTGAAATAATTTCAGTAGTTGATTACTAGAATTATTTTTTACACAGCATTATCACAGGAATCTCAATTACTATATATGAGTTACAATATTTTTATTAAATCTGTGGCTTTCTGATCCTTTTTTAATGGTATCTTCATGAACATAAGTTCTTAAGTATAATTCCTCAAATATCACTTCAGTGATTTGAGATTATGTCTTGATTAGAAAACCCTTATTTCCAAATCAATTTTTTTCTTAGATTTTTTTCTAATAAAGTTTCCCTTTCACTCTTATGTACTTATTTGGGTTTTATTTTCATGAATAGCGAAAAGTAAAACGTCAATACCTCCCTTTCCTTCTTTTCTACCTTTCCTTTATTTTCCTTTCCTTCCTTTTATTCTCCTTTCTTTCTTTTCCCTGGCCTCTCTTAATCTTGTTCTCTCTCCTTCTCTCTCATTTTCTTTTGTGGTTATTCATTTGGCTAACTAATTTTTCTAACTTTCATTATTGAAAACTATTTTCTCATTTCCAATTTCGCTCATATATTAGGTTGCCACATATGTTTCGTCGTCTATGTCTGGATATGTTCTTTGTTTTCAAGCCAATTGGTATACAAATGAAATAATTTTATTCTCTCACAGAGACCGAGAGAATATGAAATTACCTTGTTACTATTTAGTGATCTAAAAAATTATAAACTAATTTTCCCTATTTTGCAATTACATACATTTGACTGAGATGCTGGAGACTTTGTCAGAATATTGACTTCTTTTCTAATAAAATATACTAGAGCCAAAATATATCTCTGAATTAATTATAAATTAGAGAGTTTTGGACTTTATTTGGGGCATTAGTTACTGAAATAACTTTTCTAAGATAGTTCTTCTCTAGAGAAGGCAGTCTCCCTCCATGGACTTAGAGGACACCCGTGTAGCCAGCAGAGTTCCAGTTTGCTACCACTGTCTCTTCTCTTTAATTGTTCATATGAATCTAAGAACCAGCTTTTCAAGCTTCATGAAAATAATTGGTAGAAATTTTAATTGAAATAGAATTGAATTTTTACATCATTTTCTTGGAAAAGGTACACTTTTACATTCCTGGATGTTTCTATATATGATTCAAGTTATTTAGGTCTTTAACATGTTTCAATAAAGGTTATGATTTTATAAAAAACGTCTACATATGTTGTGAGATTTATTTTTACTACCTTATATTTTTTGCTGTGCTCAGAGATAACAAATATTTTCATATGAGTTTATTTTATTTTCTAATGTGGACAAATTTCATATAATTCATCTTATATCTGTAGCAACCATCCCAATCACTCTTATTAATTCTGTCTGAAGATTCTTTTGGGGCTTCCGTGTTGAAAACAACACACCTGTATATGCTGATAGCTTTGTTTCCTTCTCAAAAATCTTATGTTTTTTCCTTTCTTCTTATTCTGGCTAATCTTTTTAGAATGATATGGAATAGCAATCAGGACAGTGGATATCATTGTCATATTCTTTAAGAGATGAATTATTTTAACCTATTAAATGTTATTTTTTTCCAGATTTTTATCACATTAGAGAAGTTCTCTTTTATTCCTATGTTACTAAACATGTTTTGTTTTAATTCATGAATGGTTGTTTTATGAATCTGTGGGGATTATCATACTTTTGTCTTTAACTTGTAAATGCAATAAATTATATTAATATATTTTCTAGTGCTGAATTAACTTTGCATTTCTAGAATAAATCTAACTTGGCTGTGTTATTATTTTATTAGATTTGATTTGCTAATATCTAAAAAAGATGTTCCCATCTTGTTTTGTATGTAGGAGAGATCAGCTTATAATGTTTCATTTTTACAGGGTTATTTTCTGTTTTTGCCATCAACGTTAAACTAATGCCATGAAAAAAGGAAAAGTTGGAAAAAGGCTTTCCTTTTTTATTACGTTATAGGCATGTACAAGATAGTAATTTTCCATTTCTGAAATCTGTGTTCAAAACTAGTCTATAAACTGATCTTAGTGTTTACTTTGTAGATACATTTTAAAATATTGCTTCCATTTCTTTAATGATTGTGTAGTTCTAATTTCTGTAATTGGAGTGCTACAATCAGAAATATGTGTTTACATATGAACAGTGTTATACAATATAAAATATATGCAGCATATCGTGCTCTAAAATCTGAAAAACTCTTTAATTTCAAAACAAAAAATATTCCCAAGAGTTTTTGTTAAGAAATCTTAGGTTTCTGGCTGATATTCTATTTTTTTGGCTCAATTTTGGTAAGTTATATATTTTTAAAAATCATTTGTTTCATGTTTTAAAAATTATTTCCATCTAGTTTCTCATAATACTCACTCATAATTTGGAAAATCTCTGCTGCATTTACATGTCTGGGCTTTACTTCTAATACATTTTAATGTACATTCTTTATCAGTCTTGCAAGATGCTGTTTAAAACAAATTTAGCTTTCCAGATCTTCTTTATTGCATCATAGGTTAAAATATTAAATTCTGCTTTTTATTATTCTTTTTTTATTCTGTCTTTGCATTTTTCTTTTTGTAGCTTCATTAATTAGATGTATAAGCCATTATTTATAGACTTCCTCCTTTTCTGATGAAAATATTTATGTTTTTCTTTCACTGCATACCACACGTTTTGCTCTGAATAACTTTTATTATCACCAGTGCTAAGTATTTTCTAAATGCTTACACTGATTCTAAATCAACTACTGATAATTTAGAATTATTTTATATCTCTTTTTAGTACTTTAAAAATTTCTGACTTAATTTTATTTTTGTCAGAAAGTAAGTTCTGTACGTTTTCAATTTTGAAATTTTCTGCGCTTAACTATATTACCGTTTAATCAAAATGCCATTTACTGTTATTAAAATGAATGAATTAATTTTCTAATACTAAAAGTTAACTTTTTATCATCAAAAATCTGAGCTTTAGTTTCTGCAAATGTTAAATGAGGATAAAACTATCTACCTTGATAGATTAGAAATGACATATATTTCTATCACAGTTCCTTGCCAATAGTGGATATTCATAAATGGCAGCTCAATAAATGGACTCTTTTATGTGCATATATGACATATATGTGTGTTTTATTTGATTAGATTAAACCTTCCTGCCTGCCTGCCTTCCTTTCTTCCTTCCTTCCTCCCTTCCTTCTTTTTCTTTTCTTTTCTTTCTGTTCCCTCCTCTTCCCTCCTTTCTTATCTCTTTTCTTTTCTGTTTTCTTCTTTTCGACAGGCTTTTTCTCTGTTGCCCAGGCTAGAGTGTAATGGTGTCATCAGAGCTTACTGTAAACTTGAACTGCTGGGCTCAAGGGATACCCTGCCTCAGCTCCCCAGTAGCTATGACTATAGGCGCAAGCCACCACACCTGGTTAATTAAAAAATAAATTGTAGAGACAGAGTCTCTCTTCTCTTGCCCAAGTTGATCTCAAACTCCTGCTCAAGCAATCCTCCAGTCTTGGTCTCCCAAAGTGCTAGAATTACAGGTATGAGCCACCACACCTAGCCATAAAAGTTTCTTGAAGGGAGGAATGACTCTGATTCTTTTCTGCATCCAACAGTGTTTTCTAATGTTATACATTGCATAAGATACTACTAAATATTATTGTTGATTGACTAATTGATCAGTTGGGTAATTAATTGTAACTCAATCTTTTAGAAATTTCTGTTTTATTCAGATTTCAAATGTTAGTATTAAATATACAAGAAAAGCACAATGATGAATAATGGCCTGTCACTAAAATTATGTTGAATTGACTACACACGACTTTGTTTATGGAGACTCCCTGAAAGAGTGGTCCAAAAAAATCTCCTGTGGAGGAATGTTAAGGGTGAACCTTAATACAAGAGGCCCTAGATAGCTGGAGCTGGGCACAAACGCAAACACACACACACACACACACACACGTACACAGGCATGCCCTAAGCCTTCAGGTAGTTCTATTGCATATATACAGCTTTCTAGAATGATATTATGAGAATTAAAGTATGGAGACCTAATTTCCTCCTGCAACACAACTAGAAAGGCAGTAACGCAATTACAGCAACTGGGCCAGGCGCAGTGGCTCACGCCTGTAATCCCAGCACTTTGGTAGGCTGAGATGGGTGGATTACCTGAGGTCAGGAGTTCGAGACCAACCTGATGAACTTGTTGAAACACCGTTCCTACTAAAAGTGCAAAAATTAGCCAGGTGTGGTGGCAGGCCCCTGTAATCCTGCTACTTGGGAAGATGAGGCAGGAGAATCGCTTGAGCCCAGGAGGTGGAGGTTGCAGTGAGCCAAGATCGTACCACTGCACTCCAGCCTGGGTGACAGAGTGAGACTCCATCTCAAAAAAAAAAAAAAGAATTGCAGCTAATGGACAATGATCCCAGTGTTCCACACAGACAACCAAAAGTAAAGAAAAGGAAACCTCAGCATTTGTGGGAGATATTGAAATGGATGTGACATAAAGAAGTAAATGTAAATGGAAGAATTGGGACAAGTGTTAGTCATCCCCTGTTTTCAATTATACTGCAACTAGTCATACTTAAAGATGACACTGACCCTGTGTCATCCAGCTCTATACACTTAGTCTGTTTCTATTGCCAGACTGATTTTATTCCTCACAGAAAAAATTACATTGTACATAGACTGTCCTCCACCCATACAAAAAAAATTGTGTGCTGCTTCTCAGGCTCATTGGCAAGCTTCTCTCTCTGTCCATTAAATATTGCCTCCCAAAAGCTCATTTCTTTTACTTATCCGAGACATTGTATCTAGTTCTCAGTCTTCAACTCCATTACCTTGGGTGACTTCCATGTTGATATGCATGAACCGTCCAGTGTTTGAACCCCACTGTCTTACCCTGCGTCAGTTTCAAATTCCTTCCTTCTCCTTTTGCTTTTCACCTCACTCTCTCAATCTTTGCCATCGCTGCTTCCTTCATAAGCCATGTATTCTCTCTAACCATAATCTAGTCTCCTTCCACATTAGTTGGTCAATTATTCCCACTCTTGCTGCTCCATTAAATATTCTGAAGAAATACTTTATGCAGCAGTTAGCATTATAACCCTTATACTAACTCACTGACTACTTTCATGTTTAATTTTATTTTCTAAGTATGTATCAAATTTGTTCGTAATTCTAGTCCTTAAAACTATCATAATCGTTTTCCTGGACTACTATAATAGCATACTAACCGTTTCTTTGGACTCACTATGGTTCCTTTTCAATCTGCAGTGAAACTGATGCTTTTGTAAAGCTCGTCTGTTCACCCCTCTCTTACCACTACCCCCAAGCACAAAGTATTATACCATAGACTTCCATTGCTTTTCAAAAAAAAAAAAAAGGACCTAAATTTCTAAATGCTCTAAGTCTTGACAAAGTCTACTACCCAATGTTTTCTCCTGGCTCACAGGCCTTCCTTCTTTCAGTTTCTAGAAAGCCCCACGTTACTTCCTGCCTCAAACCTGAGGTCTGCAGCCTTCATCACCACCCTTCCACCTCAGCTTCTCTCTCCAGTCAATTCTTACTCTCCTTTCAGAATAATACTTGGTTATTATTTTATCTGAGAAGCCTCTCTGATCTACGAAGTGACTAGTATGTTTACTTCTCTCTGAACTCCATGCATTTTATTTACAAACACTAATCGAAGTTGTAATTTTATGTCAATTTGTGTCAATCTTTGATTAGTAACTATAAGCTTCATGACAGCAGGGATATTGTCATTTTTTGTTTTGTGAAATGGTTGTGAGGGGGGCAGCTGTTCATCTTTGTATCTGCAGCCCCTAGAAAAATGTACATGTAAAAAATATACTTGTAGGAACAAATAAATAATACTAATTATGCTCCCTTCCCAATTTAAGTCCGCTGAGCTGTTTCTCAGCTTCTTCATCTCTGCAGGTGTTCTTACTTATATTATTTGAACGACTTTTTTTTTTTTTTTTTTTTTTGAGACAGAGTCTTGCTGTGTCACGCAGGCTGGAGTGCAGTGGCGTGATCTCGTTTCACTATAACCTCTGCCTGCTGGTTCAAGCAATTCTCCTACCTTGGCCTCCTGAGTAGCTGAGATTACAGGTGCCTGCCACCATGCCTGGCCCATTTTTTTTTTTTTTTTTGGATTTTTAATAGAGATGGGGTTTCACCATGTTGGCCAGGCTGGTCTCAAACTCCTGACCTCAGGTGATCCACCTGCCTCAGCCTCCCGAAGTGACAGGATTACAGGCATGAGACACAGCGCCTGGCCCTATTTTAACAATGTTTTAACTGTTTTTTTTCCCTCAAATGCTAATATTAAAATACATTTAAAATTCAGTAGTGTTTTAAAAGTTATACACATGTGATAACATTTTTTGTGAGGATAGTAAAATGTTACTATCAGAGGGGCAGGGGGATCATGATCTGGAAGGAGAACATGAGATTCAAAGGTATAGTAATGCTCTATTTACCAAGCTGGGTTTGTGAACATGTGTGAATATTATCACTTTTTAAACTATATATATGCTTTATATACACAGTATATAATACAATTCTTTCAAAACAAAAATATTCAACTAAATATATTTCTTACTCTTAGGACATTATAGGATCCTATTTTTAATGGGACTCTAGTAAATTGGCACCATTACTGGTTATAGTCAATCAATCAAAAAGTCTTATGATCAACTGCAGAGGGAAGAAGAGTAGAAACATCAGTTGGATACTCAGACATTATCAGGTGAAGGAAAAGCAACCCATGGAGTAGAAACCCTAGGTGGTTTCTGAAGACATAAGGAGATAGAATGTATTATTTTAAAGACATCTATCATTATTTATCATCTACCTTGGTCTTGATGACAAAAAATGCAATTTATCAGCACTTGAAACCAATATGTCTATTTGTAGCTTTAAACAAAGCCTCCCATATCAGAATATAAATTTGAAAAATATATATTTTGAAAAATATAATTGTACCAGGAATTGGAACACTTAATTTATACAATTTATTCATCTACTTATTCATTTATTTAACAATTATTTGTCAAGCTTCAGTTATGTATCAGACACTATTCTGCTGCTGGAAATGTAATAGTACTGTGTAAAAAGTAAAATATTTGGTTTTTTTTTTCGTTTTGCAGAAACTGATCACTACCTCTTTGATAAAATACTTGTTTCATTTAACTTCCAAGACAGCCCAATCACCTTGCCTCTACTCTCCTCTTCTTCCCTCACCAGTTAATCACAATTTTTTTTTTTTTTTTGAGTTGGAGTCTTGCTCTGTCGCCCAGGCTGGAGGGCAGTGGTGCGATCTCGGCTCACTGCTAGCTCCGCCTCCTGGATTCACGCCATTCTCCTGCCTCAGTCTCCTGAGTAGCTGGGACTACAGGTGCCCGCCACAAAGCCCGGCTAATCTTTTGTAGTTTTAGCAGAGACGAGGTTTCACCGTATTAACCGTCTTGATCTCCTGACCTCGTGATCCACCCGCCTCGGCCTCCCAAAGTGCTGGGATTACAGGCGTGAGCCACTGAGCCCAGCCAATCATAAATTTTTATAAGACTTTTTGATTGACCATAGGACATTAAATAGTTTTTTGGTTTATATTCTCATAGGGAGAGGAAAATAGTACAAAAATGAAATACTATATATTAAGTGTTGTTAAGGGATATGAAAAAAAATAAACCAAGTAAGGAGCTGACAACTGATGAGAAGAGCGTTCTTTTTAAATAGGGTAGACAGGAAATGCTTCTCTGAAGAGGGGAAATGGAGTCATATAAATATCTCAGAAAACATCACGTGTGAAGGACCCAAGTGAGAAACACTTTTGACTAGCTCAAGGATCAGTGGGAAAACAATGGCAAATTGAGACAAAGACTGACTAGTAGAAGATGAGGTCAGGGGTGGGTGGTGGGCAGAGATGTGCAGATCATATAACATTTTGAAGGTTCTGATATGAATTCTGGACTTTATTCTGAGTGAAAAGGACATTTATGGGTGGGTTTGAAGAAGATCTACCTCATGATCTGACATATTTTTTAATTTATTATTTTTTAAAATTATGGTTAAAATGCATAAAACATAAAATTTACCATCCTATTTTTGAGTCTACAGTTCAGTAGTGTTAAGTACATTCACAGTGTTGTGCAACCAATTTCCAGAACTTTTTCATCTTGCAAAATCGAAACTTTATACTCGTTAAACAATTACTCTCAATTTTCCACCGCATCTAACTCCTGGCAACCAGCATTCTACTTTCCATTTTTAGATACGCCTAGATATCTCATGTCTAGAGTAGTTTGGCTACTCTAGATACCTCACATAAGTGGAATCATATTTGTCTTTTTGTGAGGGGTTTATTTCACTTAGCATAATATCCTCAAGGTTCATGCATACTGTAGCATATATCAGAATTTCCTCCTTTTTAAAGCTAAATAATATTCCATTGCATGTATATATTACATTTTGTTTATCCATTCATCTGTAGGTGGACATTTGACAATAAGCTTCTACCTATTGGCTATGGCTGCTATGAACAGGTCTTCACAACCCTGTCTTCAATTCTTTTGAGCATATATCCAGAGATGAAATTGTTGGATTTAATCTGACATATTTTAAAAGGATCATTCTGGATGCTGTATGGCAAGAAGACAAGGTGAAAGCTAGAATAACATAAAAACAGGAAGACCAGCCAGAGGGCTATTGACAAATTCAAAGAGAGTGATGGTGGTATCTCAGGCTGGAATTGTAATGATGTAGATGGTGATAAAATGGCCAGATTTTGGTAGGGCTAACTAAATGTGTTTCTGGATTAGAAGTGGAGTCTGAGAGAGAAAGAGGAGTTCTTGATGACTCTAAGCAGTTTGGCTTGAGCAATTACAGCAAAAGAGGCAGGAAGAGGAGGGATAACAGGAGCGGTTCACCCTAAGGTGTGAGAGTGAAGAAGTGTATGGTTTAATATTGAAGAAAACGTCAAGCGGTCAATTACATATTTTTATATTATTTAGGGGAATGTTAGGGTCTAAAAGTATATATCTGGGAATTGCCATGAGTGTGTAGATGGTATTTTAAGGCCACAAGACAGGATGAAATTCCCCAATGAGTGAATATAGATGGACAAAAGATGTTCAAATACTGAGTTTTGGGACTACCTGATATTTAGAGATCGGTAAGAGAAGAATCACCTGGTGGAGAGAGGAGAGAAGAATGGGTCATGAAGGAGAGGAGAGGCAAGGTGAGTGGTCTGTCTTGGAAGTGAAAGGAAAAAAGTATTTTATCAAAGAGGTAGTGATCAAGGGTTTCAAAAGCTGCTGACAACAAAAATACTTAACAGAAGAGGAAATAAAAATGTCCTTTCAGCATCTGAAAATAAACTAATTATGCCTAATAAAAGAAATATAAATTTGAACTATATTGGAATACCACTTATTATCTATTAGTTTGAAAACCATGCAAAAATTTGACAATATTCCCTGATAGGAAAGTTGTGGGGGAATTAAAGCCTTCCTATTGTTGGTGGGAATAAACAATAATATAACCTCTACAGAGAAAAACTGAGCAATAATTAAAAAATAATGTATGCATTTATTCTTGACCCTGTCACATTTAGGAACCAATTCAAAAATATGCAAGAAAAAAGTACATAACAACTAATTTTCAATGACATAAAACACAACAAATTAGCCACCCCTCCCCTTCAACAATAAAACATTCGGAAGGAGCTGCTTATTTAAAAAGGCCGTAAAACACCTAAAAACCAAATATATGTGAATCTTGTCTGGATTCTCTTTAGAATAAATCAATTATGCAGACATATTTTTGAAACAATAGGCAAAGTATGACTACCAAATAAATATTAACTTTATTGTTAACTTTGTCATTGTTTGTTCTATTAGATGTGATAATGTCTACAGCAGAAAAATGTTTCCATTTTATAGAAATGCATATTGAAGTAGATAGTGACAAAATGCTGTAACATGAAGCATTTGCTTTAAAATGTTTCAGCCCCATGTTCTTTAAATACTTCAACAAAGGAAAAAAAATGCAAATGTAAAAAAATCTTCATAATGCTTGAATCTGAGAAATAGGTGAAGAGCATGGTTTGAGTATGTATGGGCTTAGAATCATGCCTTCTAGGTTTATCCATGATGATACACAAAGCAAAATTTCCTTCTTTTATGAGAATGAATAATATTTTATGTTTTATATATCTCACAATTTATTTATCTACTTATAATGGAAATTTAGATTATTTCTATACCTTGCCTACTGTGAATAATGCTGCAATACACATAGGAGTACAGATATCTCTTTGGGATATCTGTATATATACACCCAGAAGTGGAGATTACTGGATCACATCACAGTTTTATTTTTAATTTTCTGAGGAAATTCTGTACTGTTTTTCATAATGGCTGTACTATTTTGCATTCCCACTAACAGTGTACAAATCACAGAAGGACAAATACTACACGATTCCACTTATATAATGTATCTAAAATAGTCAAAATCAAAGAAACAGATAGTAGAATGGTAGTTGTCAAAGGTTAGAGAGAGAAGGAAATAGGAGGCTGCTTTTCAATGGATAATAAGTTTCAGTTACACAGATGAATAAATAACAGAGACACTTGATAGTGTTTGGCTGTGTTCCCTCCCAAATCTCACCTTAAATTATAATAATCCCCACGTGCCAAGGGCAGGGCCAGATAGATATAATTGAATCATAGGGGTGGGTCTTTCCTGTGCTGTTCTCGTGATAGTGAATGAGTCTCATGAGATCTAATGATATTATACAGGGGAGTTCCCCTACACATGTTCTCTTGCCTGTCGCCATGTAAGACCTGACTTTGCTCCTCCTTTGTCTTCTGCCATGATTTTGAAGCCCAGAAATGTGGAACTGTGAGTCAATTAAACCTCTTTCCTTTATAAATTACCCAGTCTTAAGTATGCATTTATTAGCAGCATGAGAACAGACTAATACACCTCTATATAATATTGTGCCTATAGACAACAATGTTGTATTGTGCACTTAAAAATTTTAAAGAGTAGATCTCATGTGAAGTATTTTTAGCAAATTATAATGCGTAATAATAAAGAAATATGTAAGGGTTATATGGGGTCTTGTATTATTTTTTATTTGCTATATGTTGAAAACTATTAATAGTCTTAAAGCTGCTAATATCACATAATAAGAGGACCAATTGACTGTTGGTCATGGCATTATGGTGGTCAACTTAACAAGAACTGTTTCAGTGGTCAGACTAGGATAAAATTCTGCTTTGGATATGTTCAAAAGAAAATAAGAAGAATTATCAAGAGACTACAGAAAACTATTAAGAAGAATAATGTAGAAGGAAACAAAGAATTAGAGAATAGTAAGGAGGGGTATGTGAGATCAAACTTTAAAAAATGCTGTGAATTATTTCAATATATTTTGATACAATCAGCTGATTCTCTCCGCACAAAGAATCCATAAATAGAAATTCTGTTGACAAACATGTCATAAGGATGAATGGGGTTAGAAAAATTAACATAGACCCTTTGTATTTATTTTATAATAGGAATGTTTTTCAGTGGGACATACTGGGAGACCCTTAGGTAAAATGCTGTCATCCCTGGGAAGATGGATATACCAGTGTTTCCAATGCTGTTTTTTTCTCTAGTATTCCATAGATTCTCCACCTCTTTCCAACTGACACATTCTTTCTTTAAATATGTGAATACATTCAGTTTTGTCACAGAATATCTTGACCTCAGGAGTACTGTTTCCTAGGGAGGCGTCACATAACTCTTCTCTGGGTTATAATGAGTTAGTCTCAAATTTTACTCTCCAACAATGCTATTGGTTTCTTAAAAATAATGGCATTAATTTTATCCTCTGTATACTGAGAATATGTGAAATTTGGGAACAAGCTTTATGAAGCAATTACTTTAAAATGTAAGTGAGCAGTAATTGAAAGCTACCAGGCTATTAATCCTTCTTAACTTGCTGAACATAAGTGATATTTAAGCTTGTATTAAATATTATAGTATTGAATGTTTTTTGATGCTGCTATCTTGTCTATAAAATGTTGTTAACTAGAAGGGGTTTGGTAGTTTTAAATTTCTTCCTTTGTGGGTTATAAAGGTATGTGTAAATATAGTTATGTCCCTGAAATTCCAGAGATTAATACAAATGTTTAAATATTAGATTGATATATTTTACATGGATTAAAAAATACAAAGATTTTTAAAAATTTGGGTCAGTGAATAACTGTTTATTTTTGAATGTATTTCAGTTTGCTTATGTTTTTATTCCCTCACAACCAAAAATTATTACTTTGAAAACAGAGTAGCTTCTTATGCTTGTACTTGCGATGCTTTTCATATTAAAAGGTACTTTCACAATTACTTTATTTTGAACAAGCTAATACTGTTTGGGTAAGACATACTCTTCTAAAATAACCTTAATCAAAACCACTGTTCATTTTGAATGAGATCATCAGTTTCAATTAGAAAAAATTCAAAAGGACTTTACATGTTTGAATAATATTTTCTTAAAGTGTCAGTATCTACATTGCAAATGTTCATGGTGTTTTAATTCAGTCCTTTAAAGAATACTTTATAGAACTCTATAAAATTTATTATAGTATAATAAGTGGTTTATATTTTGAGATCACATATTCACACTTATAAGACAAATTTTTCAAAAGATTGTCTTAATACTTTTTATATGGGATAAAATCTCCAGGGACAATATCACACCTAAATTGAAAAGGTGATATTTTTTACAACTCAGAAGAAAGTGAAGATGATGATCTTTTAAAAATGTGTGAGATGGCTTGAAAACTCATCCTTATTTTGACAAAGCCTCTGACATTAAAGATGTATTTTTAAAGATTGACTACAGTTTGAAATAAAATGTAGTAGTGGGAAGAAAGCAATATTTCAAAATGAATATATTTTACACAATTTTAGTAATAATAATCATGGTGAGAAATTAGTGCAAAATCTAACACTTGATTTTTCCTGTCAACATTTGTACCTCTCAGATTCTTCATATTTCAGGAATTACCAGCTCCATTTTTATACTTGCTCAGGTCCACAATCTTGAGATTGCCTTTAATTTTGCTTTCTTACACACCTTGCATCTAGCCATCACAAAACCTCATTCATTGTAACTTCAAGAGATATTGGAATTCTGCCACTTCTCACTCACCACTACTCTCTCATACTACTTTAAGCATCTGTGAAATCTTTCCTACATTACAGCAGTAGGTTCACCACATCCAGTATCCTCTCCCAATAGTCTAATGCAACATAGGAGCTAAAATGACCCTTTTAAAACAGAAGTCAAATCATGTTACTTATATGATCAAAATATTCCATGAGGTATTTCTCTCAAGGAAACAATAAGGTACTGAAAATGGCCTACAGAGTAATTCATGTCCTCGCACACTTCCAGTCCATTGCACCATTGACTACTACTCTTGACCTCACTTTCAGAGTTATGGCCAAGAAAACCTCCCTACTTACTCTCAGTACAACAAGCACAGTTCCACATGTGGACTTTGCATTTGCTGTTCCCTTTATCTAGAATGTTATTTCCCAGAAACTCAGGTTATTCTCTCCCTTGTCAGTTATGTCTCTCTTCAAATACCTTGTTATCAGAACAACTTTCTCCAGAAATATTGTAGAACAATCATATATTGTAGATTTTATGCCTCAGACCTGGAATTAGCCAATTATCCTAGTATCTCTGTTTCCTTTTCATGGGAGACAGTATTTAGAAAACACAGTTTGGGCAAAGGAGTGTCATTTCTAATGGTGAACAATATTAGAACTTCTGTGTGTATGTGTGTGTGAGTGTGCACGCATGTGCATGTGCACGTGTGTTTTCCAACCTTTATAATTTTCTATCATACATCTACATTAATATAGACATACATGTAGAAGAAGAAATACACATGTAGGTATTTTAAAAATAAAATGTCGTTTGATGTTACTTGAAATTTCTATTCATATTCAGTAAAACTTATCCTCTTCAATGTTATGTGTGTAACTCCTTTTCCCCACAAAGAAGATTAAGAATTGCAAGGATACCAGAAATGATAAAAGTAGAATTGTGGCCAGGTGCAGTGGCTCATGCCTGTAATCCCAGCACTTTGGGAGGCCAAGGTGGGCAGACCACTAGGTCAGGAGTTCAACACCAGACTGATCAACATGGTGAAACCCTGTCTCTACTAAAAATAAAAAAATTAGCCAGGCATGGTGGTGTGCACCTGTAATCCCAGTTTACTCAGGAGGCAGAGGCAGGAGAATCGCTGGAACCCGGGAGGCGGAGGTTGCAGTGAGTTGAGATCATGCCACTGCACTCCAGCCTGGGTGACAGAGCGAGAATCCATCTCAAAAAATAAAAATAAATAAAATAAAAAAGTAGAATTGTTTATTGTAATCTAGATTACACACAAAGTTTCTTCAGAATAATAACACCAACATTGCCACTGATTTACATTTTAAAAGTATGTTCTGTAAATGCTGTATCCATTCTCTCCTATTGTACCCATGATCAGAACACTACAGTCAATACAAATTATACTCTCTCCTTTTTATCCTCTGTCAGTTTTCATTTTATAGGTAAATTGCAGCATCTGTAATGCTCACCAGAAGTCTTTATGTCAAAGTATCTCCAGGCATTTTGATTGCCTGAAGCTCATTCTTTAGTAGATTTTAAGAAAATACTTTTTAAAACAACATTCCTTGAAAACTTGCATACTCTTGACGACAAATTTTCTGCAACTTTTATGCTTGAAAATAAGTTTGGCTAGACATAAACTTATCATTTTCTTCATTTTTTAAATTTAATCTGTTTTCCTTTTAAAAATTTTCTATTTCCCTGAAAATATTGCCAGCGTATTTGCTCTTTTTGGTCTTTATTTTAGAAACAATTCCTTCTTTTATTTCTGATTCTTTCCTGATTTCTATCCCCTCATTTCTGAATTATATTGTTCTTAAACTTTGAATGACTTTTCCTTTATCTTTTAAGCTATTTTAATGTATTGATGTTTTGTAGACATTTCTTCTGTCCTATTTTCATTGCCTCTATGGACATCATTCATTCTTTCTTAGACTCTGTCCCTCTCTCTTTCACAATAATTGTTGTTGATGAAAAAGCCGAACTCTGTAATATGTTAGAAGAGGTATATTGTGAGCCAAATGTGAGGAGCTTGGCCCATGATGCAGCCTCGGGAGGTCTTGAGAACATATGCCCAAGGTGGATGGGATGTAGCTTTGTTTTAGATATTTTTTTAAAAATATAAGACCCCAATCAATACTGTGAGATATGCATTAGTTTGGTCCAGAAAGGCAGGACAACTTGAAGCAGGGACTTACAGGTCATATGTGGATTCAAATATTTCCTGATTGGCAACTGGTTGAAAAAGTTAACTTATTATCTAAAGAGCTGGAATCTTTAAGGCCTGTTTTCTGTCATGTGATGTTATAAGCTGGTATCTTATTGCTATGAAGAGTATCAGTGTCAGCCTTAGAGTCTCTATTTTAATGTTAATGCTGGTCAGTTACATGTAAAATCCAAAAGGGAGAGAGTTTAATGAGACATATCTGACCTCTCCTTCCCATTATGGCCTGAATGAGTTTATCAGGTATTCTTGGCGTCCCCTTGACTAAAAGAAGGGGTCTATTCAGTTGGTTGGGGGGCTTAGAATTTAATTTTTGTTTTATGTTTTATTTGGGAGTTATTTTGTCAATTTAATTGTATTAAACTTTAAAATAGAATTTCTAATTTCATAGATCTAAGTCTCTCTCTTCTGTTATTTTTGTAAAGAGTTAAAAAATAGCAACTTATTTTCTAAGAACTCCTGGCTATTTCTCCCTATCAATTTTATCCAAATTCCTTTTTCCTTTGCCTCTATTTTTTTCTAATTTATTTGAATTCTAGTTAGGTAAACTTCTGCTCATCAGGTAGTATTATCATGGAAAAGAAATGAAACTAGTTCAAGAGCTCTTAGGATGCAGGATACCCTACACTGGACTTCACAGAGATTCATTGTTCTCAACCACTATCGGTACGTACACCTTCCCAATTACAGCTACTAGTCTCAAAATAATTTGCTAAGCTTTCAATTAAGTACTATTTTGTGTGTGTGTGTGATTTCAGACTTATTAGATGCCCATTCGCTTTCTTCTGTTCTCATGCAAAGAGACTATCAGAGGTCTGCCTCCACCCACTTGCATTTTGGTAATTACAAGGATACATTATCGATTTTTTTTTCTGTAGATACTGTCGATGTCTTTGTTTTGCTAATTGCTCTGTATGGTTGGTCTGCTTTCTTTCCAGAATTCCTCTCTCACTTTTACAAGTTGAATTGACTTTACTTGATACCAGAAATCTGAGGAGAATAATAAAATCTGGAAAAAGATGCTTGGTTCAAATGTTGACAAATTATGGATACCTGTGGGCATCTTTATTAATTGATTGATATTGTTTAATCATAGTATGCTACTGGTCAAAATATTTGAATAAAGTTGCCATCTTATATAGAAAATAAGGTTAAAAAAATCTAGGGATCTTCATCAATGTTCAACTACCAGCGTCTTTCTGCTCCTTTACTTGCAATGTCCCTGGGAGAGAGAAATGACATATTTGCTGCTAAGCTTGAGAAACAAAAAAATAGAGTGCATGTGCAGTGCCTTTACATTATCCCTTCTACTTATGAGAAACACACCTTCATACTTTGAGTTTTACAGGGACAAGACCTCAAGTGAAGGAGATGGAGTACTCTTCAGTTGTCAGTTCTGTTGTGACCGGTAAGGGGTCTAACTCCTGGCCTAAATCCCACTTATGATCACCCTACTGATTGCTGTTGCTCATCTCAAAATGATTTGCTGAGCAATTGCAATGTCTCCACCTGTAGACTCCTCAGGAAAGCTGCCCTCCCCACACCAACCTGGTACACAACCAGTGCATTGCAGTTTCTGAAGGAAATTGCAGTCAAGGACTCAGCAGCTGTTTCCATACCTCCTTCTTCTCTTCACACCGACCATGATCTTAGACATATCTGCATTCCTAGCCTAGGCACCTTCATTTGTTGGCTTCTTTACTGAAGCCCTTCACCAAGCCTCTGATATAGTTTGGATATTTGTTCCTGCCCAAATCTCATGTTGAAATGTAATGCTCAATGTCGGAGGTGGGTCCTGTGGAGAGGTGATTGGATGATGGGGGCAGTTTCTCATGAATGGTTTAGCACCATCCCCTTGGGGCTGTCCTTGTGATCGTGAGCGAACTCTCGTGAGATCTAGTCATTTAAAAGTGTGTGGCACCTCCCTGACTTCTCTCTCACTCCTGCTCCTGCTTTTACCATATGATGTGCCTGCTCCCCCTTCTCCTTCCACCATGATTATAAACTCCCTCAGGCCTCCTGAGAAGCTGATCATATGCTAATGCCATGCTTCCTGTAAAACCTGCAGAATGATGAGCCAATTAAACCTCTTTTCTTTATAAATCAGCCAGTCTCAGGTATTTATTTATCACAATGTAGGAACAACCTAACACAATTACTATATCTGATAATTCAGTCCTTTTCAGCTCATTCCAGCTCTAGACAGCTGAGTGAGTAAATTTTTCTAATTCTGGCCATCAGTATTAAGAAGCCTACTGGCTTAAATATATGTTACATGTCCAGTAGCAATCTCAATATGTCTTATTTTTCTTTTTTATTTGGTTTAGAATCCAAATGAGGAAAACAAAATGTTATATATTGACTTCCTCAAAACCATAACGTTCTCCTGGCCTTGGGCTGAAATCTTGGGGAATAAACAAGAGTGAAATTTGTAAAAAAAAAAAAAAAAAAAAAAAAAAAAGACTCGAATGTCAAGCTTTTGTTGGGCTGGGTATATGGGGTTAGTACCCTGGAAGTTCACAATAGCCTATATTGTGCATTACGGCTAGTCTTTATAGTAGTCTAATCAACTTTTTTAAAAAACTGATATGGCCTGGACAAACACTTTTAATCCTTTGGTCATGTGATTTTTTACTTCAATGTACACTTCAGCTTATGGCAGCTTTAACCACAGGCTAGAGGTTGTTTCAATATTTGCTAAATTGACTGTGAGGAAGAGTATACAGGGCTCAGCAAAATTGTGGTACACTGAGACTGCATTAAAGGAATAGAGAAAATGGTGGGAAATAAAATGATTACTCCACACCCACAGCTTTAGAAAAAACTGTGGCAGAAAGAAAAGATGCTGAGAGACTAGCATGTGCAAAAGTTAAGGAAGAGCAAAGTTTTAAGTACATAGCTAAGTATCCATCCCCAAAGATTCTAAATGTGTTTGATTCTGATGAAACAAAGCAACTTTAGATCAGGACTTTGCTGAGGATGATCGTCCAGTGGAAAAAAAAAAAAAATGGGAAGAGAGGAGAGAAATCACCTTTAGTGTTGCAAAGGGCTAAGAAATTCCATAGGCAGAGGAACTCATTCAAACTACTGTGGCACACGAATAAAAATGCTCACAAAAGACAGTTAAGCCTCTCTCCCTTGTAACCACCTTTCATGCGGTGTGGGGGTTCAGTAAACACAGGCTGAAAGGGCAAATGCAAACTAATAAGCTTTTATTACATGACAGGTACCTCAGACAAGACCTAACCATTGGATTTCATTTGCTGCAAATTTCAAAAGTACTATATAAAAGAGCTATCTCAAAGGCCCCTGATCCAGACTTAGCTTAGGGTGGCTTCACTAGCCTACATTCCTGGCCTCTATTTGCTTCTTTGCTCTCTTCTTTTCTGGTAAAGACAAGAGACTTCTTCTTCTTGCTCTTTTTTTTTTTTTTTTTTTTTGAGACTGAGTTTCGCTCTTGTTGCCCAGGCTGGAGTGTAATGGCATGATCTCGGTTCACCGCAACCTCCACCTCCCGGGTTCAAGCGATTCTCCTGCCTTAGCCTCCCGAGTAGCTGGGATTACAGGCATATGCCACCACGCCTGGCTAATTTTGTATTTTTAGTAGAGACGGGGTTTCTCCATGTTAGGCTGGTCACAAACCCCCGACCTCAGGTGATCCGCCTGCCTCAGACTCCCAAAGTGCTCGGATTACAGGTGTGATCTGCTGTGCCCGGAGACAAGAGACTTCTTTAGATGATATGTTCAGGAGAGAAATTGAACATGCCTACTTTACTCTTTTCTCGTCTCCTATTTTTTGAACCAGCTATCTGTGGGAAGTATTCATTCTGTTCCACTTTTCTATGTTTTAGTTTTAATTTTATTTTTTTAAAGTGACAGTGAATTTATTGAGAAAGTAAAGGAATAAAGAATGGCTACTCCATAGACAGAGCAGCCTGTTTTAGGTTTAACATGGTCACAGGCTCTTGCATGGAGAGACTTTCCATTACCTAGTGCTGCTCATGACTGGGTATGTCAGTATTGAAAAACTCCCTTACATAACGATATGAGTAGCATAATTAGCATGAGTCTCATAAATAGCAAAATGATCAGCTTTGTCAGTAATAAATATGCTATTTTTTAAATATGCCTTACTTTTTAATATTATTTTTAAATTGATTCTAATTTGTCCAGTCAACGAGGGCTATTATGTATTTACTCCCACAAAAGCCCAAAACCTGCCACTTGCAGCTTATCTTGTGTTATAGACTCCTCTCCTTTCTGCTCCTACTCTATTCTCCCCACATGCTCATACCTTATACTGCAGTCACCACAAGTGACCCATAATTCTCCATACATACCTCATAGTTTGTGCCTTTGTTCAAGTTAATCCAGTTGCAACATTATTCTCATAGAAAAACTGCTCATCATTTATGATTCACTATAAAGGCATCTTCCTTTTCTCCTTGGCTCTGTTCCCAAGACAGAATTAATATGTGCCATAGGCACCCAGTGCTCCCTAGGACACACATGTAGCCTACCTGGTGTGCTTAGCTGTAAGTCTGCTGTCTTAGCTTGGGCTGTCATAACAAAGTACTGTGGACTGCATGGTTCAAAAATCAGAAACATATTTTCTCACAGATCTGGAACCTAGAAGTCTAAAATCAGGGAACCAGCATGGCCAGATTCTGGGGATAACCCTCTTCCTGGCTGTTATAGCACTGCCTTCTCACTCTATTCACAGGATGGAGGTGAGAAAGAGCGAGTTCTCTGGTGTCTTGTCTTATAACACTAATCTTATTAGATCAGGACTCCACCCTCATGACTTTGTTTTATCTTAATTACTTCCATAAAAGCCCAAGTCCAAAATATAGTCAGTCATACCAGGGGGTTAGGGCTTCAACCTATGAATTGGGGATAGGGAACACAGTTCAGTCCATAGCACCTACTTTTCATGGCAAGAATATTATACACTTCATAAGGGCAGAGATTTTCTTGTGTAACTTTGCTTATCCCACAGCCACCAGCACAGCTCTGCATGATCAGGAACATTATTTTCTTATGGATACCTACCATTTTCAACCTAATTCTAATTACACATGTTAAAGCTATCACATATCTCTTTCTGTTCTAAGCCTTTTGTGCTGTGACCTGTATATATTGGAAATATATTACTATACATCTGTTCAAAAGTTATGTCTTTCATAATTATGTAGGAAGAAGCATCATCAAAATTAAAAATAGAAATAAAAATAAAGGTGAAAAGTAAATCACAAAAGCAAAGCCAAGAAAAGCATTTAAAGAAAGACTCATGCTAAGAAAAAGACAAAGTATTTCTTTCATTACATCATAGTAAGAAACACTAAAGGTAAGTAAATAAATGTGGTGCTATTTAATACAGAGCTGATAGCCTGTGAACAGAGAAACCCATTTTATTTCTCTGCATTTCCCATGTCACTGACCGCCTTGCTTGGTGCTAACATTTCACGGCATTTTATTGAATCACGTCCCAGGCATCCTTAAATTTCTAGAGCACAATAGAAAATCTGGTTTATATCTACCATGTAAGTCAATGTTAAACTAAAAGTTAAATGAAAGTTTGAAATAAGTAGAAAGTGTTTGCTATGACATGGACTTTTGTTATAATAAATTAACAGAGAACATATTAACTTTAGAAAGAAAAGAAGAAAAGTATTTTTTTGGAAAGTACTAATGTTTTCTAGCCAAGTTTATAACATGATTTCAATATTTTAGGCTGATTTCCCAAAAGATTGACTTTTCAAAATTTTGTAATTTCTGCGGGAATTCTCCTCTGAGATCTTACTGCTTCTGAGAGGCAGAGTTCATGATAATTTTAATATTCCAAGACATTTAAAACCTTGCTAGGTAAAAATTCTTTATAAAATATGATGTGAAAACATGATTGTTTTCCTAATTAATAACCAAAAATTGTCAAATGTATTTTTGATGTTTAGCTTTTGGTTCAGTTTATTATCTGTACTACTTTGGTTTATTATAATATGCTCACTTAAAGGTAACTTATTATCTCTTCTTCCTGCTTCCCTTTACCAAACATGTATATCCAGCAGTGTTTCTATATTGATTGTTACAACGTCAACAAATCAATCAAGCAATTTGGAAACTTGGAGTTATTCTTCAGTTTTTTTCCTTACATGCTATATTCCATCTATCACACAATTTTGTGGATGTTTTTCATTAAATATTTCTTGATTTTTGCTACTATTTTCTATCCCTACAGCCATTGTCAACAATTATGAACATTATCTCTTATCTGGATTACTGAAAGAAACTTCCATTATTCTCACAGCTTTATCTGCCCCCTATTTTTTATCAATGTTTTCACCTACCTATTGGCAGGGTGATTGTTCTAAAATAAGAATCATCATGTTAATCCTCTGATTTAAACCAACAGTGGATCATCTTTATTAATAACACGAAGTTATATTCATTAGTATATAAAATACTCTCCAAAATCCAGTAATTTTCTGTAATTCCAGTCCCATCCATCATCTTTCTCTTTCATAGCCTGCACTTCAGATATAAGTAATCCTCTTTAGTTTCCTGAAAATACACTTAAGACTTTCTTTATATTACCTTTGGCCAGACTTCTTTCTGTCTTCTGATTGTCCTCATATCCATTCACACTTTAATATCCCTATCAAACTTTTTCTCTTCTTTAAAGACTCCCTCTCATCCCAGCCAATGTCAGTTAATTTATAACATTTGTCATATCCTATTAGTTTGAATTTTTATTGCATTTCTTCTGAGCTCTACCAGTTCCTGGTTTATTTATTTTTGTCTTGCCATATTTTCCCTGAATTCTTGTATCTGTGCCTTAGTTCCTTATTTTATAATTATGATTTCTGTATTGTTTTGTATATTCATGACCATGTGTATGGGTATAAGCTTGATTTATGGTATGAAAATATTTTTCTGGCTAAGATTTTTACTTGCCATTTGCCTTTCTTATTTCCTTTCTCCTTTTGCCATGAAACATCTTATGTTCCTGTAGGTTTCTTTTGATTATGACTTTCCTTTCTAAGAGATTGTCTTGGACCAAGAAACTTACATTGAGGAGAAAAAGATAGAACCTAGTTTCTGACTAGCAAGAATTCTCTGTGATGCAGATGTGTGGGTGTGTGTGTGTCTGTATGTGTGTGTCAGAGAGAGAGAGAAGAGAGATCATTTAGGCTTCACTCCTCTTCATGCCACAGAGGTTTGAAATCATGGGTCAGCTTACAGTGTGTTCTTTTTCACCATGCTTCATCTATAAACCTCTTTCTGTAAATTTGACTTGTCTATTTCGTTTAGGAAAGTTTTTCAAGCAAGTAATTGTGATGATTTTCATTGTTCTAGACAAGGTTTTTTGTTGTTATTGTTTTATGTTTTTTGTTTTGTTTTGTTTTGTCTTCAGGTATGTGCCACATTTCTCAAAGTATGATTTTCTACTAGCATTATCTGATGTCAGCAGTGACGAATGTCCTCTCTCAATGTCGTGTGACACTTCTTTTTGACCTTGATTGCTACTTAGTCCAGAGATATAGTTATCTATCTATTTCATAGAAGATATTTGGGTTTTTTATTCATGCTCTTCTAACCACTTTAAGTGATTTCTGAGAAGGGCAGTGGGGAATGTCATCTTTCCTTTACTGTATGAAATAAAAGCAATTATACTGTATTAAAATCATTATTACAAGTGAAATTGGTCTTACAGATTGAGGGTATCTTGAGGATAGAAAATATATTTTTGTTTGTTTGTTTGTTTTTGTTTTTGTTTTTAAACAGAGTCTTGCTCTGTCACTAGGCTGGAGCACAGTGGCATGATCCCAGCTCACTGCAACCTCTGCCTCCCAGGTTCAAGCAATTCCCCTGCCTCAGCCTCCCGAGTAGCTGGGAATACAGGCACGTGCCACCACGCCTGGCTAACTTTTTGTATTTTAGTAGAGATGGGGTTTCACCATGTTGGCCTTGATCTCCTGATCTTGTGATCCACCTGCCTCAGCCTCCCAAAGTGCTGGGATTACAGGCATGAGCCACTGCGCCTGGCCAATATTATGTATTTTTTAATTCACAGTTTTTATTCTAGATTATACTATATTGCAAATGTTTAATGCATCCTAACTGAAGAATCAGCTTAGATAAGTAGAGAGAATATAGGCTGCACTATAAGTTGAAGCCATTACAGCCAAAGTAAAAACATTGCAGTAAAGATATAAAATACAGTGTGTATGGTATCTGGGAATCAGTTTATCTTGTAGGCTTTACTCAACTGTAGTTTTGTATTTGTTTTCATTTCATCAATTTACTCTTATTTCTTTTAAATATGAAGTTTGTGGTAAGCCTTTAAGTCATTCAACCCTAGCACGAGGGTTTCCTTTTCCAGGCAGAATTCCTTTTTGAAAGTATGTGGACTTTCAAAAGCAGTTGCTAAATGTCAATTTCTCTTTTCTGAGCTTTTAAAAGAATGTCTATTTTTTCCTTTGCCATATTAAGATATAAAAAATATTTACCTCTGTTATGCTGAGTTTTAGCCACCATTTTGAACTGATGGGAAATTATATTTTTAGGCTCCAAAGTGTCTGCAACACTTTTCTGTGGAATGTTTTGATTCTATTGCAGCAAGTATAGCATGATGGCTAAGAGCATAGGCTCTGAAATCAAATATTCTTTGTCTGGAATTCAGAATCTACTACATCCTATTCACCTTATACATGGCATTTAACCATTCTATATCTTTGTTTCCTTAGTTATAAAATGGGGATATAATACCTACTTCATAGTGTTATTTATATTATTCCTATGTGTAAATATTAAACACTAGGGTCAAAGTATGTTTGCTCAGCAAAATTGCCCAAAATGTATCTTACTGTTGACTCCAATATTTTATTCAGCAGTGATTTTTAAATTCAGGGATTAGTCGATTGTAGAAAATATAATCAAGGATGCAGAGATTTACTACTAGTAATAATGTCTTATCAATTTTTTTCTCCTAAAATTCTTCGGGGGTCTCTTCATCCCACACATGGTGTTCCAGCTACTCAATTCCAAAGATTTTGGGCAATATCAATCTCTCAGTGAGCCATTTTTCTGCAGAACACAAAACAGTTGTGTGTATTTCACTTTGAATAATGTAGATATAAATGATGAACCTATAATTAAAACATATTTCTGTTTTTATGATCAAACATCTTTTAAATTTTTGAGTGTACATCTTTAATCATATAAAAAGCGGGTGGCTGGGTGCACTGACTCGCCCATGTAATCCCAGCACCTTGGGAGGCTGAGGCAGGTAGATCACCTGAGGTCAGGAGTTCGAGCCCAGCCTGGCCAACATGGTGAAACCCTGCTTCTATTAAAAATACAAAAATTAGCGGGGCATGGTGGCTCACACCTGTAATCACAGCTACTTGGGAGGCTGAGGCAGGAGAATCACTTGAGCCTTGGAAGTGCAGTTGCAGTGAGCTGAGATTGTGCCACTGCACTCCAGCCTGGGCAACACAGAGAGACTCCATCTCAATAAAACAAAAACAAACAAGCAAAAAAAACCCCAATAAGCAAAACAAGTAAACCAACTTCAGTATTATGATATGGTAAGAAGTTTACTTACAAATAAATTGTTCTTATTGCTGTTCATAAAGAATTAGCAGCTGTATGCTATAAATGACTATACATGTTTATTTTATAAAACCTTATAAACATGTATAAAAGTATATATAAACATATATTTTATATTAAGATAATCTACCACTTTGCTCTTTAAATTATATTATTTATACCAAATTTAGGCCTAAATATGTAATATGTAAAACTGGCATAATGCATTTGTCAGCTTATAATAAGGTCACAAAATAGTATATTTTAAAACTTTCTACTGGCATGTAACATGCATACATACATGTGTGTTACATACATACTGTTATGCTTATTGGACCCTGACCAATAAATGGAACATTACTAGCACATAAGAAATCCCCACTGTGTCTTCTTTTAGCCATTGATCCTACCAAAGGGTTACCTGCACAGGTACCATCTGAACCTAAAGTAAAAGTAGGAAAAAAATACTGATTTCTAACTGCATAGTTATAACTCTCTTCGAACTTTAAATACAAGGTATCATTACAAAGTGTATTTCATGCTTACCTTTATTTCCTCAATATTATGTTTTTTGTGAGACTTACTCATATTTTGCACGTCATATTTTATATTCATTGCTGTAAATATACTGTTTGTAGACATTTGGGTAGTTTCCACTTAGGAATATTATGAATTATGTTACTATAAATATTTTAGCATGTCTTTTTGTCAACATATGAACTAATATCTATTTGAATATAAACTTGGAATAGAATTGCTAAATCATAAGTAAGTACATAACCAGCTTTAGTACATACTACTAAACAGTTTTTTCCAGTGTGGATGTACCATGACAAGGAGTTCTCTGTTGGGTCCTTGTGTCCTCTTGACTAATAACAGTTAGAACCTTCTCATAAAAATTCTAATATTATTGAAATTCAAAGGGAAGTCAAATTATCTCTGTTTGCCAATGATATGATTCTGTATTTAGAAGACCCTAAGGACTCCACCCAAAGGCTCCTAGAACTGACAGATGACTTCAGTAAAGTTTTAGGACACAAAATTAATGTACAAAAATCAGTAGCATTTGTATACATCAAAAATATGTAAGCTCAGAGCCAAATCAGGAATCCAGTTCCATTCACAGTAGCTACAAAAATAAAATAAAATAAAATAAAATAAAATAAAATAAAATAAAATACCTAGGAATGCATCTTCCCAAGAAGGTGAAAAATCTCTGCAATGAGAGTTGCAAAACAGTGCTGAAAAAATTCTGAGATGACACAAATAAATAGAAAATTATTTTATGCTCAGAGACAAGAAGAATCAATTTTGTTAAGGTGACCATACTACCCGAAGCAATTTATAGATATAATGCCATTCCTATCAAATTACCAAAGTCATTTTTCACAGAATTAGAAAAAAAAAATTAATTCATAAGGAACCAAAAATGAGGTAGAATTGCCAAAGCAGTCCTAAGCAAAAAGAACAAAGCCGAAGACTACACTGCCTGATTTCAAATTATACTACAAGGCTACAGTGACCAAAACAGCATGGTTCTAGTACAAAAACAGACACATAGACCAATCAAAAAGTCTAGAGAACCCTGAAATAAAGCCACACACCTGCAGCCTGATCTTCAGCAAAGTTGACAATAACAAGCAATGCAGAAAGGACTCCCTATTCAATCAATAGTGCTGGGATAACTGGCTAGCCATATGCAGGAGATTGAAACTGGAACCCTTTCTTTCACCATGCAGAAACATTAACTCTAAGACAGGCGAAATAATTAAATATAAGACCTAAAACAATAAAAACCCTAGAAGAAAACCTAGGAAATACCATTCTGGATGTTGTCCTTCACAAAGGATTTATGACTAACTCCCCAAAAGCAATTGCAATAAAAACAGAAATTGACAAGTTGAACCCAATCAAAAGAAAGAGCTTTGGCACAGGAAAATAAACTATTGACAGAGTGAACAGACAACCTAGAGAACGGGAGAAAATGTTTGCAAACTATACATCCAATAAAGGCCTAATAAACAAGCAAAAACCAAATAGCTTCATGAAAAAAAAATGAGCAAAGAACATGAACAGAAACTTCTGAAAAGAAGATATATATGCAGACAACAAATACATGAAAAAAAGCTCATCATCACTAATTATTAGAGAGATGCAAATCAAAACTGATACCATCTCACACCAGTCAGAATGGCTATTACTAAAAAGTCAAAACACAACAGATGATAAGGATGTTGCAGAGAAAAGGGAATGCTTTGGGAATGTAAATTAGTCAGCCGCTGTGGAAAGCAGTTTGGAGATTTCTCAAATAACTTAAAAACAACTACCATTTGACCCAGCAATCCCACTAGTGGATATGTAGCTAAAGGAAAAGAAATTGTTCTACCTAAAAGACATATGAACTTGTATGTTCATCACAGCACTATTCATGATACCAAAGACATGGAATCAATGAAGATGCCCATCAATGGTGTACTGGATTTAAAAAAAAATGTGGTACATATGCACCGTGGAATCTGTGCAGTCATAAAAGGGAATGAAATCATGTCCTTTGCAGCAACATAGATGCAGCGGGAGACCATTATTCTAAGCAAACCAATGCAGGAACAGAAAACCAAATACCTCATGTTCTCTTTAAGTGGGAGCTAAACACTAAATACAGGTGTGCACAAAGATGGAAACAATAAACGCTGCGGACTGCTTGACAGGGAAGATTGGGAGGGTGGCGTGGGTTAGAAGACTACCTAATAGGTACTATGCTCACTTCCTGGGTGACAGGATCATTTGTACACCAAGCCTCAGTGACATGCAATTTACCCAGGTAATAAGCCTACACATGTACTCTCTGAACCTAAAGTAAAAGTAGAAAAAACTAAACTCAGGATTCAAACCAGTTAGAATAATATTAAAACATCTTAAATTATTCAAATATTGAAAAATCTCTATTATTTTAGCAAAAGTAGACTTTTAAGGTTTGGATTTAAATTTTCAAAAAAGTGATAATTTATATGAGAAAATAGGCAAATATCAATCAATAAATAGGTAAATATTGTATCGAATACAATATTAGATATTTTATCAATGGGTAAATATTTTATCTAATTCACTTTTAATTTCATACTTGTGTTAGTAAAAACACAAGGTTTTACTACAAGTTGTGTTATTAAAATAAGCCAAGTTGTGATATTAAAATAAGCCAAAAAAAGTGAGAGAAATGTGATTCAGTGGATACACTTTCCTTACTCCTACAATTTATCAGTAAGAAGTCTGTCATAATGAGAATTTTTTTAGTTTATGAAAAGATTGTTTTAAGGTGTTATTAGAAAACAACTATGTTCCTATATTTATTTATTTATTTACTTTTCTTTTTTTTTTTTTTTGAGATAGAGTTTCACTCTTGTTGCCCAGGCTGGAGTGCAATGGCGCCATCTCGACACACCACAACCTCCGCCTCCCAGGTTCAAGTGATTCTCCTGCCCCAGCCTCCCGAGTAGCTGGGAATATAGGTATGCGCCACCATGCTTGGCTAATTGTGTATTTTTAGTAGAGAAGGGGGTTGTTCATATTGGTCAGGCTGGTCTCAAACTCCTGACCTCAGGTGATCCTCCCACCTCGGCCTCCCAAAGTGCTGGGATTACAGGCATGAGCCATTGCACCCAGCCTATTCATTTAGTTTAAAAGCTGAATTTTATGGAATAGTTATTGGACTCTAGGCAGTATTCTCCCTAAATCTCCTTCAAAAATAAAGGAACATCATATTAGACAAAGGAATAAATTTAGATTCGAGGTTTCTTTACCTTTTCTGATAAGATACAGTTAAATTTAAATGACTTTCAAAATTACCACTACAGCAATACATTTATTTCCACAATTCAGAATTCTTGATACGCCTGCTATTATATTAGCATGATTTTTTACAATTCAACTGGTGCAAACAGGGAGTAAATCAGTAGTATAATCTCCAAACATGCTCCCTGGGCCTTGAATCTAAAACCATCTGGACACTATGACAGCATTCTATTTATTACATACAAAAGCCTGGATTCTGCTGATGCATAAACAGTAATTAAACACACAAGCCAACAATGCATGCCAGTTCTGTGAGAACTATCCTCTGAGTATCTTAGAGTTTCCATGCCAATGAGCTTATTGAGAAATTGGCTGGTGATTAAAGATTAATGATTTATGGCTGCAAGCAAGGTTCATTTGCTGCTTATGGAAATATGTTTGACAGTGTCTTTTTATTTTTCTAGGATCCTTAGTCAGAGAGATATTTATTCTTAAGACAATATCTCAATTAATTTTAAACATGAGCTTAAAGTGGCAACATATAAAATCTCTAGTATTGTAAAACCTTGTTACCATAGAGCACGCCTTTTCCTATATCCTTTTTGATAAGCAAGTGTACTTTGTGTGCATTTGAGTATAACTCTTACACTTCATATGTTGGAGGGAGTAACCATTTTGTATGTTTTTTTCTTTATCATTTTGCTTCTCTAATTCATATCTTCTGCGGCTGGTCACAGCCTATGCTTAAACCAAGAGGACATGATGGATGAAAAAGAAAAATAAGGAAGGCATTTACAAAGAAGCCTGGTTGTACCTTTAGTTAATCAGCATTTTTCTTTTTAAAGGTGGTTAGATTTCTCAGAATTTGTTGATTCCCAGGAGAAAGCAGATGTTGGGGAGAATAGTCAGTTACGTGTAAAAATAAACTAGTAGTTACAGCTGGGGTTGTGAAAACTCATAAGTTGTTTCAGAAGATAGTAGATTTTTTCAGTGCTATGTTCTTACAGCTATTGGAATCTGTTATTTCACCCATACCAACATAACATATAATTTGCTTTATAAATGCAGTAAAGTATAACTGAAAATATGACTGACCCTTTCATAACCTTAATGGTTCTATAAATACAGAACTAAAGTAATTTATAAAGCTGTTAAAATTAATTATGCCATTAAAATAAACTCCAAAGTACATTACATTATTACTGTAGTAACCTAACTATGAACTTCTCTGAGTCAGCAAAGTGAATCAATGGTGATGAATGATTATTACTGCTGAGCACTGCATGAATTAAATGCTTTCCTGGTCAGGAAGGTACTTTCTTCCAATACAAACAGGTTTGTCTTCATTGACTATTTGTTTCTGGCCTATGGTCCTTCTCTTTTATGGATGCTATGCTTTGGCAGGCACATATTTGGCTAAAGCTGCTTCTCTTGTTAATTTCTTTTTGAAATTCTGACATCAACTTTTATTTATGGTAATATGTTGTTCAGAAGGTTTGTGATTATGTACAGATTCCTGAGTTTTCACTTGAACTACATTTTCTTTAAAAGAGAGGTGCGTGCTGTCAATATCCTCAAAAACCAGGTTAGTCAGTTTTAAACTCTCCACGGTTTCACCTTTATATTGATGAACCATGTTGTCAGGGCCCTTGCTGAAAAGCGCAAGAATTGCCTTGATTTCTATACTCAGCATGGAGTAAATGTAAAAATACCTTAGACAAGATCCACAACCAAATTAGAATTTCTGCCACTTGATTTAACAAAGACTTCCATTTTTTGAACAATATCCATAACCTTTTGGAACTCATTTTCTCTATTGTTTCTGCTCCAATTCTATCAGGTGAATTTTTATTCTAGGTCCTATTTCTCACTTTCTCACAGTAAAAAGAAGAATTAATCCCTCCCTAGAGACAGCAGAGAAGAGTCTGCCAGTGAATCAAACGTGCAGAGAGAGGCAGACACGTTAACTAAATGACTCACTCCCAACCTAAACTAACATTGCCCCATTCAAATATCTGCTTCCTCAAAATTATCAATAATTTTATGACCTAGACCTTCATTGTTATTGTCTAATTGTTGAAAGCAGAAATACTAAATCTCTGAATCTATGCATTCTTAAATAGTAATTGAAAGCCATTCCAGGAAAAAAAAATGTATATATATACAAAGAAGGCAGTGATTAAATACTAAAGAGCCTGGATGTTTTCCATAACTGCTGAAACTACTTAAGTTGCTGAATCTGTCTTAGAAATTTTTATATTAAGGACCTGTAACATAAAAACGAGCAATAGTTACCTAGAGTCTAATTTGAGAGCTAACTATAATTGGCTAAAAACTATAAAATGGACTAAATCAGCTCACAATAAAACTAATAACTTGACTAAACAAGATCTGAGAAATAAGAGGTGAAAATGTTTTGGTAGGCAACACAATCAATATCCATAAGCTTTCCAGAGGGACTGTTGGTAATATATATTAGCAGCCCTAAGAATATTTATGTACTTTGATCTTCAAATTTGATTTCTAAGAATTTTTCCTAAGAGATTACAGATGTTATTAAATATTTGAACCCATTTGTACCTTTGAATATCAAAGAAAGTTAGAGACACCATAAATGCCGAATGTCATTTAAATGAAATATTGTTATAAATATTTAAAATATAAGAAAAATAACATAATTATAACTAAAGACATATGTTATAATACACCTGTTCTTGGCCAAAAGGAGAGAAGTTATAAAAATGTTTTATAATATATGCTGCATGATTTATTTCTGTTGAATGTAGGTGACAGGGACAAAACATTAAATCTTAAGTACTAAAAATGACACCCACCCTCACCATTATTAAAGGTGAGTCCTTAGAAAGGTTCTTTTTTAAAAAAGCATTTTTAAAAATTTTGCCGGTCATGCACAGGAATTCACATGAGAGACGCTAAAGGAATGGGGAGATCAAAGTATTTTAGAAAGTACAAGCATTTACTCTGAGTGTGTGTGTGTGTGTGTGTGTGTGTGTGTGTGTGTGTGTGTTTGATGGGAAGAGGTTGGGATCCCGTATGTTAAGATAAGAAGAGAGCAATAGGGCTGGTGGCAGTTTTGTGGCTTGAGGAGAAAGGCAGAAGGAAAGTAAGCAAGATGAGGCTTTATTAGTAAGAAAAGATAACTAAAGAGGCCTTCAGGAAAGGTCTATAGTCCTGAGCAAGGTTATTCAATTTTGACTTTTCTTGACTTTTCTTTCTTGTATTGTAGCAAAGTACTGAACCTGGTCATGTGATGACCCAGTTTCATGTAAAACAATCTATTACATAGATAGATAGATAGATAGATAGATAGATAGATAGATAGATAGATATAGATAGATAGTGAATGTTAATCAATTCCTGGGTGACATTTTATTTTCTATCTGTCCTAAGGTCTCCCTAAAACTTTTAATTGTTTTTATCTTTAAAATAAAGCCAAAGATAGTGATGTTGATTGACCACAATCTGATAAGATTAATACTAGATGATTAACGGACATTCCAAAAAGTCCAGTTTCCCCCTTTCCTAATTTTTCATTTATGAATTCAATATGCTCTTTATTTTTATAGAACTTTTCGCACTTGAGAGATGGATAACAGAATAGAGGCCCAATAGCACATACTATGTAAATCATGCTTTTTTCCTTTTCTGACATTTTATTTTTATTTTAAAAATCTGGGCTGGGTGCCATGACTTTCGCCTGTAATCCCAGCACTTTGGGAGGCCGAGGCTGGCAGATCATCTGAGGTCAGGAATTCGAGAGCAGCCTGGCCAACATGGTGAAACCACATCTCTACTAAAAATACAAAAAATAGCTGGGTGTGATGGTGCACGCCTGTAATCCCAGCTACTGGGGAGGCTGAGGCAGGAGAATCGCTTGAACCCAGGACGTGGAGGTGGCAGTGAGCCGAGATTGCACCACCGCACTCTAGCCTGGGCTACAGAGCAAGACTCTGCCTCAAAAAAAAAAAAAAAAAAAAAAATTCAAATCTGATCCAAAATTTTAACTCCTTTGTGAAGAAATTATTGTAGTATTTTGAAAGTAGTCTACTGTAATCTTGCCACTAAATTTGACAGATAACATTACTGAGAATCAGAGAAATAAATATGTAGCACATTTTGGACTGGCTTACTGAACTAATGTCCCATTTTGTAGCCCAGGCTTGCTTTTACTGGACAGCTTCTTCTAAAACCCTTAGAATAATTTAATTTATTCACAATGCTAAATAGAAAAAAGATTAGTTCAGGAGTATCTCCAACTTTTTTTTTCTTTTGCTTTAGATTTTATTTTCTTAATCCATAATCTATTGAAAAAATATGTAACTGAATATATTTTTTTAATGAAAGTATGTATTTATCTGGGTTTAGTGGAGAGACAATAGGTTTGAGAAGCTGTTATGCTCTCTTGAACCCTGAATGGCCCCAGTGATGCATCAAGGATTGGTGCAGAGGAAAAATTTCTAACCAATTGGTGTTCTTGTTCCCAAATCCCAGCTTTAAGTAAAGAAGCTTTGCCTTTGACAGTTTTATGTATTTCTCTCCCTATTAAGATATTATTTGCTAGTGGATTGACTTAAAATTTAAAACAAAACCAAAACTCCAAATACACTGTTCCAGTATTTGAGTTGAAGGCTTTTACTGCATGAATTTCTCTTGTACTCTTTCAGATATTAATCACTTTTATTTTTACACTTTGTACATAGATAGTGTTCGGCTCTGTTTCCCACCCAAATCTCATCCTGAATTGTAATTCCCATATGTCAAGGGAAGGAGGTGATTGGATCATGGGGGCTGTTTCCCCCATGCTGTTCTCATAATAGTGAGTGAGTTCTCAAGAGATCTGATAATTTTAAAAGTGTTTGGAAGTTCTTCCTTCATTCTTATCTTCTCTTTCCTGCCACCTTGTGAAGAAAATACTGGCTTCTTCTCCGGCCTCTGCCATAATTCTAAGTTTCCTGAGGTCTCCCCAGTTGCGAGTCAATTAAACTCCTGTTGTTTATAATTACTCAGTCTTAGATAGTATCTTTATAGCAGCAGGAAAATTGACAATACATACAGGTTTTGTATTTTCCATTGCTCTTTAATAGGCATATATTATATTATACTTATTTATTTATTTATTTGGAGACAGGGTCTCACTCTGTCCCCCAAATTGGAGTGTAGTGGTGCAATCATGGCTCACTACAGACTCAACCTCCCCCTCTTGGGCTCAAGTGATCTTCCTGCCTTAGTCACCTAAGCAGCTGAAACTACAGGCATGTACCCCATGCCTGGCTAATTTATGTACAGTCAGGTTCTCACTATGTGCCCGGGCTGGTCTCAAACTCCTGGGCTCAGGCAAGCCTCCTGCCATGCTCCCAAAGTGCTGAGATTACAGGCAAGAGGCACCACATCTGGCCATATGTTGTATTTTTCATCAGAAAATAAAATCTAACAAAATCCCTCAATTAAGGTAGCATAAAATTCATTTCCTACGTAAAGGAAATCTTATAAAGGTTTTCTCCTCTTTCTTGTTCAGTTTTTCTTCTACTTCCTACTATATTGACATAATGCTGATTCCTTCATACCCTAGCTCTGCCTTTTTCCCCCTGTGGACAGACTAATGAATCTCTTTTGTAGATGGCCCATTATTTTGTTACATATGACAAAGTATATTCCAGAAAAGAATACTTTTCACTTCCTCCGTCACTACTACACTGGTCCGGGCCCCCACCATCTCTCACCTACGCTATTGCAATAGCCTTCCAATTGGTTTTTCTTTTTCTGCCCTTTGACTCCCACAATCTATTCTTAACAATCTAGAATAATCTTATCAAAAAGGAAATCAGCTTATGTCAGCCAATGCTCAGAAACCTCCAATAATTCCCATATCAATCACAGTAAACCCCAAAGTCTATAACACCCTTTTCTTCTGCCTCCATGTATTCCTGCTAGCTTGTCTCCATCAGGCTGGAAATGCTCCCACCACAGGACTTTTGAACATACTGTTTCCTGCCTGGAATGCTTTTCCCCCCAAAATCTCTGTGACTTGTTCTCTCACTTTTTCTCAAATAGTGTCACAATATCCTATTTATCTTGTCTTACCATCCTATTTTACATTACCATTTCCAATCCTGCATTCCTTTCCCCAATTCCTTACTTTTATTTCACAAAATGAATTATCAAGTTCAGCATACAATATATCCTACTTATTTTTGTATTGTTTCTATCGCACTATGGTACAGTTTAAAAGAACACATGGTTTTTTGACTGCTTTGTTCACTAAGGCGTCCTTCTGCCAAAGTAAATAACGATATTGAATAAACCCGCATTAAAATTTTATTTGGCTTTTTAATAAATGGACCGACAAGGTGGTAAAACTGGTAAAACACATTTGAGAAACTGAGTATATTAGGCACTAAAGATAGAATAATATGGATAACTTAGGTATAAAAGTGGTTAATGTCATTCAGGGCAATACAGTCATAAACTTGGGGCTAAATTTTTTATCAGAAAAAAATAATTCAAATCTCTACTAGGCAAAAATCTGCAAGTACCAACTAATGTCATAACATGTGAGCACTAGTTAACAGGAACTAGCAAGTCAAACAAAGGCACATTCACTTAGATAGTTCAATAATCCTGGGTGTGCCTGTTAAACAATTCTCTGATATGACGTTGAAAAGGCAGGCGGTTCTTCCTAAAACTAACTAGAAGAGTTATTGTCTTGTAGTAAGTAGTCAATAAATAATTATTGATTATGTAAGTGAATGGTATTATCTTCAATTAAATTGTAGAAAACCTTATTCTGTATTGAAAGTTAATATGTGTCTTTAAGGTGTTCTATTATGTCACATTTTAAATTTATTTTTCAACTAGCAATGTTACCTCCATTTTTGATGCAGTATTTTGATTATTCTTTACGTACAAGGAATCACATCATTTGATAGATGGAACGTGGATAGTGAGAAACCTTATCTTGGCAAGAGGAAATTCTGTGCCAAATATACGCAGCATGGTTTCTACAAATGTAAGCTAAAAATATACTTCCAATTATTTGTGACAAGTTGACCTATGGTTTATAGGGTATACTGATTTTTACACTACTTATGGAAGAAAAGGGTGCTTACTGTATGGTAAGAGAAAATGTAAATTGGAACAATCTTTCTAAAAAGCATTGAGTAGAAAGACTTATACATACACATAATTGATGCCCAGGTAATTATAATTCTGTGCATTTACATCAGACAGAATTTAAATTTCCTTTATATTTCTTTTATTTTATATTGTCCTACAAAGAACATGTATTAACAAGTGATAATGTAATAAAAATAATTATTTTGAATATTGGTATATATTAGTTGTAAGTATATTCAGCTTTTAAGACCACTGACATACTGCCAAATTACTGTCAGATATTAGGTATTGTGCATTTACAAATTTACTCTACTACCTTTAAATATTAAAATTTATTTTTGAAATATTTACCTTAATGTGTCATATACACTGAGCATCAACAAAGAAGAAGGCAAAATTGTCTGAATTTGAACAATATGAAAATCTACATGGAATAGCTCTGCTTTCCTCTCAAAATATAACGCAGCCAAACTTATACATTTTCTATCCAGTGGAAGAATCACATTCAAGATTATTACTAAGGACAGTGATGTGCTTTAAACTGTGTTTTACTCTTCTCCCTCCACCCTAACTGTTGGCTGTGTTTAGTGGCTTATTTCCAAAGAGTAGAGTATGGAAAGAGGAAAAACTAAATACATTTATGGCAGAGAAATCTGGAAAACACTACCTTGGCCAGGGAGGTGTTCAAGGGTAATATTATCAGTGATTAAGTCGATAACATGTTATCTTATTATTCTACAAGAAGACTTCACTTTTACCTTTTTCTTCCTAGAAACCTAAAACTCTGGCTGAGCCATGATAAGAAAACATCAGACAAACTGAAATTGAGAAATATTGTACCAAATATTTCACTGGTATTCAAAAAAAAGTCAAGGTTATAAAAAAACAGAGAAATCTGATGAACAGTGACAGATCAGAGGAGACTAAAGAGACAAGATGGCTAATTGTAATGTGTTATCCTAGATAGAATCCTGGGTGGGATCCTGGAATGAAAAAAAATCAAAAACTTGAAAATTCAATAAAATCTAAGTGTAGTTAATAGTAATATGCCAATGTTAGTTTCCTAGTTGTTGCAAATGTACGTTGGTAGTGTAAGATGTTACAATGGGGAAACCAGGTGAGGGTATAAGGCAACTATTTTTCCAAATTTTCTGCAAATCAAAAACTAATCTAAAATTTAAAATATCTATTAAAAATATATTCCAACATACTTGAGTACTTCTATCAACTCAGTAGGACACAAAGGAAAGAGGGAAGGAAAAGAAAAAGGGAAGAAATAATTAATAGAGAAATCAATTCCTGGATGGACAAACTTCAGAAAATTCTAAACATTTTGCTCCCATTATCAAGTGGTAAATCAGTGTGTTAAGAATGTCCTGTGTCTTCAGATCCTTCTACTATATTTCAGTTCTTTTTGCATATGGTCCTAAGTGTTTCTTTCTGCAGAAAGAGGCTTGCCTTCAGTAACCATATGTTAAACAAAAAATTGTTAAAGAGAGCCTTGTTTCCCCCTCAAAACGGGAGTACTTCATTGCCAAACAGTGTAGTGCTGGTTTGAGATGATGCCTTTCTCCAGACACTTCACATTCACAGTCTGTAATTGTTATTATCTGAATATTTTGTGGATTATTTCAACAAATTAGTCACGAATACTCAAGATAATTGTTTCAATTATCCACTTTGCTTTTTGTTACTACACATATTTTGTGTTTGGTTTTGTTTTACTGTGGTATCCCAAGTTCCAGAGTCATTATCCAAACCTTCAGAAACACTTAGAATCTTTGTGTTCTGAACCACTTCCAAATCACAGGAAATAACCATCAATTTGATCAGCACAGCATGTGTGCATATGTCAGATGTGTGGTGTGAATATTGGAGATATTATAGTTCAACTTCAGGAGATATTATAGTTCAACCTCAGGGAGACAATTGCTTGAGTTTAAAATTTGACCTTCAATCTGTATTGTAATATCTTGCTTATTAAAGTTAAGTGTATTAATAAGAGGTGATTTATTATTTTACCAGTATTATATATATATGTGTGTGTGCATGTGTATTCATATATATATATATACACATGTCTGGCTCCCAGAGGGGTGTGTGTGTATATGTATTATCTATAAAATGATTATATATATGAATATCTGCCTCCTAGGAATCACACACCTCATACCAATCATCAGTGTGAGCAATCTAACAACCCCACAAAGCCTGCTCTCTGCTGCCTGGTCTCCTTTAGCCACTGTCACCTCTAGTTCAGTTTGTTTATAGATGTAAGTCAAGCATTTGTCTACTGTCTTTCAAACACCCGGAGTCACAACAGACAAGCATTCCTATACACCGATAGTTTTGTCTGATGTTTTTAAGTTATTTCTTAATATCATGAAGGGACTCTTCCCACTTTCAGTCTTCTCTATGTTCATAACCACGTTTTCATTTCAGATAGTTTTCTGTCACCACTGAAAGAGAAATATTTCATGTGCACAAAAATCATCTTTGCCTCATTAATTAATATTACAAAATGTAAAACTGTACTATTTTTCTCTTAGTTTTGGTTGAAGCCTAAAGGACATATAATAACCTGCAGGTGGTTAAGTGTTTCCACATTCTAAATATACTTGTTGATTTAATTATTCCGCCTTGTATTAGTAAATTATATTACCACTTTGTACCCCATAAAATTATATAATTATAAATTGTCCCTGTACAATCTAAAAAAAAGTGGTAGGACTTGGAAAAGGGACATCTGAAGACTGGTTTTGTAGACACTCACCCACTTGAGGTATTAAAGGTTTGAAGTTTCATTGCTCTGGGGATTAGGGAGAGGATTCCTTTAGATAAGTTGTTCGAGTGTTCTGACATGATCCATATCCTTGCTTCTCTGTGGGGAAGAGTGAAGTTTACTTACCAATCACCCTAAGCCTTGGGAACAGGGCCTCCAAGGGAACACTGCTATGATAATTAACTTGTGTCTCTGGGTGTTTGAAAGACAGTAGACAAATGCATGACTTACATTTATAAACAAACTGAACTAGAGGTGACAGTGGCTGAAGGAGCCCAGGCAGCAGAGAGCAGGATTTGTGGGGTTATTAAATTGCTCATACTGATGATTGGTACGAGGTGTGTGATTCCTGGCAGCCAGATGTGGAATGGCATCCTAATCAGGAGAGGTGACAAATGCAGACCCTGAGGGGAGAATTTAAGCAGTAAGCCAAAGACAAGATCGCCACTTCTATGGCAGCTGCAGTCAGTACACACCCCAGAGAGAAAAGCCACTAAGAAGCACAGCCAATATCATACAGAATGAACAAAAGCTGGAAGCATTCCCCTTGAAAACCAGCACAAGACAAGGAAGCCCTCTCTCACCACTTTTATTCAACATAGTATTTGAATTTCAGGTCAGGATAATCAGGCAAGAGAAAGAAATAAAAGGTACTCAAATAGGAAGAGAGGAAGTCAAACCGTCTCTGTTTGCAGATGACATGATCCTATATCTAGAATACCTCACCATCTCAGCCCAAAAGCTTCTTAAGTTGATAAGCAACTTCAGCAAGTCTCAGCATACTAAATCAATGTGCAAAAATCACAAGCATCCCTATACACCAACAATAGACAAGCAGAGAGCCAAATCATGAATGAACTCCCATTCACAATTGCTACAAGGAGAATAAAATACCTAGGAATACAGCTAACAAGGGAAGTGAAGGAACTCTTCAAGAAGAACTACAAACCACTGCTCGAGGGAATCAGAGAGTACACAAACAAATGGAGAACATTCCATGCTCATGGATAGGAAGAATCAACATTGTGAAAGTGACCATACTGCCTAATTTAGAAATTCAATGCTATTCCCATTCAAGAAGCATTGACATTCTTTACAGAATTAGAAAAAAACTATCTTAAAATGTATATGGAACCAAAAAAGACCCCAGATAGCCAAGATAATCCTAAGCCAAAAAAATAAAGCTGGAAGCATAATGGTACCCAACTTCAAACTATACTATAAGGCTACAGTAACCAAAACAGCATGGTACTGGTACAAAAACAGATACATAGACAAATGGAACAGAATAGAGAACTCAGAAATAAGACTTCACATCTACAAGCATCTGATCTTTGACAAGCCTGACAAAAACAAGCAATGGGGAAAGGATTCCCTATTTAATAAATTGTGCTAGGAGAACTGACTAGACACATGCAGAAAATTGAAACTGGATCCCTTCCTTACACTTAATACAAAAATTAAGTCAAGATGTATTAAAGACTTAAATGTAAAACCCAAAACTATGAAAACCCTAGAAGAAAATCTAGGAAATACTATTCAGGACATAGGCATGAGCAAAGATTTCATGATGAAAATGTCAAAAGCAATTGCAACAAGAGCAAAGATTGACAAAAGTGATCTAATTAAACTAAAGAGCTTCTGCATAGCAAAATAAACTATCATCTTAGTGAATAGACAACCTACAGAAGGGGAGAAAAAATTTGCAATCTATGAAATCCATCTGACAAAGGTCTAATATCCAGAGTCAACAAGGAACTTAAACAAATTTACAAGAAAAAAACAACCCTATCAAAAAGTGGGCAAAGACAAGAACAGACATTTCTCAAAAGAAGACATTCATGCAGCCAACATATATATATATATATATATATATATATATATATATATATATATATATATATATATGCTCAACATCAACATCACTGATCATCACAGGAGTGAAACTCAAAACCACAATGAAATACCATCTCACACCAGTCAGAATGACAATTATCAAAAAGTCAAGAAACAAAAGGTGCTGGTGAGGTTGTGGAGAATTAGGAATGCTTTTACACTGTTGGTGGGAATGTAAATTAGTCCAACCATTGTGGAAACAGTGTGGCAATTCCTCAAATGTCTAGAACCAGAAATACCATTTGACCCACAATCCTATTACTGGGTATATAACCAAAGGAATATAGATCATTATATTATAAAGATACATGCATGTGTATTTTCATTGCAGCACTATCCACAATAGCAAAGACATGGAATTAACCCAAATGCCCATCAATGATAGACTGGATAAAGAAAGTGTGGTATATATACACCATGGAATACTACACAGCCATAAAAAGGAACAAGATCATGTCCTTTGCAGGAACATAGATGGAGCTGGAGGCCATTATCCTCAGCAAACTAACACAAGGACAGAAAACCAAACACCACATGTTCTCACTTATAAGCGGGAGCTGAACAATGAGAACACATGGACACAGGGAGAGAAATGACACACTCTAGAGCCTGTCAGGGGTGCAATGGGGGAAGACAGAGCATCAGAATAAATAGTGAATGCATGCGGGGCTTAATACCTAGGTGATGGCTTGATAGGTGCAGCAAACCATCATGGCACACGTTTACCTGTTTAACAAACATGCACATCCTGCATATGTATACTAGAACTTGAAATAATAAAATAAACAGTTTGCTTTAAACGTTTGCAGAAGTCATCAGAAATGGAAGTCAGATTAGATTGACACTTTCAAGTATGACATTTTCTTTACCTTACCTCTAGTTCCCATCCCCTGCTATCCCTTTCTCTTGAGACTTGCAGAATCCAGAGGCCTCCTGGGGATGAGATGGTCACCAGGAAAGAGAGATGAGCTAAGGATATCTACTCTCAACCCACCAATTTGAAGCAGGTCCAAGTGGGGTGGGGAGCTCTACCTTTAAGTGAAGTTTAGATATTTATCTTCCTTTCGCTTGACTTGCTTTCTATTCCTTTCTCTTTCCTTCTCTTCTTTCAACTTTCATTTCTTCAGCTTTTTTCCCCCTTCCTTTCTTTTCTTAAAATAAAGAATTGGAGATTCAGGATCTTGAACCTAAACTGGAGATGAAAGTTGAAGTTGACTTCAACAAGTTTATTTATTTTTGTTACACAGGACTGTGTATACCCATTATTCAACCTGGAGGCCTGTTTATTATATGAGAATGAGTGGAAAAGTTACTGGGCTTGTGTTAGATCTCATCTAGGGGAAGGGGAAGAATCTTTCCACTAAATGGGTTTAAATGAACAAAGAGAGAACAATTAAATTTTCTAAATCCAGTCCTGCTCATTCAACATACTAACTGCATCTGTGTGCATCACATTCTAGCTGGTTTATATCATTTGGAATTAGTCTTGTTTCTCTTCAGTTTAGTATTCTATAGCTATGTCATGCTTAAGTTTGTTCTTATGGCACAATTGCCTGTACATATGGTTATAGTGTATATTATGTACATAATGCCATTTCCAATGAATAAACTGATCTTTAAGGACTTATAAAACTTATTTTGCTCTTTCTGGACCTTATGCGTATCACAGTCATATTATACAATTTTGCTTTCAAAATCTGAGGATTTTTTTATTGTAAGGTAGTGATTATGAAAATGTATTCTTTTTTTGCTTTCTTGCCACACAGCATTGTTATTCTTTTCATTAGCTGCTGCCAACATAAATCTCTGCCCTTTAGCCAGAATAAGCTTCTAGGCTTTAGATACTTTCTTTTGATTTTTTTTTCTCCTTTCTTTTCTGTTATTGTTCACAGACTCATCTCAAGGATTTGGGATATTTTATTATCCACAGAATTAAATAATGCTTGTATATACCATGGCTTCCTTGTTATTAACGTTTTCAATTCTAATTTTATTGCTCTTTTCTATATTCCAGAAAAGTGACATTTAGACTGTGACCAGGGTTATCATAGAGGGGACTGCTGGCAAGTGTCACCTCAGCCCTATTTCAACAATGGCAACTTGCCTTTCATCTGTTTTATATTTTAGTTTTCCAGGTATGATTCCTTTAAAGGTTCATGATTAAATAGGTTGTGAAAAACATTATTTTAGAAAGGCAGCCTACAACCTTCATTGAGCCACCCTTTCTTTTTCCTTTCAAAATTTGCTAATTATAAAATGTCTTTTTATAGTTTATCTTGAATTCAACATGTTTTATAAAAAAGCTTTTGCTATTGTTTTCATATTTATTCATATAGCTTTTAAAAGCTAAATCAGACTTTTCATTGATTGAAAGAAGAAATCATTTTTCTTCATTTAAAAAATATGCTAATGACTCCTTCAACTACTTTAACTGCATTTAAATAACTAAAAATATACAATTATACTATTTTAAAAATGGTAAATTTTGGGACATCATTGAATTTTTTATTATAAGAGTAATACATTCTTACTATGAGAAAAGTGAAAATGTGAAATGCATAAAAAATTACTCACAATACTGTAAATCTGAGAAAAACCACTATTAACATTTCCATGTATATTGATCGCTTGTTTTATTTGTGCAGTATACTGTTCTTAACATGTTAAATTCTGATTTATTTTTACCTAGCACTTAAAAACTTCACTGAGCTTCTTATTGGAAAAAGTTGTTTTCATTTTTTACTGAGCTATGTGAAGAACTGTGAAGGATCTGAGATTTTACTCAAGTTAGACTACTCTAGTTTCACAAATGCTAGAGGAAGACAGGATATTCCTAGAACAGAGACAAAGGACTTTATAACTCATGGCATAATAAGAAGCATGGGTATCATCTTTGTGTAAATTGTTCTTGCCTCCGAAGTTCCTTGGGTGACACAAGGGGGCCCTGGTGAATGTAGCACATACAATAGATTTGTGTCACAGATTAGAAACCTTTAGCTTTGGAATCCCCAAATCTTTAAAAGGATGCTGGAAAGTCTGCCTAAACTTTGCCCAGAGGAAGGCATTTCTTTTTTCTCCTAGTCAGCAAACAAATCTGCCCTCTGGCTTGGAGGGAGATCTTATTTTTGTCTTCCAAGTATGTCTGCTATAAAATATCTTTATAGGGAGCAAGATGGCTGGATAGAACCCTCCAGCAATTGTACCCCCATTGGAACACCAAATTGAACAACTATCCACACAAGAAAATACCTTCATAAGAACCAAAAAAATCAGATGAGTGAAAACAGTACCTAATATTAATATAATATCAAGAAATGAGGCATCGAAAAGGGTAGAAAAGACAGTTGTGCATTTCCTACACCACACTTGCCCTATCATCCATCGGTGCCACAGGGAGAGGAAATCTGTATTCTTGGGGGAGGGAAAGAAAAGTGAATGTGAAACTTTGCATTGGAACTCAGTGCTGCCCTCTCACAGCAGAACACAACAGAATTCTGCCAGTTCCCACAGAGAGAACATTTAGACCAGCCCTGGGCCAGAGGGGAATTCTCAGTCCCATCAGGAGGAACCTAAGCCTGGCTCCACTTACTGCTGACTAAAGTGGTCTGGGTCCTGGGTTCAATTTTAGTGGCAGTCAGACCACAAGGACTACAGTACTTGTGCAAACACTGGAGCTACCCTGGGCTTAGAGGCAGTGGACTTGTGGTGCATGTGACTTAGTGTAACACCAGCTGTGGTAGCCAACGATGTGCCTATATCACCCCTCCCCCAACTCCAGGCAGCCCAGCTTGGAGAGAGGCTCCTTCTGACTGGAGGAAAGAGAAGGAAGAGAGCCAGAGACTTTGCCGGGTGACCCAAGGAATTCTCTTTTTACCCAACCCAACCAATAAATGGTACCTCTAGAACTCAGCAAGTGTTGTGGCATTCCTAGGCCTAGGGAACTTTTTAGTACTCATATGGTTGCACTGACCACAGGCTTAGATCACAACACTCAATTCGATTTGAATATGTGGAAAGCCTTCTCAAGAAGGACAGCTATAAAGACCAGACTGTGAAGACTGGAATAAATTCCTAACTCTTCAATGCCCAGACATTGAGGACCATTCACAAGCATCCAGAAAAACCCAACCTCACCAGACAAACTAAATGAATCACCAGTGACAAATCCTGGAGTGATGGAAATACATGATCTTTCAGAGAGAACTCAAAATAACTGTCTTGAGGGAATTCAATGAATTTCAAAATAACACAGAGAAGGAATTTTGAATTCTATCAGAGAAATTTCACAAAGAGAGCCCAATGATTTTTTAAAAAATCAAGCAGAAATTCCAGAGCTGAACTGGATCAAGCAGAATAAAGAACTAACGAGCTTCAAAACAGGCTATATGAAAATACACAGCCAGAGAAGAAAAGAGAACAAAGTACAAACCATACCTCCAAGAGCTAGAAAATAGCCTCAAAAGGAAAAAAAAAATCTAAGTTATTGATCTTAAAGAGGATGTAGAGAGAGTTTAGGGTAGAAAATTTGTTCAAAGAAATAATAACAGAGAAATTTCCAAACCTAAAGATATGAATATACATGTAAAAGAAGTTTGTAGAATACCTAGATGATTCGACCCAAATAAGACTAGTTAAAGGCATATATTATTCAAATTCTCAAAAGTCAATGATAAAGAAAGGATCTTAAAAACACAGAAAAAGAAGGAAATACTATATGAAGGGACTCTAATACATTTGGCAGCAGACTTCTAAATAGAAACTTTTCAGGCTGGAAGAGAGTAGAATGACATACTTTAAATGTTTAAGAAAAAAACCTTTCAACTTCAAATATTATATCCATTAAAATTATCTATATTACAATTGTAAATATATATGCACTCAATATTAGGGACCCAGATATACAAAGCAACTCTTATTAGAGCTAAAGAGAGATAGATTGCTAGACAATAATAAGTGAGGACTTCAACACCACACTTTTAGCATTGGATAATGATATGGTTTGGATATTTGTCCTCCCCAAATCTTATGTTGAAATGTAATTTCAATGTTGGAGGCAAGGTCTGGTGGGGGTTGTTGGGTCATGGAGGTGAATTCCTTATGAATGACTTGGTGTCATTTCCATGGTGATGAGTGAGTTTTTGCTCTGTGAGTTCACGCTTGACAGCTAGTCATTTAAAAAGAGCCTGGCACCTCCCCCTCTCTCTCTTGCTTCCTCGCTCACCATGTGACAAGCTGGCTCACCTTCCTCCATGATTGTTAGCTTTCTGAGGCCCTACCAGAAGCAAATGCTGACACTACTTTGTGTACAGCCTGCAGAACTGTGAGCCAAAATAAGACTTTTTCTTTCGAAATTACCCAGACTCACATATTTCCTTATAGGAATGCAAATGCTCTAACACATAGAGAATATCCAAGCAGAAAATTAACAAAGAAACATTTGACTGAAATTTCCCTATAGATCAAATGATTCTATAGGCATTTATGAAATATTTCATCTAACAGCTACAGAGTACACATTCTTCTCCTTAGCACCTGGACATTATTAAGAGTAAACCATATATTAGGCCACAACTGTCTTTTGAAAATTCAAATAATATTTAAATCATATCAAGCATCTTATCTGACCACGATGGAATAAAACTAGAAATCAATAACAAGAGAAACTTCGGAAGCTATATGAACACATAGATATTTAACAACATGCTCCTGAACAATCATTGGGTCAATGAAAACATTAAGAAAAAAATTTAAAAATTTCAAGAAACAAACAAAAGTGGAAACTCAACATACGAAAACCTATGGGATATAGCAAAAGCAGGGAGCTTATAGCAATAAATAAAAAATATAAAAAATAAACTTCAAATAAACAACCAAATGATGCATCTTAAAGAACTAGAAAAGCAACAGCAAACCAAATCAAAATTTAGTAGAAGAAAAAAAATAATAAGCTCAGAGAAGAAATTAATGAAATTGAGACTAAAAAATACAAAAGATCAACAAAACATTGCTTTAAAAAAATAAAATTGACAAACCATCATTCAGACTAAATTAGAAAAAAAGAATGAAAATCCAAATAAATCAAATCAGAGATGATAGGGAGACATTACAACAGACACTCCAGAAATTCAAGGATCATTAGAGAACATTGTGAGCTGGTAAATGCCAATAAATGGGAAAATCTAGAAGAAGTGGATAAATTCCTAGACCCACACAAGCTATCAAGATTGAATCATGAAGAAATAAAAAAATCCAAATAGACCAATAACAAATAACAAGATAAAAATAGTAATAAAATGGCTTTAATCAAAGAACAGCTTAGTATCTGATGGCTTCTATGTTGAATTTTACCAAACATTTAAAGAAAAACTATTCCAATCCTACACAAAATATTCCAAGAAATTGAGTAGGAAGGAATACTTATAAACTCCTTCTAGGAGGAAAGTATCATACTGATATGAAAACTAGACAAAGACACAACAACTCAACAAAAAGAAAACTACAGGCCAATATCTCTGATGAACATAGATTAAGAAAATCCTCAACCAAACACTAGCACACCAAATTTAATAGCACATAAAAAGTAATACAAAATGGTCAAGTGGGATTCACCCTATGGATGCAAGGATGGCTCAACATATACAAATCTGTAAATATAATACATCATATCAACAGAAGGAAAGACAAAACTATAAAATCATTTCAACTGATGCCAAAAATGTATTAGATAAAATTCAACATTCCTTTAAAATAAAAACTGTCAGTAATCTGGATATAGAGAAACATATCTCAATAAAATAAAAGCCATGTATATCAAATCCACAGCTAGTATCAAACTGAATGATTGAAAACCGAAAGCTTTTCCTGTAATAGCTACAACAAGTCAAGGATGCCCACTTTCATCACTTTTACTCAATTTAGTACTAGAAGTCCTACCCAGAGTAATTAGGAGAAAGAAATAAAGGGCATTCAAACTGGAAAGAAGTCAAATTACCCTTATCTGCTGATGATATTATCTTATATTTTTAAAAACCTGAAGATTTTGTCAGAAAAGTAATAGAACTGATAACAAATTTAGTCAAATTGCAGGATACAAAATCAACATACAAAAATCAGTAGCATTTCTCTGAGTCAAAAGCAAAAATTCTGAAAATGAAACCAAGAAAGTAATACCATCTACAATAACTACAAATAAAATAAAATACCTAGGAATAAACTTAACCAAAGAAGTGAAAGACCTCTACAATAAAAATATAAAAATATTGATAAAATAAATTAAATAAATATATGCTAAAAATGGAAAAGTACTCCATGTCCATAGACTGGAAAAGTCAATTTTGTTAAAATGTTCATATGAACCAAAGCAATCTGCAGATTCAATATAATCCCTATCAAAATACGAATGACATTCTTCACTAAAATAGAAAAAAAGATTCTAAAATTTATATCAAATTACAAAAAAAACAGAATAGCTAAAACCATCCTGAGTAAAAATAACAAGGCTGGAGACATCATATTACCTGACTTATAATTATATGGCAGAGTTATAGAAACCCAAACACCATGATACTGGCATAAAAACAGACACATAGACCAGTGGAACAGTATACAGAACCCAGAAATAAATTCACGCATTTACAGTCAACTCATTTTCAACAAAGGTGCCAAGAACATACATTGGGGGAAGGATGGTCTTTTCAATAAGTGGTGCTGGGAAAACTAGATATCCATATTAAGAATGAAACTAGGCCCCTATCTCTCACCATATACAAAAATCGAATCAAAATGGATTAAAAACTTAAATCTAAGACCAGAAACTATGAAACTACTAGAAAAAAATATTAGCAAAACACTCCAGGACATTGGTCTGGGCAAAAATTTTTTGAGTAAAACCTCAGAAGCACAGGTAACTAAAGCAAAAGTGGACAAATGGGATCACATCAAGCTAAAAATCTTCACACCAAAGGAAACAACAAAGTGAAGAGACAACCCACAGAATGGGAGAAAATATTTGTGAACTACCCATCTGACAAGGGATTAATAAACAGAATATATAAGAAACTCAACTCAATAGGAAAAGATCAAATAATCCAATAAAAATATGGGCAGAAGATCTGAATATATATTTCTCAAAAGAGGACATACAAATGCCCAAAAATATATGCAAAAATGCTCAACATCACTAGTTATCAGAGAAAAGCAAATTAAAGCTACAGTGAGATATCATCTCATTCAAGTTAAAATGGCTTTTATACAAAAACAAAAAACAAACCAGGCAGTAATAGACGCAGGCGAGGATGTGAAGAAAGGGAACTCTTGTACTGTTGGTGGAAATGTAAATTAGTACAGCCAGTATGGAGGTTCCTCAAAAAAAAAAACAAAACAAAACAAAACAAAAAAAAACCTACAAATTAGAACTACCATTTGATCCAGCAATCTCACGGCAGGGTATATATCAAAAGTAAGGAAAACAATATATTGAAGAGATATCTGCACTTCTACATTTATTGAAGCACTATTCACAATAGCGAAGATATTGAGTAAATATAAATGTCCATCAGCGTCTGAATGAGGAAAATATACATATACACAATGAAATATTATTCAACCATAAAAAAGAATGATATCCTGTTATTTGTAATAACATGGTTGGAACTGGAGGACATTATGTTTAATGAAATAAGCCAGTCACAGAAAGTTAAATATTGCATGTTCTTTCTCATATGTGGGAGCTAAAAAAACTGAATTCATGTAGACAGAAAGTAGAATGATGGTTACCAGAGGCTGGGAAGAGTAGAGAGGGATGGAGGGAAAAAAGGGGGATGGCAATAGGTTCAATACAGTTAGATAACAGGAATAGGATCCAGTGTTATGTAGAACAACAGGGCAACTATAGCTAACAATAGTTTATTTTATATTTCAAAATAACAGAATAAAATTGAAATGCTCCTAATACAAAGATATAAGTCCTTAAGGTGATAGATACCCCATTTATTCTAATTTAATACACATTGTATGCTTGTATCAAAATATCCCATGTACCCCATAAATATGTGTAACTATTATATATCCATAATTAAAAATAAAAAAAAATAAAAAATATACTACAAAGACCTTCCAAACTGCATTCAATAGTAAATAGTATTTAAAAGTCTTACATAGTCCTTACTCAAATTTGGCAACATCAGCATCAAGTCATAGCTTTTCTTGTCTTATAAATATGATCTCCCAACATGACATTGAAAATGTCTAGAAGCAAAGACAATCAATGTGAATTTCTAGTACCAAAAATTGTGATATCATACTACCATTTCTTAGTGAAACAATCTTGGGCTACTTCAAAAAATATATTCTTTGTTTGACAAAGGTGCCAAGAACATTCATTTGGGAAATAAATACAAAATATAAAATTGTGACACAATTTTGTGCCAAAAAGCGAGGAATCTCTCAAGGCATAACGAAGTCATATGAAAAAGAAACAGGTGCCATCTCAATTGAATTCACGCTGGAATAATATGGCAACATTTGAAGGAGAAAAAAAATAAAATAACTGCAAAGGGTTGGATCACATTGTATATATAACTTTTCATGAGTTTACATAATTCCATTTAAACTCACATGCTTACAAATTTGTATAAAGTTCCTTAGTCACCATTGGAGACTGGGTTCCAATTCATTATTCTAAAACACATCTACAAATAAAGGTAAAGAATCAACTGTTTATTATATCTTGCCTTTTCTGTATAAACTGAATTTCAGAGTAGCAAAGTGGTTGATAAGGGAGAGTTTTTTATAGAAGAATTTTAGAGAATAAATGCAGAAGAAATAATAGAAAAATCACCGTTTAGTAATTCTTACTGAAAGAATGGATCTAGGCAATGGCCATCATTGAAAGCCAAAGTCATTGGGTGAAAGAGTGATGAGCAACTTCATAATGAATGTTTGAAGCTAATACCACTTGAGTAGTGATCAATCCTAGCATCATTTAAAAATGGGGCAATGAGATGTGGCTCATGATGATGCTAAGAAATGCACAGCAATATTTTGATGAGTTTTTGTCTAAAAATATAGACCTGAATCAATCAAGACTCTAAAGTTCACTTGATGTTTATAGGAGCTACCAGCTGTGATAAATAAATAATTTAAATAATTTTACAAAGAACAATCAATCAAATCTCATATAGAATATTCCATAGCCTAAGTAACCTTTTCTCAAAACTGAATGGACCAAAAATAAAAAGTGCTAATGGTTAAATGTTGTTTTGGAATTAGAATGTTATACATAAAAAAGGAAATATGTGAATTTTGGGTCTTCATTTAAACAAACTACCAAAAGAAACCTTTAAGGCAATAGGGAAAATTTGAATATAATTAGTATGATGATACCTAAGCTATAGTTGTCGAATATGAAGATTACTAAGTGGAAGAAGTTAGATAATATGTTTAATAGAAGATTTATAGTTGTAAACATATTTACCTATAGGTTGAGATAAAGGTCTGAAACCAAGAAGATCTCAGTTTAAATAAAATAAGGGCATGAAATAATGCTTTAAAAAACAAGTAAGTTATATTAAGAACAAATTACGTTATCCATTTTGAGTTGAATAGAAGATCAATATCAGCAGATATATTTAGGTTTGTTGCCCAGAAAGCTAATATAATCATCCATTAATGAATATATCTTCTCCCAATGACATATTTAATATTTGTTTCATTATACTTTTGTCAGACCGCATTAGCAATATCTTTTTAAATAAAAATAATTGTCTCTGGCCAAATAGATTGCCTTACTGTCTGATAAAATGTCTGTGTTCATTTTTTAAAGTAAGGTTTATTGATGTAGAACTTATTACAACAAATTTGTGTTTTTGTGTGTGTGTATAAAGTTGTATGAATTTTGGTAAATGTACCTGATTGTGTAATCGCCACCACAATCGACATATGAAACTGTTTAAGTAAAACAAATTTTCCTCAAAATTATTTTGGCCATAAATTCCCAATTCCCCAATTCCACTCCTTAGAAATCAATAATCCTTTTTCTGTTCCTATAGTTTGTATTTCCAACAATACTATATGAATGGAATCATAAAGTATGTAGCTTGTTGAGTCTGCCTACATTCACTTAGCACAATCAATATTTCATTCAATCTTTTATTTTCTTTTTAACATGTATCAGTAATTAATTAATTTCTATTACTGAGTAGTACTCCATTGTGTGGATTCACTACAGTTTGTTTAATCATTTACAACTGAATCAGGGTGATTTTGAGTTTGGGGTTATTATGATTAAAACACCATAAACATTCACAGACAGGTTTTTATGGGGACATAGATTTAATTTTCTCTCAGATAATCACCAAAGAGTGGCTGGGTCACATGATAAGTGTACATTTAATTTTACAAGTAATTGGCAAACTGTTGTAGGTATACCATTTTGGATTCCCACTAGCAATTTATGAAAGTTCCATTTGTTCTATATCCTTGTCAGCACTTGGAATTGTTAGTTTCTTTTATTTTAACCATTCTACTAGGGGTATACAGGATCTGATTGTAATTAATTAGCAATTCCCTAACAACTGACACTCAGCCTATTTTCATTGCTTATTTGCCATGTGCATATCTTTGTGATTTGTCTGTTCAAATCTTTTGGCCAGTTATAAATTGAAGATTTTTTTATTGTTTAATTTTGAGAATTCTTTAAATATTCTTATATTCTGCATGCAACTTCCTTTTTGGATTAAGCTTGCATATATTTTCTCCCAGTCTGTTGGATGTCTTTTATCATTTTTTTTAAAAAAATTCTATATTTTTATTAAATCCATTTCATACAGTTTTTCTACAAATTATATTCTTAATATCATACCTATGTAATCTTTCCTGCACACAGGTTACAATTTTTTCTTTCTAGAAGTTTTATAGTTTTAAGATTTATATTTAGGTTTATGATTAATTTTTTGTTAATTTTTTTATATAATGCAAGATATGGATTGAGGTTTTTATTCTACATATTCATGTCTAATTGTTTTAATACCATTTGTTGAAAACACTATTGTTTCTACATAAAATTGTCTTTGGATTTTGTTGAAAATCTATTGACCATTTATATGTGGATCTATTTTTGGACTTTCTGTTTCATTGATTAATGTATCTATCTTTTCACCAATACCATATAGTCTTGATTATTGTTTTTAATGTAAGTTATAGTAATTTTTATAGCATGTTTTGACATTAGGTGGAGTGAATCTTTCATTTTTATTCTTATTCAAAATTGTTTTGGCTATTCTAGTTTTTCTATCTTACTTTTTTTCCTTTTCTTTTCTTTTTTTAGTGGGTTCCTTTGAAGCCAATTTCCTAACTATCTTAGATAGTAGACCTTAAAAATACAGAGGTAATTCCACATGAGTCGTAAGGTCTTTGACAATGACTTTTGTGCTGCAATATTTTGTGACTTTTTTTCTCACTTGATACATTTCTATAAGCCAACAGTGTTCTCATCTGTATCAGTCATAGTTCCAGACAGAAAGAAAAGGCGCATTCTGATGGAAATTTAAACAGACTAGAGAGGTAAAAGTGAAGTTAGAGGATGCAACAACAAATATTTAGACTCCAGGGTACTAATACGTTGAGTGGCAAGCCATTACCACTCCTTGGCCTGAAGGAGCAAGGAGGAAGAAAGAGTATTGCTGGAGCCTAGGGATTGTTAAGTTCATGTGGGAGGGGCTTTCTCAGTTGAAGCTTTCATCATAGAAAGTTTCAGCTACTGTCAGAAACTTGAGGAAGAAAGTGAAGAAGAAATACTGAGCTCCATTTTTGTTTTATAACCTCCTGGCTATGCCTCTTATTGGGTGAAACTTACCAGAAAAAGTGGATAAAAGAAATTCACTTATTGCAGACCAAGGAGATAAACACCCAAGGCACTGATCACTGCAGAGAAGGGCAGTCAATGGATCTACAGAGAACATGGAGAAAAGCATCCCAGTAGCTCCTTCCATCCCGGATTCTGACTGCAGCTCAAGTGTGTCTCCACAGCTCATAAATTTTAAGTTCAAAACTGTAAAACAGGCTGGGTGTGGTGGCTCACGCCTGTAATCACAGCACTTTGGGAGGCCGAGGGGGGCAGATCACGAGGTCAAGAGATCAAGACCATCCTGGCCAACATGGTGCAACCCCATCTCTACTAAAAACACAAAAATTAGCCCAGTGTGGTGGCATGTGTCTGTAGTCCCAGCTACTTAGGAGGCTGAGGAAGGAGAATCGCTTGAACCTGGGAGGTGGAGGTTATAGTGAGCCAAGATCACGACACTGTACTCCAGCCTCACGACAGAGATTCTGTCAAAAAAAAAAAAAAAAAACAAAAACAAAAGCAAAAAAACTGCATAACATTATAATTGTACTTATTTTAGAGATGGCAGAGAAAACCAATCATATGATTTAATAGAGACCATTTTGCTTTTTTTAATAGAAAAGATCTGTTTGGATTGTTTTTAATTTAATTTTTTTCTAGTTTTAGTAATGTATAATTGACATAAAAATTGTATAAACTTGTGGCACAAAATGTAATGTTTTGATATATATGTATATATATAGAAAAACGATTGTCAAGCTAATTAACATATCTATCACCTTATATACTTATTTCTTTGAGATAACATTGAGGATCTACTCTTTTAACAATTTCCAATTATACAGTGCATTAGCTATAGTCACCATACCATACGATAGGTCTCTAGAACTTATACATCCTATCTAACTAACTCTTTTTACCCTTGGACCAACCTCTCACTGTTCCTCTCCCCAGCAGCCCCTGACAACCACCTGTTCCTATGAGTTTGACTTTTTAAAATTCCACATACAAGTGAGATCACACAATCTTCGTCTTTCTGTGCCTGCACTTCCAGACTCCAAAAACTGTTTCTTAAATTTATGAATATTACAAATATAATCCTTAGTAATGATAAAATAAATATGATAATTAGAAAGTTAAGCAGAAACTTTGAGATTAGTTTTTTACTTATTCTCATTTTACTTTTATATAATCATTCACTCTTTGAATTATTTTCCATTTTTAAGGCTGGTTTTGGTCTTAAAGGATCATCCCAGAGTGGTTATTGTCTAAATGGAGTTCAGTCACTTACCTCTCTCGATCCTGGTATTGCTTCTAGGCCAGTTTATTTTCAGTGATTCAGTACCTCTCATCACATGAACACTTGTATATTTTCCTTCTTTATACCTCAGAATAACCAAAAGAGAAATAGTGAGTGAAATTATTTTGGTTTCATTTAAGGCTAAAAGAGTCTCGTCAAGCCTCTGTATTATCAAATTTATAAGATATTGTAAGTATCCCATGCTACCTAGTACATTGTATACAAGCAAGTTGCAGAGCCTCAGCTTGTGACTTGCATCTCACAGGCATCTTCAATAGTCCCTTGGGGAGGACGTGTCTGTATATATAAGGGAGAATCAGGGTAGTGAAAAGGAAAGAAATGATAAGAGACAGAAGGAGAACAGATATAATGATAAATGATGCTACATTTTATGAAAAAATAAGTGGAGGAAGTCACATTTACTTATTGGAAAAAATTAAATGTGGACTAACAAAATAAAAGTATAAAATCATGTCTATTTGTAAATATGTATGACTGAAATTTTACCATGTTTCTGTAACTTATGATAACCAAATCATTTTAAATAAATGTGCATCAATAAAAACTCTTGTGAGAAAAGTTCTTCTGAATATTAATGCTGTTAAGCTCTCTGTAGTAACCACAAAAAACATCAGTACCTATCAATTCTTATATTTGGTGGACTAAGGAGTTTGCCATCTTCAAATTATTTTTAGTGGAAAGTTGTGTAAAAAAAATTTTATTTGATGTTAGTTTATAATATAAAATTTTCAACATTAATCTCAGATAAATTTTATACCTGGGATTTTTTTAAAAAAAGCATATGATCTACTTTGTTAAGTATGCAACTGGTGTTTTGTGTTTAAAAGTTACCATATTTATAAAGGTTTTGTCAATAGAAATATATACATAGTATATATTTAATATATAGTGTATAAATATTTACGAAATTATTTAAAATACTTAGAGTCAATCATTTTGAAAATGTAAGAATAAAATTAAGCCTCACTACATGTATTTTATTATCTGGATTATATTTAGAGTCAATACTTTATTTCACCACATAGTATTTCCAATTTATATCAATAACAAAAATCATATTAAGCATACATCAATGAGCTTATGAAAAAATAAACCAAAAACCAAAAATAGAAGAAGGAGAAAACAAAGAAACATGACACCTGATTTCTAACTTTTGAATTAGTTGATACTGTCAATGTGAAAAAACATATAGGGCATAAAATAAAAGAAATAGGGGTGGTTCCAAGATGGCTGAATAGGAACAGCTCCAGTCTACAGCTCCCAGCATGAGCAATGCAGAAGACAGGTGATTTCTGCATTTCCAACTGAGGTACCGGGTTCATCTCACTGGGGCTTGTCAGACAGTGGGTGCAGGACAGAGGGTGCAGCCCATCAAACATGAGCCGTAGCAGGGCGAGGCATCACCTCACCTGGGAAGCGCAAGGCGTTAAGGAATTCCCTTTCCTAGCCAAGGGAAGCTGTGACAGACAGCACCTGGAAAATTGGGTCACTTCCACCCAATTGCACTTTTCCAACAGTCTTAGCAAACAGTACACCAGGAAATTATATCCCACGCCTGGCTCAGAGGGTCCCATGCCCACGGAGCCTCACTCATTGTTAGCACAGCAGTCTGAGATCTAACTGCAAGGCGGCAGCAAGGCTGGGGGAGGGGCACCCAGCATTGCTGAGGCTTGAGTAGGTAAACAAAACGGCCTGGAAGCTCGAACTGGGTGGATCCCAATGCAGCTCATGGAGGCCTGCCTGCCTCTGTAGACTCCATCTCTGGGGGCAAGTCATAGCTGAACAAAAGGCAGCAGAAATCTCTGCAGACTTAAATGTCCCTGTCTGACAGCTTTGAAGAGAGTAGGTCTTCTCCCAGCACGGAGTGTGAGATCTAAGAATGGACAGACTGCCTCCTCAAGTGGGTCCATGAACCCTGAGTAGCCTAACTGGGAGGCACTGCCAGCAGGGGCAGACTGACACCCCACAGGGCCGGGTACCCCTCTGAGACGAAGCTTCCAGAGGAACAATCAGGCAGCAACATTTGCTGTTCAGCAATATTCGCTGTTCCGCGCCTCCGCTGCTGATACCCAGACAAACAGGGTCTGGAGTGGACCTCCAGCAAACTCCAACAGACCTGCAGCCGAGGGTCCTGATGTTAAAAGGAAAACTAACAAACAGAAAGGACATCCACACCAAAACCCCATCTGTACGTCACCATCATCAAAGACAAAAGGTAGATAAAACCACAATGATGGGGAAAAAACAGAGCAGAAAAGCTGAAAACCCTAAAAATCAGAGTACCTCTCCCCCTCCAAAGGAACGCAGCTTCTCACCAGCAACGGAACAAAGCTGGATGGAGAATGACTTTGATGAGTTGAGGGAAGGCTTCAGATGATCAAACTTCTCTGAGCTAAAGGAGGAAGTTCGAACCCATCACAAAGAAGCTAAAAACCTTGAAAAAGGATAAGACGAATGGCTAATTAGAATAACCAGTGTAGAGAAGTCTTTAAATGACCTGACGGAGCTGAAAACCATGGCACGAGAACTATGCGACGAATGCACAAGCTTCAGTAGCCGATTTGATCAAGTGGAAGAAAGGGTATCAGTGATTGAAGATCAAATGAATGAAATGAAGCCAGGAGAGAAGTTTAGAGAAAAAAAGAGTAAAAAGAAACGAACAAAGCCTCCAAGAAACATGGGACTATGTGAAAAGACCAAATCTATGTCTGATTGGCATACCTGAAAGTGATGGGGAGAATGGAACCAAGTTGGAAAACACTCTGCAGGATATTATCCAGGAGAACTTCCCCAACCTAGCAAGGCAGGCCAACATTCAAATTCAGGAAATACAGAGAATGCCACAAAGATACTCCTCGAGAAGAGCAACTCCAAGACACATAATTGTCAGATTCACCAAAGTTGAAAAGAAAGAAAAAATGTTAAGGGCAGCCAGAGAGAAAGGTCAGGTTACCCACAAAGGGAATCCCATCAGACTAACAGCGGATTTCTCGGCAGAAACTCTACAAGCCAGAAGAGAGTAGGGGCCAATATTCAACATTCTTAAAGAAAAGAATTTTGAACCCAGAATTTCATATCCAGCCAAACTAAGCTTCATAAGTGAAGAAGAAATAAAATCCTTTACAGACAAGCAAATGCTGAGATATTTTGTCACCACCAGGCGTGCCCTAAAAGAGCCCCTGAAGGAAGCACTAAACATGGAAAGGAACAACCGGTATTAGCTGCTGCAAAAACATGCCAAATTGTAAAGAACATCGATGCTATGAAGAAACTGCATCAACTAACGAGCAAAATAACCAGCTGATATCATAATGACAGGATCAAATTCACACGTAACAATATTAATCTTAAATGTAAATAGGCTAAATACTCCAATTAAAAAGACACAGACTGGCAAAATTGGATAAAGAGTCAAGACCCATCAGCATGCTGTATTCAGGAGACCAATCTCATGTGCAGAGACACACATAGGCTCAAAAGAAAGGGATGGAGGAAGATCTACCAAGCAAATAGAAAACAAAAAAAGGCAAGGGTTGCAATCCTAGTCTCTAATAAAACAGACTTTAAACCAACAAAGATCGAAAGAGAAAAAGAAGGTCATTACATAATGGTAAAGGGATCAATTCAATAAGAAGAGCTAACTATCCTAAATATATATGCCCCCAATACAGGAGCACCCAGATTCATAAAGCAAGTCCTTAGAAACCAACAAAGATACTTAGACCCCCACACAATAATAATGGGAGACTTTAACACTCCACTGTCAACATTAGACAGATCCATGAGACAGAAAGTTAACAAGTATATCGAGGAATTGAACCCAGCTCTTCACCAAGCAGACCTAATAGACATCTACAGAACTCTCCACCCCAAATCAACAGAATATACATTCTTCTCAGCACCACATCACACTTATTCCAAAACTGACCCTATATTTGGAAGTAAAACACTCCTCAGCAATTGTAAAAGAACAGAAATTATAACGAACTGTCTCTGAGACCACAGTGCAATCAAATTAGAACTCAGGATTAAGAAACTCATTCAAAACTGTTCAATTACATGGAAACTGAACAACCTGCTCCTGAATGACTACTGGGTACATAACGAAATGAAGGCAGAAATAAACATGTTCTTTTGAACCAATGAAAACAAAGACACAACATACCAGAATCTCTGGGACACATTTAAAGCAGTGTGTAGAGGGAAATTGATAGCACGAAATGCCCACAAGAGAAAGCAGGAAATATATAAAATGGACACCCTAACATCTCAACTAAAAGAACTAGAGAAGCAAGAGCAAACACATTCAAAAGCTAGCAGAAGGCAAGAAATAACTAAGATCAGAGCAGAACTGAAGGAGATAGAGACACAAAAAACCCTTCAAAACATCAATGAATCCAGGAGCTGTCTTTCTGAAAAGATCAACAAAACTGATAGACCGCTAGCAAGACTAATAAAGAAGAAAAGACAGAAGAATCAAATAGATACAATAAAACAATGATAAAGGGGATATCACCACCAATCCCACAAAAATACAAACTACCATCAGAGAATACTATAAACACCTCTATGCCAATAAACTAGAAAATCTAGAAGAAATGGATAAATTCCTGGACACATACACCCTCCCAAGACTAAACCAGGATGAGGTCAAATCCCTGAATAGACCAATAACAGGCTCTGAAATTGAGGCCATAATTAAGAGCCTACCAATCAAAATGTCCAGGACCAGACGGATTCACAGCCGAATTCCACCAAAGATGCAAAGAGGAGCTGGTACCATTCCTTCTGAAACTATTCCTATCAATAGAAAAAGAGGGAATCCTCCCTAACTCATTTTATGAGGCTAGCATCATCCTGATACCAAAGCCTGGCAGAGACACAACAAAAAAAGAGGATGTTAGACCAATATCCCTGATGAACATCGATGCAAAAATCCTCAATACAATAATGGCAAACCGAAATGTGATGGCATTTTGTGATGCCATTTTGTGATGGCATTTTGTGATGCCAAAATGTGATGGTGTTTTGTGATGGCAGCAGCACATCGAAAAGCTTATCCACCATGATCAAGTGGGCTTCATCCCTGGGATGCAAGGCTGGTTAAACATACACAAGTCAGTAAACGTAATCCATCATATAAACATAACCAAAGAGAAAAACCACGATTATCTCAACAGATGCAGAAAAGGCCTTTGACAAAATTCAACAGCACTTCATGCTAAAAACTCTCAATAAATTAGGTATTGATGGGACGTATCTCAAAATAATAAGAACTATTTAAGACAAACCCACAGCCAATATCATACTGAATGGGCAAAAACTGGAAGCATTCCCTTTGCAAACTGGCACAAGACAGGGATGCCCTCTCTCACCACTCCTATTCAACATAGTGTTGGAAGTTCTGGCCAGGGCAATCAGGCAGGAGAAAGAAATAAAGGGTATTCAATTAGGGAAAGAGGAAGTCAAATTGTGCCTGTTCGCACATGACATGCTTGTATATTTAGAAAACCCCATCGTCTCAGCCCAAAATCTCCTTAAGCTGATAAGCAACTTCAGCAAAGTCTCAGGATACAAAATCAATGTGCAAAAATCACAAGCATTCTTATATACCAATAACAGACAAACAGAGAGTCAAATCATGAAGGAACTCCCATTCACAATTGCTTCAAAGAGAATAAAATACCTAGGAATCCAACTTACAAGGGATGTGAAGGACCTCTTCAAGGAGAACTACAAACCACTCCTCAATGAAATAAAAGAGGACACAAACAAATGGAAGAACATTCCATGCTCATGGATAAGAAGAATCAATATCGTGAAAACGGCCATACTGCCCAAGGTAATTTATAGATTCAATGTCATCCCCATCAAGCTACCAATGACTTTCTTCACAGAATTGGAAAAATCTACTTTAAAGTTCATATGGAACCAAAAAAGAGCCCACATTTCCAAGACAATCCTAAGCCAAAAGAACAAAGCTGGAGGCATCAAGCTACCTGACTTCAAACTATACTACAAGGCTACAGTAACCAACACAGCATGGTACTGGTACCAAAACAGAGGTATAGACTAATGGAACAGAACAGAGCCCTCAGAAATAATACCACACATCTACAACCATCTGATCTTTGATAAATCTGACAAAAACAAGAAATGGGGAAAGGATTCCCTATTTAATAAATGGTGCTGGGAAAACTGGCTAGCCATATGTAGAAAACTGAAACTTGATCCCTTCCTTACAACTTATACAAAAATTAATTCAAAATGGATTAGACTTAAATGTTAGCCCTAAAACCATAAAAACCTTAGACGAAAACCTAGGCAATACCATTGAGGACATAGGCATGGGCAAGGACTTCATGTCTAAAACACAAAAAGCAATGGCAACAAAAGCCAAAATTGACAAATGGGATCTAATGAAACTAAAGAGCTTCTGCACAACCAAAGAAACTACCATCCAAGTGAACAGGCAACCTACAGAATGGGAGAAAATTTTGCAATCTACTCATCTGACAAAGGGCTAATATCTAGAATCTACAAAGAACTCACACAAACTTACAAGAAAAAAACAAACCACTCCATCACAAATTGGACGAAGGAGATGAACAGACACTTCTCAAAAGAAGACATTTATGCAGCCAAAAGACACATGAAAAAATGCTCATCATCACTGGCCATCAGAGAAATGCAAATAAAAACCACAATGAGATACCATCTCACACCAGTTAGAATGGCAATCATTAAAAAGTCAGGAAACAACAGGTGCTGGAGAGGATGTGGAGAAATAGGAACACTTTTACACTGTCAGTGGGACTGTAAACTAGTTCAACCATTGTGGAGGTCAGTGTGGCGATTCCTCAAGGATCTAGAACTAGAAATACCATTTGACTCAGCCATCCCAATACTGGGTATATACTTAAAGGACTATAAATCATGCTGCTATAAAGACACATGCACACGTATGTTCACTGCGGCACTATTCACAATAGCAAAGACTTGAAACCAACCCAAATGTCCAACAATGATAGACTGGATTAAAAAAATGTGGCACATATACACCATGGAATACTATGCAGCCATAAAAAGGGATGAGTTCATGTCCTTTGTAGGGACATGGATGAAGCTGGAAACCATCATTCTCAGCAAACTATCGCAAGGACAAAAAACCAAACACTGCATGTTCTCACTCATAGGTTGGAACTGAACAATGAAAACACTTGGACACAGGAAGGGGAACATCACACACCGGGGCCTGTCATGGGGTGGAGTAGGGATAACATAGGAGATATACCTAATGTAAATGACGAGTTAATGGGTGCAGCACACCAACATGCACATGTATACATATGTAACAAACCTGCACATTGTGCACACGTACCCTAGAACTTAAAAGTATAATAAAAAAAATTGCAAAAAAAACCCAGACATACTTGATTTTGAACAAATTGCATGTTTAGCATATAAACTTCACAGACATTGTATAAAAAGCTCATTGTTTCCTATTGTTTAGACATTTTAAAATATTTAATTCAGGATTGTTCAGCCTATATGCATAAAAATGTATAACTGGTAATTGATTGGTAATATTAACCTGATGTATTAAATCTTTTAATACTACACATTAATTTCCACTTTGACAGATGAAAACTATATTGCTATTGATTTCTGCTATTCTGCCCTAATAAATTTTTATTGCTTCCTATGTCTATTCATGCATGACATCATTTTATTTATTACTTGGATGGTTCTCTATTGAGACTCTTCTTTAGTCTTATTCAATAATTCATTTAAAGTTTTCTGTGTGTATGCATGTTCTAAAATCTCAGCCAGAAAGAATACTCCCTCTTATTTCAGTGTGGCTGTGACTCTAGTTATTTTCACCAGGAATTCTTGAGCAGTCATACTGAATCTTGAGAGAGAGGGATAAGGCGGCCAATTAGATGTAGCCAGGATGCATTGCTCCCACTGAGAGAGACCAAAATTTTGAATAAACCAATATAATTTGAACAGATGTTTGGATAGAAAATGCCAAGGGTGGATGAACATACCATGTAGACACTGAGGCCGAATAGGGAGAAAGCTGGGAAGCCTGTGTGAGGTACCCAAATTCTAGGGTTAGTTTCTAGCCCCATATAGCTCCCGGAGAAGGAGTAAAGGAACTGCGGGATTGCCCACTCTTTCCATGAAACTCTGGGATCCTAGCTACAAGGGATCCTACTTCCCCCATGGATGTTTGAACTGGCAGGGGGATCTACCAGGAGAGTAGGCAGACAGGGATTCAGCCAGCATGGTGCCAGGGTCCTTTGTGCATGTGGTGGTAATAGGTGCCCATCCCCAAGAGATCCTTATCTCCCTCTGAGAAAGTCTATTACCAGATGAATGCTGGGCCAGGTGAAAGTTGGGGTGGCTTCTGTGAAGGACTGGGGCATGTTTGTTATGCTGGACCATTTGACTGCCAGCCCCTCCCGGGGGCCCTGCCTGGGCATCCCACAGGAGCATGTGCACAGTACAGCCTCCACTGCCAGCCTGTGTGCTTTGCTTTATCTGAGTATGTTCCCAGTGACCTGAGAGAACTTTAGACCCCCCAGTGCATCCAGAACTCAACAATGAGAATCCAGAGGATGGAGCCATAAGCCAGTCCCAGTGCCTTAGAGCTGTGGTGTGCAGCTTGAGAGTGTTGAGCTTAAATCTGTGCCTGGAACTCAAAGAAAGGAGGAGCCCACACTCTCAGAGCACTGAGAGGGGTGAGAAGTGTGGTTTTGTAGGCTGGTGCAGGAGCAAATCATGCCTTCCTCCACAGAGTGGCTCTGGAAAGGCTGTGGCCTATCTTCCTCTGCCCGAGGAAGACCTGCAGCCTGGAACACCTAACAGAAGAAATGAGAGCATGGTGTCAGTGATAGGAAGGGCCTTGACCAATGCCCAGGACCGGACTTGATGAGGGGAGTCACCTTTCTCTCCACCACACTGCAAAGCGTGGCTCTAAACATGAAGAAAAACAAAGAAAGAGTGTGGCTGAGTAAGAGCCTATCTACTGGCCATTAAACTTAAGTGGCATCTAATGGATTGCAGCTCAAACTATAACAACAAAATTATTCTGTGAATATACCTTCCTGTAAAACCAAGGGCAATAATTCAGCCACAAAGAAAGACCTTAAACAGAGCCTCAGCCCTCTGAAAACACCCAAAAACAAAGCAAACTAACTATACTCAATTTATACCACAGTTAAAGGAATACCAACCCTCTCAGATGAGAAAACATCAGTGCAATAACTCTGACAATTCAAAAATCCAGAGTGTCCCCTTATCTTCAAATGAGTCTGCTGGCTCCCCAGCAATGATTCTTAACAAGTCTGAAATGTCTGAAAGGACAGACATAGAATTCAGAATCTGGATGGCAAGGAAGCTCACTAAGATTAAGGAGGAACTTGAAGCCCAATCCAAGGAATTCAAGGTATCCAGTAAAATGATCTAAGAGCTGAAATAAAAAAATAGACATTTTAAGAAAGAACAAAGCTGAATTTTCAGGGTTGAACAATTCACTACAAGAATTTCACAATATAATCAGAAGTATTAACAGCAGAATAGACCAAGGTGTCAAAAGAATCTCAATGCTCAAAGACCAGTTCTTCAAGTCGACTCAGTCTGAAACAAATAAATTTAAAAAAATTTTTAAAAATGAATATAACCTCTGACAAATATGGGATTGTGTAAGATTACCAGATCTATGTTTCATTCACATTGCTGAGAGAAAAGGAGAGAGAATAAACAACTCAGAAAATATATTAGAGGACATAGTCCACAAAAATTTTCCTAATCTCACTAGAGAGATTGACATGGAAACTCAAGAAACACAGAGAACCCCAGCTACATACTATACAAGATGGCCCTCCCCAAGAAACATAGTCATCAGATTCACTAAGATCAATGCAAAAAAAAAAAAAAATTCTGAAAGACAGCTAGAGAAAAGGGTCAGGTCACATACAGAGGGAATCCCAGCAGGCTAGTGGAAGACCTCTTAGCAGAAAACTTACAAGCCATAAGAGATTGGGGGCTTATTTTAAACATCTTTAAAGAAAAGAAATTCTACCCAAGTATTTTCAATCGCACCAAACTAAGATTTATAAGTGAAGGAGAAATATAATCCACCTCAGACAAGCAAACACTGAGTGAATTTGGTTCAAATAGACCAGTCTTATAAAAGGCCCTTAAGGAAGTGCTAAACATAAATCAAAAGAATAATACTTGCTACAACAAAAACACGCTTAAGCACATAGCTCATAGACACTATAAAGCAACTATACAATCAAGTCTACAAAACAACTTGTAACAGCACAATAATAGGATCAAAATCTGACATAGAAATACTAACACTGAATGTAAATGGAACAAATGTCTCACTCACAAGACTTAGAGTGGTTGGCTGGATGACAAAATGATAACCAATCATCTCCTGTCTTTAAGAGGCCCATCCCACATGTAGTGACAACCACAGGCTCAAAGTAAAGGGATGGAGAAAGATCTATCATGCAAACAGAAAACCAATAATAGCAGGAGTTGCTGTTCTTATATCAGGCAAAACATTCTTTAAATCAATGACAATTAAGAAGGTCAAAGAAGGACATTTTGTAATGATAAAGGGTAAAATTAAACAAGAACACTTAACTATCCTACAGTTGTATGCACCCAACATCGGTGCACCCAGATTCATAAAACAAGTTCTTCTTGACCTACAAAAAGATTTAGACAGCTATACAATAATAGTGAGTGGCTTCAAAACCTCACTGACAGTGTTAGACAGATTATCAAGGAAGAAAACTAACAAAGAAACTCTGGACTTAACCTTGATGCTTGACCAAATTAGACCTAATAGATATCTACAGAACGCTCCCCCAACCACCACAGAATATACATTTATTTTTCATCTGCACACAGAACATATTCTAATATCTAACACATGCTTGGTCATAAAGCAAGTCTCAATTCAAAAAAAAATTGAAATTATATCAAGCACACTTTTGGACCACAGTGCAATAAAAATAGAAATCAATATCAAGAAGATCCCTCAAACTGCAAAAAATACATGTAAACTAAACAACTTGCTCCTGTGTAACTTCTGGATGAAGATGAAAATTGAAGCAGAAATAGAAAATTATTTTAAATTGATGAAAATAGGGACACGACTTACCAAAAACCTCTGGGATGCAGGTAAAGCATTATTAAGAAATGTGTCTATAGTGCTAAATGCCTTCATCCAGAAGTTAGTAAGATCTCAAATTAACAATCTAACTTTTCACCTAAAGGAACTAGAAAAAAAGAGCCAACTTACCCAAAGCTAGCAGAATAAAATAAATCTTCTTTTTGTACAAAAAGAAGAACTGAACAAAAATGAGATACAACATAAATCTTATATAAAATAAAATAAATAAATAAAATAAATCTTCTTTTTGCACAAAAAGAAGAACTGAACAAAAATGAGATACAACAATCTATACATAAGGTCAATAAAACCAAGAGTTGTGTTTTTGAAAGAATAAATAAGATTGGCAAAGAAAAATGAGATCAACGTAAGTACAATCAGAAATGACAAGACATTACAAGTAATCCCACAGAAATATAAAAGATCCTCAGAGACTGCTATAAACAACTTTATGTACACGAATTAGGAAATCTAGAGGAAATGGACAAATTCCTGGAAAATCACAATCTCCCAATATTAAATCAGGAAGAGATTGCAACCTAGAATAGACCAACACTGAGTTCTGAAACTGAATCAGTAATAAAAAACCTACCAACCAAATAAACTCCTGGACCAGATGGATTCACAGCCTAATTCTACCAGACATACAAAGAACTGTTACCAATCCTCCTGAAACTATTCCAAAAAAAATCAAAGGGGAAGTTCTCCTCTCTAAGTCATTCTATGAAGCCAGCTTCAGCCTGATACCAAAATCTGGCAGATACACAATGAAAAAGGAAAATTTTAGGCCAATATCCCTGATGAACATAGTAAAATTCCTCAACAAAATACTAGCAAACCATATCCAGCAACACATTAAAAAGTTAATACACCATGATCAATTAGGCTTTATTCCTGGGATGCAAGGTTGGTTTAACATATGCAAATCAATAAATGTGATTCACCAAATAAACAGAATTAAAAACAAAAAAATCATTTCAATAGATACGGAAGAAGCTTTTGACAAAATCCAATACTCCTTCATGTTAAAAACCTTTAACAGACTAAGCATCAAAGGAACATACTTCAAAATAATAAGAGCCATCTATGACAAACCCACAGCCAACATCACACTGACCAGGAAAAAGCTGGAACTAGTCTATTTTAGAACTGGAAATAGACCATGGAATGCCCACTCTCACCACTCCTACTCTGCATAGTACTGGAAGTGCTAGCCAGAGCAATCATGCAAGAGAAAGAAATATAAGGCATCCAAATTGGAAAAGAAGAAGTCAAACTATTTGTCTTTGCTGACAATATGGTTCTATACCCAGAAAACCCCAAAGACTGTTAAAAGTCTCCTAGAACTGATAAATGACTTCAGCAAAATTTCAGGATACAAAATCAACATACAAAAGTCATTAGCATTTCTATTCACCACTAATGTCCAGGCTTGAGCATCAAATCAAGAATATAATCTCATTTAAAATAGGAAGAAAATGAAATACCTAGGAATACAGCTAACCAAGGAGGTGAAAGATCTCTACAAGAAGACCTACAAAACAGTGCTGAAAGAAATCAGAGACAACATAGATAAATGGGAAAACATTCTATTCTCATGGGTTAGAAAATCTCATACCCTAGTGCTTTGTTTTTAACATATAATTTTGTTAGACTGAAATACTGAACATATAACTACATAGAAATTCCACAATGTTTCCCTATGATGATGGGAGTACTTTACATGTTTGTAAATAGTAAGTAACTTTTAACCTTCTCTAAAAAATGCTGATAGCTAATGAAGTATATGGAATAATGAAGAAAATTTTAAAAAAGAAAAATGAAAAAAGATAAAAACTCAGATCTCAGAAAATAATCAGATAATCTGAAAAACAAATTTTGAAGTCATATAAGTAAATTAACAGGTAAATATAGTTTCAGATAATTTTAAAATTACTGTTTAATTGAATACATTTTTAACTGGGATGAATAGATCAGCCATTTACCATAAATCCTAGACAATGTGAACCTAAAGTTTACAAAGTACCACATATTCCTTTTCTTAGACATTCACATTAGCATTTTATTGTCAAATTAAATGTAAGAAGTGATTAAGTACTTTGTTAATTCTGTTTAATGCAGGAATTTTTACTTCAAAAATTAGTTTTCTGTAGAACATCATATGAAAGACATTAGCTTATATGATTTTATGTTCACTTTGTCTGATGTTCTGTACCTGTTTAGCACTTCTAATAGTTTTCTATTACTGCCTATAAAAACTACCCATATTTAGGGGCTAAAAACAACACAACACTCTTACTATCTCCTAATTGTTAGAACTCCTGGCATAGTGTGCCTCAGCCACACTGGGTTACACGAGGCAAAAATCAAGGTGTAGGCAGGTCTGAGAGTCTTTCTGGAGGCTCTGGGGATGAATCTCTTTTCAGAGACACTCAAGTTGTTGGCAGAATTTAGCTCTATAAATTCAGTTCCCTGTTTTCTTGCTGGCTGTCAGCCAGTGGATCATTCTTAGTTTACTGAGGCCATCTGCAGTCCTTGGCTTGTGGCCACTTTTTCCATCCTCAAAGAGACTAATGGTATGTTGAACCTTTCTCATACTTCAAATCTCCCTGGCTCTCTTTTCTGCCTCATTCTTATTCTCTTCCAGCAGAAGAAAGTTCTCTGATGACTGGAATCATGGCTCATGTGAATAGATTGATCTTACCCATATATTCTGGGGTAATCCCTCCGTTTCAGGGTCTATAACTTTTAATCACACCTACAAAATTTATTTTGCAATTAAGATAACATATTCACAGGTATCTGGAATTACAGTGTGAACATCTTTGTGGGGGAAGCGGCATTATTTTCTCGGCTATATTACCCACCAGTCCTCTAAGTGTTCTTTATCTCAATCTTCTCATGAATCGTGGCACTATCACCACCCTTCAAAAGAAAAGAAAGGAAAAGAAAAGAAAAGAACAACCTCATTTCCACCTTTGTTTTTGTTCACACCCTGCCCTTTGTCTGAATTTTTTTTTACTGTATCCTGGCTATTTTTACCTGTCCTTCTGCTATAGGTTGAATATTTGTGTCTCCTCCAACTTTCGTGTTGAAACTTAATCCCCAGTGCAACAGGTTTAAGAGATGGGGCCTTTAGGAGGTATTCAGGCTATGAGGGATCTGCCATTGTGGATGGGATTAGTTTCTTATAAAAGGACTGGAGAGAGATAGGTAAGTCTCTTTGTACCCTCCATCCTTTCCACCATGTGAGAACACAGCATTCAAGGTGCTTTCTTAAAAGCAGAGACCAGGCCCTCACCAGACACCAAAACTAATGGCATCTTGATCTTGGACTTCCCAGCCTCCAGAACTGTGAGGTACAAATGTATATTGTTTATAAATTATCCAGGATCAGGATTCCCTATTCAATAAATGGTACGGGGGTAACTGGCTAGCCATATGCAAAAGATTGAAAATGAACCCCTACATTTCCATATATAAACATTAAATTAAAATGGATTAAAGACTTAAATGTAAGACCTAAGACTATAAAAATTGTAGAAGAAAATCTGGGAAATACCATTCTGGACAACAGCCTTGACAAATAATTTATGAGTAAGCCCCAAAAAGTAGCGGCAACAAAAACAAAATTTGGTAAGTGGGACCTAATCTAATTAAACTAACTGGCTTCTGCACAGCAAAAGAAACTTTCAACAGAAAAAACTGGCAAGCTATAGAATGGGAGAAAATATTCACAAACTACGCATGTGACAAAGATCTAATATCCAGGATCTATAAGGAACTTAAACAATTTAGTTAGCAAAAAACAAATAACCCCATTAAAAAATGGTCAAAAGCCGTGAACAGATACTTCTCAAAAGAAGACACATGTGGCCAACAAATAACTGAAAAAATGCTCATCACCACTAATCGTCAGAGAAATGCAAATCAAAATCACAATGAGATACTATCTTATACAAGTTAGAATGGCTATTACTAAAAGTAAAAAATAAAAGATGTTGGTGAGGTTCTGGAGAAAACAGAATATTTGTATTGTTGGTGGGAAGGTAAATTAGTTCAGCCACTGTGGAAATCAGTTTGGAGATTTCTCAAATAACTTAGAACTATCAATCAGCCCAGCAATCCCATTACTAGGTATATATCCAAAAGAAAAAAAAAATCATTCTACCAGAAATTCTCCTGAGCTCATGTTTATCATGGCACTATTCACAATAGCAAATAGATGGAATCAACCTAGTTTCCCAGCAACGCTGGGCTGGATAAAAAAAAAAAAAAAAAAGTGGTACATGTAGACTATGGAATACTAGGTAGCTATAAAAAGAATGAAATTATGACCTTTGCAACAATATGGATGGAGCTGGAGGCCATCATCATAGGTGAATTAACTCAGTAACAGAACACCAAATACTACATGGTTTTACTTATAAGTGGGAGCTAAATATTGAGTACACAAGGATACAAAGATGAAAACAACAGACAATGGGGACTACCGGGAGGGGAGGGTAAGAAGGGGGTGAGTTTTGAAAAGTTAACTGTTGGATACTATGCTCACTACTTTGTTGATGTAATCATTTGGATATTAAGCCCCAGCATTATGCAATTTACTCATGTAACAAATCTGCACATGTACCCCCGAACCTGAAATAAAGTTGAAAAAAAAAGACATTGGGACAATTAAATAATCATCTGCAAACAATAAATGAAGGAAATGTTAAACAATAAATTACCTACTCTCAGGTATTTTGTCATAGCACTATGATGAGACTAATACACCTTCTCTTCATGCTTCCTACTCAAATTCTATCAGGTTGGTAGATAGAATTTGAGTTTTTAATTTTGCCATTAAAAACAGCAGCAAAACAGCAATTAATTTTGGACCAACCTTATACTCAATTTGTTTCCTATTTTCTGACTTGCAAATTCCATATCTGAAATAGTATATGGAACTCACTAAATCTTTGAGTTTCTTGTGAGAATACATAACCTTTTAGAGAAGAGGCATAACTTGAGCTCTTAAGTCAAACTGTCTGAGTTCAAATCCTGGTTCTGTGACTTAGAATATAAGTCCTAGTTTCTCTGTTCATAAAATATGGCATATATATATCTTAGCTTTTGTGTGTTGGTGGGAGGATTATTGAGGTAACACACTTAAAAGTAATGAGTCCTGTACCAGGCAAATGGTAAACTCTCAATGTCAATTATTATAATTTTATGTGTATTTCTCAACAAATGCTCAAGAGTTACTGAAGTTCATGGGACATGAGATAGGATGTGTTTGATCTGCAAATAACTGAAAAACTTCCATCAGACTTGGCTCATGTAATGTTAATAACATGCATTTTTGTGCATAGCAGGAAGTCCAAAGGTATTTGTATATGATAAATGAAAGGTGGTTTAAATTGGTTAATATAGTGGCTCAATGAGAATCCCATCAATCACCAACATTCACTATATGGCTTCATTCATGCGCCTATAGTAAGAACATTGCTGTGATTGCAAGGGCCATATTCATACATCATAACTCGGCAAAATCAAAGGAAAAAAAGAAATCATTGTTTCCTAAGTCTTCCTCTTTAGACAGTGGGAATTTTGTCTAAAGGCTCACAACATACTTCTTGCATCTGATTGTCCTGAATTTGTTCATGTTCATTATTGAACCCCTGGTTCCAAAGGTGATGTTAGCTTTCCCCAAGGCTGGTTCAGACATTTTCCATTTGGTAAAAATTAGAGTTGAGATTGGAAGAAGGGGTGGGGAATACCTTTACAAGACAGGCTTCTACAGAGAAAGAAGAAAGGGAAATGACCACAGTGTAATCAACTGATATACCATGTCCTAGAGTGCATTTGAGATCACAGTGCCTATAATTATGATCTGCATAAGAATTCATGAAGTGTTGGTAATATTGATGTTACAGAAATTGAAATGTTTTAAATATTATATATTTTAATAAGCTTCAGAATGTCCAATTATTCATTTTGTGAAGTGTAGTATTATTCTGAAACTACATTCATTTTATAACTTAATTGTGTTCAATTCCTTACAAATAAAAACATTTACAGAGCACTTATTACAAGTTGATTATTATTGCCTTAAATGTTTTGCTAAAAACGAGGTTACATGAAATAATACATGAAATGTGTTGCTAAAAATGAGGTTACATGAAATAATAGTTTACATGCAATCAAAGTTTAGTGGAGAAAATTTCCCAAGGGAGTAAGTACGTTTCTATTTTACATCCTTACCCAAACAATGGTCAGGTCTCCTGCCTTCATTTTTTAGTGAGAAGCCATCACCTTAGTTCAGGTGGAATGTGCTCCACTTGTATTCCAGAAATTTCACTATTTCAAAATGGAAAGGTCAGGGTGGAACTTGATGTCTTCCTTTGATCCTTTTCAATCTGTAGTATTTCTAGTAGAAATTCCCTGGGAAAGTCTTATATGCCAGGTATTATGTCATTAGCTTTGAGAAATATAAAGGTAGTGTGAGATACACTCCTGGTCCTTAGGTCAATTACAGTATTACTATGGAAGCATTATGGATATACATCTAAATGATTTAGAAAAGATTTATAATATACTTTTGTATTAAATTTACTGATATTAAATATATACCTCCTAAGAGTTCAGAAAATATAGAAATTATGATGATTTTCACAAATTGGAAGACTTAGAAGTCAGTATATGCAACTTTAATATTTTTGCTCCTTAAATTATTTGATATGAACTAACAGAAAATCAAGAATAAAAATTACAATAAAATTTTAGAATTTTCATAATGTATTTGGTTACATGATAAAAATAGAGAATCAGATATTATATGCTAATATCAAAAAGATGGTATTAGGTTGGATACTCCAACCTGACAATAAATGAATTAAACATTAAAATGATTTTAAAACTGAATTCCTGGTGTTCAGTTTAAATAACAATTACCCATGAAAATTGAACTTGGGAACAACTGGAGATAGTGCAAAAAATCAAAATCAAAGCTAAATATAGACATTGCTTTGAAATCTCAAAATCCACTAAAATCATCAATTATCCTTATTTGCCAAAGAGAAGGCAATAACAGTAAAATGCATATCAGCGCCAACTGTGATGTCAAATTTAAAGCTCTAAAACCCCATTAAAATCAGCCTGGTAATGATGTACCATATGCACTGATCTACAGTTGCCGGAGGATCCCTAACCTGTGGCATTTTTTTTTTCTGTCACATCACATTGTTAAGTAAGGATGAGTTGAGGATATTGTTTAAGTATTCATAAGATTGTAGATAATATAAGGGTTGACAATTTTAGCAATGCATATTTTCCTTCCTGCCTTATGATACACACTATATATCTGTTTTAATTTGCCATGTATGCTGGCTTCCAAAGTAAATTTTGAACATAACAAAAGCTATTTATATGGAGTAAAACAAATTAGTTATTCTTACTACAAATTTATATATGCATTCTGGTAAGGGAACTGATTTAATCTGATGATTACGGAGGTCTATTAATCAAACCAGTGATCAGAAGTCATCAAGACAATGATTCATATTTCATCACCATCTTCCAAGGTACCCAGTTTCCCTACGCTTTTTTATTATTCACCTTTATAAATAATTCAGTGCCTGTTCTCTTTTCTATATACTTATATCACTTTCATTAACACTGAACATAAAAGTTGAGATTTTATAGTGAAGGTAGAAAAATATTCAGGTCTAGCTGAGCATTTTCCTTTTTGAGCTCAGAAAATTTATTAATAAATAAGCTCTGGGTGTATGAGATAAGTAAAATAACACTTTTATTTATTTACAGGTTCTTGACAAATTGATTATTCACATTATTTTCCTTTTCCAGGCCTGGTGGTTTGTCCTTACTAAATAGGTATGCTGCCACTAGGAGTTTCACAGAAGGTGAAACCTATCTTTGAAGTAACTACATAGCTACACATAAAATTTTTAAGGCTGTATGTATGAAATTTCATCTCTTACCAAGTTAATTGACCTATCAGCCTTATTATAAAATACATTACACATTTTTGGGAGTCTGGCACTACTTATTTTCAGAATTCATTCATTTAAATGTTCTGCAATCAAGTGACATAATCATAGGAACTTTAAATTCTATTGCTTGAAGATATTAAAAATCAAACATTTTATTCTCAAGTGACATTTTCTTTTTCCCCTTTATCTCTTTATCTTTCTTTCTTTTAGATAAATTATTCCATGTTTTTTGAAAGATGGAAAGAGATTTAAATGAATGCTGACTTCTTCCCACTTTCCATCCATCTGCTTGCTCCCCTTCTCCTGGTAGTTTTTGAAATTCTGAAAGGCTCAAGGTGGGAATGGATAAATGTTTGTTTATAATCACTTGAGGTAAATAAAAGTTTGTTTTTTATATTATTTGCATACATTATAGGGTATAACAAGAGTTGGTAAACTTTTTCTGTAAAGAGACAGCTAGTAAATATTTTCTGCTTAGTGGGCTATACAATTTTCATCCTAACCAGCCATTTCTATAAATTTAATGCAAAAGCACTCATAGATGATACACAGATAATTGGGTGTGAATGCATTCCAATAAAACCTTATTTATGGACATTTATATTTGAAGTCTATATAATTGTAACATCAAAATATCTTCTGTTTAATTTTTGAAAATATAAACATCATTTTTAGGTCTCTGAGTGTATTAAAGTAGGTTCTATATCTGGCTCACGTTATATAAGCCCTGGTATATGACATATGTAACAGCTTCTATTAATATCATGATTATGATAAAGAACAATGAGTACACATAAAGGGATATTGCCTAAATTCCATTTTAAAAATTGATCTACAGGGAGGGGGCAGGGCAAGATGGTGGAACAGAATTCTCTGCTGATCATCCCCCACATAAGGACACCAGTTTAACAACTATCTACACACGTGTAAAAAAAAAGCTTCATAAGAACCCAATATCAGGAAAGCACTCACAGTACTTGGTTTTAACTTCATATTGCTGAAAAAGGCACTGAAGGGGAAGGAAAAACAGTCTCGAATCGCCGATACCGTCCCTCCTCCATCCCCGGCAGCAGCGGTGTGCCGTGGAGAGTCTTTCTGTGTGCTGGGGATCAGGTGCTCACAGTATTTGAGAGGAATTAAACTCAGTGCTGCCCTATTATAACAGAAAACTAAACCAGACCGAACTCAGCTGTTGCCCGCCCGAGGAGGTAGTATTTAAACTAGCCCTAGTCACAATCTTCTATCCCAGCATTCAGAATTTGAGCTCCTGCAAGCCTTGCCACCTCAGGCTCAAGTTCTCTGGGGCCCTAAATAATCTTGAAAGGCACTCTAGGCCACAAGAACTGCAACACTTAGGTGAACCCTAGTGCTGAACTGAGCCCAGAGTCAGTGGACTGGGTGGGTGCCGGGGCACATGACCTATTGAGAGATACCATCTGGGGTGGCCAAGGGAGTGCTGGCATCACCTCTCCTAATCCCAGCTCACAGCTCATGGCTGCAAAAGAAACTGCTTCCCTTCACTAGAGGAGAGGAGATGGAAGAGTCGGGGGGACTGTCTTGCATCTTGGATACCAGTTCAACTACAGCAGGATAAGGCTTCGGTCAGAGTCCTGAGGCCCCTTTTCCAGGCCCTAGCTCCCAGGCATTTTCCTGGGCCAGAAAGGAACCTAATGCCTTGAAAGGAAGGACCGAATCCTGGCAGGATTCATCACCTGCTAACTGAAGAGCTCTTGGGCTCTGAATAACCAACAGCGATACCCAGGTATTACATTAAGTGCCTTGGGTGACACTCAGATTTGCTGGCTTCAGATTCCACTCAGCACATTCCCAGCTGTGGTGGCTATGGGGTGAGACTCTTTTCACTTGAGAAAAGTGGAGAAAAAAGCAAAAGGGACTTTGTCTTGCATATTACGTATTACATTAAGTGCCTTGGGTGACACTCAGATTTGCTGGCTTCAGATTCCACTCAGCACATTCCCAGCTGTGGTGGCTATGGGGTGAGACTCTTTTCACTTGAGAAAAGTGGAGAAAAAAGCAAAAGGGACTTTGTCTTGCATATTACGTATTAGCTCAACCACAGTGGGTTCTTGGGGTCCCTAATTCTAGGACTTGGTTTTTGTATGGCATTTTAGACTTGCTTTGGGCCAGAGGGGAGACTACTTTCCTGAAGAGTGAGTCCCAGGCCAGGCATAATTCACCGCAAGCAAACTGAAGAGCCCTTGGGCCTTAAGGAAACATTGGCTAAAATCTGGCAGTACTCCCCATGGGCCTGAAGTGGTGGTGGTTAGGGAGTGAGGCTCCTCTGCCTGTGGAAAGGGGAGGAAAGAGTGGGGAAAACTTCCTTTTGTGGTTTGAGTGCCAACTCAGCCACAGTACTATAGAACAGCAGGTAGACTTCTAAGTTTTCAACTGTAGTCCCTGGCTCCTGGACAGCACCTCTGGACATGCCCACGGTCTGGGGAATCTCACCACCCTGAAGCGAAAGACACAGGCCTGGTTGGCTTTGCCACTTGCTGATTGTAGAGCCCCAGGACCTTGAGAGTACATGGGCTATAGTCAGGGAGTGGTTACAGAAGGCCTTGTGTGAGACTAGAGTTGTGCTGGCTTCAGGTCTGATGGAGTGCAGTTACAGTGGTGATGACTATGGGGGTGCTTGTGTCATATTACCCCCAGATTCAGGTAGCTCAGAACAGGAGACTCCATCCATTTGGGTGAATGTGGGGAAAGAACGAGAGTCACTGCCTGGAAATTCAGATAATTCTTCTGAATCTTGTCCAAGAAAATCAAGGTGGTACCTCTGAGTCTGTAAGAACCACAGTGTTACTGGGCTAGGGGTGCCTTCTAAAGCACATACATCTTAGGTCACAATGCCCAAGCCCTTTTGAGTATCTGGAAAACCTTTCCAAGAAGGATGGGAACAAACAAGCTCAGACTGCAAACACTACAATAAATACCTAACTCTTCAATGCTGAGACACCAAAGAACATCTGAAAGCATCAACACCATCCTGGAAACATTACCTCACCCAGTGAACTAAATAAGGCACCAGGGACCAGGGAACAAGGACCAATCCTGGAGAAACAGAGTATGTGACCCTTTAGACGGAGAATTCAAAATCACTGCAAAGAAATTCAAAACAACACAGAGAAGGAATTCAGAATTGTAGCAGATAAATTTAACAAAGAGACTGAAATAATTAAAAAGAATCAAGTAAAAATTCTCATGCTGAAAAATGCAATTGGCATACATAAGAATGTGTCAGAGTGTTTTAATAGCATAATTGATCAAGCAGAAGAAAGAATTAGTGAACTTGAAGAGAGGCTATTTGAAAATACATGGTGAGGAGACAAAAAAAGAATGAAAAACAACAATGCATGCCTACAGGATCTAGAAAATAGCCTCGAAAGGGCAAATCTAAGAGTTATTGGCCTTAAAGAGGAGGTAGGGAAAGAGATGGGGTAAGTTTATTCAAAGGGATAATAACAGAGAACTTCCCAAACCTACAGAAAGATATCAATATCCGAAGGTAATAGAACATCAAGCAGATTTAACCCAAAGAAAACTACTTTAAGTCATTTAATAATTAAACTCTCAAAGATCAAGGATAAAGAAAAGATCCTAAAAGTTGTAACAGAAAATAAACAAACAAAGAAACATTAATGGAGCTCCAACACATCTGGCAGCTGCCTTTTCAGTGGAAACCTTACAGGCCAGAAGAGAATGGAATGACATATTTAAAGTGCTGAAGGAAAAAAAAACTTTTACCCTGGAATAATATATAGGGCAAAAATTTCCTTCAAGCATGAAGGAGAAATAAAGACTTTCCCAGACAAATAAAAGCCGAGGGATTTCATCGACACCAGACCTGTTCTACAAGAAATGCCAAAGGGAGTACTTCAATCAGAGAGAAAAGGATGTTAGTGAGCAATAACAAATTGTCTGAAGGTAAAAAACTCATTGGTATTTTAATAGTAAATACACAGAAAAACACAGAATATTGTAACACTGCAACTGTGGTATGTGAACTACTCTTTTCTTAAATAGAAGGCTAAATAATGAACCAATTGAAAATAATATCTACAACAACTTTTCAAGACATAGACAGTACAATAAGATATAAATAGAAACAAAAAAAGTTAAAAGTCAAGGTGTGGAATTAATGCACAGAGTCTTCATGAGTTTTTTTTTTCCTTGTTTGTTTGTTTATGCAAACAGTGTTGTTTGTCCACAAGCCTGAGGTAACCTGAAATCAAAAATCTGGCTGGGCAGTTGTGGTTCACATCTGTAATCCCAGCACTTTGGGAGGCCAAGGTAAATGGATTGCTGGAGTTCAGGAGTTCGAGACTAGCCTGGCCAATGTTCTGAAACCCCATCTCCACTAAAAATACAAACATTAGCTGGGCATGTCATTGCACACCTGTAGTTCCAGCTACTAGGGAGGCTAAGTAGGGAAGATTGATTGAGCCTGTGAGGTTGAGGCTGCAGTGAGTCATGATCATGCCACTCTATTCCAGCCTGGGTGACAGAGAGAGGCCTTGTCTCAAAATAAACACACACACACCACAAAACCATAAACCATGCAACAGATACAAGAAAATAAAAAGCAAGAAACTAAATCATATCATGAGAGAAAAATCACCTTTACTAAAAGGAAGACATGAAGGAAAGAAAGAAGTAAGAGAAGACCACAAAACAACCAGAAAGCAAAAAACAAAATGGCAGGAATATGTCTTTTCTTGTCATTATTAACATGATTGTAAATGGACTAAACTCTGCAATCAAAAGACAAACAGTGGCTGAAAAGGTTTAAAAAAAAAAAGAACTCAAGAATTCAATGATTAATTGCCTACAAAACACACACTACACCTGTAAAGACACAAATCGATTGAAAATGAAAAGATGAAAAAGATATTCCATGCCAATGGAAACCAAAATGCAGCAGGGGTTGCTATACTTATATCAGACAATATAGATTTCAAGACAAAACCTGTAAGAAACAAAGAAGGTCATTATATAATGAAAAAAGGTCAATTCAGCAAGAGGATATAACAACTTTAAATATATATGCATCCAACGCTGGAGCACCCAGATATATAAAGCAAATATTATTGGAGCTAAAGAGAGAGATAGACTTTAACACAATAACAGCTGGATACTTCAACACTCCACCATCAGCACGGACAGATCTTCTAGACAGAAAGTCAATATACATACATCAGCCTTAATCTGCACTATAGTAAAAATGGACCTAATAGATACTACAGAGTAGTTCATCCAATGGCTGCAGAATAGACATGTTTTTTCTTAGCACATTGATCATTCTGAAGGATAGAACATATATTATGTCACAAAACAAGTCTTAAAAGATTAAAAAATTGAAATAACATCAAGCATCTTCTCTGACCACAATGGAAGAAAAATAGAAATTAATAAGATAATTTTTAGAAATTATACCAATACATAGAAATTAAATACTATACTTCAGAATAACCAGTGGGCCAATGAAGAAATTAAGAAGACATTGAAAAATTTCTTGAAACAAATGATAATGGAAACACAACATACCAAATCTATGGGATACAGCAATAGCAATAATAAGGGGGAAGTTTATAGCTATAAGTGCCTACATCAAAAAAGGAAAAAGTTTTAATAACATAATGACGCATCTTAAATAACTATAACAGCAAGAGAAAACAAAACCCAATATTAGTAGATGAAAAGAAATATTAAAGATTAGAGCATAAATAAATGAAATTGAAATGAAAATAATATGAAAGATCAATGCAAAAAAAGTTGATTTATTTATTTTTTTTTTGGAGACAGAGTCTTGCTCTGCCAGCTAGGCTGGAGTGGAATGGTGCAGTCTCTGCTGACTGTAACCTCCACCTCCTGGGTTCAAGTGATTCTCCTGCCTCAACCTCCCTAGCAGCTGGGACTACAGGTGTGCCCCAGCATGCCCAGCTGATTATTGTATTTTTAGTAGAGATAGGGTTTCACTGTGTTGGCCAGGTTGGTCTCAAACTCCTGACCTCAGGTGACCAACCCACCTTGGCCTCCCAAAGTGCTGGGATTACAGGTGTGAGGCACTCAGCCTGGCCAAAATAACCACTATGGAGAAAAATTTGGAGATTTCTCAAAAAACTAAAAATAGAGCTAACATATGATCCAGCAGTCCCACTGCTGGGTATATACCCTCCCCCCCCACAAAAAAAATCAGTATATCAAAGAGATAGCTGCACTCCTATGCTTGTTGCAGCACTCTTCACAATAGCCAAGATTTGGAAGCAAATTAAGTGTTCATCAACAGATGAATGGATAAAGAAAATGTAGTACACATACAAAATGGAGTACTATTTATCCATGAAAAGAATGAGATTCTGTCATTTGCAATAACATGGATAGAACTAGAGGTCATTGTGCTAAGTGAAATAAGCCAGGCACAGAAAAGCTATCATCTCATGTTCTACTTTATTTGTGGGATCTGAAAATCAAAACAATTAAATTCATGGAGATAGAGAGTAGAAAGATGATTACTGGAGTTTGGGAAGGGTAGTGGGAGGGTTGTGGGAGGCGATTGGGATGATTAGTGTGTACAAAAAATAGAAAGTATAAATAAACCTATGAAAGCACAATAGAGTGATCATAGTTTATAGTAATGTATTGTACATTTAAAAATAACTAAAAGGATGTAAGTGGATTGTTTGTAACACCAAGGATAAGTGCTTGAGGGGCTGAGTAGCCTATATTACAATGATGTCATAATTACATTTTGCATGCCTATACCAAAACATCTCATTGTTAGATACTTGATCAATTTAAAAATGCTCCCTCAGTCGTACTTTTAAAAGCAAACCTATAGCTCAGAGGAAAATTGCTTTTAAATAATTTGTTTTACCCTTGCAAATTAACTTATTTCCTTACCAAATGCCACTTGTTTTAAAGTGATATATTTTTGAATACTCATTGCTTGTTTCTGGCTTTGAATTTTTTCACTTATTTAAAATACATGTATTAGATTTCAAAAAAGTAGCAACTTTTATTGTTTTTTTAAAAAATCACCCCCTCTTTGCTATCAGAAACATGATTTGATTAGGTGGATAAGACTACATGAGAGTTATAGTAATTCCTCCACTTCTAACATGGCATATATAAAATGTATCTTAAAAATAATATTCAAAGTAATCTATCATAGGTACAGAGAAACGTTGTCAGTTATTTTATATAACCATTGTATTTTAGAACAGGAATAAATGTGCTTCATTTAATGTATTTCCTGATTTGCCATATATTTTTAGGTCAGTGTATTAGTCCATTTTCATGGTGCTGATAAAGACATACCCAAGACTGGACCATTTACAAAAGAAAGAGGTTTATTGGACTCACAGTTCCATGTGGCTGGGGAGGCCTCACAATCATGGTGGAAGATAAAAGGCGTGTCTCACATGGCCGCTGACAGGGAAGAGAGCTTGTGCAGGGAAAATCCCCTTTTTATACCCATCAGATCTCATGAGACTTATTCACTATCACGAGAACAGCATGGGAAAGACCCCCCCCCCCATCATTCAATTACCTCCCATCAGGTTCCTCCCATGACTTGTAACTCCCCGATGTGGAAATTGTAACTCCCCAATGTGGGAATTGTGGGAGTCAGAATTCAAGATGATATTTGGGTGGGGACACAGCCAAACCATATCAGTCAACAATCACTTTGACAATGGCAAACATCTATGACTAAAGTTAGGATAATAGCTATACATAATCAAACAATGAGGAATAAGATCTCTTCCAGACTTTGAAATATTTCATTCTTTTCATAGGTCAGTTTGATCATAATGTGAAGCCAGAGTAGAGGCAATTTAGAATGGTTCAAACAAATACACAGAATTTTTGCTTCCAAAATATTTAGCCTGAAGTATATGCTATATTGATACCTGTTGCCAGATATATAGTAAAGTAACTTTTAACTGAATGTCACAGCTGACAGGCTTTTATTCTTAAAAGAATGTAATTGAGAACCCGGGAGGCAGAGCTTGCAGTGAGCCAAGGTCGCGCCACTGCACTCCAGTCTGGGAGACAAAGCGAGACTCTGCCTCAAAAAAAAAAAAATGTAATTGAGTTATTATGGGAAAATATTACTTATTCATTTTATTTTGTAGATCGATCTGAAATGAACTTGTCTTCTACTTAAATACATAGGTTGTTGAAAAGTATTTCTTTCATTAACTTTCTTTATTTCAACTTACATCAGAATTCACTTTTCTTTGTGTTTTTTGAGGTGCTTCTTTTTGCAACAAAAAATAGTCAAAAAGGTACTGTTGGCCATAATTTCAATGTTATTGGATCAATAATATATAGTTAATAAGTAAAACATTTTAAAATATAAATGTGTATAAAACAAGGTGATATATTTATTGGTTGACAAAAATGTGATCAGAGGCTCACAGAAACCTAGACCCTATATTTTTCCTCAGAGCAATGGTTCAGTATTCTCTAATTCAGTGTTCACAGTGATCTCATAAAACATAATGAGAATCAATGGCATAGATAGCATCAGGGCCAATGTTAATTCTTTGATATATAAAAATTATGTTCTGATGTTACTGGTATATTTGTTGAAAGACCAGAGAAAATTTTTCTGTGCAAAGAAGAATGCAGTCAATTAGCAGAGACAAGAAGAACCAAGAAACCAAGTATACCCAAATTGAAGGAGTAAAAAGAATATGGCTGGATATAATTTTTCAATTCTCTTTCTATCATTGTTTCCATGTGATTCCTGACCAAGAAAATCTTAACATTTACCTCAGCTTGACTGAACTTCAGACAGGTTTTTTGTAATTATAGGACCACAAGCTTGCTTTCCTCAGAGCATTTTTAAAGAAAACTTGCAAACTTATTCTTTCTCTATCCATTTGTTATGTAAAAGTTTGCCCAGCGTCTTGCCAGTTTTACAACCCAGGAATGTCTTTATCAAGGAACTAGGAGTCATCTCTCTCAAAAGTAATCATAAAAAAGTACAGCACCTCCATCTCCCAGGGTCTGTGGGAGGGTAGGAGCCTAACTTCATCAAGGCCAATTAACAAACACAGGTGCCTAATCACATTGCTCTATCTCTCCCCTAATGTTCTACAGTATTTTTTTGTTTTTGCTATCTCATTCCAGCAGTTAAAAATTATCCTCCATTTTGTTTAATAAGATTTGAGTTTAATCTTGCTCCCTTATTTAAATAGTCTTGAAAAAAAGTCTTCTTTGCCTGTTTTACTTGTCTGGTGCAATTTTTCTTTGGCATTCCCTTCATCCATTTTACTTGAAATAAGTGTGAGTGTTTCTGGTGGCAGACTACATACATGCACACAGACACTCACACTAGAAGAAATAATGGCAGCAATACATCATTTTGTGATAGGAATACTGGTATTGTCTTAGGGTTCTCCACAGAAATAGAACCAATAGAATAAATAGATGGATGGATAGATAGAAAGAAAAACAGACATTGGTGTATAAGAGGGGATTTTTTATGGGAATTGACTCTCAATGATAGTGTCTGTGAAGTCCCACAATTTGTCTCTAAGCTGGAGGTCCAGGGAAGCTTGCAGTATAGCTCAGTCAAGTCCAAAGAAGAACTTGGAGGACCACTAGTGCAAGTTCTTGAGTCTGAAGGTCAAAGAATGTGGTATTGTCATATCTAAAGGCAGGAGAAGATGAGTGTGTCAGCTATAGAAGAGGGAGTAGAATTACCTTTCCTTTGCCTTTTTGTTTGATCTGGAGATTCGACCGACTGGATAGAGCCCACGCATGTTGAATGAGGGCAGATCTTCCTTACTTAGTCCAGTAATTCAAATGCAAATGTCTTCTGGAAACATCTTCACAGACATACCCAGAACTAATGCTTTACCAGACATTTGAGTTTCTCTTAACCCAGTCAAGTTAACATCCAAAATTAACCGTCACAAGTGTGGATGAAACTATTCATTTCTTTGTTTTCACCCACCACTGTTCTCATGATAGTGAGTGAGTTCTCATGAGATCTGAGGGTTTAAAAGTGGCAGTTTCCCCTGTGCTCTCTCTCTCTCTTTCTCCTGCTGCCATGTAAGATGTGCCTTGCTTTGCCTTCAACTTCTACCATGATTGTAAGTTTCCTGAGGCCTCCCCAGCCACGCAGAACTGAGTCAACCTCTTTCCTTTATACATTACCTAGTCTTGGATAGTTCTTTACAGCAGTGTGAAAACAGACTAATTCATCCACCCAGAAGAAAAAAAAATCATAATTCCAAAGAAAAGTAGATTTAGTAGGAAGAGACAAAGAGGACAATTAATTCATTCAGAACATTAGCTCATGGTTATTTACTACGAGTGCTGCCTCCACTCCACTAATAATGGAATATTATTTCATTGGAGATAACTGCAGATAGGTTATATTTTGCTACTTAATGCATTAGATTGGTGTATCATTTATCTATTGCCACAATAATGCTGTATAACAGAACTAAGATATATCAGTAGCATAAAGCAATAAGCATTTATTTGGTTCACAAGTTTACAGCATTTGGATTATTTGGAATGAGCTCCACTGATCTTGGCTACTTTCATTCATGCTTTTATGGTCAGTAGTGAGTCAAATAGGCAGCTCTCCTCACCTTGCCTGGTTTTATTTACACAACTAATGGTTTATAAAGGATGTCCTCAGCTGGCTCTGTTTCACATGTCTTTCATCCCCCAAAACAGTGGCCCAGGAATGTTCTCTGAAAGAGGAGCCAAAGGCAAGGGAAAATGCACAAATACATTTCCAAGCCTCTTTTTACATTATGTCTACTAGCATCATATCTGATAACATCCCATTAAGCAAAGCAAGTCACAGGACTAATCCATATTTGAGGTAGTGTTGGTGGGGGTGGAATGTTGGGTAAGATAATTCTGAGACACCTTGAATGTTGCATGGGTGAGTGTGACTACAGTGAGAGGCAAAGAATTGGGGCTATTTATATAATCCATCTACAGTTGTCCCCCCTTATCTGAGGGAATACTTTCCAAGACCAAACGTGAATGCCTGAAACCATGGATAGTACTGAGCTCTATATATACTGTTTTTCTTATACAGACACACTTATAATAATGTTTGATTTATAAAATAGGTACAGTAAGACTAACAAAAATAATAAAACTGAATGGTTATACTAATACATTGTGATAAAATTTATGTGAATATGGTCACTCTCTGTCTCAAGATACCTTATTGTACTACACTCACATGTTTTTGTACAGTGGTTGACTATAAGTAAATAAAACTGTGGAAAGCAAGACCTTGGGTAAGGGGGACTACTGTACTATAGCAGAAATAGTCTCTCTCTTATGCCTACTTCTGCATCCCTTCTTAAAGTTTGCAGTAGCCTACTTTATCTCCAGTGCTTGGAAAAAAACCAACCAATTATTTTGCAAATATATTTCTTCACATGATTTTAGTCTAAATGCTACAATCGCAGCTATCATCTGCTATAAGCTATAGCAAAAAGCTATATTTCACAATTTATAATAATTATGGATTTGGAATAATGAGTTTATTCTTGGTTGAAGGTTTTTCTGTATGTTAGGAATCTTTACTAGAAGAGGCATGTAAAATATTAATAAAGTTCTCATTTTGAAGCATTTTAATTACAATTTGGATAGTACTACACTTCATTTTATCCTTTTGCATTATCTCACATTTTAGGAAAAAATTAATGAAAAGAGTGCATAGGGTTCATGTTTTATTAGAGGTGGAGGCAAGCACAATTTAAAAGGAAGTTAAACTTTTTGCAGTGCTATTAGCATAATGTAACAAATCCTTGAAGCAGGCCTCCCACTTTTGATAAATTCAGCATCTTTTCTCATTTTTGGCAGGAGTCTGTGTCTTTTCTGTATGCACAAAACACTGCAGCCCTATTGTTTGCATAGTAGCTAAAATTATGCAGATGTTTGGTTCATTGTAGTCTTGATTTTTTTTTCTGTCATCTTGTATTCTTGTGGGGCCCGCTAGAGTGTCTGCTTCCTAATTGTAATTTTCCTGGTCAGCCACAAGCAGCTGCTGAAAAAAAAACACAATTATTCTATAGTCTTTGAGTATCCCACTGTTTTACTTGAATTTATTCAAAGTACAGTGACAGTCATGTTAAGAGGAAAACTTGCATAAAAAAGGCACTTTCCCCAAAACTCCTGATATATGACTAGAAAGGTAAAAATTTAGAGACTGCACGGCTGGGAATATACAATTACCATATTTTACTTTTGCTCTATGACAATGACTTGCAAAGCAAAATTTATGTGCCATCAAGGGGAGATTTATGTGGTCATTCTTCAGAATTTTGAAATACTTTTGAGTTTTTGACTAAAGTAGCCCCTTGGGCCGACTTATTCAATAACCGCAACTGCTAAGAAGCACACAAAACAAAGAAACAAACAAATGAACAAACTCATCTCTGTACTATCTTGACCCTGGAATTGGGCTTTAGAAGAGAAAATCTTGGTTTCGTATCTGTTCTCTATCATTCACTAATTATATGATTTAGTATAATTTACTTATCATCTCTGAGTCTCAGTTCTTTATAAATAATATGAGCTTGATATGATCTACCTCTCAGGATACTGTAAGAGTTACAGGCAAAGTGTACACAGGTCCCAGCTCAGTGCCAGGTTGACTAGTAGCATGATTATTATTAGACTTTGGAAGTTAAGAAAATCCATACAACACTAACAAATTCAACTTTCTAATTTATGAAGCCCCAGGTAAGCTGTGTAATGGCTAGTCATAGAGATTCTAACAAACAAACATCCAGTCCTGATTAAATGCTAGTTGAAAATTGATACCTTTGATCAAAATGTTAAAAATGAGTAGAGAAGGGTCTTAAGATCTGTCCTATGGGAAATAATTATGTTTAAAACTAAATTCTCTATGGAAGAAGTTCTTTGGAACCTGGAGTTTTGGTTAAGATAATTTTGGTTGTTTTGAATATAATGTTTCAATATATATTACATTTTTATATACTCAAATTGATTAAAAATAACATGTTGTGTGGAAGGTAGAAAACACTAAATCATATTCTGTAGTCATAAACTTACTGCTCCTATGGAACACTCAAGTTATATGGAACAGTAACAGAACAATCCTGGCACCAGTTATCATTACTGAGCTGGGAGCACCGTGAAAAAAATAGATTTTTCTTGCATATCTGTGAAGTGTTTACAAAAGTCTGTGGGATTTGGAATTTTGTGAAATTACAGTAATGTGCCAGATGTAGATATAAGTTAATCCCCTTTTTCAGGAGGTCTATGATAGGCACTTATACACACTTTGATGGGCTAGTGGGGCTGATTTTTTTTTTTTTTTTTTTTTTTTTTTTTTTTTTTTTTACAAAATAAGGTAGTTCTATAGATAATATCTTTGTTGAACAGCAAAGTTTTTTGAATGAGCATGATAGAACAGCTTACTTGCTGGGTGAATTTGTTGTTATCACATAAAGTAAGATGCAGCAAGCAGGTATCCTTTATGTTAAATTATATCAAATTTTGCTCTTTATTTTTAATGTATACACAGTGAAAATACTTGACATTATAGGAATTTAGTGCTAATGTTTACTTTTAAAATAGGAAATATATTACACATATGTATGAAATAATAATCTCTGTTGGGAGTCCTAGCAAATTACAATTACTGTTACTAGGTATGAAAAGACAATTGTAAAGCAACAGGTTTAGAAAGAAACAGGGATTGATTCAGAACACTACTGACTATCATAAAGTGAAATAACAGATAAAAGTTTTTTAATCTCAAAGACAAGGCAAAGTAAAAAATGTAACATTAGCTATTCCATATGATATTTGTGTAGTTTAAGTTGAATATTCCATATCAGTCTATAATACTAGATTATACTTTTCTACTGCCAACATCTTGTACCTTATCTTTTATTTTCTTCTCTTTTTACATATTCTTACTCTAATCCCACTGACTCCTCTGATGACTGAAGTTGATGACCCTGAAATTTGAAATTCCATTTCCATTGTTGGACATTTGGGTTGGTTCCAAGTCTTTGCTATTGTGAATAATGCCGCAATAAATATACGTGTGCATGTGTCTTTATAGCAGCATGATTTATAGTCATTTGGGTATATACCCAGTAATGGGATGGCTGGGTCAAATGGTATTTCTAGTTCTAGATCCCTGAGGAATTGCCACACTGACTTCCACAATGGTTGAACTAGTTTACAGTCCCACCAACAGTGTAAAAGTGTTCCTATTTCTCCACATCCTCTCCAGCACCTGTTGTTTCCTGACTTTTTTATGATTGCCATTCTAACTGGTGGGAGATGATATCTCATAGTGGTTTTGATTTGCATTTCTCTGATGGCCAGTGATGATGAGCATTTTTTCATGTGTTTTTTGGCTGCATAAATGTCTTCTTTTGAGAAGTGTCTGTTCATGTCCTTCGCCCACTTTTTGATGGGGTTGTTTGTTTTTTTCTTGTAAATTTGTTTGAGTTCATTGTAGATTCTGGATATTAGCCCTTTGTCAGATGAGTAGGTTGCAAAAATTTTCTCCCATGTTGTAGGTTGCCTGTTCACTCTGATGGTAGTTTCTTTTGCTGTGCAGAAGCTCTTTAGTTTAATTAGATCCCATTTGTCAATTTTGGCTTTTGTTGCCATTGCTTTTGGTGTTTTGGACATGAAGTCCTTGCCCACGCCAAATGTCCAACAATGATAGACTGGATTAAGAAAATGTGGCACATATACACCATGGAATACTATGCAGCCATAAAAAATGATGAGTTCATGTCCTTTGTAGGGACATGGATGAAATTGGAAACCATCATTCTCAGTAAACTATCGCAAGAACAAAAAACCAAACACCACATATTCTCACTCACAGGTGGGAATTGAACAATGAGATTGCATGGACAGAGGAAGGGGAATATCACACTCTGGGGACTGTGGTGGGGAGGGGGGAGGGGGGAGGGATAGCATTGGGAGATATACCTAATGCTAGATGACGAGTTAGTGGGTTCAGCGCACCAGCATGGCACATGTATACATATGTAACTAACCTGCACAATGTGCACATGTACCCTAAAACTTAAAGTATAATTAAAAAAAAAAAAGAAAAAAAAAGTTAGTTTTATAAAAAAAAAAAAAAAAAAGAAATTCCATTTCCAACTCCCTCACCCACTCCAACTCTGTATGCTCAGGATAAAAATAGTTTACTGGTAATCTCTAGTTGACTTTCAAGAAAGCAACATCAGCTGACTATGTTTCAGAAATTAACGTATTTTTTATGTTTCCTATTTTAACTAGGGACCCTAATAAACACTCAAAATGGAGACTTGGAATTCACCATGAATTTTTTAAATATGCTCAATTACTAATACTTAAAGGTCTGCAGTTTACCCTCTTCAGTGTGCCAAACAGTTTCTTAGTTCAGATGATTATTATCCTTGTTTGGTTTAATGCAATATACAGTACTGAAATATATGGTGAAATGTCATTACTCAGCTGTGCCATTTCAGTGGTTAGAGTATCTCTTTAAAGTCTGATGGTAATCTGAAGAAGTTGCCACAAGAGGTGTTTCCTTCATTTTTTTCCTGTTAATTATTGACATTTCAAACCTTGACTAAACTACCGAAGAATTATATATGGATTATATTTTCATTATTGAAAGAATCATTATGAAGTAGCCAGTAAATATACATATAAACTATGAGAGAATATACCAATCGTAATAAAATAAAGAGGACTATGAGATCCAGGCCTAAACGAGTGCTTTCCAAGTTTTGTCATCCATCTTGGCTGGTTGGCAGCCTTCAGCATTATGGATCACATACAGTCCCATGCCTCAGAGATCTGCATTCTAAAAGGAGGAAAGCCTATCAGTGAGATCTGAATTTTACCTGCAGGGAGAAAGCAGCAGTGTGTAATGATAAATCAGATTAGTTTTCATCAAACTTTTGACTACCTTGAGTCCATGACTCATAAATTCATGAGTCTTTTATTCTCAATACTTTTTTTCCTCTGGTACAAACTCATCAGTTCCAAGGCCTATAATTTCTATGAAGACAACTCTTCAATTTAAAGCCCTGGCGTCAACCATTCTTTAGGGCCACATACATATTAATATAAACTTATCCATTTTTCATAATGGAAGAGCCTCTTTTTACAACGTCAGATAGCTTCTTTTCTTTAAAAATCTGTGATAATCTCTTCTTTCTCACATTCTGTCCCTGTGCATACTTTAATCCAAAAAGATGTCACATTTATAAGACTTTGTTTTCATTGTGTCCAGAAGCTGCTGCTTTCTCTTTTTATCCTTCCTCGTGTTCTAGCCCCAGAAGAAATTTCACTTTACATATGCAAACAGACACATTCTCACACAATCACACACAATTATATACTTCTTATTTTAAAAATAATAATGCAATATATATTCATGCAATATATAATGAGTGTCAGTACATATCATATAATAATGCAATATATCTTGATACACATGTATTAATAGATATAAATTTATTTTTATGTAAAATAGTTCATAATCACCTTTTAAATGAAATGCATGTATAGCTATATATCAGTCTCTATTACCTTCATGTTATGATACTATATGGATGTGCCATAATTGATTTTGTGATTTTGTTATTATAGAAGTTTAGACTGTATCTAATGTTTTCAAAATTACAACTAATGTAACAGAGAATATCCTTACATATATGTCTATACACGATTTTTATTTTCCTGTGAAATGGAGTTTTGTATTATCAACTATTTGAATTTGCACTTAAAAAATTTTTGTAGATACTTCAAGTGATCCTCCATAAATGATATTAGAATTTGCCCTATCTCCAAGAGAAGGTACTGCCAATATCCCCATATATTTAACAACAAAGATTATTTCATTGTATATTTATATATATAAAACTTTCATAACCCTCCAAGTAGGGTCATGAATCCCCATCTCATAATATTAAGATAAACTATTGTTTTTTTTTTTAAATTTTCATTTGTGTTTAATATCTTTGACTGTGATTTAACATCCTTGAATATATTTATTGATAATTTATATTTCTACCTTGAATTTCCTGTTCTTATCCTTTGTGTATATTAAACTGATTGTCTAAAATGTTATTTTCCATTTATTTGTAGATTTTAGCATAGTATGTGTATATGTGTGCGAATATATTATTGTTGTCATCACTGTTAGGGTGTCAAGTCTCCTCCCAAATTTTTTTAACTATTGTTAATTCTATAAAATAGCATTTTTATTTATCCACTCAATCAAATATATCATTTTTCTTCTCTGTATTTCTGAATTTTCCACTACAAATATGTAATATTTTTGCAATCAGAAAATGAAACTATAAGTATTGTTTAAAAGATATCCAATGAAGAGCTTTTGGGGATGTGATAAAATCAGAACACTGTTAGTTATGATGGTAAATTGTAAGCTTTTTTTTTTTTCTTGCTCCTGATTTTGCACTTAAGCTCTGGCAGTTTCACATTATAGAGACAGCCAGGTATATGACAAGACAGGCTCATGTGATTATGAAGAAAAGAATTAGATTATTTATTGTATCTATTCTGATTGGTCAGTATCACAGTCTTTGCCAAATATTTTGACTATCTCCTCGCTTGTGACAAATATAAACTTTATTTGCTGTCTCTTGTTTTAAATTTAGAGATCAAATTCTACTCTACATTAAGTCCCTGTTACTCTGTTCCTATACCATGGCCTTGGACATGTTACCCTGTTCCTATACCATGGACATTCATATTTGGAGGGAAAAAAAAAAAAAAATATATATATATATATATATATATATATATATATATATATATATATGTGTGTATAGATAGATAGGTAGATATATAAAACTTTCATAACCCTCCAAGTAGGATCATGAATCCCCATCTCATAATATTCATAATTATATGAAATCAGGAGGATAATGAAAAATAATCTCATCAATGGAGAACAAAACTGGGATGTTTGACAACTTGTCTAACATCATGCAAGTACAGGCCAGTGTGGAAATCTGGACTTGAACCTAGATCTTCTAGTGCCATCCATTTATCAGCATTGCTTCTCTTTGTTGGTCACATTGAATGGCATGCGGTTTTCAAAACAATACCCATTTTTCACCAACTTCCTACATTTTATAATAGTTTGCTGTATCTGTAACTGTTCCATTCAAGGGTCACCATATTTAGCTAATAAAAATACAGAACACCAATAAAATTTTAATTTCAGATAAAAAATTTAAAAACACACTAAGTATGCCCCATTTATTGCACGGGGCATATTTATGTATCAGTAATATTTGTTGTTTCTCTGAAATGTAGCACCTTTAACTGGGAGACCAACATTTGATCTGGTTACCTTATCTCCGTTTTTTTTTTCTTTTCTCAGAATCCTATGCATTCTTCAACGCTCTCATAAATGTTATTTTCTCTTTTAAATTTATTCTAATCTTTCAAATAAAACGAATCCCTTTTTGTGACTCATCAAGATAATGTTTTTTACTTTCTTTATTAATTTCTACTTTGTATCAATAGTTTTGTGATTTTCCCTACCTGTCTCCTAAATCGCAACAATTTTGACAGCTACAGCTTATTCATTCTTGTAACGTTTCCAAACATCTAACATCAAACATACAATAGATGTTTAAAACATTGCAATAAATTTAAAGATAAACTATATGCACCATTTCAATTTAGTCTGCATGTATCTTTATAACTATGCTTGCTATCAAGAAAAAAATAGATGTGATATATTTTAAGAAGGAAATTGCCAGAAATGTCAAATCATAAAGATTTTTGTATATTTGGGATATCTGCCTGTTCAAGACAACTTATTCTTCAAGCTGCTAAATAGCTAAGGTCATTTCTTACCTGGCTTACTTTTTAAGATCTTAAACGTCTTAAGACATTAACTGATTCAAATCTAGATGGGAAAGTTAAGTCTGATTTTTTCTTTTTCTTTTTTTTTTTTTTTTTTTTTTTGAGACGGAGTCTCGTTCTGTCCCCCAGGCTGGAGTGCAGTGGCGAGATCTCGGCTCACTGCAAGCTCCGCCTCCCGGGTTCACGCCATTCTCCTGCCTCAGCCTCCGGAGTAGCTGGGACTACAGGCGCCCGACACCACGCCCGGCTAATTTTTTGTATTTTTAGAAGAGACGGGGGTTTCATCATGTTGGCCAGGCTGGTCTCGAACTCCTGACCTCAGGTGATCCGCCCGCCTCGGCCTCCCAAAGTGCTGGGATTACCGGCGTGAGCCACCGCACCTGGCCTAAGTCTGATTTTTTAAACAATAACTTATTAAGTTTCTCTTATGATCAAACTAATTTCACAAATATTTTCAATGATACTGAAATGAATAATTGCCACCATTTAGTGTTTGGTGTAAATTACTTTTTACCAGGTACCAAGTTAAGTATAAATGGAGAAATTTACATGGTCCATGTTTGTAAGACATTTACATTTGAAGGAAAAAATATACAATAACTTTAATACAAATAATTAAAAGGATAAAAGTTAAAAGACAGAAATAATTATCCACATATAAATAGAACATTTTAGTAACCTTTGAATTTTGAATGTAGACCCAAAGTTTCAAGTTATATTTTGCATCCCTTTTAAAATTCATTAATTTAGCTCAAGAAAATGGCGCAAATATGTATACAAAACTTTAGTGAAAGACAGGTTCATATACACACATACACATACACACACAGGGTTACTTAGCAATGGAAATACTTACTGAGAAGTCCATCGTCAGGTAATTTTGTCATTATGAGACCATCATAGAGTGTATTTACACAGACCTGGATAGTATAGAGTACTGTATACATTGTTCCTAGGCTACAAACCTGTATAGCATGTTCCTGTACTGAATACTGTAGGCAATTGTAACACAATAGTAGGTATTTTGTATTTAAACACAAATAAAGTACAGTGAAAATACCATATAAAAGGTGAAAAATAGTACACCTGTATAGTGTATTTACCATAAACGGAGCTGCAGAACTGGAAGTTGCTCTGGTTGAGTGAGTGAGTGGTGAGTGAATGCGAATACTTCGGTCATTGCTATTCACTACTATAGATGTTATAAACACTATACTTTGGCCATCCTAAATTTATTTTAAAAATTTCCTTAATAAATTAAACTTAGCTTACTTGAAACTTTTAACTGTACAGATGTTTATTTCTTAAACTTTTTGACTCCTTTGTAATAACACTTTGCTTAAAACACACACATATTGCATAGTTACACGAAAAGGTTTCGATTTTTTATATTCTTATTCAATAAGACTTGTTCTATTTTTAAATTTGTTAAATTTATTTTTAAATTTATAAACTTTTTTGTTAAAAACCAAGACATGGGCACACACATAATACAATGCCTACCCAGGGCCAGGATCGTGAATATCATTGTCTTCCACCTCCACATCTTGTCCCACTGGAAGGTCTGCAGGGGAAATACACGTGGAGCTATCATCTCCCATAACAACCTTATCTTCCTCTGGAATATTTTTTAAAGGACCTGCCTGAGGCTGTTAAACGGTTAACTTTATTTTCATAAGTAGAATGAGTATATTGTAAAAAACACTTAAAAGTATAGTATACTAAATACATAAACCAGTAACTTAGACGTTCATTATAATTATCAAGTATTACGTACATGATTATATGTTTTATACTTTTACACGACTGGCAGTGGAGTAGGTTTGTTTACACTAGCATCATCACAAACACCTGTGTAAAGCATTGCGCTGCAGCATTATGACAGCTACAGCATCCCCAGGTGATAGAAATTTTTCAGCTCCACTGTAATCTTACGGGAGCACTGTCTTAGAATGTGGTCCATTGTTGACCAAAAATTCATTATGTGGAGTTATTTAACAAAATATGAAACACTCTTGAAATGGAATACTGTGTAAACAACAAAAAGATGTTGTGGAAGTGTAATATTTTCATGATAGATGTTTTTAAAAAACTGTTGAGTGAAAAAATTTATGAAACAACATACAACCATTTTTTTGTATAGAATATAGAATATTTTGTTGTAAAGAATATAGAAAATTTATAGAACCATTTTGTTTTATAGAATACTGTATAGTATAGATTATTTTGTATGCATAGAAAAAATTAAGAAAACTGAATAACCACTTTAAGAAAAATTATTTTATTTTATACACATTGTAGTCATTTTAATCTAATTTATCTGGTATACATATATATTTGAATTATTAATATCTATCTATATTAATAGATCTATATAAAAGTTAAAATAACATAAAAGAAAAAAATGCTAGTCAAATAAAAGTTATAATTGATATTAATAATTATTTTGGATGCATAGATCCAGGAAGCAACCACAAATAATGACACTAAGTTTCAAGCTCCTTCTATGAATAACTTGCCCAATGTTTATTACATTTATCTCCAGGTACAAAAGACAGATTTGAGGATTAGCCATAGGTAAAGTTTGGATTCAGAGGCAGTATTGTCAGCATTAAGTGCGTTTTGGAATGGAATGGTCTGTGAATGGCATGTTTATGCTTCCTTGGTAAAGTAAAAAGGTTTCTCCTGTTTATGGGCTTTATATTAAACATGTCAATTAATCACAGTGAAAGTGTCTCTTTTGAGTTCAGCAAGTGAGTCTGGAGTTCAGTTTACCCACTAGGCAGCAAGTCCTTCCTTCTAGGATATTCCCCATTTGTCCAGAAACTGCCTGGCAATATTAGGAAGGTGCAGCTCAGCTGTTCTATGTTTAGAGCCTGTTCATTTGGGTCAACTTGTTTCTTAAATTCTTCCTCCTGCTGGTAGCCTTTCTGTTACTGTGTTACACTGTAACTACTCTCTGTAGTTTAGCAACTCAATGTTTTTTTAACTTCAATAAAATAAGCAATTGCTCCTGAGATTTTGGCATGAATTTAGCCTAGGTTTCTGGGTAAGTAAAGTAGAAATATTTTTTAAATGGCAAACCTATTTTTGTAGTAACACATGCACATTTAAAAAACATTGTACCTGTCAATAAAATTTGAAAAAGTAAATATGCCAGTGTTTCTAGACATAAAATATATTTTAATGAAACAAAATCCTCTTTATTTTTTATGATGTTTTTACAGAATAGACACTGAATAGGCATAGCAAAAGAGCTTTTCAGTACTCTTATAAAAATGTGTCAACCATGTTGTATACAGAACACCTCTATGGGTGAGATGATAGTTCAGTAAGGATGTCGATTCAGTCTGTGGCATTGACAGAGACTGCCAACTAATGTACCACTTGCCAACTGGCACCTATTACAGTGGCTTTTCCCCTTATGATAATTGCTATCAACTGGGAATTTCATTTATTCGTTGGCACTGTAAATTTAACTTCAGTTTATGAGGCAAGCTCTAATACCTTCAGAATTTTTGTCAATTAAATTATTTGAGATTTTTCATTAGGCTGGTGTTTGAAAACATTGCATTGTTGGCTGATTTTGTTCCTCCTCATTGCACCAATTGTTTATAAAAATTACACTCCATAAGCTTTTTGAGGAAACAAGTACTGTAATGAGCACACCATTAAAAAAAATTGAGGATAATTTAAGTGATGTAGGAGCTCAGGCACTAGAAATTTATCTCAAATTGTTTTAAACATGTCATCCACCTATCATTATTTTACCAAGTTTGTCATAAGTAAAGGTTACATTTTGGTTTATGATTATGACAATGTAATTTGAATGACCTACTAGGGGAAGGACAGGAAACTTGCTTTCACGTATTTTCTCCCATGCTGATGACCTTCCCCCCTGCCCTGCCCTAATCGATATGCAATATGCAGTGGAGTTCTGCTACTGCATCGGAGAGGAGCGGTGTAAGAGAACAATCTGCTTAGGTTCAGGATCCTGCACTCATATACAGCAGAATTCTACTATCACTGTGTGAAGAGTGAGAATTCTAACAAAACTCTACCTCTGAGCTCAATTGCTGAGGATTTTCCTAAGAGAACCGGGGAACTGAGAAACTCAGTGTCATACCACTATTTTTATAATGACTAAGAAGAAAAAGCAGCCTGTTTCTATGGAATAGGTAAGAGAAGAGAGACACTTCTGTAGCAAAGTTATATAGGGCCTATTTGGGGTACAACGTGAATACTCAGAAAAACCTCCCACTATTTCAGACGTCACATTCTGCACAGAAAAGTAGCAGCTTACAATTGAAGAAACTGGAAGTCACTGCAATAACTGTAGTAACAGTAAAAATCCAACCACAGCTCAACTTGAGACTGATTGACTCAACAGTGATTCTACTAATAGAAAGAAACAGAACAGATGTGCATATTTCTGAGCATAAATATTATTTAAATCAGCATCTACTATTTTAAGTATAACATCTGGCATTCAGTAAAAAATACAAGATATACAGATGCTCTCTGACTAACACAATAGGGTTACACCCTGATAAAGCAATCCTAAATTGGAAATATTATAAGTAGAAAATGCATTTAACATACCTAACCTACTGAATATTATAGTTTAGCCTAGCCTACCTAAAACCTAGAACACTTACATTAGCCTATAATTGGTCAAAGTCATCTAACACAAAGCTTATTTTATAGTAAAGTTATTATAAACTATTTTGAACCAAAACACAAAATTTGAATTATGTTTTTTACATAATCCTCATTGCCTTCACACCACTGTTAAGTCAAAAAATTGTAAGTCATATCATTGTAAGTTGAGGACTACCTGTGCAAGGAAACAAAGCATAGGAGTAGAATCTATTGCTAAGAGGGCAAAACAGACCAAACAAAACAAACAGATAACAAAAAATCTGGACTCAGAGAAAAACCAAAAGGTTGAAAATTATAGATTGGGACTTTAATATCATTAATTTAATATAATTATTTATCATTAATATGTTAAATAATGCAAGATGAAAAGTTACAAAGTAAAATACCTTCATGTACAGATGGTGAATTTTAACAGATAAATAGAAACTTCATTAAAGAGTGCAAAGAAAATGTTAAAGATGAAAAACATGATGTCAGAAATGAAAAATACCTTTGATGTAATTATCATGACATTTGACAGGGTTGAGAAAAAAATCAATGAACTGAAAGAAAGGTCAGTGAAAATTCTACAAAGTAAAGCAAAAAGAAAAAAAAAATTTAAAAATCAACAAAATAGAGTATTCAAGAACTGATAGACAATATAAACAAGCAAACAAATAATACATTACAGAATATTTAACTGCACAATTCATCAAGTTATCTTTATTGACATTTAGTATGCTAAAGTCAAAAGACAAGAATAAACTTTATTTTAAAGTGTAACTGTGATATTCACAAAATAGGCCTTATGTTGGGTCGTGAAGTAAATCTCAATATATTCAAAATGTTGAAACCATTCAAAGTATGTTCTCAGAGCAAAAGAACATGAAGCTATAAATTTAATAAATAATAATAAATTTATAGATAATACCTGAAAAATCTGCAATGCTTAGAAATTAAACAATACATTTCTCAAGAATCTATAAGTCAAAGAAGAAATTTCACAGTGAAAGAACACTCTAGCCAGATGGATTAAGAAAAAAATAAAGACTATGCAAGTCACCAAAATTAAGGAATGCCACTATAGATTCTAAGGCCATTAATAATAAGGAAACATAAAACAATTTAGTGCCAACCAATTCAACAACTTGGTAAAATGACCAGATTCCTTGGAAGACACAAACTAACAATTTTTTTTTAACAAACCATAATACCCAAAAATGTCTAAAAATAAAACATCAGGCCCAAGTGGCTTCACTGGACAAATCTACCAAATATTTAAGGAAGAAATAATACCAATTCTACAAGAACTCATCTTAGAACTGGAAGAATAAAGACATGTTTCCAAATTATTTTATTAGGTCAGCATTACTGATACCAAATATACAGACCTTAAAAGAGAGCTATCAACTATTTTTTCCTCATGAACATTGACATGAAAATTCTAAACTAAACAACTAATAACCAATACAATGATTCACAACATCTTGACCAGGTAAAATTTACCCTAAGAATGCAAGTTTGATTCAAATTTGAAAGTTATTCTGTGTATTTTATGATATCAAAACACTACAGGCCGGGAGCGGTGGCTCACGGCTGTAATCCCAGCACTTTGAGAGGCCGAGACAGGTGGATCACTTGAGGCCAGCAGTTCAAGACCAGCCAGGCCAACATGATGAAACTCCATCTCTATCAAAAATACAAAACTTAGCTGGCTATGGTGGTGCACGCCTGTAAGCCCAGCTAGTTGGGAGACTGAGGCAGTAGAATTGCTTGAATCCTGGAGGCAGAGGTTGCAGTGAGCTGAGATCGCGCCACTGCACTCCAGCCTAGACGACAGAGCCAGGCTCCATCTCAAAACAAAACAAAACAAAAATCCTCAAAACATGACAAAGTGATAACTTTATAATAATCTTAATAGATGGAGAAAAACTTGTTAACTTGATAAAATTTAACATCAGTTTACATTTAGAACTCTAAGCAATTAGTAAGATTGGTACTTCCTCAAATTGATAAAGGCAACTAAGAAAAATCTATAGCTAACCTCATATGTAATAATGAAGCACTGAATACTTTCCTACTGAGGATGGGAATAAGACAAGGATGTCCAAACTTACCAACTTACCACTTCTATTCAACTTTGTGATGGAGATCATAAGCATTTACATAGCTTTTTTCTTTTCAATGTGGCAAGAAAAATAAATTTGGGACAAAATAACAGAAACTATCTTGTTTCATACATGACATGGTCATCTATACAGAAGAACCCTAAGGCATATAAAAAAAAGAATACTAGGGCTATAAGCAAGTTTATCAATTTCACAAGACACAAGATCAATATACAAAAATAAAATATGTGGGGTGGCAAGAAGTACCTAAACATTAAAATATGAAAATAATGTCATTTAGAATATTATATGAATATGAAATAATTAGGAAAATTTTACAAAATATGTGCAAGACAAGTAAACTAAAATTTACACTCTGTTACTGAGGTATATTTAAAAAGAGTAAAGTAAATGGTGATCTGTTTTCACATCTCAGAACACTAAGTATTATTAAGATACCAATTCTCCGCAAGTTGATCTACAAATTTAGTGCAATTTCAGTAAAATTTTAGAAGCCTTTTTTCTATAAAAATTGATAAGATAACAAATCTATATGGAATTTCAAAAGACCTAGAAAAGCTAAGCAATTTTCAATATAAAAAGCTGAGAATTCACACTATGCTACCTGATTTAGATACTTATGTAACTATAATAACCAAGGCAGTGTGGTATTGGCTTAACAACTGACACATGGAATGAAATATAAAGCCAAAGAATTTGGCAGTTGTACCTTAATAAAGCTGGGTTAAAAAAAAAAGGGTAAAAAACAAAACAAAACAAAACAACAACAAAAAACAAACAAAAGAACCGTAACCATCACCTTGACGTCATCATAAAAAATTAATTTGAAACAGGTCAGAGAATTAGTATAAAAGCTAAATTTCTAGAAAAAAACAAAACAAAACAAAAAACGTTTGCATCTTGAGTTAGGCAAGCATGGTATTCTTTAGGATGAAGAAGATACCAATCACATAAACAAAAAATTAAAACATTGGGTTACAACAAAATTAAAAATTTCTGCCCTTTGAAAGACACTAATAAGAAACCACACACACACACACACACACACACACAAACCCAAAAAGAAAACATCCAGCAGATTCTTTACCAAGTAAAATATTTTGATAGCAATTGATCCCATGAGAATATGCTCTGTTTCATAAGTTATCAAATTAATTAATGCAATTGAAATCACAATAAGTCGACAGTTTACATATAGGTGAAATGGATAATATTAAAAGACTGTCAATGCCAATATTTGGTAAGGATATGAAGCAACTGGAATACTCATACATGGTTAGTAAGTAGGCAAAATAATACAACCACTTTGGAAAATAATTTGGCAGTTTCTTTTAAAGTTAAGTAAACTTACTATATATGACACCACAATTCTACAACTATGTACTATCCAAGATAAATAAATATATATATATTTAATATATCAGAACACTATTATTAAGATATCACGTATATATAGAGGCACTCATACATACATAAATGTTCATGGGAGATTAGACACTATTCATAATATCTACAAAACGGTAAACAACTCACATTTCTATTGATTGGTCAATGGAAAACTAAGCTGTGATAGCTATACAATGGGATACTATTTAGCAATTAAAGGAACAAACTACTAATACATGCATCAGCATGGATTAATCTCAAAACTATTATGCTGTTGAAAGAAACCAGATACTAAAGCATACATAAATTACGATTCCACTTGTATCACATTTATAAAAAAAAACTATGGGGACAAAAGACAAATCAGTAGTTGTCAAGAACTCAAGAGTGTCAGGAGGTGATTGTCTGCAAGGGGACAGAAGATAATTTTTGAGGTGATGGAAATATTTCATATTGTGATATTGGTGGTGGTTGTTACAGTATATATTTGTCTGAGGTCATTGAATCGTACACTTAGAAAGACCCAATTTTATACAAATTTATTTCAATGAACTTCACTTAAATAATCCTACAAGAATTTCTGTATGTGAGCAGGGCCTAGTGATTATTGAATAAATGGATTGCAAGCTGAGCTGGCGGAACAGCCAATTTATTGGGGAAAACCTAATGTCAAGATGCTTATGTATTTTCTCATTGACCGATCAGATTCTCCAGAGAAGGTTTCTTCCCCTTATCTTCTAATAAGATATAAGCTTGGCAGTGGAGTTTTAAGGACTGAATAATAAAAGAGGGCTGGGATCTGAACATTCTGTTTATAAGCCTATGTTTAATGCTGTTTTCAGTAAAAGATCTTGACTGCAAATCATGTTTGGTATCCCCAGTCCACAGATCCTCTGATTTACTCTCTTCAGAGAATTGAACTTCAATCTTTTGCCAGTGTGAGTAGGCACCATGACTCATTTGGATGGTGTGGGTAGGAGACCTGTGGGGTGGCCTAACCGCTTAGACTTTCAGCCAGCTCTCCTGCCTTTATTGCAGCTTTCATTTCTGTCTCCAGAAGCCCTGATGCCACCTGCTTCCAGGCTTATTAGAAGTTCAGAATGAATTTACTCTGCCTTCCCTATAGTACTAGTTTTAGATACCAAGATTTTAACTTTTTAAAATGTGTTACTTTTTGCTAAATGAGTTCCCACATTTCTTCTGCTTTCCAATTCCAAACTTCTATTCTAGTGTCTCTTTTACTGTCCTGTGAGACTTAGTTACTATTTGACCTTGTAAATTTATATCTAAAAATAATTTTAACGCTAGGTTTTGGCAGAGAAAATACTTAAGTGTGTGTTTTTGATCCACCAAATTTATGTGTTTTTAGAGTGTGTATTGTTCTCTCTTCATTTATGGGAAAATGCAAAAGTGTTCTTGTTGTTCTCAGAGACATTGATATGATTGAAGTAAAAGTTTAGAGGAAAAACACTATATGAGGTAGATGTACCTCTAGGAAAAGAGGGCAGTCAGATTGCAAATAAGCTTCACCTGTCATCTTATACCTTGAATAATTCACTTGATCTGGCTTTCACATTGAGAGGTTCACAATATTAAATTTATTAGAACAATGCATGTAGATCTACCTTTTATTTATTCATTTATTTATGTAATGAATGACTTTTAGCCCTTAGCATGTATCAGAGTATGGGTTCAAATTATACATCGCAAAAAATTTAAAACCAGAATGTCAATATGCTAATTTCCAAAAATAAATAGAGCTATCATGTGTGCATGCATATTTACAGGAGCGTAGCCAGCACAATCTTTCCCTTTAAGCTGGTCTACATTGGAAGCCAAATTATATGTTGAAGTTTGCTGAAGCAGGGCAGGAAAGTCTTACGATCCAGATATTTGTTGGCATCTGAATATGAGAGGACTAGATTTACCAGAGGACCTGGTGTGATTGAGCCATTGGCAGTGAAGCCATTTCCTTTGGACAGGGCTTCAGTGATCCTTGCCAAAACATGGCTCTCCAATACTTATTTTTGACTTCTACTGCTAATGCATCTCCTTAAAATAAATTTTTTATATTGACCCTGAACACTTTATGTATTTCAACATGACTTTGCTTATTTCTCCTGTGATGTGTTATGTACTATTTTATACTTAAAATCTCAGATCTCAATTTTATGTCCAACTTGTCAGCATAAGCCCTTATTATGCCCTTCACATGTATAGTATTATTGTAAATTGTTAAATGGTTGTATTCTGAAAAACATAATCTGATTTTGTTTATTTGTAATATCATTTAAATATTACTCTCTAAACAAAAGCAAATATGAAGTTTAACAGTATTTTGCAAAATTCACTTATCAGGCATATTTTTAATATTAATGTTGTAAACACTCCCACAGACACATGTAAATATGTGATTTAAGTTTATTTTAATTTTTAATGATGAAAGGTGTGAAACAGATGCACCTAAAATATAACGTCATGATTTACTGCTAATATTTTAAAATATCAAATTAATAAAAATTTGAGAAATAGAACAGATTTTATCTCCCAAGAAACAGGAAAAGAAGTATCATCAAGACAGATATGTGTATCAAGGGTTAGCTTTTGGTTTTTAAAAACGTAAGAAAAAATAACTTGATGCATGGAATAGAACTAGTAAGATGAAAGTGAAACTTTGGCCTTGAAGCAGTATGGTTAAACAAAAATGCTATTTACTTAAATTAAGAAAAAACAAACCTGATGATTATAAGTTTCTACCTCTTAAAAGGTTTTAGATTAATGTTAGTTATCATGTAGAAACAAAACACATATTAAAATTAATTTACATAATTTTATAATATAATTAGATTTTGCATGTGTATGTGAGACAGGGTCTCACTTTGTTGCCCAGGCTTGAGTGCAGTGGTACAATCATGGCTCACTGTAATCTCTGCCTCCCAGGCTCATGTGACTCTCCCACCTTAGCCTCCTGAGTAGCTGGGATTGCAGGTGTGCGCTACCACACCAGCTAATTTTTTAACATTTTTATAGAGATGAGATCTCACTACATTGTCCAGGCTGGTCTTGAACTCCTGGGCTCAAGCTATCCTCCTACCTTGGCCTCCCAAGCTGCTGAGGTTACAGGTATGAGCCACTGTGCCTGGCATATCATTAGTTTTACTAGTCAACATTATATTGGTTTTTCTAATGAAATTTATGTACAGTCATCAAAAGACTCTGCAGCAGATATAAATTCAGCTTCTTACCTCTGGCCACTATGGTCACATTCAGCCTGTTATAGCTTAGGGCCAGCACGTGTTAGTTTAGGAATCAAGAACAATAGAAGCCAAAAGATTTCTGCAGTTGCTTCAGTTTTGATTCAATAAGAGTCTAGAACTGATAGGGAAATTATTAACCAATATTTGTCATAAGCAGAGGGGCTTTTCTGGGTCAAACATTAAGGAATAATATTAAAATTATGTTGCTTTCTATCATAAAAGATAGAGAATTTTAGTAAGTGTGAAATGCATGCTGCAAATTATACCTGAAAAAAAAGGAGAAAAGAATCAAAGGACCAAATAAGCTTCTTAGTATCAGAAAAGGAGAAATCGTTGACAAAGACAAGAGATGAGAGATAGAAGGTCACTGAAAAGCATTGAAGAGCATTGAAGTAAAATAATAGAGCTTTATCTATCTAATTTCCAGGAAAAGTATTTATTATTCATAGGAAAATTAGAAAATCATATAAAAAACTCATTATCTGGTATAGTTTGGAAATCGATGTCCAAAATTTCAAAAAGTATATATTCATAAATGAGATCAGGATACATCATCACATAAGCTTTAACAAGAGTTAATTTTAGCCTTCTTTATGTTTTGCAATGAGAAAAATCACAGAGAGATCAAAAGAATACTTTTTTTTATTATTACATCACTGAAAACATATGAACTTCATGTCTGAGTGTTTTGCAAGATAAATTCATTTTATTCTGCAAAATCCACTGTACATTGTTTTAGGGAAATCACTAATCAGATGGGTCATTTAGTCACCTCCAATCTAGCTGATTTTTTATTTTTATTTTTTAAATAAAGCTTCTGCAAGTTTTAATAGTATGCTGTATTCTATTTTGAGCCTATGGGTTTTCCCCATATGCATGGTTTATCAGAGTGTTTATAATAAGTGAAAAGATCTAGGTGCTACTTAGGGTAATGACACTTACTAGAATAGTTTTTTCCAGTAACTAACTTTTTGTGTGCTGTTTTGAATAAGCAAGATATCTATATTTCAGAGGTTAAATGAAATGGGTGGAAAACAGAGGATTAAATACATATAAAAAGTTGTGTTTTAATCTTTTCCAGAATAAAAGAAAAATCAAGAAGACAATTAGAAATGTGATTTCTAGACTCTGGCTTTGAACATGGGTATTGATTTTTAAAAATATTTTCTGATTTCTTTTCCTAGCGTTTGTTTTAGCCTTGATCATGCACGCAGTCTCATTTATCTTATTTTCACTCAGTAAACAATTAATTGAATCAACAACCTGTATTTACATACCTATTTGGGTTCAAAGGATACAAGAATGAATAGATGAATAAAAAGCATCTCTTACAAAGGCACTTACTCAGGGGAGTTTGTTTAGAGATTGTTATCTAAGGGTTTGTCTGTGTGTGGGAGTTTGGTTGGAGAAAGGGAGTGCTGGTGTGGGAGGTAGGGCATAGGGAAGAAGTGCTGCACCCATAGTAGACTTCATTGATACCAATATATTTTAAAATGAACTAGCTAACTCCAGTCACAACTGTATTATGTAAATTGTATCTTTAGAAATTATCTAGATTAGCCAGGCATGGTGGCAAATTTCTTTAGTCCTAGCTTCTCAGGAGCTCACCTTACCAGAGGATCACTTGAACCCAGAAGTTCAAGGTTGCTGTGAATTATAATCATCCACTAAACTTCAGCCCAGGCAGCAGAGAGTGAGAGACCTTGTCTCTTAAAAAAAAAAGAATGAAACACAAGTTATCTAAAGCAGTCATGTTTATTACTTCCTTATTTTTAGGTTGGGTTGAAGAAAAGACTGGAGATCACTTTTCATTTTTGAGAACAAATTGAATGATATTAGTAATTTTAGACAAAAGTCTTGAAAGCATTTCAGAAATCCCACAGAAATTTTCTTTCAGGGCTATTTCCCAATAGATCAGATCATTCCTCACATTTCCAGTCCTTTGGGAGAAAAAATGAGCTCTCAATGACTGTTATGGAATGAATTGCCTTTGTTCCCACTCTCTCTTTGTTTTTTCATCTAGAATGAGATTCTATTGAATTATTGGTACATTTTTGTTATGGGATCCCTGGAGTGTAGCTTGTTCAGCTGGAAACTTCTTTGGCCAATGGAGCCTTTGCCCAAGTTTTGCTTGGGCCCACTGGGCCCACTTGGCCTATCAGGCTGTGCTTGGCTCACACTACTGGCCTGGATCCTATGCCTGGGAGCAAAGCAGCAAGGGGTGTGTGAGCAAGTGAGAGTGAGGTCTGGACACCACGCACAGCCAGTCATGCTGCGAGGTTGCAGCTAGACCAGATGTACCATAAGCAGCTTCCAGGGCTGGCACTGGGGAACATGATGGCACCTGGAAGCTTGGAGACACCAGAAGCTGCAGAGCCCCAGAGAGGTTGTCACAGCCCTGACCCAGGGAGCTCCTAGGTCTGGGGTCCCTGAAGGGCCACAGCTCTTTTCTCCTTCATGTCACCTGCAATGTGGTGAGCAAGGGGTGTGTTTCAGCCCCATTTGTTTTACAGTTCTTTCAGCCCTGACATTTGGCAGGTCCTGAGTTCTTATTCCATGGCCCAGGAAGAATGAGATACATGGAGAAGTGGAGGGTGAGCAAGGTGAAGAGGAGCTTTATTGAGCAATAGAACAGCTCGGACAAGACCCACAATGGGTAGGTGCTCTCTGCAGCCAAGGTGTCCTGATGAGTGTTCAGTTCTCAGCAGAGAGGAGACTCTGTGGTCGGTAGCTCCTTTCCACAGCTGGATGTCCCAATGTCTTTTCAGCTTTCAGTAGAGAGGAGACCCTGGGGTGGGTAGCTCCTCTCCACAGCTTGTCAGCTCCTCTCTGCAGCTGATTGTCCCATCATCTCTTTTTGAGCCTGGCTGAGTCCAGGGTTTTTATGGGCTTCAGAGAAGAGGAAGTGCATGCTGATTGGTCCATGGGCAGCTATAGGTGGTTGACAGGACTGGTAGCCTAGCCACCAGGCTTCAGGACTTCCCCAGCTTAGAGATGGGGCTGCACTGGGGACCCACCCCTTTCCACCCGTGAGCCTGTTTTTCTTCTGCTGCTGTTCCTGAAACCCAGGCTGTTTGTGCCAAGGGGCATCTGCAGCCCAGTGCCAAGCTACCCTCAACCCCACCTTGGCCTCTCTCCTGTGCTCCTCAGTGCTCAAAGTCTGGAGGGGGCTGAGATGGCAGGGTGATAGCGTGTCAGTGCTGCCCCGAGTGTGCGCACACCCAGCCAGGTTACAACAGTGCCTGGGCCTGCAGCACGGCTTGGGTGGCTGCAGCTGTTCCTGTGAGAGCAAGGCTCCTTCCTGCTGCTTGCCCCCAAGAGCACAGGGATGCTTGCGTTTGCAGCCACTGCTGGGCAGCTATAGCTACACCCGAAGAGAGAGAGGCTCCCACCCTGCCAACTCAGAAGGGAATGAGGCTTCCACTTGTTCTCAGGTCCTGCTGGTTTCCTGAAGTGTGCAGCGTGGGCTGCACCTCCCTCACTACAGCTGGCATCATCACAGTCACCACTAGAGTCTGGCCATGGCTGCTATCATTATTATATAAACTGATAAGAAATTGTGGGGAGCCACCACTTCTGGAATGAACTGGAAGGTCATCAATCTTTTTTGCACAGCTCCAGAGAGATAGCTTAAAATATTTCATTGACTTCTTAACCTTGAAAACATACAATAAAAACTAGGACATGAATTTTAAAAAGAGCAATACAAATGTAGTGGTTGGAGGGACTGACTTTGGAAAAATATTAAAATAACTGAATATGGATAGTTTTCTGAAAAAACAACTCAGGAGGCTATGGTGACTGACTACAAATATTTGTATTCTTAGAGGAGATAATCCTTCATGGTAGGTAGTTTAGAGGCATTATGAAGTGGCAAGGAGGTGGACCTATAAGAAAGCAAATTTAAGTTCAGTGTTAGCTAATTATTTAAAGTGAAGTGTATCAGTTTGAGGGAAAGACAAATATTCCCTGGGCAAAGTTTTGATTTACTCCAAATCAAGAAGCAGCAAAACAGAATATGCTCTTGGCTATTGTCAATGAAGACAGAAGATAAGTATCAATCCTGATATTATTTATTTCTTTTATGTTTGATTATTTAAATAAGTCACGTGGGGACAACTTTTGAATGCCTAAAAGGAAAAGGTAAAATGAAAATATTTGGAGGGTATCAGAATTTTTAAAAATTCATGACAAAAATGATCTGGGATACATAGAATCCTCATACAAAGCAGAAACCTAATTATAGTTTAGTTCAATTAAACCTTGATCATGCATTGTAATTCATCTGACTACAGAAAGTGTTATGTCAATCACAGATAATTCTCAAACCTTATTTTACCAACTATATTCAAGCTCCATCAAATTGTTCCTAAGCTATTAAAAAGGAGACAATTAGCTGATGGATCTTATATCTCTTTTTTATTTCTCTGCTCACCTACTGGGGTAGTTCTGGATGAGTAGTGAAATTGCCAAAATGAAAGTTATCTTGAGGAGTGAGTGGAAGAAACACCAGGTCAAGTGCTCCACAGTGCAGACAATTACACTTAATAACTTAGAGGTGGCTGTGGTTTATTACTACTGACAAGGAAGATTTTCTAAGAAAATAGAAGTTATTGCTATTTTAAAATAAAAAAAAAGTACACTGCTCTTTATAAGAAGTCAAACTACTCAATACTACATTGCATTATAGCTGTTACTGTAATGTATTAACATCTGAAAAAATATTTCTTATTCCCAAAGGTGAAGGTAGGCTAGCAAATTGACTTCTTTGTAAATTTTTATTCACTAGTAATGAGTAATGTGCACTTAAACTTTTAGAGAGCAAAATGTAAATTGAATATATAATGTTTTTCAAAAATCAGCTACCTTGTGGAGGTATATATATATATATGGTTGACAGGACTAGTAGCCTGGCCACCAGGCTTCAGGCCTTCCCCACCTTGGAGATGGGGCTGCACTGGGGACCCACCCCTTTCCATCTGTGATCCTGTTTGTCTTCTGCTGCTGTTCCTGAAACCCAGGCTGTTTGTGCCAAGGGGCATCTGCAGCCTAGTGCCAAGCTACCCTCAACCCCACCTTGGCCTCTCTCCTGTGCTCCTCAGTGCCCAAAGTCTGGAGGGGGCTGAGATGGCAGGGGGCTAGCATGTCAGTGCTGCCCCCAGTGTGCACACACCCAGCCAGGTTACAACAGTGCCTGGGCCTGTTTGTCTTCTGCTGCTGTTCCTAGGACAGGAATTTTAAAAAATAAAAAAATATATATACACATTTATATATATCTATTTATATATATAAATGTTGTAGATGTCAGGAAATTGTCTATTTCCAGGAGAAACTTTGATGTCCTCTCTTGTTACTTTTACATGCTGGCTCTAAAAGTGCAGTTGAGGAATCATAGAAGCAGTGAGAACTCGGTAGATGGGTTATGTAACTTGTTCTTCCATCAGCAGCAGGGATTTACCTAAACTACCCCAGATAATGAGACAATCAGTATCTTGAAGATTTGCAATGTGTGAGATATCATCTTTCTTTCAATGACTTCTTCTGATGCTACCAGCTAAACCTATTTCTTCTTATTTTACTTTTTGTTTAAAAAACCTGCTGCTAAATATTTCCTATTTAATAATTATTCATATACTTGAGATCAGTCTCATCATCTAACAACATTTTCTTCTTTGAGAATGACAACACAATACATCCTTGATATAGGAAAAAACTTATTTTGCCTAATTCCCTTTATTTAATTTCACTACCAATTTTGAAGTGACATTTCTTGGTTCGGTTCCATCCAGTCATTTTGAGCAGGGTTATTCAGTACTTTTGTCTCTTGGGAATAGTTATAGACTGGATACTAGGAAAGTCTCAAGATTTCTGTAATTCCCAAAAGGGAGATGCTCACAATTGAGACTATACAGTACTATCCCAGGGGATTAGATTCAATACTAGAGACATCTAGATCGAATTTCCCCTGCATGGGTTTTACTTGAGTGTCTGGAAAAGAATTTAGCAAAACTCATTAAGAGAGATGCTTATAAATCTTTAAATATCTATTGGACACGGCCCTGATTTTTGTGTTCAATTTTATTTAATTCTCATTATAATGCTTTGAGGTCGATATTTTTATTGTTTCCATTTTCATATAAGGAAAAATTGGACATAAACAAGTTAAAGAATTTGCCCAAGTTTACCCAGATGTTTATGTATTAGAGGCAGCTGTCAAAATTGTGTCTGACTTTAGTACGAAGTTGTCATGCTCTCCTGGATCCACCAAGGAGGCAAGATTCAGCAGTCCTAATTCATAGAAATGACTGGAGCAGAACTTATCCATTCATGGGTGAGTGAAGAAGCAGGCATTTAGCTTGTTGTAGACTCTAGTGTGGGGAACAACTTATACAGCAATCTATTAATAAAACTCACTCATAGGGAAATTTGTTCAAGCTCTTGATTGGTGAGTGATAATAAGGGCTTTGGTAAACACAACAGACCAATCTAACTAAGACATGAAATCATAAAGACAATCAGCAGAAGAAATAGACCCATAATTAGGACCTGTTTCCTCAGTTCAGTCTAGTATTCATGTCCTAGCCTCAGCTATAGGCCCTGCATTATTGTATAGATAAAAATATGCACCTAAGTTGGCTCTCCAAAAATGTGTATAGTTCCTATTTCAATTCACCTTTTTGATAATTCTAAATGGCCTCAAATAAAATAATCTTTCCACATAGAATGATGGATAGACAAACGTTAGAAACCAGACTTGAAATTGCTCTATAAGACAATTTTAGTCAAAACTCTGCTACTTAGAATAGGTAAAACCACAACCTTTCCCTGATGCTTTATTATCAATATTTATTTCATGTTTTAGGTCCTTGTCAAAATCAAAGTTTATTTATTTTTCTAGGCTTGAACTACTCAAGTAATTAGGCAACATTTCTGGATCATGAATTGTTTAAACCATCCCCCCAACTTGTCATTTTATTCATTATCCAAAATGGCATTATAAACATTCTTTCAAGTCTTTTCTCAAATTTTACCTTCTCAGTGATGACCTCATTATCTTATTTAAATTGCAACCTCACTACCAGCTTTCCTACATCCTTTACCTCCTTACACTGTTCTACTTTTAAACTTTATGTTTTACTTTAAAAATTTTAACTATATAGCTTATTACCTTCTAACACGTGTGCATCTGCATTTACTCACAAACGTTTATAGGTTATAATTTAAATATTGTATTAATTGTCTGTCTCCTGCCACTAGAATGTAAGTTCTATAGGGCAAGGATAATTGTTAGCTTTGCACATTATTGTATTCCTAGTGCCTAGAATGATGCTTGCCACTTGTAGTATCAACACTCAATAAATACTTAGAAATAAATAAATTAATAACCAATTAGTATCATTCACACTAATTTCAGCTCCCTAGTTGAAACATTAATTTTTTAAAAGACTGTAAATGTATGTTTGTTTGTTTATGTTACAGAGAAGGCAAAGAGAATCATTGGTTTATGCTTACCACTTGACAGCTGCTTCACATGGTGTAAATATTCTGGCTTATTTTATCAATCTTCTTTTACCAAAAACAAGTGAACAGACAACATCCAGTAAGACTTAATTTACTACGTTATTTGAAACAGTTCAGGGGGCATATCCTTCTTCAATCCATATTACTTATATGAAAATATCAAGCAGGCAGTGTTTTTAAAGGAAACAAATTCTTACAAAATTTTTGCAGGCATAATTGTTTTCATAAAGTTACATAATCCTTGCAACTATCTTATGAAGTTTGTTCTATTGAACTGCTACAAGTTTTAATATCTTATACAATATTACTCCTTCATAAGTACGTGAACTAGTATTATGACTGAAGTTGCCTGGCCTCAGAGTCTGTATTCTAAGACCTGCTACATGATACAGTTTCACATCTTAATTTGCTCTTTTTCTGAAGATGGAGGGGAAATTGATTGTGTGGTGAGGGTTGGAGGTGAGGCATATTGTCTTGTCTTTTTTAGTCCCATACAGGGAAATTTTACAAATTCTCTTCCAAAACACTGAATTATAACTCAAAACTAGGGAAGACATGTATTGGTCTGTACAAGTTCTAATGTCAGCCTTCAGGTCAATTCAAAGCACTCAGAGTTCATAGCTTATGAAAAGTATCAGCTTTGAATTAGGATACTTGAGGTTAATTGGTATATGCTTATCTAAAGAGAGATATAGGAATATACCAGTTACTAGGCAATAAAAGCAAGAGATTGAGGTCAATACCAGACACTTCCCCAGAAAGAAAAACAAAACCAAATGCTGTTGTATCAATGCCAAGGGTCATCAAACAGCCATGAAATAAAGTGTCAAGGCCAGCAGATAAAAACAGCCTGTGTGTTACAAAGTCCCAGATCTTTATAAACCTACTTTTTAATGGTGAAAACTCTTAAATAATTGTATTTGAGATGCTTTGCTGCAAATTAACAAGGTCATAGGCAAGCTACAAGGATACTAAATGTGCCTTTGAAAATTCACTGAGATATTTAAGGCAACATTAAACTGTAGACATTCACTTGGACTCTGTTATTGATTAGTGAGCTAGTTGTGCTGAAACATCAACACAGTAATTAGTATGTCCTCTAATTAGTTCAAACTCCTTCTGCCTCCTCTCTTCCTTTGAGCATTCCTTGGCAATAAAAGAGGCAAAGAGGTTATAAATGTAGAACCCCATATAATTTTGTTATCATTAAGTGTGCTTGATTCAATTACAGCCTATAAAGGAATGATAACTTCCTTGGCTCTTTTTCTATTGCTTTAAGGCTTAATTATGTTACTATATTTCAGGCTTTAATGATAATCTATTATTTACCTTATTTATTGTGCGTAAATATATATTTTCTATTGCATTAGAAACAGTTGAAAGAAGACTTCTAAAACGGTAACTTCTTAGAAATTCTTTTCTTAGCCTGAACCAACTATCAGCTAACCTATCTCAGAAGAGAACATTTAATAGTACTGATCATTAGGTTTTTTAGTCAATAGGTTGGCAACATATGAGATGGTTTTCCACTGTCTACAAAACCCCTGGTGCTGAATGGACTCCTGAGATTGATGATGCATGTATGTTTTAGCACCTGAAATGCAGGAAAACCCAAATATATGGCTCTGAAAGTAAGTAGAGCGAAGTTGTGTTTGTTTTATGCTGGTCGGAGATTCCTCCAGCAAGACAGTTCTAAGTAGTCAGACATCTATTGTGTAAACACTGCTTGAAGAAAAACCCAAAGTAGGTTTTCCTGATCCAAATTCCATTAGCACTTCATTTTATAGGTCACATGAATAACTAAGAAACAACAGAACCTGAGATGAGAAACTGACTGTGAGTCACAGCATCTGGCTTCAAATATAAAATTCTATATATGTAGGCTTTGGATGTCTGGGTGTTCTGGAGTGCAAAGGGAGAGTTCTGGTCATGAGGCATAAGTGGTACTAAAGACATGCCCGCAGAAACTGCAAAAATGGTTGGTGGTCATCTAAACTTGCCTTCTGTGTGTAGACCTCACAAGAATATTTTTACCTATGTCTAAGTAAATCTAGAGTGGTGTAAATGGAGAGTCACATTATGCTTATTAGTGAACACCCTATCTGAACAAATCCCCTCTAGCTAGAGGAAAAATAGACACAATAATGAGGCCTATGACAGAAGCTTATAGAGTGAAATTAAAGGCTTATCCTGAAGATTTTCATGGCATACATAGCCTCTGTCAAACAGAAGCAAAAACCAAAGTATAAGCTAAGAAGAATAGAGAGCAGAATGAATTTCCAAGTCTGTGGCTAAGATAAAAATGGAGGTGAAGAAGATGAAAATATTTGTAAAATAACAAAATTAACATAATAACCAAAAATCAACATTAGAGCATTTATTGAATATTATTAATCCTGGGGGAAAGATCACTCATGAAGTGACAAACTAGAAAATATTTTTCAAATTTGAAAGAAAGGATATAAAATAAAAATAATGAGAGAGACAGTGATTGATATGGAGATTCAAATTATGGGAATAACTAGAAAGAATCCAAAGCAATACAGTAAAAACTTGTTTTACAAAAATTTGAATTATAAAAATAACCCTAAATTAAAAATAAAGTCCAGAGCCTATAAGCATCCAAACAGAAAAAAATGCTAACTATGAAGAAATAAAAATTAAAGTCATTTTAATTTTTTCTTGTGCTACATTAAATTCCTGGAGCAATGAAGAAATATTATAAAATTAAAACAAATGTCATCAACTGAAAATGTTATACATAGCCAATTTTACTGCTAATTAGCATAAAAATAACTTAGTATGCATACTCAACATTTTTGGATGAAAATGTATGCTGAAACAAACCAAAATTATTTAAGGATAAAATTTTAAAATTAAAGCAAAAAAGTTTTTATTGATAATACTAAACTAAAGACATTGATCTGACTTCTTACGTACAAATTAATGGAACCTTAACAATAATAACAAAACTCTAGAATTATCTCTGCTTTATAAATAAAGAAATCAAGGTAGAGTTAAGTTACATAATAGACTAAATTCATGTTAAGAGCCAGGATCAACTTTAGGCAATATATGGCTTTATGACCTCACTCACTCTGCTATGCTGCCTCAAAAATTGTGGTGCCACAGAAATGGTCGTGGCATGCGGCACTGAAACCAGATAAATATATATGTTTGTAGAAAATTTGTCACATGTAAATTTTCAAATGTAAAAATAATTTAAAAGCAACCTGGAAACAATGATTTGACAAGAGGCTGATCCTTTTGTTGAAATCCTCTCTCTTTCTTTGTGTGTGTGTGTGTGTGTGTGTGTGTGTGTGTGTGTTTTAAAACATTTTAAAAGTATGACATAAAAACCGCCTCAGTGTAAAATCATGCTGTAGTTTGGGAAGTCCCAAAGACCACCCCTACGTTCAATGATTCATTAGCAAGATTCTCAGAACTAAGGAAAGCCATTAGACTCATGTTTACTGTTTATTATGGTGTAACAATGTAGATTAAAATAAGAATAGGAAAAATACACACATGGCAATGTCTAGGAGATACCAGGAACAAGCTTTAGGTTGTCCTCTCCCAGTGGATTTGAAGGGATAGCGCTTATTTCTACCAGCAATGATGCATGGCAACATGCACAAAGTACAGCCATATGTTGCTTGACAACAGGGATACATTCTGAAAAGTGTGTGTGTTAGGTAATTTCATTCTTGTGAAACCATTATAGAGTGTACTTACACAAACAGATAGCATAGCCTACTACCCACCTAGGCTCATGGTGTAGCCTATTGCTCCTAGGCTACAAAACTGTATGTTTCTTTATTGAATACTGTAGGCAATTGCAACACAATGGTAAACATCTGTGTATATAAACAGATGTAAATGTAGAAATGGTACAGTAAAAATATGGGCACAGTTGTTTATGCAGTCTCTTTGACTAAAACGTTGTTATGTGGTGCGAGACTATATTCCAAACCAGGGAAGCTCCAAGGTAGGTCAAGCTGATGTCAAGTGTTCCAAGCCCTTTCTGTCATGGCCCAAAGTCTCTATGAAAACAAAGACATTCTTCAGAAACAGGATATTCCAGGGATTTAGAGATTTCCTTTCAGGAGTGAGGAACAAGTGTCATACCTTTCTTTGAGATAGGCAGGGACAACAAACAGTTACTGAGTTAGTCATTTACTGCATACATACCAACAATACATTAACCAATGATTTAAAGAGTGAAAATCAATCTTTGCCATTTTCTTGTTGATGTTATTTGTGTCATTTCCAGTTATTTTTCAATCTTTTGGTAATACAAACAATACTTGAATGTCCTGGTATGTAAGTATACAAATTTTATTCTTTTGAGTTTTACAAGTGTTGAGCTTACAAATGTTGAGTTTTATAAGTGTTGAGTATGCACATTTAAAATTTTGGTTGACATTTCAATAAGATTTGGGGTTGGTCTGTGTATTAGTCCATTTTCATGCTGCTGATAAAGACATACATCAGACTGGGTAACTTACAAAAGAAAGAGGTTTAATGGACTCATGGTTCCATGTGGCTGGGGAGGCCTCACAATCATGGCAGAAGGTGAAAGGCACATCTCACATGGCAGCAGAGAAGAGAAGAGAGAACCAAGAGAAAGCGGTTCCACTTTTAAAACCATCAGATCTCACGAGACTTATTCACTATCATGAGAGTTGGATGGGAAAGACTAGCCACCATAATTCAATTACCTTCCACTGGATCCCTCCCATAACACGTGGGAATTGTGGGAGTTACAATTCAAGATGAGATTGGGTTGGGGACACAGCCAAACCATATCAGTCTGATATTTGAGTCTTCTGAAACAGAAATACAGTATTTCCCCTTTTCACGTATGATTTGGCCTGATTTTTATAATTGTTTACATAACTAACAAATATTCAAGGTATTTACTCTTTTATTTCTTAGTGTATAAATTTGACCGTTACTTATTACATTTTATAATTATTTATCTCTGTTGTCCTGATATCAGAAAATGACATTTTTTATATTGGTCTTAAAAAACAAAGGTCATTTCAACTTTCTTCTTACTTTAAAATACTTCCATTTAGTTGTCATTGATTTCCTAGGTGCGTAGATATATAATTTGCAAATAATAGCAGTGTGTTTTCTTCCTTTCTTATATCTGTACTATTTACTACTTTTCTTGCTTTATTACATGCAGTTAGCATTTCAGAACAATATCAACTATTGGCTCTTTTCATCTTGTTCCTGACATTAAAGGGATTGTTTCACATCAAGCATGATATTTCCTATAGTTTTCTGATAAGCCTTATTCAGAATAATGACCTCTCCTGCTTTTTCAGATTTACCAAATTTTCTGCTTCTAAGCATAGCTGTTAAAGTTTTGTTCAAAGCTTTTACTTTATCATCAAGATATCTATGTTTTTCATTTCCTTAAAACAATAAAATAGTGACATATGATATTGATTTCCAAAAGCAGACCTCTCCTTCTTTCCTGGAATACAATCTAGTTTTCATACACTAATATTTTATTTGGTGATATTCTATATCTATGGTTATAAATCCATTACTTAAAGAGTGTTTTTGAAAACTGGGTAATAATGAAAAGTAATTTTAAATAAATGGGATTTAGAACACAGAGAACAAAAAAACAAAGAAATCTTATTCCATCTTTTAGATCATATATAATAAAATAGAAAAATTATGATATATGAATAATAAGACACAGTGGCAGGAGCTAGGTCAGTTAGTTCAACTATGCTAGTAATTTTAAATCATAAATTTATTTTATTAGAAAGACGACAAGTTCATATTGGTTTCTTAAAAACTTCACCAAAGTTGCTTAGAAAGACTCTTCAAAAATTAAAACAATATAATTATAAATAAAAGATAGTTCAAAAGTAATTAAGTAAAGAAAAGAAATAATAAAATCACCCTAAGAGCAATAACCTCTACATTTAAGCACTTCATATGTGCAAGGTGGTGCATGTACATTGCTAACTTTATTCCCTAAACAATCTGGCTAGTGGGGCACTTATTATTATTATGTTACAAATAAAGAAACTGGGATTTGGCAGAATAAAGTTACCTGTTAATGGAAGAAGAATACCTGGGAGTGTTAAGATTCAAAACTGGGGCTATTTAGCTCAAAAGCCACACTCTTTTCACTATGCTATACTGACAGTGCCTCTGCTGAGAAACGTAAGATTGAACCTGAGGTAACAAGAAAAATCTCAGAGTAATAATTACAATTTAATGTGAATATTAATGCAGTTTGGGGCACCAGATATGGGAGGAAAAAAACATATGGAAGAGGGGAGAAGCCAAGATGGCCAAATAGGAACAGCTCTGGTCTACAGCTCCCAGCGAGAACGACGCAGAAGAGGGGTGATTTCTGCATTTCCATCTGAGGTACCGGGTTCATCTCACTAGGGAGTGCCAGAGAGTGGGCGCAGGACAGTGGGTGCAGCGCACCGTGCGCCAGCCGAAGCAGGGCGAGGCATTGCCTCACTCGGGAAGCGCAAGGGGTCAGGGAGTTCCCTTTCCTGGTCAAGAAAAGGGGTGACAGACGGCACCTGGAAAATCGGGCCTCTCCCACCCCAATACTGCGCTTTTCCGACGGGCTTAGGAAACGGCGCACCATGAGATTATACCCCACACGTGGCTCGGAGGGTCCTATGCCCACGGAGTCTCACTGATTGCTAGCACAGCAGTCTGAGATCAAACTGCAAGGCAGCAGCAAGGCTGGGGGAGTGGCACCCGCCATTGCCCAGGCTTGCTTAGGTAAACAAAGCAGCCAGGAAGCTCGAACTGGGTGGAGCCCACCACAGCTCAAGGAGGCCTGCCTGCCTCTCTAGGCTCCACCTCTGGGAGCAGGGCACAGACAAACAAAAAGACAGCAGTAACCTCTGCAGACTTAAATGTCCCTGTCTGACAGCTTTGAAGAGAGCAGTGGTTCTCCCAGCATGCAGCTGGAGATCTGAGAACGGGCAGACTGCCTCCTCAAGTGGGTCCCTGTCCCCTGACCCCCGAGCAGCCTAACTGGGAGGCACCCCCCAGCAGGGGCAGACTGACACCTCACACGGCAGGGTACTCCAACAGACCTGCAGCTGAGGGTCCTGTCTGTTAGAAGGAAAACTAACAAACAGAAAGGACATACACACCAAAAACCCATCTGTACATAACCATCATCAAAGACCAAAAGTAGATAAAACCACAAAGATGGGGAAAAACCAGAGCACAAAAACTGGAAACTCTAAAAAGCAGAGTGCCTCTCCTCCTCCAAAGGAACACAGTTACTCACTAACAAAGGAACAAAGCTGGACGGAGAATGACTTTGACAAGTTGAGAGAAGGCTTCAGACGATCAAACTACTCTGAGCTACAGGAGGAAATTCAAACCAAAGGCAAAGAAGTTGAAAACTTTGAAAAAAATTTAGATGAATGTATAACTAGAATAACCAATACAGAGAAGTGCTTAAAGGAGCTGATGGAGCTGAAAGTAAAGGCTCGAGAACTACGTGAAGAATGCAGAAGCCTCAGGAGCCAATGCGATCATCTGAAAGAAAGGGTATCAGTGATGGAAGATGAAATGAATGAAATGAAGCAAGAAGGGAAGTTTAGAGAAAAAAGAATAAAAAGAAACGAACAAAGCCTCCAAGAAATATGGGACAATGTGAAAAGACCAAATCTGCGTCTGATTGGTGTACCTGAAAGTGACGGGGAGAATGGAACCAAGTTGGAAAACACTCTGCAGGATATTATCCAGGAGAACTTTCAGGAAATACAGAGAACGCTACAAAGATACTCCTCGAGAAGGGCAACTCCAAGACACATAATTGTCAGATTCACCAAAGTGGAAATGAAGGAAAAAATGTTAAGGGCAGCCAGAGAGAAAGGTCGGGTTACCCACAAAGGGAAGCCTATCAGACTAACAGTGGATCTTTCGGCAGAAACTCTACAAGCCAGAAGAGAGTGGGGGCCAATATTCAACATTCTTAAAGAAAAGAATTTTCAACCCAGAATTTCATATCCAGCCAAACTAAGCTTCATATGTGAAGGAGAAATAAAATACTTTACAGACAAGCAAATGCTGAGAGATTTTGTCACCACCAGGCCTGCCCTAAAAGAACTCCTGAAGGAAGCACTAAACATGGAAAGGCACAACCGGTACCAGCCACTGCAAAATCATGTCAAAATGTAAAGACCATCGAGACTAGGAAGAAACTGCATCAACTAACGAGCAAAATAACCAGCTAACATCATAATGTCAGGATCAAATTCACACATAACAATATTAACTTTAAATGTAAATGGACTAAATGCTCCAATTAAAAGACACAGACTGGCAAATTGGATAAAGAGTCAAGACCCATCAGTGTGCTGTATTCAGGAAACCCACCTCATGTGCAGAGACACACATAGGCTCAAAATAAAAGGATGGAGGAAGATCTACCAAGCAAATGGAAAACAAAAAAAGGCAGGGGTTGCAATCCTAGTCTCTGATAAAACAGACTTTAAACCAACAAAGATCAAAAGAGACAAAGAAGGCCATTACATAATGGTAAAGGGAACAATTCAACAGGAAGAGCTAACTATCCTAAATATATATGCACCCAATACAGGAGCACCCAGATTCATAAAGCAAGTCTTGAGTGACCTACAAAGAGACTTAGACTCCCACACAATAATAATGGGAGACTTTAACACCCCACTGTCAACATTAGACAGATCAACGAGACAGAAAGTCAACAAGGATACCCAGGAATTGAACTCAGCTCTGCACCAAGCGGATCTAATAGACATTTACAGAACTCTCCACCCCAAATCAAAAGAATATACATTTTTTTCAGCACCACACCACACCTATTCCAAAACTGACCACATAGTTGGAAGTAAAGCTCTCCTCAGCAAATGTAAAAGAACAGAAATTATAACAAACTGTCTCTCAGACCACAGTGCAATCAAACTAGAACTCAGGATTAAGAAACTCACTCAAAACCACTCAACTACATGGAAACTGAACAACCTGCTCCTGAATGACTACTGGGTACATAATGAAATGAAGGCAGAAATAAAGATGTTTTTTGAAACCAACGAGAACAAAGACACAACATACCAGAATCTCTGGGACGCATTCAAAGCAGTGTGTAGAGGGAAATTTATAGCACTAAATGCCCACAAGAGAAAGCAGGAAAGATCCAAAATTGACACCCTAACATCACAATTAAAAGAACTAGAAAAGCAAGAGCAAACACATTCAAAAGCTAGCAGAAGGCAAGAAATAACTAAAATCAGAGCAGAACTGAAGGAAATAGAGACACAAAAAACCCTTCAAAAAATCAATGAATCCAGGAGCTGGTTTTTTGAAAAGATCAACAAAATTGATAGACCACTAGCAAGACTAATAAAGAAAAAAAGAGAGAAGAATCAAATAGACGCAATAAAAAATGATAAAGGGGATATCACCACCGATCCCACAGAAATACAAACTACCATCAGAGAATACTACAAACACCTCTACGCAAATAAACTAGAAAATCTAGAAGAAATGGATAAATTCCTGGACACATACACTCTCCAAAGACTAAACCAGGAAGAAGTTGAATCTCTGAATAGACCAATAACAGGATCTGAAATTGTGGCAATAATCAATAGCTTACCAACCAAAAAGAGTCCAGGACCAGACGGATTCACAGCTGAATTCCACCAGAGGTACAAGGAGGAATTGGTACCATTCTTTCTGGAACTATTCCAATCAATAGAAAAAGAGGGAATCGTCCCTAACTCATTTTATGGGGCCAGCATCATCCTGATACCAAAGCCGGGCAGAGACACAACCAAAAAAGAGAATTTTAGACCAATATCCTTGATGCACATTGATGCAAAAATCCTCAATAAAATACTGGCAAACCAAATCCAGCAGCACATCAAAAAGCTTATCCACCATGATCAAGTGGGCTTCATCCCTGGGATGCAAGGCTGGTTCAATATATGCAAATCAATAAATGTAATCCAGCATATAAACAGAACCAAAGACAAAAACCACATGATTATCTGAATCGATGCAGAAAAGGTCTTTGAGAAAATTCAACAACCCTTCATGCTAAAAACTCTCAATAAATTAGGAATGTATGGGATGTATCTCAAAACAATAAGAGCTATCTATGAGAAACCCACAGCCAATATCATACTGAATGGGCAAAAACTGGAAACATTCCCTTGGAAAACTGGCACAAGACAGGGATGCCCTCTCTCACCACTCCTATTCAACATAGTGGTGCAAGTTCTAGCCAGGGCAATTAGGCAGGAGAAGGAAATAAAGGGTATTCAATTCGGAAAAGAGGAAGTCAAATTGTCCCTGTTTGCAGACGACATGATTGTATATCTAGAAAACCCCATTGTCTCAGCCCAAAATCTCCTTAAGCTGATAAGCAACTTCAGCAAAGTCTCAGGATACAAAATCAGTGTACAAAAATCACAAGCATTCTTATATACCAATAACACACAAACAGAGAGCCAAATCATGAGTGAACTCCCATTCACAATTGCTTCAAAGAGAATAAAATACCTAGGAATCCAACTTACAAGGGATGTGAAGGACCTCTTCAAAGAGAACTACAAACCACTGCTCAATGAAATAAAAGAGGATACAAACAAGCAGAAGAACATTCCATGCTCATGGGTAGGAAAAATCAATACCGTGAAAATGGCCATACTGCCCAAGGTAATTTATAGATTCAATGCCATGCGCATCAAGTTACCAATGACTTTCTTCACAGAATTGGAAAAAACTACTTTAAAGTTCATATGGAACCAAAAAAGAGCCTGCATTGCCAAGTCAATCCTAAGCCAAAAGAACAAAGCTGAAGGCATCACGCTACCTGACTTCAAACTATACTACAAGGCTACAGTAACCAAAACAGCATGGTACTGGTACCAAAACAGAGATATAGATCAATGGAACAGAACAGAGCCCTCAGAAATAACGCCGCATATCTACAACTATCTGATCTTTGACGAACGTGAGAAAAACAAGCAATGGGGAAAGGATTCCCTATTTAATAAATGGTGCTGGGAAAACTGGCTAGCCATATGTAGAAAGCTGAAACTGGATCCCTTCCTTACATCTTATACAAAAATTAATTCAAGATGGATTAAAGGCTTAAACCTTAGACCTAAAACCATAAAAACCCTAGAAGAAAACCTAGGCATTACCATTCAGGACATAGGCATGGGCAAGGGCTTCATGTCTAAAACACCAAAAACAATGGCAACAAAAGCCAAAATTGACAAATGGGATCTAATTAAACTAAAGAGCTTCTGCACAGCAAAAGAAACTACCATCAGAGTGAACAGGCAACCTACAAAATGGGAGAAAATTTTCGCAACCTACTCATCTAACAAAGGGCTAATATCCAGAATCTACAATGAACTCAAACAAATTTACAAGAAGAAAACAAACAACCCCATCAAAAAGTGGGCGAAGGACATGAACAGACACTTCTCAAAAGAAGACATTTATGCAGCCAAAAAACACATGAAAAAATGCTCATCATCACTGGCCATCAGAGAAATGCAAATCAAAACCACAATGAGATACCATCTCACACCAGTTAGATTGGCAATCATTAAAAAGTCAGGAAACAACAGGTGCTGGAGAGGATGTGGAGAAATAGGAACACTTTTACACTGTTGGTGGGACTGTAAACTAGTTCAACCATTGTGGAAGTCAGTGTGGCGATTCCTCAGGGATCTAGAACTAGAAATACCATTTGACCCAGCCATCCCATTACTGGGTATATACCCAAAAGACTATAAATCATGCTGCTATAAAGACACATGCACACGTATGTTTATTGCGGCACTATTCACAATAGCAAAGACTTGGAACCAACCCAAATGTCCAACAATGATAGACTGGATTAAGAAAATGTGGCACATATACACCATGTGATACTATGCAGCCATAAAAAATGATGATTTCATGTGCTTTGTAGGGACATGGATGAAATTGGAAATCATCATTCTCAATAAACTATCACAATGACAAAAAACCAAACACCGCATGTTCTCATTCATAGATGGGAATTGAACAATGTGAACACACGGACACAGGAAGGGGAACATCACACTCTGGGGACTGTTATGGGGTGGGCGGAGGGGGGACAGATAGCATTAGGAGATATACCTAATGCTAAATGACGAGTTAATGGGTGCAGCACACCAGCATGTCACATGTATACATATGTAACTAACCTGAACATTGTGCACATGTACCCTAAAACTTAAAGTATAATAATAAAAAAAAGAAAATGTAGAAGAAAAATGGCTTAGTTTATTTTCAGGCTACTGATATTGTGCAGACTTAATTTTATCTCTGGGTAATTAAAATGGTTAGATCCATGCCACAGATATGAATATTAAAAGATAAAATTATTTTAATGTGCATAGTTTATATACAGACACCATAACTCTATATGCCAAACCTTGGTCTCATAAACAGGATATATTCTCAGATGTAACTGTAACCTTCATTTACTTCCAGTTATTTGATCTATAACCCTGTTTCTAGAAAGCTGGACAGAAGAGTTATCAAGCATTCTAATGTTATCAAAATAAATTTATAAATTGATATTTTACTATTGAAATTGTTTTAGTGATTATTTTTAAAGGAATTTCTAAAATTTATTTCTGGTACCTTGTTTCAACTTCAAAATTGATTTTTTAAAATGAAGTGTGTTGGTCATTCAAAATTGTACATTTTCATTTTACATTAGAACTATTTAAAGTATATATTCACTCTGTAACTTATGGATTGAAAAACACCAAAAGAGCTCACAATTCAGCATAATGACATTTCTATTTACCTTGGCAGTTCCCCATCTCCTTCAAAGTAGTATTAAAATCTCCTTTTTTTCTGGATGATAAATCATGACAATATAAAAATGTTCATGTAGCATGTTTTATTCCATTCTTGAGCTGCAAAGGGAAAAATGACAATAATTTTATTGCATCAGTAGGGGCCATGGAACCAGTTGTCATGAAGGCTGATTGAAGAAATGCTCCTATTTCACATCCATTTAAAATGACTTTGCAAAGGCTGAGCTATAAACACAAAATGACCAGAAGACAGTAAAGCCAACATGACTATTTTAGTCATCTCAATAATTGATTCCAATGGCTGCTGCTGATGCAATTGTGCAATGATCAACATCTATCATTAGGACAGCCTACATGATTGTATTGGGAACACTATATCAGGTTATCATGCGTATGGGTGTATGTGTGTGTATTTCCAAGTTTGTACATGCACAATTGGAGCTCAGTGAGGTAATCTGAGCTTTTCCAGAGACCTTATGTTGAGTTACTATTACCGACAGTACATTTGGGAAAGTGTCAGATTTTTCAAATGAACGCGGTCCAATTATCTATTTCCAGGAAGATTACCTAAGTTTAAAACGCATTTTTTCTATGGTTTTGATAATTGTTTTAAAATTTCTAGCTACAACTAAAAACATGTATACTTATCATTATTCCAGTTTTTAAGTATAAGGGAAGAAAATTCCAATATTATATTGTTTTCCAGTATTTTAAGCATGTTAAATGTAGTGAAATTTGGGTAAATAAATACTAAGGTTATTAATACTACTGTAGTACTTTATATTTTGAAAAAAGTGAAAGTTAAAATGGCACATACTACATGGTGGTGATGACGTATGTTTATTCGCAGGATCATTTTCCCATGCAAGGTGGCAGAATATATAGATGTTCTGCTAGGTAGGAAAACAATACAATTTGTATGTAGATTTGATGCTTTTGAGGACTTATTTATATATTTTCATTTTTCAAATTGTATGTACTGCTATGAGAGTTTCTGTGAAAAAAAAAAAAAAAAAAGCAATCCATGGTCAAGCATTGTTAAAATCCCTGCTTTCTCCCTATTCATCTGGGGGTGGGAGGTGGCCACAGAGAACATTAATGTATTAAAAAGGCTCTAAGAAGTATGATGATAGTTCACTGACTGATCCTCAAACTTATTTATTTGCGTACTTTAAAAACATAACATTACATAAAATTAAATGTAGAATACAATTTGGAAAGTGCTCATATAAAGGATAATCTCATTCTGTTTTCTAGGACATGACAAATGTTACCTATTAATGTTTGTAAGAATAGAAAAATGACTGAGAGGGGTATTAAAAGTAAGAAATCATAATCTTGCATTAGGTTCTGGATTTTTTTTTTTTTTTAAGCATTCTGTCAGATAGTCTTCCAGCACTTTCTTGGAAGCTTCTTGTGAAATGCAACTCACAGTTACTCATTGATATCTGTTTTTTTGACATCCATGGCTACCTCTGATTCTTAGTTTGATTGTTTCTAATATTGATTGGAATATATTTTTCTGTGGTTTCCCAGTGGTACTAATTCTATTTTCTCTCCAGGGGAGTTGGTGACACAGGAGAAAAATCATCCAAGGCCATGGGTCAGGCTTGATTCTCAGCTTTTGTGAACTGGGGAGTTGAGTTAGAAATGGCCTACCTGAGATGAACTACTAAATGTTATAAGACTCTTGCTTGATCAATTCCTGTTGAAAAAGAGCTAACAGGAATCAGGAAATGCTCCCCAGTAAAAAGGAAAGATGGCCTCTTCCAAATTAAGATTGACTGGGAGTGAGAAGAAAGGGAACTCTTGAGGCAGAGGGTCTCAAATTTTTAACCTGTAATTCTTTAGTGTTTTTGGTAAAATGAAGATTCATATTCACTAGTTTGGGGTTAGGTCCAAGATTCTGAACTTCTAAAATCTTCCAGATTAAGTCAATGCTGTGGCTCCTCACCTAGGGGAACAAGGCTCTAGGAAACCTGAAATTTTACTGACTGGGGAGAATGAGAATCTATTGAGCCAGGTTAGTTTTCTTAGTCCATTTGGGCTGTTATTACCCAAATACCATCAACTGGGTAGCTTATAAGTAACAGAAATTTGTTTTTCAGAGTTCTGGAGTCCAGGAAGTCCAAGCCCCATGTGCTGGCAGATTCAGTGTCTGGCAAAGGCCTGCTTTCTAGGTCATCGATGGCACCTTCCTCCTGTGTCTTCACATGGTAGAAAGTGTGAGGGGTCTTTCTCAGGCTTCTTTTATAAGGGCATTAATCCTATTCATAAGGGATCCATCTTCATGACCTAATCATCTTCCAAAAGTCCCACCTCCTAATACCATGATCTTGGCGATTCAAATTTTAACATATAAATTTGAGAGAGACACAAATATTCAGTCCATAGAATTAGTTAATGCAGAATTTCCCAAACTTTATTTCTTATAAAAATCATGTGGAGGCTCATGTAAATATAGATTCCCACATCCAATTTCATATGTGCCAAATAATATTCTTTAGAGAAAACGCCCAGAATTTTTTTTATGATTAGTAATTCCCTCAGGTGGTTCTTAAGATTAGAAAGTTTGCAAAATATGGAGTTAATGCAGTTTTTTCCCAAGTTGATCTTCAGACCACAGCCAAGCTAAATGCGTAAGGATCTGCTTTCCTGAGGAGCTTATTGGAAATAAGCTTAGAAGTCTTCACTAATGTTAGGATTCAGATCTACCCAAGATCCTGATGCACACCAGGCTTGCGAACCACTGAATGTGCATGCTACTCTTTGATGTGAATTAAGATATTCCCCAGAGTTTATAGAAAATGTTTAAATATTCTAGTCCGACTGTATTCACCCAAATGGAAATGCTAAAAGCAGTGCCTTCCTGAGGTCATTGGGGTTGACAGTGGTAATTTCTGAAATGGTAGCCAGAAAGGGCTCCCTGGGGAGAGTGGAGCATTTACCAACCTCTATTAATCTGAGAGGTTTGTGTGTAAGAGTGTTTTAATGATACAGACAAGGTTTCTCACGTTAGCAACTTCAGCCAACTTCCTGAGTTTAAAGTAGAATTTTATCACTTACAGGGAACTAGTGGGGATTGGGGGATAATTGTAAGGCAGAAAAGGAAACTTCTTGGTATATTTGAAAAAAAGACACATACCTTTGAGTTGAATACTCTTAACTGTTGCCTCTGTTTCTTAATGATAATAATAGCAATAGCAATAGCAATAGTAATTGCACCTAGATCAGGGCCTAATACATAGCAAACACTGAATAACTATTAGCTATTGCTGATAACAAGCAATGAATAACTATTAGCTTGTTATGCTTGTTATGTACCAGGCCCTGATCTAGGTGCAATACATCTAGTTGCATGACCTTAAACAAGTGGCTTAACTCATCTACATTCTCGTATTTTCTTATTTCTTATTATTTGATCCCCCTCTTATTTGATGCACAAGAAGAAAGATAATTTTCTACAAAAACTATCCTGAGTGACTTTATCTTTAATGTCAGTACCTCTGCAGCACTGTGGTTGCACAGTAGCTTAATCTCTTTAATTTCAGGTGATCTCGCCTCCATTTCACATTATCCATCTATTCCACACCCTGAACCAAGGGCTGTCCCGTTTTAGATATTTCTAAACACCGTAAACCATCGTTAGGCCCAAGTTTCTGGATAGTTACCTTAAACATGCCTTTACTGTAACTGTCCTTTGACTTTATACTTACAGTTTCATGATTTTTTTTTTCTTCCAGTCCATCTGGCTTCCTTCCCTAACTAGCCCGTATCATTGATTTTCACTGGCACTAATGTTTCAGCAAACTCCTCTATTCCATCCCATTAGGCTTCGCCATTCCTAGGAAATCCTACAATCCTCTTCCCTCTCTGGTTGGGCAGCTTGAGTGCTAACATAGACACTCATACGACCAGCGGGAGTAGTGCCCTTGTCTATTGAGGGGTCTAATCTTCATAGGGCTGTCAGTGCACCCATTATCCTTTCACTCGTTCATGGTCTGCTCCCCAGAATATTATCCACAAGAACGATTTTAAAAGTTTTTTGCTATCATCAAGGCCCTAGGGGTTGTTAAGCCTACCTGTAGTTTTGAGTCACCTAAAGAGATTTATTTTCTAATGCTCAGGTTCACACAGGAGTCATTAAAGAAAAATCCCTGAGGGTTGGCTAGGCAATGGTATGTAAAAATAAAAAAAATTCCCAGTTGATTCTAACCTGCGCCTATGGTTGAAACCACGGCTCTAATACATCTTCAACGTTTCCTTTCAGCTGAAAGATTTCCTCTCCTGTAAGATATTGAGACAACCACAGTTGGATTCCTCATTTATTTCCCTCAACTTATTATAGACTTATATGTATTAACACTCATTCTAATAACTTTCCAGTCTCAGGCATTTGATCCTTGGTCCTGACCATGCCCTATTCCTTCAACTTTGTTATTGAACATTTATTCTTATCCTCTGTGTCAGTTTCTGTACTGCTTCTCTCTAATCCATCTTTGACTTTCTCTGAGCCTGTGATTTGGTGTGTATACCTCCATCTCCACATCTCCCTATATCTCTCTCTATGGCTTTGTCCCTGTTTCTGTTCCTGTATCTATTTTCTGTGTCTCCTTATCTCTAAATTCGTTTCTCTCTGTGTCTCTGTCTTTGTGCATGTCTGTCTATCTCTCTGTCTCTGTGTTTCTCTCTGTCTCTGTCTCATCTCTCTCCTTGTTCTCACAACTTTCTCTCCTCCCACAGCAACCCTACCCCTTCCCCTGCTTCTGCCTCTGTCTCCTTGCTATGTCTGTCTCTCTCCACTCTTTATATCTCCATTGGCTCTTTGTCCTAAGCCTGTAGATATATTCATATACTCCCATTAAAAAATTGCATGATTCTGAATCTCACTCTACTTCCTTCTCATCTAAAATTTCAGAGATAATAACCTAACATGACTATTTCCATTTATTATTTTCACTTACTTTTCAGTAAACTGCAGTCTGGATTTTATTCCTACTCTGCCACAAAAACTTTTCTCATTATGATCACAAATGACCTTCAATTTACTCATTCTAATAGGCACACCTATTCATTAGGTCAAATGGTAATTTCATTCTCAACAAAATTTGATCCTGTTAGCCAACGTCTTCTTTTTAGTGTTCTTTCTTCTTTTGGCTTCCACGATGTAACTTATTATTTTTCTACAGTTATTATAATTGTCTTATTTTTTAAGCATGATTTTCTATATCTTGCCCTTACATATTGAGTTTCCCAGAGATGGTAGATTAAACAACATTGTTCAGCTCCTTCCCAAAGGAGGTAGATTCTCCTTACCCTGACCCTGCCCAGCCATCCACATATGTGGACTGCCCTTGGGTTTTGCTTATACCAAGAGAATGTGGTAGAAGTGACACTGTTGGGATCCGGAGCCCAGTTCTCAAGATGCATTAGAGGGACAGCCTTCATGTTCTTGGAATATTGACATAAGGTTCCTATGGTGAGAAGCAGCCCGTGATAAAAAAGCCTGCAGACAAATAGAGCCCAGTCAGCCCAGGTGTGTCACCTGAGATGAGCCTCCAGGTGATCTGTAAGTGTGTATATATATATATATATATATATATATAATGTGTAGCCACATCAGTGAGCCTAGGCACGACTAGCAAAGGATTCCTTTAGTTAATCCACAAGGTTTTGAAAAGTATCTCATCATTTTTGTTTTAATTAATTAAGTTATAGAATGGTTTTATAAGCAATAATAAAAAAGTGATAACTCCAGAAATATTGCTGTTGCTAACTTCTCTTTACATACTTAAACTATCCCAGAATAACCTTCCAATGTTCTAACTGCAGATGGTCTCCAACTTATGATGGTTCAACTTGATGTTATGAATTTTTAACCTTACAATGGTGCAAAAGTGATATACATTCAGTTGAATCCATACTCTGAATACACTTACAACCATTCTGTTTTGCACTTTTAGTTCAGCATTCAATGAATTACATGAGATATTCAACACTTTATTATAAAACAGCCCTTGTGTTAGATTATTTTGCCAAATTACAGGCTAATATAAATGTTTTGAGCACACTTAAGGTAGGCTAGGCTACGCTATTATGTGTGGGAGGTTAAGTGTATTAAATTAATTTTCAACATACAATATTTCCAAACCTACGATGACTATCAGGATGTAATCCCATGGTAAGTTGAGGAGCATTTGTGCCTTCTCTGTGCTTATAACTGCCTAAAATATCTTTTCAGTTTTAGTCTCTTAAGGGTCTCAAAACCAGAAATTTGAGGGTCTCAAAACCATAATTCAAAGTTTTCATAAATATCAATAATTTAATGTCTCATAATTAACTCTAATTCAAAACATCTAAATATTGAACAATATCATTGGCTTTCTAATTTATTTAGTGGTATAATTACCCCCCCATCACCCAATTCTGAAAAATTTAGATGATTCTTGCCTCCTGACTTTTTTCTCAATTTCTTCATTTAATCAACATCCTATTATAATCTAACCTACTAATTATTTTCTACTTAGTTCCTTCTCATCCGTCATTGTTGGGTCTCAGACTTTTGCCATCTTTTGCCAGGACTATTGTAGTGATTTGTTGACTATTGTAGTAATTGGTTTCCCTATTTTCCCAGACCCCCTTGAATTTTTACTACATAGAAATATAACTAAAGTTAGTATTTGACTATATCTCTGTTTTTAAATGTATCCATAAAATAAAATGTACTCTGTTAGCATGACACACAAAACCCTTCAATTTGACCCCTAAGAAACTATCCAACTTTATTCTCTCCATTCCATGGCTCCACATTCATCTCGATGACATTTTCTACATGAGAAATATTGGACTATTCAAATATACATGTATAAATAAAGTTTCAAAGATCATGCTTCAAATAATGCCATTTCTGTGGCAAAAATTATGCTACAAATCATACCATTTTGTTTATTTGCTTGGTTCAGTTAAACTCAGCCTCTTTTTCCCATTTAGAAAAAATGTGCAGCTCTCTGCCAGCACTCATTTAATTTTACATAAACACACTCTTTAACGCTGAAGCAAATCTGACTGATTTTCAATGTGAAAATAAAATATAAAAACTATTCTTGGAGTTTATTTCTAAACATAACATCAGAATAGTCTGAGTCATAAGAATCATCTATTTTGGAAAAATCAGATTCATCAAATCAATCTTCAGCCAACAATGGTTCGAGAACGATGTTAACATCATGCATAGGAATGGTACATTTTCTAGGATTTGACATTTTCAGCAATCGAGAATTACTACATTTTGTGAATGGAAATAACACTAAAAACAGAATTTTATAAATAGAATGATGTCTTTTCTTTCCAAAGTTGATATACTAGAGCAATGTGAAAATAATAATATAAGCGAGATATTTTGTGGCAAAGTTATCTCGGGGTAAACACTGCAGCCACAAGTGCAAACAGCAAGTATTCTCAGGTCAAATGTGAAAAGGTTTAAAGATGAAACTCAGGAATTATCTTCTAGAGGAAATCTTTCATAAGTCCCTGCAGATTAGGTTAAGACAGTGTCTTCTCCATTTTGCTATAATATTCTGTGCATATTTCTATCATAGCAGCAGTGACAGAGTATTGGAATTACCTGAATTCCTGTCTGTCTCCCTAAATCTTCTATTTGCTTTTTGAACATAGCACATCTTCCTCACATTTCCCAGTATTTTATGCAGTTTTGGATTCAAAGGTTACACAATAGGTATTTGTTCAACTTTTGTTTTGAACTCAATTTACTATAATGTGTGTTAATTTGTCTTTGTATTATTGTTGTAAAGTAAAATTGATAAAAATATCAGTTTTCCTTCCTACCTCTCATAGAAGAGAGAAAACCAGGGACTGGATCAATAAGGAAAAACCAACCAACTAACTGAAAAAACAAACAAACAAACAAAACAACAACAACAAAAACCTAGGCACTAGGCTTTCTAGATATATGATGAGTTAAGCATTATAAAAAGAATATTTTCAGTGCAATAGATATATACTCTCCTGGATACCAGATGGTGTTCTCTCTGAGACACTACACAAATGGAAACAGATTATTTGGACACTTCACTGACTTTTGTAGAGGGTTCCTAGTGTGCTTGTGATGGCGGCAGAAGACTGTCTGCAGTGGCCACTGCAAAGACGCCAGCTGCAGCGGGAGAGGCTCGGCTGGGCCTGCGTGCTCCATGGAGCCAGTGGGGGCCAGGAACAGATGATCCTAGTGGGAGCCCCATGCCCTACCAAGTTGGCAGGGTGGGAGCCCGAACTCCCGGGCGCAGCTGCAGCTGCCCAGCTGTGGCTCTGGACCCAGGCATTCCTGCACTCTTGGGGGCCTGGGAAGCCCCCGGCCCCCGTAGGCTTGGAAGTGCCTGCTCCTGCTCCCTGGCCTCTCCTCAGTCCTTGCACCCACTCCACAGTGAAGCAAAGATGTGGACGTGTCCCAGTAACACAAATGGGCTGAAACGCGGCCCCCCTGGACGCACACCCTCAGCTCGCCAGACTGCAGGCAATGAGAAGGAAAGAGGAGCTGCAGCCCTTCTGGGAGCCCAGACCTCGGGGATCCCAAGCCAGGGCTAACACCTTCTTTGGGCCTCTGTGGCTCCTGGCATCTCCAAGCTTTTGAGTGCTGCCACGTTCCTCCAGGTGCAGGTGCCTACAGTAGAAGCTGCTTGTGGTACATCTGGTCCAGCAACAGCCTCGCATGGAGCCGATACCTGTGCCGGCATCTGAAGCTGCCCGCCCTGCCGCAGCAGCCAGTGTGCCTGGCTGTGTGCAGTGACCGGACCCCACGCTTGCTCACTCACACACTCCCTGCAGCTCCACACCTGGTTTATCCTTGTCAGGCATGGGCTGTGGGCCAGTAGGACGAGCCAAGCACATCCTGCCGGGCTGAGTGGGTGGAATGAGCCCAGTGGGCACGGGGAAAACTCAAACTGAGGTGCCGCCAGCCACGAGGTTTCTGGCTGGCAAAGCAACACCTTAAAGATCCTGTGACACTGTAGGTCTGATCCATCAATAGCCAACATTCAATATAATTAGGATAAAGCTGGATTAGAAGGGACCATCATAGATTGTACTAAGTCGTATATTTTTTTTTTTGGTTATTAGGATTTTTTCCTATGCTTATTTTCACTTACATGTAGTGCCTTTATATTTATCGTTTTTTTTAAAAAAATCAGAACTCTTAGTTCTCAAGGTGTTTTTAGATCTTGATTCTTTTTAAAGTTTTATTTTATTGTTAGTGAACAAATAATAAGTGTGTGTATTTGTGGGGTACAATGGGATGTTCTGAGACGTATATACATGTGAAATGATCAAATCAGGCCAATGAACATATCCACCACCTCAAATGCTTTTCAATTCTTTGTGCTGAGAACATTTAAAATTTACTATTTTCATTATTTTGAAATATACAATACATTTTTATTAACTATAGTCACCATGCTGTGCAACAGATCATCAGAACCTATTCTTCCTGTCTAACTAAATTTTTGTGCCCTGTGAACAACATTTCTCCTTTCCCTGTCCACCTCCCACCTCCCAGCCTGTGGTAACCACTATTCTACTTTCTAATTCTATGAGTTTGTGCTTTTTTAGTTTCCACATATAAATGAGATCTTTTTAGTAGTTTCTCTGTTTCTGGCTTATTTCACTTACCATAACTTCTTACAGGTTCAAATTGTTATTGTGACAACATGGATGAATCTAGAACTTAATTATCAAAAAGCAAGAAACCTGACCTATATAGAGAAAGGCATGTCTGGGGAGATGATATAAAAGTTAACCTTTTTGCTATTGCTTTTATTTGTTTTTACTTATTCTGGGTGTGTATTTTGAATGTCAAATAACATTAAAAATTGATGAGGTATTTTAGTTTATCATAAAATGGTTGCTTCAAATCTTAGAAGCACTATTTTCTACATATGTTATATTTAGCCCTGGAGGACCAAGTACACTTTTTATCCAGCTTTGGAAATCACATTCTGGAAAATATGGAGAGCAGATAGAGTGTGTGTGAATAAAAGTATGCAGAATAAAAATTCAATCACTGTACAAATTCCACAAATATGCTTCCTTATCTTCTTCATATAAATATTGAACAGGGCAGGATCAAGAATAGAGAGTGTCCATTTAAAGACCTCCATCCTAGTCTGAAAATTGGTGTTAATCGATCTTGATAATAGATTAATCACTCACTAGTCAACGTAATTGGCATTAAAATCTCATCTATGTTCCTCTATATAAATTTTTTTACAAATATATTATGAGAAAGCTGGTCAAATGCTATATTAAATTCCGGTGACAGTCTAAGTGCTATTTATTTTTTATTTCCATCCAGTAATCCCTTTTAAAAAATAAGAAAAATGCTTTTTCTTAGCAGGACAGTCCATTCATTCATTCATTCATTAAGTCATTCTTGAATATCTGATATTTGTTTTCCACCGGGAGAGATACTGACAATATCAAAATTCAGTCACTGCCTTCAAACAGTTTATAGTACTTAATTACATACACAACAATTGTTTTGGGGAAAAAGTATTCTGAACATAAAAATAAACCAGTCATTATTTTTCTCATTGCAAATTAAGGCAAATAGAGAATTAGATTATTTCAGTTTAACTGAGGAAATTTTAAAATGTAAGTGATAATACCTAAGTTCAAATACTATTGTGTGCCTACTTGTGTGCATGCCCACACACAAACACACCTACATACATAAGCACACACCAAGGGTAAGGAGTGTTACTGGTAGAAAATGAGCAGTTGAGTTGACGTTGGGAAAGTGTAGAGGTGAATAGGGAATCTCTCTTAGGCTTGTCTTGCTGGTTTCTGAGCATGAACCATTGAGCATCATCTTTTGCATGTAAGGCTTTGATTGTAAACTACTAAAATAACAAAAAGAAATTAGCAGTGCAGTATAATACACTCAAGTTTTCACATCCAGTCAATAGACTTTTTATTTTTTGGCAAATATATTATTTTTGGTAAACATTTTTGTTAAATTCTAATTTTTTATCATGTCATTATCTATGAGTCCTCAATGTTCATAAGGAATGAGTTATAATAGTGCCAAATAATTACCTTTAAATTTAACATTCATTTAAAATGCTGATTCATTGTTTTAAGATCTTAAAGAATATGCTATCATTTTTGTCAAGGGTGGTAAAAACACAAACATTTCACCAATATAGTTAACATTTAAAATGTTAAATTCTATACATTTTATTATTTTGGTAAAAATCAGAGAGTTTGACTTTGGCATAGGACATTGAAAAGTAAACAAAAGCAACTGTATAAACTGAGAAACAATTTATAATTCATAAAAAATCTTAATATTCACACACAAATAACGTGTATAAGGAAACACAATTACAGTCTGTGAAACATCAAATAACACAGAATGTGATTAACATTTTTATTTAATATTTTTAATAACTTTTATACATTTATTTTTGTGAGGTACATGAAATTTCCTCTTCTGACTTCACTTTAAAATTGGATTCTTATATCATTCTGACTATAGAATGAATTGTTATCAATTTTCTTTACTTTTTAAAAAATTTATATTAGATACTTTTGGCAAGTCAAAAAATAATCTGAAGTTCATGAAGATCAGTGCTCAATAAATACAGACAGTTATCTTACGTTAAGTTTGTGTTTTAATTAACTTCCTATTTAGTAGATCATTCAAGCTACAAAAACTTTTTCTGTGTGTAATCACATTTAGACTTTATTTTCATAGAAAATTTAAGTGCATCTTCTGTGCATCTTTCTCCTTAATGTTTCCCTAGTTGCAAATGTTATCAAACCATTGCCCTTTAAGTAACCACGGAAAGGTTGGCAACTCTCCAACCTAATTTTCAACATTTTAATTATTTTCTAATAAAGCAAGAAGTTGTAGTCTCAAAGTGTAATAAAATACAGGTTCTACATATAAAATATGGTCCAGCGAGACATCTAAATCTAGAGTCAGGTCAACCAAGACCAGTGGACAAAATGCTGCCACAAGCTACAGAAGCCAAAGTGAAAAAGGAGAACAGCCTCTCTTTGGAAGGTAGAACTCATTTTCAATTTGTTTTTTTTTCTTAAGACACCTAAGGTATAATACATTTACAAACGTTTTCTGGATTGCTGTCTGATTGATCCCTCCTCTTTATTTTATAAATTGATTTAATATGGGCTCTCAAAATACAGAAAGATTTTCTGAGCCATCAGTATGATTACCTATGAAAGTGTGAATCATAAAATGACATTGCTACAGGCTGTAAAAAGGTAACTCTTTTAAAAATTAAACAAGATCAAAGTAATCATAACAATCATATAATGACACAATTTAAAGTCTGTTGCTTATAACTGCTAAGATTAAAGTAACATCAAGTATAGAAGTACAGAACTTACCACTTTTGTCTATAAATACACTTTCTGTAAGAGTAAATTACTTTTTCCTTATAAGATAAAAGTAAGATTATAATAAATGCTTAAATATTTTTAATATTTGAAAGAATTCACAACTTTTAAAAGTTTAGGAATAATTACTATCAGTTAATTATATTGGCATAGTGTCACTCTTGCATAGAGATGCACAGTCATGTGCTGCATAATGACCTTTTGATCAAGGAGGAAACACATACAATGGTGGTCTCGCAAGATTATAATGGAACGGAAAAATTCCTATCACCTCGCGACTTTGTAGCTGACATAACATCATAGCTCAGTCTGTGGTGATGCTGGTATAAACAAAACTACTGTACTGCCAATGATATAAAAGTGTAGCACAGATGAATAAAGATATTCCTAAAGATGGCTGACTAGATGCAGCTGGGATGTGCCTCTTCCATGGAAAGGGACCAAAAGGGAACAGATCTTTTGAGAGGAAACACTATAATTCAGTTGAGATGAGTCAGAAGACACCATGGTTGAGAAGGGCGGAAGCAGGGCTTGGTGCTGCCAGGCACCAGGACCAGCCCATGGAGCAGGACCTGGACCCAAGGAAAGACTGAGTGAAAGAACTCAAGAGCACCACAATCCTGCTGTTGATCTCTGAGATTCCAGATACAGGAGTTCCCACAACCTATGCAGGCCTTTGGACTGGCAGAGGGAACTGCCTGGAGACCATGGAGAGGCTTCCACATGGAGCCCAAAACGTTCCAGTGTTCTGGGCAGTGCAGTAAGATGCACCTCTGCGTGCCTATCCCACAAGGCTCTGCGTTTTGTCTTAGGCAGGTAAGAGTAAGAGTAAATTACAGCTCCTGCTGTCTGCCATGCCAGGAGATAGCAGCCCCAGGCACACTTTCAGACCCCATTGAGAGGCCTTGCCACCACTGCTCTGGGACCGAGGCAAATCCAAACCATGTGCCCCATGCTTGCAGGTCTCTCCTAAGACTGTTTGTCTGGCTGTTCCTACAGGGGCAGACCATAGCACCACTACCATTATCCCACCTTAATGTTTTGTTGGCAGCCTGGGGACAGTTCACCCCCAATCACAGCTGGTACTTGGCCCTGAGGGGCCAGTGGAACAATCCACTAGCTTGGTTCCAGTTCCCCAGGCCTTGAGCACACCACCCAGGGGTATGGAGATGAGAGCCATGGCCTTATCTCAACAGGGGAAAGAGCTCTCACTGTCAGAACACAGACAAGCATGTAGTGTGGGTTTGTGTGGTGATGAGGGAGGTGGTCGCTGCTCCCTTTGTGAGACTGGACCAGGGAGGAGAACTGCAGTTTCTGCCATGGGGAGCCTAGCAGTCCAGAAACCTGAATGGCTCAGCAATCTGGATATGGATGGCTTGGAACCAGCCTAACTGATTGGACCTGTTGTTGGGGCCAGATGCCAGATGGAGACCCATTGAGTTGGGGTTGTAAGAGCTGGGTAGACCACATGGTCATCTGCTAGGCTGAAAACCCTTGTCATTCCCTCTAACACTGAGCAGGCTCTGTGGTGCCAGAGAGGAGCCTCTCCCCCTCCCTGGAGTATTGTTCCAGCAGCTTAAGAGCTGCACCTAGATGTCTACCAAGGTTGGTACTTGCATATACCTCAGGGATCCTGGTTACAGGCTTTCCCAACCCAGCCATACCCAGCTTTCCCCCTCCAGCTGCCTTCGTGGCAGAGCATAGAATGGGACAACCTGGGAGCCCCATGCCTTGTTCGTCACCAGAGTTAGCATGGTACTTCCCCTTCTCAACAAAGGCCAAGTAAAAATTCCACTGCCATCACTGCAACTGACTCTTTTGCAAGTACCACTTACTAGCCAGAGGATCAACCTGCATGGCCCACCACAACTCCTGCTGACATCATTGTACAGCCACAGCCAGATCTTACCCAGAGTCACCACCTACTGTCCTTTAGGGTGAACTGTAAAACCCAATATAATTCCACTGACAGACGAGCACAGCACTGGGGAATGAAATAAGCCTCCTGAGACCTCCACCTCCCCGTCTCTGTAGGAGACAGTGAGCCTGACATTATCCACAAGCCACTGCTGCTACAACCTAAAAACAACTAGCATTTGAGGAAAATCCACTACTTTAAGGCTATGTATAACCAAGGAATTCATACAGAACCTTGGCCTTCTAAAAGCACAGAAGCAAAGCCAAAGGATCTTATCCAACATATGCAACAATCACACCCTCAAGGGGGAAAATCCCCACCCAAATGAAAGTTGATTCAAAAATAAGAAGTGACAGCACCTCCAGATGAGAAGAAACTTGCAGAGGAACCCCAAAACCTTGAAGAAACAGAGGGTCATGACACATGCAAAGGGCCACACTAGCTCTCTAGCAATAAATCCTAACCAAAATGAAAATTGAAATGTCAGATAAGGAATTGAAAATATGGAATGTTAGGAACTTAGTGAGATCCAAGAGAAAGTTGAAAGCAAACATAAAGAAATAAGAAAACAACTTAGAAGATGAATGACAAGATAGATATATTTAAAAAAACAAATAGAACTTCTAGAAATGTACTATTCACTAAAAGAATTTCAAAACATAGTTGATAGCTTTAACAATAAACTAGAACAAACAGAAGAAAAATTTCCAGCCTTGTAGACTTGTCTTTCAAATTACCCCAGTCAGACAAAAATAAATAATTTTTTATAAGTGAACAAATCCTTCAAAGAATATGGGATTAATGAAAGTTTAAAAACCTACAACTTATATACATTCTTGAGATAGAAGAATAAACATTAAAAAGTTTGAAAGTATATTTGAGGGAATGGGAAAATCTCCCCAATCTTGCTATAGGTATGACATCCAGTTCCAAGAAGTTCAAAGAATACCTGGAGGATGCTATACAAGGGATATCATCATCAGACTACCTAACGTCAACATGAAAGAACAAATCTTAAAAGCAGGTAGAGAGAAATATCAAATCACCTGTAAAGAAAATCTCATCAGACTAACAGTAGCCTTCTCAGCAGAAATCTTACAAGCCAGAAGATATTTTGGGCCTATTTTTAACCTTCTTACAGAAAGAAAATGCTAGCCAAGAATTTTATATCCTTCCAAACTAGAGTTTATACATGAAGGAGAAATTAAGTATTTCCCAGACAAGCAAATGCTAAGGGAATTCATCACTACTAGACTAGACCTACAAGAAATGCTTAAAGGAGTTCTAAATATGGAAACAAAAGAATGATACTTGCCATCATAAAAACACATGTAGTAGAAAGCTCATCGATCCTATAAAGCAATTACACAATTGAAACTCTAAGGCAACTAAATAACAACACTATGATAGGAACAAAACTTCATGTATTAACTTAGAACATAAATCGCCTAAATACTTCGCTTCAAAAATATGGAGTAGCAAATTGGATAAAAACAGAACCCAATCATGTACCCTTGAATCTAAAATTTTTTAAAAATATAGCACATACAATTATGTACAGAATACTGGATAATGAAAATAAACTAATATGTTATTGCTTTATGTATTCATTATGCTATACTTTTTATCACTATTTTAGAGTATACTTGTTCTACTTGTTTAAAAAATGTTAATAAAACAGCCTCATGCAAGCCCTTCAGAGGTGTTCCAGAAGTCATTGTTATTATAGATGACAGCTTCATGTGTGTCATTGAAGGACCTTTCAGGGATACAAAATGTGGTGGTGGAAGACAGTGATATTAGTGATTCTGACCCTGTGTAGGCATAGGCTAATGTGTGTGCTCATGTCTTAGTTTTTAATTAAAAAGTTTAAAACTAAAAAAAAAATAAAAAAATTAAAAATAGTAAAAAGCTTATAGACTAAAGATACAAAGAATGAGAATATTTTTGTGCAGCTGTAAGATGTGTTGTATTTTAAGTTAAGTGTTACAATAGAGTCAAAAATGTTTTAAATTAAAAAGTTTATAAAGTAAAAATGTTACAGTGTGCTAAGGTTAATTTAACATTGAAGAACAAAAAATTTTTATTAATTTTGTGTAGCCCAATTGTACAGTGTTTATAAAGTATACAGAAGTATACAGTAAATCCAAGGCCTTCACAGTCACTCACCACTCACTCACTCTCTCACCCAGAACAACTTCCAGTTCCGCAAGCTCCATTTATGGTAAGTGCCCTACACAAGTACACTATTTTTAATTTTTTATACTGTGTTTTAACTGTACCTTTTAAACATTTAGATATGTTTAGATACACAAATACTTACCATTGTGTGTTTTTTTTTTTTTTTTAGACAGAATTTTGCTCTTGTTGCCCAGGCTGGACTACAATGACTCAATCTCGGGTCCCTGCAACCTCTGTCTCCCTCTGTCTCAGCCTCCCGAGTAGCTGAGATTACAGGAGCATGCCACCACACCCGGATAATTTTTGTATTTTTAGTAGAGACGAGGTTTCATCATATTGTTCAGGCTGGTCTCGAACTCCTGACCTCAGGTGATCTGCCTGCTCGGCCTCCCAAAGCGCTGGGATTACAGGCGTGAGCCTCTGCGCCTGGCCTACTTAGCATTATTTTACAACAGCCTACAGTATTCAATACAGTAACATGCTGTACATGTTTGTAGCCTAGAAAGAATAGGTTATACCATCTAGTCTGGGTGTGAAGGAGGCTATACTATCTAGGTTTGTTGCAAGTACACTCTGTGTCGTTCACAAAAGGGTGAAATTGCCTAATGACACACTTCTCAGAACGTATCTCCATAGTTAAGCAACATATGACTGCACATGTATTCTTCAGTTTTACTAGAAAAACGGCATTTAGTATCAGTAAGAAGGTTGTCTAGTCTGTGTTTTTCAAAATTAGCTTTATTAGTTGAAAACTTATAAAACATTTGACTTTTAACTAGACAATTAGCACAATGTTTTTAACCACAGCAGGCAATAAAATTTTAAAATTTATGGAGTACATGGAAGATTTTCTTGTTCTAATCATATTATTAATTTTGTTATTTTTGTCATCTCATTAAAATTTACTTTTGCATTATGTAAATTTTGTTTGTTGAAAAATGTGTTATTTTTCTGAAATAATGGAATATTATTTTTCAATTAGTTTTTACAAGGTACTTTAAATTTTCTATGTCCTAAACGCCCTCTTTTCTTCTTATTTAGTCTTCCAGTGACCTCAGTGAAAGAAGCAGGAGAAGTGTCCTCAAAATAGATTGAACTCTTTATGTAACTTTAAGCACTAAATAATTTCAGCAGTACTGAAAAAAATTATAATCCACTTTACTCCTCAATTTTGAGAAGGAGTAAAATGGATTATAATTATGTGTATTAGGTGTATCTAAATATATCTCCCCAAATGGAAATTCTGTGCCCATTAACTGTATGAGTCCCACACTGTACACTTGGGCTACACAAAATTAATAAAAAATATTTTTGTTCTTCAATCATAAATTAACCTTAGCCTACTGTAATATTTTTACTTTATAAAACTTTTAATTAAAAAAATGCTGAACAGAGCATTTGGAGGATATTTGGATTTGACTTCCGGGCTGAATTGTCTTCTCCTTCATTATGATTTCTCTTTTCAGCAATACTAGGAAGTCTGAAGGTTTGGAGTACTTAGTAAATACTCAAGCCTACTGCAATGTAAGGCCTCAAAAATGATTTTCAATGTGAAGATGACATAAGTAAAAGAAAAAATAGAATTTTACAAAGTAAAGCCTATTCTAATGCTTCTATAATTATAAAGAAAACCTCTGAAGTGAGCATTCTGACAATAATCATGCATCAAGTATTTATCATATACCTATTGGGTTGGAAAATCCCAGTGGAAATATTGCCCAGCACTGGGGAAGATGGCCTTCCTTTATTCCACTGAAGTCAGTACATGGCCTTAACATTTATAGCTAGTATCTTTTGTTTGGTAAACATGTTAGCTTGAAAAACAAGAGTGCACTTGTGTTAGTAATTTGGATAGTCTTCAATATGAAGATTACTGCCATTAACTTTTCACAGACTTGAGACCTATGAGATTATCTTCTATTCATTTGTTATTTAAGAAGAAGCTTTCAATTAGAGTACATATGCCAGCTGGTTAAATGTGAGACTAAGGTGTTATCTTTGGTTTTAGTTATCTTACCCTTTTTTATATAATAAAGGATATATTGAAATAATTTTTTATTTGTGGTAAAGTATAGCATAAAAACTTACCATTTTAAAGTGTACAGTTCAGGGGCAGTAAGTACATTCACATTGTTGTTCAACCATCACCTACCCATTTGCAACACTTCCACCTCCATACATGGAAACTGTACCTATTGAACACTATCCACCTATTCTTCTCTCCCACTAACTCCTGGCAACTACCATTCAACTTTTTATCTCTATGAGTTTGACTTCTCTAAATACCTCATTTAAGTAGAATCATATAATATTTGTCCTTTTGTGAGTGGTTTATTTCACTTAGCATAATGTCCTTAAGATTCATCCATGTTGTACATGGGTCAAAATTTTACTTTTTCAATGCTGAATAATATTCCATTTTATATGTATGCCACATTTTGTTGACTTATCCATCGATGGATGCTTGGTTTGCTTCTATCTTTTAGTGATTATGCACAATGCTGCTATGAATATGGGTGTACAAATATGGGTTAGGATCCCTTTTGTGGGAAGCACAAATAAAATAATTGCAACAGACATTTGCATTTAAAAAGGAGAAGAGCAGGAAGCAGTTATTCCTCACTAGTCCATGGCAATTCTGAATCCAGTTGGATATTTGTGGCCAGGTTCCCCTACTTTAAGTGCAAGGAACGTTACTTGAGTGAGGTATAGTTCTGGTTCCTAACAGTGGCTTCACAGTCCATTTATTTCTTCAGATACCTTGACTTCATTTCAGTCATCTTTCCTATTCTCAAAGAAATAGGTGACATTTGCAGCTGAGTAACTCTCTCAGATTTCTTGTTGTCCTTAGAAGTTGGAAGCCCTTTGCATTTTGAACATTCTTTGTCCCTTTTACTCTAATCAGGGGTGCATTTGTTAATAAGTATGATATTCTTCTGTAAGTCTTATTGGAGCTCACTTCATGCTCCCTAAATGATCTCTCTCAGTGTTTTACAAGACAAACCTATCTCTATTTTGTCTGTGTGAGAATACTGTGGGAAAATGCCACAGTATTAGAAGACAAAAATCTCAATGATGTTGCTGTTTGAGGGGTAATTGTAATTAGAGGAATTTAGAAAAGACATTAGCCTTTCAAAAGAAAGTAAACAATGAAAATATTGTACGGTAAGAGAAGTCAGCATTTTTTGAAACAGGTGGTAATATAAATGAAAATGAAGAAGTGTATATGTTTTGGAAAAACTCTCATACTGTGTTCCTTATTTGAACTTGCAGCAACAGAGCAGTCAACACAGAAGACTTCTGTGATAAAATGTGTGTGGGTTTTTCCCCATCAACAAGCTGTGGATACAGGCTACATATTCTCCAATTCAATTCTGATACTATCTACCTGAGAATAGTGTCAAATCACACTGGTTTAGAGCTCAGTCCCCAAGACATCCCCCTGCTCCAAATATCAGTCACAAGTTTCAAGTCTGGGCCTCTGGAATTCTGATCAAACAGCTTCAAACTGGGGTTTCCACCACTTCTGCTTTGGGTTTGATTAATATGTGGAGTAGTTTACAGAACTCAGGGACACAATTATTTATGTTTATTGGCTGTTAAAAGGGATATATGAAGGATACAGATGAAGAGATGCATAGGGTGAGGTATGGAGGAAGGAGAACAGAGCTTCCATGCCCTCCTTGGATTCCGCCCCCCAGGAACTTCCACATGTTCAGCAAGCTCAGTGTTCTCCATAGCCCTGTTCTCTTGGGTTTTTATGGAGGCTTCATTAAGTAGGTATGATTGATTAAATCATTGGCCATTGGTGATCAACTTGATGGTCAGCCCTTTCTCCTCTCTGGATCTTGGGGAGTGGGATTGAAGGTCACGACCCTTTAATACTGCCTTGGTCTTTCTGGTGAGCTACCCCATCCTAAAACTATCAGTCCATATTAGCATTCAAAACACACTTTGGAGATTCCAAGGATTTTAAGATTTGTATGTCAGATGGGGATGAAGGCCAAATATATATTTCACAATATCACAGTACCTAAATGAGAGTGCTAAATATATCTATAACATAAAAATGTAACTAAATATAACTAAACTGAATGCTGGAAGAAAATCCAGTTTCATTTAAGATGAAATGGTTTCAGAAAGACAAAGGAGGAAGTTAGAAATGGGAAGGGTAATATTCGCCCTAAAAAGGGTAATATTTGCCTTCATCATTGGCAAAATAATGATGAAGTTTGAAAATCACCAAAATGAAGAAAATTCTCATCTCTGATGCATGGGTGGAAAGAGCTAAAGAAAGGAGTACATTTCAAATTTGTTTGAACAATGGTCCTAGTACTTCTTGGAGACCACCATTAAAATGGATGTATTTTCTTCTAGCATGTAAACATGAAATGATTTTTACTGTATTAGAAAGTATGACTATATTAAGTAAATCCAAATAAAATTACTACCAAGAGGATGCATTCAAGGAAAAAAAAACCTAGCTTTCATCTATGCATGATAAATGGTTCCAATTTCTCTATGAATATTTGCTTGCCTTCTTACACATTCCCTTTTGCCATCTGCTAGAACATGCTATCAGGAAAGTGGCAGAAGTTGCCAATGCTTAAAACAAAAAATTTAAATAGAAAAACTTAAAATTGAGAAATTCCTTCCATTAAATGTAATTCCTGTGACTTGAAAAAAAAAAAGTGTCATTATTAGATTTATTGACAAAACAAATTATAGTGTTCTATATATCTTTTGCCTTATAACTGCTACTTGATAATACAAGAATTAAGAAAAAACTTTTATTTTAGGTTTGGGGATACATGTGAATATTTGTTACATAGGTAAACATGTGTCACAGGCATTTGTTGTACATATTATTTCATCACCCAGGTATTAAGATAACCCAATGGTTATCTTTTCTGCTCCTCTCCCTCCTCAAAACCTCCCCTCTCAAGTAGCTCCCAGTATCTGTTGTTTCTTTCTTTGTGTTGATAAGGTCTTATCATTTAGCTACCACTTATAAGTGAGAACATGTTCTATTTGGTTTTCTGTTCCTGTGTTAGTTTGCCAAGGATAATAGCCTCCAGCTTCATTTGTGTTCTCACAAAAGACAAAATCTCGTTCTTTTTTTCTGGCTGCATAATATCCCATGGTGTATATGTACCATATTTTCATTATCCAATCTGTCAATGATGGGCATTTAGGTTGATTTCATGTCTTTGCTATTGTGAATAGTCCTGCAATGAACATTCACGTGCATGTGTCTTTATGGTAGAATAATTTATATTACTCTGGGTATATACCCTGTAATGGGATTGCTGGGTTGAATGGCAGTTCTGTTTTTAGCTCTTTGAGGAATCGCCATACTGCTTTCCACAATGGTTGAACTAATTTACACTCCCACCAACAGTGTATAAGCTTGCCTTTTTCTCTGCAACCTTGCCAACCTCTGTTATTTTTTGACTTTTCAATAATAGTCATTCTGACTGTTGTGAGACGGTATCTCATTGTGGTTTTGATTTGCATTTCTCTAATTATCAATCATATTAAACTATTCTTCATATGCTTGTTGGCCACATGACTGTCTTCTCTAGAGAAGTGGCTGTTCATGTCCTTTGTCCACTTTTTAATGGAGTTGTTCATTTTTATCTTTTAAATTTGTTTAAGTTCCTTATACATGCTGGATATTAGACCTTTGTCAGAAACATACTTTGCAAAAAATTTCTCACATTCTGTGGATTGTCTGTTTACTCTGTTGATAGTTTCTTTTGCTGTACAGAAGCCCTTTAGTTTGATTAGATCCATTTTGTCAATTTTTGCGTTTGTTGTGATTGTTTTTGGTAACTTTGTCATGAAATCTTTGCCTTTTCCTATGTCAAGACTGGTATTGCCTAGGTTGTTTTGGGTTTTACATGTAAGTCTTTAATTCATGTTAAGTTGATTTATGTGTATGATGCATGAAAGGAATCCAGCTTCAATCTTCTGCATATGGCTAGCCAGTTACGCCTGTACCATTTATTGAACAGGGTGTCTTTTCCCCATTGCTTTTGTCAGCTTTGTTGAAAATCAGATGGTCATAGATGTGCAGCCTTATTTCTAGTCTCTCTATTCCGTTCCTTGGTCTATGTGCCTGTTTTTGTACCAGTGCCATGCTGTTTTGGTTACTTAGCCTTGTAGCATTGTTTGAAGTTCAGTAACGTGATGCTTCAAGCTTTGTTGTTCTTTTTGTTTAGGATTGTCTTGGCAACTTGGGCTGTTTTTAGTTTCATATGAATTTTGAAATAGTTTTTTCTATTTCTATGAAGAATGTTGTTGGTAGTTTGATAGTAATAGCATTAAATCTGTAAATTGCTTTGGGCAGTATAGCCATTTTAATGATATTGATTCTTCCTATCCATGAGCATGAGATATTTTTTCATTTGTGTCTTCTCTAGTTTCTTTTAGCAGTGTTTTGTAATTCTCATTGTAAAGATCTTTCACCTCCCTGGTTCGTGTATTCCTGGGTATTTTATTCTTTATGTGGCAATTGTTAGTGGGACTGCCTTTCTGATTTGGCTCTTGGCTTGGCCCTTGTTGGTGTAGAGGAATGCTAGTGATTTTTATACATTTATTTTGTATCCTGCAATTTTGCTGAAGTTTTTTTATCAGCTGGAGGAGCTTTTGGGCCTAGACTATCGGGTGTCTTAGTATAAAACTATGTCTTCTGCCAACAGGGATAGTTTGACTTTCTCTCTTCCTACTTGAATACCCTTTATTTCTTACTCATGTCTGATTGCGCTGCGTAAGACTTCCAATACTATGTTGACTAGAAGTAATGAGAGAAGGCATCCTTGTCTTGTGCTGGTTTTCAAGGGAAATGCTTCCAGCTTTTGCCTACTCAGTATAATGTTAACTGTGGGTTTGTCATAGATGACTCTTATTATTTTGAATTATCTTCCTTCAAGAACTGTGGTAACTCAAATGGCCAGAGTAATGTATGTCCTCCAAATGATTGCACCAGTTCTCCAACAGGAGTTCTTAATGAGGCTGAACTGGCTAGAATGACAGAAATAGAATTCAGAATTGGATGGGAACATAGATTCTTCAGATTCAGGAGGACAGCAAAACACAATCCATGAAAAATAAGAATTACAATAAAGTGATACAGGAGCTGAAGGATAAAATAGCCAGTATAAAAAAAGGACCTGAATAGCACAATCCAAGAATTTCACAATGCAATCATAACTTTTAATAGTAGAGAAAACCAAGCCGAGGAAGGAATCTCAGAACATTAATACTGGTATTCTTAAATAACACAGTCAGATAAAAATAAAGAAAAAAAGAATAAAAAGAAATGAACAGAACTTCCAAGAATTATGGGGTTATGTAAAGAGACCAAATCTGTGAATTGCTGGCATCCCTGAAAGGGAGGGGAAAAAAGCAAACAATCTGGAAAACATATTTCAAGATATTGTTTATAAAAACTTCCCCAATCTTGCTAGAGAGGCCAACAGTCAAATTCAAGTAATGCAGAAAACTTGTGCAAGATTTTACATAAGATCATCCCCAAGACACATCATCATCAGATTTTTCAAGGCCATAGTGAAAGAAAGAATGTTAAAGGCAGCTAGAGAGAAAAGGCAGGTCACCTACAAAGGAACCCCATCAGGCTAATGCATGCCCCTCAGCTGAAACTGCACAAGCCAGAAGAGATTGGGGGCTATATTCAACATTCTTAAAGAAAAGAAATCGTCAACCAAGAGTTTCATATCCAACCAAACTAAGCTTCTTAAGTGAAGGAGAAATAAAATCCTTTTCAGATAAGCAAAGGTTGAGGAAATTTATTACCACCAGACCTACCTTACAAAAGATCTTGAAAGGAGCCCTAAATATAGAAAGGAAAGATTGCTACTTGATAATACAAGAACACACTTAAACACACAGGCCAGTGTCACTGTAAAGCAACCACACAAACAAGTTAACATAATAATCAGCTAATAGCACAATTGCAGGATCAAATCCACACATATCGATACTAAGAATTTCTTAGCATTCAAAATTCAACAACAATTCAAATTAGTGTTCAACATCTACTCTAAATAGATTTTATATTAGTTAAAAATCTTTGCCTTTTAATAGATACTATATGGTATTATAAAGAAATGAAGCTGAGTTTGCATCCTAGCACTTCCCAAGTGTTCTTGGACATTATTTAACATTTCTGAGATTCCATTTCTTATCCATACAATTATAACAATACTAAAACTTACATCTTTTGTCTTGGTCAAATAAGTTCAGGTAGTACTGGCCTATAGTTTGATGTAAACACAATAAATATCAAATTTTAAAGATTTGTTTATTTTTATATAAAAACATACCAAAATCTCTACCATAACCATACCTTTCAGAAACTTTTAGAGTTTGAACTATGTATTAGTCCTTTTTCACACTGCTATAAAAATACTACCTGAGACTGAGTAATTTATTAACAAAAGAGGATTAATTGACTCACAGTTCTGCATGGCTGTGGAGGCCTTAGGAAACTTACAATCATGGTGGAAGGTGAAGGGGAAGCAAGCACGTCTTACATGGTGGCAGGATAGAGAAAGCACAGGGGAAACTGTCACTTTAAACCATCAGATCTCATGAGAACTCCCTGAATATTAGGAGAACACCATGGGGAAAACCAACCACCCCTATGATCTAATCACTTCCCTCTACCAGGTCCCTCCCTGAACACATGGGGATTACAATTTGAGCTGAGATTTGGGTGGGGATACAGAGCCAAACCATATCTATTACAAACTCAAAATATCTTCATAGTAGTTTTAGTTTGATAAATATTAGGAAACATTCAGACACTTGTAATTTTAAATACCCAGTACAATTTTATAATCTAGAATCAATAAGCCATTGATGTTAGTCACACATTTAATTGATCAGCAAATATTTATTAGTTTTATTTTGTACTGCATGCTACGTTTAGCCCTGTGATTGGAAACACATCATTTGATCAGATGCAACTTTCCCAGTTTACCAACTTAGAAAATTATTTCATTGTAATTGTATTGCTCCCCTTTCTTAGCACTCATGGCACAATTATTTTGATAGATCCTCATATTCATATAGATTAAATTTATAGAGGAGTCTATCATCTACCTATTATAAAATAAAAAAGCTGCATGTAATACAATAGATTCTTGAACAGGGTGCAATGAGAACCCAGAGGAGGCCAGGAAGATCACTATATGGCAATACAAGTTCACTAGAGCAGTGGTTCTACACGTGAGAAACGGCTAGATAGTCTGTGGAAAATATGCATGAGTGCTGAAGTCAGCACTCAGATTAATAAAATAAGAATCACTTGTGTGGAGGTAGGGGGCCTGGGCAATAGTATTTTTTTATATCTCCCAAAGTGATTTTTACATGTAGAGTGAGAACCAGTACTCGAGACAAACTCTCTAATTAATACATAGGAGATAATTTATTGTGGCATTATTTATAATTGCAACAAATTGAAAGTGAGCTAAATATCCACCAGTACGTGTATGGACAATTCTAGATAAAAATTGTACCCCCCACCCCCCCAAAAAAAATTCTGGAAACTCAAGTGCTTTGATGCAGCTGGAATATGATATGTATGTGGGGAAGGGAGGAAGCTAAGGCTGCAAAGATTGGCAGAGTCCTACATAAGGTGAAAGATGCTGACCTACTGCTCTTCTCTATATTCCTGGTACATTTCCCTTTCTGTAATAAATATTTTAAATAACTTATTCATGAAATATGCTAATGCACTGACATGGATGTGAGCCCAACACTTGAATTAATACATGTTTATGTTTTGCTATAGTGTTTTCAGTATTTCTGTTAGTTATTAAAGACTAAAGCATTAGAGAGTTGGATATCTCATGCCCTTTTCTCCATTCTTCCCTTCTACAGGTATTCTGAATTAGATAGGTACACTATATATGTATTTTAATCCCTTTATTATGTATGTATTCATCCATACCAAACATTGTTTTGTTTTAAAATGTATACAGTAATTTACTTTAAAATTTTGCTATTATTTCTTAACATTTCCCAAAGTTGTTCTATGCAAAGTTGGTTCCATGCAGATCAAATTTATTCTTTTTATTTTTCATTTGTTTTAAAATTTTTTTCATTATCATTAATGTAGGTAACCCTATATATTTTTTAAAAAATTATTTTTAATTTTTGTGGGTACAAAGTAGATGTATATATTTATGGGGTACATGAGATGTTTTGATACAGACATGTAATATGAAATAATCACAGCTTGGAGAATGGGGTATCCATCCCCTCTAGCATTTATCCTTTTGCTACAAGTAATCAAATCACACTCTTTTAGTTATTTAAAAATGTACAATTATTCTTGAAAATAGTCATCCTGTTGTGTTATCAAATAGTAGGTCTTAATTCTTTCTAACAACTTTTTTTGTTCTCATTAACCATCCCTACCTCCCCCAAAGCCTCCACAATAATTCCCAGCCTCTGGTAACCATCTTTCTACTCTCTATGTCCATGAGTTCAATTGTTTTGATTTTTAGATCCTACAAATAAGTGAGAACATGCAATATTTGTCTTTCTGTGCCTAACATATATATTATTTAACGTAATGTTATCCAGTTCCATCTATGTTGTTCCAAATGACTGTATCTCATTCTTTTTTATGGCTGAATGGTACTCCATTGTGTACAGGTACCAAATTTTCTTTATCCATTCATCTGCTGATGGACACTTAGGTTGATTCCAAATCTTCGCTACTGTGAAAAGTGTTGCAACAAACATGGGAGTGCAGTTATCTCTTCAATATACTGCTCTCCTTTCTTTTGGGTATATATCCAGGAGTGGGATTGCTAGATTACATGGTAGCCAATTTTTAGTTTTTTTGAAGAATCTCCAAACTGTTTTCCATAGTGGTTGTACTAATTTACATTCCAACCAACAATGTACAGGGGTCGCCTTTTCTCCACACCCTCACCAGCATTTATTGCCTGACTTGGGATGTAAGCCATTTTAACTGGTGTGAGATATCTCATTGCAGTTTTGATTTGCATTTCTCTGATGATCAGCGATGTTGAACACATTTTCATATGCCTGTTTGCCATTTTTATGTCTTTTGAGAAATATCAGTTCAAATTTTTGGCTCATTTTCCACTGGATCATTTGATTTTTTTCCTATAGAGTTGTTTGAGCGCCTTATATATTCTAGTTATTAATCACTTGTCAGATGGGTAGTAAATTCATTCTTTTTAAGTGCTGTGTGTTTTTTCATCATTTGGACATGAACTCAAAGATCAGCAGGACTTATTTTCCGAGCACCCCTCACAAGACCCTGCTGAACAAAACAGGAGCTAATCTAAACAAGATGTAGCAAATAAACGGGCCAAAACCAGCTAGGAACAAGATGATGATTAGTTGCTCTCATTGCTCATTATATGTGAATTATACTACATTTGCATAAGGTGCTCTTACCAGCACCATGGCAGTTTACGAATGACGCCATTGATGCAGGGCAGGTTTTTGGCTTCGCTCAGTAAAGAATTCAAGAGTGAGCCGATGGTGGAGAAAAGCAGCTTTACTGAGGCAGAGGCTGAGATGCAGTTCAGTTAACTGCTCCTTGAGGAGCAGGGCTAGGCCATATGCAGTGTGCTGGGAGTAGCAGTGTATGGGCAGTTTGCAGTCATATTTATACTCACTTTTAACGACATGCTAATTAAGAGGCAGATCATTTAGAAATAGATCAAAAATGTGGGATATCTTCCCATTTGTTGCCATGGTAAGGGGAAGTAACTTCTGGGTGTTTCCATGCCATTGGTGAACTGTCATGTTGCTGGTTGGAGCGCCTCATGGTGATGGGCAGTGAGGGCACCTAGTGGTTGCCCTTAGGGTGGCTTCCTGGTCTCAGCCTTATTCATTCTGGTTTGGAGACGAGTCCTGCCAGCCTCCTACCTCACCATAGCAATGACCTGGAAGTTAGCTTACATGGCTCTGGGAGCTCCCCGTCTCTTTTCCAGAAAGTTCATGAATAACCCACCCCTGAATTAGCATATAACTAAGAGTGGATATAACTATAGCTAGCCAGCAGCCCATGAGTGCTACTCTTGGCCACTCTGCCTGTGGGATAGCCCTGCTCTGTCTATGGAGTAGCCATTTTGCTGTACATTGTTGCCCTAATAAACTTTTCCTTCACTGTTGGCTTGCTTTTGAATTCCTTCCTAAGCAAAGCCAATAACACTCCAGGGCTTAGCCCTAATTTGGGGATTTAGCTGCATAGGGAGTACATTAGTTGTTTTGTTTATGTGCTTATCTTTCCAAGCATACCTTTTGTGTAGAATCACAGTTCTAGGATATAGACGTTATAGTAGACTAGACATATCATAGGACATGTAGTCTTCAATTTTATTTAATATTGCACATTCTCTTCTAAGCAGATTGACAGTGCAGGAAACAATATACCAAGCTTGATGTTTCCTTTCATATGAAGAGACAATTATAGAATTGAATTCTTCCCACCTTCTCTCTTGCTCCTCCTCTGGGGAAATGGAAAGGATTATTTGGTGATTTTGGAATGAGGAACTGGGCATTCATAACTCTCCCATCTTCCTCTTTTAATTCTCTTAGGACTTTTCCTGAATGTGTTCTTTCCTGATTACTCTTGGCAACGTGAGAGGCTAAGTAAAGGCCACTGAAGAGAAAGCCTGCAGTTACTTTCACTGGCTGTGGCTGATTGGTGAGTCAGCTTCATCCTGGGATTCAGTACTAGGAAGCACAATACAATCATGCATTTAAGCTGTGATCTCCAAGTTAGACTTCAGTAGTAAGCACAAGATTTTGATCTTCTTTGCCTGATGACTTTATGTATCTTACTTAGTTCAATAATTAGATTAACAAATGGGTGTTATTATTCCCGAAATTCCAACTTGGCCATACCTATTTCTATTCCTCACCACCCCCACATTTTACACTACTTCTGAGTTCCAAGCATTCTTGCTTGGGTACAGAAGCAGATCTACCATGAAGTTAATGAAAGTTAAGATATATACAGGCATCTTCATCTGAAATGGCTCCCACCCAAATCCTTGTTTTCACACTTTAGAGTTATGTAAAATTTTCAAAAGTAACATATTTACATATTCTTTTTCACAATGAGAATGCTCAAATTTATAAGTTGCAGCTTCAGAACTATTAAGACTTTTATTAATATCTTATCATATTAATATACTTCCTATTTTTCCAATATTGGTTTGAAGTGATATCTCGTGGTGGTGGTGTGGTGGTGGTTTTACAACCCCTTGTTTTCTAGGGAGATTAAATATTTTCTCATTGACAATTTAGTTTTTATCTTCTATGAATTTCTTGTTCATAACCTATGAACAATTTCTTTTCTTTTTTTAGATTTGGTTGTCAGAGTTTATAAAATCTTGATGCTAGTTCTTTATTATTTTTAACTATTGCAATTATCTTTTACAATCTAAGGCTTACCTTTTATCTTTGTTTACGGAATCAAATTTATCAATGTTTTCCTTTATCACATTTAGTCTTACAAAGTCATAATAATATTATCCTAAATTTACTTAATTTTAAGGTAAATTTTTATATTGAAGAATAACGTACACAAAGCAGAGTGAAGCTTGATGGATTTTCACAAGGTGAACGTACATCTTTTACTACCATCCAGATGAAGAAATAGAAATTGTCATTACCCCAGAATTACACCAAAAGCTGTCCTTCTCACTATTGTTTGCAATGTTAACTAGCATTCTAGTTTTTAGTCTAATAGATTAATGTTGTCAGTTTTTGAACTTTATATAAAGGGAATTTATTCAGTATTTTTATGTGACTGTGCCTGAATAATTTTCCTCAACATTAGGTAAGACTTATCTGTGTTTTTGTTTGTAGCATCAGTTTATTTATTTAATCACTCTATAGTATTACATTTTGAATACCCCACAATGTATTTGTTTTTTCTACTTCTAATGTAGATTCGGACTCTTTCCAGTTTCTGAATATTATGAGTAAGGATGCTGTGAATTTGCCTTAGAAAGTTTTTGATACACATATGCACACAATTTTCGTGTTATATACCAAGAGTAGAATTGGTAGGTCATAGGGCATGCTCTTTTTTAGATTTAGTCAAGACTGTCAAGCAGCTTTCCAAAATAATCATACCAATTTATACTCCCATTAGCAGGGCATGATAGTCCCATAATGGATCATCCCATTATTAGGGATGAAACTTGATCTTTACTAAAATTTGGTATTTTCTATCTTTTAACTTTTAGCTATGATGTTGGATATTGACTGGTATGCTATTTGGGTTTTAATTTGCATTTCCAGATGATATATAAAATAGATCACATTTTAATAAGTTTTTAATCTTTGTTGTAACTTTCTTGATTATGCTTTTGGTCTGTTTTTGAAAATTGAGTTGGCTCTCTTTTTCTTACTGATTTGCAGAGGTTCTTTATGTTTTCTGGATACAAGTTTTTTTTTAGATCATATACACTTTCAATATCTTTTTTCACTATTGGGTTTGATTTCTCATTTACCTTTTTGCATCTTTTGTGTTTTTCTTTGCTTTTTGAATATATATATGTGTGTGTGTGTATACACATATATATATCATATACACACACATATATATATATATACACACACACACACACGATATGAGCAATAAGCCCTCGTTTTGTTTCTGCATACCACCACCTGGAATCAGCTTTTATTTCAGACTGTCTTTTTAGAAATGTATAGAAAAAAACTTGGAAGATAGATAGTGCTTTCCTGTGGGCAGAGAGAAAATTTGTTTTCTGACCAGGATAAGAATATATTTAGGCCGGGCGCGGTGGCTCACGCCTGTAATCCCAGCACTTTGGGAGGCCGAGGCGGGTGGATCACGAGGTCAGGAAATCGAGACCATCCTGGCTAACATGGTGAAACCTCGTCTCTACTAAAAAATACAAAAAATTAGCCGGGCGTGGTGGCACGCGCCTGTAGTCCCAGCTACTCAGGAGGCTGAGGCAGGAGAATGGCGTGAACCCGGGGGGCAGAGCTTGCAGTGAGCCGAGATCTCGCCACTGCACTCCAACCTGGGCGACAGAGCGAGACTCCGTCTCAAAAAAAAAAAAAAAAAAAAAGAATATATTTAATGTCTCCTTCTCGGGGACAGTTTGGCTACATTTACTGGCAGCCTTTTTATAAGATGGAGGGTTTTCTGAACTTGGATTCTATCCCTATAATGCATCTTACTGCTTGTACAGGCTTCACATGATGAGATACGTTGAGATACGTTGTAGGAAGTGAGGATCGGGAAGTACTACAAGTGATATTCTGTCTACTGTGATTATTTGAGTAATAAATTGTCCCTTTGACTTTGACCCAAGAGGTTCATGCCTTCTGTCAGTATTGTTGCAGCTTTGTTTATTTTTACTTTATATATTTTGAGACCACTGTATTTAGTATTTTCATGTTTTGGATGGAATAACTTCTGAGTTGGTTGACTCCTTTATCGTTTCAAAATGCCGCATCTCTTATCATGCTTGTCATTTTAGTGTCTATTACTTCTAATATTAGTATCAGCCTATAGTTGAATTTCATTTTTCTAATCAAGCAAAATCATTTTTATTTATTTTAAATTAGGGTATTTATTTTGTTCATGCTGAACAGTTATTAATAAATTTCTATTTAAATTTACCATCTTGCTCTTTGTCTTTTCTTTGAAATCCTTTTTTGCCTGCTTGTTTTTCTTTTTGGCTTATTAAATTTTGAATTATGTCTTTATTTCACAAATACAATCTGACAATTTTTATCTTTCAGTTGGTACATTTAGTACAGTTCTTCATCAATTTGTGTTTAAATCTGCCATCTTATTATTTGCAGTGTTTTCCCACCTGCTTTATATTTCCTATTTTATCCTTTTTTCATATTTGGATTAAGTAAGACTATTAATATGCATCTTTATTTTTTATTTTTTATTTTTTTGAGACAGAGTCTCACTCTGTCATCTAGGCTGCAGTGCGGTGGTGTGATCTCAGCCTCCCAGGTTCGTTCTCTTGCCTCAGCCTCTGGAGTAGCTGGGATTACAGGTGCGCCACCAAACCTGGCTAATTTTTGTATTTTCTGTAGAGATGAGATTTCTCCATCTTGGCCAGTCTGGTCTCGAACTCCTGGCCTCAAGTGATCTGCCTGCCTCGGCCTCCCAAATTGCTAGGATTAAAGGTGTGAGCCACCATGTGCAGCCTTAATATTCATCTTATCTGCCATATTTTTAAAACAATGTTTGAGTGTTTACATGAGAAATTACTATATGCATTATGGATTTATTAATGTTTCATTTAACTTAATGCTTTTAATATTCCCTTGACAATGCAAGGACTTTAAAAACACTTTGATATCTTTTTTCACCTCCACTTTCTTTTCCTGTGGTTTTCAGTTAATTATTCACAATGTTTAAATGCACACATGTATTAATATTATTGTTAAATGCAATCAATATTCATTTAGATTTCTCTACATATATTCATATATTTAATCTTTGTTTTTATTTCTATCTGAATTTCCAGACTTCCACATGAGATCTTTTTTTTTATTGCTTTAAGTATTTTTATTAGTATGGATCCATTAGTAATCAGTTTTCTTCATTTTCACGTATCTGAAATGGCCTTTATGTTATCTTCACTTGTGAAGCACATTTTCTCTTGGAATCAGATTCTAAGTTAGTGCCCTGTTACCAGTTTTATGAAAATTCAGTTATATTATCATCTGATTTCATTGTTTCTGTAGAAAAGTCAGCTGTCAGTTCTATTACTTGTAGGTAAGGGATCTATGTTTTTCTTTCTGCCTGCTTTTTAATATTTTTTAAAACTTTGGTATCCTAAAATGTCCCTAGTAGTTGTTTTCTTTCCACTTATTTTGCATGTGATTCATTATATTTTTTGAATCAGTGTTTAATGTCTTTCAAATTTTGGAAGATTATCTTTTATTTTCCTTCAAATATTGCTTATGAACCCTTTTCTTTCCATTTCCTCCTGAGACTCTATTTTTAAAGATGATGTTAAGCATTTTTAACACATTCCATATGTCTCTTAAGCACGTTAGTATAGTTTCCATCCTTTTTCCCCTCCTCTCTTTCTAGGCTTGAATCTGGATCTAATGAACTATCTTCCACCTCATTAGTCTTTTTTTCTTTTTTGGAGAGAATACAGGCTGTCTCATCTGCTGTTAAACTCTTCTATTGGTTTCTTGGCTTTAGTTATTATATCTTTCAGATCTGAAATTTCCATTTGTGTTCCTTTTTTATATTCCCATTCTTTGCTGAATTTCTATATTTTCTCCATTTAATTCAACATGTTAAATACTGGTATTATAAAGGACAGATCTGATATTCCATTATCTGGATCTCCTTTGGGTTTATTTCTATTATCAGTTTTCTCTCTTTTTCTACTTCATACTCAGTCCCCTGTTGAGTCTTTTATAAGACTAACTGAAAAACAAGAGTATTTAACAATGCCCTCCTCCTAGAGATCCTGAGCTCCTCTTTTTGTCTTAAGTGTGGGACTGGCAACCATGCTCAGCTTTTCAGCCATAGCTAAGACAAAGGCAAATGTCCATACTAAGGTCAATGATTGAGGTCATTCAGTGACTGCTTTTATTTTCTGAAAGGAATGTTTTATTCACAGTTTGTTTTCATTTGTTTGGGAGACCCATCTTAACTCTAGAGTTCATTGCTAGAATGCCTCCACATTGATAGGTTCTGAACTCCAACTTTTGTTTCTTCAGCTTCTGTGAGGTGCTTGCAAGGGCTGCTCAGATTCTCAGATGCTTATGCTGCCATTTGCGTTGGGAAAATGCCTCTGCAAAAGGTAGAGAAAAGGAATCATAAATACTGGTCTGTCACAAATCTGTATTTCCCTTCTCTTTAGGATCTTGATATTTCCGGACTTGGCTAAATTGGTGCTCTCTGATACCTTCAAGTATATAAATTAAACCCTGATTTTCCATATTTTTGATGGCAAGTTTGATCAAATTAGAGCTTTCCACCTAGACTTTCAATTAAACAAGCACCAAATTATTGAATAGTTCATTTTTTTCAGACTGGTGTAATGCTTCTGCTGATATATACCAAGTTTTCATTAAAGTGTGGGTTTGTATGTTTTCTTTATTCAGCTTCATTGGTCTAATGATTTTTTCTCTTTTTTTAGACGGATTCTCGATTCTCGGACTGTCTCCCAGGCTGGAGTGCAATGGTGCTATCTCAGCTCACTGCAACCTCTGCCTCCCGGGTTCAAGCGATTATCCTGCCTCAGCCTCCCAAGTAGCTGGGATTACAGGTGCCCACCACCATGCCCGGCTAATTTTTTGTATCTTTAGTAGAGACTGGGTTTCACTATGTTGGCCAGGCTGGTCTTGAACTCCTGACCTCGTGATCTGCCTGCCTCGGCCTCCCAAAGTGTTGGGATTACAAGCGTGAGCCACTGCGCCTGGCCTCATTGGTCTAATTATCTTTTCCACAATGTTTGAAATACTCTTTTTTCTTGAAATATAATAGTGGCAATTTTTGTTCTTAAAAATGTCCTGGCTCTTGTGGCTCTATGTCATTTAAATTTTAGGTAGGTCTTTTCAAATTTTGTGAAAAACACTGAGTTTTTTGGATTGTATTGAATTAATAACTTTAAGAGAACTTAAGATGTAATATTTTCATCTATAATAATTGTAGAAAATTCACCATTTTAAGTCAGTGAATTTAAACAATTATATTAATGAGTGTCATGCTTATTTTTGACTAGATTTGTTATTAAGCAACATTATTTTTTATTATGATATTTTAGTAAAGTTTACTTTGTGGAATTTTATAGACTTCTAGAAAAAATGAGAAGATATAATTGAGTACAGCATACCCAATTTCTTATATTATTAACATATTAGTGTGGTCTGTTAGCATTCATAAACCAATATTGATACATTATTATTAACAAATGTCTATATTCTATTCAGATTTGCTCAGTTTTTACCTTTTTTTTTTTCTGTTCCAGGATCCCATCCAAGGTAGCACATAACATTTAGTATTCAGATTTCTTTTGGCTCCTTTTGACTGTGACTGTTTCTCAGACTTTGTTTTTCACCAACTTGACGGTTTTGTGTATTGGACAGGCACTTCATCCAACATCCTTAATTTGGGATGATTTGGTGTTTTTCTCATGGTTAGACTAGGGTTACAGGTTTTTAGAAAGAATATCATAGAAGTGAAGCATCGATGGTATAGCATAGTGGAAGTACATGTTATTTACTTGACTTATCAATTATAATATTCACTTTGATCGCCTGGCCAATGTAGCAGTTTTCATGTTTCTCCACAATTTTATTTTGAATACTCTACTCTTTGAAAGTAAGCCACTAAGCATAGTCAACCCTCCATTATGTGTGTGCTTGTGTGTGTGTGTGTGTGTGTGTCCCATTGTGTTAATTCATTCACCAGTTGGACATTTGGACTCTCTCTACTTTTTTTTTTTTTTTTTTTTTTGGTGACAAGGTCTTGCTCTATTGCCCAGGCTGGGGTACTGTGGCATAGTCATAGCTCACTGCAACTTCAGACTCCTGGGCTGAAACTATGCTCCTGCCTCAGCCTCCTGAGTAGCTGGAACTACAAGTGCATGCCACCAGGTCTGGCTAATCTTTAATTTTTTTAGAAAATTAGTAGTGAGTCTCACTATGTTGCCCTAGCTGGTCTCAAATTCCTGGGCTCAAGCGATTTTCCTGCCTTGGCTTCTCAAAGTGCTGGGATTACAAGGGTGAGTCACCACACCTGGTCTTTTTCCATGTCTTGATTATTATAAATAATGCTCCTATGTATATTTGTGTGCGAATTTGTTATTTCTCTTGGGCAAATACTGAGTATAAATGCGGGTTCACGTAGTGACTGTGAGTTTAAAGTTTTAAGGAACTGACAGACATTTTTCCAAAGTTGGTTGTATCGTTTCACATTTCTATGAGAATTGTATGAATTTTCCAATTCTACCATATCATTTCTAACATTTGTTATTATGTCTATTTTATTACAACAATCCTAGTGGGTGTTATATCTCATTGTGGTTTTCATTTGCAATCATCTTATGATTAATGTTGTTGAACGTGATTTTATATGATTATTGGACATTTGCATATCTTTTTTGGAGAAATGTCTACTCAGATTCTTTGCCCATTTTTTATTGGGTTATTTATCTTTTCATTTATTGAATTGAAATAATTATTTATATTATGTAGATATAAGTGTCTTACTGGAAATAAGGATTTGCAAGCATTCCTCGGATTTTTAGATTGCCTTTTCATTTTCTTATCATTTGAAGCAATACGTTTTTAATTTTAATGAAGTCCAATTTATCTAATTTTTAATTTTGTCCTTTATGCTTTTGGTGCCATATCTAAGAAGATTTTGTCTTACACAAGGACATACAAATTTACTACTAGTATATTTTTTCTAAGGCTTTTATAGTTTTAGCTATTAGTTAGGTCTGTAACTCATTTTCAGTTAATTTTTGTTTATAGCATGAGGAACGTGTCCAATTTTATTATTTTGCACGTAGATATCCTGTTATGTTACACTACTTGTTGAAAAAATTATTTTTTCTGATTTGTCTTGTCACCCTTGTCAGAATTCAACTGAGCATTAACCTAAGAGTTTATTTCTGAACTCCCAGTTCTATTCCATTGATATATATCTTTATGCCAGTATGTCACACATTCTTTTACTTTTTTTAAGAGTTAAGGTCTCTCTCTGTCACAGAGGCTGCAGTGCTGTGGCGTGGTCATAGCTCACTGTAACCTCAAACTCCAGGGCTTCAGCAATGCTCTCACCTCAGCTTCCCTAGTAGCCAGTCATGTAAACCACCTTGCTTGGCTAATACTTTAATTGTTTGTAGAGATGAGATCTCATTATGTTGCCCAGGCTGGTTTCAAACTCTTGAGCTCAAGCAGTTCTGTCTTGGCCTCCAAAAACTCTGGGATTACAAGCATGAGCCACTGTACCTGGCAACACACAATTTTGATTACTGTAGCTTTATTATAACTTTTGAAGTTGAGTAGTTTAAATCCTCACTTTTTTAAGTATAATTTTAGCTCTTTAAGGATTGTTTTGTATTTCCATACCAGTCTGAGGATCAACTTGTCAATTTCTGAAACAAAGCCTGTTGGGATTTTGATAGAGATTGCATTTACTTTGTAGATCAATTTGAGGAACATTGCTACATTTACACTATTAAGTTTCTTGATCCATGAACGTGACTTCTTTTTGCATTATTTACTTCTCTAACTTCTTTCGGCAATGTCTTGTAGTTTTCAGAGTATGTGCTTTGCATACTCTGATTTAATTTGTGTTAAATTTATTCTTAGGTATTTTTTATGTAAATGTAGATAGAATTAACCCTTGATTTTATTTTTAATTATCCGTCTAATAGTGTATAGAAATACAATTGATTTTGTACATTGATATTGTATCCTGCATCTTTGACACCTTTGTTTATTGGTTCTTAAACAATTTTAGTGGGTCTTTAGAATACCATATACACAAGATTATGTCATCTGCAAATAGAGATAGCTTTATTTAACTTCAGTCTGCAAAGGCATTATTAGTCTCATTACGAAGTAGAGAAAAAATGAGAATTACAAAACTCATATGAGTACTACTAAGTAGCACAACTGAATTTGGAGTCATTTATTTGACACCAGAGTCTTTTTTCTGTATGGATATCTAGCATAATGCCAAGATGAATTACTGTAATATTTTAAATCTACAAAAATAATTTTGTCCTTAAAAAATATACATTGATTCTCCACTGTATAATCCTGTTTCAGTCATTCATAATTTGGTTAAAGATACAACATCTTTATGATGCTAAGAGTGGGGAGTACTCATCAGTTATTACCATTTGTCATACCACTTAGAATTTGATTCATGCAGTTACCACTGCATTATTTAGTTCACATACTCTTCTATCCCACTGGTATGAACATTTCTCTCTTACCCCCTCCTCTACCCTCCTCTTTTTTCCTCCTCTTTCTCCTCTTTATCTTGATTTCAATGTTGACATTTTAGTGGATCTGAGATCTTCCTTTAAAAAATAAAGTATAGTAAAGCACACAATAAATGATTCAGCCACTACATTTTGAAGCAAATTTATAAATGGAAATGTGTAACAACCAGCTATTGGTTGAAAGTCATAAAACCTCATACTCATTAGTATCATTACTAAAAACAAACAAAATAGAAAATAGCCAGTGTTAGGTGCAATACAGAGAAGTTGGAGTCTTTACACACTGTTGGTAGGAATGTCAAGTTGTGCAGCCACTATGGAAAACAGTAAGGCAGTTCCTCACAAATTTAAAAATAGAACTACTGTGTAATAAATATACATCAATTCTGTCTCTCTGTATGTGCCCAAAAGACATAAAAGCAGCATCGCAAAGATATTTGTACACTTACATGCACAGCAGCATTATTCACAATAGTGAAAGGTGTAAGCAACTCAAGTGTCCATCAAAGAATAACTGGATGAACAGAAAATGATATGTATGTTAATGAAATATTATCGAGCCTTAAAAAGGAAGGACATTTCAACACATGCTGTAACATGGATGAAACTTGAGGACGTACATTAAGTGAAACAACACAGTCACAAAAAATAAATACTGTATGATTCCATTTATGTGAGGTACCTAAAATAACCAAATTAATAGAGACAGAAAGTGGAAAGGTAATTGCTAGAACCTGGGGGAAGAAGGGAATGGGGAGTTGATTAAAAGGTAAAAATGTCAATTTTGCAAGACAAAAAGAGTTCTGGGGATTGTATGTATAGCAATGTGAATGTACTTAATACTACTCAACAGTAAACTTAAATATCATTAAGATTGTAACTTTACATGTTACATGTGTTTTACCACAGTTTGAATTTAAAGAAAAAAAAAGAAAAATACAAGTCTAACAAAAAAAGTTAAGCAAATGTTAACAATAACCAAAGTTACAAAAAAAGTCATAAAAACGATTGCCTTTACAGATATGATAATATGTAATATTTTCTAGATAAGAGCAGGCACTAACAGATCCCTACTAGTCTTATATAATGGCACTTGTATTTTTCATAACATCCTTTCTGCTTCCAGAAATAAGAAATAGTAACATGTTAAGACTTTTACTGTTATTAGCTTCCCCATTTTTAAACATTTCGTAGCATTCGTTTTCAATTTTTGTAACTTCACCCTTGATTTTTTTTTGCGGTAATTTTATATAGATTATTTTCTGCCAATCGCCACCAATGATTATTAATTTATGTCACAGTTTTTAATAGATTGGTGCTTAGTGTTAAGACAAATAGCTTATTAGCACTATAACTAACTATAAGGAGCATTTGAGTGCAAGTTATAATTTAAAAATGTCTCTAGATGATAATCAATAATCAGATAATCAATCCTGAAAATACGTACATAAAATTTTCACTGCTCACATAATTCAAGGTGAACAAAACCCTAATTTAAGGTCATTTAATGGTGATATTTGGGTTAGAAATAATCAGTCTCTATACGTCTGCTATATATTAGTACCATATACACCCATAATCGGTAAAAACTTTAGAATGTTGTACAACATTCTAAGAAAGAAAGCAATATATGCTTAACTTTAAATGGATTGTATTTTTTCAGAGATAAAGCATTAAGTTTGTAGCTTTTAGATTAGGCATGAACATTCCAATTATTATATTTTATTACTATTATTATTATCATTTCTTCAACATGCAAAATGATTATTACTTGTGAAATGCTTTTACAACAATCTTATGGGGAGAAATATTCACATGAAAATGGGACGGAAGTTTGAAATAGTTGATATACCTACCTCAGATCACATAACTTGTAAGAGATTGGACTCTGGTTTTGAAGTAGTTATTTGATAAGGCTGTTAATGCCTATTGTTACTCAGTGCATTAAACAGGGAAGAGAATTGGCTATTCAATTATGGCATTATTTTCTTTGATTCCAAAGCAAGGTTCTGCAGGTCACCACAAAGATTATTCATTTATGTTACAGTTTTTAACAGACTGATTTTTGATAGACTAGTTTGTGGGGTACACCTATATAATGAATGATAAGATAAAATTAGAAACTATGAAAGATTTATTAAAAATTTTCTCTTTTAACTCAGAGTACTTAACTACATTTAATTAAACATAGCACTTTCTGGACAAATATGTCTTAAACTATACAAAGGACATGAAAGCACTAGTATTTAATCTTTTTAGTCTTGACCCATATGAAAACTATATTAGATGCTCAATAAATGTCTGCTGAAGTAACGAGCGACAAATGGGCATAGAGTCTTAAATGATAGCCACCAGTCTCAGACATTATTATTAAAGGTAAATTAATTAAGTTAACCAATACAAAGTACTATTCTCAGCGGCTGGCCATATCTTGGCCACTACTTTTTTATTCAGTGACTAAATGTCAAATGCAACAACATATTCTTTTATGAAACTTTAGTATCTGGTAGTGAGCAAAAGTCACGTTATTCCCAAATAGTGGCAGAGTAGCAATATATTAAAGAAAAATGAGACTTTTCATTGTATTAGTTAACAAAACATATTTGACATTATAGATCGCTAACAAAAAATACTAAGGAAACATTGGAACAATCTGGAGAGTGTCTTTAGGCAACGTGGCAGGCTGAGAAACAGCGGGTGAAACATCAGCATTATTCTTCAATGACAGATTCAGCCAAGAGTAGATAGAGACCAGATTAAAAGTGCACTTTTTGTTTTGTTTTGTTTTGTTTTACTGTGTTTGTAGAATGGCTTTATTAGTCTTTTATAATTTTACAAGGAAACTCAAATCAATACATTTGATATCTTCATGAACACATAAATCAATATGCCATAATTACAAAGATTTCAAAGAATTTACCTTCTGAAACTTGGAGGAGATTATGAACAAAATGTATTTTCCTTGGGCAGATGTCATTTCTTTAATGGCTCCTGCCCGCATATTGAGGAGTGAAGAGTGGAGGGACGCATACAGGAAGTCTATTTCAGGGCCTTTATGGATGATTTCAACTCATCCATAAAGCTTGGTGAATTTATAGAACTCAGGAAGTATATGATCTTTCTTATAACTTCAGAATTTAAAATTTCAAGTCTCTCTTTTCATTATGGACTGCAAATCTGTATTCAAATTATCTTATCCATATGATGGACCGAATACATATGTTGTGTGTGTGCGTGCGTGTGTTAACTTTAAATTGACCAGTGATCACTATAGAATATAGAACAGATATTTTCAGTACATAAACAGAAGCAGACTTCCTAAACGATCGTGTTTTGTTCAAAAGTCAACGCTGATAGAAACCTGGGTCCTTGCTTGCAATCTGCCCTTCAGTTTTGCTGTTTATCAGATCTCCATTTTTTTTCTACCTCCAAGAAATACTTTGGGGCTGTTGACCAGGATATGACACCCAGACAAAACCTGAAGAACACAAAGTGTTGCTGCTAGGTATTTAACAGTGCTTCAATCATTTTCCTTAAACTCTGTAAATAATTGGAAATGTTTAAAAAATATTATTTATATTAAATAAAATGTGTTAAAATAAGAACAAATACCAATGAATCTATTTAGAGACATTCACGTCAGTTAACAGCACGATAGATTGTTAATGTTGGGTAAAATGTGATGAACTATAAAGAAAAATAATAATTTGTTTATAGGAAAATCACAATGTTGGTTACATTCAAATATTGAGAAATCATAGGTAATAAGAATAATGAACATGTAGAATATAAAAGGAACACCAAAACGCTTTTTTCACACTTAACAAATAAAATACTTTCTTTTCCCAAGTTCTCCTCTGGGCCTAAGGCACAGCTGTAAGTGGCATTATAAATGTTGTTGATATGAATTGAATGCATCCATTCTCTTTTTTATGTGGGAAGTATGGAGGAAGGGAAGAGATCAACATAAATATACTGTTTTAAATAATGTTAAAACATTTTTAATTTTTTTCTAATTAAAAAATCAAGCTATTAATATATGTTAGACTCTTAATCCAATAAAGATTATAATGGGAAAACAGATAACATATTATCGATAATATTACCCCACTGATGTTTACCTAACTCACATGACCACTTGACTGCAGCCTAAGCATTCACATAAACTTTTCAGCTTAGCAATTGATATTAATCATGGACAGACCAATTTAGCTAGAGTGATTGGTACTGACTGCTAAAATAGCTGAAATGTTTGTACTGGTCATGAACCTGGTCAATTTGGCCTCTATGTAGACATGAAAAAGATGAGCTCATCAGTGTTTTCAGAATAATATGAATCTAACCACATCTTGATACTTTGCAATAAAATGAATATTGAGAAAAATGAATATTCATTTTAAAATGAATGAATATTGAGATAAAAAATGAATATTGAGAAATACTATATGTGTATTCAGTAATCAATTGTCACATTATTCTGCATCACTTTTTATCACAGCTTCTAGTACACAGTGATATTACAATTATCTAGTTTCTTATAAAGATGCTAATATCAACCGGAATTCCAGACACATTATTTTGGAAATATTAACGCAAGAAAATCTTCTTGGTGCATATGTGTTTACCCTTTGGAATGTGCGTGGCTGGATACCACTGATTCTTTTTAAATAAAACTTTATTAGTAAAACTTCTCAAATATCTTTACAACAGCCCACTGTTCAAGAGGAAGTCTCGTCCTTCCCAGCACACAGGTTGAATCGCCCCCGAACCCACCCGGAGCCCCACGCCAGGCCTGAGAAGTCCTCCTGGGATGGGGAGAAGTTATGAGAGGGGGAAATATGGGGATGAATGGGGTGGCTCCCCAGCGGCTCCCCACTTTTCTATTACGAGAGAAAAAAAGCACAAATGAGACAGTGGGGGTAGAGGTGATGGACAGCTGACACCTAAGCTGGAGGATGGGCGCCCAGGATGGGGGAGGCGGAAGCTGCTGCGTGAGTGAAACAGGCAGCCCCTCCCCAGCATCTCTAGCCTTTGGGACCAGTGATTCTTTTAGGAATTACAAGGAAGATGAAAATCTCTTCTATAAGGTAATGTGTGGTGGTGGTGGTGGTCGTGGTGGTGGTGGTGATTGTGCTGGAAATCCTAAAAGTCAGAACTTTCCTGGAGTTGAGGCTTATTGTTATTATTATTATTATTTGCCCTTTCCATTCCAGAATGCCTTTCAGCTGGGATAAAATTCTTCAGGAAGTGGAAAAGAGAACAAGCTTACTTCTGGGATGAGGTAGACAGAATGTCAATTAAGTCAGAAGAATCTAAGGCTGAAGATCTCATGTTGGTTTCAAGATGCCATCTTATCAACATGGTTGGAAGTACTAAAGTCATAATTCCTGTAAAATTTTTATACCATTCTGAAACCTGAATAACTTCACATTTATTTCCCCCTTTAGTTTCACAACAGTGTTTAACTGTAAAAACCTTTGGAAACACTAAGATGGTGCTGGAGGTTAGCTGGGAATTACATAGAGCTTTACAGCCTAATTAGGGGAGGAGTAGCTGTAACACATAGGTAAATACCCAAACTCTACAGTTACAGGGGATGAAACAGAATCTGATCAAAGACACCCAATAAATCTAGAAAAAAAAAAAGAGGAAAGAGATAAGAAAATAAAAGTAAACACAAAACGAAGAATTCATCAGCAGTGAAGTGCAAAATGAAACGGGAGCAAATCACAGCCTCAAGTAAATTTTGCCAGATACAAAATGCTGTAGGTAATTTGATGAAGACACTTGAAACTGATACACGATTTCTCTTTCTGGGAAAGTATTTCGCTTTTTCAGGAAGGAAATTAAAGACAGTTTGGCATATTCCATCACCATTACCTGTTTTGGAAGGATTGATGATGGATGCATGGGTAGACCATAGAATAAGTGGAATATTCCTTCCCCTGCCATAAATAAGCAGCATTTAATAGTTCAATAGCTCTAAGATAAAACAGGATTACTTCTTGCCATTTTCTCCCTCTAAACCAGGTTCTTAAAAATACAAACAATTTACTCCTACGTGGGAAAATACTTCCTAGAGGGGTTAAGTCTGGAAACAAGTGCATACCACTGACAAGATGATCTATTAGGACTAATTGCATAATGGAGGAGTCAAAGCACAAAGGAACCACACACATCTTCACCAAAGATGATGTTAATGAGATTTTTTTCTCTCTCTAGCTAGTATCATTATTTGCAGAGATAATGATCATGTGTACTAAAAATCCAGGACTATTAAAGTAAAACTATTAAAATTAACAAAATAGGTCTGGGTCCTGGTCAGTTTCAAGATTAATATAGAAACATCAAGATTCTTTAAAAATCACCAATAATTGCTTAGAAAATAAAATTAAAATGCTCATTTTTAAACAGGAATGATAATTATATAGCTGGAATTTTCTAAAATTATACTTTAAGTTTCAAGATACATGTGTAGAACCTGCAGGTTTGTTTCATAGGTATACATGTGCCACGGTTGTTTCGTGCACCCATCAAACTGTCATCTACATTAGGTATTTCTCCTAATGCTATCCCTCCTCTAGCTCCCCACCCCCTGACAGGCCCCAGTGCATGACATTTCCCTCTCTGTGTCCATGTGTTCTCATTGTTCAACACCCAGTTATGAGTGAGAACATGAGGTGTTTGGTTTTCTGTTCTTGTTTGGGTTGCTGAGAATTATGCCTTCCATCTTCATCCATGTTCCTGTAAAGGACATGAATTCGTCATTTTTATAGCTGCATAGTATTCCATGGTGTATATTTGCTACATTTTCTTTATCCAGTCTATCACTGATGAGCATTTACATTGGTTCCAAGTCTGCTATTGTGAATAGTGCTGCAATAAACATACATGTGCATGTGTCTTTATACTAGAATGATTTATAATCTTTTGGGTATATAGCCAGTAATGGGATTGCTGGGTCAAATGGTATTTCTGGTTCTAGATCCTTGAGGAATTGCCACACTGTCTTCCACAATGGTTGAACTAATTTACACTCTCACCAACAGTGTAAAAGCCTCCCTATTTCTCCACACCCTTTCCAGCATCTCTTTCCTGACTTTTTAATGATTGCCATTCTAATTGGCGTGAGATGATATTTCATTGTGGTTTTGATTTACGTTTCTCTAATGACCAGTGATGATGAGCTTTTTTTTTTCATATTTATTGGCCACATAACTGTCTTCTTTTGAGAAGTGCCTATTCATATCTGTCACCCAGTTTTTGATGGGGTTGTTTTTTTCTTGTACATTTGTTTAAGTTCGTTGTAGATTCTGGATATTGGCACTTTGTCAGATGGATAGATTGCAAAGATTTCCTCCCATTATGTAGGTTGCCTGTTCACTCTGTTGATAGTTTCTTTTGCTGTGCAGAAGCTCTTTAGTTTAATTAGATTCCGTTTGTCAATTTTGCCTTTTATTGCCATTGCTTTTGGTGTTGTAGTCATGAAGTCTTTGTCCATGCCTATGTCCTGAATGGCATTGCCTAGGTTTTCTTCTAAAGTTTTTATGGTTTTAGGTCTTATGTTCAAATCTTTAATTCATCTTGATTTAATTTTTGTATAAGGTGTAAGGGAGGGGTCCAGTTTTAGTTTTCTGAATATGGCCAGCCAGTTTTCCCAACACCATTTATTAAACAGGGACTCCTTTCCCTATTGCTTGTTTTTGTCAGGTTTGTCAAAGATCAGATGGTTGTAGATGTGTGGCATTATTTCTGAGGGCTCTGTTCTGTTCCATTGGTCTACATATCTGTTTTGGTAACAGTACCATGCTGTTTTGGTTACTGTAGCCTTGCAGTATAGTTTGAAGTCAGGTAGCATGATGCCCCCAGCTTTGTTCTTTTTGCTTAGGTTTGTATTGGCTATATGGGCTCTTATTTGGTTCCATATGAAATTTAAAGTAGTTTTTTCCAATTCTGTGACGAAAGTCAATGGTCGCTTGATGGGGATAGAATTGAGTCTATAAATTACTTTGGGCAGTATGGCCATTTGCACGATTTTGATTCTTCCTATTCATGAGCATGGAATGTTCTTCCATTTGTTTGTGTCCTCTGTTATTTCCTTGAGCAGTGGTTTGTAGTTCTCCTTGAAGAGGTTCTTCACATCCCTTGTAAGTTGTATTCCTAGGTATTTTATTCTCTTTGTAGCAATCGTGAGTGGTTCACTCATGATTTTGCTCTCTGATTGTCTGTTATTCGTGTATAGGAATGCTTGAGATTTTTGCACATTGATTTTGTATCCTGAGACTTTGCTGAAGTTGCTTACCAGCTTAAGGAGATTTTGGGCTGAGACGTTGGGATTTTCTAAATATACAATCATGTCATCTGCTGGGAATAGTTTTTCTTACGTGTAAGATTTGCGTGAAAAGACTATATATACAATTTTACCTAGGAAGAGAAAAGAATAAATATAGAGACATGCAATGTAACTTCTTGATAAAATAAAATAGTCTAAACATTATATTATTAAATTGAAATAAAAATAAAATTTAAGACTATATGTACATTATATCAACCAGTTACATTTTTAATTTTAAGTTCAAAAATGAAACCAGTTTAAATCACTTCTGATATCACCTACAAAGAGTTATGTGAAAATACCTAGAACATTTAAGACAAAGAATAATAGATGAGGATTAGCTTTTTAAATTTTTGAAACATATTTTAAAACATATTATTTAACACTAGTCAGCAAGGTACAAAAGTAGACTAGCCAATGTAACTAAATATGTATGTCTAGAAAAGAACCTGGATATAGTTGAAATTTTAGGGAATTATATTGGGAAGTTTTTCAAAATAATACAATAAGGAGAAATTAGTCAATAAATATATGGACAGGTGATTTGCCATATGTAAATATAAAAGTTATATCCCCTACCTCATGTGTAACATGAATTATTCCCAGGTCTCTACCAAAGACATACTTTTTAAAAATAATTTTTATAATTTTTGTTTTTGAGAGAGTTTGATAGGAACACAAACTCAGAATAAAAGAAGGTTTTATTATATTTTCATTGTTAAACATCCCCCTCTACAACTACCTTCTATATCAAGCAAGAACAGCAACAATCTCTGTATGGAAAATAAATAAAATGACTGATATTTAAAAGACATAAGTTCATATCTATGATATGTAAAAATTTCTTGAAATGTAAAAGAAAAACACACACGTGTTCAACCTCATTAAAAAATGTTAAACAAAAAAGTACTTTAGTACAGTAGATAGAAAAGGGCTAAAAATATTGACAAAAGTATATTACAAAGTGATGATGTCCAGCAGAAATTTCTATATGATGGAAATGCTTTCATATCTTTAATATCATGTATGAAAGCCATCAGACATATATGGTTATTGAGCAGTTGACATATGACTAAAGTAACTAAGAAACTAAAATTCAATTTTATTTTTTTTAATTAAAATTTGAATAGCCCTCTAAGGATAATTACTACCTTACTGGAAAGTACAGTTACAGAGTTTTCACTAAAATATATTCTTTTCCACATATGATCAGTATGACCGAAACATACCACTTTATTTTATTTTTGAGATGGAGTCTTGATCTGTCATCCAGGCTGGAGTGCAGTGGTGTGATCTCAGCTCACTGCAACCTCTGCCTCCGGGGTTCAAGTGATTCTTTTGCCTCAGCCTCCTGAGTAGCTGGGACTACAGGCTCCCGCCACTATGCCCAGCTAATTTATGTGTTTTTAGTAGAGATGGGGTTTCACCATATTGACCAGGCTGGTCTTGAACCCTTGAGCTCAAGTGATCTGCCTGCTTTGGCCTCCCAAAGTGTTGGGATTATAGGTGTGAGCCATTGCACCCAGCTCAAACATAGCATTTTTGAAGAAATCCAACCATATGCATCAAAATTATCCAAATATATTCTCTTTAACCTAAAAATTTCAAATTTAGCTTTTTATTGTAAGAAAATAGCATGGTAAGTACAATAAATGTAGTACATGGACACACGGAGAGGAAGAACACTTACTGGGGCCTGTTGCTAGAGGGGAGAACATTAGGGAAAAGAGCTAACGGATGCTGGGATTAATACCTAGGTGATGGGTTGATAGGTGCAGTAAACCACAATGGCACACATCTACCTATGTAATAAACCAGCACATCCTGCATATGTACCCTGAAACCTAAAAAAAAATGAAAAAATTTTATAAAATGAAGAATGTTTATTGAATTTGAAAAATTGGAGACCATATAAATGCCTGAATATAGAAAAAACGTTAAATAGATTTGGTTCACTAAGTCACGAGAAAATTCACATAACATAACTTCCATGTTGCTTCTGTATTGTGGTCACTCTCCAACGTTTTACATATAATAGGATGTGATAATTAAAGAGCAGTGGGATCAATGTCAGGAAAAGTCATTTTATTGCTTTTCTTGTTCTGGAAACTGCTCTGTTATTAGCAACTCCTTAGTGAATTTTGGTTCTGTATGAATAGCTCATCATATTTATTACTCATATTGATCTTACTGATTACTAACACCCTTAAGCCCTTTCTATACACAAAAAGAGGTGCAATTTTGAATCTTATGTACATTATAACATTGAACTAAAATTTGTTATCCTCCTCCATTAAACTGTAAATTCAACAAGGAGCGAGAATGTTTCAAAATAATATTCCCCAGTGTTAGCATACACTTAGTAGTCACATAATAAATATGTGTTGAATTAATTAAATAAATGAAACATACATTAGAGACCTGAGCATATTTCAATGGTAACTCCATTTCAGGAGTAAAATTTCCTACACATCTGATGAATTAGTTACTCAAAACTTATCTGTTATGTGTGATAGATAACTTCAAATATCTGGATAAAGTCAATGCTCAATTCTGAATCTTGGTCTATGTATCTAACTGCCATCACTTCTGCATGCATGTTGTTTTATTATGGCAACAATGATTACATAAAAGCACAGATTATTAAAATATAAATAAATAAGACAGGAATTATGTAGGCTTCATTAAAATTGCCAAGTGTGTTAAGCTATCCTGATAATTTGCCAGTAATGACTTGTACATTTTTATTGCATAGCCATAAATCATTCTATCAGATTTTATTCTTTGATGTTTAACTAGCAGATTACACGTTATTAAAACAGACAGTGTACCTCATAAGATTTTTCTTCCTTCTTTAGAAATATTTATGGAAAAACTATTTAATTTTAATTTAAAGAATGCTTTAGTTTGCTTTTTCCATCTACTGAAATTTTAATCACACTGACATCATATTTGTAAACAACATAGAAGTCTTCTGAAAAATATGTCATGTTTCACAGGGAAAAATGGACAAAACAAAACAAAATTAGAATGTAAGAAACATAAACAGAAGACCAGTTGAATCATATTAGACCAGCTGCCACAGAACGTTGAGCGGAGAAGTTCCTTCAGAGGGATATTCGGATTGTTTATTTCATCTTCTTTGACTTCATTTATATATTTTTCAACAACAGATGGATTAGTACTAGCTGTGTCTCCATGCATGAATGTTTTATACAGGTATGTGTTGCTCGTTTTGGCTAGGTACAACTGAGCAAGTGAGCACTTTCCATTTCACTGCCAGGTGTTCTTTACAATGACTTTTAAGATTGACTTTTAAGTTGTCATGTTCTTGAATCTGGAGTTAAGAAAGGAAAAAAAAATTTTCTCTTTGAAATTCAGTATTGCTTTTGAACTCACAATCTGAAGACTTGTAGTTACCAGAAAGTTGACCTTTTGAAACCTTGCTTTGTATTTTTTAAGTTTGAAATATTAACGCTGAAAAAAAAACAGTATCTCCTCTTCACAAAATTGAAGCTTCTGGGAAAATATCCAGTGATTTTTTTCCTGTTAAATATACATTTTAATAGACATAAATGTAGTAACAATTCGATATTTCCAAAAAAAAGACATGTTTGAATTCCTTCCAAATATCTTTTATAGTTATTTATGTATTTTATTTATTTATTTATTTATTTTTGAGATGGAGCCTCGCTCTGTCACCCAGGCTGGAGTGCAGTGGCATGATCTCGACTCACTGCAACCTCCGTCTCCCAGGTTCAAGCAATTCTCCCTGCCTAAGCCCCCCGAGTAGCTGGGATTGTATTTTTAGTAGAGATGGGGTTTCACCGTGTTGGCCAAGCTGGTCTTGAACTCCTTACCTCAGGTGATCTGTCTGCCTCGGCCTCCCCAAGTGCTCAGATTACAGGCATGAGCCACCGTGCCCGGCCTATGTATTTTATTTATGGGTTGGTGGTGGTGGTGCTTTTTATGTTTCATGACTGAGATGGACTTTTGAATCTTATGCATTTTTTTAAAATTAAATCATATTTTACTTTGTGTAAAATTAAACCATAATCTGTTCCAAATAGTGATCTTAGCTTTTACATTTGGAAACTTTTAGTTCTCTAAAAAAACTTATTTTTGACTTTGAGAACTTAGGTTGCATAACCTAGAAGGACTGCACTGGAGATACAAGTCGAATGTATCCTTTAAAAAACAGATGAGAAACCTTTTTACTTTTGATGAAAATATAACAATTGAATAAAAATTCTGTGGAAATAATTTTTTATAATCCAGAAAAAAATATTTTCTTCCTCTTTCCACCCCCTGCTTTTTCTAAAACTTGTTTCTCTACTTACTTTATATTTTTTAAGTTGTAAAGCTTGCTTTCCATATTATTACATTAATATCTTTTTGTCAGATCATTTTTATTGTCTTAAAATCTTTTTTATCATTTGTTCCTGTTTCATTTAGAAATTTTATCTTCTAGAGAGCTATCAGTGTTTGTGAAAATGTTAATTTTCTATAATTTTGCTAATTTTATCATGATTTTCAGAAATCAAGAGATAGCTGATTATTATAATGTCTATGTGATTTATTTATAGAAAAAATGACCATTTCTGAGACAGGCAAATAAGATGGCTAAGGAAAAAATCAATTTTAGATTTAAAAAGATTACTAAAACATAATTTTTATTCTGCCATTTAAATTATTCTTTCTATGATTTTCGTTGTTGTTGTCTTAATTTATCCCTTCACTACAACTTATCAATATATTCTTTTAAGAGGTGAGATCTCTGTCTGTCACCCAGGCTGCAATGTGGTGCTATGATCATAGATCATTGCAGCCTTGAACTCCTGGTTCAAGCCATCTTCCTGCTTCAGCCTTTCAAGTAAATAGGATTCATGGACACAAGCCACCTGCCTGGCTCAACTTATGTTAGCAGCAAGTTAGTTGTCTACTAGAAGAGGTCTTGTTTTTCTTTTTCTTTCTTTTTTATTTTTAACAGAACAGAGAAAAACATATTTGCTTCTATAATCTGTATTGAATTCACTTCCATTCCAATATTGACAATGCCCACAGTAATTTTGGCTCTTCAAATTTTTGATTTCTATATATACCATCACTGTAATGGAATAAGGTACAAAATTCTTGTAATCAGAAATCTGTATTGGCTTGGTGCACTAATACAATCATTAGCAATTTCCATTAAAATACGTATGTATGTGCACTCACACACACACATACAGATTCACTCACCCAATACAATGCTGGAAACTGTGATGGAAAGCTAACCTATTACCACATTCTGAGAAAATTCTCCATATATGAGGCCAATGGATCTAGTCCAAGAAACTCTTGCCCAGGTATATTTAAAATCTTCATAATACAATAGAAACAATTAAAAATTTATTTCGTATTTCCCCCCCTATCTGTTATGTAACTCAAAGATCCATTATTTATACAACCATGTTTTCTTTCAGCTGCATTCTATCCTAAATGCTATTTTTAGTATATCTTAAATTGTACTACACACATACAGTCCATTGCTATTCTTTATATTTTGTTTAAATGCAGTTATGCTTTTGCCTATATTGTTTTAAATACTGTGACCTAGTGATATCTATTAGTGTACACACTGTGGCAGACATTCCCAAAGCTGACTCACAATAAGTTATGGCCTTGTATAATTCCCTCCCCTTGAATGTGGGTAGAACCTGTGACTTACTTTTAACCAATAGAATATGGCTGAAGTAGTGGGATGACAATTCCTTGATTACATTACTTTACATGGCAAGGAATAGCACTCACTTATGTTATACTATATATAACTTTGTCTTAGCTTTAGACTGGAGAGTCACATTCTTCTGCTGACCTTGACTGGCCATATGGCAGAAAGTTGTGGGTGTCTCTACAGCCAGAGAGTGGACTCCATCTGATAGTCAGTAAGAAGCTGGGTACTTCAGTCATACAATTAAAAGAGAATTAAGCCCTGGTGCGGTGGCTCACGCTTGTAATCCTAGCACTTTCAGAGGCCGGGGCGGGCAAATCACTTGAGGTCAGGAGTTCGAGACCAGCCTCGCCAACATAGCAAAACCCCGACTGTAATAAAAATACAAAAATTAGCTAGTTGTGATGACTGGCACCTGTAACACCACCTACTCAGGAGGCTGAGGCAGGGGAATCGCTGGAACCCTGAAGGCGAAGTTTTCAGTGAGCCAAGATCATGCCACTGCACTCCAGCCTAAGCGACAGAACAAGATATCATTTCAAAAAATTAAAATAAAATAAAATAAAAAGCAATTAATTATGTCAAAAACCTAAATGAGCTTGGAAGTGGATTCTTTCCCAGTCAAGCCTCTAGATGAAAAGGTAGTCTGGCTGACAACTTGATTTCAAGACCCTGAGGAGGATTCTCCTAGGTCCTGCCCAGAATCCTGAACAAACAAGCTGTGAGAGAATAAAGTTGTTTTGTATTAAGTTGCTAAGTCTTTGGTAAAATTTTGAGCTGCAGTAGTCAACTAACAAGGATATCTATACATCCCACTTTTTGAGGGGTGTGTAATTCCAGATGCACTTTTTCAGATGACTCTGATAATTATTTTGCTAGATTCCCACAAATATTTGACAATTTTGATTGGAATCATATTAAACGTATAAATTATTTTTCAGTGAATATGCATTTTTACAGAAATATTTAGTTGTTTTAAAAATCTAAAACTATATTCCCTTGAATCCAGTAATATTTCTGATATCAAAAATATATTTTGTCCTGGATCCAAATGATTATGTTTCTGTATTAATATATTGAACTTATTTACAAGTTAGATTTACTAGCATCAAATAATCATGGGAGTCCAAAAAGTCATGTTGTATCACTGTTGAATATAAAGTCAAAATCAGTTTACCCACATTTTATTTTACTGTTTCTGTATTTATTTTGGAAATAATACTAATACATACTACCATTTCTTGTACTTGGTGAGGTTGGGTACCTTTCTCTTTTATGAGACAGGGTCTTGCTCTGTTGCCCAGGCTGGAGTGCAGCAGTGTAATTGTAGCTCACTGCAGCCTTGATCTTCCAGGCTCAAGTGATCCTCCCACCTCAGCCTCTTGAGTAGCTAGGACCAGAAATGCATGCCAATGCACCTGGCTAATTTTTATGTAGAACCAGGATCTGGCTAGGTTGCCCAGGCTGGTCTCAAACTCCTGAGCTGAAGTGATCCTACTGCCTGGACCTCCCAAAGTGCTGAGATTATAGGTGTGAGCCACCATACCCAGCAGTATCTTTTGTATTGAATTGATAAGTCAACATTTTTCATACTAAGGTACAGCTAACATAGCATGATAACTAACTTCTTGGAATGACTTGCTAAAAAATTACCTTTAAATCACCTAATCCCATGGCTTTTCTTAAAGAAAATTTATTTTTTTTCTATTTTTGTTGGCCTGTTCTTCTGAAGAAATTTGATTACCATTTATAGAAACACATTTACTTCATGGAGAATGTCAACTATATTGGAATACATACTAATTTCAATCTTTTTATTCATTTAAAATCTTTTCCATATCGGAGAATATATTGCCTTCCTTATGTATAATTTATATAGTTTGGCCTTTTTTCATTTTTCTTTTGAATACATTGTCTTGAATCTCTCTCTGTGTGTGTGTGTGTGTGTGTGTGTGTGTGTGTGTGTGTGCGTGCATTTAAGAAGCAGAGGTGGAACTAGTTTTTAGTCCTTTCTCTTGATTTCCTGTTTTCTAATGTATTTCTATACATAGCTTCTTATTTGCTTATTTGTTTATAATGATTAGTTGCAGTTTTAATTTCTACGTAACATTAAGAATGTTTATCACATTGATTAAAAGAAACATACTGGATTTTTAGGTAATTTTCATTAATCTCATGTTTTATCACATTGTATTTTAAGCATGTTGTTTTATCTATTGTGATTTGTAAGTTTTAACAGACAATGCCAATATGTACATAGATGAAGATTTCTTTTAATTGATTTACTTTGGAATGTGATGAATGATTTTTGTCCATAAAAATAATACTTTTTTAGAATTTTTTATTCCTATTTGAATTATAACTACACATTAAATCTTCCAATTGCCTCATCCTCTGGCATATTATTAACATGCTTTTACTGTCCAATTTTTTCTTTCACATGAGTTCTTTAGTCACATTTTTGTATTTTTGTAATTTTCTCTTTGATTTCTTTGAGTTGCACTTTATACAAGTTACTGTTTTTACATGACTTGTTCTTTTTACTCAGAATGGCTATGGTTATTCTGGAACTTTTGTGGTTCCACATACATTTTAGGATTGTTTTTTCCACTTGTGTGAAAAATTTCATTGGTATTTTGATAGGAATTGCTTTGAATCCATAGATTGCTTTAGATAGTATGGATATTTTAATAGTACTGATCTTCCAATCCATGAATATGGAATATCTTACTATTTTTGTGTATCTCCTTCAATTTCTTTCATCATTGTTTTATAGTTTTCACCGTAGATATCTTTCACTTCTTTGGTTAGGTTTTTTTTTCCCAGGTATTTTTAGCTAATGTAATTGAGATTATTTTTCAGATTGTCTACTGTTGGCACATAGAAGAGCTACTGGTTTTTGTATGTTGATTTTGTATTCGGCAAGTTTATTGGATTTGTTTATCAGGTCTAATAGTTTTTTAGTGGAGTCATTAAAATAAAAGATTATATCATCTGCAAATAAGAGTAATTTGACTTTCTTTTTCCAATTTAGTAATTTGACTTTTTTTCCATTTTTTGTTTCTCTTGTTTAATTGCTCTGCTTAGGACTGTTAGTACTATGTTGAGTTAAAGTGACAAAAGTGGACACCCTTAACTTGATAAAGATCTTAGGGAAAAGACTTTCCATCTTTCCCCATTAAATATGGAACTAGTTATGCTTTTGTCACATACGGCTTTTATTATATTGAGGTTCTATACCCATTTTTGAGAGTATTTTTCCTGAAGGATGTTGAATTTTATCAAATGCTTTTTTTGGCATCTATTGAAATGATCCTGTTTTTTGTCATTCATTCTACTGATATGAAGTATCACATGTATTTATTTGTGTATGTTGAACCATCTTTGCATCCCTGGGATGACTTTCACTTGACCAGATTGAATTCTTACTTGTTGTTTGACCTTTAGCAAATTACAAACTATATTGTACTTCAGTTTCTTCATCTGTCAAATGGCTTTAATGGTTATATCTACTTCGTAAGGTTGAAATGAGGTTTAAAATAGTTGTACAGTCATGTGCCACATAACGACATTTTTGTCAATATCTGACCACATACACGACAGTGGTCTGTTAAGATTGAAATGGAGATGAAAAATTCCTATTGCTTATTGACATTATAGCTGTCATTACATTATTCAGTACAGTAACATGCTGTCCAGGTTTGCAGCCTAGGAGCAATAGACTATACCATATAGCCTCAGTGTAGTAGGCTTTACCAAGGTAGGTTTAGGTAAATGCATTCTATGATGTTCCCACAGCAACAAAATTGCCTAAGGATGCATTTTTCAGAAAGTATCTTCATCATTAAGTGATACATGGCTGTATATGTGGCATGTTTAGAGGACTGCCTGCTATATACTAGGTGCTGTTTCTGTGTTAGCCATTAATAATAATAAAAATTAATCTTATCATTAAACCTATTAGTTTATCCCATTATACTCTTTGATCAGAAATGACTTACTACCCACTTTACAGATTCAGGATTCCTCATAAGTCACAGTCTTCTTTGCAGTTTTATCTATGAATTTGTTGCTTCTCTTATTACAATATCAGTAGGTCAAAACTCTCAGTATTTATTTCAGCCATACTTTCCTCTTCAGTTTCTTATTTGACAGTTATTGTGGAGAGAAAGAAGGGTTCAATGGAAATAGGAAGGAAATGCCTAGAAATCACTTTTCATTTAACTAAAATCTGTGGATATATTCTAGTTTAAAACAGTAAAATTGTTAAACTGTGGAAAAGGAATAAACCTTCCTTATATATACATATATATGTATATATATAATGTTTTTATATATATGTATATATATGATCAATTATTTTTTTCTTATATATACATATATGTATATATTCAGATTGGAGTTCATAAATCTCAGGATATACTTGAGTTGGCCTCATACAGTGTCTAGCCCACCTTAATAGTTCTATTTTTTAACAGTATCTCCAGAACTTGTTCGTTTATCTTTGGTAGTCTGCTCACCATACTCCTGATTTGATTGGGACAGTCTGTGCCTGCACTTATTGTCCTGTTGTGATTAACAGAGACTCTTTTCTCTCTCAAAACTGTTGCAGTTTGGACAATATTTATTTGGTCACTCTAGTCAAAGGCAAATCTTCAGATCATTAACTTCCAACTTACTCAAAACTGACCAAGAAGGAGCAATAAGGTTTTATTATAGTTCTCCTTGCTGCTATTTTTTAAAATTTACTTTTTTGTCCTCTATAACTTTTGAGCCAATGCCATTTTCTTATCCCACCACAATCTTGTCTGCCTACTTTCTGAGAGTCCTTTCCTATTACCTACCAAGAAATAACATTGGCATTGAAAATGTAGTTTTACAGATATGTGCATATTTTTAAATACATTAACAAATGTTGGCAATATTTTGCCCTAATGTGGTTAGGGCTTAATTCTTGCAATATTCTTGCAAATTTTTTTTTAGAAATCAATTACTGAGTTTTGATGCTGTCACTTCACAGTTATTGTATTTATAGTTACATATCTACAAATTTTGAAATTTAGAATTTTTTTCTATTTGATATAGTTGGCTTACTTGCTATATGTTTGAAAAATTAATTTGTCATGATGATCTGAATTATATTTTAAGATGAATTTAAGATCAATTTGTTTTATAATATTGTCGGAAAATATTAGAAATAAGAATTTTCTATCTGAGAAAGAGTAGTACTCAAGAATCATTAAAACAAGACACTGGTGGCAATATGAAACAGGTCAGAAGTTTAGTAAAGGACCTACATTTTGTAATAATTATTTTTAATATTTTAACATAAGTTGAGAATAATGTTATAAAAGAAGATTGACAAAATGCCACTGAAATAGATAGAAAACCTTAACACTGCTGAAATTTAAAAAAAAAAACTAGTACTAATAACACAAAATGGGAAATACATTTAATTTTGTAGCCAGTAATTCTGTTGAACACTTGCAGAATTGGTTTTAAGGGAAAAATTACTTTTTTTTCTTATTGTGTAGCTTGAAATGACTTCATCTTCTAGCCATGGGATGACTGTTCTTTCATAAGATGCATTCAAAAATAGTAAATCATACAAATATATCAGAACTAGTAATAGTGTATGTCTTCCAAAACATAGCTGTCCCAGCTTTCATGCCAAGCTCTCATAGTTATATGAAATGTGTGGATTCTACTTCTTAAACAATGATTAGTATGCATCTAAGATTTAAGCTGTAACAAATAGTGAAAAAATTGAACATTTAAAGTGTTGAAATAAAAGAAAATATCAACGACTATTTTAGATCATCAATAGATGTAAGCATTAAATAAATACCATATTCTCTACCTGGTTACCCTTTCCAACTAGACAAGACTCAAAACGACAGAAGGAGGCAGAATCTATATTTGAACTAAAATATACAGCCCAGGAGAACATCCTGTCAAAATAAGATGACAGATAATTTCTCTTCCACCAAGTGAATTTAGTAATGAGTTTAAATCTGACTGAAATAAGACCGTATCCCAAAATAGTTGTAAAATCTGTAGTAAGAAATGGGGGCAGCAATAATATTTTATACTTGCTATGTGAGGAAAAATTGGATCTAAAATATTATACTAATGATCTACTAAGTCTCTCTCTTATTTTTAAAGTATTAATTTTATAGAAATATATTCTATAGACTTACGGTCTAAATAAGACAGAGATTAGTCTAAAAAGAAACACCAAATAATAATCTAAAATATTTGTTTGCATATATAAGTTATATATATCCTTTTCTAATCTCTTCCTATTAGAAATTACTAGATTTCTTCATATGTTTTTCAAGAAAAGGCATTCTCAGCTTAGAAGGGCCTGTGCAGTTACCATCTATAGGAGATGCCATCTTAAAATATAATATTCCCATATATTTAGTAGACTGTTAATGATAATTATCATTTGGGACAATCAGCTTCATTTACTTATTGTTGGGATTTTATAGAAATCTTAAGGACAAAATTATTATTCTTTTTTTCTCTTTGATAAGTAATGAGCCCACATTATTGAATAAGCTACATTACAGCAGTCATAATGTCTTAGCTATACAAATAATTCTGGAGATTGAATTCTTACTTCTTGTTTGATCTTCAGCAAATTAAAAATTGAGTTTATTTGGTATTCAACCAATTTCATTTCAATAGGCACCTAGTTGAGCTTTTATCCAGGAAGAACAAAGGAAATACTTATCTTCTTCCATTTGCCTCCTTGTCTTTAATTGTGCTGCTTCTCTCATCCTTGTTATCTTCTACAGTCTGTTGACCTGTGTCCATTCATCTTGGAATGACCCTCTCTTTATATTAGATTTGATAACTTAGCTATCGAGTTTTCAGTGTCTCAGGCTGTAATTGCTCAATGTTTTTAAATATTGGGTATAGAGTTGTGTGTGTTTGTGTGTGTGTGTGTGTTTGTTTGTTTTTAGAAATAGCTCATTCTTTCTGTTTGCTTGTAAAAACAGACTTGTGAGAAATGCTGGAGGTTAGGAAGACGCAGGCTGTCAACCAACATGTGGATTTTAATTATGTGTTGCAGCTGTTTGGGAATATATTCATCTCTAGGCTTCATTATTGTGTAAAGGCTAACTAATTTGGCATTTGGTTTTTTGTTTGTTTTTGCAGAGAAGACAATTTTTGACCTCAGTAATACTTAAAGTGCGAAAAATAAAACTGTGAAAAATAAAACAACACTAAAGTCCAATAGATGCTATAATTACTTACTGTGTCAAGTTGTCCCTTTAATGTTGCAACATGTGACATTAATAAATTCATTCACATTTAGATGTCAAGTAAAGTAGGGTCTTTCTGTGTTTAATATGTTTGTCATAATTAAACCCTGGAAGGAAAATTGGTCAATAAAGAACAAAAGAGCAGAATGAATCAACTGCCACTTTTCTTATATGTTCACTAATTTCAAAAACCTTTAATTATAAATTGAATATATGATACATTTATTCACGTATTATTTCTAATCCCAATAACAACTTTTGCAAAATTTTTATTACTCTTGTTTTATGTATGAGGGGGCTGAGGGCCAGAGTGACTAAATGACTTCACATCTCTAATTGAGCCAATAAATTATGATTAACCAGATTGTATCAGGCATTTAGCTAGATGCTGGGTATATGGTAGTGAAATGAGCGGGCACGGCCCTTGCCCCTGTAGAGCTAAAAGGGTAATAGAGTGCTTGGTAGCATCAACAAGACTGAGTTCACTTTAGCCTTTCTCTATTCTAATTCAGTGCCATTTGCTAGTTTTATGCCACTTTCTAGCTCTATGCAGTTTGCCAGGTGGCAAAGTTTCTTAAGTTTGATAACCATTAGTTTATGTCATCTATAAAATAAGTATTGCATTACAGTTTTTTGAGAGGTGTGGCTGAGTGAATAAGTGGTGTTTTTTTGCAAGTGACTGGTACCTTGTGGTGCTTAATTTAAAGAGAATATTATGTAAATGTATTGTATAAAGTCTTACACAGTTTCAGAGATCATGAAACTTATCTTACTGCTCAGTCCTGCATGGATTCTATTTCTAAAGTCACATTATATTCCAAGGTGGATGATAAAGCCCCAACACCTCCATCTATATTTCATCCAGCAAGAAGAATATACGAATGTCATGGTCTCTAATGATAAGAATGTGTCATGAAAATCATAAAACACTTTCAATAAAACCTTATTAGTCAGAAGTTAGAAGTTAGCTGTGTCTTTTACCTAATTGAAGGTAGGCTGATAAATATAGTTTTGATTATACCAAAACTGAGAAAATGTTTGATCCTAGTTACAAGCCTACCACTTAGTCTGCCATAGTTTAATAGGTGCTGACAGGAGACATGAGACTCCAGAAAAAAGCCAGAGGACTTTATTATTCACAATAGAGCAGGCATTATGAATTTTATATGTATATCAGTTTTCCTTGTTCCCCAACTCCCTTTGGGCACACACATATGTGGGCCCACATGGATGCCATATACACAGTGGGTCTGTGTCATGGTTGAGGAAATCTAAGGTGAGAAAATTCCCAACCTTATAAGGAAATTCCTAACAAACCTGTCAAAATGTTAGCCCACACTAAGTTACTATTTGTATTATATGCTTAGGAAATGTATCTGTCCTCTAACCTGGAGGGACAGCCTATCTATAGTTCCCAAGGCTATTTGCTACACAAATATCTCTGAAATGCTATCCTGGAACAAAAGATGATGTGCAGAAACACGTGCATGAGAGAACCATGGAGAATTCTCTCATTGGACAGTCTGGGGATTGTGTGCTTAATTAAAAGTAAGGAAGGTTTGATTAATTTTAAGGAAGGATGGAAAAACAGTTACTGGGAAAAACTGATGGCAAATGCCATATCCTATTAGGATTTACAGTGAGGTTTAAATCATGTCTCTACTATTCTGTTTCAGAGAAACCAATCTTGTCATTGCATGTATTCCCAGTCTTTGCATGTATTCCTACTTCTGCATCAGTCTTTATTCATTTTCCTCATCTGGAATTGTACTCTAAGGAGCATGCATTGAACACTTGCCAAGTACCCAGCACTATATTTAGGTCCAGGAAAATCATAGTAGATGAAATATGGGCTCATCATCTTTCAGTGGCATTAGAACTTGGTCAACACAATTTGCTCGATTCCACAATTCTAAATTATCTTAATTGCAGTCTGTGATTCTGGCCTATTCATGCCTCTGCTTGACTTCTCTCTCTTTTGGCTCCTGGCCATTTTGATAGCTAAAATCTACACATTTGATTGCTAACTTCATTTTTAAACTTTAGTGAACATGTCACCTCCCGCTGAAATCCATTCTTATCTCTGTCTGCTCCTGACCAAGCTTATACAACCCTAGCACTTTGCATGAAGAACTGAAGCAGCTGTCTATTTGGCGTCATCTATAGTAGGGAGGGCTCCATTTAGACAATAAAATATTGATTCCTGTTTTTTCCATGTATATTTACTGTAATTTTATATTTCCTATTTAACATTTATTTTATTGACAAAAAAGTCTTACTTCCCATTTAGGTTAGGTGTTATAAATTCTGATTGCCATGCCTTTCTTTAGGACACATTTTAATGCTTCCATCCTTTCTTGTGGTATATCCAACTGCTTCTGACTACGGTTCCTTCTTTTCTTGCCTGCTAATGCAGATTCACAGTATCTGTCCTGCTCTCCTTCCCTCAACAACTCACAGCTTTCTGAAGTTTTGAAAGAGTAAGCAACCATGAGGAAAAATTGCATAAAAGACTCTCTCACCTGTTCCTATTTCATTTCTTTCTTCAAAGTTTACACTTTCAAAAAAGATAAGCAATCTGTGACTGTTATAGGAATACTTAATATACAAAAATGTGAAGTTACATTTAATAACATTTCAGAGACATGCTCTGTTAAATATTTTTGATAGATCTGGAATATGAAAAATATCCAAGAGAAAAATAAGCCTAGCGCTATAGGCCTTATGGGAAGATGTGCTATTGGGAGTGTTGAATTCCCCAGGCTTAGGCATGAACACATGACATTTTCACTAGGAGGGAAGTGGAGCTCCTTCTTCCGTCCTTTACCATTAGTCTGAAACATTCCTTCATCTAAGCCCTGGAGAAAGGCTAAGAGTAGTATGGGTCATAAGAGAAAATGAAATGGCAAAAGAAATGGAAGCCTTAAATTACTGCAGTAGGAAAAGACATGTTATATTCATTTATCCTAAAGTTTCCAAGGTAATCTTGATGTAGTTTACACGTGTAAATAAAATAAAATAGGCATATTCATCCTTAAGGGGTTAAATTAATGATAATAGAGTTATGCTGGGATTTTCATATTGCTCAGTGAAGGAAGATCTATGTATTTTTGAATAAATGAAGGTCATCAAGAAGTTTATTATTAATAAAAAAAGCTATAGGAATGGGAACTACCTATGATCAACCAGCTGGAAAAATATTTCACTGGGCTTAAGCAATGGGAGTCAGGGATTACTCTGACATTTTTATCGATCGATTGCCATTTGCAAATGGGAGAGAGTAAATTACCAAACATGACTCACTTGGAGAATAACTACTATTCTTAAACAGATTTAAGCTGTTTAAGAATAGTAACAATAGGCTATGTTTAAAACCAATTGGATCAGGGGAAAGTAGTGGAGGTATGATAACTATGTGTTACAGGATCTATAATACACGTATGGAGAAGAGTGATGCAAATCCTCAAAACTGATCCCAGTTACTTCACATTTTAGATAGAAAAAACAAAACCAGCAATTCATTTCTTCTTTAAGACCAGTACTTTTCTGTTCTAGATGGCCTAACACTCTGTGTAACTTTCATAAGCTTCCTATGTCACCTCTTTCACATGTACACATGCTCTGCTGAGTGGGGCAGCCACACATTGGACAGTATGCTCAAACTTATGGCTCTGAGTATCTGAAGCAGTCTCAATCACACTAATTTTTGCTTCTATTTAATTTGGCTCAGAATAAGCTCCAGTTAATTTCCCTTTAGGTTTAAGTAGAAAGGACCTACATAAGCTTTGGCTGGTTATTATTGTCTATTAAAAAATTTATAATTACATTTAAAAATAAATGATGCATATTAATATGTCTTTTTAAGTTTTTTATTATTATACTTTAAGTTCTAGGGTAAATGTGCACAACGTGCAGGTTTGTTACATACGTATACGTGTGCCAGGTTGGTGTGCTGCACCCGTTAACTCGTCATTTACATTAGGTATATCTCCTAATGCTATCCCTCCCCCGTCCCCCCACCCCACAATAGACCCCACTGTGTGATGTTCCCCTTCCTGTGCCCAAGTGTTCTCATTGTTTAATTCCCACCTATGAATGAGAATATGCAGTGCTTGATTTTCTGCCCTTGCGATAGTTTGCTGAGAATGATGGTTTCCAGCTTCATCCATGTCCATACAAAGGACAGGAACTCATTCTTTTTTATGGCTGCATAGTATTCCATGGTGTATATGTGCCACATTTTCTTAATCCAGTCTATCATTGATGGACATTTGGGTTGTTTCCAGGTCTTTGCTATTGTAAATAGTGCCGCAATAAACATACGTGTGCATGTGTCTTTATAGCAGCATGATTTATAGTCCTTGGGTATATACCCAGTAACGGGATGGCTGGGTCAAATGGTATTTCTAGTTCTATAAAAATCAAGCCAACTCAACTTTATTTTCTCCTCAACTGAGGTATGTTTCGAGGCAAAAATTCTCAGAGCATTGTTCAAACTGATGTTTTAATTTAATGACACTAAAATAAAAAGTGTACTTTTGATCTAGTTTTACCTGTTATAGTGCAATTATAATAATTCTGAATATTGAACATTTGTGGCATTCCTTAAATTAATAATATTTCCTAAGGTATTATTTTAACCACGATTTTAGTATATGTTGCTATAATGTCAATGAATTTAAGACCTGATCATATATGTTTTAATTGGGTATCTATAATTTATCCATGATCCCACAGTACTCCATTAAGTAGCTAATTATTTCATTGCCAGTGGCTGGTCAAGAGCAGATATATAAATTCTCAGCTAAAGGGTGGAAATTAGGCCATTCTTTTTATTTACTCATTATTTATACTTATTAACAATTCCCCTCTTTGAAATCCTTTTAGGGTACACACACAAACAAATTCACTCTAAATGACATTTAACATACACAATTAATTTAAAATCATTCTCCTCCTGTAGAGATATTATGGCAGAGAATAAAAGCCAAATTACTCTCATTTACTGGCATACAAGGGTTTGTTCTTGCTGATGGTACACTGACTCAGAAGGCTTGCAGCAGTAGAGATAACTTCTTTTAGACTGCATCAGCAGTCCCCTGTAATCATTCCTGATTATCCTTTGAGTGGTAACCTCTGTTACCACTCAAGATGGATCAAAAGCATATCCAGCTAGACCTATCTTTGCCAGACTCGTGCTTGAAAGGTTTAAATGGATTGATGACCCCAGTGACATTCCTAGAGCAACTGTGATACTTATTTCTCTTTACTGCCTACTAATCATACTGTATACTTCTGAGCATCTCCATAAAAGAGAAGCTAACGTTTTCTCCTAAGATTTATCTGTACAGTCAAAAGTATTGTGTTAGTATTCCTGTCCATTCAAGTAAGCTTTGCTGAAACAAACAATAAATGAGTGTCTTCGGTAGTGAAACTTTTTTTCTTTCTCTCTGTCTCTTTCTCTCTCTTTTCCTCCTTCCCTTTTTTCTCCCTCCCTCCTTCCCTCTTCCCCTTCCTTCCTTTCTTTGATTTTGTCGTATAAATAAAAACAAACAAAATAATAATTCTTCATTCAGACATATTTCTAAAGCATTACCAGGCACTAGAAACACAATGAATACAATATGAGACTTCCTGTCCATGGTGTAATGGGAGAGAAAAATGAGCTAAATAATTATAATACATTAATTTCACGACTCATCAAATGACTTATAGATAATAAATCAGGATTTTTAAGTGTTAATTTGCCAGTTATATATAAAAAGGAAACTTCTTGTGTGAATAGTAGACTCATAATTCAATAGGGAAACTGTGGCAAAAGTGTAAAGTTTTGATATCTAAGAATATCTAAAGATAGCACAGTTCCTGCATTAAGAGCAGCTATTTTGATTTTGCCAGAGCTGTGTGCCATTTCACAGCACAATCTTCCATTTAATAATCATGCCATCTCTTCATCATGTATCAGAGAGATGAGAAGTTTCACTTTCTAAAGCCCATGATTCATAATGCTACTTGGCCTGATAGAGAGCCAGCACCAAAATCATTTGCAAAAGCACCTCCAAAAACCTTTTCTCTACTACTGAAAAATGACTCGGTCTGTTTTCAGGCTGTGACTAGAAACGCTGGACATTATTTTCATTTTTATATTAATGATAGGTATTTTAAGTACAATAAGGATGAAACACTGCATTTACCAGGTGTGGTGAGTTACAGCAGGTGTCTGAACAATATAGACATTTAGCCTGAATCATCCACCCTGAAACATTTTCTCATTTCTTTAATAGAAGAGGAAATTTTCTCTCTAGGTCACGTAGATACATTTTCTTAACTTTCAATTTCACTTTCCCTGTTTAGATATAGATATGCTTTCAATACCCTGACAGGTTTTGGAGGGCAAAAGCATGTCTTTCCTTTCTTAATTTCTTACAGCTTTTAGTGTGACAGCCATTTCCACAAGGAGAATATTTAATAAAAACATATTATCCTGAATTCAAAACCTGTAAAGTCAAATGTAGCAAAAGGTAAAAAGTCAGTTGTTCCAGACTCTTGACTCATTCCTGTTCCATCACTTGCTTCTATGGCTACTTTAGGATTTCAGCACTCGCTACACTAGCAAGGCAAAAAATTACAGCATCTGGGCATTCAGCCAAAGCTCATATGCTGTCATTAAAACTGAACTACCATGTAAATAGGATTGCTTAAATGATTTTTTTTTCCCTCCCTGCAAAAGTGACATTTTTCCCTGTCTTAAATTTGTCAAGCTGTCTTTATCGTTTGGTTAACTATGTAAGTTCTTGCAAATTTATTTGTACAATCATGTAATGATATGTACAATTTTTAATGGTATGAGGTGAAATTTTTTTTTCAAGATCAAAACAAACTCAATGCATTGAGTGAGGTGATCTTGTCTATTGAATTAACCATTTTATTATAACTTTATACAACATAATGATTGCTCTTCCTTGACCTTTAAGCTTAACCACATACCCAGTTTTCTTGTGGGCTAGTGGAGAAGGAATCAGTAAAACTGTACATCTACCAACTCTGTATGAGCTAAATTTTCTTTCCAATTAAAGATAAGCAAAAAGGCTAGGAATAAACTCAACTTAAAACTAAAATTAAGAAAGTGCAACTTAGTAAGAAATTTCACCCTAGAAATCCTTACACGGCATCAGAAACAAATAATATGATGACTTAGTATCTTTTATATTGGAATAAATATAAAATTAAACTTTCAGTACTTCTTAGTGCAACACATAAACTAACAGAGAGAGAGAGAAGAGAAAAGAAATAGGAGAAGCGAATGAAATGAGACGAGAAGAGAAGAGAAAAGAAACTCCTTAAAGAATTATAGGTTTTTGCTAAGCCCTACACTTTTGAACTTTTCAGAGACATTCACCATTGTTAAACTTAATTTCTAAGGTCACTGTCCATCTACTTGGAAAAGATAATCTATTGCATTGTAACACTACAAAAAATTGTATCATGTTGCTCAGAACTCTTATCTTAATGAAATCTTCCTGGCATTTTGACAATTTTGGAAGAAGTTTCATTTCTCAGATGAAATTTCTTAGACTGATTTATATGCTATTTGCATCACTGAAACATAGGTTCCCCCTCCCCCTTCCCTTTAAGAGTTTAGACTAACACTGCTGACTTGGAAACTCATTCTGTCTTTTTAATGTCTGACATATTTTATTTTTTTGTTTTGTTTTGTTTTTGCAAGAATGACTGACTGGCAATACTGTATTAAGTGAAATTCCAAAGGCAAATCCACAGCCTGAGTGCATGTTTGCTACTTTTGTAATTTGTCCGTTTTGAATAATTCTCTTGTCAGAATCTGTTTATTTTCTGTTTCCATACACTTTTTTATTCTGCTCTCCCACTTTGTAAGTCTTATTTAAAGAAATAGCTACCCTTTAGCTTATAAAGAATCTTGTACATAATCATTCAGTTGTGCTACTGTTCACTGATTCTTCTTTCTCATTCTCAGAAATTACTGATTAATTCTTAAGGATCTAATCAGCTTTTTCTTAATTTTCCTACTTGACTACATATGAAGAAATAATGCTGCTTAGATGCACACTTAAATTATATTTTTCTTCATAATGTATCTTTTCATATTCTTAAATGCAACAAGTAATGGGATTTATATTTTTTATTTAGACAAAATTCCCATTACACTTTCCATTTTATACATAATTATCTCATTATTGGTATTTTTAAGCACCTTACTTCCCATTATTTATGATTTATTGAAGAAGCTGCTTAGTTCAGATGCAAAAAAGAATTGAAATGAATCTATAAAATTTTGAAATGTCAACCCTTTACAATTAGTAAATAGGTCACAAAGTAGAAAAACTACAATCTTATAATAATTGTGTGAATCATCCTAGAATATTTAGAACCTTATCAACAACTAAACTTTTATGGGCCCCAAATAAAATAATATTCTAAAAATACAGAGCTTGTTTCTTCAATATCGTCTGCTTATAGAATATGTGATTCTTAATAGGAAGTGGAGACACCTCCCTACTATGCTCCTCTAATGATTTTCTTATTTGGGACGGAAAAAAAAATTACAAATAAAAGAAAGAAAAGCTCTTATTTCTTTCTTTCTTTTCTTTTTTTTTTTTTTTTTTTTTTGGTGCCATGGACATCATCCTAGTACTCAGCACAGAATGAGAGCCTATATTATGCCACAAAGAAGACAAAAGTAGCAAAGCAAACCAGTGATAAGTTTAATGACTAAACCTTCCTCCTTATGCTGTTATTTCAGAAAAACCAAGATGCTTACTTTATTTTAAATAAATTAAAATAATAGTTAAGCATTTTACTTAGAATGTCCACTACCATAATTTGGTGGCAATGCTGCCTGAGAGAGCAGACCAAGAAAAAGAGTGGGGAATTAGCAAAAGATGTGGTGAATATATGAACACATTTCTGGTCACTTTAACAATTTTAATGTAATTTACTATGGATCACATCACATATATATTTCTTGAACCACTAACTTCTCAATGCTAATGGATTCTGTCTGGGCCAGAGAGCTTTTCTATGACTCCTAGAGAAAGCAGAAACTCACAACTCTGAACCTCACCATCTAGATAGGTGTTTTGTTTTTCTTAATATTATCTACAAGTTCAAGTCTTCTACTAAATGGTGATGTTGAAAGCATTCCTTATATAATTTCTGTGAGGGATGAATAAGATAAATGCATAGTTCCTAGCACATAGAAAGCATCAAAATTTCTATTATTACCAAAAATATGGACTCAAAATAGTAATAGATGGTTCTTCATGATATTTTAGTTTAGGGAGAAAAATAGCTAATATTCACCAGTGACTATGGCGTTTTGATTAACCCCAACTTATACCATAGTTTCCTGGGTTTTTGTTTGTTTAATATGACTATATTTGATACTTTTATTATACAACATTAAAGTCATAAAAAATAAAATAACAGAACTTAAATAAAATACTAAAAGCACAAATATATTTACTAATATTCTATTGTATTTTGAACTGAATAAACTAAATATATGTTGCAAAAAGTTACATATATACATATATGTATGTGTATAGTCATATATTTATCTATTCATATATATGTTTATAAACACTTTTACAAATTTACTTTTACTAATTTGCATTAATAATTATTTATACTTTTACAAATTTGATTTCTTCCTAATGTATAACCCTTCATATAAGACATGCTGAAGTATAGTAAAAGATAAAATCAAGGATCAAGAGAAAAGACAGAGTAATAGTATGAAAAACTGGATGCTCTCTAATTAGATAATTCAGATAAAATAGACAAATTCTTAAAAAACAAAACTAATAAATCTTATTTAGCAAAAAAAAAAAAAAAAGAACATCTAAATAGGTCTATGAAAGTAACGATACTGGCTTAGAAATTAGAAAGCTTTCTACCAATAAAATCCTGGGTCTGAAAGGCTTAGATGGTAAAGTCTACTATATTTATGCCAATTCTTCATATATAAGTCAAAACAAAAGAAGAGGAATGAACACTTCCTAACTAATTCTATGAGGCTAGTATTACCCTGATACCAAGCTGTTTCAGGACTTACTACAAAGCTACAATATTCAAAGCAATGTGATTCTGTCATAAAAATAGGCCTATATGTGCAACCAACATTGGTGCATTTGCATATATAAAGCAAATATTAACAGAACTAAAGGGAGAAATAAGCAGCAATACAATAATAGAAGGGGATTTTAATAACTCACTTTCAACAATGGATAGACCATCCAGACAGAAAATCAATAGGGAAACAGTACACTTGAATAACACTATAGACAAAACGGACCTAAAAGATAAATATAGAACATGCCAACCAACAGTAGCAGAATACACATTATTTGCAAGCACACAGAGAACATTCTCCAGGACACATCATAAGTTGGGCCACAAAATAAGTTTTAACAAATTTAAGAAGATTCAATGAAGTCATGTATCCTTTCCTATCACAATGGCCTAAAACTAGAAATAAACAATAGGAGAAATTTTAGAAAATCCACAAATATGTGGAAATTAAAAATGACACCCTTGAACAACTAATTGTTAAAAGAAAAAATCAAAAATATAATCAAAAATTATCTTCAGACAAAATAAAATGAATACATAACATACAAAAACTTATGGAATGACTGAAAGCCACACCAGTCCACTGGGAGCCTGGGGATCATCCCATTCCTGCCTATTATGGCCAGTTCCTGAATGAATCACTGTGGGGGCTTGAGGTTAGGACCACCTGGCCTGGCTTTGCCAACCCCTGAGCACACTGTCCAGGGACCTGGAAATTGCCCAGCCCAGAGTAACACCATTGGCACCTAAGCACTCTTTTCAGTGTCTGAGGTCAGACCTATTCAACATGCCACTACTGCCACAGCTGGCACCCACCCATTTGTGCCAGATGTGAGCCTAAGGACTGGCTGCCCAGCCTGTCACAGCCTGTTTCAACACCAACACAGACTGCCAGACACCTGGGTTGTTTCACCAGTGCTACTGCCATTGCCCATGCCATGTCCACTGCCCAGGGTCTTGAGAACCTGTCCACCTACCTGGCCCACTGCTGCCACTCCCAGAACCCAAGCAAGTCACCTGGAGGCCTAATAATTACCCTGACTGGGTCTGCTAAAACCATTGCCAGCTTATGCCACCCTGGGGCCCAAGGACAGGTATGCTCAGCCTACTGCTACCACCACTGGGGCCCAAAGACTGGTCGACCTGGTGTCCCAGTACCAAGCACAACTTCACCACAGCCTCCGCTCAATTTCACCTGAATCCATGGAAATCTCAAATTCAACTAATGCTGTTTACAGCCATGGGAATAATACAGAGACTACATTACTCCATGCACACACAATCAAAGCCAAAGTGCTTTACCCAATCAACACCATAGGTCCACTTCAGGAAAAAGTACCCCCCTATGAAAGCAAATTCAAAACATTGGAAGAAGTAACTGTTATACCACTTACGCAAATATCAAGGTAAGGATATAGGAAACATAGAAAAATAAGAAAACTTGATACCACTGAAGGAATACAATAATTTCCCCAGCAACAAATCCCACTCAAAAAGAAATTTATAAAATCCTGGAAAAAGAGTTCAAACTATGATTTAAGGTAGTAAGACAGAAGATAAAACGAATTCAGGAAATAAATGAGAAATTGACCAAAAATATAGATATCCTAAAAGAGAACCAAAAAGAAATTCTGGAATTGAAGAATGTATTGAATGAAATATAAAATACATTTGAAAGCTTCAACAGTAGACTAGATAAAGCAGAAAATAGAACCTTAGAAATTGAAGACAGATCTTTTGAAATAACCCAGTCAGACAAAAGTAAAGAAAAAAAAAAAAAAAAAGAATGAACAAAGCTTGTGTGGCATATGAGAAACTATAAAGTGACCACATTTTCAAATTTTTAGAGTCCCAGAAGGCAAAGATAAAATCAACAGTTTAGAAAACCTATTCAAGTAAACAGTAGATGAAAACCTCCTAAGTCTAGCAAGAAAATTAGACATCCAGATCCAGGAGGCCCAGAGATTCCCCAAAAGATACAAATTCAAAAATGTCTTCTCCAAGGCACATTATAGTCAAAGTGTAAAAAGTAAAACAAGTGAGAATTCTAAAAAAAAAGCAACAACTCAACATTAAAAAACAAATAATCCCATTACAAAGTGAGTTAATGACATGAATAAATATTTTTCAAAAGAAGATATACAAATGACCAACAGGTATATGAAAATATGCTCAATACCATGAATCAACATGGAAATGCACATCAAAACTACAATGATATATTATCAAGATATCTCAAAAGAAGGATCTCAAACGAAAGACCTCAAAATCTCTAAAGAAAAACCTCAAAATTTAGCTGAGCATGGTGGCGTGTGCCTGTAATCCCAGCTACTTGGGAGGCTGAGGCAGGAGAATCGCTTGAACCCCGGAGGCAGAGGTTGCAGTGAGCCGAGATGGCGCCATTGCACTCCAGCTTGGGCAACAAGAGTGAAACTCTGCCTCAAAATAAATAAATAAATAAATACAAAATAAAAGAAAAAGAAAAACCTCAAAATTTCAAAAGAAAGATCTCAACCTGATTTCACACATAAAGAGATTAGAAAAGAAAAACAAATTTAACTCCTAATCAGCAGAAGGAAAGAAATAGTCAAGCTCAGAGAATAAATAAAGGAGATAAAGACTAGAAATGCAATAGAAAAGATTAACAAAACTAAGAGTTGTGTTTTTTTTAAAACAACATGCAAGAATGTTTCAACATATGCAAGTCAATAAAAGTGATACAGCCCATTAACAGAATAAAGTATAAAATCCAGATGATCATCTCAAAAGATGTAGGAAAACTATCTGACTAAACGTAACATCTTTTCATAATAATAACCCGCAGCAAATTAGGTATAGAAGGAATGTAACTCAACATAATAAGGGTAATATATAACAAGCCCACAACAAATACCATACTCAATGGTGATTAGCCAAAAGCTTTTTCTCTAAGATCAGGAACAATACAAGTTTTCTCACCTGTGCCACTTCTATTTACATAGGACTGGAAGTCTTAGCTAGAGCAATTAAACACGAAAAAGAAACAAAATGCTTCCAAATTGGAAAGGAAGATGTTAAGTTTTCTTTGCAGATGACATGATATTCTATATTGAAAAGCTCTAGACTCCACCCAGAAATAGTTATAATAAACAGATTCAGTAAAGTTCTAAGACACAAAATAATTATGCAAAGATCAGTTTCATTTCTTTATACCAAGAATGAATTATCTGAAGAAGAAATTAAAATAATCTCATTGACAATAGCATGAAAAACAATAGAATACTTAGAACAATTTTAACTAAAGAATTGAAAGATCTTGACACTGAAAACTATAAGACATTAATAAAAGAAATTGTAGAAGACACAAATAGATCGACATATATCTAGTGTGTAAGGAATAGGATAATCAATATTGTTAAAATTTTCACACTCCCTAAAGCAATCTACATAGTAAATGTAACCACTATCAAAATACCAACATTATTTTTCACAAAAATAGAAAAAAATTCTAAAATTCATATGGAAACACAAAATACCCCCAAAATAACAAAGCCATCTTGAGAAAAAACGATGTTGGACTCATTACACTTTTTGATATCTAATTGTATTGCAAAAATAATTAATCAAAACAGTATGAGACTGGTATTAAAAAATGACATGTAAACTGGCCAGGTGCAGTGGCTCACACCTGTAATCCCAGCACTTTGGAAGGCAAAGCAGGCAGATGATGAGGTTAGGACCTCGAGACCAGCCTGGCCAACATAGTGAAACCCCGACTCTACTAAAAATATAAAAAATTAGCCAGGTGTGGTGGTGTGCACCTGTAGTCCCAGCTACTCAGGAGGCTGAGACAGGAGAATCACTTGAACCCAAGAGGCAGAGGTTGCAGTGAGCTGAGATCGCACCACTGCACTCCAGCCTGGGTGACAGTGCGAGACTCTGTCTCAAAAACAAAAAAAGAAAAAAACATGTAGACGAACAAAACAAAATAGGGAGCCAAGAAATAAACCTACATCTCTATGGTCAACTAAGCTTTGACAAGATTGCCAAGAACACACTATGGAGAAAGGAAAGTCAGTTCAACAGGTGGTGTTGGGGATGCTGGTTATCCACATGAAAAAGCATGAAATTGGAACCTTGTCTTGCACCATATAGGAAAATTAATTTGAAGCAAAATAAAGACTTAAATGTAAGATCTAGAACCATAAATCTCCTAGAAGAAAACAAAAAGAACAAGATCCTTGATATTGGTCTCTGCAATATTTTTTTTTGATATGACACAAAGAGCGCAGGCAACAAAAACAAGTGAGAATACATCAAACAAAAAAGTTTCTTCACAGCAAAGGAAGAAATCAACAAAATAAAAAAAAAAAACCCAAAATGGGTAAAAGTATTTACAAGCCATATATCTGATAAGAAGTTAGTATTTAAAATACATAAGAAACCAAAGCAACTCAATAGCTAAAAAAGACCCCTATTAAAAATGGGAAAATAACCTAAATAGATATTTTTCCAAAGAAGACAAGAAAATGGCCCACAGGTATATAAAATGGTACTTAACATCACTAATCAGAGAAATGCAAATGAAAACCACAATGAGCTACTACCTGACACCTTTTAGGATGGCCATTATCAGAAAGAGAAGAGATAACAAGTATTAGTGAGGATGTGGGGAAAAGAAACCATTATACACTGTTTGTGGGAATGTAAATTGGTACAGTTATGAAAAACAATATGGAGTTTTATAAAAAATATTAAAAATAGAAATACCATATGATCCAGCAATTTCACTTGTGGGTTTATATACAAAGGAGTTGGAATTAGTAAATTGAGGAGATATATACACCCACATGTTCACTGCAGTATTATTCACAATAGCCAAGATACAGAAACGAAACAAATGTCCATTGATGGATGAATGGATACAGAAAATTTGATACACATATAAACAACAAAATATTATTCAGATATTAAAAAATCCTGCCATTTGCAACAGCATGGATGAATGTGGAGAACACTATATTAAGTAGAATAAATGAAACACAGAAAGACAAACACTGCATGATCTCACTTTCATGTGCAATCTAAAAATGTACTCATAGAAGCAGAGAGTAGGAAGGTGGTTGTCATGCCTGGGGGTGAGGAAAATGGGGAGCTGTTGTTCAATGGATACAAACTTTAAGTTATAATATAACATGAACAAATTCATGGGATTTAACGCACGGCAAGGGTTTGATGGATGTGTTGATTAATTTGAACATGGTAATAATTATTCAGTGCATACATGTATCACATCATCACATTTTACACTTTGAATATATACAATCTCCTTCAATTAAATATTTTAAAGTAAAAAAGAATAGACACATTGATGACTAAAATAGAGAATTTAGAAATAAATACATATTTATATTCAATTTATTTTCTTTTTCTTCCTCCCAGTTTTATAGAAGCATAATTGAAAATACTCAATTGATTTTCAACAGGGATGCCAAGATAATTCAATGGGAAAATAATTAAATAAGTGGTACTGAAACAACTGGATATACCCATGTGACAAAATTGTGTTGGACCTTTCTCAGTGTGAACAAAAATTATACAAAAATAAATCAGCGTCTACAAGTAAGAGCTTAAGATTCTTAAGACTATATAACTTAGAAGAAAACAGGAGTCAAAAAAAAAAGAAGAAAACACGAGTCAATTTTTGTGACATGAATTAGGCAAAGCTTTCTTAGATACAGAACCAGAAGCACAAACAACTAAAGCAAAAATAGAGAAATTTGTCTTAATACAAATTTAAGAGTTCTGTGCTTCTAAAGACACTTCAAGAAAATACAAAGTAACTATAGAATGGGAAAAATTATTTGAAAATTATATATCTTATAAGCAGCATATATTAAAAACATGTAAAGAACTTTTCCAACTCAATAATAAAACACAAATAACCCAACTAATAGGTATAGGATTTGTATAGACATTTCTACAGAGAATACATGCAAATAGCTAACACACATATGAAAAGTGCTTATGATAATTAGTTATCTGGGAATGCAAATCAAACCCTTAAAAAGATACCAATTATGACCCACTATGATTACTATAATAATAATAATAATAATAATAATAAATCCAATAATAAGCGTTGGTGAGAATGTAGGGAAACCAGGACGCTCACATCTTGAATGTGGGAATGTAAAAGATACAGCTGCTTTGGAAATTTTCTGGCAATTCTTCAAAAAGTTAAACATGGAGTAACTATTTGATTCAGCAATTCCAAGTTCAAGATACAAGATAATATACTACAACCAAAAAACTTGTACATGAATTTTCAAGCAGCATTATTCCATATAGTCAAAAAGTAGAAACAACTCATCTATTGATAAACAAATGTGACATGTTTATACAATGGAATATTATTCAGCAATGAAAACTTAATGAAGCACTGATGAATGCTTCAACATGGATGAATTTTGCAAAAATTGAAACAAGCCAGTCACAAAAGACCACATAAATCACACTCCTCTAATGCCTCACTTGTTCAGACCCATGCACAGGCCTGGAAGTTTCTTACAGGGAACTTAGAGGAGCACTGTCTGCACCCCTTAAGCTTCCACAGCAACACCAAGTTCCAGGAAAAGCAGGAGTGGGTTGCACTCATCAGATATGAGGGCTCATCCTGTGGCTTAGGTATAACAGCTATACTACCTCTCCTGGTACTTGGGGCTGTTGCAGCGTTGCCTAAGGATAGAAGTACTCAATATACTGCTACTAAGGTGTGTGGGGCCTCAGATAATTAATTGAAGAAATGAATAAGCACTGACTCTATTTACATACTGACTTTAGGGGTACATTCACACTGGTTATATGAACAAAATATGTGTTTAAAAAATTCTAATTTAAATAAAATAATAGATGTAAACTAGGTTGTAAGGAGTAACTATTTTAACAAGGAGAAGTTTAAAAGACATTATTTTTTCTTTAATTGACACAAAACTTATCAGAAATTTCACTCCTATTATTAGTCATGGTCTTTCCTATCTTCTTCCCCTAATATAAACAGTAGACAATAACTTTCACCTTGGAGAATAATAACACAAAATTGGCCTTAACATATAGCAATTGTAGCCTATATTTACAGGGGCTAAGCCACTGTTTCTTGTTCTCAGGAGATATGTTCAACAACAAAGAAGGACAATATATTTGATGTTTGAATTTTCTAACTTAGAATTCTTCTTTCATTCTTGTATAAATGATTCCTTATCCAAAAAAAATCTAATAAATAGTATGAATATTTGGGCAGTTCCAAAAGGATGCTGTAGTGTGATAATCTTGAAAATCTTTCCACAGAAAGTAATGTGAAAAAAAAATGGGAAATGTAATATAGGCAAGTTCTTGAGACCATGAAGGTATGTGGGAGCAAAGTAATGATTTATAAAAGTTATAGACAGTTACAAACATGTCTCTATAACTTAGGAACCAATTATTTTTTCTAGATTTTTCCATAAAGCTCAATTTTTACTGTTCCTATCATGCTTGGGCTGCTTAGGTGTATTTAAAAAGTACTTTTTGGAATTTAAAATTCAATAGAATTTTAAAATTATTTAAAAGTCCCTAACTTTTGGCTGAGAATAAATGTAAAACTTTAATTGTAGTTCAGCAATTTAGCTTCATCTGTGAGCCAAATGTGTCAATAAGCATTGACATCCATGTAGTTTCTAAACTTTGAAAGAATTGCATATCTGAAAACTGCCCCCAAAACCACACACTTAAACTATAGCTTTTATATACTTTTTATTGTTGGGAAGATTTCATAACAAAACCTTTAGGATACTTGCTAGGTAATTAAGAATTGCTATTAAGAATATTTTCTAATTCTATTTGATGTCAAGTGTAATGTGCCGATTTGAATAATTGCATGTCTGTGCACTGTTTCCCAGAATATTCTCTATTTCCCACACTACAGTCTAGCTTGTATTTCCAGCTTTCAGCCATGAGTTTGCAATTTTAAAGGGTCTCCAAAATGTGGGTACATTTTCCTTTAGAAATCCTCTTCTTAAATAAAGCCATTTCAGCTGCAAATTACCTATTATGAAGGAATAAAAGCACCCTTTTGACTGAGTGATGAATGCCATAGAAATGGATGTTTCTGAGTAAGAATGTTTGCTTTATATAGCATGTAAGCATTGCTATCAAATTACATGTGTATATACAATATTTTTTCATATCTAATTTATTTTTCTATACTTGACATTTCAATCTCATTATGGGTCAATGCTCAATTTTTGCTTTATATATGGGTTCCAATAAAGAGAGGAATGTCTGTTTCACTGTCATAGAAAATAGCATCATTCTACAGGCTACAAAGTAACGCATTTGATTTTATATCTTAAGAAATCATAATTACATTCAGGCACTAACTTTGATTTCTCTGGAACTTGAACTCTATAGATACATATTTCAAACTTTCATATTCTTTTTTATGATTTTAATAATGCATGGTACATTGGTATATTATTTGCAATATTAATTATATTTTATCATAGATTAAAATGCTATTGAAATAATAATGAATCTTTAACATTTGAAAAAATAATGAAATAAAGCAGTGAAATGCAAAGAGTGTTAGAAATCTTGCAAGAGAGAAAAGTTTTACTTAAAAATTTTTCTTAATATTCAGTAACATTGTAAAGACGTGCATATATGGAGAATGAATTGCAGAGGGAACTATTTGCCTTTTTTTCCTTTTGAGTCTGTCTAGACTAAGAGAGTGGATTATAAAATCAGATCATATGTGTTCACATGACATTTTCCCTCAAATACTGGCTTGTTAATTTTGGCCAATTCACTCAGGGACTCTTTTGCTCAGACTTCTAATTTTTAAAGCATAAAGAATAGCATCCATCTTATAAAGTTATATTAAGATTAAGCAATATAAATACTTTAAAATGAATATCCTTAAAGAAATCTAAAATTTAACACAGACACACCACACAAACACACACGCAATTTTAAAAATTTGATACAACTATCTTACCATCTCCAGGTTTTTCTCAGCTAAAAGATCTCAAAAGTGTTGGAAATTCAAGACAATGAAATGTTAATCGGCACTAAAAAGAAACGAGCTATCAAGCTATGAAAAGACATCATTAAGCCTTTAAACCTCCAAGAAGCATTCTCTTCCTTTCATCCCAGCTGCCACTGCCTGAGTTGAGAATATTTTGGACTACTAGGGTATCCTTTTAACAAGCTGCTAACAGGCTTTTCTGCTTTCAGTGAGTCTTTTACCTATATTACGGGTGAAAATATGATTTTTTCTCCTTTACAAAACAGACTCTAATGATTTCTCCCCTTAATCTTGAGCATAGAATCTGCAATTATTATAAATGTATTATTTCCTAAATGGCCCAACCCACCTGTAAAACTTCACTTCTCTCTTTGCTGTCTTATCAATTCTACACTCCAGCCAAAGCCAAAGTGGATTCATTCTTCTTTTAATATGTCCTCTGTATTTCTGTTTCATGTTAATAAGTTTACATTAATTTGGAATACTTTTCCTCAACACTCAATTTTTCAAATCCAACATTGCTGCAAAATTTCTTAAAATTTTTCCAGCAATAACTTATTTTAAAACCATATGACCTTTTAGCTCAGGGCCTAGTTAATGCTGCTTCTACTACCACTCTCCCCTATTTCTTGAGACTAATATCGCACATTGTTCAAGTACTATATTCCTTAGAAAGACATCGCTGAATTCCAGAGTAGGTTAGGGACCTCCCAGAAAAACCTGTGTCTTATACTGCCTTGTAATTAACTATTTTCCCTCCCCTCAGCTCCCTTAGTAGACTAAGTGCTCTTTAATAGCAGGGGACTTAGTAGACTAAGAGCTCTTTAATAGCTCTTATCTCAGTTCTTGAGTCACAATGCCTGGCACACAGTTGGAGTTCAATAAATGTTTGTTGAGTGAGTTAATTTAGCTGTCTATCATACATTTTTAATGTAGTAATTTCTAAGCTATAATTATTATTTTATTACTCCTTTGCTTAAATATTTCCCCATTGTTCTTTGGATAAAGTCCACACATCTCAACACAAACTATAATATAAGGCAATGTTCTGCCTGGTATAGTCCCTGCTCATCTCTTCAGTACAAACTTATCTTTTTGAGTCACATTGTTCATGTTCTTACTTGCCTCCAGATATTTGCATTTGCTATTCCTTCTGCTAAGGACACTTTTCTTACATATATATATATATATATATATATATTTATTTATTTATTTATTTTTTTTGAGATGTAGTCTTGCTCTGTTGCCAGGCTGGAGTGCAATCTCGGCTCACCGCAACCTCTGCCTCCTGCGTTCAAATGATTCTCCTGCCTCAGCCTCCCAAGTAGCTGGGACTACAGGTGTGTGTCGCCACATCCAGCTAAATTTTGTATTTTTTGTAGAGATGGGGTTTCACCATGTTGGCCAGGATGGTCTCGATTCCTTGACCTCATGATCTGCCTGCCTCTGCCTCCCAAAGTGCTGAGATTACAGGCCGTGAGCCACCATGCCTGGCCTCTTACTTATATTTCTGAACCTAGTTTGAGAAATATTTCCTGACACCTTACTCATCTCCATCTGAATTATGTTCCCCTCTAATTTTCCTAAAACACTCTGTACTTACTCTAATACAATACGTGCCACAATCTTGTAAATATTATTTGCTTTCTTGTAGCATCTTTAGCTTGTTAGCTCCTTAAAGCTCAGTTCTTAAATTCCGTATATTACCAGAAATTTCATATTAATCTACTTAATATTGTATTTCCAGATTCTAGCATAGTACTTGACAAAACAGTACGTGGTGAATAATTATTTATTGAATAAATGGAAGCAGTTCAAATATTTTACTCATTGTGAAACCCAAAGAGAGAAAGCAAAGGAGAAATAAGCTCGCTGAATGTAGCTTGCATTCAGACTGCATATCTTTTTCATTTGTGTATTCTTCTCCTTAGAGAACCTAGTATACAGGAGATGCTTAATAATTATTTTTGGAATAAAAATAGAATGATTATTCTACCAACAGAGAAAATTCAATAAAACTTTAGATAATGAAGCATTCTACTTGTTGTTTAGAATCTCTGATTAGGGCCTTGACCAACACCAACTATGCAAGAGGTGAAGTCAAAAGAGCAGTGCAATTTAAGAATTCCTTGGGCAAGAACTCAAGGGTCACCAATTTCTGGCCTAATAGTGACACTAACATTCATGGTTTCACATTCTAGGAGCAACAGAGCCATAGATGGAGGTCATCAGAGTGAGGTCTAACAAGACTCTTAACAGATTGTGTCCCCAGAAAACCTGAATCTGGAAAACATATCCATCAAATTATTTAGATGAGGGTTTGATCAAAAACAAACAGTCTTTTTTTTTTCCTTTTAACTTTTAATTTTCTTTTTGCTGCTTCTGAAGATTAAACATTCAGGAGTCTTGCCATTCTGTTTTCTGATCCAAACATTTATATGCATGATGCATTTCATTTTTAATCTTAAACTCACAATTCCTCTTTCCTACTTGTCTTCCCTTGAATTATTTTCCCCTTTTCTTTTCAGAAAAAGATAGTTATTTTATTGGAGCTTCTGGCTTTCATGTGTTACTATATTAACTTTCTTTAGCATATTCTGTTTTTAACTCCATTGCTGTTAAGCCTAAAGCACATTCTTTCCTCAAAGGCTGATGAATAGTTGGAGGACATAATGAAGAAAGGAAAACTTTTAATGACATCTTGAACAAATGTAGACTTTCACCACATGGTAATATATATACGTATAAAATAAGACAGACAAAATATCTATATTGTTGTTATATGCAAGATAATTACTTTCTAGCTTATCATTTGTATATGTTTCCTATCACAGAAATTAATAGTTAAGGCTTTCTATATAAAGAAACTTGAGATAAGTACAAATATATAGCACAAATTGTAGTAAGAATAGGTCTTGTCTTCAGTGAACACTGTATTTAGATACTGACCTTCTTGTGTTCATTTTGTTAGACGAATATCTTTAAATTGGAATTACTAGAGTTAGGCAAGGCAGAACCTACTAGTATCTATGTAGAAATTTTATAGAACAATCTATCAGATAAAGTCAACAAGTGCATACTCATTTTTTGAATGACAGAAACCTTTATGGAAATGACACCTCATCTTTTCTGAGATGGTTGCCTTTTGATTGATCATGACAGTAAATTTTATGTGATGAAATGATGGCTTTTATACTGATTTGTATGGCCTGCAAAGTGTCCAAATTGTTCACCAGAATTCTGTCTTTAAATGAGGTGTTTTTCTTAAGATCCAGGAAGTCTCAAACTGAGTTTCTCAAGAAGGTGGGATCAGCAGCAATTGTATATGAATTTATGTTTCCTTGAAAGAAAATCTGGAGGTAGTTTATGTTACCTCTAAAACTTAGAGGTAAACAAATACATACTTTCCAAAAGACAGCATGTGTTATTTTTGCTCATTTGTTTGATAGTCTTTGCCACTAGATTGCAAATTAATTGAGTGCCGGGGGATCAAGCCCCCAATATTTCAACATAGGTTCTTTCTATTTTCCATAAGTGTAGGCCGGCTGGGAAACAAAGAGAAAGAGTACAAGGAGAGGAATTTTACAGCTGGGCCTCCAGGGGTAACATCACATATCGGTAGAACTGTGATGCCCACCTGAGCTGCAAAGCCAGCAGGTTTTTATTGAGGATTTCAAAAGGGGAGGGGGTGCAAGAACAGGCAGTATTTCACAAGATCACATGCTTCAAAGGACAAAAAGGAGAACAAAGATCACATGCTTCTGAGGCCAATAAAGATCACAAGGCAAAGGGCAAAGCAAAGATCGCAAGGCAAAGGGCAAAATAAAAAACTCCTGATAAGGATATATGCTCAGCTGTGCACGTATTGTCTTGATAAACATCCTAAACAACAGAAAACAGGGTTCAAAAGCAGAGAACCAGTCTGACCTCAAATTTACGAGGGTGGTTTCTTCCCCACCCAAATAAGCCTGAGGGTACTGCAGGATACCAGGGCGAATTTCAGTCCTTATCTCAACCACATAAGACAGACATTCCCAGAGTGGTCATTTATAGACCTCCCCCCAGGAATGCATTCCTTTCCCAGGGTCTTAATTATTAATATTCCTTGCTAGGAAAAGAATTCAGCAATATCTTCCCTACTCGCATGTCTGTTTATAGGCTCTCTGCAAGAAGAAAAATATGGCTCTATTCTGCCTGACCCTGCAGACAGTCAGATCTTATGGTTGTCTTCCCTTGTTCCCTGAAAATGGCTGTTATTCTGTTCTTTTTCAAGGTGCACTGATTTCATATTGTTCAAACGCATGTTTTACAATCAATTTTTACACAATAGTGGTCCTGAGGTGACATACATTCTCAGCTTACAAAGATAACAGGATTAAGAGATTAAAGACAGGCATAAGAAATCATAAAAGTATTAATTTTGGGAATTGATAAATGTCCATATTAAAATGAAATCTTCACAATTTATGTTCAGAGACTGCAATAAAGACAGGCGTAAGAAATTTAAAAAGTATTAATTTTGGGAACTGATATATGTCCATATCAAAATGAAATCTTCACAATTTATGTTCCTCTGCCACGGCTCCAGCCAGTCTCTCCATTTGAGGTCCCTGACTTCCTGCAACATCTGAGATTAGGTGTTATTTCTGCCCATTAAATGCAAAATTGTGTATATATGTAACCATAAGACCTATTATGAAGAAGTCAATAAACTCTACTTATTTTGTAGGCTGATAAAAATCTCCTAACAATATAGTTAAAATATTCAAAAGCAAGGACTAGAACATGAATCCGAGCTCTATATACATATACAGAAATTACTGTGTACATATACACATATGTATGTATACACACATAAATAATTATAAAGGTTGATTGCAATGTATGTTTATGCTTATGATAACTGCTCAAAAACTGGGAGTAAAGAATCTACTCTTGACATATACTTGCTGTGGTAGACACTGAATTCTGCATTTGTATCTACAAAAGTTTTAGCATATTAGTCATTGTGTACTATTGGGATTCAAATCTTACTGACAATTTATTCATAGAAATGTACAAAAAAACCTTTCTGATTTTACTTGAGGGACTTATATTTACAATCTTTACTAACTACCTCATTAATAGATCCTGGTACTTCTTCCTAATTCCACACTTAGAATAACTAATAATAACAATAATAGGTTAACATTACCGGAAACCAGGCACATTCACTAATCTTGTTAAATGTTTACATTAATCCTATCTGGTAGATTACTGCTATTATATTCATATAACCTAGTTTCAACTGCCTGTGTATCTTTTCAGTTTTGCCTTTCAGGTAATATTAAGTTTTACTGCCTGGGAAAATTTTATATTTCTTATCCTCTAGTATTTCTGAAAAGGGTGGGAATGGGGTGGCTGTCAGGGAGAGGCCTCTTGTACTTCTCAATTCCTGTTTATACTAAATTTCCTGTCTCTTTTTTTTCTCACAAAAGATGACTGCTTTTTACCTTCACCTTACTTATTTCCTTGAAGCAACCCCCATACAAGGCAGTTGTGTGTAGCCAGTTTTTCTGAGGGTGCCAGAGGGAGGCTAAAGAGAGACTTTTTACAAGAATCGCAAATAGGTGGGCAGAGAAAGATGATAGAATACAAGTCTACGTTGTTGATTCCCCTCTGGGATACCAAATTTTAGCAACTATCTGCACACAGAAAAGAACTAGCACAAAACCCAAAAATCGGGTACTAACCAAGCCACAGGGATAGAGCACCCAGCAAGCTCTTGGGGCTTCCAAGTCCAGGCCTAGGCTCCTGCACAGCATTTTTAGACCTGTCATGGGCCAGAGGGGAACACTCTGCCCTGAAGGGTGAGTCGCAGGCCTAGCAACATTCACCACAGGCTGACAGAAGAGCCCTTGGGCTTTAAGTAAACATCAGTGGTGTCCTGAAAGAGCCCCCTGTGGACCAGGGGTGGTAGTGACCACAAGGAGAGGATCCTTTGCCTGCGGAAAGGGAAAGGAAGAGCAGGAAGGACTTTGTATTGTGGTATGAGTGACAGCTTGGCCACAGTAGAATAGAACATCAGGTAAATTGCCAAGGCTTTTGACTCCAGTCTCTAGGTCCCAGATAGCATCTCTGGACATGTCTGAGGCTTATGGGAGCTCGCTGCCCTCAACAGAAGTGCCAGGGCAAGACCCAGTGCTGTGCTGGCTTCAAGGCTGACCCAGTATGGACCCAGTGCATTCCCACTGGTGATGGTCACAGGGGTGCTTGCATTACTATACGCCCAGTTCCAGGTGGCTATACACACACACACACACACACACACACACACACACACTCACTCAGAGAGAGAGAGAGAGAAAGGAAAAGCGTCTCTGCCTGGTAATCCAGAGAATTCTTCCAAGTCTTATCCCAAACCACCAAGGCAGTACTATGAGTCTGCAAAAACCACAGCATTATTGGGCTTAGGGCCCAAGTTCCTTTGAATACTTGGAAAACCTTCCCAAGAAAGACAACCCCAAACAAGCCCAGGCTACAAAACATATGTATCTCTTCAGTGCCCAGACACTGATGAAAATATATAAGCATGAACACCACTCAGTAAATGTCCTCACCAAATGAACTAAATAAGGCACCAGGAACCAATCCTGGAGAAACAGAGATACATGATCTTTCAGACAGAGAATTCAAAATAGATGTGTAGAGGAAATTCAAAGAAATTCAAGATAACACAGAGAAGGAATTAAGAATCCTATCAAATAAATTTAACAAATAGATTGAAATAAAAGAATCTGGCAGAAATTCTAGAGTTGAAAAATGCAATTAACATTCTGAAGAATGCATCAGAGTCTCTTAATAGCAAAACTGATCAAGCAGAAGAAAGAATTAGTGAAATTAAAGAAGGACTATTTGAAAATGCATAGTCAGAAGAGACAAAAGAAAAAAATTATAAAACGAAGCCTGCTTACAAGATCTAGAAAACAGCATCAAAAGGTCAAATCTAAGAGTTATTCATCTTAAAAACGAGGTAGAGAAAGAGACAGGGATAGAAAGTTTATTCAAAAGAAAAACATCAGAGAACTTCCCAACCTGGAGAATGATATCAACATTCAAGTGCAAGAACATTATAGAACACTAAGCAGATTTAACCCAAAAAATACTACCTCAAGTCATTTGACATTCAAATTCCCAAATACGAAGGATAAATAAAGGATCCTAAAATCAGCAAGAGAAAAGAAACAAATAACATACAATGCAGCTCCAATATGACTGGCATAAGCTTTTTCAGTGGAAACCTTACAGGCCAGGAGAGAGTGGCACGACATATTTGAAGTGCTGAAGGAAACAAAATTTTACCCTAGAATAGTATATCCAGTGAAAATATCCTTGAAACATGAAAGCAAAATAAAGGCCTTCCTAGATAAATAGAAGCTGAGGGATGGTTTTATTGACACTAGAACTTTCCTAGAAGAAGTGCTAAAGGGAGCTCTTCAATCTGAAAGAAAATGATGTTAATGAGCAAGAAGAAATCATCTGAAGTTATAAAACTCACTAGCAATAGTAAGCACACAGAAAAACACAGACTAGTATAACACTTTAATTGTGGAGTGTAAACTAGTTTTGTCTTAAATAGAAAGACTAAATAATGAACCTATGCAAATAATAACTAATAACTACAACTACTTTTTAAGACATGGACAGTACAATAAGAAATAAAGAGCAACAAAAAGGTTAAACAGTGGGGGACAAAGTTAAAGTGTAGAATTTTTTATTAGTTTTCTTTGAGTGTGTGTTTGATCATTGATGCAAACAGTGTTAAAGTGATATCAGTTTAAAATAATGGGTTATAAGATTCCATTTGCAAACCTCATGGTAGCCTCAAATCCAAAAAACATGCAACAGATACACAAAAAATAAACAGTAAGAAATTAAAACATACTACTAGGGAAAATCACCTTCACTAAAAAGAAGACAGAAAGGAAGGAAAGAAGGAAGAGAAGACCATAAAATAATCAGAAAACAAATAATAAAATGGCAGGAGTTAGTCCCTGCTTATGAATAATAGCATTGAATGGTAAATGGACTAAATTCTCCAATGAAACAATATGGAGTGGCTGAAGGATGAAAAACAAGACCCAATGATCTACTGTATATGAGACACACACTCCATCTATAAACATACACATAGACTGAAAATAAAAGAATGGAAAAAGACATTCCATGCTGATGGCAGCAGCAGTCTGTCTGGAGGAGTCACTGTGAAGATGCCTGCTGCAGTCGGGAAGGCATGGCCAGGCTCCTCTGTGGAGCTGGCAGCAGCTAAGAACAGGTGGGAGCCCTGCCCCCGACCAAATTGGCAGGGTGGGAGCCCTGCACTCATGGGCTCAGCTGCAGCTGCCCAGCCATGGCTCTGGACTCAGGCATCTCTGTGCTCTTGGAGTTCCAGGAAGCTCCACTGCCCCCACGGGCTCAGACGTGCCTTCTTCCACAGCCTGGCCTCTCCCTGCTCCCAGCACCAGCTCTGATTCTGGAGCAAAGTTGAGGTGAAGCACAGACCCTGTCACAAACCAGCCAAGTGTGCCATGCTTAGGGAAGCATTGACACACCAGCCCCCTGCCGCCTTGACTCCCTCTGGAATTTGGGTGCTGAAGAGCATGGGAGGGAGGCTGAAGGGGGCTGAGGGTGTCTTGGTGCCAGCCTGCTGGCATTTCTTTGGACAAACAGCCTGGGTGCCATGGAAAGCATGTTGATGGCATCAGGAGAGGAGGCAGACAAGTTCCTGAGTGGAAAGGAGTGGGTCCCCAATGAAGCCCCACTTTCAAGCCTGGGATAGCCTGAAGCCTGGAGGCCAGGCTACCAGTTCCAAGTGAAATCCATGGCCCACAGTGAGAACTTGTGGTGCTTCTTCTGGGTCCATCCATGGCTGCTCATGGACCAATCAGCAGGTATTTCCTTTCTTCTGAGCCCATTAAAAATCCAAGACTAAGCAAGACTTGAAAAAGATGTCAGGAAGACCAGCTGCAGAGAGGAGCTACCCACTCCAGGGCCACCTCAACTTGTTGGGATGACCTACCTATAGAAAGGAGCTACCCGGTTTGGGCCTCCTGAGAGCTATTTTGTTGCTCAGTGAAGCTCCTCTCTGCGTTGCTCACCCTCCAGTTGTTCGTATACCTAATTCTTCCTGGATGTGGTACAAGAACTTGGGACCCACTGAATGGCAGAACTGAAAGAGGTGTAACACAAACACAGCTGAAACACACTCCCCCAACCCACTCACCATGTTGTGGATGAGAAGGAGAGAAGAGCTGCAGTTTTTCAGGGAGCCCAGATCTACAGATTGCCCGAGCCAGGCTGTGACAGCGTCTTTGGGGCTCTACAGTTCCTGGCATCTCCAAGCTTCCAAGTGCCACTGTGTTCCCCTTGTCTAGACATAGGTGCCTGCAGTGCAAGCTGTGTGCAGTACATGTGGTCCAGCCACAGCCTCACACAGAGCCGGAACCTGTGCTGGTGCTTGGAGCTGCCCATCCCACCATAGCCACCAGTGCCTGGCTCTGTGCTGTGGTCAGATCCTGTGCTCGCTTGCCCACATACCCCTTGCTTGCCTGGCATGCTCTTGGCAGGTGTGGCATCCAAGCCAGTAGAGCAAGTCAAGTGCAGCCTACCAGGCCAAGTGGCAGAATGAGTCAAGAAAGCACAAGAGATACTCAAACAGAAGGTGCGGCTGGACACAGAGATTGGCAGCTGGTGAAGCAACACCCCAAGGATCCCATGATAATGCCAATGGACACCAAAAATGAGAAGGAGTAGCTATATTTATTTCAAAATGGATTTCAAGACAAAATTATGAGACAAAGAAGATCATTATATAATGATAAAGGGATTAATTCAGCAAGAGTATAATATAGTTATGAATATATATGCACCCAACACGGAGCACCCAGATATATATATAGAGTAAATACTATTAGACCTAAAGAGAGAGATAGATCCCAATACAATAATAGCTGGGGACTTCAACCCCCCACTTTCAGCATGGGACAAATCTCCCAGACAAAAAAAATAGCAAAGAAGCTTCAGAGTAAATTATATAACAAATGTACCTAAGAGATAGTTACAGAATATTTCATCCAATGGCTGTGTAATACACATTATTTTCCTCAGCATATAGATAATTCTCAAGGGTAGATCATATGTTAGGTCACAAAACAAGTATTAAAACATTCAAAAAATTAAAGTAGTATCAAGCATCTTCTCTGACCACAGGAAAACCTAGAAATTAATAAGAGAAATTTTGAAAACTATACAAACACATAGTAATTAAAGAACATGCAAATGACCAGTTGGTCAATGAAGAAATAAAAAGGAAAATTTCTTGTAGTAAATGATATTGGAAACACAACATACCAACTCCTATGGGATAGAGCAAAACAAGTACTAAGAGGTAAGTTTATAGCTATAAGTGCCTACATAAATAAAGTAGAAAAATACCAAATAAACAACCTAATGATCCAACATAAGGAACTACAAAAGCAAGAGTAAAACACACCCAAAATTAGTAGAAGATAATAAATAATAATGAGCAAAGAAGAAATATGTAAATTTGAAATAAAGAAAATACAAAACAAGTAATGAAACAAAAAGTTGTTTATTTTGAAAAGATAAACACAATTGACCAACCTTTAGCCAGTCTAAAAAAAAGAGAGAACACCCAAATGAATAAAATTGAGAAAGAGAAAGGAGACATTACAACTGAGATCACAGAAAATCAAAGTACATTTATGGCTACTATGAACAAGTATATGTCAATAAATAAGAAAATTTAGAAGAAAAGAATAAATTTCTAGACACGTACAACCAACCAAGATTGAACCAGAAAGAAATTTGAAACATGAGCCAGTAAAGAAAAGCCCAGGACCTGATGACTTCACTGCTGAAATCTACCAAACATTTAAAGAAGAAATAACACTAATCGTACTCAGATGGTTCAAAAAAATTGATTACTTCCAAACTGATTCTATGAGGCCAATATTTCCCTGATACCAAAATCAGACAGATATATAAAACAAAGAAAACTACAGGCTAGTATCTCTGATAAATATTGATGCAAAAATCCCCAACAAAATATTATCAAACCAATTTCAACAATACAGTAAAAAGACCATTCATCATGACCAAGTGTGATACCACTGGGATGCAAGGATGGTTGAACATACAAAAATCAATCAATGCAATGCATCATATCAACAAAAGGAACATTAAAAACCATATTATCATTTCAACTGATGCTAAAAAAATCTTTTGTAGTTCAATACCTCTTCATAAAACTTTCAAAAAACTGGTTATAGAAGGAACATACCTAAACATAATAAAAGCCACATATGACAGACAAACAACTAGTATCATACTGAATGGGGAAAAAATGAAAGCCCTTCCACTTACATCTGGAACACGACAAGGATGCCTATTTTCACAACTGTTATTCAACATAGTACTGGAAGTCCTAACTAGAGTGATCAGACAAAAGAAAGATATAAAGGGCATCCATCTTGGAAAGGAATAAGTCAAATTATGCTTGTTTGCAGATTATATAATCTTACATTTGGAGTAACATAAAGACTTCACCAAAAACTATTAGAACTGATACACAAATTCAGTAAAGTTGCAGAATACAAAATCAACATGCACTCCCTAATCTTAAGTACCCAGGGACACAAACACTGCGGAAGGCCGCAGGGTCCTCTGCCTAGGAAAACCAGAGACCTTTGTTCACTTGTTTATCTGCTGACCTTCCCTCCACTATTGTCCTATGACCCTGCCAAATCCCCCTCTGCGAGAAACACCCAAGAATGATCAATAAAAAAAAAAAAAATTAAAAAAATTAAAAAAAAATAAAAAAAATAAAAAAAAGAAATGTTCACAATAAAATTGTTATCATAGTCCATAAAAAAAAAAAAAAGAAAAATCAATATTGTTAAAATGTCCATACTACCCAGAAATTGGGAATGGTTAATGGGTACAAAAAAAGTGGTTACAATGAATAAATAACACCTACTATTTGATAGCACAACAGAGTGAATATTATCAATAATAATTTAGTTGTACATTTAAAAATAGCTAGAACAGAATGATTGGTGATATGGTTTGGCTGTGTCCCCACCCAAATCTCATCTTGAATTGAACCTCTCATAATTCCCAAATGTCATGGGAGGGACCTGGTGCAAGATAACTGAATGATGGGGGTGGTTCCCCCATACTGTTATCATGGTAATGAATAAGTCTCATGTGATATGATGGTTTATTAAGAGGTTTCCCCTTTCACTTGGCTCTCATTCTCTCTTGCCTGCTGCCATGTAAGTAAGATGTGCCTTTTGCCTTCTGCCATGATTGTGAGGCCTCTGTAGCCACATGGAACTGTAAGGCAATTAAATCTCCTTGTCTTTATAAATTATAAAGTCTTGGATATGTCTTTATCAGTAGGGTGAAAATGGACTAATACCGTAAATTGGTACCAGGAGTAGGGCACTCCTGTAAAGATACCTGAAAATATGGAAGCAACTTTGGAACTGGGTAACAGGCAGAGGTAACAGTTTGAAGGTCTCAGAAAAAGACAGGAAGTTGTGGGAAGATTTGGAATTTCCCGGAGACTTCTTGAATGGTTTTGATCAAAATGCTGATAGGGATATGGACAATTAAGTTTGGGTTGAGGTGGTCTCAGATGGAGATGAGGAACTTGCTGGGAACTGGAGTAAGGGCAACTCTTGCTTTGTTTTAGCAAAGAGACTGGTGGCATTTTGCCCCTGCCCTAGAGATTTGTGAAACTGTAAACTTGAGGGAGATAATTTAGGGTATCTGGTGGAAGAAATTTCTAAGTAGCAAAGCATTCAAGAGGTGATTTGGATGCTGTTAAAAGCATTCAGTTCTGAAAAATAAACAGGACATAAAAGTTCAGAAAATTTCAACCTGATAAAGTGATAGAAAAGAAAAACCCATTTTCTGAGGAGAAACTCAAGCTAGCTGCAGAAATTTGCATAGGTAATGAGAAGACAACTGTTAGTTACCAAGACAATGGGGAAAATCTCTCCAGGACATGTCTGAAACTTTTGTGGTAGCCCCTCCCATCACACTCCTGGATGCCTAAAAGGGAAAATTGGATTCATGGACTGGGCCCAGGGACCCCTGCTTTGTGCAGTCTCTGGTCTTGGTGTCCCATGTCTCATCTGTGGCTAAAAGGGGCCAAGATACAGCCCAAGCCATGGCTTCTGAGGGTACAAACCCTCCTTGGCAGCTTTCACATGGTGTTGAGCCTGTGGGTGCACAGAAGTCAAGAATTGAGGTTTGGGAACCTCCACCTAGATTTCAGAGAATGTCCAGGCAGAATTTTGCTGCAGGAGTGGGGCTCTCATGGCAAACCGCTGCTAGGGCAATTCAGAAGGGAAATGTGGAGTCGGAGCCCACACACAGAGTCCTTACTGGGGCACTGCCTTGTGTAGCTGTTAGAAGAGGGCCACCATCCTCCAGACCCCAGAATTGTAGATGCATTGACAGCTTGCTTTGTGCACCTGGAAAAGCTGCAGACACTCAATGCCAGTCTGTGAAAGCAGCTGGGAGGGAGGCTATATCCTGCAAAGCCATAGGGATAGAGCTCTTCAAGACCACGGGAACCCACCTCATGCATCAGTGTGACTTGGATGTGAGACAGGAGTCAAAGGAGAAAATTTTGGAGCTTTAAGATTTGACTGTCCCACTGGATTTCAGACTTGCGTGGTGCTTGTAGCCCCCTGCATTTTGGCTAATTGCATCCATTTGGAATGGCTGTATTTACCCAATTGCTATACCCCCATTGTATCTAGGAAGTAACTAACTTGCTTTTGATTTTACAGACTCATAGACAAAATGAGACATTGGACTGTGGACTTACAAGTTAATGCTGAAATGAGTTAAGACTTTGGGGGACTGTTGGGAAGGCATGATTGGTTTTAAAATGTGAGGACATGAGATTTGGGAGGTGCAAGGGGAGGAATGATATGGTTTGGCTGTGTTTCCACCCAAATCTCATCTTGAATTGTAGCCTCCCACAATTCCCTCATATTGTGGGAGGGACCTGGTGGAATATAATTGAATCATAGGGTGGTTTTCTCCATACTGTTCTCATGGTAGTGAATAAGTTTCATAAGATCTGATGGTTTTATAAGGGGCTTCCCTTTTCATTTGGCTCTCATTATCTCTTCCCTGCCTCCATGTAAGACATGACTTTTTTCTTCTGCCATGATTGTGGGGCCTCCCCAGCACGTGGAACTGTGAGTCCATTAAACCTCCTTGTCTTTATAAATTACCCAATCTCAGTTATGGTTTGATCAGCACCGTGAGAATGAACTAATACAATTGGATTGTTTGAAACACAAAGAATAAATGCTTGAGGGGATGAATACCCAATTTTCCATTAAGTGATTATAATGCATTGCATACCTCTATCAAAATATCCTATGTACCCCATAAATATATAGACTACGTACCAACAAAACCCCAAAATTTAATAATTAAAAAAAAAATTGCAAACAATTTAAAACTGAGTGATAGACATACTTGTTCTCAAAGTCTTTTTTCCCTCCATGCCACCACCAATTTTTCACAGACTACTGTTCTTTTTAGATTCCATGCTCCTATCAGGGATCTGGTCCTTCTCACAATATTTCTCTAAGTTTACTTCTTTTCTTCTTTCTTTCCACTGGCTATCCTCTGCCAAATGCATCAAATACTTATTTCGCTATGGAAAACATTTTTCCTTTTAATGACTCTTTTCAAAGTCTTCCCACATTAGGGCCTGAAGTTTAATTATCCAGCGTCTGGATGATGTATTAAGACAATTTATACAATATAACAAATTTCTTACTCAGAAATGCTGACATCTGCCTGTAATTATTTTGTTTTTGCTTACGTTTTAGAATGATAAAATTACATAGCCAGTTAATGGCAAAGCTTAGATTTGAATCCAGGCACTTTCCCACACTTAGTGGCTGCACTATAGAAATACTATTTTTGGTCCTCATCCTTGTGAGCCTTTTGATATCCTGAGAGCTAATCTTGTTGCTTTATGTCATACAAAATCTGTCTAAATGTTTCCCTCAGCTTGATCAAACTTCAGACAGATTTCTTCATGACTCTAGGCTCCTGACCTCCCTTTTTAAAGAATATTTACATTACAGAACTTTCCATTGTATATATATATTTTTCTGTCTCTTTGACATGTGACTCTTATTTAAGCCCCCTGCCAATTTCATGACCCAAGATCTTCTTTCTCAAGGAAGTGGGAGTTGCCACTTTAAAATGTAATCACCAAAAAGAAAGAGCCTCTATCTCCCAGTTTCTGTGGCAGCATAGAACCCTAAAATAGATAAGTAACAATTAGCAAACATAGATAGCCTAGTCACCTTGGCCAATCGCCCCCATCACATCCTCCAGTAATTTTCCACTTGCTCACCCTAATGCTTAAAAATCCTCTAATTGTTTCTGTGGAGTTGAGTTCAATCTCTTTCCCCTCCTGCAACAGTCTTCAATGTAGTCTTCCTTCCCTACTGAACTCTGGAGCATTTTTTATTTTTGATGTCTCACGCTCAAATATCCCCACACTACTGAAAAATGGGAGGTGCATATCTGGTATTAAAAACGCTTTCAAATGCTCTGTTCCTAGAAAATTGTACTGCAGTTGTAAAAATGTCCTAGCCATTAACGAGTCAAAGCTGTTCTCCCATTCTTAATGTTGAAAGGCTGCATTGTGAGAACTTTTTAAAAATGGCAGAATGTGTCTTTCTAACACATCACAAGATGTCATTAGTAAGACATGGGTGAGGACAAACAGTCCTGCCTTTTTAAAAGGAGGATTCAGATACATGATTCTTAGATTATTTCACAAACTGCTGACACAGTTACCACATTATTTTTATTGAGTTCTCAATAATATTTAGACTTTTTTTCCTAAAATGAAGTATTTTATCTAATGTGATAAATTAACTTTTATAAGGTATTCTATACTTTAGATTCTTTTAGATAAGGGCAATGAATGGTTCTACATTTCGAATTATTTCAGATAAGGTTGCTGAATGCTTTCTTTATAACACAAGGCATTTTAAAACAATCTCTATTATTCAGACAGTTTTGAGATGGGTGCTGACAGCAATAACAGAAACAAAACGAAATACTTTCCTATTCTTTTGAATTAGAAACTATTTCTGGAGTCCTGTTTTCTGTGTGAAATAAAGCTATCAATCCATCAGTCTATCCATATGTATTTTTCTTTTCAGCACCAGTGTCAGGCAATAGAAATCCAAGCTTTCTGTTAATGTTTTCTTTAGTAAAATCTTTGTCTACCTGCAGTGCTAATCTTTAGCTTTAAATTCAAGATAAGATTTACTTTATTTTGTATTTGTTTCCTACCATCCCTCTTCTCTCCTATTTTTATTTTAACAATGTGATGGAAAAATGTAACTAATCCCGTTATGACGGCATGCTTTAATATCTACTTAGTTTCTATCAGACTCTTTTAAATTATGTTTCACAGCAGTCTTATTTAATTTCTGGAAACTATTATAGCTCCCCCTAGCCCCCCCAGCCCCGCTTATTGAAAACCTAAAGATCAGAATGTTGTACACAATCTAGATTTTCCAGTGTGTGTGTCTATGTGTGTGCATGGCTAGTTTTATGTGTAACTGGTTATCCATAGAGCAATATACACATACAAGGATAAATATTCATATTTTCATACAATGTTTTATGCATAGATTGGCTTGTATGGATCGTTATTTAATAACCCTTGGAAAGATTTTTTCAACTAAGCAACTGAATTATTTGATGAAACATAGCTGATTAATTTTCAGTGTTTTGAAGCGTTAGAAGTTTAAAATACACTTTTGAAGTCATTTCACTTTGATTAATAAAATGTGATGGGCTAATATTGTATCCTTTTCATATCTTACTCTGTGTTGGGCACTTTATCAGGAACTAAAATTTCAAAGACAAATAAAACATGTTTCCACACCAGAGGTCCTAATAGCAGTGGTTCTCCACCCTGTCTGTACATTAGAATCAGCCGGGGAGCTTGGAAACTACTTTGAGCTCTACCACAGAAGATAGTGACTAGCTTAATTTTAAAACTTCTCCAATTAATTTTGAAGTGCATTCATTAAGACTCATGATCTTATAGCACATAAGAGGAGGCTAAACTACACATGGGCAGACATTTAACTTATTTGGTAGGAACCTTAGATAGAATTACACAGGGATTGCAGAGATGGTGGAGGGTCAGTGAAAGCCACAGGAGTTTTTTTTTGTGAGATTGGGGTGGGACAAGTGGTAACATGATTCTTGAGTTTTGAAAGAAAAGATTTTCAAGTAGTGGAGAAAAAGTGGATAGAAATGTGGAGCACAGAGGAATAAAATTCAGATAGAGGAAACTACAAACAAAAGGAGTCATATAGCAACCTGCTGTGAAAAAACTACGTGTGGTTTAGTGCTTTAGAATTCTCAGATGTACATTTGGGTGTGATCAACTTGGGACTGGAGTGAGGGAGATAATGGAGAGTCCTTAAGATGTATAATACTTTAAATGCATATTCAAATTCACATTGACAAGGAGAGAAGTAGGATAAAATAATTAAGTCTGAAAGCCACTCACTTTTGAAAATTGGATATAGAGATCAGTTACATAATCTTAAGCTATCCTGGTAGTGGTCACCAAGGAAATAAAATGTGCTATGTCTTGATTAATGTTACATATGGAAATATAGCTTTTGGACTACCCAAGATATGTACAAATAAAAACAAACATCTTCCTTGCTAATTTGATTGTCTTATTCCAGAAGACTAAAAAAGTGTTAACTCTCCTAGCAAATAGAACCCATTTATTGAGGGCATGTAATGTTCCAGATACTTCCTCTCAATTAATTTTGGTCTATATGGCTGAGTCGTATGTTTTGGCCAAAGTATTGTAACAGAACCCAGATTTAGCTGCTTGTTGTTCAAAAGTGAACTCAAGAAACAAAAGTTGGTGGGCGGAAAAGCAGGTTTATTCAAGAAGCTGGCAACCCGAGAAGTTGTCCGACTAGTGTGACGAAAGCTATCTTGGTTCCTCGGGTTGGCTGAAGGGATTTTAAAAAGGAAGCACCTTGGGAAACTATGTGCAGGTCAACATGTCTTGTTCTGATGATTATCTTGAGTAGTGGGCCATCTGGTGGTCTGGTTGGTCTCAGCTAGACTATAAGAGGATTGTAGATTAATGCTCAACTTTGTATTTTGAGAAGGCATTTTGAAATTTTGGTTTTATCTCAGGGCTCCTTCCTGAAGTTTTTAAGCAAGCACAAAGATTAGGCATTGGAAGAGAAAGAATGGTTATTCTAAAATGGAGTGACTGCTTCGGTTACAAATTCCTCACTGCCAATTTTTAAATCCATTTCTATGGAAATGGAGCAAGTCTATTCTGGCTACTTCCTGCTGAATGGGGGCTCCACTGGGGACATAGATATGAAAACATTTGGCCAGGCAGTGAGTTGATGTTCAGGATCTTGTTTGTTTTCAGGTTTTTAGGAATTGATCTCCCAGTTGAAAAAGATGTTGGGCCACATCTGTGGGTTGAGTGGTCCTGCTAGAAGCAACTTACGAAGAGAAATTAATTTAGTCCTTAGAGCCTTAATATATTTTACTATTGCTAGATTTCTTAAAGTATTAGTAGATTCTCCTCCCAGTGTGGAAACTTGGAATAACCAGCCATATAACTTTAAAGAGAGTCAATTTGTGCCTATTTTGGGGAGCCATTTTGATTTACAACAGGGCAACTGTCAGTACCTTGTGTTGAGTCAAATTAGTTTTTTTGACATATATAGGGATTTTTTTTAAGAGTACAGTTTATCGTTTTAGCTTTTTCCACCATTATGGTCTCCAAAATACAATTTAAAGTTTGCAGGAAGGGGTGAGTTACAGCTTTTCCTGACATTACTGCAACTACCATCGTCTTTTTAAAATTGGGATAGACTGGTATTAACTACAAAATATATGGCCTCCATGTCAATAAGAAAGTCAATAAGTTTGTTCCCCACTATCAGTTATACTTGGGTCTCCTGTGAGAATATAATGATATGTTGATTAAACATACGTATTTAACAGGTTATAGGAAGAGCTATGAATATTTATTAAGGTGGTCCTGACACACGTATATTAGACAAATATGCATGTAACACACCACTCATGTTCACCTTGGGGTAGAGACTTAACATTTAATTGTATTACAATTAGGCCCTATATGTTAAAGGTTCTTTTCAGGACACAAAAGCACACAAGTACATAATTTCTGTAAACTGGCCAGAACTAATCCATGGTCAGTGGTATCAGGAAAAAGTTACTGGAACCAGTCTCTTGTTCAATCAAAGTTGTAGTTATGGCTGGTGACACAGGAGCTGGGGTTCAGTCAACATCTGGGGGAACTTCAAATTATTTTAATACTGCTTATCGCAAGGCCAGTGCTTGTTTAGCTGCTAGAGAAAAATAAAAACCTTGTGACAGTTAGAACATAGCATATTCTTTAAGTGTAGGGGTGTGTGCCGTGAGACCCTTGCCTGGTATAGCCTTAGGTTCTGTTTTTAATTCAGTATCTTATTGTCACAGAGAGTCTGCTATCAGTTCATGATTTCTATGTAAACATTAGTGCTGGTCACTTGTGTCTAAACCATAAAAGGGAAGGAGTTTAATGAGGAGTGTCTGATTCTCCCATTTCATGTTGGAAACCGTTTTTAAGGTTTCCTTTCCTGGGGTTTCTTTGACCAAGGAAGTTTCCATTCAGTTGGTGATGGTCTTATAATTTTATTCTTTATTTTATATTCCCTCTTTTTTGGTAAAGATATGCCAGAGGCAGTATTGGTGGTCAAGTTTTATTTTATTCCAAATGGATGCTGGGGTGGTGTGGCTACCTGCCCTGAGTTCATCATGTTGTTTTGTAGGACCCCTATGGCCAAGGGACTTAGAGTCAAAAGACTTAGACCAAGTAACCATTCTGAGCCAGATAGGAATAGAAGTGGGCAGGCATTAATTAACACTTTGACCCCTTTTAAGTAACACAAGAGCCAGAAAACAAAAGCCAAAAAGCAGGATTACAAAGTTGACTTGTCTATAAGTCTTATGTATTGAGCCATTAGCTGTTTAGGCACCTGTGTATCTGTCTTTGATTTGAAGGGTCTAAAGTAATTTTATCCCTCAGAACCGATCCTTACAATATCACACGCCAACCCCTTCCATGATAGTCCCTGAGCTTAAACAAAGGGTGCTTAATCTTGTTTAGCTTTAGCAGCAGTGCATTGGCAATGCAAAACAGACTGGCCCACTAGGATTGAACAGTTTTGAAATTCTGAACTTATTAGGTAGAGAGAGAAAGGTAATCTTTGTTGTTATGTTCAATTTTTGTAAGCTATAAATAGTTAAAAGAAAAAAGATTTTCCTGTCTCTGGAAAAAATATAAAGAATGAGCAATATTTATTTTATTTTGAGGAGGTTTGTCAAAGATGTTAAAAGCTCCAAAATAAGTGATCAAAATGGAATCAGAGGCCAATGAAATATAGTTATTCATGTAACCAATAGTAATAAAAAACTTTTAAAAATCAATACAGAAAGTTACACGAATATAAAACCTTAACTCTTTTAAAGTTCAGTTTTCCTAAGAAATCAAAAACCTGAGAAGACAACACAGGAATTATCTTGATAAAATGTAAAATCTTTGTTTCTTAGGCCAGTTATTAAAAAAAAAGAAAAAAAAAAAAAACACTTGCAGTGTGATTGCTTCTCCTATGGAAAGCTCATTTAGATAACTTGGAAACCAAAGCTGATGAAAAAAAGTACTTGTGTTTCATCAAACCTAGGAAGACTGTGTTCAAGGTTATGAGTATAGCAGGGGAATATATAATTCTTAGTAACTGTATGAGAATTGTCCTAAATAAATTGAAAAAATTAGTCATGTAAAGAAAAGCCAAAAGTATAGAATCAAGTTATTCAGGGGGAAAAAACATTGTTTTTCTAGATCTTCAAGGTAAAACTTTTCATCATCAGGCCACAACAATAGTTAGATCCAGAGGAAGCTTACAAAAAGTTGGAGAGAATTATCAAGGAAAGAAAAAACTGAAAGAAGGAAGACAGAGTAAAAGTTGAACTTTTTAGATATAAATCTGAAAGTGTTCAAAAAGAAACAGGTAATATAATTAAAAATAAAACCTTTTTGAAGTTTCATTAAGAATATTCATTAATCAATACCTTAAGAAAATCTTGTTTTAACATAGGGAATCAATCTTAGAGAGAACGCTATAAATGTTTCTCTTTTAATTATAGCCAATTTAATGACACAAAATGCTTTTTATAAATGCTCTTTCACAAACCTTATAACAATGTACACAGACTACTTACAACATGCTTGAAATTTCTGAGTTATCCTATACTACTTCTTTCCTAAATAACCAGTCATTTTACTTTAGGACAAAAATTTATCATATAAGATCTTTTCTCATAAAAAATTTATTCTAATAATCTTTCTTACCAAAAATTCACCTTCATATTCATAACTTTCTTGACACCTCTGTCTTCTACTTAATGGTCCATTTCTAACTTCTTTCATACATAACTTTTAAATAACCTCTAAATTATGTAACATTATTGATTTTCTCAATAAGAACACAACTGATAGAATTATATGTTAACTAGAATTCTTACTCTTAATGACCTGAAATTTTAGTGAAATCCTAGGAAGAAAGAAATGTTGAACTATCTTGGATGTTAGCATTTTATAGATAAAACTACTGCACAATTTTTAGAAGCATATTTCCCCATATCATAAAACTTTCTTCACTGGAAATGACCAGACATCCAATGAGCATCCATAATGAAATTCAGAATAATTTTAAAATAAATTACGCAAAAACTTCACCTACAACCATTCCTCCCATTTACATGTACTCAATTCTTTCATTTTTAACAGTTTATCTAGGTGACTTCTGAAAACTGAGATACTGCAATTAGACACAGTTCATCATCATTTAAGTTTATTTCCCTGTTAACCATTTTTAAAGCCTGTGAACATCAGGCGTTCACCTAAGTAAGAACCTTAAACTCATGGGTATTTTGCCAATAACTTCGAAAATTCTTCTTATTTCATTGAACCAACAATCTTAAATTAGTTTTATTTGCCAAAAAAACCCCACCCAAACAAAGGTTATTCTGTTTTTTGGTTGAGTTCATAGTATTATAATCTTTATGCCATACTCTAGCACCTTAAAATCTCTACCAGAGGCAAATATAAAATAACCAGTAAACCCATACAAAAATCTATGTTGACAATTCTGAAGACATTTTTATTTTGCTAGTAATTTTAAAACCATTTTTATTTACTAAAGATTACTCATTTCATATGAACTTGAAAAGCATTTGCACTTACTTAATGTTGGGGTGGCCAGACCCAAAACCAGGTTGTGGGGGTGACAAAGTCCGGCGGAGTCAAAGGATTGAGGAAAGGACAGTTTGAGAGAGAAAGATGGGACACCAGAGGACCATCGTGATCGTGGAGACTGCGAAGGCCCTGAGCGCTGGGAGCCCACGCTATTTATTGGTAATCCAACAGGGAAACAGGTGGTGAAAATGTGGAGGTCAAAAGGGCAGGCACATGATCTACAGCTGTGATGGTTTAGCATTTATAAGAAACATGTTCTGCTACTTGAGATAATGGGAATAGGAGCCTAGGAGGGCTAGAAGCAAGGAGCCAGCAAGTCTAGACACATTCCAGAGGACATTATGTCAGTCATGCATGTCCTGCCTCAGCTTTCTTCCCAACCCTCAGCTTTTTTTCCAACACTTAATTTATGAGTATTCATTTATTTGTAACCCAATTTGGTAGCATTGTAGACACAACATACAATATAATACATGTATATATACATAAACACATCTAAACGTATATACATAAATGTAAGTGAAGATCAAATAGCTTTTACCTCAGAACTAGTCATGAGACAGCATTGAAAATTCACTAGCCTACTAAAAGTAGCTGGATCCAAATTATTTTTGACAAAATTGAGACCTGTCCACATGTCTAACCTTGTTTTCTCTTATAGGTAACCTAACACAGGGTGTAGACCAAATTTTTTGGCAAAGCAGTTTTCATGGCAGTTTTTTTTTTTTTAAATCTCTTTTACCTTCTTTTTTTCTTCAGTTTTAAATTAATTTTCATTGTCTATATTTTAGCTCAAATAGGCTGGGCTATGTAAGGCAAACAAAATCTCCAAGTGTCCTTGAATCAGTGTTACCATAAACAGTGAGTTTTATCTCAGCACCAATAAGTTAATAACAGCAGATTCAAAGCAGGCAGGAAGGAAAATAGGAAAATAGAGAGTTCTGGAAGACCCTACTTAACTCTATAGCTGCAGGTTAACCATTTGAGCTCTAAATTTTTCCTACTGTAATGTGCCCTCTAGTTTAAAAATGCACACAAAAATGAGCCATAATATGTAACCAGCTGGAGTCCCAGAAAATCTGGCATGCCTTTGAACTTTTTCATGTTTTTAAACAATTAAAAACCTACAAACACACAGAAAACAAAACAAATGTAGCACTCCCAAACTAATTTCTGAAAAAGGACACCAGAGATGTGTCTTTTAGAATCTTATATCACAACAGATTGTACCACAAACAACCTGTGCCTGGTCCAAATGGCACAGAAGCCCAAACAGCAGAAACAGAGGAATCCTGGTGTGCACACTAGTTTGACTTACCCAGTCTTGGAGGCCGTCAGCTCCTCAGATGCTGCTTTCCCTTGCACCAGCTGAGCACTACAAGCAGCAGAGGCCATGCAGAGAAGCAAAATACTCAAGAAAAGTTTTGTTAGTTGCTAAGGTGTTCCTAAAATCCCAGCTAGGGGGTTAGCTAGCCATGAGCAATTGGTACTCATGAGTAGTTGTCATCCTGTCTGGTAGTGTGAACAGATAAGTTCTGGCACACTTCCATGGCCTATTGCTCCATCCATTGGAAACCAGGCAGACAGGACCACCCAAGACACACCTCCCACATTGGATGCCAGGAATTTTAACTGAGAATCTAGGTTCCACTGTTTGCCATTTGAAAGCCAAACTCAAGAGACAAGAGTTGGTGGAAGGAAAAGCAGGTTTATTGAGGAACTGGCAATCTGAGGAGATGGTAGTCTAGTGTTACAAAGGCCATCTCTGGTTCCACAGGCTGGCTGAATGAATTTTAAAGGATAATGGCCTTGGGAAACTACGTGCAGGTTAGCATGTCTTGTTCTGATGATTATCTTGAGTGGGCCATCTGGTGGTCTGGCTGGTGTCAGCTAGACTGCAACGGTATTGTAGATTAGCTGCTCAGCATTTTCTACAAGGGAGTGTTTTCCAACCTTGATTTTATCTCAAGACAAGTTCCAGAAATTTTTAAGCAAGCACAAAGTTAGGCATCGTAAGAGAAAGAATGACTATTTACTTGTAAAAAATTAGTGCCTGCTTTACTACCACTTTACAGTACCACTTTAATTACCCAATAAGGTCAATTAAATCATCATGAGTTTTATTGTTACTTTTTTCAAAAATTATTAATGGAAATGTGCATTCTGGATCAGAGTGAGAGATTGAATATGTATTTTTAACTTTCTTACCTCCAGAGATGACATTGAGATGATGTTAATGGAATAAAAAAAGTTTACATTTACAGTGATGAAGAAAATGAGAATGACTAAAGAAATGAGGTCAACATTCTTTAGGTATATGGAAAGGAAATAGAGGAATGCTTGCTAATGAAGTCAGAACTGCAGCCTAGGATAAGAAAGTAGAAAATTGTAGCCAAGGAGGGTGGCAGATGTGCTTTGTAGATCTTAGGCAGAAGGATTGGTGTTTGACATGCCAACTAAAGAATGGGGATTAAAAGAAGGAGATTAATTACAAATTAGTAGGTAATATGGTTGACTAGTCACCTCTCTCCATTCTAGACATTTAACACAACTTGCTCATCACTAAAGAAACTGAATGCACTCTTTGATGAGAACTAAGGTAATTAGTGTGGACACAGAAGTCTCAGAACATCCTCGTTTTGGGGTCCCAAAGTGTGAAATCCCAATCCTCTTGAGAACAATGATTGATGAGACATGCAAACTACTGAAAAGTCACACTCAGTTAGGTATTGTCTCCCTCTTAGGACCGAAGATTATCAGATTTTTGAAAAAAAAATAGTAGAAAAGAACTCTATATACGCAGGTATACAAGATGGATTTGGTAAGGGAATAACAAAACGTTACATAAAAATTAGAAATATATAATTGAAACAGGAGGTCAAACATCCAACTAATTGGAGCTTGGGGAAGAGAAAATAAAAAAAATAAGAGAAAATTTTCAAAGAAATAATGTAGGAAATGTCTCAAGCTGAATCACACAATACTTTAGATTAAAAGATCTATATAGACTAAAGTAACTATTTACCATATTTGAACATTGAGAACAACAAGGCTAAAGAAAAGGAGGAGTTTGTTGTTACCCACCTTCTGAATCCTACTTCTGTCAATTCATCAAGCTCATTCTCTGTCCAGTTTTGTTCCCTTGCTGGCGAGGAGTTGTGATTCTTTGGAGGAGAAGAGGCATTTGGGTTTTTGGAATTTTCAGCCTTGTTGCACTGGTTTCTCCCCGTCTTCGTGGACTTATCTACCTCTGGTCTTTGATGTGGTGACCTTTGGATGGGGTCTCTGAGTGGACGTCCTTTTTGTTGACGTTGGTGCTGTTCCCTTTTTTGTTAGTTTTCCTTCTAACAGTCAGGCCCCTCTGCTGCAGGTCTGCTGGAGTTTTCTGGAGGTCCACTACAGATGCCAACCAGAGTTTTCCTGTATGAAATGTCTGTCGGAACCTACTGGGAGGTGTCTCCCAGTCAGTATACATGGGGGTCAGGGACCCACTTGAGGAGGCAGTCTGACCCTTAGCAGAGCTCGAATACTGTTCTGGGGGATTTGATGCTCTCTTCAGAGCCATCAGGCAGGGACATTTAAGTCTGCTGAAGCTGCACCCACAGCCGCCCCTTCCCCGAGGTGCTTTGTCCCAAGAAGATGTGAGTTTTATCTATAAGCCCCTGACTGGGGCTGCTGCCTTTTTTTCAGAGATGCCCTGCCCAGAGAAAAGGAAGCTAGAGAGGCAATCTGGCCACAGCGGCCTTGCTGAAAACACTCTTCAGGATATTATCCAGGAGAATTTTCCCAACCTAGCAAGACAAGCTAACACTCAAATTCAGGAAATACAAAGAGCACCACTAAGATACTCTTTGAAAAGAGCAACCCCAAGACCCATAATCATCAGATTCACCAAGGTTGAAATGAAGGAAAAAATGTTAAGGCAGCAAAAGAGAAAGGTCGGGTTACCCACAAAGGGAAGCCCATCAGACTAATAGCGGATTGCTCAGCGGAAATTCTACAAGCCAGAAGAGAGAGGGGCAATATTGAACATTCTTAAAGAAAAGAATTTTGAACCCAGAATTTCATATCCAGCCAAACTAATCTTCATAAGTGAAGGACAAATAAAATATTTTACGGACAAACAAATGCTGAGAGATTTTGTCACCACCTGGCCTGCCTTACAAGAGGTCCTGAAGGAAGCACTAAACATGGAAAGGAACAACTGGTACCAGACACTGCAAAAACATAACAAATTGTAAGGACCACTGACACTATGAAGAAACAGCATCAACTAATGGGCAAAATAACAAACTAGCATCATAATGACAGGAAAAAATTCACACATAACAATATTAACCTTAAATGTGAGTGGGCTAAATGCCCCAATTAAAAGACAGAGACTGGCAAATTGGATAAAGAGTCAAAATCCATTGGTGTGCTGTATTCAGGAGACCCATCTCACTTGCAGAGACACACATAGGCTCAAAATAAAGTGATGGAGGAAGATCTACCAAGCAAATGGAAAGGAAAAAAAAAAGCAGGAGTTGCAATCCTAGTCTCTGATAAAACAGACTTTAAACCAACAAAGATCAAAAGAGACAATGAAGGGCATTGCATAATGATAAAGGGATCAATGCAACAAGAAGAGCTAACCATCCTAAATATATATGCACCCAATACAGGAGCACCCAGATTCATAAAGCAAGTTCTTGGAGACTTACAAGGAGACTTAGACTCCCACACAATAATAGTGGGAGACTTTAACACCCCACTGTCAATATTAGACCGATCAATGAGACAGAAAATTAACAAGGAGATTCAGGACTTGAACTCAGCTCTGGATCAAGTGGAACTAATAGACATCTACAGAACTCTCCACCCCAAATCAACAGAATATACAGTCTTCTCAGCACCTGATTGCATTTATTCTAAAATTGACCACATAATTGGAAGTGAAACACTCCTTAGCAAATGTAAAAGAACAGAAATCATAACAAACAGTCTCTCAGACCACAGTGTAATCAAATTAGAACTCAGGATTAAGATACTCACTCAAAACTGCTCAACTACATGGAAACTGAACAACCTGCTCCTGAATGACTGCTGGGTAAATAACGAAATGAAGGCAGAAATAAAGATGATCTTTGAAACCAATGAGAACAAAGATACAAGGTACCAGAATCACTGGGACACATTTAAAGCAGTGTGTAGAGGAAAATTTATAGCACTAAATGCCCACAAGAGAAAGCAGGAAAGATCTAAAATCGACACCTTAACATCACAATGAAAAGAACTAGAGAAGCAAGAGCAAACATATTCAAAAGCCAACAGAAGACAAGTAATAACTAAGATCAGAGCAGAACTGAAGGAGATAGAGACACAAAAACCCTTCAAAAAATCATTGATTCCAGGAGCTGGTTTTTTGAAAAGATCAACAAAATAGATAGACTGCTAGCCAGACTAATAAAGAAGAAAAGACAGAAGAATCACACAGGCACAATAAAAAAAAATGATAAAGGGGATATCAACACTGATCCCACAGAAATACAAACTACTATCAGAGAATACTATAAACACCTCTATGCAAATAAACTAGAAAATCTAGAAGAAATGGATAAATTCCTGGACACATACACCCTCCCAAGACTAAAGCAGGAAGAAGTTGAATCCCTGAATAGACCAATAACACTTCTGAAATTGAAGCAATAATTAATAGCCTACCAATCAAAAAAATCCAGGACCAGATGGATTCACAGCTGAATTCTACCAGAGGTGCAAAGAGGAGCTGGTACCATTCCTTCTGAAACTATTCCAAAGAACAGAAAAACGGAATCCTCCCCAACTCATTTTATGAAGCCAGCAGCATCCTGATACAAAAACCTGGCAGAGACACAACAAAAAAAGAAAATTTCAAGCCAATATCCCTGGTGAACATCTATGTGAAAATCCTCAATAAAATACTGGCAAACTGAATCCAGCAGCACATCAAAAAGCTTATCCACCACGATCAAGTTGGCTTCATCCCTGGGATGCAAGGCTCATTCAACATATACAAATCAATAAGTGTAATCCATCACATAAACAGAACCAATGAAAAAAACCACATGATTATCTCAATAGATGCAGAAAAGGCCTTTGAGAAAATTCAACACCGCTTCATGCTAAAAACTCGCAATAAACCAGGAATAGATGGACTGTGTCTCAAAATAATAAGAACCATTTATGACAAGTCCACAGCCAATATCATTCTAAATGGGCAAAAACTGGAAGCATTCCCTTTGAAAACTGGGACAAGACAGGGATGCCCTCTCTCACCACTCCTATTCAACATAGTATTGGGAGTTCTGGCCAGGGCAATCAGGCAGGAGAAATAAATAAAGAGTATCCATATAAGAAAAGAGGAAGTCAAATAGTCTCTGTTTACAGATGACATGATTGTATATTTAGAAAATGCCATCATCTCAGCCCAAAATCTCCTTAAGCTGATAAGCAACTTCAGCAAAGTCTCAGGATACAAAGTCAATGTGAAAAAATCACAAGCATTTCTATACACCAATAACAGATAAACAGAGAGCCAAATCATGAGTGAACTCCCATTCACAATTGCTACAAAGACAATAAAGTACCTGGGAATACAACTTACAACCAATGTGAAGGACCTCTTCGAGGACAACTTCAATGCACTGATCAAGGAAATAAGAGACGACACAAACAAATGGAAAAACATTCCATGCTCATGGATAGGAAGAATCAATATTGTGAAAATGGCCATACTGCCCAAGGTAATTTAAAGATTCAATGCTATCCCCATCAAGCTACCACTGACTTTCTTCACAGAAATAGAAAAAAAACTACTTTGAATTTCATATGGAACCAAAAAAGAGCCTGTATATCCAAGATAATCCTAAGACAAAAGAACAAAGCTGGAGACATCAAGCTACCTGACTTCAAAATATACTACAAGGCTACAGTAACCAAAACAGCATGGTACTGGTACCAAAACAGAGATATAGACAAATGGATCAGAACAGAGGCCTCAGAAATAACACCACACATCTAAAACCATCTGATCGTTGACAAACCTGACACAAAAAAGCAATGGGGAAAGGATTCCCTATTTAATAAATGGTGTTGGGAAAACAGGCTAGCCATATGAGCAAAACTGAAACTGATTCCCTTCCTTACACCTTATACAAAAATTAACTCAAGATAGATTAAAGTCTTAAATATATGACCTAAAACCATAAAAGCCCTCGAAGAAAACCTAGGCAATAGCATTCAGGACATAGGCAAGGACAATGATTTCATGACTAAAACACCAAAAGCAATGGCAACAAAAGCCAAAATTGACAAATGGGATCTAATTAAGCTAAAGAGCTTCTGCACAGCCAAAACTGTATGAAACTATCATCATAGTGAACACACAACCTACAGAATGGGAGAAAATTTTTGCAATCTCTCCATCTGACAAAGTGCCAATATCCAGAATCTACAAAGAACTTAAACAAATTTACAAGAAAAAATCAAACAACCCTATCAAAAAGTGGGCAAAGAATATGAACAGACACTTCTCAAAAGAAGACATTTTTGCAGCCAACAAACATATGAAAAAAAGCTCATCATCACTTGTCATCAGAGAAATGCAAATCAAAATCACAATGAGATACCATCTCATGCCAGTTAGAATGGTGATCATTAAAAATTTAGGAAACAACAGATGCTGGAGAGGATGTGGAGAAATAGGAATGCTTTTACACCTTTGGTGAGAGTATAAATTAGTTCAACCATTGTGGAAGATAGTGTGGCAATTCCTCAAGCATCTAGAACTAGAAATACCAGTTGACCCAGCAATCCCATGATGGGACACATACCCAAAGGATTATAAATCATTCTAGTATAAAGACACATGCACACATATGTTTATTGCAGCACTGTTCACAATAGCAAAGACTTGGAACCAACCCAAATGACCATCAATGATAGACTGGATAAAGAAAATGTAGTACATATACACCATGGAATACTATGCAGCCATAAAAAAGAATTAGTTCATGTCCTTTGCTGGGACATGGTTGAAGCTGGAAACTGTCATTCTCAGAAAACTAACAAAAGAACGCAAAACCAAACACCACATGTTCTCACTCATAACTGGGAGTTGAACAATGAGAACACACAGACACAGGGAGGGGAACATCACACACCAGGGCCTGTTGGGGGCGGGGGCCCCCGATGGATAGCATTAGGAGATATACCTAATGTAGATGATGGGTTGATGGGTACAGCAAACCACCATGGCACATGTATACCTATGTAACAAAACTGCACGTTCTGCACGTGTACCCTAGAACTTAAAGTATATATATTAAAGTATATATATTTAAAAAAACCAGGAAAGACTTGATCACACAATATTTTGCAGCAAGAACCGGAACCATCGCATTTTGCTAGAAGGACAGGTAACATATTCTTTAATCTTTTATGATTTTGTGCTCAGGTTTACTTTATATGGTTCCTAAGTGAACAAATACTGAAGGTAAATATATATACATACATCGGTGACTAGAAGGAAATAGATAATGTAGAAATGAAAAAAATTATTAATTGGTAACTATAAGTGGTGTTATAAGTGTAAAAATGAAACTGTTTTGCAACTATGGAACAAAGAAGATGGCCTTTTTTTCTTCATCAAAACTATGAACTAAAGGTTGAAAAAAATTCATCAGGTGTGCTGCATTTTGATGATGTCAGTTCAAGAAGAGCCAGAATAATGATAAGTCAGAACAAATTAGGGATGTGTTTGATACCTGGAATCAATATTTAGAAGATGCATATACTTCTGGTTCATACATGACAATTGATGAAGCATTAGTTGCTTTTAGAAAACATTAAATACATATACTTTCAAAACCAAAACTTTTTTTTTAATTTTTTTAAATTATACTTTAAGTTCTAGGGTACATGCACACAACGTGCAGGTTTCTTCCATATGCATATATGTACCATGTTGGTGTGCTGCACCCATTAACTCGTCATTTAGCATTAGGTATATCTCCTAATGCTATCCCTCCCCCCTCCCCTCACCCTATGACAGGACCCGGTGTGTGATGTTCCCCACCCTGTGTCCAAGTATTCTCATTGTTCAATTCCCAACTATGAGTGAGAACATGCAGTGTTTCGTTTCCTGTCCTTGTGATAGTTTGCTCAGAATGATGGTTTCCAGCTTCATCCATGTCCCCACAAAGGACATGAAATGATCTATTTTTATGGCTGCATGGTATTCCATGGTGTATATGTGCCACATTTTCTTAATCCAGTCTATCATTGATGGATATTTGGATTGGTTCCAAGTCTTTGCTATTGTGAATTGTGCCATAATAAACATACATGTGCATGTGTCTTTATAGCAGCATGATTTATAATCCTTTGGGTATATACCCAGTAATGGAATGGCTGGGTCAAATGGTATTTCTAATTCTAGATCCTTGAGGAGTTGCCACACTGTCTTTCACAATTTTTGAACTAGTTTACAGTCCCACCAACACTGTAAAAGTGTTCCTATTTCTCCACATCCTCTCCAGCACCTATTGTTTCCTGACTTTTTAATGACTGCCAATCTAACTGGTGTAAGATGGTATCTCATTGTGGTTTTGATTTGCATTTCTCTGATGGCTGGTGATGATGAGCATTTTTTCATGTATCTGTTGGCTGCATAAATGTCTTCTTTTGAGAAGTGACTGTTCATATCCTTTGTCCACTTTTTGGTGGGGTTGTTTGATATTTTATTGTAAATTTGTTTAATTTCTTTGTAGATTCTGGATATTAGCCCTTTGTCAGATGCCTAGTTAGCAAAAATTTTCTCTCATTCTGTAGGTTGCCTGTTCATTCTGGTGGTAGTTTCTCTTGCTGTGCAGAAGCTCTTTAGCTTAATTGGATCCCATTTCTCAATTTTGGCTTTTGTTGCCATTGCTTTTGGTGTTTTAGACATGAAGTCCTTGCCCATGCCTATGTCCTGAATGGTATCGCCTAGGTTTTCTTCTAGGGTTTTTATGGTTTTAGGTCTCATATTTAAGTCTTTAATCTATCTTGAATTAATTTTTGTATAAGGTGTAAGGAAGGGATCCAGTTTCAGCTTTCTACATATGGCTAGCCAGTTTTCCCAGCACCATTTATTAAATAGGGAATCTTGTTCCCATTTCTTGTTTTTGTCAGGTTTGTCAAAGATCAGATGGTTGTAGATGTGTGGTATTATTTCTGAGGGCTCTGTTCTGTTCCATTGGTCTGTATCTCTGTTTTGGTACCAGTACCATGATGTTTTGGTTACTGCAGCCTTGTACTATAGTTTGAAGTCAGGTAGCGTGATGTCTGAAGCTTTGTTCTTTTGGCTTAGGATTGTCTTGGCAATGCAAGCTCTTTTTTTCTTCCATATGAACTTTAAAGTAGTTTTTTCCAATTCTGTGAAGAAAGTCATTGGTAGCTTGATGGGGATGGCATTGAATCTATAAATTACCTTGGGCAGTATGGCCATTTTCATGCTATTGATTCTTCTTATCCATGAGCATGGAATGTTTTTCCATTTGTTTGTGTCCTCTTTTATTTCGTTGAGCAGTGGTTTGTAATTCTCCTTGAAGAGGTCCTTCACATGCCTTGTAATTTGGAATCCTAGGTATTTTATTCTCTTTGAAGCAATTGTGAATGGGAGTTCACTCATGATTTGGCTCTCTGTTTGTCTGTTATAGGTGTATAGGAATGCTTGTGATTTTTGCACATTGATTTTGTGTCCTGAGATTTGCTAAAGTTGCTTATGAGCTTAAGGAGATTTTGGGCTGAGATGATGGGGTTTTCTAAATATACAATCATGTCATCTGCAAACAGGGAAAATTTGAGTTCCTCTTTTCCTAATTGAATACCCTTTATTTCTTTCTCTTGCCTGAATGCCCTGGCGAGAACTTCCAACACTATGTTGAATAGGAGTGGTGAGAGAGGGCATCCCTGTCTTGTCCCAGTTTTCAAAGGGAATGCTTCGAATTTCTGCCCACTCAGTACAGTATTGGCTGTGGGTTTGTCATAAATAGCTATTATTATTTTTATATACGTCCCATCAATACCTAATTTGTTGAGAGTTTTTAGCATGAAGCGCTGTTGAATTTTGTCAAAGGCCTTTTCTGCATCTATTGAGACAATCGTGTGGTTTTTGTCTTTGGTTCTGTTTATAAGATGGATTATGTTTATTGAATTGTGTTAGTTGAACCAGCCTTGCATCCCAGGGATGAAGCCCACTTGATCATGGTGGATAAGCTTTTTGATGTGCTGCTGGATTTGGTTTGCCAGTATTTTATTGAGGATTTCTGCATCGATGTTCATCAGGGATATTGGTCTAAAACTCTCTTTTTTTGTGTGTCTCTGCCAGGCTTTTGTATCAGGATGATGCTGGCCTCATAAAATGAGTTAGGGAGGATTACCTGTTTTTCTATTGATTGGAATAGTTTCAAAAGGAATGGTACCAGCTCCTCTTTGTATCGCTGGTAGAATTCGTCTGTAAATCCTTCTGATCCTGGACTTTTTTTGGTTGGTAGGCTCTTAATTATTGCCTCAATTTCAGAGCCTGTTATCGGCCTATTCAGGGATTCAACTTCTTCTTGGTTTAGTCTTGGGAGGGTGTATGTGTCCAGGAATTTATGCATTTCTTCTAGATTTTCTAGTTTATTTGTGTGGAGGTGTTGTAGTATTCTCTGATGGTAGTTTGTATCTTTGTGGGATCGGAGGTGATATCCCCTTTATCACTTTTTATTACTTCTATTTGATTCTTCTCTCTTTTCTTCTTTATTAGTCTTGCTAGTGGTCTATCAAATTTGTTGATATTTTCAAAATCCAGCTCCTGGATTCACTGATTTTTTGAAGGGTTTTTTTTGTATCTCTATCTCCTTCAGTTCTGCTCTGATCTTAGTTATTTCTTGCCTTCTGCTAGCTTTTGAATGTGTTTATTCTTGCTTCTCTATTTCTTTTCATTGAGATGTTAGGTTGTCAATTTTAGATCTTTCCTGCTTTCTCTTGTGGGCATTTAGTGCTATCAATTTCACTCTACACACTGCTTTGAATGTGTCCCAGAGATTCTGGTATGTTGTGTCTTTGTCCTCATTGGTTTCAAAGAACATCTTTATTTCTGCCTTCATTGCATTATGTACCCAGTAGTAATTCAGGAGCAGGTTGTTCAGTTTCCATGTAGTTGAGCGGTTTTGAGTGAGTTTCTTAATCCTGAGTTCTAGTTTGATTGCACTGTGGTCTGAGAGACAGTTTGTTGAAATTTCTGTTCTTTTACATTTGCTGAGGAGTGCTTTACTTCCAACTATGTGGTCAATTTTGGAATAAGTGTGATGTGGTGCTGAGAAGAATGTATATTCTGCTGATTTGGGGTGGAGAGTTCTGTAGATGTCTATTAGATCTGCTTGGTGCAGAGCTGAGTACAATTCCTGGAGATCCTTGTTAACTTTCTGTCTCGAGGATCTGTGTAATGTTGACAGTGGGGTGTTAAAATCTCCCATTATTAATGTGTGGGAGTCTAAGTCTCTTTGTAGGTCTCTAAGAACTTGCTTTATGAATCTGGGTGCTCCTGTATTGGGTGCATATATATTTAGGATAGTTAGTTCTTCTTGTTGAATTGATCCCTTTACCATTATGTAATGGCCTTCTATGTCTCCTGTGATCTTTGTTGGTTTAAAATCTGTTTTATCAGAGACTAGGATTGCAACTCCTGCTTTTTTTTTTTTTTTTTCCATTTGCTTGGTAGATCTTCCTCCATCCCTTTATTTTGAGCCTATGTGTGCCTCTGCATGTGAGAAGGGTCTCCTGAATACATCACAATGATGGGTTTTGACTCCTTGTCCAATTTGCCAGTCTGTGCATTTTAATTGGAGCATTTATCCTATTTACATATAAGGTTAATATTGTTATGTGTGAATTTGTTCCTGTCATTATTATGTTAGCTGGTTATTTTGCTCTTTAGTTGATGCAGTTTCTTCCTATCGTTGATGGTCTTTACAATTTGGCATGTTTTTGCAGTGACTGGTACTAGTTTTTCCTTTCCATGTTTAGTGCTTCCTTCAGGAGCTCTTGTAAGGCAAGCCTGGTGGTGACAAAATCTCAGCATTTGCTCATCTGTAAAGGATTTTATTTCTCCTTCAGTTATGAAGATTAGTTTGGCTGTAAATGAAATTCTGGGTTCAAAATTCTTTTCTTTAAGAATGTTGAATATTGGCCCTCACTCTCTTCTGGCTTGTAGAGTTTCTGCTGAGAGATCCGCTGTTAGTCTGATGGGCTTCCCCTTGTGGGTAACCCGACCTTTTTCTTTGGCTACCCTTAACATTTTTTCCTTCATTTCTACTTTGGTGAATCTGACAATTATGTGTCTTGGAGTTGCTCTTCTCGAGGAGTATCTTTGTGGCATTCTCTGTATTTCCTGAATTTGAATGTTGGCCTGCCTTACTAGGTTGGGGAAGTTCTCCTGGATAACATCCTGAAGAGCATTTTCCAACTTGGTTCCATTCTCCCCATGACTTTCAGGTACAGCAATCAGATGTAGATTTGGTCTTTTCACATATTCCCATATTTCTTGGAGTCTTTATTCATTTCTTTTTACTCTTTCTTTTCTAAACTTCTCTTCTCACTTCATTTCTTTCGTTTGATCTTCATTCACTGCTACCCTTTCTTCCAGTTGATTGACTCAGCTACTAAAGACTGTGCATGTATCATGTAGTTCTCATGCCATGGTTTTCATCTCCATCAGGTCATTTAAGGTCTTCTCTATGCTGTTTATTCTAGTTAGCCATTTGCCTAATCTTTTTTCAAGGTTTTTAGCTTCTTTGCAATGGGTTCGAACATCCTACTTTAGCTCGGAGAAGTTTGTTGTTTCTGATCTTCTGAAGCCTTCTCTCAACTCGTCAAAGTCATTCTCCATCCAGCTTTGTTCCATTGCTGGTGAGGAGCTGTTTTCCTTTGGAGGAGAAAAGATGCTGTGATTTTTAGAGTTTTCAGCTTTTCTGCTCTTGTTTCTCCCCATCTTTGTGATTTTATCTACCTTTGGTCTTTGATGATAGTGATGTACAGATGGGGTTTTGGTGTGGATGTCCTTTCTGTTTGTTAGACTTCCTTCTAACAGTCAGGACTCTCAGCTGCAGGTCTGTTGGAGTTTGCTGGAGGTCCACTCTAGACCCTGGTTTCCTGGGTATCAGCAGTGGAGGCTGCAGAACAGCAAATATTGCGGAACGCCAAATGTTGCTGCCTGATCGATCCTCTGGAATCTTCGTCTCAGAGGGGCACCCGGCCGTATGAGGTGTCAGGCAGCCCCTACTGGGCGGTGCCTCCCAGTTAGGCTACTTGGTGGTCAGGGACCCACTTGAGGAGGCAGTCTGTCTGCTCTCGGATCTCAGACTCCATGCTGGCAGAACCACTACTGTCTTCAAAGCTGTGAGACAGGGATGTTTAAGTCTGCAGGAGATTCTGCTGCCTTTTGTTCAGCTATGCCCTGCCCCCAGAGGTGGAGTCTACAGAAGCAGGCAGGCCTCCTTGAGCTGTGGTGGGCTCCACCCAGTTTGAGCTTCCAGGCTTCTTTGTTTACCTACTCAAGCCTCAGCAATGGTGGGCGCCCCTCCCCCAGCCTTGCTGCCGCCTTGCGGTTTGATCTCAAACTGCTGTGCTAGCAGTGAGCAAGGCTCTGTGGGCATGGGACCCACTGAGTCAGGCATGGAATATAATCTCCTGGTGTGCCATTTGCTAAGACCGTTGGAAAATTGCAGTATTAGGGTGGGAGTGTCCCAATTTTCCAGTTGCTGTCTGTCACTGCTTCCCTTGGCTAGGAAAGAGAATTCCCCGGCCCCTTGTGCTTCCTAGGTGAGGCAATGCCTCGCCCAGCTTTGGCTCACAGACCGTGGGCCGCACCCACTATCCTGTACCCACTGTCCGACAAGTCCTAGTGAGGTGAACCCAGTACCTCAGTTGGAAATGCAGAAATCACCAGTCTTTTGCGTCACTCACACTGGAAGCTATAGACTGGAGCTATTTCTATTTGGCCATCTTGATTCCTCCTCCAAAACCAAAACTTTCTAATGAAATGTCACTGCCTCTTTATTTTTATTTCTGCTATGTAAAATGACTTGAATATAAAAATAAAATTATGTGGCCCATCTGACCCAGCTCATGAAAAAACAAATAAAAGAACCGTAAAAACATGCCTTCAAATTTGTTTATTCTTCTACTGATAATTCTATGACCAGTGAAATTATCAAATGTCAAGATAGAAGAAATCATTTTTAGGCATTTAAACAATTATAATCTTTGTTTATCATGCATCCTACCTTAGCATGTTACTTTCAGAGAAATTATAAAGAAATAAACAGAAATAAAAAACTAAAAATGCAAACAGATTAAATATTTCTCAAAGGAAATTAGTAACTGTAAGAAAGACAAAACTGTCTAACACTAAATCATAAAAGTATAATTCTCAATGTACCAATAATTAATGTTTTATATACTCATATTAACATGATTAATGAATTCATTCAGAATTTTAAAATCAATTTAAAGCCAGAGAAGTGGATCTAATTTTACTAATTGAAAGGAATCACCCTTGACCATATAAATGTACATGTGGCAAGTTGAAGGACAAAATGATAAACAAAAAAGACAATCAGAAGGATAATAAAACCCATATCTTAATATGGTAATGTTTAGAGCCAAGAATACTATATATTCTGTAGATTAAGAAATAAAAATATGAGCAATATTATTTACATTTTCCAAAACTAACTAATAAAGCATATAAATTTGGTGTTGTAATTATGCTGATAGTAAAAGATAAAGTGGGCTTGGCTGAATAAATCATAACAAAAAACCCAACTTCATGAAGTTTATAAAGGCAGAAGTAGCAACATTAATATATTAATCTATAATATGGGCATAACTCCCAGGAGAAATAGTTAAAGAATTGAATGTGTGAAGGGATGAGGGAAGAAAATGTTATGTTTGATTTTTAACAATCTTATTTGATTAAAAATAAATCCATAGATAATTTTAATAAACAGAAACAAGTTTAAATACATACTTGTATATGTGCACCCTGAAGTTATAAAATTTATTAAAGTAGCTAAGCTCTACTCTCTAGCAATTATTTTTTAATGGTAACCAGATAGCAGCCACCATAGGGAATAACTGACAGTCTAACCATTTTGTAATTCTTAAAATCTAATGAGCTTCATACTCAGTTTATTTGATCCACTCCTCCTGACTACAGCTTACTCATCATTTTTATCTGTTACTGATTTTCTAAGTACCTCATAACTCAATGGTCTTTATCTTTCTTTCTTTACCCCTGCCTTCTGTAAGATGTTAGAAGGTATAGTCAGTTTTGATGACTCACTCTTGGAAATTGTTTATTACCTTATTACCTACACTCTGTGACACTATTTTCTACTCATTCCTCTTACACATTTCAGTTTCTTTTTTAGTCTCCTTTATAGATCTCTGTTTGTCTTTATATTAGGTCTCCAGGACTCACTTTTCATACAGTTCATGGGTCTTTACATCTAAAAATATGACTTTACATAACAAATCCAAAATCTATATTTAAAGTCTCATCCAAACAACTTATCCAAAGTTATTCTTTTATATATAACACTATATTGTGCCCCTCAAATTGAATAACTCACCAGTATTTCAAACTCAACCTGTCATGAACTCTTAACTGTTCTTCCTCCACTTGTCCTACTTCATCAAGCTGCTGGTCCTCCTAAAATAATTGTATTATCTACCTATTTTAGCAATATTCATAAACAATGGCACTCTGGGATGATCATTGAGCATACCTTCATCAGTTACCATGCTTCTTGTCACCAAACAGTGTAGACTCTTCCTCTGTAATAACTTAAAAATAAAGGCTCTCAACTCTTTTATATAACCTGCTTACTCTTTTGATACTATCCCCTTTATAAAAGCCTTCAACGGCTCTTGTATCTTTCATTTTTCCCACTCAAAAATTATCTGTCTCAGCAAAAGTGGGTCTTCAGTGTCTCCAAAAATGTGATGGGCATGTTATCTGCAAGATTTATTCTTTCAATAAAGCTGTTATCTCTTTACTCCACTTGCCTATATCTTACTCAACCTTCACATAACCCATCTCCTCAATAAAATCTTCACTTTCTCTGCAAATATTTGGACATCACTTACTATTTTGAAACCTATGGAACTTACTAGCAATACCAATTACTAAACTTGTTCTATATGTTAGGCTGAAACTTTTTTTCCCTTAAAAATTATTTATCTTACCCATTAGATGTTAAGGATTTCTTAAGAACAAAATGTATCCTATGCCTCTTCAAATTCTCAGTGTCTGTGTGTCCTACACATATTAGCTTCTCACAATATATTTTTGATGAGATGAATAAAAAATCTTTATAGAATATATTTTCCCAATTTTCTCATTGTGGAATAATCTATACATTTAGAGTACTATAGTAAAGCACTAGCTTTTGATGTAAAAAATGTTTTAATGCATACCCTGTCATCATGTACTAGGATAAATAACACTAACATGTATACATTATTGATCTTTAGAAGCTTAATATGTGTTAGTTGATGAAAATGTCCTAACAATGTCCATCTAAGAACCATGACCTTTATCATATACCAATGGATTATATTTTAGACAAGCAAAACCAAACATTATGCAAAGATATATTTTTAGGTATCCACTAAAAAAGCTACCTGCTAATTATCTAGGAATTCATTTTTTCGGTTTCTGTAAATTTCATGCTAATCATCTATTTTATGAGATGCATGAATCAGGTATCTAGCCAAATTTTGCTCAGTAAAGATGTTAGCTTGAGAGTATGTAGGCACAGTTCAAATCAGATTCAAAAAGATGAAATAATAATAATTAAAAAGATTTGGAAGATGATAGAGAATAATGCTCATCTGAATATTTCTCATCAAAATTATTCTTATAGCCATGGTCCCATGATCATCAAAGATGAGAGAGATTAAAGTAAATTTGAAAGGGAAGTGATAAAGGCACCCTAATATTCTCATCTATGTACTTCCTAAGGCTGAGTTCCCAACTTCCTGGTGGAAAAGGTAATTCCTTCTCAGAATACTGAGTTTTTGTTACTGCTTACATTTACAATTAATTTCCACTTAAAATATGCTGCAACTAATAAATAACCTCAGAATCTTAATGGCTTACAGAAACAAATATTTTGTTTTCACCCATGTTACATACTGATCCCATGCTACCCCCTGTAGTACTGCTACAGGTGTCTTCTTTCTAGGTCCTTAGCTGACTGAGCTGTCTCTAAGTGGGATAGAAGTAAAAGAAAGAATGGTGGTACTAACTAATGGATATTTAAGCTGTTCAGAGATGATGTGTGTTACTTGTTCTCATTTCAATGATAAAAGCAAGTTCATGATCTACCATAAGTAATGTTACAGCAGTGAATTATTTGAACAATAATTCTTCCACAATTTATTCCTGCTGTCACATATATTCTCTTACTTTCTTCATATTAAATATTCTCACTTTCTTCCAAATAGAGTTAAATTAAAAATTTTATCCATCACAGCACTAGGCTTAAAGTCTAGGCTCTCATGATCTCTACATTGGTTTACAATATGAATTGTTTTAATCTAGACATTTCTGAATTAAATGACACACTATATCTCTCAAACATGCACTTTACAATTTTGGAACAGAAAACTACAATAAATATACCTATTGAAAGAGGAAAAAATGGATGATGCCTAGGTGTTACTGGTTTGTTGTATATCCATTGAGGCCCAGTTCAGCTCCAGCTTAGCTGCATATGTTTTCTCTCTGCAACTAAGACAGGTGGATTTGTCTGTATCAGAGGCTCCTGGAAAAAAGAGTAAACACAATCGCTCAAGATTTTCTTCTTGAAAACCTACTCATAATTGTCACTCACATTTTATTGCCCAAGAAAGTTACATAACCAAAGCTGACTTCTAGAGGAATAGAATAAATAATAGAATAAAGGTAGAATGAAGTTTGAAAAATACTAAAATCTACCATATTAAATTAGCATAACTTTAATACAAACACAAGTGCACAGGAAGAATTGTGTATATGCATTTTTGTTGAATACACAGAATGTAGAAAGAGCCAGAAAATCTATATTTTCTCAATATGTATAATATACATATATTTCAATTTACATGATATGAAGTAGTTTAAGTGAGTACATGCTTTTAAAATAGACCAAATTTTATCTAGTATGTCTCCTTGTAAATTTCCTGGCTTCTTTGATAGATACTATAATTAAAAGAATAATATCTTTGCCCAAGATAATATGCCTTCATCATTGATAATTGTTGTCCATTATCGAAGTCAAAACTAGCCATGGAAGTCCAGCTTCATCTCTCGTTTCCTACCTTCCATTACTAAGAAACGTGTACATATAATATACAATAAAACGTTAAGAATTAGCATGGCTTGCCAAAATATTTTCTTATTGTTCTTTATCCTGATTTAATTTATAAACTTGTTGATAAAATAAAGTCCTTATAGAAATGAGAGTTTAAAATGAATATTCTTGAAATGCAATATATTTATATGCAGTGATAGGGAATTCCTCTGAACTTTTCTGACCATGGTTTGTTGTCTTACTCATCAATAATTGGTCTTAAAAGTGGTTCTCTTAGAATAACTTAAATTTACTAAGTATCCAATAGTTCAAATATCATAATAAACTGCTGCATTCATCAACAACTGAAATGGGAATAATCATTTTTATAATAGATCTAGTACATTATTTGCACTTCCCCCTTTGGTCTTTAATGATATTTGCTTAAAAATATTAACAAGGTTACTGTAGCCTTGTAGTATAGTTTGAAGTCAGATAGCATGGTGCCTCCAGCTTTGTTCTTTTGGCTTAGGATTGACTTGGTGATGCGGGCTCTTTTTTGGTTCCATATGAACTTTAAAGTAGTTTTTTCCAGTTCTGTGAAGAAAGTCATTGGTAGCTTGATGGGGATGACATTGAATCTATAAATTACCTTGGGCAGTATGGCCATTTTCATGATATTGATTCTTCCCACCCATGAGCTTGGAATGTTCTTCCATTTGTTTGTATCCTCTTTTATTTCATTGAGCAGTGCTTTGTAGTTCTCCTTGAAGAGGTCCTTCACGTCCCTTGTAAGTTGGATTCCTAGGTATTTTATTCTCTTTGAAGCAATTGTGAATGGGAGTTCACTCATGATTTGGCTCTCTGTTTGTGTGTTATTTGTGTATAAGAATGCTTGTGATTTTTGCCATTGATTTTGTATCCTGAGACTTTGCTGAAGTTGCTTATCAGCTTAAGGAGATTTTGGGCTGAGACAATGGGGTTTTCTAGATATACAATCATGTGATCTGCAAACAGGGACAATTTGACTTCCTCTTTTCCTATTTGAATGCCCTTTATTTCCTGATCCTGCCTAATTGCCCTGGCCAGAACTTCCAACACTATGTTGAATAGGAGTGGTGAGAGAGGGCATCCCTGTCTTGTGCCAGTTTTCAAAGGGAATGCTTCCAGTTTTTGCCCATTCAGTATGATATTGGCTGTGGGTTTGTCATAGACAGCTCTTATTATTTTGAGATACGTCCCATCAATACCTAATTTATTGAGAGTTTTTAGCATGAAGGGCCGTTGAATTTTGTCAAAGGCCTTTTCTGCATCTATTGAGATAATCATGTGGTTTTTGTCTTTGGTTCTGTTTATATGCTGGATTACATTTATTGATTTGCGTATATTGAACCAGCCTTGCATCCCAGGGATGAAGCCCACACTGGTACCAAAACAGATATAGATCAATGGAACAGAACAGAGCCCTCAGAAATAACGCCGCATATCTACAACTATCTGATCTTTGACAAACCTGAGAAAAACAAGCAATGGGGAAAGGATTTCCTATTTAATAAATGGTGCTGGGAAAACTGGCTAGCCATATGTAGAAAGCTGAAACTGGATCCCTTCCTTACACCTTATACAAAAATTAATTCAAGATGGATTAAAGACTTAAACATTAGACCTAAAACCATAAAAACCCTAGAAGAAAACCTAGGCATTACCATTCAGGACATAGGCATGGGCAAGGACTTCATGTCTAAAACACCAAAAGCAATGGCAACAAAAGCCAAAATTGACAAATGAGATCTAATTAAACTAAAGAGCTTCTGCACAGCAAAAGAAACTACCATCAGAGTGAACAGGCAACCTACAAAATGGGAGAAAATTTTCACAACCTACTCATCTGACAAAGGGCTAATATCCAGAATCTACAATGAACTCCAACAAATTTACAAGAAAAAAACAAACAACCCCATCAAAAAGTGGGCAAAGGACATGAACAGACACTTCTCAAAAGAAGACATTTATGTAGACAAAAAACACATGAAAAAATGCTCACCATCACTGGCCATCAGAGAAATGCAAATCAAAACCACAATGAGATATCATCTCACACCAGTTAGAATGGCAATCATTAAAAAGTCAGGAAACAACACATGCTGGAGAGGATGTGGAGAAATAGGAACACTTTTACACTGTTGGTGGGACTGTAAACTAGTTCAACCATTGTGGAAGTCAGTGTGGCGATTCCTCAGGGATCTAGAACTAGAAATACCGTTTGACCCAGCCATTCCATTACTGGGTATATACCCAAAGGACTGTAAATCATGCTGCTATAAAGACACATGCACATGTATGTTTATTGCGGCACTATTCACAATAGCAAAGACTTGGAACCAACCCAAATGTCCAACAACAATAGACTGGATTAAGAAAATATGGCACATATACACCATGGAATACTATGCAGCCATAAAAAAGGATGAGTTCATGTCCTTTGTAGGGACATGGATGAAATTGGAAATCATCATTCTCAGTAAACTATCGCAAGAATGAAAAACCAAACACCGCATATTCTCACTCATAGGTGGGAATTGAACAATGAGAACACATGGACACAGGAAGGGGAACATCACACTCTGGGGACTGTTGTGGGGTGGGGGGAGGGGGGATGGATAGCTTTAGGAGATATACCTAATGCTAAATGATGAGTTAATGGGTGCAGCACACCAGCATGGCACATGTATATATATGTAACTAACCTGCACATTGTGCACATGTACCCTAAAACTTAAAGTATAATAATAATAAAATAAAATAAAAAAGAAAAAAATATTAACAAGGTTTGGTTTTAATATACAATATATTTCATATGTGTCAACCAGTTGAGGATACGAACTGTGCTAAGAGAGCAAATGAATTTACAAAAAAAGGATATAATTTTTACAAATGCTGGACTTGGCTTTGGATGCTGGTTTTGTGTTTCAAGAATATTGTGGTTATTTAAAAAATAATGGTCACCAATATTTGCTGAAATCATTTTTTGGCAAAGCTAAAATGTTTTAAGAAGCATCTAATTCATCCTAAACATATCAGCTATCATTTACATTAACCTAGCGTTGTCATTTCAGACTAAAGTGAATCATAAAAGCATTAAGAAATACAGGGAATAAAACTCAATGGAAAATTTTTAATTGAATGTGTCATGAAATGTTCATATTATATATTATGTACAATTTTTAAATTTTTGCACTATTAAGTTTGGTGCCACAGAGGATGAGAGTTTTTTTTTTCCAATTACTATAATTTCATGATGACATCCATTAGAATTTTTTCTCTAAAATTAACAAATACTTCAAAAATAATGAATTAAACAAGAAATTAATTTTATATTTTATGAATACATTTGTTTCTATTTATAATGACAGCATCAATTACATTGTGGCCAAAATTAGTAGAATTCCCATTTGTTTTCTTCACACATGCAACTTTTCATAAAAATTGAGCCCATTCAAAGCCGTTACACTAGCAATAATATCTTTGTATGCTTGGATATAATGAAAAGTAATGGAAAGTATGCTTGGAAGTAATGAAATAACTCATAGTTTGAGAGATATCATTGATATCATTGATTTTTTGAAAATACGAAAAGATAAACTATTATTATTGTTATTTTTACTTCAAGTTCTGAGATACATATGCTGAACGTGCAAGTTTGTTACGTAAATATACATGTGCCATGGTGGTTTGCCACACCTATGAACCTGTCATCTAAGTTTTAAGCCTCACATGCATTAGGTATTTGTCCTAATGCCCTCCATTCCCTTGCCACCCCCAGCCCCAACAGGCCCTGGTGTGTGATGTTCCCCTACCTGTGTCCACGTGTTCTCATTGTTCACCTCCCAACTATGAATGAGACCATGCAGTGTTTGATTTTCTGTTCCTGTGTTAGTTTGCTGAGGATAACGGTTTCCAGCTTCATCCATGTCCGTGCAAAAGACATGAGTTCATTCTTTTTTATGGCTGCATAGTATTCTATGGTGCATATGTGCCACATTTTCTTTTTCCAGTCTATTAATGATGGGCATTTGGGTTGGTTCCAAGTCCTTGCTATTGTAAATAGTGCTGCAATAAATATAACGTGTGTATGTTTCTTTATAGTAGAATGATTTATAATCGTTTGGGTATATACCCAGTAATGGGATTGCTGGGTTAACAATTGTTAAAATACCACATGTCAAATGTAAGCAATGGTCATAAAATGGCACTTAGAGGGAAAAATATAATCTTGTCATAAAATGACACTAAAATTACACTTAGAAAAATATAACCTTGAATAGTCATATTAAGAAAAGAAGATTAAAGATTAATGAGTTATGCATTTAATTTAAGAAGAAAAAGAATAGCAGGCAAACCAAAAGGGAATACAATAAATGATATAATAAACATAAGAGAAGACTTTAATATGATTGGAAACAGACATACTCTACAAAAGTTGGTTCTTTGAAGCAACTAATAAAAGACACACAACTTGCTCAAATTAATCACAGAAAACAACAAGCAAGAGGAGGAATGTCACAAATAAATTATAGTTGATCCTTGAATGGGTTTGAACTGCATGGGTTCACTTTCATGTTTATTTATTTCAACATATTTAGAAATTCTTTGGAGAGTTGTAACAATTTGAAAAAACTTGTGAATGAACTGTGTAGCCTAGAAATATAAAAAATTAAGAAAGTTATGTTACTAGTGCATGAAATATATGTAGACAATACTAGTCTATTATAAGATGACTACCATAAAATATACATCAATCTATTATAAAAAGTTAATATTTATTAACACATGCACACAAGCACTCACAAATAGTACATGACACCATTTGAAGCCCACAGAATTGTAAACAAATATAACAATGGAGTATTATTTCATAAACTGCATAATATGTTTGGTACTACTGCTATAGTTTTTTAGCCATCGCTTGTTGCTATTGTGGTCAGCTCAAGTGTTGCCAGTATCTACTTAAATACTCTGTGATACTAATTATCTCTGCATAAGGAGTTTGTCTCTACAGTAAATTGCCAATTGCGGTAAAAGGTGGTCTTTTGTGGTCCTTGTGTATTTTTCATCTTGTTTAGTGCAATACCATAAACATTGAATAGTATCATGGGACCTATACAAAACGCTACCAGTCATGCTGGAAGTTCTCCCAAGAAGCAGAGAAACGTCATAACACTATAAGAAAAAGTTGAGTTATTTGATATGTACCACAGATTGAGGTCTGCTGCTGCAGTTGCTGCTATTTTAAGATAAATAAATCCAGTGTAAAAACCACTGTAAAAAATGAATAAGAAATTTATTAAGCTTTCACTGAAGCTATGCCAGCAAGCATAAAAAAATTCACACTTTTTACAAATTACCTTTTTATCTAGTATTAAAACTGCAAATTTATGTGGATGCAAGATTTGTATAAGAAAGGCATACTTACAGAATAATATAATTTGATAAAAAGTGAAGTCATTATATTAAAACTTAAAACTAAAGGAAGAAGAAGGATCTAAAGCTGGATAATGTAATGCCAGCGAAGGATAGTTTGATCATTTAAAAAAGTGGTTTGGCTTAAAAAATGTCAAGATAACAGAAGAAGCAGCTTCTGTTGACCAAGAAGCAGCAGACAATTTTTCAGATGCCATTTAAAAAAAATAATTGAGAAGAAAGAATATCTGCCTGAACAGGTTTTTAATAAAGACAAAAGTGCCCTAATCTGGGGCCTGTGGTGGAGCTCCAAAGGACATTTATTAGTAAGTAAGAGAAGTAAGCACCAAAATTTAAGGCAGGAAAGTATAGGAAGGGAAAGGCTATCTCTACTCTTTTGTGCAAGTGCAGTCAGGCTTATGATTAGAACTACCCTTACGTCTAATTCTGGTAACTCCAGAGCCTTGAATTAGAAAGATAAATGCCAAAAAAATGGTTACCAGAGACTGAGAAGGGTAGTGGGGAACTAGGGGGTGGGGGTGGTGGAGATAGTTAATGAGTACAATAAAAATAGAATGAATGAATAAGACCTGCTATTTCATAGCACAACAGGGTGATTATAGTCAATAATGATTTAACTGTACATTTCGAAATAACTTAAAGAGTATAGGTGAATTCTTTGCAACTCAATGGATAAATAGATGCTTGAAGAGATGGATGTCCATTCTCCATGATGTGTTTTATTTCACATTGCACACCTGCATGAAAACATTTCATGTACCCCATAAATATATACACCTACTATGTATCCTCAACAATTGAACAAAATCCAGCAGGTAATTTTGCATTTGGAGGAAAAAAATGAAAAATAGCAGCTCCTAGTCAGTCATTTGGTTGTATAACAAGTAGGCCAGGGTAATGAGGGCATATATACTGGGTCAGTTTCATTGATGCTTTGTCTCTGAAGTTAGGAAGTATCTTGCCAGTAAGAAACCGGCTTTTAAAGTTCTTTCAATATTGGACAAGGCCCCCAGCTATTCAGAACCTCATGAGTTCAATGTTGAAGGTGTCAAAGGGGTCTACCTTTCCCTAAATACGACTTCATTTCAACCTCTAGATTGGGGGTCATAAGGACTTTCAAGCCTCATTATGTACTCTATGGAAAGGATTGACATTGCTGTGGAAAAAACCCCAATAGAAAGAACATCATGTGAGTCTAGAAGGATTACACCAATGAAGATGTTATTGTTATAGAAAATGCTGTGGAAGAAATCAAGCCTGAAACAATAAATTTCTGCTGCAGAAAACTGTGTACAGGTGTCCTGCATGACTTCATAGGATTTATGACAGGGCCAGACAAGAAAATCATGAAAGGGATTGTGAATACAGCAAAAAATATAGGAGGTGAAATCTTTCAAGATATGGATCTTAGAGAAATCCAAGACTTATTGTACACCACACAAGAAGAGTTAACAGAAGATGACTTGATAGAGCTGAGTGCTTCTGAACCAGAGCCAGATAATGAAGAAAACGTAGATGAATCAGAGCCAAAAAACAAGCTGACATCAGAAAATCTGTCACAGATCTGCTTTTGACTTCTTTTCATGGCATGACCCTTCTATGACAACAGGCACTGAAACTAAAGCATATGGTGGAAGAAGGATTGGTACCAAACAGAATCATTGTAAGGGTAATGAAAAAGCAAAAAATGAGCAGAAATTACAATGTATTTTCCAAAAGCTCTGTAAAGGCCTTCCTCCCCTGCCTCCCTTTCCATCTCCTTTACCTTTTCTGCCTCTGGCACCCCTGAGACAGCAAGACCAACCCTTCCTTTTCCTCCTCCTCAGTCTATTCTATGACAAGCTTGAAGACCTTTATAATGACCCAGTGATAAAACAGACAAAAGATATATATTAAAAAAGTGAATATATTTCTCTTCCTTATGATTTTCTTAATAACTTTACCTTACTTTATTGTAAGAATATAGTATATAACATATACAAAATCTGTGCTAATCGACTGTTTATATTATCAGTAAGCCTTCTGGTCAACTGTAGGCTGTTAGTTAAGTTTCTGGGAAGTCAAAACTTACGTACAAATTTTCAGTTGTGTGGTTTGTGGGCAATCCTAACCCCCATACTGTTCAAAAGTCAATTCTATACAAGGGGAAAAAGACAAAAAACAATGCAAGTATGAGAAACTAAATATAGACTAAAAGTGTAAATAATTTTATGCCAATAAACTTCAAAGTTTAGATGTAATGGATTCTTTATTAGAAAAAGTAAATTTCAAAGCCATCTCAAGGAGAAATAGAAATAAGGAGAAGTATATAACAATTAAATTAGGAGTTCAAAATATTCCCTCAAAACATTAAGTTCAGATAATTTTGTAGGTGAGTTATTCTAAGAATTTATATCACAGGTATTTCCTACTTTTACAAACTCCTCCAGGGAATAGAACACAGGGAGTATCTGCCTTCTTATCTGAGACTAGATTTAAGTTCCATATTAAAATCAGGTGTCAGGAAAAAAAATGAAATGACCAACAAATCTCAATGATAAGTATAGTTGCCAAATTCCTGAACAATACAGTAGGTATAAGAGGCTCAGGTATTTATCAAAAGCAAAACTAAACAAAACCAGAATATGTAGTAACCAAAATTTACTTAGTGAAGGAATTTATGGCTTGTTTAATATTAGAAAACATTTTAATGCAATATGTCATTTTAAAAGAGTAAACAATAAAAGCTATGTGAACACATTAATAGGTACACAAAAAGTAAAAATAAGTAGTATATATTTATAATAAAAAAAAACTTAGGAAGAGAAGATCATTTACCAAGCATGAATCAACGCATTAAACAAAAAGTATACTCCATAATGATAGGTGAGTATGCTTTTTTTTAAAATTGTGAAGGAAATTATAATGTCCACTTCCACCACATTATCCAACATTGAGCTAGGAGTTCTAGCCACTGCAGTTAAACAAATAATAAGAAACAATCGTTATGAGAAATGCAACAGGCGAAACTAACTCATTATTTATAGGTAGTATGATATAGAAAGCTTCTCCCATCCACATCTGAAGACCAGTTATTATAATTGTGAATAGAATGTGGTAAGATCAGTTAAAGGAAAAATACAGAAGTCAATAGCTTTTCTATGCCAACTGAGTTAGCTAGAAAATGTATCTGAAATAAACACATAAGCACAATAGAAAATAAAATGTGAGCCTTTTATTAAAATAAAGAAATAAAACTTTACTAAATAAATGGAAATATCATCTTTCTAGATAAAGTTGTACAACACTTCAAAATGCAGAATTACCTCATTTGATTTATATTTTATAAACTTGCTTTGTATTTTTCAATGTAAAAAGGAAAAACAAACATGTAAACCAGTTCACACTCTCCCTGGCGGAACAGATTGGTCCAGGGATAATTGCTGATTATACTGGAACGAATAATTGTAAATACATTTCACTTTGCTAGAGATAGCAAGAAACCCAATATACTAACAGAATAATATGCTACAACCAAATTATAACATAATGAAAGAAAAGTAATAAATATTAATCTAAAGAAAGTTAGAAAAAAAATTAATGAAGGTAAAAACACACCATAAATAATAACAAAAAGTATTCATATTGTCAATAAAACACCCCAGCTTTTAAAAGCTTTATATTAAGCATATTTCTATATTTCTATCTAAAATGAGGTTTTTTAAATCTTATAAGATAGTTTATTCAGTTTATAAAAGAGAAATAGGCAAAATATATTTGTATGACAAATAACATTTATATGATTATTTCAGCACTTGGAATTGATTCAATAAAAGCTAAAGCCCTTTCCTCATTAAAAAAATTTCATTTAAAAATTAGATATGAAGCATTGTAAGTTTAACAGAATAATGATCACTATTAGCTGTTAAAACGGTCAGCTAACTGCTATACTAAGACGTTTGGATAGCAAAGGATTAAGCCTGGTCTCTGAAGATAGACACTGATCCTTTCCTTCTCACGTTCTACCATGGACCAGTTGGGTAAGCCTTAGCAAATTACCATATTGCAGTTCCTTCATCAGAAATATGTTCATAAAAACAGTACCTCCTCTAAGGGTTTTCTCCAGGATTAAATAAGTTAATAAATATAATGCTCTTAGGATAATCCTTGCTACATATTAAGTTATCTATAAATGCAAGCTTTTAGTATTACTATACTTAAATATAGAACTATCAGAGGTATTGCAGTAAAAATAGGAAAGAAAAAATTTTACTGTTACTGCTATAATTATCATACTGCTCACAGTCTATGATACTACAAATTTTAATTAAAGCTTTCAATTGAATAGGTTTTTGTTAAAACCACAATCACATAAATGTATATAACAACTATAAGATTTCATCTATATTTCAAAAGTGTTAAAGTATAAGAAAGTACGTTAGGATGTAAATAATATGTTAATATTGGCCTGAAAATGTAGCAGGTTATAAAAAAATTGAATTGAAAGAATACATAATTGTTATTCTACGTCATATAAATTCATGTCTAGTATCCCAAGAAGACTAATTTAAAAAATGCGAATTAATAAGAGATAAGCAAATAGGAAAGTATATATTTGTAAAAATAAAAACATTTATAATAACTATCAGGCAACTATTAAAATCACATTTAAAATGCATTCATTCAATTAATATACTTTCCCATGATTATTTATTCATGCATTGTTTTATATAGACATATATATGTGTGTGTATATATGTATATATATATATATTTGTATTCATCCATTTGACATTCTCTTACTTTACTAACTAATACCTTTAGATCTGAATTTCAATTTTCTTTTTCTTTTCTTTGGTGTGGGATTTACTAGAAAAGTTTGAAAAACAAACGCAATTACCAGGATTTCAAAAATAGGACACTTCTGACAGTTCTAAATACAAACAAATGTAGATAGTGATAAATTCCATATCCTTTTTCTGAAGTCGTGTAATTCATTGAAACACAGCAAAGAATAAAAATGAGATGCTTTCAGAAAGAAAAAAATATATTTCCAAATAAAAGTATACTTTCAAAAAAATTTTAAAAAGAGGATTTTAAGGAGTATTTCTTCAAACAGACAAGCTTAGGAAAATTCATTATAGAGGCCAATAATTTTCATAAGGTACCATTCATGTAAATTTTCCTGATCTTTCAATTTGACACAACTTTGAGCATAGATTATATGCAGGTTTTCATTTCTTTTTGGCAGTAACATCAATATGAATAAAATGTACAAGTACATTTTAACAGCTGTAAAAAGGAAAACCTAATAGATTGCACTATTTTGAGAAATTATTTAGAAAGAAAATAAAAGCCTACTGTAAAGTGTTATAGATATTTAGTATTTATAGTCAAGAATGTAAATATAATAGATGTATTATAAATCTATACTTAACAAAATACCCCAAAGTACTTATATGCCATGAAATATTTTGAAAACATTTTCTAGGATGCCTTTATTTGTTACACATTAAGTACATGGTTTTTCCCCTAAATTTTTTGGAATTTCTTGGCATTTGAGTAAAGTGTCAAAGATATATTTTAATTCAGAGAAATTATTAAATTATCTGTGAATGATTTAATACAAGGGATAACATCATGGGAAGAAAAGGATGTAAGTACAGGCTTCAGAACTGTTAACATTTATTTGCCCTTATTCTCACTCTTTATTTATTTGTTCATTCTAAAACAGACATTTAGCTATTCATATTATAGCTCTTCTTCTTTTATCCCCTTTTTCTCTGCTTATTAAAAAAGCTTATTTATGACATAGTTTTGCTTACACTGATGTATGACTAACAACAACATCTTTTCTAAGAATAAGTGATTTTTTTTACAAAAATGACATGAGACTGCTTAAATAGGAAAAATAAATAAATCTTAGATATTACAATTTCTGCTCTTAATTTTTCAGAGTTGTTTCAATTCCATCTTGACTGTTTAAAATAAATTAACAGAAGATAGAATCTTGGAGTTAGACTTGGTTATTAGCCAGTGTCTTTATTTCTCCCTTTATTTTTACATAGCCCCCCACTCAAATCATTGTACCTGTAGTTTTGCAAAGTGAATATCTAAGGTATTCAAAAATAATAACGTTCTTGTGGTAGGGCTTTTTGTATAATTTTAGGTGAAATTATAGGGATTCCTCACAAAATGTGTTTACAGCACAATGAGCAAATATCAACACAGAGTGGTCATTGAATTAATTTATATTTTGACTTAATTTGATATGTCGAGAGCCAAGTCTCAACACATGTTACTTTGTAATACATTGAGCAGTGTCGACAGAATCTAAATGTAACTTTATAAAACTAGGAAAACGTTGACCACATATGTGAACTTAGATGCTGGTACAATTATCCCATTTTAGGTTCAGTGACAAATTAAAGCTGACAAAGTAGAAATGAAATTAACATACTTTGAAATAGAAACATGTTCACTCTAATGGATTAATTTCCACATTCACCTGCCATCTTTCTGTTTCAGCAATAAGAAAGGGAAAAAAATTAATGAAGTTAGATGATCCTGTAAACTTCAATACAAAGTGAGTTCACTGATGTGATTATGGCTTCATCATTTCCTCTGTTAGAAGACCCAGTTTTCAAAGATATGTTCATTTTCATTGAGGATTCTTTATAGATGAAAATCTTATCCAAAATCTCCATTTAGCAATGACATAAAATGTGTCACATTTATCTGCTTCCCACTTTCACCTAAAGAAATGTTTCTTCTGGCTTAACAAAAGGCAGCAGAAACTTCTGCAGACTTAAATGTCCCTGTCTGACAGCTTTGAAGAGAGCAGTGGTTCTCCCAGCACAGAGTTGGAGACCTGAGGACAGACAGACTGCCTCCTCAAGTGGGTCCCTGACCCCCAAGTAGCCTAGCTGGGAGACACCTCCCAGTAGGGGCTGACTGATGCCTCATATGGCCGGATGCCCATCTGAGAGGAAGCTTCCAGAGGAAGGATCAGGCAGCAACATTTGCTGTTCTGCAATATTTGCTATTCTGCAGCCTTCGCTGGTGATACCCAGGCAAACAGGGTCTGGAGTGGACCTCCAGCAAACTCCAACAGACCTGCAGCTGAGGGTCCTGACTGTTCGAAGCAAATCTAACAAACAGAAAGGACATCCACACCAAAACCCCACCTGTACATCACCATCACCAAAGACCAAAGGTAGATAAAATCACAAAGATGGGGAGAAACCAACCAGAGCAGAAAAGGTGAAAATTCTAAAAATCAGAGTGCCTCTTCTCCTCCAAAGGAACACAGCTCCTTGCCAGCAACGGAACAAAGCTGGATGGAGAATGACTTTGATGAGTTGAGAGAAGAACGTTTCAGACGATCAGTAACAACAAACTTCTCCGAGCTAAAGGAGGATGTTTGAACCCATCATAAAGAAGGTAAAAACTTTGAAAAAAGATAGGTGAATGGCTAACTAGAATAAACAGCATAGAGAAGACCTTAAATGACCTGATGGAGATGAAAACCATGGCATGAGAACTACATGACACATGCACAAGCATCAGTAGCCGAGTTGATCAAGTGGAAGAAAGGTTATCAGTGATTTAAGATCAAATGAATGAAATGAAGTGAGAAGAGAAGTTTAGAGAAAAAAAGAGTAAAAATAAATGAATAAAGCTGCCAAGAAATATGGGACTAGGTGAAAAGACCAAATATACATCTGATTACTGTACCTGAAAGTGATGGGGAGAAAGGAACCAAGTTGGAAAACACTCTGCAGGATATTATCCAGGAGAACTTCCACAACATAGCAAGGCAGGCTAACATTCAAATTCAGGAAATACAGAGAATGCCACACAGATACTCCTCGAGAAGAGCAACTCCAAGACACATAATTGTCAGATTCACCAAAATAGAAATGAAGGAAAAAATATTAAGGGTAGCCAGAGAGAAAGGTCGGGTTACCCTCAAAGGGAAGCCCATCAGACTAACAGCGGATCTCTCGGCAGAAACTCTACAAGCCAGAAGAGAGTGAGGGCCAATATTCAACACTCTTAAAGAAAAGAATTTCGAACCCAGAATTTCATATCCAGCCAAATTAATCTTCATAACTGGAGGAGAAATAAATTCCTTTACCGATGAGCAAATGCTGAGAGATTTTGTCACCACCAGGCCTGCCTTACAAGAGCTCCTGAAGGAAGCACTAAACATGGAAAGGAACAACCAGTACCAGTCACTGCAAAAACATGCCAAATTGTAAAGACCATTGATGCTAGGAAGAAACTGCATCAACTAACAAGCAAAATAACCAGCTAACATGATAATGACAGGATCAAATTCACACATAACAATATTAACCTTAAATGTAAATGGGCTAAATGCTCCAATTAAGACACAGACTGGCAAATTGGATAAAGAGTCAAGACCCATCAGTGTGCTGTATTCAGGAGACGCATTTCATGTGCAGAGACACACATAGGCTCAAAATAAAGGGATGGAGGAAGATCTATCAAGCAAATGGAAAAAAAAAATCAAGGGTTGCAATCCTAGTCTCTGATAAAATGGACTTTAAACCAACAAAGATTAAGAGACAAAGAAGGCCATTACATAATGGTAAAGGGATCTATTCAACAAGAAGAGCTAACTATCCTAAATATATATGCACCCAATACAGGAGCACTCAGATTCATAAAGCAAGTCCTTAGAGACTGGCAAAGAGACTTAGACTCCCACACAATAATAATGGGAGACTTTAACACCCCATTGTCAATATTAGATTAATGAGACAGAAAGTTAAACAAGGATATCCAGGAATTGAATTCAGCTCTGTACCAAGCAGAACTAATAGACTTCTACAGAACTCCCCACCCCATATCAACAGAATATACATTCTTCTCAGCACCACATCACACTTATTCCAAAATTGACCACATAGTTGGAAGTAAAACACTCCTCAGCAAATGTAAAACAACAGAAATTATAACAAACAGTCTCTCAGATCACAGCGCAATCAAATTAGAACTCAGGATTAAGAAATTCACTCAAAACCACTCAACTATATGGAAACTGAGCAACCTGCTCCTGAATAACTAATGGGTACATAACGAAATGAAGGCAAAAATAAAGATGTTCTTTGAAACCAATGAGAAAAAAGACACAACATACCAGAATCTCTGGGACACATTTAAAGCAGTGAGTAGAGGGAAATTTACAGCACTAAATGCCCACAAGAGAAAGCAGGAAAGATCTAAAATTGACACCCAAAAATCACAATGAAAAGAAATAGAGAAGCAAGAGCAAACACATTCAAAGACTAGCAGAGGGCAAGAAGTAGTAATATCAGAGCAGAATTGAAGGAGATAGAGACACAAAAACCCTTCAAAAAAATCAGTGAATCCAGGAGCTGGTTTTTTGAAAAGATCAACAAAATTGATAGAACGCTATCATGACTAATGCAGAGGAAAAGAGGGAAGAATCAAATAGATGCAATAAAAAATGATAAAGATGGTATCACAACCGATCTTACAGAAATATAAACTACCATCAGAGAATACTATAAAAACCTCTATGCAAATAAACTAGAAAATCTAGAAGAAATGGATAAATTCCTGGACACATACACCCTCCCAAGACTAAACCAGGAAGAAGTTGAATCCCTGCATAGACCAATAACAGGCTCTGAAATTGAGGCAATAATTAATAGCCTACCAACCAAAAAAAGTCCAGGACCAGACGGATTCACGGCCAAATTCAACCAGAGGTACAAAGAGGAGCTGGTACCATTCCTTTTGAAACTATTCCAATCAATAGAAAAACAGGGAATCCTCCCTAACTCATTTTATGGGGCCAGCATCATCCTGATCCCAAAGCCTGGCAGAGACACAACAAAAAAAGAGAATTTTAGACCAATATCCCTGATGAACATCGATGCAAAAATCCTCAATAAAATACCAGTAAACCGAATCCAGCAGCACATCAAAAAGCTTATCCACCATGATCAAGTGGGCTTCATCCCTGGGATGCAAGGCTGGTTCAACATATGCAAATCAATAAACGTAATCCATCTTATAAACAGAACCAAAGACAAAAACCACATGATTATCTCAATAGATGCAGAAAAGGCCTTTGACAAAATTCAACAGCCCTTCATGCTAAAAACTCTCAATAAATTAGGTAGTGATGGACTGTGTCTCAAAATAATAAGGGCTATTTATGACAAACCCACAGCCAATATCATACTGAATGGGCAAAAAGTGGAAGCATTTCCTTTGAAAACTGGCACAAGACAGGGATGCCCTCTCTCACCACTCCTATTCAACATAGTGTTGGAAGTTCTGGCCAGGGCAATTAGGCAGAAGAAAGAAAGAAAGGGTATTCAATTCAGAAAAGAGGAAGTCAAATTGTCCCTGTTTGCAGATGACATGATTGTATATTTAGAAAACCCCATCATCTCAGCCCAAAATCTCCTTAAGCTGATAAGCAATTTCAGCAAAGTCTCAGGATACAAAATCAATGTGCAAAAATCACAAGCATTCTTATATACCAATAACAGACCAACAGAGATCCAAATCATGAGTGAACTCCCATTCACAATTGCTTCTAAGAGAATAAAAGGTACCTAGGAATCCAACTTACAAGGGATGTGAAGGACCTCTTCAAGGAGAACTACAAACCACTGCTCAATGAAATAAAAGAGGACACATAAAAAATGGAAGAAGATTCCATGCTCATGGATAGAAAGAATCAATATCATGAAAATGGCCATACTGCCCAAGGTAATTTATAGATTCAATGCCATCCCCATCAAGCTACCAATGACTTTCTTCACAGAAATAGAAAAAACCACTTTAAAGTTCATATGACACCAAAAAAGAGCCCACATTGCCAAGACAATTCTAAGCCAAACAAAGCTGGAGGCATCATGCTACCTGACTTCAAACTATACTACAGGGCTGCAATAAACAAAACATCATGGTACTGGTACCAAAGCAGAGATATAGACTAATGGAACAGAACAGAGCCCTCAGAAATAATGCCACACATTTACAACCATCTGATCTTTGACAAGCCTGACAAAAACAAGAAATGGGGAAAGGATTCCCTATTTAATAAATGGTGCCGGGAAAACTGGCTAGCCATATGTAGAAAGCTGAAACTGGATCCCTTCCTTACACCTTATACAAAAATTAATTCAAGATGGATTATAGACTTAAATGTGAGACCTAAAACCATAAAAACCCTAGAAGAAAACCTAGGCAATACCATTCACGACATAGGCATGGGCAAGGACTTCATGACTAAAACACCAAAAGCAATGGCAACAAAAGCCAAAATTGACAAATGGGATCTAATTAAACTAAAGAGCTTCTGTGCATCAAAAGAAACCACCATCAGAGTGAATGGGCAACCTACAGAATGGGAGGAAATCTTTGCAATCTAGCCATCTGACAAAGGGCTTATATCCAGAATCTACAAAGAAATTAAACAAATTTACAAGAAAAAATCAAACAACCCCATCAAAAAGTGGGTGAAGAATACGAACAGTCACTTCTCAAAAGAAGACATTTATGCAGCCAACAGACACATGAAAAAATGCCCATCATCACTGGCCATCAGAGAAATGCAAATCAAAACCACAATGAGATACCATCTCACACCAGTTAGAATGGCGATCATTAAAAAGTCAGGAAACAACAGGTGCTGGAGAGGATGGGGAGAAATAGAAACACTTTTACACTGTTGGTGGGACTGTAAACTAGTTCAAACATTGTGGAAGACAGTGTGGCAATTCCTCAAGGATCTAGAACTAGAAATACCATTTGACCCAGCCATCCCATTACTGGGTATATACCCAAAGGATTATAAATCATGCTGCTATAAAGACACATGTACACGTATGTTTATTGCAGCACTATTCACAATAGTAAAGACTTGGAACCAACCCAAATGTCCATCAATGATAGACTGGATTAGGAAAACTCGGCACATATACACCATGGAGTACCATGCAGCCATAAAAATGGATGATTTTATGTCCTTTGTAGGGACATGGATGAAGCTAGAAACCGTCATTCTGAGCAAACGATCACAAGGACAGAAAACCAAATACCACAGGCTCTCACTCATAGGTGGGAATTGAACAATGAGAACGCTTGGACACAGGGTGGGGAACATCACACAGTGGGGCCTCTCGTGGGGTCGGGGGAGGGGTGATGGATAGCATTCGGAGATATACCTAATATAAATGATGAGTTAATGGGTGCAGCACACGAGCCTGGCACATGCATATATATGTAACAAACCTGCACGTTGTGCACATGTAACCTAGAACTTAAAGTACAGTAAAAAAAATTAATTAATTAATTAATAATAATAAAAAAATAAAACCTAGATGATGGGTTGATTGATAAGTTCAGCAAACCCACCATGGCACATGTATACCTAAGTAACAAACCTGCACGTTCTGCACATGTAACTTAAAGTAAAATAAAAAATAAATAGGCCTGGCACTGTGGCTCACGCCTGTAATCCCAGCACTTTGGGAGGCTGAGGCAGGCAGATCACGAGGTCAAGAGATCGAGACCATCCTGGCTAAAAAGGTGAAACCCTGTCTCTACTAAAAATACAAAAAATTAGCTGGGTGTGGTGGCAGGCGCCTGTAGTCCCAGCTACTCAGGAGGCTGAGGCAGGGGAATGGCTTGAAACCGGGAGGCAGAGATTACAGTGAGCCGAGATCACGCCACTGCCCTCCAGCCTGGGCCACAGAGGGAGACTCCATCTCAATAAATAAATACATAAATATGTTATGAAATATTTTTACTAAATCCTGTAAAATTTGCAGAATAAAAAGATGTCAAGGCCCAGCGCAGTGGCTCATGCCTGTAATCCCAGCACTTTGGGAGGATGAGGCAGGAGGATCACAAGGTCAAGAGATCAAGACCATCCTGGCCAACATGGTGAAACCCCATCTCTACTAAAAATACAAAAATTAATTGGGCATGGTGGCACACGCCTGTAGTCCCAGCTAGTCAGGAGGTTGAGGCAGGAGAAAAAAAAAAAAAAGAAAGAAATGTTTCTTCTGTGCACAGGGCTAAAATAATCTAAACTTGAATCCTATTTATGTCTCAAATTGACCCAACTTATATCTGAGAAAAATCCTTTGAATTAAACTATAGATGTTATTGTAATCTATCTTAAATTCTTATATTTAGAAAATGTGGCTGGGTGCAGTGGCTCACGCCTGTAATCCCAGCACTTTCGGAGGCCTAGGTGGGTGGATCACAAGGTCAGGAGATCGAGACCATCCTGGCGAACACGGTGAAACACCATCTCTACTAAAAATACAAGAAATTATCTGGGCATGGTGGTGGGCACCTGTAGTCCCAACTACTCGGGAGGCTGAGGCAGGAGGATGGCGTGAATCTGGGAGGCAGAGCTTGCAGTGAGCAGAGATCCTGCCACTGCAGTCCAGCCTGGGTGACAGAGCGAGACTCTGTCTCAAAAAAAAAAAAAAAGAAAAAAGAAAATGTATGACATAGTGCTAATAATTTACAGGAGTTTTATGAAAGATTCAATTTTCTACAAATATAATTAATTATTAGAAGTACCCTAATGTATTCCAAAAAAGGAAAATCTACATTAAAATTATTTTAATTTTTGGAGTCAATTCATTATTAAAATTAGAACTTAGTTCCCATTATTTTTATGGTTTGAAATTATTACCGTAATTCTTAAGGTGATAGTTTAAAAGGTAATTTCATCATAGTTTTATTAGCTTGTTTTTCTCCTGGAAACTTTAGATAATGAAAAAACTAAACATGGAATATACTTTTCCTGTCATATCTCATTGAGTTAATACTTTATATGTTTGTGCATTTATATTATAAAATTATAATTTTATACTATGCCCTTTAAGCACAATTATCACAGATATATAAAATGAGGCATTTGATTTATATTTCCTCTTAATATACAAAAATCAAGGCTTTAATTGGTAATGGTGGCAGTGATGGCTAGGTTTCTACCAAGAGCCATCCTCCTCCTTTTTCATTGTAGTAGGTTAGAAGGTGGCACATGGATGGATGATGTTTTCCAGCATCCCTTGCAGTAGATGTCGACTTCATTTTCTCTACTCTAATGTAAGCAACACTAATGTGAGTGGTTTTTAGGCTGGAGCTTTTAAGAGAGAGGATGTTTCTTCTTTATATGTTCTTTCTCTCCTGTCTGCTGGGTACAGGTGACAGTGTGGCCCTAAAGGACGGTAGAATACAAATATAAAATGGTCCAGGCTCCCAAATCAGTATTTGCAGACTAGCTCCTCAAAATACTTGTCCTGCCATTTATATGAACAAGAAGTAAGCCTCTATTGTCTTTGATATTTTACATAGCTCATAAGAATACAGGTATTTTCATTGGAAGGGAGGATGTGGCCATAAAAAAATTAAAAGATGTGACATTTATTTAGTTGACAAGCAGTACGGGAGAAAAATGAACATTAGAATGTGAGATATTTCTGCCAAACCATAATAAACATTTCATAAAGCTGTCATATGAGATAACTTAGAAGGTAGAGCATGATTTGAGCTTTTAGGTCTATGGGAAATAGTTAACAAATAGAAGGTCACTGTGTTTTGACTTCTGTTTGCTGCATTTAGCAAGATATTATAGGGGATGTGGTTAAGCTGGAATTGATAGATTTGTAAAGAGAGGGAAGAAAACAGTCCATAAAATGAGGGCCCTAGGGACTTGAAATGACTAAGCTCACTATTTCATATCACTTCAGTATGTAGTCTCCATTAAGTTTAGAGAGAGAACTGACAGCAAGGTAAGGCACAAAGCAATAAATAACAAAAAAGCCACAACAAAAATAAAAACAATGGAACTGAAATTTATACCTAAATTAGAAATTTAGTTGTGGCATTGGCACACAGAGTATGCTGGAAACAAAACACTGGAGAGAACTACTCAATTTCTGAAGGAATTTTTGCCAAAGAGCTCATGAGCTCTGCCTAAAAAGCCTGTAACTATTCAAACTTTTAATCTTCCGTTATTCTGCCAAACTTCCACAAGAAGAAGAGAATTGTGAAAGCAGTAGAATGACACATTCCCACATGCCCACTGCAGGTATGGTCCCAGGGTAGAACGCACAAAGAAGACCCTCTGATATGGCACAATTGAGAGTCAAAGAGAGAGGGGACACAGAATTACTAAGTGTGATCAGAGAGATAATAGGAGCCAGGTCACATAGGCCTTACATGCCATTGTGAATAACTTGGCTTTTACTCTGAGTGACAATGGGAGGTTTCCAAGGGGTTGAGTTGAGTAGTGACATGATCTCAATTAAAATTTTATCCTTTTTGGAAAGATGACTCTGGCTGCTGCATTGAGAATATACTATAGGGGTCAACCACAGACAAAATGAAACTATTTAAGAAGTTATTATAATTATCTAAAAGATATAATGGTGAGTTAGACTGGGTTAGTATGAGCAAAGTTGTGAGAAATCCTGGGATTCTGCATATTTTGTATATAGAATCCAACAGGCATTCTTTTGGATTGGCTGTGGAGTGAAAATGAAAGGAGTAAGGGACATGGCGTTTTGAGTTTAGTAACTGAAAGGATGGAGGTTTTTTTTTTTTTTTTTTAATCAACTGAATAGGGGAAGCTATTAGAAGAAGCAGCTTTAGGACGGGAGGTCACCAGATAAGTTTTGGACATGTTCAGTTTGAGATATCCAATGAATGTTCAAGTGAAGAGGTGGATAAAAATGGCAGGGGTTCTTGAGAGAAGTCTGAGTTGGATACTTTTGGGAGTTGTCAGCAAATAAATAATATTTAAAGCCACAAACCTGGGAAAGATAACCCAAGAGCTGAGACAGAGATGAGAGTAGGGCTATAGGGCTGGGTCCTGGAGAATGCCAACATTAGGAGTCAAAGAAAAGGAAAGCAGTGAAGGAGACTGAGAAAGAATAACTAGTTAGATAGGACTACATTCAAGAGACTATGGAATCCTACATTATGTTATGTAGAAGGGTGTGTTATGGATATCACATGCTGCTGCTGATAGATAATAATGTAAGATAATGTTCAGAAAGAACTTTTTCATTAAATGAGTTCATGTGGCTATATTATTTCCAATGGAATATGAACAGAAGTGATGTGAACTATTTTCAGGTCAGAGTTTTTAAGATAGCACCTGTTTCAACCAAAGTCTTCTTTTCATTAAGGTGATGTAAAAGATGACATGAGTCTAGGAGATGCTGAAGCCATCAATGTGAAAGAAGCCTGAATCACTGAGTCACCATGTGGAAGAGAGGCAAAAACAAGCCTAGAATACCATCCTGAACTGTTAAGTGAGCAAGAAATAAATCCTCTTGTTTTTAGTGATTACATTTTGTGTCTATTTTTTTTTACAGTTGTTCAGCCTGCTCTAATTAATGCAGTAAGTTAATACAGCTTTCTCCTTAATTTCTCCTCCCATCAAGAACGGTATAATAAAACCTTAACTACTCGGTCATATTATCACTTACTGACAGGTTTTCAAACAGTTTTAGGTTTTTAAGTAAATCAATGTCTATTTTATTATATTTTAGATCACATTAATGGCTTCTCAGACACCAATATGTTGCTCACAAGGAACACTAAAATTTTATTTAGTGATACCACACTGCTTAATAACAAAAAGAAGGAGTACCTTCAAGTTATGGGTAAGTTTAACAGCATCATATCTGATTTCAGTACTGAGGGGCTTTCTTTTACTTTCTACCATATTTTGCTTCCAACGTGCCCTTCTCTCCACTTAATTTTTGAATTTTCTTTATTTCCTGCACTTGTTTTCTCTATCATCTCCTCTCTTTTAGTCTTTTGTTTTCTCATTTTTCTCCCCTTTTTATTTTCCATTCTTTCTCCATGTTTCCATAACTTCCATTTTTTTCCCTACTGTATAGTTCTCCTTTGTTTTGATTCACAAGAAACAAACACCAAAATCTCAGGGCCAAGATTGAAATCCACGGAGAGTATAAATTGGTGTTTTGGATAGTCCACAGAAAACAGGGTGCAGCCAATTAACCAAAGCAGGAGACATGTTAAAATTATCATGGATCTAAGGGCCCCTGATTTAGAATGGATTCTCTTTATATTTTGTTTGAATATTTAACCACAAATTAAGATAAATATATCTTACCAGAAGGTCTAATGCTTTCCTCCTACAAACACTTAGAAAATTGAGAAAAGAAAAATCATATTTTAAAAACAGATGTTATTTGATCTGCAATGTCTTCCAGGTTATCAGTGTCCTAGAAAGAATAAAAGTTATGAAAAGTCACTCATATCCTGGAAGGAAAAATTAGCTTGTATTAGAAGCAATATTATTTCAGGCTATTTTGCCCTGTGCCACCTCTGATTTTCACTCTACCTTGTGCTTCCTTATTCTACACTCTCACTGCAATAATGTGTTACCAGCTCTCACTATTGGCCTGGATCCTACACTTCTGAAAAGACTGGAGTGGAGTGGTGAGGGGTGTGTGAGTGAGTGAGCATGGGGTCAGGCCACTGTGCACAGTCAGGCACTCTGTCTGCTGCATCTGGGCAGGCAGATCCAGGTTTCAGCACAGAGGTTGGCTCACTGCAAGGCTGCTGCTGGACCAGGCGCACCACAAGCAGTTTCCATGGCTAACACCAGGGAATGCGGTGGTGCCTGGAAGCTTGGAGACTCTAGGAACCACAGGGCCCAAAATTGGGAGTCACACCCCTGGCTTGGTGAGCTCCCAAGTCTGCACTCCCAAAAGGTCCACAGATCTTCTCTTGTTCTCTCTTCTCTCCTTCTTTCTTCTCTCCTTCTTGCCACCTGCAACATGGTAAGCAAGGGATGTGTTTCAGCACTGTTTGTGTTACAGCTCTTTTAGCCCACCATTCTGTGGGTCCAGAGTTCTTGCCCTACACCCAGGAAGAATGAGGTATGCAGACAAGTGGAGGGTGAGCAAGACAAAGAGGAGCTTTACTGAGGAACAGAACAGCTCAGAGGAGACCTACAGTGAGCAACTCCTCTCTGTAGCCAGGGTATCCCAATAGGTTTTCAGCTCTCAGCATAGAGGGTAGTTCTTCTCTGCAGCTGGTGGTCCCCTCATCTCCTCAGCTCCCAGCAGAAAGGAGACCATGGCATGGGTAGCTCCTCACTGCAGCTGGTCATCCCATCCTCTCCCCGGTGGCTGAGTCAGGGGCTTTTATGGGCCTCAGAGGGGAGGAAGTGCATACCAGTTGTTCCATGGGTGGTCATATGCAAGCCCAGAAAAGGCACCGTGAGTTTCCGTTCCGGTCCAGGGGACTGGCAGCCAGGCTTCCAGGCTTCAAGCCCTCCCTGTCTTGAAAGTGGGCTTCACTGAGGACAAGCCCCCTTCCACCCAGGAGCCTGTCTGCTTCCTGCTGCTGTTAAAGACACCCAAGCTGTTCATGTCAAAAGACACCAGCAAGCCAGCACCAGGCTGTCCTCAGCTCCCCCTGAGGCTCCCTCCTGTGCTTGTCAGTGCCCAAAGTCTGGAGGGAGGCGACGCGGCAGGGGGCTGGCATGTCAACACTGCTGTGAGCATGTCACAGCCAGCGGGGCTGCTACAGCATCCAAGCTTGGCCCTGACTTTGCTCTGAGACTGGAAAAGGCATTGACAGATGGGAGAAGCCAGGCAGCAATAAAAGGCACTTCTGAGCCTGTTGGGGGCAAGGAGGCTTCCCAGGCTCCAGAGAATGCAGAGTAGGCTGGGTCTCCAGCAGCAGCAGGGCAGCTGCAGCTGCACCTGGGAAGCTCATACCCTGCCAACCAGGAAGGGGCGGGGCTCCCACTTGTCTCCAGTTCCTGCTGGCTCCATGGAGTGTACAGCCTAGGCAGTGCCTCCTCGGACCCTGGGTCAGGGGCTTCAAGTCCTCGCTGGGCCCCTCTCTGCCCGCTCCTCTGTGCTGGACCATGCTGCTCTCCCTCAGACTGGCAGCTCAGCCTGGGCCTATAATGGTGGCTCCCAGGGAGGTGGGCTCAGGGGGTGTTCCCAAGGCAGTCTCCAGGGACTGCCTACCTCCTCTCCTCATTTTCCCTGCAGTGCATATGGGTGAGAGTGGTGACAAGGGTTCAGGGTCCAGAGTGGTAGAGGCTCTGGGCCTGGGAGCAGGTCCTGCCCAGTCGTACAAGGGTGGGGGACAGTTGGCTGCCTTGGGGATGTGGGGCACAGATGTCCCACCGTCACCACTGCTGCTCCCACAGCTGCTCCTGCTGCCACCTCTCACATCTCCCCATTACAGCTAGCGTGATGGCAGTGGCCACTCCAGATGGCCTGCCACTGCCATTATTACCACCTCTGAATTGTGTGACAAAATGGCATGCTTTATGTTTTTCTTACAATTTTGGTGTGGGAGGAGCATTCATATAGCTTTTTCTTTCTTATTTATCTTGTGAACCTGTTCCATTGCCTGAATTGTTTAGGCAAGTCCGACAAACACAATATCCACTACCATTGTAGTTTACTACATAGTAGAATCCAGAACTGACACAACTGCCTTACTAAAGGGCTTCTATGGAACAGAGTTTGGCCTTATTCTTCAACTTTGATTAAGCAAGTAAATATGCCCAATTATCCCTTAAATTAATATTTAAAGAGATGCTTCTATCTTTGCCCTTGGGAATCTAACTCTGTAGTGAAGGCATAATTCAATTTCAATGAGAGGATCTGAATGATGGAATATAGAGACAACACTATAAAGCATAAAAGGAAGGAAACTTGTGATTGTGCATGGGGTTGTCAGAAGAAGCTCTGTGTGGAAGGAGTAATTTTCTTGAGTTGGATATTTCAGAAATGAATACAAGCTTACCAGGTTTCATATGGTAACGGTGGGGAATAGGCTAGCAATCCACGAATGTTATTTGAATGAAGGAATAAAGAGAAAAGCACAGTGGAAACTCAAGAAATACAGGAATCCTATTCTGCAGAATCTTTTCATGCTCAACACTTAATGAAGTAAAACATATTTTTAAATGAAAAAACCACACATATTTCTCTGTCATTGATATATCTATTGCTATTATCTATCTATCTATCTATCTATCTATCTATCTATCTATCTGTCATCTATCTATCTATTGGTTTTCTATACTATTAGTTTAGTATAGTTTCCTAAACTTTTAGCCTTACAACTGGGCAGAATTTCCTGTGATTAAATGATTTAAAATGTTGCAATTCTGTCTTTAACTATTAACGTAGTTTTGTTCCTACTGAGTGCCATTGTATGCTGTACTTATCCTTCATGATTCTGACAGTTGCAATAGCTTTCCATCCACACTTCTTTCAAATGGAGTAAGACTATAGCTCAGAACAAAGAAGCCAGAGGAATTTCTGATTGGATTTTTAAAACTCATGGCTGAGACAATAGATTTGAAATACAAAGCAGGTTTATTCACAAAAGCTGGGAGTTTTGACTTAGAATAAGATTTAGTGCCTAAAAACTCAGTATATAGTTGATCCGTAAAGAACAAAGTCAGGAAAAATAAAAAATAAAACAAAATAAAAGATAACTTTCATGTTACACAAAGAGGAACTTAAAATTCTTTCTGCACCCAAGAATAAATTTTAAGAGAATTGAAGAATAAGAGAACTTAGATGCCCAAGTGAGGTTTGAGACTGCATCATAGCAAGTGAGAAAACAGAAATCCCCTCTTATGTTGTGCTTTCTTCAAGGTACTAGCCGAGGAAAATGCCATGCTACTTAAAAAAGGCCCATTCCATTGAGAAACTAACATTACAGTTACAGTGCCCAGAAAAAGTCTCCTGAGAATGAACTCAGTCCAAATTGTTAAACTTCTGAAAGATAAATAAAATGATTCGGAGTGGAGCAGAAGGCTTTCAGGAGTCAGGGGTTGAGGCCAGAGGAACACACCTAAAATTACCTCTGTAGATCTGATGACCAGAGCCCATGAGGGGTCATAAGAAGATGCAGGCAGAAACTACTTTCTAAGGATTGTAAGGGTGTTGATAACTCACCAGTGGCCAGAAGAGGAGAGGCAAGGAGAAGATGACTCCTCACCAATGCCATGGCAAATCACAAGCTTCCCCATCCATCCCCTACTCAGAAAATTACATAACTGAAAAGAATGAGGGAAAGAAAAGGGTAAGTGTGATAATCCTGACTTGACCAAATACCCATAAGAAATTTAGATTAACTAGGATTTTAAAAAATAGCTTTATTAAAATTTAATTTATATACCATACAGCTCACCCTTTAAGAGTATGTAATTCACTGGCTTTTGGTATATTCACAAAATTGTGCATTGATCACCACTATTTAATGTCAGGATCTTTATATTCTTTTAGATTAAATATGGATGTGGAACTTTTAAGACAAATGAATAATTTGAGAAATTCAATTCTGTTGTCTTAGGGCTAAATTCACTTGAAAACAAAAATTGGTGGCTTTTGGTAAGGATGATGTTGTAAACATTTTGTCTTAATATTCTGAGGAGACTATTTGCAGGGCCTTCATTGCAGAATTGCCTACCTTATTGAAGCATATTCTTCTTTCAGATGTAATTCACAATCAGGGCTTTCATTTATTCATTCAGCAAGTATTTATTGAGCCTTTACATTTTGCCAGAGTCACTGCTAGGCCCTGGCAGTTCCAAATCAAGTGAGATTTTCTCAGAAACCCTACGGTCACGTGGCTGGAGAGATTGCTAAAGCCATTCTGGCCTTCATGATGCCATCTTGATGCTATGCTTGGGAGGCACGAGGTTGTCAGTGGGGATCCCATAACTATGGACTTGCAAGAAGGAGCTGACTGTATCTGTAAAGAAGATTCTGAGAACCATCTGAATGTTTCATGAGAGACCCAGATTTTCTTGGAGGTTGATTTCACACAGATACAGGAGAAACTGCTAAGCTGTTCTGAGAAGTGGATGTAGATTCTGAGAAGTGCAGTGAAGGTCCTGTAGTGTAATGAGATATGAACAGAAAGATTCCTACTGCAGTGTGGTGTGCCTCCTCACTTCCTTCAGATCTCTACTTCAATATCACTCATCAGAGCAGCCTTCTAAGACCATGTATCTGAAGTAGAATCCTATCCTGCTCCATTTTGCTCTGTTTAAATAGCAAATATTTTTGATAACATCAGAGGGAAGTGAATTCACAGGTTGAGTTAAAATGAGAAATAGAGGTACATTTCTCCACACCTGGATTTTGTGACTGTTGTGGTGGTGACGTTTATGCCAGCTACTAGCAAAAACAACCATTTAGAGAGTACCTCCAATGTGCCATACATGAGTTAAATGTTTATATACACTATTCATTTTATTCTTATGAGATAGTAACAATAGTCACCAATTTACAGGGAAGGAAGCTGACATTCCTGTCTCATGTTACACAATCTGCAAGTAAATTGGGTAGACGTAATTCTAACAAACTTGATTTTAAATTCTTAATTACTATGAAAATATACCTTTAGCAATGCACTCACAACAGAGAGAAAGAGGAAAGGAAATTTAGTGTACATTAGTGATGCCAACAACCTTGCCCATGAGTGAAAGGAAGGATGTCACAATCAGCTGTAGTTCTAGCCCAGAATATACATTATATAAACATATATAATAATATTAATTATATAAAATGCATAAACATATAATAACATTCACTGATAAGCAAGAAATCTGTAACTCATTTTTTTCTATTGTGCCACTGTATGCTGCTATGATAATAACTGCCAAAATTAGAGGTCTTACCAAGCTAGGTATTGTAGAACCAAGACAATGGTAAGAAGTTGAAGGGAAGAATGTAAGAAAATAAATGCAAAGCAAACTAAAACCACAAACCAACACAAAAAAACCCAACTCCAACTAAAAAAAATTAAAACACAACTAATGAACAAAAAATACATAAAATATTTACTTTTCTACGAACTTAGAAATGTCAAAAATAGTTTGTCCCTGTGGAGCAGTAACACGTTTAACTGGGGTTTTTCAGATTGCTTTAATGGAATAGAGATCCAGCATGAAGCCGACCTGTTTCTTAACACAATTTGTCAAATATGTCGCATTCTTATTACTCAAGGATGTCCGTGGATGGAGCAGTGGAATAAACCTCGCCTGAAAGCTTGTGAGACATGCCAACTCTCAGGCACCGTGTGAGACACACTGAATCAGAATCTGCATTTCAATGAGATTCCCAAGGAATTTGCATGCACATTTATGTTTGTATGTACAATACAGTTTGTTTGAAAAAAATAAGGCATGCTAATTTTTATCAGAGATAATATATTATCAAAATTAAACTTTTTACCCTAATATGCCACTCGTGGGCATATGGTTCACAACATTCTTTCTGCCTTTTATGCCACTTTGCCCCTTCTTTAGTTAATAAATTTGATTCTCCTCATACAACCTGGGTTCCCCGTTCTTTCTTCTTAGGTCAAATTTGGTTGTTCTCTTGTTTATGTTACCATGAAACTTAGTTTAGGTAGCTCTAGCAATGTGTTTGCATTGGATTATAATTCTTTGTGTCTCCCACAAGAAGTCATTCTTCCCATTTTCTTCATAAGTGAGGTAAGATATAATTTGGTCATCTGATTATTTCTTCAACATACATTTTATTTTATATAAGAACTTCTAGTAGAAGATTGCTTTTGTTCTATGACTTATTGAATTCATATATTTAAGCTTTGCTTTTAAGGAATATGTTATAAATTAGATAGCTTTTCTTATATTCTGGAGTCATTTGTATTGTATTGCTAGGGATGTGGATAGCACACACCTTTTAAATTACAATGTAATATAGGCTTGAATAAGTAATTCAGACATCACTGATAAGTACTAAGATGAAAAGTGACAATGTTATTAACCTACTCTTTCCTCATTAACCTCATTCTATGCCTAAGAGGTAATAATATTAACAGTTTGGTATGTATCTTCCACACTTTTTCTGTATGCATTGATACGTACAAAATATTATTGTTGGCTAACATTTTAAGTGCTTACTTTTGACATCTCCTTTTGATATATATAATGACAATATTTCTTCAAATCTCTTGTCTTTTATATATTTATGGCATCTTTTGCAGTATGGGATATTAAAACTTATGTAGTAAATTACGTTAATCTTTATGGCATCTGTTTTTTTCCCTCATCTTGTGCCTTTGATTCTGACTGCCAGAAGTGTATTTTACTGGACTGCAATTACCCGGATCGTATCTGGCTTGCCTTCTTAAAATCATGTTTATTCATAATTATCCAGTACTGGTGCTGACACATTAGAAGGACCCAGTAGACATTACTGGACTGACTGACTACTTTTATACTAAAATGAGTTTCACTAATTGAATATATTTTAAATTCTATACCAAATCTCACTCTAAAATCCTATGGAGTGGGTGACATATTAAGAACACTTGAAATGATTAAGCAGAACCTCCATAATTAAGATAAATTTTATTATCTATCATTTTGAAAATTATATCTTAATCCATATCAGAATATACTTATCCTTCAAGCTTTGAAAACTTGATTCTGTTCAGAGTGAACTTATTAGCAGAGTTCTTAAATGAGAGGCTAGATGCTGAAACAAGACTATTTGCAACATAGTTCTCATGCTGTGAAATAAAATTATAATATAAGAGTGATTTCATTTTCTTGCATTTGCTAATTTGCTAAAGAAATCTGTAATTTTTTTAAATGTAAGAGGATTCATAGCTAATGCTATTATTGAAACAGCACAAAACCAGTTGCTGTTATTTAAACATAACAGCTAATGACTTACAGCACTAATTCCCAAACTTCTGTATTTGAAACATGGCTGTATATCATGACACATTTCTGTAATCGTCTACTACTTTTGAAGGCAAACACAACTATTCAAAGGTATATGGGAGTTGGGGGTGGGAGTCACATGTGGGTATGGGAGAAAATTTTCTCTACCAATAAATCTTTTTCCACCCATATTTACTATTCTAAAATCATTATTTATTTATTTATTTATTTATTTATTTATTTATTTATTTATTTTTTGCGGTTTTGGGCAGTTCAATGTACCATTCATTTCCCATTATGCACATTCATGGATACAACATTAAACAGCAGCCACCATACTTGGCAGGCTCCATATTCCACCTCATTATATCTTTACAACAAATGAAAGTAATAAGTGTTTCCCTATCATTTGACATTTGAAAAAATTGGTGTTTGAAGATATTAGGCAACTTGCTCAAGGTTACATAGTGAATAAATGGCAGATCTAGAAGTGGAACTCAGCTCTGTTGCACTGCAAAACTCATGTTCTTTGTTTTATTCTCCTAGGAGTTTCCATTCTCCCAGCAAAATCTGATTTTTCCCAGTGCTTACAGTGTCCCTTATAAGAGTCCAACAGTTTCAGAAGAACTTATTTTCCCCTTTTTCTTTTTCTGTTTGCTTTTTTTTGGTTTCATTCTCCCTCCCTCTCTCTTCTTTCTGGTCTCTGGAAACCACTAATCTACTCTTTATCTTCATGAGATCCACTTTTTACCTCCCATATATGAGTGAGAATATGTGATGTTTGTCTTTCTATGCTTGGCTTATTTCACTTAACATAATGACTCCCAGTTCCCTCCATGTTGTTGCAAACAAAAGATTTCATTTTTTTATGGCTCAATAATATTCCATTGTGTATATGTACCACATTTCTTTATCCATTCATTCATTGACAAACACTTAGGTTAACTCCATATTGTGAATAATGCCACAATAAACATGACAATGCAGATATCTCTTGTATTTATTAATTTTTTTTCCTTTGGATGTATATTCAGCAATGGAATTGCTGGATTATATGGTAGTTCTACCAAAGGCTCTTACTTTTAGTTTGCCTACTAAAACACAATGAGGTACCAGGATGAAATTCAAATAAAGAGAGCAGAAAATTTTATTCACTATTGATCCAGAATTAAGACAGGTTAAGTGTTTTTGAGGTTGGCTACTAGGGTCATAGCTCTTGTAAGAGGAACAAAGTTGGTGGTACAGCAGGAGGCCTAGTCATCATCAGCAGCATCTGATGTGGTAATCAATGTCAATTTTTTTCTATCATTATTCCATGAACTTGCAATCAGATAAAAATACTAATTTATGACATGTTTGGTGGGAATTAATTTTTACTGAGAATGCTTGACAAACTGAATTTTGTAAAATGTTGTGGGCAAATCTTAGCAAGACTAAAATAACCTTGAGCCAAAGTAGAAGCAGATATTGGAATTGAAGGTATTGGAAGTGTTAGACTCTCCTAAGTTTTGAAATTGTGGATTTGAGGCAAGATTGCCTAAATCCTCAAGATGGCAGGAACCCCCAGCATGTTTTTACATCACCTTCAACACCATATATTTGCCTCTGGAGAGAATGAAAAGCAATGGGATTATTGTTTAAGCCATGAATACTATCTACCTGTCAAGTTCCAGCACAGTGCTAAGAGTTTAAGATAGAGTGACACAGAGTAGTGACTGAGACAAGCAGGGTCCAGAACTCCTGGTGCTTTTCAGGTGAGCGGGAGTAAATGACAATGGCAATAATTGTAGCAAGAGGGCAGCTACAGAATTGTCTCAGAACACATCATATTTCTTCAGTTTTAAGATGCCAAAAATTACCAGGAATACCACTGATGTAATCTTATTTTTTTAAAAAGTTTTTAAATAGAAAAAGAATACTTTTTTTTTTTTTTGTGGTTGAGACAGAGTCTTGCTCTGTCATCCAGGCTGGAGTCCAGTGGCAAGATCTAGACTCACTGCAACCTCTGCCTCCCAGGTTCAAGTGATTCTCCTGCCTCAGCTTCCCGAGTAGCTGCGATTACAGTTGCGCGCCACCATGCTCAGCGCAAATTTTTTTGTATTTTTCGGAAAGATGGGGTTTCATCATGTTGGCCAGGATGGTCTCGAACTATTGACCTCATGATCCACCTGCCTTGGCCTCCCAAACATAAATACTATATTGAATGTGCATATCAATTAGAAGATGAGTCTGGATTTCAGAAATGTTTGAATGTGGCTCAGAATTAAGAACATCAGGGAAAATTTTCAAGGGAATTAATATTTAATTGAAGGCTAGAAAGATGAGTAAAAGCTGGAAGTTGTTGATGCATGGTGGAGATAACTGAGGAAGACATGCAGCAGGCAGAAGGAATGACTTAGCTAATGTTCCTAAGATGAAAAAGAACAGTGAACTAAATAGTGCAGAAGGACAGACAACCCCTGAGGCTGGTCATCAACATCAATAAGTAACTCATAGTAAAGTTGAAGAGCTTGCCAGGATTCAATATATGAAAGACTTGTATATCATGACTCAGATTTCATACTAAATCCACTAAAGAGTTTTAAATAGGGGAATGCCATGATCTAACAGCTATTAAAAATGTTATGAGTTCAATGTGAAGAATGAATTGAACTGAGACAGAAGTCAGTGTGGGGAGATACCAATCAGAATGGCATTAATCCTTTTCAGAGAGAGGGGATTCTATGCCACCTGCTTTGTAGGGTTACAAGGAATTAGATATATTTAAAATACATGAAAAATGTGGAACCAATTAAGAAAGAAATTTCTGAGTGTAAGTTTGTTAGACAATAGGTTATCTATAGTGATGTTTGAGAATCCTTATCTGTGGAATACTATACACCTACAGCAGAGTATGTAGCTAACAGCTGGCCAGGCTAGTGCACAGCCCCCTGTAGAGTTATACATCAATCGGTGAATATACACCCCACACTTGTGCAACCAGTATTGTTTGGTTGATGAAAGGATAACAAAATTCAGAAAATAATTACTATATGTTATTGATCTCTATAGTATGAAAGCTGATAAAAACAAATAAACAACGATCTAATGAGTTAGGACAAGAAAGGGTATGTGTTAAAGGAGTGAGGGATTGAACTGGACATTGAAAAATAGGATTTCAAGAGGTTAATGCAGAAGGCTGAGGCATTCTTCATGGGAAGAATAAACTTAGAAAAAGGAAAAAAACACAAGTTGTGTCTGAGACATTAACTTAATGTAAGTGAAGCAAATGTTACATAACTGGACATTGATCTTGTCTTTCTCTCCCTTATGTGCCATGTAAAATCATTCACATAATCACAAAGGCCTATCCATTCTGCTTCTGGGTAGCTCTCAAATCTACATTCTTCTGAAGTGTTTTTCTAAAGTGCATACCTAATCATACTTTTCATGTGCTTAACATCCTTCAACATTTCCCCCATTCTCTGTAGAGAAAGTCAATACTTCGTAATATGACTTATGAGACCTAAATGACTCCATGATCTGTCTCATGCTTAGCTCTCTGGTCTCTTCTACTACTCAACCTGCTTCCCTCTCTTTTCCACTATGAGTACTTTAGCCAGAAGAGATTTCTTTCCTTTTCACCGACATGCCAAGTTCTCTCTTGCCTGTCAAATGCTGCACCTAATTTTTCTTTCTTCTGGAAGCCTTCACTCCTTTATTTATCTTTATCCCCTCATTTTTACATCACTTTCTCGAAAAACTTCCATATTTCCTTCCACAATGAGACTGAGATAACAGCTTCCCCCTTTGTTCCTTGTTAACCTCTTGTTTTTATTCTTATCTTAGCATTTTCACCATGAATTCCTTGCTTGTATTCATATTTGTATCTCCCCTGAAACAACAACAACAAAAACAAACCCTATAAACTTCCTAGTGTATACACTAACTTACATTTCCAGTATTTGTAATAATACCAGGAATTTAGGAGACGCTCAACATGTGTGCTTTGAATGGATGATTGGTTGAATGGTTATCATTTTGAGAAGTGAGGAATTGGCTTGGCTATTTGGAGATCTCCTTATAAGAGCCTTTAGATGCAACTTGAACAAGGTTCGTGTTTTTATTATTTTTATACTAGGGGTCTGCAATCATAAGCCAAATCTGGCACATGACTTACTTGGTTATATCCTGTGAGTTAAGAGTAACGTTTACATTTTTAAAGAAATAAAGAAGGAGGAGAGGAGAAGGAGAAAAGAAGACTGAGATTTTATGTGATCCATAAAGCCTAAAATATTTACTATCTGGCCCTTTACAGAAATTGTTTACCAGCGCCTGTTCTACAAGAATACGTAATATGCCATCTTTGTAAACATTTCCCTAGAATAATGTTGATATTGATGTGCTTTTAACAACACTTGGCTACTTATATACTGAGTCTCTACTGGTCATGTTTTCAGTGTTATGATATAGCAGCTAATTTTCAAATATCCTATTACCTAAATTATTTCTCATTTATCTGTTAGTTTTTTTCCAAAAATCAGGGAGATGAACTGGATTACTAATTTTTCATTACTTGTGCTGATATGGTATCATAATAATACAACTAGGTTTAAGTTATGAGGTCCTTCATATGTAAAAAAGAGAAATGGGAAGTGATACTTCTTAGATTTACTTTTTTCAAAATGAATCCATTTCTTTCTCAAAATAATGCATAAAACAAGTAATATACTTTTTGCCACTAATTTTTTAGTGAGTATACTTCCTCACACATCATAGTTATCAAATAAATGATTGGTGGATGACTGGATGAGTGAATGAATGACCCAGATGGGGTATACTAGTTCAGAGAGTGTAAGTAAATTAGTCTCAGTCATATGACTAGTAAGTGACTTAATTGGATGCTTCAACCTAGGGCTTCTCCTAAGGCCCATACCATTTTGTGTTGCTCAAATAAGGGTGCCTTTTATCTTAAACCTTCCTTAATGAACATGACAATTATAATATATTCAAATATTTTAATATTCATATTTAATATTTATTGAGCTAGGTATTATTATAAGAACTTTACATTAACATATTTATTTAAACCCCACAAAATTGGATGGAGTAGAAAATATTACCAAGTCAATTTAATAAACCCGAAATGGAGGCACAGAAGGAACTAAACGCTGCCACAATCAAACTGTGAGCAAAGCCCTGATGTGAACCACCTTCATTTTCAGAGCTCTTATCTACAGCTGTATACAACTGAAGACTTGCTTTAGGGTACATACCTACTGTTATGTGTATAGCACTATGCTAGGTAATGTTTGCTTAATGATTAGCCTCCCTTTATAATCATAGTGCAGGTTAGCATAATTTTCCTCTTTTGCAAGCTGTGCAATGAGTTTATTTGTAAATCAATACAAATTCTATGGAGGATGAAATTGAAACTTAGAGGTTAAGTCATGTATTTACAAACGAATATTAGTATAAGTAAAATGGATTCATAGACCTTAAAGAAATATGCTATATCTTTTTCTCACACTAACATCTTACGGTTAGTTCCCAAATTAGAGATCCTGAGAATTGTGCTTTTACTATTTATTGTCTTCAACTTGGTGATAAAATATCAGTTTGATAATGAAGCAAATATGCAATATTTTGAAGAAAGCACAGTTTCCAATTGAAAAGTTTTTATATATAGTTATAGATAACCAACTACTTTTACTGACAATAATTTTAATTTTTATAAATAATAAAACCAGTTATGTAGCAGAAAATATCTTTATTTTTGCACTGAGAAAGTTATTTGGTGATATCAGAGTGATACAAGTAATGAACTTGTACACCTGCAAGAAATGATACTTACAAAGAATGTCTTTTTGTGTTTTACTTATTTTTAATTTTAATTATTATGGGTACATATTAGTTCTATATATTTGTGAGATACATATGATGTTTTGATACAAGCATACAATGTGTAATGATCAAATCATGGTAAATGAGGTATTCACCACCTTAAACATTTATCAATTCTTTTGTGTTAGAAACATTCTAATTGCACTCTTTCAGTTATTTTAAAATATACAGTAATTATGGTTAGGCATAGTCACCCTATTGTGCTACCAAATACTAGTTCTTATTCATTCTAACTGTATTTTTGTACCCATTAACCATGTCCACTTTATCTCTCCCTTCCTGTTGTCTTTTCCAGCCTCAGAGAACCATCATTCTACTCTCTACCTTTATGAGGTCAATTTTTTTTTTAGGTCCCACATATAAATGAGAACATGTGATATTTGTCTTTCTGTGCCTGATTTATTTTGCTTAACATAATGTTCTCCAGCTCTATCCATGTTGCTGCAAATAACAGGATTTCATTATTTCATTTAATGACTGAATAATATTCCATTGTTTACATGTATAATAATACCACATTTTCTTTATCCATTCATCCATTAATAGCACATCACCTGATTTTATATCTTGGCTATTGTAAATAGTGCTGCAGTAAACATGGGAATGCAATTTATCTCTTCAGTATACTCATTTCCTTTCTTTTGGATATATACCTAGTATATACCTAGCAGTGGGATTGCTGGGTCATATGGCAGTTATGTTTTTAGTTCTTTGAGGAAACCCCATACTCTATAGTGGTTTAATTACATTCCCACCAAGAGGGTTCCTCTTTCTCCACATCCTCATCAGCATTCGTTATTGCCTGTCATTTTTATAACAGTCATTTTAGCTAGGAGAGGATGATATCTAATTGTAGTATTGATTTGCATTTCTTTTCTTTCTTTTTTTTTGAGACGGAGTTTTGCTCTTGTCGCCCAGGGAGGAATGCAATAGCTTGATCTCGGCTCACTGCAACCTCCCCCTCCTGGGTTCAAGCAATTCTCCTGCCTCAGCCTCCTGAGTAGCTGGGATTACAGGCACACACCACCATGCCCAGCTAATTTTTGTATTTTTAGTAGAGATGAGGTTTTGCCAGGTTGGCCAAACTGGTCTCAAACTCTTGACCTCAGGTGATCCAACCTCGGCCTCCCAAAGTGTTGGGATTACAGGCGTGAGCCACCGCTTCTGGCCTTGATTTGCATTTCTCAGATGATTAGTGATGCTGGGTAGTTTTATATACACCCATTGGCCATTTTGTATGTCATCCTTTGAGAAACATTTATTCAGATCTTGTGCCCATTTTTAAATCAGACTATTTGTTTTTTCCTATTGAGTTATTTGAGCTCCCTATATATTCTAATTATTAATATTTTGTTAGATGAGTAGTTTGCAAAAAAAGACTATCTCATACTGTTTGTGATTATACGTGCATACAAATTTTACATGGTGATTACATATATAGATTAGAACAATGTGTAATAAAATTTATCCAGGTTAGATTTTGAGTATAGATCACATAAAAAACAAGGGTATTATGTTACTGTCTTGTAAACTACTAAATTAAAGGTAAAAGAATATTTAAGAGACAAATCAATAAGGTCAAAATAAGGGAGGTAGGAGAAAACAACAATAAAATTATGGAAGTTAAATTTTAGCTAAAAATGGTGCCTGACTTATAAGAAGTAAGACAGCGGTATTTTTTTTTTAAATTATACTTTAAGTTTTAGGGTACATGTGCACAACATGCAGGTTTGTTACATATGTATACATGTGCCATGTTGGTGTGCTGCACCCATTAACTTGTCATTTACATTAGGTATATCTCCTAATGCTATCCCTCCCCCCTCCCCCAACCCCAGAACAGGCCCCTGTGTGTGATGTTCCCCTTCCTGTGTCCAAGAGTTCTCATTGTTCAATTCCCACCTATGAGTGAGAACATGTGGTGTTTGGTTTTTTAAGACAGCGGTATCTTAAAATGGCAAGTTGAGGGCTGAAAAATGGCCCAATTTATTCCACAGAATGGTTAAAAGTTTTCTGAATTGAGGGCACCATATATATGTAGTTTCAATTATTTTATATACGTGTTTGTGTATATATATATATATATAATAATTGCAACTTTTATTTTGGATTCGGGGGTACATATGCAGGATTGTTACGTGGGTATATTGTGTGATGCTGAGGCTGGGGTATAAATGATCCCATCATTCAGGCAGTGAGCATAATATCCAATAGGTGTTTTTTCATCCCCTGCCTTCCTCCCTCTCTCCCTGCTCTAGTAGTTCCCAGTGACTTTTGTTTCCATATTTATGTCCATGTGTACCCAATGCTTAGCTCCCACTTTAAGTGAGAATATGTGGTATTTGATTTTCTATTCCTTAGGGTCATGGTCTCCAGTTTCATCCATATTGCTGTAAAGAACATGGTTTTATTCTTTTTTATGGCTGCATAGTATTTCCTGGTATATATGTACCAAATTTTCTTTATCCAGTCTACTGTTGGCAGGCACCTAGGTTTATTTCATGTTTGATATTGGGAATATTGTTGCAAGAAACATATGAGTGCATGTGTCTTTTCTGTAGAATAAATTATTTTTCCTTTGGGTGTGTACCCAGTAATGAGATTGCTGGGTCAAATGACATTTCTGTTTTAAGCTCTTTGAGAAATCTCCAAATTGCTTTCTGTGGTGGCTGAACTAATTTCCCACCCACAGTATATAGGTGTTCCCTTTTCTCTGCAGCCTCACCTAGGAAATACCACTACATATTTTTAAAATTGGGATTATTGGCTGAAATTTTGATTCAGAAACAGCTATACACCACAATACCCTTCTTTACTTCTCAGAGCAAAGCAACTTCCTTTAATCTATCCTACATGAATGAAAGAATGAATGAAAAGAATGTGTAATATCCATACAATTGAATATTATTCAGCAATAAAAAGTAAGGAAGTATTGGTGTATGCAGCAGCATGGATGAATATTGGAAACTAAGTGAAAGAAGACAATCACAAAAAGCCATATATTGTATATGTCCATTGATAAGAAATGTCCAGACTAGGCAAATGTATAGAGATAAAAAGGAGATTAGCATTTACCAAGGGCTGAAGGTGGAGGAGAATGGAAAGTATCTATTAATGAGTATGAGGTTTCTTTTGGGGGAAACAAAAAACTGTGTTAAATTTAGATTGTGCTGATGGATGCACAATTCTATGAACATGTTAAAAATGCCTTATGTCGTATGCTCTAGCTGGATGAATAATAATGTTATTTGAATTATATCTCACTAACTCCATTATTAGGAAAACACAACAAAATCCCTAAGTATTTGTTCTTTAGAGAAGATAAAGCAAAGGGTCTTTAAACTAAGACAAATCAGGTACAGTTGAGGGTGGAGAATCCTTGCTGAAAATAAGGGGATAAAGTGAATATTTACATACTGAAGTTCAATACTCTCCAGGCTTTTTACTTCACTTATTCTAGAATGTTGGCCTCCAGGTTTGCGACCTCCCTAGGTCTTCTCTGAGGACTGTGATCAACCCCAAAGGAAACACACACAGATGAGAACATCAGGGGTTCTTCAAACACTGATCAACCAGATTGCCCTGTACTAAAAACTAAAATGAACACCTTTCACCCTGCATGTTCAAAACTTTCCACTAGCTTCGTTATTAACACAATCTTAAACGTGAGTTGTGGGATACTCAAAACTAAGTGTCTCAAATAACTAATAAAAGCCCTGAAAAATATACAGAATAAAACAAATTAAACAAGACAAAGACCATGCAGGGTTAAAAAATGGAAAACTATCACTAATATATTTGAATAAATAAGAAAATATATTGCATCCCTAAACACAGAAATGCAGAGAAACAAAATAGCTTTTGGAAATTAAAAACCTAATAGAAATGACAAACTTATGAAAAGTATTGAACAAAAGTAGAGAAAATCTTCCAAAAACCTTCTAGGAATTAAAAGAAAACTGCAAATAGATAAAAAAGATATAGAAGAATTGAGATATTTAGAGAATCTACCAAGAGGTTCAGTATCTGAATAAAAGAAGCAGAGAAAATCATCACTAAAATAATTTGAGAAAATATTCTAGAAATCAAGGACAGGGAGGATAAGTACTTGTAGACAAGTAGTTACTTAGGTCAGTGATATGAAAATAAGAGGCTAGAGTAGATAGGCTGATACTCAAAAGTCATATTTTAGGCAGGCTGTGAGCATGGGCAATGGGTTCTGAGTATGAGAGAGAGGGTTAGGAATTTGGTGGATGATGGAAGACAGTGAGGGATAATGTTCTTGAAGAAGCACTAGAAGGTCAGCGAATCTTAATGCAGTTGCACCAAGTCAAGCCACAATCAGAAAAAAAAGGAGAATGTGAAAAAAATTAAAGCAAAACAAAACAAAGAAATAGCCTTCATTTAAGATTGTAGTGGAAGCAGTGTCGTCAGGTGACAGCCAAGTTTTTCTATAAGGCAAAGAGATGAAGGGAGCTCTTGGGGCACATTAGAAATACTTCACTGGAAGGAAAGAAGGTGAAGGATTGGTTGCGATTAGGGGATTGGCCAAACATCACAGAAAAATAATTAATGATTTTATGAGTTTGGAACTTCTAGTAGCAATTGAAGTCAACTAAGCTCTGAGCTCTAATTTTGATAGTTTCTTAGAGAGGAATGAGCAAACAATTCTACTGGTGATACACAAAGTGTCCTTCAGTGATTTACAGGGTAGCTAATTACTGAAATTTTGCATGATTCAATTACACTGATAGGGCAACTATGCCCCAGGGCATTATGTGTAATTATGACCATATATGGGAAAACATAAGTCTACTAATTCTGTGTTTTATCATTTTCTTACCACAACCTTCTTTTCCTCTATGTTACTAATTCTGTATTTGGAATATTTATTTCTAGCTATGTATTTTCTTATTGTATGACAAGAGTTTCAGTGTAATATTATGCCAATGATAAGAATTCAGAAAATTACTTTTGAAAAGATGACTCAGAGAGAGAGATCATATTTGGCAAGATTTCAAAACTGTATCTAGAATCATAGACCTAGATGGAACTTTGTGGTGTCCTGTATTCCGAATTTTTAAATAGACATTTTCTTAATCCTTAAAATCATCTAAATATTGTTTGGGAGGATGGGAATAATCTCTTGGAAGAAGTAGATGAAGAATAGAGGAAAATAAATAAGGAGACTTTTCTACTAGCCCAGTCAAAGATGAATACACAAAATCATGACGTTATTTTATAATCCATGAAGATGCAGCCAATAATGGGGATGAGATAAAAGATAGGAAAGGGATAATTGTTTGGAGTCAGAACTTGAATATTTACTCCAATAAAAACACTAACTCAGGCCAGGCACGGTGGCTCACGCCTATAATACCAGCACTTTGGGAGGCCAGGGCAGGCGGATCACGTGAGGTCAGCACTTCAAGACCAGCTGGCCAACATGGTGAAATTCCGTCTCTATTAAAAATACAAAAATTAGCCGGGTATGGTGGCAGGCACCTGTAATCCCAGCTACTCGGGAGGCTGAGGCAGGAGAACCACTTGAATCTGTGAGGTGGAGGTTGCAGTGAGCCGAGATTGCGCCATTGCACTCCAGCCTGAGCGACAAGAGTAAAACTCCATCTCAAAAAAAAAATCAAAACCAAAAGCAAACAAAAAATACCAACTGAAATATCCTAGATTATTAGCCTGCTAGCCAAGGGACTGTAAATTTTTATTTGAAAAATCTTTCAAATTGTATTGAAAAATTACGGAGCAATAGTATATTCATTTAATAAATATTTTGAACTTAGGACATTTTATTATTAAATCATTACACATGACTACATTATTTCCCAGCAGAAAATTTCCTTAAAAAATATGCGTCTTAGCTATCTTAAAGCTCCTTAAATTCAGTGTATTTAAATATATTTACAAATAATTTGTTAAAGATATTTATTGAATATGTATTGTGTTCGACAGTGGTTATAGAAAGCTAGAGAAATGCTCTGACTGGCCGGGCACGGTGGCTCACGCCTGTAATCCCAATGCTTTGGGAGGCTGAGGCTGGTGGATCACGAGATCAGGAGTTTGAGACCAGCCTGGCCAACATGGTGAAACCCCATCTCTACTAAAAATACAAAAAATTAGCCAGGCGTGGTGACAGGCACCTGTAATCCCAGGCACTAGGGAGGCTGAGGCAGGAGAATGGCTTGAACCCAGGAGGTAGAAATTGCAGTGAGCAGAGATGGCACCATTGCACTCCAGCCTGGGCAACACAGTGAGGCCCCATCACACACACACACACACACACACACACACACACACACACACACACACAAAAGAGAGATAGATGCTCTGATCTCATGTATCTTACATCTGATACTGTAATATATGTTGTCTGGGGCTTTAAAAAATGTGGAAGAACCAGGCTTACTTTGAAGGTCCAATTTCTGTAATTTATTTATTTTTTTCTAATTTTGCCTTGATTTTTCATTAGGCTAACATTTGAGCCAAATTTTATTGTCTGAATGGTTAAAATTTGATTTTTTTTCATTTAAACAGCATTTTGCCTTGGAGCAACCTGTGCATTTGATTTCATATAATTGCGGCAATTAACCAAGAGCTAATAAATCACAATACTTCTTAGGCAACCCATTGCCATGTTCATAAAGTAGAAGGGAAAAGCAAGTTATATTTGTGTTTAAAATATTCAGGACAACAAAGTACAAAGTTATTAGTCTGATGATTTGAGGAAAAGGATTATGCATGCAAAGAACAACATTTGTTGTGTCTAAAATATATACTACTGAATTTTAGGATCTTGAAAATGTGTACGTAGCATGTCTCTTTTTCGTAATGAATTTTGTAATCATCAAATTTTTAAAAAAACTTTAAAAATAGAGAATAGCATAGAAAGAAATCAAAAGTTATCTGTGATTCTTCAAACCTGGGATAGTCATTGAATGTGTATTTCTACTTTTGTTGAGCATTTTTTTGGTAAATATATATGTGAATATATTTATATAAAAGTGAACTTGTGGCACATTTAGTTTTGTAACTTGCAGTTTCAAGTTAGAATTTTATACCCTATTTTCTCAAATCATTAAGAATTATTATAAGATATATTTTTAAATACTGCATAATATTCCATTTTATAGCCATTCCATGAGTCACTGTTATAAGGGATATACCTAATGTGGTTATCACAGACATATTCACAATATTATGCAAAATTTATTCTCACCCTTTAGATTCAAAGATGACATCATATACCATATTTCTTGTGTGAATATTTGTAACAGATGGTCACAGTAGATTGTGCATATGTTCCTGTTGTAGTCTGTTCAATCATTAATTACATAATCTAAAACTGACTATGTTTTGAGTATGAGTGCCTAATGCCTGTTAGGTGCACAGATAATAAATTTATCTCTGATCCACTTTTGATCATTCTTTTAATTATGAGTTATACATATATGTTCACTCAGTATTATTATTTTAGCTAACCATTTTATTAAGTGACCATCTATTCTAGTTAGGGCAGAATGTTAGCTTTGGAAGATGGAAAGAGTAATAATTTATTTAATTCTCTCCAGGAAGATCCCAAACACTTAATCATAGCACAGTGAGCAGAAGAAACAGTGAGAGCCTGTGGATCTATGGAGAGTCCTGAGTTGACATCTCCACAGAGTCTCTTACCACCCTTTAATGCTGAGCATTTCACTTAATGTCTTTAAACTTAGTTTCTTGTATTATAAAATTCATATACTTACAGGTAGCTTGGTAGAAAGCACTATAAACAACCATCATAATTCCTTTATAACACTGGCTGACACATAAAAGGTGTGCCACGAATGGTGATAATTATAATTAGTATAATTAGGATCTACAGGGATTAGGACAACTTTCAGAAACTCAACATCAGATCAGTTACAGATGAGAGACCATATGAGGATACCATAGAAAGACAAATGGTTCTCTGTAAGGTCTGTAATGAAATCTGTGACTGTAATTTTATAGCAATATCCCTCTTCTTCTAAATCTCACTCAACAGCAAATCAAGAACCAGACAATTTTAATTATATGGGCCCCATGAAAGGTAATAAATGGCTGTTCATAAACACTCCCAGTGATTTTCATGAGCTAAAGATAAATCTTTGGACATGGACTTCTGCTTTTTTGGGTGGTGCTTACAGATGGGCAGTTGATTATGATGCATTAGTCAGCAAAGGTTAATAGTTTTCAAGGGAAGCTTTGGGCCTCCCTTATAGGATAATGAAATCCACTGGAGTGGCTCAGAGCAGCATGTTGCAGAAAGATGTATCACTCCCACTTATGATAGAACATATCTGTCTAGTATTACTAAATATAAATGGATTTCTATTTACAGTAACTATGGAGTTCCTTTACTGAACTTTTCTGTAAAATTAGGAAGAAGAATGATTAAACAAAGGTTTTCTACATTCTTACTAAAATGTTAATAATTGATGAATTTGTGCAGTGAGCTTTTACTTCTAAAGCCACTTTATAATATCTAAAATATAAATGAATACTTAATTTTTTGTTCCAACTCAGTAAACTTAGGCATACATAAATATTTTTAAAAAGAAATCATGAAGTTTTCAGCTTTCGTTAATTAAAATACCATTAGTTTCTAGTTAATTAAAACAGCATAACATAGTAGCAAGTGATAGCTCAGATAATGGAACACCAAAGCAACAACCTTCCTTCCTTTTTCTTGTTATGGTCTGTGTATGATAAAGTTAATGTTTATCTCTAATTCCAGAGCAACACTGCTAGCTCCAGTAGCAAGAGGAAACTAAAAAAGCTCAATGTTTTCTTCAAACTAATTACACTTTTAACCAAGCAATCCCTTGGGGTACTAGAGAAAGAAGCAGCTAATGTTTTGCTATAGAATGCCTGAGCATTTTCATTTGTGTGTGTGTGTATAAATATATATGGTGTGTGTGTGTACATATATACACACACACACACATTTTGTTCATATATAACTTAAAAGAAAAGCTTGAACATATGAGTGTGACTTTTTCTTTTGAACCACTGAGGTCTAATTTATTATTAGTTGCATGCAAGTTGACTGATACAAACCTTTGCACAAGGTGTGAAGACAGGCATCTCTCATGTACATTAATGCTTTTAATTATATTGCAACAAATTTCAAATGTACTTTAATGTACGAAACATTCCAAAGACCTAAAATATTGTAAAACGATTGTTTTGTTATAAAGATTCATACTTAATTCATACTTAAGCCACCAGTAACTTTTCACTAAAAATTCTTCCAAGATGATTAATATTAAAATCTTGGCCGGGTGCGGTGGCTTACGCCTGTAGTCCCAGCACTTTGGGAGGCCGAGGCGGGTGGATCACAAGGTCAGGAGATCGAGACCATCCTGGCTAACATGGTGAAACTCCGTCTCTAGTAAAAGAAATACAAAAAATTAGCCAGGAGTGGTGACGGGCACCTGTAGTCCCAGCTACTTGGGAGGCTGAGGCAGGATGATGGCCTGAACCTGGGAGGTGGAGCTTGCAGTGAGCGGAGATTGCGCCACTGCACTTCAGCCTGGGCAACAGAGCGAGACTGTGTCTCAAAAAAAAAAAAAAAAAAAAGCAAAGAAATCTTAAGATATTAATAGCTTCAAAATTTTATTGAAATATTTTAATTCATAACTCATTTATTCATCTGTACCTTAAATACTTAGGGTACATATGTGTCAGTCATTTTCTAAGTGATGAAAATCAAGATAGATATCATTTATTTGGAATCTACTATTTTAAAATAGTTCATCCATTGTTAATACATTAGTGGCAATAAGTAAAGTAGTTAACATAAGGGTTCTTAAACCAAACTAACGAGTTTGAATACAGGCTTCCCCTTGCTAGCTATGTAATCTTGTTTCTCGCCTCTCCGTACTTCACTTTTCTCATCTATACATTCAAGAAAAATGCCACCTATCTCCATTGTTTTTCTATATAAATGGAAATACTAGAACTTCCTTCCAGGTTTTTTGGAAATCTAGGTGTGTTACTAGTGTATGTGAGAGTTCTATAGGAGGAATGAAATAGTCTTATATCCTTTTTGTCACTCCAAATTCTTAATGCTATTTATTTATTTACTTTTTAATTTTCAACTTTCACCCATCATCTCACAACATATCGAGTACTCTGCTATCCTTCTGTTAATGCTTTTCTTTCTTCTACAAAATTTTCTAAGGTTTTTGGAAAAAAACCCCAAAAAACAAAAAACAAAGGTTGGTTTTGAAATGTAGAATGCACATAACCAAGACAATAATAGGAAATGACTTAAAAGTATATATTAGACATAATGATTTTGTAGGTTTCCTGACCACTTTCTGGTGAACTATTGTAGGATCCCTGTGTGTCGTTTTAAAAATTAATCTCTTCCGCCTAAAACCTATCTCCCAGTTTTCTTGTCTTTTCTATGATACACTCTATCATGCTTTTCCCTAATAGTCACACAAAAATATCTCAAAGGAAATCAACACATTTTAACAAGAATTTTATACGAAGTTGGAAATACAATCTAGGAGCTTGTTGAATAAGATGTGCACAAATTCTAATTGGGTGACTATGAATTTTTATAAAGTGAAAGAAACAGTTTAATATGCACCCAGATCAAGAAACTCAACATAATCAGAGACCCGGAAGCTCTACAAACTCTTTTGTGACATGCCCTTGTCACCCTACCTTTAACCCTCCTTCGGCACTAAGGTTAACTATCATCTTAACTTTCAACATCAAACAGTAGTTTTGTCTGGTTTTGCATTACCTACTTTAACTCCATCAAGAATACTTAAGTGTAAACAAAGCCACCTTCCTTCCCACACTCTTATGAACTGATAAAGAAAAATGAAAATTAATTCTCATTGGAAAGCTATCGGGATACTTCTTAAAAAACAGATTCACTGATAGAAATATTGTTTCGAAATAGAAAAACAAAAAACATTTTTTGATGGAGTTGTTTGTTTTTCTCTTGTAAATTTGTTTGAGTTCATTGTAGATTCTGGATATCAGCCCTTATGTCAGATGAATAGGTTGCGAAAATTTTCTCCCATTTTGTAGGTTGCCTGTTCACTCTGATGGTAGTTTCTTTTGCTGTGCAGAAGCTCTTCAGTTTAATTAGATCCCATTTGTCAATTTTGGCTTTTGTTGCCATTGTTTTTGGTGTTTTAGACATGAAGTCCTTGCCCATGCCTATGTCCTGAATGGTAATGCCTAGGTTTTCTTCTAGGGTTTTTATGGTTTTAGGTCTAACGTTTGTCTTTAATCCATCTTGAATTGATTTTTTATAAGGTGTAAGGAAGGGATCCAGTTTCAGCTTTCTACATATGGCTAGCCAGTTTTCCCAGCACCATTTATTAAATAGGGAATCCTTTCCCCATTGCAGAGAAATGCAAATCAAAACCACAATGAGATACCATCTCACACCAGTTAGAATGACAATCATTAAAAAGTCAGGAAACAACACGTGCTGGAGAGGATGTGGAGAAATAGGAACACTTTTACAGTGTTGGTGGGACTGTAAACTAGTTCAACCATTGTGGAAGTCAGTGTGGCGATTCCTCAGGGATCTAGAACTAGAAATACCATTTGACCCAGCCATCTCATTACTGGGTATATACCCAAAGGACTATAAATCATGCTGCTATAAAGACACATGCACATGTATGTTTATTGCGGCATTATTCACAATAGCAAAGACTTGGAACAAACCCAAATGTCCAACAACGATAGACTGGATTAAGAAAATGTGGCACATATACACCATGGAATACTATGCAGCCATAAAAAAGGATGAGTTCATGTCCTTTGTAGGGACGTGGATGAAATTGGAAATCATCATTCTCAGTAAACTATTGCAAGAACAAAAAACCAAACACCGCATATTCTCACTCATAGGTGGGAATTGAACAATGAGAACACATGGACACAGGAAGGGGAACATCACACTCTGGGGACTGTTGTGGGGTGGGGGGAGGGGGGAGGGATAGCATTGGGAGATATACCTAATGCTAGATGACAAGTTAGTGGGTGCAGCACACCAGCATGCCACAGGTATACATATGTAACTAACCTGAACATTGTGCACATGTACCCTAAAACTTAAAGTATAATAATAAATAAATAAATAAATAAATAAATAAATAAAAACAAAAAACAAACGTGTTTTTGAACCTGACTTCATTTCTTGCTAACACTGGAATTCTGAGCAGTTTATTTAATGTCTCTGATTCACAATTACCTCCATCTTAATGAAATTGTTGTAAAGATTGAGTAGGATGTGGAAGAGCTTACTAAACTATAAAGTGCTATAAAAATGTAAGATATTAGCAGCAGCAGCAGTAGTTTTGCAAAAAAAGAAAATTGAGAGACGACTTTGGGCAAGGCTGGTCAGTATAGGATGTGTTCCAGAAATGGCAAGTACCGTATACAGATGAGATTGCAGTTATAGTGTCAGGTACATGGTGGAGAGATTAATTATGGGCCATTAAATTAAAAATATAGTTTGGACATATGTTGAACCTATCTCTATTAATACTCAGTATCACCTAAACATATTTTTTAAAGTTACTTATTATTTAAAGTTATTGCTTTTTTGGTAGCAATTGAGACTATGTTTTAGAAATTTAGGTATGGTGAACTTTTTTTAATAAATTTGAAACAAAAACATAATTTTAGTTCAGCATCTGAACTTCAGAATGTGAAGGGTAGTATAACTTGTATTACTGGGAAGAGAAACCTCTGGACTGATTTCTTCTCCTTAAAGATCCTGTTGTGGGGCTGGGCGCGGTGGCTCAAGCCTGTAATCCCAGCACTTTGGGAGACCCAGGAGGGCAGATCACCTGAGGTCAGGAGTTCGAGACCAGCCTGGCCAATATGGTGAAACCCCTTCTCTACTAAAACTACAAAAATTAGCCAGGCATTGTGGCAGGCACCTGTAATCCCAGCTACTCGGGTGGCTGAGGCAGGAGAATCGCTTGAACCCAGGAGGCAGAGGTTCCAGTGAGCCAAGATTGTGCCATTGCATTCTGGCCTGGGGAACAAGAATGATATTTCATCTCAAAAAACAGAAAACAAACAAACAAAAAAGATCCTGGTGTGAACGAGAAAAGAAAAAAGTACTTCTTTGGCCACTGAAAAATATTACTTGGTGATCAAAAGGTAAAATTTAATTATCTAAGACCATGGGTTTAATTCTCATGTCTGCATAGGAATCACTTGAGTGGTTTGTTAAAATGCAGGTTCTGAAAACTACCTTTGGAGATTCCAGTTCATTATGTCCCTGAGTGGGCCCAAGTGATCCTGATAAATGTGCTCCAGGAACAACATTTTAACCATCACTGAATGACAGAATCAAATATTCTGATTCTCATTTTAGGGGACAAAGAAACTGAAAAATATCCAACTCTTAGGCACAAGCAGGTCAGGAGGGAGGACAAATACTGAAGCACAGTAGAGCTTAGGAAAGAAAAGAAGGGTGGAAATATGAGTATTCAAGTGAACCAGGCAAGAAAAGATGCAGAACCCCAGAAGAGCAGTAAAAGTCACATGAGGATCACATAAGACAGAGAAAGTGTGCACATGAGAGATGCTTCAGAAGAGTACAATTCAAGAAGTTTAAGAAAGTGATCATTCAGAAGACTGTAGAGGCGGCTAATCTTTAGTACTATGTATTAGCCTGTTTTCACTCTGCGCTGATAAAGACTTCCCAAGACTGGGAATAAAAAGAGGTTTAATTGGACTTACAGTTCCTCATGGCTGGGGAGGTCTCAGAATCATGGCGGGAGGAGAAAGGCACTGCTTACATGGCAGTGGCAAGAGAAAATGAGGAAAAAGCAAAAGCAGAAACCTCTAATAAACCCATCAGATCTCATAAGACTTATTCACTATCACGAGAATAGCATGGGAAAGACCAGCCCGCATGATTCAATTACCTCCCCCTTGGTCCCTGCCACAATACATGGGAATTCTGGGAGATGCAACTCAAGTTGAGATTTGGTGGGGACACAGCCAAACCATATCATACTGTGACTTATGACACTTGATAAATGTGAAAGAAATCTATCAGTTCTGTTATTTAGACACAATAAAATAATAGAAGAATAACATGCAGTTCCAAGACACAGCATCACCCATTCAGGGCTAGAGAATGTGCACTAACACTGAGGCTGACTTAGGTTTTGTGGGTCTAAAGTGTATTCAGTAACAAAAGAAACGAAACAAGAATGCAAAATTATGGATTCTAATGCATTTTTCTTTAGAAGGATAATATAAATTACATAAATTTTAAAAAGCTGACATTCACAACATTTAGAATAGTAACATAAAATAACTATAGCAATTGACTGGCACATGTCTACAATATTCTCCTTAATTTGTTTTGGCTGCATACTCTTGGGTCTCTTTGTAATTTGGCAGTTGTCTAATACTGCTTTTTTTCTTTCTTTCTTTGAGACAGGATCTTGCTCAGTCTCCCAGGGTGGAGTGCAGTGGTGCAATCCCAGCTCAGTCACTGCAGCCTTGACCTCCCAGAATCAAGCAGTCCTCCTGCCTCAGCCTCCAGAATAGCTGGGACTATAGGCTCATGTCACCATGCCTGGCTAATTATTTTATTTTTATTTTTTGTAGAGACGGGGTCTCACTGTCTTCCCAGGCTGATCTCAAACTCCTGGCCTCAAGAAATCCTCACACCTCAGCTTCCCAAAGTGCTGGGATTACAGGTGTGAACCACCACATGTGGCCTAATATTGCTTATTAAAAGAATAGAAAGATAATAAGTTCTGGTCTGTAGCATTAGTTATTGAATTGTTACAAGTTGTTATTATTACTATTGAGAGTTTTGAAAAGTTTATTTCGGCTTCACAGTTCTATATCCACGATGCTGCATCTGTACCTTTCTTGGCAGTTCCTTGCTTGGGTGAATCTCTTGCTGGGAGAAGTCCTCAGAAAATTCAGGCCGTTGTTTTTTCTTGGGCCCTGACACTTGCTGCTTCTTGCAGTTCCATCTCTGCATGATCCTTTTTGCTGCTACATTTTCAGAGTTTGCGGAGAGGCTGAGCGTCGGCTGAGATGGCCATGAAACTATACCTACAAAATGTAGAGAGCAGAGTGAGGTCTGCAGTCTGCTTTTCCTGGGGCTTTTTGATGCTCATTTAAGTTTATGAGGGACAGGTTGTCACTGGCTGTGTGTGGATTCCAGCCTACAACCTGGAGACGACCACTGGGACAGGGAAGGCCCTAGGCTGGGACAACGACTATGTCCTTTGTATTCTTGGAGAACAACTCTCTATCCTGAGGTGTTACGCGTTTGCTAATGAAAATATGGTTTTAGCACTGGTTTGAATTCCTAACATAGTAATTGGTATGTCATGCATTTCCAAACCTCAATAGTCCCCAGAGATCATCTAATGTTTGGATTCATGTTCAGACAAGGAAGGGATATCAATGATTGGGTTATTCTGAAGCACTACATACCTTGCAGAAAACAGTGTTTGAATTACCGTCATAGGCACAGAGGCCTTATAGGCATATAGGCACCAGTGCCCTTTTGGTCCTGATACAAATGAAATTTGCATGATTGTTTCCAAACATCAATTAGCTAAGGCTCATGGGATAAAAACCTATTTATCATTACCATATCAAAGTCTAAACATAAAAATATACTTGTAGCCATCAAAAGATTATATAATTTGCTTCAAATTAGAACCAGACATAACTAAACTATTATTTTGAATGGTGTGTATCATGCCCTTCCCCAATTTTTATAGTTAGCTGACAAATAAAATGACATAATTAAATATCTTACAATTGTGCTGTATTACATTATATTTTCTGAGAACTTTTAGAAAGTTGTTCCTCAACTTAGTGTTCTAAATTGTGGGTTATCATAATCACCACTGATAATTTGTTCCATTGATTGAACCACTTAAGGGATTCTGCCAGTCAAATGATGAGCACTTTTTAGGGGATAATCTATGGAATAATTGAAGTGTTTAGAAAAACTGACTGTGAGTAATAATTCTATTGTATTTGACTGACAGAAGAAACGCCTCATGATTATTTAGTGCAGGATCTAAAGCAATGCTTATCATTAATCTGATTTTTCCATCCTAGCTAAAGTCAAAACAAAATCATATTGTTGGAAGAATGCAGAATACAGAAAGCAAGCTTGGGTTTTTGTAAGGTATACTGTTGTTAAAGAACAAAATATAATATTCTGATGTCCTAGATATTGTGGTGTTGGTAGTATTCATGTCTAGTGTGGTGACTGGACACTTGACCAGTGGTCTCACCAAAGAGTATTTTGTGTGTGTGTGTGTGCACATGCGCATGTGCATGTAAAGAGATACAGTGGGAACTGGAATTGGGTGAGTTCATGTAAAACATGGTCGCAATCTCCATCAGTGTCTCCTTCCCCTACCCAAAGCCACCTTTGAATATCCATATTTATTAAAAGTAAACATGCAGTTTAATTAAAATTCATGTACATGCCATGTAGATTCAGGATTAAGATAAATCATAGAGCCCTGACTTTCAGCTATATTCCAACTAGATTTTCTCCACTAAGTGTCTCCTGTATAAGTATTCTTGTGTGGCATCCATACTTGATAGAACTGTGAGTGGGCAGAAGGAAAGAATGGCAGGCTAGTACAGAATAGCTGTATTATGCAGCTAGTGGACTCTTGTACATTACTGATTAGATCTCATGTGATACATTGCACTGAGTGTCTTCTTCATGTGCCTATGGCATCATATCAATGTTCTGCAGGCTGTTCAATGAGAAAAGAGGTGAACCACACAGTCAGGTATAATGGATTAGACTGGAGTAAACAAGAAATACAATCTTACAATTCCAGTTTTCAAGGGTTGTGTTGAGTGGATGGGCAAGAGCCTAGACTGAGGTCTCTTTTCTGTACAGACATGCACACAGACAGACAGTCAGACACACACACACACACACACACACACACACATATAACCCCACTGAGTTTTAGGAATTTCTTGGATTCCTTCTAGTAAAATTAAATCTAGTCAAAGTATTGGATTTGTGTTATATATTCAAACTTTAAACATAGTATTTCCTGGGGATACTAAGATTTATTCTGAGGTATACGGGTAGCAACTAATTGGTAAAACTTAGCATCCAAGTGTTGAAATTCTCCTCCCTGTTTTAAGTTAGAAATAATCATAGCAAGAATTGATTAATGCTGAATGATCAAGATACAGTAAATTATCTTTCATAATTCTAAGAGGAAACGAATTAAATGTAGACTTTATATATAATAAAGTATACCCTTCATATGAGTTTTATCATAGTCTTGTGTTATTGCTTACACTTTTAGTGTTATACTGCTATTGGTCGTGAACTGAGTGTAGGAACTATGTTTCATATTTCTTGGTATCTCAATCCTAGCTTCCTGTCATTAGAGATGCTTAATAAATGCATGTAATAATGTTATTTAAACATTTTTAGAGCTACCACTGCTCTTTACTTATTTCTAGGAATACCCTCATGTACAAAGGACAAAGGAGCAAGATGAACAATTTTGCAATGATGTATTTACTGTTCCACCAAACTCTGTTCTCTATGTAAAGCAATGAATCAATGAAATTTATTAAATAGCAATATTGTGCCCGGCTGGGTCCCATCCCTAATGTCCACATAGCAAAATGTGTTATATATACACATTCCCCATTTCTTGAGGGACATAATAGCTAAGGAACAGTGCAAATCTGGGATCTTGGAACTCCTAGTACAGGTGCTATTTTTTTCACACCCCCTGAGCTCATGAGCGTCATCAGTTCTGATCTCTAATTTGAATATTGCCCTCTCTCTCACTTAGGTTGGCTCTTATCATTCTTTATTTGTTATTATGATTTCCCTTTACCTATTTTTCCTTCCACTATCCATATGGCCTAGTTTGCATTTCAGTTGTAGAGAAACTTCTCATAACCCATAAAGAAAAACGAGAAAGATATGATTACAATTTTCAAGCATGTAGTTGCTATTATAGATGGTATAGAAGAGTATATTTATTTAGGATATTTGTTGTTCTGCCTTTGTAACAGACATTTCAGCATGTTGAAGTCATGTCTCTGAGTTGCCCTTGTCTTTTCCAATGAAGTTATCCCTCTCCTAGGAGCCATGCTCCTGTTTTGCCAGCTGATTTAATGATGTTTGTATGAATAGTGTTGAAAGTGACACTGCCGTCATGTTGGTTGCAGAGAGGTCATCAAAAATATAGATGGCAACAAGCAATCAATATATCTCTATTATACACAGGTGGAAGGGAAGTGTTTAAGACAGCATTTCTGTCATCTAAAGGTGCTTATATATTCTCAAAGTAGCTGTCTTTAAAAGAATCAATTTTTAATGGGGTTAGGGCCTTATCACTTTAAAACTGTTTGGCCAGTCTATAACTTTCACAACCACCTCTATGTCATTTCTCATTTGTGAAGTTCTGTTTCAGCAAAAGTACCTAGAGAAAAATTTTCAAACAAACAAAAAGCCATCTAGTTTTTCTTTGAAAGAAATTTCTTATATAACAATTCAAATTTTGTGGATTTTGAAATTAATAGCTCCCTATTAAAACAAAATACCAGTTTTCAAAAATAGTAAACCCATTATGAAAAGAGCATGTATTTTTTAAAAATCCTTAAACTTAGAAGTAAAACATAAATAAATCCTTCCTATAGGTGGCTTAATAATTGGATAGGAGTAAAAAATGGGTTGGTTAGAAGTAAGAACTCTTTCAAGCTGGATAATGACAGTACTGATATGAAAGCAACTCAGGCTTCACCAGATCTTGACATCTTAGCATTAACAGCTTCAGGGACCCAGCTCTTCTTGCTGAGACTTACTATAGTTATCTGCTATATCTGAGTCTCACTGGCATTCCAAAACATTTCTATTTTAACACAGTAATGTTGATCTAATGGCAGTAACTTTTGGCTTTGTGTTGAAAGACTTGCAACATCTATTACATAAAAAATGTACCTACTTTAATTTTCTCTACATAAAATTTTACCTTACAGCTTTTTTTTTAACATTTTATTGGTTTATAATTGGCATATAATAAATCACATATATTTAAACAGTAAAATTTAATGTTCTGCCATACGAATCAACTCCACATTCAAGGTAATAAAAGAATGTATCAACTCCAAAAGATTTCTTATGTCCTTCTGTCATCCTTCCTTTCATTGCACTGGATCACATTGTGCCCCTTTTCCTTAGCAACCATTAATCTGCTTTCTGTCACTATTAGTTTGTATTTTCTAGAATTTTTACATGATCAGAATCATAGAACACTATTTTGTGTAGATTATTTCACTCAATTTTTCTTGAGATTTATTTCTGTTGATAAGTATATCAATACTTCATTTCTTCATATTGCTGGGTAGGTTTCCATCATATGAATTTATCCCATTTTGTTTATTCATTAACCTGCTGATAGACATTTGGACTGCTTCCAAATTTTAGTTCTTATATATAAAACTTCTATGATCATTCTTCTTCTAATATTTGTAGGGATATATTCTTCCATTCTTCTTGAATACCCAGAAGTAGAATCTCTGAGTTATATGGTAAGTATATACTTATCATATTAAGAAATTATCAGATCAATGTATTTTTTGAGGTGGTTGCACCATTTTACATTTCAACAAGCAGTATATGAGGGTTTTAATTGCTCTATATCTTTGCCAAGAATTTGTATGGTCAGTCTTTTCTGGAAAACTTTATAGTTAATGTTACTTTTGATTGCCAAGTCATATTATGTGCATTTGTGGGGTACAATGTGATGTTTTGATATATGTATACAAAGTGGAATGATTAGATCAAGCTAACTAGATGTGTAACGGTATCTTATTGTGATTTTAATTTACATATCATAATAACTAATGATACTGAATATCTTTTCCATGTACTTATTTGGCACCCATGCATCATTATAGATGAGATATTTATTCAAATATTTTGCTAACTTTTATATTTGGGTTATTTGTTTCCTTATTATTTAGTTTGAAGTAGTCTTTATATATTCAGGATACACCTGTTTTGGATTTGTGATCTACAAATATTTTCTGCCATATGGCCTAGTTTGCATTTCAAGCGATTCTCTTGCCTCAGCCTCCCGAGTAGCTAGGATTACAGGCACATGCCACCATGCCCGGCTAATTTTTATATTTTTATTAGAGATGGGGTTTCTCCATGTTGGCCAGGCTGGTCTCGAACTCCTGACCTCCGGTGATCTGCCCATCTCAGCCTCCCAAAGTGTTGGGATTACAGGTATGAGGCACTGTGCCCGGCCCCTATTCAGGTGATTTTCTCTAGCTCCCTACTTTCTTAGATTCTGTCTCCAATTCCTACTTGGGGTGAGAATGGATTCAACTTGCCATCATTGGGCTGTAATTGGAAGACTACAGTCCCTGCAGTCTCTACTGCCACCACACCAGAGGGTGAGGGCAATGCTGTCCTGGGTCATTTGATGCCACTCCTCCCACTGACACGATGGGTGGAGGGGTCATCATCTGTGGTGTTTGTTCCTGAGTCCTAAAGTCCCTAGACCACCCAACTTTATAGCTCCATCTTTCATAACCTTCTTACTATTTTCTATTGTATTATGTCCTTAGCAAAAACGAGCAGAGAGAAATAAATGTATACTAAATGTATACTACTTTTCGTCACTAAAATAGATTTTTTAAAAATCAGGAAACACTAATATCTTGTGGAATTGCATATCTGTGGAAACTAGTTGTGAAATACTACTGAATTAATTTATGGAGGAATGGAGAAAATTAGGGTTTGTTTGTTTGTTTTTGAGAATAAGTCTCACTCTGTTGCCCAGGTTAATGTATAGTGTCACAATCTTGGCTCACTGCAAACTCCTCCTCCCAAGTTCAAGCAATTTTCCTGCCCAGCCTCCTGAGTAGCTGAGATTACAGGTGCCTGCCACCATGCCTTGCTAATTTTTGTATTTTTAGTAGAGACAGTTTCCCCATGTTGCCCAGTCTGGTCTTGAACTCCTGACCTCAAGTGATCTTTCCGTCTTGGCCTCCCAAGGTTCTGGGATTACAGGCACAAGCCACCGCACCCAGTCAGGAAATTCTTAGTTTTCTTATGCTCACTAATTTCCAACTCTGTCTACCTGTATTCCTTATTTAAGAATAACACATGATGAAGTAGATTATTCTATATATTCTATAAATACTATTAGTGATAGTGTTTATATACTATGGCATAGATGCACTTCCCAATTAGGAGCCATCACTCCTTTACTGCAGAACCATAGGCAAATTACTTAGCTTCTCACTCTTGATTTCATTTCCAGAAAGAAAATGGAGATAATACTATGTTGTATTCCTCAAAGTTTTATTTTTTTCATTTCTTATGCTCATTCTTAACCAGTTAGGATAGTTACATCCCTCTTACTTTAGTGATGTAATTAATCTAATTTAGTCCAGTAAGGTATGAGGAGAGGCATACTCAAAGCTCCTGGGAGAGAAAGGCCAATCTTTTTCTAGCTGGATGGGATTGAGAAACATATTAACCCAGCTGCCTCTTTAAGCCAGTTTGCAATCAGAAGGCGAACTAGACTTAGGATGAAATTTATACTTTTTAAAGAAGAATGAAACTAGGAAAAACATGGATCATTAAGAACATTAAGGAAGTACTACATCAAACAGCCTTGAAGTCTGTCCTTTTTCTGGACATCTTCAAATGTGATATAATATTTTTTAAAAAATGATAGTGAAGTCAACTGGAGTGGCATAATTTGCAGTATCCTAAGTTAGTGGAGAATAATAATGAATCTTGATTTATAGTGTGGTGAAAATTAAATGAAATAATAAACGTTGAGTACATATCACAATTTCAAGCACATGGAAGGAGTTCAGAAACTGGTATTGATTATTTTAGATTTTGGGAGGTTAAGATTGGAGTGAGGGAGATTAAGATCATACAGAGCATAAAAATTCAAGTTTTTGTAGGAAGTACATATTACTAATGATGAGCATTTCCCCCTTCTTTGCATTCCAGATAAATCAGGCAAATTCATTTCCTATTTGAATATTGAGCCTGCCACATATAGCTTTAAACTGCTCTGAGACAGAGCTATCTCCATCTTTGTGGTTCCATTTCAAATTATTTTTCTGTTGTGGCTCACTGACAGCCTCTGAGTTTAGAATTTCTTAGTTGAACATGGTTACTTAGCCATCCATTTTGTTCAAAAAATAGTCATTTAGTCATCTAGGAATTATTACTTTCAAATTTGCAACTGTTTAGAAATAATAGTATCTTAAGAAACCAAATATATATTAGAAAACACATTAATAGGCTTGGATGTGCCAAAAACATCACAAATTTAAATGACTAGATTCTCACAAATAGTCTGTTTTTTAGACACAGACTAAATATTCGTGGTTTACAAGATGTATACTAAAATATAGATCTCAATAGGATGAAGAAGTCATGTAACATATCGTAGCCTTCCTTACATATCTTTATTATGATTAGATATTAAAACAATGGCTGGGTCAGAAATATAGCGATTTTTCAGTGAACCAAGATGGTGAAAGTTACCACAATCATGGGCCCTAGAATTTTTTAAAACTTTTAATCCAGAATTTAAATTTTCCCGAGTAAAACATTATTTTCTGTAATAACATCATACATATTATAAATATATTTATATACTTATATAAGAAACTCTAAGGTTTTATTGGTACATTTTAAGTAACTTGATTTCCTAGGGTGGAAGCTAGTTTTAGAAGAGAAGGGTATTACATTTTATTTTTATTATTATTATTATTATTATTATTATTATTATTATACTTTAAGTTTTAGGGTACATGTGCACAATGTGCAGGTTTGTTACATATGTATACATGTGCCATGTTGGTGTGCTGCACCCATTAACTCGTCATTTAGCATTAGGTATACCTCCTAATGTTATCCCTCACCCCTTCCCCCACCCCACAGCGGCCCCCGGAGTGTGATGTTCCCCACCCTGTGTCCACGTGTTCTCATTGTTCAATTCCCACCTAAAAGTGAGAACATGTGGTGTTTGGTTTTTTTGTCCTCGCGATAGTTTGCTGAGAATGATGGTTTCCAGTTTCATCCATGTCACTACAAAGGACATGAACTCTTCATTTTTTATGGCTGCATATTATCCCATGGCGTATATGTGCCACATTTTCTTAATCCAGTCTATCGTTGTTGGACATTTGGGTTGGTTCCAAGTCTTTGCTATTGTGAATAGTGCCGCAATAAACATACGTGTGCATGTGTCCTTATAGCAGCATGATTTATAATCCTTTGGGTATATACCCAGTAATGGGATGGCTGGGTCAAATGGTATTTCTAGTTCTAGATCTCTGAGGAATCGCCACACTGATTTCCACAATGGTTGAACTAGTTTACAGTCCCACCAACAGTGTAAAAGTGTTCCTATTTCTCCACATCCTCTCCAGCACCTGTTGTTTCCTGACTTTTTAATGATTGCCATTCTAACTGGTGTGAGATGGTATCTTACTGTGGTTTTGATTTGCTTTTCTCTGACGGCCAGTGATGATGAGCATTTTTTCATGTGTTTTTTGGCTGCATAAATGTCTTCTTTTGAGAAGTGTCTGTTCATATCCTTTGCCCACTTTTTGATGGGGTTGTTTGTTTTTTTCTTGTAAATTTGTTTGAGTTCATTGTAGATTCTGGATATTAGCCCTTTGTCAGATGAGTTGGTTGTGAAAATTTTCTCCCATTTTGTAGGTTGCCTGTTCACTCTGATGGTAGTTTCTTTTGCTGTGCAGAAGCTCTTCAGTTTGATTAGATCCCATTTGTCAATTTTGGCTTTTGTTGCCATTGCTTTTGGTGTTTTAGAAGTGAAGTCCTTGCCCATGCCTATGTCCTGAATAGCATTGCCTAGGTTTTCTTCTAGTGTTTTTATGGTTTTAGGTCTAACATGTAAGTCTTTAATCCATCTTGAATTAATTTTTATATAAGGTGTAAGGAAGGGATCCAGTTTCAGCTTTCTACATATGGCTAGCCAGTTTTCCCAGCACCATTTATTAAATAGGGAATCCTTTACCCATTGCTTGTTTTTGTCAGGCTTGTCAAATATTAGATGGTTGTAGATATGCGGCATTAGTTTTGAGGGTTCTGTTCTGTTCCATTGATCTATATCTCTGTTTTGGTATCAGTACCATGCTGTTTTGGTTACTGTAGCCTTGTAGTATAGTTTGAAGTCAAACCAGGAAGAAGTTGAGTCTCTGAATAGACCAATAACAGGCTCTGAAATTGTGGCAATAATCAATAGCTTACCAACCAAAAAAAGTCCAGGACCAGATGGATTCACAGCCGAATTCTACTAGAGGTACAAGGAGGAACTGGTACCATTCCCTCTGAAACTATTCCAATCAATAGAAAAACAGGGAATCCTCCCTAACTCATTTTATGAGGCCAGCATCATCCTGATACCAAAGTCTGGCAGAGACATAACCAAAAAAGAGAATTTTAGACCAATATCCTTGATGAACATTGATGCAAAAATCCTCAATAAAATACTGGCAAACCGAATCCAGCAGCACATCAAAAAGCTTATCCACCATGATCAAGTGGGCTTCATCCCTGGGATGCAAGGCTGGTTCAACATATGAAAATCAATAAATGTAATCCAGCATATAAACAGAACCAAAGACAAAAACCATATGATTATCTCAATAGATGCAGAAAAGTCCTTTGACAAAATTCAACAGCCCTTCATGCTAAAAACTCTCAATAAATTAGGTATTGATGGGACGTATCTCAAAATAATAAGAGCTATCTATGACAAACCCACAGCCAATATCATATTAAATGGGAAAAACTGGAAGCATTCCCTTTGAAAACTGGCAGAAGACAGGGATGCCCTCTCTCACCACTCCTATTCAACATAGTGTTGGAAGTTCTGGCCAGGGCAATTAGGCAGGAGAGGAAATAAAAGGCATTCAATTAGGAAAAGAGGAAGTCAAATTGTCCCTGTTTGCAGATGACATGATTGTATATCTAGAAAACCCCACTGTCTCAGCCCAAAGTCTCCTTAAGCTGAAAAGCAACTTCAGCAAAGTCTCAGGATACAAAATCAATGTGCAAAAATCACAAGCATTCTTATACACCAATAACAGACAGAGAGCCAAATCATGAGTGAACTCCCATTCACAATTGCTTCAAAGAGAATAAAATACCCAGGAATCCAACTTACAAGGGATGTGAAGGACCTCTTCAAGGAGAACTACAAATCACTGCTCAGTGAAATAAAAGAGAATACAAACAAATGGAAGAACATTCCATGCTCATGGGTAGGAAGAATCAATATTGTGAAAATGGCCATACTGCCCAAGGTAATTTACAGATTCAATGCCATCCCCATCAAGCTACCAATGCCTTTCTTCACAGAATTGGAAAAAACTACTTTAAAGTTCATATGGAACCAAAAAAGAGCCCACATTGACAAGACAATCCTAAGTCAAAAGAACAAAGCCGGAGGCATCACACTACCTCACTTCAAACTATACTACATTTTTTAAAAATTACTTAAAGCTGAAGCAAACATTAAAATCACCACAGTTTAATATTACGCCTTGCCTTGAATTTATTGTATGCCATTTATTTTATTCAAACCATTTCTATATCAGCAAGATTGTAGGATAGAACTGATTGTCCCAGATGTCATTGCAAGGTTATAGAAAGTTGTTAAAATTTAGAGGTATATGGCTACTAAAGGTATATAAGTGAATATTATTTTTTAATATTATTAATGCACTTGGTTTAACATTATTTTCCTGTTTTGAATTGCACAATTCTATTAAAATATTTTTAAGATATCTAAAGTATAAATTTAGTCAAATTTCGATCTTTTATAACACAGGTGTTATATCATATGAGGAACATCTGCTGAACCAGCTGTTGTCACCATTTAAGTTCAAGCTGTTGCCAGGGAGCATTTTCCCCCAATCGTTTTACTTGTTCATTTGGGGAGAATGATCTGGGACTGAGTGCCAAGGCTAGATGTGATTATTACAGTAAAGAGTGATTTGGTGGGCTTCAAGTGGGCCGTCATGTCTTTGCAATTTGAGTGGTCTGAATTGCTGCCAGGATATATTGGAGTATAGTTGATAGATATACTGAATGGCACTGTTAACAGTGATGGTGAAATATTTTGCTTTAGTGAAGGTGAATATGAACTCTGCACAGGAACCTGCTATAAGTGTAGTCATTTAACCAGAACAAAGTACCTGTTACCTACTGAACTCGGGTAATAGAGCCAAGAGTCTGACCTATGCAGTCAAAATGAATTGCAGGTTGAACATGAAATTAAGTTAATTTTGGTGATTCAACGAAACACCCACATTATCTAGGTTAGCTGTCTACATTTTATTTCCTCTCAATTATTGCTAATCTCTTTACTTTTGTAAACAGTAAAAAAGGGTTGAGATATAATAGTTTAATTTAGTTGCAAAGATTAAATAGAAGCTCAAATATCTGTGAGAATTACCTCCAATTATTCAGCATGAGAATGAGGTCAGAAACATAGAATTATTTCTTTTTTAGTTTGTCTCACAAATATATATCTAATTAGAAGAAAGCAGTGATTTGTATGTATTTCTTGTACATTTGCCCCAGGAAATCACAAACCTCTGAACTGACCTGTCCATCATGAGAAAAGAGAGCTGAGAATAGATGTTAAACATATTATGTTCAACTTTTTAAACTGTGATACAAGCAAGATTACACCAAGGAGAAGAATAACAAAAAAATGCTTTTTACAAATGCTTTTAGACTGTGTTGGGGGAAAAGAAACCACAGGATAAAGTGACCTGTGTGTCAATGGCTTTACAGAAATATCTACTTAAAAACATTGATGCTCTATTGAGTTAAATGCCTTCCTTTTCAAGACAAAGGAAATACATTTCACACTACTGAGACTGTTTCTCTAAGACATCTCAGGGACACAGGTTTGCTCTTCTCTGGAATTAGGTCACTTTCTCTGGAAAAGTTAGAGATGCTGCAGTTCTGCCAAGTAGTGATACTCTGACTTTATGTGAGGAAATCCAAATTCAGTTATGCTGGGTTTCAATTAGGACATAGAGCAACTTTGCTTATGAATTAAAATCTTGATAGAAGACCAGGCGTGGTGGTTTATGCCTGTAATCCCAGCAGTTTGGGACGTTGAGGTGGGCGAGTCACTTGAGTCCAGGTGTTCGAGACCAGCCTGGACAATATGGCAAAACCCTATCTCTACTAAAAATACAAAAATTAGCCGAGTGTGGTGGCATGCGCCTGTAATCCCAGCTACTTGGAAGGCTGAGGTAGGAGAATCGCTTGAACTCGGGAGGTGGAGGTTGCAGTGAGCCGAGATCACACCACTTCACTCCAGCCTGAGTGACAAAGCAAGACTATCTCAAAAAAAAAAAAAAAAAATCTTGAGAAAGAGTTGATAATTTGCAATTTTTATGCTAAAAAATAATGTCATTAGGGAGTCAGTACCTAAATCCTTGGGATCATTGGGGTTAGGTCTTTGTTCATCTCCATTTTCTAGAATTGTCACTTTGCCATGATCTGCTCTTCCTAGGCACTGCTCTGTCAGTCCGTACTTCCAATGACAATTTCTCCTATTTGCTCTCCTCTTCTACACTTTTAATAATGAAATGGCCCTCACTCCACCTCACCACATGAAAACATCATGCTGAGATTAGAGTAAGAACATTTTTAGATGTCACACTCAAGAGTTTGGAATTTATTTTTATGTGAAGGGAGACAATAAAATATTTTTGGCCAAAGTTTAAGTCAAAAAACGACATGCTCAGATTGAATTATGTCATTAAAAAACAACATACCCCTATTCTTCATATAACAAAATCTGCCACAGAACATTTCGCATATTTGTTAAGTTGGGTGCTAGAATCCTGGTGAAGTATGTAAAAGCTAGACATTGTGAATTCAGAAAGACTCTCCAAAAAAGCCCAGTCATTGTGAAGAATGATGAGGAAAAAGAATAAAAAGAGGATTAATTGCAGGAAAGGTAATTAATTAATATGAGAAACTTACTGAATATGACTTAGTTAATGGCTAGAGACTTAATGATGGGAGAGCTTTTTAAAACACACTAAAGAGAAGGAAAAAAATTAAAAAAAAACAAGCAATTCAATGAAGAAACATGGAGGAACTTTAAATGTATATTATTAAGTTAAAGAAGCCAATTTAAAAAGGCAATATTCTGTATGATTCCAACTATATGACGTTACAGAAAAAAGAAAAACTATGGAGACAATAAAATGATCAGTAGTTCCCAAGGGTTATGGAGATGAAGGAGTGACTAGATGAAACACAGATTTTTAGGGCAGTGAAAATATTGTGTATGACTTTGTAATTATCATGGTTAATATTGGGTGTCAACTTGATTGGATTGAAGGATGCAAAGTATTGTTCCTGAGTGTGTCTGTGAGGGTGCTGCCAAAGGAGGTTAACATTTGAGTCAATGGGCTGGGAGAGGCAGACCCACCCTCATTCTGGGTGGGCACCATCTAATCATCTGTGAGTATGACTAGAATAGGGCAGGTAGAAGAAGGTGGAAGGACTTGACTTCCTGAGTCTTCTGGTCTTCAACATTCTCCTGTGCTGGATGCTTCCTGCCCTTGAACATCGGACTCCAAGTTCAGCTTTTGGATTCTTAGACTTACACCAGTGGTTTGCCAAAGACGCTCAGGTCTTTGGCCACAGATGGAAGGCTGCAGTGTCAGCTTCCCAGGTTTGGGGTTTTGGGACTTGGACTGGCTTCCTTGCTCCTCAGCTTGCAGACAGCCCATTGTGGGACTTCATTTTGTGATTGTGTGAATCAGTACTCCTTAATAAACTCCCCTTCAGGCCGGGTGTGGTGGCTCACACCTGTAATCCTAGCACTTTGGGAGGCCAAGGTGAGTGGATCACTTGAGGTCAGGAGTTCAGGACCAGACTGATCAACATGGTGAAACCCTGTCTCTACTAAAAAAAAATACAAAATTAGCCCGGCGTGGTAGCTCACGCCTGTAATCCCAGCTACTTGTTAGCCTGAGGCAGGAGAATTGCTTGAACCTGGGAGGCGGAGGTTGCAGTGAGCCGAGATTGCACCATTGCACTCCAGGTTGGGCAACAAGAGCAAAACTCTGTCTCAAAACAAACAAACAAACAAACAACAAATAAACTCCCCTTCATGTATGCATCTATCTCACTAGTTCTGTACTTCTAGAGAATCCTAATACAATAATGGTGGACACATGTCATTACACATTTTAAAACTATAGATATGCAACGCAAAGTGTGAACAACAAGTGCAACACCAAGAGTGATAATGATGTATCAGTGTGGGTTCATCAATTGGATTATAATGAAGATACCATTTTAGTGGAGGATGTTGATAATGGGAGAAGTTTTGCCTATGTGGGAGTAAGGAGTATGTTGAGTCTCTGTACCTTCTGCTCAATTTTGCTATGAACCCAAAATGGCTCTAAGAAATAAAGTCTATTAAAACAAACAAAAAAAGAGAATGCAGCAAAATATTGGCAAACTATGCCTTGCCAGCATTTCAGCTTGCCAAGAGAGTTATCCAAGCTGGTAAGAGGAAAAAAATGGGAGATAAAATGATGCTGGAAAAGCTTCTGTAAACTATTCTCTTTCATCTGCCTCTTCTGCCCAGCACGGAGGTTGACTTCTCCAAGGAAAAGTTCTGAGCATTGCAGAGTATTTACTTTTGGCTTTTGAGAAGCAGAAGTTTAGAAACTGCAATAATATTTTAAGACACTTTAATAACAGTCAATTATTATGGCTCTTGCCCACTGCAAGCTCAAGATGATCAGGGCATGGCGGCAGGTAACCAGGTAGTAAAAAACTTGTACCCATTTAAGCAGCAGAGTGCATGGATGTTAGGGGATGAGCCTGGGTGGTCTTTAGTCAGTATCAATGCTATCATATGAAAAGTAGGTGTCATACAATGTTCCTGTATCCCACGAATTATCTCTATATTCTCAAATCAGAGATAAGGTATACAAGAAGTCCAAGCACGGAATGCCTTTTTCCATTAATTACATCTTAAATATTCAGTCCCATACTGACATATTGGGGAACTATCTATTCTACCTATTTTTGAAGTCCTCTAATCTGTGTCAAAACCCAGCATTTAGAAGTGCATGGAGCTGGTTCTGAAAAAAAAAATGTATTTTTATTAGCTAGTCATGAGATTATTATTTTGTAAACCCGAAAATATAAGAGAGGATGCTGGGGAGGCAGAATCAGAGACATAGAATACAAAATGACTTATTTTCATCCATGGATTAAGATACTGTGGGCAGAATTTAAGGTTATTTTTACATGAAGATTTTGGAGAGATATTGAGCAAAAGCAGAACATCAGTGGACCATTTAACAGAGATAAGTTTTTTTTTAATGTGTTAAGGTATTTAGAAAATCATATGAACAAAGTGTAGTAATAGGTTGAATATTGGGGTAAAGAAAAAGTAATTTGCAAGAATGATTTCTTAACTGTTTTGCTTGACAATAGGACGAGGCATACCTCTGAACTCTTAGGTAAAAGACAGAGGGATAGCTGACTTGAGGCTAGAGGAAAGAGAGAGAACATGAGTTCGGATATGGATGTGTTGAATTTGTATTACCTTTACTATTATCCAAGAAAAGATATCAACAAGGATTTTGAATATGTGGGCTTGAGACTTACAGAAATTCACTGGGGTGAGATATAAATTTGCTGTCCTCTATGGCTAGAGTTAATTGAGACAAGGCCCTATTACTAAGACGTGAAGAACTGCTACAATTAATATATGGTAAGTGGAGGAAAGAGTCCTGTGGAATGTGAGAACAGCAACCAGTGAAATAAGACTATCATCAAAAAAGTATCTCCACAGAAATCAAGAAGTGAAGGTTTTCAAATAGTGTGCCATCAATATTGTAAGAAGCTACTCAGAGATCATGAGCAAGACTGAAATTAATACCCTTGGTACTTAACACTAGAAGACATTGGTGATTTCACCAAGATGTGGAGTGATGGGGGCAGATACCGTGTTAATGTTGGTTGTGGAGTGAATGAAACATGAAGAAATTAATACACCGAGGACAACATTTTCAAGAGCATGGCCTTGAAGGAGCAGTGATGCAAAAAAGAAAGATGACAGATATAAATGAGGCGACATTTTTCATCTGTTTTGTCTTGTTTTAATATGAGAAGCATAGTCAAAGTTTGATTTAAAAAAAAAAAACCCATTTAAGTCAGAGAAAGCATACAAGAGAAGGAAAAATAATGAAAAATATAAAGTTCCAGAAAAATCTAAAGCTATGGTGTCTAAAAGGTAGGTTAGGGTCAGAATCGGAGAAAGAATGCTTGTTCTGAATATTGTGGCCTTTTTTTTTTTTTTTTTAAGTCTTTAGCCTGAAGGAGACTGGGAAAATGTAGGGAACATTTTATTCTGAGAGGCAATTTTTTTTTTCTTGCTCATTTCCCTGAGTTTAGACATTGGGTTTATGGAAGCATATTGGTAGAGTAGAAAGACCATGGCATTTGAATCCGCATAGTTGTCTTTGAATGCCAGCACTGCAGCTTAGCTTGTTAAATGATCTCTGGAAAATTACCCAATCTCTCTGAGCCCCAGTTTTCTCATCTCAAAAATTAAGACAAGAACATCACTTTAAAAGCTTTAAACTGAAAACTAAATGATATAATGAAATTCAAAACACCTAATGGTGTGTTTCTCACATACTATGCACTTAACTGATCTTAATTCCTTTCTCAGTTGAGCTTCATGAAATATTAAAATTTTAGTTTCAAGGTTGAAGTTAGAATGAGATAAGTTTCCTCTAAACATAGACTTAAAATCTGTGGCTTGTGGTTGGTTTGTGTCTTGTCTAGACAACAATAAACTTTATTAATATAGGGTCCTTCCTTATTTTGCCAAAGGACCTACAGTTTTGTTTTCATTTTTTTGAGACAAGGTCCTTCTTTGTTGCCCAGGATGGAGTGAGGTGGTGTGCTCATAGCTCACTGCAACCTCAAATACCTGTGCTCAAGGGATCCTCCCACCTCAGCCTCCTGAGTAGCTGGGACCACAGGTGTGCACCACATCAGCCAGCTATTTTTTTAGCCACCAGGTGTCGCTATTTAGCTCAGGCTGGACTTGAACGCCTGAGCTCAAGCAATCCTCCCACCTCAGCCTCCCAAAGCTCTGGGATTACAGACGTGAGCCACCATGCCTGGAAGGAACTACAGTTTTGACCAAAACATCTTGGGCACTTATATTGGCACGTAGGGGTCTTCTGATATGGTCAACTCAGTGAATTTCTCTCTCTGATAATGTGTGACCAGCAAGCATTGGAAAGTGATGAATTTAGCTATGCTTCTCAATGCACGTCGTCTATCAATTCAAACCTCACCCAGCAAGGCCTTTACCCTGGCCTCCAAGATCACCTACTTAATGTTCAGAACTCAAGCATCCATGGATGTCACAGATTCTATACCACTCATAGAATCCATTCTACTTTAATCATCCTTGCCTTGATTATAGTGATTTGGTTGGATCTTAGAACGAGACTGCCTGTATCAGATCATAGCTTTATCAAGAACCAGCTATGTGACCTTGGGCAGGTGCTTTAAAATATTTGTGTTTCACTTTCCACATTGGTAGAATGAAGATAATAGCACAGGGTTATCTTGATGATTAAATGATGTAATATGTTTAAAGCCCTTCAAGCAGTCTCTGCACATGGTAAATGCTGATTACATATAAACTAAGCATTTTCTTGCTATTGTGAAGTCTCTGCTGTTCTCACACTGCACTAGTTTTCATTTTTTCTTTTAAAAAATTCAGCTGAATTTTTTTTTTTTTTGAGACGGGAGTCTCGCTCTGTCGCCCAGGCTGGAGTACAGTGGTGCGATCTTGGCTCACTGCAAGCTCTGCCTCCCGGGTTCACGCCATTCTCCTGCCTCAGCCTCCCGAGTAGCTGGGACTACAGGAGCCCGCCACCAAGCCGGGCTAATTTTTTTTTATATTTTTAGTAGAGACGGGGTTTCACCGTATTAGCCAGGATGGTCTCGATCTCCTGACATCGTGATCCACCTGCCTCGGCCCTCCCAAAGTGCTGGGATTACAGGCATGAGCCACCGCACCCCGCCTCAGCTTAATTTTTAATTGAAACATATTTTAAGCAAAAGCTTCAGTCTAGAAATGCAATATGATCTCAATATCCCAGCCCAAACGTTGATTCCAAGTAGAAGTTAGAAGATATGTTTTGATAGCCTTAAAGGAGGGGGGAAGTAAAGTGAAGGCCACTCCTTTTGTCAATGAATGAAAAGGAAGGAAAAAAAAATAAAGGAAATAGAAAGAAAAAGAGACAATTTAGTGTTTAAATTTCTCATTCATTTATTTATATTTTATAAGAAGAATTTTAATAATTTAACATTATGTCCCGTTGCATAGTGAAAATCTTAAGTATACATGATACTTCGTGATGAAGATGAAAATTAATTGAACATGTCTGGAAAAAACTTAGAAATAAATAAAATAATGATGCTTGTTTATTGAATTAATTTAAGGGACTCTCAGAAACATTGTGACATTTAGCACATATATGTGTTGACATGTAAGAAAAGGAAATGCTTATACAAAGTCCTGGAGAGAAACTGTGGGAGGAAAAGATGGCATTTTGGAAAAAGAAAATAAATTTTGAAAAGAAAAGATGTGACATGTTGGCAAGCATTAATGCTTGATCTTTGGAGAGAGAGATAATGAATTCTATCTTCATTTACATTCTTGATAAGAAAAGTATTAGTGTTTTTATTTTTCTAGACATTTAAAGCAGCTATTTATTGAATTTTCCACGAAATTAAATGCATCAAAATTTACCCCACATTTCTTCTCATGCAAAAGCAGAAAAATGCAAGCCTTTAAAATATGGAAACATTTGGAAGAAATCCCCCTGGGCATCATGCACAAAAGCAATTCTGGATTTTTCTGGGTCCTAGAATAAATCATCACTTGAACATTATAAAATCACATAACTGGCCAGACGCAGTGTCTCATGCATGTAATTTCAGCACTTTAGAAGGCTAAGTCAGGAGAATCGCTTGAGCCCAGGAGTTCAAGACCAGCCTAGGCAACACGGAGAAATCCTGTCTCTATGAAAACAGAAAAGCGTAAAAAATTAGCTGGGAATGGTGGAGCGCATCTGTAGTCCCAGCTACTTGGGAGGCTGAGGTAGGAGGATTGCTTGAGCCCAGAGAAGTTGAGGCTGCAGTGAGCCTCGCACTGCACCCAGCCTGGGTGACAGAGTGAGACCCTGTCTCAAAATAAATAAAGGAATAAAAAGTAAAATGGCACAAGTGAGTCACATAGAAGCTTGGGCTCTTTTTTCTAGACAAATATTCAGTAAGAATCATAAAGAATGATTAAACTTGATTGTTTTCTTTCAACACCACTGTGAGCTAGGTTAAATTAAGCAAGAACCATGGTTAATATTTTATTGTCCTTTACTTCTCTCTTTAGAGTTAGGATTTTCATTCCCTAATCATTTATTTTATCCCATTTACGTACTGTATATGTGTGCTTAGTTTTAAGATTGTTCTGTATTTATTTCATTGTTCAACATGTCAGCTAAAGGAGTGAAAATATCTATCTAGCTTTCTCTATCAATTATCTATCCATATCTGCATATCACATCTGTCATCTCAACCAAAGATTATAATTTAAAAGATAACCTTATGTAAATATGTGTAATTATTTTTCCATAAACAAGAATACTACTGGTACCTAATTCTTAATAACTTTTTAGTCTTTGTTTACTTCTTGATTAGCCAATGCTAGAGTTAACATGAGATTACTGAATAATGGTAATGTGTTCATATTTAAGAAGATTGATAACTATTTCTATACATCATCAATTTCTAATAGATCTTCTTAAGAAGTATACATAAACAAAATAAGAATATGTAGACCAACAACTTCTAGACATGCTCAGTGACATGAAGAAAAATGGGATTCTTACCTGTAGAACTTTACCAGGTTCTTGGTCTTTTTATGAGCTGTGTCTATGAAACATCCTATTTATAAACCTGTTTAACCAAAATATTTTTCTTTACAGAGCCTTTTATGTAACTAGTTTTGGAAGAAAGGGGTTGTCAAATGCTGAAACCTGTCTCTTCATCTCATTGTGTATGTAGTGCCATAGTACTGCTCTGGTCTCAGATATTAGTATGTGATTTTTCTTGACATAGTTTTCCCATTTGTAAAATTAGAGGCATGATAAGATGACTTCCAAAATATCTATGTGCCTGGGGTCAAAGACATTCTATCATTATATAATTTTATATTACATGTCATCTTGATAATTTCATGCAGCAATGTTAAGAATGAATAGTTCTTTTTTTCTCTGGTAAATTCAATTTGAAACAAATTTGAAAAAATAGGTCGCATTTTTTAATTGAAGTGAAACTAATAAAATTTTGACTACCATAAAAGACAGGCACAACCTTTCTCTCTGCCAAGATGCATGCTTCAACAAGACTGTGCTTCACAATACAGGATGCTAATTAGGCCTATGTTACTATCAGCAATGTCACAGTCTTTACAGAGCATATCCAAATTACTAAATCTAAAATGGAGCTAAAGAAACTTTTATTTCTTCCCACTCTATAGTATTGTACCCCGATATTCCCCAGTAAAAGAAAGAGTTATGTGAACAAAAGCAGAAAGTTATAGTAGTAAAAGCATTGCCTAGGATAAAGTGTTACTAAAGATAATTAACTTTCAGTCTTAAACTTCATCACCATAAAATGGGAGAATAATCTCTACACTTTCAATCCAACAATAGGGTGACTGTACAGCTTATCATCCAAATCATGATACTTTTAGAGTTCAAATGGGGCAATATTAATAAGTATGCCAAGGTGGTAGGTGTAATCATATCTGTTCTGAAACACTCAGTAGTTGTACAAATGCAGGCTACTGTAAAAGCTTATAACACAAATAAAATTTGATGAAAAGATAGAGAAATAGTTGGGCTATTTTAAATTTATAAATGAAGAAACAGAGTTATAGCAGAGTTGCTAATTACCCAGATGTATACTAGGAGGAGGCTTTGAAACTAGGAAGTTGCAGGATTACTGATTATTAGATTAATGCTCTGAGTGCCTTAGTGACTAGCTAATTACTAGAATAACACCTGATGTGGCAAAGGGGATACAAATATTATTTGAGATATAAGGGAACTTCTATCTGGCCTTTGCACCATAGCTGAGCAAACAACTTATGTATTCAGTACTTTACAGGGTCCTTTTCTCAGATTAAACTATATTTTAAAATTTATGGATAGGAGCCCTTGTTCAGAACCATTTAGGTTGTTATTCTATCTCTTATTGTCTCAATGAAAAAGACTCTATCCAATCAATATTAACTTCTGTTGGCCTCAACAGATATGTCTACAATAGAAATATTTATATGTAAATATTCAAGGACAATATAGTAGTGTTTCTGATTAAAACTGCTTGTATAGTCTTTATTGAATTAGCACTTTGGGAAATCTAGTCTGAATTACAATGAAAAATGAAAATGTTAAATATTTTGTTTTCCACATTATATTCATAGCATTCCAAAAATAAGATATTTGAAATCAACTTTATATAGATATCTAAGAACTTTTGTATAGAGGTCACTTATTCCCAGAGCAAACCTTCTTAAGCTGTTTGACAGTTAAAATAAACTCTGGACACATACATTGCTTTGTCCATCACACTCACTAAACTTGTCATCCAAACAGGGACTATTTATTACACAGGGGTGTGAGTAACATGAACACACAGATCAGTGCTAAGATCATGAAATCCATTTCATCATTGTTTACTCTAGCAATCTAGCCAAAGTAATTCTTAGACAAATCTTATTAGTCTAGATATGAATGTCAGCCCCTGAAGTAAGCCATCTGTGATTAATTTATGCAGCTACTCAGTTCCATTTCCTATTAATAGCGTGTTTATCATATAACTGTATTCAAGAGCTTAGCATTTTATCTGATTTATAAACACATTTAATACATTTGTTGATGCAAGTTTTCATGTATTTAATAAAATGCTCTATAAAGCTTACTGATAATGTGCAAATTTCATAGATAACTGAGTAGAGACTATATCTCCTATTTAGGTCGTGCTTTAAACAATATACAACAACTTTTAATGTATTATTTAGATGTCTTCAGAATTTGGAATGAAGGGTTTGAACTAAGCCTAAGGCGGCTAAGGTGGCATACTTATTTCTGGGGGTACTTTTGCAACTCTAATAGAGATTCCATGCACATAGAACCTATGTTGAAAACCTATATTTTAAGAAGATCTGGCTATCAATGGAACATTTTTTTCTCAGAAATAAAAACCATAAGCCAAATAAACTTCATCCTTTTCTCTCCCACAGTATCTAAGTTACAATGTATTTCTTCTCCAAAATTTAACTTTGCCTTGTTTAATATCAAATTTACTTTTCTGGCACATATTCTAGATGCAAGAAAGAAAATTTTAAACAACAACAAAAAATACCTATCTTTTTGCTCTGTTGAAATAAGCATGAAACGACTGCTGACAACCAAGTGAGATAGAGGTTCAGGTTAGGGTCTAGAAGTTTCTAGAAGATAATAAGAGAGAGAGAGAAGCTAAGGAAATTTAAACACCATAAATGGGATAGGCTGTCACAGAAATGAAGATAACTAAGAGGGATAATGAAAATATACAAGGAAGCTTAGTGGCCTTGTATAATCTAAAAAAACAAGAGGCAAAGAGTTTTGATCAAGACACCACACACTGTCTTTCTAAACTAAATAGAATGACTGTTCCTTTAGAAAAATGCTGACCTAGACTACGTTTGATTGTTGAAAATATCACAGAAGACTAATACACCATATGTTACATTTTATAGATAGGAGCCCTTGTCCACAACTGTTCTGGATATTTTCTTTTCATTTGTCTTCTTAAATAAAGAGATGGGTCAGTTCATTAATCTATCCAGATTCATTGGTAGTTATATTTGTCATGTATATTATCAAATGGATTTCTTATATATAATCTTTTTGTATAATTTCAGACAGCCTAAACCCCTTTTCTCAATTCAGATACTCCTTGGAAAACTTCATTTCTAAAGTGCCAGCCCAGCTTGAGCAAACAATCAAACTCTGTCGGTTAGCACTCTGTGATACACAGCCTGGTCTTTGCAGCCCTTTGTCCCCATAGAAGCAGGCATCCACGAACATTCTAACATATTTGATACTGTATAAATGCGTGCTTCTGAGGTTTATTTCCTATTTGCTATTGGAACAGTCAGCAACAGATAATTGTCCTGTCTTGAAGATCAAGAAAGGAAAACTAAAGAAACTAAAAGCTATTGCAAGGGTATAAGCTAATTTGTATGCTAAATGATTGGATTCCTGGACCTTGTGCCTGAAAATGAAGCTGAATTACTGAAGGAAAGGTTTGACGTATCATAGGAAAATAGTTTAAAGTAGTTTTGACAAGGTTTCTGGTACAGAAGATCAGAAGAATTTGCTTATATACTTTAATTATAAACCTCACTACCAATTTTCCCTTTGGGTTGTTGATTCCAATGATGGCTGGTTAAACCTGGGCTGAAGATAAAATTTTAATATGAAGACAGTTTTGAAAAATTGTTAAGAAAATGCAGCTAATATTCGGTTGAGTGCCTACAATGTGTGAAACATTTTATACGTTACTTCATAGTTTCCTGGTGAAGGAATTATTATCATCTTCACTATTTAAATGAGAAAACCTCCCCAGTTTAGAGGTTATTAAGAAGTAGCAGAGGTGAGATCAGTTTGAACCTGTTAAAATTCTGGCTCTTTGGCTCTATATATTAGGATTTCTATAATAAATTGAAAATGAAATAAAGATTTTTCAAATGCTACTGCAAAGCACTACATAAGCATGAGAGCTGCTAAAACAAAACCATCTGGTATTTCTATAAAGGTACCATGTTAGCCAGAGGAAAGTTAGTGACCTAGATTGAGCATGAGTCAAACCATCAGAAAGGGCAGGAGAGAACGAATCAGAGATGTCCTCACCAAGCTCCCTTCTTTGTTCCCAGGCTTTTTACTCTTAGTGACAGAGACTTCAGACTTCTCTGCAGAGATTACAAAAAAGAGAAAAAGAGTTGGAAAATATAGTGTGATTTAAGAAGTGAAGAAACTTGTGGTCTGCAGAAATACAGTTATATTCATGACTCATCATTTTACAACTTTTTAAATTCCAAATGTAGACGTAATTCATGTTCATTTCACATCATGAAACAATGTATGTTTTTTTTAAATGTAATCTCTCCTTGCCAGTCCTTTCTAATAATAATAGCTTAATGCTATCTCTTATGACTCATCCATATGCATACGTGTGGTTTATTGCTTTTTTAAAACATATAATAATTATTTTGACTCTTAATTTCCAATTTAAAAATATAGCTTAGTCATCTTTCCAAATTAAGATATACTTCTAATTACTTTTAATAACTATTAATACCCAGAATATAATCATACCATATTTAACAATTTCACCATTGGAAAAATTCCAATTATTTTCAGTTATATTGCTGTCAAAAATAATGTGGCAATATTTAAATATTCTGTAAGTATAAGTACTGCTTTAATCTTTTTTTTAAGACATGAGGTCTTGCTATGTTACTCAGGCTGGAGTGCAGTGGCTATTCACAGGTGCTATGATTTTCAAAGACTCTGATAACTTATAATAAAACAGTTATTTTATCTCATGGGCATTTTCATGATATTTGTCAACCTTTTCTTGATTTGCATGACGTTTGCATCTGAGACATTAGGACTATGGTATTGATGCATAGCATGATGTAAAACACATTTTTTTAAAAATTGACTTTATTGAAAAGCCACTAAATGATTATCTTCAACAAAGTGTTTTGAAACTTAATATCTTAAAAAACCTACTACAAAAGCTGTAAGACCAGTACCAATTATAACAAGGGGCTATATTTTTTATTTGTATTTTAAAAAACTGAAACATTAAATCCACTTAACATTTTATAAAGATTTTATTAAGACCTTGGTCTCTTTCGTTTCTGTATTTGATATATGATTTAATATCTTATCATGATGTAATATCTTATGTCAAACATACAAATTAAATATCATATATATCATATCATGTTATTTTATATATATAAATTACATATATAAATTACATCCTCATTTATCATTAAATTGGAATATCTGTCTTGATTTTTTTTTGTTTCAATATTTTCTTACGTTTGAAGATATCACATCAGAGCTGATGAGATTCGGCGAGGAGCTGGACTTTAAAGAGTAATATAAAAATAGTTTGATGACAATTGTACATGAAATCCAAACTAAGAACAATAACTTTATTAGTATTCACCAGAGAGACAGAACCAATAAGATATGTACATACATATATAGACATATTAGAGGTGATTTATTAGGGAAATTGGCTCATGGGATTAGGGAGGCTGAGAAGCTTTACAACAGGCTATCTGCAAGCCAGAGACCCTGGGATGCCAGTAGCATCGCTCAGTCTAACTTTGAAGGCCTCAGGATCAGAGAAGCTGATGGTGTAATATCTAGTCCAAGGCCTAAGAACCTGAGGGCTGCTGGTCAAAGTCCTGGAGTCCAAAGACTGGAGAGCTTGAAGTTCTGATGTCTAGGGGCAAAAGAAGAGTGTCCTAGCTCCTGGAAAGAGAGAAAAAAAATACCGCCTTTCCTCTCCTTTCTCGTTATATCCAGCCCCCATCGAATTGGATGGTGCCCACTCAGATTGAGTGCTGATTTTCCTCACTTAGTTCATGGGTGCACACCCAATATCCTCTGGAAGTAGCCTCACGAACACACCCAGAAATAATAATATACCAGTTCTCCAGGTATTACTTAATCTAGTCAAGTTGACACCTAAAATTAACCATCACAATTACAAAATAAAATATCTAAGAAATAATGGGAAGGACAGGAAATAAAACAAAGGAACGTGGATTTCTGAGGTTTTGAGATGGTTAGGAGTAGAAATTAAATATTAATTATGTGATAACTGTTTCATTTTTAAGCCATGATTCTTTGTAGGTGCTATTTTCATCATCAAATTAAAGAATGAATGTGGAATATGCATACCATAACTAAATATATTTATAATCGAAGTATTTCACAGCTTAATAGAAACTTAATAGAAACAGTCATTTCACCTTATTTTATGGAATGAACCTAAAGAAATTTTAAGCAAGAGTTTCAATTTTATTGTCATTTGAAGCTGTCTTCAGATATTAGTGAAGGAATAGCATGCTGAGAAAAATTAAATATCAAGGGAAATGAAGAGTCCGCCAAACAATTAGCATGACTTAATTATTTCTTCCTTTTAGGACAACCATTAAAGGTCAAGATATTTCAAGCTTAAGTGAGTTAGAATGACCTGTCTCAACTTCTCCACTCTTTTATCTTTTCCTGCAAGAGACAGCAAGGCCACTGAGCATATGGAGACTGCTTGTTTGGAAAACATTTGAAATACATTTTAATTTGTAAATCCAAACACAACAGTAAAGTCAGTCCACTTTGTTTCTGGCTTCACATCACTTCTGCCGTGAGCTGCACTGTGTGCTATCAAATAAGTAAACATTTCTCACTTGGGGCAGAACTCTGAAGCCAAATTAGACTGAAGCCAAGTGCTATTAAATGATAATTTGCGTGAACAAGACTAGCATAATTTATCTCTTCAAACTTGAACAATTTAAAATATAACATTTAAATATTGCTATTATCATAAATATTTAAAAGATTTAAAAGATTCTTAGACGTCTTCAACAATGTATCTGGACAATGAGTAGAGGGCAGTAAGGCTTCATTCCCTGGCTCTGATATTTTGATCCAGCCAAGCCAGAGTTAGTATTTGTCCAGCTGCTGGAGTTCCCCAGTGGTGCTTTGATTGGAGGGACTTTAACTTCTATGGCATTTTAAAAAGGTAGCTGATACTTTCTTATATGACTAGCATGACTAAATATAGAACAATAACAACAAAGACTCATGATACTGACTAATTTCTTCACTTGTGAACCAAATATGCCCCAAGACAAAAAAAAAAAAAAAAAAAAGGACTGAATTGGGAGTGTAGCTAATAATCAAATTGATTAAAGGATAATTATAGAGCTTCCCTATCTGAAAGCTATGAATCACATATGACCAAAATTTTACATTCATTTTTTTAAAATTAAAAATTCTGCTTCTCAGTCATAAAAGCCACAATTCAAGCTCTCAGCAATATGTGACTAGTTATCACAGTACCGGACCGTGCAGACATAGAGCATGTCTTGCAAATAGGAAAATTCTATTGGACAGTGTTGCTACACAGAATGAGTACATTGCCCAGTGATTTGTTCTTTCTTTTTAATTTTATTATTATTATACTTTAAGTTTTAGGGTACATGTGCACAACGTGCAGGTTTGTTACATATGTATACATGTGCCATGTTGGTGTGCTGCACCCATTAACTCGTCATTTAGCATTAGGTATATCTCCTAATGCTATCCCTCCCCCCTTCCCCCACCCTTGCAATGCTGTGCTTTGCTAGAAATGCTACAGATTCAGGGTGATGGATCATATTGCACTCATGCCCTACTGAGCATTTCAAAGTCATGTTCTGGTGCCAGAATCAAATCTTTAAATTCAACCATCTATTCCAAATTACCATTCTCATAGCATTTCCTAACTAGGAAATTTGTGTGTACTTATAGGTAGTTAATTTTTTAATTCTATTAATTTAACTGTGTGCCTTGTGTTTTCAGGTCTAAAATTAAAGATTTTGCCTTTATGCACATATTCATTTGGGCTCTAGAAGCTTCAAAGAAGTATGGCTTTGCATTATATTTATTGCCAATCATCGATTTTTGGCTTTGGAAATTTTATTAACACATCATTTGACATCTGTTTGGACATGCATCAGTCGTATACATAATAGAGTATGTATAAGGTTTAATTTGTAAGACATCACTGCTTATTTTGTGACTCTGTCCACAACTTTAAATATAGTTTTTCTTATTTTTAAAATTATAAACAATACTGATAGTAGTTTTTTTGAGAAATACAAAAACATTGCTTTTCCACTAGTTGAATAAAAGTATAAAATCTTTTAATATTCTGTCTTAAGTCGAAAAATAAAACTTACGTTAGATATCAAATGTGAACCAACATTAAACAAGAAATATTTGGGTCTTATTCATATTATGAAAAAAAAGAGGCATTATTGATTCTTAGGCTTAGAGGAATAAAGTTGTGCAATTAGTTATGATACAATACTTTTAAATATTAAGAATATGTATTTATTTTCATATTTGATTTTTAATACTTTTAATTATTCATTTATTTAAAAATATGTTTTAAACATCTACTTGAGCATAAATGTTAACATCTGACTGAAAGATTTGATAGACTGAAGTAAATTTTTACAATTATGACATTATATGCATTCAGATTATATAACTCCATACATATGTGCATGATGAATTATAAAAGTATTTTGTAAAAGTCCTTCAAGGTCATTCACAATGCATATACAACAATTAATGAGGAAACAAATTCCACAAAGGCAAAGTGAAAAAAAGAATTACCTGTTGCCAGCTAAAGACAATTCCTGTTACTTTTTTGATGTGTGGTTTTATAGGTGTCTATCACATACTTACGTATACATATGTAAATATATATTTTTGTGTATTTAAAAATTTATTTAAAACATTTTAAGGCTGGGCGCGCGGTGGTTCATGCCTGTAATCCCAGCACTTTGGGAGGCCGAGGTGGGTGGATTACGAGGTCAGGAGATAGAGACCATCATGGCTAGCACAGTGAAACCCCATCTCTACTAAAAATACAAAAAATTAGCCGGGCTTTGTGGCCAGCGCCTGTAGTCCCAGCTACTTGGGAGGCTGAGGCAGGAGAATGGCGTGAACCCGGGAGGCGGAGCTTGCAGTGAGCCAAGATTGCACCACTGCACTCCAGCCTGGGCAACAGAGTGAGACTCCATCTCAAAAACAAAAAAAAAAATTAAAATGAGATTATATTTTATACATTTTATTTTGTATATATACTTTGTCTGTTTGTAATCATTGTGTCTCATGTAATGTCTTTTAAACATGCTTGGTTCTATTATCAACCTTCTATAACAGCATTCCAAATAGATATATGTTCTTCCATATACGATAAACAGCCAAGGACATCAGTTTACACCTTTATTAAGGTGTGTCTATTTGAAAACAGCAGAAAGATATGTTTTCGAGGAAATCAGAAACTTAAAGATTTTATAGAACATTGTCCAAGGTCAGTCAAAGTTGCACTAATCTTGGAACAGGGTGTTGGGGCAGTAAGACTGTGGTCACAGTGTACCAGCCACTGACTGGTCATTTTGGGTTTAAAAAAGGAGTACAAAAGAACAGCTGGGGAATAAGGTCTTGCAAGAATCACAGTGGAACATTTTTAGTCCTTAAGGATCTTTCAGAATGCATATACTATAATTCATTTAATAAAAAAGTTACTCTTAGGGATATTATTTTTCTCATTTAATAAATTAAAGCCCTTTAGTTGAGCTTTTCTAGCTAAGTCTTTGGACCCTCTACATATTTTTCTTAGGCCTTTATAATAAAGATCAATATTTATAATAATGGAACCTGGATCAAACAAGTGTATTAGGTACATTTAATTATGTATTAGGTGCCTATGGTTATATTTTTTGCACATAAGGTAATAGCTTCTTTCTTGCTTATTAAGTTTGCTTAAACTGATCCTCTGATTATCTGCATTTCTCAAAAATCCCTGAATACTTTCTAGTGTTATTGCTGGTAAGGCAATGATGGGAATGGGTATTTGGACATGCCTCATTATATGTTCCTCCCTTTGAATTTCAGGCGCTACTGACCAGCATTGACATTAAAACAGAGACCTTAAGACTGACAAAACCAACTCTTTGTAGCATTAAGATATCAACATGAAAAGTAGCACGCCCTGAAAAAAATCGAAATATTTTATCCCAAAATGTTTCTATGACATGCAAAGCTATTTCTTATATGGGAAAATCTACATTCTGTAGAGAATCCCCTTCCCTTTCCAGCTCTTTTCCCTAATTCAGGAGAGAATTAACTAAGAGTTGGGTACATTTTTAACTATGATAAGAAACATTTACAATCTATTCTCTCTGAAGTCTGCTACCTGGAAGCTTTATCTGCATAATAAGAACCTTGGTCTCCACAACCCCTTATCTTAACCCAGCTACTCTATTCCATTGATTCCAGGTCTCAAGATAAATTCTTTCAACCAATGGCCAATCAGAAAAACTTTGAGTCCATTTATGACCTGGAAGCACCTTCTTTGAGTCATCCTGTCTTTCCAGACCAAACTAATATACATCTTACATGTATTGATTGATATCTTATGTCTTCCAAAAAAGTGTAAAACCAAGCTATAGCCTGACTACCTTTGGCACATGTTCTCAGGATGCCCTGGGGCTGGGTTATCGGCCATGGTCACTCACATTTGGCTCAGAATACATTTCTGTAACTATTTTACAGTTTGACTCTTTTCGTCAATAATATTCCTCCCTGTAGTTGTTACCTGGATCACAGATATAGTGTGTCCTGAATTGGTGGCTTCTGGTCTCGCTGACTTCAAGAATGAAGCCACGGACCCTCGCAGTGAGTGTTACAGTTCTTAAAGATGGTCTGTCCGGAATTTGTTCCTTCAGATGTTCAGATGCGTCTGGAGTTTCTTCCTTCTGCTGGGTTCGTGGTCTTGCTGACTTCAGGAGTGAAGCTGCAGACCTTTGTGGTGAGTGTTACAGCTCTTAAAGGTGGCACATCTGGAATTGTTCATTCCTTCTGGAAAGTTCGTGGTCTTGCTGGCCTCAGGAGTGAAGCTGCAGACCTTCACAGTGAGTGTTACAGGGAAAAGGCGGCACAGGCCCAAAGATTGAGCAGCAGCAGCAGGATTTATTGCTGAGCGAAAGAACAAATATTCCACAGCATGGAAGGAGACCCTACCGGCTTTCCACTGCTGGCTCAGGTGGCCTGCTTTTATTCCCTTATCTGGCCCCAGCCACATCCTGCTGATTGGTCCATTTTACAGAGAGCTGATTGGTCCATTTTACAGAGCGCTGATTGGTCCATTTTGACAGAGTGCTGATTGGTGCGTTTACAATTCTTTAGCTAGACAGAAAAGTTCTCCAAGTCCCCAGCTAGACAGGGAGTGCTGATTGGCAAGTTTACAAACCTTTAGCTAGATGCAGAGTGCTGATTGGTGCATTTACAATCCTTTAGCTAGACAGAAAAGTTCTCCAAGTCCCCTACCCAATTAGCTAGACACAGAGCACTGATTGGTGCATTTAGAAACCTTTAGCTAGACACAGAGCGCTGATTGGTGCATTTACAATCCTTTAGCTAGACAGAAAAGTTATCCAAGTCCCCACCCGACCCAGAAGCCCAGCCAGCTTCACCTTTCAATAAGTTAATAATGAATATTATGCATTTAATTTAAAATTCTAGCAGACATTATTGGCTAGTGTAACTGCTCAATGGGTTCACCTTGCCCACTGCCTAGACAGAGCCTATTTATGAAGACAGGGGAATTGCAATAGAGAAAGAGTAATTCATGCAGAGCCAGCCGTATGGGAGACTGGGGTTGTGTTATTACTCCAATCAGTCTCCCTGAGTATTCAGAAATCAGAATTTTTAAGGATAATTTGGTGGATAGGGTAAGGCCAGTGAGTCAAGAGTGCTGCTGATTGGTTGGGTCAAAGATAAAACCATGGGAAGTTGAAGCTGTCCTCTTGTGCTGCGTCAATTCCTGGGTGGGGGCCACAAGATCAGATGAGCCAGTTTATCGATCTGAGTGGTGCCAGCTGATCCTTCAAGTGCAGGGTCTGCAAAATATCTCAAGCATTTATCTTAGGAGCAGTTTTGGGAGAGTCAGAATCTTGTAGCCTCCAGCTGCGTGACTCTTAAACAATAATTTATAATCTTGTGGTTAATTTGTTAGTACTATAAAGGCAGTCTAGTCCAGGCAAGAGGTTTGCTTTGGGAAAGGGCTGTTATCGTCTTAAACTATAAACTAAGTTATTCCCAAAGTTAGTTCAGCCTATGCCCAGGAAGGAATGAGGACAGCTTAAAGGTTAGAAGCAAGATGAGTCGCTTAGGTTAGATCTCTTTCACTCTGTCATAATTTTGCAAAGGTGATTTCACTAGCAGAAAGTAACTAAGTCCAAACAATTAATAATAGCAAATACAATGACAAAAGTAAACAATAAATCTAACGTTAAAATATGTAATAAATTAAAATTCCTATTTAATAAGATATTTGTACAAGTTTATATAGTTCAATGACAGAAATTAACCTCTGATGAAAAAAAATTAGAATGGTGACTACTTTGAAAGCTATCAATTGGAAAAGGGAGCAATAAAGCTTCTGGGGTAAAAAAATATTTCATGTCTTGAACTGGGTAGTCGTCTAACTGATATATACAAATGTAAAAAGTCATTGAGCAGTACATTTAAGATATGTAAAATTTACTTTATGTAAATGATAGTTCAATAAAACCTTTCCCTGGGTTATATTCTTACTACTTACTTCTTGAAAAACATTATTTTCTTTTAGAGATCTTTTTCTATATACTATCCAAGTAGCATGTAGGAGGGCTGAGTGATCCTTTGGAAAAAATAATGACTTTTGTGACTGTCCAGATTCTGAGTACAGAGCCTTTAACATGATAATTTCTATATAAGTACTGCAATTCCTACATTGTTGCTAAACATAAAGGTACCTCAGTGCTACTTGAGGAAGTCAATTATGCTCCAAGAAAGGGATGTTGAACCTACTTCTGACCACTTTTGATTTGCAAATTGTCTCTACTGCTGCTTTCAGGAGAGTAAGAGAAGTTGTATAAATATATTGGTTGTCTAAGCTTAGAGAAAAAATTTACAGGCTGAATTCTAACTGGTAATTCTTCTCCCATGTGCAAGAACATTAAATTATATTACTTTCTGAGTCATTCCACCAGATTCGGCTCCTAATCGAAACAACCTGAGATTTTGCTCTTTTAACTCTCTAATGACCCAAGGCATGAGTTCAATATTATTGTGTAAATATTGACTATTATTACTGTCAAATTATAAAAGTCCCCCATCCTTTAGAACTATATAAAGTACAATTCACAGAGATGATTGTTGCTTTTTTATAGGATACCATTTGATATTTCTAATAAGTGACATACATGAAAGGAAAGTTTATTAATATTGTCATCCCCACCCATGTATGAATTCTATATTTTGTGCCTTACCCATTGACTTCTGTCAACAAAAAGTGTCAAACTCTGTAAAATATTTGAAGAGGTTTATTTTGAGCCAAATATGAGTGACCATGGCCCATGACACAGCCCTCAGGAGGTCCTGAGAACATGTGCCCAAGGTGATTGGGGGTGCAGTTTGGCTATATACATTAGGGAGACATAAGACTTCAATAAAATACACTTAAGGAATACATTGGTTTGGTCCAAAAACAACTTGAAGTGGGGACTTCCAGATTACAGGTAGATTTAAGCATTTTCTGATTTGACAATTGGTTTAGTTTATCTAAAAACCGGGGTCAATAGAAAGGAATGTGTGGGTTGCAGTAAGATGTTGTGGAGACCAAAGTTTAATCATGCAGAGGAAGTCTTCAGATAGTAGCCCTCAGAGAGAATAGGTTGTAAAATGTTTCTTATGACTCAAAGTCCATGTTGATGTTAATGCAGGAAAGGTATAATGAGGCATGTCTGACCCCCACTTCCTGTCATGGCCTGAACTAGTCTTTCAAGTTAAATTTTAAGAGAGCCCTTAGCTGGTTGGGGGCCTTAGAATTTTATTTTTGGTTGACACTTCTCTCTTTACTTACATGCCTGTGGTCAAATAGCAGGAGAAAAAGATCAAGGGTGGATGTTGTGGTGGTCAATCTACTTCTGTGTGATGATTAATTATATGAGCAGTAGTAATTAGATTGCAGTTTGTATTCCTTGAGTACCTACCCTGGGCCAGGCACTCTCCTAGGAGATTTACATAGAGCAACATCCCATTGAATATTAAAGCAAACAAGCAACAAAAACAACCCCCCAATAAGTTAAGAAGCATTGTCAAACTTGTTCCTCTGTAAGAAAATGGAGACAACAGGTTAATTTTTCTAAGAACACACAAAGAGGTGGAGCCAGTACTAAATATCCAATCCTGTTACTTAAACTTCAAGAATATAACATGTTATACTCCCTGTTGAGGTAGTCAAGTAAAAAGGGGTCCCTGGAGAATCTTCTAGCAGCCTACACACTGGGAGGATGGAGTAGAGCCTCAGGAAATTCATGCCATTTGCAGGGATGAGAAGCCTGGCCCCTCCTGTTTCTGTGTGGTAACCTGGAATTCAATCTGTGAGGTGGAAAACCTGCTAGCAGGACTCTCTCTCACTTTGCGGAGAGTTATTTTTTTTTCACCCAATATACCCTTCCATACTCACCTACAATGTGTCTATGTGCCTAAGTTTTCCTGGCCATATGACAAGAACTCATTTTTTTCTACAATGCTATTACTGTATTCTGACTAATTTGCATACAAAATTGAGGGAAATTTTAAACAAACTGATAGTTTGGATTACCGATCTGTTGTCCATACAAAAGAAACAGAATTCAATATATGTGAAGATTGAAGGGCTCTGCTTTCGAAATACATTATATAAATAAAAGAATTTATCATAATGGGATTTTTTTCAAATATTTTAATGACCATAATACTGTGATTTATAATCTATATCAAATACATTTCTATAGTAATAATTAACTTGACCAATGTATGAAATATATCCAATGAATGATAAATGAAAAGTCAGAAAGATGGTTTACTTGCTATATCTCCATATAATTATTATATTTCCTTGTTTATTTACACCTGTTAATTCCCAGCCAAAGTTATAACTTTTCAATGAAATATCATGTAACTAAAAAGCACAGATATTTTCGGTGACAGAAACTCTTTTGAGGGTTTTTTCCCCAAAGCGAAAGGGAAGAATTAGAGTAATTATATTTTACCAACTTTGTTTATTAAAATGAAAAAGAGTTTTTCTACCAGATTCTAGAAAAAATAACGCTGAAACTGAAAATAAATTAGGCAATGACTTGTCCATTGACATCCTCAAATAAAAACAAAGACACATGCTTTCTACACATGCTAAGGAATAAATGATTTCAGCACATTTTCAAAGCATAAAAACAGACGTCAAATTTATAATCACAAATGCAGAAATGACTCTCTGCCATGATAAATTACACAATTCTCTTTTTGGCCCTAATGCTTTAATTGTAACAATGAAGATTGTTGTATTAATATGTGTGTCCTGTATAACTCTACAGGGGGAAATTAGTTCATATTGATAAAAGATATTTGATATAAAAACCACAGCTTTAATTTAAAAAGCAGTTTAAATCTTTTCTTTCTGTTATTAATTATTTACAATAGTAGTTCTCTTATATATAGGCTATTGTCTATTACAGCAACATTTTTATAACCCCACACTCTCTCTTTCAACTGTGTCTCATTTTAAAGTTAAGAAAACAAGAAAAAAAGCAAAAGGCTGTAGGAGCATAGTTTATACAATTTCTTTCTAAATTTAAAGAAGAAAAAAGATTGTGAAAGCACAGCAAGTGGTGAAAATCTTTTAGATTTCAAGTACTATGACATTCTTATTGGCTCTGTAACTTGTAATTTACATTTTCATTCATTCATCTTTTCTTCAAGGCGGAAGCAATTTAGAAGGGGTGACAGACAAGTTAACAGATAATTACCAGACATTGTGATGAGTGCTTTCTTAGAGAGAAGCAATTTGAAATGCTATTCAGTTTAGCAAATTGCTCTCACATATATCACACCATCTGATGCTCAAGGTGTTACTTGGAAGTAGGTAGGGTACATACATATTATCTAAAGTATCCCCATTTTATAGTTGAAAGAAGCTGAGATTGGTGTTTAATTTCTCTGAAACCATATAACGACAACAACACAAATGTTGCATTTGGGATTTAAACCAGGTCTTCTAACTTCTATTCCTGTGGCCAATCCAGTAAATATATCTGTACTTGTTAATACTCCTTAATAATCTAGGGCTTCACATTTCTATTCAAGTGACTCTCAAGTCTGGATGAAAACTATTTTGTGCTATGTAGAAGAAACCTAATATTTGTCTTTGTATTTTGTGCTATGTAGAAGACACCTAGTCTAAAAAAAGAAAAAGGATGTAATATAACCAATCATGGTGCAATTGATAAAAAAAGAATGGGTAACAAATATTCTCCTCAGATCTAGTTAGCAATATAAAAATCTTTGTTCAATACCTTTACCAAATGAAGTTTGTAAGATTATAGCCATGGGTTTTACAAGCTTTTAAAGCATACAGGAAACAGAGTGGATAAATAATATATTTAGTTCATGTGAGACAAGATTAGAAAAGTAAGTTCTAGAGCAAAAATTAATTGAACAAAGTACCTGTTTCTAGAAAAATACTTCAGAATGCCACTGAATAAAAATTAGGGATCTTTTAGAGAAATATCCATTAAGCTTTCAAACAAACACACAGCTGAAATAAAAGCAAAAAATATGATAAAATTTTATTGGCAGAAAATGGGACACGATTCTAGAGAGAAACTATTATTTCAATGCTTAGAATTTTACAAATACTGCATAAATACTGCACAGAATCTGTTTCAATGTTGTATTTATTGCATCTCTTCTGTTTATTCCCCGAGAACTTTCAGGCTAAAATGCCTTTGAGTGAATACTCAAACTTAAGGATTAAGTCTCCCTTCTTTTTCTAGGTATTAATGTATGTTTACAGTTTTTTAAGTTTAAGGTATTTTGATTTTATGAAAGTCCAGGCAATTTAATTAATTTAGAAATCCTCTGTTGTATCCATGTGGCAGGCCAGGTCTCACTAACACAGGCCTCCATAACAACTGTTTCTGTACCAACTGAGTGGTTAAGTTAAATATTAAAAGCCAGTACCCTTATACAAAGGTGGGAATGTAACAAAAGCCCACCAAGAGTTTTGCCTAGGCCTTTCCTGAATCTTAAAGCATGAATAAACAAGTTTTACTGGGGATATGAAGAAACTCCCAGGCCTCCACAAACAAGTATATTGGGAGTCTGAAGGAACTCCCCAAACGTCTGTGATTTAGCAGGAGACAAGATAAGGGTAATCACCCCAGCACCTGGACAAATTTCTGAGGCTCCAGAGGAAGGTCTTTAAAACTCAGACCTTAGTTATAGGTTAAAAGAAGTTAATTGCTTATGTCTTTAGATGAATGCAAATTTACACATAGACATATAGCTTAGAAGGTACATAAGCTCTGAAAAACTTTGTAATCTTGAGTTGGTCTGGTGTTAATTTTCAGGCCTTCTTCCTCTAACTGGTTGCAGAAATAGAAACTCTCTTCCTCCCCAGTTCATCTGTATTTCATTATTGAGCCACAAGAAATGGCAGCCCAACCCTCAGTTTGGTCCAGGAACATCCATGCATTATTATATAAAACATTACCATGAATTTGGAGGGATTTGATTATTAATTAAAGATATTAATTACTCTGATGCTTCATATTTTCCATGATCTAAAATAGATATAGAATGAGAAGTTTAAAGAAAATTTCAGAATGAATTGCAGTATTAGGCACTGTGTCATTTTTTTACTTACTTAATTTAATTCTTACACAAATGCTGTGAAGCAGAGTACTAGCTAGAGTTCTTAGTAGAAAGCAACACAAGTTGCACATGGATAATTTAAACAGAAAAAGAACGTTTTGCAAGGATTGAGAATACTTCATAGATGCCTATCTCTTAGAATCCATGGAAAGTTTGCACAACAAAGCTCACAAAATAGCGTGAGCAAAGAAGGATGGACAGCCAAACCACAGCCACATTTCCAACGCAAAGAGTGTTTGGAAAGAACAACAGGATTCCACAGCTCCAGCTACTTTACTGTCAGCAGGAAATGTTGAGCTGATTGCTGGCTTTGTTGCTAATTTGTGTCTGTAAACTTCATTTTTTCTGCTGGTGTCCCTGTGGCCAAAATTAATTCTCTATCCCCCTTTACTGCTGCACTTCTTTGAAAATAGTTCAGAATTAAAACCCTGGGTAATTGTAAGTAGCAGACTTAGCCTTGATCATGTGTCCATTTCTTCACAATCAAGGAAGTTGGGGAAAATAAACATTTAGTCTTTTGGATTCTGCCTCTTGGCATTACTCATAGAGTGGGATATACAAATCAAAAGAAGAGCAAGGTCAACATGAAGTAATAAACAAAATTAGTGATTATTACAATTACAAATTTCTTCATAATTTTATGGCCAAGAAAATAGTCTATTTAAGAGGCTTACTCAAGTTCATAAAACTAGTAAGTGAAGAATTAGGTTTTGAAATCAGGATCTGCTTGATTATGAAGACTATATGCCATTTCCACATCCTAATTTGTACTGAAAAGTCATGCTTTCAAAATAGATTCAAATGTTATAAAATACTGGAGTAATTTAATGACCTATATGTAAAATCTCTATATAGAAAACTGCAAAATAGGGATTAAAAAAATACCCAAATAAATAGAGAGAAATACTATGTTCATGGATTGTAATACTCAATTTTGATGTCACTTTTCAAATTATTTCTAGATTCACACTAACCCCATTGTAATCATAAATGATAATTTTTAAAAGCAATTTATGAGGTTATTGCAAAATTTATGTAAAATCTGGAGGATTTTAAATATCCAAAGCAATTTAAAAAATTTACTTTGAAGACCTGTGTAACCAGATTTCAACAGTTATTATATAGATACGGTAATTAAGACAATGTGCTGCAGTTTTTAAAAAATGAACTGACCACAGGAGAAAGTCCTAAAATAGACTAATACATATATATTCAATTGATTTTCAACAAGTGTTTCATGTAATTTAAAGAAAAAAGAATTTTTTTAAATGGGGTTGTATATAGAAAATAAGAACATAATAAAAATAAGACGCTTATTTCATTTACATGAAAACACCCACATATATTAATTTTATATAGATTATAAACCTATGAGTAAAGATTCAAAATTTGTAGCCTCAAAAAAAATGGGAGAGAGCAATATCTTTGTGATATTGGTATAGGCAAATGATTATCATTCAGGACTCTCTAAACATTAACTATAACATAAATATTGAGATGCTAAAGTTCACATTAATGACATTTGTTTTTCAAAAGATTCCATTAACACAGTAGTTATCAAAATGTAAGCATAGTTATAATAAAATCAGTTATATCCAGAATATACAGTAAGGATAAGACAATTCAAAAGTAAATTGTAGGTGGTCACATGTGGTTGCTCATGCCTGTAATCCCAATACTTTGGGAGGCCAAGGCGGGCAGATCACTTGAGGTCAGGAGTTTGAGACCAGCCCGGCCAAAATGGTGAAACCCTATCTCCACTAAAAATACAAAAATTGGCCAGGCGTGGTGGCAGGTGCCTGTAATCCCAGCTACTCTGGAGGCTGAAGCAGCAGAATCGCTTGAACCCGGGGGGCAGAGGTTGCAGTGAGCCAAGATCATGCCACTATACTCCAGTGGCATGAGTATACTCCAGTGGGTGACAGAGTGAAACTCTGTCTCAAAATACATAAAAAAACAAACAAACAAATAAAATTGTAGGAGGTGGGGCAGAGCAAGATGGCTGAACAGGAGGCTCCACCAACTCTCCCCTGGCAAAGACACCAATTTAACAACTATCTACACAAACAAAGCATCTTTATAAGAACCAAAAATCAGATAAGCCCTCACAGTCCCTGGTTTTTAACTTCACATTGCTGAAAAAGGCATTGAAGAGAGGAGGAAAGACAGTCTTCAATCAGCAAAATCACCCTCCCCCATTTCCTGGCAACATCCATGTGGCATGGAGAGAGAATCTACACTTGGGAAGGGAGTGCACAGTAATTGTGACATTGCATTGAACTTAGTGTTGCCCCATCACATCAGAAGACAACACTGAACTGAACCGAACTCAACTGATGTCCGGGGGGGAATATTTAAACCACCCCCAGCCAGAGGGGAATCACCCATTCCAGTGTTTGAAACTTGTGTTCCAGCAAGCCTTTCTGCTATAGGATAAAGTGCGCTGAGGCTCCAAATAAACTTGAAATGCAGTCTAGGCCACTAGGGCTACAAATCCCAGATAAATCCTAGTACTAAACTGGGCTCAGAGCCAGTGGACATGGATGGCTAACAGAGCGCTTGTGACATGCCCCCCTCCAACCCCAGGCTACACAGCTCTAGACTCCAAAAGAGACTCCTTCTTTCCACTTGAAGACAGGAGCAAAAAGAGTAAACAGGACTTTTATTACATCTTGGATACTAGATCAGCCCCAGTAGGATAGGGGGGTCAATCAGAGCCATAAGTACCACTTTCCAGTACTTTGCTCCCAGATCATATTTCTACACACACTCTAGGCCAGAAGGGAATCTACCGCTTTGCCTGGAAGGACATGGTCCTAAAAGAGCACATCACCTGCTTATTAAAGAGCCCTTGGGTGCTGAATAACCAGCAGTCAACACAGGTGGTGTGCCATGGGTCTTGGGTGAGACTCTGAGACTTGCTTGCTTCAGATATAAGCTCAACCACAAGGAGTAGAGCACTAAGTGGGCTCTTGGGGTACCCAATTCCAGGCCTTGGCTTTTGAACAGAATTTGTTAACTTACCTTGGGCCACAAGGGAGCTCACTGCCTTAAAGGAGGAGTCCCAGGCCAGCCAACATTCACTACAAGCTGACTAAAGTGGTTTTAGTCATAAGGGGAACAGCAGAAGTAGCCTGAAGTTTCTCCCCATGGGCTTGTGGTGGTGCTGGCCATGAAGTAGGCACTTCTGCCTGTGAAAAGGGGAAGGAAGAGTGGGAAGGACTGTTTCATGGTTTGAGTGCCAGCTTAGCCACAGTATGATAGAATTCCAGGTAGATTTTTAAGTTTTTTCGACTCCAGTCCCTGGCTCTAGGATGGCAGCTATCTACCAATCTGGGCCTGGGGGAACTCATTGACCTGAAGGGAAGGAAGGACACAAACCTGGCTGGCTTCACCTCCAGCTGATGGTAGAGTCCTCCACGTCCTTGAGCAAATACAGATAATAGCCAAGTAGTGATTACAGTGGCCCATGGGTGAGACCAGTCCTATGCTGGTCTAAGGACTGACTCAGCCCAATATCAGTGATGGTGGCCACAGGGGTACTTGTCTCACCCTGCCCCCAGCTCCAGGTGGCTCAGAAGAGAGAGACTCCATTTGTTTCGAAGAAAGCAAGACAGGAAAACAAGAATCTCTGCTTGGTAAGCCTGATAATTCTTCTGGATCTTATCCAAAATCATCAAGGTGGTGCATCTATTATTAGTCTGCAAGAATCACAGTGTTACTGGCCTTTGGGTATTCCCTAATGCAGATTAATTTAGATAAAAACAACCATATCCTTCTGAATACCTGGAAAGCTTTCCCAAGAAGGATGGGTACACATAAGCCCAAACTGCAAAGACTACATTAACTACCTAGCTCTTCAATGCCCATACACAGAATTCAACGTAGCTTTTTTTGAGAAAACTCAAAGAAATTCAAGGTAACACAGAGAAGGAATTCAGAATTTTATCAGATAACTTAAACAAACAGATTTAAATAATTAACAAGATCAAGGAGAAATACTGGAGTTGAAAAGTGCAACTGACATTTTGAAGGATGCATGAGTCTTTTAATAGCAGAATGGGTAAAGCAGAAGAAAAAAATAGTAAGTTTGAAGACAGTTGGTATGGTTTGGTTGTCTTCCCACCCAAATCTCATCTTGAATTCTCACATGTTGTGGGAGGGACCCAGAGGGAGGTAATTGAATCATGGGGGCAGGTTTTTCCTGTGCTGTAGTCATGATAGTGAATAAGTCTCACGAGACCTGATGGCTTTATAAGGTAGAGTTTCCCTGCACAAGCTCTCATTCTCTTGCTTGTTGCCATCCATGTATGATGTGACTTACTCCTCCTTGACTTCCACCGTGATTGTGAGGCCTCCCCAGCCATGTGGAACTGTAAGTCCATTAAATTTCTTTCTTTCGTAAATTGCTCAGTCTCAGGTATATCTTTATCAGCAGCATGAGAGCAGACAAATACAACAGGCTGTTAGAAAATACAATCAGAGGAGACAAAAGAAAAAAAAAAGGAAGCATGCCTACAGGATCTAGAAAATAGCCTCAGAAGGTGAAATTTAAGACTTATTGGCCTTAAATATAAGGTAGAAAAAGAGACAGTTGTAGAAAGTTTATTGAAAGAGATAATAACACAGAACACCCAAACCTAGAGAAAGGTTATCAATAACATTTCTTGTACTTGGTTATCAAATATCAATAACCAAGTACAAGAAAGTTTATGAAACACACAGTAGATTTAACCCAAAGAAGACTATCTCAAGTCACTTAATAATCAAACTCTCAAAGACAAAGGACAAAGAAAGGATCTTAAAAGAGAAAAGAAACAAATAACATACAACAGAGCTCCAATATGTCTGACAGCAGACTTTTTAGTGGAAAACTTATAGGCGGGGAGATAGTGGCATGACATATAAAGAGGTGAAGGAAAAAAAACTTCTACCCTTGAATAGTATATCTGGTAAAAATTTTCTTCAAACATAAAGGAGAAATAAAGACTTTTCCAGACAAACAAAAGCTGAGGGATTTCATCAACATCAGACTTGTCCTACAAGAAATGCTAAAGGGAATACTTCAGTCAGAAAGAAAAGGACATTAATGAGCAATAGGAAAACATCTGAAGGTACAAAACTCACTAATAGTAAGTAATAGGATATACACCAAAGAAACACAGAGCATTATAAGACTGTAACTGTGATGTGTAAACTACTCTTATCTTAAGTATAAAGACTAAATGATGAATCAATTAAAAAAATGAGAGCAATAACAACAGATGTTCAATACATAGGCAGTACAATAATATATGAATAAAAACAAAAACTTAAAAGCAGGGGAACAAAATTAAGGGTAGAGTTTTTATAAGTTTTCCTTTTGCTTTTTTGTTTGTTCCTTTTTTTATGCAAACTGTGTTAAGTTGTTATCAGCTGAAAATAATGGGTTATAAAATAGTATTTGCAAGTCTCATGCTAACCTCAAGTGAAAAAACACAACAGAAAAGAGCAAAAAAAAAATCATACCATCATAGAAAATTACTTTCAATAAAAGGAAGATAGGAAGAAAGGAAGAAAAGGAGAAAGAGAAGATGAAAAACAACCAGAAAACAAATAATAAAATGGTAGGAGTTAATTTCTACTTATCAGTAATAACATTGAATGTAAATTGATAAAATTATCCAATCTAGAGATGGAGTGGTTGAATAGATAAAAAAATCAAGATCCAATGATATGTTGTCGACAAGAAACAAACTTTACCAATAAAGACACACATAAGCTAAAAATAAAGGGATGAAAAAGATGTTTCATGCCAATGAAAACCAGAAAAGAGTTGGAGTAGCTGTATCAGGCCAATAACTCTGATGAATATTGATGCAAAAATTCTCAATAAAATGCTAACAAACCAAATTCAACAACATATTAAAAAGATTATTCATCATGACCAAGTGAGATTTATCCCAGAGATAGAAGGATGGTTCAACATACCATCTCTTTTCTCAATTATTCAATAGATAATTAATCAATTAATAATTAATGTGATACATTGTAATGACAAAATAAAGGACAAAAATCATATTATTTCAATTGTTTCCAATTGATGCTAAAAAGCACTTGGTAAAATTCAACACACTTTCCTGATATAAACCCACAAAAAACTGTGTATAGAAGGATGATAACTAACATAATAGAAGCCTTATATGACAAACATACAGCTAGTATCATACTGCATGGGAAAAAAACTGAAAGACTTTCATTTAAGATTGAGAAACTAATGATGCCCACTTTCATCAGTGTTATTCAACATAGTGCTGTAAGTCTTAACTTGAGAAATCAGACATAAGAAAGAAATAAAGGGCATCTAAATTGGCAAGGCAGAAGGCAAATTAACCTTCTCTGCAGATGAATAATCTTATATTTGGAAAAGCCTAAAGACTACACTAAAAAACAATTAGAACTGATAAATTTAGTAAATTTTCAGAATACAAAATTAACACACAAAATCAGTCGCATTTGAATATGCCAGCCATGAACTCTCTGAAAAAGAAATAAACTAATCACATTTATAATAGCTACAAACAAAATAAAATATGTAAGAATTAACTTAACCAAAGAAGCAAAAGGGCTCTACAATGAAAACTATAAAACACTGATGAAACAAATGGAAGAGGACACAAAATAACAGAAAGATATTTCTTGTTCATGGATTGGAAGAATCAATATCATTAAAATGTCCATATGACCCAAAACAATCTACAGATTTAATAAAATTCCTATTAAAATACCAATTACCTTCTTTACAATATAGAAAACACCATCCTAAAAGAAATACAGAACCACCAAAAACCTACAATATACAAAGCCACCCTGAGCAAAAAGAACAAAACTGGAGGAATCACATTACCTCACTTTAAATTATACTACAGAATATATATATATATATACACACACACACACACACACACACACACAGTATATATATATAATATATGTAATTATTATATATTATTTAGTCACCACAAGCTGACTAAAGAGGTTTTAGTCATGAGGGGAACAGCAGAAATAGCCTGAAGTTACTCCCCATGGGTTTGTGGTGGTGCTGGCCATGAGGTGAGGTGCTTCTGCCTGTGAAAAGGGGAGGGAAGAGTGGGAAGGACTGGGAAGGACTTATATAATATATATAATTATATATAATATATAATACAAAATGACCTGGTACACGCCTAAAAACAGAAACACAGATCAGTAGAACAGAATAAATATTTCATAGATATCTCCAATGAACTCATTTTTGACATAGATGCTAAGAACATACATTGAGGAAAGGATTGTCTCTTCAGTAAATGCTGCTGGGAAAACTGAATGCCCATATGCAAAAGGATGAAACTGTACTCCTATCTCTTACCATATACAAAACTCTAATAAAAATGGATCAAAGTCTTAAATCTAAGACTTCAATCTGTGAAACTACTAACAGGAAACATTGAGGAAATTCTCTGGGACACTGACCTGGGCAAAGGTTTCTTGAGTAATATTCCACAAGCACAGGTAACCAAAGCAAAAATGGACAAATGGGATCACATCAAGTTTAAAAGCTTCTACACAGCAAAGGAAACAATCAACAAAGGGAAGAGACAACTCACAGAATGGGAGAAAATATTTGCTAACTACCCAGCTAATAAAGGATTAATAACCACAATATATAAAGAGCTCAAACAACACTATAGGACAAAATCTAATCATCCTTTTTAAACATGGGCAAAAGATTTGAATAGACATTTCTCAAAAGTAGATATACAAATGGAAAACAGGTATATGGAATGGTGCTCAACATTGATTATCCAAGAAATGCAAATCAAAACTACAATGAGATATCATCTAACCCCAGTTATAATGACTTTAATCCAAAAGACAGGCAATAATAAATGCTGGTGAAGATGTGGAGTGAAGTGAATCTGTGTACTGCTGAAGGGAACGTAAGTTAGTACATCCACTATGGAGAACAGCTTAGTGGTTTCTCAAAAAAATCATCAATAGAGCTACCTTATAATCCAGCAATCCCACTCCTATTTATATACCCAAAAGAAAGGAAATTGTTTTATAGAAGAGATAGCTGCACTCCCATGTTTATTGATGCACTTTTCACAAGATTTGGAGGCAAGCTAACTGAACATCAACAGATGAATGGGTAAAGAAAATGTGGCACATATACACAATGGAGTACAATTCAGCCATAAAATGCAATAAGATCCTATCATTTGCAACAACATGGAAGGAGCTAGAGGACTTTATGTTAAGTGAAATAAGCTAAGCACAGAACGTCAAACTTTGCACATTCTCACTTACTTGTGGGGGCTAAAAATGAAAATAACTGGGCACATGGAGTTAGAACATAGAAGGATGGTTACCAGAGGCTGGGAAGGGTAGTGTATGGAGAGGGGTGGAAGTGGGGAGAATTAATGGGTACAAAATCATAGTTGGATAGAGTAAATAAGACCTAATATTTGTTAGCGTAACTGGTGACTATAGTCAAAAATAATTTAACTGTACATTTTAAAATAAGTAAAAAAGAATAATTGGATAGTTTCTAATACAAAAGATAAATGCTTGGAGTGATGGATACTCCATTTACCCTGATGTGATTATTTCACATGGCATTCCTATATTAAAACATCTCATGTAACCCCTAAATATATATACATAATATGTATCCACAAATTTTTTAAATAAATTTTATTTTAAAAAATAAAAAATAAATAACAATGGGCAAAAGGAAGATATGTGAATGGTCAATAAATGCATTAAAAAGCACCATATTATTAGACATTAGAAAATTACAAATTAAAGCCAGAATTATATATCTCTACTCGTGGGATTTTAAAAAATAATAAAAAGCTTAAACAGGTTAAGCTTAACAAATAATAATAATGCTTAATAGGTTGTTGAGGACATGGTATACATTTTACACATTGGTGAGAATGTAAAATGCACAACCTTTAAAATAACTCTGATAGATATTTTTTAAGACGTTTTTTAAGGGCACTATTAGATTGAAAGCAAAATTGAGAAGAAGGTACACAGGTTTCCCATATTCACTTTTTTCTCACACATGTATAACCTCCCCCATTATCAACATGCCCCACCAGAGTGGTACATTTACTACCATTGATTAATCTACTTTGATACATCATTATCACCCAAAGTTTATAGTTTACATTAGGGTTGACTGTTAGTGTTATACATTCTGTGGGTTTAGATGAATATCTACCATTATAGTATTATGCAGATTACTTCACCCTAAAAATCCACTGTGTTCCTTATACTCATCTCTCCCTCCCCCAACCCCTGACAACCACTCATCTTTTTTATTCAGTCTCCACAGTTTTGCCTTTTTCAGAATGCCATATAGTTGGAATCATACAGTATGTAGGCTTTTTAGATTGGCTTCTTCAACCTACTAATATGCATTTAAGTTTCCTTCTTGTCTTTTTGTGCCTTGATCACTCTTTTTTTTTTTTAAGTGCTAGATAATATCCTATGGTGTGGATACACCAGTTTATTTACTCATTCACCTGCTGAAGGACATCTTCAGGATATCTTGGTTGCTTCCAAGTTTTGGCAATTATGAATAAACCCACTAAAAAGATCCATGTGCAGTTTTTTGTATAGACATAAGTTTTAAACTTCTTTAGGCAGATGCTGAGGAATGTGTTGCTGGGTCATATGGTAAGAGCACGTTTAATTTGGGAAGAAACCACCAAATTGTTTTCCAAAGTGGCTGTACCATTTTGTGTTTCTACCAGCAACGAATGAGAGTTCCTATTGCTCTACATTTTCTCCAGCATTTGGTATTGTTAGTGTTCTTGATTTGGGCCATTCTAACAAGTGTGTACTGGTTATTATTTTAATTTGCATTTCCTTGATGACATATGATGTGGAGCATGTTTTCACATGGTTATTTGCTATCTGTACATCTTCTTGGGTGAAGTATCTGTTAAGGTCTTAAAATGCTCTCTTTAGTTTATAACTATCGTACGAAGTAAATGTGATGTGAAATATAGCAATTAAGTTCTTACTGTATTTTATTTTCTAATAAATTCAAATAAAATTAACTTAATGCTTAAAATTACAATGTAAATATACATACTTATAGAATATATGTATATTCTATTTTGGTGAAATATATTCCATATAGGCTACGGCAGGCTTCACTCACTAAGGACTTATGTGTTTTTTCTGTTTTGTACACTTTCCTTGTGCTGAGATGTCACCTTTGCAGAAAAATGTACCTGTGTTGAGCTCAGACACAGTGAAGAAGCATGAGTAAAGAACAATTGCTTTTCAAGATGGTTAGAAAAGCATATCGGTGCTACTTGGGGCATCATTTCAGAACGAGAGGTGGCAAGAAACAATCAGAAAATATATGATCTTTTCCAAAAATCAAGAAGACTGAGAGCCCCCTCAGTTGTCTAGATGAGATCCTCCAGGCATTATACTTTGATATTAAAGAAAATTTAATTGTGGAAGTCTCTATACTTTTCTGTGGCTTGTGGACTTTATTTAAGAAATTAGTTGCTTCAGGCTATGTGCAGTGGCTCACACCTGTACCAAATACTTTAGGGGGCCAAGGTCAGAGGATCACTTGAACCCAAGAGTTTGAGATCAGCCTGGGCAATATAGCGAGACTTTGCCTCTAGAAAAAAAAAATAATAAATAAATAAATAAATAAATAAATAAATAAATAATATCTAGGTGTGGTAGCACATGCCTGTAGTCCCAGCTGTGATGGGAGGATCACTTGAACCTGGATAGTCAGGTTAAGGCTGCAGTTAGCTATGGTAATGCCACTGCCCTCCAGCCTACATAACAGACTGAGACTGTCTCAAAAGAGAGAGAGAAAAAAAAAGAGAGAGATTAGTTGCTTAAATATTAAACTATTATTGTTATTTGTTTAAGCCAGTGGGGCTGGAAATAGAGCTATGTATAGGTTGTGGGGAGGGTGCACATGGGCTACAAAGAAAGAAAAAGAGAAACAGTGTAAGAGCATCGACTAGAATCATGCAAAACTATGTTTGATTTTTTTTTCCCTCTATGACTTATTAGCTGGAAAATGTTGAGCTTCATTGGTACAGTAATTGTGGTAGTTACATGAAATGATGATTGTAAAGTTCTAATATGACACCTATTACATGACTATAGATAAGTCACCTCTCTTATTTTTATCTCTTCTCCAGTGTTGTTAAGGTAGTCCCTTGAAGCATTAACTGTCAAAGTTGCAGTGTAAACAGATGGACCTTGTTCAATTCCTTCCTCATTAAGGGGAGAGAATATTTGAAGGAGGTTATGAATATAATGGGGATGGAAAGAGGGAATGACTTTCTTCTCTGCTATTTTGTTGGGGAGTGGAGCAGGTTCTCTTCCTCTTCCTGGAGAACTGAGGAATAAGAGTAGCTTTTAGAGAAGTCAGTAAACACAAATAGAACCAGAGTGCTGAATATTAGTTTTCTCAAAAATGTTGAAGCTAATAATTTTAAATTATGGCCAAGTAACATGTTGTAAAAGAAGATGAGGTCAAAGCAAATACTCAGATTATTTTTTGTGTCTTTTTATAGCCATCAATTAATCACTTCTGGCTGTAAAAGTTTGTCTCTGGGTGAGTTGTTTTTTGTAGTTTCATGTTCTTTTATTTTCCTTCAATATCACAGCTTCTTATCTTGCTACCAAATTCCTAGTGTGCACATTTTTAATGTTTTGCTCATGAATTAGAATTGCAGAGACAATGATGAGAGTTGGAGAAACAATAGTTCTATATCCTAACTTCTTAGATCATATCCAGGGTTTCCTAATGCCAATTAAAATCAACTCCTTTTACTTTTAAGTGAAGAAAGAACTCATAGGTCAAAAATAGTAATGGAGAAACACTTTCAGATGCACTAATAATAAAGTGGCTAAATCCCAGCAAGAAGAGGACTTTTTGATGTTTAATTTGCCATAGTTCTGTAGTTGACTTGAAAATTGCAGTCCTGCAATCATAGTGAAAACCAGCAGCTTAGCAGCCCCTGGAGGGAACAGAATGGGTTTGAAGCAACTCAAAACGTCCCACTTCTGCAGCATTGTCACAATTTGACCTGTCAGGAAACTCACATGAAAAACTCCTTTCACAGGAGTTGTCTTTATTTTACTTGACTGGAATCTCTGAAGAAAGACCTTCTCTTAAGGCATTTAATTTAACATTGGCTGCCTATGGCAGTGATACCAGTTGAAGCAAACAAGAGGATTGACAAAAAACTAAAAATAAAAACTTGTAGAGTGAAATGTCCACAGGAGGCTTAAAAAACTGCAGTATATTCCTGGGGCTCTAGAAAGCCTTGAAGATGAGCAGGGCTTGTGTATGACTAAGAAAGACTTCAGAAGGCCTAAGAATTTCACCTCTGGCTAACACTGAGGCTCTATGCAAGCAACAAGTTAGCCAGATAAGACACAGTTGTAAGCTCCTGGAATGATGAAGGCATAACCCAACACTCACACAGCACCTCTTGGCAAAAGGTGGGAGACTTAGTGTTTCAAAGCATTTAGGGAAATTTCTATCTAATTATGAGGTGACCAGCAAGCTAACTGAGTCTTCAATGGTCACACACTATGAAGAATACATATTTTACAGAATTAGTCCAACAAAATCACTAAACCAACAGAAAGCAACAACAAAAACAGTATCAATAACAAACCCTGAGGAAGATTGAATTTATTTCCAGAATTTCCACATTATATTATTTAGAATGTCTAGTTTGCAACAAGAAACTTTGACACACAAATAAACAGGAATATTATGACCTATAAAAAGAATAACAAATATAATCAATAGAAACAAAACACTAAAGTTAGACAATACTCTAAAGCAGGCTAAAAATCTGGAGAAATCTTTTTATTCTGAAACATTTATTTGGGGGAATGTTTGCTTTTTCTATGTGTAGAAAGCTCAATTAATATTTTAAAAGTATTTCAAACTAAGGGTGTTTATCAGATATCTGGATGGTATTGCTTAAATAGTTGTTAACACAAACTAGGTTTTGCCTATTTAGTGACATATTCAAGCAACATAAATTAAATATTGGTTTTCCTAAAAATGTAACTACTGGGATTCTGATATCAGAAATGTAAAGCCTAAGACTACTCATTCATAGTGAAAAATAGAACAAGATTTTGCTGCTAATAACTGTTTCTAAATTTTAGTTATATTTCTTACAGCTGCATATTGTTTGAAATTTGAGGCAATCAGTGCATTACTTTTTTCAAGTACTCAGTGGATTATTTTTCAAAAAAATTTTATTCTTGGTCAATATTTGTGTCAACAAATGATCTCAACTCTAGGACATGGAGTAGATATGGTGGTCACTAAGAGCAACTGTGGAACCTAAGTGGGAGGCCAGAAGGACAAAGAAATGTCTTGTTGTGATTACCTGGGTGTATAAAATAAATAATTTAGGTATTCTATGACAGAAAAGGTAGCATTCCAGGAATTATGCTGAAATGACTACAGGCAAATATATAATTTTGAAGTAAATTTTAAACTCTCTCTCTCTCTCTCCATATATATATATATAATATATATATAAATATATATATATATATTTAAATATATATTTATTTTAAATTTTTCCTCAAATTATCACAGTCTAGAGAAATGTTTTTCTATTTTCCTTCACTCTGAGAAATAAATTGTAGGGCAGACTATCTCAGAAAAGTTTTATATAGCTTATTTTTGAATTTTATAAACAAATCTATTAGGGTAATTTAGGCAGTTTACTTTTTTGGCAAAATAATCCTGGAGTAGCAATTATATTATAGGCATTTTGATAAATACATTGGGCCTATAAAACATCTAACAAGTGGTGATCCCTTTTTAGGGAATTATTAAATTAGGTACAGTAACAATCTTCTACAGAAAATTGAAATAATAAAATAAAAAACTGTCTAATGGGTACTGCAAATCAAAAATGCTGTACACATTTTTGAGAGCAATTTACTGTGTCTCAGTGGTCAGATAACTTCATGAAGCTCAATGTTGAGCTGGTCTTGATTTAGACAGGAAATGAAGAGTGTTTTAAACTGAGTAGAAAATATGTAATAAAAGGTAAGAAGATAATAATTTTATTACTTAGGGTTCTCCAGAGGAGCAAACAACAGGATGGATATACAAGAAGAAACTTGTTATGAAAATTGACTCACATCATTATGGAGGCTGAGAAGTCCCACAATATGCTGGATAACCAGAATAGTAAATGGTGTAATTCATTCCAGGTCTGGAGGCCTGAGAACCAGGAGAGCCCATGACATAATTTCCCGTCGGAGGACAAAGGTCTAACAACCAGGAAGGTGGAGTGCTAGTGGCAGAGGTATGCCAGCATGAATGATGAAGTCTGAAGACTTGGGTACCAGGAGCTCTGATGTCCGAAGGCAGAGGGAGATGAATGTCCCAGTTCATGAATAGATGAAGAAATTCTCCATTCTTCTGCCTTTTTGTTCTATTTGGGCCCTGAAGGGATTGAATGATGCCCACTCCATATTGGGGAAGGTGGAACCTCTGTACTTAGTAGACTGATTCAAATGCTAATATTGTCCAGAAACACCCTCAAAGACACACTCAGAAATAATGTTTTACCAACTATCTTGACAGCACTTAGCTCAATTTGATACATAAAAATTAGCCATCCCAGTAATGTGTAAGGAATAATAAGTATTGCAACCTCAATTAATTTAGGAATTTAAGGATGTGATTAGTAATTAATGAGATTGGAAAGGACTGTTAAATGGATGCCAGGCTAAGTATTCAGTTCTGGCTACATAATATGCAGAGCCCAAGGCAAATTGAAAATATGGGATCCTTTGTTTAAAAATATTAAGAATTTCATGATGGTAGCAGCAGATCAATAAAGCAAACATGGAGCCTTTCTAAGTATGAGACTCTGATTGCACAGTTAGCATGCCCATGAAGGCAGCTCTGTAAAGAGCTTAATCCTCTCTTAATAGACAATGGGGAGGTTCTAATGGGATTTCATTAGGGAGAGAACATGATTAGTATGATGATATATTTAAAAACAAAATTGGTGATTATTTGCCGGCTAAACTAGAGAAGGTCAAGAGAAATGAGTGTAGTATCCCAGAAATGTACAGCTAAGATTCTTGTCCCTGTTAGAAACAAAAAGGAAGAAATTTTCAAGAATTAAATTGGACAGGTTTGTGAATGGCTAGAAAAGAGAATAAGGAAGTAGAGGAGTAAATATGTGTGAAGGATTTCAAATACACTTGGCTGAGAGAATGATTTGAAACAGGTGTGGGGCTGAAATCATTAGCTATATTTTAGAAGAGCTTGTATTGAATGATGGTAGGGAAACAAAGTGGAGACGCTGAGTCATTATTTACCAATACATAGATGGAGGAGTAGAGTGCAAGAGACAAGTTCATTTGTGAGATCTGCAAGATGATGCAAATGGTGCAATTAACTAATATTTAATGATACCAACATATGTCATTATAGATCTTAGTAATGATATTGACTTATTTTATTTATGGATTTCGTGTTTCTCCTCCAAAGAGTTAATATGTTTTTTCCTCTCAGAAATAATACTTGACTTAAATCAATGATTGAACATTCAAAGAACAAAAATAGTTATGTGAGAAAACCTCCACCATTATTTAATAAAGTAATTGCACTTTTCAAGACCCCATTCTATTATCTCTTTTAATATTTCCAACAAACTTATAAGATATATACTATTTTGGTTCATACTTTAAAGATTAAGAGACTTAATAATAGGTAAGCTAACTAAGTTTATTCATTATTTGAGGACTGTTTATTGACTGATTACTAATCATACTGTTCCAAGTGCTGGATATGTAGTAATAGATAAGACTGTCAGCCACCCAATTCTCACAAATGTTATAATATCAATAATACCAAGTGATGTAAATAAAATAAAGTAAGAATATAATAGAAAAAACTCAATAAATACTTTACATTAATGGTTGGAGGAATAACTTGCCCAAAGTGATAGACTTAATTAATGTAAACTAAGGCTTGAACTCATTTCCGCAAGCATAGAGACTTGTCTCTCGTTTTCACTGTTACATTGCCAGTAACCAGAATACTGCCAGTATACATTAGGCACTCAAATAGTTGTTGAAAAAAATGAGTAATAGCTCATATTTACTGATGACATGTCATGCATTGTACCTATTATTTTCATGTTATTTTAACATTCATAAAATCCATATTATTATTTGTATTTTAAGTATTTTAAATTTGAGGTACATGATGGTAAAATAAATTGCCCAAGGTTAAACAACAGCTATAGAGAAGTTGGTATTTGATGTTCATAAGAGTCCAAAGACAGGAATTTCCCAGTGGACACTAATTTGCAGTGATTGCAATTCGTCTTTATACCCCCTAGGCTTGGAGACACTGTCATTGTGTGAGTCTTCATGGGACGATATGGGAAAAGGCTAGATTCTTGTATTTCAGAACACTGGCAGCTAGTGGATGGATGATTCACTAAAATAATGCCCTGGGCCAGTGCTCTGAAAAGAAGAGAAATTCAGTAATACTTGAACACATTAATGTATCCGTTGATGAAAAAAATAAATTATAAAACTTTTAAATATTTAAATATGAAATTAGTGCCTATTTCATAGCACGGATTGAGTCACAAATACCTCTTTTGCTTTCAAATGACATTTTGCTAAAAGCTTAGCATGAAATTATTAATGATTATTGAGTTTGTTGATGTCTACGTGTTCCCAGCAGACTGAGCTGTCTTTTAGGTGCTGGGACTGTTCTGACTCTTGCAATATGCCAAAACAATGGGTAGATCCTAAATAAATCTGCTTGGCCATGAAGATAGGAAAAAAATAAATATTTCAAATTAGACTTTGTTTCCTCTACTATAGATATTTAAAATTCTGGCTTCTTTATAATAAAAATTAATTCTAATATGTAATGCTCAAGAATCATAAAATTTCATATGCAAATGATATACAACTGTGTTTTTAATTGTATTAAGAGATAGAAAAAGATAGTTTGATGTCTTAGTAATGGTTGCTATTATATCTCATATAATCTAAGCAAAGTTAGAAAATCTATTAACATTTTAGCCTGTAGCAAGGAAACATGCTGCAAAGAAGGCTGAAGATAAATCACCTTTAAGTGCAAGGATCAGTTGATGATAAAAAAATGCCTTATTTTCTACATTATAAGGAACCCCTCCTTAAGCATGCTGAGGAAACGCCACAAATTGGGAAAGCCAGGATAGGTAAGTAAGCTGTTCTGCATCACACCATAGAGTAATTTGGTTTGCTGCAACATGGAAGATATCTACCAGCTGATTTCTAAGAGGGAATGCATCAAAATATTCTTTAGGTTTTTTTGAGTTATTAACAAAAATAAGCTGCTCTTTTCTCTGTAACACAAAGAATATAGTTATTCTCCACATTCCAAAAGTGTTTTTAGAGCAGATACATTGTGAAAGAGTCTAATACATTCTTTCTATATGTATCATACAATAGTTCACACGTGGCTTCCATAGTTTGGGATTAATTAATGTTTCTCGCCCACAGTGGCAACTCTCAAAACTAATTTAATACATATCTATTGAGTTCTAAGTGGCACGTTCAGTGGTTGGCACTGGGAATATAGCGATTCCCAATAAACCGATTACCATTTCTGTTCCCGTTAGAGGCTCCTTGTTAGGGAAAATCCATAGCCAAACTAGTTTTTTCTAATTCACATTAAATTTTTACATATTCTCTGCCTATTTAATTCTCTCAAGTGTCTTATTTTTTGTCCAGACCCGAAGACTGTCTATATACAACCATGTTTGCCAATGAGCTAACCAGTTCAAAGCGGCAAATGTAAATGGAAGAAATGAGCAACGATGTGAAAGGTAGTTAATCTAGCTCATTCAAACCTCCAAAGTTAAACCTGAATCTATCTGAATTATGGTGTCAACTCCTCTCTTCATTTTAATTGGATAAAATTACAGAGAAAAAAGATTGTCCACTAGCATGCTTATTTATAGTTCTAGGATAAGACTGGGCGGAGGCAAGGTAATCTATCAACTTATTTTTCATTGCCTGTGATCACTGCATTTTTTTATGATCCTCTTTTTCATGCACATTGATTTCTCCCATGTAGCAACTCAGGAAACTGTAAATGATAAATGATTGTACTCACAATTAAGCCATTAAGGTAACACAGTCTTATAATATGAAGATGTATTATAAAACAAGTCTTAAGTGAAGAAGTTGTAGAAGTTCAGTTTTCAGTTCCATTTTTTGACAAATATGCAAAGACTCCATATTGACTTAATTTTAAGATTATATTTACTGAACTCAATTTTTACTATAGATTTTGAATGTAGTCAATATTTCTTTCATATTTTCAGCTATCTATTTCTTCTCAAAGATTTTTAATTTTTAAAAAGCTTCTTATAAATGCAAACGAGGTTTTCAGTTTTGTTTTTTAAATTTCTAACATTTTGAGTTGCTATTTCCCAGTACTTCATAAGCATTTAAAAATATTATGAGAAATCCATTATATAATTAATTAGGAAATAAAAAGAAAAAGTTTTGTTTTGCTTATTTTATTTCTAACTTACTTTTGGTCCATGACTGTTCACATTTTCCAACATATTTTATCTCATATTTCACTCATGAAATATCATAGATTAATTAATTCACAAATATTTTATGAGCATCTACCTCAAATTATCCAACTCTTTGATTTCTGGGAACTAAAATTTAAGTTCACAGTGTTCTTGATTTTATGAAATGAGCAATTTAAAATGAGCAATAAGGACACAATATGATGAAGAAAGTACAGTGAGAGCAGGTGGAAGAGGTACCTAACCCACTCTATATATCCCTTTCTGTCATATCACCACACTCTAAACATCAAACCATACCCAATTTAAAGTGTCCAAATATATATCAGTCACTTGGTAAAGAGTTACGTGGATAAAGTATATACCTTCTGCTTCAAGGTTGTAACAATGCCATTTGAAAATATAACTTTGCATCTCTATGTCTGTATCTATCTCTCAAGTATGTATTTGTGTGTTTATATCTGCATCATATTTATATCCATATCTATATATGTATTTTTTTAATCCTGGATCAAGCCAGATGATACAAGATCTTCAATTTTAGATTATAGTGCTTTTGACCTTCATGGGTCAGCCTTTACTAAATTGAAATTTTGACATTTTACTCTGAAATTGCCTTGAGGTACATATATGTCAGAATTCATATAAAATTTTGAATTTATGATTTTATTTATTGTAGTGGCATTTTGAAGGATACTATTTTCCACGTCATGTAGGGTCTTCTTTTATAAAAACTATATAAGGATGGTAGTTTGGAGATTATTCTCAGGCTTCATCCTTCTCATGAACCAAGGCAATGTTTTTAATCTTTTAAACACAGTGATTTTTGAAATGATCACTTTTTTACTGTTCCTTGAGACACTGGGAAACTTTAGAATAAATTATCACTTCATTTCAAATAATTATGTATGAATTTATATGTACATATCGGTTTCTAGCTTTATCTTTAACTTCTTTTATTATTCTCTTTATTTAGTTTTTTCATGATCTTTCTTTTTTCAAATGCTTTGTTTTCATAGGTAATGTCTTATGTATAATTGTATGTATTAGTATGTATTCCATATGTATTTTCCCTATTGAGGTTTTATTAACAAATTGAAATATTAGCATAGAAAATACAAATGCATACTGCTTTTATGATTTTTTAATATTTATTTTGATGGCTTCTCATTTTATCTATGATCAGTCTAAATTTTTCTTGATATGTATATATATTTAATTTTATTATACTACCTGTATTAGTCCATTTTCACACTGCTAATAAAGACATACCTGAGACTGGGCAACTTACAAAAGAAATAGATTTAATGGACTTACATTTCACATGGCTGGGGAGGCCTCAGGATTATGACAGAAGGCAAGGAGGAGCAAGTCACATCTTAAATGGATTGCAGCAGGCAAAAAGAGAGAGCTTGTGCAGGGAAACTCTCCCTTATAAAATGAGCAGATATTGTGAGACTTACTCACTGTCATGAAAACAGCACAGGAAAGACCTTCCCCATTTGATTCAATTACCTCCCACAGGGCCCCTCCCACAAGAGGTGGGAATTCAAGATGAGATTTGGGTGGAGACACAGACAAACCATATCACTACCTTTATTAGGATGGTGCTTGTAACACCTATTTATGAAAGCTGACAACAGAATGCTGTTTATTTATAAGATTTTGTTTATTTATTTCCAATAAAAATAATTTTGGGCCCCCTTGTACCCAAAATTATTCTGGTGCTGTTCAGGGAAAACTTTCACAAGTTTAATTTATCAGTGTAAATGAGATTATGTCTGGTTTCAGGATCTGAGGACACTTTGGTTCACTTCTCTGCAGACTAAAACAGTGAAGGAAACCATAGCAGCTAAAGGTTCCTTTTTCAGGATTTGCTTTTACAATGAATTGTTTTCATTATTGATTGACTCATGTTCTCATATGGCTAGAAGTACTTCATTTCCTCTTGATTTATTCCTTACCTGCTCAGCACTTTTCAGTAGCTATGCAATGTTTCACACTAATCAAGGCTGCCTTTATTGGCTGATCCAGTAATCATTTGGTAAAAGTGAGGGACGAAAGTGACAGCTCAGGAGAGAATAGAGAGAAGGAATGGATAATGAAAAGATTTCAATTAAAAGGTATGATTTTCTTTTTTTCTCATCTTATTCTACGTGTTTTTGTGTGTATATGTGTAAATTAATTTTTGGCTTATAAAAGTAGTACATTCAGAAAGCTCAAGATAGTTTTAAAAAGAGAAACAATGGAAAAATAAGAGCAATCCTCTACATTAAGAACATTTTACACATTCAGTTCACAATTAAAAGCATTTAGCACACTAGAAAGTTTTGCTCTATTAATTGTTGCTTAATAATAATGTGGCGGTCACGTGTGAGTTGAAGAGCTTAAATCTTTAAATGATTTAGTTATATCCTAGATGTTGCTGAATAAACTTTCTATATAAGCAAGCTATGCTTTATCATCTCTTTTTAAAATAATTAACTGTAAGTATAGAATTAGGCTTAACATTATGGATTCTGTGCTCAAAGGAGATAATATATGTGTATATATATATACACACACACATATATACATATATACATATATATACACACACATATATATAATATTTCTTTTAATAAATTAAATTTATTTTCGGTCTTCTTAAAATCAGAAAATATTTGCAATTAATTTGTTCTGCATATTTGAAATGTCACTTGAAGCTGCAAGAATAAAATGTTACCTGATCTTCAATGACATCAGTGGTATTTTGTAGAATGTTTATACTTGATAATACATATTCTAATTTACATTTAAAATATGAAATATTGAAGAAACAGTTGTTGGTGTGAATCTGCACTTGCACTAAAATGAAAATACATTAGTGTCTCACTGTTATTAGGAGCAGAAAAAGGTTCTCTTAATGCTGGCTTATAAAACATTGGCCCTTAAGCTACAGTTTGATACCTTATGAGATGGCAAATTCAATAATTTACTTTTAGCCAGAAAATGGAAAAAAGAACCAAATTAATAAGTACCCTTGCAAAAGTATCTGCCATATCAATAAAAAAAAAGATACACAGAACAGGTATTTAGAAACTTCAACAAATCATGATCTTGAGTGAAACTTAAAATGACTTGACAAAAATTTTAGAGTCCTAAAAAAGCTTTGTTTATCGACATATGAAAAATAAATTTGCAATTGCCTGGAGATACTTAGTTATATGGGTGCAGCTAAAGATTATTGAAAACAAGAATTATTTTCTATACATTTTTCTTCCTAAATAAAGAACAGAAATTGGTCATTGGTTATTATTGATAATTAACATGAAAATGCAAATTGCAGAATGTCTTTCTTTGTAAAAATAATTATACAACAAACACTTATTGGATACAGTTTATAGATAAAATAATTAAAAACTTCCGACGTGTGGGATTTAATAATTTAAGACCACAATAACGATATAATCTCTCTTGTTTTGACTGACATTTGTCCCAAATTATTACTGAACCTTAAAGAAGGCAACTGGATTTTGGCAAACATAATTTATTTACTTTTTAAGGGATTGGTAAAGCAGAATGGTAAGAGATAAAGCAAAATGCTAAAGTAAATGTAATTACACAAACATTTATTGGAAATAATTTGTGGAAAGCATGGATATAATACATTTTATTGCATAATGATACAAGCTTTGTAAGGAAGAGACATATGTCTTAATTGTTAAGAATTTTGACCATATGCACACACTATAAATACCTAACAAGCAGTAGAAAAAGCAAGTATACTTGGCCTATAACTTAACACAATGCATTCCATCAATAATCAATTGCAAACTTTTCTAAAATTCATTTCTTAATGTAGCTATAACGTAGTCTTCCAGACACCAATGAAAAGTAAGAAAATCATATATATTTTCAAGATTTATCATGGTGAGTTTCTTGAAAATTTTTGGTACCTAAGATTCTTATTTCTGAAATGGCAGGAACCAACTTTAAAAATAAATTAGTAATGTCCAAAATAAAATGAAGTGGTCTTCATCAGTAGCTATACCTGTAAACATTCAGATAGAACAATAATTCAAATGCTTTGGTGAACAAAAAAAAAAGAAATATTAGTAAAATAATAGCGTAGTCATAATAAATTAATAAAACAGCATCCTTGGTAGCTTCTATATGCTTGTGTTGTATACACTTTATTTATGAAGATATATTTAGTGTTTACAAAGTGAAATTTGAAATCAACAAAGTTTTTTATAATACATATATTTTACCTTACAAATTAAAATTATTTGTCATCTAATTGGTTAGAGAAGTGAAATGACTGTACATCTAGAATGCAAAGGTTTATTTCATGGCCACAGATTTTCATGGATTTCCATTTCAAAGATAGCCAAAAATTCAGAACATTTTTATGGCCAAATAAAAATCCTGTGTCTGACTTTTTCCATACATTCATTGCAGAATTTGCACCATCTTAGGTTTTGACTACTTTATTATGGTAACTCCCAAGTAGTCACAAGTCATTAATTATTCATATTAATTTTCTAAAACAAGAGTGATCAAATTTGTAAAATTATAAACTCCATGATACAACATACATAGCTTTGCATATATGTATTATTTTTCTGGATAGAATCTGTTGGGTTTGGAAGAAATCTATTACAAGCCATCTATTACAAGCCAACATGTCTAACATCATACTCAACAGTGAAACGCTGAAAGAATTTCCTCTAAGAGCAGGAACAAGACAGGGGTGCCCATTTTCACCACTCCTATTCAACATATTGCTGGAAGCTCTGGCCAGAGCAATTAGGCAAGAAAAAGAAATAAAATACATCCAAATCAGAAGGACGGAAGTTAAATTGTCTCTTTACAGATGACATTATCTTGTATATAGAAAACCCGAAAGACTCCACCAGGAAACTGTTGGGACTAATAAATGAATTCAATAAAGCTGCAGGATACGAAATCGACATACAAAAACCAGGTTGCGTTTTATACACTAATAAAAAACTATCTGAAAATAAAGAAAAAAATCTTATTTAAAATAGCATCAAAAAGAATAAAATAGGAGACAAATTTAACCAAGGAATTGAAAGATCTGTACACTGATAACTATAAAACATCAATGAAAGAAATTGAAGAGAACACAAATAAATGGACAGATATCACATGTTCATGGATTGGAAAACTAATATTGTTAAAATGTCCATGCTACCAAGTGTAACCTAAAAACATAATTCAATAATTACCAAAACACAATGGTATTTTTCACAGTAATTGAAAAAAATTCTGAAATTTGTATGGAACCATAAAAGACTGTGAATTGTCAAAGCAATCTTGAGAGAAAACAAAGCTGGAGGCAGAACACTTCTGATTTAAAACTATATTACCAAGCTGTAGTAATCATGACAGCATGGTACTAGTGTAAAAAAAAAAAAGATGCATAGAACAATGGAACATAATAGAAATCCTATAAATAAACTTATGCATATGTAGTCAATAGCTATTTAATGAGGCAGTAAAAAATACACAATGGGGAAAAGGATAGTTTCTTCAATAAATGGTGCTGAGAAAACTAGATTTCCTCATGCAAAAGAATGAAATTGGGCCTCTGTCTTAGTCCATTCTTGCATTGCTATAAAGACACCTGAGACTGGGTAATTTATAAAGAAAAGAGATTTAATTAGATAACAGTTCCTCAGGCTGTACAGGAAGCATGGTTTGGGAGGCCTCAGAAAACTTACAATCATGGCAGATGGTGAAGGGCAAGTAGGCACACCTCACATGGCTGGAGCCAGAGAAAGAGAAAGAGAGGGGAGGTGCTACACACTTTTAAACAACCAGATCTCACAATAGCTCACTCACGACCATGAGAACAGCACAATGGGGGAAATTCACACACATGATCCAATCACTTCCCACCAGGCCCCACCTCCAACATTAAGGATTACAATTTGACATGAGATTTGGGCAGGGACATAGATTCAAACCATATCAGCCTCTACCTTTTAACACTCACAAAAATTAAATCAATATAGATTAAGGACTTAAATGTAAGATGTCAAACTATAAAACTTTTATAAGAAAATATAGAGAAAAACTTCTTGTCATGTGTCTTGGCAATAACTTTTTAGATATTACAACAAAAGCATAGTCATCAAAAGCTAAGTAAACAAATGAATTCCATCAAACCAAAAGGCTTCTGCATAAGAAAGGGAATAATCAACAATCAACAGGTTGATGAGAAAACCTACAGAATAAGATAAAATATTTGTAAACCCTAAATCTGATAAGAGATTAATATTAGAAATCTGTGAGGAACTCATAGGAATCAATATCAACAACAACCATAATTATCTGATATTAAAATGTCTATTCAAAAGAACTGACTAGACATTTTTCCACAGAAGACATGCAAATGGCCAACAGGTAGATGAAAACAATGCTCAACAACACTAATCATGAGGGAAATGTAAATTATTACACATTGTATGTCTGTATCAAAACTTCACATGTACCACATAAATATATACAACTTTATGTACTCAGAATAATTAAAAATAAAAAGAATTTAAAAATCGAAAAATGAAAAGACACAATAAGGTATCAGTTCATAATGTTAGAATGGCTATAATAAAAATTATGAGAGAAACTAGTTTAAGCAAGGATATGGAGGAAAGGAAGTTTTGTACACTGTTGGTGGGGATGTAAATTGGTATAATTACTATGGAAAGCAGTATGGAAGTTCCTCAAAAAATTAAAACTACCAAATGATCCAGCAATCTCACTTTGGGATAAATAGAAAAAAAAATTAAATTAGTACTTGAAGAGATATCTGCACTCTCAGGTTCACTGCAGCTTTATTCACAAAGACAAGACAGGAAAACAACCTAAGTGTTACTCAAGGAATGAATGAAAAAATAAAATGTGATATAGATCTAGAACATTATATATTATATATCACATATTATAATATATATAAATGTGGTATATATGTATATATGTGTATATATATGTGTGTGTGTGTATATATATATATATAAAATAAAATATCATTCAGACTTTAAAAAATTCTACCCTTTGCATCATGAAGTGACCTGGAGGGCTAAGTGAAATAAGCCAGAGAGAAAAAGATACATACTGCATAACCTCACTTCTATGGGCAATCTAAAAATATGAAACTCATGGAAACAGAGTATATTAGTGGTTGCCAGGTACTGTGGGATGAAGGAAATGGGGAAATATTGTTTACATGGTACAAAGTTTTAGTGTTAAGATGAATAAATTCTAGGGCTCTAATGCATAGCATGGCAACTGTAATTGATAATAATTTTTATATGCATGGAATCTATTGAGAGTAGATCTTAAATGTTATAACAATACACACACACACACACACGCACACACATGCAAATGGTGATTTTATGAGGTGATGGATATATTAACTACCCTGATTGTGGTAATCATTTCACAGTTTGTAGGTACCTCAAATCATCATGTTGTACACCTTAAATATATGCAAATTTATTTGTCAATTATAACTCAATAAAACCTTAAAAAGTTATTATTTCATTATGTAAATTATCGATGATCTAAAACAGCTAAAGAGCAATGAATTCGTGTGGGGATAAATATGTGCTTGGAAAGACATGTTGGAGATCTAGGATGGTAGAGTCTTAACACTGACCCAGCAAGTAAGAAAATATATTGATCAAGTGGAAGAATATAAAATGTTGCTCAATTCTGTTTAAGTAGACACTCTGGTATGATTTAATGAACATTAAATTGTTGATTCCATCCTTTTTTTCCTCTCAAATATCACATGATCAAGTCTTGGGAAAATCAACCAAGTTAACAGTAACAATTATCTTTTTAAAATAATAACTAATTATATCACAAGTCGGAGCCCTTATTTTATTTTATTATTAAACTTTTATTTTAGGCTCAAGGGTTCATGTGTAGATTTGTTGTATAATTAAATTACGTGTCATGGAGGTTTGGCATACAAATTATTTCATCATCCAGTTAATAAGCATAGTACTCAATAAGCAGTTTCTCAGTCCTCACTTTTCTCCTACCCTCCACCCTCAAGTAGGTCACAGTGTCTGTTGTTCATGTCAATATGTACTAAATATTTAGCTCCTACTTATAAGTGAGTACATGCGGTATTTGGTTTTCTGTTCCTGAGTTAGTTTGCTGAGGATAATGGCCTCTAGCTCCATCCATGTTGCTGCAAAGGACATGATCTAGTTCCTTTTTACGGCTGCATAGCATTCCATAGTGTATATGTGCTACATTTTAAAAATCCAGTCTACCACTGCTAGGCATTTAGGTTGATTTCTTGTCTTTGTTAATGTGAATAGTGCTGGGGTAAACATACATTTGCATGTGTCTTTATAGTAAAATGATATATTTTTCTTTGAATATATACTCAATTATGAGATTACTGGGTCGAATGATTATTCTGTTTTAAATTATATCACAAATCGCCAAACTGCTTTCCACAATGACTGAACCAATTTACATTCCCAGCAGTGCAGAAGTATTCCCTTTCCTCCACAGCTTCATCTGCATCTGTCATTTATTAACGTTAATAATAGACAGTCTGACTGGTGTGAGATCGTATCTTATTGTGGTTTTGATTTGCACTTCTCTAATGATTAGTGATGTTGAACTTTTTTCATAGGCTTTTGACCACATGTACATCTTCTTTTGAGAAGTGTCTTTATATTATTTGCCCACTTTTTAATTAATTTTCAGGTATGTCTTATTGTGTTGTATTATTATTATTATTATTATCGAGATGGAGTTTCGTTCTTTTTGCCCAGGCTGGAGTGCAGTGGAGCAATCTCCGTCCACTGCAACCTCTGCCTCCCAGGTTCAAGCGATTCTCCTGCCTCCGCCTCCCAAGTAGCTGGGATTACAGGTGCCCACCATCATGCCCAGCTAATTTTTGTGTTTTTAGAAGAGACATGGTTTCACCACATTGGCCAGAATGGTCTCTAACTCCTGACCTCAGGTGATCCGCCCACCTGGGCCTCCCAAAGTGCTGGGATTATAGGCATGAGCCACCGTGCCTGGCCTCTTGTGTAGTATTTTGCAGGGGTTCTTGGCATTACCTGAATTTGAATATTGACTTCTCTAGCATGTTGGGGAAATTTTCATGGATGATATCATAAAATATGTTTTCCACATTGCTTGCTTTCTCTTCCTGTCTTTCAGGGAAATAGATGAATAATAGATCTGATATCTTTGCACAATTCCTCATTTCTCATAGGTTTTATTAATTTTTCTTTGTTTTGTTTTCGTTTTGTTTTTTTAAATTGCCTGACTTAGTTATTTTGAAGAGCCAGTCTTCAAGCTCTGAGATTCATTCCTTACATTGGTTGATTCTGCTGTTAATACTTGTGGTTGTATTCTGACATTCTTGAAGCAGGTTTTTCAGCTTTATCAGCCCAGTTTGGGTCTGTCTTGGTGTGGACAGTTCATCTTTCATTTCCTGTTTTATTGTGTTCTTTAGAATCCCGGGATTGAGTTTCAAATTTCTCTGACTGTCGATTATTTTTATTCCCATCCATATTCTGAATTCTTTTTCTGCCATTTCAGCCATTTCAACCTGGTTAAGAACCATTTCTGGGGAACTAGTGTGGTTGTTTAAAGGTAAGAAGACACTCTGGCTTTTTGAGTTGCCAGAATTCTGTGCTAGTTCTTTCTAATTTTTGTGGGCTGATGTTCCCTCAATCTTTGAAGCTGCTATCCTTTGGTTGGGTTTTATTTTATTTTATCCTCTTTGATGTCCTGGGGGTTTGATTATGGTATAAGGTGGCTTCAGTCAACTGGCTTCATTTCCAGAAGATTTTAGGGGTCCAAGGCCCAGCTCAGACTCCTGGGCTGCATGCGCTAACTCTGGGGGCCTGGTATTGGGCCCCAGTTCTTTATTCTCTCCTCCATCAAGGTTAGGAACTTGCTCTGCTGGAGGGTCTGATGTGTTCCTGGACCACTGGTCACAACACTCCCATGGGTGGTGCCAGCCAAATTGCTTCCTCAGGCAGTGGCAGTGGGATCGGTGCTTGTTCTTACGTGCCAGCAGCAGTGGCACTGTGGCAGGATGCACTCCTGTTGGCTGCAGCAGGGTGCTGGCAACTTCAGGTGTGCTGGCCTCCGTGTGAGTATTTACAGGAGTGACAGTAGCAGTGTGGTGTGGACTTGTGTGGGGCCACCAGCATCTGTGCATGCATTTGCACAGACAGTGGTGTTGGCACTTGGTGAGGCACTGCAGAAGTGGTACTGGCCCCCTCTGTGTGTGCCTAAATGCAGGCAGCATGGCCTGTGCATAGTGGGGAGTCAGGACCACTAGTCTTCATGTGTAGGTTCTCACCAACAGCAGTGTCGGCTCAGGAGTGAGGTGTTGGCAGCCATAGGGCATGTGCTCTCTAAGCTTGTGAATGCGCCAGCCAGAGACAATGGTGGCACAGGGTGGGAAGCAGGGCTGCTGTCCTCCTTGAGTGCTTTTGCATTAGCAATGTTAGCATGGTGGGGGGGTGGTGGGGGCAGGGTGCACTCACACTGGCAGCAATGGCACAGTGGGTTGCACTTGTACATGTGTGCAGTCAGGGAAGGGGAGGTGAGGTCCACCCTAGCACATATATGCTGACAAAGTGATGTGAGGGGTGGTTGTTGTTAAGTGCCTGCTGCAAAACAGCATGGAAAAGGATGTGGAGGCAGGAGGGTGCTGATGGGCTGTTGTGCATTAGTCTGGGCTGCTCTGCTGGAGCTCTCCAACAGTCAGACGCAGTCCACCAGGCACAGGAGCTATGATTCAGGACCCCAGAAGGCACCTCAGCTGGGCATCTGAGGCTGCACTACAAGCAGGAGGGGCCAGGCTAGGCCCCAGGACAGGCCAGCAGACAGAGGGGGATACTCAGGTTGGACCAGTCCCATTTCATCAGCAAGATGTCCCTGCACTGTTCAGGTATGATAGTTCCTTAAAGGCTAAATACTTGGGGGGCAATCCTTGGGGGATGGGTATCCCTGTTGATGCTCTGCTACAGATACTTCCGCACCAAACCCTCTGTGGTCTGTAAGAGCTGGAATTCTGCCCCTAACCCCTCTCTAAGCAGCTCTTCCTGTCCAACTCTTGTCCATGGAGGTTGTGAGGTCTTCTGCTGCCAGGATTTGAGAGGTTCCTGATGAGATTGAGTTGCTCCTGTCCTTCCCAACTCATCCATTCCCCAGGAATCACCCGGGGCCAGGAATGAGTCCCAGTGCACGGTAGCCCCATGCAGGGTTCCCAGCTTCCACCCACTTCAGCCTAGCATCTGTGTCTTCCCTTTGTTAATGCCTTCCCTCTCAAGGTCTGCTCCGAGTGCACCAGTCTTCCCAACGTCCTAGTCCCTCAGTGGCAGTTGTTCCTCCTGGTTCCATCTAGTCGGCCATCTTGCTTCTAACCCTTGTACTCAGGAACACTTATTTTAAAAAGGAATTCTATAGATATACCATTATCTCATGCTTAAAAAAAATCAGTTATGTTTTCCCAGATAAAATTATGTTCAGTTACTGTTTTTTGAGAAAATGATGTTTAAAACAGATTTTAAAGGTATTTGTAAAAATTAATACATAATAATTTTCAACATATAAATTTTCATATTTTATTTTCATAATACTTGTTCAACATAGATTTGCTAATGGTGACAAAAATCAATAAAACTTTATTATTTTTACTGCTTTGATATAATTCAGCATCAAATATAGTTTTTAAGTAACAGCATAATATGAGAAACCATCTTGATGCAGAAAGTTATTTAGAGAAAAATTCAAACTGCTTGTAATATTTAATTCAAATATACTTTTCCAAATTTAGCTCACATTTGGGTTCCTAAAAATTTAATTGAATATTTTGTCCTTTACTATCTGAGAAGATCTATGCTACATCAGAGGTTGAAGTACAGCAAACTTCAACAGGCTCTGTTATAACATTCTTTGACAAAGATTAAACAAGAGAAACTCAGAATTTAAATATATAACTTAAAAGATTGAATTTTTCAAAACAGTTTTTAATCAAATGAAGTTTGAATAAGTTCTAATTCATTTTGGGACTCTTTCAAAATAGATTTCTATAAAGAAATGTGTCATTATTTCTTTTATCCAAACTTATGAAGCATTCCTTTTTGGAACCAATCTTGACTTTTAATGAAGAGTAAAAGGTAAAACTGGAAACAGAGACATGCTATATTCTTTATCATAAAATGATCAAACTATAAATAATTTGAAATACTTGCTTTATTTGGGGATAGAATGAGATTTTTATTATTTTTTTTGCATTAGACAATATTGTTCCCCCTTGTCATGAAATAGAAAGATTAGAAGATTCCACTTTTACTCTTAAAAGAATTTCAGGATTTAATAAAATACATGCAATTGCATTAAAATTGATGATTGTTATTACTCAAGAGGTAGATATTTTCATTGGGGATGGCTTTACCTGTTAATCTTATTTGTACTTTTTGTAACCCCCTATATAAATGTACAAAACTTTTAAACCTTAAGATTATCCAACTCTAGTAATAAGTTTGTAGAAATTATTAAATACTCATGTACGAAGTATTTAAGTAGTAGAAGATATCTTATTGTCCATCATTTAGATAAAGATACACGTTAACTCAAATACAACAGAAACAATTACACTTTTGAAATATGATTCTGCTAGAATTCATTACAATATTCCAATTATTCTTCATGTGTTATTCAATTACATGCATTGATATTGGGATGATCTCACTAATTATAGTGCCAAAGTAATGGATGAGAGTTGTATTACATAATCATTCACGACTATGGTAAAAAGTAAAGTGTCATTTTCAATTCCTTTAACATTAAGTATTAGAATAACATAAGGATTAAAAGCTGAACACTAGTATAATTGTCAGTTTTCTATCTAAATCCTTTCAATCTGAGGAACAGAATGTTTAGACTTACGTTATTGTACAGTGATCTACTTGGGGTGATGAAATTACTGAATCTGTGTCATCTTTCTTTATGTGACAAGAAGTAGGACATGTCTACTTATGCTTTAGAGTAGAGAAAGCCATCCATTCCTGACACGGAAAACACTAATTTTTTCAGTATATATAAAAGAGCATTTCCAAATACAGATTTCCAGCAGACTAACATATTTAACCAGGTTGGAGAATTGAGTTATGTTCTAAATCTATATGAGCAGTAAGTCATAATGGATTATAATAATAGATAACCTCATTTACCCGTTTTATAAAATATTTTGCAAATAGAGAAATGGAAAAATGTTTTAAACAATTAGGTGACAGATACATAATTGTTTTAATATTTACTTTCATTAAAAGTATAACATTTCTTTGCTTTTTAACATCAAAAAAATCAATTTTTTATAAAATTGCTGTGAAAATTTATGAGCCATTTTTAAAGTAACAAATATTGTGAAATCTTAGATTTTTTTGGAACTGGAAATCCAGGAACTAGTATGTTAAATATAATAGTTATTTCCTTTAAATTACTATAACACAATTATTTCTTCACTCCAATAGTACCCAAGTCCTCATAAAATCTACACATTTCAGCAGAAAGAAATAAATTGGTTCTATTCACACTTCTAGAAAGTGAAAGGTAGGAATTCAAACCTAGCTCTCACTGACCTAAAGTCTGAGCAGTTGGCAGATAGTGTTTGGTGAAGAGTAAGGAATTTGCTGTTTTCATTTGTTTCTCAGAGTGGAAAGTCCTTCATTGCCTGATGCTAAATGGGAGTAAAAAGTGTTTGGCTGTGTCTTCTGGAACAGGTTATTTGGATGTGGCAGAAACTGGCTAATTTTTAATTATACGTCTTTATTCTTCTTGGGCAAAAGCTAGATGACCTTTCCTATTAGATAAGGCATTGTGCATAAATTCTAGCCAGTAGAATATGAGCAAAATTAGAGTTGTGGGGAGGCAAATTTTAATATTTATTTAAAACAAGGTTGAAATATTTAGTTTATACTTTCAAAGTGCAGGAATATGAATATACCCAAGTATGTTAATCTCTATATGAGATTACTTCCAAATATACACTGCTCAAAGCCCTCCTCAGTAAATATTATAGATGCATTATTGTTTATATTTTCAGTCAGTTTTCTCCAAACACTTTGCCCAAATTTGTTAAAAATTTATTCTCAGTTTCAGGTACCGTTGAGAATGGAGATTGTTTGACAATTATAGCTCTATCCTACAGTTAATTTTAAATGCTATTTTAAAAAAATTAACCCATCCCAAACTTCCCTTCCAAATTTCTATAAGACCACCTATTTGTTCTCTTGTTATGTAGTGAGTCTGTAAGAAACTAAGTATATCAAGTAAAGCATTGTATACTTTTAAATTGTTCACTTATTGTAATAAAGGCACTTCATTTTCTGAAAATTTAGGTAAAAAGCACATTCAATTAACCAAAATATCATATAATAAATAAAAGGGCTTTGTTTTGTGTCTACCAAAATGAGGAAGTTGTGTTTTGTGTCATCGTGGGGTTTGTGTTGGAAAGATAAACTGAAATAAGGTACTGTAAAATGTGACTTTCACATCAGTGAAAATTGAATCCCAAATGACAATTTTGAGTGATTTCTCAAAGAGATAAAAAGCAGCCTCCGGTGATATTGTGTGGGGAAGGCTTTGTGATTTTCACCTTTGAGAGTCATGGAAAGAAAAAGATGTTCGATAACTAAATCATAATGGAATGATGGAAAAAGTCACTACTTTTATAGGTCAATAAAACCTTACCATTGGGAGATTTTTTTGTTCTAAGTTACAAAACTTTGTTTCCCTGTGTAGAATAAAATGGTAATGATGATTTTAATCAAGTTTCCACTACAAATAAGTGTGAGAAGTAAGCAGTAGAAAGGCTTTAAGTGCCCTCACCCCTTCTCAAATATCAGCTGTAGTAGGTAGGAGCCATTGAAGAGGAAGCTTATGTCACATGACATGAGAAAGGACAGGGAGACTCACTTAAGAGGGCATAGCCATAGGGGATGCTCGCAATATGCATTCTCCCTGTTTAGATACCAAAGTAAAACTCTATTTGATTATTTTGTGTTGATATGATTAAGCAACATCTTTTAAATATATTTTTAGTATCCATAGTTTTAATTTTAATTTTTTTTTAACTTTTATTTTAGTTTGAAGGGTACATGTGAAGGTTTGTTACACAGGTAAACTCATGTCCTTGGGGTTTGTTGTACAAATGACTTTGTCATCCAGGAATTAAGCCCAGTTCCCAGTAGTTGTCTTTTCTTCACCTCTCCCTCCTCTCACCCTCCACCCTCAAGTAGACCCCAGTGTCTGTTGTTTCTTCCTTTGTGTTCAGGAGTTCTCATTATTTAGCTCCCATTTATAAGTGAGAATGAGCTGTATTTTGTTTTTAGTTCCTGTGTTTGTTTGCTGAGGATAATAGCCTCCAGCTCCATCCATGTTCCCACAAAAGAGATTATCTCATTCTTTTTAATGGCTGCATAGTATTCCATGGTATATATGTACCACATTTTCTTTATCTAATCTGTCATTGATGAGCATTTAGTTTGATTCCATGTCTTTGCTATTGTGAATAGTGCTGCAATGAACATTTTTGCGCATGTCTTTATGATAGAATGATTTACATTCCTCTGGGTATATACACAGTAATGGGATTCCTGAATTGAATGGCAGTTCTGCTTTTAGCTCTTGGAGGAATCACCATACTGTTTTCCACATTGGTTGAACTAATTTACACTCCTACCAACAATGTCTAAGTGTTCCCTTTTCTCTTCAACCTCACCAGCAGCTGTTATTTTTTGACTTTTTAATAATAGCCATTCTGACTGGTGTGAGATGCTATCTCATTGTGGTTTTGATTTGCATTGCTCAAATGATCAGTGATATTGAGCTTTACTTCATATGCTTTTTGGCCGCATGTACAACTTCTTTTGAGAAGTGTGTTCATGTCCTTTGCCCACTTTTTAATGGGGTTGTTTTTCTTTTGTAAATTAGTTCATGTTCCTTATAGATGCTGGATATTAGACCTTTGTTATTGCATAGTTTGTAAATATTTTCTCCTGTTCTGTAGGTTGTCTGTTTACTCTGTTGATAGTGTGTTTTGCTGTGTAAAGAATCTTTAAATTTAATTAGATCCTACTTTTCTATTGTTGCTTTTGTTGCAATTGATTTTGGTGACTTTGTCATAAAATATTTGCAGATTCCTATGTCCAGGATGGTATTGCCTAGATTGTCTTCCATGGTTTTTATAGTTTTGAGTTTTTCATGTAAGTCTTCAATCCATCTTGAGTTGATTTTTGTATATGGTGTAAGGAAGGGTTCCAGCTTCAGTCTTCTTATAGCTAGCCAGTTATTACAGCACCATGGTAATGGCAACAAAGAACTGTCTGGAGCAGCTGCTGTGCAGATGCTGGCTGCAGTAGAGGAAGCATGGCCAGGGCTGCATGCTCCATGGACCCCACAGGAGCCTGGTACAGGTGAGAGCCCTGCCTCCTTCCGAGTTTGAGGGGTGGGGTCTCTGCCCTCTCCGGCTCAGCTGCAGCTGTCCAGTGGTGGCTGTAGACCCAGGCTGTGGACCCAGACTGTGAACCCAGGCATCCCTGCACTCTCAGGGCCCAGGAAACCCCTCTAGCCCCTGCAGGCTCTGAAGTGCCTGCTCCTGCTGCCTGGCCTCTCCCCTCTCTCAGTGCTCACTCCAAATTTGGAGCAAAGTTGTGGCTGAGCCCCGGCACTGTCACAACTCAGCTGGGTGTGTGCACATTCAGGGTGGTGCTGACATGCCAGCCTCCTGCCACCTTGGCCCTTTCCAGACTTTGAGCCCCAGTGAGCACAGGAAGGAGGCCGAGGGGTTGCTGAGGGCAGCACAGTGTGGTCCTGCAGGCAGCCTTCCACGTGAATAGCCTGGGCACTGTGGATGACATGATTGATTGTGGCAGGAGGCAGATGGGCTCCTGGGCAGAAAGGGTCAGGTTCTTGGTGAGACCCCACCTTCAAGCCAGGGACAGCCTGAAGCCTGGGCCTGGGCTGCCAATCCATAGACAGGAGTGAGAACTTGTGGTGTTTTTTTCTAGGCCTGTCCATGGCCGCCCATGAACCAATCAGCACACACTTCCTCCCCTCTGAAGTCCATAAAAACCCCCAGACTCAGCCGCACTCAGGCAGATGACAGGAAAACCTGCCTGCAGATAAGAATTACCCACTCTGGGTCTCTTCTCTGCCGAGGGCTGCAGAGATGAAAGGATGACCTGCCTGTGAATAGGAGCAACCCACTCCAGGTCTTGTCTCCACTGAAGGCTGCAGAGATAATGGGATGACCTGCCTGTGGATAGGAGCTACCCACTCTAGCTCTTCTCTCCACTGAGGGCTGCAGAGATGACAGGACAACCTGCCTGTGGATAGTAGCTACCCACTCTGGGTCTTCTCCCCGCTGAGGGCTGCAGAGATGTTTGGATGGCCTGTCTGTGGATAGGAGCTACCCATTCTGGGTCTTCTTCCTGCTGAGGGCTGCAGAGATGTTGGGATGGGCTGTCTATGGATAGGAGCTACCCACTGTGGGTCTCCTGAAAGCTGTTCCGTCCCTCAAAAAAGTACCTCTTTGCCTTGCTCACTCTCCAGTTGTCCACATACCTCATCCTTCCTGGATGTGGAACAATAACTCAGGACCCCATGAATGGTGAGGTTGAAAGAGCTGTAACACAACAGGGCTAAAACATGCCTCCCACTTGCCACATTGCAGGTGATGGGAAGGAGAGAAAAGAGGAGAGAAGAGCTATGGCCCTTCCAGGAGCCCAGACCTAGGGGCTCCTTGAGCCAGAGCTGTGACACCCTCTTTGGGGCTCTGTGGTTTCTGCTGCCTTCAAGCTTCTGGGCACCACCATATTCCCCTTGACCAGACCCAGGTCCACAAATGAAGCTACTGCTTGTGATGCATCTGATCCAGCCGCAAACTTGCATGGAACCTGCACCTGTGCCGACACCTGGAGCTGCCTACCCTGCCACAGCAGTCAACGTGCCTGCCTGTTCACAGTGGCCAGACCCAACACTCACTCACACACCCTTCGCCACCCTGTGCCTGGCTTGCCCTTGGCAGACATGGAATCTGGGCCGGTAGCATGAGCCGAGGACAGTGTGCCAGGCTGAGTGGGCAGAATGAACCTAGTGGGCCCAAGCAAAACGTAGGCAAAGGGGCCACTGGCCACAGAGGCTTCCAGCTGGAAAAACAACAACCCAAGGATGACAATTTATTCCCTAGAGAGTCTTTTCCCCATTGCTGGTTTTTGTTCAAGATCAGGTGGTCATAGGTATGTGGCCTTAGTTCTGGGTTTCTCTATTCTGTTCCATTGACCTATGTGTCTGTTTTTGTACCATACCATGCCATTTTGGGTACTGTAGCCCAATAGTATAGTTTGAAGACAGGTAACATGACACCATCAGCTTTGTTCTTTTTATTTAGGATTGCCTTGAGCTGTTTTTTGGTTTCATATGAATTTAAAATAGATTTTCTGGTTCTGTGAAGAATGTTGTTGGTAGTTTGATAGGAATAGCATTGAATCTATAAACTGCTTTGGGCAGTATAACCATTTTAATGATATTGATTTTTCCTATCCATGAGCATGACCAAGAGATGTTTTTCCATTTGGTTGTGTCTCCTCTAATTTCTTTTAGCAATATTTTGTAATTCTCATTGTAGAGATCTTTCACCTTGCTGTTAGCTGTATTTCTAGGTATTTTATTCTTTCTGTGGCAATTGTGAATGGGATTACCTTTCTCATTTGGCTCTTGGCTTGGATATTTTTGGTGTAGGAATGCCAGTAATTTTTCTACATTAATTTTGTATCTGACACTTTAATGAAGTGGTGTGTCAGATTAAGGAGCTTTTTGGCCAAGATTATGGGGTTTTCTAGATATAGAATCAATCATGTTACCTGCAAACAGAGATAGTTTTATTTCCTCTCTTATTATTTGGATGCATTTTATTTCTTTCTCTTGCCTGGTTGCTCTTGGTAGGACTTCCAATACTATGTTGAATAAGAGTGGTGAATGAGGGCATTCTTGTCTTGTGCCAGTTTTCAATAGGAATGCTTCCAGCTTTTGCTCATTCAGTATATAAGCTGGCTATGGGATTGTCATAGGTGGCTCTTATTATTCTGAGGTATGTTCCTTCAGTACCTAGTTTATTGATAGTTTTTAACATGGAGTGTTGAATTTTATCAAAGCCTTTTCCACATCTATTGAGATAGTCATGTTTTTGTCATTAGTTTTGTTTATATAATAAATCACATTTTTTGATTTGTGTATGTCAAACCAACCTTGCATCCTGGGGATGAAGCCTACTTGGTTATGGAGGATTAGCTTTTTATGTGCTGCTAGATTTGGTTTGTAAGTATTTTGTTGATGATTTCTGCATCAGTGTTTATCAAGGATATTGGCCTTGAAGTGTGTATGGTGTGTATGTGTGTGTGTGTGTGTGTGTGTGTGTGTGTGTCTCTGTCAGATTTTGGTATCAGGATGATGCTGGCCTCAGATAATGAGTTGGGGAGGAGTGTTTCCTCCTCTTTTTTTTTTTTTTTTTTGAATAGTTTATATAGGAAAGGTTACCAGCTCTTCTTTGTGCATCTGGTAGAATTAATCTGTGAAATCATCAGGTCCTGGGTTTTTTGTTTTTTTTTTTTTTTTTTGGTTGTTAGGTTCTTTATCACTGATTCAATTTCAGAGCTTATTATTGGTCTGTTCAGGACATTAATTTCTTCCTTGTTCAGTCTTGGGAGAGTGTATGCATCCAGGAAATTATCCATCTCTTCTAGGTTTTCTAGTTTGTTTGCATGGAGGTGTTCATAGTAGTTTCTAATGGTTATTTTTATTTCTGTTGAGTCATTGATAACATTCCCTTCATCATTTCTAAACAACCATATGCCATCAAGTTATAGTTCAAAAGTGGTCATTTATAATGTATTACAGACATACAGACTCCTCCATTCTTAATTCCATGTACCTAAGAAGCCTCTTCTTTTCCTAATTGCCTAATGTTGAGTCCTGGAATCTACAATACTCATGGCATGTGACACCGTAAGGAGTGGGAAAAGCTGTTTCCTACAACTTTAAGTGACCTCCTTCTGAGGTTTGACTAAAGTGGTTTCAGTGTTCCTCTCAGCTTGACTAAATTTGGACAGGCTTCTTCCTGACTCTAGGCCTCTAACCACCCTTATCTTAGAGGATTTAATTGAGAAGAAAATGTAACTTTTTTCTCAGTCTCTTTGAAATGTAAATCTTTCTAGCCGCTCCCTCACCCACCCTGCTAGTTTTATGATCCAGTGAGGTATTTTTCAATGACCTGGAAGCCATCTCTTTGAAATGTAATAATTAAGGAAGACAATACCCTTATCTCCCAGTCTCTGTGAAAGAGTAGGTACCTAATTGTAGGGGGTGGGGGATTCCTTGCTCCAAGATGTAAAACTACCTTCTGCCATTAAATAGGAGAAAGTTTCCTTCTTTTTTAAGTAAAAACAATTAGCAAACACATGGCTTCTCACCTCAGAAATTAAAACTTTTCCCACCCTTAATTTTAGCAGAACTGAGTTCAGATTTCAGTTCTGGCCTCTCCACCCTATTGCAAGGCACTTAGCTAAAGATTTCTTTGCGTATGTAATTTTGTCCATTGTAATTTTACTTTGACAGTCCCATTGTGCAGGTCCTTCCATTGAAGAAGCGTCACCTGGAGTTTGGCTTGCCTTTCCAGGAATTTGTTTCAGGGAACTTTGGACCTGTTCATCTTCATGGATGATGATGGGGGCATTATGAGTGACATAAACCACGGTTATCAAAGAACAATTTTGTAAAATAAAACATTTAATATATGGTCTTACTGAACCAGAACTTAGCCAGCTGGTATTCAAGTTCCTCAGACAATTTTATAGTCAGTAGCCTTCAAAAAGATGGAACTGCTTCAGTAGTAATCACAAAGTATGGAATAAATGATGTATCTTGACAAAATAATAATTTTCCCTATAATTATGAAGAATATAAAAATATTTTACCCCCAAATATTTCTCTGACATATTTTGAAGTGGCTACCACAGGGCTAGCAGATTGAGGTGGCCCTGCAAAGCTGTCTTTTGTGTGGGAAATTTGCATTCATAGAGAATCTCCATTAATGCAGCCAAGTCTTCCCTTTCTAGGCTTTTCCAGAATCTAGGAGAGATCTGTCCAGAATCTGACACCTTTAAAGGTCTGAAAAGAGATATTTACCATCTATTCTCTCTGAGAGCTGCTACCTATGAGACTTCATCTACATATCAAGGCCAACTTTGCTAGGCAAGCTTCTTCCTTTCTGCATCTTATAACCTGTCTTGCCACTCATACCTGGTTTAGCAACATAAGCTATTTGGCCATGCTCTGAGCCTACATTCTTTCTACAACCTCAAGATGGTATGTGAGTTTCAGTGCATCACTGCGATGTTGGGTCTTTATTCTGAAGCGTCCCATGTATACATGCAAAATAAACTTGTAGTCCTTTTTTCCTATGAATCAATTTGATAAACGTCAATGATTTTCAGTGAACCTCCAGGGACTCTAGAGCCTTGGTCCTCACGGGTACCTCCTAAATTTATGTATTGATTTATTTACTTGTTTATTTATTTATTATGCATGTAGAACTTGGACTTTCTCAGTTATGTCATGAGTTATTTTGATTATTGGTTTGTCTCTCCATTAGAACAGCTTTCTTGTAAAACGGCTTGTGCTTGTTAACCCAGGCCTGTGGAACTCAATTCCTTCTAACACTTCCCTGGCATAATGAAACTGGAAGAAAATCAGGATGGTAATGTTCTTGGTTTAGTCTCTGTGCTAGTTGTCTATTGCTGAATATCAAATTATCACAAACTTAGTTGCTTGAAACAAACTATGTTTGCCTCATAGTTTCTAGTTAGACATCAAGACAGAGCTAAGGTGGTTCTGCATCTTCATGGCTTCTCACAGATGTTGAAATTAAAGGTTGGGCAGAGCTGAGGTCTTGTCTGAAATCTAGACTGGGGAAGAATCACTGCCAAGCTCATGTGGGTGGTTATTGACAAAACTGCAGTTCCTTAAGGGCCATTTAAGGGAAGTTCCTTATTTTTCTTGGAATGAGGATTTCAGTTTATAGTGGACATTGGCTGGAGGCTCTCCTCAGATTCTTTTTATGGAGGCCTCACTAACATGTGGGCTTACTTCATTAATGACAGCAAATAAGAGAGTTTGCTAGCAAGAGGAAGGTCATTATGTTATATGATCCAATCATATAAGTGACATCCCATCACTTTATTGTTTAGGAGTGCTAGAGGATTAAGCAGGACATGAATACCAGGAGACAGGGGCATCTGGAGGCAATCTTAAAAGTTGCCTGCTATAGACCCAGTGGTAGGTAGTATGGCATTAGAGGACTTCCTTTTGGTTTCTAACACAATATATTTTATTTTCTTGTTACATCCATCAAGTTACAATGTGATCAAAAGGTAAACTTTAGAATGCAGATGATTAAAATATGAATTAAAATAGAATACAGATAGTAAAATAACAGGAGAGTTATTAGAGATTGCAATCTCATGTTTTTCAAATTGTAATCAGTGAAGTCATAGAACTTCCCTGATACAAAGGGCTGATATTTGTTTCTATGATTGTTGGAACAACAAATCAATTATAATCCATTGAAATACCTTGATAAAAGTTATCATGATTTGGAGAAAGTAATTCAAGAGAGAAGCTCACGAGCACTTCTTGAAGTAATATCATTGTTTTATAAAATACTTTTAATATCTGATACTGAGTACTTAGTTTCTGTTTCAGGATAATTTTGATAATATTGCTTAATTCATAGATTTGTTGTAAGGAGAAAATTAAGTAATATAAAATATTAAAATACTAAATACTACTACCACACCATTAGCCACCATTTTGGGGGAGGAGAGAGGGCTGGTGTGGGGATAAAAATGTTGGCATTTATCTTTGAGTCATCTACCCTTATTACCAACGTGATTTGTAAAAACTTTAATGGTCCAATATTAAGGCAAAGTAGAGATTATATTCACTTGAACAAGCAGAATTTCAAAGTGTTTAAAACATGAAGTCCAACTGCTCAGGTTTAAATGTTGGTTTCACCAGTTATTCACCCCCTAGAACTATCATTAAAAGCTTGTTTACATAATGAAGATAATAACAATAATAGTTCTTAGTTTGTATATATAAGCTTACTAATATAAGTTATATATGTGTTTATATATAAATTACATATGATATGTATTATATATAATTATATATTTATATAATTACATAATTATAATTTATATAATTATACCTCTTCATAATTTATATCTAATTATATATATTATGTATAAATGTATATGTATACCTTTTTACATTAAGTACTGTAATGTATGTGAAGTGATTAGCCCTAATATTTAGTACATAGTGAGTCCTCAGCAGATATTAATTACTATCATTATCATTAGTAATCTTATGATAGTAATTTCCTAGATCTAAGACTATGGTTTACATATCTTCTATATCAGTATCTTCCAATCGTAGCACAATGTCATAAAAGTACCAAGTGGTATGGGATCTTTGACAAAAAATCAGAGAGAAAAGCAAACATGGGAAATAATAAGGATATTACAAGGATATTACAAGAAGGATATTACAAACATGGGAAATAATAAGGATATTACATGGGAAATACTAAGGATATCACAAAGGACATAAAAGATGACAGAATTTGGCTGGGATGAAGGTGGAGAGCCATCTGTTTGGGTCTTGCCACTTACCTTGCCTGTCTACCCTTTTTCCCCCACCATAGCTTGGGACCATTTCTTAATCATATTTATCTATCCTCCTTCCATAGGGTGTGAATATTATAGACTCTAGTCTCATTCAGAATATTCAGAATCAGGGCAGATGAAAATCAGGACAAATCATACTCTGCATCTTTAATTAGCATATTAGTATAGTATCAATGGTGTTGAAAGCAGGACATGTCATAAAATGTTGAAATGCTCAGTTCTCATGGTGGGTAAAAGGTTTTATATGAACGAGACTTCATTTTTTTGTGTGTTTTGTTTTTCAGTGGGTTTAGTAAACCTGTTGAAGGCATTCTGTTATTTCCCTCTGCTGCAATTTAAACCTTCTCAGGATGAGCAGAGTGCCATATTCCTTAAGCTTCTGCATCTAGAATGCCCAGAACATTATGATCAATTTGGCACTAAGTTGTCACTGAAGCAATTAGTTGAGATCAGATGCATTCGGGGTGGTATAGCCGTAGATGGAAACAATTAGAAATGTTTAGCCACTAATTTTCACCACCCTTGTAGGTACTTTTTTAGGCAACTGGACATTAGGACGTTTTGCCCTCAAGTCTTCCCTTCCCCTCCCGTATCACTCCAAGCCATTTAAAACACACTAACACTTAAAAGCACATTTCCTCTCACAGAGACTCCATGCTGTTTGGCATTATTCCTTTTATAATCTTTTTTAAAAAATTTATTTAGTTTTCTCTTTCCGGTCCCCATGCCACAACTGTGGCCAGGTTGTGTTGTGAATTAGGTATGTGTTTGAAGGGATAGGAAGGAGAACTGTGACTCCCCGCTGAATGGACTTTTTACCTGCTGCTCTTCTGATTATTTGTGCTAGGATGAGGCAGCTCTTAAAAAGATCTAAGATTAAGGTTGCTCAGAGGGAAACTGAACTGGGTACCAAGAGAACACAGGAGAGAATCGATGAATTACTTGCTGTAGTTACCTCACCTCAGCAGCATATTTAGAAATTCCTGTCTTCGCAAATTTATTGTATCTGGCACTTCTCCCTCTGCATCTATCATAAGTAGAGAGAAAAGGCAACTGAGATTCCTGATCCTAGAGCTAGTGTTTTCTTCTTAGGCTGTCTATAATATGTTTGTCGACAGCCTCCTGTCGTGCAATTTCCTCTCACTCCACAGATTTATCTTTTCTCAGATCAGATCCAAGGTTACAGTTTTGAAAGAGGAAAAAATGTTTCAAGGAAAATGAAAAAATCCTTTACTGACCCCGTTCCATGTTTGGTAGTAGGGCTTAAAAAGACTGGGCAAGGCTGCTGTTGAGGGAGGGGAGAAAGGCAGTAAGCACTACCAGGTGGACTTAGGTCCAAGTAGACAGATGTAGTATTGGACAGAGAGGCTCTGGCAACACCAAGCTGCAGCCACTATAACATAAATTGCAGATCAAAACATTGACCACCTCTCTGCCTGCAAACATCATACAAGTCCGTCTTCTTCCCTTTCATTATTTCCACTATGTATCTACTATAGAGCTAAGCATACACTCCACAACTCTAGGTCCATCTGGCTCCTGTTCTTCTTTATGTGGCATCTACATGGCATCCATATTAAACTTCTTAAAGGGCACTTCTGCTCATCACATTCATTCCATGAAACACAAATGTTCATAACAATTATATTATCTAACAAATTGCCTGAACTCATTGGATTGAAACCCCTAATTCAAATCAAAACACCCCTTACTTCTCTCCTTGTGGCTTCTTTCTCTGTTTTTTGTTTCCTCTCTTTCTCTCTTCTTTTTTAACTTTCTCTGTCTTTATGTTGCTCTCTGTTCAAGGCTTAAAATACACTCTTTTGGTTTTTATATATATTAATCTACTTGAGCCACATAATAATATTATGAGATAGATACTATTTTAGTCCCATTTTACAAATGAAAAAACTGATGTTCAGCAAGTTTAAATGCTTTGTTTAACACAATTCCAAAGCTATCAAGAGGTGAAGCTTCAACTAGTATTTCCATTATTTATCTTTATATGTATCCTTTACAACTAGTAAATTAAATAAGATTTTTAGATATCATATATATCTACTTGGATATATACTAAGTACGTCCTATTATAGGATAGTAGATGAACTATCTACTGTAGGATAGTAGATATACTATCTATTCTAGAATAGTAGATGTAATATCCAAGTACATCTACTTGAACATATATAGTTCTATGAAATGTAAAGTAGAATCCAATTTATTCTTGATAGGTAGTTGGATATGTGTTTAAATTTTAAGGGAAATGTTTGGGCTACAAATATAAACCTAGGAGCCAGTCATAAAACAAGATGAGATCAACAATGAATTACCATTGACAGAAAATGAAGAGATGAAATACAGAGGCAATACTGCTTTGGTGTCAGAAGGTTGCTTTTGAATCCTGGCTGTATTTTGTAACTATTATTCTAATCTTAGAAAATATTCTTATTACTTTAAATATTAAGTTGTAAGAGGCAGTGCATTTTAGGTTTTAAGAATATAAATTTCCAGCTTTGCCACTATGTAAAAGTGATCAAGTTATTTAAATTAGCCAAGTGTCAGTTTTCTCATCCAGAAAATGGAGAAAATAATTATATCTCCAGATGATTGTTTTGAAGTTTTACATAAATTAACATTTGAAAAAATACTTAGCATATTTTTGGCATCTAGTAAGACCCCTATAAATTTTGCTGTTTAATTTTTCTCCAGCTTAAAATGTAGTTGGTAATATAATCTGCCCCATATTCTGCTTTTGACACATTGTAATTTTACATATAGTGTACAATTAGATATTTTGATACATATATATGTTGTATAACAATTAAATCAAGGTAAATATATTTATCACCTTCTGCATTTATCATTTTTTTGTGTGATGAAAACATTTAAAAGTTCTCTTCTAGCTATTTTGTAATATACAAAACCTTGCTGTTAACCATAGTCACCCTACTGTTAACCATAGTCACCCTACTGTGAAATTGAACACTAGAAATTATTCCTATTTAATTGTAACTTTGTACCTGTTGACCACCCTCTCCCCATGCTCTCTTCTACATCCTCACCCCAGTTTCGGGTAACCACTGTTCTACTCTCTACTTCATCATCCACCCGCCTTGGCCTCCCAAAGTGCTGGGATTACAGGCGTGAACCACCGCACCCAGTCTCATTTCTACAAGTTTTACACGCATTTTTCTAAATCTGAAGATTTTACATATCTCAATTCTTAATCCTATTTTAACTCCCCATGTACTTTCTTTAAATGTCATATATACACACACACAGGCGCGTGCACACACACACGTACATATATATAATTTTGTGTTCCTAATTGTAATTTCTTAAGTCAGTTGTGGGTCCAATTCCTGTGTTGGAAACTTAATCCTCACTGCAGTAGTCTTGAGAGATGAAACCTCTAGAAGGCCATTTGGCTATGAGGGCCTCTACCCTCATGAATGGATTAATGACATTATTGCAGCAGTGGGTTCCTGATTTTAAAAAAATGAGTTCAGCTGCTTTCTACCCTCTCTTGAGCTTGTGTTCTCTTGTCTTTCTGCTTTCTGTGATGTGATGACAGAGCAAGAAGTCCCACATAAAATGTCAGCACCTTGATATTAGTTTTCCCAGGCTCTAGACCTGCGAGAAATAATTTATTTCTTTATAAATTAGCTAGTCTATGGTTTTCTGTTATAGCAATACAAAGCAGACAGCCACAATGACAACTTGTTTTCTTATACTTGGTCTATTTTTTAACTCCTGCCTCAGATTTCACCAGGATTTTATGAACAAAAAAATTTAAATGCTCAGGGTCACTGGAGTCTATCAAATGCAATACAGGTGAATGCCAATTTTAGTGTCATATATTTCTCTCGCTTTTCATTTTTATGTATTTATTTTTGCCTCTGATGATTCTTTAATTCCTTGGCAGCTCAATACTCATCAACATTTTAAGAGTTGTTTGTGCATGCAAGCACATGCATATATTTCTTTTGCTCTATTTTACCCATTGATTTAAACTTCACGCATTGTTTTTAGCTGTTCACAGCAGGAGAATCAATCAAAGTACATAATCCATCCCAATATTGAAAATAGGGATCGCATTTTATTTTTCTACTGATGATATTTTCTTTTACTATTCTGGTAATCAAGTAAGCAATATCATATTAAGGAGCTTTATTTTGTATAGTGTAATGACTTTCACAGTGGAAGCACTACTTCTTTTTTTTTTTTTTTTTTTTTTTTTTTTTTGATACAGGAGTCTCGCTCTGTCATCCAGGCTGGAGTGTGCAGTGGCGCAATCTCAGTTCACTGCAAGCTCCGCCTCCCGGGTTCACGCCATTCTCCTGCCTCAGCCTCCGGAGTAGCTGGGACTACAGGCGCCCGCCACCACACCTGGCTAATTTTTTTTTTGTTTTATTTTTAGTAGAGACGAGGTTTCACTGTGTTAGCCAGGATGGTCTCAATCTCCTGACCTCGTGATCCACCCGCCTTGGCCTCCGAAAGTCCTGGGATTACAGATGTGAGCCACTGCGCCCGGCCACCACTACCTCTTTAACATAGTACGTAGCACGTAGAAAATGTCCATTGAAGCGCCTCATCTTTATTTAGTAATATATGGATATGTACAGTTTAGAATCAAGTACAAAATAAAATACTTGTATTCATTTCATATATCTTTATAGAAAATGCCAGGTAAATTTTTATTATAGATTTCTACCAGATGCTGAAGAAAGGAAAAATTTACTATACTCATAATAATAGTATTAGTAATAACTGTAATAATGATAAATAATGATGATAATAATGATCACTTGTTACACTTATACAATATTACAAACACTGAATTAATTATTTTACTACACTATCTCATTTGCTTTTTTTATTTTTTTCTTTTGAGATGGAGTTTCGCTCTTGTAGCCCAGGCTGGAGTGCAATGGCACGTCCTCGGCTCAGTGCAACCTCTGCCTCCTGGGTTCAAGCAATTCTGCTGCCTCAGCCTCCCGAGTAGCTGGGATTACAGGTGCCTGCTATCACCCCGGCTAATTTTTGCATGTTTAGTAGAGACAGGGTTTCACCATGTTGGCCAGGCTGGTCTCGAATTCCTGACCTCATGTAATCCACCCGCCTTGGCCTCTCAAAGTGCTGGGATTACAGGCGTGAGCCACTGCGTCTGGCCTCTCATTTGCTTTTCAAAATAAGTTTAAAAAAGTAGTTTCTTTTATGCTTTTCATTTCTATTTTAGGAAGCAGGCTTAGAGAAGTAATGCTGCTTATCTAAGATCACAAGGGTAAAAAGTGATAATGCTAAAATATGAACCAGGGTATCTATTCCCAAAGCCTATGACATTTGTTATATCTAATTTATTCAACCAACCTACATGTCTAGTTAAAACTGAGAATCTTAGTGAATAGGGAACAACTTAGCGCTACAGTCCACAGACATAGATTTCCTATTTTAGTATTACTGTATTTTAATTATTAAAAATATATTAAATATATATTATACATTAAATATGTAAATATATATAAAACATAATATATAATATAAATATATTCAGTATAATTTATATAACATATAAATTATATATTATATATTTATATAAAATAAATTGTATATATAATATATATTAATATATTTATTATATATTTATTATATAATAAATTAATATAATAAATATACAATGTGTATATATACATTTATAATATAATATAAATGTATTATATATTGTATAAATATAAATATATTAAACATAATATATTTAATATATTTATATAAATATATTAAACATGATATATTTAATATATTTAAATAAATATATATTATATATTATATTAATATAATATATATTTAATATACACATATATTAAAAATATATTAAAAGATATATAAAAAAATTAAAGGTAGCCTAAGCCAAACTAACTAGTCTAGTGAAACTTGCAACTACATTTTTAATTGGTGGTTCTTCACAAAAACTTAAAATGGATTTTTAATCTCCTTTTTGGGATAAAGTTGATGTCTGAATTTTGAAAGTAGTCTAGATAATTGTAGGCATAATTATAATAAATTTTGTTGCATAAAGCTATCATAGATTTTAAACAATTGTTATGTGTTAGGTACTCTAAATACATTTTCTGATTTAATCTAACGAAAACCTTCGTGTCTACATTGAGTTTCAGAGAAGAAGGTGATATTATAGAAGTTTGCTCAGCTAATGGTAAGCTGAGTGATCTTAGGTTCAAATCTATTTATTTCTAAAGTCCATTTTCCTTTATATATATGACATGATATTCTTTTTAAAATTGTTTTAAAAATGTAATGTTTATGGGTACATAATGTGTATGTATATGTGTATTATATATATGACATATATATATATATATATATATGAAGTACATGAGACATTTTGATACAGGCATACAAGGTGTAATGACCGTATCAGGGTAAATAGGATATCTGTCATTTCAAACATGTATAATTTATTTGTGTTACAAACATTTTAATTATACTCTTAGTTATTTTAAAATGTACAATAAATTTTTGTTGACTATAGTACCCTGTTGTGCTATCAAATATTAGATATTTTTCTTAAAAATCTGTATAGTTATATTTAATTGCATGAGTAGTGCATAAAGGGAGTAGCATGAACACAAAATTTTTTTAGAGCTACTACACGTTATGCACTATAGAGTTGGCCCTTGAACAAACAGCGGTGTATGGGTACTGGTCCCTCGCACAATACAAACTGAACATATACCTTTTGACTCCCCCAAATGCAAACTAATAGCCTGCAGTTGACCAGAAGCCTTACTAATAACAGAAATTGTCAATTAACATATATTTTTGTGTTATATGCATTTATATTCTGTATTCCTACAATAAAGTAAGCTAGAGAAAAGAAAATGTTATTAAGAAAAATCATAAGCAAAAGAATATATATTTACGATTCATTAAGTGAAAGTAGGTCATCATAAAGGACTTCATCCTTGTCCTCAAATTTATAGGCTGAAGAGGAAGAGGAGGAGGAAGAAGAGAGGTTGTTCTTGCTGTCTCAGGAGTGGCAGAGGCAGAAGAAAATCTGCATATAAGTAGACCTTCAAACCTGTATAGTTCGAGGGTAACTATATTTTTGCCTAATTATCTCATTTAAGTTTAACAACTATCTTATGAAATATTTATATTATGCACATTTTATGGACAAAGAAACTGAGGTGCAGACATGTGGCATAATGTCCCCAAGGTCATACACATCTTAAAAGCCTGCGAAACTGGAATATGAAACTAAGTTTGACTGGCCTACGAATTCAAAATATTCCTACTCTAGCATCTTCTAGGCACTCAGCAATTTAAATTATTAAGACTCTTAAAATAATTGACAAAATCAATACTCAACCAAACGAATACAGACATCTAAGTTATCATCAAACAATCTATGTTGTGATGATTTCACATTCCAAATTGTTTTTATTTAGTCACATTGGTATTGTTTATATTAGATTATGAGCACGCATGATGTAGAAAACACAATTACACAATTAGCTTTAAAGCAACTACCAAGTACTTCAAGAAGTTAAAAAAATTATCATTGTTTGCTTAATTCTTCTCTGACGCTTCTTTGGCTGACACTATTTTATAATTCAGATATTTGTGGAAATGTCATTTCCTTAGATCATTGTCCTGACTGCCCTGTCTAATAATTATATATTCAACACTCTAACACATCATTCTATTTTACATATTTATTCTTTTTTATGAGTGCTCATTATCAATAATTTTAATTTATTTTTGCTTGTTTTTATTTATCTCCTCCCATTGGATCATAAATTACAGGGACCTTGTCTGTTTACCATGGTGTCCCTACAATCTGGAACAATGGACATAATATGTAAATTTTTGTTGAATGAATAATATTTAACAGGATTTATGAAGCCTTTTTGAATCCAATTTTCTTTAAATGACACTTTAAACATTGAAGAGAAGAATGTAGTTATATGTATAATGATCTGATTTTGCTTACCACAATGCAATCTCTGATTCATTGTCACCATGATTTTTCCTTTGTATTTCTATTTTTTTTGTGTGTGCTATTGTTTTGGCCTCCTTTCCCTCTATTTTATTTCCTTTCCTTTTCTCCCATCCACTATGTAGAGAGTAGATTTTTCTGAGTCCGGCTGATTATACTTATTGCCATTTGTAATGCCTAACAGTTAGTGGATTTTGCAAAAGAGGAAATTAAAACAGCAAACTCAGTAGCTCAAGGTCAAATATTAATGCTCATCCATATAAGTAGACACTAGAGATGCAAATGGGGGTATTGAGTTTTTCTGAGAGTATCAGTGTGGAGCTTTTATTGTTTTGTTATTAGGAAGATAAGTCACTGTGAGGATCAACCTACACTTTGCATTCACTTTAATAACTTTTCTTATTGTTGCCCAGAAATGTGCATCAGATTAGATTGCAAACTACTGTTCCCTTAATCTCCCATCCAGGAAATGAGTGTGCCTCAATGAAATATTAATACATTTTTCTTTTAGCTTTAAGATATGGCCTATTTTTCCTCTTGATTGCAGTTAAAAACAAGAGTCTGTTTATTAAAACAGAAAGTCACAAGCAAGTAGGCATTCTTTGTGTCTATATTGAGTTTGTGACTAGTAGTAACATGCTATCATTGAATGTGACATTGTTTTGACTCCTGGAGAAGACATAAAGTAGGATAATAAAACCCAATAAATTATAAAACAAAATCAGTGTGTTTGCTAAAATAAAGTAAATTTAAGGGCAATTCTACACATATTAATTATAAATATAATCTGATTCCTAAACACTGAGAGGTGTTGTGCACAGATATCTCTAGATTGACACAAAAACTGCTTCCCTGTATAAATACATTTCCACAAAAATAATAGTCTCAAGTTACGCATTCACTAATCATATAGAAATTCTCATTAGTATGTAAGATGCTTGTGTTAGCAAACCCTCTATACAGGCAGCTATTGAATGCTTACAATTCACCAAACTGTTTTAAGTGCAAGATATAGAGTGATAAACCATGCAAGACTTCTGCCCTCATGGAGATTATCTTTTACTGAGGGGAGAGATACAGTAAACATGAAAACAAAAGTATCACTCTTTCAGGCTGCAATAAGTGTTTTACAAAATGAGTAGATATGATGGATGCCATTAGAGATACTTTAATTAGGGTGGTCAGGAAAACTACAGTGCAGAGGTGACTTTGAGCTGAGATATAAGCCATACAAAGGGAACTATGCAAAACACCAGAGAACTGCCTCTGTAGTATAAAGGGTATAACAGGTACAAAGGCAATGATACTTAAAGACTAGAAAGAAGGCACACATAGCTGGAAGATATTAATGGAAAAGGGAAAAGTAATAAGACGTAAAGCTGGAGAGAAAAGTAGTCACCAGGTTATGTTGAGTTTGGTAGGAAACTTATAAGAAATTTGAATTTATTATAATTTGTAAACCAAATTATTGAAATAAATGTTTTAATAATGGAAATGATATTATGCTTTTTTTAAAAAAAATCATGTTGTTGTTTGGAGTGTGGGTTGTAATATGATAAACCTGAAAGCAGAGAGACCAGTTAGGATGTTGTGTCTGTTTGGCATGTGAAAAATAGTGTTGGTCTGGAATGATGCGGAAAAAGTGTAAATAGTGATGGGTGGTCAGATTTTTTACTTTTTATTTTTTGATAAAGTCAACCAGAATTATTGGTGGATGGCATGTGTCAAAGAAGAAAAGAAAATAATTGAAAATGACTGTGGTCTTTTGTTTGAGCAATTGGGTAAATGTACAGTGGTGTCATTATAGGCTAAGAAGACTGATTCAGGTTTAAATTATATAACTTAAATTCAGTAAAAATAAATTTGGTGTGTACCTTATTATAGGCATTATAGATAGACTTCCTAGAAATCTTAATATTTTGGTAACTATTAAAAGTTTTATTTTGGGACCCAGGAGAAGATTCTAGTGAACACTCTGCATGTTTATTTCTTAATGGAATTTGAAAATATATTGCAGACCCAATTTTTGTATCTTGTATGTTATATATATTAAATTTCTGTCTTGAATCATTTTTTAATATCAGAATCTCTTGTATTGACAATAATTATAAAATAAAAAATTATAAACCTAAGTAATTTAGTAATGTTTTTAATTTGTAAGTGATATTATATTTTATGCAGAAACAATAACAAACTTGAGAACTGAAAAAAAATCAGTGATGAGCATTAATTGAAGGACTGTGTTAAAAACAGGCTAATGAAAGGCCTTCAAAAGTACTTTATCATAGGAGAAAACAGGAGAAGATACTATCTTATGTAGGAATCTATAACAAGACTAAATCAGATGATTTAGCCATATGTAGGAATCTGTAACAAGACTAAATCAGATTAGCCATATGTAACAAGACTAAATCAGATGAAACCACTGCCCTTATGATCTGGTTCATTTTTAAAAAGTGAATGAATATACACAGATCCTAATGTTTAATGTTTATATTTTACATTTATTTTAAGAACTTAAATATCTGCATGTCTTGAGATCTTCTTGAAATTCACCTAAGTAATTTTTCATATGCTTGTGCAGCTAGTATTGCCTAATTTTCATTTCCATTGAATTATGATCACAATAATTCACTTTTCTGGCATGAGGTAACATTTTATTTCCCCATTAGTATTTGCAAGAAGCATATTTTGATTAAAAATTCAGCACTTTGCAGCCCATCTTTGTTTTAAAATTTGATGTTGTTAATCTGCAATTCTTCCCTGTGGTGTTTTTTATTACCACTACAAACTGGTATTCAAATGATTTTTTTTTCTTAAATTATGAAGACATATGGTCGTTTTCCTAAGTGGGATGTAAAAGGTATGTTTTTCTTTATAATGTACAATGAAACACTTTTTTCTGTAACTATTTTGTTACTTTGTATATTTCATTGTAATAACAAGAGTTAGAACAAATTTATCTGTAAAGACCTAGATTCATCTAATTATTTTATATAAAGTATTAATATATCCACATTGATGTAATGTTAATTATATGAAAAATAAAGGTAGACTATGAGGTAAAATCTCAAAACCTTTAAAACTGACTTACCTTTGATTTCAGAGCAAAACAATATTTGTAGACATTCTTTTAAAAAATCAGATGAAGCCAAATATCTTTTCTCATATTTCTATGTCTTGCATCTGTGATAAAGCTTGCTTTTAAATCAAGGAAACAGGAAAAGCAACCCAGCTTGCCTATATAAAGATAGTTCACAACTGTCCAATTTTGTTGGGAATGGAGTGAGGAGATCTAGAGATAATGTATAATAATAGGTATAACAATTAACCTCAAGCTAGAAAAATGCCCTACAAAGGTTGAGCAAATGTAGTGCATGGAGATGTGTTTTCATCAAGTAATTGCTGCAGAGGACTTTTAGATGAAATGTTTTATAAATTTAAGAGTGGACGAAATACTGTCTGAGCTTTCGTTTTGTGAATTATTGTTTTAGAGATATTTGCAAACTATGCATCTGACAGGTGACCAATCCAGAATTTACAGAGAACTCAAACAACTCAACAACAACAACAAAAACAAATAACCTCATTAAAAAGTAGGCAAAGGACATAAATTTTCTTTTCAAATGAAGACATACAAATGGGCAACAAGCGTATGAAAAAATGTGCAATATCACCAATTATCGGAGAAATGCAAATTAAAATCATGATATCATCTTATATCAGTCAGAATGGCTATTGTTAAAAATACAAAAATGTAATTAATTTCGGCTGGATGTGGAGAAAAGGGAATGCTATACACTGTTGGTGGGAGTGTAAATTAGTATAAAGATTTCTCAAAGAAATAAAAATAGGACTGCCGTTCACTCAATCCAGCAATCCCACTACTGGACGTCTACCTAAAGGAACATAAATCATAATATCAAAAAGATATTTGAACTTGTATGTTTATTGCAGCATTATTCACAAGAGCAAAGCTATGGAATCAACCTAAGTGTCTATTAATGAATGATTGGATAAAGAAAATGTGGCATATATACTCCATGGAATTCTATTCAGCCATAAAAAATATTGATGTCCTTTGAATCACCGTGGATGGAGGCCATTAAGTGAAATAACTCAGAAACAGCAGAAAGTCAAATAGCCCATGTATCTCACTTTTAAGTGGGAACTAAATAAATTGTGCTTATTATAAATACTGTGTGAAATAACGGACATTGGAGACTCAGAAGGGTAAAGGAGTTGATAGGAAGATGGGTGATGAGAAATTACTTAGTGGATAGAGTGTAGATTTTGGGGTGAGGAATATGCTAAAAGCCTAGACTTCACCACTATGAAATATATCCATGTAACAAAATTGCACTTGTACCCTTTAAATGTATACAAATAAAAAGAAAAAGAGAGATAAAATCTACTCTAAAATAGTTTCCCCCCAAGCATTGAGTATGCAAATACTGTGCGCCAAATACTGTGCTATGTGTTGGGAATACAAAGGAAAACTAGATGGGAATGTATCTTGCCCTCATAAATTTTACATTCTAGTAGACAAGGAAGAAAAAACATGTATGCATTTAAGAATACAAATTGTGAATATTTCTAAATTAGAATTATAGAGACTAATATTAACTAGAACTACTTTAGATATTGATCCAGGAAGTTTGCTTTAAATAAATTATATTTAAACTGAGCTTCTTTGTACAAAGGAGCCAGTATGAACATATAAAATCTATTCAGGTGAAACTTTTTTTAGGACTATGAAAGACGAGGATAAAATTTTTTTTAAAAAGTTTTAAAACAGGTAAAAGTTACATTTGGTCTCAACTACTGTGAAACTCATCTAAAATGTTTATTTTAGAAGTTAGAATATCCATAAACTTAGCAAATAATTTATAATATGTGCAAAACATGTGTAGTCTATGTGTACTATTAACCTTAGGGTAAAAATATGTTTACCGTTGTCAGTTAAAAGTTGCTTGGCTAAGGTAGTAAAACTTTTGCCTTTTCAATGAGTTGTTTTGCTATGGAAGTAAAACATGTCTAGATGACACAGGAATCTGACCACTTTGTGGTCAATTTGACAAGATGATATATTGTGTTATTTATTTTTTTAATTATCTAAACCATTAAACATTTCTACTTAAAAAAATAAAATATTTCCCTTAATATTTCTGGCTATAAAAAAGAATATAAAGATGTTTAAGCAATAAAAATAAGTATAAAGAAGAGAAAACTATTTTAGAAGCATAATTCAGAATTATTGCTGTTAATACTTTACAGACATATCTTAATAAAATATGAATATTGTGTTTTATCTTGTAACCTACTAATCTTTTCTTAAAAATTATAACATTCTACACCTTTAAGTCAAATACATAACATTCCACAATGTGCATGCACAATAGCTTATTGGTTTTCCTATGAATGGGCATTTATATTTTTAATTGTTTTAACTACGAGTAACTATGCAGTAGTACTCAATATTCTTGTCATATTTTTTGTGCATATCAAGTTATTTCCTATGATACATTTCTGAATATGATTTTATTATTCACTATGTGAGGGATGAATAACCCATTTACCACAATGTGATTTTTATGCATTGCATGCCTGTATCAATGTACCCCATCTCATGTACCTCATAAATAATACTTTCAATGGTAAAAACCATGATAATTTTGTGCTAACCTAATATGTACACCTACTATGTACCCAAAAAATTATTAAAAATTTAAAAACCCAAAAAAGTTCATATATTTTCAAGTTTATATCTATTGTAAAATTTCCTTTTAGAAGGATATATTTTTGCCCACTAACCTCTCAACCAAAAGAGATTACTGTATTTTTTTAAATTTTGCCAATATTCAGGAAAATCATGTAATTTTTAAAGCTCAATTTTTTTTACAAGCAAGGTTGCATATTAGTTTATTGACTTTGATTCTTCACCTGTTTATTCTATTGTGAATTTAAAAATTTTGCAAATACTATACGAGAATCATGTAGTTCTTAAAGTTATATCTTTTTAGCAAGTAAGGTTACACATTATTTTATTGACTTTGACTCCTTACCTGTTTATTTTATTGAGATTTAAAGCATTATTTTATTGAAGCATTTTCTTTAATCAAGATACATGAGGTTATACGTGTGGATAAATAAATCTCAGTATCTCAGTAGCTTAGAACACACACAAAAATCTCTCATTCGTGTCACAATTAGATGAGTATAAGGTAGTGCTCCTTGGCTACTATACAGATCTAAAAATGTTGTCTCTAAATCCCACACTTTTCCACAATCTAGTGATGCTATTTGGATCCCATAGTGAGGAGGTTTCTGGGTAGGACAAAATGTTGAAGTATGGCAAGTCTGTTTATCTTAACCGTATTTGGAAGTGGCCATGTTTTACATTATTTCCAACCACATTACGATGGCCAGAAGAAAGAATAATTTTCTGTTGTTTTAAGCCAACAAGTTTGTGCTAATTTGTTATAGAGGCCCAAAAAGCCTAATACAGTTGTCCTTTGGTATGCATAGGGGATTAGTTCCAGGACGTGCACAGATACCAAAATTTGAGGATGCTCAAGTCCCTTATATAAAAAGGCATAGTATTTGCATATAACCTAAGCACATCCACCTATATACTTTAAATAATCTCTGAGTAACTTATAATACCTAATATAATGCCTAAACATCTCTACTTTCACTTGGATTCAACATAGTACTCAGTGCATGGCAAATTCAAGGTTTGCTTTTCAGAACTTTGAGAATTTTTTCTTTTCCCTGGGAGTTTTTGATCCACGGTTAGTTGAAACTATGGATGCAGAACTCATGGAGATGAAGGACCAACTATGTATGTACAATCCCTGTTTTTATAAACCTCTGTGTAGTGAGTCAGGTATATACATACATATATAATATATATATGCACACTATAACTATATACAAATAAATAATACAGTTTTAATAGAATTTGAAAAGCACTGCCTTTGAATCAGAAAGACTTGAGTTCAACTTCTTATGCTTCTAAACTGCTTGTCCTTCAATGGTCTCATCTGTATAATAAAAAACGTAGTTTGTAGGATTTTCCTGACTGGTAAATGAGTTGATTTTTGAGTTACTATCATGCTCATACTTTAGGAGTGTGGAGTGTTATTTTCCATTATGTAACAGCCTTGCTAATCAAGCACACACATGGAGCAATAAAGAGTGTACACAATTGTACTTTATGTTAGTTTTAAATTATTTATTCCAATTGTAATAAGTCTACAGTGGGTCAGTGGGAGATTAGTCAATAACATTAGGGGATACTCTATTCTTCTGACCTCTCACTCTCATCTCTGGGTTTTCATTGAGTGTAGGTCTTTCATGAAATGACCTTTGGATTCTCTTTCTTCTATAATTTCCCTTTCAATCTTTGTTACTTGTTCTCCTTATCTTTTGGTCTCCACTACTTGTCTACTTGTCCATGTTTTCCTTGCTCTGTTGAGTAAATGAAGAGGAGTCCCCTTAACATCCCTTTTCTATCATTTCTTCTTATCAATCTCCTGTATTTTATTGGCTAAAAGTATCTGTGTATTTCCCTCAACAATATACTGCTAAATCATGTTTCATATACTTTCCCAGAATGTTGAATTGTGCTATTGATGATACACATTCACACATGTGCATGCACACATGTACACACATTAAACTCACCCTGCCAAATATATAGTGTAGTACCTTGTACATACTATAGACTTAAAAGTTAATGTTTTATTAAAAATAGTAAATAAAGATTATACAGACAATATAAAAATATCTGAACTATGCGGCATTTTAAAAAGTGATATAAATTGTGTTAGAAAAGAATTTAAGTCATTTTCAACCTTCAGTAAATCTCTGCATTGGATAATTTCTTGACCTTCTGTTCCTGGTTTGATTCTTTTTTCAAAGCATAATCAATAATGACTCAGTTCCCAGAATATAGAAACTTGTTTTATTAAAGTTTGGAAAACTGCAGAAATTTTCAGGGAACTTGATTTTAATGCACAAACTGATGGCAAACTACTCCACAGGAGACTCAATTTCTAGACATGAAAGTATTGCTGAGTTTATTGATTTGAGCTGCATCTTCACCCTGGGATGCCACTTTCTTAACAAATGTTCTACCTTGTTTTCTTTGTATGCAGAAGAAACAAAAAAATGACTACGATTACTTTTCGAAGGCTTATAATATACTACTCAAATTATAGTAAATTGATAAGAAGATGAATGGGTAATAAGTATCAACTTGCGATTTCTAATGTAGTAGAAATACTATCTAAGTAAAAAAGATAAGATATATTCAAGTGGAATGAAACCTAATGCAAGTGAAGAATAAAAAGAATATACTATTTTAACATAGTATTTACATAACATACTGCCTCATCCACCTTTCCATGGATAACTTGCTTGATGGTTGTTTAATAAACTGCATGAGCAAGTTTTTTTCCTCCTGGGAATTTGAGTCATGACATGTCAAATATTCAACAACTCTGTGAAGACACTCCACCATAACACTTCAGGATAGTCTTAAATCTTTAGGACCCTGTCATGTAACTTAGAAGTGAAGTGAGTAGCTTGGGCGTGGTGGCTTATGCGTGTAATCCCAGCACTTTGGTAGGCCAAGGTGGGTGGATTACCTGAGGTCAGGAGTTCGTGACTAGTCTGGCGAGCATGGAGAAATCCCGTCTCTACTAAAAATACAAAAAGTAGCTGGGTGTGGTGGTGGGCATCTGTAATCCCAGCTACTCAGGAGGCCGAGGCAGGAGAATTGCTGGAACCCCGGAGGTGGAGGTTGCAGTGAGCTGAGATCATGCCACTGCACTCCAGCCTGGGTGACAGATGACAGAGCGAGACTCCGTCTTGGGGGTGGGGCGGGGTGGGGGGAAGTTAAGTGAATAGAAGTTTCCTTAATATCCATAAATTTGGGATTAGCCTGGGGCCGAATACTATACCCTAAAATAGGAGAGAAAGGAAATAACTGTTATTCACAGTAAGCAGCCAGGGGAACTGATCTCAGAACATTAGTTTTAATAAGAAATAAGTGATAAAGGATAAAATTCCCTGAACACTGCCTTGCTTGGTATTGCTTTAAAAGTAGAGTGGAGGCAGCTTGGGGACACAAATAAGACAGTGGCAAAGGGAAAGCAGTAGTGAAACCAAAGTCAAAGTTAATCAATTTTATTGGTCTAATAGTTTTATTTCAATGTGCCCTTTTGCTTAGTATAAGTGACTAAGAGTCATAGGTTTTATATAGCGTGCTAATTCGCAGGTTTAAAACCTTTCATTCATTCATTCATTCTTATAACAGATATTTTCCAAGTGCCTGCAATGTAACTGAAAGTTTTATGGCTGCATGTTCATGACACATAGATATATAACACAGTTGTCACCCCAATGGAACTTTTATTCTAGAGCAAGAGACAGATAAGTGTAAGTAAATAGATGATTTTAATGGAAGGAAATCAGTATTAAAATAAAAGTCTGCTGAGAGAGCTGAGGCAGCAGAACTATGGGGTAGGCATTATTGCAGAAAAGTAGACTCTAATGCCAAGGTAGTTAATCCTTATACAGTGATTTTTTTATACAACATTTTAATCCTTTCATAGTGGTTTTCATTCTTTGGGAATGCAAAGATGTACTTTCATTTTCAAAGTGAATTGTTAATACTTAACTGTAGCAGAGCTAAAATACTAATATTTAATTAGTAGAAAACAAACATCCCAAAGGGAATTTAGTCTAATACAGTGTTCTATAAGCTTTAAAGTAAATCGCCACTGAATAAACAATAAGAGTTTCTAAACTGTAATGGAACAGTAAAGGGCTTAGCATTCAGAGTACACTTTTCGCTTTGTTTTTCTTATTTCATTGGCTCAATACACAAAGTGAGATTTCTATTTATAGTAACAGTTAATAGAAAAAAATAGATCAGAGAGAAATATATTCCAAAGCCTAGGTATGCTACGGTAGAAATTTTCTATTTTAAAACAAAACAAAAATCCAGTTGTAGAAATATCTCAATGTATAATGAGAAATTACTAGTGATTTACTTGGAATGTAGAAAGATAAATCATCTGCTCTTCTTGGAGATGAAGTACAGAATTATAATGTTTATTACAAATTAAGCCACAGCAGTATTCCATTTTTTTCTTTTGAAAATACATTGGACTTACGGAAAGCAGCTGATAACTGAGCTAAAGCTTACATTCTTCTTAAAACCACTCATATTAAAATTTACATATTAACAAAAGATAGTGTGGTGTTTAAGAACTAAGATATATTAGAAAACATATTTGACCAGAGTCTCATTTATCTAATTTGAGTCCTATTTATCTAATGGAATGATATCACTTATTTCAAAGTTCTGTTGTGAGGATTTTTGACAAAATGTTTGTGATGTGCCCTCGCATACAACGAGTACTCCGTGAATGCAGAAAGCTCCTCCTTTCTAAACTCCTCCCAGTTTTCTAAGAGCTACAGAATATATTTCTATGTTATTTACAGAGATAGTATATTATTGCTAGTTTCAATAAACAAGCACTTTGTACAGTCATTGTAAGGGTTATACTGATGTGCATATTATACATATTTTATATATTTTACCTATAATTAATGTATTTATTTAATAGTAAGAATTTGCAAAAGGCAGTTTGTAGGGTGTTAAAACATACTGGCTAAATTTGACAGCAAGACAATAAAAATGGGGCAAGATTGCTAAAGTGCTTTAAGTCATTATTTTTTCCATTTTAGGTTAAGCCAATTGTTCTTAGGATTTAGTCAATTCCATATTTCTTTTAGGCAAATGAATTAGACTTTGAGCATTTGGGACTGAATGGGTAACTTAGAGAGTCTTGTCTTGAAAGTTTATGGACCATACATTGTAGGATAGTTTGTTCCTGATTCATAGATCTACTTATGGAAAATATAAGAGAGTCAGAATTGGTTTTAGACAGTATTTGTGAAATTTATTAACCAAGTTATGGAATGTGATTCATATGTAGTGTAATGGTAAATAGGATATGATTAAATTTCCTCATATATAGAAATCAAGGAATACCTTCCAATGCAATCTTAATTTTTAAAATGTTTCTCATTTATTTAAAGAAGAGAAAAATAGTGCTGATAATTTGTTAAATTATTAGTCTTAAGCCTTAATAATAACTCTACTGCCAATTTAAGGAATGACAAATAAAATGCTTTCAACTCTTCCTCACTCACTGTGAATGTTGTTGGTCTGTCATATATGGCCTTTATTCTTATACCTAATTTGTTGAAGATTTTTATTATGAAAGGTTGTTTTCTGAGGACAAGTATTCATAGCTGCTATAAAGTAACAGACTGCGGGGCTAGCCTCAAAGTGGTGAGAAACAGTCTGGACTCCATGTTGAGCCCAGATCTTCATGGAGGTTCTGAAGTGGTCCCATGGCAGGTGATACCTGCTGCTAATCTTAAAAAGCAGAAAATAATCTTCTGTGAAGGAAAACATCTCAAAATTCCAATTTAAATTCACTACTCTTTCTCCAATTAAGGTCAAACATAGAGCTTGCAAGCAAAGATTATTGAACATATGAGAAAACAGACTATGTGTAAGATTCAACAGTCAAACACATAATAGGAGAGTAGATCCTGAAACTACTGGATAAATAATACAGAATATAGATAAATAAAGGACTCAATCTCAAATATAATCTACAAAGGCTTATAAATGAATATATACATATGTATACCTATATATGTATACACACACATATATATGTATAAATTTCTAGCAATCAAAATTATGATTGTTGAAAATTTCATTCATGGATTAAACTTCAAAATATAAACAGCTAAAGAATAAATTAGTGAACTGGAAAGTAAACTGTAAACTTAAAAAATCATCTGGAAACTACAAAACAGGCAACAAGATGGGAAACATGGGATAATAATAAGAAAATTAGAAGATAGGATTATATGAGAAGATTTAGCACAATTTTAATCAGAATATTAGGTCTCTGTATGGAAGGTGAACAGGAAGTAACAGGAAGACTTAACGGTATTTAACCATGGCATTTATTTCAGGATCTTTTATCAAGAGTAATTCCTAATCTCTCATTCAGTCAAAGGGATCTCTAATTAAGACCAATTCATGGCTGAGAACGGGGTGAAGGCCTGAGGCACCACTATGATGCCTCAGATTTGGTTTCCAGTTACCAAACATAGAGGTTATATTTTTGTTGTTGTTGTTTTTAATTACACAGATATCATTAACCTAATAAATCCCTCAGTTTCAGAAACCTTTGATAACTTAACCACTGACAAAATCCTTGAATATCATATTTTTTCAAAATACATCTTTGGTCCTACTCACTATAGTTTGGACATCACACTCATCTTATTTTTTTTTTTTCTGATGGTTAAGGGCTGATAAACAGATCTTCCAATTGTGGTATTTTGAAATTGCCATTGGAATCAGAGATTTTGTTTCGATGGGAGTATTTTTTGTTTTCATCACCAGACAGATAATATATTGTTTACTATTATGCTGCAAACCAGTTTTTGGTATTTTGTTACAAGAAACTAGTTTGTGGTACCAGGAATGAGATAGTGTAGTAACAGATACCTAGAAATGTAAAGTGCTTTGGAACCGGGTATTGAGTAAGGCTAGAAAAAAAATTAGGTCACTGATAGAAAAAGACTAACCTGCTTTGAAGAGACTGTTGGTAGAAATATAGACATTAAAAGTGATTCTGAAGGAAGTGAGGTGACTTATAGAGATAGTTTCTTTCATATTAGAGAATGCATAGTTTGTCATAAACAAAATGTTGCTAAAAGTGATACCATTAAAAATTCTGCTGGTGGGACCTCATATGGAAATGAAGAATGTATTATTGGCCTCAGAAGGAAAGATGATCCCTGTTATAAAGTAGCAGACAACTTGGCTGACCTGTATTATTTGGGGTAAAAAGTAGAATTTATAAGCAATGGAGTTGAATATTTAGCTGAGAAAGTTTTGAAGCAATGTTGAAGTAGTCTTCTTGCTGCTTGTAATAAAATGAGAAGGAAAAGAGATAAATTGAGAAATGAACTGTTAAGTGAAAAGAATCCAGAACTTGAAGATTTGGAAAATTCTCAGCCTATTCAGACAGTATGCTCTGGAAATAGAACAAATGCATGGCTGTAAACTGTTTGCTAAAGATATTAGGCATGTGACTCTTGGATCCAATCAACTATCTCAGCAGAAGCCAGAAATAAAAATGTGGTTATTCAGGAAATATTTGTGGAAGAACTTCTTGTCACATGACTTATAATTTTTAAGGATTTCATGCCAAAAAGAATGCTGTCAGTCTAAAGTGAAAGAGGCAGAGACAAGATAGAATAAAGAAAAATAACTAAGAAAAGAGGCATGGATGCAGAAACCAGGGTTGATTTGACACCCTCAGGCTGAGAGAGCAGCGTTGCTGCCCCACTGAACAGAGAAGGTGAAGCCGTCACCCCAGCGGACCTAGAGAACAGGGCATAGAACCACTGCCTGGTAGGTTTTAGAATTGTTTGGGGCCCACATTCCCTTTTACCCTTTCAATTTCTCCCTTCTTGAATGGGAACATCTAACTTATGTCCGTCCCACCATTGTATTTTGGAAACAAGTTGTTTCCTAGTTTCACAGCTTCACAAATGAAGAGGCATTTTTCCTCTGGATAGACTATACTTAGAGTTTCATTCATACCTGATTTAGATAACTCTTTTGAGTTGAATATGTAGTTGAGATTCTGAACTTAGAGTTGATGCAGGAATTGTGTAAGAATTTGTGGGATGCTAAAATGGAGTTAATATATTTTGCACCTCAGAAGGATATTAATCCTGGGGACTAGAGGACAGATTGTTATGGGTTGAAATTTGTTTCCCAAAAGATAGAAGATTGAAGTCTTAAACCCCAATAGTTCTGAATGTAACATTATTTGGAAATCGGGTGTTTGCAGATGTAATTAAGTTGAAATAAGGTCATTAGAATCGGCCCTAATCCATTGTGACTGTTATCCTTATAAGTCAAGGGAAATGTGGGCACAGATATAATGGAAAGAAAATCATGCAAAGATAGAGGCAAAGATTGGAGTGATGCTATCCCAAGCCAAGACAAGCCTGCCCACCAGAAACTGGAAGAAGAAAGAAAGAATCTTCTTTTGGAGGCTTCAGAAGGAGCATGACCCTGCTAACAACTTGGTTTTGGATGTTTAGGCTTCAGAAGTGTGAGTGAATACCCTTTGGTTGTTTTAAGACATCCAGTTTGTGGTACTTTGTTACAGCAACCACAGGAAACTTATACACATGGTAAAGTTAATATCCTTAGTGTCTTTTGGAAGGCATAGTGAAGGGTTCAATGAGTAGGCTACACATGATAAATCCATTCCACCTTTCCTATAATCAGAACCTTTTGGAATTCGTTTTATTTAAGATTAGTGCCCACTGAGTCTAGGTTTCAGTTAAACAATCAAGGAAACAATTCTAGATGATTGAAAGGTTATTGAATATAAATTCTCTGGAAAAGAAATCAATGTCAATAATTCATCTTGACATAAAACATTATTAAAAACCATCATCACTGCCTACATAAATTGTTCTGGTCTATTTGGTTTCCTTGTTCGTTTGTCTTAATTTTATTTATCTCTTGTGCATGCTGGACTCAGGGTTCAGGTATAGGTCTGATGGAGCATGAGAATTAGCAAAGACCTTTAAGTTAACTTGTAATACCTCAGATGTGTTAGCACTTTCAAACAAGACAGGGCAATCCTCATAAAACTGGTAGAATCAACCCTCTGTGATAAGGTAAATTCAGTGAGATTAGAGATTTGATATCCTCCAAATTGTTTCATTTTCAATTCTAGTGTCAATATTCTTTACCAATAGTTGCCCTAATTTTCTTTTAAGAGACTTGATAAGGCTGTGAAATTAAGTTTTAACAGTAGGGTCAATAATTCTTTTTTTTAACAGCTGAGTCAATCTTACAGCTAAAGAGATGAGTCTTTTGATAAAATCATAGAAACTTGCTAATTTTTTGACCATACCGTCATCTGATAATTGAAAATTTAAATCTTAATTGTTTCTTTATATTTAAGCCCTCTAATTGTTTTAGAAACAGTTAAACACTATTGTGGTCATTGTCCTTCATGTCCTTTACAATAATCTATATTAGTGACCTATCATTTAATCAAAATGTCATCTTCAATAGACATTTAATTCCAGGAGATCATAAATAATCATTTAAGTAATTGTTTCACAATTATGTTACATGGACCTCTGGTATATTAAGTAAGTAGGCTATAGCTTAACATCTTTAAACATACTAGAATTCTCACTAGCTTTAAACTCACCATATCATCTTTTCAATCCCATATTATAACTTAAGCATTTTGTGTGTGTGTGTGTGTGCATATATCAATCAGCATAACCTTGGAAATGTGACTTGCTTCCAGAAGGGAACATAATTTTGATTGAAGCATTTTTGACTTTTTGGAACCTGGACACCAAGTTAAATAAAGAGGTAGGTGCAATATTAGACTAACTAGTGGTCGTGTTATAAGTTTGATCCTGCTACTATGTGCCAAAATCCTACTGTTTTCTTGCCCTTTTATTCGATCCTGGGGATAGAAATGAGAATAAGGCAGCTACTTTTGGATAAAGATGAAAGACACACTCCAGGATAAAGAGATGATAATGCAAAAGATTCTGAGATGCCAAATCATGAGACAAGTAGTTTAAATAATGACGACGAATGCAGTTCAGCGTCTGCATTGATAATATAAAGTATGTCTGGAAAATAGTTTGTAACTACTCTGGAGGGTATTAAGGACCATGTAAAAGAATCTGCACTGAATTTGGAAGGATAGAGGAGCCCCAGAAGGCTTTTTGACCACAGGATAACATGGCTTATGTTACTTTATAAGAAGATTACATTAAGATTCCTTTATCTAATAATGCCTGAGAGGAACAGAGAATTTATTTATTTCAAAAGTGTTTTAATAGGTTTAATCTTATTTTATCCATATAGAACTCATAATTTTAGATAGGTCAAAGATATTTTTGACATTTTGCTGTTAGAAGGTTATCAGTTTTCTAAGATTAGACAGTTCACCTGACATCAATCTATATTTTAAGATAACTGTGAGATCATATTTTAAAAATATCTTCCTCAGAATCTTTTCAAGATCTTAAATAGGTCAAGCCACATTTTCTTTTGAATAGCTTAAAGCTACAGATCATCTTGATTGAAATATTAATTTACAATTCACTGCAGAAAAACAGCTTTAAATATGTCAACAGATGCTTACAGTTTAGATGACCCACGAATAGTAAAATAGAGCTGCTAGTTTAAATTGCTTCAAAATGCATAAAGAACTCTTCTTTCTAATAACAATTATTAGAGCAAAATACGCTGTGCTTACAAACACTTGTTTTAAAATTGGCTTTGCTCATCCATAGTGACTACAGTTGAAATTAGTATGAAATTATGAAATTAATTGTACTAATTGTATTTGTAGAAAAGATTTTCAATGAAAAAAGTTAAGGTCAAAAGGTTAATTTATTGGCTCAGATTTCAGTAGTTATTAGCAAAGCATAACTGGAGTTCTGTTTACTTGAATCACATTTCCATAAACAGAAATTGCTTTATGACAGAATCATTCATGGAATTATGCAGAAATCAGGAGGACATTAGACAACTGGACCTTTAGTAAGAATTTATTTTTAAGTTGTGCTATCATAGTAAAGGTCAAAATTTAATTATCCTTTAGGTATGTTATTATATGTATAAATGTATATATGCATTTAAATATTCCTGCTCTATTCATATTACAACATTCTTGACTTTTATCTATCCTTCATCTAGATATTAAGTGAGTAGGTTTATTACTTAAAACATTGAAAAAGTCTGACAGCCCAACACATAGATACAGTGCAGAAAGATTAAAATTACTTTCATGATATTTAGACTCAGAGGCCCACTGACATGCTGCTTTATAAAAGAGCACTTATGGGTTTCAGCCAACACTCATAATCCGTTGCTAATAGAACAACTCATTTGATGGACAATGGAGAAGAGAAAAAAAAATTCTAACTTACTAATGTTTTGTTGGCAGTGCCTTAGGTACATATGCCATTGTCCCTGGAGTGTTCACACCTTTCATGCTATTACTTTTTACAACATAGATATTTAGAATGTTGTTTCTTTAATCTACTTTATCCTTACCACTTTTCTTTTTAATATGGGAGAATATTTTTCACTGTGATAGAAAAAGAATAAGCATATTTGACACTATTTTTTGTTTGTTTATTAAAATATACTTGATTTTGATTATGGCAATGGAATATTCTTAATTAATACCCACTTTTTAAATTCTTGCCAAATACATTTCTACATGAAATCCTTCTGCCTTTATTAATTGATCGTAAGTGAAGCATTATTGCCCTAGGAAACAGAAAATTTTAAAAGAACCCAATTAGAAAACTGTGAAATTACTGGCTTTGAGTTCCAAAACTGTCTTGCAATGCAATTTGGATCTCAGTTGCAAGAGCCTTAGATTTGCAAGAACTGTTTAAACATTTAGTTCCAATAAATTTGACCTTGACTACCAAATTAAAGTTTAACAATATTTGTAGCCTAAAATACAAAGTGTAGAGAAATACAAGATGATACAAGAAAGAAGAGACAGAATGGGCAAGATGCAAATTTTAATCATAAATAAGTAGGAAGGAAAACTAAATTACATTTGGTTGATGGAGTTAATGTTTGCATGTTTTAGTTTTGCAAGCTGTCAGACTGTGAAGCATCTTTGCTACCTCCTTAGAAATCTATTATTTATTCATAATATATGTATGTGGGAGGGTAGGAACTTAAATGAAAAAATGTTTTTATTTGGATGGGTCCATATACTTACAACATTATATTGATTAAAGTTGGGTTATTAAACACACACACATGCACACATGAGAAACACCCCAAATTTAGAGTTTTTCAAACAGCTATCATTGGCTTACCACTGTCAGTATTTTGCTATATCTACACACCACACTGATTTTAATATTTTATGCTTACTTTTAAAAATGTATTTGTATTAATTATAAACATTATTATAAAACAATAAATGCCCCAAATTATAACTTGTATTATCAGGCAGTCACTTAATAAATTTTGGAAAATATGAATCTCATTAACATTCAAGTGGGAAAAATCAAATGAAAGTTCATTTAAGGATCTAAAGTAAATTCAGCATTTCTTAATGAGGTAACATTTGGCATTTTGGGGGTGGGTGGGAGAGAAATGTCTTTACTCCTTAGGAATGGTCTCTTCTTATATGTCACTAAGCATCCTTGACTTTCAGGTACTAAATGTCATGAACACCTTACAAGTTTAATAAAATCTACTCCCCCACCATTTCTAACCTCTTCCTATTAGATTTTGGCATCAACAGTCTCTATATAATGAATATGTATACATTCTTAAATACAAAAAAGAATACTCATTTAAATCAATCTATTATTATGATACATTTAATGGTTGTAAAAAAATAGGAAAGCAGAAGAGCGTTTCAAAAGAAAAATGAATGAGTAGGATAAGATTTCAGGGCAGGAATATGTGTTTTGGAACTAAGAGATATGAAACAAACAAAACTGGTGGACTAGGAATTACATTCCTATATTTTATGAGTAAAAAGTTATTGAGGCTGTGTAAGAGGAATGGATCTAAGAACCAGTCAATTCTTTTCCAGATTCTGCCAAGAATAGGCATAAAGTTAGAAAGAAATTATAGGATAAACTAAAGCTAGCAGCCCTATGTACTCAGAAGATGGAAATATCCCAGGGTTCACTGACAGGTTCTCCTAGGGATGCTGAGCTCAGAAGGATAAATGAATTTCACCCAAAGCTTTTAGCCTATCAAGTACAATTACTCTGTTTTTGAGTTACTCTCTCTTCTTGAAACAGAGCCAGGAATAAAAAAAAAGCCACAGATCTTTATTTCTGTGAATTCTAAAGTCTGCAAGAATATATGCCTTACTACATTGTTATGAAATGGGTCTATTTTTGCAACTATGTAACAGTTTAAAATAAACAGGACAAGGGCACCTACAGGACATGTAACAAATTAAATAACTACAAAGTCATATGTTTGAGATTCTTAACTCCATTATTTCCAGTGTTATTAATATTAATTATATAAAAATGTTAAAGAATGTTGATATATGTAGTTTAATCTATATATTTAGCTTCTATTTCTAAGTCCTTAGATTTACATTTAAATGTGAATTTATCAAACATACAAGTAATTGTATAAATACTTGAATTCTAAAGTTTGCTATTATTTACTTTGTTGAAAACCATTCCATTATTCATGGCAATAAATGCATTGAGAAATATTAACATTTATATTTAGTAAAAATTATTTTTATAAAAAGTAATTGACAAGAGGGTTCTTCAATAAATCCTATTCAAAAATAAAACAGGTATACGCATATAAAATACACATATAAAACTAAAAATGTTAAAATTTCTGAGAGAAAAATATATTTACTGAAAAAAGTTGGAGACAAATTCTTATTGAATTAATACATATCATCAGGAACTCTGCTAGACATAGTTACATAGGTTTTGTTATTCCTTCAAACAATTTTATGAGGTGAGAATTATTATCTATCTTTGTGTTGCTTATTTTCACTGAGACTGAAAGGGTTCGTGTTGCCTAAAATCAGTGATGCAGTGGATTTCACGTTCAAATCCGGTCAGACCTCCGTATCTCCTCAGAACTATGGATTAGAATATGGACTCATTTAAATTTGTAAAACATAGAACATAATGGCTTGCCAATACTTTTTTAACTAGATGTAAAGGTAGAGTTTGAATATGTTATATTTAAACCAACATTATGAAGAGAATTACTATTGTATTTTCCTTCTTGCATATTATGTAAAAGGAGAGATTTATAGTGTTCAAAGTAAATTTAACTTTACAATGATAGAATCCTGTCATATCTAGAAGGGACTACGGTAAAATTGGCAGAAGCTGGAGTTAGAGTGTCAGTTGTCTATTAGAAGGTTTGCTATACCTTAAAGACAGATAATATGAATTTGCTGGGAGCGCCTTGTGTTTAGTTACTATAATGATAGAGATAAATGTTGTTTCCATTTGGGTGGAAAAAATAAAATTATCAATAAAAGGATTTGGAACAGACAACATGTTATTTCTTCTCAATTTTCTTTAAAGATAAATAAAGAAAGAAAAAAAATGAAGAATGCTTTGCTCTCCCTAGATCATTAAACATAGTCACCAACTAGAGAGTCACATAAAGATGACATGAGTTAAGCCAGATACTGGCTTTGCAATAGTCAGCAGGAAAAGACTGACAATTTACAACTGTGAGAATTTTATCATTGTTTTATAAATGCTGTCAGTTTTTTTTTTTTTTTTTTTTTTTTTGAGATGGAGTCTCACTCTGCCGCCCAGGCTGAAGTGCAGTGGCACCATCTCGGCTCACTGCAATCTCCACCTTCCATTTTCAAGCAATTCTCCTGCCTCAGCCTCCTGAGTAGCTGGGATTACAGGCATCCGCCACCATGCCCAGCTAATTTTTGTATTTTTAGTAGAGACTGGGTTTCACCATGTTGGCCAGGCTGGTCTCGAACTCCTGACCTCATGATCTGCCTGCCTCAGCCTCCCAAAGTGCCAGAATTACAGGCATGAGCCAGCACACCTGGCTGCTGTCAGTTATTTTCTACCATCAAAAATCTGTCTACTCTTTAAGTCTTACTTCCCTTCTCCTAAAGTGACATGTGAGGTTTAATGAGGTTTAAAGCATCTTCTACCTCTTTCGTTTTATGATTTTATGTTTGTTTGCATTTTTTAAAGAATTTTAAAACAGGTATTTACTGATTCTAGGTCTGTTTGTATTTTATGTTAATTTTAGGAAGCTAGGCATGTTAACTGTTTTATTATTAAATATTATTCCATAAAACTAAACTGTTTAGACTATTAATAGAATGATCTTTTTTTTTTCTAAGTGGAACTATATAAAAACGTTGTTAAAATGCATATATTTAAAACTGGTCATTTATGGATTATTTTGCCTGATACATGCTTTTAAAAATTAGTCATGCATTTGTAATATTTTATGGTAATAATACAGTGATTAAAAATAGAAATTTTAATTTACTGAAGGATTTTCCATCATACCAGATTAATATCAAAATCTTTATTATCACTCTCAAAACAAAGTGAAAACTGAAATAAGTATATTGTATGCTATGTGCTTCTTGCTATCCTATCAATTTAAACAAGTTTTCTTAGGATGGAAATCAATTTGGTTCAACCATTTCTAGGTTCTTTTTTGAAAGTTTGTATGTATATACAGCTGACTCATTTGAATGCATATTGGAATCTCTTCTTAAGCCTGAGTTGAGACTCTAAAGCTCTCACTGACATGGTGGCCTATGCAATAGCTATGCTGGCTTCAAGGTTCTATTATGTAAATAAGGTAATACATCTATTTATGCCCCTCGGAATGTGACTGAAAACTGTAAAGAACTACAGTTGAGTGAAATGTGTCTGGAAAAATTTTACAGAGCTTTTTATGTCTGGTTATCAAACTCCACAAACTAATTACATTCATAAGAGAAGGAAAACATCCTTCCTTTACATTGTGTGTAGCTTCACAACATAAAATGAGAACAGAAACAGCTATTTAGTCTTATGAAATGTTAGTTCAATTTAGTTACATTTTTGTTTTTAAGCAAAAATTATTATTTTAGCATGCAGGTTTTAGAAACAATTACATCAATAAAATTGTCTATTTTTGGTCTGTGCAATTTTCTATATTTCCAATCAAACTATTATACTGAAATACATGACTTTGGAGATTTAATCATAAAGCAATTTTATGTTGGTTTTCCACCATTCCTTTACATATATACAGTGGAGCTAATTTTCCCACTGACACAAGAGAAAATACAGAGAGCCTTTCTTTCTTATGACTTTTCTTCTCATATTTTGTAATACAAATTGTATTTACTTTAGTTATTGAAATCTCCAATGACATGCCAAAAACAAACTTCAAACTGGATTCAAAGTCAAAGTACCTCCTCCATCCCTCCACCTCTAAGTTTGGATTCATTACAATGGAGAAGACTGTAATGAAGGAAGAAACATGGTTTGCTTCTTTTCCTCCTGCTCTGCCACCTTGCTAACCATCGTTCCTGACCCATACCCATCACTAAGTTTGAATTGGAGAAATCGGGGAGAGATGAACAGAAAATTTTCATCATTGATATGTTGTGAGCTGGCATTACTCTCTTAAAGCTGAGAAGGTGATTTAAGCTAATTCTCGCGTCAGTGTTTTTATAGGGTCCTTGTGATGGCAGCAGCAGCCTGCCTGGAGCGGCTGCTGCCAAGATACCGGCTGCAGCTGGAAAGGTGCGGCTGAGCGGAATGCTCCACGGAGCCAGCAGGAGCAAGGAGCAGGTGGGAGCCCCGCCCACCCAGGAGCAGTTGGAACTGCCCAAGTCGCAGTTGCAACCCTGGCCTCCCTGTGTTCTTGGGGGCCTGGAGTAGGCACAAGCCCCACCCTTCTGGGCACGGCTACAGCCACCCAAATTGTGGCTGTGGACCTGGATATCTCTGCGCTCTCCGGGGCCTGGGAAGGCCCCCTCTGCCTGGGAAGGCTTGGAGGTGTCTGCTCCTGCTACCTGGCCTCTCCTCACACCCTGTGGCCTCTCCGATCTAAGAGACAGGTTGAGGCCAAGTCCAGGTGCTGTTGTAGCCTGGCCGGGTGTGCACACACTCACTGCAGCACTGACATGCCAGCCCCCTGCTGCCTCGCCCCCCATCCAGACTTTGGGCACTGAGGAGCACAGGAGTGAGTCTGAGGGGGTGTTGAGAGCAGCTCTGCGCTGGCCTGCAGACGCCCCTTGGCACAAACAGCCTGGGCGCCATGAAAGGAGGCAGGAGGTAGACAGGCCCCTGGGCAGAAGGAGGTGGGTCCCTGGTGAAACCCCACTTTCAAGATGGGAGGGCCTGAGCCTAGGGGAGGGGCTGCCGATCCCGCTGCGTGGAGTGGGAACTTGTGGTGCTTTTTCCAGGCCCGCCCATGGCTGTCCATGGACAGCCCTGGAGTCTGCCAGACTCCAGTGACCTGCCAACCAACAGGGAAGAACTGCCCACCCCAGGGTCTCCTCTAAGCTGTTCTATTACTCAATAAATCTCTTCACCTTGCTCACCATCCATTTGTCTGCATACTTCATTCTTCCTGGGCATGTGACAAGAGCTTGAGACCAGCCAAATGGTGGTCCAGACCACCATTACCATACAGGAGCCCCGGGTGATCCTGGAAGTTGAAGGAAGGAAGGTGGACCCCCTCTGGACACTGGAGCAGGCCTTTCAGTTATCCTCTCCAATCTAGCCCCCGGCTCCTCTCTTAGCATGACCAAGAGGGGTATCTCAGGAAAGGCTTTAACCAATATTTTCTTCAACCCTTTAGTTGTAGTTGAAGAGACCTCTTGCTTACTGTTCTCTTTCCCTGTTGAAGGAACCCATTTGCATAGAGCAAGAGGCTTTTCCCCCTAGGTACTTTCCCCTCCCCTGCACTTATGTTCTCCTTTCTCCACCATGTCAGGAGTCAACATAGTCCTGTGAATGTGGGGAGCTTTTCTATGTGAGGGTTTTTTTTTTCTCCTTTTGGGAGGCACTTATTAGGCCACGTCCCCAGTTCCTGGGACTCCATTTCTCTCCCTTGTTTGAAGGGGACCTGGGCCCACAGCTTCACCTGCTTATGATAGGAGAGCAATGGAGTTACTGACCCCACTAGTTGCAGGCTGCAATTTGGTGAGGGCCACCTGGGACTAATTCAATGGATCCATACACCCTCTTGAGGCAGCTTTTTGTCCCAAGCTTCAGTTTGACACCCTAGACAGAAAATCCACATCTGGGGGATCCAGAGGCAGATGATAGCAGAAGCCTAGGGGCACAGCGCAGGTGAGCATGACTCATTCCTGCCGAATAGGCCCTCCCACTTTGTGGATGGAGTTCATACTCACATCGTGGCATAAACAAGGTCTAGTGAACTCAACGGTTACCAATAGTGGGAGGTTAAGGTACCACTAGGTGAATGTAAATAATCCTGCCGGCTATGCCTCCCTGCTTCATAGGGGAAGGTCATACCTGCACCCATGGTCGGCACCTGCACAGGTCACCGGGACTTAGGGATATAAGGTTGGAAGAAAGAAAGGGATACCTTTTTTGTTTGTGTCTCCCTCACATACCCTGGGTATTCACTGGAAAGAGTAAGGAACAAAGGTACACATTTTCCCCCTCTTTCCAGATGAGGAACCAACTATCTTCAGCCTGTACTCCTATTGAGTGCATCCTGAATCACTGGGTCACCCCTTTGACCCTCAGACTCTAGAAGGAGGGAAAAAAATGTCTTATTTTTTTTCCTTTTTCCTCTTCTGCCCTCTTTTTGCAGATGGGTAATTGTGTCACTGTACTACAGGGCATTCCCCTCAGATGCATAAAACCTAATTTCTGACTGAGCAATCTCTTGAGAAGGGACAAATTTTACAGAATGCAGGTAACCTCTTTGCTTCCTCTTCACAGGACTCCAGGGTCAACAGGGCTTCATAACTCAGGGGAAGGGAACCCAGAAGCCTGATGTACCAGTAAAAGGTTAAAAATTCTAGATAGTTGGACTTCTGGCTTCCCTCTCTCTGTGCAAACTGGTTGTAGGAATGGTAAAAAGTACTGCATTATCTGCTACTCCATGAGTTCAAAAACCAGAAGCATTGGCCATTTGCTGCGGCTAAGGTCAGGTAATAAGAGATTTAAAATGACCTTTTAAAAAGGGACTACTATGGTCAAAAGTCAGCTTAATTAAAAGTGGGTAGCCCAGCTATTGGTACATTTAAAAGGCCTTTATGTCTTTTCACTTCTTGGATTTTGTTTTTCTAGAACATTTATTTTCTTCTCTATCCACTGGATTATTTTTCTCCACTCTTGACACATACATGAGAGGCCTTAGGATAACTTCTGATACCCTGGGACTCCTTGGTCAAACAGAAGAGGTGTCACAGACCTTGTCTTGGGAAAAATTTCTGTTTCCCTCATGGAAACCCTGGAATTGGAAGCAGAGAGATTTCTCTCAGATTCTAAGGCAAATGAAAAATCTTAGAAATACTGGATCTTCTTTTGTTCATCTGTGTAGTTATAAACGTGTTGTGTGTGATGTTTATATAAAAAAGAGCTCTAAGTGACTGGCTTAAAGAAAAATAAAAGCTATAATGTCTTCTAGTTTATGTGACTTTTTTATGAGAAAAAAAATTGTAATGAGAGAAAAAGACATTACCTACAGATGAACTGTAGAAGAATTAGCTACAGACCTAGTGCCAGAAATCCAATGAGTCAAAAGACATCTATAAAGTATTAATAAAAAACACTTGCAACCTAGCCATATCCAGCAGAAATATCCTTTAATAGATCCTTTAATAATAAAAAATAAGTATAAAGTTTTTTTACTATACTTTAAGTTGTGGTATACATGTGCAGAACGTGCAGGTTTGTTGCATAGGTGTTACGCGTGCCATGGTGGTTTGCTACACCCATCAACCTGTCATCAACATTAGATATTTCTCCTAATGCTATCCCTCCCCTAGCCCCCAACCCCCAACAGGCCCCAGTGTGTGGTGTTCCCCTCCCTGTGTCCATGTGTTCTCATTGTTCACCTCCCACTAATGAGTAAGAAGAACATGTGGTGTTTGGTTTTCTATTGCTGTGTTAGTTTGCTGAGAATGATGGTTTCTAGCTTCATCCACATCCCTGCAAAGGACATGAATTCATCCTTTTTTATGGCTGCATAGTATTCCATGGTGTATATGTGCCACATTTTCTTTATCCAGTCTATCATTGATGGGCATTTGGGTTGGTTCCAAGTCTTTGCTATTGTGAATAGTGCTGCAATAAACATATGTGTGCATGTGTCTTTATAGTAGAATGATTTATAATCCTTTGGGTATATACCCAGTAATAGGATTGCTGGGTCAAATGGTATTTCTGGTTCTAGATCCTTGGAATCATCACACTGTCTTCCACAATGGTTGGACTAATTTACACTCCCACCAACAGTGTAAAAGCGGTCCTATTTCTCCACATCCTCTCTATCATCTGTTGTTTCCTGACTTTTTAATGATCACCCTTCTAACTAGGGTGAGATGGTATCTCATTGTGGTTTTGCTTTGCATTTATCTAACAAACAGTGATGATGAGTTTTTTTTTAATATGTTTTTTGGCCGCATAAATATCTTCTTTTGAGAAGTATCTGTTCATATCCTTTGCCCACTTTTTGATGGGGTTGTTAAATCACAAGCATTCCTATACACCAATAATAGAAAATCAGAGAGCCAAATCATCAGTGAACTCCCTTTCACAATTGCTACAAAGAGAATAAAATACTTAGGTCCTTACACGAGTTGTGAAGGACCTCTTCAAGGAGAATTACAAACCACTGCTCAAAATAATAAGAGAGGACACAAACAAGTGGAAAAGCATTCCATGCTCATGAACAGGAATAATTAATATCATGAAAATGGCCATACTGCCCAAAGTAATTTATAGATTCAATACTATCCCCATTAAGCTACCACTGACTTTCTTCACAGAATTAGAAAAAACTACCTTAAATTTCATATGGAACCAAAAAAGAGCCCCTATAGCCAAGACAATCGTAAGCAAAAAGAACAAAGCTGGAGGCATCATGCTACCTGAATTGAAAGTATACTATAAGGCTACAGTAACAAAAACAGCATGGTACTGCTACCAAAACAGATATATAGACCAGTGGAACAGAACAAAGGCCTCAGAAATAACACCACAAATCTACAACCATCTGATCTTTGACAAACCTGACAAAAACAAGTAATGGGGAAGGGATTCCCTATTCAATAAATGGTGTTGGGAAACTGGCTAGCCATATGCAGAAAACTGAAACTGGACCCCTTCCTTACACCTTATACAAAAATTAACTCAAGATGGATTAAGGACTTAAAGAAGAAAACCTAGGCAATAACATTCAGTACATAGGCATGGTCAAAGACTTCATGAGTAAAACACCAAAAGCAATGTCAGCATAAGCTAAAATTGACAAATGGGATGTAATTAAACTAAAGAGCTTTTTCACAGCAAAAGAAGCTATTATCAGAATGAACAGGCGACCTACAGTACGGGAGAAAATTTTTGCAATCTATCTATCTGACAAAGGGCTAATATCCAGAATCTACAAGGAACTCAAGCAAAGTTCATGTGACTTTAAATTCTGAGAAATAAAAACAGCTCTGGAGATTACCGGTAATACAAAAATGTCTTCAGAATGTAGACATATGATCCAAAGTATGCAGGTCAGATACTAGGTTTGCTGAATGCTTTCAGGTAAAAAACTGTTTCTTTGGCTTTGGAAAATTATTTAACTTGCCTGCTTTACAGTTTGGTAAGGCCTGGGGACATATGGAATTAACCACACTCCTAACTATGCTGGAAAGAGCCAGTCTTTATCTGCATCTAGTACATAATTAAAATAACTTACCAAATTTTACACAAAAAATAAAAATTGCTAAGAGTTCCCATTATAACATGTAATTGAAACTGCTCAAAACAAATTTGCATATAATGTGTGTAAAACAGTGGAATGTGGTTTTGGTGGTGGAATATAAGAAGGCATGGGATTGTAAATTTCTGCCTAAGCTTAGAGGGTTCAAGGATTGTTCTGCATTACATGAGATAGAGCTATAAGTTTGAACAAGGTGTGGAAGTTTTGTACCAATTAATGTTTTAAAATAAATTCTGTGTGTGAACATATTGACTAAATTCAAAACGGTATTACTCGGTTGTTAAGTAAATTGAACATTGAAATAAAAGCACAAAGACACTAATCTGCTCTTTAACACAAATTTGGAAAAGGTTTATGAGACTCTCTTCTTATGGTCAAACTGATTAAGATTGAATCAATTTGTCTATAAGTTTTCATTTAAAAAATGGAGTTGACATTAATAGTAGACTAATGCAAAGGTGAAATTTGGTTTTCTCTCTTGAACAAGATTTTAATGTAATATTAAAGGAGAATGAAAGGTGTTTGTCTGCCTTGTGAATACTGAAAAAAAGGAATGACAAGAGACAGAGTGTTTGAAAAGCTAAGTCTTCCCTCTTAATGTATAAAGATTTTTGCCTTTTTAAAACAAAAATTTTGGAGTCATTGTTTTGGCTAAAAAAATGACTTATGGTAACCTGGAATCCTATTTCATAACAGTAAGTGTTTTAAGCTTTTAACATATTTTATTGCTTTCCCAAAATTAAATTTCAGCTTCAAAATTGTATTTTCTAACACCTAACTTTAGGATGCTACAGAGGGCCTTTGGAGCATCCAAAGGAGAGGTAAACAGGATTAATTTACTTGTTTAGTTACATAAGATTGTTGAGATTGGGTGTTATTTCGTCTTCTTCAGTATATATTTTAGTAAATAATGTTAATATGTGTTCCAAAATTGTACAGGATGTCTAAAATTCAAATGTTTGAGTATGTGTTACCAATCATAATTAGGGTTATTGTGTTGGGTTATTGTAAACCAGAGAGGTGACCAATTTTTTTTTTGTCAGTCATGCTTTTGACTGTTACTACCCTAGGACATTTTGACATTTACTGACAATTGTTGTCTTGTATTGATCCCCTTCAAAAGATGGATTATAATCCTTGAGTGCAGGTTCCTGGTAACTTTGGAGATAGTGAACAGGAGTCAACTGGGTGGACTGAACTAATAGAAGACTGAAGTAATACATATATATTTTTAAACTTTTTGCTTGGAACATTGCTGATTCTTTTTTTATTATTTATTTATTTTCAGAGTCAAGGAAAACTTTCTTTTGAGCAATTTTCAGGTTTGACAAATTGTGGGGGTGAATCAACCAGTGACCTCTGATTGCAGCTCAGATGAAAAAAAAATGGATGGGCCATTAAACTCCAAATGGTTATGAAAACGGAGCCTTAGACAATGGCTCCCTTTTACTGGGAACCCATAGGTAAGCTTCTGAGAAAGATTTGACAGTTGTTGCCCCCAAAACATTGCTCCCTGCCAGCGTGAAACAGTTACAAGTGGTCATTGACCCTCATTTATAGGCAGGTAGATGTACCTCTTCAGAGGGGGAATTGACGGCAGCAGTGGCCCACCTGGAGGGGCCACAGCCAAGACACTGGCTGCAGTGGGGCAGGCATGGCTGGGCTGCATTCTCCACAGAGCTGGCAGGAGCTGGAAACAGTCAAGAGCCCTGCCCTCCTAAGCACAGCTGCAGTTTGGGGAGCTGCATCTGTGGACCTTGGCATCTCGGTACTCTTTGGGACATGGGATGGCCCCCCTTTTGCCCCTACAGGCTTGGAGGTATCTGCTCCCACTACGTGACCTCTCCCTACTCTCAGTGCCCACTCTAATTTTAGACTGAGGTTGAAGCTGAGCCTGGGTGTTGTTGCAGCTTAGCCAGGTGTGCACTAGTTCGGGGCAGTGATGAAATGCCAGTACCTCGCTGCTTCAAACCCCTCTGGAATTTTAGCAACAACTGTAATGGGAGGGAGGCTGAGAGGGCTGCTGAAGGCAGCTTTACAATGGCCTGCAGGCCCCCCTTGGCATGGACGACCTGGGCGCAATGACTGGTGGCAGGAGGCAGACAGGCTCCTAGGTGGAAGGAGGCAGGTCCCTGGTAAAGACCCATCTTCAAGCTGGGGAGGGCCTGCAGCCTGGGGGCCAGGCTGCTGGTCTTGCAGCCAAGAGTGGGAACATGAGATGCTTTTTCAGGGCCCACCCATGGCTGCCTATGGACCAATCAATGCACACTTCCTCCCTTATGCAGCCCATAAAACCCCTGCACTCAGCCAGACTCAAAGACACAATGACCTGCCAACTGTGGAGAGGAGCTGCCCACTTTAGGGTCTTCTCTCTGGTGAGAGCTGAACACCAGATGGGATGACCAGCTCTAGAGATGAGCTACCCACCCAATTCTCTTCTCTGCTGAGAGCTGAGAAGATGATCGACAGCCCGCCTGTGGAGAGGAGCTACCGCTCCAGGGTGTCTCCTCTCTGCTGAGAGCTGAACACTCATTGGGTCACCTTGGCTGCGGAGAGGAGCTACCCACTTTGGGTCACCTCTGACTTATTCTATCACTCAATAAAGCTTCTCTTCACCTTGCTCACCTTCCATTTGTCCCATGTCTCATTATTCCTCGGCATGGGACAAGAAGTAGGGACCCACCGAATAGCGGGGCTGAAAGGGCCGTAACACAAACAGGGCTGAAACATGCCCCTCGATCACCACATTGTGGGTGACAAGATGGAGAGAAGAGCTGCAGCCCATTGAGGAACCCAGAACTAGGAGGTCCCTCAGCCAGAGCTGTGACACCCTCTTTTGGGGCTTTGCCATTCCTGACATCTCCAAACTTCTGGGTGCCCCTGCATTCCCTGGTGCCAGCCGTGGAAGCTACTTGCAGTATACCTGGTTCAGCTGCAACCATGCAGGGAGCCAGTACCTGTACCAGCACCTGGAGCTGCCTACTCCACTGCAGCTGGCATGCCTAGCTCTGTGCAGTGACCAAACCCCATGCTCACTTACAGACTCCTTGCCACTACACACTTGGATTGACTTTGGCGGGCATGGAATCCAGGCCAGTAGCACAAGTCAAGCACAGCCTGCCAGGCTGAGTGGGTGGGATGAGCCCAGTGGAGCTGAGCAAAACTAAGGCAAAGGCACCACTGTCCACAGAGGTTTCTGACTGGTGAAGCAACACCCCAAGGATCCTGTAACACATGGACAATCTACCCACATTTTGGGCAATAGCTCATCTGTAGTTCTCTTGCTGCAGATGATACTCTTTCTACTCATTGTTACAGATTCCTATTCAGACTCTGTGAATCTAATGATCCACTTTGATGTTCTAGGTAGCCTTCTTAGAAAGAAACAAAATGAACTCCAGACAATTTCTGTCACATGTAACTCAAATCTGATTTAAGGAAAAACTAGCTGGCTAATTCCTACACCAAAAAACGAACACAAAACATCCTGTATCATTCAGTGCAAAAACCATGAAAACTTCAAGGTTATATTGAACATAGAATACAATGTAGCTAGATGCTTAGGGAAACCTTGCTATGAGTGTGCTGAAAATTACAGTAGTCATCTATTGCTATATAACTAATCATCTAAAATATCAGTGGCTTAAAATAATCAATACTCTTTCTATGTAACTGAAACCTCGTATACTTTGATTAATGTTTCATCTTCCCCCAACCAGAGTAGATTTTGAATGTTTTCACCACACAAAAAAGTGATAAATATGCAAGGTGATAAATTTGTTAGTTAACCTGATTTAATCATTCTACATTGTAAAAATAGATCATCACATTGCATCCCATAAATATATACAGTTAGTATCTGTCAATTAAAAATAAAATTTAATAAAACCTGTTATCTCATAGTCTCTGTGGATAGGGCATTCAGCAGCAGTTTAGTTGCATGATTCTGGCTTGGAGTATCTCACGATATATGGTTAAGATGCAACCAGTATCGCAATCATCTGAAAGCTTTGCTTTGTTTGGAAAATCTGCTTCCAAGATGACTCACTTGTCTGGTACTAGTTATATGCACTTATGTATCTAATGACATGCTCTTGTCTTCACTCAGAGAGAGTAAATAAAGGCAGAAAGATGGAACACAGATGCTTTCTATGACCTAGCATCAAAAAACACACTCCATTATTTCTATATCTTATATGCAACAGATGTTAGTCCCATTCAGTGAGAGAGGAACTCCAACGAGTGTGAATACCAGGAGGCAGAAATCTTTTGGGAGCTCTTGGAGGCTAGTTATCACCAAAAAATGCAGTTGAAACTATACTATTCCATTGGAAAAAAATAATGCGTTTTAACTTGAATTTCACTACTGAAACTTTCTAATCATTATCCTCTTAACCAACCATGAATGCAAACCTCCAATAAATAAATAAATAAATAAATAAATAAAGTAATTAATTAATTTAAAGTGACCAAAAGCCATATAAATCTATTTTTACTTCTCCATTTCTGGTAAGTATGCACACATAAAATAGAATACCCTCGGGTATCAATAAAAATATTGGTATGTTACTAAACAATATTGAAATTCAGAACAGAAAGATTAAGTTAAACGTCAAATATTCAGAATTAAATTTTGTAGCTAAAAGTCCAAAATAAAATTGAAAATGCAATATGAAATTTGAGATAGTCAATATTCTCACAGTGACCCTCTCAAATCTACCACTATGTCTCCAAGAGGGACGTGAGAGTAGTGGGTTCTAAAAGGCAACCTTTCAAATTGTGTGAAGGATAGCAGACAAATGAAAACAAATATGAAGACCTTTGCCTGTCTCTCACCTCTCCTGTCTGTTTTATCCTTTCTGGGCACTTGATTTCCTGGGAATACTATGTTACTCAGTGGTCATATGATGATGCTGTCACTATGGAATGTGAGTATGAGTATGAGTATATGTGCAACTTCCACCTTATTTTCTTTAAAGTAAGCAAGTGAAAACTAAATAGACTAAAAGCCCTTTACTCTAGATATACTGTTTTTTTTTTTTAACTTTCATTTTTAAGTTCAGGGGTACATGTGCAGATGTGCAGGCTTGTTACATAGGTAAAGATGTGTCACAGGGGTTTGTGGCACAGATTATTTTATCACCCAGGTATTCAGTTGAGCATCCATTAGTCATTTTTCCTGATCCTCTCCCTTCTCCCAACCTCCACCCTCTGGTAAGCCTCAGTGTGCACTGTTCCCCTCTACGTGTTCATGTGTTCTCATCACTTAGCTCCCGCTTATAAGTGAGTACATATGGTATTTGGTTTTCTGTTCCTGTGTCAGTTTGCTAAGGATAATGGCCTCCAGCTTCATCCATGTCCCTGCAAAGGGCATGATCTTATTCCTTTTTATGGCTGTATAGTGTTCCATAGTGTATATGTACCACATTTTCTTTATCTAGTCTATCATTGATGGACATTTATGTTGATCCTATGCCTTTGATATTGTGAATAGTGCTGCAATGAACATACATATAAATGTATCTTTATAATAGACTGATTTATATTCCTTTAGGTAGACTTCTAGTAACAGGATTTCTGGGTTGAATGGCATTTTTGTCTCTAGGTGTTGGAGGAACTGCTAGGCTGTCTTCCACAATGGTTGAACTAATTTATACTCCCAGCAACAGTGTAAAAGCATTTTTTTCTCCACAACCTCTTCAGCATGTATTATTTTTTGACTTTTTAATAATAGTCATTCTTCCTGGTGTGAGATGGTATCTCATTGTGGGTTTGATTTGCATTTCTCTAATGATCAGTGGTATTGAACTTTTTTTCATATGATTGTTGGCCACATGTATGTCTTCTTTTGAGAAGTATCTGTTTATGTCCTTTGCCCATTTTTAAATGGGGTTGTTTGTTGTTGTCTTGTAAATTTGTTTAAGTTCCCTGTAGATGCTGGATATAAGACCTTTGTCAGATGCATAGATTGCAAAAATTTTCTCCCATTCTATAGGTTGTCTGGTACTCTGTTGATAGTTTCTTTTGCTGTGCAAAAGCTCTTAAGTTTATATTAGATCCCATTTATCAATTTTTACTTTTGTTGCAATTGCTTTTGGCATCTTTGTCATGAAATCTCTGCCTGCGCCTATGTCCTGAATGGTATTGCCTAGGTTTTTTCTAGGGATTTTATAGTTTTGTGTTTACATTTAAGTCTTTAATCCATATTCTAAATATACTCCTTTTTTGTTGTTATTTCTGCTGGTTGGAGACAATGATGACTGGAGAGAACTTGCAAGTTGTGACTTGTAGATGATAGAGTTGCCCAGTTGGTGAGGATTCCTAAAATGAATCCTGGGGCAGATTCTGCCCATCTACAAGAATCTATTAAATGAGTGAGAAATAAATTCCTCCTCTGCTTGAATCAATGCATTGTTGGGTATTTTTGCTATATGCCTCAAGACTAACAAGAAGTAATTTAGAAATAGGAATGAAAATAGAGTAAAAGACCACAACGTGGCTGATCTAAAAGAGTAAGTGTGGGGAGGCAAAAGAGTAGAGCTCCCATAGACCTCAAACCTACTGAACACTCCCACAGATCTTCCTTAATGTTCCTCAAAATGCGAATCTTAAATAATTTTGTTCCCAAATTTACTTAAAGACCACCATTCATCAATATCCTGAATTACTTATCTGATTCTGCCCCTTCTTTACTGAGAAAATTTCAGTGTACCCTCTGGACTATATAAAAAAATCAGATATAAGCCAGAGGTAAAAAAAAAAAAAAAAAAAAAACCTAGCAGCTTCAGCTTTATTAATTTATCAGCACTTTGTCTGAAAAATACAAAACTAAATGTCTTAAAGGTTGAGATACTGTCACTATAGGCTGCACCACTGAGATGATCATATACTGTATTATTTATACTGTTATACAGTATCCTTAGCCCCCAGATCACTTAAGTTTGTGGCATCTTCTAAGCCTTGCTCAGTCTGCTGCCAAACTAAAAGATGGGTCCTGAACTATTTCATGATTCCAGCTTTGCTCATGGTACACTCTCCTTCACTTTACATTCCCAGACAAAAAGTTATCTACTTCAAGTGAACCTTCCCAGAAAATTCTTGATGAAAATAATTTTTCTTTCTAATGAATCTTTTGGATACTTTATTTCTCCTTACAAGTGCTTATTAATCATATATCAGTTAATGATTAACCTAGCTTACCTCACTTATGACACAATAAGGTCACAAGGAACTTGCTATTCATTATTGTACTCCCTCAAGGCATAGTACAACATGCAATCAATGTATTACCAAATTAATTAACTAATTTTATTAATGAGGAATTAATTTTAAATGTTTCTGTTGATCTAAGGTAATATAAGAGTGTATCAATCAAATATATTACTTGCAAGAAAGAGAAATCCATTGTGGCTGATTAATTAAAAATAATTAGTTACATAGTATTATGGGACTGAGAAATTTCTGAGAACCTAGAGAACCCCTTTCATACAACTAGGGCAGATCAAAAAAAAAACAAAAAAACAAAAGAGCACTCTGTTTAGGATTCCTGTGTAATATATATATTCTACCACTGAAGAAGACCAGACTCTCTGGTTTGTTTTAACAAGACAATGATGCTTTTGGGAAATTAAGCTGATTGCAGCTGCCACTCCAACTGGGATGAACCTTTATGGCACTAATTATTTTTGTCACTAGCTTTCAATTCAATATCTGGGGTGGAGGGTATTTGCTTAGTATACCTGTTCACACCCTAGCTTCAAGGGAAGCTCAGTAAGTCAGTACCTAGAATTTTCATCTTCTGAATACAATGTAGGATTCACTTTACTTTAAATCTCACAGAAACTCAAATGCAGAGCAACAAGAAAGACTGAAAAATGTGTATTATTTAGACAATCACCTGTTGACACTGTTTTTGGGAGGATTAAAGGAGTTAACATAAGAGACATAAAATAGTTTTTAGCAAGTATTAAGAGTTATACAAGTTTGCTATTATTATTATTATCATAACAGAATTTCCATTACTTCAGTAGACATTTATTGAATGCCTACCATATATTGAGATATCTGTGCTTGGCCAGAGCTGAGGCATACATTCAAAGGTATGAAATCAGTCACCAATGCTACATGTCATGTCTAAGTTTCTTTTTGTAGGTTCTCCTTGTTACCCGGGCAGAAAGAAAAACATTAGTGTATTAGTCAGTGTTCTTCAGAGGGATAGAACTAATGAAGTAGATATATAGCTATATAAATGGGAATTTACTAAGTATTAACTTACACAATCACAAGGTCCCACAGTAGGCTGTCTGCAGGCTGAAGAACAAGGAGAGCCAGTCCGAGTTCCAAAACTGGAGAACTTGGAGTCTGATGTTTGAGGGGAAGAAGCATCCAGCACGGGAGAAGAATGTAGGCTGGGAGGCTAGGACAGTATTTTTTTTCAAATTTTTTCCGCCTGCTTATACTCTAGCCATGCTGGCAGCTAATTAGATTGTGCTCACCCAGACTAAGGGTGGGTCTGCCTTGAAAAATGCAGGTGCTGCCCTCACAAATCTATTTTGCAAGGCATTGGTCAAGGGTATATCTTCTGGACCTTCCCAGCTGGGATGAATAGGTCTAAAGTGACTAATCCACTCCACCATCCTAATCTCCCTAACCCTTTGGATCCCTTCCTTTACATTAAATCAACAGAGATCTGGCATTTCCAGCTTGCTCAGTGGGCCAACTTTTAATCCATGTGTCAGATAACCAAGCAAATAAACTATTAGAGCCTTTTTTAACTCCCTGAGCTGCAACATTAAATGCAGAGTCCCTACTTAGTGGGCCCAAATCAATAAATTCAGCATCATCTAATGCTATGTTCCTTCCCCCATTTTCCCACACTGATAACATTTATTCTCATGCCTGAACACCTGGCAGAACTGTGCATGCCCCTTTCATTGCTGGTCAACCACCCACATTTTAAGAGCTTGTGTCTGTGTTTCCAGAATTTCAGCTCTTTCTCTACAGAAGATAAGACTCTGACCCAGGGCAATCTTAGCAGATTTGAGGCTCAGTATCTGCTTCTGAAGCCAGGAGTTAGAAACACTGAGCTCATTATTTTCTTTCATCATTTTGTCCACTGAACTTAGGAGTAACCAACCAGCTTTATTATGTTCCTTGGATCTCCACATATGGACAAAGGTATTATGTATAGAGTCACTAAAGTCCTTGCCTCTCGTGAGTATTGAATCAGGAGTGTCAAATGCATTTATTTTGTATAACTCTTGAAACAGTTCATGCCAAGGACTATCAGTGTTCTCCATACTATTAGAAGTAGAGTCCTTAGCATTGTGGGGTCTAATCATATTAAGCAGCCAACTCCAGAAACATCAAAACCAATGAAAGAACTCCATCCTTAATATTATGTTCATCAAGAACCACTCCTGGTACCAAGATCTGTGTTAATCAGGTTTCTCTAGCAGAGCAGAACTAATGGAATATATATATATATATTCCATATTCTAATTCATATATTTTAATGGTATACATATATATAGCATTTATATATATAATATATATATTATATATATATTTTATATATACATTATATATATATTTTATATATATTATATATATATATTTTATATATATTATATATATATATTTTATATATATATTTTATATATAATATATGTTTTCAGGATACTGCAAGAAACAAGAGAGTGAGTACCTTGCTGTTATAAACATTACATTCTATACAGGAGAGACTGACACCACAAATTGTCTACATGAATTAAATTGAGTCTTTTTTTCTATTCAGCTCCTTCTCCACATAGCTAAAGAAAAACAAACAAGCATTATGACTGGTATACCTTAAATTCATTTATGTTGACCTCAGTTAGGCTCTCAATAATGTCCATCGTACTATATTTCTTTTATATTTTTATTCTTCACAGTCTGAGAGACCTGTGCCATGCCCTTTTCACTCCTAAACCCCCCTATACTTCCCCTACTTCTCATTCTCAGGTATTGTTTCTAGCCACTATTTCTCTGAGAAAAGACAGACGTTCAGAAAAATAATTTCTACATACAATCCACTGCACTTACCATGTCCACATGCAATCAATGAACTGTGCTCATTTCTTGCTTTTCTTTTGGTCCCTTTGGGAGAACTGTTCCTTCTCTTATCTAAAGCCAAATAAGTCATTTGTATACTAGATTTGACTGCTCTCATAGCCTCAAGAACATTACTGCCTGTCTGTTTCCACTCTTTCTTAGAATGACTATCCCCTCATCACCTGGATCTTTTCCATCAGCAAACAAACAAGTTATAATATTATTCATGTTAACAAAACAACAACAAACTAGTTTTGCCATATATCCTGCTCCAGTTAGCTCACCCTCTACCATTTCCCTGTTTTCTTTTTAACATGAAACATTCTCTATAATTTGGTTTATTTTTGTTTTCTTCAGCTGATCTCCTCCCTTTTTCCCTTGAGTACAGTATAGTCAGGCTTTGGTCTCCAACATTCCACTGATACAGCTCAACAATGACCTCTGTATTATTAATGCAGTGGGGAATTATCTATGGTTAAATTATCAAATTCATAATTTTCATTTAACAAAGTTAATAATTCCCTTATTTCATAAAAAACATATTTTCCTCCACTTGAATTCTGGGAAACTCATGGCTCTTTATCCTCTTACAACTTAATTAGCATCTCCTAATTTTTTTTATTAGTTTCTCCTTATTTCCCAATTTCTAAAGTTCGGAATGCCCACTGTCTAAGGCCCTGACCAGAATTTCCATTTGATCTGCTAATAGAATTTTAATGAGAGATTATAAACATTATTTGACTGTTTGACTGAATCTTGAACTCATCAGCAGTCTTTACTAAATTGAGATTTCACATATTTCTTAGAATACAATAGAAGAAAGAATTCAATGACTTACAGAGATAGGAAAATTAGAGTAGATTTATCATTCGTGACATGTTGACATGTCACTACCACGTCACACAGTAAGTCCTAGAAAACAATTCCTGGATCATGGCACTGAGAATACATGAGAGAGGGTAACATCAACCTCAGCAATGAAAACTCATTACTGTGACTGTTTCCTTCAGTCTATGGTCTGAAGTGCTGTTGCTAAATGTGATTCCTGTTTTCAGTGCGGAGGATGGACTCCCAGAGTAGCATGCTGAAGTGTAGTAGGTATCATCTAAAGTCCCAGTGGGCATGGTTATTATAATAGGGAATGGGCCCAGACAGGTAGCCCCAAAATTTGAACCATGACAGTCTGTGGTGGAGATTAATGAGTATGGGTTCTTTAATGACTTGGGAAGCCCAATAGGGTCCTACTTATTTGCATGACCATGACCACAGCAACACAAATCCTCTTTGACAGGGGTTAATCTACGCAGCTCTACCTGGGTATACAGCCACTGATCTGGCAACTATTATTTTTCTATTCCTTAATGAGGGAATGCTGGCAGCACTTGTATGTATTTATTTTCTAACTGACAGCAATATACCTTACAATATTGGCTGAGGCTAATATCAGCCTCTAGATTCATAATAATTTTGTTCATAGAAACTTTTATCACTTTAAGTGCCAACAGGATATCTCATTAGGTTCCTGTATTGATTATTCAAGATGATATGTCTAGGTTGGTAGGAAGTCACAGATATTTTAAATTCCTTGGTAAGTTACTTTGGTGACTGAGAGAGGGAGATAAACCAACTGAAAATTCAGACTCCTGCCATCTAAATTACTTTCTGAGTGTTTCTTCAGAGTAAAAGATATATTCTACATCTTGTATCTTCTTTGAGTATGAAACAAGCAAAATCTGATTATCTTTTAGTTTTGGAGTTAATATATACCAACTTTCTCTGTTCCATTTCCTATGTGAACTCTAGCTTGGAAGCTGTAATAATTTCAAGCTGATTAAGGCTGAAGTACAAGCATAAAAGGGACTTCATCTTGAGGATCTAATGTTATAACTTAGTATGTGTAAAAATAATTATATACACATTCTGAGGCAAGCTTAGATTAACTACAGAAGAAGAACTAGGATTTTATTGTTGCTATTGGTTTTTGTTGCTGTTGTTGTTGTTGTTTTTGATGTTTTACTAAAGCCAAATCTTGTTGAGCAAATAAGTATCTTCGTTTTTAGAGGTAATTTCTGGTTTCCTTCTGTGTTTCTGTACAAACAACCTGAGCCCGGTCAGCATATAACCCAAGGTTTCCCAATCCACCAAATCATGAAATCAAGTATATTAGCACTTCATCTCCACATGGATTTATGTCTTCAGACTGTTACTGGAAACCTTCTGAGGTCTTAAATGCTGGTATGTCAACTTCACTGCCTTCTCTCACATGATTCCTATTTTGGTTTCATGGAAAATCTTTTACGACCTGATGTCTAAGTGAAACTTGTTGACTGATGACTCTAAGTGATGTATTAGCAGTAATAGGAGGGTAAATACTGCAGCTCTGTAAAGACACAGTGATCGCTTACCTATAATGGAGAAAACAAATCTTTCCTGTATGGAAAACATCTAATAGCAGGTCAAATTTCATTGACTGGAAAAATAGGTGTTTTAAGGTAAAGATACATGCTTATTCTGCCCAGAAGCTAAAGATTTTGACATATTATCAGGGATTTGGGGGTGGGGTGGGAAAGCTTGGAGGATGAATAATGAGGAGATTTGATCAAAAAGTACATGAATGAACTTCTTAAAATGGACATAGAATGTCAGTAAGTTTTTAATTTTTATCTTTAATTTTTATAGGTACTTTGTAAGTATATATATTTATGAGGTACATAAGATATTTTGATACAGGCATACAAGGTGTAATAATCACATCAGGACAGATGGAGTATCCATCACCTAAAGCATCTACCATTTCTTTGTATTAGAAACTTTGCAAATATACTCTTTTAGTTATTTTTAAATGTGCAATAAATTATTGTTGATTGTCACCTTGTTGTGCTATCAAATACTAGATCTTATTCATTCTAACTATATCCCTGATCCATAACTATTCCTATTTCTTCCCCTCTCCTTGACTAGCCCTCCCTTCCTCTGGTAACCATCATTCTACGCTCTATCTCCACGAGTTCAATTGTTTTGATTTCTTGCTCCCACAAATGAGTGAGAACATGTGAAGTTTGTCTTTCTGTGTCTGGCTCATTTCACTTAACATAATGTCTTTCAGTTCTACCTATTCTGAGCAAAAATACCTTTGCAAAGAAGACATTCAAAGTCAGGTAGACAAGATGACGTGTTCTGTGGCAGCCAACAAAACACTTGCTTTAAAAATTATGTGGTTATAATAGAAGGAACATGGGTTACATACCTAATACAGATTGCCATTCATCAATCTAACCTGGTTATTGCCACTACTGGCTGCCCATCTGCAGCATATTTTCTGGAAAAAAAATATACTTTCTAAATATATATGTTTTTTAGAAAATTTAGACTAGGAAATTTTTACTATGTTACAGGAATAGCTGACTTTATACCTTAATTGAAAATTTTTAGAAACCATAAGTAAAATTTTGACTAAGAAGAGAAATGAATGACAGTCAGCAATAGTTAACAATATGATATTGTACATTTTAAAATATGTTAAAGGCCTGGCATGGTGGCTCACACCTGTAATTCTAGCATTTTGAGAGGCTAAGGTGGGTGGATCACCTGAGGTCAGGAGTTCGAGACTAGCCTGGCCAACATGGCGAAACCCCGTCTCTACTAAAAAATACAAAAATTAGCCAGGCTTGGTGACTCCTACATGTAATCCCAGCTACTCGGGAGGCTGAAGCAGGAGAATTGCTTGAACCCAGGAGGCAGAGGTTGCAGTGAGCTGAGATTATGCCACTGCACTCCAGCCTGGGTGACAGAGCAAGATTCCATTGCAACAACAACAAAAAAGAAGTTAAGAAGATACAACTCATGTTAAATGCTTTTACCACAAACTCAACCAATCACACACACACACACACACACACACACACACACACACACATACACACAGAGGAAATTGTTACTGTGATGGCATCTTGGGTAGATGCATCTGTATAAACTCATCAAAATGTATACATTAGGCATATTCAATTTTTTATTATAACAATTATACCTCAATGAAGCTTGAAAATAATTAAAATAATTAATAAATATCAAATCAGCTTTTTTGAGGGAGGTTGAGTGTGATTAAATTTTCACTTGTATGGGGAATAGTAGGAGTGCGTTAGGCGAGATCAGCTTGTTATAGCTATTGTGTGGACATTTATTTTTTTAGCAGTGCTAAACAGTTTTTATTCAGGCAATGAAACATGGAAAAACATATTTGTAATCATTGTAATAATTTGGGAGTATAAGTTTTACAAATAGTTACTTGATATATAAAAAAGTAAATTACTATGCCTATAGAATTTGTGTAGGTGACCATTCCACACAACAGAATCCTGTAGTCAATGCAGCATTCATCCTTGCAGATTAGAGGCTCCTCACACACTTCATGGCACCATGGTGACACAGTGAAAGCAGATGTGCAATGAACATCTACTTGGCACATGAGTACAATGGACAAATACTGGCAAACACTCACTTGCTAACAGCAATACTGAAAAGTTTACGCTACCACCTTGGAATGGTGGCTCAAGTCTACAATCCCAGTACTTTGGGAGGCGGAGGTGGGAGGATTGCCTGAAGCCAGGAGTTTGAGATCAGCCTGAGCACCACAGTGAAATCTCATATCTACAAAAAATTTTTAAAAATGACTTGTGTGGACATTTAAATAAAAATATACAGGGTTTTTGAATACTCAAAAGGCCCAAATGTACTTACTCAAATTTACTACTTATGCCAATGACATTCTGGATTTTTTTCTTTTTTCTTTTTTGCCAGTCTCTGGAAATTTGGCAACTAAAATTGAAGACTTGCTGTGATGGTTAATACTGAGTGTCAACTTGATTGGATTGAAGGATGAAAAGTATTGATCCTGGATGTGTCTGTGAGGGTGCTGCCAAAGGAGAGTAATATTTGAGTCAGTGGGCTGGGGAAGGCAGACACACCCTTAATCTGGGTGGGCACAATCTAGTCAGCTGCCAGTGAATATAAAGCAGGCCAAAAAAGTAAAAAAAAACAAAAAAACAAAAAAACAAAAAAAAAAAACCTTAAAAGGCTAGACTGGCTTAGTCTACAAGCCTACATCTTTCTCCTGTGCTGGATGCTTCCTGACCTACAATATCAGACTCCAAGTTCTCCAGTTTTGGGCCTCAGAATGGCTCTCCTTGCTTTTCAGCTGGCACAGGGCCTATTGTGGGACCCTGTGTTCATGTGAGTTAATACTTAATAAACATATATATATATATGTATATCCTGTTAGTTCTGTACCTCTAGAGAACCCTAATACAATTGTATATTACTTAATTTTCATGAGATAGATTACTCCATAATAAACTTGCAAGTGGAAGAAGTAATGTGAGGAGTTAGCAGTACATGGAGTCACTGGCCCTCCTTTCGAACATTGTGCCAGAGACATTAGCACTGGCAGTGAGGTTTTACTACAACATTTTTTTGTAATGCATAGTGTAGTGCACTCTTTGCAGTGTCACCCAGAAACCCATTTAAGGCTTCCAGTTGTTGAGAGTGCTGTCAGCAGACATCTCTACAGCCAACCATCTCCAGGGATTACCCTATCTCTGCTGAAGAGAGCCACTTTTCCAAGGTCATGGCCTTTTTCAAGGATAACATACATATAATGACTGATCAATGCAGGGTTGTAAAGTGTCATCTTACTTGCTCCAATGCCAGGAAAGTGTGAATAGTCTTCTCAGCTTCAGAGTTTATTGTTGCATATAGGTTTTTCAAAGATGTGCAAGGTATCTTATTGTAACGACAACACTATTGGCTCCACAGACAAGCTATTTAAATCGTTTCTGGGCAAATCACCAGCTAGAAGTCATCAGGGAGAGTTCTTGTTAGTAACGTTTTGTTCTAGAGTTGCAAATTATAAAGAGAAGCACTTTTCAATATGGATTTTTAGTTTAGGTCTCTTGTCCATGTTTGTTTTCTAGTTGTATAAATTGGTAATAGAATGTGAACAAAAAAGGACAATTTAAAATAGAGATGTGTTTATATCCAACAATATCTGACTTTTAAAATCTACATACTTTATTGCTGTAATTTTTAACTTAATTTTTCTTAATCTATTACATTTTAATCTTCTACAGGTCACTCTTCTAGGAGCTGGTTCACGGATTCAAAGTGGAAAAGTCATTGGTTAGCAGAAGGACAAACACACAAGTAATGAACATTATAGACATTATGCCTCGTAGATAGTTGGATACAGGCTCTTACATTTGAAGTGGTCTATCTGATGCAGCTCTTAACCAAAGCATCTTAATGTATTCTGTTTGATGAAAAGATGTGTCACAACTAAAGGTATAAAACATGAAATATATTTCCGATTTTCATTTTCATTTAATTTGTCTGATATCCCAAATATCTGATGAGGTAAGGATCAGCATTTGTGTTAAGATGGTGAAAAAACATTGTTGATAATACATTGTGAGTGGTGAATCAAGCACAAATTCAGTATATGAAAGACAAACATTTATAAGTTATGTGTAAACAATACTTAACTTTTAAAGAAAAGTACATCAATTTTTTAAACATATCATTTCCTTAGTTTTCCACAAGTCACTTGAATTTTGAATACTATAGTTTTTTTCCCAACTTCTCAGATTTTTTTCCTTAAAGTCACATTTTAATTGATAAACAGATTTATCTGCTAAATAATATATGTTCTCTTTTCCATTGACAAATCTGGAGGCTGCTAGCTCTTTTTGTTGTAAATTGCCTGGTTATGTTAATCATACTAAGTGAATCAATACAATACAGATTCAAGAAATGATGAGGAAAATATTTGAACTATAATACAATTTCTCATTTTTATTTCACATTACAGAGTAAATCTTAAAATATTTTCTAAGAGTTCACTGGTACTTACTATTATAGAGATATTTCCTATATAGATATTTCTTTAATAACAGTTGAAGAGTATAAGAATTATGGTCTTGGAAGCTAACTAAGTTATAAATATAAGTCATAGATAATGTAACATTCTATTAAAAACCTCTTCCTGTTAAGTGAAGTTATCAAATCGTGCATGTGTTACTGCAAAAGTGAAAACTTTTTATACTGAAATTATTAAATTCTTCGAAGTGTATTTGAGTTTAGACTGCTTATTTATTGGTCTGAAATTTCTGTGTCTCTAGAAGTAAAAAACCAACTGAATGATTTTCCTGTCTTTTCTATCATGGCATATAAAGAAAGAGAAAGCTAGTCTATAGAAGGACTGGGAACTAGCAGGGAATTGCTCTTTTTCTACTCTACTCATTGGGTAGAAGGATATTCAACTTATCTTCTCCCCAGCCCCAAACTTGCCCATTACTATATTGTAGGTTAAGTTGAACCTTCCCCTTTCACCAGTACAAAATCAGAGTGCATGGTCATCTGTTGCTTGAATGCTATGGACCCACTGAATCATCAGAGCGATTGCTGTTGTTGAGATGTAAAGAAAAGGGTAAGGAAAACAAAGAATGCTAGTTTTGGGTGTGGGGCATAAATAGCTTATAATTCTATCATCTGGGAAGGCATAGTATATAGTTCCCATGAGCTGCAATGACATAAAGGAAGGTTTTAAAGACTTAAAGTGTCATGTAAATACCCTAAAGAAGTATTTTGAATAAAGAAATACCATACCTAAAAGGCTATTGGTGGCATCATGCATGGTGAAGACTAATGGAGAAAAGAAAGAGGTGGAGGATCTCACTACAGGGATGGGTCAGGGGAGGTCCCCTTAGGGACCCGTGAAGAAACAATAAATGTCTTCCTTGAGAGAACCAGCACTGTGATCATTTAACATAGCAAAAATGAGAAAAGTCAGTGTTTGACAGATTAATTACTATCACCCAAGGAGCAGAACATTGTTTCTCCATTGTTATATATAGGATCATTCAGATGAAAGAGTAAATGAAAGATAGCCAAGTAAGCAAAGGATGGCCACATAGCCATGGGGTAGCTCACTAAGAAACATGTTTGTTTGTTTTTTCTGTATTTCTATCTCCTGTAACACCATTGCAGTAAAGACGGAGGGGTGACAGTGACCGGGCAGGTTCTACCAGAGGTCACTACAACTTCAAGCCTGTTTTCCATGAGAAGTAGAAGAAAGAATGAAATATGAAAATGTTTTAAAGTTACTAGTACAAATATTAAGAATGTTAATAAGACTATCTAAAAAATGAAAATGAGAGAATGTCAGAAATATTATGGAATAGGCTTAACGTGTATCAACAGAATCAGCTATCTAGTGAGAAATAGGAGGCGGACATAGAAATTATGGTAGCACTTCTTCGGAAAATTAAAGCTTTCATCATATTTATTAGGATCTAAGACCCCTCATTCAATCTGTTGCACAAGTCAAAATACTTGCATAAAAGTAAAATCAAACGATATAAAAATTGCATTTATGACCAACAAAAAGTGACACAAATTAACTGAGGTTTATTGGAATCATTGTGACTAAAATCAGTAGAACAAATTGTAGGGAACAAGTACAGAGCGTGGAGACTAGTTGGAAGGCTATTGAAGTAGTTCAGGTGACAGCTGTTGCTGGCTTCTACTTGGGACAGGGAGCAACAATGGAGGAACTAAGAAGTGTAATATTGGAATGTATTTTCACGAAAAGCACATGAGGTTTGCTGGACTGGATGTCAGTTTCAGAGAATGAAGATTTTTGTCCCGAACATCCAGATTTAAAATGCTGTTAATTGATGTGGAAAGGACTGTGGGAGGAGTAACTTTTGATGGTTTAGGTGTGTTAAATAGATTTGAAGACATTTAACAAAAATCCCAGTAGAAATTTCATGTAGGAAGTTACATATCTGAGTCTGAAGTATAGGGAGGACATTCAGGTCAGAGCTATAAATTTGAGAGTAGCCAATGTGAAAGTGTTGTTTATTATCCTGTGGTCGCATGATGTCACTGTAAAAGTGTGTACTGGCTAAAGAAAAAAACAAAAATATTCCCGAGGCCTGATCCTGGGGGACAGCATTGCTTGCAGTGTTGAGAAAGATGGGGAAGAACAGCAAAGGAGGCTGGGAAGGAGTGAGCAGTGAGTTAGAAAACAAAAGAGAAAGATGATGACTCAGAAGCTAAGATAAAAAAAAAGTACTTAAAGAATGAAAGAGTAATTAGTTGGCTCAAGTATTGCTAATTTATTGAACAAATTGAGGACCTGGAACCATTAGCTTCGTCATTGTGAAGGTTATCAGTGACCATCACCAAAACAGTTTCAGTTGAGTGGCGGGGGCAAAATTTTGACTGGGTTATGTTCCTAAGAGATAGTGGGAGAAAAGAGAAACTATACAGAGACTATAGACAACATCTTAAAATCTGTTACAACAGTAGGATAATGAATGGGAAGAAGCCCGAGGGTGGTATGGGAAAAATAAAAATGTATGTTTGAGACAGTGAATGATAGATACAGCATATGTGAATACTGTTGAGAGTTGATCCTAGAGAAAGAATAATTAAAAATATAGGGGATGAACCAATTTAAGAAATAAACAACAGATAATAATCAGTATCTTGATGGAAGACATTATAAAGGATAATAGGCAGTTTATGCACAGTAAGATTCAAGAAAACAGGAAATGCAGGTACAGATGCAGGTATATTGATGATCTTAGTTTTGTAAAATAATCAATGATATTTTCATTTAAGGCTGTCCTAGTTGGCGTTTTGTTACTTGCATCTTAAACAACATGCCCCTCAAGGTCAAGAGTTATCTCATGGACATCTTTGCATTCCCAGTCTTGTTCAAAATTGGCATTTAGTTGGCCTCAATAAATATATGGTGAATTAACACATGTACTAAATTACATTAAAATGAATGGAAATTTGATGTGCTTAAATGAAGCCTCGTTCACAAAACGAGACATTGTTTGTTCTGAGCAGCTAAAAATTTCACAAACCAAATAAAATAAAGCAATATTTTTATAAAGCAAATATATTTATAAAGCAAAAAAATTTTCACAAGCCAAAAAAAGCAATATTTTTATAAAGCAAATATTTTTGTAAAGCAAAATCTTATTCTCTCTACTCCAGGAAATAGGTATTATATATTCAAGGTAGGAAAGGGAGTAACTCAGAAAAGATGAGGTAAAATTGGCATTTCAAGTGTACAAATGTTGCTTTTTTCAACTCGTGTGTGTGTGTATTTGCATGCACATGTATATGTTTAGTCTTGGTCAGTAAATGATGAGATATTTGCTAAAAAATTGTGTGTAACTTCTGCTTTGTTTGATTCTATTTTACTGTTACTGTCACCTCAGCTGTTTGGAGATATACATATATATATATACAAAATAAACTATATATATAATTTTTATAATTTTTATTTTACTTCATTCTTTGATATAAAGCCTTCTTTTAGGTTGTCTGATTGTAAACAAATAGAACTATATGAAAATTATCGGGTAAGATATGTAACTGAAATGTGACATTTTATATTGCAAAAACTGTTATCTGATTTCTACCAACTTACCACATCTCTCAGTAATGTGAAGACTGGCACTAATTGTCATTGACATTGGCAGACCTTGGAGACTGGCCAGTTAAGTGAGTGGACAAGGGCCGGGCACAGTGGCTCACGCCTGTAATCCCAGCATTTTGGGCGGGTGGATCAGCTGAGGTCAGGAGTTCGAGACCAGCCTGGCCAACATGGTGAAAACCCGTCTCTACTAAAAAAAAAAAAAAAATACAAAAATTTGCCGGGCATGGTGGCTCACTCCTGTAATCCCAGCTACTCAGAAGGCTGAGGTGGGAGAATCGCTTGAACCTGGGAGGCGGAGGTTGCAGTGAGCCAATATCGCGCCACTGCACTCCAGGCTAGATGACTGAGCAAGACCATGTCTCAAAAAAAAAAAAAAAAAACAGTGAGTGGACAAGACATCTAGAATTCCCCTTTCCAATTAGAGAACCATCTTAGACGGGGTTGTAATACGTGCTTGAGAGTCAACAGAATAGAAAAATGTTCAATAACCCTTCTATATGGAGAGAACTTCTTACACTATATTGTTAGTGTCACATGTTGCTTAAATAAATAGAAAAACAAAGCGTATGTCTAAGTCACAGTAAGAAATATAACTTCTCTCTTAAGATTTAGGTTCAAAAAGGCACTCAAGATTCACCATATTCAAGTTCAAGAGAAACCCAGCATAATCAAGAGGTCAATTAATAAATATTTTTGCTAACTAGAATATAATTCCTGCTTCTATCTGTGATTTTATGTCTATTATAAGGCTTAAATCTCTTCATGCAGGCATTTTTGCCATGTGCAAATTGGAATAAACAATGCCCCAATTTGCACATGGCAAAAATGCTCCAAAACTACCAAGGAGCTTTGAATGTAATTCAGTATTTTGAATATCAATGTTTTCCATGTAGGAAAAAAAGACTTAATAAAAACTTTTCAGAAATGTTTACAACTTATACCATATTCACTTGGACTATTCATATACTGGTACTTAATTCTTTCTGCCTTTTTAATAAAAGTGAATACTCAGATCTAGTTTTTTTGTTTTCCTTTAAACTTGATTGAAGTCATATTTGTTACTTCTTCTGAGAGTCATTGCAATCCAAAATGCCAAATGAGTAATTTTCAGGGCTTTATTATTCATGACCAAAATAAGAGCAAATATTTCTAATAGAACAAAGTAAACAAACAATTGTATAACTATTTATGGATTACTATAACTCAGTAAACAAAGTTCTCGAGAACCTATAAATGCTTCTTAGCCTACTGTTAGCTGCCTTTCTATTTGCTTTCTTATCACTCCTGTTATCCTGTAAGGAGAGTTGTGGATAGATATGTGATCTCATTTTTTCCTAATCATTTGCAGCTAAATACATTTTACCTACGAATAATCTCCAATTAGATGCTATCATTGTTTGTCATCGATTACACAGGAGGAGTCTGCTTAAAAAAATAGTAGATGGTAATGACATTTTGATGAGAGTTTTAGGTGAAGATCTTGAGGTTTTTATTTCTTCCAACTATTTAGAGAATTGGGTGACTAAAAGTGAAAAAGAATAGAACATCTTGGAGCAGGTCTAGGTATAGTCCTTCACTCTATCTCTGTATTGCCCTGTATCATTCTAAAAACACAAACCTGCTTCTTTGATGTAAGAGAAAATTGCATCACCAAAAAAAATCTTAAAAGATGTTGTGGTCCACATTATGACAATTTGATTTCATTTTTCAAGATTAGAAAATAAGTAAACTCATGATTTTGTACTTTTCTAAGTAATTGCTTAAAGAATTGCATGTATATATAATGAAAATTGATTAATATTAAAGGCATGCCCCTAAAAAGTAATACAAACTTTTAAAAATAAATTTTTATTTTGACATATAACACAGATTCATCAGATGCACAAACCAAAAATTCATAACTTAATGAGTCACTATTATAACCACTTCCCACATCAAGACATAGAATATTGCCAGCATCCCTAACCTATTAAAAAACATTTGCAATCACCAACTCCTCCTTCCTTTCTACAATCTAGAACTTTTTTTCTAATCAATTCCTTACTCTCCTTTATCCACTTATTATGTTTTATAATACCATGGTATATTTCTGCCATCAGCCAAGTAGAATCATATATTATATGTTCTCTTTCTGATTTCTGTTCAATATTATGTGTGTGAGATTAATTCATTGTACTGCATAAGTTGTATTTTATGCATTTTAAAATATAGCACAATTTATCTATTCATTCTACTGTTCATGGCATGTGTTGTTCATAGGATATGTGACACTTGCTAAATTGAAGATACCATAATTGAAGATAATGGTGAATCATTCCCTAAAGTGGTTGTTTCAATTCACACTTTGACCAGAAATAAATGAGAGTTCTCAAGCTCCACATCTTCACCAACACTTGATGTTATCTGTCTTTTAATTTTTAAGCTTATTTTGTTGTTGACGGAGGCATATTATTGTAGGCTTAATTAGAATTTCCTTATTATTTTCCAATGAAGTTAAACAAATTTTAAAAAATTTCAACTTTTATCTTTGATTGAAGAGAAACATGTGCATGTTTTTTACATGAAGTTTAACAATATTGTATATTTTTACTTTCTATCAGTATATGCTTTTGTGAATTACTTTGAGGTTTCATGCCCATTTTAATATTAGAAAACCTGTTTTTTACTTTTTAATCTGTAGGAGTTCTAATATATTCTGGACAGAAAAAAATTATTCATTCAAAATGTTGCAAACATATTTTCCAACTCCACAATTTGCATTTATTGGTGTCTTTTGATGAAGAAGTATCTTAAATTTATCCAATTTTGTCTTTATTTTTGTTACTTCAAGAGTCTCTTGATATTCTAGAATATGTATGTATCATTATGGTTTTTTGTTTGTTTGTTGAAAGTTAGGGTGACCATATACCATGGTTTTTCCAGAGACAGTCTTAATTTACACCAATTTTCCTGGTATAATTATAAATATTATGCACTTTATATTCTAAAATTTATAAATTTCAGAGGAGGTTAGTCAAGATGACTGTGTCTTTACTCTGGTTATGTTTAGCTGCATAGGTGCAGTAGCAAATTGGAGAGGGATTTAGTCATACCCAGGATTGTGATTTTGCCAAGGAAGTACAAGTAAGTAAAATCAGGATAAGGGAGCTGAGGGCAAAGGCCAAGGAATGATTATGAGGCTAAAACATTGGAATTAAGCTGGGTAACATAGAATGAAAGTGGTGGTAAGAAAAGAAAATTGATAAAATTAGTAATAGAAAAGAATTCAAGTTATTAGTGATTACATGATTCATGTGATGGCTCTGAGAGTGACAGAATGAAATACAGTGGGGTTCAAGATTATTTAAGGAGAAGAATTTAAGGAACTAAATACTAAAGTTTTAGAAGACCTTTAATGCTATTAAAGTGTAAACTACACAAGTCAGTTAATTTTGGATGCATAAACTTAGAGAAATCACTCAGCAAAATATTACTTTTGAAAATACACATTTACCAATGTGAGGAGCAAAGACAGGCATTCATCTTCTCTCATTTCACAGATAATGCATTTAAGAATTGGGGCTTAAAGAAGCTTCATTGCCCATTTAAGAAACTTGCAGTCATGTCAACCCTAGTCTAATACAAAGTTTCTTTATTTTCCTTCTAGTGTATTCAAAGCATCCTCCTTGCTACTTTCTCTTTGTGTCCCATATTTCTGGTTCCCTCAGATTATATATAGGTGGGCTACTGGCTAGTGACATAGCTTTCACTATTTCTGGTGAGCAGACATTTTTAGCCCTGTGACAGAAATTGTTTCTATTGCCCTTGCTATAGAATTTTCTGTACCTGTGAAATTTTCCTCCTGGGAAAGTTTTCTCTCACATTCCCTTTTAGCTTCAGCCAAGCAGTCACCCTGTGCAAAGCTGCTGTGACGCTTCCAAAGGTTGGACCCTGAGGTGCCTGGTAAGCATTGATCCCTTTTTCATTTTCTTTTAATTTTAATTTTATTTCTAATTTCCAGGGTAGAAGTGCAGGATGTGCAGGTTTGTTACACAGGTAAATGTGTGCCATGGTGGTTTGCTGCACCTATCAACCTATCACCTAGGTATGAAGCCCAGCATGCATTAGCTATTTTTCCTGATGCTCTCCCTTTTGCAACACCACCTCCCAACAGGCCCCAGTGTGTGTTGTTCCCCTCGTGTCCATGTGTTCTCATTGTTCAGCTTTCACTTATAAGTGAGAATGCAGTGTTTGGTTTTCTGTTCCTGTGTTAATTTGCTGAGGATAATGGCTTCCATCTTCAACCATGTCTCTGCAAAGACATGCTCTTATTCCTTTTTATGGTTGCATAGTATTCCATGATTTATATGTACCACTTTTCTTTATCCAGTCTATCATTGATGGGCATTTGGATTGATTCCATGTCTTTGATATTGTAAATAGTGCTTCAATGAACATACACATACATGTGTCTTTGTAATACTATGGTTTATATTCCTTTGGATATATACTCAGTAATGGGATTGCCGGGTTAAATGGTATTTCTGGTTCTACCTCTTTGAGGAATTGCCACATCATCTTCCATAATGATTGAGCTAATTTACATTCCCCTCAACAGTGTAAAAACATTCCTATTTCTCGGCAACCTGGCTAGCATCTGTTGTTTCTTGACTTTTTAATAATCACCATTTTGACTGGCATTAGATGGTATCTCATTGTAATATTTACTTGCATTACTCTAATGATCAGTTATGTTGAGCTTTTTTTCATATGTTTGTTAGCCACTTGAATGTCTTCTTTTGAGAAGTGTCTGTTTGTGTCCTTTGCCCACTTTTTAATGGGGTTGTTTGTTTTTATCTTGTAAATTGGTTTAAGTTCCTTGTAAATTCTGGATATTAGACCTGTGTCAGATAGAAAGATTGCAAAAATTTTCTCCCAATCTGTAGGTTGCCTGTTTGCTCTGATGATAGTTTCTTTTGCTGTGCAGAAGCTCTTTAGTTTGATTAGATCCTTGTTGCAATTGTTTTTGGCGATTTCTTCAAGAAATGTTTGCCAATGCCTATGTCCTGAATGGTATTGCCTAGATTTTCTTCTAGGGTTTTTATAGTTTTGGGTTTTACATTTAAGTCTTTAATCCATCTTGAGTTATGTTTAAGAAAGGGGTCCAGTTTCAATTTTCTGCATATGGCTAGCCAGTTCTCCCAGCACCATTTATTAAATAGGGAATCCTTTCTCCATTGCTTGTTTTTGTCAGATTTGTCAAAGATCATATGATTGTAGATGTGCAGTCTTATTTCTGAGTTCTCTATTCTGTTCCATTGGTTTATGAGTCTGTTTCTGTACTAGTACCATGCTGTGTTGGTTATTTTAGCCTTGTAGTATAGTTTGAAGTTCAAAAGAGTAATGACTCCAGCTTTGTTCTTTTTGCTTAGGATTGTCTTGAGAACTACAAACCACTACTCAAGGAAATCAGAGAGGACACAAACAAATGGAAAAACATTCCATGCTTATGGACAGGAGGAATCAATATTGTGAAAATGGCCATAGTGCCCAAAGTAATTTGTATATTCAATGCAATTCTTATTAAACTATCATTGACATTCCTGACAGAATTAGAAGAAACTATTTTAAAATTCATATGGAACCAAAAAAGAGCTCCTATAGCCTGATCTCCTTTTCAATGTGCTCCACTAAGCCTCCAGCCACAGGGTACTATATGAATCCTTTTTTGCTCAAGTGAGCAGTGCCTCTGGTATTTTATTTACCTGTGCTATTCTAAATGTCATTTCAGGAGGGCTTAGCTGCATTTCTAAGAATTAACAAAATTCTTAAATTAATTATCCTTTTTCCTCCACAGGGGTTAGTACTATTTGCTGCATTTAAGTGCCTTCTTTACCTTTTCTTTGTCCTCTAGACCAGATATTAGTTTTTCTCACACATCCATCTACTTTTTGTCTGAAAGTCTTTCAGAGCTTGAGATATAGCCTTAGGAAATTCTGAGTCTCTCAAAAATGCCCATGGTTCAATCAAACAATACCTACTTTCTTCTATTCAATTGGATAATCTTACCAAGGAGATAACTCCCATCTAACCCAGACTTGGACATAATCTACCATTGTCTTGCCTCGCTTCCATTTAGTACATCTTATCCTGGTGTGTGTTTCTTTAGAAGGTTAGTTCCATACATTTCTTAGGCCTTCATTTCAGGACACAGAGAATATACTTGTCTCTGTGTCTCTAACTATGAGACAGCCTGCACCTGCTCTAGGCACCAAATTTTACTTAGTACCACACATTTACTTAAGGCACAAGCTTGATACACCAGCTCTCTAAAAATAGAAACTCATCTGTGTAATAACAACAACTCAATTTAGCTATGTACAAAAGTGAGTGTCACTGCAAATTAGTTGGTACCTGAAATTTTATTCTTTATTTCTGAAATTTTTTCCTAAGTGAATATGATATTTATGATTTTATGGAATCAGGGGAAAAAAGGACTACTTTTTCTAATTCAGAAATAAAATAACTTTGAAATATAATAAATATGTAAATATATAAACTATTATTTATTATTAATATTATTTGGTATTATTTGCTTTATTCTTTACTCTCCATTATTTTCTATACACTTTTAGAAATAAAGCCTTGATAAATTCAATTCTGAATACATTATAGGTTATATTGTATAGTTTATCATTCTTCATTTCAGGAAACACATAACGTCTAATAGCTGTACCATACTGGTGCTAAGATTGATTATAGATTAAGGTGCTGTCAGCCAGTCCCTTCTATATTTTTTCTTAAACTAATTTTTGAAAGATAGTTTTCATTTGGTGTAGAATTTTCATTAGACAGCTATTTTGCTCCTCTTTTAAAGATATTATTTAACTCTGTTCTGATGTTTGTTGTTACTCTCAATTTGATGTCCCTACTCTGTGAGCAATTTGTCTCTCTTTTCTGCATGCCTTTAAAGATTGTCTCTATTTCTGATGTTCTGCAATTTGACTATGATGTCTGCAGATAAGGATTTCTTTTTATTTATAATGCATGAGATTTGTTGTGCTGTCTGAATCTGAGCATTGTATTTTCATCCATTTTGGAAAACTCTCAACTGTTGTTTCTTGGAATATTTTTCTCTTCCAATCTCTGTTTTCTCCCTCTGTGATCCATAAAGATAAGCAGATTTCCTCTTTTTACAGTTTTGTTTTTTACCAAACTGACTTTTTGCATCTGTTTGTCTGACTGTACCACACATCTTCTTATCTGTTCTCTGGTTCTAAGTTTCTCTCTTTAAGTGGGAATAGTCAGCTGTTTAAATTTTCAGTTTCCAGTCTCAGGAATCACATTTTTCTATCTAGTCTGTATTTTTTTCAAGTGCCTCTGACATGTTTTAAAATAAACATTTTTATAGAAGTATAATATACATAGAGAAAGAAGCACGTACCTACAAGTACAGTCAACAAATTCTCACACAATGAACATACCATACGACAATGGCCAAACAATAGACCATTATTCAGCACCCTAGCAGCCTCCTTCATGGCTTATCCTAATAGCTACCTCTTCCTTGTCCCCAGAGGTAAACCCTCTCTTGATTTCTAATGCTATATATTAATTTTTCAAGTTTTTAGTTTTCATGTAAATGGAATCATACACTATATTTTCATTTGTGTCTGAATTATTTCACACAGAATTATATTTGTGAGATTGACCAGTGTTATTTATTATATCTGGTAATAGCTTGAAGATATTCAGTTATATGGTATTCCATCTTACGCACATCACATCCATTATTTATCTATTTTACTATAAATGAACAATTGGCTTCTTTATAGTTTTAGACTATTAAAAACAATGCTGCTATAAATATTCTTGTGTATGCTTTTTGTCCACACATGTACTCAGTTCAGTTGGGTATATACTTGAAAGGGAAATTACTTGGCTATTAAATATTCAATCTGTTGCATAATAACAAATAGTTTTCTAGAATGGCTGTGTGTGATGCATCATTTTACATTCCCATTATCAGTGTATGATGTTTTCAGTTGCTTCACATTCTCACCGTGCTTGGTATTGTCAGCTTTTTAAATTTCAGCTATTTTAGTGGATCGTTATTGCTATAACATTGCAGTTTTAATGTCTTTGATAACTATTGATGTTGTCTACATTTCTTGTTTGATGTTTTGAATATCCTTTTTTTGTAAAGTACTCATTGAAAATATTAACCATTTAGGTGATACCGCTAAAGGCAATTTACAAATTCAACGTTATTCCTATTAAACTATGATATTCTTCACAGAATTAGAAAAAAATGATTGTAAAATTCATATGGAACCAAAACAGAGCCCAAATAACCAAGGAATCCTAAGCAAGAGAACGAAGCTGGAGGCATCACATTACCCAACTTCAAACTATACCAGAAAGCTACTGTAACTAAAACAACATAATACTGGTAAAAAAACAGACACAATGACCAATGAAAGAAAATAAAGAGCCCAGAAATAATGTCGCACTCCTGCAATCATCTGATCTTCAACAGAGTCAACAATAATAAGCAATGAAAAAAGGAATGTCTATTCAATAAATGATACTGAGATAACTGGCGAGCCATATGCAGAAGATTGAAACTGGACCCCTTCCTTTCTCCATATTCAATAGTCAACTCAAGAAGCATTAAAGTGTAAAACCTAAAACCATAAAAACCCTGAAAGATAACCTAGGAAATACCAATCTGGATATAGGATCTGGCAAAAAATTTCATAATGAAGGTGACAAAAGCAATTGCAACAAAAACAAAAACAGACAAGTGGGACCTAATTAAACTAAAGAGTTTTTATAGAGGAAAAGAAACTCTCAACAGTGTAAATAAACAGCCTACAGATTGTGAGAAAATATTTGTAAACTATGCATCTGTCAAAGGTCTAATACCCAGCATCTATAAAGAACTTAAATAAATTAAGGAGCAAAAACAACCCATTAAAAAGTGGGCAAACAACACGAGCAGACACTTTTCAAAAGAATACATACATGTAGCCAAAAAGCATATGAAAAAAAGCCCAATGTCACTGATCACTAGAGAAATGAAAATCAAACCCACAGTGAGATACCATCTCACACCAGTCAGAATGGCTATTATTAAAAAGTCAAAAATAACCAATGTTGGTGAGGTTGCAGAGAAAAGAGAATGCTTATACTCTGCTGGTGGAAATGCCAATGAGTTCAGCCATTGTATAAAGCAGTGTGGTGATTCCTCAAAGAACTTGAAACAGAATTACCATTTGATAAACAATCTAATTATGGAATATGTAATCAAAGGAATATAAACCATCTTACCATAAAAAATATGCATGTGTTTGTTCATCTTAGCACTATTCACAATAGCAAATGCCCATCAATGGTAGACTGGATAAAGAAAATGTGGTACATATACACCACACAATACTAAGCAGCAATAAAAAAGAATGAGATGATGTTCTCTGCAGCAACATGAATGTAGCTGGATGCCATTATCCTAAGCAAAGTAACATAGGTAAAGAAAACCAAATACTGCACTTCATAACTTACAAGTGGGAGATAAATGATGAGAACACATGGACACAAAGAGAGAGACAACAGACACCAGGGTCTACTCGAGGTTGGTGGGTAGAAAGCGGGAGAGGATTCAAAAACTACCTTTTGGGTATTATGCTTGTGACCTGCATGATGAAATAATCTGTACACCAACCTCTGTAACAAACAATTTACCTATATGACAAACCTGCACCTGTACTCCTGAATCTGAAATAAAAACTAAAAAAGAAATTGTTAACCACTTAAAAATATCAGGTGGGCCAGGCATGGTGGCTCATGCCCGTAATCCCAGCACTTTGGTAGGCTGAGGCAGGAGGATCATTTGAGGCCAGGAGTTGGAGACCAGCATGTGCAACATAGTGAGACCCCATTAAAAAAAAAAATTAGCCAGGCATGTTGGCTCACACCTGTTATCCCAGCTACTAGGGAAGCTGAGGTGAGATGATTGCTTGACCTTAGGAGGTTGAGGCTGCAGTGAGCCACTGCACTCCAGCCCTGACTAAAAAAAAAAAAAAAAAAAAAAAAAAAAAAAAAAAAAAAAAAAAAAAAAATCAGGTTGGGCCAGGCGCGGTGGCTCAAGCCTGTAATCCCAGCAGATTATCTGAGGTCAGGAGTTTGAGAGCAGCCTGATGAACATGGCGAAACCCCGTCTCTACTAAAAATACAAAAAATTAGCTGGACGTGGTGGTGTGTGCCTGTAGTCCCAGCTACTCCGGAGGCTGAGGCAGGAGAATCACTTGTACCTGAGAGGTGGAGATTGCAGTGAGCTGAGGTCACACTACTGCACTCCAGCATGGGTGACAGAGTGAGACTCCGTCTCAAAAAAAAAAAAAAACAGGTTGTCTGCATAATTTATTAACTTCTTGTAACTCTCACTATTTTGGTGTATATATTAGTCAGGAATTTTTCTCTATATATATATTATTATATAGTTCACATAACTCATATATTTTACTTACAGCACTCATACATTTTACTATTTTCATTCACTCAACAGCCAGCACTAGATCCCTTCCCCAAGTTCCAGATTTATATATTTAATGTCTATTGACAGGTCTTCTTGGATCTTCATCTAACTGGCATCTTGAAATTAAAGCACCTAAATCTTAGATACTGATACTGATATTCCTCTGAACCAGCTCCTGTCAAAATCCTTTACTAGTCAGTAAACGGCAGTTCCAGTCTTCTAGTTGTCCAGGGCACACTCTTTGATTTTTTTTTTAGTTTATCCATTACCTCATATTCATTCCATCAACAATTTTATTTTTGCCTCAATCTTCAAAATATATCCCGACGTTTCACCACTCCACTACCAGGACTTTGGCCCAGAGTTCTTTCATCTGGAATATATCACAACAGTATCAAAATTTGCTTCCTTGTTACTTACTTTGCCTCAGTAAAGTCTAGTCTCAACACAGATGATAGAATAATCCCATTAAAATAGAAATCTCAGTAAGCCCTCCTAAAGGTTATTACCTTATGGAAAATAAAGACCAAGTATTTTTCATGACTCGCAAAGCTTTGTGTGATCTGCCTCCCAGCCACCTCTGTGATTCCCTTCATCTGCTGCCCTCTCCCTCTGCACCTGCCCCATCACCCTGGTCTCCTTGCTGTGCCTGAAACAGGCCAGTCACCACTTCCTTCCGCAAGACCTTTGCACTTACTATTTTCTCAACCTGGAAAGTTTCACTTTTAGACATCTACAAGAGTGGCATTGAGAGGTGACAGCGTGCTGGCAGCCCTCACAGCCCTCGCTCGCTCTCGGCGCCTCCTTGGCCTTGGCACCCACTCTGGCTGCGCTTGAGGAGCCCTTCAGCCCGCCACTGCGCTGTGGGAGTCCCTTTCCAGGCTGGCCAAGGCCGAAGCCGGCTCCCTCAGCTTGCAGGGAGGTGTGGAGGGAGAGGCGCCAGTGGGAACTAGGGCTGCGCGTGGTGCTTGCAGGCCAGCACGAGTTCCGGGTGGGCTTGGGATCGGCGGCCCGGCACTTGGAGAGGCCTGCCCGCCGACCGCCAGCCCCAGGCAGTGAGGGGCTTAGCACCTGGGCCAGCAGCTGCTGTGCTCAACATCTCGCCGGGCCTTACCTGCCTCCCGGCGGGGCAGGGCTTGGGACCTGCAGCATGCTATGCCTGTGTCTCCCCCCGCTGCCGTGGGCTCCCACGCGGCCTGAGCCTCCCCAACAAGCACCACCCCCTGCTCCACGGCACCCAGTCCCATTGACCACCCAAGGGCTGAGTAGTGCCGGCGCACAGCGCAGGACTGGCAGGCAGCTCCACCTGTGGCCCCAGTATGGGATCCACTGGGTGAAGCCAACTGGGCTCCTGAGTCTGGTGGGGACTTGGAGAACCTTTATGTCTAGCTAAGGGATTGTAAATACACCAATCCGCACTCTGTATCTAGCTCAAGGTTTGTAAACACACCAATCAGCACCCTGTGTCTAGCTCAGAGTTTGTGAATGCACCAATTGACACTCTGTATCTAGCTATTCTGGTGGGGACTTGGAGAACCTTTGTGTCCACACTCTGTATCTAGCTAATCTAGTGGGGAAGTGGTGTACTTTTGTGTCTAGCTCAGGGATTGTAAACACACCAATCAGCACCCTGTCAAAACGGACCAATCAGCTCTCTGTAAAACAGACCAATCGCCTTTCTGTAAAATGGACCAATTAGCAGGATGTGGGTGGGGCCAGATAAGAGAATAAAAGCAGGCTGCCTGAGCCAGCACTAGCAACCCTCTGCCATCCTCTTCTTCAATGTGGAAGGTTTGTTCTTTTGTTCTTTGTGATAAATCTTGCTGTTGCTCACTCTTTGGGTCCACACTGAGTTTATGAGCTGTAACACTTATGAGCCAGCGAGACCACGAACCCACCAGAAGGAAGAAACTGCGAACACATTGGAACATCAGAAGGAACAAACTCTGGACATCCTGCTTTTAGGAACTGTAACACTCACTGCGAGAGTCTGCGGCTTCATTCTTTTAGTCAGTGAGACCAAGAACCCACCAATTCCGGACAGGGCATCTACCTAGAAGTCAGCAGCTCAGTGGAGTCTTTCCTGGTAACCCGACCTAAAATCCCCAAACTGCCAAGGTATGGCATTTCATGTTTTTCTATTCTGTTTCTATAATCTCCTTAGCATTTATCACTGTTTAATGTACTATACACTTTTCTTATATATCTTGATTATTGTCCATCTAAAACACTTGAAAGCGTGTTCCATGAAGGCATGGATACTTTTGTCTATTTTGGTCACTACTATAGTTTCCTCTCTGGGAATCATGCCAAAAACACAATACATACTCGCAAGATTTGTTGTATGAATGAATGACAACATAAATAGATCCACTGTAAAGTTCTACTGTGGTGTATTTTTTTGCTGAAATTCATTTTCTATGCATCCTAGGAGTAATCGTTCTCATACACTTCAAAATCTTTTCATATGTACAAGCTTGTATATGTTTGTCATTGTTGCTTATTCCTGTCAGTATTCCTATCTAAAATGAATAGAGTCTAATAGAGTCCGAATTTGTGCCTTTCCTATTATTTTTATTCATCTTCTTTGCACACCCCCCTCAAATAACTCATGCTTTACCTACAGCTATTTTCAACATATGCTTTCAGATATTAAGATGAAATACAAGAATATGTGCACACCTTAGTCAAAATTCTAAGTGATAATTTTCTATGGCTCTGATAAACTGAAATAGAGAATCCACTGTTAATTTTCTGTGTATGAAAGGTAAACTTCTAAGTACTTTGGGAATATTCAGAACTTTCCTTTTGCCCTGAAACATTTATTTAAAAACTTAATCCCCAGTAATCCTTGTAGTGTATGTACTCTTTCAAGATTTCTTTTTATCTCTACTGCCCTTGACATTCCTTATACAATCCTGTACATAATACTGGATATTTACCTTGTGTACTGATAAGTGTAAAGAAAAGCTTGGTTTGCACACATAGACACTGACTCTAACATTGGGGTTATTTTTGAACATCTTAAGTGATTTTCTTTCCCTCTTGTGTTTCTATGATCTATGTGTGTGTGTACCACTAGAGATACTTAAATTTGGTTCCTCTCATGTGTAAGTTATTCATTTCAAATATTAATGAATTATGGACCCTTGATTTCCAAGGCTTTTGTCAGTGCATTGCTGATTTTTCTCTGATTTTATTTGTATTTTAGTAGGAAGGAAGAGGAGAGCAAATATGATATTTCTGTGAGCTGTTACTATAGGCTGTTTTGGTTAACTTAAATTTAAAAGATTATTTTAAAAATAATTGGTCAGTATTTTGCTGTTAACTTAAAATATTATTTTACCTATTTACTATACATACATAGTGTGAAAAATGTGTTAACAGCTTGTAAAAATATAAACCTGTCAATTGAAGAAAATGATGAGACAAGTCTTAATTATTTTTGGAGACTTACTTGCCAAAGTTAAGGATGTGCCTGGGAGACAGGTCTATGCCTTTCTCTGAAGATGATTTTGAGCGCTCCAAATGTAAAGGGGAAAGGGCAGGATATTGACAAGCACACAGTTTTTACTTAAACAAAAGGAGCAAATGAAAAATGTGGGGAATCTGCTTTATTTTTTTTTTTGAGACGGATTCTCAGTCACCAGGCTGGAGTGCAGGGGCGTGATCTCGGCTCACTGCAACCTCCGCTTCCCGGGTTCAAGCAATTCTCCTGCCTCAGCCTCCTGAGTAGCTGTGATTACAGGCACTCGCCACCACGCCCAGCTAATTTTTGTATTTTTAGTAGAGATAGGGTTTCACCATGTTGGTCAGGCAGGTCTCGATCTCGTGACCTCGTGATCTGTCCACCTCAGCCTCCCAAAGTACTGGGATTACCGACGTGAGCCACTGCGCCCAGCCAGAATCTGCATTTTACGTAATATAATACATACAAAATGGGGTAGGGGCACAATCTGATATGCATTTGTCTGGCAGGCGGGGGTAACTGCACCTGTAAAGATAAGCTATCAATTAGCGTTGCCGTGGTGAAGTTTTAACAGCTCACCAGGAATTTCCTTTCACAAACCCAACAATTCCTGGTCAGCAGTACACCACATAGTTTTACCAATTTTTTTCTGTTCGGAGCAAACTACTTGAATGTCTTCTAGAGATATCCAGTGTGTTTTATTTCATATTTCTAATATTAGCATTTTTCTATCTCTTGTCTCAGTATTTTAGATATCATCTCAGCACTATCCAACCACCACTACACTCAGCCCCTATTCCCCAAATTGCTATACTACAAATTTGAATAAATAACACTGTGTTTTTTGTTTTCTTTCCAACTTTTATTTCAAGATTTACAGGGTCCACGGGCAGGTTTGTTACATGAGTAAATTGCATGTTGCAGGAGTTTAGTAAACAAATAAAGAGAATTTCACCCAGGTAGTGAGCATAGGACCTGATAGGTAACTTTTTGACCCTCACTTTCCTCTCACCCTTCACCCTCAACTAGGCCCCAGTCTCTAATGTTTCCCTCCATGTTTAGCTCCCACTTATAAGTGAGAACATGTAGTAGTTGGTTTTCTGTTCTTGTGTTAGTTTGCTTAGGATAATGGCCTCCAGTTGCATCTATGTTGCTGCAAAGGATATGATATGATTCTATTTTATGGCTGTATAGTATTCCATGGTGTACATGTACTACATTTTCTTTATGTAGTTCACTGTTGATGATCATCTAGGTTGATTCCATGTCTTCTACTGTGAATAGTGCTGCAATGAACACAGGAGTGCGTGTGTCTTTTTTGTAAAATGATTTATTTTCCTTTGGATATATACCCAGTAGTGAGATTGCTGGGTCAAATGGTTTTTCTATTTTAAGTTCTTTGAGAAATCTCCAAACTGCTTTCCACAGTGGCTGAACTGATTCACATTTCCATTAACAGTGTATAAGTGTCCCCTTTTCTCCGCAGCTTCACCACCATCTATTATTTTTTGACTTTTTACTAATAGCCATTATGACTGGTGTGAGATGGTATCCCATTGTGATTTTGATTTGCATCTTTCTAATGATTAGGGATAGTGAACATCTTTTATATGTTTCTTGGCTGCCTGTATGTCTTTAAAAAAATGTTCGTGTCTTTTGCCTACTTCTTAATGTTTTGGGTTTTTTTTTAATTGTTGAATTGCCTAAGTTCCTTATAGATTCTGGATATTTAACCATTTTGGATGCATACTTTGCCATACATTTTGGATACATAGTTCTCTTCTATTTTTGGTAAAGTCAGTGTTTTGACTTTTTTCTGGCTTTTATTATAAGATATTACCAACTGATACTCTAGGTTACATACCATTGGTCCACTCTATTTTTTAAATATATTTTGTTTTTCCCTGGGGCAATAATTGACTAGTTTTTTAAAAACATGCTTTTTTGGAATCTTTGACATAGCCATCTCACAATTTATACATACTGTAAAATGCTTGGGTAGTATACTTCTTCATAAGACCATATTCGTCAAATAACCTATTTGTTGACATTTCTTTTTTCCCCAGGCTTTCCTGGAATTTTGGAGCCCTCTCAGATTGCTCTGTAGATTTGTTATCTAGTTGTCATCCTTGGAATTACCTTCACTTCTTTCAGGTGTTGAGTATCGTCTTTTTCCAATATCTGATTAAACTTTTCTTCATTTATTTATTTGTTTTGTTGAAATACATACCCAGAAGTTTTCTGAGAGAGGAGTAATGAGAGCTACATTTATTTTTTGAACTTTTCATGTCTAGAATATATCTCTTCTACCCTTATACTTGAATGCCAGTTTCCTGGATTAGAAGTCTAGTTCAGGAGCTATTTTACCTTAAAAGTAAGCTATTTTATCTTACAAGGCATTTTTTTCCTATTTCTTGTCTTCCAGTGCTGTTACTGTGATCTCAGATGTTCTTTTAATTCTCAAATTTCAGTAAATTTTTTCTGCTTTAGAAAATTTTAAAATATTATTTCATCTTCATGTTCTAAAATTTAACAAAATGAAAATTGTTTATTTCTGCTATACTGTTTCTCCTCAAAACCTTATAACCTTTCACTTTAGGAAAAAAAAGTTAATAAGGTAATATCCTTCCCTATGAAAATTTTTTGTTTGCTCTTTTTGAAACCTGTTAGTGAAATAGTGCATGTCTATCTCTATCATTTAACATTCCTTTTGTAAAAATGTTAGGGTTTCTACACCTTGCGTTGCAAGCTTCCCTTATGAATATGGAAATCTTCGTTCACTCATGTTCACAGGTGAGGCAGTGGAAAGCAATCTGTGCATGGATGGAGCTTGCCCCTGGTAAGCTTGTATAGGATGAACAGGTAGCTTTAAGATTTTTCACTAGAGAACCTCCCATATCAGAATGCTTAGGCTTTAATTCTGGGATTCTCATTTACTTCATGGAGGATCATCCTGCCTGTTGCCTGTAGATTAGCAGACCGGATGTTTATATCTGGAGCTCAGCAGTGAGTACCTGCAGTTTCACAGTTGAGAAAAGAGCCTTTTACTTAACTTTCAGTTTTCCTGTCTTAGGACTAGCTTCTTTTCATTCCCACACCTCACACCTACTACCTTTGAGCCAGCGATTTCCTGCCAGAAGATGGGGAAGAGATAACCTTAGTATGTACCAATAAAATATATGAATCGAAGATTAAAAGTGTTCTTTATATAGACATTTTTACAATATGCTTGTTTACTGGCCTCTTGATCCTCAGACTCTGATAGCATCTGGGACCACCACTCAACTTCCTTAATATCAGTACCCTCATCTGTGGGCAGAGAAATATTCTTCCAGGAGCATGCCAATTTATGAGTGAGACAGAGCAAAGTAGCTTTTTTAAAATGTAGACTAACACAAAACCAGGAACTTTTGAATAGATAATAAAAGTATCAGTATATTCAGCCAAAAGGAAGCTAAAATAAGAGAATTTTGGAGTCAGAATTGGAATACCAGGAGCCAGGAAGGATTATTACAGAAAGGGCTCTTAAGCAAATTCTGAAGGTGGGGTGTGCCTTGTTTTGGAAGAAATAAACTTAGCCCTCTGGCAAACAATGATTTTGTATTATCTACTAACAACATCTCATTTTAGTGAATGCGAATTGTATACACCAAACCAAACATAACATCTCATTTCTTTCTGAGGTTAACATGCTAATTTTGGTGATATAAGTCATATGAACAAAACTTCAGTTAGTTTTCAGTACTAATCAAAGAATATTTGAATAAGGCGTCACTTTTATTAAATATATGTGAAATAACACTAAAATCCTTGAGTACTTTTAAGTATATGATTTCTTATTTACACATTTCAATCATATTCATGGATCTGACTGTTCTCAGCTTCTGGTTATCCTAATTGATAGAAGGTTTCCATATTTTCAAGAAATCAAATATATATTTATTTCCATTCATTCAATATATTAAAAATGTTAAACTTAAGAAAGTTTATAAAAATTTGACCAAACTATCTTTATGTAGAATAGCATAGCAAATAAAACAGGAACAACAACCTGGAAGAAGTAATAGAAATCTTACTTGACAGATTCCTGTGGCTAACTTGAATTTTTCTGGAAACTGCCACTATAATGGTAGATTTGTCAATGTCGTTATCTCATAACACCACTGAGAAATGTTTACAAGCATCTGATGAATTTTAGGCTCACGTGTGTAAATTATGTGCACATAATGCATTCCTGGTGTAAAAATAAAAGTACAAAACATGATGTAAGAAAATATTACCAGATGTTGAGACAAAGTGAACCAAACATCCTCCTATATGAATATAGAAATACAGGGCTAGGCAGAAAACATATTATTTAAAGTATTTAATGTTTGTCCATCCAGAGCCAGAACATCCTAGTTAGGAAACAGACATGCCTCTATGAAATGTAAAATATGTATTTGAGACGAAAAGAGGTAGCATAAACTACTTCAGCTGGCACAGAAAGATTAAGGAAAGGCAATTTATTATGGAGCTTTCAATATTTGTTAGACATAGAAAGCTGGATTAGGTAGATATTGACATTCCTATTTTGACTCTGCTTCATGGTGGGCAGGTCTACGCAAACCTACCTTTAAGTCCAAAGAAGCCGAGAAAGAGGCCAAAGGGGCCGACAAATCCAGTTTCTCAGGAAAAAACATCTAATAGGGACTTAAGAACAGAAGGCCTGGCTGTGTCTTGGGTGGTGGCAAGACAAGATGGTGGATCTCGGCCCCGTTATGCCCTGGCCCTGGGTTTAGGTAGCGTAAGGAAGGGCTGGCTCAGAAAGAATGTGTAGGACAATTGAAGTATGATAACATCAAGATTGTTTGACCTAAGTGCAGGATTAATTGAACCCAAGTGCACTAAGTACCTGCCCTTACACAAGGAACAATAGACAAATGGGAAGTCTAAGAGGCCTTCCTGGAACTAGAGTTAATCAGAAGCCAACATGGCAGATTAACATCCAAGATGGAGTTTCTTTGGCTTCCACAACTCAAACAAGCCATACTGTAAAGAGGTGACAAGAAGTTCCAAAGGCAAATATCTCATCTGAGAAGTTAGGCATTAGTAGTTAATAGTTGGTTAGATTATTAAAATAATTCATAGACTTTTCTACTCACAACACCAAAACAGAGTACCAAGACAACGAAATCTAACATTTGCCAGTTGTTAGTGATGTGCTTTCCTTCCAGCTTCAATGTTCTTATTGCAGTTTTGTTTTTCTAATTTTTTCTTGTGTGTTGATTGTACCCTGAGTACAGAATTGGTGTACAAATATCACGGACAGTGGGAAAAACAATGAATGCTGCCTGCTTAAGTCACAAGGTGAGTACTGGTATTGCTACATCACTTTTGTGTGTGCTACACATTTCAAATGCATGCATTTGAAAATTATCAGTAATTTTCAAACTTACATAGGACGTAAGTGTAATGAAAAAGATAACTTTGACTTCACAGTGATCAGATTTCATTTTTTTTGTTTGTTTGTTTTTTGGAGACAGAGTCTTGCTCTGTCCCCGGGGCTGGAGTGCAGTGGTGCAATCTCAGCTCACTGCAAGCTCCGCCTCCCGGGTTCACGCCATTCTCCTGCCTCAGCCTCCCGAGTAGCTGGGACTACAGGTGCCCGCCATGACGCATGGCTAATTTCAGATTTCATTGTTAAACATATATTTTCAGAAGTCCGGATGAGTTACTATTAATTAGATTTTTGAAAGAAAGTTGGCCAGTTTGAAATAGTTATGCTTAAGTTTCTAGATTTTATTATTGTTCTCATTCCTTCTGATGAAGAATTAATTTCATTCTGTAAGGATCATATAATTTTTTTATAATTGAATAAGTATTCTAAACGTGTGTTTGTTAGTTTTCTCACTGTATCCTACCATTATTTTCAGTTTAAATTAGCCAAGAAAAAACATAGTACATTTTCTTCCAAGACAATTTCCTACACATATTCCCCCTCAAAAGTAAAAAAAAAATAGTCCCAAATCTAAATTGAAAATTAAACATACCAAAGCAATTTATTACTTTTTCTGTTTTGTTATTCTTTATTTATTTTCATCTGATTATTCTCCCCAACTTCACTTTCTATTTTCTGCCTTTTTGCACTCTAATATAATTTCTTGTTTGTTGTATATTACACTACTATACATTAAAATAATAATTTTCAAACTTAGAAATACACTTTTTTTATGAAACATTACATTAGGGTGCTTTGGGACATTATCAATTTACATTTTACATTTGTAAATTACTTTTTACAATGTATTAATATTTAAGAAGGATATATTCTTATATATAAAAGGCCCATTTCCTCTTAAGTTTATCATCAATTTAATAGTGCATTAACATACTGTGCTTTGATATTACTGTCGACGTTATTAACATGGCTTTCAACAGCGTATAATTTCTCAATAAATTTCCACGTTGAAAACATGTTTTAATATTTTCTTTGTATCACTGGGAACTCTCAGGATAAAAAGAATTCTATGATTGTTTTAGGGTGATAACATTAAATCAGTCTAAAATTTAACAAGACAACAAACCAAGCTTTCATAATTTTCATCATGAAATTAATGTCACTGGAACTAGATATTTTACTGACATACTTAATTTCAAAACTATTTCAAGTAAAGATTTTAAAGAAGTATTAAGTTTTTCTCTATATAATATATATATACACGAATATATATATGATATTTCAGATAATAAATATGTAGGAAAATTCTTGATACAAAGGTCTTGCTAGGAACCCTTGTTTCTATTATCAATTCACATACACACGTACACAAACACAAATTTGTTGACTAGGCAATAACATTTACTTAGAATTTGTGTGTATAGAAATTTTCCAGAAAATCCATTTGTTTAATATTTAAGCCTCATTAGTTCAAAGAAATAATATTTTTAAAATATTTATCTTGCTTTTAGCATTTTAGTAAGTATTTTCAGATTATATGTAAAATTCTAATTATAGCAAATATATCTTAGTATCTAATAAGGATATGCAAACATATAGTGTACTCACCTACATTATTTTAAAGTTTATATTTCTCACCATTTTTTCTCGGTGATCTCCTTTTTTTAAATTGGTACTCAAAATGTGTTTGCTATTGAATGAATTCTTGAAGGAAAGTATTTATGTCATACTACAGATGAATAGCTAACTTTCAAATAAATATTGAAAAACAAAATACCCTTAAAGTACAGGAGAATTCTACACAAGCCATCCTCATAGTACTCAAAAAATGGCTAAGAATTACTCATCTTTTGATTACACTGGTTAATTTCTCCTGGTTAATTGCTAGAGATCAAATCAAGGAAAGAAATGAACAATGGGTCACCAAAAAATAAAAAACGAATAATTCTACATTTCTAAAGATTCCTTGAAATCTTGATTTCTCTTCATTCTTATCAGTCTTCAATAAAGTAAGGTTTTTTGAATATTACCTAAAGATTCTTGGTCCCATAATATTAAGATTCATCACACATTTCTGCAATAAATGTCTCCAACTTCTTATGTCTGAAAGAAAAGAAGATACTTTGTCCTGTATAGTTGCAATGACACTCCTCTACTAGAATTTCCTGTTTGAGAAGACTGAGATAACTACACTAACTTGCCTCTTTTTTTTTTAACAAATATTTCTCATAAAGAAATTTAAAAAAATGTTTTGCTATTACAAAAATCAATTATTTAAACTTTTGATAAAGGGAATGGTTTCATAACATAGTAAAATTACAGATGCTGTACTTTGCTCTTTATATAGAAAGTCAAAAAAACCTAGTGTGGTCCTCAAAGAACTCATATCCTAGTACTGTAATAGAGTAATTGACATGTGAGCATTTCAAGGGGTATAAAAGTTGCTGAAATTCAGGGAATTATTTAATGTCATTCAAAAACACTAAAGCAGTTACCATTGTTTGATCTGAACAGAATTAAGCAACTTTACCTACAACTGTTTTTCTTAAAATTTTAATAAACCTAGCTACCAGAAACTTTTTTCTTAGATCTTGAAAGCCTCAGAAATCTTCAGTTTTGTCTATGTACTTCTTGTACTCTTAGCTTATGCCTCCCCTTATGTTATAATTTGTTGTATAGATTCTGTCTTCCCAATAAATTATTACTTTTAAATGGTGGGTATATTTGTCTTATGCGTCTTAGCAGCTAATTTGTCTAGAAAAAATGTTATATGAAAAAGAGTTTTTCATGAAATTATTTGCCTTTGTCATTTACTTACATGGTGGAAGCCTGGTAGAAAGGGATAAGGGAGTACCACAGGGAGCTGGCTGGCAAAAACAGCGAGGGATTATATGAAACAAGAATGTGACGTATTAAATGTCACTTGTTCTCAGCTGTGGAGTATACTCACTATCTAGCAAAATTGTAAAATATCTCACTGGGAACCCCATTCTATCTCTACAAAATACAGGCAGCATATGTATAAACCTTAATAAACCTTATATCAACCCTTACTTTTCTCCAAGTTGAATTGTTCAGTCATATTACTCTTGCAGACCCTTTTACCAAGGGAAGCAGAGGTTGATACTGTACACTGTTTTCCTGGCTATGTTATTGGTGCTGATCACTTCATGTCCATTTATACATGCTACACATTATGCAATAGGTGACTGACCACCATTCCTCCTTGATTCATAAGATGTTCAATAAAATTAGGAAAATGAAAAATCAGAAGATTAATGACGGTTAAGAATTGAAGCTAACCAATGAGATCAAGAGAAACGTAATTAGATTTCATGTAGAGGGTGAAGATGATTACCTTCAATTTGACTAGCAGGAAGATGGTGTTGAGAATCTTTGGCATCAGGTGAATTGGAGAGTGTAAAACTTTTAACAAGAGGAAGGGGAATAATTCTCTTTCACAGTTAGCTTGAAAACATAAGACTTGTGAACATATGGTCAATCATGTTCTGTTTTGCAGTCAGTCTCTTTTTTAAATTTAACATACTTTTTTTTCTTTGTGCCTACTAACTATGCACTGATTCAGAATATGATGATTTTACCCATTACAGTCACTTTGGAAGGTAATCTATTGCTACCAAATACTATGCCTTTTTATCAGAGTTCTAATTAGTGATTATTTATGTATATACATCCATCTTTTCCTTCTACTTCCACACCGATTAAGATAATCCTCTGACGTTTTGAATATTATGTCTAACAACAGATATTTTGTGTCCTGACTTACCATTCATAAACAGGTAAATTCTCTCATTGTGCCTTTTCACATTAAATAAATTAATATATAGGTAAGATATTTTAAGTTCCAGACTTTGAATTAAATGTCTTTAATTTTGATGACAAAGTTACCAAGAAGGAGCTTTATAATATACTCTTCTGAAGAAACTAATGTAGACAACCTGTAAACTCTAGTAAAATGGAATACAGAATCCATTAACTTTACATAGTGAGATGAATGAAGTGCTATCATCCATATGCCTTTCCTGAGTCTGTAAGGCACATCATTCAGATTACTGAAGCATATGGTTAGGTCATTACTTTCTGTCCAAAAGTCTGCACAAAATTTTGTATTACATTCAAATTGGTTCAACACATTTCTTAAAGTGAAGCAAATTCAGAAGACATTTTGAGATACTTAAATACCACTCTATCAGTGAAATTTTATGGTGGATATACATCTGAGTTCTACTTTTAAAACTATATCAATAAATTATTCTTATTAGAATTCCTTCTAATGTAATGATTTTGCCTGCTGTATTTAGCAAAAATTTTATGTCCTTTGCCCACTTTTTAAAAGAAGAACTACATGCCACCAACAAGCATATGAAAAAAGCTCAGTATCACTAATTATTAGAGAAATGCAAATCAAAACCACAATGAGATACCATCTCACACCAGTCAGAATGGCTATTATTAAAAAGTCAAAAACTAACAGATGCTGGCAAGGTTGCAGAGAAAATACAATGCTTATTTACGCTGTTGGTGGGAGTGTAAATTAGTTCAACCATTGTGGGAACTAATAGGTATGTGGGAACTAATATGTGGGAACTAACATGTGGGAATAATAGTATGGTGATTCCTCAAAGAGCTAAAAACGGAACTACCAATCCCATTGCTGGGTATAAATGCAAAGGAATATACATCATTCTATCATAAAGACGTATGCATGTGTATGTTCATCTCAGCACTACTCACAATAGCAAAGACATGGAGTCAACTGAAATGCTCATCAATGGCAGACTTGAATAAAGGAAATGTGGTACATATACACCATGGAATGCTATGCAGACATAAAAAGGAACTAGATCATGTTCTTTGCAGCAATATGGATGGAGCTGGAGGCCATTATCCTTAGCAAACTAACACAGCATCAGAAAACCAAATACCACAAATAGAGAGTGAGAGGGTGGAGACGAGCAGAAAAAAATAACTGTTAGGTACTAGGTTTAGTACCTGGGTGATGAAGTAATCTGTAAATCTAACCCCTGTGACATGGGTTTACCTATATAACAAACATGCACATGTGCCCCGATCCTAAAATAAAAGTTTAAAAAATTATTAAGAATATATTTTACTCTACTCATAATCTACTTTAAAATTTTCAGTTGATCATCAAAGGCTTAAACTCCATTTATTTTGCAAAGGAAATTTTGAGAACCTATACCACACAATTTCTATGTGCTAGGCATACAGAGAGAAATATGAGGAAGTGTACAATGACTTTCATTTCAGGTTATGACTGAACAGCTGATGGATTAGTATCTTATTGCTGTTATAACAAATTACTGCAAACTCAATGTCTTAAAACAGCATAAATGTATTATCTAATAGTAAAATGTCTAAAACAGGTCTTCAGCTATGTTCCTTCTGGAGGATCAAGGGGAAGAATTTGTTGTTTTGATTTTATTGGCTTCTCCAGCTGCCCACATTTCTTGGTTCATGGCTCCCTGTACTCTAACCTTTACCTCTGTTGTTAGCTCTCCTTCTCTGATCTTGGGCATTGACTATTCCAAAACCTCTCACAAATTATATGCTACCTATATGTATATTTTACTCAAGTATCCTCTAGGAGCCAACATAGTTACTATTTACTCACTTGACTTATTATCAGTGTCATAAAGAGTAATGATATTGTTGCTTGAGTTCCTTCTACATAAGACTAGAAATGTAATATTTTATATTTCAGATCAGCAGCAATTTTATTTTTTATAAAATACTTATAGAAAGATTATTTGCAAAATGTTTTCTCTGAATTTTTTTTATCACATCCTTTTTCTTTCTGTTCATACAGAGTATAAAAAAAGGAGAACACAATAATGTAAATTACTCTTTAAGAGAACTGGGGAAATATTAAAAATATTCTATAAAGATAAATTATTAGTAATATGTTTCTGTAGTGGTGTCTAGAAATGAGAAGACTTGTAAACATTTAAAACACATCAAAGAAAATTTAGTGCACTGCTTTCAGATAATCACAGAACTTTTATGAAACAATTTCAGTTTCAAATAAAATGTTGCATGAAATATTTAAAATGTTTATGGTGATTATAAAATTTGCAAACTCCTGAAATAAAATCTATTTTCTGAACACAGTATAACTCTTGGAAATTTCTGTCAATGCACTAATGTAATTAATGTAATTAGGTACTGACTCATTTTAATACTAATTAAGTTATGGAACACAATTGTATCTAACTCATTTTGGCTTTATCTTGAGTTCTATTTCGTTTTCTGCAGAGCACTGTTTTAGTTGAATCTATGGAAACTTTAGAGCTATATTTACATATGACATTTTCCAAATTAAACTATGACAGAGTTAACCAGTATACACTGTAATATAATCTTTCTTTGTCTTTTAACATCTTACATTTTACTGTTGACTGCATTTTCATGTAACTTCAGCAACAAAAACAAAATAATTTTTAATGTTTTTTATCCTCCCCTTCTCGCTGTGGAGATGCAATGAATTTGTAATATGCTGTGCAGCGTGAATTGTGCCTCTGAGCCCTGCTTGAATGAGGTCCTCCTGAGTAAACTCTATCAAGCTCGACTTTCCTATCTTGTACATTAACTCAGTAAGGGGCTACCTGGGATCATATTCTGTATTAAGTACTTTTAATTTGTTAAGACACTGAATCATGAAAACAAATTTATTTTACAGTTAATGTGAAGAAAGAAAATGCAATCACCCAAACTTATACTGATTAAATCATGAGTAAAGATATTTCGATGGGAGCAGAAAAGAGTGTGGATAAACACCATAAATCTTGTATAGATGAAAAAACAATTTTAGAAAGATATAAGAATAAGAACATATTTACTGTTAAAAACAGTAATTTGAAGATGCGGAGTTAGAATTGAACTCAGAAGTAATGAAAGTGTTTTTGGATAATTATCTCAATTCTCTCACCCTCAGTTTCCTCATCTATTAATGTTGAACTTATTTTCTTTTTTAAATCAAGTTAAAATGAACTGAAATAATAGCATTTTGAAAGCTGAAGAGCACCATGAAAAATATTGTTAATAAAATTCTGATCATTAATTTAGCTTATTATTAACTGGTATGTCATGTGTATCAGAAATCAAATCTAAGTCTCCTAATGTTATCTATTCCCAACCAAAAGATAATGCTATTTTTAGTAACTATAATGTATTGATAAGCTATAGGTCTCGTTGGCATGTTGTTTTGTCATAAGCCTCTAACTCTCTGTTTCTCTGCCTTTGCTATCTCAGGCTCTTTATTCTGATATCCCACTGCTCATTCCAAATCCCAAGATCCTGAGGAACTGTCATTGATCGACTCAGAGATAAGCTATCCAACTTTGATCTAATTAAGGATGTTCAGAGTCTATTTCATGTTTTGCATAATGATTACCAGGGTCACCAGTGCTGATAAGGAGGAATGCAAGTAGACATTGAGATGGGCTTAATGTAGTTTTTCAGATTTGAACCTTCTAAAAAGATTATCTGGATTAGAATCTGGGCTCTGCTTTGAAGCTGTAGGAATTTGGACCATTTAACTTTTGTATGCCTTAGTTTCCTAATTTATGAAAAATAATAATCATAGCCCAAACTTTATGAAAATATTGTGGAAAATTAAGTTAATCATGGCAGAAGTTTGTAAAACATCGGCATACAGTGGGCACTCTGTAAATAGTGGCTGATGTACTATTATCATTATAGACCAGGACAAGTTATTTAAATATTAACTTCTGTGTTTTTTTTTTTTTTTTACTTTCTGTCTATATTTTTTATTCTGATTTACTTCCATAAGCCAAGTATCTGTATTCCCTTTGTGTAACAGGCATAAATGCAGAAGTTATTTTCACAAAACTTGCATTATTGGCTTGGGCTTGAAGGGATTAGTAGACATGAAGAGACAAGTATGTTCAAAGACAGGATGGAGACAAAGACTCCCTAAGTTGGAGAAACATTAAAGAAAGGGAAGATTCTATTTCTGCTGCACACAGGCAAGCATTTCTCTTGGATATATTCCTAAGAATGGGGCTGTGGGATGTAGTGGAAATATTCAACTTGAAAAGAAAATCTCAAATTGTTTTCCAAATGTCTATGGATCGAAACACACACAAGCTGCTTATAAAAGATCCGTTGACTTGAATTCTCTTTAGCATTTAGTATTGTCAAAACTCATATTTTCCAATCCATTGGTTGTGAACGACCTCATTAAGACCATGATTTGTGTTTCCCCCATTGCTTGTTTTGTCATATGTTTATTGGCCATGTGTATTTCCTATTCCGTGGAATGCCTGTTGATAGAGTGATATTCTAAACATTTAGCAACTGGTACAGGAAAGGCAACAATCATTGTAAGTAGATATTAGCGCAATCAGAAAATAAGCTAGATGTGAAGGACATTAAGCCTGCCCTGTTCTGTATGGGCTGAACATTAGCACAAGCTTTTCACATCTTTTGTCTATTTTCGACAGGGTTGTATACTTTTTCATTATGGATGTATAGTCTGTATGCTTTATATACCAATCCTTTATTAGACATGCATATGACAAGTATTTTCTCCCAGGTCTAGCTTATTATTTTTTCATGAAATCCTAATTTTAGTGTAGTTAAATTTAACAATCCTTTATTAAAACTGATGGTTTATGTTGCTGCTGCTGTTTTTATATCTCATTTAAGAAATCTCATACCAAAGCCTTTATTTTCTTCTAAATATTTAAAATATTTCCATTAGATAATTAAATGTTCTGGTTTTTAATTCTACATATAATGTGAGACCGAGATCTATTTTCATTTTTTTACAGATAACGAGTTTTCCTATTTGCTTAGTACCTCCTTTCTTCATAAATACCCCATATCAGTGTTTTAATATGTTAAATTTTCATATATTCAAAATATTTTTTAACTTTTCTTTGTTTTATTAGTCTGTGTGTTTATTCCTGTGCCAATATCATTGTCATAAGTACTTTAGTTTTACATTAAGTGTGCAAGTCCCCCTTCAGAAGGGTTATGTATCATTGAACCTCTGCTTTTTATTATTTTTGATTATTTTATTTTATTTTTTAACTCTTATTTTAAGTTCAGGGTTACAAGTGCAGGTTCATTACATAGGAAAACTTGTGTCATGAGGGTTTGTTGTACAGATTATTTCCTCATCCAGGTATTAAGCCTAGTATCCATTAGTTATTTTTCCTGATCTTCTCCCTCCTCTCACCCTCCATTCTCTGGAAGGCCCCAGTGTGTGTTGTTCCCCTCTGTGCCTATGTGATCACATCATTTAGCTCCCACTTATAAGTGAGAACACAGAATATTTGTTTTTCTCTTCCTGTGTTATTTTGCTAAGGATATTGGCCTCCAGCTTCATCCATGTCCCTGCAAAGGACATGATCTTGTTCTTTATGACTGCATAATATTCTATGGCATATAGGTACCACATTTTCTTAGAGCTTCTGCACAGCAAAAGAAGCTACCAACAGACTAAGCAGACAGCCTACAGAATGGGAGAAAATTTTTGCATACTATGCATCTGACAAAGGTCTAATATCAAGCATCTATAAGGAATTTACACAAATTAACAAGAAAAAAACAACTCCATAAAATAGTGGGCAAAGGACGTAAACAGATACCTTTCAAAAGAAGGCATACATGTGGCCAACTACCATATGAAAAAAAGCCCAAAATCTCTAATCATTAGAGAAATGCAAATCAAAACCACAGCGACATAACATCCCACACCAGTCAGAATGGCTAATAGTAAATGTCAAAAAATAACAGATGCTGGTGAGGTTATGGAGAAAAAAGAATGCATACACACTACTTTTTATTCTTAGTTTTAGAAAGAAACCTCCTGCAATTCTATATAAAATTCTGTTACCGTTGTGTGTGGAGTTACCTTATATCTATATATTATTTAAGAGAGAATTAACATTTTTATCCAGTCAAGAGTCTCTGTACATAGTGTGTGTGTCTTTATTTGCTCAGATTTTCATTAATATATTTCAGTAGAATTTTATCATTTTGCATATACAGGTATTACAAATCTCTGTTAGAATAAAAAAAAAGAATTAAAGATCTAAGATATGCTAACCTAAGTTTGTAGGATAATATTTAATAAATACACTACAATGAGAAGCTGAAACAACTTCATTAGTCTCTATCTATATTTCTTCATATATTATCTCAGAGGAGTGTTCATGATTTTCCAGTTTGAAATCTCCAATCTACATTAACTATATTTCTTTCCAAATTTCTGTTGCATTTGTATAATTTTTAATGTGTGAATTACATTTCCTTCTGTTTCTTTTGCATTTCAGATACTGTTTTCTCATCCAAGTGGACACAAAAAATAATACTTGTTTAATGAGTCCTGCCATTGCAAAGACTTTTGTCATATGATTTTTAAATTTTTTATAACTAGCATCTGCCTAGTAAAACTTTTAAAACACTACTTAAATGATTTTAAAATAATTATTCTTTACCTGAGATGCACTTCTAGGTTTTTTTGTTAAATAATATGAATAAAGCTAATCTTACAATCTCAGCATTTAGAGATTAGCCATCATAATTTAAAATATCCTTTCAGTCACTCTTCTATTAACATGTACTACTTAATCTTACAATTGAAATCATACTTACTTTTTTGATATTAAATACATGTATGGAAGTTATTGTTTTATAGCATGATTTTTAATGACTGAATAGTAAACCATTATATAAGTGTGTCATAATTTATGTAACATCTATTGTTGCTAGTCAAGTGATTCTAATATTCATTATTAGTTTGTTGTGCTATTTTAATATTGATGAGCATTAATCTTTTTCAATATTTTTCTTTTTAGTTTAAATTCTTACTAGTGGGTTTGCTGAATCAAAAGATATTTTAAAATTTATTCCTAAACTCACTTCATTATATTTTTGCCTCTGCTAGTTTCATCTGTGCTTATAACCATTTGTCATTATCATTCTGTTTCAATTACAGTTAAAAAGTGAATTTTTAAATTCAATTCTTAAAATTTATACATTAATTTCTTTTTTCATTTCCTTGTTACTTAGATCTTTTACTTTGTTAGATATCTTTTGAAGTATAATATTAAGTTCCCAAATTTCTTATGTAATTTGTTATTATATCTGAAATTTAGGTTCTTAAAGAGAAAATTGTCATATGCATAGTGGTAAGTTTTCTATTCAGGAATATGCTATTTTTTCTAAGACTTTTAAAATATCTTTCAATAGTAGTTTTTTTTTCTTGCATATATATCGTGGATGTTTCTGGAGAATTTAGTTTTTAGATTATTTTCAGGTTTATTGTATGTTCAAATGCTTATCTTATGCTGAGAAACAATTGGTTTTGCATTTTTAAAATATAAATATAGTATTTACATATGTAGTAAATTACCTTCTTACTGCATAGATATTTTGTTCAGTTGATCATTTTCAGTTTCCAAAGTATCCTAACATGCTGTAATACATGACAATAAATTTGTCTTTGCCTCTTTCTTACCTTTGTGTTGTTTGTTTGTTTTGTTTGTTTGTTTGCTTGTGTTGAGACGGAGTCTCGCTCTGTCCCCAGGCTGGAGTGCAGTGGCGCGATCTCCGCTCACTGCAAGCTCCGCCTCCCGGGTTCACGCCATTCTCCTGCCTCAGCCTCCCCGGTAGCTGGGGCTACAGGTGCCCGCCACCACACTGGGCTAATTTTTTTATATTTTTAGTAGATACGGGGTTTCACTGTATTATCCAGGATGGTCTCGATCTCCTGACCTCATGATCCACCCACGTTGGCCTCCCAAAGTGCTGGGATTACAGGCGTGAGCCGCCACACCCGGCCATCTTTGTGTTTTGTATAATTATTAATGTTTTCAGTGTAATGTTTTATATTAGCAGGGAAAACATTCCATTTTTAACTTTAACATGACTTCTTTCAGTGTTTCATTTTTTTAAGCTTCACAGTAGTTGTTAGTTTAAGATCATTTTATGGACGTATCCTTCAATTCTCAGCATAAAAGATGTTTCCTCAGAAATAACTACTGACTTTTATAAAATAGATTTTCAGGGACTACCAGTTGTCTCCAATATCAGTTCTTTCTTATTGTAATAAAATTTCTTGATTCTTTGAGTATATATCTTTCAAGAATAAAAGCAGTATTTCTTAGCACGGCCCTGAGAGTGTGTAACCACGTAACTAAATGGACGTCCACGAGGTAGAAAGTATCCAGGACTTTTTTTTTCCCTAAGTGGGACATGTTGCCTATTTCCCCAATCCACTGCCCTCTAACTATTAGGAGTCATGAAGTAATAGATCCCTTTTTTTTTTTTTTGAGACAGGGTCTCACTCTGTCAACCAGGCTGGAGTGCAGTGGTGCGATTGTTCCTCTCACTTTAACCTCCACCTCCTGGATTCAAGCAATTCTCCTGCCTCAACCCTCCAAGTAACTGGGATTACAATATGTTATGAAATACAAAAGGAGGAAAAAAAATAAAAGATGAAAAGATAATAACAGTGATCACTGTTGAATCTAGGGATTGTGTGCATAATAGTTCATTTTAAAATTTATTCCACTTTATATACATTTACATATTTATATGTATATATACATTTATAAAAATATTATTTTATTACTAAAAGGAAAAATTAATGGGAAATTAAGAATCAAATGGAATATTTGAGACTTGAAGAGTACTAATAAGTGAGAGAACACGAGTCTGATTCCAGCTTCCTAGCTTAACCAGGCATTCTTCCAAGAGACATCAATAAAGCATAACTCGTGACTTTAAAAAACCATTTGATTCATATTTTCTTAAGTTATTTTATATAGTAGTTGTATCCACAGTAATTTGTACAGTAAACTAGTCCTAAACTTAATGGCATAGAAGGAAAAGGTTGTGTTTTTCTTGTATAAGTCTGAGGGTAGGCTTGGACTCTGTTAGGCTTGTCTGAAACCAGCCGGGGTTTGCTCTAGACTGTGGGTTAGATTCTTCTCTACATGTCCCCTCGTTTTCCTTCAACCAGTGACTACCTGATACCTATTCTTTTTATAGTAAAAGGTAATGGTTAAAAAGACACAGCAAAGTCATGCAACCACATTTAAGCCTCTGTTCATAATGCTTCAACTATCACTTCTTTGACCAAAGCAAGTAACAAACTCTACATAATTGAGTCAGAGAAATATACTGAAACTTCTGTACAAGTAAGTACTACTGAACAATATGGCAAAAGGCATAAATTATATTATGCAGGCAACGAAGAGCAGTCAACAATAACTCAAGCTGCCACCTTTTTTTAGACTTGCACATTTTCTCTTATCTTTAGTTCACTGATTTGTTGTGTTCTTCATTCCAATCTCATATGCCATTTATTTTTATTTTCTTACTTAGCTTTGTAAGGATTGAACTGATAGTTGTTTAAAATTATTACATATTATATTATTCATAATAATATAATTTTCCTGCCATCTAAATACATTTTTAAATTGAATTTTATTAACTTACTACATATTTTTGACTTATTCTCATTTTGGAATGTTGTCAGTTTTTATTATTAATAGTAAAAACACTGAAATTTTATTATTTATCTTTATATGCGTCTTCTAAAAACTGTATCCCATATGTTTAGTAATTTCTACTGGGTGATTTTCTGTTGTCCACAATTTCAGTATAGGTTTGTTTCTTTGGGGAAAGATTTATTCCTTACTTTAATGTATAATTGAATTTAATCCCCTTCTGAGGCCTTCTTTTGTTACCCTCTGGTAACAAACGTGGCTGAAATGTAATTAAGCCAATTTAGGCAAATCTTTTCCAGTTCAGTATCTCCCTTATCCCCCTTTCCTTGGCTTGCTTCTAATTTGTGCAAGCTTACATTATGACAAACCATTGTAGGTAGCTCGATGATATATCCGAACTGAATCATTGCCATTTATTCCCATCGGATTAATAAGGGTTCATATTCCTGTCTAGTCCAGAGATTTTCTATTCGACTGTTTACAAACCCTTGTGAGCACAGGGAAATTGTACAATATCCTAAATCCTTTAAATAGATATGCCACACAACCATTTCTCATTTATTCAGGAAAGGCTCTATTTGTGTTTTGAAATGAGAGCATATTTATTTCCATTTTGAGGGAAATGTCTTTGATTATTTGTTTAGTTAGAAATATACTATAAATTATTCTACTTTGGTGAAATCTCATGACATATATAATCTTGCCACTGGAAAAAAAATGAAAAAATAGCCTTATTATAACAATTATATATGAATCATTCAATAATATGCATTTATAATTTAAAAATAATTAGATTGAACTATGTCTAATAATAAGATTATTGATATTTTAACATTGTCTTTTCTATCAAGGACTTAGATGTATCTTAATACCCTCTTTTACTCTTTTGTTATATTTACATTTCCTTAGAAATTTGTTTTTCTTTTATATATTTAGATGCATGTCATTCAGTGTTTGAAATAATTTTTTTCTTCATTGCATATTTCAAATGGTCTCTCTTCCTTAGAATAAGGCCAGTGTAAGGTTTAATTAGTCTAGCTTCATATATATATATGCTAGAGTTAAATGAAGAGTTTTGTACCTGTACTTACTTTAGTTGTCTGTTAGCCTTAGCTATTGGCTGTGATGTGGACTTTTTTTCATATCTGTATCTTCACAGGGAGATGAGTGAAATTATCAATAGATGATGCAACAAGGTGCTCACATACCGTTTTAAACCTCAAACACCAATATTTGAAAATATTCTCTCAATATCTTTATATCTTTACAATAGTTTGTGTGTATGTGTGTGTGTGTGTGTGTGTGTGTGTGTGTGTGTAGTGGTCTAATAAATTATAGCTTTTATTCTGTGGCCTTAGTGACTTTTACTTGTCCACATCCACCCTTAATAATTATGCTTTTTTAGGAAATAAACTAAATGTTCCATTTTTCTTATCTTGATCCTTGTGTTTAAACCTTGTTTCTACTCATAGTAAAGTAGTACTCTACAGTTTCTTTTTTTTTTTTTTTTACAGCCTTTGGTGTTGGATATGGTAATATTTGTTTTTAATTCTATGTCAACCTAAAATAATCAAGAGGGTCAGAATCTACTTTAAAGAGAGTTTATTCAAGTGTCAAGTGTAAGAGGATAGACCACTCAGAAACACTAACTCCAAAGAAATGGAATCAGCATCCAGAAGTAGAGAAGTTATGGTTTCATTTATATCAGCAGAGACAGAGGAGTTTTTAAGAGGACTGCAACATTTTCCATACATGGCTGATGCATAGTTAAAGCAATTTGATTGGTTATAGGCAGTGTTTCCTCTTGGGGAGGGTGCATTTAACATTTTTTACAGAGGGTGTAATCGTCATGGGTTATCTTTCATCTGGTCTAAGCAAAGTAGGACAACAAAAGTGAAGTTAATCTATAAAAAGCATCATTATTTAAGAAGCCAGGAAGGTTTTGTCCGTGATGTTGTCATTTAATTATCTCTAATCATTGCATAGAACAAGAAAAATCAGGAAGTTTTTAATCCATAATCTGAGAAACAGAAGTTGTAACTATGTGTTACTCAGATCACAGTCACATCTCTCTCAAGGCTTAAAATGTTTTTGGTGTTTCAAGAGCTTTTAAATTATATTTATTTTCACATACATTTAGATCCAATTTTCTGTCCCACATATTTCCCTTCATTGTCTCTAATACCTTTTTCTTTTCAAACAACTTTAATGGCTTAATAGTTTAATAGATCTCATTTTTTTTAGAGAAATCATCTTGCCTTTTCTTCAATACAACATATTTATTGAAGTTTATCTGAATAGACTTCTTTTAAAGGATGATAGCAGCTCATCTACTTCATTTCATATAGTTATAATAAATGATGTTCTGAAATTAGATCTCTGGAATCTATTTTTCCACTTATTTTATCTAGTCCGTTTTAAGACTTTAAAATTCTTTTATAATAATAAGACCTCATTTTTCACTTAGGCTGTTATAATTATTAACTACTGTCAAAAATAAAACAGATTATATTTAAAAATTTTAAAGCGCTACATGGTGAATTATAGTTAATAATATATTGCATTCTTGAAAAATGCTGACAAGATTTTAAGTGTTATCACAAAAATGACAACTATGTGCAGTAATACTTATGTTAATTAGGTTGATTTTGCCATTTAGCAATGTACATATATTTCAAAACTTCATGTTAGCCATGCATAGTGGCACACACCTGTAATCCCAGCTACTCAGAAGGCTGAAGTGGGAGGATACCTTGACTTCAGAAGTTGAAGGCTGCAGTGAGCTCCACTGCCCTCCAGTCTGGGAACCAGAATGAGAGCCCATGAAGAAAAAAAAAAAATAATTTATACTCAATAAATGGGAACAATTTTATCTGCCATTTTTTTTTTTTTTAATTTACAGAAAGTTTATCTCGCCCAGGGAAGAACAGTTTCTGAACCTAGAGGTCTCAAACAAAAGTAGTTAAGAGGCATGGCTTTACGAACTACTTATGAAGTAAAAATGCAGACGTTTTTTAACCTGTACCATCACTGTAATTACAATATGGTTTTCAGGAGGCAAAGGATTGGTTAAAAGTGATCATCTTATTCCACTTTTAGAAGGCAAGTTAAGTTTTGTTTATGATCACCAGAGGCGTTTACAAGAAATAACCATTTCCTTTACGTAACCTAAGTGGTTTTATCTGCTCTAGGGATTCTCAGGCCTGGTCTGTCTTCATTTTATTTTATATTAACACTACAAATAAGTAGTAAAATTAAAATCTTTAATATGACTTTCCTAATTTTCAATATGGCATTTAATGAACTCAGAAAATAATGAGAATCAGTTTTGACCTCAGCACTTTTTCTCAGTTGGGTACCTCCTTTTGTCAGTTGTTAACAGAGCTCTTGGTATTTAAAGTAAGGCTGCCTCATAACTGATCGTGGATAATTAAAACAAACACACACACACAAATAAAAAGCAAATGTCAACATTAGGTTAGTGGCCTATTCTGTGTTTGACTGAAAGCAAAATCACTATATAAGACTGCTTAAAGTCACCAGAATCTTGATGCTTTTTTGATACGCTAAACATGAATGTTAACCTACAGAGAGAAAAGTTACTGAAGGGCAAGAAACCATTTTATTGCATTAAATGACATTTGTGTGATCTAAAATTGTCAAAGCAGGTTGCAGGATCCTTAATGGAAAGGATGTATGTCATATTTAATCTTTGGATTAGTGAATATAATGTATGGGGTAGTATGAGGGAAAGAAATGACTTAATTATGCTGGAGTGATGGCCCTAATTATAAGACATTTAATTGAAGTGTGGTAATAGGTCAATGATTAGCCTTAAAATTTGTGCTGAGTTTGAGACTATGTTACTTAGTATAAATAGATATGATTTTCACTGAATGTCTGAGGGTTGATCAGCAAGTTGGATCACTAATGGCTCTGTGTACTTACTGCAATCAGTGGAGTCTCTGACCATTCATTGCTTGGCAACTAATATTCGTGACTGTTAAAATAATGATAGCACCTGATAGCTTTGCTATTTAAGGGCATGTATTAGTCCATTATTACCTTGCTATAAAGGCATACCTGAGACTGGCTAATTTATAAAGAAAATAGTTTTAATTGGTGCATGGTTATGTGGGCTGTGCAGGCTTCTGGTTCTGGCAGGCCACAGGAAACTTACAACCATGGCAGAAGGTGAAGGAGAAGCAAGCACATCTTCACTTGGAGGGAGCAGAAGGAAGAGAGAGCAAAGGTGGAGGTGCCACACACTTTCAAACAACCAGATCTCATGAGAACTCTATCACAAGACAGCACTAGGAGGATGGTGCTAAACCATTAGAAACTGCCTCCATGATCCAATCACCTCCCACCAGCCCCCACCACCAAGACTAAGGATTACAATTCAATATGAGATTTTGGCAGGGACACAGAACCAAACCATATCAGGGCAGAAAAATGAGAAAGGAGATTTATCTCCCCCAATGTAAAGTAGATAAATGGCTGTGGTCTCAGATTTCTGAGTTCTGATGGACGCTGCCCTGGGAGTGACTGGGAAAGTAGACCTTAAAGGGTGTGAGTGAATTGTGGCATGAGGCAGGCTAGACTTCAAGCGTCAAGAGTTCCATTCTTGGCAATAATTTCTGCTCTTTGCTGGTGATGGGAGAAGCCTACAGTAGCCATAGAACCAGAGACTGGGAGTCTTATACAAGACGACTCCCAGTGACTAGAGACCCTTCCTCCATTTTCCAAGTAGAGATGTAAGCTAGATCTCTGCAGTTCCCTACAGTGCACACAGGCTTTAATAATGCCTGAGTTTGATTTTGCTGTCTTTCCAGCATAATGAGGTCTCTCAGTTGGATATCAGTTACTTAAACACAATTAAGAAATACAATATTTATTGCACATCTAAATGTGTGAGCTGAGTTATGCCTCCTATATTTATTTGTAATGTACTGAATTTTAGTCTTTTAAAATATTATTTAGAAAAAAAACAAGAACAATTCTGATTCAAAAATTCAGGGGAAGAAAGTGAAGAAAGCATTATTAGGCAAAGAACAAGACACATGAGACAGTCCATAAAAAATTTGCATTGAAAGAACCAAGTTGCCTAAGTTATATTCTTGGACAGTTTGCTGGGTCTTCTTATCTCTTTCCAGATCCACCACCTGCCATGCCTGTTGCCAGGCTCAGGTCTGTTTAGACATTTCCTCTTCACCATTCCCTCTTCCATTTTTTCTCACTCAGGATAGATAGAGGATTGACTGTCAGTAAATTCTGTGTATAACACCTACTAACTTGAGAGATCAACATACATGACAATACAGGGACACATCCCATTACTGAAAGTCACTATACTAATTCAGCCTTTTTCCTACCAAAACTAGTAGACCTGGGCTTTTTAAAGTCATTTTCAACTGAGGTTAGAATAAAACAGTGTAAAAAAAAACAAAGAGAGAGAAAACAGACACAAACATGCCAGGCTTTCATATGTCCAGTTAGGCTTCTTGTGCGAATGCAGCTTTAGTAAGGATATTCTATTTAGATAAGGCTTGAGGTAGGTGTTTTTCTCTATCTTTCAGATTTGGGGAATTAGAATACTGTTACAGCAGGCTCAAAAATACCTACAAATCACAATTGCACATTCCAAGGTTACAGAATTTATAATAAATAGTGTTATTTCTCCAAAGAACTCAGTATTTTATACAAGTCATCAGTTCAACTGATTTATTATTCAGTGTGATTTAAAATTAGATGGAAAAAGAAGCAGAGCAACAGTGCTTGCCTGTCCATGATTATGTTACATTTTGTGCATAAATCTACACGTTTGTAATGTACCCATTTAGGTAAAATAATTTATCTAAGAAGGTTTATTTAAAGAGGTTTTATTTATTTAAAGAGGTTGATTTTGAGCTTACAGAATATAATGTTCTTTAGACTAATATTAACAAAAAATTCTGGTATTTTAAGAGTGTACCTCATGATCTATATGGTTGCTTTGTCTCTTTTTGAGAAAAAGATCTCTAAAATCAGACTTCTCTGATTAATTTTTTCATGTTATGAATTATTCATCATTTATTCATTATGAACCAAATAGGCTTGTATTACGGAACTCATAAAACAGATAGTAATGTAATACTAAATCAAAGCCAGCCAGTTTAAAAGCAAAGCTGTCTTGTTTTCATGTGTTTCTCATTCCAGAGATGTTGTCTAATGCTACTACAACATTTGTATTAAGTCAAAAATTTACTGTACCATTTTTCTTCAGGTTTGTCATATACTCCAAATGCCATGCTTTAAAGCTTGAAAATCCACTGAAAACAGCTGAATAGAAGTAGTGAAATGGTTCTCTAGGCTCGAAATATGTTTAAAATATTTTCATCAGTTTATTACTAGTTTAATTTCTTGTTCTTTTTGCTTCTAATGGTTATTTACTATTTTTGTTAAACAGTTATTTTAATGAATTAAAGTGTTTGGCAGTAGTAGAATAGAAAAAGTGGTCTTGACTAGGCTATTGGTAGTGTGCACTTCAACTGGCAGAGATTGAAGCTTGAGAAAGAGTCACCTACACAGTGAGTCTTGGACTTGGGGAGACTCAGTTGTAGATGGATACACTTAGTCTAATGAGTTCTAGGCAATAAGGACTTGGGTAGGAGTGAGGACCCTGAGGAGGCGCAGACATGCTGCAGATTTTCAAAGGAAATATTTAATCTACCTGGGTACGTATATAGGTGTGGATATTGATATGCATTTCTTCTCTATTCCAACTCAAAGTTATTTGAGTTAGCTTTATAAAATCTGTAATATATGAGCCATCTCAAAATTAATACTAAAAATGAGTTCTGTATGTGAATTAATTCACTTAACTAATGTAAAATTCTGTGAATGTTTATGGTGATTCTTTACAGATATAGAAACTGAGCCCCAGAAAATGCATGCATGTGCCCATTTTCACCAAGATAACACATTATTAGATGGAATATATCATCAAGCATCTGTCTCCAAAGATTGCTAAATAGTATAGTAGGCCATAAACAAATTATTTTTTCTTACAACTAGAATTTCGGAAATAGTGAAGACACAAAAACCATTAATAACCATTATCTTAAAATCTGAATTTGGATCAGTTGTTTAATATTTTGTCAGCTCCTCAATAGTTTTAGCTTGGGGAAGATTAAAATAGTTTTGTCTAAATTTATGAATTATTTTCAACATGAGTGATGGTTTCAGCAAGACTAACATTATTAGAAAGTGGAGTATCCAATGAGTACTTTCTGTCCATTCCACTAAAGAGAACTTTTCCTTGACATTTATGATTTTGAAAAAGGATTTTTTTCTTCCTTTTGTTAAAAACACACACACATATACAAACCTGATTCCAGAATAGATGACATTACATCTCTGCACAGAAATAGTCAGAATTATCGGCTGGATTCCAATATTTACTTTAAACAGGAGTTCTGAATATTTTTAAATGTATGCCAAATAGTCAATAGATCACTGTTTTTAAAACAATATTCCCTGTATAGGTAGGGTTGAAGATAGTAGTAGCCACAGTGGAATCAAGGGGTGGGTACAAAGGGCACAGTGGTGGCTTGGGTTTCAGGTCTTGCCCCTTTAGTTAAGAAATTTGGCTTTAATGTAAACTTCCATTTAAGATCCAATTGAAGAAAGGAACCTAATAATTAAAAATATTCAATAGCTTGAAATTATATTTGAAAATCTTGAAAGGTGGCTATTAGAATGTCTCCTGATTTGATTCTACTCCCAACTTCAATTATATTCCTTTCCTAAGCAAAGCAGCGGCTAGTTCTCTCAGGCAATCTAGTCTTGCAGTGTGAAAATGTAGTCATTGGCTTACAGAAGTTCTGATAATAAGAATTTCTGTGGGTTCTTCTCATCTCAACTATGCGAGAACCTGTGAATTAGGAAAAAAATAAATGATGATGAGTAGCTGAAAGCAGGACATCTGGAGCGAGCTTGGCTCAGCAGCCCCTGGACTTCACTGGAGAGGAGAGATATTCTCCCTTCTAGGTAAATTTGGTCTTTTTTGTTCACAAGGAGCTGAGAAGCAGCAAAATGGATGCCCTGCCATTAAAGAATGGGGCCTGAAGAAAAAGAAGCTTCCTTCTGATATCTAAAGGCTTAAGTAAGGATTAACTATTCATTTAAGAATTAAACCATTGTTGGAAAAATCACTGTAGTTCAAATTATTTGTAAGACTTTTGCAACTGTAGGTACCAGAGCAACTAACTCTGCACAAACCACAAAGGAAAATAACATATGTAAGTGGTCAGGAAAAAAATAGGTAAAGTACTTAGAAAATGTTGCTAAAGACTAGAGGAGACAATAGTTAAGGGGAAAAAATATAATTAGACATCTGCAAAAGTCCAAGAGCAGCACAAGAAGATTAGAAGATTGTCTTCCAGTGAAATATAAACTCACTTTTAAAAAATCAGTATTAATTGAAGGAGACGATCACACTGTCAATGCATGATTTTAAGCACCTAGAACATCAAATGTAACTCATATTTCAAAGCAATTAAAAAGAAATACAATAACAGAGTTTGGCACAAGGTGCTGGTTGCTATTTACTATCCAATATTATCTTTCAACTCAGTAATAGAAACCTCCTTTAATTTAGAGTGATCAAATATTCAGCTTAAAGACTATTGATCCCAGACTTTTTTGCCATTAGGTGTGGCCATGCAACTCAAACCTGGCCAACGAAATGTAAGAAAAATGGTTGTGAAGAATAATTTCTGAAAGTGAGATGTGATGACCAGAGCCTCAGAAGACACCCTGACCAATGAGGATGGAAGTTAGTATAGTTAGTATTAGCATTGTAGCAAATAACCTAAGTCCCCGAAAACCTCAGAACCACCATATCTAAACAGATCTATCTTACCTTTGGTCTTCCATTATGGGACAGAGCAATACATTTCTATTTTATTCAAGCAACTTTCATACAGCAGAAACCAATCTGAACTTATATTAATGACAACCATAAGATAATTGTAAGAGAATTAAAATAGAATTTCAAGAGGGCTAGGGTCAAAAATAAGTCTTATAGATAACAAAATGGTGGAAGACAGCAATGTGAAAGAATTAACTAAAAACACAAGGAACATTTTCCTAAACTAAAGAAACAATTAGATTTGTAATCTTTCCTAAAGAAATGAGCTACAGAGAAGGTTGCTGGAAAAACAAAGAACAAAAACAAGCTTAATGTCAACCAACAAATGACAAAGCAAAAACTGTTGAACCACTTGATTAAAAAACAATTCTATAATTGTTTATATATATTTTAACTACACAACAAAAAATATGAGAGGGTAAGATAATTATTATTATTTAGAAATTAAGAATATAATCTTTGATAACATTTCATCATACAAAAATTTATGAATTATAATATAAAATAAATTGAATAAGAAAAATTTAATTAAAACTTAATAGTTTATATTATTTTAATATTAAAATTTATAATAAAAAATCTTAAAAAGCTGCAGTTTTAAATGCCTTTATTTTTAAGGAAGAGAGATACATTTTTTACATATTGGATGAAAGGCTATTCATGAAAATAAGTTTAGGGAGAAAAATCACAGACTAAAACAAGAAATGTAAACATAAAAATAAATTAATAAAATTGAATGAATAATAATAGAAAGTATAAAACAGTAAAATAAACATATCTAAGATCTGGTTCTTTGAAAAGACCCATAATGTGCACTTTCCTCAGAGCACCTATCCAGAATCAAGGAATAAAGTAAAAGACATAGGATTAAGATTATGAAGGGGAACAAAGAAACAGATATAAAAATATTGAAAGATTATAAATAGATTATTCTAATATATTAAATGGAAATTAATTTGCAATCTTGAATAACATGGATAATTGTCAGCAAAATATAGAATATCCAAATTGACACAGAATGAATTTTAAAAACTTGAAAAAGATCAATAGTATTCCCTTCCCTTCATGACCCTTTCTTCTCCTCTTTCCTTATGCCCCTTCTCTCTCTCTCCCCTCCCGTCTCATTCTCTTTCTACACTAATACAAGGGTAGCCAGCTGCTGTGTTTGAAGTGATCCAACAAAGAAAGCCATGTGGTGAGGAACTAACTGAAGCTTCCTGTAAATAGCCTTGTGAATATGCTTAGAAGTGGATCCTTCATCGAAAACCTAGCTTTCAGATGATTCTGCAGTCCTGGCTGACATCTTGACTACAACCTCATGAGAAATGCTAAGCCAGCTTTTCATGAGGCTGTTTGCACTCGTCACCAATCCAAAGCTTAATAAATTGTGGTGGTATTTTACGGTCTTAGGATACAAAACACAGAAATATACCATTTGGTGAGATTCAGAAGACAGTGGAGTAAAAGAACTCAAATAATGGAAACGATTCAGAAAGAAGAGTAGAGGTGTGCAAAAGAACTTTTTGCAGCCCAACTTTCTTTTTGATCTCATTCTTATGCCACTTTCCTGAAATTGTATTTTTTCTAAATTATCTTTCATATGTGAAATTGTCTTTTCATTCTTCAAATTGATTTAATAATTTCCTTTTTATTTCATATTTACTTGTAATTTAGCTATATTTTACCATAGACAATATTATTTGAAATTCTATCTTTCAACTATATTGCAGCTGATTATTAGGGCAATGCCATTTGCATCACCTAGCATAGGAACTGGCACACAGATCCATAGCATATATTCCTTACATGTGTGCTATATATAAGTAGATCCTTAGCATGTATTTCTTAGCATATAGGATCTGGCACACAGATCCTTAGCATATATTTCTTTGGTTTAATAAACAGTGGGATCAAGGAGGCTTGTAACAAAGTATAGTGATGCATTATTGGAACTTCAGCTTAGAAACACATTACCGGGCTTTGAAGGGAATAGCCCAGATATGGTAGGTTCTCTTCAGAGAAAGGATACAAATATAAGCCATGGGACACAATGTAGGAGGTGTGTAGGGAAAGAATGTGGAAACCGTAGGTCTGAGAAGTAAGTTTGATTAGCTGTTGAGCCATGTGAATGCAGAACTAGAGTTCTTCAGAATCTTTTACAAAAGGGCAGTAGTGATTTCAAAAAAAAAAAAAAAAAAAAAAAAAAAACTTCTGTTGGGCTGAGTCAGCAGAAAAAAAAGAAGTAGCTTGAATTAAACGAGATTGGTAAGAAAGGAATCAAACAGTGTATGAAGTATAGCTGATTCTGAGTAAAATAAAGATACAAATAAAATGCTCATACTGGGAGAGATACAGATTCCCTCCTGTTAAGTATAATCCCCTCTTTCTCTATGTTACATTAAGGGCTTTTTATAAGAGAAACACAAGTTAACCCTTAGTTTATACACTATGATTTTGAGTAACAGATTTAGGCTAGCCCTGAGGCAAAGTTAAATGAATTCATACATTAGACTAATTATCATTGCCAATATTCTGGACTAAATCATTTTTCATTCAAGTCAGTTATCTATTGATACACATCACTGAAATTTTTATTGATATCCTTTTCTACAGTTCTTTTTTACGGGTCAAATATAGAATATGTACCTATTTGCAGAAGATGCAATCACTGATATTTTCCTAGTGCTCATATTTCAAATCTTCACTAATTGAATGCAATAAAGGCATGGGCAACATCACACGGATGTCTGCTGTGGGTGGCAAGTCAGGCTCTGGTCCTACTCTGCCTCACACTTTCATCCAGGGCAACAGGAAATTCAGTAAGTAGATAGTTGACACTGGACATGAATCCCAAGATCTTGAAAAAGGCTATTTTTTATGTAGTTGAATCTAAAAATGTATGAAATACGTAGCTGACTTTTCCCCATCACTCTTCCTCACACTCATTTAAAAGGCGGCACTATGGCAAGTTCTCATATGTTTATTATTCCTAATATTAACAAAAAATCATTTTATTGTCTCATATATATGCTTGTATAGATTTAAATTATCTGCTGTTGATGAATGAACTGTACTAATAATTAGGATAGCAGAAAGAGTACAGTTGTGATACATGTATCTATGAGATCTTTGTGAATAGATTCTGTTTTCTTAACCTTTGAACCAAGTGACAATCATTTGCTACAAGGGACAGTTGATTCTTCATATCTCTGCTCAGATTGTAAATCAATAGATAAGTTACCTTTGTCAGTAATATATAGTTGGTAATGGCAATAAACGGTACCAATGACAATTTTGAAATCTTGTATTCACTCTCTAAAAGCTACAGAGTAAACACTAACTTGCTGAAACAGAACTTACAATTTAAAGGAAGACTTTCAGTGAAACCACAGAGTGCAATAAGAGCATTTTATTCAGTGAACATAGCACTCCTAAAATATAGTGAAATCCATCTTAAAAATAGAGGCATAAATAACTAATTGGATCAATGAGCAACATTTTGAGAGTTTTGATAAACCAAAATAAATCTTTCTCTCTCTAAGGGAATCATTTAACAGATTGACTGAGTTTATATCAAAATAATTATGGGAAGTGTCTAATTCTATCTAATAAATGTTGAGGGAAATTAGAATCGATTAGAAGGTAAACAACACATTATAGATACACTTTGTCTTATTGTTAAGTTTCAAACTTAAATTTTCTTTATTACTCTATTGGAACTTAATTTCTATACACTAATTGCTTTGAAGGAATGGGTGTGCAGAAGTAAACTATTAAGTCCAGATTAATCTATTTATATTTTCTTATTTTGTTGAAGTTCAGGAACACATACGTCATATTATATTACTGAAAATATTTCAAACCCAAGAAAGTTTAATATTACATCACAGGGGAAGGCAAAATTAAAATAAATATTGTTGAATGGACCTTTTTCTGTTGGTAAGTGTTAAGAAGTAACTTTGACAAACTGGATGCTAAATTCTCAAGAGAAATTTATTATTATGGTAGTAAATGGTATTATTATTATTTTGTTTTTCAAGTTCATTCTTCAGTTTTCACTTCCTCCAATAACAAGCACAAGAGCCATCTCTACTGTTTTATGTACATGACCAATACATGTATCCTACAATATAAAGCATTGTTTGCCAATTATGTAATTGGAAGAGGGATCAATTTAGCAGTAAATCTCAGAATACTGTTTTTAAGCCTTATAGAAGTTTGCAGAATATTTACTCTGTGCTTATTTACATTGTAAATCTCAAAAAATCGAAAAGGTATTTAATGTATTCCAAAATTTATTTGGCAAAAGGCATTTTACTGAATACTGTTGTGTGAATGGACTTTAAATGAAAGCTAGAATTCTGAGTGCAGTGTAATTAATATGAGGCCACTAATTCTAATTTTAAATACTCCCTAATGCTTTTATATGTTTATGCATCAAGTTTTTATATTATTGTGAAAATATAGAAAAGTGTTATATGGAAAAATAATCTCAATTCACATTGCTTAGGAATAAACGAGTTAATTTTGGATTTATTCTTGTCAGTATATGTACTTAAACTGACATCCCCAGACACATTTTAATATTTCAGTATTTATAACTAAAAATTTTTATACATATATGAATATTTAGGAGTTTTCTAACTTACCTTCTCAACTTAATAAATTTTTGTAAGAGTTTATCCAGTGATTAACTACTCAAGGGGATATTTATTATTTAACTTATAGACAGTAAAAGAAGAAATATTAATGATGAACAGCTTTATTGATAATAGCCTCAAATTAGGAATAACCCAAATGTCCATCCACCTTTGACAGGATAAACTTATCTAACATAAGGATGTCCTATATATCTATAGGACAAAAGGAACTAAATTAAATATCTGTTGTAATAACACAGATACATTTCAAAAGCGTTATGCTAAGTAAAAGAAGCCAATCACAAAATACAACTTGTTATATAATTCCATTTATATGAGATTCTAGAAAGGGCAAAATTATTGTGATAAGCAGATCAGTGTTGTCCAGGATTGAGGAGAAGGGACTGACTGCAAAGAGTCATGAGGAAGTTTTTGTGGTAATATAAATAATCTGTATCGTGATTTTGGTATTGCTTACATGACTGTATGTATTTACCCAAAGTCATAAACTTGTCTGGGTAGAACTGTTGATTTAACTGTATGGAATTTACCTGAATAAGGATGATTTTATTTTAAAAAAACCTCCTTCATATAATCTTCTTTAGCAACCCATCCCCCGTTTCCTGCATTCCTGTTGTGCCATGCCCATGGCTCTATTATTGTATTTATCTTCTGGTGTAGTGGTTTCTTAAAAATGTTTATTGGCCACTACTAGATTGTCATTTTAGACAAAGAAAATTATTTTAGCTACCTTTCTGGGTCAGTTCCTGGTGATAAATACTTGCATAACATTTCAGAGAATAAAGAATTCACAGAAGAAAATACATAATGACGTATGATATTCTGCCTATGGGAATGTCTGCTTGAAATTTCAGAAGAGTATTAGAGAAAACATAAAACAGACATTATAGATGCATCATACTAGTTAGGTGTGTGGTCAAGTACCTATATTAAAGAATTGTGAAAACCCATTTCAAACAATTAATGAATATATTAATATAATTTTAACAGTCTACTTAAGTGTGAGATTAAATTTTCCCTCAATCATTCTGATATATATTATTATATTTAATAATTATATACGACATATATTACATATGGTATGTATTATATATTTATAATAATCATATATTATAATTAACACATGTATATATAATATGATATAAATTATATATATTATATATACTTTATATTATATATACATTATATTATACATGCCATATATTATATATAATACTATATATAATGTATGCTGATACTTTATATATAATATATGCCATACATTATATAATGTATTATATATAATGTATGGTATATATGTATAGCATATACATATACATATGTATATAGCATATATATAGCATATATATGTATCATATATATGCTATATATTATAGATAATACATTATAATATATGCTAAAATACGTTATCTATAATATATGCTATATATTATATAGTATACATTGAATTTTTATCATATATAATGTAATATCTACTATAATATATTATATGGTATATTATACATAATCATATCTAAACTAAGTCATCTCACATATACATGAAAGATTGAGGGAAAAATATACAAAATTCTTTTAGCCCCTTTTAAAATATCCTAGCATCTCTGAAACAGTAAGACATGGTAGTTTGTTAAATTGTTTCTAAAATGATCTTAAAAATAAATTTAACTGCTTATGTACAAAATCAATTGCTTGATATATCTAAATTTTTCTGTCCTTAGGCCCAGAATGAACCTTTATTAAGTCCAAGGGTCAGCATTTGCTCCTATGTTGGTCCCATTGCAGAATGAAGGTAATTATTTTTCTACTGCCTAATACATATGAATGTTAACCCAACATGGATTATATGTCCACAGTTCTGATCAAGGGAAACCTTAAAAATTAACTCGATTTTATCAGAGGAATAACATCTATACTATTAACAAATATGGCAATGACAATTTTTGTGAGCACAGTATAAACTATTATATCTAAACTAAGTCATCTCATAATTATAGCTAATAATACTTTTAATTTCAACTTATTAAGCATCTATAATATGCCAGATGCTGTGTGTTTTGAAGGTATAGTAGGAGAGGATTTTTAAATAGCATCTAAATTATTTTCCATTTAGGATATTTAATTTCATCCATTTTAGTATCACTTGCTGTTGAGATAAGCCTATTAGATTGAGGCTTCTTCCCACTGGGAAATAAAAGAAGAAATATTTAGAAAAAAAATGTTTTTCTTCAGTTTTGATTCTCATATATGATTTTTTTACCTCAGTAAAATAATAGTCTTGAAATTTCAAAAAGAGAATTTTCTTGGAATTCCTCAAATTTAGATTTTAAACAAGAATTAGAACAGGAAGACAAGATCAATATTTATACCATAAAATAAGAGAGCTACAAAATATGATGTAAAGGATATTTCTGCCTCACAATATCTCTAGGAAAAAGATCTAAGGCAGCAAGAAACAGTGACAAAACTCACGGGTCTTGCCACTCCTCAGGTCAAAAGTTAAGAGTAGATGGTGGAAATATACAGACAGTTTTGTGGGGTTAGGTAGTGAATTGAACACTTGCAAGGTTTCCAGAAAAGACTCACAGTCAGCTTTGCCTTAAAATCTCACATGGCACGTTTCTGAGAGAGTAGCAATGGCTATGGAAGGCACTGACTGGGTAGATGGTCCTGAATAAAGCCTTATTACTTTACATAATCTCAGTGCAGAGACAGAAGTAGAGTATTGTTCCAGTGATCTCAAAAGAGAGTGAGTTAGTATATCAGAAGAGCCATATCAGAAGAGCCCTTGGCTGGGCGCGGTGGGTGACGCCTATAATCCCAACATTTTGGGAAGACGAGGCAGTGGATCACGAGATCAGGAGATTGAGACCATCCTGGCCAACATAGTGAAACCCCGTCTCTAGTAAAATACAAAAAAATTAGCTGGGCGTGGTGGTGCACGCCTGTATTCCCAGCTACTCGGGAGGCTGAAGCAGGAGAATTGCTTGAACCTGCAGGAGGCAGAGGTTGCAGTGAGCCAAGATTGCACCACTGCACTCCAGCCTGGTGACAGAGCAAGATTCCCTCTCAAAAAAAAAATAATAATAATAATAAATAAATAAATAAATAAATAAAAGAAGAGCCGTAGACTTAGAAGGAAGTGGTTAAAGAATATAGGGCTCTCCCAGCTGAAGTCATTGGTAGGGCCATAATAATTCAACAGTGCCTGACCCAACATGAAAACAACCTGGAAGGGCCTGGTCCAAACCAGCATAAAAAGTTCAGAAGCCTAGTGACCGGGTGGGCTGAGCTCTACCAGAATGGGAACAGGAAAAAAAAAAAAAAAAAAAAAAAGCCGAAAAATGTAGGCCAGGTAGAACTAAACAACTTAACCAGAGCTCAAGGAGAACCAATACCCAACACCCCTCTGCCAGTACATGTGCAAATGAAAGCTTCTCATCTGCACTCCAGGTGAAGAAAGAGGAGATTAGGCCTCTTGAAAAGAGAAAATCCCCAAAGAAGACTGTTTTAAAAAACAGATACATATGAGTTAAAAACGAAAACAACAACAAACAACAACAAAAACAACAAACAACAACAATAAAAACAAGTACTTCTCCAATTAGTGAAAATGGAAGTTTGAAATCAAGGTAATAAATGTTTTGCTCATATTTGATTTTTGAATGCAGATATTTTAAGTAGAATTCTTACAATAATCTTGCCTTGTGAATGCCATCATCTTCTTGTTTTTGATAAAACCAAATATAGGCTCAGATAGATTGATTTACTTTCCTAGAATATCAATGCACAATGAGAGGTGAGGACAGTATTTGGAGTCAGCTCTGTCGGGCTCTGAACTGTGCATGATTCAACAGCACCTCAATGTCTTTCTCTCCACTTTCTCTCAGCATAGTAGCTGTAATTAATGGCTATGCTAATATTCTGCAATCTTTCTACTCTGTGGAGACACCTGACAGCATCTTTGCAGCAAAATTACTGTAAAAAGATTATTTCTGCCTTATTCCATTAAGCCCTAGGATATGTGGCTTGGAATTCAAAAGATCATGCAAGGACATGAAAGCCTTGGATAGTTGGGAATTACATTTTGCTCCTAAGATTTAGTGTCTGAAAATTCCAGTTTAATTATCAGGTCTTTGACTTCCTAGGGGTGTGAACTTTACATAACTTCTCTGAGGCATAGTTTTTTAATCTGTTAGAAGAAGATGCCCTGTCTGCCTCAAAGACTCGTTATGAACATTACTTGGAAAAAATGTGTGTAAAAGTGTTTTGTGAGTGCTGAAAGTCTCAGTATATAAAATATTTTAAATATTTTTAAAATCACCTAAATTTACTTTTTGGGCTTTATCAAGCTAAATAAGACTAAGCACATATGCTAAAATGTATTGAAAAGGTAAATATGTTATGAAAATTATTTCAATATACATTTTACTTATAGAAATCAGCATGTTTATGGAAATAATGAAAATAACTACAAACAATTGTGTTCCATACTGTTAAAGATAAATTACACTAAGTAGCCCTGATATGTTTCAGGAACACTAATTAGCATTTATATTATTCTATAGTTAAAATCAGTACCATCAATTCTACACATGGAATTTAACAGAACTTATTTTAAAGGACAGACTTCAGGTTTTACTGGGGAGTGGGGAGGTGCTTGTAAAATATAACCTAAATACATATTTTCCAGACATATATGCATAACTTCCTTTAAGGTCTTATTGAAAATCTGCTTCCAGTAAGACCTGTAGATCTATAGGACAATTTAATTGTTAGCTCCATGAATTACATTTTGACTAGTGTGAAGAACATTGTAAAAGCCTATAACAGAATAAACAGAATAAATAGGTCCTACTTGAAGCTACATTAGGTTATCACTTGGGTTTCTTGCAAGTTTTCTAATTGTATTGTTTCCGAGCTTTGCTTTCTACTTTTTTTTATGTAAAGGAAAGGATAAAGTCACATGTAAAGGTTGAAAAGCATATAGGCAATGAATTTTTAGTTAGTGAAATTATTTTCTAAAAAAGTGTAGTAAAACTGTAATATTTTTTATCAAATCATGAATTCAGAGTCTGCCTAAAAATATAACTCAGTAGAATAGTTTTGCTTTTGTGTCCTATAACTCCAGAGTCAACCCCAGTTCTGGCCACACTCAATTACTTTTTTTTTAATGAATGAATGACCAATGAATCAATCTATCATTAGTGGATTCTCATTTCAAAATAGTTGCCTATAAAATTGTTTTTCTTTAAAATTATCTCTCTTGTTGCTGTTGTTACAGGTAATTCAATAAATCATTAAGGATAAAAATATATACAGAGAGAAAGGTATACGGCCTTGAAAAAATACTAGACAAATTAGTTACTTAGTTTATTTGTGGTGGTCCTTTCACAACGAGTGCATGTATCAAAACATTGTATGTTTTTCATAGATACAATTTTTATTTGAAAAGTATACTTTAATAAACTGAAAAAAATGCATGTTCCTTAATTTCCAAATAGTTCAGAATTTTCTGATTGTTTATTTATGTTTTTATTTTTTGAGACAGGGTCTCGCTGTGTCATCCAGGCTGGAGTGCAGTGGTGCAACCTCAGCTTACCGCAACCTCCGGCCCCCGGTGGCAGGCTCAAGCCATCCTCCCATCTCAGCTTCTTGAGTGGCTGGGACCACAGGTGCCATCACCATGCCCGGTCAACTTTTTTGTATTTTTAGTAGAGACAGAGTCTTGCCATGTTGCCCAGGCTGGCCTGGAACTCCTGGGGTCAAGCAATTCTCCTGTCTTGGCCTCCCAAAGTGTTGGGATTACAGGCATGAGCCACTGTGCCTGGCCTAATTATTTATTTTTATTGATATTTAAATTATTCCCACTGTGGTCAGACCTGTACTTTGAATGATTTGAATTGATCTATAGATCAGCTTATGATTACGTTTGGAACTGTTTCCTGTGGAATTGAAAACAACATAATTTTTTGTTTCGGTAATTGTGAGGTGCATATTTCTTGACGTATCAGATAGATGAGCTTTGTTAATTGGGTTTCTCTGTACTGTTATACACATTGATCTTTGTTTATTGTATTAACTTTTGACAAATATGCATTTTATAGGTAGATAGATAGAATCTTAGCTAAATATGAAGAAGAAACAGACCTATAAAAACTTGTTTATGCTCAGCTTTTTTTTTTAAGCTATGGGTTTGGATGAGATTACATAGAGACTGAATATACAGAAAGAAAGTAAGGTTCTAATACGGAGACACAATTACAAGTTGGAAACATGAGAAGCAAATAGTAAAGGAGACCAAGAAAATGTAGCTTAGTGAAGCAGAAGAATGATCAAGAATGAATTGTGTCCAGGAAGCCAAGTGAAAAAAAAGTTTCATAAAAAGAGGAAGCAACTATCAATGCTGCTGATTGGCCAAGTAAGCTAAGAATCGAGAATTTGATTTGACAATGTATAAGTCATGAGCCACCTTGAAAAAGGAGGTTCCTGTGGAATATTGAGAAGGAAGTATGATTTGAATGGATTAAGGGAGAATTGGAGGGGAAGAAACAGAGACAGAGAGGGTAGACAACTCCTTTAATGAGAACAACCATACAACGTACCAGAATCTCTGGGACACATTTAAAGCAGTGTGTAGAGGGAAATTTATAGCACTAAATGCCCACAAGAGAAAGCAGGAAAGATCTAAAATCAACACCCTAACATCACAATGAAAAGAACTAAAGAAGCAAGAGCAAACAGATTCAAAAACTAGCAGGAGACAAGAAATAACTAAGATCAGAGGAGTGGTGAAAAGAAGTAAGGTCTATTCTCTTAGCATATTTTAAGCACACAATGTATTATTGTATTATTGTAGAATTATTAACTGTAGCCACCATGCTGTGTATTAGGTGTCCAGAACTTATTCATCTTGTTTAACTGAAACTTTTACCCTTTGACCAACCAACATCTTCCCATTGTCCCCTCCCCCTAGCCTGTGGCAACCACCATTTTACTCTGCTTTCATGAGGTGGAGTATTTGGATATCTTACATAAGTTAGATCATGCAGTATTTTTCGTTTTGTGTCTGGCTTATTTCACTCTGCTTAATGTCCTCCAGTCTCACTCAGTTATCACAAATGGCAGGCTTTCCTTCTTTTCAAATCCTGAATAGTATTTGTTATAAATATTATTACATATTTAATATTGGTATATATAAATATATATTATATATTACCTTTTCTTTATTTATTCATATCTTGACAGATATGTAGTTATTTCCATATCTTGGCTGTTGTAAACAATGGTGCAATGGGCATGGGAGGGCAGATATATTTTCATCACACTGATTTTATTTCCTCTGGACATATACCTTGAAGTGAGATACCTGGATTATATGGTAGTTTTATTTTTAATTTTTGAGAACATTTCATACCGTTTTCCTCCATTTACATTCCCCCCAACAGTGAACAAAAGTTAGTTTTATTCTACATCCTCGCTTCCCTTTTATAGAATCCCAGAAAAGTGAGCAATAGGACCAAATAATACTAGGGTGCTAGGTTCCCTATAGTGACTGGGGACATCTGATCCATCTGGTTGGGTGGGCGATTTTATCAGACTATCAGACATGTCAAGTCTGAAAGAGACGTTACCTCCCTTCCTGCACTGGATGACTGAGGCTGAAACGTCTTGGTTAAGCAACAAAGGCAAAGGGCATACGCAGAATTAGTAACCTCAGCATTGGGACAGGCAGACTGGGTCGCTACACCAACTGAATCCAATCCCTACCTAAATGATAGTGAAAAACAGAGACCCTGGAAGGAGTGAGGGGTGGGACACTAACCTGTTATTCTTCTTTTCCTGAAAGGATGTGGCAGCAGAGGCCTGGATGCATAATTGCTTTGTTAGGCTCTCCCAACCTGTGGCTACCGGGGGTAAGCTGCCATGCCAGACCATGTTTTGTCAGACCATAGGGACCCTCTTTTCCCATCAGTAGTAAACTAAACCAGTATTGCTAATGCCACAGTGTACACTGGCAGAACCTGAACCCTGGCTTACCGATTGAGGATCTGGCACCTGCCACATGGGAGAGAGCCAGAGGCACTTTTTAATAACTTAACCAACGGTGACAAAATGTCAGGGTCATAACTAAAACAACATTGGTGGGTCAGTACTTTAATGCACCAAGCTTCTTTGATTGCATGAAAGGGAAGTGCCCCAGCAGTGAGGAAAAAAACAAGGGCCAGACTGTTGCCAGTCCTCTGTGTAAGGGTTTCATGAACAATATTGCACAGGGAAACTGAGTTCATGTAACTAACTCAAAACTTGCCTGGTAAATGCCGATGTCTCACCTCCATTCCATGAACAATTGCTCATCGAACAATAAAACAGAAGAAGGGGTGCTGTGTGCACCGTGGGAATGAGATACCCCATTAAACCTGCAGCCTAAATCTGTGCACCAAGTCTCTTACTAGAGACCTGCCAGGAAGTGTGACTGACTCTGGATTTGTCTTTCATGAGATCTTTGGTGCTATACATGGGAGTCAGAGCTCAGGAACAAATGATAATAAATCTGTCCCTGACCATGGCAGACATTGCCTCCTGTACACCCACTGCTTCAGCAGCCCAGTAGGCATCTCTCAACTCTCTCGGGAAGGTTGTTTTAGGCAAAAGAATTCCTTTAGACTTTCTTTCAGCCCAACTTTAAGAAGCATGTAGGGTTTCCAGTGCCTCCTGCTCTGCCCAGATAAACACCTCAGGTATTGTGGAAACACAAATACAGAGATCCAGAAGCAGGTTCACTGGCCACAGAGTGAAGCCACCTGGAGGATGCTCCTTTGAACTCTTTTAGCAACTTCTCCCATGGATTCTGAGCTAGGGTGCTGCTCCAGGCAGACCTGATCATCCTGCCTATAGTAGTGGTCCTGTTGGGCCTGATGAAATGAATTCTGGTTATGACTCAACAACATTGTGCTAAGATTTTATCAGTCAAGGTTTTATATCGGTCTAAGAACACAAGCCTCTACTTCTAGATTCAGGGAGATGAATGGGCATAGGAAACAGACTAACTTTGCTAAGAGGGAAAGCTGAGTTGGGAGAATAAAGTGCAGGATAATTCTCCAGGTGATAATGAATGATATTGAATCAATGCAGTCCTCCCTGCTTTCTCATTTGTAATTCTCAAGAATAACTGTAGATAGAATGTGCTGGGAATGCAGCATCCTGAGATGAGTGAGAGCTGGCCAGAACAGCCCAGGATCTACTCCTGTCCCTCCTAGAAACCAGATATTCTTCAATAATTCAGCCCAGTATGTTATGTGGTCCTGAGGGTATAAAACGGTGGACTGCTTGCTGGAGTCCCTCAGCTGTGGTGTAAGTTGGTCATACAGAGAAAATACTCCCTCCTCCCTAGGAAGTTTTACTGATCCTTAAAGACTGATTTACCCCAAATCTTAGGCTTCTACTGTCCTTGGCGGCCTATGTGTGAGGGGTGAAGTTGCTTCACTTAACGTATGTGAGTATTCTGTCTCGCTGGACTCAAGCAAGTAGTAGAAATGAAGCCCAAGATGCCATGGGCTGTGGTGGTAACCAGTGTACAGTTAGCCTGCTTCACTCCAGGATTCACCAAAACAATTTTGAATGAAAGAAAGAAGGAGGGCTTATACATGTATCACTATTGTAAATCTACAGTAAATAGGACAGAGTTGTATAAGTGCAAAGCTATGTAAGTGTACAAATGAAACCAAATGGAGAGCTTAAAAACAGAGCAATACAGGCAGGTGTGGTGGCTCATGCCTCTAATCCCAGCACTTTGGGAGGCCGAAGAGGGTAGATCTCCTGAGGTTAGGAGTTCAAGATCAGCCTGATCAATATGGTGAAACCCTGTCTCTACTAAAAATACAAAAAAAAGTAGCTGGGCATGGTGGCGGGCGCCTGTAGTCCCAGCTACTCAGGAGGCTGAGACAGGAGAATTGCTTGAACCCGGGAGGCAGAGGTTGCAGTGAGCCAAGATAGCACCACTGCACTCCAGCCTGGGCGACATTGCGAGACTCTGGAAAACAACAACAACAACAACAACAACCAGAGCAATATAAATATGGTCACTTAATTTGTGAGAAATAAAAACTTCCATGCAGTGAGAATGAGCTAAAAATGTCAATAAATGATGCTGGGTCAACTGAATAGGTATGGGGACCAAAAAGTACATTTTGACCTCTCCTAACAACAGATACAAATATCAATTCTGAAACACGAAGGAATCTACAAAATTTTCTTTGAATAAATATCCAAATTTTAAAAAGTCAAGAGATGCAAAGTCAGTATTCAAAAAATGATTATATCTCTAAACAACTGGACAGATTAAGCTAAAAGCTACATTATTTAAAATAAACACTAAACAAAAATGGTTAACAATAAATCTAGAATAAGATAGACAAAACCTCTGAAAAATGATAACATATTGCTGACATAAATTAAAGAAGAAATTAATAAATATATTAGGGTTCTCAGTTTGGAGGAATCAATATGATAAGAATGTCAATTCATTTCAAATCGATTCATGTGTTCAATGCATCCTAATCAATATTGCAACGAATATTTCACAGAAATTAATAAGCATTTAAAAATTTATGTGGGTATTTAGAACAGCCAAAAATATTTAATGACCAAAAAATGGGAGGTCTAAACTACTTAATTTTATTTTTTACAAAAAAGCTACATTAAGAAAGACAATGTTGTAGTGTTCAAAGTTAGACTTATAGAATATTTGAACAGAAATGACTCAAGAAATATACCACGCATACATTGTAATGTATTTAAATGTTGTAGCAAGATACAAAATTAGGAAAGAAACATTTCATCAAATAATGCTGAAATAATTGATAATCCATACAGAATATAATGAACCCTTTATATCACACCAGACACAAAATTAACCTGATTTAGATCAACCCAAACTTTATATCATGGACAAAACTTAATTGGAATAGGATCATTAGCCTGAAAGTAAACAATAAACCTTAAAATTCCCATCAAAAAAGTAGAATAATATCTTTACAGACTTGTGTAAGCAAAATTCCTTAGAAATGACACAAATATCCTAACTATAAAAGAAAAAATGAAAATTAGATTTTATCAGAACCAAAACTTTCTGCTCATGAAAATACACCATCAAATCAAATAAAAAGTTCAGCCACGGACTGCGAGAAATTAATTGAAATACACATGTAAGATACATGACATACTGACAGTGAAAGAACTCTAATAAAACATGAAAGGCAAAATAACACAATTAGAAATGCATAGAAGATTTGAAGACAGTTTCCAAAAGGTGGTATATACATTACCAAAAAGCACCTAGAAGAGCCTAAAAATGCTCATTCATCAGGAAAGTGTATCTCACAATGAAATAAACTTCATGCCTACTATAATAGCTTAAATAAATTATGGCATCAAATCTGGGTAACTGGAGCTCTTATATATTGCTGGTGAGAGAGTACAATTGTACAACCATTTTGGAAACTGAAAATTTCTGCTAAAATTAGTCATACACTTATGCTATGATCTATCAATTCTGAAACTAGGTATTGATTTAAGTGAAATGGAAACATATTTCCATAAAAAAATCTTGAATATGCATGCTATGATAGATTTTTCTATAACAGTTGAAAACTAAAAACAAAACAATTGTCTATGAACAGGGGAATGAAAAAAAAACAAGTTTTGTCACATCCATATCCTAAAATACTTAGCAGTAAAAAGAATGAACTGCTAAAACACATAATGTGTAGATTTTTAAAACCTATGTTGAGTGAGAAAAGTCAGATACCAAAGAGTGCATATTCTGGAATCCATGTGTATGACGTTTAAGAACAAAAAAATATAAATTCATGCTGCAGTAAATGAGAACAGTATTTGTCTCTGGAAAGCAGGGACTGGAGGGAGGAATCTGAAATATCTATAGTGATGGAAATGTTCCATAGTTAATAAATTACTTATACAATATTTTCAAAAAAATCTGACTATACAGTTATCTAAGAAATTCACTGTATATAAATTTTATCTAAATTTTAAAAATTCATCCAAAAATTAGCTAATTTCAGATGTATTGTAGATTGAATAGTGAAAGGTGAAACAATAAGTTATCTTTAAAAAGTAGATCATAACCCTTGAAGTAACAAAGATGTCTTAATAAGAAGGCAAAAAGTACAAAGTTCAAAGGGAAAAAATATGAAAGACTAGACAACATTAGGTTTAAAAGTTGCAGTCCATCAAGAATACTATCAGCAGTGTGTGTGCTGTCCCCCTCCCTGTGTCCATGTGTTCTCATTGTTCAACTCCCACTTACCAGTGAGAACATGTGGTTTTCTGTTCCCGTGTTAGTTTGCTGAGAATAATGGCTTCTAGCTCCTTCCATGTCCCTGAAAAGGATATGATCTTGTTTTTTATGGCTGCATAGTATCCCATGGTGTATATGTACCACATTTTCTTTGTCCAGTCTATCACTGATGGGCATTTGGATTGATTTCATTTCTTTGCTATTGTGAATAGTGCTGCAATGAACATACATGTGCTTGTATCTTTATAATAGAGTGATTTATATTCCTTTGGGTATATACCCAGTAATGGGATTGCTGGGTCAAATGGTATTTCTGGTTCTAGATCTTTGAGGAATCACCACACCATTTTTCACAATGGTCGAATTAATTTACATTCCCACCAACAGTGTAAAAGTGTTTCTATTTCTTCACAACCTTGTCAGCATCTGTTTTTTCTTGACGTTTTAATAATTGCCATTCTGACTGGCATGAGATAGTATCTCATTGTGGTTTTGATTTGCCTTTTTCTAATGATCAGTGATATTTGTTGGCCACATGAATTTCTTCTTTTGAAAAGTGTCCATTCATGTCATTTGCCTACTTTTTTAATTTTTTTTTTTTTTTTTTTTTTTTTTGCTATTTTCTCGTAACTTTGTTCAAGTTCTTTGTAGATTCTGGACATTAGACGTTTGTCAGATGAATAGATTGCAAAAATGTTCTCCCACTCTGTAGGCTGTCTGTTCACTCTGATGATAGTTTCTTTTGCTGTGCAGAAGCTCAATAGTTTAATTAGATCCCTTTGCCAATTTTTGCTTTTGTTGCAATGGCTTTGGGTCTGTTGTGGGGTGGGCTGGGAAGAGGGAGAGCATTAGGAAAAATAACTAGTGCATGCTGGGCTTAATACCTAGATGATGGGTTGATACATGCAGCAAACCACCATGGCACATATTTACCTATGTAACAAACCTGCACATCCTGCACATGTACCCAGGAACTTAAAATTAAAATAAATTTTTTTAAAAAGAATACTATCAACAGATGAAAAATCAACTCGTATAGTAGAAAAAGTAAAGCAAATGTCTGAGGAATGAGTCACATTCTGACTATATAAAGATGTGCTAACTCAATTTTTAATAAGAGTAAGCAATTAGGGGAAAAATCCTTGAACTTAACAAGAATAGGTTATCTGGATTCCCAATAAACTATGAAAATTTTATCAACACTATTAATCATCCAGGGCAATACATGCTACACCCACATTGAAATGCCAGCACACATCCACAAAAATTACTAAAATTGAAAAGGAGAGAAAATTGATAAGGACATGAAGTGATTGCAACTACTGTTTGGAGTTTAAATTGGCAGTACCAAGTGATATCCTTATATTCTATAGTAGAGCAATTGTAATCTGTGGTATATAAACAGAAAAGTTCATATCAATAGTTAGACAGACAGACAGACAGATGAGGGAAGTGGGGGATGGAGCTCTTGGTATTACATCTTGGTGCTATCGATTATTTGTTTTATTTACCTTTCTATATAATCTGAATCTGTGTCAACAAATATCATAAGCTTTTCTGATACTAAAGAGGAAACTCACAGACCCAGAAACAGTAAATAATTTCTTTGCAAGTAATCTTCATTTTAAATACATATTTTGAGAACTTGTTTTATTCCTCTGTTACTATTGAGATTTGCTGCTCCCTAGTTATTCCTTTAATAAATTCTAATGGGACACTTACTATGGTGCAGGTTATCTTCTAAGTATGTATTAATCATCACCCCTAAATCACATACATTCTGGAATATTTACTGAGTCTGCATATAGAGAATACTACCTTAAAAAGGTAAAAATCACCCATGTAAGCATAATTTTACTTTAGCTTTCTTGTGAGTAAAATGGGCCATTTGGTCGCAGTGTAGGATAGCCATACATTTCCGTGAAATGTTTACATTGGTCAATATTGAAAAGCTTCCTATGATTAAAGTCAAATTATACATACATAATGGGTTACAATTTATGAAACATTCATCACTCAACATTCTGGTTTGTATTATCAGTCCCATATTAGAGATGTATGGAGTGCCTTGATTTTGGCAACAATTCAACTAAATTTTGACCAAACTTTAGTTAGGCTCCTAATGTTCTTCCTAGACACATCTCTGCATGCCCTTATAAACTCTAGTTTTAGCAGGAACCTTGCTAAGGTTCTTGCTAAAGAACCTTGTTAAGTCATTTAGCAGAAACCACTCACCTTCAATAACTGATCACCTTCAAGAACTGATCAGTTTCCTCATCCTCCACCATCCTCCATGTGACATCTGATCATCCTGGCCTTCCTCTAGCATTAATACTGTTAGATTGGTTTAGTCATGATCCCCCTTACCCTATGTCTTGTTCAAGCTGCTGTAACAGAATACCATAAACTGAATGGCTTGAACAACACACATTTATTTCTTACAGCTCTGGAGGTTGAAAAGTTCAATATCAAGGCACTGGAAGATTGGGCGTCTGGTGAAGGCCCACTTTCTGATTCTTAGAGGGCCCATCTTCTCCTCATGTCTTCAAAAGGCAGGTAGGATGTGGTAGATTTTCAGTACCTCTTTTATATGGGTACTTATCCCATGCATGAATGCTCTGTCCAACCTAATCACCTCCCAAAGGCAGCACTACCTCCTAATATCATGGGGTTAGGATTTCCACATGTGAATTTTGAGGGGGCAAAAACATTCAGTCTATAGCATCACTGATGTTTCCTCTCAGTAGTTTTCTATACCCTGAACTCTGCTCTGCTCTTTAGCTATAAATTTCCACCGGCCCATGCTGTATTTACAGTGAAGTCGAATTTCCCTTCTTCACTGCAACACCCCGTTGCCGTGATCCCTGTACCTACCCGCCATGCCCCCTTCCTTGAAGGTAGTTTGCCTTACTGTCTTCAATAAGTAGCATGAATTTTTTTTCTTTAACATCTTAATTACTAACGACATGTGTTTTCAATTCACAATATCCTTATTCCAATACTAAAAAATAAAGATGATATCACTAATAACAGTTAGATGAAAAAGAGACTGGATGATATCTCTTTATCTATTCATTACTCCATTTATTACTTAAAGCATTTTTAAGGTCTTAATGAGTTAGAATAATTGAGTAGCTAACTGCCTTTGATATCACCATTGAATAAACTCTTATTATATGTGCCTAGTATTTTCACCACTACATCAGCACTATCCCTCAGAGCAAGTGAAGTTATCTTCCACAATGGTCGAACTCATTTACATTCCCACCAACAGTATAAAAGTGTTGCTATTTCTCCACAACCTCGTCAGCATCTGTTGTTTCTTGACGTTTTAGTAATCGCCATTCTGACTGGCATGAGATGGTATCTCATTGTGGTTTTCATTTGCCCTTCTCTAATGATCAGTGATGTTGAGCTTTTTTTCATATGTTTATTGGCTACATGAATTTCTTCTTTTGAGAAGTCTCCGTTCGTGTGCTTTGCCCACTTTTTAAATGGGGTATTTTGTTATTTGCTTGTAAATTTGCTCAAGTTATTTTTATGAAACAGATGAGCAAATTGGTTCCATAATTTTAATATTTTATTTAAAATAAGTGATTGTTGAATACTACTATGTTTTAGGCACCATGTGCATACGTGTGATGTAAGGATTAAAAATAAATTTGTCTGCCCTCATAGACTTCACATTCTCTCTGGTTTCTTTTCTAGAATTTTCCGTTTGTTAAGTAAAGAAATGACCAGTAAATTTACAAGTGCAGTTTAAAACATGAATTTTTGACAGTTTTAAATGAGTGTGATGAATCATATTTGCTTTAGGTTATGTGCAATACTTAGTCATTTTTGTGGTGATTACCTGAAGACAAATTTAGTGGGATCATATGAACAAGCCTCAGCATAAAATATGATGGTGAGAAGCAGAGATCTGGGCATACCTTTCTTGTATTCATATATCACTGGATAAGAGAAAGGAGTATATGTACTGGCATTTTTCTTCCAATTTTTTACCATTTTCAGACAGAAAAAAGGTGTGTCAGAGATGTATCTGATTATGCATTTTATTAAACTTTTAAATTTTAATTTCAGATGCTAAATGCTTCAAATTCATTCTTTGCTGACATCTTCATGCTTAGTTTTAGAGCCTTTTTTTTCTAAAAAGTTTGTTAGGGATTCATTTATTTGGCAAGTAAGCATGATGTCTAATGTTGACTGAATGTTATAAAAAGACAAAATACAGAAAATGTTAATCTAAAAATGGTATTTCTAGTTGCCTTACAAAAAATAGATGATGCTATGTATTCTTTAAAATTCATTTTTCATGATTTGCTTTAAATATTAAAAAAATTTGTGAATCATTTCTTACAAAAGTTACAGATATATTGTTCCAGATCTTTCTATCACAGTAAAGAAATGTCTGTAATGATAAAACGACTGTAAAGAATACCATAAAGTAACCCTTTATTAAGAATTGACATGTATAAGATGAATATGTTAGGACAGGACCCAAGCCAATGTGTAGTCATTGTTTCTGTTACTACTACCTAAGGCTTGGAGATGTTGGGTTTTTGTTTTCATTTTGCAGTACCCTTCCTAAGCTAAACCTGTGTATTTCTTCCATTCAGGAAAAATTTCAAAATAAAAAGTTGGACTACTGAGATAAAATAACATACCTATAATTTTACAATGTTACTTTCCAAAGTTCATGATTCAGCATAATTTGAAAGCTGCTTTTATTTGTAACTGTAGTTGGGAAAATAGGATGTGGGATGATCTACACTGACTTTTTTTTTTCTAATTGTCCATGTAAACAATACAAATGTTGCCATTGGTAAAATTCAAATAATAAAGAACAAATTATAAACATCATTATTTATTCTCCCTTTCAATATTGCTGTCATCTGGTGAGTGTCTCTTTCTAGTTTTTTCTACACATATTTAAATGTACATGTATGTTCATGTGCATAATATTACCTTTACAAATAAATGTTTTATATATATTGTACTATAACTTTTTTCTGACAGTATAGCTCTGAGATCTTTCAAACTTTGCCTCAATCTTTTTTATGCATGCTTAATATAAATATAAATGTGAACATATCATTTATTTATATACGTAGAATGGTACCTTGTTCAATACACGTATAGATTCCCTAAAATTTTAAAATCCTCTATGTAATGTCTCAGTCAATATCCTTGAGCATGCATATGTGTACATTCAATTACACTTTTAGCTACCAAACTAATATGAGATAATTGTGTAATGTATATTTTAAATTTAATGTTACTTAAGAAAAAATAGTACTACCCAAAGCTAGTTGTCTATATAGGTTTTTGGTTTTATGTTTGTGTTTTTATCTTGCTTCCTTGTCAAAATTATTCTAGGTAGTGATTTCCAAAATCTAGCATCTAAGAAAAATTTCATTGTTCTGCAAAATAATAGGGGAAATTAAGATATTTAAATTATCTAAGAAATAGAATAAGAGCATTTGTGCATGTATTTGTGTATGTAAATAAATAAATGACTGGGACTGAGATTCTGTGGAAAGGTATGCCATTACCATGTATTCCTTTGACTTATATGGTTATAAGTGAACCAAAGATAGAGGTGGCAGTAAAAGCAGTCTTGTATTATGTCTTGGTAATGTTGGCAGGAGTGGTCATTTATTATGGAACTCAACTATCTTTCCTAGTTTATTGTATGCAAAACCTGGAATTGAGGTGCTTGTCTAAGGGACTGTAGCTTTGCATGTGATCGTCAAACTCAAGCTGGAGGATAGGAATCAATTCTAAGATGGCTTGCAATCTTCAACATGGCTTAGATTCTGTTGTTCTTGATCTATGTGAAAATAAATCAAAATTCAAAAATAATTGTATTTTCAGTGAAAATCCTTGATTTCTTTAAATATATAGCTGCATCCCATTTACTTGAAAATACCCCTTAAATGTATTGTGACTGGCATCTTGATTATTAGATTCCTGATTCATGTGGGAATTTAAATTACAGTAGAAAATAATGAGCTGAATCAACTGAAGGCAGCATTCCAAGTTCATGAACTTGATCTCTAAGATGAGGATGAGAATGCTCCCCTTCAGTACCTTTGCTATGCGGTCAGGATTAACAAGACACTAGTTGAGGAATGCCGGTAAGCCCATTTTTTAATATACATGATAAAAATTGTAATGGTTAGGGCTACTAACTTTTCTTTCCTTGAAGAAAAAACATTTTTTACATGGTTCTTAAATTTTATTTAATAACATTTAAATTCTGGCTAATGAAATAGCAACCTGAAATTTTTTAGCAGTGTGAAATAAGTTTCCTTTGAAAATCCAGTGTTAATAAAAATACATGGAAGTATATAACTTTCAATCCTGAAATATGTAAACAAATGAAACATAAACAAATGTTATAGTTGTAACATAATCAGGATTTATTTTCAATATCAGTCCTGGAGCCAACTATTACTAAAATCATACTAGAAATGCCAACACCTTATGAAAATGTTGAAAACGTTTAGGGCTTGTGTTAGGAAGATTACAACTCGGGCATGTTAAAAAAATTTTCATGTACCAATGTGCTTTTTAATTTTGAAAGTCTATTTCCAATAGATATAATTTAAAGCATCGGAACTACATGATTTGTACCAATGTCTGCCTTTTTACAGAGTTAGGTTGTGACATAGTCTTATTTCAAAAGGTCTCCTGCTATTTAAAACATACTCTTTTCCCCTTTGTTGGTATATTATTCATTAGCTTAACCAATATTATTTGAAATGTTAACTATTTTTAACACCAATTCAGTGAAATATGGAAGCATCCAGTAGACAGAAACAAATCACTAATGACAGCATAGAGCGGCCCTAAACTGCCTAAACAGATTTCTGTAATAAGGAAAATAATTATAATTTTTTTTTTATTTAAGACAATGAAGATTCAATGAGAAACGAGAATATTAATTGTGAGCTGTCTCTGGTACAATGCTTTTTTGGGGGGACTGCAATAACATAAAATCATGACTCAAGCTTTCTTATACAATAAAGAAATGTATTATTATAACATAGCGGAAGTCCAAAAGTAAAATAGGATCAAGGCACCATGTGATCCGTGGCTCTCACTGATGCAATTAGGAGTCAGATTTATTCAGCCTCTCAGCTCTGCAGTGTTGGTGTCAAATTGAATACCTTTCATGGCTCCTGCCCTGTGATCATAACATAAAAACCAATGGCAGTTGGGGCTAAATTATTTTTTCCTGTCGAATAAGGGGAGACAGGAAAAAAAAATAAGGACAATTTGCCCGAACTTGGAATATAAATCTCCCCTTTAATCTGGGCCTATTTAAGTTAAATTTTCCCACTTGGAGCATTAACAGTCACTGAGGAATGCTGCACACTAATTAGCTAAAACTAATCAGCAACTATTTCTGGAACTGCAGATGGGATCTCCTTTCTATGAGTTACCAGAGGAATCTAGATGTATAAACCAAATTAGGTTCCTTTAGGAAAAGAAAATAGCCAACTAGATACTAAATAGCCAACCAGATACTAAATAGCCAACCAGTACTATGAAATATCCTATGACCCACCAATCTCATGAGCCCTGTAAAATGAGTAGAGGAGAAACTCTGACCAGAAAAAATAAAAACTCTTCTGGAAACACCCCAGAAGTTATTTTTAAGGCTAAGATTTATTGACTTTTAAAGTATAGATTTATTTGAAATACTAACTCAGTTGAACTTCCTTATGGAAAGATTTAGCCCAATAATTTGAAAGAGGTCTAGGGAGAGGTAACCGTGTGTAGATATAATTAAAGTACATATATTCATTATTACAACTTTGAAAGTTAAATGATTTCACATATAAAGAGAAGATGGTTGGCTTTTCTAAGTCTTGACTATAATATCAAAATCTAATATGAAATACATATAAGGTGTTTAGTATATGACATAGTTTTATCATTGATTTTCATACATTAAGTAATTTAAGGCATACAAATATCCTATGAATAAGTGATTATTTTTACTTTTATTTATAATAGGAAAATGAAGGCATAGAGAGATATGTAACTATCCAGAAAATATAGATGGAGATTGACATAGTTGCATTTGGAATCAGACAATGTGACTCCAGCGTTAATGGTATTAGCTACTACAAAACTGCCAATTAATACTAATTTTTTGACAATTATCTTTTGGAGCATCTGAAATTGATCAAAATGCTCAAGATAATCATGGACGGTGAATGGATTTCTTTTTGAATTCTGTTTCAATATTTTTCTGCTTCTAAACTTAATTTTTATCAAGAGAAATATTGCAAATTATATATTAATGTGGTTTCTACAGTTTTCTGTTGAGTTCCCTATTTTACACACTTTGACATTTTATTGAATTCAGGCTTCAGATTGCCTGGAGAAATTTTTTATAATTCCAAGGGCATTGCATTAAAATTCTACTATTTTAACAACTAGGATAACAACAAAAACAACAACATGCATACACATCCTATCTTAGAGTAGAGGGATGCTGATATTTCAAAGACTTGCAGTCTTGAAACACAGATGTACAGTAATTGAAAGTACAATAGCAATGTCCTGATGCACCCCTGTGTTCATTTGTTCACTCATTTACTCACTCATCCATTTATCCATTCACTTCTAACAGTGACGATGCAGGTAGTGAAGAGCAGCATAGCATTGCTATGAATATCAGAGGCTATGAATCCAGACTGCATTATTTGAATCCAGGGTATCACCAATTTTATTATTGAAAATTTTGGTAACATTTACTTAAACTCTCATCTAGAAAATAAAGTAAATAAAGATAATTTCTTCATAAAATTACTGTTAAAAATTAGTTAACATATTCAGATATTTAGAATAGTATCTTACACATATTAAATGCTAAAAAGTGTTAGATATTATTCTTTATCTGGAAACATTTATTGAATAAATACTTTCTTTACCTCCTTCCTTCTTTCCCCTTCTAATTTCTGGCCCGTAGAATTATTATTCCTGCTTGGGCTCCTTCCATGGGCTCTGATATTCTCTACTGTCAGAATCTCTTCACTGCCTATAAGAATGTTTATAATCTTAAACATGAGGCAGACATGTACGCAAATAGCTTTTAACAGTATGGACTGTAAGTCAGGAAAAGAGAAATGTCCAGCATGAACTGAGAAATGTTCTATGGTAAAGGTAACATTTGTGCCAAAGAACAGTTACAATTTATGAAATGCAAAAATATTGGAGGGACTGGAGAAGAGGCTTTAAGAATTAAAATTAACAATAATGCAAACATTAAGAAATTGTAAGAAAAGTTTTGGAAATAGCAAGCAGACTGGTATAGTTGAAGATTATGTTTCTCACATTTTGTTGTTTCTTGTTTACACACAGGGAAAGCAAGGCACTATGTTGTTGTTGCTAGGATTTTAATATTACAAATATACCACTTCTCATGTTTACCATGTATATGGCTCCTGTGACACCATAGAAATTGTGCCAGGCATGTCACATTTATTTTCTTCCAAGTGGACTTGAAAACAATATAAAGAAAGATGCTGTATCCTCATTATAGAAATGAGTACTCTAAGGCTTAGGTTAAATAATATTCCCAAATCCAAAAGTGAAAGAACTAGGTTTTCACTCCAAATTTGTCTGAACTCTAAACAATGGGTCTGTTTGTTCATAAAGATTTTTCACCAGTTCTTTATACCTTATTTATTTAATTTCAGTAGTCTTGCAGACTAATTTTATAACAGACATTCAGTTTTCTTTGGGAAATCAGGAAATACAGGTTTAAATTTTTGATAAGTAAAACACAGAATGAAACAAACAATCTGAAGTATAATGAATCATTTAAAAAATATATTTTCTTAAGCTAACTGAAATTTTAAAAACAGCAATTTAAATTTTACCTTCAAGGTGAATTATCTAACTTGGACCTAAATTATACCCTGAAACTTGAAAGCATCAACTTTCATCAACTTTTTCTACTTAAAGAGTCAATTTTAAAGATTCTTCACTAACAACTTTTGAACATGAAATATTGACTTTATTTTCTACTTGAGATGTAAAATCATCACTGCTGAAAGTAATAGTAAAAGACATGAATGAATGCAGGATAAAAACATGGAAAATGATGTTGAACCCAAACATAGACCATTAGAATTTCATAATATTGACATGACACAACATAAACTATTAGGAATATAATTGAAATTTCCAAACATCTAGATTTGTTTGACAGAGTCTGCATATTCAAGAGGTCAATAATTTATATGTATAAAAGATGTTTTCAAAAGCCAGCCACACAAAACTGTAATTAAGTTTGTTTGCCTTGATTTTCTTGCAATTACAATGATTAAAGCTCTCAAAACTGTCTGGCTTAGTTTGAACCTTCAAGATGATGGCAACCAATTCTTATACAGTCACTGCTATTTGAAATAAGGACAAAATGTTTTTTCTAATTTAAAACCCAAATACATAACTCAATTGCACAAATATTCATCCTCAGTACTCCACTTGTTATGCAGAAAGGCAATATTAACTTCACTTTAAATTTTCCAGGCTGAGATACACAAAACAGAGATGACGTATATTAAATGCACTCTACTGAATGAAAGTGATAGAATTAAATAAGAGAAAGGGATAGGGGAGTAAGAGGGAGAGAGAGGGAAGAGGAAAGAAACAGAGAGAAACAGATGTAATTTTTTAAATATAAATAAATCTTATCTGGAGAGAAGAGGGGAAAGTCTCTAAGTCCCCTATACTTTGGACTGTAAGCAGATAGTTCCAGGGGACATAAACTTGTACATCTTCCCAGAGATCTCTATCATTAACTGCCAAGGTTTAGTTACCTTGTAGTCATTATTTAACCGAGGTTGCCAGCATTCTGTTCAGCAAATTCTGACAATGCAGAAAAATGAACCTATTCAATCAACATTTTTTCCTGATACGAATATTTTACATGTGACAATATTTAAAGGCTAATTCACACAAAAAATAAAACTATATGTATTAGGATGTAAAGTCTTTTGAATGAAATTCTAAGAATTCACACAAATAGTGTGTTACTATTAGTTTTATGAGAAGAAATTATCCTTTATAAACATGATTTTAATTTAATGAAAATTATTTGAAGCCCATGTTAAATATGCATCATAATTTTAGGAAAAATATTTTTCTGCACAAGTCCTTACATTTGCTCTAGAGATTCTCCAATTGAATATAACTAGAAATATATTTTTATTTGAGCTATGCATTTTTTATTATTTGATCTGATATTTTGTTCTACTCAATGAAGAAAACTGGGTAACTAATTTTTATGTTACCCAGTTAATTTTTATGTTAACCCCCCCAAAAAAATACGCATGACTTGTCATTGATTGTATTAGTGTTTTCACATATTTGTACTTTTCCCTCCCTTAGAATAGGATTGTGCATCCATGTCAATTGTCACTGAAGTAGTGGGGTATATACACTTCCATGCTACTAATTTTGGGTTTGTCCATTTTACTTGCATTGACCAATTATGTGTAAGTGAATATGATCTATGTGACATATGAACAGATGGTTTAAGAGCTACTGAATGTTTATGCCAGTTGTCTTACATTTTCCCTCTTTCATAAAAAAGTATATTGCAAATAGAAGCTACTCCCTCATCCTATAAACAGGAATGAAGGAATTATGTGGCGGGTACCCCCAGGCAACTTATAGCACAAAACAGAGCCACACCCTAAAATAAATGCAGAGCGGAGTCAGAACTAAAATTAGCGAGAAGTAATATTTGTTCTTGTAAGCTGCTGAGGTTTTTGGGTGTGGTTTGTTATCATGACCTATCACAGAAAAACTGATTAACATGTGACTCATTAATATGAAAAGATGTCCCAAACCTTTGGTATTCAGAATTGTAAATTTAAAAAAAAAGCATCAATTTCACAGTGCTACGTTCAGAATGATATAAAATGCTAACATGGACTTTTGAAAAGTTGTAAAGCATAAAGAACTCCTGTCTCACATCTACATCTGGTTAATATTTGTACAATCATTTCAGAAAAGTCTTTACTGAATAATCTTGAACATGTTCATTAACAAAGATTAACAATCTGTTTCTTGATGTTTACGTTGGAGAAATTATTATATATGGACAAGAGAGAAAAAAATAGCCTGTTAAGATTTCCTATATTAAAAAGCATCTATTTCTTTAGCCAAAAATATTAATTTAACTACATAGTGAACATTGAAAGATAAAAAAAAGTTGTTGAACAAAGTCATTTTTATCAAATTGATATTTTATTATTTTATATTCCTTTCTTCTAATCTTTCTGTCTTATTTAAAGGGACATTGATAGCATGAAGAAAAATGTGAGATCCTGGTCATCTTTTCATCATCAGCTACACTAGGTAGTAATTTCTGTGTTTATTATATGTGTGTTTGTAACAAGCCAAAGTAGAAACTGATCATTTTATTTCAAATTGCAATTCATAAGGTAGTGTTTACCACCATCTCCCAGCTAGGTACAAGTTCCACTTAAAGTTGATATGAGAAACAGAAGTTTAATTTGGAGAAAAATGTAAACCTATCTGCCACATAATGCATTCCACTGCAGAAGAGTGTGATAAATGTGTGAATATAAAATATGGTGCTTTGAAAATTATGCTCACAAAACATGAGTTTTCTAGTAAAAATAAGAAAATTGGACAAAATTAAATATAAAAAAATCCATCTGGTTTACTCTTGAAGATGAAGGGTTTTTTTAATTAAATTCAAAAAATGTTTGCTGTTTATAAATATTTTCATTTTTTGAGTGTCAATGATTAGAAATGTAACAGCCGCTGTTGGTTAATAGTTGAAGGGGAGCTTTTTCTCCTGCCCACCCCACTTTTTTTTCGATAGCAAAAGTAGTTTATAAATTTTGGTCAAAGAGGAGTGGAGACTTTCTTTTTCAAAACTCACAAAATGTAACTAAAGAAAGAAAAAAAAAGAGGAGGAAGGATATAACTGTAACTATCTTTAATGAAATGAATGAACAGCCTTAAGCCCAATTACACTCTGACCACACATGATCTGACAATGTATGGGCCAGCTTGTGATCTTCCCCCTTGTTTTTATTCTGTAAGTGCCACATCAACTAGATTTTTTATTCATGAACGTGTTTCAAGTACACAGAATAATGCTTCATACATGATAGACTTTCAAAAAATATTTGTTCAAGGAATAAATAAATGAAAGAAATTTCATCTACTATCTCAAGATAAAACATCCAAAACAAGATTGTCAAAATTAATTATCCTTATTAATATATTTTCATAATTAAAGCATCATTTTAATACTTAGAAATTCAAATAAAATATAACAAAACACCTGAAATTAAAAACAATACTTTTTCATGTGTAATATTTCTGCACAAAGTGAAAATGAAATTCAAGAAATAATTTCTGTTGAAATTGATTTGTACTAATTTTGTCATAATTTAAGTTTGATATATAATTGTAAATATATAATAAATTGTTTGCATTTAATAAATATATATGCATATACATATAAAGACTTATAAATGTGAATTGAATATTCACTACTTAATTTCTTTACAAAATATTTGTATTTAAGTAAGGTAGAATAAGACTGTTACTTGTAATATGCTTTTTTTTAAATTATATTAACATAATATCCATCTTGTGATTCGATCTTTAGAAAATAAGGGAGGTAGAATCATTAGAATCCTGTGGATGAACTATATTTAGTCCTTTAACTACAATGTCTTTTTAAATCAGAAAGAAATAGTATCATAGAATTACATACAGCTACATACTATCAACAACCAATGACTGTGATCTAATGGGTTCTACTATTTCCTTCTATTCCTACCAGCATCTCCCCAAGTTCTTTGACCTTGAAAAGTCCTGGCCTTATGCTTGTTTCAAAGGCAAAAGATGAACAATTATTTAAGAAAAATATCATAGAAAATATATGATTCACTTTATTACAAAAAGGAAAATAAAATACTTACACATAGACACAAATTATCATTTGATTTTGTATTTTACTGTCCAAGAGTGCAACAAATGTTACCCTATCTAGATGACCAGGGTTGCATGCATCAGTACAGCTGTATCAGCAGGTACAGTCAGCCACTGTTCTGATTGGTGTGAGTAAATGCCAGGCTGGTTGTTAAACATTTTCAGTGTCATATCTGCAGATAACTAATATTTTAAAATGTTTTTGAGATAACTGAACCTTCATTGTTCAATCGGGTTCATCGTGTGTATGTATGTATCTAAACATATTTGTTTGAAGGGGTGCTCTAGCCTTTATTAGAAGTATTAAGAAAAGTCACTTATAAAGTAAGGTACTGTAATTTGAGTGCAATAACTGCTTGGAAAATAAACAGATGTAATTGTTTCTAATTCCTAACTATTGCCATTATTACATTTGATCTCTATTTTCTCTCTCTCTCTCTCTCCTTTTTTTTTTTTTTTTGGAACTGCATATTGTGGCAGTGAATAGGCCACTAAGCTTTTAATACATTTTAGTTCTTCATTAGCCGCATATTCTTAAACATAGGCTGTATTGAAAGTAATACTGTAATTGCAAGGTAAGATAAAACAGAAAATCACTGATAGAGCATATCAAAAGAATAAGAGGAGTCATTATGAAATATTAAGCAAGGGACAGATAAGAATTTGAAATGCAACTGTGTCTTGTATTTTCTTCAGGGCAAATTCTTACCTTTTCCTGAGAATGACTTGTTCTGTTGTATTGTGATTATGAGTTTTAATAAAATATGGCATACAAGTAGGTCATAAATCCCAATTTCCATATGACATGTATTTTAAAGTTTAAAATAATTTTAAGAAAAGCAAGTTAGGAAAAATTTTACTGAAGACAAAGGTAACTTGTAATTTAGTTTATATATTCATAAAATATTAAAGGATATTAAGTAAAATTGGGTCCTATTTAAAAGTGCATAATTTTTCCCAGGAACCAGTGAAAGTTGGGAAGTATATATTCCAGTCGAGTAACAAAATAATAAAAGAAATATATTCTGAATACATGTCTGCTATTGCTGGAGAGATGATACAGTTAGAGCTTCACAGGCCCTAGAGGAAAGAGAGAGGAGAGAGAAAACAGACAGTGGAGACTAGCATTGCAACTTTAGCAATTCCACCGCCCAGAAAATATGCATAACCAAGACCAAAAGCCACATTTTGATCCCATGAAAACCTGCCATTCTTAGTATACAGCTCTGGGCACACAGAATGTGCTTCACAAATTCATATCATTGAGTCTCTGACTCAGTAATTTTTTTTATTTAAAAGATGGTTCTATTATGGTATTAAATGAACTTTTAACTTACTATATTTTCAAATCACAATGGGCTTATTGTTGCGTAGCCCCCTGGTATAAATTGAGGAGCATCTGTACCCTTGTTTACAAAAATAAATATTAAAAAAGTATATTTTACATGTAGATATATCATATATACATATTATTTAATATTATTCACAAATGTGTTTTTATAATGGTATGCCTGAAATCACAGCTACAAAGCAAGCAAAGTGGCTGTAACAAAACAGCCAAAAATAAGAGTATAATTTGTTCTGGCTAGAGCCACAATACTGACTTCCCACTTGGAGGAAATCCCCAAGGTTTAAAAGGTTATCAAACACTGTCTTAACCAAATAACATTTTCTAGCTTAAATAAATATAGTAAGTTAAATAGAATTTTAAATATTCTACTTTTAGACTCTTAATTTCCAACCGATAGTGTTTACAACAGATTAAAAGATGATCATAAAGTATAATCAAATCACTACAACTAAAATAGGGAATTGTGAAATAAAAAATATTTTTGAGAACCCAGTAGTACTAAACTTTTTAGTTTTGGGGAAATTTCTCTGTGATGTCTTTCTAAGTAATGAAGTGAGATGTATTTCAAAACTTCTGGTTTTCAATTATAAGATCTATTTTGATGAGACAAGTTACATATTTTAAAACAAATATTCACAATGTAGTATTTTACCAAATAATAAAGGGCTTAAGTGAAAAAACAAAGTAAATTGGCTGTATTAGCTAAAATATACTGCTCTTAGTTGTGTTTTTCAGCTCTGTCAAATCCATTAGGCTCGTTTTTATACCAGCTCTTTCATCATTCAGCTCCTGCATCATGTTATTGTAACTCTTAGTTTCCTTGTATTGGTTTTCACTGTTCTCCTGAATCTCAATGATCTTCATTCCTATCCATATTCTGAATTCTATTTCTGTCATTTCAGCCAGCTCGGCCTGGTTAAGGACCTCTGTTGGAGAACTAATGTGGTCACTGGGGGACCAACAACACTCTGGCCATTTGAGTTACTGGAGTTCTTACATTGGTTATTTTTCATATCTGTGTGTGGGTGTTTTTAAACTGTCTTCAAGAAATTCTTCAAGGGGGTTGGCCAAGATGGCCAACTAGAACAACAGTTCCCAACCCTTTTGGCATTAGGGACTGATTTAAAGGAAGACAGTTTTTCCATGGACTGGGGTGGGGATTGGGGTTGTGGTTTTGAGATTAAACTGTTCCACCTCAGATCGTCAGGCATTAGATTTTCAAATGGAGCACAACCTAGATTCCTCCCATGCACAGTTAACAATAGGGTTCACGCTCCTATGAGAATCTAATGCTGCCAGTGATCTGAGAGGATGCAGAGCTCAGGTGATAATGGTTGCTGGCCTGCTGCTCACCTCCTGCTGTGCAGCCCAGTTTCTAATAGGCCACAGACCATGGAAGAGGTGAGTAAATACAGCACCTTCAACTGAAACATCCAGGTAGGTGCATGCATTGGGACAAACCAAGGAAACAACTTCACCAACAGAGAACGGAGAAAAGCAAGGCAGATTGACAGCCCACCCAAAAAGTGACACAAAGCCAGGGGACCCTCCCTCACTCATAGAAGTGGTAAGTGAACGAGCATCCCCAGGAACCCATGCTTCTCCCACAGATCTTTGCAGCCCTCATGTCAGGAGATCCCCTTGTGAACCCACTCCACCAGGGCATTCAGTCTGACACAAAGCCACATGGAGTCTCAGCAGAGAAGCTGCTCAAGCATGTGCAGAGACCTGGGAACCTTAGATACCTAGGCTTCCCAGCAAAAGCAGCCGTAACTCCAGCAAAGTGGGAGGTTACACCACCATACACACCCCTGGGAAAGGCACTGAATCCTAGGGGCTGAGCAGTGACTGTCTGCAGGTCCTGCTTCCACAGCTCCTAATAGGATAAAACCTGCTGGTTAGGAACTCTAGCCAGTCACCAGTAGCAGTGTTACACCTCCCCAAGACAAAGCTCCCAAGGGGAAGGGTGGGCTACCATTTTTGCTGTTTCACAGCCTCAGCCACTGTTGCATTAGGGCTCTAGAGAATCTGAGGCAACTATGGATTGGAGTGGTCCCCCAACACAGTCCAGCAGCTCTCTCTAGGTGTTCAGACTGCTTATTCACATGGATTCTGACTGGGGTCTCCAGTCACCCACACTAGTATTTTTTGGCTGAGAAGGGTTTCAAATTTGCCTGGGACTGAGTTCCCAGAGGGAGGGACAGGCTGCCATCTTTGCTGTTTGACTGACTTAGCCATTCTGGCCTTTAGGCTTTGGAGAGTCCAACTTGACTGGGGGCTGGAGGAGAACCCCAGCACAGCACTTCTCTACAAAAATGTGCCCAGACTTCTTTTTTAAGTGGGTCCCTGATTTCATTCATCCCCACCAAGAGGGACATCCCAACCAGGGTGTCCAGCTGCCTCCTACAGATGCATTTAGGCTAGCAACAGAACTGTACCTCCCTGGGATAGAGCTCCCAGAGGGAGGGAGGGATCACAGTCTTTGCAGTTTTGAAATCTTCACTGTTGATACCTTCAGGTATTGGAAAATTTGAGGTGACTAGGGACTGGTGTGGACTCCCAGCATAACAGAACAGCCCTACTCTGAGATTGCCCTAGAGCTACAGTGGGAAGCCCATGAGTGCCAAGCCATGATCTACAGCCTGCACTTAAGTTGGACAGAAGCCCAGATTTGCAGAGCATTCAGAGGGAGCAGGGCTGCAAATGTGAGGAAATATAGGTGACCCAAATGACCAAGCAGGAGCCTACGAACTGATCAATACATATAAGTGCCACTTAGTGGATTACACCCTAAAGCTTCAACACTAAAAACACCTCATTAACATATCACCCTGTGAAACCAACAGCAGGAAGTCAGCTACAAATAAAGACCCTGCACAAATTCTCAGCTCTGTGGGAACATCTAGAAGAGATGTCTATTGATGGTACTCAATCTGCACACCAATTAAAAAAAACACCCACACATAGATATGAGAAATAACCAATGTAACAACTCCAGTAACTCAAATGGCCAGAGTGTTGTAGGTCCTCCAAATAACCACATTAGTTTTCCAACAGAGGTTCTTAACCAGGCTGAGCTGGCTGAAATGACAGAAATAGAATTCAGAATATGGATAGGAATGAAGATATTTGAGATTCAGGAGAACAGTGAAAACCAATATGAGGAAACTAAGAGTTACAATAAAATGATACAGGAGCTGAATGATGAAAGAGCTGGTATAAAAAGGAACCTAATGGATCTGACAGAGCTGAAAAACACACAAGAATTTCACAATACAATCAGAATCATTAACAGCAGAATAGACCAAGCTGAGGAAAGAATCTCAGAATTTGAAGACTGGCTCTCTGAAATAAGATAGTCATGCAAAAGTAAAGTAAAAAGAAAGACAAAGATTGAAGGAAACCTCTGAGAAATAAGTGATTATATAAGAAGGCCAAATCTATGAATCATTGGCATCCCTAAAATGAATGGGGAGAAAACAAACAACTTGGAAAACATATTTCAGGATATCATGAAAACTTCCCCAACCTTGCTATGGAAGCCAACAGTCAAATTCAGGAAATACAGAGAACCCCTGCAAGATTCTACACAAGAATATAATCCCTAAGACAAATAATCATCAGATTTACTAAAGTCAAAATGAAAAAAAAAGAATGTTAAAGTGTTAAAGGCAGCTAGAGAGAAAAGGCAGGTCACCTAAAAAGGGAACCCCATCAGGCTAACAGCAGACCTCTCAGCTGAAACACAATCAGCCAGAAAAGACTGGAGGTATATTTTCAACATTCTTAAAGAAAAAATTTTTAAAGAAGAACCAAAAATTTCATATCCAGCCAAACTAAACTGCCTAAGTGAAAGAGAAATAAGACCCTTTTCAGATAAGCAAATGTTGAGGGAGTTTGTTACCAGCAGACATGCCTTCCAAGAGATCTTAAAAGGAGCACTACACATAGAAAGGAAAGACTACTACCAGCTAACACAAAAACACACTTAAAAACACACAGACCAGTGACTCTGTAAAGCAACCACACAAATAATCCAGCATAATAACTAGCTAACAACACAATAACAGGATCAAATTTACAAATATCAATACTTATCTTCAATGTAAATGAGCTAAATGTGCCACTTAAAAGACACAAAGTGGAAAGCTGGAGAAAAAAGTGAGACCCAATGGGATGGTGTCTTCAAGGGACTGATCTCATGTGCAGTGACACCAATAGGCTCAAAATTAAAAAGATGGAGGAAAATCTACCAAGCATATGGAAATCAGAAAAAAATAACAACAGGGGTTGCAATCCTAATTTCAGACAAAACAGACTTTAAACCAACAAAGATAAAAAATGACAAAGAAGGGCATTTCATAATGGTAAGGGGTTCAATTCAACAAGGTGACCTAACTATCCTAAATATATATGAACCCAACAAAGGAACATCCAGATTCATAAAGCAAGTTATTAGAGACAGACAAAGAAACTCAGACTCCCACACAGTAATAGTGAGAAACAACGCTCCACTGGCAGTATTAGACAAATCACTGAGGCAGAAAATTAACAAAGATATTCAAGACCTGAACTTAACATTGGACCAAATGGATCTGAGAAAGCGCTACAGAACTCTCCATCCCAAAACAACAGAATATACATTCTTCTCATCAACACATGGCACATACTCTAAAATTGATCACATAATTGGACATAAAACAATCCTCAGAAAATGTAGAAGAATTGAAATCATACCAAATGCACTCTCGGACCACAGCACAATAAAAATAGAAGTCAAGACAAAAAAATTGCTGAAAACAATGCAATTACATGGAAATAAAATAACATGTTCCTGAAAGACTTTTGGGTAAATAATGAAATTAAGGCAGAAATCAAAAAGTTCTTTGGAAGAAAAGAGAACAACATACCATAATTTGGGGGATATAGCTAAGGTAGTGTTAAGAGGGAAATTTATAGCATTAAATGCCTACATCACAAAGATAGAAAGATCTCAAATTAATAACATAATATCACACCAAAATAATTAGAGAAGCAAGAATGAATCAAACCCAAAGCTAGCAGAAGACAATAAATAACAAAACAACAAAAATCAAAGCTGAAATGGAAGAAATTAAGAAATCAAAAACCATTCTAAATATTAACAAATCCAGGAATTAATTTTTTGAACAAATGAATAAGATAGACTGCTACCTAGACTAATAAAGAAAAAAAGAGAGAAAATATCCAAATTAACACAATTACAAATAACAAAGGGGATGCTACCACTGAACTCACATAAATAAAAATAATCATCAGAAACCACCACCTACACCTCTCTGCACACAAACTACAAAATCTAGAAGAGATTAATAAATTATTGGACACTTACACCTTCCCAAGACTGAACCAGGAAGAAACTGATTTCCTAAACAGACCAATAATGAGCTCCAAAACTGAATCAGTAATAAATAGCTTACCAACCAACAAATGCCCTGAACCAGATGGATTCACAGCCAGATTCTACCAGATGAACAAAGAAGAGTTGGTACAATTTCTACTGAAACTATTCCAAAAATTGAGGAGTAGGGACTCCTCTCCAACTAATTCTATGAGGCCAGCATCATTCTGATACCAAAACCTTACAGCAACAAAACCAAATAAAGAGAAAACTTCAGGCCAATATCCTTAATAAACATTGATGCAAACATCCTCAACAAAATACTTGCAAACTGAATCAAGCAGCACATCAAAAAGTTAATCTATCATGATAAAGTAGGCTTCATACCAGGGATGCAAGGTTGGTTCAGCATACACAAATCAATAAATGTGATTAATCACATAAACAGAACTAAAGAAAAAATCACATGATTATCACAATAAATGCAGAAAAGGTTTGATAAAAGTCAAAATCCCTTCATGTGAAAAACTCTCAATAAACTAGTTATTGAAGAAACATACCTCAAAACAATAAGAGCCATCTATAAAAAACCTACAGCCAACATCATACTGAGTGGGCAAAAGCTGGAAGCACTCCCCTTCAAAACTGGCACAAGACAAGGGTGTCCTCTCTCTCTACTCATATTTAACATAGTATTGGAAGTCCTGGCCAGAGCAATCAGATGAGGGAAATAAATAAACGTCACTGAAATTGGAAGAGAGGAAGTCTACCTATCCCTCTTTGCAGATGACATGATTCTGTATGTAGAAAACCCCATAGTCTCAGCCCAAATGCTCCTCTACCTGATAAACAACTTCAGTAAAGTTTCAGGATACAAAAATAAATGCACAAACCACTAGCATTTCTATACACCAACAAAAGTCAATCCTATAGCCAAATCGGGAACACAATACCATTTACAATTGCCACAAAAAGAATAAAATACCTAGGAATACAATTAGCCAGGTAGTGAAAGGTCTCTACGATGAGAATTACAAAACATTGTTAAATCAGAAATGACACGAACAAATGTAAAAGGTCCCATGGTCGTGGATAGGAAGAAACAATGTTATTAAAATGGCCATATTGCCCAAAGCAATTTATAGATTCAATGTTATTCCTATCAAATTACCAATGGCATTCTTTGCAGAACTAGATAAAAACTACTTTAAAATTCATATGGAACCAAAAAAGAGCCAAGACAATTCTAAGCAAAAAGAACAAAGCTAGAGGCATCACGTTATCCAATTTCAAACTATACTACAGGGCTACAGGAACCAAAACAGTGTTGTACTGGTACAAAAACAGGCACATAGACCAATGGAACAGAATAGGGAGTGCAGAAATAAGGCCATACGCCTATGACCATTTGATCTTAGACAAAACTGACGAAAACTAGCAGCAGGGAAAAAACTTCTCTATTCAATAAATGATGCTGGAATAACTGGCTAGCCATATGCAGAAGATTGAAATAGGACCCCTTCCTTTCTCTAAACACAAAATTCAACTTGAGATGGATTAAAGACTTAAATGTAAAACCCAAATCTATGAAAATTCTGGAAGACAACACAGGTAATACAATCCTGGGCATTGGAATGAGCAAAGATTTCATGACAAAGACACCAAAATAATTGCAACAAAAGCAAAAATTGACTAATGGGATCTAATTAAACTAAAGAACTTCTGTGCAGAAAAAAAAAACTATCAGCTATCTACAGAACGGGAGAAAATATTTGCAAACTATGCATCTGACAAAAGTCTAATATTCAGTATGAATAAAAAACATAAACAAATTTACAAGAGAAAAACTAACAACCCCATTAAAAAGTGGGCAAAGGATATGAAGAGGCACCTTTCAAAAGAAGACACACATGCAGCCAACAAGCTTATGAAAAAAAACTCAATGTCACTAATCATTAAAGAAATGCAAATCAAAACCACAATGAGATACCATCTCCCACCAGTCAGACTAGCTATCATGAAAAAGTCAAAAAATAACAACCACTAGTAAGGTTGTGGAGAAAAGGGAACACTTATACACTGTTGGTGGAAGTGTAAATTAGTTCAACCATTGTGGAATTCTGTATGGTGATTCCTCAAAGAGCTAAAAATAGAAATACCATTTGAACCTGCAATCCTATTACTGGGTATACATCAAGAGGAGTATAAATCATTCTATCATAAAGACACATGCATCTGAATGTTCGTTGCTGCACAAACACATGGAATAAACCTAAATACCCATCAATGACATATTGGGTAAAGAAAATATGGTACATATACACCATGAAATACTATGCAGTCATAAGAAGTAATGTCTTTTGTGGGAACATGGATGGAGCTGGAGGCCATTTTCCTTAGCAAACTAATGCAGAAACAGAAAATCAAATGCTACATGTTATTACTTATAAGTGGTAGCTAAATGATCAGAACTCATGAGCATAAAGAAGGGAAGAGACAATGGGGCCTACTTGAGGGGAGGAGGAGAGAGAGGAGGAGTAAAAACTAACTACTGGGTACTAGGCTCAGTACCTGGGTGATGAAATAATTGGTGCAACAAGCCACTGTGACATGAGTTTACCTCTATAACAAACATACAGTTGTATCCCTGAACTTAAAATAAAAGTTAAGGAAAGAAATTCTCTCATATTTTTAGAAGCACCCTTGATTTTACTTTTTTAAACAAAAAGGAACAAAGCCGGGGAGGTTCCAAGGTGGCCGAATAGGAACAGCTCCAGTCTACAGCTCCCAGCATGAACAACACAGAAGATGAGTCATTTCTGCATTTCCAACTGAAGTACCAGGTTCATCTCACTGGGGCTTGTTGGACAGTGGGTGCAGCCCACCGAGCAGGGCAGGGCATCCCCTCACCCGGGAAGAGCAAGGGGTCAGGGAATTCCCTTTCCTGGCAAAGGGAAGCCATGACAGACAGTACCTGGAAAATTGGGACACTCCCAACCTAATACTGCACTTTTCCAATGGTCTTAGCAAATGGCACACCAAGAGATTATATCCCACACTTGGCTCAGAGGGTCCCACGCCCACAGAGCCTCGCTCACTGCTAGCACAGCAGCCTGAGATCGAACTGCAAGGCAGCAGTGAGGCTGGGGGATGGGCGTCCACCATTGCTGAGGCTTGAGTAGGTAAACAAAGCGGCCGGGAAGCTTGAACTAGGAGGAGCCCAACAAAGTGCAAGGAGGCCTGCCTGCCTCTGTAGACTCCACCTCTGGGGGCAGGGCATAGATGAACAAAAGGCAGCAGAAACTTCTGCAGACTTAAACATCTGTGTATGACAGCTTTGAAGAGAGTAGTGGTTCTCCCAGCACAGAGTTTGAGATCTGAGAATGGACAGACTGCCTCCTCAAGTGAGTCCCTGACCCCCTGAGTAGCCTAACTAGGAGATACCTCCCAGTAGAGACTGACTGACACCTCATACAGCCAGATGCCCCTCTGAGACAAAGTTTCCAGAGGAAGGATGAGGCAGCAACATTTGCTGTTCTGCAGCCTCTGCTGGTGATACCCAGGCAAACAGGGTCTGGAGTGGACTTCCAGCAAACTCCAACAGACCTGCAGCTGAGGGTCCTGACTGATAGAAGAAAAACTAATAAAAAGAAAGGACATCCACACCAAAACCTCATCTGTACGTCACCATCATCAAAGACCAAAGTAGAGAAAACCACAAAGATGGTGAGAAACCAGAGCAGAAAAGCTGAGAATTCTAAAAATCAGAGCACTTCTTCTCCTCCAAAGAACACAGCTCCTTGCCAGCAATGGAACAAAGCTGGACTGAGAATGACTTTGACGAGTTCAGAGGAGAAGGCTTCAGATGATCAGAAATAACAAACTTCTCTGGGCTAAAGGAGGATGTTCAAACCCATTGCAAAGAAGCTAACAATCAAAAATTTCTCTGTGCTAAAGGAGGATATTCGAACCCATTGTAAAGAAGCTAAAAACCTTGAAAAAAGATTAGGTGAATGGATAACTAGAATAAACAGTGTGGAGAAGAACTTAAGTCACCTGAAGGAGCTGAAAACAATGGCATGAAATCTACATGACACATGCACAAGATACAGTAGCCAATTAGATCAAGTGGAAGAAAGGGTATCAGTGATTGAAGATCAAATGAATGAAATGAAGCAAGAAGAGAAGTTTAGAGAAAAAAGAGTAAAAGAAACGAAAAAGCCTCCAAGAAATATGGGACTATGTGAAAAGGCCAAATCTATGTCTGATTGGTGTACATGAAAGTGATGAGAAGAATGGAACCAAGTTGGAAAACACTCTTCAGGTTATTTTCCAGGAGAACTTCCCCAACCTAGCAATGCAGGCCAACATCCAAATTCAGGAAATACAGAGAACAGCACAAAGATACTCCTCGAGAAGAACAACTCCAAGACATGGAATGGTCAGATTCACCAAAGTTGAAATGAGGGAAAAAATGTTAAGGACAGCCAGAGAGAAAGTTTGGGTTACCCCCAAAGGGAAGGCCATCAGACTAACAGCAGATCTCTTGGCAGAAACTCTACAAGCCAGAAGAGAGTGGGAACCAATATTCAACATTCTTAAAGAGAAGAATTTTCAAACCAGAATTTCATACCCAGCCAAACTAAGCTTCATAAGTGAAGGAGAAATAAAATCCTTTACAGACAAACAAATGCTGAGAGATTTTGTAACCACCAGGCCTGCCTTACAAGAACTCCTGAAGGAAGCACTAAACATGGAAAGGAATAACTGGTATCAGCCACTGCAAAAATATGCCAAATTGTAAAGACCATTGAGGCTAGGAAGAAACTGCATCAACTAACGAGCAAACTAACCAGCTAACATCATAATGACAGGATCAAATTCACACATAACAATATTAACTTTAAATATAAATGGACTAAATGCTCCAATTAAAAGACACAGACTGGCAAATTGGATAAAGAGTCAAGACCCATCAGTGTGCTGTATTCAGGAGACCTATCTCACGTGCAGAGACACACATAGGTTCAAAAGAAAGGGATGGGGGAAGATCTACCAAGCAAATGAAAAACAATAAAAAAGCAGAGATTGCAATCCTCGTCTCTGATAAAACAGACTTTAAACCAACAAAGATCAAGAGACAAAGAAGGCCATTACATAATGGTAAAGGGATCAATTCAACAAGAAGAACTAACTCTCCTAAATAAATATGCACCCAACACAGGAGCACCCAGATTCATAAAGCAAGTCCTTAGAGATCTACAAAGAGACTTAGACTCCTACACAATAATAATGGGAGAATTTAACACCCCACTGTCAACATTAGATTGATCAATGAGACAGAAAGTTAACAAGGATATCCAGGAATTGAACTCAGCTCTGCACCAAGCAGATCTAATAGACATCTACAGAACTCTCCACCCCAAATCAATAGAATATATATTCTTCTCAGCACCACATCACACTTATACCAAAATTGACCACATAATTGGAAGTAAAGCACTCCTCAGCAAATGTAAAAAACAGAAATTATAACAAACTGTCTCTTAGACCACAGTGCAATCAAACTAGAACTCAAGATTAAGAAACTCACTCAAAACCACTCAACTACACGGAAACTGAACAATCTGCTCCTGAATGACTACTGGGTACATAAGGAAATGAAGGCAGAAATAAAGATGTTCTTTGAAACCAATGAGAACAAAGATATAACATACCAGAATCTTTGGGACACATTTAAAGTAGTGTGTAAAGGGAAATTTATAGAACTAAATGCCCACAAGAAAAGCAGGAAAGATCTAAAACTGACACTCTAACATCACAATTAAAAGAACTATAGAAGCAAGAGCAAACACATTCAAAAGCTAGCAGAAGGCAAGAAATAACTAAGATCAGAGCAGAATTGTAGGAGATAGAGATGCAAAAAAATCATTCAAAAAATCAATGAATCCAGGAGCTGGTTTTTTGAAAAGATCAACAAAATTGATAGACCACTAGCAAGACTAAGAAAGAAGAAAAGAGAAGAATCAAATAGACACAATAAAAAATGATAAAGGGGATATCACCCCTGATCCCACAGAAATACAAACTACCATCGGAGAATACTATAAACACTTCTGAACAAATGAACTAGAAAATCTAGAAGAAATGGATAAATTCCTCGACACATACACCCTCCAAAGACCATACCAAGAAGAAGTTGAATCCCTGAGTAGACCAATAACAGGCTCTGAAATTGAGGCAATAATTAGTAGCCTATCAACCAAAAAAAGTCCAGGACCAGATGGATTCATGGTGGAATTCTACCAGAGGTACAAGGAGGAGCTGGTACCATTCATTCTGAAACTATTCCAATCAATAGAAAAAGAAGGAATCCTCCCTAACTTATTTTATGAGGCCAGCATCATCCTGATATCAAAGCCTGGCAGACACAACAAAAAAAGAGAATTTTAGACCAATATCCCTGATGAACATCGATGCAAAAACCCTCAATAAAATACTGGCAAAGCCAATCCAGCAGCACATCAAAAGGCATATCCACGACGATCAATTTGGCTTCATCCCTGGGATGGAAGGCTGGTTCAACATACATAAATCAATAAATGTAATCCATCATATAAACAGAACCAAAGACAAAAACCACATGATTATCTCAATAGATGCAGAAAAGGCCTTTGACAAAATTCAACAGCCCTTCATGCTAAAAACTCTCAATATTCTAGGTATCGCTGGGATGTATTTCAAAATAATAAGAGCTATCTATGACAAACCCACAGCCAATATCATACTGAATAGGCAAAAACTGGAAGCGTTCCCTTTGAAAACTGGCACAAGACAGGGATGCCCTCTGTCACCACTCCTATTCAACATAGTGTTGGAAGTTCTGGCCAGGGCAATCAGGCAGGAGAAAGAAATAAAGGGTATTCAATTAGGAAAAGAGGAAGTAAAATTGTTCCTATTTGCAGATGACATGATTGTATATTTAGAAAACCCCATCATCTCAGCCGAAAATCTCCTTAAGCTGATAAGCAACTTCAGCAAAGTCTCAGGGTACAAAATCAATGTGCAAAAATCACAAGCATTCCTATATACCATTAACAGACCAACAGAGAGCCAAATCATGAGTGAACTCCCATTCACAATTGCTACAAAGAGGATAAAATACCTAGGAATCCAACTTACAAGGGATGTGAAGGACCTCTTCAAGGAGAACTGCAAAGCACTGCTCAACGAAATAAAAGAGGACACAAACAAATGGAAGAACATTCCATGCTTATGGATAGGAAGAATCAATATTGTGAAAATGGCCATACTGCCCAAAGTAATCGGTAGATTCAGTGCTATCCCCATCAAGCTACAAATGACTTTCTTCACATAATTGGAAAAAACTACTTTAAAGTTCATATGAAACCAAAAAAGAGCCCCTATAGCCAAGACATTCCTAAGCAAAAAGAACAAAGCTGGAGGCATCATACTACGTGACTTCAAACTATACTACAAGGCTATAGTAAACAAAACAGCATGGTAATGGTACCAAAACAGAGATATAGACCAATGGAACAGAACAGAGACCTCAGAAATAACGCCATACATTACAACCATCTGATCTTTGACAAACCTGAAAAAAACAAGAAATGGGGAAAGGATTCCCTATTTAATAAATGGTGCTGGGAAAACTGGCTAGCCATATGTAGAAAGCTTAAACTGGATCCCTTCCTTAACACCTTATACAAAAATTAATTCAAGATTGATTGAAGTCTTAAATGGTGGACCTAAAACCATAAAAACTCTAGAGGAAAACCTAGGCAATACCATTCAGGACTTAGGCACGGGCAAAGACTTCATGACTAAAACACCAAAAGCAATGGCACAAAAGCCAAAATAGACAAATCTGATCTAATTAAACTAAAGAGCTTCTGCATAGCAAAAGAAACTACCATCAGAGTGAACAGGCAACCTACAGAATGGGAGAAAATTTTTACAATCTACTCATCTGACAAAGGGCTAATATCCAGAATCTACAAAGAACTTAAATAAATTTAGAAGAAAAAATCAAACAACCCCATCAAAACGTGGGCAAAGGATATGAACAGACATTTCTCAAAATAATATGTTTATGCAGCCAACAGACACATGAAAAAATGCTCATCATCACTGACCATCAGAGAAATGCAAATCAAAACCACAATGGGATACCATCTCACACCAGTTAGAATGGTGATCATTAAAAAGTCAGGAAACAACAGGTGCTGGAGATGATGTGGAGAAATAGGAACACTTTTACACTGTTGGTGGAACTGTAAACTAGTTCAACCATTGTGAAAGACATTGTGGCGATTCCTCAGGGATCTAAAACTAAAAATACCATTTGACCCAGCCATCCCATTACTGGGCATATACCCAAAGGATTATAAATCAAGCTACTATAAATACACATGCACACGTATGTTTATTGTGACACTATTCACAATAGCGAAGACTTGGAACCAACCCAAATGTCCATCAATGATAGACTGGATTAAGAAAATGTTTCACATATACACCATGGAATACCATGCAGCCATAAAAAAGGATGAGCTCATGTCCTTTTAGGGACACGGATGAAGCTGGAAACCATCATTCTCAGCAAGCTATCGCAAGGACAGAAAACCAAACACAGCATGTTCTCACTCATAAGTGGGAATTGAACATTGAGAACACTTGGACACAGGGTAGGGAACATCACACACCAGGGCCTGTCATAGGGTGGGGGGAGCGGGGAGGGATAGCATTGGGAGATATACCTATTGTAAATGACGAGTTAACGAGCGCAGCACACCAACATGGCACATGTATACATATATAACAAACCTGCACGTTGTGCACATGTACCCTAGAACTTAAAGTGTAATAAAAAAGGAGCAAAACCCTGAAATATTTAGCATTTTTCATTTATTTACAAAAGAATAGTCAGTTTAATTGCATGCAGAAATAAATTATTCTAAATTATACATGATTTACCAGATTGAGCAGACACATTCTTTCACTTACATAAGCCAAAATATTGCATTAGGTATTAAGTAATACATGTCTTTATTATAACTCATGGAACCACCTTTGCAATCATGGTCAAACCAGATATATCAACAGATTTACTCAAAATATTTTATCTATGAGCTTATATATAAACAGATTTCCCAGGTTTGAGGAAACTCCTTTGGACCAAATCCCTGCCTGGATAATCTCACAAGGTCCTGATTCTCTGTCGTTAACTTAAAATTTAATGCTAATTAGCTACACAGTGATATTATAATATAGTTATACAAGGGTATCATCTGTAAAAAGTGGACATTGAATTTTCAGAGCTAAGCATCTTATTATTTAACATTAATAAGATATTTAGCATCAAGGCCTTTGGCAATGATCTTCATTACTATCTTTGTGGTTGTAGGTCTATGTAAACCATTTGGCGTTTACTCTGGATGCTGAAATACTTAAATTTGCTTCCTCTTGTTGCCATTATATAGTTTATCATATTATATTAGAGGAATGACATGAAAATAAATCAGGTTTAGATAGTAAATGGCATTGAAATTTATAATAATATTAGACAATGACAAGATAAGTATCTTAATTCATTTGAATTTGTAGGAAATGGGAATGGTTGTCTTATAATTTATTCACTAGAAAGGACTCATTTCTACTAGTATAAGCCAAGTTTTGATTATCTATATACACATCAGGCAAGAATAGATGCTTTCAAATTCGTGGCAAGAGGCAACTTTGTTGTCAGGTTTGGCTGCCTTGTCCTTTAAAAGGCAATACAACATATTGCAAGTCAGGACTTTGGAATTCATTAGTTAAACCCTCAGAGATGAAGGATTAGATCCAACAATTGAAACAGTAGAAATAGCTCTAACATTTCAATATGAAATGTATATAGGATCAAGAAATATATTAAATTTCCTGCACAAAAACCTAGTTGGATTAAATTCTGTCCTATAATAAATAACAACACTTTACTCAAAATTGATTTTTTAAAATATATTTCCACTTACAGGTGAATTTGACTGTATTTTTTCAGCTGACTTTGCTTCTGTTTATGAAACAGCACAGCTTTCAGGATACTTTTAAGGGGAAATTAATGCTTTTAGCTGTGTGTATTTGGATGACTCAGCAAAAATATTGCGAGTTGATGACACCTTCTGGAGCTCAAAGTATTTAATGATGTCTTCTAATCTCTTGGCAAGAGAAAGAATAACTAAATGTTTTCCTAAAGTAACAACATATGAAAGTAAAAGATGGCTCTCTATTGTAATGTCCATTCAGATATACTTCTGTTTTTTGTTTATAACTAAAAAATATCACCATTTTTAAAGGTTTATAATCTACCTACAAGTATTGGATATTGAAGAAACAGTTCCCTGCACAGCAAAATTATATACGCACTAAAGATGTTATTTTATTTTACAAATAAATGAGTCATTAAAAAAAGGTTCATATCTCATAAATGTTTACTTTAGATTTTGATTACTATTAATCCAACATGCCAGAAAGTTGAGTGTATTTGCTTAAATATTTTGTCAATATTCATCACCTCTTGAAAACTGATATGTCAAAGAATAAAACATCCATAGTGCTTTACTTTGACACTTTTGAATTATATGTGAGTCATGTGTGGTGACTACTTTTAAAGATTGGAGAAGCATTGTTTATAGCCCCACCTAGAAAATGTAATGGCAGTCAACTTCTATATTAAATTACTTCTATATTAAACTACTCTCCTACTCAAAGTGCCATGTCTATTTGCTCTAAGTTTGGTTTCATTTATTCATTATTTCATTAAGCATGTATTTAATACTTAAATGGAAAAGAATACTGACAGAGCACTTAGGAATGTGTGTGGCTAATGCTTTCCTGCAGGGATAAGGAGAGTAAAAGGTAAGTCATGTTTTTATGGGAGACTTTCCAGATTGAATAGAAGAGAAAGAGTTAGCTCTATAAAGAAAAAATGGTCATGGAACAACTTGGAGAGCGTAAGCTACGAGGAGACATGCTGGAAAAGATGGGAAAATAAATGTCTAAGATGAATAAGGATTAAGAGATTAAATTCTGTTTCTTGAAACTTAATCGCCATTTTCTCTATTATTTTATTAGTAGCAACTGATTCAGGGCTTTGAGAGGAGGAATAGAAGGTGACAGGATTCATATTTTCTTTTTCCTCATTTTTTATATATTTTTAAAATAATAGATTCCTAGAAGCTGTGTGAAGGATATAGAATAGTTAAGAGATTTGTCAAAAGGAAAAGTGGGGCCAACTTCCATGGCTCATGCCTGTAATCCCAGCACTTTAGAAGACCAAGGCGGGCAGATCACTTGAGGTCAGGAGTTTGAGACTAGCCTGGCCAAGCTGATGGAGCACCGTCTTTACTAAAAATACAAAAATTAGCCGTGGTGGTGACACGTGCTTGTAATCCCAGCTACTTGGGAGGCTGAGGCAGGATAATTCCCTGAACTTGGGAGGTGGAGGCTGCAGTGAGCTGAGATTGTGCCACTGCACTCCAGCCTGGGCAACAGAGAGAGACTCTGTTTAAAAAAAGAAGAAAGAAAGAAAAAGAAGAGAGAGAGAGACAGAAAGAAGAAAGAAAGAAAGAAAGAAAGAAAGAAAGAAAGAAAGAGAGAGAAAGAAAGAGAAAGAAAGAAAGAGAGAGAAAGAAAGAAAGAGAGAGAAAGAAAAGAAGGAAGGAAGGAAAAGAAAGAAAGAAAGAAAGGAAAAGAAAGAAAGAAAGAGAAAGAAAGAAAGAGAGAGAAAGAAAGAAAGAGAGAGAAAGAAAAGAAGGAAGGAAGGAAGGAAAAGAAAGGAAAAAGAGAGAGAGAGAAAGAGAAAGAAGGAAAGAAAAAGTAAGAAAGAAAGAAAAAGAGGAAGGAAGGAAAGGAGGAAGGGAGGGAGGAAGGGGAAGGGAAGGAAGAAAGGGAAGGAAGGGAAGAAAGGAAAGGAAGAGTGAACTGTAGAACTCTTACCTGGGTAAAGCAAGGAGATTCTGGAAACAGAAACATTGTTAGTAGAATGTAGCCCTTTTTTCTCCTGTCTCAATTTTAATCTATTTGCTTCTCTTGAGCCAAGAAGCCTCAGGTTCTGTTTCAAACCAGCAGGAAGAAGTATTGTGGGGCTTTTAGCACTGTCGTGGAAACCTCATATAACACTCAGAGATGTACCAATAGAACATGAGGCTAGGGTATGATCTGGTTTCAAATAAAATGTTTGGAAAAAGAACTAGATTACTTGACATGAACAAACAAAAATAAACCCGTAAAGGATATTAAATGTTGTAGACAGAATGAGGAACTGTAAGACAGAGATAATGTTGCCATGAGGCAAAAGAAGAGTTGATCCAGAATGAATCGATGCTTGATATTTGAAGATACAGAAGAGTATACACAGGAAAGGGCCATGGGATTCAGCAGACAGAACATTTTGCCAGACAGTAAAAGATGTTTCAATGGAGAGTCAGGGACTACCTTGATACTGAAGCAACTGAAAGATGAGAAATGAAAGAGTGAATATATATTACATATTTCAATAAATTTGGAAGTAAATTGGAAGTAATGGGTAAGGTGATCTTAAGCCAGACAGAATAGAATGATTTTGGAATTATAGCTGAGAGAAATTGGAACTTGTTTTGAGCTAAAATGTGAGAGAAAGAAGGTAGTGATGTTTAAAACCAGTTGTATACTTGGCCTTAAAAGGCTAAATATTTACATTAAGACGTGTTAAAGCACCTAAATTCTCCATCTCATACTCCCATAGACAATAAATGAAATCAATAAAAAGTATATATACTTGTTGCTAGTAGGGAATATATACTGAAAATAACTTTAAAAAATGTGTGTGTTTGTTTTCCCACTAAGAATTTTAAGAATATAATTTACAGTCACTTCATAAGAGATATGAAATTTCATACATGCAAATCTCATCTTTCATCAAAAGATTTTTTCAGGAAACAGACATGCACCATATTATTGAAAATGTTAAAGATTTTCTGTTAATTTCTTATGTTGGACTGAAGACAAATGTTTTATTTTCACTTGACAACAAAGATCCTTCAAACAAAATATGTATATATAGTTTTTTAAATTAAATTACCTTTTCCCAAAGAGAATGGAATAGTCATTTTATTTTATGGGAGAATATTTTTCACATCCTAGTTGGTGATTGACTCATAATAAATGGTAAGTGTAGCTTAAATACATATTTCTTAACATGAGCCGAATGAAAACTATTTTTTTAAAGATTAAGTACAGGGATTCTCCCTGTCATTTATTTCAAAGAGTATTTTATAACATTTGTTATGCACAATGAAAATACAAACTTAATGCTTATGTTCTTTGACAAAGGGTAATCCTTTAAACTGCTTCAATAACTACCATTCACATTGTCCCTCAAGTTTATATGAGTTTAAAATATGATAAACACTTCAGTTGTAACTGAATTTTTTACCTGTGATTGATGGGTTTGAAATTCTGCCTAATGAAATCTTACTTACATTGAAAGAAAATAATGTAGTTAAGTAGCATTATCTCCAATTCTCTGTACCTCCTAACATGCTCCAAATTATAGCATTTAAAAAACTAAGAACTTCTTTTTACCCTGAGGAACTGAAAGAGTTGCCTTAATGGAAGTTAGATTATTTTCATCAGTAAAAAGTAATTAATTGATGTGATATGTTTGGGAGGAAGCAGGCAAGCGTGATATATTTCACTTACTAATTTTTTAGTTGCTTTTATTGTTTTGGAAACAGTTTTACAAAGAAATTCTGAATAACATGTACAATAAAAACCAATATGCTATATGTTGAATCCTTTTCTTTTCCTCACCTCTAAGTGGCCCTAAATGCAAGGAGATGATAGTGGCACAAAGAGAAAATCAAGCAGCTGACTCATGGATGGCTCTGACTCTTCTACCTAGAGCCGAGGAACAAAGATTTCTGTTTTTCTCATTTGTGCTTCCGGATTTCTGGAATTCCATTTCAAGCAGCCATGAATTAGACTAATAATAACTGGCTTTAATTACTACAAGATATATTACATCATGCTAATGAGAGTCAGTGCTATAAGAAGCAAGTCAACAGGATGCAGACATTTTCTGTTTTCTTCTCTAAAACATGTAAACCTAAGTTTATTTTGAAATATTCAGAAAACATGTTTATTTAATTTCATGTGATTTTCATCATTATATATCAATTATTAGAAGACCATATCCTTTTACCAGGGCCAGCAGAGTGGAGCATGCCCAGTGCAGCTGGACCAAGATCTTTAATTCAGCCTAACCACATTTCCTGATATCTTGAAATATCTTTACTATCCTGGGAAAAGAATATAATCCACATCTAAATTCGGAAGAATTTCTATTTCTTTTGTCTTTCTCACCTCAAGTCTATTTCTTCCTTTTCTTATGTTTTAAGTTTCTTCTAAGTTTACTTCTTCTTTACTTGTGCAGTTTCTTCTGAATTTACTACTTTAACTCTGTCTACTCTTTAGCAGGTAAAGTTGGTATCCCTTTGAGAGGTGACAACATGCTAGCAGCCCTTGCTCGCTCTCAGCACCTCCTGAGTCTCGGCGTCCACTCTGGCCACGCTTGAGGAGCCCTTCAGCACACTCCTGCACTGTGGGAGCCCCTCTCTGGGTTGGCCAAGGTTGGAGCTGGCTCCCACTGCTTGCAGGGTGTGAAGGGAGAGGCGCAGGTGGGAACCGGGGCTGCGCATGGCATTTGTGGGCCAGTGCGAGTTTGCCACCAGCCCTGGGCAGTGAGGGGCTTAGCACCCAGGCCAGCAGCCATGTAGGGGGTGCCGGGTCCCCCAGCACTGCCGGCCTGCCTGCGCCATGCTCAAATTCTCACCGGGCCTCAGCTGTCTCCCCACAGGACAGGGCTCGGGACCTGCAGCCCACCATGCCTGAGCCCCCTGGCGGTGGGCTCCCGTGCAGCCTGAGCCTCCCCAACAGGTGCCACCCCCTGCTCTGAGGTGCCCAGTCTGCCCATCAACCACCCAAGGGCTGAGGAGTGCAGGCCCACAGAGCGGGACCAGCACGCAGCTCTGCCCACAGCCCTGGTGCAGGATCCACTAGGCAAAGCCAACTAGGCTCCTGAGTTGGGTGGGGACTTGGAGAACTTTTATGTCTAGCCAGAGGATTGTATATGCACCAATCAGCACTCTGTGTCTAGATTGGGGTTCGTGGATGCACCAATCAGCACTCTGTATCTAGCTAATCTGGTGGGGACTTGGAGAACTTTTATGTCTAGCTAAAGGATCGTACATGCACCAATCAGCACCCCGTGTCTAACTCAAGGTTTGTAAATGCACCAATCAGCACTCTGTGTCTAGCTCAAGGTTTGTAAACACACCAATCAGCACCCTGTGTCTAGCTCAAGGTTTGTAAATGTGCCAATCAGTGCTCTGTGTCTAGCTAATCTAGTGGGGACTTGGAGAACTTTTACGTCTAGCTAGAGGATTCTAAATACACCAATCAGCACTCCATGTCTATCTCAAGGTTTGTAAATGCACCAATCAGCACCTTGTCAAAACGAACCAATCAGCTCTCTGTAAAATGGACCAACCAGCTCTCTGTAAAATGGGCCAATCAGCAGGGTGTGGGTGGGGTCAGATAAGGGAATAAAAGCAGGCTGCCTGAGGCAGCAGAGGCAACCTGCTCAGGTACCCTTCCACATTGTGGAAGCTTTGTTCTTTTGCTCTTTGCAATAAATCTTGCTGCTGCTCACTTTTTGGGTCTGCACTGCCTTTATGAGATGTAACACTCACCGCAAAGGTCTGTAGCTTCACTCCTGAGGCCAGTGAGACCATGAACCCACCAGAAAGAAGAAACTCCAAACACGTCCAAACATCAGAAGGAACAAACTCTGGAAACACCATCTTTAAGAATTGTAACACTCACTGCAAGCGTCCGTGGCTTCACTCTTGAAGTCAGTGAGACGAAGAACCCACCAATTCCGGACACACCTTCACCTTCTTCTGTATCACAAATTTTTCTCAAGTCACTATTTCCCACTCGTCCCTATATACCAAATATATATTGTCTCCGAACTGTGACAGAAAAAATTTAAAAGAAAGCTTAAAATAATGTTGGAAATATTAGTCTAATACAGAAGTAAATAAAGAGAAGAAAAGGAAGAGAAATAATGTATCTTCCAGAAATTTGTGATATAATTATTATCTGGAGCCATGTGGACTAATTTTATTTTAGAAAAAGACAAATCAACATCGTGGGCTTTTTATAAAAGGTTAAAATATTTAGTGGGAAAAATATTTATTAAGGAATATGAATGGTATAGCTTTTATACTATGAAATCTTGAATCAGGACAATGTATACTAGAACTGTTTGTAAGTGAACCTAAATTATGAGCATAACTTTTATGGCTTTTAAAAGGTTAGAATATAATCCCAATACAATCCCAAACCCACTAACCTAAGTGTCTAATGTTTTGCTGTCTGTCATGCAGACATTCAATAAGCAATGTTTTGAAACTCTGATTATCTCATATATTTTTCTAACTATTTATATAAGTATAAAACATATGTGACTATCCCAAACATTGTGTAAGGCACTAGAAATGACAGGCAGTTTTTCAGTTTTTTTAGACCTCAATAATTAATCTCTGTCTGCTTCACAGTACTTGAGTATGACAATTTTCCTATCAAGGAAAAACATGATAAATACCTAAATATTCATATATATGCACCAATGTACCTTGAGAAATATATGCATAGCAGATAACACTTTTTAAAAATATACTGTACTGGTAAATCATTGTAGCATTTGTTAAATGATTGTAATCCATGAAATTTCAAAAATGTCATAAGACATAGTTCTTTTCTGTTACTTGTTTACTTGTGATCCTTTAGCCATATGATTAAGGAATTAATCATGCAATCTCTTATTTTAACCAGTGTTTTCTTTCTTAAAATCTTGTTTTTGATTATTTCTGGTAGTTGACAAAATTATTTTTCAAATATAATTAATTCTCTATGTTCCTCTCCCTCTCCTCCTCTTCTAGGATGTTTTGAACCCAAAATGGATACTTCATGTTTTATATCTTCTACTTTTTAAATATATATTATACTTTTTTATCCCTTTCTGTCACCTTTTTAACATTCCTGTTTGACCACTTACCTTGCTGATTTGTTTCTTACATATTTATACTACTCTTTGACTCATATGTGTGGTACTTTATTTTAAATAACTTTCTGTATTGTGTTATCTTGAGGCTTTTTAATTATTACTTATTCTTGTTGGTTACTGCTAACAGCCTCCCTTATTTCTTTAAAATTTTATTGTGTTTATTTCTAGTTCTAGATCTGTCTTTTCCATTACTTTTGGTTGACTTGATATATGTTCCCTCTCCATTGTATTGATTTTTTTCTTTTGAACTATTATTTGAAGTGGTTATATTCTTCAAATATCTATTTATTTGACCTCTAAGTTTATTCTTCTCTGGTTATCATCTACTTGGCTCAGTAGTGTGTCCTGTGGGGGAAAAAATAATACAAGGTCCTGATCTCTACTAATCCAGTGGTTTGAGAAAAGTAAATGGTACGAAGCCTAGGATAGAGAGCTTTGAGCACCACAAAACTACTACTAATCATTCCCTTTGGTTGTCAACTTAGACACATACTTCAATTAAAATATCTCATCCAGAAAACTTTAAAAGAAGCAGAATCTGGAAAAGGCAGTTAAATCTGAGGATTTTGACATTAATTTCAAAACTTGTTTTCTTTGAGTATAGAATTTGAGCTTGACAATTTTTTTATTACTGCTTTTAATCCTGTTTTTTTAAATTAGTAGTATTATAGTGATCCTATTTCATTGTTTTCTGCTTGCCTAGACTCTAATAAAACGTATGCTGTAATTCTTACAATTATAACTTTGCATGCAGTATGATATTTTTTCCTCTGGCTGTTTTTAAGATTTTTCTCATAACTGATTTTAAGCAATTTTACTTTGTTGTCCCTTGGTTTTAAATTATTTAAATTTCTTCTTCTTGGGTTTGTTGAACTTCTGACATTTGTGAAGTTATAATTTTTGTCAAGCTGGGGAAAATATTAGTCATCAGTCCTAAAATATTTTTCCTGCAACCCCCTCCATTTGAGCCTTCAGGTACACATACAACACTTCATATTGCCACACATCTAAGTCTCTGTTTGTATTTCTTTAGCTTTTTTAATCCTGAGCTTTATTTTGAATAAGTTCTATTGCCATGCTTTATGCTCAGTGATCTTTTACTATTCAGACTAATCTTCTGTTAACCTCGTTATTTTGTACAGATTGCATTTTACATTTTTTTCCAATTTTTCAACTACTGTCCTCATCAATGCCTCCACTTTCAGTAAATCTTTATGCTGACAGATATTGTTCTTCCAACCTCACAAGCCCACCAGCAGTTTAGAGCTAAGATTTTTACATATAGACAGCTTCTTGCGTGAAGAGTAGTATTTTTTGTGTAGGTAGGATTTTTCTCCTTTAGGTGTAGAATTGTGTGTGTGTGTGTGTGTGTGTGTGTGTGTGTGTGTGTGCTTAGTTAATATTTGTTTAATGAATGACTAAACACAAAAGCACTTGGCAGGTAATTTAGAGATTTTATTTTTTATTATTATACTTTAAGTTCTAGGGTACATGTGCACAACGTGCAGGTTTGCTACATAGGTACACATGTGTCATGTTGGTTTGCTGCACCCATCAACTCATCATTTACATGAGGTATTTCTCCTAATGTTATCCCTCCCCTAGACCCCCACCTCCTGACAGGCCCTGGTGTGTGATGTTCCTCACCCTGTGTCAAGTGTTCTCATTGTTCAATTCCCACCTATGAGTGAGGACATATGGTGTTTGGTTTTCTGTCCTTGAGATAGTTTGCTGAGAATGATGGTTTCCAGCTTCATCCGTGTCTCTGCAAAGGACATGAACTCATCCTTTTTATGGCTGCATAGTATTCTATGGTGTATATGTGCCACATTTTCTTAATCCAGTCTATCATTGTTGGACATTTGGGTTGGTTCCAACTCTTTGCTATTGTGAATAGTGGTGCAATAAACATATGTTTGCAGTGTCTTTATAGTAGCATGATTTATAATCCTTTGGGTATATACCCAGTAATGGGATGGCTGGGTCAAGTAGTAATTCTAGTTCTAGATCCTTGAGGAATAGCCACAGTGTTCCACAATAGTTGAACTAATTTACACTCCCAACAGTGTAAAAGCGTTCCTATTTCTCCACATCCTCTCTAGCCTCTGTTGTTTCCTGACTTTTTAATGATTGCCATTCTAACTGGTGTCAGATGGTATCTCATAGTGGTTTTGATTTGCATTTCTCTGAAGACCAGTGATGAAGAGCACTTTTTCATGTGTCTGTTGGCTGCATAGATGTCTTCTTTTGAGAAGTGTCTGTTCATATGCTTTGCGCACTTTTTGATGGGGTTATTTGTTCTTTTCTTGTAAATGTGTCTGAGTTCTTTGTAGATCCTGGATATTAGCCCTTTGACAGATGGGTAGATTGCAAAAATTTTCTCCCATTCTGTAGGTTGCCTGTTCACTCTGATGGTAGTTTCTTTTGCTATGCAGAAGCTCTTTAGTTTAATTAGATCAGATTTGTCTATTGTGGCTTTTGTTGCCATTGCTTTTTGTGTTTTAGTCATGAAGTCCATTCACATACCTATGTCCTGAATGGTACTGCCTAGGTTTTCTTCTAGGGATTTTATGGCTTTAGGTCTAACATTTAAGTCTTTAATCCATCTTGAATTAGCTTTTGTTTAAGGTGTAAGGAAGGGATCCAGTTTCAGCTTTCTACTTATGGCTAGCCAGGTTTCCCAGCACCATTTATTAAATAGGGAATCCTTTCCCCATCTCTTGTTTTTGTCAGGTTTGTCAAAGATCAGATGGTTGTAGATGTGTGGTGTTATTTCTGTGGGTTCTGTTCTGTTCCATTGGTCTATATCTCTGTTTTGGTACCAGTACCATGCTGTTTTGGTTACTATAGCCTTATAGTATAGTTTGAAGTCAGGTAGTATGATGCCTCCAACTGTATTCTTTTTGCTTAGGATCATGTTGGCTATAGGGGCTCTTTTTTGGTTCCATATGAACTTTAAAGCAGTTTTTTCCAATTATGTGAAGAAAGTCATTGGTAGCTTGATGGGGATGGCATTGAATCTATAAATTACCTTGGGCAGTATGGCCATTTTCACGATATTGATTCTTCCTATCCATGAGCATGGAATATTCTTCCACTTGTTTTTGTCTTTTATTTTGTTGAGTGGTGCTTGGTAGTGCTCCTTGAAGGGGTCCTTCTCATCCCTTGTAAGTTGGATTCCTAGGTATTTTATCCTCTTTGTAGCAATTGTGAATGGGAGTTCACTCGTGATTTGGCTCTCTGTTTTTCTGTTAATAGTGTGTAGCAATGCTTGTGATTTTTGTACATTGATTTTATATCCTGAGACTTTCCTGAAGTTGCTTATCAGCTTAAAGAGATTTTGGGCTGAGATGATGGCATTTTCTAAATATACAATCATGTCATCTGCAAACAGGGACAATTTGATTTCCTCTTTTCCTAATTGAATACACTTTATTTCTTTCTCTTGCCTGATTGCCCTGGCCAGAACTTCCAACACTGTGTTGAATAGGAGTGGTGAGAGATGGCATCCTTGTCTTGTCCCAGTTTTCAAAAGGAATGCTTCCAGTTTTTGCCCATTCAGTATGATTTGGCTGTGGGTTTGTAATAAATATATCTTATTATTTTGAGATAATATATTCCATCACTACCTATTGAGAGTTTTTAGCATGAAGGGCTGTTGAATTTTGTCGAAAGCTGTCCTGCATCTATTGAGATAATCATGTGGTTTTTGTCATTGGTTCTGTTTATGTGATCTATTACGTTTATTGATGTGCGTATGTTGAACAAGCCTTGCATTCCAGGAATGAAGCCAACTTGATAGTGGTGGATAAGCTTTTTGATGTGATGCTGGATTTGGCTTGCCAGTATTTTACTGAAGATTTTTGCATCAATGTTCATCAGGGATATTGGTCTAAAATTCTCTTTTTTTGTGTGTCTCTGCCAGGCTTTGGTATCAGGATGACTCTGGCCCAATAAAATGAGTTAGGGAGGATTCCCTCTTTTTCTGTTGATTGGAATAGTTTCAAAAGGAATGGTACCAGCTGCTTTTGTACCTCCGGTAGAATTCGGCTATGAATCTATCTGGTCCTGGACTTTTTTTGGTTGGTAGGCTATTAATTATTGCCTCAGTTTCAGAGCCTGTTATTGGTCTATTCAGGGATTCAACTTCTTCCTGGTTTAGTCTTGGGAGGGTATATGTGTCGAGGAATTTATCCATTTCTTCTAGATTTTCTACTTTGTTTGCATAGATATGTTTTTGTCAGTTTTAGATCTTTCCTGCTTTCTCTTGAGGGCATTTAGTGCTATAAATTTCCTCCTACACACTGCTTTAAATGTGTCCCAAAGATTCTGGTATGTTGTATCTTTGGTCTCATTGGTTTCAAAGAACATCTTTATCTCTGCCTTCATTTTTTTATTTACCCAGTAGTCATTCAGGAGCAAGTTGTTCTGTTTCCATGTAGTTATGTGGTTTTAAGTGAGTTTCTTAATCCTGAGCTCTAATTTGATTGCACTGTGGTCTGAGAGACAGTTTGTTGTGATTTCTGTTCTTTTACATTTGCTAAGGAGTGCTTTACTTCCAATTAAATGGTCAATTTTAGAATAAGTGTGATGTAGCACTGAGAAGAATGTATATTCTGTTGATTTGGGGTGAAGAGTTCTGTAGATGTCTATTAGGTCTGCTTGTTGCAGAGCTGAGTTCAGGTCCTGGATATGCTTGTTAACATTCTGTCTCATTGATCTGTCTAATATTGACAGTGGGGTGTTAAAATCTCCCATTGTTATTCTGTGGGATTCTAAGTCTCTTTTTAGGTCTCTCAGGACTTGCTTTATGAATCCGGGTGCTCCTGTATTGGGTGCATATATATTTAGGATAGTTAGCTTTTCTTGTTGAATTGATCTCTTTACCATCACGTAATGGCCTTCTTTGTCTCTTTTGATCTTTGTTGGTTTAAAGTCTGTTTTATCAGAGACTAGGATTACAACCCCTGCTTTTTTTTTTTTTTTTTTTTTGCTTTCCATTTGCTTGGTAGATCTTCTTCCATCCCTTTATTTTGAGCCTATGTTCAGCTTTGCATGTGAGATGGGTCTCCTGAATACAGCACATTGATGGGTCTTGACTCTTTATCCAATTTGCCAGTCTGTGTCTTTTAATTAGGGCATTTAGCCCATTTATATTTAAGGTTCATATTGTTATGTGTGAATTTGATCCTGTCATTATGATGTTTGCTATTTATTTTGCCCATTAATTGATGCAGCTTCTTCATAGCATCGATGATCTTTACAATTTGGCATATTTTTGCAGGGTCTGGTACCCATTGTTTCTTTCTATGTTTATTGCTTCCTTCAGGAGCTCTTGTAAGGCAGGCCTGGTGGTGACAAAATCTCTCAGCATTTGCTTTTCTGTAAAGGATTGTATTTCTCCTTCACTTATGATGTTAACTTTGGCTGGATATGAGATTTTGGATGGAAAATTCTGTTCTTTAAGAATGTTGAATATTGGCCCCCACTCTCTTCTGGCTTGTAGAGTCTCTGCCGAGAGATCTGCTTTTATTCTGATGAGATTCCCTTTGTGTGTAACTCAACCTTCCTCTCTGGCTTCCCTTAACACTTTTTCCTTCATTCCAACCTTCGTGAAACTGACAACTATGTGTCTTGGGGTTGATCTTCTTGAGGATTATCTTTTTGGTGTTCTCCGTATTTCCTGAATTTGAATGTTGACCTGCATTGCTAGGTTGGGTAAGTTCTCCTGTATAGCATCCTGAAGAGTGTTTTCCAACTTGGTTCCATTCTCCCCATCAATTTCCCGTACACCAATCAGACATAGATTTGGTCTTTTCACATAGTCCCATATTTCTTGGGGGCTTTGTTCATTTCTTTTTACTCTTTTTTTCTCTAACCTTGTCTTCTCACTTTATTTCATAATTTGATGTTCAATCACTGATACCCTTTCTTACACTTGATCATATTGGCTATTGAAGCTTGTGCATGCATCATGAAGTTCTTGTGCCATGGTTTTCAGCTCCATCAGGCCATTTATGGTCTTTTGTACACTATTTATTCTAGTTAGCCATTCATCTAATCTCTTTTCAAGGTTTTTAGCTTCCCTGTGATGGGTTTGAACATCTTCCTTTAGCTCGGAGAAGTTTGTTATTACATACCTTCTGAAGCCTACTTCTGTCAGCTCATCAAAGTCATTCTCAGTCCAGCTTTTTTCCGTTCCTCATGAGGAGCTGCAATTCTTTGGAGAAGAGGCATTCTGATTTTTAGAATTTTCAGCTTTTTGCTCTGGTTTCTCCCCATCTTTCTGGTTTTATCTACCTTTGGTCTTTAATATTGGTGACCTGCAGATGGGCTTTTGGTGTAGATGATCTTTTTGTTGATGTTGATGCTATTCCTTTCTGTTTGTTCATTTTCCTTCTAATAGTCAGGTCCCTCAGCTGCAGGTCTGTTGGAGTTTGCTGGTGTTCCATTCCAGACCCTGTTTGCCTGGGTTTCACCAGCAGAGGCTGCAGAACAGCAAATATTGCAGAACAGCAAATATTGCTGCCTGATCCTTCCTCTGGAAGCTTCGTCCCAGAGGGGCATCTGCCTATATGAGGTGTCTGTTGGCCCCTACTGGGCTGTGTCTCCCAGTTAGGCTACATGGGGTCAGTGCCCCAGTTGAGGAGGCAGTCTGTCTATTCTCAGAGCTCAAATGCCATGCTGGGAGGACCACTGCTCTCTTCAGAGCTGTCAGACAGGGATGTTTAAGTCTGCAGAAGTTGTCTGTTGCCTTTTGTTCAGCTATGCCCTGCCCACAGAGGTCTAGAGGCAGTAGGCCTTGTTGAACTGCGGTGGGCTTTGCCCTGTTTGAGCTTCCCGGCCACTTTGTTTACCTACTCAAGCCTCAGCAATGGCAGACGTCCCTCCTCCAGCCATGCTGCCGCCTCGCAGATCAATCTCAGACTGCTGTGCTAGCAGTGAGCAAGGCTCTGTGGGCATGGGAGGCACCGAGCCAGGCCCGGGAGAGAATCACCTTGTCTGCCAGTTGCTAAGACCTTGGGAAAAGCACAGCATTTGGCCAGGAATGCCCTGTTTTTCCAGGTAGTCTGTCATGGCTTCCCTTGGCTAAGAAAGGGAAATCCCCCACCGCTTGCACTTCCCGGGTGAGGCAACACCCCACCCTGCTACAGCTCGCCCTCTGTGGGCTGCATCCACTGTCCAACCAGTCCCAGTGAGATAAACCAGGTACCTCAGCTGGAAATGCAGAAATCACTCATTTTCTGTGTCGATCATGCTGGGAGCTTCAGACTGGAGCTGTTTCTGTTTGGCCATCTTCTTTTTTAATTTAGAGATTTTATGTCACAGAAAAGGAATTAACACTTATTGGATGCTTATATTATGCCAAGCCTTGTGTGCAGCAGTATTTTTTTTAGTTTTTAATTTTTGTGGGTACATAGTAGGTATACATATTTATGAGACATGGATATTTGTATAAGGAATAGAATGAACAATAATCACATCAGAGTAAATGGGGTATCTGTCACCTTAAATGTTTATCATTTCTTTGTGTTATAAATGATCCAATTATCCTTTTTTAGTTATTTTTTAATGTACAATAAATTACTTTGACTGTAGTCACTTTGTTATGCTATCAAATACTAAATCTTATTCATTCTATCTAACACTATTTTTGTACCCATTAACCATCCCCACATTACTCCGTGTCCCTTCACCCTCCCCCGACCACACACACACACCACTACTCTTCCGAGCCTCTGGTAACTATCATTCTACTCCTACCTCCACAAGTTAAATTGTTTTAATTCTTACCTCCCCCAAATAAGTGAGAACATGTGAAGTTCATCTTTCTGTGACTGGCTTATTTAATTTATACACAGTAGTGTCTATAAAAAAGAATGAGATATTGTCATTTGCAACAACATGGATGACACTGGAGAACTTTATATTAAGAGAAATAAGCCATGCTATAGTGTTTCAACCTACTATTTACGGTCCTTTTCTACTATTTAAGGCTCTTATCTACTAAATTCATTATGTCTCATATTTCTGTGTCTGTTTATGTTGAGCAGTTTTGCTCTTGGTTAAGCACAATAATTATCTGCTTCTCTGTATGCATAATCATTTTTAAATTGAGTACCAGAAATTGTACCTTTTATGTTTAGAGGTACTTGATTTATAGGTATTTTATAAATAGCACTGGGTTTTCATCTCACGTGCAGTTAAGTAACTCACAGATTAGTTTGATCTTTTTGAGCTTTTTTTATAAGTTTTAGTGTGGCTGATCCAGAGTAGCATATATTTGGGGACTACTTTAGTTCCACTAATAAGGTAATATCCTTCTGAGAAATGTATCCAAAGTCTTCCAAATTCTGAGTTCTCCTTACTCTGGCTATTGAGAACACTGACTATTTCCAGTTCTTGTGAGCTTTAAGAATTATTGGACCTAATGTATTTTAGTAGTCTTTCCCTGGTCTCAACTAGTTTCTTAAGCATGTAAGATCACTACTCAGCTAAAGACATGAGGGTATTCCTTTGCAGATGCTTGGATCTTTCTTTCTCAATGCAGCCTTCTCCTCATCATTGCTCTGCCCAACAAGTTTTAGTGACCCCAGCCTCTCGAAATCCACATATCTGTCTCCTTACTTGAGTGAGGTTACTAGTTTCTGTTTGGTCCCACCCCTATGCGCAGTGGTATAATATGTGCCTTCAGGCATTTCTCTAGGGCTGTTGTAGGGCTCTTCTCTCAGAGATCCTTTCTTTCAGAGATCAGAAACCTCCACTGCTTGTTATTCAATGTCTGAACCCATTGCATAATATATTTTGTTTTCTAGCTCTTTACAGTGGGAGGACAATTGACCCAGTAATTAATCATTGATGGAAGCCTAACAGAGTTTTGAGGCAACAGATCAGTTCTCACCTGTATTTATGAATTTCTTATGCCATTAAAATTTTGTACTGCTCTGATGCTGACCATCCTCTTTACCAGCACTTTAGACCTAGGATGTCACTTATATGTAATTTCTTTGACAAAAAATAAGTAAGAAAGGATATATAAAGCATTGAGGACAAAAGCAATTCTTTAGAGAAGGTAATTTCTTTGATGGATAATAAATTAATGTTTATCTTATTCAGTGAAGAGGAAAAGCATAACTAAATCCATTTCTGTCAATTTATCCTTTGCTTCCCACCTCCAACCACCCTCCCTTCCAGGCTATGTTATTCACCCAACACCATTTCAAGTACCCTTCTTAGATTTTTTTCAAAGTGTTTATTATCTCTTTCATATCCACACCCACTTTGTTTCAACAATTTATCAAAGAGTCATTTTGTGGAGGGAGATGACAGCCTTTCCTAGTTCACAGTCTTGGCAAAAAATCAATGTGATTCTCTTTTTCCTCTCTTCTGTATTTCCTCAATATTCTGTTTTAATTCTATTCATCTACCTCCCTCTAAATTTACCAGTGCACTTGAACTTTATTACTATAGTGGTTTCCAGCCAAGAATAATTGGTGACAAGTCCTTCAATAAAAAAAGGTCTTTCGTACAGACCATGACTTAAGCAGAAGGTAGATGATAAGGTATAAGTCTAGATAGAAGACACACTACCAAGGAATTAACATCTGGACATTAAGAATATAATTTGCCTTTAGGCAATGAGTAAACTTGTAAGAATTGTTTAATGAAAAATGACTGGTTCGTTTCACCTTTTACATCCATATCTCTGGACTATATGAAGAATGACTTGAGAGGGGTAGTATTCAAAGCAAAGAGATCAGTTAAGTTGATTTGTGGTAAAACCGGAGTTATAGCATACAAGAGATGAGAGAATGACTTTAATTAATATTCCGTAAGTTCATGAGGATTAGTTAATGATCAGATATGAAATATGAGGTAGATTGAAGAACAAAGAAGAGCTTTCATGTTTCTAGTTTGGATATTAAGATGGTTGTCATTTGAATGGAGAACATCAGGGAGAAAAAAATAGTTGGTACAGAGCATTTTGGGCTTAATAACTGTGGGACATACAGGCGGAAGTCTGAGGCTTGTAAGAGAGAAAAAAATTCAGTTCAATTATTGTTCTAAAAGGCCATATATTGGTGATCTTGCTATCTCATCAGATTTTTGTTACCTAATCTTACTATCTTAAATTTATTGTCTATATTTTGTGTTAAAATAGATAAGAAGAGATTAAATATTCCAATCCTAAATTAAAGGCAATGAAACAATAATGTTTTATAGTTCTATAATTAAACACCATTGTATATGGTCCAAGATCAAGCTAATTTAAATTCAATTGTCTTTCATAATAGGCATAGAGTGGGAAGATTCTACTTCTCTGATATCTAGTATTGAAAAAATACCTTTACTTGCCTGAAAAAAAAAGTTCTGTTCTTCTAAGTATAAAGAAGCTCTGTAGTGCTTTTAAAAATGTGGCACAGGTAACCAAAGAAACTTACTCAGCTAAGAATTCCAATCTTTTTATCAGTCCCTTCGAAGTGACCCTCAGAAAGAGAAAATTTATTACAAATCTGTTAGTCTTTTATTCTATTTTTTGACACGTAAAATGGGCCCAAAAGCCAACAACAATAAAAACAACAGCAAAACCAAAAACTAAAAACCTAGATAACCACATGTGGAATTAGCCCTTCGATAAGCAATGCCATTTACTACACCATTGGTATAGAACTATCCTACGTGATTCTAAAGGTGAGCAGTTTTATTGAAAGGTGAGGAAAGAGCAGTTCATTTTTCTTTCTGCATGAAAAAAGGTAATGGCAAATAACATAGCCAAGAAGGGACAGCACTCTATTAAGAACATTTTCAAACTTTCTGTCTCTTTAACTTTAGTCCTGACATTGCATACACTTTAGAGGAAGCCCTAACATCACTTTTCTGTCATTGTGGCATTACATCTTGCTTCCAGCTGTATTGAATATTCTAAAAGAATTTTTTTTTAGACAAGATACAATTAGTGGTGCCAGAAATTCTCTCTACATGTAGGAAGCATAGATTATAGCTGGAAAAGGTGGGCCAATAAAAGTTTAGCTTACCATCAGCTAGGCCTCAGGGATCTCTACAAAACTGAGAATCTCATCCATGATAGATTTAGAGAGGGCTTTGCTATGCTATAAAGTCTAAGTTTAAATTGAACATGATAAAATATAAATAAGTGTGTTTTTGGCCAAGTGTTCAACCTCTTTTAAACTCAGAAAATCGGGGGTAATTCTGGTATGTTTTGAAACTCAGATAAGTTTCAAGGATAAACAACACATTTTGCTTTGTGTTCTAAAAGCAAATGCTACATAACTAGATTAATAAAACCAGGCAACCAGTTTTTTAATACATTCAGAGTAAGACAGTTCCTATTCATTCTTGCCACTGAGTTAGCCTGCAGTGAAAGAGTATATATTTTTTATTCTAATATATAGAATTACTTTTAAACACAGTGCACGGTGTATTTTCAATACATTTAAATTGCTCATCAGTTTTTTTTCCTTTTAAACTCTCTCAAATTCTTCAGAAAACTATTTGTATATTAATTCAAGAAAAAACACAATATTTGAAATATCAAGATGTATTCAGGATAGAGGCATTAAACAGGAAACAAAAACTCTTATTTTATATCTTATGTTCCTTGGAAAGAATATGTGGCAGGTAGGAAGTATATATAAGAAAACAAGAAATTATTAATTAGAAAGCTTGGGTTTAAGTTCCAACTATACCATTTACTAGCTATTTATGTTGAGTAACTCAATTTCCCATACTTTAATTTATATTATAGGATTGTTGTGAAAACCAACCTATATCATGGAAGTGCTTTTCAATAACAACAAAATACATAAATTTGATTACCATTAGTAAGCATCTGTCCAAGTTGCAAAGGAAGCTTAGGTTTCCATTATTCAATATCTTCAAAAGCCATTTTTTTGCCTTTCTATCATAGATAAATCTAATGTGTTTTACTGGTTATAAAAATAAATATTAACCTGTTAATCTTACTTCTAATTAAAAAAATACTTGGGGAAAATTTTAATATTATCACATTTGGAAGACTTTTATTTTATTTTTACTTCTCTCTTTCTTTGATGTAAACCTTTCATTAGTTAGTGGCTAGGTATCACTTTTATGGAATTCTATTAAAATCTTTTACATAACTCATGGGGAAGACACATTGGTAAAGAGTTACTCCTATGTCAATGCTTCTTCAATGCTTTTTTTCTCCCTCTGCAAATAAGTCTGTAGGATATTTGGCAAATAATAATTTTTGTTCTATTTTTACAAAAAGTAAATGAAGCTTATATTGAAAATCTTTCCCACGTATTATCCTAGCAACAACGATATACATTTTAGTTCCTTATCATGTCAATAGGAAATAACATCAATAATAATGATAGTCAATAATTACTGAGCACTTACTATGTGTTCACACATTTCTAAATACTTGCTATATTATCTCTATTAATTTTTAAAAATAACATAAATACTAAGCCTCAGAAAGTTTAAAATGCCCAAGGCCATTCTCCTATGGCAAGATTTTACTAAAGATCAGTTTTGACTCCATAAACCTTGTACTTATGGCTACAGACTAGCACATGAATGAAACACAAGGAATTGAAATGTAATTTGTCAAAGTTCAAGAACACATAGCAAAATGAGAGTGACACTAATGTTCTACCCATCGAATTGAAAAAGGCCAGTAATGATAAATAAGTTAGATCAAATTTTCCTTAAGTGTGATATTTCAGAATATTTTTTCTTGAATTTCATTTCAGAAGTATCCTTCCCATTTTTTTATTATTATTATTATACTATAAGTTTTAGGGTACATGTGCACAACGTGCAGGTTTGTTACATATGTATACATGTGCCATGTTGGTGTGCTGCACCCATTAACTCATCATTTAGCATTAGGTATATCTCCTAATGCTATCCCTCCCCCCTCCCCACCATGGAATACTATGCAGCCATAAAAAATGATGAGTTCTTGTCCTTTGTAGGGACATGGATGAAGCTGGAAACCATCATTCTCAGCAAACTATCGCAAGGACAAAAAACCAAACACCGCATGTTCTCACTCATAGGTGGGAATTGAACAATGAGAACACAGGGACACAGGAAGGGGAACATCACGCACCGGGGACTGTTGTGGCTCATCATCACTGGCCATCAGAGAAATGCAAATCAAAACCACAATGAGATACCATCTCACACCAGTTAGAATGGCGATCATTAAAAAGTCAGGAAACAACAGGTGCTGGAGAGGATGTGGAGAAACAGGAACACTTTTACACTGTTAGTGGGACTGTAAACTAGTTCAACCATTGTGGAAGTCGGTGTGGCGATTCCTCAGAGATCTAGAACTAGAAATACCATTCGACCCAGCCATCCCATTACTGGGTATATACCCAAAGGATTATAAATCATGTTGCTATAAGGACACATGCACACGTATGTTTATTGTGGCACTATTCACAATAGCAAAGACTTGGAACCAACCCAAATGTCCAACAATGATAGATTGGATTAAGAAAATGTAGCCCATTTTTTTTTCTATCTTCAGAATTTAGTATGGATCTTGCCATAGTGAGTATCCAACAAATGCTGTCAAATAAAGTCAACAGTTCATGAGTTTGGTTTCTCTTCTTATTGTGAGAGAAATATGTAGCATAATGAAATAGGCAAGAGGGCAATGTTAAATTGGATGTCTAGTAACTTGGAAACACATTTTATACATCATTGCATTTAGTCTGCATCATAAACAGTGAGGTGCTTATTTTGAATCTCACATTATGTGATGAGTCATTTGTTCAAGCTAGCACATTTGGTTATTTGAACAATCAGGATCTGGCCCCTAGCCTGTTTAATTACAAATCCAGTAGTTTTCCAAGTAGTCTGCACAAATTAGTAGAAGAGTTGAACAAGTGTTTCTTTGCCTCCCTGGCATGTTTTTGTCCGTATTCTGTAGCCAGTGAATGTTCCATAGCCTTTTCTTTTTTCAGGTGACTAACGTTTCAAGGAAATATAGAAGGGCAATATAGTTGATACACACACAGTGGTCTCCTGCCCTACAGTATAGATATTTCTTACTTTTGATAACATGGAAGAATAATTTGTAGACATAACCAAGACAGCTTTCCAACTTGAAGATCGATAAATTAAATTTTTCTTTTAGAATTGAGTCTGCCTGCCTCTCAGCTTTGCATTACTGACAATGCATGATTAACCTTCACAGAATCACCTACAATGATTTTTTTCCAGTTTAGTAAAAATAAGTCAAATAATAAGGTGTTTTGGTTATACTTTTTTTCTGAAAAGATTTCCACAATTTTCCTACTCATGCTTAGCAATGTTTCTTTATTTTCCCTTTTTGTTCAGCTGTCAAGTTTTCATAAAACATTCAGAATATTTAATTAGAAAAACAGCTTTTATAGATGTGAAAAATCTTTGGCATATTTTCTCTTGGGATGCAAAATCTAAGTTATCCTGCTGAGCTGTGTGATGTTTTTTGCAATTTTATAATAAACAGGTTACATGTTATAAAGGAAACAGTAAAAATTCCTGAAGATTGACCTTGGTTTGGAAAGTTTTTTGAATATACAAAATATTAGGTTATGCCATATAATTTTACAGAAATTTAATACCAGACTTCTTTTAATTTATACACTAAGTTATGATAACTCTAGGCTTTCTTGTCTGATTTATGCTGGAGGAACTGTGGGAAAAGAGGACATTATTTTGTGGTCATGCTCAGTAATTGCTACATGCTGTAAAGATTGTGCTATGGTAAATTGAAATAATTACAAAGTTATCTATTCACTATGACATGCCTCTTATTCTCCTGGGATAGTGCAACAGAACAGAAATTCTAAAAATTCATTTAAGCTGATAATATCCCTCCAATTAATTATGAAATATATGATCACCAGACAAGAGCAAATACCAATACTACAGTGAAGCAACTGTGTTCTAGATGTGTGAAGCATATGATGGATGAGAAAGGACTTACCTTGGCTGACCCAGGAAAGGGAGATAGGCATTAGGATATGTGAGAACCTATTATTCTTCATCTTACATTAACTCATATGTAATATATGTGTCTCTGGAAAGACTTCAGATAAGAACAGTAAAGAGAGTAAAGACACTCTGTCAAATCTAAAATTGAAAAGCTTTTTAAAATTATTTTTCTGAAGATTTTGTCTTTTTATCTCTTTTTACGCATATTTTTCGACACTTATTTGTTATTGCTTATATCTGCATAATTAATTATTTAAGTACACATTGATTCTGCAAATTTGTCCTGCTACTTTATAGCTTAAAGATATCATACACACATTTGCCTATTCTTGATGACAGTTGTATATGGTACAAATATCTAAATTAAAAAAAAAATTTTCCTGAGGTTAAGCTTAACCAAATAATATAATAGGTACTTAGGAGTAGTTTACTAAAACTTACCAAAAAATATGTTAATGTTAGATTACAGTAATGACTGCATGTGTGTAAGTATATGTATATATACATAGATATATATCTACAAATACAGATTATATAGCCCATGTTACTTATCTGCTCCCATGCCCTTTTATGGCACTTAGCATAAAATTTATAATTATTACAAAGACCTACAATGCCTCTCATGATCTAGCCTATCTACATCTCAAATCACACCTTCTACTTTTCTCCGTAATTTCTGTTGATTCATCCATTGGCCTTCTTTCTATCTGCTAAAGATGCCAATCTCTTTCTTTCATAGAATCTTTATTCTTGCTGTTCTTTCTGCTTAGAAATCTCCATTCCGTTAATGTATTATTGATTCATTGTTGATTTAATTCTCAGCTCCTATATCACCTGCTTAGATAAGTCTCACTTAAATTTCCCTCATATTTTCTCATGAAATCATTTTTTAAAGGAATTATTATTACCTCTTATTTACAGTACTCACCATTATTTTAAATCCTCACTTTTCAGTGTTGGATACATAATTTTAGTCTTGTATACACATTTCTATATATTAAATGCTTACACAGTGACATATCAATAATCATTAATAGATACTAAATCAAGTAGGCAAAAGTTTGATGAGATACAGCATAACTGTGTAGATTCAATCTATCTTATAAATTAATTATTGATTTCAAAGGGAAAATAGTAACTTCATAGAAAAGAAACATGGCAGGCGCTACATTAGCCAACAGATCAAATGCAACATCATCAATAATAGAACCAACTGGCATCATGATGCTTTTAATATGATGTTATTGAAAAGGACTGAATACTATTTTGGTGTTATCTGTGCCAAAAAAGCATAACCTGAATTTAATTATGAAGAAACAACAGACATTCCCATATTGAGAGCCATTTTACAATAACTACTCTGTAAGCTCTAATAATTGAAATGTCTTGAAAAACAAAGGAAGTCTGAGGAATTATTCCAGATTAAAGTAAGTTTAATTAAAAGAGAATAATTTTCCAAAGGAATTGCAGATAAAGAATCACTAATGAAATGTTGCCATTGGTTAACTTCTCTGGAGACCAGATGATAGTAGTTCGATATGGTACCACAAAAAAATTTGAACTACTACCTATTACGGGATCTGCCACATAGTCATTACTGGGCACTCTTGCTATCCTCTTGCCTTTGATTTAGCATCATCGTTATTTATTGCATTCAAAACAAAGTATAGGCTGAAAATTGTGGGAGATCATCTTTTCAAGTATAAGACACAAACCTCTCCCTCAATAAACTTAGAATATACATTCTTGATTTAGCTATCACATAGGTTATAGTTGTAAGATTATTTTGGTTCTCTTTGGAAAACAATGCAGACTAATTAGTTTGAGTGGCACATTTCTTGCAGACAGAAAGTCTATAAATACATTTTATTTTAAACTATATTCAACTGCTAAAACTATAAATCATGCCCATCATTTTTACTGCTGTGTTACAAATTTTGAAATTAGAGTTCAATGAATTCTGAAGGAGAATCTGAGAAACAGGGTAAGGCAGACATTCCTTGGGTTACATATTTCCATGTAGGCTGGTCACAGAACTACAGAAAATGTGTTTGATCTTTGCATACATTATTGGAGTTTGAGGTGGTACAGAAGAGAAAAAATAAGTAATATAATGAGAATAGAAAAATAAAATAAAAGTTGGAAATGTTCAAATCAACTAAATTCATTAATCTAGGTTAGGGCTTTTTGACTGAAAAATGTATTTCCTCACAGTGTTATAGTGACTGACCATGGAGTCAGATAATACTTGCCAGCCTGGTTTTACATGATTAGTGAACTGTAGCTATTTATATTTCTCCTCTATGGCACCTCTTCCCCAAACCAATTTTATGTTTGCCTCCACTTTTGGATCTCCCCTATTGAGAAAACAAAGAGTTGATGCTAAGGAAGCAAATTATCTCTATCTCCCTCTCTCTGCCTTTCATTTGCAACTGAGCAGCACCTTAAAATGGGTATTGCTTGGTATTTGCTTTTGGAATTAAATTGGCTAATTATTCTGGGCTCTCTTAAAAAAGAATTCACATCTCCAAAACTCCTTAAAATTTTTACATCACAGTATTTTGTTGTTTGTTTAAAAGTACTTATGGTAGGAGAGGAACAAGATGGCAGAATAGAAAGCTCCACCAATTGTTCTCCACTGAAGGACACCAAGTTAACAACTATCTACATGGGAAAAACACCTTCATAAGAACCAAAGATCAGGTGAGTATTCATAGTACCTGGCTTTAACTTTATATAGTTGAAAGAGGTGCTGAAGAGATAAAAATAAAACAATCCTAAATGGCCAATGCCACTTCTCCCCCACTCCCAGCAGCAGCTTCGTGGTGCAGAGAGCTTCTCTGGGCACTGAGGGGGAAGAACACAGCAACTGTGAGGCAATGAACTCAGTGTTGTCCTGTTAGAGCAAAGAGGAAAACCAGACCAAACTCAGCTAGCACCTGTCCACGGAGTGAATATTTAATCCAACCATAGCCAGAAAGGGATCTCCAATCCCAGTGGTTCAAACCTGAGTGCCTCAAACCTTGCCACTGAGGGCACAGTGTGGCACAACACGCTGTGTCTCCAAGTAAATTTGAAAGGCAGTCTGGGCTATAAGTACTGCAACTTTTAGGTGAGTCCTAGTGCTGAAATAGGCACAGAGACAGAGAACTGGGGTCAGGACAGGACACATACATAAAATACTGAGACACCATCTGGGGCAGTGAAGTGGGTGTTGGCATCACCCCTCCTCTAACCCTAAGCTGTGCCACCTGGGTTGAGGAGACAGTTGATGCCAAGAGTCCCTTGGCTGCCCCAGATGGTATCTCAGTAGGAGAACTCCCACTTGAGGAGAGGAGAGGGAAGAGTGAGGAGGACTGTGTCTTACATCTAGGATACCAGCTCAGCCACAGCAGCATAGGGCACCAGTCAGAGTCAGGAGGCCCTTGTTCCAGGCCCTAGCTCCCAGATGACATGTCTAGACACACCCTGGGCCAGAAGAGGATCTGCTGCCTTGAAGGAAAGGACTCAGTCCCGTCAGCATTCATCACCTGCTAACTGAAGACTCCTTGGGCCCTCAATAACCAGCAATAAGAAACTGAAACATTTCTTGAAACAAATGATAATGGAAACAAAACGTACCAAAACCCATGGTATACATACAGTAAAAGCAGTACTCAGAGGAAAGTTTATAGCTATCTGTGCCTGCATGAAAACAAGGAAAAACTTCAAATAAACAATCTAACGATGCATCTTAAAGAACTAGAAAAGCAAGAGCAAACCAAACCCAGAATTTGTAGAAAAGAAATGATAAAGATCAGAGCAGAAATAAATAAAATTGAAATGAAAAAAGAAAACAACACAAAAGATAAATGGAACAAAAAATGGTTTGATGAAAAGTTAAAAAAAAATGACAAAGCTTCAGCCAGAATAATTATGGGAAAAAAGAGAAGATGCAAATAAATAAAATTAGAAATGATAGATTTAAAGATTAATTTAAAAGAACATACAGGGAATTCTCAAATGTCCAGCATCCAGTTTCCCCTATAATTGCCATCTTCCATTCTTATAGTACATATGTTACAATTAATGAACCAATAATGATACGTTATCATTAACTAATGATAACGTGGAGATTTCTTTAGTTTTTATCTAAGGTCTGTTTCTGTTTCAGGATTCCATCCAGGCACCACATTTCATTTAGGTATCATATTTTGTAGGACTCTTTTGCTAGTGACAGTTTCTAAGAGTCTATTCTTCATGATCTTAAAAGTTTAAACTACTGACTAGTTTGGGGGGATGTGCTCCTCTGGAATTTTTCTAATGTTTTCCTTATGATAAAACTGGAGTTATAGGTTTTAGGAGGAGCTCAATGGTGGGTCGTTTTCATCACATCATATCAAGGGTACACATTATCAACATGGTTTATGACTTGATATTGGCCTTAATCACCTGGCTGAAGTAGTATTTGAGAGGTTTCTCCACTGGAAAGTTACTCTTTTTAAATCTCTCTTTGCATACTACTATTCTTTGGAAGAAAGTTGCTGTGCACAGCCCACACCTAAGAAACGGGGAATCATGTCCTCATCCTTGAACACAGAGCGTATTAGTCAAGAGTTTTCCAGAAAAAAACAGAATCAATGGGAGAATACACATACACACTGCCCCCCCCCCACATAAACACGCACACACACTCATACACAGACAAACACATAGACACACAATGAGATTTATTATGGTAATTGGCTCACACAATTATAGAGTCTAGAAGTCATCTGCAAGCCAGATGACCAAGAAAATTGGTGGCATAATTCAGTCTGAGTAAAAAGGCCTGAGAAGTGAAGGGGAGAGTGCAGAAGGAGTGATGGTGTAAGTCTTGACTCGAGTCCAAAGGCTTGAGAACCAGAAGAGGCAATGTCCAAAGGCAGCAGAAGATAATGTCCTAGCTCAAACGAGGGAGAATTTGTCCTTCTTCTGCCATTTTGTCTATCCAGGTCCTCAATGGAATGGATGATTTTCATTCATATTGGTGAGGGTAATTTTTATTCAATATCCTGATTCAAATGCTAATAACTTCCAGAAACACCTTCACAGACACACCCACAAATAATGTAATACCAATTATCTGGGCATCTTGTAGCTTAGTCAAGGTGGCACACAAAATTAACCATCACAAAGCTTATTTACATAATTATTTGAAATTCTACTGTGTGACAGATTTGTCTATTCTCTACATTTAGTTATCCAATCATATATTTATATCAGTATAGATTCATGGATATTTATTTACTATATAATTTGGATTATAATCCAATACTACTATTACTATATAATTTGGATTATAATCCAATACTACTGAGTATTACTATATAATTTGGATTATAATCCAATACTACTCTGTTGCTCACCTTGTTACAGTTTTGGCAAATGGGAGCTTCTCCAGTTGCCTCCTATGGGCCTTTGATCTCATAAGTGTGCGTGTGTGTGTGTGTGTGTGTGTGTGTGTGTTGAGCACTCCTTATTTCTAACACTATAAAATGCCTCAGGATCTTCTACCATGTCCTAGAATTAGCTGTTTCTCCAAGGATCCTTGGTTGCTTTTATTGGAGAATGGCATTAGGAACCAATAAAGTTGTGCCTGGTGTGCTGTTGCATAGGGGCATTGTTTCTTTTAGTATCTCTAAACTGACTGAGCAAAAATATATATATGTATTTATACTAACCCATGTACAGACACACACACACACTTTTATAAATAACCACCTGTATCTATATTAAGCTAACGTGAGTTTGTGTTAATATCCCCAATTCTAATCAATTATTACATTGATCACTGTAGCCTCCTCCAGGTGTTAAAATGATTTGCTTTTTGTTTGGATCTAAAACACATTCCGATTCTTACTTTTAGACAAGGTTTAAAATACTTATCATGCTAAAAATAGTTCAGTGCCAGAAATTACTTGAAAACAGGTTACAGAGTCAGAAGCTTCAACATCATAAATAATAAGGTTTGTTTTATGGGTGAATATAAAAAAGGCAAAAAAAGGCCCAGCAATTCACATTCAGTACTTAAAAAAAGAAGAAGCCAAATAACCTCAGAGAAGTCAGGGCAGAGAGTTTAGTCCAGAATATGATAGATCTCATAAATTAGAATTTTCATAATCTTAAAGAGAATACAGCCTTGAACACCACATTCATTCCTCAAATAAACAACTGATTGTAGCAGTTAGGAAATTGGTATCAGACTGCATAGTAAACATGTAAATAGTAGATAATACATTATGAGCATATGTTTGTGTATGTGTGCATATGTATTTGCCATTTCAGAGTGTGTGTCTTATTTCTAGAACACTTAATAATTATTTTATCATATTTATAAATATTATGAAATTTCTAATTATTAAGCCACCCCAATTATAACAACATAGGTATAATCATTCTTACCTATTCTAATATTTTGATTATCAAAGTAAAAAAGGCCAAGTAGAATTCTGGAGAACCGTAGAATGAAGGATTCTCTAGAATAAACCTAGAGGTTTATTTTCTCCATATGTGCTACCTACTTAATAAGCAGGACTTACTATAGTGTAGTAAAATATTTGGACTTGAAATTAATAACTTAATTACATTAACACTTTAGTTTTTCTTGGCTCTAGAGATTATTCTAAAATGTAAAATATCAGTAACATCAGCTTAATAAGCTTTCCCTACTTGTGACACAGAGTATTAAGGGATCATGGAGTTGGCTTGTCTAAATAAGAACAAACAAAGGAAAATTAAGCAGCCTTTGTTAATTTGTATCTTTTAGTATTAACTGAAATAAGAAAATGTGTGTATTAAAAGGCACTAAGAAGTAAAATGCAAAGTGAGAGTAAAGCAGCTTATATTTGTAAAGGAAAGAGAAATAATTTTCTATTAAATAATGGATATAATTAAGTATACAGGTAGTTGCTCTGATTATTAAATAAACTATGTATTTAATGAAGCATTTTTTTTTACTGAAATTTGCCAAAATTATTTATATTTAGGAAAATCAGCCAAACTAAAATGAAGATAGTTATGCATCACTCTTGGGAGACCCAATCTTACATATTTATATATATATATATATGTATGTTTGTTGTAAAATATAGGCCATATTGCTAGAGGATTGAATCACTAATTTTCATCATTTCTCAAACATACCCTGTCTACACACACCTATGTACACACTCACATCCCAACACTGTCCTTTATCGTTTAGGAGAATTTTTGATATATTTTGATAATTACCATCATTCAATCTAGAAACGCTAGAGTGAGAACAATGGGAAATGGCTTCAAGTGCCAAAAATTGGCAAACCAAAATACTTTGCCAAGGTTTCTATGCATTCCAGAATGGATAGACGGCTCTATAATGGGTTGTCAACTTAATGCATATAGGATTTATGTACAAAGATAGACAGCTTACTCTCCATGCTTCCTCACCTCCTTATCCAGTGCCCTTTCGTGGCATCATGTTACTTCCTGTGGCTTTGCATAAAATTTTCTTAGCTAGAAATGTCTCAAAAATTGTACCTTATGAAGGATGCTACATTCAAAAGCAGGAGGGCTCTATTTGAATGTTAAATATAGGATAAAATGGAGGAGAGGAAAGCAAACATAGATTTTTAGTGACTGTGGCAACAGCATACCAGGAAAAAATTCATTGTGATAGTTTCATAATTGGAATTTGAAACTGTTTTCTGTTGTCTCTATAATTAATCTTCTCCTCTATAATAAACCAGAGCTATAAATTTGCTCTTTCAGATAGGGTTATGCAGAAATGTGCTTCTTTTGTTCTTCGAATCTTTTGGGTGTGCTATGAGGCTGAATTACAAGTAGTTTAAGTGCTGCAGAAAATTCTGATTATACTGTAAAGTTATCTTAATACAAAGTTACTTTATCTTTTGTATTTCTTCTTCTGGCAACCTTCAATTCTTTCCTCCTTTTCATAATATCATCCTAACTTTCCCATAAGGTACAGCACTTATTTTTTCATTTCATTTTATGAAATGTCAGTGAACCTGTTAGTCATAGAATGGGCATAAGACATAAAGTAGACCAATATAAAGTTTTATTTAGAGAATTTAAATCTCACATTACATAAGAATGAAGAAGTGTGGATCTAAGTAATTTTAATGATGGCACACTGAAGAAATCATTCATGTGTTTTTGACACCTAGGTCAGAGAACTGCATTATCACTGGCCATCCTATATTCTGGTGGCTCAGATTTATCCTAGTCAGTTAAGTATTTCATGCTTTTGAGGAAGAATCAATACATTTTCTTTGTTTGAAGTTAAAAATAAAATATAAAATTTTTGTTAATATCCAAGGTCCCTACTAGCTTGTGGCTGACATCTGGTATGTACTTTGCATGAACTGTCCTAAAACTTTTTGCAAGCCTAAATAATATAAGTATGAAATTACTCATTAAATATTTAAGTGAATTCCTTTATAAAAGGTAAAGCCTTTCTTTTTTTATAGTGAATTTTTGTTTGTCATTTTGTTTCCATCTCCCCTCCTGATCTTTGGCTTTACTTTGACACCTTTGAAGTTTACATGGCTCTTGGGTCCTCTCCTGAAGTTGGTCTATTCCTATTCCAATCTTCTACCCTATGGCTTTGTTATCACTTTAGAATTCCAAGTCTCACCTCCTTACCATTTTTCTCTGAAAAGTTGCTTTTGCAGACTTTATGCTGATGCTTCTCCTTATTACCTAAACTTTATTGCTACTGCTTACAGGCTCACTCTAGGCTGTCAAGTGGCATCTGAAACACATGTGCCAATCTTATACATATATTATGATCTTTCTCTGAAAATTCTAGAAAAGCCAAGCTCCTGATTTAGGGTTATTTTTCAACTTTTTAAACCCTAATCTAGTCATGAGGAAAAATAAATCAACTAATTGTATTGATGGATTTTTTAATAGCAAATGGTCAAATAGATTAATTTACTCATTTAATGAAACATTTTTAGTTATAATTTATTCACCTATAAATGTGATGTCAAAATGAATTTTTATGAGCAATGATGTTAGCATGCTGTCACAATTATGTGTTCTGGGATGTATTTAATGTTATGCCAGACTCTTTGGTTGCCCTTTAAATCCTTTAATCATAATCAACCAGAAATTTAAGGTGTTGAAAGACAGAAACTGTATAAACTATACTTAAACTTTGCCCATAATGCTTTACTTCCTCTGTTTAAAGATTTTTAAAGAGTGTTCATATTGTTCTGCCACCACGCTTACAATGCTGATTCATGGTTGGTACACACAATTGGATGCTAGGTATACTCCACAGTTGAATCTCTAATAGTTTGGAAATAGTGCCCTGAATGTTGAATGCCTATACCAGGTCTCCTGAAATCTCTGCACAGCTAAATCTCATTAGCCCTTGCTCAGGCAAAGACAAACTTTAATGATTTTGAACAGGTTAGAAAAAAGAGGATATCTAGACAAAGACAAGACCTTTGTATGTGTTTTTAATCCTCACCAAATGAAAAAGTACATGTTGCAAGATGAATTGCAGTGGCTGAATTATCAAACAATAGTTAACATTTTATTAATATTCTAGGTCCCTTCAAGTAGTAAAAATCATATGTAGGCTAATGGGAGATTCAGAGTCCCATGAGAATTCTTTTAAGGGGTAAAATAAATACAATTAGATGATATTGCTAAATCTTCTTCCTCATTCACTCTTGCATTCCTACACCCTCATCACAATTATTTTATGTATCATTCCATTGTTAAGAAGCAACAGAAGAAATAAGGAAAACATCTAGTTCCTATTTTAGTTTCAGTAAGAGTAAGAGCCCATAATTGGCCCTAAATAGCTTCTATCTAGGTGAGATGAGGCCCATTTAAATACCCTTGCATCATCAAATGCCAGTTGTCATGTATGATGAGGAAGGATACGGAATATCGCAGTTTTGTAACAACAGAGTTAACAGAAGGAAAGTTGTATCTCTATCATGGAGAATAAGCAGCATCTGCGACAGTCTAGAGGAAATGAAGATAACATGAACCATCCATGGATATCACTAAAGAACATGAGTTTTTCATAAGGTTAATAATAGTGAAGGAGACCTGAGTTTTGCAAAACTTAGTATTATGTCATACACATCCATTATTATGCCAGATTCAGTTTAGTGCATCCAAGTTGCTCCTCTAGTCCTCACAACATACTTTAGAAGTGTTGTACTTGGGTCCCTAGATCTGTTCTATCTGTTGGATGTTAGTGATGATTCCCAAGCCCTCCCTCTAGATTGTGAAAGTTGGATAGTCAGAGAGACAGTGACAGTTTGGGGAGATCAGTAAACTCTAGAATAATTTCAGAATTTTCTTTTACAATTCTAAAAAACTGAAATTACAAAGTTAGAGTGAAGAATACATTTTAGAGAATATCTAACTCAATACCATATATTTATTGATAAAGAAATTCAGACTGAAAGAAATAGAATGATTACCAATCTGGGAAGCAAAACTGGCACTGAGGTCCTGGAACTCCATTTCCGTTTACTTCTCATTATAGAGATAAATAAGTCAGCCTGTTAAAACTTAAATTTTTGGTCAATTAAATTCTATTAACTGACCAGGTTAGCATTCAGCAAGCTTTTTTTGTAAATGACTACATAGGAACTATTTTAAACTTTGTCCCTCTTAAACATTTTAAATATTAGGTTCCTGTTAAAGGACTGGATTCTGCCTTCATAGCACGAAATAAACAATAGACAATAGGTAAACAAATGGGCATGGCTAACATTTCCATAAAGTGTAGAAAAACAAGCCACAGGCTATATTCCATGTTTTACCAAAAAGCTACTATAGTTCAGCATCCTTGGACTGCATATATATATATATATATATATGTGTGTGTGTGTGTGTGTGTGTATATATATGTATATATATATACACACATATATACATGCACACGTGTGTGTGTGTGTGTGTGTGTGTGTGTGTGTGTATACACTCACATAATCAATTGCTTGAGTGAGAAAGGTAATGATTTGGACCAAGTAGTTTTAGAGTTTTATGCTGCCTGAGAGCAGCTGAGAAAGGCTAAAAAAACTAAATATTGTATTTTGTCTTCTCAAGTTAATTACATTACCCAAACCAACATGTCTGCTTGCCTCATATATTGTTAGGAATCTGTCTTTTTTTTTGTATCTGTTGGCACCTGACCAGCTAACCACAAAATATGTAATGGGATTATATCTACCTGAAAACACTATTTATGGCAACAATTCGATAGCCTACTTGAAATGAATAAGTTTGAAGGGATTAAAAGGGTAATGTTCATTTTTCAGGTCCAACCACCAGAAAGCAAATATATACTGTTTTAGAAATCTTAGAAAGTATGTATACTTGAATATCACACTCTAAAAAGTCAGTTCTAAAAAATAGGAATAAATGGTTGAATTAAATTAGATTTGATACCTGCTGGTGTACAATCTGGACCCATTATCTCAGCTCATTAGAGCTTGGTGTTAATGAGGCCAAGGTCAGGGGTTTATTCCCCATATGAGACAGCAAGCATCATACAAAGACAGCCATTGTGTTCCCTGGCTTTACACTGTACACCCTATTCTACCCATATGTTTCATAAATAATTGCAACTGGCCACAAGCAGAACAAGGGAAAGAATGTATAAGGTTCAGTTCACCCTCACTACTAATGGAAAGAATATTTAAACACTCCTTCCTGAAGGAAACAAGACTGTCTTCACAATAAACAACACTGCATTATGTTAGACATACTTCCTTTATATACTTAATAAATGATAGCTTCAAAATATATTAATTTTGACATAAGGTTTATTTGAGTTCAATTTCAATTGCATTTATTCATGCATTTATCTGTCAGTTACTATGTTATATTCTGGGAATATTAAGATCAATAAGACGTCAACAACCTGACAGTGGGTATAACACAAAATTTGGGTGGGTGCCTTTTGGTGTTATTATTAATAGGCCTACTGGAAATAAGGATAGCGCTCAATGACTTTTAGATAACATTTGGCCAATTGAGGCAGAAATCCACAAATTCTATCTTGCTATCAATTTTTCTTCTAAATTTTTTTAAGGGAGATAGAAAGACAAGGTACACTGACAAAAAAATCAACATTATATTTTATTAGTAAGGAAATTTTTGCTTCCAAGCAATACAAAATAGAAATGCAGAAAACTCCAGTAACCTTGAGACTGGATTATATTTGCTGTAAAGCTAAGAGACTTTTTACATCTTCCCCATATTTCCACAAAAAATCTTCATTTCAAGCCTAAATCTTATTACACTTTTATCTGCTGTGTCCAAGGTGATCTAAACAAGACCTTATGGGAAAGCTCTACTGCCATGCTCTAAGAAAGTACCACATCAGTTTACTTTTCCAGTAGCAAGAGTTAGAGAGAAAAGGGAGTGAGTTAAACTTGTAGGATAACCCTTTAACCAGCAAACGGCATAAGAAAAAATCAGGCTTAGCTAGTAAACTACAAGTTAGCGACATAAATTAAAATTATCTTATTGTAGAAATGAGGAGCATAAGCTTGTTCTGTTTTCTATTAAGTTGCATTTTAGACATTCAACATCTTGTCTGTGTCACATGGAGAAGTTAGCTAACTGCATTAAGCTTTGTTAACCTCCAATATATTACAAGAAAAAGAGTATGCACCAAACAGACAGGTATTGAGTAGGTAAGAATATGTTTGCTCCTTTTCCTTCTTGTAATGTCATATGTAACTTTACTGATTGTTAGAAATTAAAAGTTAGGAATGGTGAAATTGAAACACACAGCAAATAGTTGATGTTTGATCTAGATCATAATGGATTTTCTTCCTGATGGAAAGGGTATTTCGTAAAGTGAATAAAGCATAAACAAAAGCACTATATGCTAATTTGCATGAAGTACTTAGGTAACATCAGGAAATTTAAATCAAATAATAAAGCACTAAAGTGGAATAAACATTAAAATCGAATGCTAATGTCCAAAGAAAATAGAAACAATCTTGTTCAACTTTCAGTTCTATATAGGAAGCCTATGACCCATGATTCAGGTTGTTTTTCTTAACTTCTAATGTACAAGTTAAGTGATGACTAATGATCAAATATCAAATTCTAAGTATATGAAAATCATTGTAAAATATAGCAAAGTAGGTCTAAAATTATTAATGTGTATGGACTTTGTTCAAAATGAACAACTAAATAAGTAAATAAGACTTATAAAATGCAGGGATATAGCAGACCACAGGGAAAAAAAACTTGATTGTCCTTTATTTGTGTCTATTTTGGTTAACATAAAAATTTGCTTAGGTAGTGGCAATGAAGAGTGCTTCCAAATGTAATACAAATCATGAAAAATGACTTCTAGTGGGTTTAATACTATCACACCTATCATTGAACTGGTATTGAAAATTTCATTTATTCTACATTGCTATAATGTGTGGTTTAAAATCCTGGAAAAGAATGTTTAAAGAGAATGGGTAATCAACACAGTAGCACAGCGTTATCAAGGCTCAAAATTAAAAGGTGGGAAGACACAACATAGGAAAGCCTTGGACATTGTTTGTTGCCTGTATCCTGAAAACCATCTCCAGAGGGAAAACTTGAATTGAAGCCTCTGAGTAAGAATTGTTGTTTCTTACAATGTAGCTTAAATCTCGGGAACAAACAAAGCCTTGCAAAAGACATCTAAAAATATCTTCTGTGGTATAAAGACATTTTCTATAGAAATGATTTTTTAAATTATTGATTTTTGAGTTAAAATGCTACTCGTATATACTCTCTTGTATTTTACTTACATGAAGTTCAGTTATTGTGAAATAAAATAAGCACAGAGCATTGATTTCATTTGCACTTACATTTGTGTCATTAGCTGGTAAGGGTGCCAGCATATTTTTAAGCATATAATGCTAGGTAAACCCACCATCACCACCAATTTTCTATCAGTTTATTTTTAAAGGAAATCTTAACCTTTGTCCCAGGGCTCTTGCCAGCTGTCTGGAGCTTAGCACATTCTCAGTTTTGGACTGATCCCTGATAAACATATATTTACACTCTTGAAGCTGCATAATGCATTCATTCTCAGCATGGAGGTTCACAGCTGTTATATGCTAAAGGTGTTATTTGTGTTCCTAACAGTTTTGAAATAGAAAACAAGGCTCAAATGTTTCCTCAAAAACAATTCCAATCCTAGATTGGCCTCCTGAGGGAGAATTTCCATCTTTACGTCTTCTGCAAGGCAGTGTTGGTGCTATTGTTCAAAGAATTCTAAGGGGCAACACCATTACCTTTCCTATGGAACACTTTCCTGTCTACAAACAACTAAAAATAATGTTACAGTCCTGCTCAAATAAAGATTGTATCATGTTTCCATTGATCCCTTGTATTTGGCATATAATTTTCTTTCACCCTTAAAGCCTGTCACTCTACAGAGCCTGGAAATAGTGAGAACTTAAAACTTTCAGAACATAATACATAAATGCCAAAAGGAGGCTCCTGCTGCAGTGTCCTGATCATGCAGATAGGAAATGAAACTCATTGTCACGTGTACTGTCATGTATGTGTAATGTACATACAAAAAGGGCAAATGTATAACCCTTTTTGTCAGGTTAAACTCAAACATCTATTTTCAAAATCAGTAATGCAGCACGTTTAACTTTTTTCCAAATACTTATAAAATAAATATTTTTCTCTGGCCTATGCATAAATTATTTTCAGCACAAACCTACACATTGATGTAAGATCAAACTGTTCTCAAGCTAGAAAGCTCAGAAGCATCCTTAAGGCTAGTCGTGGTGGCTCATGCCTGTAATCGCAGCACTTTGGGAGGCCGAGGCAGGTGGATCACGAGGTCAGGAGATCGAGACCATCCTGGCTAACACGGTGAAACCCCGTCTTTACTAAAAATACAAAAAAATTAGCCAGGCGTGGTGGCGGGCGCCTGTTGTCCAAGCTACTCGGGAGGCTGAGGCAGGAGAATGGCGTGAACCTGGGAGGCAGAGCTTTCAGTGAGCTGAGATTGTGCCACTGCACTCCAGCCTGGGCGACAGAGCAAGACTCCATCTCAAAAAAAAAAAAAGAAGAATCCTTAAAGCATTGCATCTTCCTGAATCTCTAATTCTATATCTTAAATGTCCCTGTTATTTAGCCTCTTCTTTTGATGACCCTTGATAGTGTCTTTTTTATCTCACCTTAATTCTGATGATATTCTACTAACTTGAAGATATGTCACTAATCTCCCTATCTAATCCAACTTCCAGACTCTTACCCAATATCCTCCTGAAGACATATACTAATCATATGACTATTCTACTTAGAAACTACTATCAGCTGCCTATTATCTACAGCATAATTTCAAGTATCTGAACTTGCCATATAGGATGCTGCATTTTTAAATACTGTGAAATGAAATGAGAACATAGCACAGAGACTCTTTCCTTTCTCATCTCTTCTTGCTCCCCTACTATTTCACTGTTATATAATAAAGAATCTGTTTTATTTTATTCCTGGTTTCTAAAGAGACCCTTTTAAAACCTTATAATGTCCTAAGTGATACAAGTGTCTTTGATATTCCAAAGCAGGCCCTGCAGCATCCCTGAGTTTGTGCCAACAAGATGACTTGGAATGGGGGCTGGTCACAACGGAAAGATGAACCATATGATTAAATGGTTAATGATTTAAGCCAAATTATGTTAGTCCAACCTCTTGACCTTTCGGGAAGGGAGTGAGGCTGGAGATTTCGATAATATGACTAATGATTCAATTAATCATGCCTATGTAATGAAACTCTACTAAAACTCTGGACACCGAGGGTTGGGTAAGATTCCTGGTTGATGAACTCAATATTGGTTTGAAGGGTGGGTGATACGTCCTGACTCTATGGGTAAAGGGCATGGATGCCCCATGTCTGTGACCCTTTCACATCTTGCCCTATGTGTCTCATGCATCTCTTCATTTGGCTGGTCCTGCTTTGTATCCTTTATGATAAAATTATAATTGTAAGTACATTGCTTTCCTGAGTTCTGTCAGTCATTTCAGCGCATTATCAAACCTCAAGGGGTCACGGAATCCTTGAATTTGTAGCCAGTTCATCAGAAGTGCAAATGGCCTGGGAAACCCTGAACTTGTGGTTGTTGTGCAGCAGTTTTGATGAGAACTCTGTTCTTAACCCTGTGAAGTCTGTGCTAACTCTAGGTATTCAATAGTTAGCATCAGAAATGCATTGTAGTATTGCACTCACTAAACATTTAGCTAATTTCGGGTGATCTTATTCTCTGTGACCCCTTCTCTTAGCACGTAATATTTGTCTTTTTTATTAAAACTATATGGACTTTTCCTAGTTATTCAAAAGAATATTACAGAATAATTAAATAATTATCTAGGCCTATGGATTTAGTTAATTATTCTCTTTTTTTCCTGAGTTCTTCAGCTCTTGGGCTTTGCCTTTAACTTTGGCTTTGGTTTTGGTATTAATTTTAGTTTAGTCTTTGGGATTATGCATATACAATCAGTGTGATTATATTTGACACTTGGTATTTTATTGTCTTCACCATTACCCATCCGTTCCAACTTTTATTCTTTTTTTCTACTCATAATATCCATTCTAGTAAAAATAATGTTAAACTTGCCAATTCAACTTCACTATATTACTTTAAAATACACAGTAAAACATTTGCATGTTTGTAATTTTTATAAATAGTATTGTGCTATACATCTCTTGAATTTTACTTTGTTCTTTTCAAGTAACTTTTTAAGATACTTCAGTTAGTCCCATATATAATTCTATACATTACTTTTTACTGTATAAATTGATACTCTATGTGTGTATATTACTATGTGTGCATAAATATACATTTATGTGTACATTATTTCATTCCTTCATTTTCCTAGTTATGGACTTCTAGGTTACTTCTAATTTTCTGCTGCTAGAAAACATATAATAAAATCAACACCTATAAATTAGTTCATCATAAGCTGTTTGAAAACTAATCCATGAGTCAGATGTTATTCCATTAGGTATACATATCCTAAATTTCACCAATTACTTCCAGATTCTTCTACAAAAGACCTCCATTAGTTCACAATGCTACCAGGAATGCATGAGTTTTCTCATTTCCCCATCTCCTCACCAGTGCTTCCTATTGCTTGGCATGATTTTTACTTTCCCTTCATAGAAAGTTCTCTAGTCCCTTTTTAAAGCTTTTCATTGTGCTAGCAGATATCATTTTGGTGTGAAAAGCCACAATCACAGTTATCTGGAGTCAACTCCTTCTAGTTCATGCTATTTCTCTGCCTGTTCTTCAGGAATCCACTCATTAATTCTGCTGCTGTTTCCGTACTTCTCAAATGGTTGTCACACTCTCTTTTAATTGCCTAGACTTGGCCTGAGAAGAAGTAGAAGAAGAGAAAATGATTAAAGATGAACAGGGCTTTGTGAACTTAATGTTTGATTCTGGCCCCAGCGCTAACCTAAAGATACCGCACCATGCCACTCTGGCCTTATTACTTTCAGATGTGGAAGAGAGAGACAACTGAACTGTCCAGGATGAATCCAAGAAAGTGCAGGGAAAGCTCTTTTCCAAAATGCATCTGTTATCTATACCCCTGGTGAAGCCCACTTAGGGTTCCTTATTTATTGTGTAGCAGGATTCAGTTGCTTTTTTGCTTCCCAAGGTTTTTCAGCTTTTCTGAGTTCGATTCTGGGACCCATAGAACCACATTTTCCATCTGTGCATCTCTGAGTTTGAATTCAAGGGCAGGAGTCTTTGTTAGCTAGATATCTTGTCTGAGACATTTTGATCTTATCATATCTGTTATTTACTTATAGCTATGGTAATTTTCATTGGACCAACATGCTCTTCAAATTACTCTTCAGTTAGAACTCGGTCCATAGTGGGTTATCCATAAAAACTTGGGAACTAAAATTGATAACTGTTGAGGTCTTATAAGCCTCAGCAGGCAAATTCTACTGGGGAGTCAAATTTGTATAAAAAGAATAACTCTATGGATACCCAAAATCACTGACATTATTATGTTAGATCCAAGTTACATGGAGACACCACACAGTTTCATGGCTTCCTCAGGCTTTTAATTCCTGTCTGATGTATATATGCACCATGTGTTACCTAAATATTTATAGGCTTTCCAATGGAATCCCATCACTTTAAGAATGTTCTGTGAAGTGCAGTTTCTTTCTTCAGTGCATTTACTAAAAGTCTGTTTGATTAAAAACATTTGAGCTAAGATAATATCTATATCTGCATTTACTCATAAACTAAAGATTTGACTATTATACATGCAGAAACCTGGTGCAAATATTTTAAATCTCCAAATGAAATTTTGAATTATAGGCCTATCTTGTCCATGAACTCATGATCTATATTGACGTTGCTTAAATAACTGCAATAAGTCAGCTTTGTGGCTATTTTTTTGGAAATAACCCAATTTCAACTTAAATAATAAAGGAGAATTTTGGGTTTACAAAATGAAAAGGCAGATAAAGAGTAAATTTTAGATACAGGTTGATGTGGCCTTTGAGTTTATTTCTCTGTAGTTTTTATGATCCTGCGCTCATCCAGGTGCAAGATTTATATTCAGGCTGAAGTATTACATTTATCCAAAGTTACAAGCTTCCTCTCTCACATCAGGAGTGGGGAATACCTGCTTCACACAATAATTGAGCAAAAGTCCTGAGCTTATTATATTGGACCATGATGAACCAATCACTGATGATATGAAAGTGACATGCTCTTATTTGCTTAGGTCTGCCACCCAGCCCTTCACTGAAACATTGCTGTTCAAAGACAATTGAGTTTACACTAGTTAGCAATGGTAGAGTCGGACAAGAAAGAATCTCATCCAGTGTGTATTCTAGTTACTTTAACTATATAACATTACTGTATCTGTTTGGCATACACAATGTACTTAGAAAAAACATGCAAATAAATAAATAAATAGACATTACATTTTCTACATGATTAACAATTCCTAACCTCACTTCATTCTTTATAGACCTGTATGGGTGGGAGGAGTATTAGATAATATATTAGCTGTAGATGATAGGCCAGCTACTGGCATTTATTTGCTGCTCTTATGAAGTTACAGTAGTCCATTATAGACCAAATTGGCTAAGACTTTCATACTGGACTAAGAAAAATGATGGATGGTCATTATAAGTAAGTATAGCCTGTTAAAGTAAGATAAAGGTAAGGCTGCATTGGCTATAATATGTGCCAGGTTTGTTATCATATATCAAATGTAAAGAGAACTATTTAGCACATTTGGATTTTTAATAAAATATAAGTTGCTACATATATACTTTTATTATTTGATTAAACTAATAGATATGAGTATCTAGAGGAACAAAATTGTATTTAATATATTTCATACAGACAATATGACACCATAAGTGTTCACAAATTATTTATTGAGGAAGCAAATGCACACAAACACACACACACACACACATACACACACAGTGATTTTTCTTGAATAAGTGGGAAGTATTCTTACCTATGAAATGGTATAAGATATGAAAAGGATTGTTGGACATAACTATAACTGAATGAGATTAAAAGACAAAAATCAGTGAATTATTGAATAACAAATTTTTTTTAAAAATGTGTTCAATTATTTTAGCCATCCTAAGACAGTTTTTCAATTGTTTCTGGAAACTCTAAATGTAAGAGAAATGAAAATATTAAGATATAGCCCACAAATATTATAGGACAACATATATTGTTTTAATGCTATGGTTAGCCACACATTCCCCCAGAAAAACTGGAAAAGGAAGAGAAAAATAAATTGGATAAAAACACTTGCCTAAAGATTAGCTAGAATGAGAAAGGTAATCTATGAGAGTATACATAGTGCAAGAGAAATCTTTTTTTTAGTTATCATCAAAAGACCGAAAAATTCCTTTCTTTATCATTATGATTTTATTCAACCAAGAAAAGGAAAATAGGTCTATAGAAAATTAAGGAGCTCATAGGTGCAAACTTTTGTACAGGAAGTACAATTTCATAACAAGGCATTTTATTGTGTCCTGTATTTTTACATTTGTATAAGAGAAAATGCGTACTCATTCATTTTTTTCTCATTCCCCAAACGACCCAAAGCAATTAAGACCTCACAGAAGACATATAGTTCTATAAATTTTTAGTTGCAAGTTTATATTAAACTTAGAATACTTCCCTCTGGACTCTGTTTTATAATCTCGATAAAATGATCTAGATGGCCCCATAGTGACGATGCAAGTTTCTATAAAACAGGTTAATACATCCATAACAGTGTACTACATTCTCTAATAGCATGAGTATGACCAATCTATCTTTATTGAAATTATTTAATTTTGGAGGCCCGGGTTAATACTTTCTTGCCTCAGGAGGATAATATGTTTATGCTTAGGAACCAAAAATGATAAATTTAGTCATTAGACTCAGCCTTTACATAACCATGCATTACCTTTCAGTCTCTGTGTCGCTTTCAGAGCCTTAAGCTATTCGTCTATAAAGCAAACATATTCTGAATTTACAGACTCTTTTGTCCATGCTGTTTTCTGTGTTTTTGTACATGAACTTATAATATGAAGAAGGTAATTTATTCAATAGACATATATTTATTAGTGCTATATGCCAAGCTCTGTGCTTCTTTCAGGGAAACCATGATCAACAATGGAGTCAAGAATTCTGCTTTCACAGTCCTTAGGTCCAGATGAGTCAGCACATGAAGAAGTTGGCTATTACAATAGAGTGTGATAAATTAAATGTTATGGTAGAATTGACGACATTAAAGACTTAGTAAAGTCAGCAGCAACTCACAGGTGGAGGCAGAAGTAGTTCAGCAAAACTAATGTTCTGTCATACTGTAGCACTGGTCCTCAAAACAGAGGATTATTTGGCTCTTTCGATCCCCCAAAAGAAAAACACACAAACGAATGAAAACGACATTTGGCAATATCTGGGGACATGCTTAGCTATCACGACTTAGAAGTTACGACTGCAACTAGTGGAAAGAGACCAGAGAAGATGCTAAACAACTTACAGTGCACCAGGGAGCCCCTCACCACTCACCCCAGAAATCATTTGCCTTAAAATGACAATAATGTTTATATTGAGAAATCTTACACTAAAGCAAGTTACAAAACAGTGAAAGCAGAGCATTTTATTATCACCAATAAAATGTACAATTACTACATACTATATAGGGAGATAACTTATTTTAATAGATGCTTTTTAAGCACCTTGTTTTTATCAATACAGTGCAAATAAAGGCATAAAGAGCATTTTGTTTGTTTGCCTATTTGGTTGCTCCTATCCTCATACACTCCAGTTTCTTGTTCCAGAATAAATTTAAAGTGGTCATAAAAATTTCTAGGTGATTCACTTTCTACCTTGTCTGCAAACTTAAAAAATAATGTGTTGAAATTTCTTCTGTGAATTATATCTGCTAAACCTAGGACTCTCTTGGTGTTATTTGCATAGTTCTACCGAAATGACCATTGAACAAACATCCCCCAATGGGGCCTCATGTCTTGACTATTTAACATCTTTTCATCCAAATCAAAATGCCCAAAGATGTTCTGTTCTCGCCAATCAAATACATAAGGATCACTTTTTCCCTCTATTTAGCTTTCAGTTGCTTGCTTCATGTCGCTATTTCTTGCAGTCATTGTACAGTCTTGTAAAGTACTTTGAGAGAGGCATTTGAATGATAAAGAACTGTACATATAAAAGTGATTGTTGATTTTGTTGCATGTTTCCTGCTGGGCTCTGACATGATGGAATGCCTGGCTTGGAGCTGCCAGTTATCCCCGCCAATCATCAGCTGTATTATACCTCTGCTGCCTTCCAATACCACCAAATTATGGCAGTTGCAATAGTTGTTTTTCTTAAAATCCTTTCAATGGCTGATTTTATAATTGTCATTAATATTTCTTTCAGTTATAAAAGAGTGTAAGTCTATAGCACCATAAACAACATGAAGTAGTATTTTTAAAAATGAGAGTCATATTTTTGACCTGAATGTTTTTTATTCATTTAGTTTTAGGTCTACAAATAAAAGAAGGGGATATCAGTTTTAGAAAATGTTTTAAATTCTGTATGTATTTTTAACTACTAAATATAAAACATTTCATTGAATACTAAGAAATATTTAAAAATAAATAAACCGTCTCTTGCCAAACTGAATTGGCTGTGATCTGAATATTAGGAAGCTACTTCTTTCAGTGGCCTTTTGACTACATGGAATGAAGCTGCAGAAAATCGCCACATCTCTGCAAGGTTGCATGCCAGCAGAAAATTGGCAAAATCAGCTGTAGTGAGGGGCAAATTGAGTGAAGAAATAGAGGGGATTACAAAACAAAGGTGGAGAAGTCTTGCTTAACTGATATTGCATAGAACATTGAAACTTGTGCTAAGGAGTTTAGACTTTTCTCTGAAAATGTAATAGTATTATTTAGGTATTTGAAAAATGAATCAGAATAATAGTTGTTTAAGTTGATCTGTGGCCATTTTTTCTCAAGCCTTTGGCAACTTTTACATAACGTTTTCTTACCTAGAAATGATATACAACAACCATAATTAAAGCGACTTACTATGAGTCTTTGGGATTAGGCATAGTAAATTGGTATACCTGGAAAGACAATTCACCATTTCAGTATGAAAATTATTATGCCTGGAAAGAGAATTTATGATTTCAGCATAAAACACAGTTCTGTTTTTCAAAACCTGTGGGTCCTTGGAAGAGCTATGAATTACCTATGCAATAGTTCAGTGCATATTTCTTCAGACAGTTTAATAAAATAGTGTTTTGATTTGAATTAGTGATAGGAGTACAGAAAATTAAACATGAAAAATGTATTACATAATTAAGAAAAATTGCAATTAAATAATAGGCAAACATTTTGCAATAAATAATTTATAGGACAAACTAACAAAATAGAGTCCCACCTATGATATTATATGTCATATTTAAATAACTGTAATAATGTAACTGTGACATTTGATTTAATAAAATAGGTGCAAATATATATATATATATACATATATATGATCACATTTATTTATTCATTGTACAAATATTTATTGAGCACAGGCACTGTTTTAAGTGTTAGGGTCACAACAGAAAACAAAACAGGAAACTCCTGCCTTAATTGAGCTGCCATTCTAGTAAGATGTGCCAGAAACAAGCTGAATAAGTATAGCATACAAAATTTTTACAAATGAATAAATATGTTGTATATAAATGAATGATAATAAATGCTCAGAGAGAAAAAAAAAAGATAGGAAGGGAGCTGGGCCCTGTGCAGGCAGGGGTTTTCAGTCTAGATAATAAGCCTAGGGAAATAATGTACTGAGAAGTTATATATTCAGTACATATATAATATGTACTGAAGGTGGAAAAGGAGCAAATAATATTGGTGGGAAGAATGTCCTAGGCAGAGACAGTAACACATGGAAATTTCCTGAGGTGGGAGCATGTCTGGCTAGTTAGGAACAGAAAGAAAACTTGTTTACACTGCTGAGATGGAAAACCACTGGAAGCTGTTGAAAAGATGAATGAAATGTTCTGTCCTGTGTATTAACAGGACTACTCTGTTCTTTTAGTAAAAACAGACTGAAGAAAGTCAAACTCAAAAGCAGAGAGAACAGTTGAGGCTACTGCAATAGTCCAGACAAGAGCAAGTAGCAAGTGTTGGCTTGAATGAGGGAGATGGTAAAAAGAGGTCAGATTGCACCTGTGGTTTTAAGATTGGCCTAAAAGAAATTGCTAATGATCAGATGTAGATTTAAGGGAAAGAAATGTAAGATTAAAAATAGCATCCATGTTTTTAGTTTTAGTAACTGTAAAACTGGAATTGCTATCTATTAATATGTAGAAGATTGCAGCATGGCGTTTTGATTAACAGAAGTATAGTTTAGCACATGTTAATATTGTAATTTATCTTAAATACTATTCAGCATTTAAATATTAATACTTATCAATTATATGCTTATCTAAGTCTGAAATGAGATATAAATATAGAGATGATACTTACAAACATGGCAATAGAGGAGATTATAAAAGAGCTGAGTGTAACTAGAAGAAAGTAAGGGTAAAATGAATAAATTCTGGGACTCTCTATTAAGTGTAGAAAACTACAAAAGAATTGTTACTTTACAAAGAAAAGTCTTTATATTTTCTTGAAAAATGTACATCATTTTTCAAGCAGAGGTAAAATTAGAAAAGTAAACCACTCTTAGACTGTTCTCACTAAATGTTTTGAGTAAATGAATGAATTAATAAAGTAATTATCAGAGATTAGTCATAATGGCGAATTTGATTTAAACACCAAGGAATTCTTGGCTTCCTTCTCTCCTCCTTACTGCTGTCATGATCTGACCTCCTGGGAAATCAAACATAATCATAGGAAAATTAATAATGCATTCATTGTTTTTCTCTCCAGTCACATTTTTGTCACCATCATAAGCAAGTCCATAATAATCAGAGTCACTTCATCCAATTGTCTACGCATTTTCCTTTTTGACCTCCTTGATGTTAGCAGCTTTCACCTTCATTCTTCTATATCCACCTATTCTTAGGGTCACATTTTGGATATTGCCATCACCAAGAGCTGTTTCACTTCAAAAATTCTTAACTCCAATATGCTGTTCTAGGATAACAGTTCAGTAATAAAAACCTGACAATAAACCAAAAGTGTTCCTTTTGGATGTATATAAAAGTTTTTTTTAAAAAATGAAAGCAAACATGTGCGCTTTTATAAATAGATTCATATCCAGATTAATATAATAGAGTTGTGTTTTCAATATGTCAAAATTATGATCATTTTCATTGTTACTATTTATTGTTTTTGTTACATAGCTAAAGTACTGTGGCCAAATCTACTAGATTTTCCAGTTTTATCCTGTTTATAGTTTTTTTTTGAAATTATACTTTAAGCTCTGGGGTACATGTGCAGGAGTGCAGCTTTGTTACATAGGTATATGCGTACCATGGTGTTTTGCAGTACCCATCGACCCGTCCTGTTTATAGTTTTACAGTTCCTTCTACTCAGCTATTAGAGCTTCCAGTGTAGAACCAGAACCACATTTATGAAGTCAGTTCGAGACTCAGGCCACAGGCCACAGTGATACTGAGATATTGTGATATAATCTCTGAGTCAGTGTGGGGTCAAGTTCAGTTCATTTTAAAGTTATGTCTGTGTTGTTGTAGTTTGGTAGCAGTCTATTTAAGGTAGCATTTTTCCAATAATTTCTTCAGCCTCTTTTCATAAGCTGGGTATCTTCACCCAACTCTTCTTCAAACAGTGAGCCTGGACATGTGCCTTTGTCTGGCATCATCACAGAAATATTAAACCGTCTAATCTTGCACCTCGCAGACTAGTGGTCTTCACCCTATGACTGTTTTCCATTTCCCTTTTGTTTATACATGACAGAGATATTTCTCTTGTATTTTAGCCCAACTTTTCTTTTTATTCATTTTTATCTTTTGAGAGAGTACCCACCCTTTTCATTTGTTTGGAAGTTCAAGGCTACTTTATATTTGCAATATATGTGGATTACTTATAATCTACTCAGCAAAATAACGACTATTCTTGGTTCTTAGAAAAATACTTCCATATAGTGTATGGAAAACAACTTCAACAACAGTGGAACACTGAATTCATCAAGGGTTGTCAGAGATTTTTTATTTAACATAACATTCATCAGTATCACTCACTGCCATCATATTTAATCACAATCCAGACAAAAGAACAGTTATATTAGAGACCTCTATGATGATATTCTGGTGTGTCATTTTCAAGGAACTTACATGATTCTTGAAAAGATATTAGAGCAAAACTACCAAGATAATTAATGGCTTAGCAAATTAGAATGATTTAATTCCAAAGAAATGCATGCTAGTTTTAAAACTGCTTTTGAAACACAAAACATTTTCTTCATATTTAAAGCAAGCCATATTAATTCAGTGGTTATGTAACTGGGTTTTGTTCCTATCGAGTACCTTCCAAGTCACTTAATTGATGCAAATTTCAGTTAATTACACCTTGATTAATTTTTTCTCTCTTATTTTGCATAAGTCATGCTTCTCCAGAGTTCACTTGCAGCTTCCATCTCACAACAGGGAAATGAAATTTCATTTGGACATTATTAATTTTCATTTGTACCATGCTTTTCTGATAATAAATTTGTTAGTATAATAAACAACATATTCTGAAGTATTCCAGTTTCGTATTAGTGCCCCTTGGCTTTTTCCAGCACAGGAAAGCTTGATGATTTTTAAAAACAAGCACTCGAGTAAAAATGAAGTATTTGACATGGGAAGAAAATTGCTATGAATCTCAAATATTTTAAGATATATTGCTGTCACACAAGATCACCTCTATAAACATCCTTCTCCTTGTTTTCTCCAGAAGTATTTTCTATATAAATTATATATTGTCAAACTTACATCATATTTCATGCCCTAAAAGCCTTTGACAGGTTTTGCAGCTGTAATAAATAACAATCAGAAGATACTGCTGAAAATATTCGACTACAAATGTAACTGTTTAACTAATAGACTGCCATTTAGAGACTAATCGTCTATCTTGTCTTAGTTATTATTTTGGTGGAAGCAGTTTGTTTTCTTTGTGAACTGAGAATAATCTGAGATTTATTCATGCTTAGTTTCTGTGATTCTCTTGCTCTCAAGATAACTATCAAAAATCTTTAGTGTTCAGAATTACTATTAAAAGAATAAGTTCATTTCCCTTTTGAGAAACTAACTTTTATTGTTTGACATTTAACAATATCAGAAATTTTACATGTAAAATATATAGCAGTCTGGGGGAATACCACTGCTAACTCTATGTATAGTGCCACTTCATTTCCCTAAAGTTAAAACCAAATGACTACTAAAGCTAGATAATTGGAGTAACACAAAAATGTTGGGATGAGCAGTAAGGAAAAATATGGCATTTTTCTTTTATCTTGTGTCATCAACTGTTGATTCCTCATCTACTACACTCTTGCCAGATTTTTATCATTTGAGTTGTGAAGGATAGGTCCTCCATGATCTTTAGTAACTGGAAAGTAGCATTTCCTGGTATGTCTTCCAGAGAATTCCAAATCCTTGGGTATATTAACAGTATCCATATTTACTTAAATATCAAAATCCTTTGTGTAAGAAAATCATAAGAAGTTAGTTATCCTTAGAGACTGCTTTTGTAAATACGCCTTAAGGTGGTAAATATGTTTATTTATGTCCTTCCCTTTCCTATCTTAGATGCTAAAAGATCCTATTAACAAGTTTGTTCTGCGTTAGGAACACATGCTTCCTCATCAATCGATCGTAAGAAATCAGTTTGTATGAAAAGAGTAGAAGTCTCATATCTCAAATTTTAAATTGAACTAAGAGTCTGATTCTATAAAAGAGAGATATGCAAATAACAAAATATTGTTGCAGTGTCTATGAAGCAGTAGAAGATTTTACTTTTTCCTCATCTCTGATGAAACTCTCTAATATTCTGCATTTTTATTCTATGTTTATTCAGCAATCATTCATTTGCAGGTTTTATATGTAAGGCACTTTGCAAAATTAGAGTGATGTGGACACGAAGGTGATTTAAGTAACAGCCTATTTTATAAGGAACTCCTATTTTAGTGGAAAAGATAGACTTCTAAACAAACAAACAAAATAAAAGCCCAAGTGCAAAATCAATGCATGCTTTAATGGGGTTGTGAAAGATTCTAGAGAACAAAGAGAGGAGGGGCTAAGCTAAGCCTACTGTGAAAATAACTCATTTTAAGGTTATCCTTACTCAGCAAGTATAATGTTTGAAGACACAGCAAGTTATGCCTTTATTTGTTTAAAAATATAAATTATGTACCCATATTAAAAAAAGAATTAAGTTGCTTGCAAAGCACTGATTCACAAGAAGACTAAAAATGAACTTTATATATATTGTTTTCTACTATACGATTGGGGCAATGGTATGGACTTTAAAATAACAGTTGCTTTGGGGCTTGAAATATATTCTAGGATTATAACCAGATATAAGTAGATTCAATATTTGGAAGTTAAACAATGTTTAAAATAAAATGAAGAAATACTAGATCAAACAATATGGAGTAGATGCATTTCCTTCACACTAAGCACAATGATAAACTCTTTTTGTAGTGCATGTGGCAATCAAGAGAGAGCTCTGAAAGCTGGAAAGTGGAAAGCAAACCGGTTTGGGAACCCAAGACCCAAGAAACAGCACAATGGCCGAGAGTCATATATTCTCTCACTCTATAGGAGAAATGCAGAGAGGTTCATCATTTCCCAACACCCACACCTAGCAATAGAAGAAAACCCACATAAGACCTGAAAATCAAAACAATTGAATTCATGGAGATAGAAAGTATAAGGATGGTTATCCGAAGATGGGAAGGATAGTGCGGGTGGTGAGGGGAGATGGGGATGGCTAATGGGTACAAACAAATAGTACAAATAAGACCTAGTATTTGATAGCACATCAGGGTGACTACAGTCAGTAACAGTTTCATTGTAGATTTGAAATAACTAAAATAGTATAATTGGATTGTTTGTAACACAAAGCATAAATACTTGAGAGGATGTATACCCCATTCTCTATGATGTGACTATTACGTATTGCATGCTGTGTCAAAACATCTCATGTACTTCATAAATATATACACCTACTATGTACCCACACACATTAAAAATGAAGAACAAAAAAACAAACAAAAAAATAAGACAACCCACATAAGCTCATTTTCCCCCTGGGCTGAACAGCAATTCCTGTGGCAACCTCAAGCAAATCTGACATTGATAAGCAAGATAATTGGTACCCTGACAAAAATAAGCAGCTAGAGAAAGCACTCAGCAAAGAAATAGAAGGCAAAAAGAACCAAATGGAAAATATAAAACTTAAAAAAAAAACAAATAAAAACTTATTGGATGGGTTCCATAGTAGAGTGGAGATGACAAAGTATCCAGTAAAAAACTTGAGATTAGAAAATTGCAATAAATCAAATCTCAATAGTAGAAAGCAAATATCCAGTAATGGGATTGCTGAGTCAAATGGTATTTCTGGTTCTAGATCTTTGAGGAATCGCTACACCATCTTCCACAATGGTTGAATTAATTTACATTTCCACCAAGAGTGTAAAAGTTTTCCTCTTTCTCACAGCCTCGCCAGCATCTGTTGTTTCATGACTTTTTAATAATCACCATTCTGACCGGCATGAGATGGCATCTCATTGTGGTTTTGATTTGCATTTCTCTAGTGATCAGTGATGTTGACCATTTTTTCATATGTTTCTTGCTCACATGAATGTCTTCTTTTGAGAAATGTCTGTCCATGTGCTTTGCCCAGCAATCCCATTACTGGGTATATAAACAAAGGAATATAAATCATTCTATTACAAAGATACATGCACCTGTATGTTCACTGCAGCACTATTCACAATAGCAAAGACAAGGACTCAACCCAAATGCCCATCAATGATAGACTGGATAAGGAAAATGTGGTACATATATACCATGGAATACTATGCAGCCATTAAAAGGAACAAGGTCATATCCTTTGGAGGGACATGAATGGAGCTGGAAGCCATTATCCTCAGCAAACTAACACAGGAACAGAAAACCAAACACTGAATGTTCTCATTTACAAGTGGTAGCTGAACAATGAGAACACATGAACACAGGGACGGGAACAACATACATGGAGGCCTTTCCGGGGGTGGGGTGGTGGAAGGGAGAGCATTAGGAAAAACAGTTAATGCACACTGGGCTTAATAGCTAGATGATGGTTTGATAGGTGCAGCAAACCACCATGGTGCACATTTATCTGTGTAACAAACCTGCACATTGTGCACATGTACCCCAGAACTTAAAATAAAAAATAAAATTAAAAAAATAAAGTAAATAGACAACAACAACAAAATGAACAGAGAGACTCAGGGACTGTAAGACAGAACAAAAGATCTAAAAGCCCTATCATCAGAGTCCCATAAAGAGAAGACTAAGATAGCAAGGCTGAAATGTCTTCATTATCAGATAAATAATAACAGAAATCTTCCCAAATCTGGTGCAAGGGACAAACCTTCAGGTCTAATATAACTGAAACTGAAAAAGTCCCATATAATATAAACGAAAATAAATCCACGCTAAGGTACATCATACTTCAACCTAAAGAATATACTAACAACAAAGAAAAATGTAGAGGCAGTAAGAGAGAAGTGATTATTTACCTATAAGGGGACATAATAAATTTCTCACCAGAAATAAGACCCAAATATATGCTGCATTCAATAAAGTCACTTTCGATTTAATCATATTGATTGGTTGAAAGTAAAAGGGTAGAAAAAGGTTGACTATTCAAACATTAATCAAAAGAAAGCAACAGTAGTAGTTATATTAATATCATTAAAAGTAGACTTAAGAGCAAAGAAAGTAACTAGAGACCGAGAGACATTATTGCATAAGGATAAAGGGAACAGCAAGACATAATGATCTTAAATATTTACACCTTGATCAACAAAGTCCCAAGGCAAATAAAACAAAACCTAATAGAACTGAAAGGAGAAATAGCAATTATAATTGGGGATTTCAATGTCTTCCTTCCAGCAACTCAAACAGGAACACCTCTTTTTATTGTGTTTTGCTTTATTGAGCTTTGCAGATACTTATGGTTTATTTATTTATTTTTAACAAATTGAAGGTTTGTGGCAATGTTGTGTTGAGCAAATCTATTGGCACCACTTTTCCAATAGCATGTGCTCACTTTGTGTCTGTGTCACATATTTTGGTAAGTCTCTGACTGTTGCAAATGTTTTCATTAGTATTATATCTGTTATGGGGATCTGTGATCAGTGATCTTTGATGTTACTATTGTAACTATTTTGGAACAACATGATCTGCACCCATGTAAGACAGCAAACTTTAAAAATTGATAAATGTTGTGCATGTTCTGAGTGCTCCACCACTGGCTATTCCCACATCTCTCTTCCTCTCTTTGGTCCTCTCTATTCCCTGAGACACAACAATATTGAAATTAGAATGATTAATAACCCTACAATGGCCTCTAAGTGTTCAGGTGAAAAGAAGAATTGTATGTCTCTCAATTTAAATCAAAGGCTAGTGATTAACTTTTGTGAGGAAGGCGTGTTGAAACTGAAATAAGCCTAAAGCTAGACCCCCTGCGCCAGTTAGCTGAGTTGTGAATGCAAGGGAAAAGTTCTTGAAGAAAATTAAAATAGCTACTTCAGTGAACGTAAGCATGACTTTTTAGAAGTGAAATAGCCCAATTGCTGACATGGAGAAAGTTTGAGTGGTCTAGATAGAAATCAAATCAGCAACAACATTCCCTTAAGCCAAAGCCTCATCTACAGCAAGGCCCTAATGCTCTTCAGTTCCATGAAGGCTAAGAGTGATGAGGAAGCTGGAGAAGAGGTTCCAAGGTAGCTTAAGTTTGTTCATTAGGTTTAATGAAATAAGTCATCTCTGTAACAGAAAATTACAAGGTGAAACAGCAAGTGCTAAGTTAGAAGCTGCAGCAAGTTATCCAGAAGGTCTAGCTAAAATAATTAATGGAAGTGGCTACACTAAACAATATATTTTCAATGTAAACCAAACCTACCTTATACTGGAAGAAGATGCCATCTAGGGTCAAGAGTCTAGTGAAAGATATAACTGCAGATGTGGTAGAAATCACACACACAAAAAAACTAGAATTAGTAATGGAGCCTGAAGATGTGGCTGAGTTGCTACAATTTCCTTTTTATGGTGGGCAAAGAAAGCAGTTTCTTAAGATGGAATCTACTCCTGATAAAGATGCTGTGAACACTGTTGAAGTGACAACAAAGAATTTAGGATATTACATAAACTTAACTGATAAAGCAGTGGCAGAATTAGAGATCATTGACTCTAATCTTGAAAGAAGTTCTGTGGTTAAAATGCTATCAAACACCATTGTGTGCTACAGAGAAATCTTTCATCAATGGAAGACTCAATTGAGGTGGAAAATTCCACTGTTGTCTTATTTTAAGAAACTGTCACAGCCACCCTAACCTCCAGCAACCACCACCCTGATTAGTCAGCAGCCATCAACTTCAAGGCAAGAACCAACACCAACAAAAGATTATAACTCACTGAAGGCTCAGATGATGATATTTTTTTAAAAATAAAGTATTTTAAATTTAAGATATGTACATTATTTTTAGATATAATGCTATTGCACCTTAATATATTACAGTATAGTGTAAACATTACTTTTACATGCACTAGAAAACCAAAAAAATTCATGTGAATCACTTATTGTGATATTGATTTTTCTGTAGTGATCTGGAACTGAACTTGCAATATTTGCAAGATATATAAATCTCAGGATTCTACAACAAAGGAAAATACAATTAGCAAATGGCCAAAGATATGCAGAAACTTACCGATTAAGACAGGCAAATAAGCACATGAACATATGCTCAACATCATTAGCAATCAAGAAAATGCAAACTAACATCAAAATGAGATATTACTACACAACCATCATAATGGCTCTAATAAAAAAGTAGTGACAATATCAAGTGCTGGTGAAGATTTAAACTGGTCACTTACACATTGCTATTGGTGCTATTAAATGATCAAGCCACTCTGGAAAATAATCTGGCAGGCAGTTTTTCTAAACACTAAACATAATACCAATCATATACTCAGCAATTTTACTCTTGGGCATTTATCCCAGAGAAACAAAAATGTACGCCCACACAAAAACCTATTTAGAAGATTTTTTTTTGTCTAATAGGCCAATGCTTTAAAACAATCCAAATTTCCTTAATGGTTGAATGGTTAAGGAAACTGGTATATCCATGCCAGCAACAAAAAGGCAAGAACAAAATAACTTGGATGAATATCAAGGGAATTATACTGGATGTAAAAAAGCCAGTCCAAAAAAGTTATATACTGTAGGATTCCATTTATATAACCTTCTTGAAATGACAAAATTATACACATGGAAAACAGATTTGTGGTTATCAGGGGTTAGGATGGAGAGGAGGGTTGGAAAAATGGGTGTGATTAAAAAGAGAAATTGAAAAGATCCTTATGCTGTTAGATTTATTTAATACCTTGACTGTGGTAGCAGATACACGAGCCTGAACAAGTGATAAAATTGTATAAAATGTAGTTCTCATCTACACATACCCACACACACAGACACAAGTACAGCTAAAAGCAGGGAAACAGGTTTAGCACTGATGAATTGTATCAATGTCAATATGTTGGTTGAGATATTATACTACAAATGCTTGCAAAAATGTTTGGAGGGAAACCAGGCAAAGTGTACAGAGACCTCTCTGTATTGTTTCTTACAACTGCATGTGAATCTATAATTATCTCAATAAAGATTTTAATTAAAAATATAATGAAGCCTCACTGTAGAACTTGGAACAAGAAGGACTTCAAAAGTTCTTCTTATATCATCTGCTTAACTTCATCTTCTTCACTGTTTTATAGTAAGCACTCACAAAATTGAAATTGCATGACAATTCCATACCCTGACCCATCTGTGCATCACTGAAATGTAGTATTGAGTTTGTTATCCAGTAAGTGCTCAAGAAATATTTAATAAAAAGTAGAAGAGTTCTCATGAGAACACTTCTTTCATTTTACAATCCTTTTTATTCTATGAAATAATCAGAGCTCTACTAGGAATTGAGAAACTAATATTGAAATTTAATATATATTTTTTGTAACACATGCACCAGTAAGTAAATTTTACAATTCTTTTCCATCGTCATTTTGCTCTGAGAAAATAATATTGTGAATAAAGCAAATTACTCCAAATCCACACCAATTTTTCTCCAATATTTATTTTATCAGTAAATACTTACAGGTAGTCTGAAAATGTGATAATTGATTATCACTTTTAATTCAGACACTTGTTAATCTATTATCCCATTTGAACTCACTAAGGGTAGAGTCAAAAATTAATTATAATTTGGTAGATGATAACAAATGGTTCCTTGTCTATGTGATTCACACCTTAATTTGGACTTTGAAAATGAATGAGTTAATGAATATGCAAAATTCTCTGTGTAAAACAGGAAAAAGACGGGGAGGTGTGTATTTTGTTTCTTTTTTAATACATCTCTTCTAGAAATATAAGTTGTATGCTCAGGCCTAGTATTTGTATTTCCCACAGCTACATCTCCCACATGCTCACTAACCTCTAAAGGTGCACTCATAATTTTTAGAGAGAAAAGAAAAAAAGGAAGGTAGAGAAACCTTTGTTCTTTTCAGGTACTGGAAGCCTCTAATCCCCCTTCCCTCTTCTTCAGTAGGAATAAGGAAAACTAAAGTTTCTCTTTGCTGCTGCTATTCTTCCACAAAGTTCTTATTTCAGGATCTATTTGTCACACACCAATATAGATATTTTCAAGTATTAGCATCAATGTATACTTCAAAATATCCTTGAGGTTCTGAGATGCTTAAAACTTGGTTCTGAAATACATGCCTTAAGGCACCAGTGCACCCAGTGCATTTTTAAGATGCTTACAATGATCCCTGCATTGGAGAGATGTCCACTGCTCCCTGCAGTACTTGGGGTACTGAAGGAGGGGAGGTGGAGAGTAGTTAGTATCTAGTACTTGTCCCATTTAATAATTCAGCGAACAGTATTGAGTGTCAATAGTGCTCCTGGAAATATATTAAGAACTGGTGATGAAAACACAAATAAAACCCTGCAGTTGTTCTCAAGGATCTGACAAGTTTTGTTTAGGAGACAAACAGGAGAACAAGAAACAATGTGCAAGATGGTATCATGGGAGAGATAAAAAAAAAGAGAGAGATAGAAAACAGCCTCCAGGAGCAATGGCGAAAGGTTGGAACATAATTTGGGGAATGATTCTAAGTAAGAAAGAGAGTACTGGGGTCTGGATACTCAACAATAATTTGAATGCTATACTAAATAATTTGCAATTTATCTTGAAGGTAACAGGAACAATTTTGAGGAGCAATGATGTGATCCTATTTGCATATTTGCTAAGGAATAAAGCCAAAATTAATCAATACCAGTTAGAAGGATTTTTTCTGTGAGGATAAGAGAAGTGAGTGGCTTCAAGAGATATTAAGGAGATACAATAAAAAAGAATTCATGATTAATAAAAGTTAATGTGTATGCTCAGAAATAGCTAGGAATGTCTGATTCTTTTCTCAGATATTTGATGCATGGTTGTGCTATTTACTCAGAAAAAGAACCCCGGAAGACAGGTAACATTAGTAACACTGGAAAAGGAACAATCCTAAGAATGACAGAGGAGTAGACCTGGATTCCAGAGGACTCCCGTATGAAGTTGGTGATCTATGTCACACTGAGGCGAAACCTTTTGTGTCATCATCGCCTGCAATAACCTGGAAGGATGTCCATACCAGGAGCTCCAGGGTAAATGGTAGATGTGTATGTTGACAATTATCAGCTATATTTATCAAGAAAGAGAAAAATTCAAAGACAATTAGGCACAGTATAGTAAGAGAGAGGAACTCAGAGAAAGGCATCTGAGTGTTTATGGCATTGAAGTCTTAGAAAATTTGTGTACATTTAAATATAAGGAGAGAAAAATAAGTTTTGTTTTCTTTGTTTCTTTCTTTTTATTTTTTCTTTTTGAAATAGAGTCTCTCCCTGTCACCCAGGCTGGAGTGCAGTGGCATGATTTCAGCTCACTGCAACCTCCGCCTTCGGGGTTCAAGCAATTCTCCTGCCTCAGCCTCCCGAGTAGCTGGGATTACAGGCACGCACCTCTATGTCTGGCTAATTTTTGTATTTTTAGTAGAGACAGGGTTTCACCATGTTGGCCAGGATGGTCTCGGACTCCTGACCTGATGATCCACCCACCTCAGCCTCCCAAAGTGCTGGGATTATAGGCGTGAGCCACTGCACCCGGCAGAAAATAAGTTTAAGAAAACAGCAAGGGCTTATTAAGGCCCAGGCTTTTAGGTTTTCCATTTAATGTGGGTAGCCTTAAGGTAGCAGCCATTAAGAGAATTGGGAAAGGATGAAAAGAAATTATGCAGATTTAATAAATATTTATATATGGTTACGAGCACAAAGAACTGACTGGGAACAAATAGGTTAGGAGCCCATTAAGTTCTCGGGGATATTATATTGTCAAAGGACCCACAAGTCCGGTTTCTAAAAGTCTGACTATTTAAGAAAGATCTACAGCATCCAAGACCCATCTCAAATGTCACCCAAGAAGACTCAGTGTCCTCCCTAAAGAAAAATGCCAAGGCTTATTTTAAAAAATAGAGAGTTCCTTTCAAATAACAGAAACAGTCATAATCAGAGAACACCACCAACTGTCAGGTAAGGGACCCCAAGGCCCCCCCCAGAAAATTCCAGTAGCTTTATGGAATTGCTAAAAAGCTTCCCATCTCCTTTCAGATTGGAAGTTTTTATTACATTTATTATCTCCCTGTATATTATAGTGTATTGGTGAGTTTTAGTTTGGGGACTTTATATCACAGAATGATTAGAACAAGAGGAACCACATTCTGACTTAGAAAGCACTGCATGTTTTCTTAGACATCCTTGACTGTGATGGAATGCATTACTAAATGATAGTATTTCAGGTTTTCTCTCTTCTGGAGGGGTGAGTATACCCTATCCATGGAAATAAAGAATGAAGTTGGTATTTAATTGCCACAGAATAACCTATGGCAGAGACTGCCGGTGCATGACCAAACCCATTTCCTCCTCTTAGTCATTGACTGAGATGACCCCCATTTGGAGGCTATTTTCTCTTCCACTTTATGGTTCATCTTAAAGGCCATGTATAAACTGGTGCCAAAGGTAGAAAGCATCTCTTCCTTGATTGTAAAGGGCTGAAACCCTTTGTAATCTACTTTGTAACATGAGTGAAGGTACCGTGAAGTTGAAATTACATATTACAAACATTAACCTATCCTGATGTTACTCCCTTTCAGCAGTTACCAGTTCTCAACAACTTGTGGTGTAGCTACATTTCTACAAATGACAGTTATTGTATTTTTTGTTGCCATTAGCCTATATTGCTATATTTGGTTAATCAATATTCAAAGATATTTCTAAAAGAACAGACATTGAAAAATGAAGTTAATAATTTTCACATAACTACACATTAAATATCTAATTTACCATTAATTTCAAGAACGAGTATTGGTCAAATTAATATATGCCTTTAATTACATTAGGTAATTAAATTTCACAGTTTAAAATGATAATTAGTGCATTATTCATGTTACAGTCTTTTAAAAACTTGTCCTCTTCAGATCAGAGGAAACACTATGGTATAATTAAAAGAAAGAGGGTAGCCTTCATCTTTGTCTTTTTTACTACTTTTGATAAGTAATTTATCTCTCAGCATCTGACTTTTACATATAAAAAATTGAAGTTAAGAATACCTATCTTTCAGTGTTTCCATAAGGTTTACACAATTTCATCAATTAAAAACTCCTAACCTGAAAGCCATTCATCTAAAAATACTTGGATTCTTTGTATTATCCACTTTCCAGTATTAGTTACAATTATGAATCAAATTAATTTTTATGAAGCTATCTCCCCAAAATCAGATGAAGCAATGATGACAATTGTAAAGTGATAGGTGTATCTATTTGTATAAAATGTGGACTTCTGGGATAGAAAGAAACTAATTCGCTCCAGTTATATTCTACCTATGAGATCATATTCTACATAGTGGGTAAGGGCTAACACTAATTTGTATTCATTAAGTATTTCTTATTCAACAAAGTTATTGAACACATCCATGTATAGGGATTTGATCAAGCTATAAATATACATTAAAAAGTAGATACATAGACCAATAGAACAGAATAAAGAACTCAGAAATAAAGCCAAATACTGACAACCAACTGATCTTTGACAAAGCACGCAGAAACATACATTGGGGAAAGGACATCCTATTGAATACACAGTGCTGGGAACATTGGATAGCCACATATAGAATGAAACTGGATCCTTATCTCTCGTCATATACAAAAATTAACTCAGGATGGATTAAAAACCTAAATCTCAGACTTGAAACCATAAAAAGTCCAAAAGAAAAACTAAGAAAACCTCTTCTGGACATTGGCGTAAGCAAAAAATTTATAAGAATCCAAAGCAAATGCAAGAAAAACAAAAATAAGTAAGTGGAACCTAATTAAATGAAAAAGCTTCTGCACAGCAAAAGAAATAATCATCAGAGTAAACAGACAACCTACAGAACAGGAGAAAAGATTTGCAAATTATGCATTCAACAAATGACTAATAACCAGACTCCACAAGGAACTCAAGCAAATCAGCAAGAAGAAAAACAAATAATTATATTTAAAAGTGGGCAGAGGACATGAATGCACAATTCTCAAAATGAGATATATTAATGGCCAACAAATATAGGAAAAAAGGCTCAAAATCATGAACCATCAGTAAAATGCAAATTAAGACCACAATGAGATACTACCTTACCTCAGCCAGAATGGCCATTATTAAAAAGTCAAAAAATATAAAGATGTTGACAAACATGTGGTGAAAAAAGAATGCTTATGCACTGCTGGTGAAAATGTAAATTAGTAAAACTGCTATGGAATATGGTATGGAAATCACTCAAAGAACTAAAAGTAGATCTACCATTCAATGCAGCAATCCCACTACTGGGCATCTAACCAGGGGAAGAGAAATCACTGCAGCAAAAATACACATGCATGCATATGTTTGTCACAGCACAATTTACAATTGCAAAGGTATGGAATCAACTTAAGTGTCCATCAACCAATGAGTGGATAAAGAAAATGTGTGTATATATTTTATATATATATATATATATATATATATATATATATATATATATATATATATACACCATGGGATACTACTCAGCCATAAAAAAGAATGAAATAATGTCATCTGCAGCAACTTGAATGGAACTGGAGGTCATTATTTTAGGTGAAGTAACTCAGGAATCAAAAACCAGATACCTCATGCTCTCACTTATACAATTCATCTATGTAACCAAAAACCACTCTTGTCCCTAAAACTATTGAACTTTAAAAAAAATAAAATTTTAAGAAAAAAATTAAAAACAACAACAAAAATTACCCAACAAACTGTGTTAGTCCATTCTCTCAGAGTTATAAAAAAATCTGACTGGGTAATTTATAAAGAAAATAGGTTTAATTGGCTTTTAGCTGTGGAGGCTGTACAGGAATCATGGCACCAGCATCTTCTTGGGGAAACCTCAGGGAGTTTTTACTCATGGTGGAAGGCGAAGCAAGAGCAAGCATACCACATGGTGAAAGCAGGAGCAAGAGAGTGAGGAGGAGGAGCTACATACTTTTTAAATGACCAGATCTCATGAGAACTCACTCACTATCATGAGGACAGTACCAAGAGGTATGGTACTAAACTGATCATGAGAAGTTTGCCCCCATGATCCAATCACCTCCTACCAGCCCCCACCTACAACATTGAGAATTACAATCAAACATGAGATGTGGGTGGGGACACAGATCCAAATTATATCACAAACAAAACAATAAGTAAATAAATATACACACAGTAGTCATCTGCCTGGAAGTGATGATCATCAGAAAGAAAGAAAGGATGAGATTACTGAAGCGAGAAATGAATAAAGAAGAAAACCAAAATAGAAACAGAACTCTTACAGGTTAGATCTGAAAACTAGGATGATAGATGCCAAAGAAGGAGAAGTACAAAATAATACACCGTTACTAAAGCTAGGAGATAAACTTTTAGTGGTGGGATTGAACAAAACTATCAAATATGATAGAGAATTTATGAAGCATAAGGAATAACAAAGATACCCAGAAGGCCAAATTCCATTAATAAAATAATCTTTGTAGATATTCAGAAACATAATTTTTTAAATGTTATATAATACCCTTTCTTGAGACTTCTACTGTCTCCTGAGACTTTCACTAACTGCTCCAGACCACATCAAGATATTTAAATTCAGTTAGAGTTTGTACTACTTATTCTAATGTAAGCATACACAGTACTCCCTCTTCAGAATATAACTTGGACTTTTTCATGAATTGTTCCTCTACTTTTCCACCATTCGCACATTGATATGATTTGGCGGTGTCCCCACCCAAATCTCATCTTGAATTTTAGTTCCCATAATCCCAACATGTCATGGGAGTGACCCAGTGGGAGGTAACTGAATCATGGGGGCAGTGACCCCCATGCTGTTCTCATGATAGTGAGTGAGTTCTCATGAAATCTGACGGTTTTATATGGAGCTTTTTCCCCTTTGCTTGGTACTTCTCCTTCCTGCTGCTATTTGAAGAAGGATGTGTTTGCTTCCCTTTCCTCCATGATTGTAAGTTTACTGAGGCCTCCCCACCCCTGTGGAGCTGTTAGTCAATTAAACCTCTTTCCTTTGTAAATTACCCAGTCTCAGGCAGTTCTTTATAGAAGCATGAGAATGGACTAATACAGTAAACAGGTACTAGGAGACAGTGGGTGTTGCTGTAAGGATACACAAAATGTGGAAGCGACTTTGGAACTGGATAACAGACAAAGGTTGGAACAATTTGGAGGGCTTCTGTCTTTCAGAAGAAGACAGGAAAATGTGGGAAAGCTTGGACCTTCCTAGAGACTTGGAGGGCTCAGAAGACAAGAAGATGTGGGAATGTTTGGAACTTCCTAGAGACTTGTTGAATAGCTCTGATCAAAATGCTGATAGTGATATGGACAATGAAGTCCAGGCTGAGGTGGTCTCAGATGGAAATGAATAACTTATTGGAAACTGGAGTAAAGGTCACTCTTGCTATGCAAAGAGACTGGTAGCATTTTGCCCTTGCCCTAGAGATCTGTGTTACTTTGAACCTGAGAGAGATTATTTAGGGTATCTGGCAGAATAAATTTCTATGTGGCAAAGCATTTAAGAGGAAGCAGAGCATAAAAGTTTGGAACGTATACATATGATAAACATAATTACAGCTAAATTAATTTTGACTGACTAAAACAAAAATGTATTATACCATTCATGGGCTTATGGGTGATACAGTGATTTATTTATCTATGAAAAATTAGATAATGAGTAGAGGAAAGGTGCATATGTACTATTTCTTTTGTAATCTATGCACATGAAGTGTCTGCATAATTTCACAACAGCATCTCTTTCTGTTGAGGTCCAGGAGCCACCTCTTTGTTTTCTTTATTGTAATATATTCCACTTATGTTTAATTTCAAATATGCCATGCCTGGATATTTCATATGCTTCAACACAAGGAAATGGTACAACACTGTTATTACTTTGCAATGCTATTGCTCTTTGGAAGGTATACTTAATGTAGATTTTCTTGCATCTACATTTCTCTAGTACTATTTAATTATGGTTACATTTTTAATCATGACACTGTCAACCATGGTACTCCCATTGAATACTGGCTTGCAATGACTTTCCCTAGGTTGTTAGTGAGCTTGCTTAATGATGGCCAAATATGCAAATCTCATCCAAGGGAGAAAATGCAGTGTTTGATTTTCTGTTTTGCATTAATTCACTTAGGATAATGCCCTCCAGCTGCATCTATGTTGCTGCAAATGACATTATTTCATTCTTTTTCATGGCTGTGTAGTATTCCATGGTGTATATGTACCATATTTTCTTTACCCAGTCCACCAGTGATGGGTACCTAGGTTGATTCCATGTCTTTGGAATTGTGAAACAGTGCTGTGATAAACATGTGAGAGCATTTGTCTTTTTGGTAGAATTATTTATTTTCCTTTTGGTATGTACCCAGTAATTGGATTTCTGGGTTGAATGGTAATTCTATTTTTGGTTCTTTGAGAAATCTCCTACTTTCCACAGGGACTAAACTAATTAGCATTCCCACCAACAGTGTATAAATGTTCCCTTTTCTTTGCACCCTCACTAATGTCTGTTGTTTTTTGACTTTTTAGTGATGCCATTCCCACTGGTGTGAGATAGCATCTCATTGTGGTTTTGATTTGCCTCTCTCTGATAATTTATGACGTTAAGTGTTTTTTCATGCTTTTTGGCCACTTGTATGTCTTCTTTTGAGCAGTGTCTGTTCATGTCCTTTGCCTACTTTTAATGGGTTTTTGTTGTTGATTGGTTTAAGTTCCCTATAGCTTCTGGATATTAGTCCTTTGTCAGAGGCAGAATTTGCAAGTATTTTCTCCCATTCTGTAGGTTGTCAGTTTATGCTGTTGATAGTCTCTGTTGCTCTGCAGAAGTTCTTTAGTTAGATCCCAATTGTCAACTTTTGTTTTTGTTGCGTTTGCTTTCGAGGACTTGATGAAATGTTACTGAATTACATCCTCAAGCATGTTTTCCAAGTTACTTTCTCTTCTTCTCTTCAGGAATGCCAATATGTTGTAGATTTTGTCACTTTACATAATCCTCTACTTCCTAAAGGCTTTGTTCATTTTCTAAAATTATTTTTTTCTTTATTTTTGTTTCACTGGGTTGATTTGAAGGACCAGTATTTGATCTTTGAAATTCTTCTGCTTTATCTAGTCTGTTGGTAAGGCTTCCAATTTTTATTTTGAAATTCCTATAGTAAATTTTCCAATTCCAGAAATTCTGTTTTGTTTGTTTGTTTTAGTATAGCTATATCATATTTCAAATCCTGGATTATTTTTTTCTATTTTCTTTTTGTTAGATATCAACTTTCTGTTAGATCTTGTTGAGTTTTCTTGTCAGCCATATTCTGAATTCTACATCTGTCATTTCAGGCATTTCATTCTGGTTAGGATTCTTAGGCGCCTTTGGGTGTGACGAAACACTGGCTTTTTGTATTGCTGGAATTCTTGTGCTGGTTCTTATCTGAAGGATCTGCTGCTTCTTTTTTTATTTTTTTGAATATCATTGGATGAGGCTTTTCTTTTATTATTCTTTTCCTTGAAAGTATGAGTGTGATTTATGTTGCGTATGATCAGTTGTCTTCATTTCTGGATGTTTTCAGAGGGCGAAGTCTCTGTATGGGTTCCTCAGTTGCAGATAGGTCCATTTGGTGGCTTTTTCAGATGTTGCTTATTGCAGTGTTACACTTTTGTTTGGTGGTGTAATTCATTAATTAGTCCAGTAGATAGCGCTTAAGAGTAAGAGCCAGTGGGTAGGCTCTTATTCTGTGAGTGCTCATCCTCAGTGAGGGCCAGAGCAACAGAGAAGTGCAAAAAGCTCCCTCCTCCAGCACATCCTCACCTTTGGTGGGGTTGCGGCCACTGAAGAAGTGGGAGAAGCTTCCACTTGCAGCCCATGCTGGTGGGTGCTCAATGGGCAGAGATGCAGCCTCTTCTGCAGGAGTACCCTGGGGAGCAAGGAAGGCTAGATATGACCCCCTCTCTGTTACTTGTGTCTGTGTGAAGAGAATATCAAACAGGCTTTGCATTAGCAATAAAGCTTTTTAATAGCCTGGGTGCAGGTGGACTGAGTCCAAAAAAGGAGTCAGCAAAGGGAGATAGGGGTGGGGCAGTTTTATTGGATTTGGGTAGGTAGTGGAAAATTATCATTAAAGGGGGTTTTCTCTTGCTGGCAGGGGTGGGGACAACAAGGTGCTTAGTGGGGAGCTCCTGAGATTCACTGTCCAGGAGAGGGAATGTCACAAGGTCAATTGATCAGTTAGGTTGTGGCAGGAACAAATCACAATGGTGGAATGTCATTAGTTAAGGCAAGAACTGATTATTTCCCTTCTTTTTTGGTTCTTCAGTTGCTTCAGGCCATCTGGATATATAGGTGCAGGATACGGGGTTATGACAGCTTAGCTTGGGCTCAGAAGTCTGACATTCCTGTCTTCTTATATTAATAGGAAAAACAAAACAAAATAGTGGTGAAGTGTTGGGGTGGCAAAAATTTTTTGGGATGGTATGGAGAGATAATGCGTGATGTTTCTCAGGGTTGCTTTGAGTGGGATTAAGTTTGGTGTGGGAACCTACAGTGGGAGAGATTAAACTGAAGAAAGATTTTGGGGTAAGGGGAGAGATTGTGGGGTTGTTAGAAGGAGGATTTGTCATACAGAATGATTGGTGATGGTCTGGATGCAGTTTTGTATGAATAGAGAAACTAAATGGAAGACACAAGGTCTGAATAAGAGGAGAAAAACACGTATTAAAGGACTAAGAATTGGGAGGACCTAGGATATTTAATTAGAGAGTGCCCAAGGTGGTTCAGTGCAATTATTTGCTTGGTTGGTGAGTTTTTGGGCTCTATCCTTGAGTTTTTTTATGCTGTCATATACCAGGCCAGATTGATTTAGGTAAAAACAACACTCCTCATTTAAAAATATACGTAGTTCTCCTTTTCCAGGAGTGAGTAAGTTGAGGCCTCAGTGGTTTTAGAGGAAAGAGAAATTCAAAGCCAGCAATTGTTTGTTAAAGAAGGATTAGAAATGGCTAGAGAGAGTGAGTGAGACTGATAGTGTGGTGGAGATAGCAGGGGAGAGGTAGAGGGTGGCATAAGAACGGGAATGAGAATAAGAGTGAGTATAAAAGTAAAGAATAGGACTTCATCAGGGTGAAAGTATTGGAGGGTGCCCTGTCAGCAAAGATCATCTATCCACTCCAAGAGGCAGTCAAGAGTGGTAGATTGGGGATAGTACCAGGAGATATCCGCTATGATGGTTTGAAGGAAAAGTGTAAACTGGCAGTGTAAAAGTATAAACTGGGGCAGGGGATTTATGAGTAGTTGAGAATTATGAATAGGGTATGATTAGACAGAAGATAGTAGGGATGACAAGTTTTTGGGGCACAGTCCAAGCAGCAGGGGTGACTGTGTAAAGCCCTGTTGCAAAGTGTAGGGTAAGGATGAATAGACCTAATAGAATGAAGGGATGTATTAGGCTCATAAGGGTTATTACTGTTCTTCAGAAATACGAGTGAGTTTAAGGAAAGTAGGGGAGAGTACTTGCGACTTCCAGGAGGAAGAGGAGAGATCAGGCTGGCTGTTGGATGGACACAGCTTTATCCTGGAATGGTGAACCTAATGGGGAGGGTCCTGCAGATGGACGGCAGTTGGGGTGCTATAGATGACTAGGTAGGGTCTGGTCCACCAAGGCTGTAGAGTTTGAGGGGTCAGACTCTTAACAAGAACTGATCGTCCAGCTAAGGTGTCTTTATATGGCTGGGAATCTGGAGTAGGCAAGAGAAGATTAGCAGCCTGGCGAATTTCCTGTCTAGCCTGCTGGAGGACTGGAAGATAATTGCCCAGAGGGCTGGTGTCTGGAACAAGGTTGGGGCCGTGCAAGAAAGTGCATCCATATAAAAGTTTAAATGGACTGTACCCTATAGCATATCGAAGGCAAGCTCTAATTCTAAGAAGGGCAAGTGGTAGAAGTAATGTCCAGTCCTTTTTAAGTTGGAGGTTGAGCTTGGTGAGGTTTGTTTTTAAAAGACCATTCATCCATTCTACCTTTCCTGGAGATTGAGGATGGTAGGGGATATGAAGTTTCCACTGAATATCAAGAGCCTGAGAAACTGCCTGGGTGATTTGACTAATAAAGGCCAGACCATTGTCAGATTGAATGGAAGTAGGGAGGCCACGTAAGGGAATTATATCTGTCAGAAGGGAATAAATTACTGCTGTAGCCTTTTCAGAGCTAGTGGGAAAGGCCTCGATCCATCCAGCAAAGGTGTTGATCCAAACCAGGAGATATTTAAATTTACAGACATGGGGCATATGAATAAAGTTAATTTGCCAATTTTGTGTTGGAGTAAATCCACAAGCCTGAATGCATAGGAAAAGGAGGAGGCCTGAGAAAGCTTTGGGGGCTGGTGGCATGGCAGACAGAATATTGAGAGGTGATGGTCTTGAAGATGGATATCCATGAAGGGAAGGAGATGAGGGGCTGCAGGAGGCAAGCCAGAGGCTTGTATCCCACATGGAAGTGGTCATGAAGGGAAGAAAGAATGGACTGAGCTTGTGAGGCAGGAAGAATGAATTTTCCATGATCTAAGAACCACTTGCCCTGAGTTGGAAAAGACTGGTAGAGCAGGTTTTCAGAAGAAGAGTAGGTGGGAGTGATAGAGGAGACAGAAAAATACTGGCCCTCTGGAGTAGGGGCTGGAATATTAGTGGGTGTGGAGGCACCGGCTATTTCTTTTGCTGTCCTGTCAGCATAGGCATTTCCTTTTGCAATAAGATCAGTAGGTTTCTGGTGTCGTTTACAATGAATGACTCCAGCATTGGCTGGCAGGAGAGCAGCCTTAAGGAGGATCTTTATTAGGGAGGCATTGATAATGGAAGAGCCTTATGTGATAAGGAAGCCTTTTTCGGCCCAGATGGCAGCATGGTTATGGAGGATGTGGAAAGCATATTTGGAGTCAGTACAAATATTAATGTGCATTCCTTTAGCAAAAGAGAGCACATAAGTTAGAGCAATCAGTTCGGCTTGTTGAAAAGTGGTGGAGGGAAGAAGTGCAGCAGCTTCTATAACAGAGGTGTGGGACACGACAGCATATCCAGCTTTAGCTGGTGAAAATTGATTGGGTTTAGAAGAACTGCCATCGATAAACCAAGTGTGGTCTGGGTTTGGAATTGGAAGAATAGAAATATAAGGAAAGGGGGAAGATGCTATGTGTATTAGGGAAATACAGTCATGTGGTTCAAGACTTGTGTTATGTGCTAAGTGAGAAGCTGGGTTGAAATTGGGCCCATGGTTAATAGTTACTTTTGGAATTTCAACTAAGAGACAGTAGAGCCAGAGGAGTCAAGGGGCAGACAATAAATGTGAAAGGTGTGAGGAGCATATTATTGCTTGAAGGTTGTGAGAACTGTAAAGGGTAAGTGGAGTATAGCCTGTGCTTTTGAAGGCATCTTTGAGGTTGATAACAGAATAGTGAGTTGTGGAAGCGGGTATTGAAGATAGGAGGGTGTACAGGTTTGGCACTATAAGATGGATGGGAAGGACGATTTGATTAATAAGGCAAAGATCCTGAACCAACCTGTAAGACTTGTCTGGTTTCTGGATGGGTAGGATAGGGGAGTTGTAAGGAGAATTTATAGGCTTTAAGAGGCCATGTTGTAACAGGTGGGTGATAACAGGCTTTAACCCTTTTAAAGCCTGTTGTGGGATGGGAGATTGGCATTGAGCAGGGTAAGGGTGATTAGCTTTTAATGGGATTATAAGGGGTGCATGATCGGTCACCAAGGAGGGAGTAGAGGTATCCCATATTTGTGGATTAATGTAGGGAGACACAATGGGAGGATGCGAAGGAGACTTTGAACTGGGGAAAAGGGTGGCAATGAGGTGTGGCTGTAGCCCAGGAATAGTCAGGGAAGCAGATAATTTAGTTAAAATGTCTGGACCTAATATGGGAGCTGGGCAGGTGGGGACAACTAACAAAGAGTGCATAAAAGAATATGTCCAAGTTGGCACCAGAGTTGTGGAGTTTTAAGAGGTTTAGAAGCCTGGCTGTCAATACCCACAACAGTTATGGAGGCAAGGGAAACCGGCTCTTGAAAAGAAGGTAATGTGTAGGGGGTAGCCTCTGTATGGATTAAGAAGGGGATGGACTTACCCTCCACTGAAGCATCTATAGTGGTCCAGGGTGCTTCCAAGGCAATTGGGCTGCATCAGTCTTCAGCTGCTAAGCCAAGAAGATCTGGGAAGGAGTCAATCAGAGAGCCTTGGGCCAGAGTTCCAGGGGCTCTGGGAGTGGCTGCCAGACAAGTTGGACCATCCAATTTCCAGTGGCGTCCCGCCCAGATGGGACACGACTTAGGAAGAATCATGGGCTGCAGGCATTCCTTGGCCTAGTGGCCAGATTTCTGGCACTTGAAGCAAGATCCTGGGGGAGGAGGCCCTGGAGGAACACCTGGCTGCTGCGGTTTAGGCATTCTGAAGTTCTTGTGTGCTGGAGATGTGGCTGGGGTTTCTCTCACAGCGGAGGCAAGTAATTTCAACTCAGAAATATGTTGCCGCTTCACTGCCTCTTCTCTATTATTGTATACCTTGAAGGCAAGTTTAATTAAGTCCTGTTGTGGAGTTTGAGGGCCAGAATATAACTTTTGGAGCTTTTTCTAATGTCGGGAGTGGATTGGGTAATGTCAGATATGAGTTCTAAATTTCATTTCAAAGAATCAATATGTCAGTATGTTCAAATCTTTGCCTTGTACTTTTAAACTTAACTTCCTCATAAAGCAACCTTTTTCGATTACCTGCTCCACCATGACTCAATTCAATCACTGGCTCCACCCTGACTCATTTGAATCACCTGCCCCACCCTGACTCATTCCAATTACCTGCTACCTGCTCCATCCTGACTCATTCTCCAACCTGCATAATCATTTTTCCTGCCAAACCACTCACCCCATCTCTCTCTTTAAATTAACCAATTGGAATTAGTTTAGCCTGTGCGGTCTAACCCTAGCCAGTAGCAGAACTAGACAGCAGCAGGGGCCACATGCGTCAGGGATAATAACCCCCTCCCCTCCCTTGTCCAAGTATTCACTCACCATTGCTTCATCTGTAAGGGTGCACCCTTCTATAGAAGTAACTTGCCTTGCTGAGAATTAAAAAGAAAATTTTATATTCCAGTGCTACTTCTTTTGTCACACTGAAACTTTATTTAAAATAAATGTATATATATAAACTTTATTTATAATAAAATGCATATTAAGAATAAGACTGCCTTCTGGCACCTCTAGATCTAGGGTGATAAAGCGTCTAAGTGTTGTTGCCAAACGGGCCATGGACGGGGCTGGGTTTTTATATTTGATGAAAATCCTAACCGATTTGGGAAAGGTTGGATAAAGAAAAAAGGAGCATTAACCTTGACTTTGCCTTTAGCTCCAGCCGCCTCTCTAAGAGGAAATTGTTGGGCAGGTTGGGGAGAGCAGGTTGCGGAACGAAACTGTAAGCCAGACCGGGTGTGAGAAGGGGAGGTGATAGAAGGATTATAGGGTGGGGGAGTGGAGGCTGAGGAATAATTGGGACATAGCTCAGCCTTGTGAGGAGCAGTCTGGGGAGGAGGGGAGAGGTCAGATGGGTCCATAGAAAAGGAGGATTCAAAGGACTCAGAGCTTGGAGTGGAGACTGAAGGAACAGATAGGAGAGAAAGAAGGAAGATTTGGGATGAGTCACAGTGGGAACAGAGACTAGTGGGGGACTGATGTGTAAAGAATGCCAGGACATCATGCACCTCAGACCATTTGCCCATTTTACAACAAAAATTATCTAGATCTTGTAGGATGGACAAATCAAACGTGCCATTCTCTGGTCACTTGAAAAAATTGTCGAGTTTGTACTGGGGCCAAGCAGTATTACAGGAGAAAAAAGATGTTTAGGTTTTAGATCAGCTGTTAGTTGAAGGGATTTTAGGTTTTTAAGAATACAGGCTAAGGGAGAAGAAGGGGGAATGGAGGGCAAAAGTTTGCCCATAGTGAAGGAGGTAAGTTTAAAGAGAAAGGTAGAGACACAGAGAAGGGGGTGAGGGTGAGCAGCCCTGGGCTGCAATGTGGGTGAGCAGCCAAAGCAGGCATCCCCACAATTGACTTGCCACCAAGGGAATGTTGGTGACTGACCAAGGCAGGCATACCAGCAGTGATCAGAAACCAAGGGAAGACTGTCTTCCCAAATCCATGACCGACATCAGAGTTTTTGAGTTCAGGGATAAAATGTGTCTCTTTTGTCTCTACTAGAGAGGTAAAAGAACTGGAATTGAAAGGACGGGGAGATTAAAGGGTAGTGAAAGAGGCTGGAGAAGAGATTGAAGAGACCGCTTACCTTATTTGAAATTGGTGAGATGTTTCTTGGGCTGGTCTGAAGACCTGAGGTCGTAGGTGGATCTCCTCACAGAGTGAGGGCGAAGACAGGGGGCCGGCCTCCTGAAGGAGTCCCCCTGTGCCAGGACTTTGGCACCAAATGTTATGTATGTCCATGTGAAGAGACCACCAAACAGGCTTTGTGTGAGCAATAAAGCTTTTTAATCTCCTGGGTCCAGGCGGACTGAGTCCGAAAAAGGAGTGAGCAAAGGGAGATAGGGGTGGGGCAGTTTTATAGGATTTCAGTAGGTAGTGGAAAATTACAGTCAAAGGGGTTTTTTCTCTTGCAGGCAGGGGCAGGGGCCACAAGGTGCTCGATGGGGAGCTCCTGAGACTCATTGTCCAAGAGAAGGAATGTCACAAGGTCAATTGATCAGTTAGGGTGGGGCAGGAACAAATCACAATAGTGGAATGCCATCAGTTAAGGCAGGAACTGACTATTTCACTTCTTTTTTGGTTCTTCAGTTGCTTCAGGCCATCTGGATGTATATGTGCAGGTCACAGGGGTTATGATGGCTTAGCTTGGGCTCAGAAGCTGACACTTTCCAAGTATGTTCCCAGGCTTTGTTGATGTCCCCTTCAGCAGCTGGCACCATATTCACATTTCCTTTGATCCGGAGGGAGCTTTGGGTGGGCTGTGCTCCCTCCTTCCTTAGAGGTGGTCTGCTTTGAAGGTTAGATCTCCAGGGGAGTGGGGTCCACCTCTTTCCCATTCCTTGGAGCTGGTGCGGCATTCCTCCCCAACTGACTGAGGGAGCAGGCTGCGGAACCCAGCAATGCCACACAGACCAGACCAGCTCCAGGTCTCAAAGCTCTCCCTGGCTCCAAGCCTTGCTGCCCAGGTGAAACCTTGGCCTCAGCAACTCTCTTCTTGCTCCAGTTCTGCAATGGGAAAAGGCCTAATTCTAATGTGTTCTCTGGGGCACTCTCTGCAATTGCTGGCCACCAAACAATGACTGAGCTTGTATGAGCTGAGATTAAAAATGGCATTCTCCTCTCAGTCTTGGGCCTGGGAGAATGCCTGCAGCTTTACCCATGTCTTTTCCTTTTTCTATCTCTCAGCTGCTCCCCAAGTTAGCTCCAGGGCTTAGGAGAAAGAAGGTGCTCTTCCTTGGCCTGGGTGGCACAGATCCTTAGTGGAAAGGTGAGGCACAGAGGGTGACTGACCACCCCTCTTGTGTACTGGGCTTCACTCACTTTTATCAGGCAAGGGAGCTGCTTGCCCACCTTCTCCTCCCCGGGCTCTGGGTTGGCCCTCACTATTTCAATTAGTTCTTATTTTCCTTCTGGAATTAAGGCTAATCAAGTTGATTTTTATGCACTGTGTTTGCTATTTCCAAGTGGCTGGGGCATGCTATAAAGCCTCTAATCTGTCATCTTGGAAAAAAATGTTAATGTTCGTATCATGCAAATATTTTAACCATAAATAGTTAAGAAAATTATAAAGGAAATAAGAACAAAGATTGCTTAGGAGCTTCTCATTATTAATTGTTATTGTTTATCATCCTTCAGCACAGCTCAAAAAATTTATTGAGAACACTATGGCTTATAATCTTGAGATGGTAAATTTAAAAAAATAAAATATTTACTACATTGCTCTTTTCCAGTTACTATAAACTTTTAATCTTATTTACAAAATAAGTTATGTTAAATATTTGACATGATTTTAACCATCAATTCATATATAGTTTAGAGTTTAACTAGTAATAAGCTTCTGAGATTTACAAGCTTCACGTTTGCAAGAGTCATGTACATGCTACAGGCTATTAGAGAATCCACGTGGAATAGAGGGGATTGAGCCTATACACTTTAAGTTTTGGTATGCTAATAATTGTGAGATCTACGTTACATCCTTTTTTTGATCTGTCATTTTCACCACAACTTTTCTGAGAGGTTTACATAAATTATTTCTTAAGCCCTTTTCACTTTCTGAAGTTATTTTTATGTAGTGCAAGTACTTCCGATTTTTCTATTGAACCAATTGCGTTATTTTATTTTATTTTTGAGACAGAGTCTCACTCAGTTGACCAGATGGAGAGCAGTGGCATGATCATGGTCTACTGCAGCTGAGACCTCCTGGGCTCAAGCAATCCTCCTACCTCAGCCTCCCAATCACATGATTCTATGAATGAAAGACATCAATGGAAGAAAGTGATCAAAATACTCAGAAAGGCTTGCCCTATCATCAAAATTTATTTGAAATCAAATCCCTAAGGCATCATGTATTTTTCTAACTCTCTTATTATATAGCAGTTAAATTACTTATTTTTTTTTTGTTTTCAAAACCAATCATATAAAACGGAGTCCCTCAGAAAGCAGCATCAGTTTAACCTATGACTATGAGTAGCTCTCAAGAACATTATAGAGAACTATCAGAAGTGTAGATTGGCTGGATGCAATGGCTCATGCCTGTAATAAAAATAGTGAGGCCAAGATGGGAGAATTGCTTGAGGCCAGGAGTTTGAGGAAATACTTGGCAACCTAGTAAGACACCATCTTTCCAGAAAATTAAAAAATTAGTCAGACATGTGGCCAATCTGTGGCACATACTTGTAGTCCTAGTTACTCAGGAGGCTGAGGTGCAAGAAAATTACTTGAATACAGGTGATCAAGGCTGCAGTGAACTATGATCACACCACTGCACACAAGCCTGGGCAACAGAGGGAAACTCAGTCTGAAAAAAAAATGAATTATGTATTTGCCAGTTTGTAAAACAAGCAGCCTTGTGGGTTCTCTTGCACAGTGTTTCCTCTAAAGTATCTTGTGGACTATGATCTTCAGCACCAAACTAACAAAGACATGCAGATATGTATGCCCTTTTATTTTAAGCTTTTAAGAAGCTAGTATTCAAGGAAATCCTTGGTATTGAAAAACTCGTTGATACCAGTATTATTAAGCTTCAAAAGAAGCAAACCTTTGTTGCAAAGTGAATTACACAAAAGGCAACATGTATATATTGAAAACCTTAATTTATCCACCGTGTCTTGTTCTTTGGGATCAACATTATATTAATATAGCTATATATCAGTTCATCTTTGGCGTCTGGATAGCTTTTACTGCCTATATTTATATGAGAATCTAATACCAAAACCTGGAACAAGTTTTAAATTTAAGCCCTTTAAATTTAACTACACTGTTCAATATCACTATGTTCTCCAATTTCTAAGAACTTATTACCTAGAGTATTGATAGGTAATGGGTGTCAGGATAAAATAACAATACAGCTAAAAGAAGATTCTTATTCTTAAGCTGGTTTATAGAAAAAGAATTGGCTAGTGTCCAGTGCTATAGAAATGCTATGTAACCTTATGCCTGAGACTGAAAAGCTTGGGCCTAGCATAAAAATAAATAAGGCTATCTCCATAGATAGCAGACATCCAGCCAGAGCACACAACCACACCCCAATGCCCCCCACAAACACACACACAGACACACACACACACACACACACACAAGAGATGCAAAAATAGGAATATTATCTGGATAGAAGTTGTAGAGTAGAAGAGTAGTCCAAATTACAAGCTATTTTTCCTTTGTTTTTCTAAGAATTAATTCTATAAAAAATACAATTTTAAGTATTTAATAAAATGTATCGCAAGAGCCTTCAGAATATATGAGATTACTGTAGTAACTCTTTTATAGTAAACTATTCCAGTGAGTTTCAGGCATGTAGAAGCTAAACTGGAAAGTTTTAATATTTGAGGCCTAATTCCAAGACTTCCCTCCTGCAACTGCCTGTGGAAATCACATCAGACAGCATGTTTTCCCTAAGGATCTCCAATTGCCAGATTGCCATACTCCTAAGCCTTCTCACCAACCTCCACATCCATTCTCTCCTGCCTTTCCTTCTGCTGAGCATATGTCAATCCCAGTTTCCTACCTAATGAAATTCTAATCATCTTCTTTTGCATAACATCATCTTCCATGAGAAGCTACTTTCATTTCACAGAATTAACTGTAGCATCTGGCCAAGTACAAGGCGTGTGTTATGGAATGGATAAATATCTGTTGAATCAATGAATCAATTCATCCAAAAGACTTTGTTCATGCTCCAAGGAGAGAACTTAAAACATTATATTATGACTCAGAGTCTACTTTTACAGTTGTCTCCAGCATATTGTGAACAGGCTGAGACCCTGATTTTTTATTCAGTTGCCTCCAATTTTATCAATGCCTAGCACATCATGTCAGGTACTCACAGTATATTGGGATTGGATTGTCAAACTGGCATTGTTTTAACTACTCAAAGCTTCACCATCGCTTATATTTGATAATGACCTTACAGATAACTAGTCATTCAATTTCTACCCTGTTCTAAAAATCTGTGACCCTGTTCTAACATAACTTATTGGCTTTTACCTTAGAATATTGATGTGATTTTTTAAAAATTGTATGAGTAATTGAAGTGATTAAAATTGGTCAAATGATCTCTGTTCTTCCTTTCTATTCTAAAATTTTCAAAATGATAAATAGCTTAGTTGATATAGTTATCTTATACTTAAATTCCTGTGAAAATAATAAATACCTATCAGTTGTTTACCTATATGGCATTTTAGTAAGTTGGTTACAAAATGTATTAACCTGAAGTATTCAACATTACTACATTCTTACTGGTCAAATTACCCAGTAAAGATTTTCCAAATATATTATTTTAGAATTTTATCTATGTATGTATTTATTTCTCATGCATTTCTGTATCAATCAATATATCTTTTTATCTGGTAATGCCCATGTATATATTATTTTTAACTCAAATCCTTCAAAAACATGGATTACAGGGAGAAAAACTAATTCAGTTGCTCTCAATATCAATCACATCCAGCAGTTATGTAATTTCTCTATTTTTGAAGGCTCTGGAAGATTATAACAAGCTTGGATTATGTTGTTTCTCTGTTCCATGTGTCTAACATGTATTTTTATTTCTTAAGGCACATGTTTCTGCAGAATACATTTTACAGATATATTAAAACAAACATCTCACATTTTCATTACAAAGTATTTACTAGGAAAAATATGCTCATTGCAGAAATCTAGTCTTTTGGGCCTAGTGAAATATTTAATTTTCTTCTGGAACCCTTATCTATTGCTGTAAGTTTAGATATTTTCAATTCTCTCTTCTTTCTGATTTCATAAATGTGTACAATATTATGTCACTCACTATAAAGTCTGTTATGCTGAAGCTATTATCTAGAATATATTAAAGCTATAATAATGTCTCTGCTCATAATTATACAAAGTTGGAAGTTATTTTAAAATGTATTTGAAAATATTAGATTCAAAGAATTTCAGATGTTATACTTTAAAATTGAAACTTAAATCTTTATAACTTCATAACTCTATGAATATATTTATGGAATATATTTAATATATTCATTATCTACATCCCCTGTTTTTTGACCTTCTACAACAAACTACAACTAGAAAAGCAAGTCACATTAATGAGTCTACAATTTGGAAATACAATGACATATTTCTCTCAATTGTTTATAATTCAACATTTGACATTTTGCATATTTATTTTAATACTTTCCATATTTCATCTGGAAATATATTGCAAACCATATTTGCCATATACAATCTACACTATCCTAGAAAAGTATCTAAATTTAGATAATTGATAGATTTCAAGTTTCTTGCTATACTGATGCCTATGTTTCAGTTTCCCAATATAGTGATATTTGTACCTGACTAGAATAAAATTTCAATTATTTATCAATTAGAGAAACAACTACAGCAGTTTCACCTTGAATTAAGACAAATTATCACATAAAATATTAAATAGTAAGCAAAACAATACCAGCAAAAACATGTCAAACAATTAATAAAGGATAGTGCTTTTTTCTTAAGTAATCAGATAACTACCCAATTAATCAAATAACTACCCAATGACAAATATTTTATTTTACTAATTAAGAAAAGGATAATTTACAATGCTTGCCTTACTTATATAGCCAATAGTAAACTCTCAGTAAGAAGGACATTTCTATTCTAAAGAAAGAAGACAAACCATTATAATAGTGTATTTGCTCATTATAGTGGGCAGAACTATACATATACGTATGCAGAAATATAGACATTTAGAAATACACAAAGTGTATAGGAATATATATATCTGAGCAAAGTGTATTCCTAAGAACGATGAACGCACAGTAGAAGCATTTGTTCCCAGTACTGAGCCAAGCTTATTTAATTAACATATTCCTTTAATGTTGAGACTGAAATACAACTTAAGAGTCGGGGTTTAAGAAAATTTGGTTATTGGTAGAATTCTTATTGATATTTTGTATATGTATATGGTTAAATTTTTTAAAATTAATCTAAAAAGAAATAAAAACAGTTTAATTAGTTTTTAAAGTGGGAGTTTCTAATAATGTGTGAATAAACCTTAACTTCCCCAACTTGTTTATAAACTTTTCAAAATGCTTTTAATAAACAGAAAGTTATATTTCTTCTATGTACTTATAAATAAGATTTTTTATCCCTTTCCCTGACACAGAGAATCAAATGCTACACCATAATTAGTACATGCCACATCGTAAGTTCAAACTACTTTCATTTGGACCAAAATTTTAAATTTTGCCCACAACGTACTTTAAAAGTCATGTGTGTTTATATCATTGTATTTTTTGGAAGTTGGGCAAATCATTTAAAACAACACAAAACAACTAAAACTCTGTTATTTATTCACACTATGTTTTTTAATAAAATATGTTTTATATCAAACGATAGGAATAATTATAGAAAAAATTCTCTGTCATTTAATTTAATAAATTTAGCTGGATAACAAATTACATTTATCTTTTACTAAGGATCAGCAAAAATTTCAGAAGGGTTGGTGAGTGATCCTGAATTCAGAAGCCCCTGTTATAACGGACCATCCTTTTTTCTGCTGAGCTATTTTCTTTTTTGACATGAAAGTGCACTGAATACAAAAAGAAATGAGAGTACTGCTTCCAGCTTTATGGAAGACTGAGTGTTCTAGGGAATATATCACTTTAGGGCAGTCTGATCCTGAATAGCTTAGTTGTTTCCACAGGAGGTAGAAAAGTCTACCAATCTCTCTTGCTACTTGCCCAAGGAAATAGGAGAACAAATGACAGATTACTGGAGCTGGAGCAGCAGGCAACCTGGAAGGCCAGGGTTCCCTTGAGAACCTCTGTTCATAGAAGCCCAGATAGCATGTAATGATCAGAGCCTCGGAATCCTTTATTGGGCCTGGATTCTGGATGTAGACTGATAAAAAGCTTAGTCAGCTGTGATATCTGGTAACCATAAATAACAAATTTTTCCAATGTAAGGTGGCAAGAATACCCCAATAGTTTGTTAATAGAATGACATCATTATAAAAATCAGAGAGTCAGTTAACAGTAGAATTAGATCCTCAAGGATTGCTTACATTAGCAATTACATTAGTGTTCAGATAAAGATACTATAGTGGCTGCTATGAAAACTGAAAAGAAATAAAGAATATAATCACAACTGTATTTAGGTAATAGAAGATTATCAAGAGTAGACATGGATACTCCAAATAAAGGTATTTGACTTAACAACCACTGAGTGACCATCAAAAGACTGAAAATAAAAAAAAAAAATTGTAAAAAATGTTATTTCAAGAAGAAAGAAAAAATTCCTAGAAAAATGTGCTAAAAGAAAAAAAATGGAGAGCAAATAAGAAATCCAAATCCAAAAATAATTGGCTGCACAAATTACTATTACCTTGACTAGTACTATTAAAATAATAATAGTGCCTAATGGTGAAGCTTTAAAGATAAATAGGGCAAAAAGTCTGGAGAAACATAGCATAGAAGCTAGAAGGGAGAATTTAGCATTAGATATTCCTGATACTCGACATTTTTAGTAGATGAAGGTATAAACTCTAAACAGAAGAGAACAGAACTGGAAAAAGCTGGCTCCTAATCATCTTCTTAGTTTCTAAACATTTGACTCCCTAACAGCTCTTTCTTAGATATTTTTCTTTTCCTTAACTCTACTCACTATTCAAGTGATCTCCTCTAATATTATGGCTTTAAATTTCATCTTTATACTAACCATTTTTAAATTTATATTTCTAGCCAAGTAGCTTGAGAGATGTTGATTTCTTGAGTCTCTCTTGAGATACTTTGATTTCTCTCTATATTTGGTGGTCCATAGAAAAGCCATTTGCAAATCCTGTTGACTCTACTTTTGAAGCTGGAAAATTCTCACACCCTGAATCACTACTATCCTCAGCCAAGCCACCATAATTTGCCACCTAATACTCGGCCTGCTTTAGCTCTTTTCCCTACAGATGAGTCTCGACACAGCAGTCAAAGGGATCCTTTTTAATCTAACACAGATCTTTTCACTCCTCTTTTGAAATGCCCCCAGTTACTCCCTACCTCACTGAGAAGATAATTCAAACCCCATAAAATCTCCTGTAATTTCCAATTGATTGCGGATCTCTCTCTACAAATTTTCTCACCTCATCTCCTGTAGCTCCCACTCTCTTCCTCTGCTTTGTCTTACTACCATGCTTGCTTTTCCTAGAACAGGCAAAATAAAATTCAGGTTTGGCTTTTGTTACTTTTGCCTGGATTCCTTACCCTTCAAGGAGCCAGTCATTTTTCTCTTTCTCCTACTTCAGAAAACTGCTCCAATCTTACCTACTCAAGGAAGCCATCATGGCCACTTTCTGTAAATAGCACACTCATGGGCACTCCCAATATCTCTTCCCCACATATGGTTCCCCATGAACTTTTGGTATCGATAATAATTATCTATGTGTGTGTGTTCATGTGTATCTACTTGCACACACCTATTTATTATCATCTTTACCTCCCAACTAGAAATAATACTGCATGAGCAAACATTGTCTCAGGTTTTTTCATTGTTATATGCATAGTGCCTAGAGCAGTGCCTGTCACATAGATGGTTCTTAAGCATTTGTTAAATGAATTAATGATTGATTGAATAAATAAATAAATAAACCAGTAGCAGTATGTCTTGGTTCCAGAGTTGTCTCTAAAATTATACACAAAGTACCCCAGGAATTTCAGAAAAATTCAGTGAGTCATAACTATCTAATTATATTTTTTAAGTTAAAAAAAAAGTTATTTTCTGTTAATATTTGAAAGATAGGATCTGTGTTGCTACATTCTTGGTCTGAATTTCAGAAGAAAACAAACAATATATTATATATGGAGAGTCCTAAAAAATGTGGGAGGTGTATGTTTTTAGTAGCAACTGATTCTTTAAAAACAGTTGTGATATATTGGAGAGTAAATTGACTTAAAGATTATTTAGCATACTGCAAACTAAAATATTTCTCATAAAATTGACTAGTTGTTAAAAACTCCTGTAATAAAAGCTTCAATTAAACATAATAGAAGATGATACTAATAATGCAAATATAAGTGACAATAAACAAAATGCCAGAACTAGGATTTTACCAGGCTGGGTGCGGTGGCTCATGCCTGTAATCCCAACACTTCGGGAGGCTGAGGGGGGTGGATCACGAGGTCAGGAGCTCAAGACCATCCTGGTCAACATGGTGAAACCCCATCTCTACTAAAAATACAAAAATTAGCTGGGCGTGGTGGTGTGCACTTGTAATTCCAGCTACTTGGGAGGCTGAGTCAGGAGAATCGCTTGAACCTGGGAGGCGGAGGTTGCAGCAGAGATTGCACCACTGCACTCCAGCCTGGCAACAGAGCGAGACTCCGAAAAAAAAAAAAAAAATCCCCAAATGAGATAGGTAAAGAAAAATCAAAATTGCCAAAAAAGTTATTAGAAGTATGCCTTAACATTGACTTGCTTATTGTGAATCTTACCATATATGGATATTTTCCTTGAACATTTATTATTGGTAAAGTAAATAAACTTACCTTGTAAATAAATAGGAAGCAGAACAAGTTTTTACTTAGAATCTGATGATCAGAACAATTTAGTTACCACTCCTTAAAAAGAAGCCTTCTGCTACAGTAACCAAAACAGCATGGTACTGGTACCAAAACAGAGATATAGATCAATGGAACAGAACAGAGCCCTCAGAAATAACGCCACATACCTACAACTATCTGATCTTTGACAAACCTGAGAAAAACAAGCAATGGGGAAAGGATTCCCTATTTAATAAATGGTGCTGGGAAAATTGGCTAGCCATATGTAGAAAGCTGAAACTGGATCCCTTCCTTACACCTTATACAAAAATCAATTCAAGATGGATTAAAGATTTAAACGTTAGGCAACAAAAGACAAAATTGACAACTGGGATCTAATTACACTAAAGAGCTTCTGCACAGCAAAAGAAACTACCATCAGAGTGAACAGGCAACCTACAAAATGGGAGAAAATTTTCGCAACCTACTCATCTGACAAAGGGCTAATATCCAGAATCTACAATGAACTCAAACAAATTTACAAGAAAAAAACAAACAACCCCATCAAAAAGTGGGCGAAGGACATGAACAGACACTTCTCAAAAGAAGACATTTATGCAGCCAAAAAACACATGAAAAAATGCTTATCATCACTAGCCATCAGAGAAATGCAAATTAAAACCACTATGAGATACCATCTCACACCAGTTAGAATGGCAATCATTAAAAAGTCAGGAAACAACAGGTGCTGGAGAGGATGTGGAGAAATAGGAACACTTTTACACTGTTGGTGGGACTGTAAACTAGTCCAACCATTGTGGAAGTCAGTGTGGCGATTCCTCAGGGATCTAGAACTAGAAATACCATTTGACCCAGCCATCCCATTACTGGGTATATACCCAAAGGACTATAAATCATGCTGCTATAAAAACACATGCACACGTATGTTTATTGCGGCATTATTCACAATAGCAAAGACTTGGAACCAACCTAAATGTCCAACAAAGATAGACTGGATTAAGAAAATGTGGCACATATACACCATGGAATACTATGCAGCCATAAAAAACGATGAGTTCATGTCCTTTGCAGGGACATGGATGAAATTGGAAATCATCATTCTCAGTAAACTATCGCAAGAACAAAAAACCAAACACTGCATATTCTCACTCATAGGTGGGAATTGAACAATGAGATCACATGGACACAGGAAGGGGAATATCACACTCTGGGGACTGTGGTGGGGTGGGGGGAGGTGGGAGGGATAGCATTGGGAGATATACCTAATGCTAGATGACGAGTTAGTGGGTGCAGCGCACCAGCATGGCACATGTATACATATGTAACTAACCTGCACAATGTGCACATGTATCCTAAAACTTAAAGTATAATAAAAAATAAAAAATAAAAAAAAATAAAAAAAAAAGAAGCCTTCTATCTCCAGGGTATGGGAGAGCTTCAGCTTCTTTTTCCCAATTTGGATCTCTGTTCCCTTACCCATTTATTCATTCTAAAAATATCCAACTGTAGTATTAATCTAGTCAATTTGCTTATTTAAAATATAACTAAATAAATTTACTCTATTATGATTAGCCCTCTTTATTTCTACTCCCACCTAAACTTAGGTGGTACACATTATTTCTTTCTTTATAAACTGTGAATTCAAATTTGAAGCTGTCAGTTATTAAGACAGATATAGTTATCTTTGCTGACTGAATGTAATGACAAAGTACTATCTGTCATTTGCTTATGCATATGTATATAGCCTAATTAAATTGGCATGAAGTTGTTACCAAAACACCAGCAGTGTGGTCTAAGTGACTCTGCTTGCTGTACAGAAAGCCAATCATTGGGACAACTACTGTTGACAGAGAAGAAGGATTTAATCAGGTACTGTAACAAAGGAGATGAAAGATCAGTCTCAAATCCACCTTCCTGACTAAGATCAAGGTTCCATACAGCAAGGAGGATGTGTACCTATATGCAGAAAAACAGGAATTAGGGAGGGATAAGGAAGAGAAGCTGGTCAACAGGAAGCGGGTGTTCACTTAGGCAATCATGATGGGTAAGGGATCTGGCATCTTATTGTCCAGATGCAGTGATCTGGTCAGTTTCAGCCCTTTGATACTATCTGGAAGGCCTGATGGTTGGTTTACTGAGAAAGGAACTAGATAAGACAAATGTAACTTTCTCAAGTTTTAAGACTGGGAGGGTCAATTTCTATGTTTATTCAAAAGAAATCATAAACATTTGTTCTGTGGGATAATCGGGCCAGTTTCAAAATCAACATGGCATTATTTAAATTACTTAACAATATTAAAAATGAGATTAAGTATATAATTGCATGATTCTTTGAACAGAATAGTTTGTCTATTTTATTTAAAATATTTATGTATGCATAAACACCTTTAATCTGAGGAAAGTTTTTTTTTTTAATATGGAAATATGTTTCTTGCAGTTGAAAATCTGCCTAATGCAAATTAAATATCATTTTCTAGATAAGAAACTTATTCTAAGACCAAAACTTAGAAAATATGCTTGTATTTAAAGCTTATTATATGAAAAAAAAAATGACATTTCAGTGTGTACAATGGTATCCTTTGCTTATCAGCTTATTACTTCAGATAGGTAATAGTTAACCTCGTATAAAATACTGTGTTTGCCATACAATAGGTCACAGAAAAATATCTGTCAATAAAAAAGCTCTATAAATCAAGAGTCCTCAGAAGTGCATTAAAATGCCCAGTTGGGAATATCACTTGAAGCTAAGTTTTGGCCTCTGGGTTTTCGAGCAGCATTGAAAACTTTTTTTTTTTTTTTTTTTTTTTTTTTCAGTAAATTCTCTGCATCTTATATAGGCCTAATGTGGCCTTCATGGAATCCCACTCACCAGATCCCATGGTGCAGCAAGAACCTAAGGTCAAACACTCTTAATAGGGACACTTGACCTGAAACATTTGCAGATATACAGAAAATGTTTTTTCCACGTGTGGTTAAATTCTTTCTGAGAATATAATAAACTAAATGAAACAAACATAAGTAGGATTTTTCCAGCTGGTATGGTGAAGTTTGTAGGGAACATAATAAATGTTAGTGATTCAGACTATAAATTAGGGTAAATACAAACTTGTTTACTAATCCAAGAAGACTGAATTTTACAGAATTTCTGTACAAATTAATAAAATATATACTTACGGGTCTTTACGAGACTCAAATAATTTCCTAAAAGATGAATTTGGTAAATAGTGTAGAATTTTATTTATTATTTTTTTGAGACAGAGTCTTGCTCTTGTTGCCCAGTCTGGAGTGCAATTGTGCGATCTTGGCTCACTGCAACCTTAGCCTCCCAGGTTCAAGCGATTCTCCTGTCTCATACTCCAAAGTAGCTGAGATTACAGGCATGTACCACCATGCCCAGCTCATTTTGTATTTTTTAGTAGGGATGGGGTTTCATCATGTTGGTCAGGCTGGTGTTGAACTCCTGACCTCAGGTGATCCACCTGCTTTGGCCTCCCAAAGTGCTGAGATTAAGGCATGAGCCACTGCACCCAGCCAATATTGCAGAATTTTTTAAACCACATAAAATATTACTTATACATGTTACAGTAATAATTGATTACTTAGGTAAATTGTAGTTTTCTGGCATCTATTCCAAGAGGTAGCATTATGTATATGTATATGTGTATATATATATATGTATATGTGTATAGATAGATAGATAGATAGATAGATGTGTGTGTGTGTGTGTGTGTGTGTGTGTGTGTGTGTGTACAGCCATATATGTGGGAGTAGGGGTATGAAATCTGATAAATAAAGGTTTGAATCTCAGTTCTACCTCTACCTTACATTCACTCTGTGATCATGGGCAAGATATTTATTTATTATCCACCCAACAGTGAAGTAATTTAATTGAGTGGTTGTGAATTCATATCACATGAGAATCACATATCACATGAGATATGTGATTCTCATGAGATATGCCTGAAAATAAGTAGTGTAAGTTCTGACTTTTATTATATTGCAAGTAAAAAATTGTTCTCTTTTTTTTCCATGAACTTCCCTTTCATATTGATTTTGCTATCTTGAGTGCCAACTGTATCCTCTGTAAACATACACTGAATCACTGATAAAATCCATGCACTCTTCTGGGTAAACCAATAATATGATATAATACGGCATGCCTTATAATCTTTTTTAATGGTTAAAAAATACATAATTATTTACAAAAGAGAATTTGACAGTTAGAAAGCATGAATTATTTGCAGTACAGTCAGCACTATTTTAAACAGAAAATATCTTTTTGTCTTTGCAGATTTGCATTACAAGAAAGACTGACGGATTTTAAACCACACCTAAAAGAAAAGAAGTGGTGGCGAATAAATTGTAGACTCTCCCAACTCATCATGTAGATATATTATACAAGCAAATTACTAGCAGTCTTGGAGAATATTCAATGAATGCCTTTACATGTTTGTAAGCAAATATAAATTGTATCAGAATGTTGAGAGATTGTAATTAGTGGAAATAACTAGCTGAAATAAAATTTTAAATAACGTGTTTCTAAGAAGTTAAACAATAGGCCTAAGACTTTTTTCACACATTATTAACCTCTAGGTAGAAGTGCTGTTAATTAGTAGAATAATGTTCAAAGAAACAATAATAGGATGATACAAGAAAATCCTTGCTAATGAACACTGGCTTTGATTTATGTTTTTGCTCAGAGTTTTCCAAGAAATATGCACATTTATAAGAAATTGTGGATCACATCATTATATTTTCTTGAATTATTTGTGTCCTCTGTTATCTCTCTGACAATTCCATGAAGCTCGAAATTTACTTTAAAGAAAAATAATATTACATTTTGTATTAACTCAAAAGGTTTCTCCCTGAGGTAAATGATGTTATATTCTGAAACGAACTATAAGTAATCTAGATGCCTATCTAGGAGAATATGAAAAGTTAGGTTCTGCGTTTTTCTACCACACAGCTTTAATGCTTTCTCATTAAACAAGCAAAGATAGGTCCCTATGGCATGGCCCGTTACTAGTGTTGCCAGTTATTAATGTTAAAAATAGAGCTAATGTTAAATTCATTTATTTTCTTATGACAGTGGTCCCCCATTATCCCTGGGGGATATGTTCCAAGACCCTCAGTGGATGCCTGAAACTGTAGGTAGGACCAAACCCTATTTATGCTATGCTATATTTTTTTCCCAAACATACATACCTGGGCTAAAGCTGAATTTGTTAATTAGGCACAGTAAGAGATTAACAACAATAATAATGACATAGAAAAAATATAACACCATACTGTAATAAAACTTACGTAAATGTGGCCTCTCAAAATATCTTACTGTACTGCAGATCTTAGACCCCTCAGTATACAATTTTTTTCCTTATTAAATTGAGAACTTTTGCCTTTTCACTTAAAGGAAGCACTTTGCAGCTTCTCTTTGGCATATCCAAATTGCCAGTATCACTACTCTTGCACTTTGAGGTCATTATAAAATAAAATACCGGTTATTTGAATACGAGCACTGCAATACTGCCACAGTCATTCTGATGCCTGAGGTGGTTGACTATCAATCAATGACTGACTAATGGTTGGTAGTTTAGATAGTGTGGGTACCCTGGACAAAGAGATTATTCATGTGTCAAGTGGGATGGAGGGGTACAGTGAGAGATGTTTTTAAACTTATGAATTGTTTATTTCTGGAATTTTCTATTTAATGATTTTGGAACTCCACTGATCACAGGTAACTGAAACCATGGAAAATGAAACTGCAAATAATTAGGGACTACTATATTCAAATGTTGTCCTTCAAAAAATTCTCACCCTTCTCCCTCCCTTTGCCCCTTGCTTATTCCTTCCTGCCCTTTCTTCTGTTGTCTACTTACTCATCAAACACTTTTTGAACAGGGAACAAAGTAGACATTGGTTAAAGAAGAGGTTATATATTAACTCGTATTTATAGTCTCATGGTCTGCATTAGCTCTCTGAGTCTGATCTCAGGTGTTTCCTAGTGAAAACAAAGTGCTACTCCCTGATAATCTTTCTGTGTCCTTTTGAAAAAGCAACACATTTGCTCTCACCTAGCTTTAACTGTAAAAGATAAGTTTTTTAACACTGTGGCATTGAAAGTACTTTAGGTATTTGGCATTTCTTAGTATTTGGGGAAATATTGACGATTTCACTCAAAGAGTTTTGCTACTTATAATATAGATAGACATAATTATTTCTTTTTTTTTTTTTTTTTTTTTTTTGAGACAGAGTTTTGCTCTTGTTATCCAGGCTGGAGTGCAATGGCTCAATCTCGGCTCACTGCAACCTCTGCCTCCCGGATTCAAGCAATTCTTCTGTCTCAGCCTCCGAAGTAGCTGGGATTACAGGCATGGGCCACCACGCCCAGCTAATTTTGTATTTTTAGTAGGGACAGAGTTTTGCCATGTTGGTCAGGCTGTTCTTGAACTCCCTACCTCAGGTGATCCACCCGCCTTGGCCTCCCAAAGTGTTGGGATTACAGGCATGAGCCACCACGCCCGGCCTAACATAATGATTTCAACATCAATTTTAACAATGCATTAAGTTCAGCTATTTTCTAGTTTTGAGTAAATGGAAAATATTAATAAATAACTTGGAGCTAAGCAAACTTTTCTATTCTGTAAATCAGGCAAAAGGTTATTTTACAATCTTTCTTGGACTAGCTTAAATGTGAAGACTTAGCATACTGGTGGGAAAATAATAAGGTTTTATACAAGTTGAATTTTTAAAAATATGCCAGGAGATTTAAAAAACATCTACAGAAATACTAAAAGCTAAATGGTAAAATGAAATACATGCATGTGAATTGTTATTTATGTAAATAAAGTTTATCACACAATATATGCAGCAAATATAGACTACACATACATTTCCATGATTTTTTCTCTCAGAACAATCATCTTGATGTTCTTTCCATTTCTATCCTTGCATAATAATTTATTAACTAAAAGTCATAATGGGTGGTTTTCATATTCCATGAGTAAACATGAAGCTCATCATCTTCTTCCCTCTCTGTTTTCATATTTCAATATTTTCATATGATCCTTAATGTGAATAACTTGTTTATTCTAAAACAAATATTTTTTAGAATGGCCAAAATATATCTTTGAAATTTCTATAAATGGTGACTTTCATATGTATTCCAACTCTTTCTAGGTAAGTTTCAGCATAACAAAAATTATTTTTATAATTTTAAAATACTAGAACTGCTTGGACATTTGTATTTTCTTTGACCCTTAATTTTGCATATGATCTTTTACATACCAAGTTTTAAATTTTTATGAAGTTATACATACCAAATGTATTATTTAATTCCATCTATTATATTTTAAAAAATCTTCAGTTGACAGGCTGAAGAATCTTTGCTATCTTTTGTTTTACTTGTTTTATATTTTACCTCTAACTTTTTGATTGTCTCAATTTATTTGGTGATATGATGTACAGACTCAACTTTTTAGTTTTCACAAGTAGCTTGTTTTAAAAATATCTCACTGGTATGTGACTATCATTACAAAATTCTTGCAGAAACCTATTTTATTTATCAGAACATTTTTAATGAGTTATACTGCATTAATTAGGATACTGCATCAATTAATAAAGGCCAAATAGTGATTTTTAGAATAGGGATATTTGTTACTCTCGCGTAATAGTCCTGATGTGAAATTTTCGTGGTATTGGGAACCCAGGTGCTTCATTTCATTGCTCTGCTATCCCAGGCAAACAGCTTCACACCAATAGTACAAGACAACCATTTCAAAAAAGAGCTGCCAAGCTTCCTGTCTTTGAAGGCCACAACCCAGAAACTGTACATTATCACTGCTGCTTAAAACTCATTGGCCAGAAACTAGTCACAAAGACACATGTAGCCAGAAGAGATGTGAAATGCAAACTAAGCTGAACAACCATGTACCTAAGTAAAACTCTTTGTACTAAAGAAAATAAACTTTGGACACAAAAATGGGCATCTCTGCCAGACAAACCCAATTAACTACTGTGGCTTTGTGTTTTGACATCTGGTAAGGAAAATCTCTGCTTAATTCTTTTCAATGTCATACTTATTTTGGCTAGTGCCTCCATTTATTCTGCCAGAGGAATCTTAGAATCAGCTAAAAATAAGACAAATAAATTTTTTATTAGATCTTCATCAATATACAAATTACTTTGGAAGGAATTTATATATTTACATTATAATGTATTTCTACTAAGTAGACACTTCTTTTTATTTATCAAAAATACACACATACACATACACACACATACACACACACATATATATAGGCAGTATTCCCTTTTTCTTTTATTTTTAGCTTTAGTTTTTTCCTCAAAGCACTTAACTTCTAAAGTCATTCCTGTATACTAATATTTTATTGTGAGAAATAGGACCAGTAATTGTCAAAATCTAGAACAATTATTGATATTTGTATATTTAACTTATATATAGTCACCCTTGAATATGATTTATCCTAAAATATTTCTTCATTATGTTATCCACAAGGAACAGTGATTTTTCCCTACTTGAATCTTACTTTTTATCTGATTTCTATGTCCTCTCTTATATAACTGGCAATTATGACTAAAATTTTGTCAATTATTAACTGAGAAACAGGATGTTTTTGTCTTATTCTTAATGTTATGGAGACATCTATTTCTTCAGTTTTTAATACATTAATACCCTTTTGTTAAAGAAAAAATATTGTCTATAAATATATTTATGAGGAAATATATAATGATTTTATATCTTTCTCAAAAATAATGATACGATAAAACTTCAAATAGTTTTCCCATTGATTTCTTAATTGCAATACGCTTTCATACTTTCAATGGGTTTCCTGACATAATCATCTTTCCAATAATAGATAAGTTGGTCCTATAAAAGAAGTTAAGTAAATTACCAAGTAAATACTTGGTAGGTCTTTTGTTAAATGACCAAATTATATATGTTAATATTTTACTTAACTTTTTTAAAAAAATAGTGACCTTTACTAAATCTGGTTCAGGGTCTTAAATTGGGATTTTGTTTGTTTGATATGCGTTTTGTTACTAGGGCATATTGGATGTATATGGATAGTGTTGGTCGGAGCTCATACAAATTACACATTTATTAACTTAGTCAATAAATTACATAGTAAGATTTAAAAAAGTGGAAAATCAGTGCAGAGATAAGTCTCTAAAAAGATAGTCTGTGTATAGCATGCAAACCAGATGTGGATGAGGCAGCCAGAATATCTGGAGAAACATGAGAAACCCTAAGGAAATCTGACTTAAAGACAAATGTTTCTGAGACACTACTGTTCAACAGAAGTATATTGAGAGCCATTTTCCTAATTTTAATTTGTCTAGTAGCAACATAAAACAGTGAAATTAATTTTAGCAATGTACTTTGTTTATACTGATATAACAAAAAACATTTTAATATGTAATTAATATACAAATTATTAATGAAATTTTATTTTCTTCTTTCCCTCCGTCCCTTTTCTTCCTTCCTTTCTTTTTCTCCCACCTTCCTTCCTTCCCTCCTTCCTTCGTTAGCCTTCAAAAGCAGTGTGTATTTTATACATATTGCACATCTTAATTTAGACTAACTGCATGTTAAGTGCTCCATAGCCACTTGTGGCTAGTGGCAACTGTATTGTCTTAGGGTTTGACTCACTGTGGTATTTATCAATATAATATTCACTTGTGAACTCATTCACATTGCTGTACATGTTCAATCTTATTTACATCTATGAGTTAGAGTATGGGTTACAGTTTCAGAATCTAGGCATGACCTCCACATGAACTCCCTGATCCATAGGCTTTATTAGTTAAAATGGCCAAAATGGCGAAACCCCATCTCTACTAAAAATACAAAAATTAGCCAGGCATGGTGGCAGGTGCCTGTAATCCCAGCTACTCAGGAGGCTGAGGCAGGAGAATCGCTTCAACTCAGGATGTGGAGGTTGCAGTGAGCTGAGATCGCGCCACTGCACTCCAGCATGGGGGAGAGGGCGAGAATCCATCTCAAATAAATAAATAAATAAACAAAATGTAGATTACCTCAAGCCTGGCAGATATTGTTGGTCTTGATGGATAGCTTCGGATTATTTTCACATTCCGTTAAATATTTCATATATAATTCAGTACTTTGGAAAGTGGATGTGGATTTCAACTTTTTCACTTAAAAGTAGTTTCACTGAAGCTGTTTACTTACCAATCATTTAGCACAAATACATTACAGGATTTCATCTAATAAGAACTTTCTTGGACCTGCGATTCTGTAACAATAGGTATCAGAACACGTTTACTGTGATAAGGTGCTAATTTAACTTTAGTATTTTTTATCTGAACACATGCAACTCACCTGGATGACTGTGCCTGAGAGACTGGTGGTCCAGACATGTCCCCCATGTGAACTCTTCACTAGCTCTTTGCAAAGAAGTTTTTATCTTTTTCTGTGCACTGAAATAATTTGTGTAGCATGGGACTAATTTATTCTGTGAAACCGTTTGGTACAATCCTTCAATACAACTTCTGGATGTGGTATTTTGCCAGAATTCATTTTTGTATCTCTTCCATTTTGGTTGATCTATGAAGTTCACTGTCTCTTCTTATATCAATTATAATGTTTTTATAATATATTATGAGAGATGATAATTTCACTTATGACAATTTATGAATAATTACATTTTTTATAACCATTAATTTACTCAGATTTCCAATTCCAGTAGAATGGATTTGATATTTAATAATTGTTTACTTTTTAAGTAATTATTCCAATTTTAATTTTTAAAACATTTTGTCTTAATTATCAATTCCATTGTTGTATATTTTTATTATTGATCATGTATTTAATTTCCCAAGTTTTTCTATGCATTTTAATTATTAATTAGTGCTTCTTTTATTTCTTTCATTAAAATTCTATTTTTAATTACTAGTAAATTAACATTAACTTATAATTTTGTTAGATTTGTTGCTTTATTTCTGTTTTCAATACATCTGTTAATTTCATAAGCTAACTCCTTTTCCTTGTACACTAGATTGGGACAATATTTTGTAGTGCTCTATGAACACTTGGAGACATTTGTTTGTATAAGTAAAAATTTTATATTTATCAATTATTTTGCCTTTTGGTTGGTTTAAAATTCTTTGTGATCTCTTTTACTTGTCTACTTAATCCCTGATAGAAAACTGTATGTTAAAGTAACATCATCAAATTATAGGTTATAATAAATTAGGTTTTCATTGCTAAATGTTTTCTAGTTTATTGCTAGGCACTATATTTTTTCTATATATCAAAATCATGGTTTACAGGTTGTTGTTTTTTTCTCAGCATTTGAAATTTGTTATTCGACTGTCTTCTAGCCTTCATTGCTCTTAATGAGAAAATGATGATCAAATTGCTGTTTTTCTCTAAATCATGTAGAATATTTCTACAGCTGTTTTTTTTGAGATATTTTCTTTGTTTTCCTTTTTCAAGAGTTTAACTAGTCTGTGTTCATGCCTGAAATAGATTTTGTAATTATCCTTTTAGGGGGTTAGCTAACTTTTTGAATCTTTAATTTTTTTTTTTTTTTTTTTTTGGTCTTTCACATTTGAGAAGTTTAGAGCAATTATTTCTTCCAATACTATTCTCCTACATCCTATCTCTCCTCTCTTTCTGGGAATCCAATGACCTTTATGTTTCATGTTTGATATTATTCCACATGGCCCTGAGGTTCAGTTCACATTCTTTATTATATCTTGTTTTTCTCTCTTCTTAAAGTTGGATAATTTTTATTGTTCTGTCTTCAAGTTCATTGACATTTTACTCTAATATCTTCAGTCCTCTATTAAGTCCCTATGACAAATTTTAAAATTTCAGATATTTAACTTTTCAGTTCTAATGTGTTGTGTGTGTGTATGTGTGTGTGTTATTTATATGCTGGAATTTCCTACATTTTCATTTGTAATAGTCTATCTTCCTTTAAACACACTGAACATAGTTACAATGGTTGCTATAATATCCAAACTTAATAATCTCATCATTTCATCATCTGTGTTATTTTGAGACTGAACTCTGTTCTTTTCCCTTGAGAAAAGTTCAAGTTTTCTGATTCTTCATATATGGAGTAGTTTTAGATTACACTGGATGTTATATTGTGGAGACTTAAGATTCTATTATAGTACTCCAAACAATGTTGACGTTTATGTTTTTGGTGACAATTAACTTCGCTAGATTCAGACTTCAAATTGTGTCATACTTGCAGTGGACTGTGGCTCAGACCTCAGTTGATATTGCTTTAAATCTGCTTCATACTCATCTGGTTCGTAAGTTACCAGAAATTTGAATAACATTTATGCACGGAATTTAGCTTTCCTCTTCTTGGCCCTATTTTTGCCAGGCTGCCTTCCTCAATCTCAGGTGGTCCCAGTTGTTCCAGCTCCTTCCCTGGTATCTCTCGACAGAGGGTGGTGAGCTTTCTCTTAGAGTTTTAGTTGTTCTATGACATAACTGATGTAACCATGTCTTCCTCCAAAGCAAAGACACAAAAATGGGAAATTTATTTTATGATGATTTGTTACATGTTTTGAGAACCCTCCAAAATCTGCCTGCTTTTATTCACTCATTAGAATCATCCAGCAGTATTGATTTTTGCACTTGGTATAGTTTATAGTTGTTATCTAAGAAAATGATCACTTGTTTTTAACTTAGTACTCCATATTAGCTGCAGAACATCTTAGAAAATTTTACGGTTGTGAGGCAGGAGTCTGAACTAGGCAAAAGAACAACAAAACCAAGGCATGAAATGTTTACAGCTCAGGAGAACAGTATATTATTTGCAATAAAATATTATTATTTATATTTTGTTATCATAAGCTATTATTTATATGTCATTGAATTATCTATCATAGAATTTCTATGTATATAGGTTTTTATTCCTATAGAATTATTACTCCTATATCTTAGGATATCATATGATACATTTGGGAAATAGATATAAAATAGGTTATGGGTTATTATACTGGTGGACAAAAAAATTTTGAAAATATTTCTAAGAACAATGACATGATCAAAATTATATTCATGAATGATTATATTAGTAATAATGTATGGGACTCATTGATTTTCATATAGGCAAGGATCAGAAATTATAGGCAGAGTTAACCCAATAATCCCAAGGAAAAAGGAGAGTATGAACGAGAGTGTAGGGCAATAAAAATAAAGTGGGGAAATGACTGTATGACATGATACATATGGGAGTAGTAACATTTTCAGTGGCATTACGGTAACTCATAAAGCTAATGCAAACCTTAAAAATTTTTACATGTAAAACCTTTATAAAATAATATCAGGCTGAATTAGGACAAGGAAAGAAAATATTCCATATTAATTTCTTATTATAGCTTCAATGTAAACAGATAGTGATGTTGTCATTTACTTAAAAGTAGAAATCAGGAGATAGAACTAACTTGTTTTAAGCCTTTTTATTTTTGCTATCTACTCGAAGCCTATGCAATATTATGTGGTTCTTCCTAATAGTTTTAAGTTGCCCTTTCATGACTCTCTTTTTTGAGGTAAAACTTTTTAATGCTGACATAATACATTATTAATATTTCTAATTTTGAACAATAATGTAAATAAATCATTACAGAGCATTTAATTAATATTAGTTAAGACTAGCTATGCTCCATTATTTTGCATGTCTTTAACAATAATTATGTAATCTTTCATTATTCTCATTGATTAAAATAAAATATAATCAGATAATTAGCTTAACTTTAATCAAAATAGCCCTACATTTTTCATTTGAGAAAATAAAAAGTTTAACTTAGTATTTTAAATATAACTTAGAGTAAAACGTGTATACAATATATATTTTATAGTTATATATTTTCATTCTGTTGTCACCAGTAACTTTTTATCATTTAAAAATAAGTATGTCAAGCACAAAAGTAACAAATTATTATTGCTTTTGCTGCTGTTAATGTTCAAATGCATAAGGACTGAGACATTTACAGAGAGTTTTTTTCCCTTTGAACTGAAGAAATCTATAATTCTTTCACCTTAGCACTCAAGCACATTTTCTACTCCAGATTGAAATATGTTATTTCTCAAGGAATGGCTATAATATAGACATCATAGTTATTGTTCATATAGAATATTCTTTGAATATAACTTTAACACTATGGCAAAATGATATACTAAATATCAAAGAATTCTTAGTTTCTGATTCTTATTACAAGAGATAAAATATAAACATTACAGCCTACATGCACTCTTGGCTACACTGTTTTTATAACTAAGATATAAACACATTTAATTGTTCTGCCATATTTAAGATTCCTTCAATTAAATGTTTGCAATCTTCCCTTTAAAAAATTTCAGCTAAGAACATCTATTACAGGCTTAAAATATTTTCCTAAACACATAAACACATTTAATTATTCTTCCATATTAAAGATTCCTTCTACAAAATAAGTTTGCAATCTTCCCTTAAAAAAATTTCAACTACAAACATCTATAACAGACTTAAGCTATTTTCCTAAAACTGCATGTGACTTTAATCTTAATGTGAATTTGGAGTTGTGCCTTGACACTATTGAACATATATAAAATATTGATGTGTTGCATAATGCCAATCTGAATTTAAATTTGGCAGTATTGGGAGCATAATCACTGAGTGACACTAAATTAAAGTGTCAATATATTGGTCAATATGTTATCTCTGAAATGAAAGAACTATAGAGAACCTGTCATTAAATTGCTCCTGCCCAAGATATAACACTTAATCTTGTCCTCTGTCATCGAATTTGTGTTCTCAAAACCTCCTGAGAGACACTGTCCTAACTTTGCTCTAGGATATACCTCTCTGGACAGTGTAATGAACCATTTGTTTCTAAATTAACAACCAGGACACAAAACATCCTTCTAACTTCTTTTGTTTTTAACTGTACTTCATATTTTCCTCAAATTATCAAGACTATTAAAACCACTTCCTGGTCAGCACAGTATTTCTTTTTCTTTTCTCTTTTTGCTCTTGTCACCCAGACTGGAGTGCAGTGGCATGATCTTGGCTCACTGCAACCTCCGCCTCCTGGGTTCAAGAGATTCTTCTGCCTCAGCCTCCCAATTAGCTGGGATTACAGGAGCCCACAACCACGCCCGGCTAATTTTTTGTATTTTTAGTGGAGACGGTGTTTTGCCATGTTGGGGAAGCTGGTCTTGAACTCCTGACCTCAGGTGATCTGCCTGCCTCGACCTCCCAAAGTGCTGGGATTACAGGCATGAGCCACCACACCTGGCCACAGTGTTTCTTTTTCTATGCCTTCATTTGAACTCATTCTTCCTTCTGTAACTGAGTGTAAATAACTAAGTGGCTTCGTATGTTTGACATTTCCTCTTTTATTTTATAATTTTGTCTAAAATAAAGATGCTTACTTTATCTTCACAAGGGTTTTTTGGCCAATGACATTCGGTTGAACAGGTGTGTTTAGAAAATAGGTTTTCTAATGGAAAGGCCTGTTAAATTTCTATTCTAACAACCAGTACAATTATTCTGATATTTCATGTAAAGCTCATAAAAATCAATGTATAATTAAATATAGCATGTTATGTATTTTAAATATTTGTTTTCATTCAATTTAATCCTTGATTCAATACTTTACATCAACATATTCATATAGTGATAGTATGTGCATTGAGTTACATCCATTATTTATGTGATCTATTTTCTTTTTTTTTTTTTTTCAAAAGCCGCATTTCTGCTTGTTGGCACATTTTAAGGAATACAATTATAAACACTGTTGAGGTTTTTCAAGTTATAATTTTTGTCTGTTTTGAGACAGGGTCTCGCTCTGTCATGGAGGGTGGAATGCAGTGGCACAACCATAGATCATAGTATCCTGGACATCCTGAGCTCGAGCAATGCTCCCACCTCAGCCTCCCGAATAACTAGGAGTACCGAGAGGTACCACCATGCCTGGCTAATTTTTAATTTTTTTGTAGTTGCCCAGGCTGGTTTCCAATTCCCAGGCTCAGGTGATCCTCCTGCCTCAGCCTCCCAAAGTGCTGGAATTACAGGTAAGAACCACTGCACCTGGCCAGTTTTTGTGCTTTGAATTGACCTTATTTAACCCTCCTATAAATAGTAAGAATTAGCTCTTTAAAACTATTTGCACTAGGAAACTAGTCTTATAGAATGTTTATTCTTATTTTTCTTAATTGTGTAATTGTATTGTTTTCTTTGTAGTAAAAACCTCTAAACTGACTTAAGCATCCTATTAATAACATGTCAATTTCTCACTAAGCTTAGCTTTAATATTTAATATCTCATTAAGCTTAGCATTTAATTATCATCAACCTTCCCTGGAAGTGGTGGAATTACTGTTTGACTGCTTTCAACAACTTTTTATTTCACCAGTTTCTTCCTTTCAGCAATGCCAAAGCTTCCAATGATAAATGCATAGATATGGAGGTTATCTTAAAATCACTAGAGAATTAGTGATATCTTGATATCACTAGAATAGTTGGCCAGATACCTGGTTAGTTTATTTTCATTTTTTTTTTACATTTTCCCAAAACTATATTACTTTGGGGCTAAATCTCTCCATATTACTGTTCTAACTGTAGCCTGAACTGGTTGGACTAATTGATCTATAAAGTCCTTATTAGCCCTATCAATCTCCGAATTCATGGTTTTAGATATTGTAAAGAACTGGAGCAAGGCACAAGAGAAAACTGATAATGTTACAAGTATTCTGTCAATGCAACCATCTCTGAGCAACAAGGAGAACCTCTTGGAGTTGTCTAAGTGAATAAACTCTTAATATGTACGGTAAACTACTATTCTTATGATTTTTCTGTAAGAGATTGCATATAAAACTTTCCCATGAACTGTTTAAAATAGATCTTAAAATTATTTATTAATTAAAAAATATGCTTAGAGATGTGCAATGTCTCTCACTAGAATTATTTACATAGCCTACTATTTCTCACCCATTTGTCCTATTTGTTGATTTATTTAATTTTTAAAGAGTGGACTTTGTTGGATTTATCCTCCCATGTAGGTGTCTCTAACAAGAGTGTTAGAAGTTATTAAAAGCATTTACAGCAAAGATATTGCAAGGAAGGTTTTAACTATGAAGACTCCAACCATTTATTCCTAACCAAATTGACTTGGACACTGGTGGACTACTGTGTCCTAGTTTAAGTTCCTTTGCTTTTATACCCATTTCCACCACAGAAATGTTAGCTGTAAATTAGACATAATTTTTTACATGTGGAACATCTTTATAGTAATTTCGATCCCTAGAAGGTCAAAGTGGAATAGTATCATTTATTTGACTTACTTGAACATACATTAAAATAACACTTATTTGACATTTATTGAAAGTGCTTCATCTCATATGAACCCTGAAAGTCAATAATATTAATAAAAAATTGATTTAGCATTCATATTTGTCAGGGCAAAGATGTGGATTATAAAACATTACTTTTTTAGTTTTTTTTTAAGCTTAAGGCTAGATATAGTCAATACATATAAATTTACCACTCTGCTATTTATATATTTTACATTTTATTTTTCCAGCATTTCTTTTCTTTTTCAATATTCTTGCTGCATTTAGGCAATAATTTTCCAACCTTAGAACATAAATCATAATAGCATTCAATCCTGAAGAGCTCAGCTTCAAATCGTTAAAATGTGTTTAATGCATGAAACACAGTTGACCTGTTTCTTTCCTCCATTCTCTAAAAAAGCCCTGCCTTTAAAATATCAAAGAATTCCTGTCCTACATCTCAAATTGTCATATGTATCTTATACTAAAATTACTCCTTTTTCTATTTTATTTTTTAAGGGACTGTGTATGTGTACAGGGGTGTGTGTGTGTGTGTGTGTGTTTCTGTCTCTCTGTGTGTGAATTCTGATGTTTCTTGTTTTCCATTAGATGGAAACATTAGAATATAGTGAACATTCCCCTAAATTTTAACTAGAAAAAAATATTTTAAATGTGATTTTTCTCTATTTCATTCTCCCTGTTTCTCTTTCTCTCTTTGACTCTGCTCTGTAATGTTATGTAAGAATTTAGACTACTATTTATAGTAGAGAGAAGAAGGATAATTCTTGTATCTCAGGACAACTCAGCTTTTACAAGGGGCCTTAGTGACACACCAAGGTGTAAAGGGAGTGGCCGAGGAATTGATGAAACATGTTAAAGCTTACCTGCTAAAGTAAAAAAAAAAAAAAAAATACATTTTAGAAGGCTTTAATAGTAGGTTTTCTTTTAAAAATTTTAAATGTTTAACTCCATTCACAGCTAAAGGGTTCACTGCTATTTTTACACAGGATATAAAGATGGAAAAGGAGCACATGTTTTTAAAGATGAGGAAAGTGAAGCCAGGAGGTTATGCAACTTGCCCAAGCAAGTTACTGGAGCCAGATCTCAAACTTAGGTTCTGTTTTCTTAACAACTCAATGCTGTAATTAATAATGATAATGTGAACAGAAATAATACTGTAAAATATATATTGAGTGCTCACATGGAAGTCAGACTTTGTAGCCAATTAAATTATGGATTTTCCAATTCAACAAACGAAAGTGATATTTGTAGTGAAATCCCCAGATATTTTCTTTCCTCAAATAAACTAATTCAATCTGTTTTACCTTTTAAAATCATTAATGACAGTATTCTATTTAACTAAAAAAAATACATATTTGTGTAAGAAAAAGACAAGTAAAATAAATTTGTGTAAAATTCAAAATTACGTTTTATTTTTACTTTTTTCCTTCTCTTTAAATGCAGTGAACTTCTATTATTTGAAAATCATTTTTTCCTCATTTCTTACTTTGTTTCTCATCTTGATGCTTGCATTTTAGTTTTTTGTTGTTGTTGTTTGTTTGTTTGTTTTACTGTTCATTAGCACTTTCAGCTAACAGGTGAGCTGAGGGCCTGTAAGAAATTCCAAAATTCAAATCAGCCAAGTATATGTTTGTTCTCAGGGCTGGCATCCAGTTTCAACTATCAGTGTGACTTCTGGCAGCATAGTGGCACACAGCACATTTGGGTGAAGCTCTAATTTTGCACTTCCTGAACACAGGTTAGCACACGACGTTTCCTTCGGGTTTTTCTCTGTATCCACATAATGGGCACTTTGCATTCCCCAAAGCAGTAACTGTATTTGTATTTTTCATGGATTAAAAATATCTAAAATAAAATTTTGAACTATAGACTAGGTTTTTGATAGATATGCAGTTGAAAAGCAAATCAATTAAAAAATAATTAGACAATATATCACTTAATATGGAAGAGAGAATGCAAAAGGCAAGAGATCATGCTGGTTTACATAATCAATCTTATTGCTATGGAGGCATTTACTGAAGTTAAAATAGCACAACTTTTTCAATTGCCAGAAAAAAACCGCACTGGCCAGAATTAAACAAGTAAAGAGGACTTTATTCAAGTCTATAGCAATAGGGTAGAGACATTGAGCATAATTTCTCTGAAACAAAAGGGTGGATGTTTTTGTGTTTTTCAAGCCTGGCAGAGTTTTAATCCCTGGAATGAGTTAATGGAAAATTACTGGAGGACCTTAAGGGCAGGTTGGTCAATGGGATTAGGCCATCACTATTTACTAATTGTCCTTTATGGACTTCTACCCTTCCACAGAGACTGAGAGAGCAGGACACTATCTCCTTAGATGATTACATTTCAAAGAAATGGTTCCTGGATTTTTGAGAAAGACATTTCTGGGTTGTAAAACTGGCAAATCCTGGAGGAGACATACTTCAAAGAGCCAAAGAAAGAATGTGTACTTGCAAGTGTTCTAAAGTAAATGGTCTAAGAGAAAGGAGATCAGGAGGCTATAGACAGGAAGAAGCCCCTCTATGGTATAGTCAAGCAGAGTGAACATTAAGGCCCTCTGGTCATAATGTATATAGAAACGTTAAAAAAAAAAATCCTGAGAAGATGTTGACTATTTATTTTTATCCACAATCCAGTAAGGTCTAGGCAGTTTAGCCTGCCTCCATGGCAGAAAGCTTAATACACAGGTATTATTTATCTAACTTTACCAAAGCCAGTTGTTATTAGTATTTGATATACAAATAAGTACTTCTACATAATCTAGTCTAACATAAGATGTTTTGTCAAGCTATCCCTCCCTTGAATTTGCAAAATATAATTGTGTTTTCTCTTTCATATTCATCCAACTGTCAGCTGAACAAAGACAAACACTTTCTTTGTGAAGATTTATGGCAAGCAGTTCAAGTTGCAATCTGCAGTACCACAGAAATTTCCAATAATTCAAAAGCTGAAAATAGCTTAAGAAATGTTATCCTTGGGCTATTTATGTCTTTGGCAAAGAAAGTTCATTTAATATAATTACCTATTCTTTACATTTTTAAATGGAAAAGGATATATTGTCTCTAGGCAGTAAATTCTAAATTCCAGGAAGAAGACATTTTTGAAAAAGAAGAAGAAAGTAATTCTAGAGAAGAATTTGAAAGCAGCATTAGGCCATGGCCTTTCCATAATTAGGCATAAGCTCATCACTCTCATAATAGTGAAGTATATGAAGTCAGTGAGATTGGGCAGTTAATGGACTGCTGCTTTGAAAATATTCCACTGTCAGTTAAACTTGGAATTTTTTCTCAACCTATAAACCATTTGACTTTATAAAAGAAAATGGATATTTTAACTGTAAAGATTACAAAATTGCTTTATAAATATGTTCCTTAAGTGAAAATGGCATTTGGAATCATGTATACAGTTGTTCCTTACTGTCTGTGAGAAATTGGTTTCAGGACCTCAGCGGAGCCCAAAATCCATGGATGTTCATTCGTTATATAAAATGGCATAGAATTTCCATATAATTTACACGTCTTTCCATATACTTTAAATCATCGCTCAATTATTTATGAAGACTAAACTCCTTTTTTTTTTTTTTAATCTTGCCCAAATTCCTATCTAAGAGGTCTAGGGAGTCATGCCCTACAAACCGTAAATTCTCATCAGATGAGTTTTATGTAACTTATATATCATGACTTACTTTCCAAACTGACTCCAGCGTAACACTACGAGACAAGGAAGAAAAGCAAAATATTTACCCCAAATGTGTGTTTCTTTGTCATATTTTGAAATGGCCCTGCAAGCCATCCTTTATGGGGGAAAATTTGCACATGTAAAGAATCCCTATTAACATAGCTAGACCTTTTCCTTCCAGGCCCCTCTAATTCTGAATAGATAACTGAGAGTCTAGCACTTTTAAAAGTCTGAATAGGAAACATTTGTCATCTAGTGTTTCTAAGTGCAGCTGCTATGAGACTTCAAAAGAATCTTGGTCTCCAAAGTCTTTTATTTTAACCTGAACATTTTCTTTCTATTGATCTCAGGTCCTTAGACAGAACTCAACCAATTGTCAACCAGAGAATGTTTAAATTTACCTATACCCTGGAACCCCCGTACCCTCATTGTCTACCCTGTGTTTCAAATTACCTCACCTTTCTGGAACTAACCAGTGCATTCCTTAAATGTATTTGATTGATGTCTCTTGCCTCCCTAAAATGTATAAAACCAAGCTGTACCCCAACCATTTTGGGCACATGTTCTCGGTCCTCCTGAGAGCTGTGACATAGGCCGTGGTCACTCGTATTTGGCCCAGAATAAATCTCTTTAAATATTTTACAGAATTTGACTGTTTTCATTGACACTTATAATATGTAATACCATGTGAATGCTATGTAAATAGTTGTTATTCTGCAATATTTTATATTTGTATTATATTTTATTGCTGTGTTATCTTTTCTAATATTTCGAATCTGAGGTTGGTTGAATTTGCAGATGGGGAACCCACTGTAATCAAGGGCTGACTATTTAATTATGTAATTAACTCACCTAGATAGTAATAATTTTTCAAAGAAAAGTATAAAAATAGATGAGAAGACTATGCTGTTTGGCCTGCAAAAGGTAGAAACCTAGCTCAAAGTAATTTAATTCAAAAGAATGGAAAAAAATGTCATGAAAGATACTGAAACTCTATTGACCACACACACATACACACACAAACGCACACATGTGCAAACATGCGCACACACACACACACACACACACACACTCTCTCTCTCTCTCTGTCTCTCTCTCTATTCTAAAGATAGAACTTTTTCTTCCCAATCACCGTGTTGCACAGCCTCTCCTGTGCTGGGCACGCAATGGCTGACAAACTTCCTAAAAAAAGTTTAGGTGGAGGTTTTTCCCTGGGATATATTTCCAGTCTTTTGGACATGCCAGGTCACTTGCTATGCTATATATATAGTCCTGTATCACTTAACAACAAGGATACATTCTGAGAATTTGTTGTTAGACAATTTTATTGTGCAAACATCGTAGAGTGTACTTATACAAACCTAGATGGTATAGCATACTACACAGCTAGGCCATATGGAGTAGCCTATTGAACCTAGGCTACAAACATGTACAGCATGTTACTATACTGAACACTGTAAGCAATTGTAACATATTGGGAAGGATTTATGTATTTAAACATACCTAAACAGAAAATGTACAGTAAAAATTCAGTACTATATTCTTATGGGACTACCATTGTGTATCCAGTACTTTGTTGACTGAAGCATCATTATAAGCCATATTATATATCTTTTTGAAACATAAAGGTATAGCAAATGACTTGTGGCTCCAACAAACAGATTAGTTTGTCCCCTACTTAGTCAGTTGGATTCTTTACATTAGAAACATGTAGTTTGCTGATCTTTCTTCTCTAGGTGAGTAAAATAGCCATAGTATCCATCATCCCTTGATTCCAAGGCTCCTGTATGTCCGTTACTCCCTAAGTTATATATTTTCCAAATAATGCTCTGTGCCACTGTCATCTTAAAGTGGTTATTAAATCCTAGGCACACCTTCTTCAAATGCCTCTTGAAAGTGCCACCTCCTGGTGGGAGGCCAACCAACACAAAACCAGTACAATCAACAAAACACAACCAAGGACCCACACAGAGTCCACTTCCCTCCCCTGCCACCTCCACCAGAGTGGGTGCTGGTATCCATGGCTGGGAGACTTGAAGATGAATCACATCACTGGACTCTTTGCAAACATTCCCCAGCATCAGCCTGGAGCCCAGTAGCCCCACTGCATGGCTGAAACAGTCTACCAAAATAAGAAGGAAATATATACATATATGCACCTAACACTGGAGCTCCCAAATTTATAAAACAATTACTACTAGACCTAAGAAATAAAATAGATGGCAACACAACAATAGTGGGGGACGTGAATACCCCACTGACAGCACTAGACAGGTCATCAGGACAGAAAGTCAGCGAAGAAACAATGGGCTTAAACTATACCATAGAACAAATGAACTTACAGATATTTACAGAACATTCTACCCAACAACTGCATAATATATATATATTTTCATCTGCACATGGAACATTCTCCAAGATAGACAATATGATAGGCCATGTCAGGCCTCTGAGCCCACTAAGCCATCATATCCCCTGTTACCTGCACATACACATCCAGATGGCCGGTTCCTGCCTTAACTGATGACATTCCACCACAAAAGAAGTGAAAATGGCCTGTTCCTGCCTTAACCGATGACACTGTCTTGTGAAATTCCCTCTCCTGGCTCATCCTGGCTCAAAAGCTCCCCCACTGAGTACCTTGTGACCCCCACTCCTGCCCACCAGAGAACAACCCCCCTTTTTCCTTTACCTACCCAAATCCTATAAAACAGCCCCACCCCATCTCCCTTCGCTGACTCTCTTTTCGGACTCAGCCCGCCTGCACTCATGTGAAATAAACAGAGTTGTTGCTCACACAAAGCCTGTTTGGTGGTCTCTTCACATGGACGCACGTGAAATTTGGTGCTGTGACTCGGATCGGGGGACCTCTCTTGGGAGATCAATCCCCTGTCCTCCTGCTCTTTGCTCTGTGAAAAAGATCCACCTATGACCTCAGATCCTCAGACCCACCAGTCCAAGGAACATCTCACCAATTTTAAATCGGGTAAGTGGCCTCTTCTTACTCTCTTCTCCAACCTCTCTCACTATTCCTCAATCACTTTCTTCTTTCTACTCTTCAATCTCTCCCTTCTCTTAATTTCAATTCCTTTCATTTTCTGGTAGAGACAAAGGAGACACGTTTTATCCATGGACCCAAAACTCCGGCGCCAGTCACGGACAAGGGAAGACAACCTTCCCTTGGTGTTTAATCATTGCAGGGACAACTTTCTGATTATTCACCCAGGTTTCAGAGGTGTCAGAACACGCAGGGACGCCTACCTTGGTCCTTCACCCTTAGCGGGAAGTCCTGCTTTTCTGGGGAAGGGGCAAGTACCCCAACCCCTTCTCTCCATGTCTCTACCCCTTCTCCACCTTTCTGGGGGGCAAGAAACCCCCAACCCCTTCTCCTTCACCCTTAGCAGCAAGTCCTGCTTTTCTGGCGGAGGGGCAAGTACCCCAACCTCATATCTCCGCACCCCAATCCCTTATTTCTGAGCCCCGACCTCTTATCTCTGTGCCCCAATCCCTTACTTCCGTGCCACGACCTCTTATATCTCTGCACCCTGACCTCTTATATCTCTGCGCCCCAATCCCTTATTTCCGCACCCCAACCTCTTATATCTCTGCACCCCAATCCCTTATTTCCACACCCCAACCTCATATCTCTGTGTCCCAACCCCTTTCCCGCTTTTCTGGAGGGTAAGAACCCCCGAACCCCTCCCTCCGTGTCTCTACTCTCTCTTTTCTCTGGGCTTGTCTCCTTCACTATGGGCAACCTTCCACCCTCCATTCCTGCTTCTTCTCCCTTAGCCTGTGTTCTTAAGAACTTAAAACCTCTTCAACTCTCACCTGACCTAAAATCTAAGCATCTTATTTCCTTCTGCAATGCCACTTGACCCCAATACAAACTCGACAGTAGTTCCAAATAGCCAGAAAATGGCATTTTCAATTTTTCCATCCTACAAGATCTAAATAATTCTTGTCATAAAATGGGCAAACGGTCTGAGGTGCCTGACTTCCAGGCATTCTTTTACACATTGGTCCCTTCCTAGTCTCTATGACCAATGCAACTCATCCCAAATCTTCCTTCTTTCCCTCCTGCCTGTCCCCTCAGTCCCAACCCCAAGCGTTGCTGAGTCTTTCTAATCTTCCTTTTCTACAGACCCATCTGACCTCTCCCCTCCTCACCAGGCTGAGCTAGGTCCCAATTCTTCCTCAGCCTCCGCTCCTCCACCCTGTAATCCTTTTATCACCTCCCCTCCTCACACCTGGTCCGGCTTACAGTTTCATTCCCTGACTAGCCCTCCCCAACCCGCCCAGCAATTTACTCTTAAAAAGGTGGCTGGAGCTAAAGGCATAGTCAAGGTTAATGCTCCTTTTTCTTTATCCCAAATCAGATAGCGTTTAGGCTCTTTTTCATCAAATATAAAAAACCAAGCCCCAGTTCATGGCTTATTCGGCAGCAACCCTGAGACGCTTTACAGCCCTAGACCCTAAAAGGTCAAAAGGCCGTCTTATTCCCAATATACATTTTATTGCCCAATCTGCTCCCGACATTAAATAAAACTCCAAAAATTAAATTTTGACATTCAAACCCCACAACAGCATTTAATTAACCTCACCTTCAAGGTGTATAATAATAGAAAAAAGTTGCAATTCTTTGCCTCCACTGTGAGACAAACCCCAGCCATATCTCCAGCACACAAGAACTTCCAAATGCCTGAACCGGAGCAGCCAGGCATTCCTCCAGAACCTCCTCCCCCAGGAGCTTGCCACAACTACCAGAAATCTGACCACCAGGCCAAGGAATGTCTGCAGCCCAGGATTCCTCCTAAGCCGTGTCCCATCTGTGCGGGACCCCATTGGAAATCCGACTGTTCAACTCACCTGGCAGCCACTACCAGAGCCCCTGGAACTCTGGCCCAAGGCTCTCTGACTGACTCCTTCTCGGCTTAGCAGCTGAAGACTGACGCTGCCTGATCGCCTCAAAGCCCCGTAGACCATCACGGATGCCGAGCTTTAGGTAACTCTCACAGTGGAGGGTAAGTCCGTCCCCTTCTTAATCAATACAGAGGCTACCCACTCCACATTACCTTCTTTTCAAGGGCCTGTTTCCCTTGCCTCCATAACTGTTGTAGGTATTGACGGCCAGGCTTCTAAACCTCTTAAAACTCCCCAACTCTGGTGCCAACTTAGACAATACTCTTTTAAGCCCTCCTTTTTAGTTATCCCCACCTGCCCAGTTCCCTTATTAGGCCGAGTCACTTTAACTAAATTATCTGCTTCCCTGACTATTCATGGGCTACAGCCACACCTCATTGCCACCTTTTCTCCGAGTTCAAAGCCTCCTTCACATCCTCCCCTTATATCTCCCCACCTTAACCCACAAGTATAAGTCACCTCTACTCCCTCCTTAGTGACCGATCATGCACCCCTTACCATCCCATTAAAACCTAATCACTCTTACCCCGCTCAATGCCAATATCCCATCCCACAGCATGCTTTGAAAGGATTAAAGCCTGTTATCAATCGCCTGTTACAGCATGGCCTTTTAAAGCCTATAAACTCTTCTTACCATTCACCCATTTTACCTGTCCTAAAACCAGACAAGGCTTACAGGTTAGTTCAGAATCTGCGCCTTATCAACCAAATTGTTTTGCCTATCCCCACATGGTGCCAAACCCATATACTCTCCTATCCTCAATACCTCCCTCTACAACCCATTATTCTGTTAAGGATTTCAAACATGTTTTCTTTACTATTCCTTTGCACCCTTCATCCCAGCCTCTCTTTGCTTTCACTTACTGATCCTGACACCCGTTAGGCTTAGCAAATTGCCTGGGCTGTACTGCCGCAAGACTTCACAGACAGCCCCCATTACTTCAGTCAAGTCCAGATTTCATCCTCATCTGTTACCTATCTCGGCATAATTCTCATAAAAACACACGTGCTTTCCCTGCTGATTGTGTCCAATTAATCTCCCAAACCTCAATCCCTTACAAAACAACAACTCCTTTCCTTCCTAGGCATGGTTATTGCAGCCAGAATTCTTACACAAGAGCCAGGACCGCACCCTGTAGCCTTTCTGTGCAAACAACTTGATCTTACTGTTTTAGGCTAGCCCTCATGTCTGCATGCAGCGGCTGCCGCTGCTTTAATACTTTTAGAGGCCCTAAAAATCACAAACTATGCTCAACTCACTCCCTACATTTCTCATAACTTCCAAAATCTATTTTCTTCCTCATAACTGACACATGTACTTTCTGCTCCCTGGCTCCTTCATCTGTACTCACTCTTTGTTAAGTCCCACAATTACCATTGTTCCTGGCCTGGACTTCAATCCAGCCTCCCACATTATTCCGGATACCACACCTGACCCTGTTTCTCACCCTGATCACACCTGATTTATTGATGGCAGTTCCACCAGGCTTAATCACCACTCACCAGCAAAGGCAGGCTATGCTATAGTATCTTCCACAGCTATCATTGAGGCTACTGCTCTGCCCCCCTCCACTACCTCTCAGCAAGCCGAACTAGTTGCCTTAACTCAAGCCCTCACTCTTGCAAAAGGACTACATGTCAATATCTATACTGATTCTAAATATGCCTTTCATATTCTGCACCACCATGCGGTCCTATGGGCTGAAAGAGGTTTTCTCACTACACAAGGGTCCTCCATCATTAATGCCTATTTAATAAAAACTCTACTCAAGGCCACTTTACTTCCAAAGGAAGCTGGGGTCGTTCACTGCAAGGGGCATCAAAAGGCATCAGATCCCATTGCTCTAGGCAACGCTTATGCTGATAAGGTGGCTAGACAAGCAGCTAGCTCTCCAACTTCTGTCCCTCACGGCCAGTTTTTCTCCTTCATGTTGGTCACTCCCACCTACTCCCCCGCTGAAACTTCCACCTATCTATCTCTTCCCACACAAGGCAAATGGTTCTCAGACCGAGGAAAATACCTCCTTCCAGCCTCACAGGCCCATTCTATTCTGTCGTCATTTCATGACCTCTTCCCTCTAGGTTACAAGCCTCTAGCCCGTCTCTTAGAACCTCTCATTTCCTTTCCATCCTGGAAATCTATCCTCAAGGAAATAACTTTTCAGCGTTCCATCTGCTATTCTATTACCCCTCAGGGATTATTCAGGTCCCCTCCCTTCCCTACACATCAAGCTCAGGGATTTGCCCCCACCCAGCACTGGCAAATTAGCCCTACTCACATGCCCCGAGTCAGGAAACTAAAATACTTCTTAGTCTAAGTAGACACTTTGATTGAATAAGTAAAGGCCTTTCCTACAGGGTCTGAGAAGACCACCGTAGTCATTTCTTCCCTTCTGTCAGACATAATTCCTCAGTTTGGCCTTCCCACCTCTATACAGTCCAATAGCAGACTGGCCTTTATTAGTCAAATCAGCCAAGCATTTTTTCAGGCTCTTAGTATTCAGTGAAACCTTTATATCCCTTACAATCCTCAGTCTTCAGGAAAAGTAGAACAGACTAATGGTCTTTTAAAAACACACCTCACCAAGCTCAGCCACCAATTTAAAAAGGACTGGACAATACTTTTACCACTTTCCCTTCTCAGAAGTCAGACCTGTCCTCAGAATGCTACAAGGTACAGCCCATTTGAGCTCCTGTATAGATACTCCTTTTTATTAGGCCCCAGTCTCATTCCAGACACCAGACCAACTTAGACTGTGCCCCAAAAAACTTGTCATCCCTACTATCTTCTGTCTAGTCATACTCCTATTCACCATTCTCAACTACTCATACATGCTCTGCTCTTGTTTACACTGCCAGTTTACACTGTTTCTCCAAGCCATCACAGCTGATATCTCGTCATGCTATCCCCAAACTGCCACGCTAAACTCTTGAAGTAAATAAATAATCTTTGCTAGCAGGACTATGCTGAATCTCCTTAGGCACTCTCTAATCAGATGTCCTAGGTCCTCCCAATTCTTAGACCTTTTATACCTGTTTTTCTCCTTCTCTTATTCCATTTAGTTTTTCAATTCATACAAAACTGTATCCAGGCCATCACCAATAATTCTAAATGACAAATGTTTCTTCTAACAACCCCACAATATCACCCCTTACCACAAAATCTTCCTTCAGCTTAATCTCTCCCACTCTAGGTTCTCATGCCGCCCCTAATCCTGCTCAAAGCAGCCCTGAGAAATATCGCCCATCCATACCACCCCCAAAAATTTTCGCCGTCCCAACACTTTACAACTATTTCATTTTATTTTTCTTATTAATATAAGAAGACAGGAATGTCAGGCCTCTGAGCCCAAGCTAAGCCATTATATCCCCTGTGACCTGCACATACACATCCAGATGGCCAGTTCCTGCCTTAACTGATGACATTCCACCACAAAAGAAGTGAAAATGGCCTGTTCCTGCCTTAACTGATGACATTGTCTTGTGAAATTCCTTCTCCTGGCTCATCCTGGCTCAAAAGCTCCCCCAGTGAGTACCTTGTGACCCCCACTCCTGACCGCCAAAGAACAACCCCCTTTTTTCATTTACCTACCCAAATCCTATAAAGTGGCCCCACCCCATCTCCCTTTGCTGACTCTCTTTTCAGACTCAGCCTGCCTGAACCCAGGTGAAATAAACAGCCTTGTTGCTCACACAAAGCCTGTTTGGTGGTCTCTTCACACGGGCGTGCATGAAAGGCCACAAAACAAGTCTCAATAAATTGAAGAAAATTGAAATTATATTAAATACTCTCTCAGATCACACTGGAATGAAATTGGAAATTAACTCTAAAGGGAACCCTCAAAATTTTACAAATACATGATGTAAATTAAATAATCTGCTCCTTTGGGTCAACAGTGAAGTCAAGATGGAAATTCAAAAATTATTTGAACTGAAAGATAAAGTGACATAACCTATCAAACCGTCTGGGATACAGCAAAAGCGGTACTAAAAGAAAAGTTAATAACATTAAATGCCTACATCAAAAAGTCTGAAAGAACTCAAATAGATAATCTAAGCTCACACTTCAAGGAAACAGAAACAAGAACAAAACAAATCCAAACCCAGCAGAAGAAAATAAATAACAAAGATCAGAGCAGAAATAAATGAAATGGAAATAACAAAAACAATACAAAAGATAACTGAAACAAAAGCTGGTTCTTTGAAATCATAAACAAAATCAATAGACCATTAGCAATATTAACCAAAAAGAGAAGAGAGAAGATCCAAATAACTCAATTAGAAATGAAATGGGAGATATAACAAATGATACCACAGAAATATAAAAGATCATTCAAGACTACTATGAACACCTTTAGGTGCACAAACTAGAAAACCTAGAGGAGATTGATAAATTCCTGAATTTATAAAACTCTCCTAAAGTAGGAAGAAATAGAAACTCTGAACAGACCAATAACAAGTAGCAAGATTGAAACAGTAATAAAAATATTGCCTACAAAACAAAAGTCCAGGACCAGATGGATTCACAGCTGAATTCTATCATACATTCAAAGAACAATTTGTACCAATCCCACCGAAACTATTCCAAAAGATAGAAAGAGGAACTGCTTCTTATATCATTCTGTGAAGCCAGTATTACCCAAATACCAAAGCCAGGAAAGGACATAACAAAAAAAGAAAACTACAGACCAATATCAATAATAAACATAGATACAAAAAGTCTCAACAAATAAAACCAGCTAACAGAATGCAACAGCATATCAAAAAGATAATACCCCATGATCAAATGGGTTTCACATCAAGAATACAAGGTTGATTTAACATATACAAGTCAATAAATGTGATATACCACATAAACAGAATTAAAAACTAAAATCACATGATCATCTCAATAGAGACAGAAAAAGCATTTGACAAAATCCAACATCCCTTTATGATTAAAACCCATAGCAAAATCAACATAGAAGGGACCTACCTTAACATAATAACAGCCATCTATGACAAACCCACAGCCAACATTATACTGAACGGGGAAAAGTTGAAAGCTTTCCCCTGAGAACTGGAACAAGACTAGGATACCCACTTTCACTGCTTCTATTTCACGTAGTACTGGAAGTCCTAACCAGAGCAATCAGACAAGGAAAAAAAATGCATCAAAAGTGGTAAAGAGGAAGTCTAACTGTTGCTGTTCACTGATGATATGATTATATACCTAGAAAACCCAAAAGACTCATCCAAAAAGCTCCTAGATTTGATAAATGAATTCAGTAAAATTTTGGGATACAAAATCAATGTACACAAATCAGTATCGCTGCTACACACCAACAGTGACCAAGCTGAGAATCAAATTAAGAACTCAACCCCTTTTACAAAAGGTGCAAAATGAAAATACAAATAAAAATAAAATTCTTAGGACTATACATAAGCAAAGAGGTAAAAGACCTCTACAAGGAAAACTACAAAACGCAGCTGAAAGAAGTCATAAATAATACAAACAAATGGAAACACATCCCATCCCATGCTTATGGATGGGTAGAATAATATTGTGAAAATGACCATACTGCCAAGAGCAATCTATAAATTCAATACAATTCCCATCAAAATACCATCATTATTCTTTAAAGAACTAGAAAAACAATCCTTAAATTCATATGGAACAAATAAAAAGCCCACATAGCCAAAGCAAGACTAAGCAAAAAGAACAAATCTGGAGGCATCACATTACCTGATTTCAAGCTATACTGTAAGGCCACAGTCACCAAAATAGCATGGTATTGGTATAAAAATAGGCACATAGACCAATGGAACAGAATAGAGAATGCAGAATGAGAAATAATCTTGCTAAGAGAGAGAACAGAATCTTGTGGAGTTTGAAAATAACTCTATAAATTTAGTATGGATGGCTTTTTTACAGATAGTATGAAGTAAACCACGGTAGGCTGAACTATGACCCCACAAAGATGCTCCAAGTCTGAATCCATGGAACCTGTGAGTCAATTTACTTACGTGGTAAAGGAGGCTTTGTATATGTGATTAAGTATTTTAAGATGGGGAGGTGATCCTGGATTAGCCAGTTGGGGCTGACAGAATCATACATTTCCTTATAAGCAGGAAGCAAAGGAATCAGAGTTAGAAAAGAGATATAGTGACAGAACTAGAAGTTGGAGTGATACACTGTGAACCAAGGAATGAAAACAGCTGCTAGAAGCTGGGAAAGGCCAGGAAACAGATTTTCTCCTAAAGCCTCTAGAAGGAATACCATGATTTTGGACTCCTGGCATCCATAACTTTAAGAAAATAAAACTACATTGTTTTAAGTCACTAAGTTTGTAGTTATTTGTTATAGCAATGATAAGAACTAATACAGTAATCTATCCAGCAAGTGATAAATTTAGAATTTAAAAGATCTGTTAACACAGTATCTCCACTATCATATTTCAATTTATCCTTAAAATAAGTGGATAATTTCTGAAGTTCATCACAACTTAAAAATGTATGATTCTATATATAAGACTAGATGATCATAATAGAGCAAATGAAAGATTTTTTGTGAACCAGTTTTTGTAGCAAATGAGTAACTTTAGCTTATACATAGTGACAAATAGTTAAAACATATCATTATCTACAATAAATTCCTCCTAAATCCCTGAATGCTCCAGAATGTTTACTAATTAATGTATCTTCTTAAAATATGTAATTACATAAGCAGAAAAATGTTAAAAGCCAGAAACATGCTGTGACAAAAGGACATTGTGGATTCAATCAGTGTGCATTTAGAATAACAGATTCTGAAGCCAGGGGCAAAAGAAAAAAATGTCTCATGAGGTAATTTTATCTCTAATCTATAATCAATAAAAAGGGAACAAATTATGTACAATCCATCACCTTTAAATTGAGCTGTGAATTTTAACTGTTTTAGAAATAATTAAATGAAATCCATTTGCACAATTACCTAAATGTATAGTTTCCTTTATGTGACTAAAATTATTATTTTGTGGGGCAATGAACCATGAACAATTAATTGTGGTGTTAAATATTAAAACTGTGCCTTAATATTATACAAAATAGTTTATAACTGTATAATTATAAAATTACTGTGCTATGACCACTTAGAATTGTTGAAGTTTGGTGGGCTTCTCTAAAAAAAGAATGTAGCAAATAGTCATACATTTGTAATTTTAAATATAAAGAAGATGTGGAAGGACAATTCAATGTGTACAATGTAATCAGTTTTTATCTTTTGAATTTAGATAATCTTTCTATACTAAGTTCTAATAGTAAGCTGTACCCAGACTCTGTTGAACATGAAACATCAATGAAAATAATTAGATCTTGTCAAATAAATAAAACTAATTATGTTCTCATTTATCTATATGAATAATTTATGTTCTGACAGCAATTCTAGATGTAAAGTCTGTAAGAACTAGAACTTTAAAATGTGTATTTAAATTTAATTGATATTGCTAAGTATAATGATGATAGAGTTTTTTATGAAGACAAACATTAGGTTCAAATTATAGTTTCCTGAATAGTTAAGTCCTCTACGAGGATCATAGAACACAGTTCTTGGTTTAATATATTAAGGCTATGAAGAAAACTGAAAATACAAGGTAGATAATTTATGACAAAAAAATACAAATTTTTTAAAATATGGCAGTCTCTACCAACACCAAACATTATATAACAGCAGGTGAATTACTCATTTACTTGCCATTTACTTTATTTCCATATCATTATTACAGATAATCTTACTGTTACAGAATTTTTTGCAAATGCTGATTTCTGTCCACAGGATTGGTTATTTGAAGTATGCAGTATAAGGACCATAATTTTGCAAACAAATAACAAGAGGTAATACAATAACAAAGAATTATGAATATAGGAATCCATACAAAGGGCGTGCAGTCTCTACTATGTAAATATTTTGTATTTTGTGATTTTAGTCAAGTCCTTTGATTGGGAAGCATTTAGAACAAGAGAATCTTCTCGGGAACCTGTGTTTTGTCTTAGGAATATTCAAGAATATGTGAAAGTCTTTCACTGGTTGAAGCTAGATAAATCTTTATATCTTATTCATATATTCATTTATTGTTAGTAAACTTATTATTCATATATTAATTTAGTCTTCAGTAAGACCTGATGCCTGTTTCCACACTTTCTGATGAAGTCTAAAACCTTCTCTAAACGATTTTTGAATATAAAAGGAAGCAACAGATGCACAGTAAAAACAAAGGTGGAAATTCCTTTGTGTCACCTCAGAAGATGATCTTTCTTTGCAATCGACCACTAAGTAAATGTGTTTAGCATACATGTTAGCAGAATGACCTGGAAATAATTTGTACAACTCTAGAATATCCTTATTAAAAGGAAGTTATAGGCAGGATGCGGTGGCTCACGCCCGTAATCCCAGCACTTTGGGAGGCCTAGGTGGGCAGATCACGAGGTCAGGATATCGAGACCATCCTGGCTAACACGGTGAAACCCCGTCTCTATTAAAAATACAAAAAAATAGCCGGGCATGGTGACACGCACCTGTAGTCCCAGCTACTCAGGAGGCTGAGGCAGGAGAATTGCTTGAACCTGGGAAGCGGAGGTTGCAGTGAGCTGGGATCACGCAACTGCACTCCAGCCTGGGCAACAGAGCCATACTCTGTCTCAAAAAAATAACAAAAAGGAAGTTATAACCAGACACTGTAGCTCACACCTATATTTCCAGCACAGGAGGGTGAGGTGAGAGGATCACTTGAGGTCAGGAGTTTGAGACCAGCTTTGGCAACATAGCAAGTCCTTGTCTCTACAAAATAATTTAAAAATAGCTCAGCATGGTGGCACATACCTGTAATCCCACTACTTTGGGGACTGAGGCAGAAAAATCAATTGAGCCCAGTAGGTTGAAGCTACAGTGAGCTATGATTGCACCATTGCACTCCAGCCTGGGCAGCAGAGTAAGACACTGGCTCCACACTCAAAAAAAGGAAGTTATAGAAATATGTAATATTACCAAGTCATAATCAAAGATACAGTTCATTTCCTAGATCCTTGGCCTTTTCTTAGTATCAAGGCATTACCCAAGATAAGCCTTGTCTAACTTATTTTTTATACTTATCTATATTGCAGAATGTAGCCCATGTTGGTAGACAACAATGGTATATTGAAAGATTGAATATTAAATTAACATTTATTTTCAGTATAGAGCTTGCCATTTTAATTAAGTACCTTATGTTTAAAATACCAGTTTTATGCTACAAGTAAATCAGTAGAACTCCAAATTTTGAGAGAAACTTGGTGTATTAGTTCATTCTCAAACTGCTATAAAGAACTGTCCAAGACTGAGTAAATGATAAAGGAAAGAGATTTAATTGACTCACAGTTCCGCAGGGCTGGGGAAGCCTCAGGGAGCTTGCAATCATGGTGGAAGGGGAAGCAAACATGTTCTTCTTCACATGGTGGTGGGAAGAGGAATGATTGAAGAGGGAAGCCCCTTATAAAACTATCAGATCTCATGAGGACCTACTCACTATCATGAAAATAGCATGCAGGAGACCACCCCCATGATTCAATCATCTCCTACCATGTCCCTCCCAGGACACATGGGGATTATGGGAACTACAATTCAAGATAAGATTTCAGTGGGGACACAGCCAAACCATATCACTTGCCATCTTAGAATTTTCCATTAAACAGTCCATCAAAAGCTTTTATGACAGTATAAGGAAACACGAGTGAAATATAAGAAAATGGAAAATACGTTGAAGCTCATGGGGGAAAAGGCCTTGTGGTAGACTTAAAAATGTTCCCACAAAAGATATCTATGTTCTAAACCCTGAAACGTATAAATGTTACTATATTTAGGAAAAGGTATTTTGCAGATATGATTAAATTAAGGATTTTGATATGAGAGGGTCATCCCAGATAAGCCAGGTGGACCCTAAATAACATCCTAAATGTACTTATAAGAGAAGCAGAGGGAGATTACACACTGAGAAGAGGGAAAGGTAATGTGACCCCCCAGGCAGAGATTGGAGAGTTGGAGACACAGCCAAGTAATGCTGGTAGCCGCCAGAAGCTGAAAGAGGAAAGAAACAGACTGTCTCCTAAAACCTGCAGATTGAGCATGACCCTGTGGAACCATGGTTGCAGCCCAGTGATACTGAAGTTAGACTTGTGGCTTTCAGAATTGTGAGAGAATACATTTCTATTATTTCGAGGTAATTTGTTAGAGTAGCTTCAGGAAACTAATACAGCCCTCCAAAAATAGACAAACAATTACTGCATATTGAAAGCAGAATGCTAGTCAGGATTTCAACAGTTTGCCCCAGCATATCTCTTCCCCTCCTTGATTAGAATGATAAATGGAAACTGGGTATTGCTATAAGAAACTAAAACTATGTCAACATTTTATGTTTTTCTAATTGTTTAAGAATTTGACCAAAAATTTGGACAAAAATTGGAGAGAAAGTGAATTACTTTGGTAAATTCAATATATTTAATTTTACTGGTATGGTTTTGTGGGTTTATAATGAAATATGTTATATGTAAGCCTAATTTCCAAATACTAAAATAAACATTTTGGACTGGTACTTCGGTACAAGTTAAATGTTTCATCAATGAAATGATAAAATATTTTTAAGCGTCTTATTGTTTCTTTCTCCTGCCTGATTGCCCTGGCCAGAACTTCCAACACTATGTTGAATACGAGTGGTGAGAGAGGGCATCCCTGTCTTGTGCCAGTTTTCAAATTCATTCAAAGGGAATGCTTCCAGTTTTTGCCCATTCAGTATGATATTGGCTGTGGGCTTGTCAAAAATAGCTCTTATTATTTTGAGATACATCCCATCAATACCTAATTAATTGAGAGTTTTTAGCATGAAGGGCTGTTGAATTTTGTTGAAGGCCTTTTCTGCATCTATTGAGATAATCATGTGGTTTTTGTCTTTGGTTCTGTTTATATGATGGATTACGTTTATTTATTTACGTATGTTGAACCAGCCTTGCATCCCAGGGATGAAGCCCACTTGATGGTGGTGGATAAGCTTTTTGATGTGCTGCTGAATTTGGTTTGCCAGTATTTTATTGAGGATTTTTGCATCGATGTTCATCAGGGATATTGATCTAAAATTCTCTTTTTTTGTTGTGTCTCTGCCAGGCTTTGGTATCAGGATGATGCTGGCCTCATAACATGAGTTAGGGAAGATCCTTTCTTTTTCTATTGATTGGAATAGTTTCAGAAGGAATGATACCAGCTCCTCTTTGTACCTCTGGTAGAATTCGGCTGTGAATCCATCTGGTCCTGGACTTTTTTTGGTTGGTAGGCTATCAATTATTGCCTCAATTTCAGAGCCTGTTATTGGTCTATGCAGGGATTCAACTTCTCCCTGGTTTAGTCTTGGGAGGGTTTATGTGTGGAGGAATTTATCCATTTCTTCTAGATTTTCTAGTTTATTTGCGTAGAGATGTTTATAGTATTCTCTGATGGTAGTTTGTATTTCTGTGGGATCGGTGGTGATATCCCCTTTATCATCTTTTATTGCGTCTATTTGATTCTTCTCTCTTTTCTTCTTTATTAATCTTGCTAGCAGTCTATCAACTTTGTTGATCTTTTCAAAAAACCAGCTCCTGGATTCACTGATTTTTTTGAAGGGTTTTTTTGTATCTCTATCTCATTCAGTTCAGCTCTGATCTTAGTTATTTGTTGCCTTCTGCTGGCTTTTGAATGTGTTTGTTCTTGCTTCTCTAGTTCTTTTAATTGCGATGTTAGGGTATCAATTTTAGATCTTTCCTGCTTTCTCTTGTGGGCATTTAGTGCTATAAATTCCCTCTACACACTGCTTTGAATGTGTCCCAGAGATTCTGGTATGCTGTGTCTTTGTTCTCATTGGTTTCAAAGAACATCTTTATTTCTGCCTCCATTTCCTTATGTATCCAGTAGTCATTCAGGAGCAGGTTGTTCAGTTTCCATGTAGTTGAGTGGATTTGAGTGGGTTTCTTAATCCTGAATTCTAGCTTGATTGCACTATGGTCTGAGAGACAGTTTGTTATAATTTCTGTTCTTTTATATTTGCTGATGAGTGCTTTACTTCCAACTATGTGGTCAATTTTGGAATAAGTGTGATGTGGTGCTGAGAAGAATGTATAATCTGTTGATTTGGGGTGGAGAGTTCTGCAGATGTCTATTAGGTCTGCTTGAGTTCAATTCCTGGAAATTGAACAGAGCTGAGTTCAATTCCTGGAAATCCTTCTTAACTTTCTGTCTCGTTGATCTGTCTAATGTTGACAGTGGGGTGTTAAACTCTCCCATTATTATTCTGTGTGAGTCTAAGTCTGTAGGTCTCTAAGGACTTGCTTTATGAATCTGGCTGCTCCTGTATTAGGTGCAGATATATTTAGGATAGTTAGCTCTTCTCATTGAATTTATCCCTTTACCATTATGTAATAGCCTTCTTTGTCTCTTTTGATCTTTGTTGGTTTAAAGTCTGTTTTATCAGAGACTAGGATTGCAACCCCTCCTTTTTTTTGTTTCCATTTGCTTGGTAGATCTTCCTCCATCCCTTTATTTTGAACCTGTATGTGTCTCTGCATGTGAGATGAGTCTCCTGAATACAGCACACTGATGTGTCTTGACTCTACCCAATTTGCCAGTCTGTGTCTTTTAATTGGAGCATTTAGCCCACTTACATTTAAGGTTAATATTGTTATGTGTATTCAAATAGGAAAAAAGGAAGTCAAATTGTCCCTCTTTGCAGATGACATGATTGTATATTTAGAAAATCCCGTTGTATCAGCCCAAAATCTCCTTAAGCTGATAGGTAACTTCAGCAAAGTCTCAGGATACAAAATCAATGTGCAAAAATCACAAGCATTCCTATACACCAATAACAGACAAACAGAGAGCCAAATCATGAATGAACTCCCATTCACAATTGCTTCAAAGAGAATAAAATACCTAGGAATCCAACTTACAAGGGATGTGAAGGACCTCTTCAAGGAGAACTACAAACCACCGCTCAACGAAATAAAAGAGGACACAAACAAATGGAAGAACATTCCATGTTCATGGATAGGAAGAATCAATATCATGAAAATGTCCATACTGCCCAAGGTAATTTATAGATGCAATGCCATCCCCATCAAGCTACCAATGAGCTTCTTCACAGAATTGGAAAAAACTACTTTAAAGTTCATATAGAACCACAAAAGAGCCCACATTGCCAAGACAATCCTAAGCCGAAAGAACAAAGCTGGAGGCATCACACTACCTGACTTCAAACTATACAAGGCTACAGTAACCAAAACAGCATGGTACTGGTACCAAAACAGAGATATAGACCCATGGAACAGAACAGAACGACAGAAATAACACCACACATCTACAACCATCTGATCTTTGAGAAACCTGACAAAAACAAGCAATGGGGAAAGGATTCCCTATTTAATAAATGGTGCTGGGAAAACTGGCTAGCCATATGTAGAAAGCTGAAACTGGATCCCTTCCTTACACCTCATGCAAAAATTAATTCAAGATGGATTAAAGACTTAAATGTTAGACCTCAAACCATAAAAACCCTAAAAGAAAACCTAGGCAATACCATTCAGGACATACGCATGGACAAGGACTTCATGTCTAAAACACCAAAAGCAATGGCAACAAAAGCCAAAATTGACAAATGGGATCTAATTAAACTAAAGAGCTTCTGCACAGCAAAAGAAACTACCATCAGAGTGAACAGGCACCCTACAGAATAAGAGAAAGTTTTTGCAATCTACCCATCTGGCTAATATACCCAAAGCTAATATACTCAAAGGTGTATTATACCCAAAGCTAACATACCCAAAGGTATATTGGCTAATAATACCCAAAGGGCTAATATCCAGAATCTACAAAGAACTTAAACAAATTTACAAGAAAAATATCAAACAACCCCATGAAAAAGTGGGTGAAAGATATGAACAGACACTTCTCAAAAGAAGACATTTATGCAGCCAAAAAACACATGAAAAAATGCTCATCATCACTGGCCATCAGAGAAATGCAAATCAAAACCACAATGAGACACCATCTCACACCAGTTAGAATGGCAATCATTAAAAAGTCAGGAAATAACAGGTACTGTAGAGGATGTGGAGAAATAGGAACACTTTTACACTGTTGGTGGGACTGGAAACTAGTTCAACCATTGTGGAAGACAGTGTGGCAATTCCTCAAGGATCTAGAACTAGAAATACCATTTGACCTAGCTATCCCATTACTGGGTATATACCCAAAGGATTATAAATCATGCTGCTATAAAGACACATGCACACATATGTTTATTGCAGCACTATTCACAATAGCAAAGACTTGGGACCAACCAAAATGTCCATCAATGATAGACTGGATTAAGAAAATGTGACACGTATACACCGTGGAATACTATGCAGCCATGAAAAAGGATGAGTTCATTTCCTTTGTAGGGACATGGATGAAGCTGGAAACCATCATTCTGAGCAAACTATCATAAGGACAGAAAACCAAATACTTTATGTTCTCACTCATAGGTGGGAATTGAACAGTGAGAACGCTTGGACACAGGAAGGGTAACATCACACACCAGGGCCTGTTGTGGGGTGATGGGAGAGGGGAGGGGTAGCATTAGGAGATATACCTAATGTAAATGATGAGTTAATGGGTGCAGCACACCAACATGGTACATGTATACATATGTAACAAACCTGCACATTGTGCACATGTACCCTAGAACTTAGAGTATAATTATAATAAAAAAATCTTATTATAAGGAGTGATTAGAGAATATCAGTTAATAGGATTAAGACAGAAATAACCTGGTTCCATCCCTTAGCATATTTTGATTTTAAAATATTATTAATTTTTATAAACCTTTATGTTTTATTAGTTATTATATTGATTAATTGATCCAGTATCAAATTAAGGTTTTTAGCTATATGTTTATGATGTTTTTGCTCTCAAATTTTCCATTATTTGCTAAGGTTTTCCGTACCAGACTGATTTTTTAAATGTCATGTGAATGTCAATCAAATAATTTTTGAAGAGAGATTTTTAAAACTACATGTATATTTTAAATGCCTTGGAAAATAGCATTAGAGCTGAAAAGATATTTTTAACAGCATAGTTTTAGATATATTTTAAAACATAGGTATATATTGTCTAAATTTTACCAATTATTGCTTTTTTTAGACTATGTATTTTATTGTCCTTAAATATGTCAAGTCTGAGTTCCTCCATCACTGTAACTCCAAAGTGATGGACATTATTTCATCATCACTGCTTGCTACAGTCTGAAGCTGTCCCACAAAAGTTCATGCTTTGGAAATTAAACTCCAGTGTGCATATGCCTTCATGAATTGAATTAGAGACCTTATTAAAGGGCTGGAGAGAACAAGTTATTCCCTTTGTGCCTTTTCATCTCTTCCAGTATCTGAAGACACAGTGGTTGCCCTCGAGGAGGACACAACAACAAGGCACCACCTTGGAAGCAGAGACTGGGCCCTCACTAAACCCATCAGTGCCTGCAAGAAATAAAGTTCTGTTTTTGATAGACTACCCAGGCTCAGGTATTTTGTTATAGCAGCCCAAATGGACAAAGACAATGCTATATCCCTGACAAACAGCACAGTATTTGTTATATAGTAAGTGTTCAGGGATACTTACCATATCAACTTCAAGGATACTTACTTTCATTCAACTAAGTATTCAGTTAAATGAAATATAATTGTTACGATGTTATTACCAAGAAAATTTCCAGGCCATTACACAAGTGATTAAAAGGGTACTGTTTAATCCTGTCCAAACTGGATTGATGTGGTCTGGAGTAATTATTGAGATTCCTTTTATCCTTCTTTTCATAGAAATTATTCAACAATTTAAAATCAGAAATAAAAGTGTCACAGGAATAATATAAAATTTTATTGAAGTATAAATAAAATAAAATGCACAAGTCTTGAACAGATCAGTGAGTTTTAACAATTGAATTACACTCATGTAACCACCATCCAAATTGAAAGATGATGGTCTTTATGCTAGAATCTTTACTCCTATCTCTTTTATTTCTATTCTTGAATTAATGTAAACAACATCATTCAATATAGGTTTGTTTGTGTGATTGTGTCTAGCTCCTTTTACTCAGCATAATTTTTTTCTTTTTTCTTTTGACAGGGCCTCACTCCCAGTTGCTCAGGCTGGAGTGCAATGGCACGATCTTGGCTCACTGCAGCCTCGACTTCCCAAGCTCAGGTAATTCTCTCAGCTCACCTTCCTGAGTAGCTGGCACTAGAGGCACGTGCCACCATGCTTGGCTAATTTTTTGTGTTTTAGTAGGGGCAGGGTTTTGCTATGTTGCCCAGGCTGGTCTCAAACTCTTGGTCTAAAGCGATCTCCCCTCCTTAGCTTCTCAGTGTTAGGATTACAAGTGTGAGCCACCCCACCCAGCCTGCATAATTTCCTTTTTATGATTCACCCATGTTGTTGCAGGTATCCATAGTATGTACGTTTTGTTGTTGTATAGTATTACATTGAAAAAATATATAACAGTTTATTTGTCCAACAGATTGTTTGTCCAGTAAATGTTTGTTGACATTTAGTTGTTTCTAGTTTTGGGCTACTATAAATAAAGCTGTTAGGGATCTTCCTGTGTAAGATTTTTGTGAACATATATTTTTATTTTAGTTATGTAAATATACAAGACTGTTTGCTGGGTAATACGGTAGATATATTTTTAACTTAATAGAAAACTGTCAAGCAACTTTCAAAAATGTTTATGTCATTTTATCTTCCCATCAGAAATGCATGACATTTTCAGTTGTTTTATAAAGTTGGCAATATTCAGTATTGTGAATGTTTTTCTTTTTCCTCTTTGAGTATATGTGAATTGGCATCAAAATGTGTTGGAATTTAAACCTTTATCATGTAATTGTGTTAAACACATTTTGATGGGTGTATTAACCATTAGTATATCTTTCTGACCAATTGTATATTTATATATTATATATACACATACATATATATAGATATATAGATAAATAGATATAGGTATAGGTAGATTGTATGTGTGTGTGTTTATATAGATATAGTGTGTATATCATTGGCAGAAATCTTTACATGTTATGGATAGGAATCCTTTGTGACATAAATGTATTGAGGATATTTTATCTTATGGTTGGATTTACCTGTTCTATTTTAAACATCCTCTGGTAATCAGAAATTATTTTTCTTAAGTAAAATATATCATTTTCCTCTTATGTGTTATCATTTTGTTACTTGTACAAAACATATATTTGCTTATTCCAAGATCAAAAAGCTCTACTCCTGTATTAGCAGGGGTTCTCCAGAGAGACGAAACAAATAGGATATATAAAGATATATGAGAAGATTTACTATCGGAATTGGCTCACATGACTGTGGAATCCAAGACATGCTGTTTGCAAGCCGAAGAACCAGGAAAGTCAGTAGTGCAACTCAGTTTTCATTGGAAGGCCTGAAAACCAGGGGAACCTATGGTATAACTGCCAGTTTGAGACTGCAAACATTAGAAGCTTTCATGTCTGAGGGCAGAAGATGAATAATCTGGCTCCAGAAGATAAAGATAATTCAACTTTCTCAGCTTTTTTGTCCTATCCAAGCCCTCAAGGATTTGCATGATGTCTGCCCGTATTGTTGAGGGACAATTTTATTTTCTCAGTCCACTAATTCTAAGGCTAATCTCTTCCAGAAACACTCTCACAGACATACCCAGAAATAATATTTTTACTAGCTACTTGGGTATCCCTTAACAAAGGCAAGTTGTCACATAAAAGTAATAATCACAAGTCTTAGATTTTCTTTAGAATGTGTGATGGTTAATATTGAGTGTCAACTTGATTGGATTGAAGGATGCAAGGTATTGATTCTGGGTGTGTCTGTGAGGGTGTTTCAGAGGAGGTGAACATTTGAGTCTGTGGACTAGGAGAGGCAGACCCACCCTTAACCTGGGTTGGCACAATCACCTTGGCTTCCAGCACAGCTAGAAAAAAAGCAGGGAGAAGAAGGTGGAACGAGCAGAATTTCTGAGTCCTCTGGCCTCCACCTTTCTCCCGTGCTGGATGCTTCCTGCCCTGGAACATCAGATTCCAAGTTCTTCAGCTTTTGAACTCTTGGACTTACACTTGTGGTTTGCCAGGGACTCAGACCATTGGCCACAGATTGAAAGCTGCACTGCCGGCTTCCCTACTTTTGAGGCTTTGGGACTTAGAATGATCCACTACTGGCTTCCTTGCTCTTCAACTTTCAGATGGCCTATTATAGGACATTACCTTGTTATTGTGTGAGTCAATTCTCCTTAATAAACTCCCTCTCATATATACATATATCCTGTTAGTTCTGTCCCTCTAGATAACTCTGACTAATATAGACGGTTTGTCATTCTAGTTGGTTTGGGTTCATTTTAAATTTGGTAATTATATATGTGTGTGCAAACTTAGACAATATATATTTTATATTGAAATATTTGGACATTTAAGTCTATAAAAATTTTGGCCATTTTCTCTACAAATATTTCTTCAAGCCCATTACCATTTACTGTCTGTGAACCTAATTACATATGTATTAAACATTTTATATTATCCCATACATCTCAGACCCTCTCTTTATTTTATTATTATTTTTGTGCCGCAACTTGGTTAATTTTTAGTGACCTGTTTTCAAGTTCACCATCCTTTTTTCTTTGCTGTTGAGGTAGAGTAATTTAACCTATACTAGAGGTAGTTCTGTGTTTTTTTTTCCTATTTTTATTCACTTAATCACTGGCTTCAAATTTTTTTTAACAGAATAAGACTGTTTTTAAGGCAAGAGTTGGGGTCTGAGTACTGGTGATACTCCCAAGACCCTCTCTCCGCTTTATAACCCAGCTACCATCTTTTGGGGATGATCAGGTGTGTTCTTGAACCTCTAGCCCACTTCTAGCTTTATGTACCTCAGGAAGTCTCTCTTAATCTTGTTACCCTTCTGTGGCCTTTATTGGGTACTGATTTCACTTGGTGAAGCTTTTGTGTGCTTAGGGGGATTTCTCTCAGTTATCATGATATTTATACTACCTTTCTGGGGCTCTTGCTGTGAACTCAGCAAAGTCTTTCTGTTCCTCTGGGGGAACTCTCTGGGCTGTCTTTTTCTGTCCCCAGTAACTTGCAGACTACTATCATGCACTCTCAGAAAGTTCCCCTGAATTTTCAGGTATTACTCTCAATTTTCCAGTACTACCCTCCTGAGTAGAGTAAGATTATAAAGGCAAGATTATAATTCTATCAGCAAAATCAGTGTGAGGGCAAGACATAATGACTTTTAATGGATTTTAGGTATATATTTTTAATAAGGCTTGTACTGTATCTTGTGAATAAAGACTGTAAGTGAAGTGGGAGCCCAACTATAATCTATTTATCCAGAAATACACACCTCCTGAGTGAGCTGTTGCTGTCCATTCAGAAAGGACCCCCTGCGTACCTTGAGGAGTTTCCCTTAGTTCTTTTCACCTGTTTCTACTTAAATGAGTCACTATTTTGTTCTTGCAAGGTATAACTAGATATGCCTCAGGTTGTTTCCCTCAGCATTTCTACCCTTCCCTAAACTGCCAGCTGCTGACTTTCAGTTCATAAAGATATGTTCCTAGGTGTTATTTCCCAGTGCAATACCCTTGCTTCCACTTATGATGTACTAATGCTCTGCACTTGGCAAAACCCCCTAAGGACAGAGTTGGCAGTGAATTACTGTGATTCACATTCCTCAAAATTGTAATTGGTTAGGCTTATTTTAAAGACATGGCCCTTAAAAGTTTATTAAAAATTACACTGGTTAATCCTTACCCAGTTTATATAGTGTTGGCTTCTCCTTGTGCCATACTCAAAATTGTTAGCAACTGTCGACTTCATGACTAAAATTTATTTCATTTAAGTTTCTTTGCATCCACAGATCACTGATTTATTTTATTAGTTTTCTTCATTGTTATTGTAGGAATAATGCTCTCTTGCAAATTTCTACCTTCTAATCAGAATAGAAAGCCAAATCCGTATGTGTTTTACCTTCCTCAATTTTTGCTTTATGGACTAAGTGCTTGAGGGAGATGGATATTATTATTTTATAGGTCCATGTACTATAAAATTAGATTTTTCCAAAAAAAATCTCATATTTATGATGTATAATGAAATTATATACGCTTGTCCTGGAATATAGCAAATGAGAACAATCTTGAAAGAATCTGTGATTAGAGAAATATAAAATTAACAGTTAAATTTATTTGAGCTGTAATGAGTAATCTGTTGCTGGCCCTTTTCCCTTTTGAAATTCAGTGGCTCTTAATAAAATGAAATAAAAGTTGGGCTTTTTATCTGTCATGGGGCTTTTCCGTTATAGTTCATCAATTAAGCACTACCGTTCTGCCTAAGTATAATGACTCTCTCTATACCTAGTTTTAAAACACCAATTGATAGTAATGCCCTATCATAGCATATCATTAAAACTAATTATTAAAGGAAAAGAATCCCCCCCAACCTCAGGTAACCTAGAGTTACCTGAGGTTTATTTGATGATGAAGAAGTGGTGTATTTCTGGATAAGTAGATTACAGTTGGGCTCCCACTTCGCTTACAGTCATTAAATTATTCACAAGATACAGTACAAGCCTTATTAAAAATATATACCTAAAATCCATTAAAAGTCATTATGTCTTGCCCTCACACTGATTTTGCTGATATAATTATAATCTTGCCTTTATAATCTTACTCTACTCAGGAGGGAAAATATTTTTTAAAATAATTTCCAGTTACATGAGTGTAATAAATATTTTTGTGTGACTAAAGAAGGTCATTGACTTCACATTTACATTCAAAATTATTTTCTTGTTTAAAATGATCGTTCCACCCATGCCATTGTTTATTGAAGTGACAACATCTGAAATTTGAATTTAATGAAAACAAATAATGAGACAACAGGTATAATGATATAAATTTCTGTTTCTTAAAATGTATTTTCCATCTAAGTTGTTGAAAAAGCTGTGGGTAGTTTAGGCATTATCTAATTCAGTGATTCTAAAGCTTTTGGTTTTAGGATTTCTGTACACTATTAAAGAGCTTTATATACCTTATATATTAAAGAGCTTTAGTCTATATTGGTTATATGTGTCAACAGTTAAAATATTAAAATTCAAACTAAGAAGTTTAAACAATATATGCTCATTATTTTACTTAAAAATAACAAATTAAGTATATTACGTTATATAATGCTAATGTAGATGATATTTTGCAAAAGATAACTTTATTTTCCAAAACATTTAGTCTGTTCCCCTTAATGTTTAACTTGATACAGTTCAACCAATTTTTCATATTAACTTCTCATTCTATCTATTGCAGGATCACATGAATGTAGCCTCAGAAAATCTTTACTGTATACTCAAGACAATGAGTGAAAAGGCAAATTATACCTTCATATTATGATCAAAATAATTTCAACCAGACACATAACCCTGAGATAGTTTGGTGATCCCCAATGTATGCCTGGACCACATGTTTAGAACCATTAATCTGAAGTTTACAGTGTAAAACACTTAAATAAAATTAGTTAAGTACCTAAGAGTTTTTAGACAATTCTCCCATGAAGGCTTTTCAAATGTTTGATACTGCTATGGTTTTCTCTTTTGGTTTTGAAAATTTCTCCCAAAGACTGGCACTGTGAAAATTCTCCAACCTCTTTTCAAAGTCAATTTTAGTCATATAATATGATGTCTCTAAACTAATTACTTTTTTTTCAATTAGTTAATAGTTATACGTGGAGGGCAAAATGAGGCACTGTATCAATTTTATACAATAAATAAATAATTTACATTTTATTTTTGAATAAAGCTGTGTTTAATTTCTGTTTCTTTCCATCATGGTGCTTGATGGGTTCCCAATATTTATTGAATTAATTTTATTGAAACACCTATTAATTAAATACATGCTTACTTAGTGTGAGAGGCAGCTTCTGACATGGCTCCCAGTAACCCTACCTCTCAGTATTTATGACGTTATTCGTTTCCCTTGAGTGTGGGCTAGACCTGGTGAATTGCTTCTGACTAATAGAATTCAATAAAAACAAGATATTTCATTATAGGCTTACAAAACACTGTTTACAGACGGTCTACAAGACTTCTGTCTTGCTAGATTTCTCTCTTTCTGTTGTTGTCTCACGCCTTCTTGCTTGCTCAATCTGATGAAACAGAGTCCATGTTTCAAGATAGTCCATGGAGAGGCCCAAATGGCTAGGAATGGATGGAGGGCTCCAGACTAAAGTTTGTGAACAACTGAGGCCTCAGTCCAACAAATGCATCCCACAAGAAACTGAGTCCAGCCAACAAACACAAGAGTCAGCAAGGAAGAGGATCCTTCCCAGTTGTCTTGAGTTGACTACAGCCTGTAGCCAACCTAAGGTCAGAAGAATCAATGAAGATGTACTTAGTTTCCTGACCCACAGCATCTGTGAAATTATAACTGTTGTTAATTTAAGCCACTAAGTGTTTTGGGTAATTTGTTACACAGTAATAAATAGCTAATGCACTTAGTAAATATTGTGATAGGGATTTAAAGTGAATAAAGCAAGAACACTGCCCTTAAGGATCCTCAAAGGCTATTAGACAACATAATTCACAATATGGTTCTTTGTAGTTTTGGAAAGAAAACACTCAATGCCTAGTTGATAACCCCCCAATACTTACAAGTTCTTCTTTTACAATGGAATATTTGACATCATATCGTTTTTATCTTAAACTTTGTATCTCTTTACATTTTCTACAAATAAATGTATCCTAATACAACATGATGTTATATTTCAAAGCTTTTTGGTTCATTTTATCACAGTTTTCAACAACATTTGTCTATAGCTATCTCTATCTCTATCCTTATTCCTATCCCTATTTCTATCCCTATGTATCCCCATATCTATATCTATATATCATGTGTCTCTTTTTGTATGTATGTAAATTTAAATAGAAAATATGTTTATTTCTCATGACAATAATTGTTTAAGCATTTTAAAAGCATCTTCTGAAATCAGGTATCATTACAATAATAATAATAAGCATACAACAGATATATTACATTTTTGATAAATATTGAATATAAAAATAAAATTCTAAAACTGAACACTATTTAAATGGACAGGTCTAATACTCAAATTATTTTACATATCCCTAGATGTTATTACTTCCTGCAAGAGTAAGACAGTATTTCACAACAATTAATTACCTAGTTATTATCCTTTACATTCTCAACCCCGACACTGTTATTCATTCACTTAGTTGCTGAAATCCAAACTCCATGAGGCCAGATACTTTTTTCTGTTTTGTTTACTTATGAATTCCTATAGTAAAAGCACCATAATAATGTGTCCAGAATTTATTCCTTCCAGTGGGTTCTTGGTCTCACTGACTTTAAGAATGAAGCCGCAGACGCTTGCTGTGAGTGTCACAGCTCTTAAAGATGGTGTGTCCGGAGTTTGTTCCTTCAGTTGTTCAGATGTGTCTGGAGTTTATTCCTTCCGGCGGGTTCGTGGTCTTGCTGACTTCAGGAATGAAGCCACAGACCCTCGTGGTGAGTGTGACAACTCATAAAGGTAGTGCAGACCCAAAGAGTGAGCAGCAGCAAGATTTATTGTGAAGAGCGAAAGAACAAAGCTACCCCAGTTTGGAAGGGAACCAGAGCAGGTTGCTGCCCCTAGCTCATGTGGCCCGCTTTTATTCCCTTATTTGGCCCCACCCACATCCTGCTGATTGATCCATTTTACAGAGTGCTGATTGGTCCATTTTACAGAGTGCTGATTCGTGTGTTTACAATCCTTTAGCTAGACACAAAAGTTCTCCAAGTCCCCACCAGACCCAAAGCTCAGCTGGCTTCACGTCTCAATAAGAATAGGAGTAAGTGACAAGTTATACATTTATTTATTTATTTTGGTTGAAGTGGTATAATTCTGAGCATAAAGAAAGGTTGCTGTATGTTGCATGATGGTGAGACTTTTCTCAGGCAGATTCACTTATGAGTGAATACATATTGAAAAGATTTGAAGATTGGTGAACTTAAAAGTGTCATACACTTGTGCTCCCTTGCTGCACTCCAAGGGCCTATAGTAATAGAATGAGTACTGCTGAACAAGAATAGAGGACTTCATTAGGACTTTTTTCATTCTTACCATCCTCAACAAATTTCACTCTTGAAACAATTCCTGGACTTATAAAACTATCGGTATTTTGTAAAACCCATCTTCTGTGATCTTTTAGTTAAATTGTTGATTTATTTTCTAAACTCCAAGCAGAATCCCAATTCTCATTCATACACACCTCTTGTTGCACTGACAGTACTGAAGACTAGCTGTGCCATTGATGTTCTTAATCACAAAAGCCAGAAATCTGGAAGTCATCTTAAAGCCTCCATCAGTTAGGTCCACTACAGCTAATAAATCATCACACTGTATCTGTATTACTATCAATTAAGTTAGTAGACATTTTAGGCTCTCTTCCCTCCTGCATAGAGTCAGTTTCATTGCCACAATGTTGGCAGTCATATCCTCTTCCCTGTCCTTTTGCGAAATTTCCTAAATATTCTTCCTTCCTTTAAATGTATTTGCAGTTGTAATCTACTCTCCAAAATGCTGCTCCTATTGCCACTGTAACAAGCACTTTAGATCATATCATCTCTTCTCAAAATTCTTCAATGGGTACCTATTACTTACATGATAAAAAAGCTACATTAAGCATCCTACTCTGTATGACTCTCCATGGTATGACTTTCATGATCTGACATGAATAAACATTTGTCATAAATTTTTACTAATAAAACAATGTTGTATCAGTTACACTGAACTCCCCATTTACCATGCAGCAATACATATAGCAGCTGATGTTTTTCCACAGTGCTTTCTCAGTTTTCTATGCATTTTCCCTGATTCTCTCCACTCTTCTATCACCCTCCATGCACTTTTCAGCAACAATTAAGAGATGTCTATTATGTGACTATTGCAATGCTAAACCTTGGAGATAAAATTATGAAGTCACTGACTTTGGAGGAGTTCACAGTTTAATGATAAGGAATATTGCCCCTCTCCTAATTTTATCCCTTGAGATTTTACTTGTATTCTTAAATCTCATCTTAAATATGTCCATCTCTTTGTAAGTTAACCTGACCTTTTCAGGCAGAAGTAACTATTTCCCTTATAGTCAACATATTTCTTTTAAATACATCCAGTACACATAGCATTTGGAATATTATATTTAAAATGTGTATATGTCTAACATTTCACTGGGCTGTAAACTTCAAGTTAGGGTGTTTTTCTTTTGAGTTTCAATTTCATCTTCCATGTAAATTTGAGTACATAGTACAAGCTCAATAATATTCATTGAATTAACAAGTGCTTGAGTGCTAATCCTCTGAAAGTATTTGTAAACATTTGCAATCCATTTTCTTTATATCTTAGATCATATATAAGTTGCTGGGTTATATTAGAAGATAGCAGAATTTGATGAAAACAATGTCTTATTAAAGAAAATTAACGGTAATATATAACCACACCCTTGTCAATGTCAAGGGTTGTTAAATTTTAATGTAACTGACATTGTTTCAATTAAACTTTTCGCTTTAAAATATACTAAAGGAAGTGTTATAAAATAGAATGGGAAAGTGAGGTTCGTGATCTGTATCTCCTGATTTCTAGAACAATCAATCCTTTCTTAACTAGAGAATAATATTTTCTCTTTTTTATTCATGTGTTTTATTGCCAGCCAAAGAACAGATTTTGTTTTCTCCGCCCCTTTATCCACAGTAGAGAAAAAAAAATCCTTTCTGAAGTGTTCATAAATTTGGTTATCTAGGGCATAATTAGTAGTTCACAATGAAAAAAATATTACTATCACTGCATAATTAGTAAGTGCCTACTATGTAAATCACGGTTTGCTTTTCTGTCCATCACCAATTTAAGATGATTTTAATTCCAAGAAATAGAAAATTCAATTCAAACTTATTTAAACAATAAAGAGAATATGTTGACTCATATAATTAAACTTTCTAGGTACAGTTTGCTGAAGGCTCTGGCATAGTTTGCTTAAAATTCTCTAAGCTTGTGATCTCCTGTATCAGCTTCCTCTTCAAATTGGCTTCTCCCACTTTAGCAAATGGTTTCAGCAATTACAAGTCTCAAATTAACAGACCGTGTTGTGGAGAACAAGTTTTGCATGGTATGAACCTTGATTGGCCTTAATTTCCTAGCCACGGGGATACCATGTGTCTCAGTCAGTTCAGGCTGCTACAATAAATTACAGCAGACTGGGTGACATAAACAATAAACATTTATTTTTCACATTTCTGAAGTCTGGGAAGTCAAAGATAAGGTACCAGCAGATCCAGTGTCTGGTGAACTAGTCTCTGCTTTGAAAGTAGCTATCTTCTTGTATCCTCACATAGTGGAGAGTAGAGAGAGAAAGCAAGTTCTCTCTCCAGTTGTCTGTTTATTATGGCACTAATCCCATTCATGAGGGCCCCACCTTCATGACCTAATCCCCTCTCAAAGGCCCTACTTTCTAATACCATCACATCAGGGGTTATGATTTCAACATGTGAATTTGGGTGGTATGAACTTGTCAGAATAATTGAATTGATTGATGAAGAACAGAAATTTCACTGGCCCTGCACATTAGAAAACCTATTTTCTAAACATACCTTATTCACCCAATGACTTGTATTCCTTGAGTAATCATTTACTTTCTACTAAGTTTTGCTTTTTTATTTGTTTATAAAAGTGACTGGCATATAGTTGGTGCTCAATCTATAACGCTAAGCATGGAAGAGGGAAGATCTGTGGTTCCTGAACCAAGTGCTGAAGGGTCCTGCAACCCTTCAGTAAACTTATAGGGACACTTGACATATTTCTATTTTTAGGGGAAGCACAGTGCCAGCTTTTGCATACCACACAAACTAATAATATTATGTGCTATGCACATTGTTACTTTAAAAGGGGAATTCTTAGATATTTCCATTGGTCAGGGAGACTGTGAAAAATCGATAGAGACAGTTAACGTAATGTCCTCCAGTTTCATCTATGCTGTTGCAAATTACACTAAGAACTGAGGAAATTTGGGAATCTGTGAAATATATAATTTGTGCACTCCTGTCAAATCTAAACCTGGAAGACTAATTAAAGTGAATTTAATTGTTTAAAATGCAACGTGTCTATTTTAAGTGGGAAAAATGGTGGAATAGTTATGTGGATGACAATTACAATAAACAGTATAAACTACGAGGTAAGGGAAAATATTAAACTAATTCAATTTATAAAAATCAATGATGGTTAGAATTAATTAGATGAAGTTGTTTAAAACAAAATTCCCAGCATACACTTGAATTACACTATTTAGATTACCAATTTTCCCTCTTCGCTTATTATATCTTTTCCATCAACATATAAATATGCTGCCATTTCTTTTATATTAAAAAAACTTCTCATGACTTTACTTTTCCTACAGCTTTATTTCTGTCTTTCATCTGATAGTAAAACTCCTCAAAAGAACCATCTATATATGCAATTCCAATTTATCTTCTTCCATAGTTTCTTAAACCCACTCCAATAATACTTTTACCCCCACACTTATTAAGGTCATTGATCATCTGTATGTTTCAAAATGCAATTGCCAATTCATATTTCACATCCTTCATGACCTATGAGGAACATTTGATCTAGTTGATTTCTTCTTCTTTCAATTAAATGTTTTCCTTAGTTGGCTTCAAGGGCACCATAAACTGTGGTTTTGTTTTGTTTTGTTTTTCCTATTAATTCAGTGGGCATGTCTTCTCATTTTCCTTCTTTAGTACTCTCATCTCTAAGAATTCTTGAAACAAAAAGACCTTGGGTGTCTTCTCTTTTTTATCTATCTATGCTGGTCTTTTGATGATCTAATTCAAGTTTATGATTCTAAACAGAATCTACATGATGAAAACTCCCAAATATATACATCAGTCCTTTAGTATTCTCCTTTAGTCGTATGTTCATATATATATATATATAAAAAATTACCTATTAGATATGTCCACTTGACAATTTAAGTGGAATCTTAAACTTAACACCCTTGAATTACTTCCAGTTAACTCCTGACACCCCACACAGAAACAGGCCTAATATCCCCTATCACAATAGATAGCAATTCCAATTTTTTAATTTTTCATGGAAAAATTTTTGATGACAATTACTTGATTCTTTTACCTATGACAAGTCTAGATACAAACCCTCCAAATTCCCATTTCTTTGGTTCATAAGATTAGCTGAATCATTTTGTCTCCACACATCAATTGAACAAAATGCTTTGACTGAATTTTGTTTAAGCTTCTCTTCTTTCCCCAGACTCTAAATATATCTCCTATTAAATAATAAGTATGGATATAAGGGCTAAAATGACTAATGACTAAGTAAAATTTTTCTGTTTATGAAATAAACTTGAGCTCCAAAAGAGGCTAATAAAAATCTGCTTCAGAGTTCAATAACACTAAAAAGTGGTACGTTGGTTATAGTTTGGTTTTTCAAAATTATATCCTTGAAAGCATTAAAACAAACTGCTCCAATAGTTCCTATCATTAATTAAAAATGTCAATGAATTAGTTTTTAATGCTTGGTTCCTTTATCCAAATCATTTAATCAGCTTGTTCTTTCACTAGTACACTTATGTAATTGTTTTAGTTAAAAGCCAAGGGTTCATACTTTAGACAGTTAAATGACATAAAGACAAATTGCACTAAGCAGACATTCATGGTAATTGAAACAGTGTCATTTGCAGCATGTCCAGAAGTTTGAGTTTTTGGTGCACAACCTACTCTTCACCCTTTGTAGAAAAATTACCTGGCTCCTCAGAATATACTGTGTTCTCTGTAGTATCTTGTAACTTTCATTTTCCCTGAAAGCATGATGAATGCATTATATATAATTTTCCAGTCTTTCAAGTAAATGCAGGGCATAGCCGTTAATTAAAATGTGACCACTCCAGTCTATAAAGTATACCTTCAACCAAACTGGCAGCTGTTACCTTTGCTTCATTTCTCTTTGTTTCAGAAAGTAAAAAAAAAAAAAAAAAAAAAAAAAAAAATGCAATTAACCTTTCCCTCACTAGGATCTTTTTTATTTTTTGTTTTTTTTTGCTTCCTTTTCCCACCACTTTATTTTCCTCATGACATCTGTACATTTTATATTTCCTTTATAAAACACCGAAACTATAAAACACTGAAATACATGCACTTACACAACCACACATGCATATGTCATAAGTCAATACATGTTCAAATTAATATACACGTATGATGCTATAAATGTTATGTTCATGCAAAATATATAACTGTATGTTTAAATATCTGATTTTCCCACTATATACATTTCAATTCTCTATATGTAATCTGTTAACATTAAATAACATAGATTAGTTTGATGTTTATGACAGGTGCTAAAATAAAGTATATTTTAAATTTAAATAAATTTTAAAATTTTAAGTACATTTTTAATTTCCCAGGTAAATAAGCAAAACTTTCAAGTGTTATAATTTTTTCAGGTCCCATGTCAGATAACTGTAAGTCAAATTTCTGCCTACAGCTTCATAATTGTTTTCTCCTATGTTTTTGTCAGATCCTACTAATAAAAAGAATTGTACCACATTCTAATGATTTTTGTATCAAAAATGTTAGCCATGCTATTTATGCTGACAATAATAACTGCCTTTTTATCACAAACAACCAGATATTATTTAACACTAAGGAATAAAATAGTGTATTTTAGCTCTTTGACACTTATTCTAACCTTAAATATTCTATTATAATGATAATAAAATAAACCATATTAAACTTTGGCCCAGAATTTATGATATTATATAATTTTATAGGAGTACTTTTTTGCATGCAAAGTTGTATCATTTTAATGATACATGAGAGAGTGAGGCAGAGTGAGAGTGTCTAGCAATAGAAGTTTTACATAAATTATAGATGTTGTATTATTGTTCCCAAAATAGATAGAATGTGAATCTGGGAGAGTTTTTAGGTTGTTCCCAAATTTAATGATAAATGCTTAAATCCTATTAATCTTGTTGGGTGAGTTCTTCATGTCCTGAAGGGAAGGAATATTAAGTACTTTCTATTAAAGAAAGAAAATTTTCAAGTGTAATTTACCTAACAAAATATAAAATAACTTTTTATTGCCACACTATTTGGGATAATCTTAAAGCAGCTAACGCACTAGATCTACCTCTATGAACTCTTGTCTGAAGCAGATCTACATTGAAAATGGTCAATTCCCTCAAGGTATCAATCCTAGATAATAGGTAAGGACAATAATAATTTATGACACAAAATATACCTGAATGACAGTTGTACAGACTTTTATGATTATGCTAAGTAAATAAACAATAATCTGGTTCTATTAATATTTTTATTTGTATCTGTTCTTTTTGAATGAGTGATGCCTCTTAACCTTTTAAAATTTTGTTTTTTAAATATAGTTTTACTTTCTGATTTTCTTCCAGATCTTAGAAATCTGGCAATTCAAAATTTTTACTTTGGTATTAGGCAGTTATAACCATAAGGAGTTGTAAAAACAAGGTATGAAGTAAAAAGATACAAACCAACAGAAAATGACTTAAAGTCTTGAGTGTACATGCAAAACCCGTTCTCTCTCCTTCCTTGCCACACAATTCAAGTTTTCTCATGACCATGCTTCTGAACTACTATCACACAGGTCATCTAACTCCCATTCCCATAGCACTAGCATTTCTTACACCAGCTTTCTCCTGACACTTCACATTTGCATACCTCATAACTACTTTAATCGCTTCTCTGGTCAATAATTTCAGACTATCTACTATTGTGATGTAGCTAATCATTTTATATAAAGCTTTCCTCTTTCATTACTTGATATAGTCCTCTGTGATCAGTTTTGACCAATATTTTTCCATATTCCTCAACCCCCAGCCTCTGGCAACAACCATTCTATGTCATCCTATGTTCTTTTTCTGTGAATTTCAACTTTCAGATTACATATATAAATGAGATTATGCAGTATTTATCTTACAGTGTCTGGCTTATTTCATTTAGCCTAATATCCTTCAGGCTTATTCATATTGTGGCAAATGACTGAATTTTCTTATTTCCTTTTTTTCTTTACAGTTAAATAATGTTTCATTGTATATGTATATACTATATATTCTTTATGCATTCATTCATCAATGAACACTAACATTGTTTACATACCTTGGCTAGTGTTAATAATGCTGCAATACACATGGAAGTACAGATATTTCACAATTATTTTATTCCCTTTGGATATATGTTCAAAAGTGAGATTGCTGAATCATATGGTAATTATAATTTTTAAAAGATGTCTCATACTGTTTTCCTTATGGCTGCACCAACTTCTGTTCCCAAGAAAAATGAACAAGAGTTTCCTTTTCTCCATATCCTTGGCAACGCTCACCTTTTCTATTTTTTATAGTAGCCATTCTAACAGGTGTGAGGTGATAGCTCATTTTGATTTTGATTTTCACTTCCCTGATGATTGGTGCTGTTGCACACCCATTCATTAACTTGTTGCCCATTTGTGTGTCTTATTTGGAGAATTGTTTATTCCGGTCCTTTGCCTATTTTAATTGGGTTAATTTTTATTTTTATTTTTAGCTATTGAGTGTTTGAGTTCCTTACACATTTTGAATAATAACCCCTTATCTGACATAGGGTATGCAAATATTTTCTCCCATTCCTAAGGTTGTCTCTTCACTCTGTTGATTGTTTCCTTTCTCATGCAGGAGTCTTTGTTTTAATGCAACTCACAATTTCCATTTTTTGCTTTTGTTGCCTGTGCTTTTGTGGTTATAGTCAAACAATTATTGACCCATCCAATGTCAGGAAGCTTTTCTTCAATGTTTCCTCTAGTACTTCTACAGTTTAAGGTATTATATTTAAGTCTTTAAAATATTTGGGGTTGATTTTTGTATATGCTCTGGAATAAGGGTCCAATTTTATTCTTCTGCATGTGGATATCCAAGTTAATGAACACTGCTTATTGAAGAGAGATCATCTATTGTTTGTTCATGACATCCTTGTCGAAGATCAATTGCCCATAAACATGTGGATTTACTTCTGGGATCTATATTGTTCCATTGGCCTTTTTTTCTGTTTTTATGCCAGTACCACCCATTTTGATGTAGATCTATTTTGATTACTATAACTTTGTAAAAGTGTGATGCTTTGAAATGTGTTCTTTTTCTCAAAATTGCTTTAGTTATTTGGAGTCATTTTTGGTTCCATATAAATTATATGATTTCTTTTCTATTTTGCAAAAAAACAATCCATGAACATGTCTTCCATTTATTTATGGCTCCTTCAATTTATCTTATCAATGTTTTATAGTTTGCAGTGTACAGATGTTTCACTTCTTCAAAAACATTTATTTCTAAATCTTTTATATTTTTGATGCAATTGAAAATAGAATGGGTTTTGTATTTTTTCAGATAGTTTGTAGTTGGTATTAAAATGCAACTGATTTTTGTGTTGGTTTTGTATCTTGAAACTTTACTGAATTTGTCTATTAAGTCTAATAGTTTTTCTTTTGGAAAGGTCCTTAGGGTGTTCTATACATAAGATCATACCATCTGCTAACAGAGACAATTTTACTTCTTCCTTTCTAATTTGGATGCCTTTTATTCTTTTTTCTTGCCTAATTGTCCTGGCTAGGACTTCCAGTACAATGTTGAATGGAAGTGGCAAGACTTGGCATCCTCATTTTTTTCCTGATCTTAGAAAAATAGCTTTGTCTTTCACCACTAAGTACAATGTTAGCTGTTGACTTGTGATGTATAGCTTTTATTGTGATAGGGTATATTTCATCAATCTCTAAACTCCGTTTGAAAGTTTTTATCACAAAAGTATGTGAAGTGTTGTGAATGCTTTTCCTTTGACTATTGAGATTATTATATTATTTCAAATTTTATTATTTTAATGTGGTATATTATTTATTGACTTGCATATGTTGAACTGTGCTTACATCCCAGGGATAAATCCTGATCGGTCATGGTGTATGATCCCTGTAATATGCATTGAATTTAATATGAATTTAATTGAATGTAATATGCATTGAATTCAGTTTGCCAATATTTTGTTAAGGATATTTGTATCTACATTCAACAGGGATATTGACCCGTATTTTTTTTTTTTCTTGTAGCATTTTTGTCTGGCTATGGTATCAGGGTAATGCTGCCCTCAGAAAATACATTGGGAAGTGTTTCCTCTCCTTCAGCTTTTTTTGTAAAAGTTTGAGAAGAGTTGGTATTGTGTTTCAAAAATATCATAGTTATGATTTATTACAGGGAAAAGATACAGATCAAAATTAGCCAAAGGACAAGACACATAGAGCAGTGTCCAGGAGTGTGTCAAACACGGAGCTTCCCATTGTCCTCTCCCAGTGGAATCAGGACAGCACTACTTCCCCAGTATCGATGTGTTACAATATGCATGGAGTATTGCCAACCAAGGAAGATCAACTGACATTGGTGTCCAAAGTTGTTTTTTGTAAATAATTTTTTTGTTTTTCTAGTGTCTATGTAATTTATTTCTGCTTTAAAATTTATTATATCCTTCTTTTCACTAAATTCGGGCTTTGTTTTTCTTTTTCTAATTCTTTGTGGTATAGAGTTAGGTTGTTTATTTGACATGTTTCTTTTTTCTTACATAGGCATTATTACTCTAAATTTCCATCTTAGCACTGCTTTTGCTACATTCCATAAATTTTAGTATGTTGTGTTTCTATTTTCATATGTCTCAAGATATATTTTAATTTCTCTTTTAATTTTCCTATTGGTCAGAAATATGTTGTTTAATTTCCTCATATTTGTGAGATTTCTGAAATTTCTCCTGTTATTGATTTGTAGCTTCATACTCTTGGTGGTCAAAATGGCTACTTGATATGGTTTCAATTTTCCTAAATTTGTTAATATTTGTTCTGTGGCCTGACATTATTTATCTTAAGGTTTTCTTCATGTGTAAATGAAATTAATACATATTCTGCTCCTGTTTGATATACAGTTTTATATATGTCTGTTAGGTCAAGTTGGTCTATGGTGTTGTTCACATCTTCTATTTCCTTATTGGCATTTCCATCTGGATAATTTATTGATTATTAAAAGTGAGGTATTCATGTACCTCACTATTATTGCATTGCATTTTGTATTATATGTTTTATTCTGTTCTGTTAATATTTGCTTTGTATATTTAGGTGCTCTGATGTTTTGTACGTATATATTTATAATTGTTATATCCTCTTGTTGAATTGACATAATGACTTTTGTTGTCTCTTGTAACAGTTTTTGACTTAAAATCTATTGTTCCTGATATAGTTATAGCCACTCCATCTCTCTTTCAGTTATCATTTACATAAAGTATCTTTTCCCACCCATTTATTTCAGTCTGTGTTTATCTTTTAAGGTAAAATGAGTCTACTATAAGGACATGTAGTTAGATATTGCTTTACAGCTATTTAGACACTCTATTATGACTAGAATCAGAGACACTAGTTTGGAGGCTACTAGACTATTCTACTACAAGAGAGGATGGTGACTTAAATCACAGTAGGTGGGGGAAATATTTAAGGTTATTTTAATGCAGATCCAAAAGAATTTGCTTTCAGTTTGGATGATGTGTGAAAGGAGTCTAGGATGGCTATAATATGTTGAAATTAAATACTTTTAAAAATAGAGGAGTCATCAACTAAACTGAAAAAAGTCTACATGAGAAGCAAATCAGAAGCTAGGGACAGGTTAGAATATTTTTTTGGGCCAGGAAAAATTTCAGATTGAAATGCCTTGTTATTTGAGACATTCATCAGATGTTTCTAAATTCCCTCTGATTAGATCATGATAGATCCGTTTCTGAGGTAAATGAAAATTAAATGACTGCATCTCTGATAATTACAGGAAAACAGAAACAGAGAAAGTTTTGGAAGCTTAATGTCTTCTCTTGACACAACAGAGATAAGCCTATTGAGAAATGTTTTCTGCATTATCCTTTAATGATATAAATATCTCACGTTTTCTTCTGAAGGAATAGTAGAAGTCAACATTGTTAGAGTTAGAAGAGTGACAAATTGAACTGATGGTTAATCTTTTTTCTATGCCTTATATCTTTTAAAAATATTATTGTTAGATTAAATAAAAATATATCTAATCCAGTTTTTCCAAGCCTCATCAGTCTAAGAGTAAAAATTAAATTGGTTAACAGTAATTTTCAAAATTTACTGGCTGTTGCTCTTACTTACTAGTACAAGATTTGCATTCTCTTCAGTGCATCTCTGATGTATTTATAGGAATTTAGAGTAAGTATTTTAACTAATATTTACAAACCATTCTAATCCAAACGGCAATGAGATTTTCTGTTGTATTTTTTTCTGGACACAATTTAGCACCATTCTGATTTCAAGTAAACAAAAATCTGTCCTTGATTAATAAAAATATGACCTTAACTTCCTTAACTGGTTATTAGGAGAAAATAAACCCGAATTCTCTGGCAGAAACTATGGGGGAAATTGGGCTATTTCCAATACTTCTATTTCTGGTTAGTACATGTGAAGAGCGCTGTAGCATTACAGTGCAAAGTTAATCAACAAATGCTTATGTAGACAATGCTTTAAGATATACCTATGTTTTCTCTGACTTTGTTGAAAAGTGGTGTCCCAAGAAGAGGCTTAGGAGCAATCACATCATAGTCTAGGAAGGGCCATCCTATTAGGCTTTTTTTTTTTTTTTTTTTTTTTAACCACATCCCTCTCAGTGAGAATTCCATTGCTGTGGCAATTTATACTTTGGATTCAAAATTGAAGGTTAAAGCAATGTGCAACTATGACATTTTTCTTTCTCACCTTTGCTCACAGCCACCTTTTAACAAAATATGGATATTATCTATTATAATTTCTTTGAAATAAGATAGTACATCCTAAAAGCTTTAAATAACCCTAACCCAATATGAAAACACCTGCTTATATTTCAAGATTCATCTCAAATGCCGTTTTATTTTTAAAGTTCCTTGGATATTCCCAAGCTGTTTTCACGTTTATTTTTTACCATAATAACATATAGACATGTACCAAACTCCTTTGCTTTTATTGATTTATATGTATGTCGATTACTAGATTATAAACTTTTAAGACAAGGAATTCTTGTTTATCTCTCTTTGTTTCACCCACAAAAGCACTGTGATTAGCACATGAAAGACATCCAGTAAATTTGGAAGATTAAATAAATGAATGACTGATGAGAAAATTTCCATAACATACTTTACAATTTAATTTTAGAATTTTCTTATGAAGTATTCATCATTCTTATGCACAGCTTGTCATTTTCATATCTCAGAATCTGCTTCCACTAATCCAAAATAAGCCCTTTCATTGAGGACATGCCAGTTGAATAGATCAAACAATTTTTAAGCACTTGACTCCAAACTGTTAGATACCAGTAAACAGAATTTTATTTCAGTCATGTTTATTGTGTTATTTTGAGCTGGAGAGGTAAAATTCAATGGAATCAGTAGAAAAACCAGGTGATAAAGAATTTTCAGACCTGGAATTCTATTTAAAATGTGGCCCTTGGTCTTCTGTGTATTTTTGTCAAGTCACTTACACATAGTAAGAAGCATACAACTCAATTGGTCAGGTCAAAGGATTAATTTAAGACAATTGCTTAGTGTATACATTGCTTTTAAACATTGTTGCATATGAAAAACACTTCTTTGGTATGTATAATGATAAAAACTATCTAACTGATATTCAATTTGCCTCTTAAATAATGTTATTTATACCTATCTTATGTCACACAGGAAAGAAAAATATTATTATCCGATGATAGTGTCAAACAATATGAAAAGAACTTGAGAGTTGGTTTTCTGTAATCATTCATGGTGTTGTTTCATTTCTAATTTTACAATTAGAAGTTAAACTTTAGAGTCAAAATAATAATAGGACATTTTAATAACATTTTCACCTCTCAATACTTCTGATTAAAAACTTACAGAGGAAATAATCAAAATGCTTCAGTTCTTATGTTGCAAGAGTACTGAATAAGAAAGTGTGAACAAGCTTTTGCTTTTGATAGTAGGGGATATTAGCTTTGTCAACAATAAACACAGCTTGCTATTCAATTCAGAAGCTGAATACGATTGTAACATTATTTTGAAATATGTTTCTGTCTTTGTGTGTATTTCTTTTGTTTTCATTAGGAAAGACTAAATATTGTTTGAATGGCCTTGAAGCAATGGTTTATATCTTGTAGGAACAGGCCTTTAGAGACTACAAGTGTATCAAACTGCAATGGAGAGGGAAACAATTTTCTAATCTCATACACAGTTCTATATTTCCAAGGGCAATCAGATAAAACATTTGTTACCTTCCATCTTTATTTTTTAAAATGAACCATGATTGAAACATTTATATATAATACATTCTTTTAGAAAAGTCCTTGCTGATAATAGGGTTTTAAAAGATTGATGCTCAGAATAAAAACCATTTTGACCTTCAATTCCTAACTTTAAAATGCCTTTGAAAAGAAATCTTTGAAATTTCAATAAAAACTTTAAAAACTATATTGAACATATAACATGTTGACTGGGTGCACTATTATATTACAATAATAATCTCAGATAGGAATTATGCATGTTCAATATCAGCAGTTACTATTCAGTTCAGTAGAAAAAGAATGAGCAAGGACGGGAAAGGCAGAGAGCCAAGCTCTAAGGATGCAGTAAAGCACAAGTTCAGCACTGTGCTATGGCAGGGCTACAGCCTACTGGGAAATGATGGAGTGAGAAGAAAACCCAGCTGGTGCAGGCAGCAATCAGAAAGGGACAAGTCTCTTGCAGAAAGCAAGCTTTGGGCAGATTCCAGGTCTATAACAGTCAAAGACAAACTACAATATAAGTAAAGTAAAATTTTAATGTGTGTTCAGAATGAGCAAACCTGTGATCAGGTACTTCAATACAGTCAACTTTTGAAATAGCCTTATATATGAATAAAAACATAAACCATATAATTGACTTCATTACCAAATGAATCTTCTTAGACATGGGAAATCATAACATTGCATAATTGCTAGTATTTCTTAGAATTATATTTCAAGAATCAGACAGCTACTTAATAATATTATACATCATCTATGACCAACCATATCTTGAAGGCCAAGATATCCACTCAGGATGAAAGGGTGCACAGGTTATAAGTTTCTGATTTTATCTATCAAGCAAGGCCAGTCCCAATCTTTCATTGCTTTCTAGATAACCCACTCGACTATACACACCAGCCGAAAGCTGACCAAGTAAGGTGATTGCTATGACAATAGTCATTATATAAAGAAATTGTCAAACTCATAGTCTAAACTTAGGGAATGGCTCAGAGGATTTCCTTGTAATGGCCATGTTCTTAATCAGATAAAACAGGTGACTGAATCCGAAATGGTCAATCAACACAAGATAAAGAATCTATGATTTTGGCAGTAGCCTATGGCCACTGCTTGGCGAGAAAGCTTTGCCAAACAGGGAGAGTAGTTTTAACTGAGCCAATCTGATTCTGTCCAGAATTTTAACTAGAGATATGTGGACAGACTGGTGTATAATTAAAAATGGAGACACAGAAATGAGCACTTTCTGAGATAATAGATGTAATACAACAGTGACTGAGCAAGTTCATCCTGCTGAACGGTTGAGAATATAATCCAGACCTCAGATCTTCATGAAATTGTTCAGACTTCCACGTTGAAAAACTATTTCTTTATCTTCATAAGTTTCTTGAAATACCTAGCGCCAACAAATCCCTGTCAACTGAGTTGCTAGATTATCATTTTTTTTATAAACTCAAAGACTCTAGCATTATTCTTATTTTCCTTCGATCCCCTTACTGTTTTTATAGTCATTTTAACCCTTAAGAACCTGCAGTTTTCTTCACTAATGTTTCCTTGTCTTGCCTCCACTCTATCATCCATAGTGCATAGCAAAGGTAATAAATTCTCAGTGATTAAATTATTAAAATATAATATAAAATACAATTGCTTTCAGTTTATAATACTTTTATTTTTACAAAAACTATTTCCTTTGCTCAGCACAACGTCTCTGTGATAGCAGTAGAGAGATAATTGTTTTAAAAAACAGAGGCATAAAGATTTAGAAAATACAAAGAAAATATGCAACACTACGAATGCAAATCCTAAGTTTTTGACTCCAAATTCAAATCCAATATTTTTCCCCACATGTGACAGTTGTACACATTTAAATATTGCAGTAAACATTAAAATATTTATTTAAATGTTTGTATTTAAAACTTAACAAGAGAAGACTTTCATTTAGTAATGGCTTCCTGCATCCTTTCTTTTATTTTCTCATATGAATTTTACTTTCTTAGGTCTTAAAATGAACACACACTAAACTGCACTGAAGCTGGTTTGCTGATTTCAAAGAAACTCACAACGTGTTTCAGACACTAAAAGGTTCATCTCAATGAACATTTAGATAATTGGAGGCACAGGGAATAGAGAAAGCATTCCCTGAGCACTAAACTAGTACTACAATAAAAACAGAAAATTATCAAATTTTGTATTATAACATACATACCCACCAAATCAGCCTGAAGAAAATATAATAGTTTTGGGAACAAATTTCTTCGTAGTTGTACAAAAATCACATAACTTGCATGGAAAATAAAACTCTTCAATTTGCTTACAATCTGAGTTGCTCATACATACTGTCCTTGATCTTTAGAGAGATAGAAATGTTAAATTATAAGGATTATAAAGGAAGCCAAATAGAAGCTGTGGTTTCTCCCAGAGAATTGTATAAGTTTTTTTTTCTTCCCACTTACATGTATCTTAAAGTTTTCAATCTGCCCCTTAAAAGCAACACAAACATTGTACCTGCTATGAAAATGCAACATAATATAGGCCCTTTCACAACTCCATTCCTTCTCGTCACATAAACATACTTCCTTATGGAAAGACAGAGACCAGAAAACCATCCTATATATAAATTCTGAAGGAAAAACTAAACTGCATAATAGACCTCAAATAGAACTTTCTAGAACTGACAAAATGCCCTCAAGGGATCAGCTATTTATGTTAATGGTTACCCTGAGGATAAGGAGAAAATTATCATAGAGAGCCTTTCCTTGGGAGAATAATTTTTTTTTATTCCACAACCCATTTTCTGATGAAATCTTCATTAATCCATTAAATAAATACTGATATTTATTTTAGTGAGGGTTGGTTTCCAGAGCTACCACTAATAGAGCTGTAGAATAATTTTACTTTATATATAGACTCCTATTTTCAAATCTGAAATTTTGAAATTCTGAGATTAATATTCAATTGAAACCTTCCCAGAGGACTTGCAATGTGGGTTTAAAAAAAACATACATCCACATAATTTAGTAATTTCCTGAATATGAGTCTGTATTACCAACTTCTGTGATTGTATTAGTCCATTTTCCTACTCCTATAAAGATATACCCAAGAGACTGGGTAATTTATAAGGAAAAAAGGTTTAATTGACTCACAGTTCTGCAGGACTGAGGAAGCATCAGAAAACTTAACAATCATGGCAGAAGGGGAAGAGGCAGGTCTTACATGATGACAGGCGGGAGAAAGTGGCGAGTGAAGGAGGAAGAGCCCCTTATAAAGCCATCAGATCTTGTGAAAACTCACTGTCACAAAAACAGCATGGGGGAACCCACCCCCAGTATTCAATTACCTTTACCTAGTTTCTCCCTAGACACATGGGGATTATAGGGATTACAACTCAATATGAGATTTGGGTGGGGGACACAAAGCCTAACCATATAATTCCACCCCTGGCACTTTCTAAATCTTACATCCTCACATTTCAAAAGATAGTCATGCCTTTCCAACAGTTTCCCAAAGTCTTAACTCATTTCAACATTAATTCAAAAGTCCAAGTGACCTTTTTCTCACAGCTCCACTAGGCAGTGCCCCAGTGGGGACTCTGTATGGGGTCTCCAACCACACATTTTCCTTCTTCTCTGCTATCCCAGAGGTTCTCCATGAGGAGGGCACCCCTGCAGCAAACTTGTGCCTGAACATCCAGGCATTTCCATACACCCTCTGAAATTGAGGCAGAGGTTCCCAAACCTCAATTATTGACTTCTGTGCAACTGAAAGCCCAACACCACATGTAACCTGTCAAGGGGTGGGCCTTGCACCCTCTGAAACAACAGCCTGAGCTGTACGTGGGCCCCTTTTAGCCATGGCTGCGATGCAGGGCACGAAATTCTGAGACTGCATGAAGCAGCAAGCCCTTGGCTTAGCCCACGAGACTATTTTGTTCTCCTAAACCTCTAGGCTTGTCGTGGGAGGGGCTGCTGTGAAGCCCTCTGACATGGCCCGGAAACATTTTTTCTATTGTCTTAGTGATTACCATTTGGTTTCTCATTACCAATGCAAATTTCTGCAGCTAGCTTGGGTTCTCCAAAGAAAATGGGTTTTTCTTTTTTATGGCATTGTGAGGCTGCCAATTTTCCAAACTTTTATGCTCTGCTTCCCTTTTAAACATCAGTTCCAATTCCAAACCATCTCTTTGTGAAGGTATAAGACTGAACACTTTTAAGAGTAGCCAGGTCACATGTTGAACACTTTGCTGCTTAGAAATTTCCTCTGCCAGATACTCCAAATCATCTCTCTCAAGTTAAAAGTTCCACAGAGCTCTAGGTCAGGGGCAAAAAGCCACTAGTCTCTTTGTAAAAGTATAGCAAGACTCACCTTTGTTCTAGTTCCCAACAAGTTCCTCATCTCCATCTGACACCATCTCAGCCTAGACATCATTGTCCATATCACTACCACCTCAGCCTAGATTTCATTGTCCATATCACTATCAACATTTTAGTTAAATACATTGAACAAGGATCTAGGAAGTTCCAAACTTTCCCACATCTTCCTGTCTTCTTCTGAGCCCTCTAAACTGTTCCAATGTCTGCCTGTTACCCAGTTCCAAAGTTGCTTTCACATTTTTGGATATCTTTATAGCAGTACCCCACTCCTGGTACCAATTTACTGTATTAGTTCATTTTCCTACTGCTATATAGACATACCTGAGGCTGGGTAATTTATAAAGAAAAGGGGTCTAATTGACTCACAGTTCCACAGGGCTGGGGAGGCCTCAGGAAACTTACAATCATGGTGGAAGGGGAGGAGGCACATCTTACTTGGTGGCAGGTGAGAGACAGTGGCAAACAAAGGAGGAAGAATTCCTTATAAAACCATCAGGTCTTGTGAGAACTCACTTACTACCATGAAAACAGGAGAATAGCATGGGAAACAGAAAAACAGCATGGAGGAAACTGCCCCCATGATTCAATTACCTCCATCTGGTTTCTCCCTAGACACATGAGGATTATGGGGTTTACAATTCAGGATGATATTTGGGTGGAGACAGAAAGCCTAATCATAGCAGTGATCTGTTGAGATTTCATGAATTGTATTTTAAATGTCCTAAGGTTCTTTTGTGGACTTCACAGAAAACAGAAAATGAAAGGAGAATTTGTCTTACAAATTACAGCTAAATAGATACTCCGTTGTTTTCTAATATGCTCTGATCAATGTTGCTACCTTTGCTAGGCAGAATTAAATATATCTCATTTTGTTTTGTGTGAAAGCCAAATATTACTTTTTATTGAAGAATAATTTAATGGAGCAGAAGAATTTCTCTCAATAAAACCATGTCTCAAAGTTTGCTTTCATATAATAGTTGGTATTTTCAGATTGGTCTGCTAGCTCTGCATGTATTAGATTTCTGCAATAGCTATCAGGGAAGAAATAGCAGTGTTAGCAATTTGTAAATCCATAAAGGAATGAGATTTCATCCTATGCTGTATTATAAAAATCACTCCACAATATTACATAAAATGCAAATCTGACAAATGCAGATCACTGAATGCATATGTTTAAAATGATTGTTTTACAGAAAATGGGTATATAGAGCGAATGGGAGAATAACAAAATAAGAAAATAGAAAATGAAGAAGTGGAATAAAGAGGCAAATAATAAAAACAAATTTAACTATATTTCATCATGAATTCTCTGTGACTTTCAGTAACTATTTAAATTTGGGACCATTTTGAAATTAAAGCAATTCTAAAGTGCCTGGAGGAGAGAGGGATGAGTGGCCTGGAAGAAGTCCTCAAAATTGGCAGGACATTGTAGAATTAACCACTTCTCAGGTTCTGGCTCTCAGTCTTCAAGACAGAAGCATAGTTTACCCATAGATTGAGAATGACTCTCTTAGGGGTGCGGTCATACTAACTATGATCCCAGAACTAGTAATATGCACTTCAAGGTGGATGTTATTAATTTTCAATAGAGAAGTATAATTGTATTCATATTGAGATATTTGAGTTGCCATAGTTAGCATGCAGACAGATCTGAATAGAAACAAAAAACTAGAGGAGCATAAGTGTAGAGGATGCATTATGTGTGCTGTGATCTGTGGCAGCTAGAGAAGGTATTCCCCTCTTTCAGAAACCATTACTACATTACTTGCAAGAGCTCTACAAATATGTTTATGGCTTTTGCTTGCTCTCTTTTGTTTTTGTTTGCTTGTTTTTGAATTTTTGTTTGTTTTTGATCAGCCCTGAAGTGGTCCACATTCTGCCAAATATATTTTATTGACATTTTATGTACTTTTTACTCAGGGAAGTTATATGGTGATTTTGTATTTTCATTTCATGATGTAGGAGGATAATGCCTATCTCTCCACTATATTTTCAAACTTTATTTATATAGCTTTAGATTTGACTATATTACATGACTGTTTCCTAATTTTGTATTGACTAATTAATATAATTAGTATAATGAATATGTTGCACACATAAGCATTATTTATTATAATTTTTTCATGATAAAAAAGCAAGGTAAATATTTACATTGCTTTGTGTTTAGTCATATTACAATGCTAAGATTATTACAAATAAAATTTATTTAAAGGTTCAATTTCAACTTAGATCAGTTTGTCTGAAACTGAGATATAGAATCCATATAATCTCATATAGCCTCAGAAACATTCTCAGAGTTCTATAATATTTTTAATTAAAAGAAATCCTCATATTACTTATTTTTGGAGGACACTGGGATTTATCAAATACATCAAACTCACCATTGTTTATAATTAAAAGTTTAGAAGAGAATTGTATTGGTGCCAAAAATGTTTTGATTTGATTCCTCTTGGAGTTAGTATCCCTGAAATGTGGGGTTAACATTCTGACTTACAGGAGGACTCTAAATTTCCCTTTTCCTTACCTGCAGAGTAATTATATAATTGATGACTATCTTTTCTCAAATTGTTAGGTAACTAAGGTTTTCAGTAAGAATCTTCTATTAGATAATGAAAACTCCTTCCTGGGCACTAAGACAGTGAGCAAAAGACAGGGTCCACCCAGTTTTCAGAAATTTTGCAATACTACTGTTATCTACTGTTATATATTTTTCACTGGAAATGTACATAAGATGGCATTTTTCAAACTCATGTCATGTATAAAATATGAATAATACATAACCAGATTTCCCTAATCCAATTATGTATTAACATAATTTTTAGTATTTTAAATAAAGAATATAATATGAAGATTTATTTGATTGGTGTCCTTTAGGTCCATCTTGATTGGGAGCTATTTAGTTCATTCTTCTGGAGGTTCCTGTTAGTCTATTTCTCTGTCTTGTTCTTGGTTTAATCATTCTTTTCTAAAGCAACATTTAGACAGCTATTTTTGATCCCATAAGAGATTACCCAAAGTGCCTAAGTTCATAGGATATTTTAGAGCTTGTTCACAAGCTCTGTCTGCAAGGGACTTATTTTTCACTTTAGCCTTTTCACTGTAAGGTTTGTTGATCTTGATTTATGGTTTCATTGGATTTATTCACTCGATTCTTTCTACTCCCTATGATATTACTTTGTTATTCTTCTCTGTTAACCTCTATTTTCTCCAACTTTCTGGCAATTACTTTTTCTCTAGCTCATTTATTCTTATTTTTCTTCACTATATATATATTGTATATATTTTTCTACCTATCTAAAGTTGCTAGGGCTTGGAATGACTAATTTTATTAGCACAATCACTAGGAATACAGTATTCCATTCTTCCAACGTTAGGAAAAACATACAAAAATCTTTATTCTACGCTTATTGTTTTTTCTTTATGTTTATATTTCTGGAATGTATGACTTAGAAACAAACAATATGAGTCTGAGTTGGGTATGGTCCTAAGTTAAATGTGGCTATTCTGCTTTAAAGACAGAAGAAGTATTATTGCCAAACTTTTGCTTCAAATTCTTTTCATTAAAATTAATTAGGGGAAAGTTCTGAACTGGAATTGAAGAGTAGGGAACAAAATTTTAATTCTTAGTATCATTCTCCCTCAATCTGACATAAGCCTTTATAGAATTTAATCACAGGTATTTTTTTCCTGTGCTTCATTATTATTGATTCCTTGTAGATAAACATCAAAATATTTTAAAAATCAAATCCTTTTTTATAAGGGGAGGAGGAGAGAAATAGGAATAATTTCAGATTAAATACTAAAATATGATCTAAATTATAACCTAGTTGATACTTTTATGTAAAGGAGTGGTGTCCAATCTTTTGGCTTCCCTGGGTCACAGGAAAGAAGAGCCAGACATAAAATATACTAACACTAACAATAGCTGATTAGCTAAAAAAAAAAAAAAAAATTATCATAATGTTTTACAAAAGTATACAAATTGTGTTGGGCCATTTTCAGAGCTGTCTTGGGATGCAAGAGGCCCACAGGCTGCAGGTCGGACAAGCTTGATGTTAAGCATATATATCTAGGGAATAATAATATTCAACATAGAATGAATTAATTAGTAATTAATTACTAGTACATAGTAATATATTCTTATTTTATTGTATTAATTTATTTTATATTCTTACATTTCACAAAGAAAACATTCAAAGTGGCCCTGGAACATAGATCCAAATTTTCATTAAAATTTCTTTGATAACAGTTCTCTCATTTAATATTCAGAGAAGAGTATACCATTGGGTTGCTGTAGTGCTAGAATTTATTGTTCTACAAGCTAGAAACTACCTGTGTCTCAGAGGCCTCAACGTCATGTCACAGATGATTAAGATTCTGTTTATGGAGATACATAATTCAACAATGTTTTCAGTTCATTAGTATATCATGGTATTGAAAAGGCCAGAGAAAGAAGGGAGAATAAGATGTAAAAACTTAGAGACTTTAATAGGAGATAACATATGTAACAGTCAATGTCCTGACAGAAAACAGTTGGCACACCCAAAGGGTTCAATACAGAGTTGTTAATGAAGGGAATACATACAAAGTGATGAAAGGATTAAGGGAACCCGCAAGGCTTAGTGAAGCACTCATCAATTGTCCATACAAAACTGTTAATATAGTCAAATTATTAAATATTTTTCATCTGTAAAAAAGGTATGGCAGATTTTACCACGTAGAAAGGAAGTTTAGAGCTATCAAATCAAAATATTATTTTAAAGTATACTGTTAAAGTATTTCCAAAGACATAGCATTCTAAATCAATTTTAATTACTATAACATCATTTTTCATGATTAACTGAAATCTCTTGATATAAATTCCATCTTTGTTCCTAGGTTTACTCTTTTGCTCTTTTTTTTTCCTTTTCTTTTTTTTCTGAGACAAGGTCTCACTGTCACCCAAGCTGTAGTGCAGTGGTACAATCAGGGCTCACTACAGCCTTGGCCTCCAGGCTCAAGAGATCCTCCCGCCTCAGCTTCCCAACACTAAGTTAATGTTTCTATTTGGATTGTCATTTTGATGGTATTTTACTTCAAAATATGGTTGTTGGTATTAAAGTACCACAGGCACACACCAACATGCCCAGCTAATTTTTAATTTTTTGTAGAGATGGGTCTCCCTATGTTGCCCAAGCTGCTCTCTAACTACTGGGCCCAAGTGATCTGCCTGCCTTGGCCTCCCAAAGTCCTGGGATTACAGGCATGAGTCAATATGCCCAGCCTCAGTGAATTACTTTAACAGCCCTCTTCATGGGGAAAATGCGTGAAAACATTTACAAGTACTCCAGAGTCACATATTTAAGGATTTAAGTTATTTTTAAGCTCAAAAAGGAAAATAAATTTGAAATCCATATAATCTCTCCTCATCTGTGTCCATTCCCTCCGCTCCTTTGCTGTTACTATATACATCCCAATAAACTAGCTAAGGCCAGTCCTTACACTTGAGATTCAAGCTATGCTAGAAGCTGCTCCAGCATTTTTTCTTCTCTTATGCATTTCTAATTTTCTCTTTTTACTGGAATATTCCCACCAGTCTACAAATGTACTGCTATTTTTACTGCATTAATACATATGAAATTATTTGTCCCAATTTTCAACTTCAAATACGTTTTCTCTCGTTACTTTTATAGCAACAATTATTAAAATGTAGGTTCATAACACTGTCTCCTATATATCTCTATCTCTATATTTTGGACACCACTGATAAAGGAGTTAAGAAAAAATTACTGCCTGGGCATAGTAGCTCATGCCTGTAATCCCAGCACTTTGGGAGGCCAAGGTGGGCGGATCACCTGAGGTCAGGAATTTGAGACCAGCCTGGCCAACATGGCAAACACTGTCTCCAGTAAAAATACAAATATTAGCCGGTTGTGTTGGTGGGTCCCTGTAATCCCAGATACTTGGTAGGCTGAGGCAGGAGAATCACTTGAACCTGGGAGGCGGAGATTGCAGTGAGCCGAGATGGTACCATTGAGACTCCCTCTGGGGGGGAAAAAAAAAAAAAGAAAGAAAAAATTACTTAGGTAGATAGTGAAGGTACAGAAGTCCTAGGTAAGGTTTTCCTTTTAATGAAAAGCAGCCCCAAATCATTTTCCTTTCCTATAAAGAGCAACCTATAAAATTTAACTGCAGACATAGACAGTTGAGCCAATCATGTTCAAAATGGCAGCCCATCTTCCCTTCTCTGCCAGCCATGTTTACAGTAAGGAGCAGGCAAGGGCGCTGGCCAAGGGGAAAGTTCATTTTCATAATAAGATTAGGGTGGGGTGACCAGCCTTCCCCCAGCACTAGGTAAATATCACACGTGATTGAACCAATCTGTGAGCTCTACATAAATCAGACACTGCCTCCACAAGCCTGACAATAGAATCCAGGGCATCCACTGCAGGCTTGTGTTTTCTCCTCTCAGAAGTCCCCTCTCTCTCACTGGAGAGAGAGCTGTTTTCCTTTTCTCTTTCTTTTGCCTATTAAACCTCTGCTCCTAAACTCCTCGCGTGTGTCCCTGTCCTAAATTTTCCTGGCACATGACAACGAACCCGATATTTATCTCAGTCAATGTAGTCGCGTCACCATTGCAATCAGACTTTTGCTCCTAGCTCATCACCAAGGGTACCAATATTCAATGTTCCCATGTCAAATCCACTGGTTATTCATGATAAGCATGTTTCTAGTTCAGTCATCAGCAGCATTTGTCAAAATTGATCTGAACATTCTTTCTCTTGAAACCCTTACTTAACATTCAGGATCTCATTCATCTTCTCTGTCTCTCTCTTTCTCTCTCTCTGTCTGTGGGGTGTGTGTGTGTGTGTGTGTGTGTGTGTGTGTGTATGTTTTCTTCTTCTACACTGACTGTTTCTGCTTATTCTTTATTCTTCTTCATATCCCATCCTCTAAATGTTTGAAAACTCTAGAGCTTAATCCTTAAACTTTTAAAGCTATACTCACTACAACTCTCTTGGTAAGCCTATTGAGTTTTATGTATTAAATTCCATTTATATGTTGACAGCTTCAGATGTTACTGTTAGCCATATCTGCTCCTTGATATCTAGATTTGCATACCCAAGAATCTCTTCAATCTATTTCTCTGGTTGTTTAAACAGCACCTTAATCTTAGTATACCCAAAACTGAGTTTCTGATATGCACCAACACCAAAATTGGTCCTCCCTTAGTGTTATTTGTTTCGGTAGAGGCTCCCTGTTGCTGTGGTTAAAATATCCCGATATGCCAAGTTATCATGAACTCTTATTTTATCATGCTCCACATAAGCCTTAAAAGTTATAATAAATGATACACTTACCAAATACTTTCACATCAATAACATGGATTTTTATCTTTTCAGATTGTAATGACATTTTCTTGCTACTCACTGTCCAAACACTAAGTTAATGTTTCCTATTTGGATTGTTACTTTGATGGTATTTTACTTCAAAATATGGTTGTTGGTATTAAAATAATGTACACTGCTGTAATAAATACCCTAAAATCAAAGCTGTTTTCTACCACAAATATTATTTCTTGCACAGATAAGTTTAATAAGGCTGTAGGTTCCCCTCCAAAATTAAGCTCTACCGTCCATAATTGGCCTCCAAGGTTACTGAAGAAGGGAAAATTGAAATGTAAAAAGCAACCCAGCTCTTAACTGCTTCAGACCTGAAGTGACTCTCACAGTTCAAAATTAGTCATATGGTTCCCACACAAACTGCAAGACTCGGAAAGGTCACAGAGCATGTAGACATTGATGAATAATAACTTTCCCAGCCATACTTAATTTTGCCTTTAAGCTAGTTTCTACAAAGTGTAATGATTTTTTATTTCTTAGAACTTTCAATTAATAAAATATTAAAAATCAACATTGGCTTTTTTTATCACTACTAAAAGTAGATAGCTGATTAAATAGGTATCTTTAGTTATTTTCAGTTTATTTATATAAGCAAAATGTTTTTTAAAACTTTCAAATTGATATCTAAATTATACCATTAAAACTTTATATTACTGCAAAAATATAGCATCTGATATATGATTAAAATTGATGTTTGTCAATAACGTGCTTCATATAAAGTAATAGCACTATAACTTACTAAAATAATATTTTCATCAATATATTTTTATTACGATAAATATGATTTGGGATTTCCATCATATTTACTTACAAAGAAATATGTAAGTGGATGAAAATGTATTTATCATGCGACTTTATTTTTTAAAAATTTCTTTTATATTGAGTTATTAGTATTACCATTTTTAAACGTTTGAATAAAAAACCATAAAATATAATAGATACAAAAAAGTATTAAAGCTAAAATGCAAAATTTTCATTATAAACGCATATCTTAAAGAGATAGATTGTTTATAGATGACTATTACTTATTGATAGAATAAAATATTTATTCAGTTTTTGTCTTTGGTAGATGTTATTGTTTAGAAACTTCATCTGTGTATATCAGTACATGGGGACTAAATAATTCCAATGATAACAATGGCACTCAATGTTCTGAATTCATTTCAATTCATGCCTCACCCCACAAAAAAATCATAGGGTGGTATTAAGTCAAAATTTATTTTTTAATTGTAGCTGACTATGCAATTAAATCATTTTATTTTTGTATTCTTAAAAACAAAGATCTAAAGCCATCTTAAATTTCAAAAACAATGCATTATTTAGGGTTATTCACCTTTGTGTTGCTTATATATATATATATATAATATTTTAATTAGACTTTCTTTTAACTTTTAAGTTCAGGAGTACAAGTGAAGATTTGTTACATAGGTAAACTAGGGTTTGTTTTACAGATTGTTTCATCACCATGGTATTAAGCCTAGTACCCATTAGTTATTTTTTCCTAATCTCTCTCCTCCCACTCTCCACCCTCCGAAAAACTTTAGTGTGTGTTATTCCCTTCTGTGTGTCCATGTGTTCTCATTACTTAGCCCCCTCTTATAAGTGAGAACATATGGTACTTGGTTTTCTGTTCCTGTGTTAATTCATTTAGGATAATGGCCTCCAGCTCCATCTATGTCCCTGCAAAGGGCATGATCTTATTCTTATTTATGGCTGCAGAGTATTCCATGGTGTATATGTACCACGTTTTCTTTAACCAGTCTATCCCTGATGAGCATTTAGGTTGATTCCATGTCTTTACTATTGTGAATAGGGCTGCAATTAACATACACATGCATGTGTCTTTATAAAAGAATGATTTATATTCCTTCAGGTATATACCCAGTAATGGGACTGCTGAGTTCAATATTTCTGTCTTTAGATCTTCGAGGAATCACCACACTGTCTTCCACAATGGCTGAACTAATTTACATTCCCACCAACAGTGTGTACACATTCCTTTTTCTTCACAACTTTGCCAGCATGCTATTTTTTGACTTTTTAAAAATAGCCATTCTGACTGATGTGAGATGGTGTCTCATTGTGGTTTTGATCTGCATTTCTCTAGTGATCAATGATGTTGAGTGTTTTAAATGATAAGATATTATGCTGTTTTAATTTGATATAAACAGAAAGTATTAGAAAATAAAATGGATTTTACATTTCAATATACTTCATGGTGCAATATTAAGTAATTTTAGTTTTACCTTATAATTTTGTAAAATTTATTTTTAATTAATAAGTAAAAATTGAACATATTTATAATGTGCAACATATTTTTAGATATATACATATCTCAAAACACACATACACACACAGACACACAATGGGAATATATAAATTAAGCTATTTAACATATGCATTACATGTTCATCACTGTTTTGTGGTGAGAACATTTAATCTAGTCTTCTAGCAATTTTCAATATATAATATATTGTCATTAACTGTAGTTACCATAATATGCAATAGATCTCTTGCATTTCAGGGTAATATACTTTGATTTAAGGGTAATGCTGGACTCACAGAACGCATTTGGATATTTTGGGGGAACTTTCTGAGAAAGACATCATCTCTTTATTTCTGAAGGACAGCTTTCCCAGATACACTATCCTTGTTTGATAATGTTTTTCCTTCAGCATTTTGAATACTTTAACCCACTCTCTCCTGGCCTATAGATTTTCTGCTGAGAAACCTAAGGCTACACTTCTTGAAACTCCCTTATAGGTGATATGCTTCTTTTCTCATGTTTCTTTCAGGATCCTCTCTTTGTCTTTGGTTTCTGAGAGTTTGAGTACAACATGCTCTGGTAGAGTCTAATTTGGATTGAATCTGATTAGAGACTTTTGACTTTCCTGTAACTGGATATTTATATATTTCCCAAGATTTGGAAAGGTTTCTACTATTATTTATTTAATTAAGCTTTTTACACCATTGTTGTCCTTTTCTTTTTTATTAACTTCTATGACTTAACTGTTTGCTCTTTTGACACTGACCTATCCATAAATCCTGTAATGTTTCTTCATTCATTTTTTTTCTTTTTCTCCTCTGACTGTCTGTTTTCATATAACTTGCATGTGAAGTTCATGCATGCTTTTTTCTGAGAGCACAGACATGTGCAGAGTTTCAGTGGCTCTGTGATCAAGGCAAGGCCTACCAGTATATGTCAGTGCCTGGGGCAGTGGCACTCCTAGTGCCGTATTACTCTTAGTATATGAGGTATAGATGCTTGTAACATAGCAGGGGAGTCAAGAATGGGAGCACTGGTGTGCAGAGAGTCAGAGAAGCTTTAGGGTTGTGGCAGGGTTTAGATCGCTAAGGCAGCTGAGCCAGTGCCCAGAGCCTGGGAATATGCAACACAAGCGTGGCTCTGGGTCTGTAGTGTGAACTAAATGGCTATGGCAAAATCTGTAGCATCTTGGACATGGGTGGACCAGTTGCAGCCACAGAACCCAGTCTGAAGCGTGGGTTCTCATAGATTGTCCATGCCTCTGGGGTCAGAGCATGAACAGGGTTGGGAGAGGGCAGCTCCTTTCCTAATGTGGCTCAAGAGTGGCCAATTCTTTTGGAGTAGCAGAACAACATGTGTTTGACACTTTTCCTTCTCTGTAATGAGGTACATGATTTAACACACTGAGTATCTTTAACATATATACACATTTGTATATCAACCACAGATCTTTGACTTTAGTGTAACATGGCAAATACAAATATTTAAAAAGCTTTCTTTTCTTCCTACAATTAAAAAACACTTCTGTCCTGGGACGGTACCTATACAAATATTGAAATTATCAAATAAAATAAACTGGAATACGAAAGTTACCCTCTCTCTTAAGTCTTTATAAAGTGAATCAGTTAAAAGTTTTTATAGTATTTTAATTTTTAAATATACAATGATAAAATTAAAAGATGAAGGAAGGTCTCATCCAAAGTGAAATCATTTTTATATGATTTATAAAAATATATTTAATTAAAACTTTCTTACTACCTGAAATATTCTTATGGTATATTTTTTATGGAAAAGAGAAGATAATAACCAGACTGTAAAGGAAGTTAGAATTTTATATCGCATCATAAAGCTCATTTTCCAATGCACTTGTTAGGTAAGGTGACTGACATAATGAATTCTACAGAAAGTCATATATTGGGAGCAATTAAAAAGCTTTACAATGAAGATGACATTATCATATCAGTTTTGCAGTTAAATCTCAAAAGAATTGAAATTTGACTTCAGTTTTTGTTATCACACAAACACATGTACTTGAGATACAGGCTTTGCGGCCTTCCTTCTTAGGTACTTAATTTTTTCATCTTATGAAATATACATGAAAGATATGTATTTCAGACATATATATATATATATATACACACACACACGTACACAGGTACATATATAGTATATGTATATATATCAGAAATATATATTTGAAATATATGTCATGGTTTTGCAGTCTGTGTACATATATATATATGTTTGGTATCTGAAATACATATCTTTAAAATCGTATGAAATATATATGAAATATATATGTCAGATAATATAGTAGCATAATATGTGAAATATAATGAATGTATGTATAAATGTAATGTATATAAAATATATAAATATGTTATATAATGTGTATATATAATATATATTTGAAATACATATCTTTGAAATCCTATGAAATACATATGAATATATATATCTGAAATATATATCTTTGAAATCTTACGAAATATATATATCTTTCACATACATATCTTTCATATATATTTCATAAGATTTCAAAGATTTATATTTCAGATACTGAACATATATGCACATGTATACACACAGACTGCAAAACTATGTTATATATTTCAGATATATATTTCATATATATTACATATACTGTATATTTGTGTGTATATATGTATATATGAAATATATATCTTTCATATATATTTTATAAGATGAAAAAGATAAGTACTTAAGAAGGAAGAAGCAAAAGGTGTATCCCAAGTACATGTGTTTGTGTGACAAAAACTGAAGTCAAATTTCAATTCTTTTCAGATATATATATGCACACACATATAAGTACACATATAAGTATATATATGCATATATATCTGAAATATATATCTTTCAGATATATTTCATAAGATGAATATATATATATGTATACACACAGTAGTATACATACACAAACACACAGTAGTTCCTCCCTTATTCGATAGTTCCTCCCTTATTGATGATTTTACTTTCCACAATTTCAGTTACCCGTGGTCAAGAGCAATCTGAAAATATGAAATGAAAAATTCCAGAAATAAATTTTTTAAAAGTTTTAAATGCTCACTGCCGAGGAACATGATGAAATTTCTTGTCCTAATCCATCTTTTTCAGGGCGTGATCATCCTTGTGTACAGTGCATCCATACTGTGTCAGCTGCTACCTGCCTGTTAGTCACTTAGTAGCCGTCTGGGTTACCAGATCTAGTGCCATGGTATCATAGTGATTGTATTCAAGTAACTCTTATTTTATTTAATAATGTTCCCAAAGCACAAGAGTAGTGAGGCTGACAATTTAGATATGCCAAAGAGAAGCCACAAGTGCTTCCTTTAAGTGAAAGGGTGACCTTGGTGTTTGTTGGCTGGGGCTCAGTGCTGTCTGAGGTTTGAGGCATCCAATAGGAATCTTGAAATGTATCCCCCCTGAAAATGGGAACACTGCTGTAAACACATAAAGTCACAAATAATACCATATGTCCAAACCACTTTCCTAAAATACACTGCTCAAACATTCCTAAATAGTTAATTATCTAAGCTATGACTTAAGAAAAATGAATCAATTTAATTAATATATATACTAATTGAAAATAAGGTACCTTTCTGTTGTACAATCTTCATTCAAAATAGAAAAACTCATCTCTTAAATAAAGCTTACTTTCTTTATAGTTTTATTGTTTATATTTCAATGATCTGAACTAAAAATATGAATAAGGTAAGAATAGCTTTATTTCTTTTTTTTTTAATCTGAAGATGTCTTTATTTCATCCTTATTTTTTTTAGGGTTTTTTTTAAATTATACTTTAAGTTTTAGGGTACATGTGCACATTGTGCAGGTTAGTTACATATGTATACATGTGCCATGCTGGTGCGCTGCACCCACTAACTCGTCATCTAGCATTAGGTATATCTCCCAATGCTATCCCTCCTCCCTCCCCCCACCCCACCACAGTCCCCAGAGTGTGATATTCCCCTTCCTGTGTCCATGTGATCTCATTGTTCAATTCCCACCTATGAGTGAGAATATGCGGTGTTTGGTTTTTTGTTCTTGTGACAGTTTACTGAGAATGATGATTTCCAATTTCATCCATGTCCCTACAAAGGACATGAACTCATCATTTTTTATGGCTGCATAGTATTCCATGGTGTATATGTGCCACATTTTCTTAATCCAGTCTATCATTGTTGGACATTTGGGTTGGTTCCAAGTCTTTGCTATTGTGAATAATGCCGCAATAAACATACGTGTGCATGTGTCTTTATAGCAGCATGATTTATAGTCCTTTGGGTATATACCCAGTAATGGGATGGCTGGGTCAAATGGTATTTCTAGTTCTAGATCCCTGAGGAATCGCCACACTGACTTCCACAATGGTTGAACCAGTTTACAGTCCCACCAACAGTGTAAAAGTGTTCCTATTTCTCCACATCCTCTCCAGCACCTGTTGTTTCCTGACTTTTTAATGATTGTCATTCTAACTGGTGTGAGATGGTATCTCATTGTGGTTTTGATTTGCATTTCTCTGATGGCCAGTGATGATGAGCATTTTTTCATGTGTTTTTTGGCTGCATAAATGTCTTCTTTTGAGAAATGTCTGTTCATGTCCTTTGCCCACTTTTTGATGGGGTTGTTTGTTTTTTTCTTGTAAATTTGTTTGAGTTCATTGTAGATTCTGGATATTAGCCCTTTGTCAGATGAGTAGGTTGCGAAAATTTTCTCCCATTTTGTAGGTTGCCTGTTCACTCTGATGGTAGTTTCTTTTGCTGTGCAGAAGCTCTTTAGTGTAATTAGATCCCAGTTGTCAATTTTGTCTTTTGTTGGCATTGCTTTTGGTGTTTTAGACATGAAATCCTTGCCCGTGCCTATGTCCTGAATGGTAATGCCTAGGTTTTCTTCTAGTGTTTTTATGGTTTTAGGTCTAATGTTTAAGTCATTAATCCATCTTGAATTGATTTTTGTATAAGGTGTAAGGAAGGGATCCAGTTTCAGCTTTCTACATATGGCTAGCCAGTTTTCCCAGCACCGTTTATTAAATAGGGAATCCTTTCCCCATTGCTTGTTTTTCTCAGGTTTGTCAAAGATCAGATAGTTGTAGGTATGCGGTGTTATTTCTGAGGGCTCAGTTCTGTTCCATTGACCTATATCTCTGTTTTGGTACCAGTACCATGCTGTTTTGGTTACTGTAGCCTTGTAGTATAGTTTGAAGTCAGGTAGTGTGATGCCTCCAGCTTTGTTCTTTTGGCTTAGGATTGACTTGGCGATGCGGGCTCTTTTTTGGTTCCATATGAACTTTAAAGTAGTTTTTTCCAATTCTGTGAAGAAAGTCATTGGTAGCTTGATGGGGATGGCATTGAATCTGTAAATTACCTTGGGCAGTATGGCCATTTTCACGATATTGATTCTTCCTACCCATGAGCATGGAATGTTCTTCCATTTGTTTGTATCCTCTTTTATTTCCTTGAGCAGTGGTTTGTAGTTCTCCTTGAAGAGGTCCTTCACATCCCTTGTAAGTTGGATTCCTAGGTATTTTATTCTCTTTGAAGCAATTGTGAATGGGAGTTCACTCATGATTTGGCTCTCTGTTTGTCTGTTGTTGGTGTATAAGAATGCTTGTGATTTTTGTACATTGATTTTGTATCCTGAGAGTTTGCTGAAGTTGCTTATCAGCTTAAGGAGCTTTTGGGCTGAGACAATGGGGTTTTCTAGATATACAATCATGTCGTCTGCAAACAGGGACAATTTTACTTCCTCTTTTCCTAATTGAATACCCTTTATTTCCTTCTCCTGCCTAATTCCCTGGCCAGAACTTCCAACACTATGTTGAATAGGAGTGGTGAGAGAGGGCATCCCTGTCTCGTGCCAGTTTTCAAAGGGAATGCTTCCAGTTTTTGCCCATTTAGTATGATATTGGCTGTGGGTTTGTCATAGATAGCTCTTATTATTTTGAAATAGGTCCCATCAATACCTAATTTATTGAGAGTTTTTAGCATGAAGTGTTGTTGAATTTTGTCAAAGGCCTTTTCTGCATCTATTGAGATAATCATGTGGTTTTTGTCTTTGGCTCTGTTTATATGCTGGATTACATTTATTGATTTGCGTATATTGAACCAGCCTTGCATCCCAGGGATGAAGCCCACTTGATCATGGTGGATAAGCTTTTTGATGTGCTGCTGGATTCGGTTTGCCAGTATTTTATTGAGGATTTTTGCATCAATGTTCATCAAGGATATTGGTCTAAAATTCTCTTTTTTGGTTGTATCTCTGCCCGGCTTTGGTATCAGAATGATGCTGGCCTCATAAAATGAGTTAGGGAGGATTCCCTCTTTTTCTATTGATTGGAATAGTTTCAGAAGGAATGGTACCAGTTCCTCCTTGTGCCTCTGGTAGAATTCGGCTGTGAATCCATCTGGTCCTGGACTCTTTTTGGTTGGTAAACTATTGATTATTGCCACAATTTCAGCTCCTGTTATTGGTCTATTCAGAGATTCAACTTCTTCCTGGTTTAGTCTTGGGAGAGTGTATGTGTCCAGGAATTTATCCATTTCTTCTAGATTTTCTAGTTTATTTGCGTAGAGGTGTTTGTAGTATTCTCTGATGGTAGTTTGTATTTCTGTGGGATCGGTGGTGATATCCCCTTTATCAATTTTTATTGTGTCTATTTGATTCTTCTCTCTTTTTTTCTTTATTAGTCTTGCTAGCGGTCTATCAATTTTGTTGATGCTTTCAAAAAACCAGCTCCTGGATTCATTAATTTTTTGAAGGGTTTTTTGTGTCTCTATTTCCTTCAGTTCTGCTCTGATTTTAGTTATTTCTTGCCTTGTGCTAACTTTTGAATGTGTTTGCTCTTGCTTTTCTAGTTCTTTTAATTGTGATGTTAGGGTGTCAATTTTGGATCTTTCCTGCTTTCTCTTGTGGGCATTTAGTGCTATAAATTTCCCTCTACACACTGCTTTGAATGCGTCCCAGAGATTCTGGTATGTTGTGTCTTTGTTCTTGTTGGTTTCAAAGAACATCTTTATTTCTGCCTTCATTTCATTATGTATCCAGTAGTCATTCAGGAGCAGGTTGTTCAGTTTCCATGTAGTTGAGCGGTTTTGAGTGAGATTCTTAATTCTGAGTTCTAGTTTGATTGCACTGTGGTCTGAGAGATAGTTTGTTATAATCTCTGTTATTTTACATTTGCTGAGGAGAGCTTTACTTCCAAGTATGTGGTCAATTTTGGAATAGGTGTGGTGTGGTGCTGAAAAAAATGTATATTCTGTTGATTTGGGGTGGAGAGTTCTGTAGATGTCTATTAGGTCTGCTTGGTGCAGAGCTGAGTTCAATTCCTGGGTATCTTTGTTGACTTTCTGTCTCATTGATCTGTCTAATGTTGACAGTGGGGTGTTAAAGTCTCCCATTATTAATGTGTGGGAGTCTAAGTCTCTTTGTAGGTCACTCAGGACTTGCTTTATGAATCTGGGTGCTCCTGTATTGGGTGCATATATATTTAGGATAGTTAGCTCTTCTTGTTGAATTGATCCCTTTACCATTATGTAATTGCATTCTTTGTCTCTTTTGATCTTTGTTGGTTTAAAGTCTGTTTTATCAGAGACTAGGATTGCAACCCCTGCCTTTTTTTGTTTTCCATTTGCTTGGTAGATCTTCCTCCATCCTTTTATTTTGAGCCTATGTGTGTCTCTGCATGTGAGATGGGTTTCCTGAATACAGCACACTGATGGGTCTTGACTCTTTATCCAATTTGCCAGTCTGTGTCTTTTAATTGGAGCATTTAGTCCATTTACATTTAAAGTTAATATGGTTATGTGTGAATTTGATCCTGTCATTATGATGTTAGCTGGTGATTTTGCTCGTTAGTTGATGCAGTTTCTTCCTAGACTCAATGGTCTTTACATTTTGGCATGATTTTGCAGCGGCTGGTACCGGTTGTTCCTTTCCATGTTTAGCGCTTCCTTCAGGAGCTCTTTTAGGGCAGGTCTGTTGGTGACAAAATCTCTCAGCATTTGCTTGTCTGTAAAGTATTTTATTTCTCCTTCACTTATGAAGCTTAGTTTGGCTGGATATGAAATTCTGGGTTGAAAATTCTTTTCTTTAAGAATGTTGAATATTGGCCCCCACTCTCTTCTGGCTTGTAGGGTTTCTGCCGAGAGATCCGCTGTTAGTCTGACGGGCTTCCCTTTGAGGGTAACCCGACCTTTCTCTCTGGCTGCCCTTAACATTTTTTCCTTCATTTCAACTTTGGTGAATCTGACAATTATGTGTCTTGGAGTTGCTCTTCTCGAGGAGTAACTTTGTGGCGTTCTCTGTATTTCCTGAATCTGAACGTTGGCCTGCCTTGCTAGATTGGGGAAGTTCTCCTGGATAATATCCTGCAGAGTGTTTTCCAACTTGGTTCCATTCTCCCCATCACTTTCAGGTACACCAATCAGATGTAGATTTGGTCTTTTCACATAGTCCCATATTTCTTGGAGGCTTTGCTCATTTCTTTTTATTCTTTTTTCTCTAAACTTCCCTTCTCGCTTCATTTCATTCATTTCATCTTCCATCGCTGATACCCTTTCTTCCAATTGATCGCATCGGCTCCTGAGGCTTCTGCATTCTTCACGTAGTTCTCGAGCCTTGGTTTTCAGCTCCATCAGCTCCTTTAAGCACTTCTCTGTATTGTTTATTCTAGTTATACATTCTTCTAAATTTTTTTCAAAGTTTTCAACTTCTTTGCCTTTGGTTTGAATGTCCTCCCGTAGCTCAGAGTAATTTGATTGTCTAAAGCCTTCTCTCAGCTCGTCAAAGTCATTCTCCATCCAGCTTTGTTCCGTTGCTGGTGAGGAACTGCGTTCCTTTGGAGGAGGAGAAGCGCTCTGCATTTTAGAGTTTCCCGTTTTTCTGTTCTGTTTTTTCCCCATCTTTGTGGTTTTATCTACTTTTGGTCTTTGATGATGGTGATGTACAGATGGGTTTTTGGTGTGGATGTCCTTTCTGTTTGTTAGTTTTCCTTCTAACAGACAGGACCCTCAGCTGCAGGTCTGATGGAATACCCTGCCGTGTGAGATGTCAGTTTGCCTCTGCTGGGGGGTGCCTCCCAGTTAGGCTGCTCGGGGGTCAGGGGTCAGGGACCCACTTGAGGAGGCAGTCTGCCCGTTCTCAGATCTCCAGCTGCGTGCTGGGAGAACCACTGCTCTCTTCAAAGCTGTCAGATAGGGACATTTAAGTCTGCAGAGGTTACTGCTGTCTTTTTGTTTGTCTGTGCCCTGCCCCCAGAGGTGGAGCCTACAGAGGCAGGCAGGCCTCCTTGAGCTGTGGTGGGCTCCACCCAGTTGGAGCTTCCCAGCTGCTTTGTTTACCAAAGCAAGCCTGGGCAATGGCGGGCGCCCCTCCCCCAGACTCGCTGCCTCCTTGCAGTTTGATCTCAGAACTGCTGTGCTAGCAATCAGCGAGACTCCGTGGGCGTAGGACCCTCCGAGCCAGGTGCAGGATGTAATCTCGTGGTGCACCGTTTTTTTTAAGCCGGTCCAAAAAGCGCAATATTCGGGTGGGAGTGACCCGATTTTCCAGGTGAGTCCGTCACCCCTTTCTTTGACTCAGAAAGGGAACTCCCTGACCCCTTGCCCTTCCCAAGTGAGGCAATGCCTCGCCCTGCTTCGGCTCGCGCATGGTGCGCGCACCCACTGACCTGCGCCCACTGTCTGGCACTCCCTTGTGAGATGAACCCGGTACCTCAGATGGAAATGCAGAAATCACCCGTCTTCTGTGTCGCTCATGCTGGGAGCTGTAGACCGGAGCTGTTCCTATTCGGCCATCTTGGCTCCTCCTCAGAATAGCTGTTTTATCTGAAAGACAGATGAGATCTGAGGTAATAATTCCAGAATTGAAGGATTTAGTCTGCAAAAACTTTGGTAATGCTATATAAAAACTCTTTGAGAGTAAAAGAAAATTCTGAGCTGGAAATTTCTTTAAAAATATCCATAAAATAGAGGAGTTGGGAAAAGCTATTAATCTGGGGCTGAGTTGAATGTGACCTTAAAAAAAGAGCAAATTATTAATCTGTATTTGGTTAGCAGGCCACATCATTTTTATCTATGCATAGCTGATCTATCTATCTATCTATCTATCTATCTATCTATCTATCTATTCATCCATCATGATTTATATTGTTGAGGCAGCTTTCAAGTAGCAGAATTTAGCCATAGAGAAACAGCCATGTTAACTGGTGTTATTTTAAATTCATGCCACAATACCTCAAATGTGCCCTCAGTGCTTTCTGAACATTCTAATACTTTTTAAATTCACTCTCCTACTTTTAGAGGGGACATTTGCCCCCACCCCTACAATGTTTCCTGTCTCTTCAAATGTACTCTACTTCTTGCCTCTGCTTAGCTATAGCTGTTGCATTTTTTCCAGGTATGTTGAGAATACAGAGGTAATAAGAAAATGAATGTCCACATTTTTCTACCTCCAAATTGTATGAACATGCCTATGTCTGCCTCCTGGCATTCTTTCTCCTTCCAGAATGAACAGCTCATGCTGCTGAGTAAGAACAATATCATAGGTGCACTAGATCCCACTTTTTTCTTCCCATTCACTGACTTTGCATTTAAAATTGCCCAGTGTCTTCTGCATCATGATTTATTTTTATCTTTGTTTTTGCTGAGTCATCTCTACCAGGATATAAACAGGAAGCTTTAATATTGCCTAACCTAACACACACACACACACACACACACACACACACATACACATGCACGCATGCACGCACACACACCATCTTCTGTTTCAGGTACTTTCCCACTCCTCTGATCTCTTTAAAGTAAAACTCTTGTGAATGGGAAGTTTCTATACAAAATCATTCGCTATCTATCCTTCCATTGCCTTAGGAACAGACTCCAATTTGAGAATACCATTCCCTTTTCTTTATCCGCTTACGTTACTGGACTCATTCTCTTTTTGAAAGGTGTTCATTGTTCCTACCTCTACATTTTGATACACTCTAGAACCTACTACAGACTTCCTGTTTTCTCAGTATACATCTGTCATAGGTAATTTCATTTATTCTTATGATCATAAATACCATATAAGTAAGTTATTGATAAATACCAATTTTTAAATTTCAGACCTTTCCTAAATTCCCAACTTCTATGTCTGTCTATTCCACATACCCATTTGGCTTATACCCTTAGAATCTGCTCCTTCCCCATGCTTTCTTTCACGTTTATTAATGGCAAACTATTATTTTATTTTACAGTTAAAAACTATGTAGTTATCTTTGACTACTATTTTTCTCCCACAAAAATTCCAACAGTAAAACATCATGGGTCTACTTTCACAATATATCAAGAATCTGATCTCTCACCACTACCACCACCACAACAACATTCCAAGCCATCTTCTCTTCTATCCTGATTTATTGCAATAGCTTTCTGATTTCCAGAATTACCCTTTCCCTCCAATACACTTATGGCATTTTCTATACCTCACCACAACAGGAATTCTCAATATGACAAAAGGAGTGATTAATGGCATACCATACCACATCTCTGCTAAAATTCTAATGCTTTCTCCTCTCTCTCAGAATAAAATCCAACGTCCTTATTATGTTTTGGCTCCATGATACTACTGATATCAACTCCTTCCATACCCTAATTTGCTAGCTGTATACCAGTCACACATACCCTTTGATGTTATTAAACATATTAAGTACTCAAGTACTTTTCATTTCCATTACCTCTGTGTTTTTTGTTTGTTTGTTTGTTTTTGTTTTTGTTTTTTTAGACAGAGTTTTGCTCTTGTTACCCAGGCTGGAAGGCTGGAGTGCAATGGCACAATCTCGGCTCACCACAACCTCCACCTCCCGGGTTCAAGCAATTCTCCTGTCTCAGCCTCCTGAGTAGCTGAGATTACAGGCATGCGCCACCACACCTGGCTAATTTTGTATTTTTCCTAGAGACGGGGTTTCTCCATGTTGGTCAGGTTGGTCTTCAACTCCCAACCTCAGTTGATCCGCTCGCCTTGGCCTTCCAAAGTACTGGGATTACAGGCATGAGCCACCACACCCGGGCTGTTACCTCTGTCTTTAAAGGTCATTCCTAGATATATGCATGGATCAGACCTTCAATTCCTCCATTTATTTGTTCAAATGTCGTCTCATCTGTGATATCCTCTGAACACTTTTGAAAACAGGGCTCCCTACACACTCTATGCCTTTATTCACAAATTTTGTTTTTCATAGCATTTGTCATCATTTGACATACTATGTATTTGGTTATTTATTGTCTGTGTTCCTTTATCAGGTTATAATCTTTATAAGAATAGAAATTTTGATCTGTTAACTTTGCCTAGAATAGTGCTTGATGTATAGATAGTTGTTATAAATATATCTTAAATGAATGAGTTAATGCGCATTAAAAGTAAGAATTTTATGTGAAAATTAAAACAAAAAATATGTATCCAGATAGAGTGCCAGATTGTACAGGTGAGATGGCCAAGAAATGGAATGTGGGGGAGTGATAAACACTGTCTTAGGATGCATTTGGAGTGCCAGTCTGAGAACCATAGACTGGTTTCTCGGTGCCGTTATATTTGTCACAATCTGGCTATAGTAAATTCTGACATCAATTATTGGGCTATAAATTGAAAAGCCATTTAGGAAATTTGTTGGATGGAAAGCTGTTCTTAGGTGCTTCACCACTGTTTTAGGGGTACTATTTACAATCATGATTTTAAGTTAAAACAATAACAGCAACATAGACCTCACTATTCTCCACATATACAAATTGCATTTAATGGAACTACGTAGTTTACCCTCAAGCAAGAAGTTTAGAAAACTAGTTAATTCATATACTTCTTTTTCTTAAATATTCGAATTTTAATCCTCTATTCTTATTTTTTTTAAAAAAACATAATCATTAGGGAAGATAAAGTAGGTAAAATTATTGTGTGTGTGAGTGTGTGTGTATATATATATATATATATATATATATAAAATCCATCAAATTTAAAAGTGCTCAGCAAATTTTATGAAATAAAGGAATTGTGATACTACGGCAAACATTTAGTTTCCTAATTTATAATGCAAGTATAAGATAGGAAAGAGATTAATATATACCTCATACACACACACAAAGAAAACAGTTGTTAAAGTTTGAAGAACATAAACCATTGTAAAAGTATTTACCACCCTGAATACAAAGCAAATGACATATTAAAGAAAATGTAGCAATAAAAAGTGAAAAAGAAAATTTCAATATTTAACAGAACTAGAAACTATTCACAACCTCAAACTGTAAACTAATTAAACCAGCTTTTAAATATGCTGCTGTATTAACAATCAAGGGATAATGCTGAGTATAAAAACATACTTCTGCAGGGTTATATGCAGTGGTCAGAGTTCTCCATAAGTAGATAGAAAATCATCATAAAGATAGAAGCAACTAAAACTTTTCCTGTTCTATGTGGGATTGCAAACTGAACGCTGAACCCTAATAAATGGAGGAACAGTCCACTCTGCAGCTGATAATTGTGGTCAGCTGAAGGAAACCAGTGTTAAGACCGTAACTACAGGACCTTTGACAGAGTGCTATGTTGTCAACAAGGAAGACAGCAAGCTAGCCTGAAGCAAAGTCAAACCTCTAGGGCAAAATGTGGTGAGAAAATTCACTGAAATAATAGGCATCATCCTATTAGCTCCATGCTGGAGTTCCTGACCCTAGCCCTTTCTCTAAACATGTATTGAATAAAAGCCACACGAGAAAGCATGATCATTATTCAAAAATAACTAATGATGATAAAATAACTACAATGTAACTGTATCATACATAATGCAAAGACAATGAAAGAAAAAAGCATACTACCCAAAAGAAAGGAAAATAATACATACAAAAATTGTATCATAAAGCAGAGGAACTATAAAACAGTAAAAAGCAGTAAATAAATAATTTCTCAAGAAGTTAAATAATTTTTTAAAATGACCTGTCAAATAAAAGTTCAAGGTTCATAAATGAAATTCAAGGGCTTAAATAAAATATCACAAAAATATAATATTTGGCATTTTTAAAAGAAGTGGGTATAATACTAATGAAAATAATATCTGATAAATTTAGCAAAAAGAACAGTAAAATTGAAAATAATCATAATTCTTCAACAAAGTTGACAAACATAAGCATTGGGACAGAGACTCTCTATTCAATAAATAGTGCTGGGAAAATTGGATAGCCATATGCAGAAGAATGAAACTGGTTCCATATCTTTCACCATATACATAAATTAACTGAAGATGAATAAAAGATTTAAATGGAAGACCTCAAACTATAATAATCCTAGAAGAAGACTAGGAAACACCATTCTGGACACTGGCCTTGTGAAAGAATTTCTGACTAAGTCCTCAAAAAACATTGCAACAAAAACAAAAATTGACAAGTTGGACCTAATTCAACTAACAGCTTCGGCATACCAAAAGAAACTATCAACAGAGGGAACAGATGCCTTACAGAATGGGAGAAAGTGTTCGCAAACGGTGCATCCAACAAAGGCCTAATATCCAGAATCTATAAGAACTTAAGCAATTCAAAAGCTAAAAACAACCCCATTATAAACTTATCATAAGACATGACCAGATACTTCTCAAAATAAAACATACAAGTGGTCAGCAAACATATTTTTAAAAATGCTCAACACCACTAATCACCAGAGAAATGCAAATGAAAATCATCAGATACTATGCACACTGGGCATAATGGTGATTATTAAAAAATGAGAAAAAACACATTTGCCCACAAGGCTGTAGAGAAAAGGGAGTGCTTATACACTGTTGGTAGGAATGTAAACGCTTATACACTGTTGGTAGGAATGTGGAAAACAGTTTGGAGATTTCTCAAAGAACTTAAAACAGAACTACCATTCAACCCAGCCTTTCATTACTTGGTATATATCCAAAAAGTAAATAAATCACTCTACCAAAAAGACACCTGCATTCGTTATGTTCACAGCAGCACTATTCACAATGGCAAAGACCTAGGTGCCCATCAACAGTGGATTGGATAAAGAAAATATAGTACATACACACCACGGAATACTATGTAGCCATAAAAAAAAATGAAATCATACCCTTTACAGCAACATGGATGCAGGTGGAAGCAATTACCCTAAGATAATTAAAGCAAGAACAGAAAACCAAATATCACATGTTCTCACTTATAAATGGAAGCTAAACATTGAGTACTCATGGGTATAAGGATGACAATAGTCACAGTCACCAGGACTACCAGAGGGAGGAGGAAAGGGGTGGGACAAGGTTTAAAAAAGAAACTATTGGGTACTATGGTAACTCTTTGGGTGATGGGATCAATTGTACCCCAAAACTCAGCATCATGCAATCTACCTATGTAACAAAATTGCACAAGAACCCTCTGAATCAAAAATAAAAGTTGACATTTTAAAAATAAAAAAAAAACACATGAAAGGAAATAATGAGTCAATATCCAAGTAAATTTTATTTCAAGAATACAATGCTGATACATAATTGGTAAATTTATCCTATTAGTCACCATATTAATATGACAAATGATGTATACCTTATATTCAACTTGATAGGTTTTAAAAGATGGGCAAAAACTGGAAGCATTCCCTTTGAAAACTGGCACAAGACAGGGATGCCCTCTCTCACCACTCCTATTCAACATAGTGTTGGAAGTTCTGGCCAGGGCAATTAGGCAGGAGAAGGAAATAAAGGGTATTCAATTAGGAAAAGAGGAAGTAAAATTGTCCCTGTTTGCAGACGACATGATTGTATATCTAGAAAACCCCATTGTCTCAGCCCAAAAGCTCCTTAAGCTGATAAGCAACTTCAGCAAACTCTCAGGATACAAAATCAATGTACAAAAATCACAAGCATTCTTATACACCAACAACAGACAAACAGAGAGCCAAATCATGAGTGAACTCCCATTCACAATTGCTTCAAAGAGAATAAAATACCTAGGAATCCAACTTACAAGGGATGTGAAGGACCTCTTCAAGGAGAACTACAAACCACTGCTCAAGAAAATAAAAGAGGATACAAACAAATGGAAGAACATTCCATGCTCATGGGTAGGAAGAATCAATATCGTGAAAATGGCCATACTGCCCAAGGTAATTTACAGATTCAATGCCATCCCCATCAAGCTACCAATGACTTTCTTCACAGAATTGGAAAAAACTACTTTAAAGTTCATATGGAACCAAAAAGAGCCCGCATCGCCAAGTCAATCCTAAGCCAAAAGAACAAAGCTGGAGGCATCACACTACCTGACTTCAAACTATACTACAAGGCTACAGTAACCAAAACAGCATGGTACTGGTACCAAAACAGAGATATAGATCAATGGAACAGAACCGAGCCCTCAGAAATAACGCCGCATACCTACAACTATCTGATCTTTGACAAACCTGAGAAAAACAAGCAATGGGGAAAGGATTCCCTATTTAATAAATGGTGCTGGGAAAACTGGCTAGCCATATGTAGAAAGCTGAAACTGGATCCCTTCCTTACACCTTATACAAAAATCAATTCAAGATGGATTAAAGATTTAAACATTAGACCTAAAACCATAAAAACACTAGAAGAAAACCTAGGCATTACCATTCAGGACATAGGCATGGGTAAGGACTTCCTGGCCAAAACACCAAAAGCAATGGCAACAAAAGACAAAATTGACAAATGGGATCTAATTAAACTAAAGAGCTTCTGCACAGCAAAAGAAACTACCATCAGAATGAACAGGCAACCTACAAAATGGGAGAAAATTTTCGCAACCTACTCATCTGACAAAGGGCTAATATCCAGAATCTACAATGAACTCAAACAAATTTACAAGAAAAAAACAAACAACCCCATCAAAAAGTGGGCGAAGGACATGAACAGACACTTCTCAAAAGAAGACATTTATGCAGCCAAAAGACACATGAAAAAATGCTCATCATCACTGGCCATCAGAGAAATGCAAATGAAAACCACTATGAGATACCATCTCACACCAGTTAGAATGGCAATCATTAAAAAGTCAGGAAACAACAGGTGCTGGAGAGGATGTGGAGAAATAGGAACACTTTTACACTGTTGGTGGGACTGTAAACTGGTTCAACCATTGTGGAAGTCAGTGTGGCGATTCCTCAGGGATCTAGAACTAGAAATACCATTTGACCCAGCCACCCCATTACTGGGTATATACCCAAAGGACTATAAATCATGCTGCTATAAAGACACATGCACACGTATGTTTATTGCGGCATTATTCACAATAGCAAAGACTTGGAACCAACCCAAATGTCCAACAATGATAGACTGGATTAAGAAAATGTGGCACATATACACCATGGAATACTATGCAGCCATAAAAAATGATGAGTTCATGTCCTTTGTAGGGACATGGATGAAATTGGAAATCATCATTCTCAGTAAACTATCGCAAGAACAAAAAACCAAACACCGCATATTCTCACTCATAGGTGGGAATTGAACAATGAGATCACATGGACACAGGAAGGGGAATATCACACTCTGGGGACTGTGGTGGGGTGGGGGGAGGGAGGAGGGATAGCATTGGGAGATATACCTAATGCTAGATGACGAGTTAGTGGGTGCAGCGCACCAGCATGGCACATGTATACATATGTAACTAACCTGCACAATGTGCACATGTACCCTAAAACTTAAAGTATAATAAAAAATAAAAATAAAAATAAAAAATTAAATTAAATTAAAAAAAGAAAAAACAAGTGGATATTTTAAAAAAAAAATTCGCCTCTATTCTAGATTTTTAAAAGGGAAATTAAAATAGGATAAAGTCTTATGTATTAAAATTATTTCCTACACGCATACATTGATATAAAAAATGGAAGTATTTTGAAAGATGAAATTCTAATCACTCCTCAGGCCTCGTTAAGGATATGCACTATCATCACGTTTATTTTCTGATACTTCTGAAAACATGACTTTACGAAATAAACAAGAACAAAATCTAAGGAATATTATCAGAAAGACAGAAGGCAAAGTATCATCAACTTCAGATATGAAAATCAAAGTAATCATAAAGAGAGTTTTATGTTTTCTCCCAGATTGTGTGAATATTTTTAAAAATCCTATTTTAATTTGCTTATGTTTTTATTTTACCTCTTTACAGTAGATTGAGAGTGGTAGCACTAAAAATTACAATATAATTTCTTTACGTGTCAACTTCTACTCCGAAGTATTAGGTTGGTGCAAAAGTAATTGTAGTAATGGCAAAAATCACGCTTACTTTTGCATCAACCTATAATATTAACCCAAGCCATGTGAAAAGTAGAAACCTCACAACAATATGAAACCATTTACCCATGCATTCCAACAAAATTTTAGTTGGAATTGTCATAGGTATTACATTTTCATAATCTGTAAATTCCACAAGAAAATGTTACATATATGTCTTTCTTTAAACATTAATGCATATCTAAAAGAAATTAAGAGAAAAAATGGACTTAAACGTGTACCCAGATATTTACCATATTCAATGATCTTCATTTCTCTTGGAGGTCTAAATTTTCATCTGAAATTATTTCCCTTCAGCCTGAAGAACTTTTTTTTTAAACCTGTTCTTGTAGAACACTTCCATGAATGATAAGTTATCTTAGTCTGATTTTATCAGCAAAAATTTTATTTTACCTTCATATTTGATGAATATTTTCACAGGATATAGATTTCTGGCTTGACAGTTGTTTTCTCTCAGCATTAGTAGGTGTTGGACAACTGTCTTCCGCCTCAACTATTTCTTTTTCTTCTTTTTCTTCTTCTTCTTCTTCTTCTTCTTCTTCCTCCTCCTCCTCCTCTTCTTCTTCTTCCTCTTCTTCTTCTTATTGTGTTTGTTTTGTTTTGTTTTGTTTTGTTTGTTTTGTTTTGAGATGGAGTCTCGCTCTGTCGCCCAGGCTGAAGTGCAGTGGCGCCATCTCGGCTCACTACAACATCCACCTCTCAGGTTCGAGCGATTCTCCTGCCTCAGCCTCCTGAATAGCTGGGATTACAGACATGCACCACCAATCCGGGCTAATTTTTGTATTTTTAGTAGAGACAGGGCTTCACCACGTTAGCCAGTCTGGTCTTGATCTCACAACCTCAGGCGATCGGCCTGCCTCAGCCTCCCAAAGTGCTGGGATTACAGGCATGAGCCACCATGCCCAGCTTGCCTCAACCATTTATGATGAAAAATTTCTGCTCATTTAATTCATTGTTTGTTATGGTAAACTATCCTTTTCTCTTTCTAGCTGCTTTCAATATTTTTGTTAAGTTTTGATTGTCAGCAGCTTGTCTAAAATGTGCCAGCTATAGTGATCTTCTTATTTATCATCTTTGGGTTCTCTGAGCTTCTAGAATTTATAATTTCATATGCTATACTAAATTGAGAAGTCTCTGGCCCTTATATGTAATTTTTTTCTCATAATATACTATTTGTTTAGGTATTGCATCTAAGATTTTCACCTAAGAGAGACTGGCTTGAATATTCTTTTTTAAAGACCATATACATATACTTTTTTAAAGACTACATACTTCCCACATTTTGTATCAGATTACGGTGGTGCCATAAATGCACTGAAGATTATTTGCTATTTTTTGTTCTCTAGAAGATCGTATATAAGCTGAAGTTATTTTTATTTTTTAAATTTCATCAATGAGGCCATTTGGACCTGAATATTTCTTTGAATGAAAGTCTTACACCTAAAATTAAATATTCAAAGGAGAACCCATTTCGTTTCAGATAGTCTGCTTCTTCTATTGAATATTGCAGTACATTTTAACTTGTTGTTTACAAAACACTTTCTTATTTATTCAAATATTTGAAGTTTATAGGCATAAGGTCCTTCATAACATGTTCTTACTAACTTGTAGTGTTTACAGAAATTGAAGTAACGTCCTCTTTTTATCCTTGATATTGATAATGGTACTTTATCGATCTCGCCAGAGCTTATCAATTTCAATTTTGTTTATAAAGAACCAATTTTTAGTTTTGTTAAATTTTTCTTAATTGTATGTTAGTGTTTTTCATACTAATTTCTGGTTTTGTACTAACTTTGCATTTTTTCTATCAATTTTATTTGGGGTTAATTTGCTATACTTTGGAGGATTAATTTCTAATTCTTAAGTTATTGATTCATATTTTAAACCTATTATATCAGAGAACATACATAATTTTAATACACAAAACTCTTGAATTTAGTTAATATTTTCTTTAAAACAGCCCGTTATACAATACTTTTGGTAAATGCTCCCTGTGTACTTTAACAACAACAACAAAAACCTATAGGAATTTAGCACCATATTCTAGACATAACAATTAGCTAAATTTTGTTTATGATGTTGTAACTACTGCTAATCAGAGCTTATACTCAGGGCAACTTGAATCTATGTCTCCTGGGCTGCAGTCCTCAACCTTGGCCCAAATGAGCTATCTACTTATTTTAATTTTGCCTCAGTTTCTTCCTTTGGTTTGACATTTACTTAATGCTGGAACCTTAGAACGCTTCAACTATAACTACCTTCCTGATCTATTTTGTTATACTTGTTGCACAATTTGATTCTGCATGTATTTAAAACTCTACAAGTTACTCTATTTGAATACATATTTTAATTTTGGTTGCATATTCTTTAATTGCTTTTTCATGTTGAAATATTGTATAATTTTCTATATGGAGAATATACACCATCACAACCTTACACCTAACATGCTGCTTTAAATTTGTTTATTATTATTAATTGTTGAGATGTTAGGAATTTAGGTAAACTAAATCAGACTCTTTTCTGAGGTAATGACCAGCTCCTACACTAAATCAGAATAAACAGAGACATGGCAAAGGCCTAAAACAAATAAAGCCATACCTCAGGCTATTGCTTTCACTTGCACCTCCTTCTTTTGTTTCTTTATTCATCATTGTCTCACTGTATAGTCTCCCCTGCTGGTTGATTTCTCTTTGTATAAAATACAATTAATGAAGACCATGGGATAAATTTTACCATTTCTAATCATGTCTTCCTGATAATCATATCAAAACTCCTAGGACCTTCTCTTCAAGAATTTCTTCATTTAAAATGTGCTCTGACTTCAAAATTGTACCTTTTTTTCCTCTACCTCAAATATTGAGTAGGTGCTGCTCATATTTTCTTTATTTGTATCTATGAATGGAAACCGCTGGTGCCATTAACATGGCAGCAAAAAGAATACAAGAGAACTTTCCACATGATAAATGTCTAGTACATATACTCAATTGAATGAAAAATTTCCAGGCATATCAGTCCCTGAGTTCAAAACCTAGTTTGATTTCTGAGAAAATAATAATTTTTTTTTTAATTATTATTATACTTTAAGTTTTAGGGTACATGTGCACAATGTGCAGGTTAGTTATATATGTATACATGTGCCATGCTGGTGTGCTGCACCCATTAACTCGTCATTTAGCATTAGGTATATCTCCTAATGCTATCCCTCCCCCCTCCCCCCACCCCACAACAGTCCCCAGAGTGTGATGTTCCCCTTCCTGTGTCCATGTGTTCTCATTGTTCAATTCCCATCTATGAGTGAGAACATGCGGTGTTTGGTTTTTTGTCCTTACGATAGTTTACTGAGAATGATGGTTTCCAATTTCATCGATGTCCCTACAAAGGACATGAACTCATCATTTTTTATGGCTGTGTAGTATTCCACGGTGTATATGCGCCACATTTTCTTAATCCAGTCTATCATTGTTGGACATTTAGGTTGGTTCCAAGTCTTTGCTATTGTGAATAGTGCCGCAATAAACATACGTGTGCATGTGTCTTTATAGCAGCATGATTTATAGTCCTTTGGGTATATACCCAGTAATGGGATGGCTGGGTCAAATGGTATTTCTAGTTCTAGATCCCTGAGGAATCGCCACACTGACTTAATATTCTTAATAAATATGATAGTTAACATTTAATGAGTCCATAGTTACAATATATCAAGAAATATTCACATTGTACTATTGAAGGAATTTAGGTACTGTAAAGAAGTCACATTGACAGTAAAACTGAATCAGAATTGGAATCCAGGTATTATGATGACAAAATCATTGCTCTTTACCACCTTTTAAAGTCTTCCATTAAGAAAATATTACAGAAATATTTCAGGTTGTAGGTTGTATTTACCCACACAATCCATTTTGGAAGAAAAGGCATATTTAACACTCAACTGATTAAACTATTTTTTAAGTGCTTTGTATATAGATATAGCTTTAATCTTAACTTATACCACTTATATGTATAGTCTTTTGAAAAAAATAGAAGTAAAATTAAATTATGTATTTAAGAGACAATGTTACAAATTAGAATAGCCTATTAATCAGTTATCATTTTCTTTCTAACACATTCATTCATCTATCTTTCTTACCTTTATTGAAAGGTCTATATTTGATAAAATATTAAGTAATTACATATTTAAACTATTAAAATAATTGTTAAAATTATGCAAACATTTATTTCTCAAATTTATTTTTGGGTAAGTGTTGCTTTTAATAACATGCCTTATTCTTTGATATTTAGATCAACATACAGATTATATTTCACTTCTTATTTTCAGCTATAATCTTAAATTATATTAAATAATTCCTCCTTTTTATGGCTATTTCTTCTCAATTTTTAGATTGCATTCCTGTCTCTTCTGTCACTTACATCTCATCTTTTATTGCTAGTTAAAAAATAACTCATTTTCTTAATCAGTTAACACCCATTCCTACATGCTTTCTCTTTTATTAATGACAACTGTGCAATGTAATTCTGATCATCCCTGTTATTTTAAAGCGGATGTAACTTCTAGGAGCTGTTTATCTCACTGAGCTAAACACATAATTATACAATATATAAGTAAAGTCAGGTGTGGTAGAAAAATCTTACATTTTTATATAATTCTTCAATACACAAAATAAGCCTGAGTAAGAAGTATACAGAAAGAGGTAATCCAACATTCTGAGAGATTCTTTAGATTTTGAAAGGGTCAGCTGGCAAGTGCAAAGGATAGTAATAAAAGTACATCATGGCCTTTTGCCTCAGGAAATGTACAGACAGAATGCCTCAGATGGGAGACTATATATTTTGCAATAGGGCTCATAAAGAAACACAGCGTATTAGTGCCAGTGAGATGTGGACTTAGGTATAGAAAGAAGACAGGATAGCAGAGACAAAGGTTTAACCACAATTATAAGGCAAATACAGCAAGATCGATAACTTGTGACAGAACAATTTACTTTCTTAAATTTGGCTGCTTGTGAAGGGAAATAGAAGCTAAGTGAGAGTTTCCTATGTGGGAGGTGCTTAGAAACAGGTAAAGAGTACAGAAATTAAGGAATTCGAAAATTGTGTATTTAGGTCATATAACTGAAGAAAGCAGTATTTTGAATTCTTAAATTAGAAATTGAGTATTTAGGTTATTCTTCAAAACACAGTGTTGCGATCCTTACAGAGTGAGAAATGCCTGGAAAATAGCTAACAAAAGATGAACAAAAGGATGTTTTACAAAACAAAACAAGAGCTAACATAATTGAACTCTTAGTATGTTTAAACAACACTTCCCACAAATGCAACCTTGTGAAAAACTGAGAAAATGGCAGCCATTTCTTTATTTTTATCTCTATCCACAATTTAATCAAAGTACAGTAGTAGCAAAGTTAATTAGAGGTAAATTATATTGACAATATCCTCTGTAAAACTATTAAAACATATATAAATGTAAACATATATATGTATTCATATATAATACTTATTTATTTTAATGTGATAATTTCAGCCAATAAAAGAGCAAGCCCTAAGGGTTGATGTAAAAACAAAACTATTAAGGAACAGATTTTAACAGAATAAAGACAATACTTTTTGAAAGAATTTTTAGTATTTCCTAATGTTTTTTCCTAATAAAATTTGATTCAAAGTTAGAATTTTTATTATATGTAACATTTAGCATGCTAACTACTCTGAAGTTAATTCCGATCACAAGATTTTTACAAAAATTCAATAGATTCCTGAGGGTTTCTTTACTTAAATACCCATATATATTTTAGGATTGTGTATTTACCTAATATGAGGTTTGATCACAGGATTAAAATATTTGTAAAACTACAGAAGTAACTATACAAGAGATGTTAATGACACAGCCAATGAAAGATCAAAGAGATTTAGAAACATTATTCTGGTTAAAAAAAAAAAAAAGGCAAAGTGTATTGCAAATCAAGGCAAAGCTTAGTTGTAATCACAGTTGAATTCCCAGACTCCAGGACCTTATCTAGTATTAACAGGGTACTCAATAAACATTTGTTAAATGAAAAAGAATAAAGAGAAGAAAATATGAATAACATAAATACCCAAGTACTGTAGGGTAAACCAAATACTTGATTGAATTACATAAAATTACTGATAGTTCCATTGATCTATAAATATAACAATTTTATACGGTTCAGGCTATAGAAGGAATATATGCAAATAATATGACTAAGCTTAAATTGAGAAACATATTAAATCTATGAATCCACCAGCAATGAACTTGAATTTTTCTCATTTTATGGATGACCTGAAGTTCATTGATATAGATATATGTCATAACAAATTATAAATTTCCTATTTTCTATATTTTTTCAGAAACTATCAAAAAGTCTATTGAAAATCAATTGATACTATATTCCTATCTATCCTGAAATCTGAATGTGGTTAGGGTTGCTGAACTGGACCTATTAATTGTTGTAGCTGAAAAACACAAGGGTATTGATTGTGTTTCCATAAAATACATAAATAAATAAAGGTTTCAGTACTCTATTATTATTAATAATAATTATTGTTAGAATAGCATGACTGGAACTAGTTCAATCAAAATGCACATGGGCAACTGTCAATGCACAAGGCAGTTTAATATCCTGTGGAACTGTGACATTACAACAGCATCCCACATTTGCTTCCAAAACCTGAAAGATGCTTTGGGTTAAATTACTAGATACTAACTCTGAATTTAAATTTATGCTTTGTATTTCTGAATTATGCTCTTTCACCTTCCCTAGCAGAAAGACAGAGAGTCATGTGCTTCAGTGAAACAAAAATTACCATAGAGAGTATGGCTAATAACAAAGCAGTTGCCCTGGACCAGAATAATAACTTTGTATGTTTATCACTAGATTTTAAACTTCCTCAATGAAAGGACTATGTATCACTAGGGTAAGGGAGAACTTCTTGAGAATTTTCTGGCATGTAGGTGATAATCATTAATAACTGGGAACACTTAGGACAGTAGAGACAGAGAATATTTTTAAGAGGTGCTTAATGGGAAGGCTTTGGTAAGAATTCCTAAACCTAAGTTGTTAGAGATTTTCTCAGTTAAAAACAAAACATAAGAAAAACAAACAAACAAAACTCTGTATATACTTAATATCAGTTAGGATTGATTTTGACTGAAAGAACAAAAAGGAAAACCACTTAACAGTAGCTTAAATAATAGAGGTGGAAGCAGGCAATCAACTGCTCATACAAACACTTTTTGTATTTTTGCTTATTTAATGTGTTGGTTGTCATACCTATACTCATGGTCATAAAGAGATTTCTTCATATCAGCCATCACATTTGCATTTCAGGCAGGAAGAAATGAAGAGTAAAAAAACACAGGGTAAAGTCCCAGCCCATAAGCTTGTTCCTCTGAATGAAGTACACAAAATACTTTCAAGAAACACTACAAATCAGAATTAGTTTATATTTCTTTAGCAATATATGAGTTACAAAGACTCTCTGGCCCAACACTGAGGAATGATAATAAAAGTAACAATGTAAGATTTGCTGAACCTTTTCTCTAATATTGAGAATGGGTTTTTGTTACATTAATCATATTCTGGATAATTATATCTTAAAATATTCAAAACACTAGCTGAGTTCTCATACTGTTGAACTTAAAATTCCTAATGTTCATAATAGCTTCATTACTATTTGACGGCAGAAGTATCACATATTTTCTCTGAGTCTTGCTCTCCCAACCAATAAAATGGAAAAGGGGCTTGTGAAGGCAAATAATTCCTTTTCTGTGTAGCTCACAGTTTTTTGTAATAATCAAATGAGTTTACAGATTTATAATTATAAATATCTATTAAAAACCAAAGCATTCAGAAATTCTTGGGAAATTATATATTAAATATGTGCATGATGCTAAGAGTTCAAAATATCTTTTGGCAATCATGTAGATGATTTATCTTGTGTTCATTATGCAGGAAATATCCTCTCATCAAACGTTTTGACGAAATCTTACGAGTTTTTTCTTATTTAATTCATTTCTTATATAAGATTATTTTTCAAGTATCACTTTGTTAAATCCAACTTCTTAATTAAACATCAATGCATACTATTAAAATAATTTGTCTAGGCTATCAGCCTTTTCTTCCTGATGTTTCAAGGCCAACTTTTGTAGCAAACATAATGGATATTGCCAGAAATAAACAGAAGCCCAACATGTATGAATCAACATTAATCACCATGGTTACTTATCTTTTTTTTTTTTTTTTTTTTTTTTTTTTTGAGACGGAGTCTCGCTCTGTCGCCCAGGCTGGAGTGCAGTGGCGCGATCTCGGCTCACTGCAAGCTCCGCCTCCCGGGTTCACGCCATTCTCCTGCCTCAGCCTCCCGAGTAGCTGGGACTACAGGCGCCCGCTACCACGCCCGGCTAATTTTTTGTATTTTTAGTAGAGACGGGGTTTCACCGTGTTACCCAGGATGGTCTCGATCTCCTGACCTCGTGATCCGCCCGCCTCGGCCTCCCAAGGTTACTTATCTTTTGAGGACAGTAGCAAGTATCATGTGAATATGCTGGAAACTCTTCTTGGAATATTTGTTTATTGACATTTTAATCCTTTTAAGTCTATTTTTGCATTTACTGTTAAAAATTTACCAACCTTCAAGATTCTAAGAAATTAGAGTAAAAAACTTTAAGAAAACAAACTCATGTTTTTTAACTGCAGTCCTTTTTAAAATTAGATTTCTCATGAAAGAATTAAGGTTTTGGGCAAATACAGGCTTTAGTTTCAACCCCTACTATTTTATGTTCTCTGAGTCTTACATGAGTTCCCCTTCAACTACAAACGAAATCCCTAATTAACATTTGTAAAAGAATATAATGTCAAGGGAAGTGACATATTTTCCATAAAAGCATAGTTCTTAATGATTTTTTGTTTCATGCATCTGTTTCAGAATCTGATAACAGTGATATTTTCTTCCTATAAATGTAAACACACTCATAACATTTAGGAAGTTATTTCAATTCAACAACCTCCAGAGCCCTAAAAACTTGTTATGCTCTTCCTAAGCGTCATGAATTCCTGAGGTTTTTTATTGTTCATACAGAACCACTCATAAACATAAGGTTTCACCTGAATAGATGACTTAGGATCAGTGCTGTACCTTCAAATAAATTTGCCTTAGCACCAAAGCATTCTGACAGCTTATTTGGAAACAGCTGAAATGAGTATGAATCCCTTCAGTTGATTTCTAGACATACATTCATTTATTCTTTCAAAGGATTTTAATCAAGTTTTTACTATGTGATAGAGAAACATGAAAAGTTTGCAAAAAATCAATTGGATATTACTTCAAGCCATTAAGTGGTGAAATAGAATTCAGGGATATTATGATAAAAGTTCCTAGGACCAAGTCCTCCTCATCAAAACCATCAGAAATCTAATGAGCTCCTGAAGACTGCTACACATATGATAGTGGCTAGAATATAAGTTGCAGTAGCTTTTGTTTCAAATAATAATTAAGTATACATAGGATATTAATCATGAGAGCATCTCAGCAGTAAGAAAGATGATGTCTTGAATTTCATATTTTGTTTAGAGTCTAATTGAAAATTGAAGTTAAATCAGAATTTCTAGACTTATTCATCACGAATGGGGAAAGTTTCTGCAAATATCTTATAAATGGAAGCAGTCAAGGTTCATGTAGCTCTATTATTAAACTCTTTATTTGGCAGAACATTTCAGCCAATTTCGATTCATGCTGTTAAATTTCTGTGCTTGTCTCCTACAAGCCTATACTTTGGTTTAAGAAACAACCCAATAATTTTCAACATTCCAGAATCATTTGGCGTAACACAGCAATTCTCCTATACTTGAACAAGTAAAATAAGCTTAATGGAGCAACCATTATTCAAGAACACTTACCAGGTATAGAGACAACATTCAAACATTTACATTAAATTAATAAAAAATGGACATCAATATTTTAAAACATAAGATTAAATTCTTAGGTATGATTATATATTTTTTAAATTACTAAAATGTGCAGGGGCATTTTCGAAATACTGTTAGTCTCATCAGACTGTTTATTCCAAAAAAACTCTTGCATAAGCTGTTCTCTATGCTTATGTTTGTTATGCACATTTTACTAAATTATGTTACTAGAATTTTTCTCTGAGTTTATTTCTTCATCTAAATTTGAGGTTCTTATTTTAGCGTTTACGTATATATTCAAAATTGACAAGATGTCTGTGATGGTTGCTATTAGGAATGTACAGAACACTGCATATTTCCAGTTGTAGTTAGCAATAAGTATTTTTTCAAAAGACAGCCAACATAACATACATTAATTATTCTCCTTTGCCTTGTGGGCCATAATTACAAAGAATCAAGTTGTTAAACCAATATTTTTCTCATAAGAAGAAAACTCATTGGCCTTCTCTCCCAGGTGCAATCAGTTACAACTTCACTTTGAATTCCATGGCTCCAATTACTAGCCAGTTATTCCTGCAGCTGTGAAAAATAATACCTGAGGCTAATTTCTATGTCTTAGGTGGAAGTGCACATTTTTCCCAAGGGGAAAGAATTGCAGAGTTGTAAAAAAAAAAAATTTGATGCTGATAGCTAACAATCAGGGCACTGGTTCTTGTAGAGAGACACACATGTAAAACTTTGTTAAAGAAATGAGCTTGTGCTGTTATCCTATCTCAAATAAACTATTTTAAATTTGGTCTGCACTTTTGTGAATTCCTGGTGAACCTTCCAGGATATGTTGATCTGGGGTGTGGAATCCTGAGTACCAACCAGTAGCTGCTATCTCTGTTCTGTTTGTATGCATGATAGTATATCTCTTTTAGAAATATTTTTATCAAATATTAATTGACATACTGTTTATAATGAAATAAATAAAAATTATAGAGAAATACCTATGATTAGAAAATACATCCGCGAAAAGAAACATCTCTTTTCCTAATTAGAAAAAGGAGCAAATGAATAGAATATCCAGTTGCTTTGATGTTTGCAATGTTTCATTTTGGTGCTGCATAATCTACCTTGATTATATTACTTTCAAGTTCTTTCATTGCTGTAGTTCAAGTTCCATGAAAAAATATAATTTCATTTTTTAGAATGCTAGTGAAGAAATGAAGTGACACTTATCCATTAGTTATCTAGTAAATAAAATCACCCTGATAATCCAGTTTGTTCTTTTTTATCATGATATTTAAAAAATCATAGCCTTTATTGATTTTTAAGCTCAATAAAGTTGAACTGCAAACCGGAGACCAGATGCACTGGGATCTCATAAAATACTGCTTAAGACTGTGATGACCTGACATGAAGGAAATTGACAATTTTTTTTCAATTTCTATTAAAAATGTGCCATTTTAACTTATACTCCAATCATATGCACTTTGAGGACATCAAAATTAAATAAAAAATTTAACAACATTCAAAATGATACCTTCTTATCAATGGAACACAACCTCTATCATTAACTCGAGAAAATGTTTAGGATTCAAATTTTGTTTTTAATTGTACTTTCCTTAGGAGTTTCTAGGCATTAAAATATAGAGACCATTTGGTTAGCAATTATTACTCACTATTAAGTCGAGTTTGTAACAAAAGTCAGTCCTTTATCTTCATTCTGCAAGTACTGCAAGAGAATAGCAAGCCGGCTCTATTCACTAGTATGGCTCACGTTGCGAGTGGCTGGTGGAATTGTAAGGTGCAATGGGAAGAGTGTTTTTAAATAACACTTTAGCCCATATCCCCACTTGAACACTTTCACTTTCTGCTTCTGTCTTTCTTGCTTTCAGTAGCTACTTCACACTCAGCACATTATGGTCTCTTATTTTCTATTTTAATGTAGCGTTCTCATTTTGAGACAAAACTGCTGCTGAAGGAGAAATCTAACTTTAATTGGCATTCATGATAGAACAAGTACAATATTAAGTGATTTGAAATAATATATCTCATTCTATTAGTTAAAAAACTCTATGCATTATGTAACACTGCCTCCATTTCACAAACGAGAAAATTGAGGCAAAAGTTCATTGCCATATACATTAAAACCAAAGAGGAAATAGGTATATTTGTCAGTTAAAAATAAAATTCTTGCTTTTTGTATGTAAACACCTGAGATCTGATGATTACTAGAATGATATTAATTTGCTATGGCTATGTAACAAACTACCACAAACTTTACATATTAAAACAGCATACATTTATTATTTCATAGTTTCCATCAATCCAAAGTCTGGACAATGCTTAGCAGGTCCCTCCATTTGAATAGGGTGAAATCAAGTTGTTAACTGACTCAAGTTCTTTTCTAGAGTACCAAGGCGCACATCATGTTGGTAGAATTGAGATACAGGCAGGTGTGGAACTGAGGTCCCCATTTTCTTTCTGGCTGTTGATTAGGGAATTTCAGCTTTTAAAGGCTGCCATGAGTTCCTTATCGCATGGTTCTCTCACAGTGCCTCTCACAACATGGCAGCTTACCTTGTCATGGCAGATGGAAAATCTTTTACTCCACTCTGTTAAAACAAAGTTTTATATACGACCTGATCAAGGAAGTGAAATCCATCACCTTTGATATCTTAAATTTGTATGGGCAAGTTTCACATTCAATGTACACTCAAGGAAAAGGGAATATGAGCTTGACTTATTGGAGTCATCTTAGAATTGTGCCTACCACACTTTGCCCTCTGGCCCCCAATACTTCCTGTCCCTGCCACATGCAAAATAGATTCACCCCATCTTATGGTCTCCAAAAGTCTTATCCTTATAGTATCAGCTCAAAATCCAACATCTCATCATTTAAATCTAAATCACATTATCTCATTATCTCAAATTCCAAAATCTTCTTATCTAAACATGACTCTTCTTAGTGTAATCCATTCAACAAGCCTGGGCACACTTGATTTCCATCTGCAGTCCTAAGAAATTAAAGAGACACTTTACCTATGCTTAACACACTCAATATATATTATGGGAACAGATATAGGTGAGACATAAGTAAGAAGTAGAGGCATTCTTCTTCAAACTGGGGTGAAATGAAAGTTAGGAATTGTTTGCCTATTGCAGTCCTGAAATCCAGCTGGGAAAATTCGAGGAGTCTCTATCAATTTTCAAGGCCCAAGAATAAGTTATCTATTGCTCTTGGTTCCTTCTTGTGGACTCTGGGTTCTCCTTTCTGAGTCATCCTTCTTTTTCATAAAAAGCAGCACATGTTTGCATCTAAGTAGATTTACCAGTCCACCTCGTGATATAAATGTAATTTTATTTAATTTTATACTAATTTTATTTTAATTTTATATACTTTGCCCTTTTAGCCCAGTGTTTCAGCTAAAATAAATTTCTCAACAACTTTGTAAGTATTGCCTGAATTTCACTGTGGTTAAAGTAGACAAAATCCATATCTACAAATCTTTTCAATATAATATATTTTCTTTGTCTCCTGCATAGATGGCTGAGGTAGAGCATCCTTAAACTTTCTAGAGGTCCTGTGATTTGGTTAAGATTTCAAGAATCTCTTAATCTATAGAAAATACCTTTAATATGATTGAATAATCAGACTTTTGGATCCTACTGACATTTTAGTAAAAATTATACATTTACACTGTTTGATTTCTCTTTGTCACGTTTTCAGCAGCGATTTTTAACTTTTAGTGGGTTTTCTTGCCATTTAGATAGGCTGAGAATTTTCAAAATTATCCAGTTCTGGTTGCCTTTTGTTCAACAGTTCTTTCTTCAATCTAACCATTACATTCTATCTACAATAAAAAGCAAGAAGAAATCAGATGGCACCTTCGACATTTTCCTTGGAATTTTTCTTAGCCATATATATGGATTCATTACTTAAAAGTTTTACTTTTTACACAATTACAAGACAAAATTTCGCTAAGATTTCTGCCACTACATAACAAGGATCCCTTTCTCCAATTTTCAGTAATATGCTTGCTTCTCACTTCCTTCTGAGCCCTCACCAGCAGCATCTTCCAAATTCAGATTTCTTTTAATAGTCAACCCAGGTCAATTCAGACATTATCTATTTGTGTCTAAATATTTCCAGCCTCCACTGATCACTCTGTTACAAAACCACTTAAATTTTTTTAGTTACTTATTACAGTAGTACTCCATTTCTAAATACAAAGTCTGTATCAGATAATTTCAAGCATATATAAGTATAATATATACATATACACACACACACATACATACACATATTGAATGTGAATGTTGAACCTGGAAGCTTGACTTGTCTTATCTCTGGGAGCTTGTGCTTATCTTTTAGTCAAGCGGTGTTGTGTGTGCAAAGCCAGCAAAGGTGATGTTGGCATCTGTTATATTTGTTGTGTATAGACTAAAGCACTGAAACCCAACTGGTGTACTTCATGGCCCAATTAAAGGTGGCCAAATCTAAGTTTCCAATAGTCCAAGGGTTTCCCAGATGGGGATGATAGAATTTCTGTTACTAATAGGTTTTAAATCACATAACCTGATTTGGGTGTATGCTGATAATAGGGTATCAGGTTGTTTGGCAATTAAAATATCTGTGGCTGAGACTGGAGCTCCAGCACTAGCCTATAGTCAGGCCCTACAATTTTGACAATCACTAGGGACCCTAAGCCTCAGTTTTCCATTTGGTGGTAACTATCAAGCCATCAATGTCTTTCGAATGCGGGGCTTGTATTAACAAAATTCAATGGCATGTGGGCCTCAGCATTTGCCGTGCTTGGCTGCAACAATGGCTTACTTGAAGAGTTTGGCCCTCTGATCACAAACCGATGAAAACACCCAAACCAATAACAAGACCAACAGTCAATAGAATGATGTGCAGCTGCACTTGACAGGCTTTTCTTGCCTAATAATGATTTTTTCTCTAGCATGTATTATTATCAAGGAGGGACTGTTTGGTTTTGTTACTCTGGGATGTGATGTTGACTCAATTATTATCTCCAAATGTGATTTTAATTTATTAACTGGAGTTTTTTATCTCCTTTCTTTGTATTCCATACTGTCTGTAAAAAATGGCCCTAGAGAACTAATTTTAATATCCTGGATATGATAAGAGGCACAGCCCAGATTAATTATCCATCACTTATAACTCAAATAATGAGGAAGCTTTTAAGGTGGTAGAAATTAAGGCTCAAATGAGTCCCATACTGGATGAGCAGGTGCCTGGCTCATTTATGGACAATCTGTGGTTAACAGGTCCCAGGAGAAGATATGCCCTTTATCTGGCCTCCAACCTTTATGGGATGGGGGCAGGATCAAAAACCTATAAAGATAAGGAGATATTAATAAATAACCTCATGTAATAATGAGTCTTTATAAACATTAACGTGAGCTATATCTCCATTTAAATATAGGACAGGAAAATGGGAAGGTTTTTAAGTTTGTGGGAAACAGTCAAGGGGCATTGAACTAAGAAAGATTATAGCTGAGACAAGGTAGAGACCCATTTAGGGGTTTATTTGTAATTTTGTCATCTAAATAGAAATGTTTTGAGGAACTCACTAGGCTGCTTAGGCAGCCTTAGCAGCTTAACCAGCTGCTTAGGACCTAGCAGGTAGATGAACATTTTACCAAATGTCTTTTTCAAGAGTTTCAACCTTGTATATTTTGAGTAATGAAATATGTGACTTGATTACCATCGGTAATGTCTGGAACTCTGAAGTGATAAGGAGTGTCCTGGTGAGACCTTGTTTTGTTACCTTAGTATACATAAGGATATGTGTGACCTTGATTTATATTTTGAGTATTTGCAAGGCAATGAGTTCCCAAAATTATCTACTCTAAAGGGAACAACTCTTAGGCAATGGCTCATTTTTATTTTCATTTTTTAGTCTGTGTATATAGAGCCATTTGCTATCCAGAGCAGCCAGTGGTAAAATGACTGAGGTTTGGCCTGATTCTTCAGTCCCTTCTGAAACTATCAGGAACATTCTGGTTAAAAGATGGAAAACAGCAACAGTAGTTATGATGGTGGTAATGAAATATGCAGTCTATAAACTCCCTTTGTTATTCACTCAGTGAATCCCAAAAGACTCCCCTGATACTCAAGGAGTCTTGGGGAGCTGTGACCTCCCTCAGAACCACAGCATCTGGCAAGAGATTGAGGCCACCACCTCCTGCAAGCAGAATACACCAGAGGACTAGGGTTTTACTATATTCTGTATCAAGGAGGCCTCAGTAACTGTGCAGAGCTTGTGGAGTGCTCCTTTTATGATTCAAATCATAATGGGAAGCTGGATATGAAGGGTCATAGACAGAGTCTTTGAAAACATATCTTTCCAGGAAAGCACAGTATAAGACCAATAATTTTTGCTCTAGTAGTGTATAGAATGAAGGTGAGATGGGGTTTCTTGCATTAGAAATCCATGGCAACTTGTTGTCATCATGTGTGGTCCAGAGACTCCAGGAGGCAGGAAAGGAGGTGGTGAAAGCCTCTAAAGTGAAGAAGTCTCTGAAGACACTAAAGGGAGTGCCTGACAATTTTAATTTGGACAGATTCTAGAGCCTTTTTAAAACAGGGTACCCCCATTTAAATAAGGCTGATTTGTAAGTAGCAGCATCAGTGAGATTAAGTAAAATCTGTAAATGAAGAATATCTTGCTTCATAATCCAGACCAAACTAAAAGATCTTAGGCTAGTATGCCCTTAAGGAGTATCTCAAATGGCTGTCCTTGGAGGAGGATCTCAACAAGGTTATACCAATGGTATACCATCATTGTTATACCATACCTGTACTCCTGGTGAAAGGAAAATGTAACCAAGATAGTAAATATGTACTGTGTCCTATTGAAGGTAAAGACAAACTGTGGCTGAGAGGCTGTTTTGGAAATAGGCACTGAATAGAACATATTAGCCCATTCTATAATAGCAAAATATTTACTAGTTGTTGATTAGGTGAAGTTAGTTATTATTGTAATAATTGGTAGCGGATATGGGGGACTTAATGGCTGTAACCACAACATTAAGGTGGTAGTAATCTACTATAAAGCACCATTTATTTTTTCCCGATTTTAAAACAGGTAAAGTCGGGCTATCAAATGAAGAAGCAATAGAGATAATTATCTATTTATTAATAATATCCTATATAATAACTTTTCACCTTTGAAGGCCCTGTTTTAACTTACATTGTGCCATATTCACTATTTTAACTGGGTGTCCATGAAGTCCCATTTTGTCAAGCAGTTTTGTAAAGTGCCAGAAACTTAATTTAATTCTAATTTATTCCTCCTTGTATTAGAGTATACATGTGTACTAAGGCATATTTTAGGACATTATTCAAGGCTATAAATTAAAGCATACCTATTTTTTCTCTGTTTTATATTTTGTTACTCTCCTTAGTTTACAGAGAGCACAATGTTTAAATTTAGTGGAATCCTCATGTATAACTGCAATTTGAGCCCCAGTGGAGATTCCTGTCAACTTAGAATGGAGTTATATCCCAATAAACCCATTGTAAGTTGAAAATATTGTAAGCAGAAAAAGTATTTAATACACTTGGCCTACCAAGCATCACAGCTTAGCCTAGCCAATGTTAAATGTTCTCAAAACACTTAAATTTGGGCAACATGAATTTAAAATTAAGGCTATTTTATGACAAAGTGTTAAATAATTTATTGAATACTGTACTGAAAGTGAAAAACAATGGTTCTTACAGGTGCTCAAAGTATGGTTTCTACCGAATGCATATTGCTTTCATACCATAGTAAAGTCAAAAAATTGTGAGTTCAACCATTGTAAGTTGGAGACTGTCTTATGAAGTCAGTGAAGCTTTGCTAATTGGTGCATTTTAGCAAATGGTAAAGTTAATTCACAACCTATGATTTACATGAACACAAGCCAATAAGTGCCATTTTAACCATTTTGTTCAATACATTTTAAGTAAATTTTGAATGTGTAATTGGGTTAAATTATGGACCTTGATTTCAATTTAATCACATATGATTAAATAATCATATATAATAATATATATGATTAATAGATAATAAATACTATATATTCTAATATATATGTTATTTTATTAATGTTGGAATATTATATATTATTATATGTATATTATATATAATTGTGTATATATTTATATTATATATAATTATGTATAATCATATATATATAATTGTGTTAAATATGTGTTATATATGTGTGTGTGTGATACACATAGATTTTATTTGATATTTTTCCTCCTGTATCCAGGGTTTTTTATTTTTCCCCTTTTTTACGAGTGGGGGGTGGGTATCAGGGATTATGCTACCAGAGGTCAGGAGGGTGGGAGTGATTCTCTTTATCCTGATAATATTCATAATTTTTTCCCACTAGAGAGCCTCAAGCCAATATCATCATTAGGGTTACGGACCTGCCTGGTGGCTATGATCATATGATTTAAGAACCTTGGGCTTATGTTGGATTTAAATCAATGGCTTTTCTTTACCAAAGGAGATCACTCATATTTTTCCTTGAAACCTGGAGGATTATATTTTTGTTTGTAACACAGGCATAGGTTGCAGAGTGGTACAGCTGAAAATTGCTAGGCTACAACCCAGAGGCTGATGAATCAAACCACTCTTTACTATAGCTCTGCCTTTTCTGGTTTCAAGGCTTTCAGCTTCTGTGTCCATCCCATAACTCATACTGTGGACCTTCCAAGTGGTTATAGAGAAAGGGTATGGGGATCCCCAGACACCTGCCTCCTAGTGTTCTCTATTTTAAGGGTTCCCAGTCCATCTCTAAGGATTCAGGGTTTGTACTAAAAAGAGCTATAGCAGCCTCTCCTTGGGACAGTGCAGTTAGCTACCTTGTTCCTTTGCATGTAGATATATGGTGGCACTTAATAAGGCCCAAGCATACTGTCTGCAGTCTTGTATAATTTAAGCAATTGGATAACTAGTTGGTGTTCTGGTGGGAAAGGGAGAAAGGACTGCTGCAGGAATGAGATATTTGTTCCCTTGATCCAGAGGCCCCTTTTGGAGTAAACATTGAGATATTGTCTTCCCAGGGCACAACCCATGATACTTCTAAGGGTCTGGAAGCAAGAAGTTCACTGGCAATAGTAGTTAGGAAAACAACAGCAAGTAAGGCAGGTAATACCACAGTCCTTACATGGGCAACGTAAAATTATATGCTGGGGAGCCATTATTTCTCCCAACTAGGAGCAACACCTCTGTTGCCCTTGATACAAGGCAGTCTGAGGCACATGAGCTAATAAGAGATCAGCCCCTTATACACCCCCGCAAAAGGTCTAAGCTCTATGGCCAGTGTCAAAACACATGTAACATTGGGTCTTAGGGGATGTGGCTCACGCTCAAGCTTCCTTTGCTTATTAAGGTGGCGCTCATACCTAGGCCCTTTTGTTCTTGGAAAATTATACCATTAAGCTGTTTTGCTTTTATTATAATTATTGTGGAGTTTTCCACACTGAAGCAACTAGGTAAGGTCAAGATACGGCAAACATTGACCACACACTAGCAAGGACACTCAGCTAAAGCAAAGCTCTCCAACAGACAGGAAATCCATCCACCCAGACAAGGTAGTGGTTTGAACACATTTTTTCAAGCAAGAGAAATCCCCTAAGGAAGATACCCAGGAGTCAGCAGTTAGCCACTGTACTCATTATACCAGATGTTTTTTAAAAATTTTTAATTTTTTTTAATGGTAGGACACAACACAATGACACTTGGCTAGATGGAATGCAGAACTCTCTTATTTACAGATGTGAACTAGAGAAGGCTGTGAGAAAAGACCCCATAGGTGGTTGTAAACAGTGCCAGGGTAATGGCAAGCTGGATCTTTAGTGGGTAACATGTATGGCAAACAGGGTGTGGATACCTAGATTTTACAGGGTCACTGTGGATTGGCTAATCTGAATAATTTTATCAGTCTCTGGGGTTTAGGAGCTATTCTCAGTTAGCTGGGAGCTGGCTCTCAAGTGATTAGATTAGGTATATAATGGCCTGGAGTGTGAGAGTTCCATAAGGGAAGGGGTTCTCATGTGGATTTAATCAGCTACTCAAAAAGGGGAATTGATCAGTTTCTAGCCAGGGTCTCAAAACTCTGTCGAGATAGCATTTTACAAAATAAAACAAACAAACAACTATCTGTATTACAGGGGAATTATCACTGCTGATCCCATGAACATTAAAATGACAATAAAGGAACACTATAAAGAGTACACCCACAAATTTGATAACTTAGGTAACAGCAGCCAATTCCTTGAAAGCCACAAATTATAACACACACAAAGATAAATAAATGACCTGTATTACTTTCTGAAATCAAATCAGTAATCAATAACCTTCCAAAATAGAAATCTCCAAGTCTAGATATACAGTGAACTCTACCAACAATTTATGAAAAAAAATGTGATCTTTTTACAATATGTTCAAGAAAATAGAAGCCAGATGGAACACTTCTACCTCATTCTATAGGTCCATGATTACCCCAATATCCAAACCAGATTAAGATATTATTATAAGATACATGCACCCTAAAACTTAAAGTATAATTAAAAAAATGACAAAATCAAAAAAAAAGATATGATACAAAAAGACAGTTATAGATCAATGTTTCTCTTCAGCATAGATGTGAAAATTCTTAAAATATATTAGCAAATCAAATCCAATGATGTGTGAAATGAATTATACACCACCACCGAGTGGGATGTATGCCAGCTATGCAAAGCTGCCTCAACATTTAAAAATCAACACTATATTTGATTTTTAGGCTAAAAGAGAAAAAGTAATATGATCATACCAATTGGTTCAGGAAAAGCATTAGACAAATACTAAAATCGTTGATAATAAAAACTCTCAGCAAACTAGAAATGGAAAGAACTTTTTAAAATTGATAAGGAAAGCCTACATAAAGAAAGGAAGGAAAGAGAAAAAGAGAACATAATAAATATACTGCAGCTAAAATACTGATCTACAGAATCTCTACATTTAGCATCATATTGATGGTGAGAATCTGGATGCTTTCCCACTAAGTTTGGGAAGAGGAGAGTATGTCCTGTCTCACCACAATTATTTGACATCATGCTGGAAGTCCTAGTTTGTGCAATATGGTAAGAAAATAATATAATAAATGGATGAATTTAAAAGAAAGACATAAAATTGACTGTATTAACAAATGACATGATTGTCTATGCATCAAACCCCAAAGGATTTACAAGAAAACTTATAGAACTAATAAACAGTTATAGCAAATTTGCAGTATTCAAGGTCAATACAAAAAAATCCAATTATTTCCTTATACACCAGCCATGCAAAATTGAAATATAAAATTTAAAAAGTTGGAAATGCAGTTATATCAGTAATAATAAAAAATAAAAATAATAAAAATGAAATGTTTTCATATAAATTTATCAAAATATGTACATATCCATATTGTTAAGATGTCAGTTGTTCTTAACTTGACATATAGAGTCAACACAATACCAAAAAAAAACCTGCCGAGATTTTTTATACATATTGGGAATCTGATTCTAAAATTGTTATGAAAAGGCAAAGAAGTCTAGAATAGCCAGCACAATACTGAAGAAGAAGAAAAAAAAAGATAAAGGACTTATACTAACTAATCCCAAAATTTGCCATAAAGCTGCAGTAATCAAGATAGCATGGTATTGGTGAAAAAAATAGATACATAGATAAATGGAACATATTGGAGAGTCTAGAAATAGAACAACACAAAGATAGTCAATCGATATGACAAATGAGGAAAGGCTGTCAAAGGAGAAAGAATAGTCACTTAAAATAATGGTGCTTGGACAATTAGAAATTCACGTGCAACAAACAAATGCATAAATAAATAAGTAAATAAACTTAGTAACAGATCCCACACAAATATTAACTCAAAATGAACCATACACTTAGATGTAAAATGCAAAATTATAAAATTTCTAGAACAGAACATAAGAGAAAATCTACATGACCTTGATTTTGGTGATGAATTTTTATATACAACACCAAAATCATGATCAATAAAAAACAGATGATAAGTTGAACTTTATGATAGTAATCATTTTTGCATTGTGAAAGACATTGCTAAGGGAATGAAAAGACAAGCCACTGATTGGGAGAAAATTATTTGCAAAACATATATCTGTTAAAGGACATATATCCAAAATATAAAAAGAACTCTCAGTAACGTACAAAGACTCAACAATAAGAAAAAATTCCAGTGTAAAAAAAAAAGACCAACAGTCTAACAGACACCTCATCAAAAAACATATATAGGGGATGATAAGCTTTTTAAAAATACATTGGGCATTTTTTTTTTGGTCATTAGGGAAACTCAAATTAAAATAACAGTGAGAAACCATTATACACATATCAGAATGACTAAATATTTCTAACATCGACAATACTAATTGCTGGTAAAGAACAGAGCAACATGAACTTTTACTCATTGCTGATGGGAATGCAAAATTACACAGCCACTTTGGAAGACAATTTGACAGTTTCTTACAAAGCTAAACCTTTTCTTACCATATGATGCAGCAACTGTGTTCCTAGGTATTTGCAAAACAAGTTTGAATCCTTTGTCCTCACAAAATGCTGCACGCAAATGTTTATAACAGCTTTATTCATAATGCCCCAAACTGGAGGCAACACAGATCTCCTTCAGTTGGTGAATGGATTAAAAAGCAAACTGTTTTTTTTTAATATATATAAAGGCATACTATTCAAGGATAAAGAATGAGCTATTAAGTTACTGAAAAACCTGGGTGAAACTTAAATGCATCTCACATGAAAGAAGTCATTGTGAAAAGACTACGGTATGATTTTATTCAGATGACATACTGGTAAAGAAAGACAAAACTATAGAAACACCGGACATATCAATGGTTACCAAGGGTTCAGGGCCAGGACAAAGGAGAATTGAATAGGTGAAGCACAGGGACTATCTTGTGATGGTGTGACTATTCTGTCTGATACTGTAGTGCTGGATATGTGACACTGTGTTTTTCAAAATCAATAGAACTCTACAGGGCAAAAAGAGTACATTTTAATTTATCCAAATTTAAAAAAATTGAGATCATGTGATCCAAGGATAAAATACAAATGGTGGCAAACAATGTAACTACATTATAAATATAAGAAATAATGTCACTAAAAGTGGTGGGAAGAAACAGTACTGATTAAAGCAACTTGAGTTTGTAAAACTAAAGGCAAAATAAACTGCACATAAGCACTGTTCTCTAGTTGATGAAGTTGCTTCCCATATGGTATAGATCAATGATTCTGAAATCTATATATATCTGTAACAGATTTGAAAAATTAAATAATGGATGACAGATAATGGCTATCATGTTTCTTAATACTGGGGCAGGAGATTTCAGATAATCAAAGGAAGAAGGCTAAAATGATTCACGAGGTAATGGGTTAGAATTAAATACCTAACTGTAGTCCACAATCAAAATGGATTTGAGTTATAAATTCATGTTTAGCTTAGTATATAGAAAAACATATAAATGTATATGGAAATATTTGTAGATATGTGTATATATATGGGTTAGTATATTCTTAAGTATGTCTTTGATCTGTCATCTGTGAAGGCCTAGAAGGAAAAATATGCTAATGGCAATAAGTGTACCTAGTGCCAAAATTTCAGTGTCTAATTCCATTCTCCAATAAAAGGAATCATAACTCCAGGAGAAATGGCTGATTCTAAAAGTGAAGCAATGACGTATACAAGATGAGCCTAGACAGACTTGTAGTGCCTAGACAGACTTGTAGTGCCAGAAAGTAAGAAAGTACTAAACACACACACACACACTCACACACACACAATGAGTGGGATATGTCAAAGGGACACAGGGACCAACTGACAGAACTTCAGGTTCAAAGCTGGAAAAATTTGAGCAAGAAAGTATATAATACAATGTTGGGTTAAAACCCAAAATATAAAATATCCATGAGTCCATACAGATATAAATAGATGACTGAATTTAATAATGAAAATAAAGAGACAAATATTAATTTCTGAAGAACCCCAAATAATTTAAGAAGTTGTGTTGCTCTCAAAGAGGTGGAGCATAATTCCCTACTTCTTAAGTGTGGTCTGTGCATCTTGCCTTCTTTCTAAAGAGTACAGTATGGAGGGTGGGAGGGAAGTAACTTTACGGTGGGGAAATCTGACAAACAGTACCTTAGCCAGCTGAACAAGACTAACATCATAAGTAGTAAGTCATGTTAATAGTAGGCACCTAATGTAATATGATGAGAATGGCAATTATCTATGAGATTTTCATTTTAAAAAGCCATTAACCAAGCACGATCATAAGAAAAATATCAGACAAACCCCAATTGAGGATTAAAATACCTTGACCAGCACTCCTCAAACTGTCAAGGTCATCAGAGAAAGAAATGTCTGGCAGAAATATCACAGTCAAGAGGAGCTCAATGAAACATGACAACCAAAAGCAATGTGGTATCCTGGATAGGATCCTAGAACAGGAAAAGAACATTGGGTAAAAACTGAGGATACCTGATTAAAGTATGTACTTCTAAAAAGGACATGAGGTGAAAAGGAAGGATATTTGATTAAAGTATGAGCTTCATTAATAATAAATATGAATTCATTAATTATAACAAATACTGATGTAATGAGGGATAATAAGAGAATGTAATAATAGGAGAAACTGGATATTGATATATACTCATATTAACAAACAAGGCATAAGAACAATGTCATAAGAGGAACATGCTTACAAGCCACTTCAGAGAAGAATGAGAAAATGTTTGGCTGTAAGTGAAAGATTATTTTATATATAACAGTTTTACAACACTTATTAATGATACATCATTCTGGCTTCTCAATAAATTATTATCATTAATACTTTAAATAAGATATTACAATATTTCCAAATATTTCCATGAGAGTATGATGTATAATGCTTCATTGCTTCCAAAATGCTTTAATACCCAGTGACGCTGACTTTTGAATATCTAAATCTAAGTCACCTCATTTATTAATTTAAATGTAATACAGATACATGTCTGATAAGATGAATAAATTCTAGAGATCTAATTCACATCATGGTGCCTATAGTTAATGGTACTGTAGTGTATATTCGAAATTTGCTGAGAGACTAGATCATAAGTGTTTTCACCACACACACACAAACACACACACACACACCACAAATGGTAACTGAGAGAAGTGATGAATGTATTAAATAATTTGATGGTGGTAATCATTTCACAATGTATATTTATACCAAATCATTACATTTACACTGTAAATATATACAATTTAATTTGTCAATTATTCTTCAATACAGCTGAGAAAAAAAGTAATGTAAACACAGAAAAGTGCACACATCTTAAGTGTATGTGTGGTGAATTTTCAAAAGTGAGCACATACATGTAACCAGGATCCAGATCAAGAAACCCACATTCCAGAAGTGCTTTGCACACTTCGGATGAGGAGGACAGGGAGGTCAGAGAAGGCTGCAAGAGGATGATGTTTGAGCTGGATCTTCAAGGAAAGCTTGTTTTATCAGATGGAAATAAGACATGGTAGCAGGAGCATTCTAAGCGCAGAAAATTAAGTGGGAAAACCATGCATGTGCATTCCAGGAACAAGGAATAGTAAAATCTGCCAAACTCTTTGGTACAAAAAGTGTACTGTATGCTCTGTTAATTCAAAGTTGCTTTTTCTGTAATTTCTAGATGGCTTCAATGATCATATTTTATTTTATCTAATAGAGAGGAATTAGAAATAATTTTAAGTTCAGAAGTGACCTACCCTAAGATGATAAACCAGAAAAATTACAGAGTAAATTGGAAAGAAACAAGATGCAGAAAATCCAAATAGAAGGCCATTACTCCTTGTAGTTTAGTCTCTAGATGCTTCTTTACATGGAAACCAATAACATTATGCATGTATAGTTTATGTATCAGAATCTGTGAAGCATTACAACTCTTTGAGGCAACTTGATTTGTCTTCTAGTCTTTCCTAAACAAACATATGCATCTATAGGGAATATGACTCTAGATCTCCCCTTCCACGCCACTGATCAAGTCAGCTCTGGATAGAAGCAGATCATAATTTTCTTTATGTATTCTTGAGAGGAATTTCTTAGTACAACATGCATATGATCCATATAATATTATAAACATGAATCTTAGTGACCACACAGTATTCTTTAAAAGTCTCCCTTAGCACCAGAAGGACTCATATGAAAAAATTTACCCAAGAGAAGTAGACAAACTAAAGAATAATAACCTGGAGATGCAAATACACATTTACACAGTTCCTTCTGTGTGTTTTGCATTATTCTTCCATACATAATGCTAAATTCAAATACCTATTCAGTCCTTACATAATTGATTATTTCACTGGAAGAGAGATCCACACATATAAAACAGCTATGTATAATCTGGCATTTTCAACTGCTTCAATTGATTCTATAGAATCATAGGGGTAAAATATATTTCTGTTGAAGTGAATGAGTGTTATAGGATGCAGGAAAAGGAACAATTTAAAGGAGAGGAGCAGGGAGAACATTTCAGACTTGAGGAAAATATGAGCAGAGAAATCCTTTCCATAGAAAAAGGATGGAAATCTTTATATCCAAGAGAGTTATCCAATATACACAAAAATACAATAAAAACTATTCACCAGGATAAAATATGGTATAATAGTGATTTTGCATTATACCATAGATAGTATAGATACCAGTTCAGATACCAGGATAGTATCTGAACATATTCGTAGAAACCCAAAGACCGAGTACAAAACTGCTTCTTGGAAGAAGTTCCTGTCCCCTTGCTTCCAGGTTGGTTCTACTATTTGAAAAATAACTGTCCATTTATGGCCAAAGAAAGGAGACCTGTAGATTCCTTTTATAGTGAACACATTGGCAAACAACACATTAGACTGCTCTTTATTACATAATTATTCTCATTTTCATTTAAATGTAAACTTGATTGAGTAATACATAAAAAAGAGAAGTAATAGATTTATTTATTCACATACCAAAATCTGTATTTAGCGGTCTGGCTTCTTGGAGTCACATAAAAGGTGTAGACACTGCTATGTCTCAAAGAGTTGCGAGACTTTTATTGATTTCATGAAGTTTAAGACATCATGGAAGCTAAATGTTAAATTTCTGTTTCTATGTCAAATTGGTATTCCCATGTAATAAAGAATTTGGCTAGGCCTCATTTCTGGTTCCTGGGAGGTAGCCTCTAGAACCTTGGAATTTTCTGAGTGATAGGAGTATCTTTCTTATTCACAATGTTTCATGCTATGAAGATGACTCATGATAGATCCTTAATAGTTTATACTAACAAGATGACTCAGAATGGGGTCTAGCTATACCAGAAAGATGGACCATGTGATTAGAGGATTGAGGCTTTGAGACATGCAGTATCAGTTTGACATCTGGAGAGGGAAAAGGATGCTAGAGATTGACTTCAGATGTGTAGCCAATGAGTCCTTCGATCAAATCTATGTTATCAAACCTCAATAAAAACTCTGAACATCGAGGCTTGGGTAAGCTTGGGCATACTCTGCATATTTTCACACATCAGTAAGCCAGAACATATCCTGATTCCAGACAGAAAAAAATGAAATCTTTATGTTTAGGATCCTACCAGACCTTGTCCTGTGAATCTCTTCTTATCTAGCTTTGATTTGTACCCTTTTGGTATAATAAAACTGTAATCATAAGTATACTGCTTTCCTACGTCGTGTGAGTCATCCTAGTGAATTATTGAACCTGAGAGCTTAGTGTGAATGTCCAAATTTGGAACCAGTTATTTAAAAGTAAGGATGGCCCTGGGTACCTCAAAACTTGTGGCTGGTATCTGAAGTGAAGCCAATCTTGTACAGGTTTATGCCCTTAACCTGTGAGGCTTGTCTTAATTCTGTGTAGTTGGTATTAGAAATAAATATTTGTAGGTAACTTTTAATACCTTTATTACAGATATCTTTTTGCCAACTATAAATTTTAAAATTACCTTTTTTATGACTTTCATGGCTTATAGGAAGTGTCTCACATAAATAATAAAATTACAGTGAATACAATGGATTTTAAGTGAAAGCAAACATCATACATTCTAAGACTAAGAGAACCTCACTATTATTGCACAGCTCCGTTTATTAAACAAAATAACAGAGGTTCCAATATTAGCTCATGCTGGGGAATTATTAGCAAAAATGCCAACCAGATTAGCTTTGACTCAGACCACTACTTCTTAATCAGAGAATCTAAATAAATGGTCCTAAGTCCAATTAAAACCATAAAATCAATGCAGGCATTCAACAACTCTATCTGTACTACTGGACCCAAATGCAATGCCAGAGTTAAGTCCAGTAAGTTAACTGACATGTATTTTAACTGTGATTTTCAATATTAAAATCGTGTTTGTGCACAATTGTAACCAGCAATCATGCTTCCTCCTTCTGTCCACCTTCACACTCCAGTGACCAGAATCTCTTGACAATTTGCAAATTGATAGATGCTTTCTGGGGCTATTGTTATTTTCTGATAACATAAAAGTGTTTTCTTAGTCCAAAATAGAATTAAACAAATGATGTAGGCAACATAAAGACATAAGATTCAGCTTTTCAGTGTAAAATAATGCAGATCAATTCAATCTAACTTGTTTCCCATAAATGCTATGAAATGTAAAACTGCTGAAGAATAAGTCATTGGAATACCAAGAACTTAACCGTGCATAGTTTGATTGAACTCTTTTGGAAATTACTGAGCGGGGGTTCAAAAAATAAGTCACTTATAATATGCATTAAAAACAAGGCAAAACAGTAAAATGGCATTTGGTCCAGCTGAGGAACTCAGTTATGCAGAACTGCCTGTAAAATCTTATTCATCAGATTAAATTTAGATTTGATAAACACTTCAAGGATAAACTATATTTACAGCCATAGTAACATACACAAGCCCTGGGAACTAAATAGATTTATTTACCATTTATGTATATGAGAAGTAAAAAGGTATTTTATTACAAATAGAAGACATTTTGCTATTCTAAAAAAGTTAAAAGTTATTTTTTTTATGCCAGTAAAATGTGGGAAGAACAATCTTGAAGAATTTATATGCCTGCTAGGTGATTTGAGAACCAGCTTTCTATTACTGAATGCACTCTCTTATTTTAGCTAAAAATTTCTGGCATATTAAAATATAATGAAAGCTGAATGTTGAGCATTGCTGATAAAAATAAGACATTTTGAAATTGACAAAAATTTTACATATATTTTATAATCCACCTTATAACTCATTTCTTGCCTCCCTCCCTTATATATCCTAGTCTTCAGTAACACAATTTTCTTTAATATGCCATGTGCTGTCAAGTGGTGTAGTCTTACCTAATTGAAGTCTTATTCCTTCTTGGGACTTGTAAATGAATGACTCAGAGTCTGAGGTGGGGATGAACCTTAATGAATAAATTTCTGTAGCAGGGTCTTACTAGCATGGATACAGCCTTGCCTAGTGAGATTTGAACTTCATCACTTGAGAATTCTGTTGGCAGCCAACAGACCCAGAAAAACAAGTGAACATCAGTAGGCATACAGTAATACATAGTTTAGAATAGTACGATGATTTAAAAGATATCCTTGGGAAGATGTTATACCTAATTTAGTATTATCACAAAGAAAGTACCATGTTTGTGATAATATTAGGCTCATTGGAATTGGAGGCATCCTCTGCTCTACTAAGAAGAATATGGGACTTGAAGCCTGAGTCATTTGAACACTTATCAATTTTACTTTCTAATTTGTACAAGGAAACAGAAAAATTACTTCACACATTTTTATGTGTTAAAGATTTTATTCAGTTTTAATGGGGAAGCAGGCAGATGCCACAATCAATTCAAAATAGAAGTTAACAAGTGCAGATTTATATGTAGTAAGGAATAGTTGAAATGATGCAGAAAGACATGAAACTTTCTTCATCCTGGAAGGGGAGGTCAATTGAACCTTTACCAGAAATAACAAATAACTTATTTTCATGGCTATAGATGAGGATTCTTTTGCATTGCTGTGAATTATCTGCACGGTAAAGAGTGTGAGAGCCAAATAGCAGAGAAAGGCTAGAATCGCCTATAAGGATATGTTCTAAAAATGCAGTCTTCCATTAGAGACATCTAGTAGACTTTTCTTCCTTGTTTTTTTTATTTTATATCAGTTTTCATAACAGTCTCCCCTTTGTGATTTAAGAAAACTCAGTGAAATAATATTCTTGAGCACAAATTAAAGCTGGTTTTATTAGGTTTGGCTTCATAGATACATGGAGAATGTTAATTTTTCACATAAGTCTTCTTACATTTACTTTGCTGAAAATTAATTTGCTGAAATTACTTTGCTGAAAATTTTTGTAAGGAAACAGATTGAATTTGTAAAAGCCCCTATTATTTGCTATCCTGATTTAAGGAATTAAAGTCCAAGAAAATCTCTCGACTGTATTTTACCTGTGACACCTATACATTTGGGAGAATTCCTCTCTTCTCAAAGTTCTCCAAATACTCTGAGGTCCTTTGTCTGCAACGAAAATATCTTTTTCAGCATCTCTAAACCTGAGACCCTACAAAGCAAATCAGGTTTTTCTGAGAGGGATTTATGAGTTTTTGGCTCCAGAAAGTGGACCTCAGTTCTTTAAAGTAGCGTACCTTTCTGATTAAATGAGCAGCATTCTCAAATGTGATATTTCAGACAAGGCATTTGTTGCCTAATGAATAGTTCCCTTTATATTTTTTATTTAAAAAGGACAAATTCTTAATGAATCTATGCAAAGATATTGCCATGGAAATTGAGGAAAACTTAAGGGGAATTCCTGATTTGGAAAAGGGATGATAGTTAGAAAAATATATTATTTTTTATTTTAATTTATTTTGTTGAGACAGGGTCTCACTCTGTCTTCCAGGCTGGAGTGCAGTGATGCATACTTGGCTCACTGCAACCTCCGCCTCCTGGGTTTAAGCGGTTCTCCTGCTGGTTGATTGCAGAACTTCCATGGAAGCCTGAGAGTAAAACAAAACTTATCTGTAGGTGACAGAGACTTAATATGGCTGTGATTAAATCAATTACTGATAACTTTCAAATTAGAAGGTCTGATGAGACTTCATGACAAGAATAACATATAACTGACAAGGAAATCTGGTATTTTTGTGGCATGCAAAAAAATAAAGCCATTTCAAATGCATTTTAGGAAAAATGTCTCCAATTATGGTAAGTTTCATTTTGAAGAACACAGGGAATATCAGGTCTAATTTATAAAATGAAAGGACCTAATTTTAACAGGAAAAAAAGTTGATTTAAAACATGCAATAATCCTGAAGCATTATACATCTATACAAATTATAATATCATATAATATGGTATTATATTATATAATATACTGACCACATACCAAGAATTTAATAAGAGTATCAACTAAAGAAATTCTATGATTGTGAAATAGGTCCTAGATATTTTTGTCTTTATAAAACTCTATAGGTAAGTTGAATATCCATTTCCCAATTGAAACCCACTAACCTAGAAGATAGTAAATTCAAATAAAAGAAGTAAAGTTCTGAACAGGTTAACATTTTAAATAATAACTAAAAGTATGACTTATAACATTATGCTGTTGTTGCCTATTATCATTAGGCAAAGCATCACCAGCTCTGATATACAAGAAAGTTTGACAGAATGTTGATACTAATTACATCAGTGTTTTCCTTGAGTTTAAGAGACAGTATGAAAAGCGAAGACACTGATAAATCTCTAGAGACTTCTCATAAAGCATACAATTTCTAAAATATTTATATTAATAACATTATTACTGACATAATTTAAAGAAAACTAACCATATCTTCTGGTTCAATAGCTCTTCCATTCTAGTTTATCAATAGTACCATATCAGATAAACCTGATTATCTCCAGCATCCTACTAGATGGTGAAAGAACAAGTCTTTGTGATTTTTTAGGGGCCCTTCAGAGTATTTAAAAATTAGTTTTTAGTATAAAAGATATCTTAAATATTTTTATTTTTTCTATAGTTAGGATATGATGTGGGAAGTCACAAAAAAATTGTTAGAGGAGATTTAAAGACAATTAAAATAGAATTGTAGGTCCCTGGTAAACAGTATGTGGCTACACATTTTACTCAAATGACAATAAAACATTTAACAATAAACATACAAAGTAATACAATTGTAAAGAACCTTAGCTCTTTTATAAGGTAGGAACTTTTGTGTTTTCCTGAATAATCAAGGGCATGATAAAGCCCAACATAAAGAACAGAAAATTATTCTTGTAAATCATAGAATCTAAGCAGATTATACAGAGAAAAAGAATATTCTTTCATATTGCAATGGCAGCAAGTAATAAATCATGGAAACAAATCCACCAATATCAAGTAAACGTTGCTAAGAATTTAACACGTAACTTTTCAGACTCAGATATTATAAATAAGGACAAATAAAATTCACTTTGAGATTTTGTCTTTTATTACACTAATCTATTTTCTTTATGATGTAACACACTGACATCTTACTTTAAAATACATCTGAGGGCATCTGGAAGTTTAGACTAATTTCATAATAATATAGAAGATTATTCATATATCATGTACTTATTGTTACCTCGATCAAATGAATCAATAAATAATGTTTTAAAAATTCTTAGTTCAAGTTTCTGCAAGGTAAATATTGATAGTTTTTCCCACAAAGACAAAGGTTTTTAGGGGATTCATCAAAAAGTTTTAGCTCGTACAAGCATCTGAATGCAAAACATGTAGATGCGCACACACACACACACACACGCTCAACCCTCCATTTTTTGAAAAGCAGAAAGCAAGCATTGTTATATTTCTATATCACTATTTCTCCTAAGTATGGTCAAAACCACTTACAATGATTATAACTTTTAACTATTGTAACTCAATATTAGTAGGTTAATCCTCCTGGTTTTTATAGGTTTTGGCACTAAAAGTCCTACATCCCAAGAGAACTTCTTAGTTTGTTTTCTTAGCTCCAGACAAATTCACAGGCGGAGTGAAGAATTGAGAATTGTCTTTCATACACCAGTACCTTAGCAGACTTGCAGAGCTTACGGCTGCATGGAACACAGCTTTCTGCAACTACAAATGTTTCATGCATAGCTTCTCAAAATGGCAAAATTTAACACCTTTGTTTACATGGCCCAAAGATATAACTTATTTGTAGCATGTAAAAAATAGGAGGCAAATTCATGTAGCTTAAAATTGTACATAATAGTCAATGATGTTTCATCATTTCATCTTCTTAGGAAGATTGCCGTATAATCTATTAATTAGCTTGGTATCAGTCAAAGGTTCTGAATTATCTGAATATCTTGGAAATTAATTTCAAGTGGACTTACTGCAAAATATAGTTTCTGCTGAAATTTTTTAAAATGTCAGAATATTCAATTTAGTTAAAAATGAATTTGCATTTTTCATAACTTTGAATATTAAATATGAATGTTAACTTATTTGGCTATTCAACTTGAATACATTTATGGAAACATCCCCAAATTGAATAAAAATGTACATTTGTATTGTACTTAACATTGATAAATCAGAGTAGACATGGCTATTTTTATTAAACTAAAATTATTAAATTAGCCTTGTTTGTCAAAGTTTTACCTAATTTCTGTAAACAAAGACTCATATTTCTGAATTAGTTTTTATAAGAATTGTAAACTACATGTAAAACACATTAAAAGTGTTAAACATTAAATTTTATTTTATTCCTGTGAATTTTAGGATTATTCAATTTCTATAAGGATTTATTATTTTCCATAAGTCAATCCAGTAGTTTTAATTTAAGAGCCTTTGGAATCTAAGTTATTAATAATACTGTGGAGGAATTAAAAATGTTCCACAACCGGACAACAAAGGGCAAATGCCTTTCTGAATAACAGACACTTAGAAAAATAAACACACAAAGAGATTATAGCTTTAATTCCATAATTTCCATCATGGGTCACGACTTAGTACAAAACCATAAAAATGTCATTGGTTCTTGTATCAAAAAACTATTGTCCTTCCCAAGGGGCATAGGATTCTTAACTGAGTTGAGCTTAAATGGAGAAACAAACAAAAAACACTAGCTGAGCAGAGATATTTCATTACCTCTCATCCAACAGAACGTTGCTATCTCTAAATTATTAATCCATTTAACAAATATTCAGAGGATAAAATTGGAAAATTAGATTTTTTTTTTTTTTTTTAATTTGAGACAGGGTTGCCCAGGCTGAACTGCAGTGGCGCTATCTCAGCTCACTGCAACCTCTGCCTCCTGGGTTCAAGAGATTCTCCTAATTCAGCCTCCTGAGTAGCTGGAACTACAGGCATGCGCCACTACACCTGGCTAATTTTTGTATTTTTATTAGAGACAGAGTTTCGCCATGTTGTCCAGTCCGGTCTGGAACTCCTGACCTCAAATGATCTGCCCGCCTTGGCTTCCCAAGGTGCTGGGATTACAGGCGTCAGCCATGTTAAAATCAGATTTCAATCATTGCTGCCACCAATGGGGAATAGCTTAACAAATGTAAGTTAATAAACCAAAACCAAAATATATTATAGGAAAGAAAACTGAAATTAGAAAAAAGTAGATTATATTTCCATGTGGGGCTTACCACTGAGAGCCAAGAAATTGTGTCCGGAATTGGTGGGTTCTTGGTCTCACTGACTTCAAGAATGAAGCCGTGGACCCTCGCGGTGAGTGTTACAGCTCTTAAGGTGGCGTGTCTGGAGTCTGCCCTTCTGATGTTCAGATGTGTTCGGAGTTTCTTCCTTCTGGTGGGTTCGTGGTCTCGCTGGCTCGGGAGTGAAGCTGCAGATCTTCGCGGTGAGTGTTACAGCTCATAAAAGCAGCGTGGACCCAAAGAGTGAGCAGTAGCAAGATTTATTGCAAAGAGCGAAAGAACAAAGCTTCCACGATGTGGAAGGGGACCCGAGCGGGTTGCCAATGCTGGCCCAGGCAGCCTGCTTTTATTCTCTTATCTGGCCTCACCCACATCCTGCTGATTGGTAGAGCGGCGTGGTCTGTTTTGTCAGGGCGCCGATTGGTGCCCTTTACAATCCCTGAGCTACATACAAAGGTTCTCCACCTCCCCATCAGATTAGTTAGATACAGAGTTTCCACACACAGGTTCTCCAAGGCCCCACCAGAGCAGCTAGATACAGAGTGTCGATTGGTGCACTCACAAACCTTGAGCTAAGCACAGGGTGCTGATTGGTGTATTTACAATTCCTGAGCTAGATATAAAGACTCTCCACGTCCCCACCAGACTCAGGAGACCAGCTGGCTTCACCTAGTGGATCCCACACCGGGGCTGCAGGTGGAGCTGCCTGCCAGTCCTGCGCCATGCGCTCGCATTCCTCAGTCCTTGGGTGGTCGATGGGACTGGGCGCCGTGGAGCAGGGGGTGGCGCTCGTCGGGGAGGCTCGGGCCGCACAGGAGCCCATGGAGTGGGTGGGTGGGAGGCTCAGGCATGGCGGGCTGCAGGTCCCGAGCCCTGCCCCGTGGGAAGGCAGCCAAGGCCCGGCGAGAAATCGAGCGCAGCGCCGGTGGGCCAGCACTGCTGGGGGACTCAGTACACCCTCCGCAGCCACTGGCCCGGGTGCTAAGTCCCCCACTGCCCGGGGCCAGCAGGGCTGGCTGGCTGGCTGCTCCGAGTGCGGGGCCCACCAAGCCCACGCCCACCCAGAACTCCAGCTGGCCCGCAAGTGCCGCACACAGCCCCGGTTCCCGCTCGTGTCTCTCCCTCCACACCTCCCTGCAAGCTGAGGGAGTGGGCTCCGGCCTTGGCCAGCCCAGAAAGGGCTCCCACAGTGCAGTGGGGGACTGAAGGGCTCCTCAAATGCCACCAAAGTGGGAGCCCAGGCAGGGGAGGTGCCGCGAGCAAGCGAGGGCTCTGAGGACTGCCAGCACGCTGTCACCTCTCAAAATGACACAACTAGGCTTAAAAGCTCAAATAAACAGCACTGCTCTGGAAAAAAAGTCCACCATCTCTCTCAGGTGAATTCATTGGGCATCTTGTTGGAAGACCTCCAAACAGGTAAAAGTCATAAAATTATATAAAATTATTATATGATACTTTCTTACAGCTTTTCTAATGAGTAAAAGTTTTTATGAGTAAAATTGTGACTCACGTGGATAAAAAAACCTGTGGAATATTTAATTAACTTCTTATTAATGAGGAAATGAGGTAGATGTTATAAACAAAGCCAGAACATCTTATTAGTTCAAATTTATTGATATAAAAATATATTGTAAAACATGCCATCATGCTATTTTATAGTTAAGGAAACTTACAAACTAGTGCTTTTCCATTTTTAGAATGAAATTTTAATTTAGTTTTATGTTTTAGTCCCAGAGAGATATTTGGGCTTTCTTAAATTTTGAATATCTTTGTATTTTGGCAGTTTTATACATGTCCCATATTCTTTGATCATCACTGATTTTAATATTCATGCTAGTGATCAATTTAAAATTGACTTTAAAGTTATCAGCTTCCTTAATTTAGAGAATATTTATCTACTTTCCACTTAAGACAAATTGTCAATATGACCAAAATTTGAACCTGACCATTAGGCGAAAATACTGTATTACCAAGATTTCAAATTTTAGTTTTTTAACTGATACCATGGTTTTGCTACTGTATATGTTGATCAAGATTGATAAAATGAATTCTGGTTCATGCTTGCAACTTTACCATGGTTACCTAGGACATGCCACATATGAATCTCAAATACTCCTTTTCCTGTGTGGACTGAAATCAAACCTAAATATTGACTTTTTTCTCTTAGTACCATATTACTAATGTTGGCCTTCTCAGTGTTACCACACTAATGGTCAGAAGAGTCACAGAAAACTACAAGGAAAGACATCAAGGAGAAGAGAATACTTTTTATTTTTAAATAATATCAACATGTAACTTGACTCAAGCCAAGTTTATTTTAATGCAAAAAGCAGGAGAACTGCCAAGGGACTTATTCATGGAGTCATTTTCTCTCTCAGTTCCTGAAAAGCATGTCACAGAATTCGTTGTGCCTTTTCTAATGGCCATAATTATCTACCTGTTACTATCTTATTTAAGAAACAACCTGTTTAATCCATTAAATAGCAACATTGAAATATTAATTCAACAAAAATTTGCTGATGCAAGTTTTTACATAAATGCGTTTTATTAAAAACACGTCAGTCAAATATTTAGAAAGACACATTTAGCCCATTTTGCTTATGAAAAATGCCAATCACATAAACTAATTTTCAAAGCCAGTCCTTGTTGTCAAACCAATCTTACTCTGCTAGAAAAACTCTGACACCAGTTTTAAGTTTAAATAGCTATATCAAAATTTATTCTGAGGAATATTATAAAATGCATTGAAAACCAAATTATAGCGAGTTTTTGAGACATATTATTAAAAGCAGTCAAGCCAAGATGAGATGATAAAAATTTAGATTGACCATATAATTATCCAAACTAGAATTTTAAGAAGACATTATTAATAATAATGCCAGAAAAACTGATAGAAAACAGAAGTCTTCGTGTTTAACTCAACCATATGATGATTTATTCATCTAATGACAAATAAAAAAGAACAAAATAGTCAATATAATGACCCTATCCACTTCATTTAAATCAATGCAACATAATATACAGCTAAAATTATTATATATTAAGTGAGAATTATGAGAAAAAGGGGATTTTCCTTCATTAATCACAAATGAGGGCAGTGTCAAACTGATTTAAAACTTTAGTAATTTTTAGTAAGAATTATTGGTAAAAGTTGGACATAATTCCAAAAATGTCATACATTGTGAATGTTTTTTCTGTATTTAGCACATAAATGAATTACATGCTGTCAAACCAATCAGTATATTTAAGCAGAGCGTTGTTTTAAGCATTTTTAACATTATTCAAAATTTTAATCTCTGTATCAGTCCTATGAAGTAAATATTTCTGCTATCCCTATTTTAAAGATGATCAAATTAAGGTGTGGCAAAGTTGAATGGCTCAACTCATGCTATGCATCATGCCCAGGCAGAGATTTCCAGCCAGGCCATCTGGCTCCAGGTTGCAGTGTTAATCACAGTGCCCTCTGCTGCCTTTGGTCAGTCATTAAAAAGGGTCCTCCAGAACAAGCATTGTCTTCTTGGTCCCCACAAGGGTTTTTTGCATTCTGGGGCAATGCATGATGCCAAGATTAAGGATTAGTGAAGGTCACACCTTTATATTTATGTATTTATTTATTTTGAGACAGAGATTTGCTCTTCTTGCCCAGGCCTTTATTTTTTTAAACTGAGAAGGAGAAAATGAAAGATGGAAAAGCAGAATGTATAGAGTGCCTCAAAGGCACAGTCTGAGACAGATCAATTATAGGAAGAGTTCATACAGAAGTTAATGATATGGGCACTGATTACTTGAAAAACATCAGGAACCCAAAAATACCTTTGAGATTCTTCAACTACCCTCCAGGGTGCAAGTACTCCAGTCAGAAGACCATGTAGTAATATTTAGTGGAATAGGGCGAGGCTAGCAAAATTCCTGAAAACAGTTTGTTAGTTGTTTCTGAAAGCAACGACTCTAATAGGGTTTACGCATTAATTACGTTTTTAATTTTCAGCTATATAGTATCTTAAATGAAAAGAAATTTTATGTGTACTGTCCAGATATATTTTCCTTTTGATTAATTGTTGTCATTTAGCTTTTTGTTTCAGATTGAAAAATTAAATAGAAAAGTCATCTCTAGTCTGCTAATAATTTAGTTAAAATAAGAGTATTTCTTAATATATTTATGAGAAATAAATATACATCTTGTAGGAAAATTTCTTAAAGTCTTGGTGAAATTCAGGTTATGAAAACTTCCAGAGAGAGTTCAACCAGAGAGGTTTTACCAGACATTATGAATTACTCAGAGTAGCTTCCATTTTATATGCCTATAAATGTGTGTGGTATTATTCCATTAGTCTGTGAGAAAAAAATTAAAAAAATAAAACCTGAGAGAAGAAATTAAGCCTAAAGAAACTGCAAAATTAGCTTAAGATGTTGGACAAATACAATGCAGAGAAATGCATTGCTCCTTTTTAAGAAGTTGAAAATGGTATCTAAATTGCTATAATTTCTATTGCATTCAAGTAGTAATCAATAGAAAAAATAGTTTAAATCTAATTAAATGTGCTGTACAATTTTCAAAAAAAGGATATATCCAGAAATTAAATAATTATGGTTAGTATTTTCAAAGATTTATCTTAAAATATAATTTTCTCTAATTCTATTGTTTAACAAAATATCAAACTATGTCAGAATGAAAAGCACACTTATTACATGGGAATATTACTTTTTCTTTGACATGCCTCCCCTTTTTTTAAAGGAATTCTATTTTGTAAGGAGTTGAGCTATATCTGTTTATGTATATAACATGCAATGAAACTTCTTTGATTCCAATAGAGACCACAGTGTCTGCTAGAATTAGAGGTTTTTGTGGTGTTTTTTGTTTGTTTGTTTTTCTCCCCCTATGAGATATTAAAGAACATCTTGCAGAGATAAGTAAGAAATTAAAAGATAAAAATCAATGTGAAAAATAATAGGTCTATAATTTAGGATATCTGAAACCCTAAATGGTATTTAATAGCATTTTCTGAAACATATCAGATTATCACATTTTCACTTTGCAGTTTCAAAGATCTTGTTAATGTCTATTCAATAAAGGTCTTGATTGCAACTAATTTTTAAAAGTAATGAATTTCTGTCTGCCCTATGTGAATGACTAAGCTGGATGGACTAGTTATCTCATGATTATTATGAGATTGCAGATGTAATTGTGTAATTTTCTTCTAAATTAAGAAAATAAGCTTTACCACATCATGAAATTATTTTACAAAGAACATTTGAAAACACTAGGCTATATATTTTTATCCTCATTTCTCCAAACACAAAACTGATTGAAGAAAATACTTAAGAGATTTCAGATGTTTATATAGCCTATTACAATTAACTCAAAACTATATTATACTAGGGATTATTTTGCTCAATAACTTCTGGGTTTTTCAAATTTCCAAATATTGGTTGGAAAGCCTGCTAACTAAAATGACTGAATGCCAATATCACCACAAACTTCATCAGCAGTGACACTAATATTTCCATATACTTGAATCATGAGCTTCTTCTCTGGACTCTTTTACCTAAAGTTTTTTATCTTGACTATTGTGATTCTTCAGGTAAACAGTGTGGTTTTTCCAATGAGTTTTCGTCTCAGAAGTCCTATGTTTCCCTTCATAAGTCATTATTGCAAGTATTAATTTTCAAATTTAATATTGGTATTTTAAATGATTTTAAATATAACAAGGAGAAGTTGAATTTGTTAAAGTATCATTAATAAGAAAGATCAAGTGACATGAGTTGATTCATTTATCCTTTGTTCATTCCTTTCTCTGTCCCTTTCCTTTACAATTCTTACAATTTACTAAGGGCTTGTCCTGAAGACACACAAAAAAGGAAAAATATGTGTAGGTCTGTAGTAGCAAACAGCAATCAAGCAGAGAAGTGCCAAATTTAACATCTGGACTTCATCTATTATTTTATAAAGTATATCCACAGCACCAACAAAAGTTAACGTTGCATGTTTCACTATTTGGTTTTTAACCTACATTCCAAATGGCTTTTACAACAGTTATAATAAAATGATAACTGCAAAGGCATTGTGTAGCTAAATGAAAATGTTGTAAATGTGATAATGAAACACGGCCAAAGTTTTGACAATTAGGCAATAGATGGAGATAAAAATTTTAGACTAAAGTGTACAATGAAATACACACACACACACAGCCAAACTCACTCCAAAAAAAAAAAAATAGCAACTAACTTACTGCTGACCAATTCTGTTCACTTTGGAAGAGCAATATTTTGTCTGAATTCAACTCAGAAATAAACCAAATAGTATTACCAACTACTAATAAACCCACTAGACCCCGGCCAAACATCTGATCTTCTCTGATATATCTTTGTTCTTGATGGACTGAGAGGTATAGTAAAAATCATAGAATTTTTTTTAACTTTTCTTGCAAATACATTGTGAATAGAAAGCAAAGTGTATGGAAGTTTGCTCTAAAATAATGCCAAGTCCTAGTTAATCATGTTATTAAAACGAACTGAAATAGTTGAAAGGTTTTATATTCACTTCTGTAATTCCTTAACACTTACATAATTTTGGACTCTTAATTCTACTATCTTAATTTATACAACTTTCAGTATGTTGAAAATTATTTTAAAATGAGTTTTCTGAGAACACCAAGGAAAATGTTATTGCAGATAATCAACTTTACAGATAAATGTTCACACTTTGGATCAGTTTGCTATCTTCTCCTCCAATATTGAAGGCAGGCAATATCCGATTTTGTGTTCGAAACTCATGCCTTCTGGTGGGTCCTTGGTCTCGCTGACTTCAAGAATGAAGCCAGTGACCCTCACAGTGAGTGTTGCAGTTCTTAAAGATGGTGCGTCCAGAGTTTGTTCCTTCAGATATTCAGATGTGTGCAGAGTTTTTTCCTTCCGATGGGTTCGTGGTCTCCCTCACTTCATCTCCCTGACTTCAGGAGTGAAGCTGCAGACCTCCGCAGTGCGTGTTACAGCTCATAATAGTATGGACCCAAAGAGTGAGCAGCACCAAGAGTTATTGTTAACAGTGAAAGAACAAAGCTCCCACAACTGGGAAGGCAACCTGAACAGATTGCGGCTGCTGGCTTGGGTGGCCAGCTTTTATTCCCTTATTTGGTCCTGCCCACGTCCTGCTGATTGGTCTATTTTACAGAGCGCTGATTGGTCCATTTTACAGAGTGCCAATTGGTCCGTTTTTACAGAGAGCTGATTGGTTCATTTACAAACCTTTAGCTAGACACAGAGTGCTGATTGGTGTGTTTACAATCCTTTAGCTAGACAGAAAAGTTCTCCAAGTCCCAACCCAAACCAGAAGCCCAGCCAGCTTTACCTTTCAATTTTATAGGACTTGTGAGTAAAAATAAAAGTATCCATTATGTGATATGTGGTAGATACAATTCCAAGATGGCTCCCCAGATTCCCATGTGTACAACCTATGTATTTATTTCCTTTGAGTGTGGGCGAGCCAGTAAATATAATGTGATAATTCTCCCTGGATTAGGTGACTAAACAGTTTAGTTTAAGTTAATCAAAAGAGAGGTTCATGTGAGTTTTTACTGCTCTTTGAAGATGAAGCCTCCATGAGTTATATAGCTGCAGGGTAATGCATTCTGCCAACAAACATGTCAGATGGGGAGATAACTCAGAGGATCAGATGAGACTCAGTGCTCAGCTCTGTGCTAGGCACAGGAGGCAGTAAAAACTTTTTGAATGAATATATTTCTTGATATATGTGATTTAAGAAAAATTAGTTATCAACAATAAATATTTACTAAATGTGAAACAAAATCTTTAATCTTCACTTAATATGTAAAAATAGTTTCCTCAAAATAGTATTGAGATTTGAATAAACTAAGCATAACCCTATATTTATTGTATTTCTTTAGAAGTTTATGTTCCCTATAAGTCTTGAGAGCCTGTGTTTCTTACCTACTTCTGTGCCTGGTTTATAACACACCCAATTAATGCTCATGGATGGCTCTTTCAGCCCACGTTTACCTTTCTTTATTTAAAAAACCTAATAAAACTGTCAAAAAGGCCAGACGCGGTGGCTCACGACTGTAATCCCAGCACTTTGGGAGGCCGAGGCGGGCGGATCATGAGGTCAGGAGATCAAGACCATCCTGGATAACACGGTGAAACCCTCTGTCTACTAAAAATACAAAAAATTAATTGGGTGTGGTGGCAGGCACCTGTAGTCCCAGCTACTGGGGAGGCTGAGGCAGGAGAATGAAGTGAACCAGAGAGGCAGAGCTTGCAGTGAGCCGAGATCGCGCGCCACTGCACTCCAGCTGGGCGACAGAGCAAGACTCCGTCTCAAAAAAAAAAAAAAAAAAACCTGTCAAGAAATGTGTAAATAATGAAGGTGGTGGTTGTGTCAGGGGAAGAAGGACAGGGCGATATTAATGGCGAAACACATCAGGAAGGATTTTGGAAGAGAACTATAAAGAGAAAATGGTAACTTTACAGTGGAGGAGCATGGCAGATACCACATTAGAAATTTGATCAGCAAAATTAATATTACAAATATTAATGTCTACACCAGGTGACTGTGATATGATGCACTGAGAAAAGCACACCATCAGGTAAAAACACATAGCTTCAATCTAATCATGAGACCACATCATACAAACACTAATTGAGGGACAATCTAAAAAAAAAACTGGCTTCATCATTTCAAAAGTGTGAAGGTCATGGAAGAAGAGGGATAGATGACATTTCATATATCAAAAGATATTAAAAATTTGACAGTATAATACAATTAGTAATCCTGGCTTGAATCATAGACTAGAAAAAGGACATTATTGGACATTATTGGAAAACCATCAAAATTCAACGAATGTCTGTAGATTGGTTAAAAGTCTTATATCTATATAAATGTTTTGGTTTCCACAATTTTACTGTCTTTGCATAAGATGTTAATATTGGGGAAAGAATAGGATATATGGGAACTCACTGTATTATTTTTTGTTAGTTGTCTTTTATTTAAAAAAATAATATATACACCTTGATTAATTTGGGGATAGGTATATACCCATGAAACAATCACCACAATTAAGGCCATAAACATGACCGTCATCTCTCAAAGTTCCCTTCTACCTCATTTATTATTATTATTGTTATTTTTGTGCATGCATAAGAAACTTAAGATATACCTTCTTAGCAAATTTTAAGTATACACTAAGTTATCAATAGATATCAACAGATATACCATGCTGTATAATAGATCACCAGAACTTAATTACCTTGTGTAATTGAAACTTTGTACTCCTTACCTTATATTCCCCTTTCCTATAACTTTTCTGTAAGTCTAACATTATTTGTTTTTTAATAATTAATTTAATTTAATATTTTAAATTGAGGATAATTTTACATATTCATTGGGTACTTAGCAATGTTTCAATACATATAATATATAGAGTGATCAAAACAGAGTAATTAGCATATCCATCATCTCAAACATTTATCATTTCTTGTGTTGGGTGCATTCAATATCCTCCTAGCTATTTAAAGCTATAGATGTTATTGTTAACTATACTAATCCTACAATGGTATAGAACACTAGAACTTATTCCTCCTATCTAGCTGTAATTTTGTATTCTTTAACAAATGTCTCTCTACCTACTCTCTTCTTAACCTTCCCACATATCCTCTGTTCTACTTTCTACTTCTATGAGATCTTTTGTTAGATTGCATATATGAGTGAGACCATGCAGTATTCCTTTGTTTCTGGCTCATTTCACTTAACATAATGTCCTCCAGTTCCATAATGTTGACATGAATTACAGGATTTCATTATTTTATGGATGAATAGTGTTCCATTTTGCATATATACCACCTTTTAAAAATCCATTCATCTATTGTTAGACAACTAGGTTGATTTAAGATCTTGGCTATTGTGAACAGTGCCGCAATATACATGGGCATGCAGATGTCTCCTCAATATAATGATTTCCTTTCATTTGGATAAATGCCTGTGTATTAGTCCATGCTCACATAGTTATAAATACTTGATACTGGGTAATTTATAAAGAAAAGAGGTTTAAGTGGTTCACGTTCCATAGGCTGTAGAGGAATCATGACAGCTTCTGCTTTTGTGGAGACCTCAAGAAGCTTACAATCATGGTGCATGGCGAGGAAGAAGTGAGACATCTCACATGGTGTAATCAGGAGTGAGGGGAGGGGAGTTTCCACACACTTTTAAAAGACCAGATCTCATTAGAATTCACTGTCACAAGAATAGCACCAAGAGGATGGTGCTAAACCATTCATGAAGGATCCACTTTAATGATCTAATCACCTCCCACCAGGCCCCACCTCCAAGACTGGGGATTAAAATTCAATATGAGATTTGGGCAGGGACACAGATCCCAACCATATCAGCCTGGTAGTAGGACTGCTAGACCATATGGTAGTTCTATTTGTAGTTTTTTTGAGGAACCTCCATATTGCTCTCCATAATGGTTGTATTATGCTATTTTACATTCTCACCAAGGGTGTATAAGTGTTCCCTTTTCTCCACATTCTCACCAGCATTTGTTAATTTTTATCTTTTGGATAATAGCCATGGTAACTAAGATGAGAAGATACCTCATTGTGATTTCAATTTGCCTTTCCCTGATAATTAACAATGTTGAGCATTTTTTCATATATCTGTTGGCCATTGGATGTCTTCTTTTGAGAAATATCTGTTCAGACCATTTGATCATTTTTAAATCAACTTATTTGTTTTGCTTACTGTTGAGATGTGTGAGTTCCTTATATGTTCTGGGTATTAATCCCCTGTCATGTGAGTAGTTGGTTAATCTTTTCTCCCACTCTGTATGTAGCTTGTCCTTTCACTCTGTTGATTGTTTCCTTTGTTGTGCAGAATCTTTGTAGTTTGCTATAATTCCATCTATTTTTGTCTTGTTGCCTGTGCTTTTGAGGTCTTATTCATAAAATCTTTTTGCAGGTCAATGTCCTAAAGTGTAACCCTCATGTTTTCTTCTAGTAGTTTTGTAGCTTTGAGTCTTATATTTAGATCTTTGATCCATTTTGATTTTCCTATAAGGTGAGAGGTGGGTGTCTAGTTTCACTCTCTGCATATGAATATCCATGTTTATCAGCACCATTTATTAAAGAGACTGTCCTTTCCCCAATGAGTATTCTTGGCACCTTTGTCAAAAATTAGTTGGCTGTAGATACATTGATTAATTCCTGAGTTCTCCATTCTGTTAAATTGGTCTATGTATCTGTTTTCATGCTAGTTCATGCTCTTTTGGTTACTATATTTTTGCAGTATATTTTGAGGTCTGGTAGTGCAGTGCCTCCAGCTTTGTTCTTTTTGTTCAGGATTGCTTTGGCTATTAGAGGTTGTTTTATGGCTAGATTACAAATTTTAGATTTTTTTCTTCATTGACTCTGTTGATTGCATTGGATAGTATTGTCATTTTAAGAATATTAATTCTTCCCATCCATGAGCATGCAATGTCTTTCCATTTGTATCCTTTATCCAATTTACTTCATCAGTGTTTTTTAGTTTTCCTTATAGAGGTCTTTCACCTCTGTGATTAAATTTATTTATAGGTGTTTTTGTTTGTTTGTTTCGCTACTGTAAATGAGATTGCCTTCTTGGTTTCTTTTTCAGCTAGCTTGTTGTTCCTGAATAGAAACACTATCAATTTTGTATGTTGATTTTTTTATGCTACAACTTTACTGAATTTGTTTAGCATTTCTAAGAATTTTTTGGTAGAGTCTGTAGGTTTTCCTAGAAGTAAGTTTATGTCTTCTGTAAATAGGGGCAGTTTGATACCCTCCTTTCCAATTTAGATGAACTCTATTACCTTCTCTTGCTTAATTGCTCTGGTTAGGTAAAATTATTTTAAAGTTTCTTAAAAATTGAAAATAAGGGCCATGAATTAAAAAATGAGTTTAGAAATCAAGCAGTCATTTAGATACATTGCAATTATATTTCTATTTCTAAGAACAAACAATTTTTAAGTTTCTTGACTGAAAATCAAATGGAGCCAAATAAAATGTCTTTAAGAAAGAAAGAGAACAAAAATAGTATTCCATGTCTTCTCTACCACTCTATGCAAATGAAGACACTAGAATAACATTTAAAAAGGGTTGTGAGGAGAAAAATGTGTTTTCCTGAAAAAAATATACTTGAGCAGACCTTTGCAATGGGTTTCTAACTGATCTTATGATCTACAATCCAGTTTCTCCTTTGCAACCATAGTTTATTTCTAAAATTTAATTTTCTTATTGTCTTGCATAAAGCCTGTCAGTTCCCCATTGACCGAAAGTCTGTTGTATAAAATTGTTGTTTGGTAGCTTATGCGGTAAACACAGGTGGCTGCCTAACATCTGAACCCACTTTCTAAGTTCAGAGATTTTTGCCAGCCACTATTTATTATAATGCTGAAAAGAAGGTCTTTGAGTCATTTTTTTCCTGTTTTGAATTCTGTGACATGTAACCTTATCTTCCAATCAACGGACCAATCCAAATTATGAATCTGCAATACATACAAAAAAGAAGCAAGGATAATGCAGTCTACTCTAATCTTCATGATTATAGTAATAATGATTTCATCCCTTTTCTATGGTCAGTAGTAGAAATAGTTGTAGGAGTAGTGTTCAGGGTCTGTTGTCATTGGTGTTAATGGGTGAGCTAGTGTCTATGCCCAATTGTAGCAGCAATGTCTCAGGCAAATTCTATTTCTGTGTTGTATCCGAATCTGATTATTTGTCCCACCCAGAAGTTTTGAAATGTGAAAATCAACAGTATCCTTTATGAATTCATTTTTTGCCTGATTTCATTTTTGCTATTTGCAACTAATAATTCAGATTCTACTAGCTCTTCCATTATGCTTCCAATAAATACTTCTTCAAAAGCATGTCAAGGATTTGAATAAGCAAAGGCATAGGCAAGAATTTTTTTTAAATGGATAAAAATTGACGTGACTTAGAAACAATGACTCAGGTTTAAAGTGAATTAACATATTTTCTCTATATTAAAAAAATACTTGTTCACATTTAAGTTTAGTAGTTTTGAAATGCAATTAGTTTGTGTTGAACCTAGACATGCTTTTTTGGTCTTTCTCAAAAAAACTCCTGAAATTAACAGTAAAATAAAATTTTTCTAGTATCTTAGTAGTAGGAAAATGTTGTATAACAATCTTGAGTTTCTATTTCCAGAATTTGTTCATTTTGTTTTGTCTATTGCTCTGCTTAACACTCCTATTTTGTGATTCTTCTTGAGATCTAAGTTTGGATACCTACTTAGCCAATAACAAACACTCAATTACAAAAATTATATATAATATACACATATGTATAATTTTTATATATACACACACAATAGTATGCTGCATTTGTTACAATTAATAAACCAGTACTGACACATTACTAAGTGAAGCCTCCTTTATTCAAATGTATTTAGTTTATATTCAGTGTCTTTTTTCTTTTTCAGAATCCCATCCACGAAAACACCTTACATCTATTGGTCATGTCTCTTTAGGCTCCCCTCAGCTGTGATAGATTTCCAGACTTCCCTTGTCTTTGATGACCTTGACCATTTTAAGGATTAATGGTCAGGTATTTTGTAGAATGTCCTTCGATTAGGATTTCTTTGATATTTTTTCCATAATTAGCTTGGGGTAATGTGTTTTGAGGAGGAAAATCACGGAGGTAACATGCCATTTTTAGCATATCATATCAGGAGTACATGCTATCAACATGATATGTCACTATTGATGTTGAACTTATCACCTGGCTGACATAGTATTTGTCAGATTTCTCCACTGCAAGAATCATCGTTTGTTAAAGTTTTAGCCCCCCTTTCAATATTATGGTCTTTGGAAGGAGGTCACCAGACCCAATCCACACTTAAGGAGTGGAAGGTTATGCTTTAACTACTTAAGGTGCAGTATTCATACAAATTATTTGAAATTCTACAGGGGAAGATGTCTCACTTCTCCCCCATTTATTTACCTGTTCAGTAATTTGATTATGTCACTATGGATTAATGGATATTTCTTTTAGACTTTGGGTTGTAATCTGGGACTACTTTATTTTATTATTCAAATTCTTCCAGCTTTGGTCATTGAAATCTTTTGCATTTGAGTCCTGATCCCCTTTGACATATACATTAACACTTGTTGTTGCTATTTTATAGGAAAAAAAAAACATTTTCCTCATATTCTGGCACTACAAGATGATTTAAACTTATGTATTTTCTGCTCCAGTCCTAGAATCAGGCCAAATTCCACTAATGTTAATGCTTTGTAATGTGCTATCCTTTATTATTCTTTGTTTCTTTCTCACTTTTTCTTTCCCATTCTCCATCTCTCTGTTCTTCTCTATCTTCCTCTTTAGAATACTTTTGATAATCTTGCCAACTACTTATGTAATTTATTTCTCAATATATTTAAAATTCTTCGAAATAAATATTAACATGTTTATTTGGATTGAAAAATACTATAAGCTAGTCTGCAGAACTTATAATTCACAAACTATTCCTGTAAAATCTTTTACAGCAAAATAAAATAATATTTCCTAGCCTAAGATCTAATTATGAATTTTCATGGCATTGATGTCATGGTTTGTGTTAGTAAACTGTAATTGGGAGCATCCTCATAAGTATTTTTTTTTTTTTGTCTTTGATGACCTTGTCATTTGTGGTATTTCCACATAATAAAATTTTGGTTAACATTTACAGCAAGAATAACAGATACATCTGCATTATATATCAACCATATTATAGGGTATTTTTTTTCTTTACTGGTGATATGAACTTCAATTACTAAGGTAATGACCATTACATGTCTCAACTGTAAATTTACTATTTTTTTTCTCTGCAGATAAAAGTACCTTGGAGGGAGACAATTTAAGACTCTGTAATTATCTTATTTCATTTTTTAAAACATTTTTTATTTTATTTTTCTTAGAGACAAGGACTTTCTCTGTCACCCAGGCTGGGGATCAGTGGCATTAACATAGCTCACAGCAGCTTCAAACTCCTGGGCTCAAGAGATCTTCCACCTCAGCCTCCAGAGTAGTTGTGATTACAAGTGCAAGCCACTGTGCCTGGCAAAACATTTTATTTCTAACCAAATGTTTTAGTACCAATTATTTGTTTTTCTGCCTGAACCTACTGTTTCTATGGTGATTATCAAATGGCAATTTAAAAAATTCCATAATTTCTTCAGTATTTTGCATTTTATTATAATGAAGAACTTTCTTTCTATATCTTTATTTACTTGACTACATCAGTATGGACTCATGCATTATTTTATTCAATGGCTCAAAATACCTTACTGTATTTATTTATTTAAATGCTCTATTTACCTCACATTTGGTGAGTTCCTCTCCAAGTTACATTCTATATATTTTGATTTTTGCAATTGATTGCTATACAAATAATAGTATCTCAAATAATGCTTTCCAGGAATTTAGACATACACAATTATTATTACAATATAAATTCTCATCCTAACAAATTATTAAATATTTAGATTGCATTAACAAAACATAAAACAATAATAGCATTTTAAACAAAATTTACCTAAAAATAATTATTACAAAACCTTAAATCATTTTAATAAATGTAGATATACTAGCTACAAGAAGAATGATTTTCGTTAGTTTTATTTTCCAAAACAAACAATCTTAAAAAGGATTGACTGAATCATAAAATTAGATTTCCAACCTGGGGATACATGTTACTGTGAAAACTCCAAATGAAGTGCATGCATTTCTTCAACCTATGTTCGTCAGGCTTCAGTTTTTCTGGACTTCATTTGGAAGTGACCTTGCATAGTAATAACTATTGAACTTAGTAGGTATTTGTGATTTCTGAAGTTAATTATCATTCTTGCTTTAGTGCCTTCCTGCTGTGTTTGCTCATTTAAGAACAATAGATGATGATGGCTAAATAATTAATTCCAGATAGGGAATTTGAGTAGGTTTTGTTGTTGTTTCTGTTTGTTTAAATTTATGCATAATTTGAGGATTGTGAGGGAGAATGAAGGAATTCCTATTTTATTTCGAAAAGACTTTTGTTATTTTTCATAACGTTTATGCCTTTGCTGTTATGCTCAGAATTCTGGTTGAGTATTCTAATAAAAAAGGAAAAGTTTGCCATATTTGCTTTATTATACTTTAAATAAAATGCTTACTATTTTAAAAGTTAGACATTTGACACTATGTATAATGTTTCATTTTATTTTTTGTTTTTTAATTAAAAAGTAAATATAATATATATTTATGATATGACACAATGTTTTGATGTATTTGTACATTGTGGAATGGCTAAATCAAGCTATTTAACACATGCATTACCTCACATACTTATTATTCTTATTTTGTGGTGAGAGCACTTAAAATCTATTATCTTAGCAATTTTCAAGTATACAACACATCGTTACTAGCTGCAGTCATCATGACATGTAATAGATCTCCTGAAGTTACTCCTCGTGTCTAACTGAAATTTTCTGTATTTTGACCAACATCTCCCCAATTCCCAACTTATGGTCGGTCTCTAGTAACCACCATTTTACTCTCTGTTTCTATTTTAACTCTTTTACACTCCACATGTGAGATCATGTGGTGCTTGTCTTTCTGCACCTGGCTTATTTCACTTAACATAATGTCCTCCAGGTTCATCCATTTTGTTACAAATGGCAAGATTTCCTTACTTTTAAACAATAAGTAGTATTCCATTGTATATATATACCAAATTATCTTTATCTATTCATCCCCTGATGGACACTTATGTTACTTTTATATGTTGGCTAATGTGAATAGTGCTGTAATAAACATGGGAGTGCAGATAACTCTTTGGCATACTGATTTCAACTCCTTTGTATGTGTATACCCAGAAGTAGGATTGCTGGATCATACAAGAGTTCTATTTTCACTTTTTTTGAGGAAATTCCATACAGTTTTTTATAATGGCTGTACTAATTTACATTCCCACCAACAGTGTACTTTACAAAGATTCTCTTTTGTCCACATTCCTGACAATACTTGCTATCTTTTTTGTTTTGATAATAGCTACGTTGATAGGCATGAGGTGACATATCATTTTGGTTTTTATTTGCTTTTCTCTGATGATGAGTAATGTTGAGCATTTTTCCATATACTTATTGGCAATTTATATGTCTTTTTTTAAAAGAAATATATATCCAGGTATTTTGCCCATTTTAAAATCAGGTTTTTTTTTTAACTATTGAGTTTTTTAAATTTTCTTTTGTATTTTGTATATTAGCCCCTTATCAGATGTATGGCTTGCAAATATATTCTCCCATTCATAATTTGTCTCTTTACTGTGTTGATTGATTCCTTTGCTATGTAGAAGATTTTGTTTGATGTAATGCCATTTGTCTATTTTTGTTTTTGTTGCCTCTGTTTTTGGAGTTGTATCCAAAAGGTATTTGCCTAGACCAAAGTCATGGAACTTTCCCCCTATGTTTTCTTCCAGTAGTTTTACAGTTACAGGTCTTATGTTTAAGTCTTCATTTAATTTTGAGTTGATATTTGAGTATTGTATGAGGTAAGGGTATACTTACATATCTCAGCATATGGATATCCACTTTGAATGCCATGTTCGTTGCAGAGACTGTTCTTTCACTATTGTGTGTTTTTAGCATCTTTTTGAAAGATAAATTGACCATAAATGCATGGATATATTTTTGAGATCTCTATTCTGTTCCATTGGCCTATATGTCTGTTTTTATGTCAGTGCCATGCTGCATTGATTACTATAGTTTTGTAGTAGATTTTAAATCAGGTATTGTGATGTCTACAGCTTTGTTCTTTTTGCCAAAGATTGCTTTAGCTAATTGGGGCCTTTTGTGGTGTTATACAAATTTTAAGATAGTTTTTTTTTCCATTTCTATAATGTATGTCATTGGAAATTTGATAGAGATTGTAATGAATTTTTAGATTGTTTTGAGTCATATGAACATTTTAACAATATTAATTCTTCCAACTCGTGAATCTGGTTATCTGGTTATCTTTCTATTTGTTTGTGTCATCTTCTCTTTTATCATTGTTGTATAGTTTTCAGTGTGCAGATTTTTCATCTCCCTTGTTAAATTTCTTCTTAAGTATTTTATTATGTGGTAGCTATTGCAAATGGGATTGTTTTCTTCATTTCTTTTTTGATAGTTCATTTTTAGTGTACAAAAATGCTACTAATGTTTGTATGTTAATTTTGTATCCTGCAAATTTACTGAATTCATTTATTAGTTCTAAGAGGTTTTAGTGGAATTTATAGGTTTTTCTGTATCTATGATTATGTCATCTAGAACATTACTATAATGTGTAAGAAAATTTCACACATTCCTTTCCAATTCTAATGTCTTTTATTTTTATTTTTATTTTTATTTTATTTTTTGCCTAATTGATCTGGCTAAATTTCCCAGTAATATGTTAAATACAAGTGTGATATGGTTTGGCTCTGTATCCCCACTCAAATCTCACCTTGAATTGTAGTTCCCATAATCCCCATGTGTCATGGGAGAGACAAAGTGGGAAGTAATTTAATCATGGAGGTGGTTACCTCCATTCTGTTCTCATGACAGTGAGCGAGCTCTCACAGGATCTGATCTTTTTATAACTGGCTTTTCCCCTTTTTGCTCAGCACTTTATCCTTCCTGCCACCATGTAAAGAAGGACATGTTTGCTTCTCCTTTTGCCATGATTATGTTTCCTGAGGCCTTCCCAGCCATGCAGAACTATGAGTCAATTAAAGGACTTTCCTTTATAAATTACCCAGTTTCAGATAGTTCTTTATTAGCAGTATGAGAACAGACTGATACATAGTGACAAAAGCGTTCACATCCTTGTTTTGTTACTGATCTTAAAGGGAAAGTTTTCCTTTTTTCACTGTAAAGTATGATGCTAGTTAGGAGTTTGTCTTATATGGCCTTTTGTGGTGTTAAGGTACATTTCTTCTATACTTAATTTGTTAAGAGTTTTTGTAACAAATAGATGTTAAATATTGCCTATTGTCTTTTCTACATCTTTTTAGATTATCATATGGTTTTGTCCTTCATTCTTTTAATATTGTGTATTACACTTATTAATTTGCATATTTTGAAACATCTTTGCCTTCCAGAGATATATCCCACTTGATCATGGTGAATGATCTTTTCACTATCCTGTTGAACATGGCTTTCTAGGATTTTCTTTTTTTTTTTTTTTTTTTTTGAGACGGAGTCTCGCTCTGTCGCCCAGGCTGGAGTGCAGTGGCGGGATCTCGGCTCACTGCAAGCTCCGCCTCCCGGGTTCACGCCATTCTCCTGCCTCAGCCTCCCGAGTAGCTGGTAGGATTTTCTTAAGAGGTTTTTCATTAAGTTCATGAGGGATATTGGTTGGAAGTTCTTTTCTTGTAGTATCCTTATCCAGTTTTGGTTTCATAGTAATGCTGGCTTTCTAAAACTTGTTTGGAAGAATTCCCTTCTCTTCAACTTTTTGGAAGAGTTTAAGAAAGATTGGTGTTAGTGTTTCTTTAAATATTTGGTAGAAATCAGCAATGAAACCATCAGGTCCTAGAAATTTCTTTTATAGGAGACACTTCATTAGAGAATCAATCTCATTACTTATTATTAGTCTATTTAGATTTTCTATTTTTTCATGATTCAGTCTTGGTAATCATATGAATCTAGAAATGTATTTATTATTCTAGGTTATCCGACTTGTTGGCATATAATTGTTCATAGTTATCTCCTATAATCCTTTGTGAATCTTTTGTATCAGTTGTAATATATCTTCTTTCACTTCTGATTTAATTTTTGTGAGTCTTCTCTATTTTCTCCTAACCTAGCAAAGGTTTGTCAATTTTGTTTATCTTTTCAAAAAACCAACTCTTATATTTATTGATCTTTTCTATTGTTTTTCTAGTCTTTATTTCATTACTTCTGGTCTTTATTATTTTATTTCTTCTACTAACTTTGGGCTTAGTTTGTTCTTTTTCTATTTCCTTGAGTTCTAACATTAGGTTGTTTATTTGGGAATCTTTCTTCCTTTTTGATGAATTTGGTTATTGCTCTATACTTCCCTATTAGAACTGCTTTTGCTGCATCCCACAATTTTGGTATGTAGTGTTTTCACTTTTGTTTATCCGAAGGTATTTTTATATTATTATCCTACATATTTGTAAATTTTTTGAAATTTCTCATTGATTTCTAGTTTCATATCACTGTGGTTGAAAAATATCCTTGATACCATTTCATTCTTTTTAAATACGTTAAGGATTTTTTTAAGCCTAACATGATCTATCCTGGAGAATATTTCACGTATAGTTGAGAGAAATGTGGATTCTACTATGTATAAATGGAATGTTCTGTACATGTCTGTTAGGTTCATTTGGTCTTAACTCAAGTTCAAGTCGAATGTTTATTGATTTTTTTGTCTGAATGATCCGTCTGTTATTGCAGGTGGATCACTGTATTGCAATCACTCTTTCTCTTTAGATCTACTGATATTTGCTTTACATATTTAGATGCTTACATATTGGGTCCATATACACTTATAATTGTAATATCTCCTTGATGAATTGATCTCTTAAACTTTTTGGTCTCCTTTTATAGTTCTTCCTTAATTTCTATTTTGTCTTATATAAGTATGGCTACATCTGCCCTGCTCTTTATTGATTTCCATTTGCATGAAATATCTTTTCTATCTTTTTATTTTTCAATCTATATGTGTGCTTAAATGTGAAGTGAGTATTTTGTAGGCAGCATGTAGTTGGGTCTTGTTTTACTCAACCATTCGGCTATTCTATGTCTTTTGATTAGAGAATTTGATCCATTCACACTCAAAGTAAGAACTCATTACTGTCATTTCTTTTTTTTTTTTTTGGTATATCCTTTGCTTTTTTCTGCCTTTCTTCCTGTTTTCCTTCATGTTTAGATAATTCTCTCTAGTATATGCTTTGATTTATTACTGTATCTTTTGTGTATCTACTATGGGTTTTAGCTTTGTTATTACCATGAAACATGCGTAATACATCTTATAGTTATAACAAGCTTTTTTAAGCTGATAATAACTTAGCTTTACCACATAAAATAACTCAATAGTTTTACTTCAACATCCCCAATTGCCAGCATCTTATTATTGGTGTCACAATTTACATTTTTTTATATTGTATATTGTTTAACAAATTATTGTATCTATTATTATTTTAATAGTTTTGTCTTTTAACATTCATATTTAAGATATACAAATGATTTACACACCATCATTATAGTATTAGAATATTCTGAATTTGACTGTAAACTCACATTTACCAGTGAGTTTGATAAATTTACATATTTTCATGTTACTAATTAGTATCAATTTCTTTCAGTTTGGAGAACTCCCTTTAGCATTTCTAGTAAGACAGGTACAGTGATGATGAACTCCTTTAGCTTTTGTTTCTCTAAGAATGTCTTTATCTCTTCTTTATTTCAGAAGTAGAGCTCTGCTAGGTAAAATATTATTGGTTCCCAGTTTGTTCTCTTTTTCTTTTATTTTCCTTTCTTTTCCCCTTCCCCTCCCCTCCCCTCCCCTCCCCTCTCCTTTCCCTCCCCTCCCCTCTCCTTTCTCCTTTCTCCTTTCTCCTTTCCTTTCCCTTTTTTTGCTTTCAGCACTTTGAATATATCATGCCCTTTCCTGGTCTGTAAGAATTCTGCTGAGAAGAAACTCCCTTATATGTGATATTATTCTTTTCTCTTTCTGCTTTCCAAATTCTCTTTGTCTCTAATTTTGACAGTTTGATTATACAATGTCTGGTAGTAGCTTTTTTGAATAGCAGCTAATTGAAAACCGTTGACCTTTCTATACCTGAATATTTACATATCTCCATAGATTTGAAAAGTTTTATGTTATTATTTAAGTAAGCTTTCTACCCATATTCTCTCCTTTCTTGCCTTTCAGCTCCCTTGGTTGCTTCACAAATACCTGTGCCTTGCAAACTATTGCCAACACAGTAACAAAGGTGTCTACACACTGGCACCGATGCCATTACTGGCCCAGGTCCCCAAACTGCAGTCCCTCCACATAGGCCCATGTTTCAGGCCTCTGCTCTGTGGCCGCTCCATGGGCACCTATAATTTAAGGTTTGCTCTCTTGGTCATGTTCCATATATCCTGTAAGCTTTCTTCATTTTCCTGGCTTCTTTTTTTTTTCTCACTTCTTTTTTTTTCTCCTCTCACTGTATATTTTCAAATAACCTGTCTTCAAATTCAAATTTCTTTCTTCTGCTTCGTCAATTATGCAATCGATGCACTCTATTGCATTTTTTTCATTTCATTCATTGTAGTTTTTCAACTTCAGGATTTCTGATTTTTTTTTTTTTTTTTTTTTTTTTTTTTTTTTTTTTTTTTTTTTTTTGAGACGGAGTCTCGCTCTGTGGCCCAGGCGGGAGTGCAGTGGCGCAATCTCGGCTCACTGCAAGCTCCGCCTCCCGGGTTCATGCCATTCTCCTGCCTCAGCCTCCCGAGTAGCTGGGACTACAGGCGCCTGCCATCATGCCAGGCTAATTTTTTTGTATTTTTAGTAGAGACGGGGTTTCACCGTGTTAGCCAGGATGGTCTCGATCTCCTGACCTCGTGATCCGCCCGCCTCGGCCTCCCAAAGTGCTGGGATTACAAGCGTGAGCCACCACGCCTGGCCGATTTCTGATTTTTTGTAACTTCAATTTCCTAGTTAAATTTCTCATATTTGCACTTATTTATTATTTTTAGTTCCATTGAATTATTTTTTTGTATATTTTCTTAAAGTTCACTTATATCACTTTACAAAATTATATTGAATTCTTTGGCAGTTCATATATGTCTATTTTTTTAGCAATCAGCTACTGGGAGATTACTGTGTTCTTTAGGTTGTGTTATGTTTTCTTGTTTTTTTGTATGTGTTTCTGCTGCCATATATTGATGTCTGTGCATTTCATGAAGCAGTCATCTCTTGCAGACTTTATGGACTAATTTCAGTGTGGAAATATTTTCCCCCAAAAAAGACAGTGTGATGTTCTTGCTGGGTGGGATTCAGCACTTCTGGCACAAATTATAGCGCAACTGTGTTGTCTCTATGCAGCCCTGTCAGCTGACCTCTTTAAGACTGCAGAAACACTTAGCAGCAAATGCTATAGATTTCCATAGTGGCAATGAGTGTTGCTGGGGTCTTTGGTGGCAATCGCTGGTAAGGTCCTTCCATTTTTTTTCTCCCATCAGGGAATTTGCAGTTAAGGGCGTTTCTCTACCCATTGGGTCTGGCTTGTGGTCCTGCTCCCAATGGTGGTTGTATCAGTGTCTTGTGAGTGATGCCCATGAAGTAGCCACAGAGCAGAGGCCTGAAACATGGGCACAGGTGGAGGGACTGAAAATTGGGGACCTGGTGCAGTAATGGCACTGGTGCCAGTGTGCAGACACCTTTGCTACTGTGTTGGCAATAGTTTGCAAGGCACAGGTACTTGTGAAGCAACCAAGGGAGCTGAAAGTAGGAGCACAGCCACGTTTAGAATTTGAGCAGCTCCAAGGTCAGAGTGGGGCCTAGCTGTCTATGGTGGCTGAGCTGATGCCTGGCTGTCATGCAACCCCATTGCTGTGTTAGTAACATTTTGTAAGAAATAAATGCTTGTAAAGTCTCCAGGGATCAGGAATGGGAACATAGGCATGCACAGAGTTAGACTGGCTCTGGGGTGTGGTCAGTGCTTAGTTCTCTATGGTGGCTGTGCCAGCATCTGGAGCACAGGCATGCACAGTGAGTGATTGGCTCTGAAATGAAATATAAGCTAGTTCACTGTGCCAATGGCTTCAATGTCTGAGATATGGACAGGGCCACTGCAGCCATAGAGGCTTGGCCTAGAGCGTAGACACTTGTGGTTTAGCCATAGCTCCAGGGTCAGGATACACTCAGGTTTGGGAGAGGCAGGTACTCCTTTTTTTTAACAGCTCAACAGCAGTCACTTTTGTGGTTGGAGGGGGTTGTATGGCTGTACCACCTTCTCTGGTATTCTCTGGCAGGAATACCTGTTGGTTACCTCAGTGGCAAGAGATGCTTGTGTCTTCTGCAGAGCAGGTTCATAGGGATGGTGGTAATTCCTGCCATGTGGCTTTTACTGATAGCTTCTACCTTTCTTCTTTACTCCTAGCAGTCTATTGGTATCTCAGATATGCTGATCTCACCAATGATCCTTTTCATGTGGATAATCTCCATTGCTTTTGCCTTTTTCTTTCTTTTTTCTTATGTGTATGTGTTTGTTTTTTTTTTTTTTCCTCACTGTGTTGCTGTAGATTCTTTAGATTGCACTTAAGTCCTTTCTGGGCTAGTCTGTTTTATGAATAGCTGTCTACATTTTGTGTGTGTGTGTGGGAGGAATGTGGTCTGGTATCTCCTACACTGTCATCTTGGTGACATCATTCTTAATCTGTTCTTTATAAAAGAAATTTTTAAAGGCTAAATATTTGTATGCAATAGCTTGCATTTTGAAATAATAAAATAAATAACAAAATTATAATATTCATGTGAGTTGAAAGAAGTATGTTTTCTGTGGGGAATATGAACTTAATCTAACTTCCTGAAGAATGTTGAAAGATGGATTAATTTTATGTACTAGATACACTATAAGGGGATATCATCTATGGGTACCAATACAGAAGTAAGAAGGACAAAAGGTGGTAGTAAGCCTGGTAAAGAATGTCAGAGTAAGCACAATGTAACTCCTGATATAAGTTGAATATATGATAACTATTTTCTAAAAGTAGGATGATATTTAACAACCATATATACAAATTCTACATGAATAGACTGAAAATTAACTACAGCTTTTTACCATGCTACTTGTAGTTCTTAGGGTATTTGCTTACCCAAAAGTAAAATCAGCTAATTTTATATTTATGAATTTATATATTCCTTTGGGTCTCTATTTCTTCCTCAGTACTCCATGAAAGTTTACTTCAACCAATTGGAACCTCAAAGAACAGATTATATTATAGTCTTAATTTGGGTTTGGGTTACATGAATCAAAATAAGAAAAACAAGTTAGAGGTTCTTTCTCTAAATGTATCCTTGTAAGATGCCTATCATGTAATCATGGAATGACATAAGGTGGAAATGCAGTTAATTCACAGGACTTTTTTATTCTCTTGTCTTAAACATGAGATATTATTAATGACTTGCTCTTTCAGAATCACTGAAAAAGCAAAGAATGGTGGTGATGATGGTTAATTAATCTTATTCTAATGCAGACTACTCAAGTAGTTTCTTTAATCATATTTTCAATTTGGAGATAGTGATGCTGACAATGGCCCATTCAGAGCAGCCCCTGTGAGGACACTGGCTGCAACAGGGGAGGTGTGGCTGGGGCTATGCCCTCTGTAGGGCCAGCAGAAACTAGGAACAGTTGAGATACACCCACAGTTCCAGCCCCAGCATTTCTGAGTTCTTGGAGGCCCTGGAAGTCCCTTTCCCTGACAGGCTTGGAAGTGACTGATCTCACTCCCTGGCCTCTCCCAGCTCCCAGAGACTGTTCCAGGGTGGAGCAAAGCTGTGGCCAAACCCAGGCGCTATTACAACCCTGCTGGGTATGTGGGTGTTCCAGGGGGGACTGACATGCCAGTCCCCTGCCACCTCAGCCTCCTCTGGACTTTGGGTGCCAATAAGCATGGAATGGATGCTGAGGGGCTGCTGAGGGTGGCTCAGCATGGACCTGCAAGCCCCCCATAGAACAAGCAGCCTGGGTGCCATGGACAACATGTTGACGGTCTCAGGAGGCAGAAAGCCTCCTGGGTGGAAAGGGGTGGCTCCCTTGTGAAGCCTCACCTTCAAGCCAGAGACGGCGTGAAGCCTGGGGGCCAGGCTGTCAGTTGCAGGTGGAGTCTATGGCCCAGAGGGAGAACTTATGATGCTTTTTCTGATCCAACCCATGGCCCAATCAGCACATACTTTCTCCCTTATGAACCCAAAAAACCCCAGCTGGACTCACACAGATGTCGAGACTACCAGCTGTGGAAAGGAGCTACCCACTCCAGGTCTCCTCTCCACTGACAGCTAGACACTCACTGGGGTAACCTGCCTGCAGAATGGAGCTACCCACTCTGCATCTCCTCTCCACTGAGGGCTGCACTCGTGAGAACAACTTGCGTGGGGAAAGGATCTACCCACTTTGAGTCTCTCAAGAGCTGTTCTATCACTCAATAAAGCACTTCTTTGTCTTGCTCACACTCCAGTTATCTGCGTACCTCATTCTTCATGGATGTGGGACAAGAACTTGGGACTTGCCAAATGGTGGTACGAAAAGATCTGTAATACAAACAAGGCTGAAACACACTCTCCATCTTGCCACATTGTGGGCAACAAGGAAAGAAGAGCTGTAGCCCTTCAGGGAGCACAGACCTAGGGGCTTTCTGAACTGGTGTTTGACAACCTCTTTGGGGCTCTGCAGTTTCTGGAATCTCTAAGCTTCCAGGCACCAGTGCATTCCCCTCATCCAGATGAGGGTGCCCACAGCAGAAGCCACTTGCCATTCATCTGATCCAGCGACAGGTTTACGTGGAGGCAGAACCTGTGCTGGCACCTGGAGCTGATTGCCCCACCACACCACAGTGGCTGGACCCTGTGCTCACTCACTCACACACCCCTTGCACTCCACACCTGGCTTGCGCTTGGCAGTCATGGGATCTGGGCCAGTAGCGCAAACTGAGCACGGCCTGCCAGGCCAAGTAAGCAGAACGAGCCCAGCAGGCCCAAGCAAGACTCAGGCAAAGATGCCACTGGCCACAGAGGTTTCTGGCTGGAAAAGTGACACCTGAAATATCCCAAGACAATACTATTGTAAAGGTGATGTTTCATTCTTGGGCTTTCAGATCTCCAAAAGCAACAAGAATGAAAAAATAAACATGCAAACTTTATATCTGATGAAATCTAAAGAAATTTGAAACCCCAAATGACAAAAACAGAAAAAATAATTTGTAAAAATCAGAGATTGCTAAACAAAAGAATAGGAGAAAAAAATTGCCAATGGTTGATAATCTCAGAAAGCTCCAACATAATGTGCATTTCACAGATGAAAGATGCAATAGAAGGAACTGCACCAATATTTCAGTGGTGTGGGTCATGTACTATTCACCCGAGCTCTCCTGGATTGACTAGTTCTGTAATGCAGTGGAGCCAGTGACCAAGGGAAATTTAGGCACTGATTATTTGTAGAAAGTATTGTAATTATTGCTATATGGTATTGAACAGAAAAGATAAATGATGATATGAACACTCACACAATTTTCTGTTTTCATTGGCTAATTACACTCAATCATGCCAACACTGTAAAAGAATCACCACTCAAAAAGAAGTACAGCAATGGGAAAAGTAAATAAATGACAAGTAGAATATAGAAGGAAGGAAAGAAGGAAGGAAAGGAAGGAAGGAGGGAGGGAGGGAGAGAGGGAGGGAAAGACACAAGCAAGCAAGGAAGGAAGGAAGGAAGGAGAAAGAAAGTAAACAGGAAGGAAGAATGAGCTGACATAGAACAGGGCTTGACATGTTTTTCTGTCTAATGGAGCAGATGGTAAATAATGTAACTTTGTTGGTCATATCATTTCTGTTGTGAACTATTCAAATCTGCCAATGTAGTGTAAAATTAGTCATAAACCATACATAAATGAAGCATGGCTGTGTTTTAATGAAACCTTATTTGTGGAAACTAAATTGATTTTTGTAAAGTTTTCATGTATTATAAAAAGCTATTCCTTTGAGTTTTTAAAAACCATTTAAAAATGTAAAATTCATTCTTATCTCATGGCTATACAAAAACAAGAATTGGAAGTGATTTGTTTTCCAGGAAGTAGTTTGCTCATTCTTGCCACAGAATATATAAAAATAATGAACACAATTAAATATCACAAATTAAATATCACTGTATATATTAAGGTCATTGCTCATATAAAACAGTAGCACAGAAGAGAAATATAAGAACAAAGAAGAGATTTTGAGACAAAAGTAGATAAAATGTGAGCTAGAAAAGTTTATGAAAGAAGTGGAAAAAATCACTTAAGTGTGTGTAAAAATAGCGACAGTATAAACAAAAATATTTATGAAAATATTATAAAAAGAAAAAGTAAAAATACATTGGGGAAGAAGAGCAAATGATGGTTATAAACATCTAGGCAAACACTATATACAGATTATCCTGAAGAAAGAATATGGAATAATGTAACAGAAAAATATTTTGCCATGATATAATTCTTATAAATTTTCAAGGCAGAGCCAATAGAGTCTCCTTATGTTATTGTTCTGATGTTCACTTCTACTTTACTTTGAGACAAAGATGGCAATCAGTGAGTCCTAGTTTTGGCCAGGAAATACGGAGTGAAAACAGAAAACAGTAATTATGTTAGATATTGAGGGAAAGATAGGAAGTTTAGCTATTCAAATTATAGTTTGGGATATCTGCATTCATATTTTAATTTGTTTAATGAATGCAAGACATCCAATAATTAGTAATTAGTAATTTAATCTTGTTTAGTGAACACTTCAAATATTAACCATATCCAATTAAAACTTCTCATCTATACCATAGTATATTTTAATGAATCTGAGCTATCCTTACCTCATTATTTGTGGGAATGCTTTAAATGAATATAGCATTTGAATATTTTGTTGAAAAGAAGTTAGAAATTATAGAATTTCAGTAAAAAACTTGGAAGTAGAATCAATGTCTATGACTATTGTTTAAAATGATAATGCTTTCACCAATATTGCCAATAATGTGAATATTGGCAATACTGGTTAGCTCCTTAATCATATTTTATTCCCAGATATAATATTGTCACTGATACTACTCCCCAGTATATTTGCATATTTTTATCAACATCAACCTTATTTTCTTAGAAATGTTATAACATTTCATGTAAAATTTATTTCTTGGAAATCCATTTACTAATATTTTAATAGATGTGTTTAAATCAATAGTAAAAGGATCATCAACAAACAGATAATCTCTCATATTGCTAAAGTGCCAAAAGATGAGAACCACCAAACTTCTGAAAATTGCTCAATTGGCTATTGTTAATCTTAAAATTCATCTCTGAACAGCATCTATAGGTGTCATTCTCAAATAATGAAGCTTATAGATTGATGAGATCTAAGATAGTTCCCTGTTACAGAAAATTCCCCTTCATAGAAAATTGAGTAAATTTGTTTCTACTTACACACAAGTACTTGTTTCTCTTGGTCAAACAAAATATATTTAACAAAGACATTATATAATAATAATCATAGTATCTCATTGCTGTGATAGCCTCACAAATATCTCAAAAAGGACTTTTGACAGGACTTACGGCAATTTTCACAGTAACACAACATTTTTAAGGTAGTTGTGATTTTTGCAAAGCTAAGTTTAGACTCCTTTCTAATAATAATTTTATGAGATTACTATGATGCTTCTCTCTCTCTCTCTTTCTCATCTACAAATTATGAATTTAGAGACCTACCTTTCCTTTCTTTTTTTCCTTCTCACCTATTTATTTCAGAATAGGTGATTTTTACATAAAGATTAACAAATTACAATTTTTAAATAAATGCTTTTTTTCATCCCAACAAATAAAATTTGGCAGGGAGCAGTGGCCTCACACCTGTAATCCTAGCACTTTGAGAGACTGAAGCAGGCACACTGCTTGAGCTCAGGAGGTCGAGACTGGTCTAGGTACCATGGTGAAACCCATGTCTACAAAAAATTAAAAAAAAATTAGCCAGGTATGGTGGTATGTACCTGTAGTCCCAACTACTTGGGTGGCTGAGGCAGAAGAATCTCTTGAACCAAGAAGGTGGAGGTTGCAGTGAGCTGAGATTGTGCCACTGCATTCCAGCTTTGGTGACAAGGTCAGACCCTGTCTCAAACAAAAAATGAAACAAAATTTGAGGACACAAAACATTTAAAATCGCATGGTGCATTTCAAATTAATTTTGGTTTTAAAAATTACACCCAAAGGAAATACACATTTTGATGGGCATATATGGGCTTTAAAATATTGTGATTTGAAAAAATCATGATCTATTTAATAAAGATTTTTTATGAGGTAAAAATATGTAAGATTAAACTATAATTAGAAAAAAATATTATATACCACCTGAAACTGAGATTATTATGTTTGCTGATTTTAAGATACAGAGGATTTTAAGATACAGAAGTCTATTTTCATAGCAGAAGCTCTTTCAAGCTCTTAGAATAATTTAATAACACTGTGACTAAATAATTAAAAAAATGAAGTCCATGTTAATGAATTGTAATTTCAGCTGGAACAAGTATCAAATGTATGCTTTGCAAGGAAAGAAATAAAATATTATGTGTACATGGAACTAGCAATTACTGCAGTGAGATCTAAATCAAGTTATATTGATGAAACACTAAAAACCTACAGAAATATTGTTTAGATGAGATTAGATTTAAATAAATCCAAGCAAAAGAAAAGCAGTCAAGCAGTTTAAAATACATTTGATGTGAATCATAATGTTTCTAAATTGTATACCTGGGTGGCCTGAGAAATATCTACACTTCTTATCTTGAGTATTTCATATACTTGTGCATAGGCAATATAGATATAAGTGTAAAGTTTAAAGAGATTCAATACTTGATGAGCTGTACTATTTTCACTTTAATTGCCACACTCACTCTTTTTCTAGGTACTTTCTGCTTTAACATTTCTGACTACTTAATTTTTAGATTGGATTTTTTGATACATCACATTCTTCATTTTTGGTAGGGTGGGAAAAGGAGATTGCACTGCCGAAGGAGTTTAACCTAGCTCAGAAAATGAATAGAACACTGAAACCTTGAAAAGCCCTTTTTCCTTTTGATGTACATTCAGATAAACTCTTAGCAATTATTGCATCTTTTCTATAAAAATATTTGTACATCTATCTATCACGGTAGTCAGAATCTTTCCTTCTGACACTTAGAATTTTATTTTCATTTGTTAATCATCACTGATAGATTCAGGAAAACTTAATATTTTGTTGCAGTCTAACATTGGTTGCAGCAGAACCTGAAAGTCTGGCCGTATTCATGAATTCCTCTCCCATCCCAAACTGTCTCCAGAATCTAGTCATGAGTTAATTTTTTGAAGAACATTAATTTTCAACTCTAATAATGCTAACATGCCATTTTTTAAAGATATATATTTCAGAAATTCCATCTTCACTGCCCTGAAATTAAATTTAGAATAATACCTACTAATATACTTTCAAAACAAATAGTATAACAAAAAGGTGAAATCCAACAAAGGTAATTTATAGAACACTAATCTGTATTGAATATGTAATGCTTGCTAAAACTGCCATTATACACTTTGGAAGAAAGTCACTATGTGCAATGCACACCAAGGAAACAGAGATTAATTCTCCTCCTTCTTCAGAGCAGTTGCCCATAAATTATTTAAAAATTGCATGGAAGATGTGATGTACAGGCATACTGTTCTCACCTATTTATTTACTCATTTATTCATTTAGTTATATCGGTATGTACTTATGATTAATTGCTTTATACTTTCGGGTGCAATTCAATACACTTTTCTTGCTCAAATTGTTCAACCTTTGGTCATTGGAAGCTCTTTCAATTGGCTCCTCTATCCCTTTAACATTTCATCTTAACATAACGTGTGTGTGTGTGTTTGTGTGTGTGTGTGTGTGTGTGTGTGCCTGCATGTTGAAGTGTATGCCAGCTCTTTCTTAGCTGCTGACACTATGAGATGTTCCAGGCTTAGTATGCTTCTTGTACCAGTCCTAGCATCAACCATTTCTTCAAGAATCCCTAAGTGTTTTTATTGGAGAATAGTATTAGAAACCAAGATCTGAATACTAGGTGTGCTCAAGATGTCTCTATTTGATAATAATTATCTCACGCATAGAAGGAGTATAAAGCACAGCTCTTGGGAATATCCAGAGGATATTTCTGGCTCTTTAAATACTGCAAAATTCACAGACTTGCTAGAACTTCTGGCTGCTTTAAAGCTTCTTCTGATTATTGAACAAATTTCCAAATAGTCTTATTAAACTCTGCTGTCATTTCAGAAAAAGACAGTGCTATATAGTAGTTATGGGCATGACCTGCCAACGTTTGAATTTCAGTTCCATCACTAAATGGCTGTGTGACCATGGACAGATTATTCAATCTCTCTTTCGTCATCTATAAAATAGTAATCTAAATATTGCCTGGATTGTAGAGTTGTAGGGATTAAATGAATTAATATATAAAAAGCTATAAAACAATGCTGGCATATAGTAAGCAATCTGCATGTTAGCTATTATTACCCGTATCCTTAGAACTAGAGATATCATTTATTTGTTTATATTAGTATGTATAGGAGTTTGATTTCACAGGCAATGCAAGATATGGACAGGCATATAAACACTAAACAGTATATTATTTTCCATTCATATATTTATTCATTCAACATATATTTATTGAGAATCTACCATGTGTTCTGCAGAGATACTGAAGATACAATGAAAAACAAGTCTCTGCTCTCATGGAGCTTACATTCTAATAGACAGAAAGAAAAATAAACAAAGGGACATATAATTCCAGGTAATGATAACTACTATCCAAAAGTTAAGAAGGAGTTAAGAAGGGAGACAATATAGACAGCTCTTCAGAGGGTTAGAGTGTCTGCTATTTTAGAGCATGATCATTAAATGCAAGGGGCGTTTGAACAAAGTTACGAATACGATAAAGAAGTAAAGCCATGAAGATATCTTTCAGACAAGTATTTCAGGCATAGGGAACAGGAGAGTGGTCAGAAATGAGAATGGGTGGCAAGGAACAGCCAGATAACATGCCTCTATAGGAATTTATTTTAAGTATGATAGGAACCACCAAAAAAGAGACAATCTAAATTCTGTTTTGGCAAGATCATTGTGGCAGCTGTGTAGAGAATGGGTGTAGGTGGGGGAACCTGTTTATAGGTTCAGTTTAGGGAACAGATGAAGATGACTTGAAATAGGGTGGTAGTGCTGCAGGACTTGGTTGAATTCATTATCCTTTTTTTTTTATTATCTATTTTGATTGCAGGAGAACAAAAGCAATTAACTGGGGTATGGAGATATGAGAGTATAGATCAGTTGTTTTCAGAGTTTAGTAGCCATCATATATGGATGGTTTTTCCACTTATTTTTTTTTTTTTGTCTTTTTTTTTTTACCTTTTTGTGGAGAATGGGTTCTCTCTATACTGCCCAGGCAGGTCTTGAGCACCTGAGCTCAAGCTGTTCTCTCACCTCTGCCTCCCTAAAAGCTGGGATTACAGGCATGAGCCACTGCGCCCGGCCTGGATGGCTTGTTAAAACACAGATTGCTGGGCTGCACACTCCATGATTCTGATTTAATAGCCCTGTAATGAGACCTGAAAACATGTATTTCTAACAAGTTTCCAGGTGCTAATGCTGAGCCACATTTGAAGAACCTTTATTTTAGAGGATAAGAGAGGTGGTACTATTACTTATGGGAAGAAAATTGTAACTCCTTTTTATTAAAATCCCTTTTCATTTTAATTTGTTTTTAGCTGTTATGTTGTGTAGTGGACATGATTTTAGTAGAATAGGACAGATATATATGCATATATAAAAACTGATAACATAAATTTGTACATACTTTGGCTATTGGACAAAAAGTCTTACAAATGATACTTAGTTTATTTATTTATATTTATTTATTTATGTATTTATTTATTTATTTATTTATTGAGGCGGAGTCTTACTCTGTCACCCAGGCTGGAGTGCAGTGGCGCAATCTTGGCTCACTGCAACCTCCTCCTCTGGGGTTCAAGCGATTCTCCTGCCTCAGCCTCCTGAGTAGCTGGGATAAGAGGTGCGCACCACCACACCTGGCTAAGTTTCTGTGTTTTTAGTATAGATGGGGTTTCACCATGTTGGCCAGGCTGGTCTCGAACTCCTCACCTCGTGATCCAGCCACATCAGCCTCCCAAAGTGCTGGAATTCCAGGCAAGACTCACCGCACCTGGACAGATGATATGTAGTTTAAAAGTTCAGAGATTGTTAGTCTCAGTGAATGGGTTTAAATTTAAGTTAAGTTATAGTCTGTGTACTTGTGTATGTGTTAATTGGTTAGGAAGAGCAGCTGTTGGGTAGTAAATATAAAACATTGTTTGAAGACATAATTATCTCAAATTATAAAAAAACTAGCAGGTCATAAAAACATTGACTAAAATAAAGAAATTGTAAAGTTCTCAGTTCAGTTTTACTTACTTTTAATTAGTACTACATTTAATATTTATTAGACTTTTAACGATCAATAGGGCGTCTAAATTGTGATCCCTCATAGTTACTTTCCTATATGATAACTGAGTAAATTGACAGATCAAGTTGGGAGGTTTGGCCACCTTTATATTTTAATTTTCATTTATACAATTGTGTATTAGTGAATGCATTTGGCTCTTTCATGGGAATATATTTCCTATTTACTTATTTTTATTTATTTTTAACAGTAGATAACTGTAGTCTAAAATTTGGCTAATAAATTTTCTTATTAATTGAACAAAAGAGTTTTAAAATATTTAATTGATTTTGAGTTTCTGACTGGCTTTTCAAAATGGTTAAAAATTTTTAATTATATCAATTCAAATATTGAAGCACTGAGTGAAAAACAAAATACATTTAAATCATTTATTTGCATATATTAATCAATTTAAATGAATCAAATGTTCAATCAAATGATTGTTCTAATTGGCTTTGAGTCCAGGCCCTGAAATCTCTGATCTCTTATGAAAGTCTTTTTGTAAACATGGGTTTGTAACACATTTCTCAACATATTTATGCATTCTCTGACATCTTACTGTAATTTAATTTGTGTCATTATTTCTATTTTATCTAATTGAAGTTAAAATGTTTACCACTTATTTTTTAATACAAGGCCCATAATCAGAAGTTCTCAGGGTGGGGTGTAGGGCATGTTGAGTGAAGACAAGTATGAGTCATAAAGGGCAAAACATAATAAATGTGTGCTGTAAGACTCCACTATGCATTTTGGTCTGGTTTTTAAAGCTTCTACTTTGTAAAATGGGTAATATTGCCATTGAAAGAAGATTCCTATGTTCTTTTTATGTCCCAAGCTTCATTAGCTTTCTTTTACCATTCAATTTTTATTGAATTTCAAAAGCCATTTTGCTGCCCATGCTCCTGGTATATCCAAGTTATTCGAATGTTTAATATTCAGCTCCTTTTCAGTGATTGGCTTACTGCTCTTTTCCAAGAATCAGCAGATTACATCCCCTCCATGTGCACTCCACCAGGTCCTTGCTCTAAGTCCTTGTGTCGGGAGCCATTTCTCTGTACTTCTGTTCTCTGACACTGGCTGGGAAACACTTCATTCTCCACTGCTCAGCAAGTTTTTTATTCCACTTGCAGATTAACCTTCACTAGCCTGCATTTTCTAGTGACTACAACTCCATAGAGTTCTTAAAAGAGTGAGGTAAATCTAGGGCTCAGTTTTTGTGCCCTAGATATTGAGAATTTATTCTCCTTACATATAGTTATTTTGCTCAAAAGTCGTTTTGTCAAGTTTTGCTGAATGTACAACCTAATTAAGTGTTAACACACACATACACACACGTACACACCCTCAACAAATAGCTTTCTCTGAACATGATTTACTAAGAACTTGCCTGCTTTTAGAAGCAAAATATATTAATAAAATCTGTTAATAATTTGTTATTCAAATTCTCCCTCATTTCAAACCCCCTTCACCAATTTAGGGCAAAACAAATCGATACCCAATCAGTGTTGCCACTAACTTCATCTGGAGAGCTAACATTTTTTATGGTTTTGTATTATTTTGAAAAAAAAAAAAGCTTTTCCCATTTTTATTGCATTATATTTGGTTTTGATAATGTGAAAAGAATCCTAATAATTCTGATGCATTGGACTACAGACATACAATAATGTAAACATTAATGGACATAAAGCAGAATTTATTTTCTTAATCTTAGTGGTAAAAAACTGTTTTTAAAAAATTTGTAGTCCAGTCCAACTTATCAATTATGGCTCATTTAAAACAAACAAATTTTGATGTCACTCTCATTAAATGGCATAGTTTTAATGGCTAGTGTGATGTATCACGAGGCACTACTCTATTTTAGAGGAAGCATGAAATAGGTCGTTGATGAACTATTGGAAAAAAAGAACCTCACTTATAGCCCCTTCAAAATCAAATATCAATATTTGTGTAATTTTCTAGAGAATGTATTTAGGCTTTTGTTTTCATAGATACTTAGATATGATTCCCACATTTCATATACTCCATTTTCATAAAACAAAAATAAGAAGGTAGTATAACGAGCAAGTTTTCAACAAAAATGATACACCAGATACCTCTTAACTCACCTTCCTATGCTCAAGGTGAATTTAATGTATCAATTAGTTCTCAGTCATTCCATGTAAATGGAATGCCTCTTAACTCACCTTCCTGTGCTCAATGTGAGTTTCATGTATCAGGGCTCAGTCATTCCCTGTGCTGTCTGCCAAACAATATTTCAATTTTTATCAGTGTTGTTTTTCCATTGGCATAAGCATATGTTTTTGTATAAGCACTTGAATATTATATTTTGCTCCTTTTATCTTATAAAAATATATGTTGAAAAAGTTTGTATTTGTAATACAGCAATTAAGGTTATAGAAATCAATAGGCATGTTCAAAGTACTGAGTGTTATGCCTTAATGAGATGCTTATTGGGCCTAACTTGTCTTTTGTATTCAGTTATGAATGGAAAAATAGAACATGTAAGAAATTCTAGAAATACGTTATAGAGAATTATCCTACCATTACAGAAAGGTAAGGTAATTGAATAAACTGCAGATGTCTTGCATACTGTGTGAAGTTCCCTTTGACTAAAGATAAGAAGAAGGCTTTTCTTATACATTTCTGTCCCTATACTGAAAGAAGTAAAACCAGTTTTTCTATATTAAATGATAAATTTTGATCGTATAAATGTTCTTAGTACTAATTTACACTATTTTATTTAATCAAAATAAATGTCACTGTATTTCAATTTTTCCCATTTGTTTACATATCTGGTCATAAGATAAGCAGGTGATTATATCATGGCCTTATTAAATGGAAAAGTATTCAAATGTGGAGTTTATGGTGATTAATCTGAATAGGTGTCTCTGAAGCAAATTGATTATGCTCTAAATAGCTGTTCACATTTCAAAGACAAGCTAAAATATAATCTCAGCAAAAAACAAACCGTTTACATTTTCTATCCTATTACTTTGTTTGGAATAACCACACAAGTAGTCACCCTAACCTTCACTAAATTATCTTAATGGGATTCATTAACTTATTCTCGGATAAGATCTGGTGTATCATTTTTGACTGTGGAGAAGCTGGCTCAGTTTCTAACCATCTTGAAAAAATGGGCAGCTCTATCTTGTAACACCATAAATATAGCAAATATAATAGCAATCCGAAATGAAGCTTGCTGGAATTGAGTGTTAACTTCAAATCCAGTCATACCCTCCTTCATTCGTATTTACATGGTATATGGTACTTGATTACATATGAGAGTTTTGTTAATAAAGTTATTTAGAACTTAAGAACCTTGAAAAAAATAAATATTTAAAGTATATAGTGGCTCAGATTCTTTATAGAGGAAATGAATGTTTCAGCTAAGTAAATATAGTTTTAAATATAATTACATGTATAGTTTGGTGACTTGCTACACCAAGTATGATTCTCCGAGCAGCTGCTGTATTACCTTGAACTTCGTTAGAAATAAAAATTCCTGGGCTATTCTTTATTCCTCCTGAATCAGAATGAGCAGATCACACAGATAATTCCAATGCACATGAAAGTTTAAGAAGCCCTCCTTTGTTTTATTCTCAATGTATTTAGAGTTCAAAATTAAATTATATTTATCCCAAGTGCACCATTCAATTGTGTCTGTGTCCACTTAGACACAGGATGACAATAGTGGTTTCTGTTTATTTAACACTTATTAGTAGGTGTGTAGTAAGTCCTAATACATGTTGGGTTCTGGGCTAGGTGATGATTGAACAGAAATGGCCAAAACACTACTCATTCCCTGAAGGAGGTCCAAGTCCAGGGTAAGAACAAAGAGAGGAATTATTACACTTCAGTATAACAATGCTTCTTCTAAAAACATAAGAGTTGTGAAATTCACCTCCATATGGCAAAACTATTTTTAAAAGTGGTGGAAATAATTTGATAGAAATTCCTGTCTATAAATTTCCTCCAAAACCCAAATAAACAAGTCTTCTTAGAAATTTGATGAAGAGTATGTTTAGCAAATTTTACTATAATTTGAATGATACATACATTGATATCTATTGACATATAATTTAACATACATATGATAGAAATAAAAATAATGTAATATTCAATTTGTATATTCCATAAACACAGTTTACATTTACATTTTAAAGACAGAGAGATAAAGAATGAAAGGGTAATAATGAGGTCAAGGAATGGGTAAAAAGTCAACTTGAAATTCAATTCATTCTTGCAAATAATGTAAATAAATATTTTCTCACTAAATCTAATTAGAGAATATTCAAGAAGTTAACAGTGTAATAATATTTTTCTCTGCAACTGTCATTTTTAGTTATGTTGCTGACAAATCTTTGATTAATGTATAACAGGCATCCTTTTATGACCAAATATATAACATATAGGGCCAATTTATTTAATAGGACATATAGCTTAATCAGATCTAAACACAACACCTTTTAAAGACAATCACTTCTGTGAAAAACTGATGGAAAGAAAAAAAGCAATCTTCAATTCTTAATTCCACAATTCGAGACCATTAATTTTTAAAAAAATATTTTAAAGAGTTTTAACTCAGTCTTCTAACTAGGATACATTTTTAAACACTAAAATCACCATTCCCTACATTAACCGTTTAGGGAGATTTTCACTGCTGTTGTATTCAGGAAGCAATAGAATAAACTTGAAAGATTGTGCCCTCTAACAGAAGCAGATGGCCTGTCTGAGATTTTGCAGATCAGAAGTAAGTCTCATTTAAAAGCAGCCAGAAAGCAATGGATGGTATTCAAACCCTGAATGCAGGAGAAAAAACACTGTTTCTAGGGTTTATTTGATAAAATCTGTGACATTTGGGCATATGGATATGATAGAAAGAAAGAATTTTAAAGCCATCATTGAAACCTGTCCAGTTGAATTAGATGATCCATTTCCTGTAATTAAGACTAAATAGTTGGTATGTGTCATGAGCCAAATTAATACAAATTAATTCTAAAACCTTGGAAGGGACATGCCATGCTCATCTATGTAGCATGACCCTGAAGAGGACATTTGATTATGTGGGTAAGATTTCACTGTTAAAAAGAAATGTCACTCTGGCAAATGCTGAACAAGGCAAGTAAGTTTTTCAGAGGGTAAAGTGCATATTAATTAGATGTAAAGTAGCATGCTGAGGGCATCATTTAAGTGACAGCTTCCAGAAAACTCAATGGTACCCTCTTCTGTAGAAGAGTTAGTCACTTAAGGGTGAGGATACTGTTCTTCAGTAACAGCCTATTCCATTTATAATCTTACTTGCTTCCTCTGTCGTTTAAAGAATGACATAGTGAGGTTCAAATGTTCAGTCATTTTAGGTTTGTGAATTGAAGGCTGTAGAAAACAATGGTAACATTCTTCTGTATGTTTACTATAACCCACTTAGGACACATTCATAGAGGTGGGCACTTATCACAGGAAGTCAAGGCTGATCAAACTTGTCATATTGATTTATTATAATGTCTACAATCTTCATAATAATTTCAGGCTAGAAGAATATAAGGTTTATTTTTTTTTAAGAAGCTTTCCAAGATACATCAGCATAGGCTTCTCTTCATCTACTGAATTTGGATCCTAGCTTTCTCTTTTATTTTTATTTCCATTTCACCTTTCTCTTCAGGTTGCATTTTTATTTTATCTTTCTCTTATATTAATTTTCCTCTTTTCTTCCTCTGTTCTCACATGCTGTATTTAAATGTTTCTTCTCTCCATCTTTTCCTCTTATTCCCTTCTTCTACTACAACTTATATTATTTTCCCCCATCCTTTGTTTTCTTGATCTTACTTTTTTTTCTCCCCACTTCAGCTTTATTAAAATATAATGGACAGGTGAAATTGTATATATTGACAGTATCTGAGGATATTGGCAGTGTACAAGGTGATATTTTGGTATATGTATACATTGTAAAGTGATCATATAAAGTGAATTAGCATATATATCCCCTCACATAGTTATCATTGTTGTTTTGTAGTGAGAAAAATTAAGATCTAATCTCTTAGTAATTTTCAGGTATATGATACATTATTATTAATTACAGTTGCCATGCTGTATAATAATTAGAAATTATTCATTTTGCATAGCTCAAACTTTGTACTCTTTGAACAACATCTCCTCATCCTTCTCAGTCTCATGCCCTGGGAAGCCCCACTCAACTCTCTAATTCTAGGAGCTCAACCTTTTTAGATTATACATATAAGTGAGATCATGCACTATTTGTCTTTCTGTGGCTGGCTTAATTTTAATTGGCATAATATCCTTCAGATTCATTTATGTTTTTAAAAATGGGAGGATTTTTTTTTCTTGTTTAAGGCTGAACATATTACAATGTGTATGCATATTGTGTGTGTGTGTGTGTGTGTGTGTGTATATATATATATAATTTTATTTATCCATTTATCCAGTGATAGACACTTAGGTGGATTCCTTATCTTGGCGCTTAAGGACCATGCTGTGATGGACAAGAGAGTACAGATGTCTCTTTCAGATTCTGATTTCATTTCTCTTGTGTATACAACCAAAAGTGAGATTGCTGGATCATATGGTAGTTCCATTTTTTTAAATATTTTGAGGAACTTCTGTACTATATTCCATAAAATCTATACTAACTTACATTCCCACCAACAGTGAACAAGTGTTACCTTTTTCCACATCTTTCCCGACACTTGCTATCTTTTGTCTTTTTGATGGTAGCCGTTCTCACGGTTATGAGGTGTTATGAGGTGATGTCTCATTGTGATGTAATTTGCATTTCCCAGATGATTAGTCAAGTTAAGCATGTTTTTCATAAGGTTGTTGGTCATTTGTGTGTCTCCTTTTGAGAAATGTCTATTCAGTCCTTTGTCTATTTTAAAATCATGTTATTTGTTTCCTTCCTATTGAATTGTTTGCATTTCTTATATATGTCAGATATTAACTACTTACTAGATGTATTCTTGGCAAGTGTTTTCATCTATTCTGTAGGTTGTCTCTTTAATCTATTGACTGTTGATTGTTAGCTGTTTCCTTTGCTGTGTAGGAAGTTTTTTAGCTTGATATAATCCTGTTTGTCTGTTTTTGTTTTTGTTGCTTGTGCTTCTGGGGTCGTATCCAAAAATATATTTGCCCAGATCAATGTTACAAAGCTTTTATCATGCATTCCTCTAGTAGTTTTACAGTTTCAGGTTTTATGTTTAATTTTTTAATTAATTTTGAGTTGATTCCTGTGTTTAATGCAAAATAAGGGTCCAATTTCATTTTTCTGCATACAATATCCAGTTTCCCAACATCATTTATTAAAGAGACTTTCCTTACCCTGTTGTGTTTTTGATATCTTTGTTGAAAATCACTTGACTGTAAATGCATGTATATATTTCTGGGATCCCTATTCTGTGTCATTGCTCTATGTATCTGTTTTTAATGTCATGACCATGCTGTTTTGGTTACTATAAATTTGTGGTAGATTTTAAAATCAGGTAGTGTCATGCCTCTGGCTTTGCTTTTTTTTTTTTTTGCTCAAGATTGCTTTGGCTATTCAGGATCTTTTGTGGTCCCACAAGAATTTTAGGATTTTTTTTTTTTTTTTCTGTGAAAAAATTGTCATTGGAGTTTTGGTAAAGATTGCAGTGAATCTCTACCTGTAGATTGCTTTAGGTAGTATGGATATTCTTCCAATCCATGAACGTGGGTATCTTTCCAATTATTTGGTGTGTATTTGTTCAATTTCTTTCATCAATTATTCCATAGTTTATAGAGGACAGATCCTACACTGTGACTGGGAAAATGGTCCAGCTGCTCGCTGCTTGTAAAAGGAGCTAAAATAATAATGAGATATGATAAAAAGAGGAGACTTTATTATCCACACTAGCAAGGGTCAGAGTGGGTAGAAAAAATTTTCTCTCTTCAGTTGGTGGAGGAAAGACAGGGGTTTTTAAATGGAGAGTTTGAAATGCAGAAGAGGTTGTGGAGGTGGGTAGTAGGTGCCAGGCAGGGTGACTTGCTCCAGTGGTTCATCTTGAAATATTTTTCCATCTAGTGAAGGGGCCGATGCCATTGTGGGCCCCATCAAGTTACAAATTAATCACAGTCAATCTTGCAGTAAATCTGTAGCCAGGAGTGGGTTCCCACCTTGAAGTAACCTTTTGTTGTAGAAAAAATTCTGGAGGTGTCTGGTCCATAACAGTATCTGACCCCTGAAGCTTCTAAGAAAATATATGGCCAGGTACATGAGCATGGTGTGTGCTTTACAAACACCTAGGTAGATAAATGTGCATGAGGAGAATAAAGTGGGAAAGGGAAGGGAGTGGAGGAAAGAAAACAATCCAAGGCTGTAAAACACATGTGTAATTTATCTCAGAGCTACATCTTGAAACTGGGAAGAAAGGAGGAAAGGAAAAAGAAAATTTTAAGAATGCAGTTTAAGGCTTAGCAGTTTAAGCTGCTAATCTGCTTTGTTACATAACCTTCTTGGTTAAATTCATGTCTAAATATTTTACTTCTTTTTGATACTATTGTAACACCCCCTGTACTTCCACTTGTTACCACCTCCCTGCTCCTTTTTGATGTTTCTCCTTTCCCTCTTATTCCCTTATCTTCTCTCCCTCAACCATAATGATTTCTGTATCCCAATCATCTGCCTGTTTTCAGTCCCTTGATCATCAGCTGAGAAGGGTTTTAATCTTGTCTTATTGTTGTATTAGTTAAAGTTTTTCCACACAAATGTTACTATCTCTATCTATCTATCTATCTATCACAAAATCAGTAGGAGATATATATATACACACACACACACATATATACATATGTGTATGAGAAATTGCCTCATGTGATTATGGAGACTGAGGAGTCCCCAAATCTGCTGTGTGCAAACCAGCAACCCAGGAAAGCTGACAGTATGATTAAGTCCAAGGACAAAGGTCTGAGAACCTGGATAGCCAGAGAAGATGAGAGGAGATGTCCCAATTCAAGTACGCAGGCAGGAAGCAAAAGTAGAGAATTCCTCCATCCTCCACCTTTTGTTCTATTTAATCTCTCAATGGATTGGATGATGCCCAGTTTCACACATTGAGGAGTCAAGTCTACGTACTGAATCCACCCATTCAAATGCTAATCTCTTCCAAGAACACCCTCACAGACACACCCGAAATAGTGTTAAATCTGGGCACCCTGTGGCCATTCAAAATGACACATAAAAGTAACCAACACATGATCCTGCTTGGAGTTTCATTGAGTTTTAATGCATTTTTTTGCTGTTGCTTGTAAGGTGGAACTTGTTATTCTTCCAAAATTATATATTTTTATTTTGTTTTGAGTAATAGATAAAAGCAAGCTAAACTTCCTGTTCGTTCTTAAATAATTTCAGTATGATATAGGAAAATTCAAATATAAGATGATTTTTTAAGAATTGAATTAGCTGTCTTTGTTTCAATATTTCCTAAAGGTAATCAATTCATGAATAGCTACATTGCTGTAATTAGTTACATTGTATGATCTAATTTAATTAATTGAGGCAATTTCACAGTAAAATTCCTGTGCAAGACAATGATTTGGAGGTCATTTCTGGTACTTTATGCTACAAAAGTATCATTATCTATGTTCTATTATCATCCTAAATATTTCCTCCCATCAGTCAAAAAAAGCCTTTAGGCTCATAACCATGAAATTATTTCAAAGATAGGGAAACTATGCCTGACATTATCTAAATACCAATGGTGTTAGTTAATGACAACTTATCAAGTCCAAATGTAACAGACTATTAGTATATATGGAAGTGTGGCAATAAGGCATGAATTAAATATAGTTGATGATGGAGGCTTAATAAGATATGTATTTTCTTACAGTTCTGAGATTTTATGATTATTTGGTTGCCCTTCCAAATGGTGAGAGTCCAGTGACCCCACTTCAAGCAGTCAATTCATGAGTATTGATGGGTATAAATAAAGGAGGTTAAAAATCTCTGTGTGTGTGTGCGTGCATGTGTGTGTGTGTGTGTGTGTGTGTTTACATTTTATCAACTTATCAGCTGTCTCCACCCAGTATTTGAAGAAAACTGTCATTTTAATAAATACAGGAGGACACAGATAGGTAAAAAATGAAAGGAACTTTTAGAAACTCAAAAGGAGCTTTGCTGGAAAAAGACTTTGGGGACATAAAAGACAACATAAAATTAAATATCTATTCTCTTAATTCAAGTTTTTCTGATATGCCATCTCTAAAGTATTGCTTCCCACTGATTTTGTCCCTAGTTGTGCTGCTGTTCCTCTGTCACTCCAGAAAACTTGACCAGCTGAAAGAGCCTTTGCAAAATTATGACTGAGACAGTGAAAGAGATCTAATCTAACTGACTCTGTCTTTGTTCTAAACTTTAAGCTGTCCTTGTTCCTTCCTGGGCATAGGCTGGACTAACTTTAGGAGGATCTCAGTTTATAGAGTTTATAGTGTATGGTTTGAAACAAATGTAATAGTAGCCCTTTCCCAAAACAAACCTCCTTCTTTCCTGGGGACTAGACTACCTTTGTAGGACTAACAAATTAGCCACAAGATTAGACAATATGGTTTAGGAGTCATGCAGCTGGAAGCTACAAGATTCTGACCCTCCCTAGACTGCTCCTTAGATCAGTGCTTGAGATATTTGTAGACCCAGCACTTTTGTATCAGCTGTTGGATCAGCTGTCACCACCCAGATGGATAAACTGGCTCATCTGATCTTGTGGCCCCCACCCAGGAATGGACTCAGCACAAGAGGACAACTTCTACTTCCCATGATTTCATCTCCTGTCTCACTGGCTTCCCCCCACGCACCAACTTGTCCTTAAAACCTCTGATTCTCAAATGCTGGGGGAGACTGATTTGAGTAATAATAAAATTCCTGTCTCCAGCACAGAGGCTCTATGTGAATTACTTTTTCTCTACTGTAATTCCCCTGTCTTGATAAATTGGCTCTGTCTAGGTAGTGGGCAAGGTGAACCCACTGGGTGGTTACAAAGTTGGGTGCTCATCTGGGATTGCCCTTGAAGCTACCTGCCCATGGTTCAGTAGATCCCCTCCAGCGATGGTTCCAGAGACCAGCCCAAGCACCTGCCTAGTTCTCTTAGACCGGCAGCTGACTCTGGTACTCTCTACTGGTGGGGTGCTACCAACTCAATGTGCATGGATTTAATTGCAATAGAGAAATAGTCCTGAGGAGACATCCCTTTACTGTAGCCCTATCACAGGGTGTCTTTCTGTAGCCCCATGATGGAGTATCTGTCTGTAGCCCCACTGCAGGTTGTCTGGAGTGGTGAGTATCCTAGGCATTGCCAACACCTGCTTCCTTCTCCAGACTGGTTCTGTAGCCCCACAGTGGGGTATGTCAGTAGCCCCACTGTGGTGTGTCTGTTTGTAACTCTACCACGGGGTGTCTCTGTTCGGCTCCTTTTAGGGTTCTGTTTGTCTGTAGCTCCATTGAAGGTTTGTCTGTAGCCCCATGGAGGGGTGCCTGTTTCAGTTCAGCTCCTTGCGGGTCTCAGTTGGTTCTCCCTAACCAGTAGGAAGAGTCTTGGTTCAGGACGACTCTCAATCAGGAAGATGTAGGGGAGATATCTCAGGTGGAGAATAGGAGCATAGTTTGGAAGGGATATTCTTGGAATTCTTGGTTAAGGATCTGGGTTGGAAATCCTTCTGTCCATCTTGTCTTTGTGTGTGTTCGTATATGTGGAGGGGATCCCTGAAGAAATTGCTAATGGAAGTCCAGCAGCCCTAACTCAGAGAACCCTCTTTACGTGTCTGTTCACATTCGATGAGCCCTGAAGATAACTCAACAGACCTGCCTGGGGTGAGTATCTGCTCTTCATCTTGCCCAGAGACCCCACTGTGAATTGTCATCTGGAGATCATCCCTCCCGACCTGGAGTGGATCAAAGAAAAGAGGGATCAGTAAACTTTGAGCTTTGCTTGGTTGATATTGAGGGGTGAATACGGTGACTAGTATCTATTTTGTTATGTGTATTGTGTTTTGACTGGGATGGAAAATGTTAATTTGGTTCTCCATGCAGCCCATTGGGCTAAAAAATTGAAAATATTTTGTCTATGTTTCCATAAAACAGAAAAGAGTGATTTTCATTGTAAAGTGGCTTGAACCCCACAGCTATGGCACAGTGAACAGGGTCATCAAAAGCTACTCCATTATTCCAGAAGCTGGAGAGGAAGGGAACCTGGAAACCTGGTATGCTGGCAAATAGGGTAAGAAATTCTTACCAGCCAAGTTTCTGCTGTCTCTCTCTTTCTCTCTCTCTCTCTCCCCCTTTTTCTGTGTGTGTGTGTGTGTGTGTGTGTGTGTGTGTGTGTAAATGGTAAATGTCACTTTTTGTCTCCTCTGCAAGGGTTTGATTAGTAGAAAAAAGGATTCATGAGACTAGTCTTTGAGGCTATAGGAAATCTGGTGTACTTTGTGCTAAGAATTTGTCTTTCTTTATTTTTCTGTAATGGAGAGAGGAGTATCACAGGATGGAATGTGGGTTTAAGATCCCTATATAAGCCTGTTTTTCAAGCCGGCCCAGCAGGGTGATCAGTTACAAACTTTGCTGTGTGTCCCTGAAACCAATATCAGATGAAGTTTCTCTGTCTTGCTTTGTGTCTTTATGAGCTTAACCTTGTGACCATGTGGGGATACTTTCTCTTGGTTTTCACCATCCAGAGGATAGGAATTTGGGGGTTCATGTCACAGTTAAATTATCTTGAACTGTGAAAAGCCTTTGCAAGCTTGAAATTGGCTGCTCTAGGCTTCTTCCGGGAAAAGGAACAGAAACTGCTCAATGTTGTGTAGTTTAGTAGCGAAGGCTGTATCTTTTGAAAATGATGGCCCAGGTTCAATTATTGGCCTTCAGAATCATTCATTTCTGGTTTGTTATATGTGTAACTTTGACATTTATTGAGGTTTTTTCCCCCGATGGATACCTTCTGATTTTCTGTCTTGGGATTTTCCTTTCCTAAATTACCCTTGTAGATATTCTAAATCTTAAAAAGGAAGAAAGAACTTGCTTACCATCTCTTTGAGATACCTTATGCATCCATGGTTAAGTTATAACCTTAGTTAAAACTTATTAATTTCATGTGGGAAGTTACCTGTGGTAGAATTCAAAAGCCAGCAATATTGACTGTGCTGGCAAAAGTCTGGTAATAAGATATTTAAAATAACTTTTTTTTTTTTTTTTAGAAAAAAGAGCTCTGTGGTTTAAATCAGCTTAATTAAGAATGGATATCCAAGCTATATGTATTTAAGAGGCTCTAACTTTTCCCTCTTCATGATTTGTATTTTTCTGAAAAATTTTGTTTCTTCACAGTAGATTCAATTATTCTTCTCCATTTTGTCTTCTTGACATTCTTGATGCCCACAAGAGAAAACTTAAGATAAATTCTAACAGTCTGGGACTCCTTGGGAAGAACAGAGGAACCACAGACTCCATTGTGGGAAAAAACTTGGTTTTCCTCACTGAAGCCTGGAAATTGAAACAGCAATTGAAATAGATCCCTCTCAAAATCTAAGGCTCTGTTCTGCTTTGCATTGTGTTATCTGATGGTTTTGAATTTTGGGGGTATCAAAAATTACTTTGCATTAAGGGAGAGCTTTTAGCCTTGTTGTATAATATCTAGGTAAAAATATATACTTCAAGAAATGGCTAATGTCAGTTATGAAGAGATACTTAGCTCTTTGTATGCTTGAATCAGAGAAGCATGCTGTTGGCCACATGGAAGATACAGAAACATCCCCAACCACCACTGAGGGAAGATGAGACTCCCATGGGGGATAGGTGATTATAATATGGGCTGATTGGCTTTGGATAGCCTTGCAATAAAGTGCCTAGTGGAAGCACTGTACTGTCTTCTCCCATAATATTTCCCTCCTTTTGGGGATCCAGGATCCAGTATAAAATGGCACCCTTAATTTGGGGGATCAGTTTTGGCCTTCCAGCTGTGCCTCCTTATTAGGCCCCAGAAACTGGATGCTTTCCTGGCCTTACTCTTCCAAAGGCTCCACCCTGAAGCCAGTAATTCAGTTCAGAAACAGGCAAATGAAAGGCTTACAAGTGCTGAATCTTCTGTCTGTCTTTACATGTATTGTGTGTGTAATGTTTATATAAAAAGAGTTCTGATTCATTGGCTCAGAAAAATAAGTGCTTAAATCAAATATTTTATCCAAAAAATAAAAACTTTAATGTATTTTGTTCATCTGACTTAAGTAATTTTCTGAAAATAAAGACAGTTTAAAAATTGTTGGTAAAATAAATATATCTTCAAAATTTAGACATTTTGTCTAAATTAAGGTGAGATATTAGATTTGCTAAATGTTTTAAGGTAACAAACTGCTTCTTTAACTTTTAAAAATTGTTCAATTTATCAACTTTGGAGCATTAGATTCTGGATAAGGCCTGAGGATATGTGAGGCTTGCCAGGCCCCATAGCTATGCTGAAGAGAGTCAGACTTTATCTGCACTTCTGTCTGATATCCTAGGTTCCACATGAAGTACATAAGTAAAATCACTTACTTATCAGGTTTTCACCAAAAATAAAATTTGCTAAGAGTTAACATTGCGACATATAATTGAGACTACTGGAGAAACAGTTTTACATACAAGGTGTGTAAGGAAAGTGTAACATGTTTTTGGTAAAAGATTATAGGAAGGCATGGAAATATGTCTTGTGTTAAAGGGAATGTAATTTTGTGTAGTTCAGAGGGTTTTAATGATTGTCTTAACCTAAAAGAGTACCAGGACAAAACAAGGTTTAAGCAAGGTGAAAGAGGTTTATGAAGGGTTAGTCTTGTAAAGAAAGGGTTAGTCTTGTAAAGTCTGTGGATATGAACAAGTTGGCTAAGATTTAAAGGGGATTATTTAATTATTTTCCATAGGTTGAACATTAAAATAAATGCACACTATGCAGGGCCAGAATCTGGTCTGGGTTCATCTGTGCAAGTAACAGCGTTTTCTTAGAAAATTGATGTGCTGTTTGACAGAAAATTATAAAGGGTTCTAAACAGTTTATTAAAATCTTACCTTATTGTCAAATTAATTAAAACTGGATAGATATATAAAACTTTATTCAAGAACTATCATTAGCATTAAAGATGCACTCATACAAACATAAAATTTGATACCCTCTTTTGAAAAATATTTTTATATAATATTAAAAGATAATGAAAGGGTTTTGTTTGCCTCTTGTGTAAATAGCAGTAAAAAAAAGGGGAGGAGAGAGAAGAGACAGATTCATTTGGCCTCATGCTATCTTCACTGGGTCTTGTTGTTTGAAAAGCTAAGTCTCCTTTATCAATGTAAAGGTTTTTCTTTTTTTGGAGTTATCATTCTGGCCAAATAAATGACTGATGGTGACCTAGGATTCTATTTTGTAATATCTAGTGTTTTAAACATTTGATATTTGACAAACTTTCCAAAATCAAATTATGCATTATGTCTCTTTATAAACTAATCTTGTAGGTATTAGGTCCCCTGAAGTTCAAAAATGGCATGTTTGGCTTATTTTGTATAAAAATAATACAGGAAGCATTGTCAAATATGAAATGGTGTTTTGGCCTTCTTTGGACTGTATTTGTATAAATATGTTGTTAATAAGTGTTCCAAAATTATGAGAAACTCCTATAATTCTATGACTTAGTATATGTTATCAGTAATAATTTTAACTTTTATGTTAAATTATTGTGTACCACTGAGATAACAAATTTACTTGGCAATTGTATCTTTATCTGTGGCTGCTCTAATATTTTTGTAATCCATGGACAATTGTCTTCTTTTGATCCTCTTTAAATGATAGTTCTGTAATTAGCTATCAAACTCCAATAGGTGCTGTTAAATGAATGTTTCTGATTAATAACTCTGGAGAGTGTGACATTAGAATAGAGGAAAAACTTTCGAATAGAAGACTGAAGTAATTTTTTTGACTTTTTGCTTAAAACGATGCTGATCCTTTTTTGTTTTCCAAAGCTAAGAAAACTTTTCTTTTGAGCTATTTACCACTTTTAACAAATGAGTAAAATATACTCATCTGAACAAAATTTGGAGCATATTTGTTTCCCTCTACCTGATTTTTTCAGAATTTTAAAACTATTTTTGAGTATTCTCAACTTATGGCAGTATAATTATTTGCATAAGGGCAATAAGAATCTGTTTTCTTTTGTAACAGGACACAGTTGGAGAAACTGGTTGTTTTACCAAGGCTTTGACTGGAATGTCATGCTTTCTTTAAATAATCAAAGTTGACTTATTGAGCCAACAAAAGCCCCTAGGGAAATCTGCCTTCATACCTTGTCTACACCGTCCCTATTCAAGGTTCCTGACCTGTTGTAAGTAAAGAATGTAACTTTCTAACAGGCTCAAGAGCCCCAAGTTATCTTGGGACCTCAAGAGGAATTTATCCAACTCCTAGGTATTTGAGGGTACAAACCTATGGCTGGGCTCAGCTCTAAAATGTCTTACCTGAGATTCCTTATGGAACAGAGTTCCATCAAAGCCAATTTTAAAAGCTGATTTGAAAAATAATTATTCTTTATGCAAATAATCAGGCCAAGTACAATAAGACTAAAGTTTATTTTGTAAATAAATCAATTCTATTATAAGTTGTTTTTAATAAAAATGGGGATTGGAGAAAGAAAATGTAAGCTTCAAAAGAAAAGCTCTAGTACATAGGTTATTAGCTGTTCTTGAGTTTTATTTTTTTCCTGCAGTTCGGAGTCAATCCTAAATTATTTGCCAGCTACAAGTCCCCAAACTAATGTTTTCAAATCTTTACTTTTAAACTAGGAATTGCACACCTTACTCTAGTAGTCATTATTTACCTTATAGTATGCTCTTCCCTTAAATGCAGTACTAAAACTATAGATGACAATACTAAAGCCTTTGCCATGCAAGCCTTGGAACCCCAGCCAGGACTGCATGAGTATATGCAGACAGTTGCAAAGTGGTCCATGCCTCTCACCTTGGGATCAACAGCTAACCCCACTATGCCCCTTGTCAGCAGGAAGAAGCCAGAGCAATTCATAGCCCATATTCACAGCCTACACCTTAAGATTAAGGTGTTTTAAAACCCAAAAGGAGAGGTTGGAACCAACTTTGCAAAATTATCACTGAGACAGTGAAAGAGATCTAACCTAACCAACTCCATCTTGGTTCTAACCTTTAATTGTCTTTGTTCCTTTCTGGGCACAGGCTGAATTAACTTTGGGAGAAACTTAGTTTAAACTTTGTTTAAAACTAATAATATAACAACTCTTTCCCAAAACAAACCTCTTTCTTGTCTAGGGTCTAAACTGCCTTTATAGGACTAACAAATTAGCCACAAGATTAGAAATTATGGTTTGGGAACCATGAAGCTGGAAACTACAAGATTCTGACCCTCCCTAAACTGCTTCTTAGATCAGTGCTTGAGATATTTTGCAGACCCTGCACTTGACAGATCAGCTGGCACCACTCAGATTGATAAATAGGCTTATCTGATTTTGTGGCTCCCACCCAGGAAAGGAATCAGCACAAGAGGACAGCTTCAACTTCCCATCATTTCATCTCCTACCTAATCAATCAGCACTCCTGGCTCACTGGCTTCCCCCTACCCACCAAGTTTTCCTTAAAAACTCTGATCCCCTAAGGCCTGGGGAGACTGATTTGAGTAATAATAAAACTCTGGTCTCCTGTACAGCCCACTGTGCATGAATTACTCTTTCTCTATTGCAATTCCCCTGTCTTGATAAATTGGCTCTGTCTAGGCAGTGGCAAGCTGAATCTGCTGAATGGTTACACAACCTTGTCTATGGTGGATATTGAGTTTAACAGTTATAACTTTGCCACTGTGTGAAAACAGAATATTTTAGAAACAAACAGATTTGAGTTATATCCCCAGTTTTGTCTGTCATCTATTAGTTTTGATATATTAAACATGTTATTTAATTATTTGGGCCTTTGTTTTCTCATCTCAAGTCTGGAATTAGTAAAACCACATAACTCATGATAGTATTCTAGATATTAAATCACCTTAGGTAGTATTTATTTAGCAAAGTGCTATCATTTTTTAAAACAAAATGTGTTATCCCATTTAACTTTCATAACAATCCTATGACATATGTATTGGCTCATTGTTCAGGTTAATCCATTGAGTTTCAAAGGGCCTAAGCCATTCCCAAGGCTAGCGTGTCAGTGAATGGAGAAGCATATATCTGGAAGGTGGCACACTCTTCCTCAGGTTTGCCCAGTTGGAGGTTAGCAATGGTTGCCATTCTTACATAAAAATATCCATTGTAAAATTCATAATAATAAAAGTAGTTTCATGTAGACACTGTGTAGGGAGGTTCTAATGAAAGAGAGAGAACCTACTTTAACATAGCAGGGAATAATTAGCCACAAAGTAAATAGCATCTAATTCCTCTTCTGTTTCCCACTTTAATGTTTTATTTTTGAAGGAAAGCTTTAAAACTACTGATCAACAGATAAATTGACTTTATCAAAATTATAAACTTTGAAACATCGAAGGATAGTCAACGGAGTAAAAGGCAATCCACTGAATGGGAGAATACATTTGCAAATCATATATCTGATAAAGTTGATAAAGCATTGATATCAAAAATATATAAAGAACTCTTAAAACTCAACAGCAACAAAACCAAACAATCCAATTAAAAGTGAAAAATTCGAGTAGATATTTCTCAAAGAAAATATGCAAATAGCCAAAGGCACATAAAAAGATGTTCAACATCACTAAACATTAGGGAAATGCAAATCATACACACACCCAAATGAGATACACTTCACATCTATTAGGGTGGCTGTTAAAAAAGAAAGGAAAAACCAACCAACATAAACAAAATAATGAGTGGGTTAGAATGTAGAGAAATGAACTGGGATCTTTGTGCACTGCCAGCGGGAATGTAAAATGATATATCCACGGTAGTTCCTCAAATTTTTTTAATTACCATATAATCTGACAATTCTACCTCTGGATATATACCCAAAAAATTTAAATCAGGGAGCAAAAACTTGAACAGATATTTGTGCACAAATGTTCATACCAGTATTATTCACAACAGTCAAAAAGTGAAAGCAATCCAAATGTCCAATGGACAGACAAATGAATAAACAAAATGTGGTGCAAACATACAATGAAATACTAATCAGCCTTAAAAAGAAGGAAATTCTGATACATAATATAGCATGGGTAGACTTTGATAACACCATGCTAGGTGAAATAACCCAGAGACAAATAACAAATATTATATGATTTCAGTTATATGCAGTAGTAGACTAGCCAAATTTATAAAGACAGAAACTAAAATAGTGGTTCCTGGGGCTGCAGGAAGGAGATGTATTGTGTAATGGGTATACAGTTTCAGTTTGGGATGATAAAAACAGTCTAGAGATAGATAGTGATGATTATTGCATAACAATGTGAATGTACTTAACGCCACTAAACTGTAAATTTAAATGGGTTAAAATGGTAAATTTGATGTTATATGTATTGTACCACAATTTAAAAACAAACTGATATGTGAAAGATAATGTGTCTTAATTTCAAATATATGTCATGTTACATACACAGGTTCCACTTCATAAAAGGAATGATAGAAGCTTAGCTAATGCACATTTCATTACAATGGATATTTTAAAGCAGTACATAAAAATTTCCCAAAATAAAACTATTAGCTGATTTACATTTATGAATTTGTACAATTATTCTTCTGGCTAAAGCTGATTTACATTTATGAATTAAGAATAATTTATGAATTATTCTTCTAGCTGACAATAATCTAGTTCTTTCTTCAAGCATAATATACATACATACATACATTTATGTTTAGATTTCATATATAGGCTGGGTGCAGTTGCTCACGCCTGTAATCCCAGCACTTTGGGAGGACCAGGTGGATGGATCACCTGAGGTCGAGTTCAAGACCAGCCTGGCCAACATGGTGAAACAGCATCTCTACTAAAAACACAAAAATTAGCTGGGTGAGGTAACAGGGGCCTGTACTCCCAGCTTCTCGGGAGGCTGAGGCGGGAGACTCACTTGAACCCAGGAGGCGGATGTTGCAGTGAGCCAACATCATGCCATTGCACTCCAGCCTGGGTGACAAAGTGAGACTGCATCTCAAAAAGAAAAAAAAAGAACGTATGTAAGAATATAATATATATATAAAGTATCTTCTTTAGTAATAATATAATAATTAAGGCCAGCTTTAGTCTTGAAAAACATTTTCATCATAAAAATAACAAGCAAACTCAAAAGATAATTTAAACTCTTTGAATATCATGACCAGGAAATATTTTATTCCAAAAATATGCTGACATATTTTATTCCCTCTTGATTCAATTAATTCAACATTTCTCATCTAAATTATAATAAAAATCTTTCAAGTTTTCTTCCAGAAAAAAATAATTCATATATATTATAGAATAAAGGGAGCAAATTTTCCCCAGGTATCTGGAATATTAGTAGTAGTATAATACTTATATAATGTAATAATTATTCAAATGTAATGGTTCTGTCTACTTTACAGGGGTCTTAATCATATTATATCTCTTTGATCTTGGTCTTCAACACAGCACTATAGGATGATAAGGGAGTTATAATAATGAGATATGAAATATAAAGAATTTTAACCTTTTCAAATTTGATTAAATTTATTTCCTTAATCATACAATAAATATATGGAAATTCATGTTATTCTTTCAATAGCAGTTCCAACTTGAACATGCATTCTTAGAATTGGCCTAGCAAACTCTGTTCATGAACAAATACTTCTTAGCTTGATGACAGTAACATACAATTTAATGGATTTGCTTCTGTAGGTTGGGTTTCCAGAGAAGCAAACTGTGATAGAGATTACTGTGCAAAGTGTATTAAGGAATATTCTTGGGTTCAATACCTGTGAATGAAAAACTAACAAACAAACAAACAAACAAGCAAACAGCATTGGGCAGGGAGAAGTTGGGCTGTAGTATAGTCTCAACAAATTCCTACACAAACTTCATAAGAGCTTCTGGAATTTTCCCAAGTCAGAGAGCGGTGTCAGACCTTTACGTAGTTTAACAACTGATAATTTGATGCATATTTCCCTGCGAATGTGGTGGGAGCATAGACCTGAGGAATTTTCTCAGCCCAATCATTTCCAAAGCTAAGATCTGAGGGCCGTCTGGCGGCAACAATGCAAGTAGCAGAAAAAAGACATTTTTGTTACTGAAGGAACATCTGGGCAGCACATCACAGCAACCACTATTGCGTTTTTCCACATAACATTCTGATTTGTTCTTGATAACTCTACCAGATAGCCAGGGCAAGTATTATCCAAAGTTAAGAATAGGAATTTAAGGCAAGGAGTTTATTTATTTTATTAAATACAAAATTAGCTTACACAACATTAGAAAGAAAGATAATGCAAAAGCATTCACATATTGACACTAATTTGTGATATATGTAGGAATGATTTAGCATAGTTTGATGCTAAGAAAAAAAGCCACATAGAAAACCAAAGTAGAAAAAAAAATCTCATCAATTTCTGATGATTGATTAGGGAAGCTCAAATCTCTTGCTGTAATTCAGAATCATCTCTAGCTAATATTTGCATTTAAATGTTACAATGTCACTTAATATGAAGTAATTAAGCTGGAAGGCAGCATAGAAATTTTTCTTTGTCTAATATTTTTCTATGTTTTTGGTGCATTTTCTTATACTACAACTTCAGACGGGCTCCTGCTGAGAAATGAAGGTAGACACAGCAGTAGATCATGTTTTTGACAAGCCTAAACTTGGTGACCCATGCACAATATACTTACCTGCTGCCTTTTTGCAACATCTTGACAAGGTCATCATGCATTAAAAGGAAACATTCAGGCTGTAACACCCTAATGCTTACTTTTCTTAAAGAAAGTGTGCGAAAAGGTATAATTTTAACACATCACCATCATTTCTGACTACATAGTAGGCAGTTTTGTTCATTATAAGTGTACTTCTTGCACGTAAATACATCAGTCAGAAAGTAAAGTGTTCCAAGTAATAGCCAGCTACAACTTTGAAAGATGAATTTGTTGACCTCTAAGTATCATTGTGGCTTAGAACTAAACCAGGTGTTTTCAAGCGTGTTTAGTAGTGGAACCCTTTCATTAAGCACAGATTGAAAATGGAGTTGTTGGGTATATATATAGATATAGCTCCAGGGCTTGGAGGCCAGCTAGCTTGTTCCTCCTTCCACCTCAATCATAACTAAGGCTTTAATCTCAGAGGACCCCAAAGATACTATAAGGTAAAATTGGGAAAACCTCTTACTTATTGTCAAATTTTAGAAAGTATCAGGGTACTACAATAGCTATGTATCTAACCCTACAATGACACATTTTGAACATCTATTTTAGCACCTAACACTGTATAAGACTAGCTTACACATGTATACTGTCTACCTGCCTATATTTTAAATCAGAATTGTGTGTTTTTGTTCTCTGTCTATATATCACTCTCCACATTACCTGAATATAAGTTTGGCACAGTTGCATTGGATTGAACAGAGCAAACTAATAAATATAACCTTAACATGGTCATAAAATCCTTCATAGCAAACAATATTTCTGCATTAGTATTCCATTTGTAAAATCCTAATACTTACGTGAAAAGAATATGAGCCAAAAGCTGTAATTCCTGTACATCAGAATCTTTTCTGATTAGCTAATCTTTTTTTCTTGGCCTACAAAGTCTACTGTCTGACTAGGGGTGCAATTTCCTCAAGGTTATATTTCAGACAAAGACATCCTGGATAAATGGCATATGACAGTGAAGAGGAAAATAAGGATGTACTTTAAATCACAACATAGTACTTATTTTGGATAGAACAGTCTCAGGCTTGCCTCTTGGCAAGCAGAGTGGAGCTTGGAGAATTCACCCTATTCTGTTAGGAATATAATAGGGTAATCCAATCTTACATTCATAGGAATCTAGGTGTTGCTAGATGTTTCTTTCTTTAGAGTCCATTGATTTGTATTTCCAGATCCTAGACATCTAAGGAGACTAATATCTGATAATAGTTTTTCCTTATCTTTTAAAGCCCAAACAAATAGGTGTTACATATGATATTCTAACGCCTTCTTCCTAATATATAAATGTTCCAGTTCTCTAATGTACACATATACAGATAAAGAGGATGTACACAAATAATACTCATATTTGTATTCCCACATTTTAAAAGTGTGAGAATATATATATATATATATGCACATACACATGTGCATGCATACATTCATTTTATAGTACAGTATTAGGCTGATAACTTCGATACATTCTTGGAAAACTGTGAGTTTGTTAACTTATAGATTTAATCCTCTAACATGCTAATGAAAGAAAAATCTTACAATTAATAAATGCATAGACAAAGATTATAAATATTTATATAAAAGTGTACCCTTAAAATCATCTACATAAGAAAGGAAACAAAAGACTTCACAATCAATTATAACACTTTTATTAATGCTTTGCATTCCATCATTCCTCTTGAAAAGCTATTTAGCTCCAACAGAGGTACACTAACCAACACTATGAAGAATCAAAATTGCATTTATGTGACTTATACTGGTTCATCAGTTCCTGTAATTAACATTTATGAAGCACAGACAGTTTCCAAAATTTTGCATAGAACATGAAGAAGATAAGTGTACTCCCTATTGGGATTCCGATTAATAAGCTTTCTCAAGGAAACTTAATATTGGCCACTGTTAAATGAATGGGGGAATAAAAAACCCCTAGAGCTGAAGGATTTGGCTCCAGAGTTATTTATGTTACATATGTTAGTGACAGGTACTTAATTTCATGCCTGTGAAGTATGATTCAATGTATAAAATCACACAGTGAATTGACATTAAAGACCACATTGGTTTCACTTTAGATATTCTGTTTAGGTGTACTTTATATTTAGGCTTCAAACTGTTGACAAACATACAGAAACATTTTTCAACTCACTAAGCAATTACTCTGTGACTTGAAAATTGTAATTTATTTTTTAAATGTGTGCATACATATAATCTAAGACAGATTTGGTCAATATTGAAAGACAAGTTTACAAATTTGTAAAAGTGTGTGGTTTGTAAACCAAATTGTGTTCACATTACAATACCTCATTCAAAGTTAGATCTTCACAATTCAATGGTCTTGAAAACCCAAGTATTCTTATTTCCACTTTTAGATGAGAAAACTGAATCTGAGAATAAAGGAACAAAAATCAACAGCAGAATTTGGATTTGACCGAGTTCATTTCATTTATTTCACATGCTAAGAACCTGTGTATTCTCTTTCATAATATTAGCCAATTGCAAGAAAAGTGAATATTAGGTTTGAAAAATTTTACATGCTCTTATTTCTATGCCTTTAAAACATTGTAGTTATTAAGCATTCATTTCACAAAACGGCCAGGCAAAATTCCACCCTGGCTTGCTCCCAGGTCACTGCTCTGGTTTGGCTCTCCCTGGTCCTGAAAAAGGATAAGCCAAGAACAGCTGAGCCTAAAGGAGCATCCAGAGAATCATTGTCATCACAACAGGGCTAATAATGATCACAGCTGCCAAAAGGAAATACAACAGTGATGATATGGGTACTGAAGCACTCAATGGTTTTGTTGAGTCTTGAAAGTTATTCGTAAAATGCTGTGATCACAGTGTTGTACCACTGAGAAAGTAGGATGTGTTTAATCATCCCCTGGCAACTCTTTGCTTGTTTCTTCTTTGTCAGTGTCATACTTGCCTAGCCTTTTCAAGATTTCAGCTTTAAGTATGAAAAAAAATGGAAAAAATATAAAAGTGTGCAATTTTGCGAGGACTGAATTTCTAATAGAATGACATTATAATTGTTAAGTTTCAAGCAATGGTAACAGGTAAAATTAACCAATAAACCTGACAGCACATACAGCAATCTTTAAGTACAAGTAAATTCCCTACTAGCTGTCATACAGGCACAGAAAAACTGCATTGCTAATGCTATTTCTAAACTTAATTCACTATTTTATAAAACTATGTCTCTCAAAATGACAGCAAGCAATAAGAAGCTGCATAACGTTTTACTTCCATGATTTAAATGGAACATTTTTAAATGATAAAAAAATTCACTGACTCAAATAAATGATATAAACAAGTAGTTTTAATTGCCTTTGGCTGAATATAAAATGAAAACCTACAAAACATTATTATATGGTCAACATTTATAATGATAAGCTCAAGAAAGTCAGTGTCATTTACATATGCTTTTAAGAAAGACTGAAAGTTTTTGAACATATTTATGATTCTGATTCAAACAGAATTTTTTTGGATAGTAAAATGTCAGATAGAAAAGGCAAGGGTATGCTAGTAAAAGTTATTGCAACATAGGCACTTATAATCCTATAAAGATTCAGTTGCCTATGCTTGGAAAAAGGGTTCTAAAAGTATCTGCAGTATGGAATATAGGAAAATGCCTCCTATGACACTAGATTTGTTCCACATTGAGATGAGCACAGAAGGGACATACTGGCAGGAGGTTCTATGTTAAGAAGATTTGTAGAATTATATAATTAAAGGGAGTAATGGAGTCTATTTGATTGAATCCCTCATTATGTTAGTTCATTTTCTTTTGCTTATTAGAAAATATCTTAAGCTGGATAAATTTAAAGAAAAATGAATTTATTTCTTTTAGTTATGAAGGCTGAAAAACCCAAGGTCAAGATGACACATATAGTGAAAATCTTCTTGATGTTGGGAACTCTCTGAAGAGTACCGAGTTGGTGCAGGGTATCACATGGTGAGGGGGCTGAGCATGCTCACATGTTAGTTCAGTTCTCTTTTGCTCTTCTTATGAAGCCACCAGTTATACTTCCATGAAAACCCATCAATCCATGAATCTAGAATTAATTAGTATAATTCTGAGGGAGAGCCTTCATGATCCAATTACCTCTTAGAGGCCTCACCTCTTAATATTGCCACATTGAGTGTTCAGTTTCAACATGAGATTTGGAAGGGACAATATTCAAACATTATATCACACCCATTTAAAAATGAGAAAAACAAATCCTCCACAACTTAGATTAATTTCCTAAAGTCACAAAATGATGCATGACAAATCAAGTCTAAAATGTATATCCTTATTCTTCCCCTTTAACATTTTAACGTCATTCTTCTTTTAGCCTTCCTAGAGGGCTAAAAACATAATGGTATCATTTAGTAAATATTTGTTAAGATGACTTCAATTAAATTAAATCGATTGTCTTAGTCCATTTGTGCTGCTATAACAAAATACCCAACACTGGGTGATTTATAAAAAACACAAATTTATTTTCTAATATTTCTGGAGGCTAGGAAGTTCAGGATCAAGGTGCCCACATTTGGTTGGGTGAGATCTTCTTGCTGCATCCTTACATGGCTGAAGATGGAAGGGCAAGCCAAAGCTTCATGATGCCTCCTTTATAAGGGCCCTAATCCCATTAATGTGGAAGGAGCCTTTATGGTCTAATCCAGTTTTAGAGGCCCTACCTCTTAATAGGATCACGTTGGCAACACCCAAATTTTGGAGGTGACACAAATATTCAACTTATTATTGAGGCCTAACTTTAAAAGTATTGTGTAGAGGTTACAAAGCTAATAACTGAACATAGAAAGAATGATTGTATTGCAAATGTGCTAATTTGTGTTCTCCTTCAGCTTAATTTTACTTGTATTTTTCTTATACTAAACATAACTGGTTGCTGCAGGATTTTAAATCACAATATGCCCGGGTAAGAGGTGACAATAAAATGATGAAGTTTCAACTTCACTTGCCACACAACAAATTTGATGTTGTTAATTTACAAAAGAGAATCACTTATTAATATATGTAACATTTTTCCTAAATTTAGCTTTATTTTATAAATGTTCATATTTATACTCATCCTCCATTCAAGGCAGAGGCTGCTATATATATTAATATGTATATATAAATAGATATATATCTATTTATAACTATATATATCTATTTGTATCTATCTCTATATATGTATATCTATTTCTATCTATATCCTACTTTTGACATATCTGTTAAGCTGAGAATTTATTCTATCTATATATACATTATATATTTATTATATATTATATACAATTATTTTATATTATTGAGTTATATAGATTAAACCCTCATTTTTTTTGGTGTTGATTCTTTTCTTTTTTTTTATTATTATTATACTTTAAGTTTTAGGGTACATGTGCACAATGTGCAGGTTAGTTACATATGTATACATGTGCCATGCTGGTGTGCTGCATCCACTAACTCGTCATCTAGCATTAGGTATATCTCCCAATGCTATCCTTCCCCCCTCTGCCCACCCCACAACAGTCCCCAGAGTGTGATGTTCCCCTTCCTGTGTCCACGTGTTCTCATTGTTCAATTCCCACCTATGAGTGAGAATATGCCGTGTTTGGTTTTTTGTTCTTGCGATAGCTTACTGAGAATGATGATTTCCAATTTCATCCATGTCCCTACAAAGGACACTAACTCATCATTTTTTATGGCTGCATAGTATTCCATGGTGTATATGTGCCACATTTTCTTAATCCAGTCTATCATTGTTGGACATTTGGGTTGGTTCCAAGCCTTTGCTATTGTGAATAGTGCTGCAATAAACATACGTGTGCATGTGTCCTTATAGCAGCATGATTTATAATCCTTTGGGTATATACCCAGTAATGGGATGGCTGGGTCAAATGGTATTTCTAGTTCTAGATCCCTGAGGAATCGCCACACTGACTTCCACAAGGGTTGAACTAGTTTACAATCCCACCGACAGTGTAAAATTGTTCCTATTTCTCCACATCCTCTCCAGCATCTCTTATGTCCTGACTTTTTAATGATTGCCATTCTAACTGGTGTGAGATGGTATCTCATTGTGGTTTTGATTTGCATTTCTCTGATGGCCAGTGATGGTGAGCATTTTTTCATGTGTTTTTTGGCTGCATAAATGTCTTCTTTTGAGAAGTGTCTGTTCAAGTCCTTTGCCCACTTTTTGATGGGGTTGTTTGTTTTTTTCTTGTAAATTTGTTTGAGTTCATTGTAGATTCTGGATATTAGCCCTTTGTCAGATGAGTAGGTTGCGAAAATTTTCTCCCATTTTGTAGGTTGCCTGTTCACTCTGATGGTAGTTTCTTTTGCTGTGCAGAAGCTCTTCAGTTTAATTAGATCCCATTTGTCAATTTTGGCTTTTGTTGCCATTGCTTTTGGTGTTTTAGACATGAAGTCCTTGCCCATGCCTATGTCCTGAATGGTATTGCCTAGGTTTTCTTCTAGGGTTTTTATGGTTTTAGGTCTAATGTTTAAGTCTTTAATCCATCTTGAATTGATTTTTGTATAAGGTGTAAGGAAGGGATCCAGTTTCAGCTTTCTACATATGGCTAGCCAGTTTTCCCGGCACCATTTATTACATAGGGAATCCTTTCCCCATTGCTTGTTTTTCTCAGGTTTGTCAAAGATCAGATAGTTGTAGATATGCAGTGTTATTTCTGAGGGCTCTGTTCTGTTCCATTGATCTATATCTCTGTTTTGGTACCAGTACCATGCTGTTTTGGTTACTGTAGCCTTGTAGTATAGTTTGAAGTCAGATAGTGTGATGCCTCCAGCTTTGTTGTTTTGGTTTAGGATTGACTTGGCGATGTGGGCTCTTTTTTGGTTCCATATGAACTTTAAAGTAGTTTTTTCCAATTCTGTGAAGAAAGTCATTGGTAGCTTGATGGGGATGGCATTGAATCTGGGATGCCCTCTCTCACCACTCCTATTCAACGTAGTGTTGGAAGTTCTGGCCAGAGCAATTAGGCAGGAGAAGGAAGTAAAGGGTATTCAATTAGGAAAAGAGGAAGTCAAATTGTCCCTGTTTGCAGATGACATGAGTGTATATCTAGAAAACCCCGTTGTCTCAGCCCAAAATCTCCTTAAGCTGATAAGCAACTTCAGCAAAGTCTTAGGATACAAAATCAATGTACAAAAATCACAAGCATTCTTATACACCAATAACAGACAAACAGAGAGCCAAATCATGAGTGAACTGCCATTCACAATTGCTTCAAAGAGAATAAAATACCTAGGAATCCAACTTACAAGGGACGTGAAGGACCTCTTCAAGGAGAACTACAAACCACTGCTCAAGGAAATAAAAGAGGATACCAACAAATGGAAGAACAGTCCATGCTCATGGGTAGGAAGAATCAATATCGTGAAAATGGCCATACTGCACAAGGTAACCCTTATATTCTTAACAGATCAGGAGTAGGAAATAACTGTTCATTGAAACATTGTCACTCACTGTTGTGATGACCAGTTCCACAAAGGCTCCTATTGACTTCATGCAGGTGTAACCTGACAGTCTCACTCCTTACCCATGCTGCGTACTGCTTGCTTTTTGCTCAGTTTCCATGATGCTGCAACATGAAATGCCAGTAGAGATTATCTCTGTACTCACAAATGCACATTCCTCACATATGCATAACCTGTAATTGTTGCAGAGCGAGTTTCCTCTAAGCTACTCTTGAACAATGGGAGCTAGATTCAACGTATAATGCTTCCCCTTTTTTTACCCTGGGTAGAAAATCTAAAAGGACATTTTAAAGATTGTTCCAAAGTTCTCACAGGATCAGGTATCACGTGCATGTGGTGGTAGATAACTTTATAGCACACCTTTCTATTGACTCCCTCCCTCGTATAACCCACTTCCCTTAGTTCACTTCACCACATTTCCCATCTTGTCCCTTACACCTGATGCTTGAGATCACATCGAAAATATACCAGCTGCATGAACACCATTGTCTAAGGCTCTGATTTCAGGAAAACTGAGATTAAAATTTAGAGATGTGCTTTTTTTTAATGTAACTAATTTTACTCAGTATAGTTATGGAAGGTACCAATCTAAAAGTCCATAATTCAAATGTGAGCTCCAGCAAAATTCTAATTTTATACCTACTATATACCATGCATCTTTGCAATTGTTCATGAAAAGTTGAAATGGCAAATATTTCTGACACTAACACTAAGGTTAATTCAAGAATATTTAAGGGGTGATTCAAGCAGAAAGAATTATCTAAATGCATGGTAGAACTGCAAACAAGAAACTTTTAGTTAATTGATTTTTAATTGAAATCTGTTGCAGGTGATGGCAAAAGTACTGCTAATATTCATAGCTGCCTACAGATATTAGGAAGTACCATCACTAACATTTTCTTTTTTGATTGAATAACAACTCTATAATTGTAGGGTTTTCTTTGTTTGTTTGTTTGATTTTGTTTTATTTGAGATGGAGTCTCACTCTGTCCCCCAGTCTGGAGTACAGTAGCGTGATCTCGGCTTACTGCAACCTCCGCCTCCTGGGTTCAAGTGATTCTCCTGCCTCAGCCTCCTGAGTAGCTGTGATTATAGGTGCCTGCCACCATGCCTGGCTAATTTTTTATATATTTTTAGTAGAGAGGGGGTTTCACCATGTTGGCCAGGCTGGTCTTGAACTCCTGACCTCAGGTGATCCACCTGCCTCAGCCTCTCAAAGTGCTGGAATTACAGGTGTGATCCACTGCACCCAGCCAATAATTGTAGTTTTAAAGCTGTGAAAACTGAAGCTTTGGGCTTACATTCTCTCTCTAAGATATTATATCTTGAACAATGTGCCATTAAATATTGACTCAAAATTCTATTCACTTGTGTTGGAATCCTCTCACTCTGTGTTTGCCATCAACTTAACTCTATAGTATTGTCAGGAAAACTTTTGTGGACCAAAGAAGGCACCAGTCAATAGTGGTCATTTGACAATTTATGGTTATATATGTACCCTCTCATGAAGATATATACTATGTGTGAGTACATATATGAGTAGATATAGCATTAAATACTTGTACCCTAAATGCAGTATACTTGTACTGAAAATATTTTTATCTCTGTGTAAAATTGAGCTTCAAAGCATTAGAGCTAAAATGAACTGCTTTTAAGTAGTAGGTCACATGGCAAACTCTTACATACAATTTATTCATATGTTCTCATTCAGCAATGGTACACATTAGATAACAAACTCTAAACAACACATAAGACTTTATCTGACCCTTAGCTGCCACTCTCCCTGCAAGCCTTCTCATCCCATTGTGTATGAATTCTTGACTCTTCTTTGTGACAATGAAATGAAGCACTGGTATCCTGATATTTAAAATTCTGTTCAGAGGGAATTCCAATTAAGAAGAAAAAATAAGAACTTATTGGGGATAGGAAAGAGTATGAGTTTATTTCACTAAGATTTTTGAGATTTAAGGTGTGTTTTCCTTAGGTGTTATTTGGATTTTTAGAAGGTGATATTTATGATTATTGTGATACACAAATATCTATATCTCTCTAGTTTGGCTGCATTTATCATGAATGACCTGGCAGTTACTGGTTAGAGCAGCAGATAAAGGTAAACCGGGGAGATTGGAACTGTTTTTATTCTCCATTCTTGCAGTTTGAAAATGTAAATGTTATCTTCGGGGGAATACACAGAAATCTGATTTAAAGATATTTAAAATATACCTTTTGGCAATTTAGCAGTTGTAAATGCCAAGTGCACCTAATTATATCCTCTCTGCTACTTAAATCTATTCTTGAAAAAAATATCTTTTTAGTGCTCAAGACATTTTCTGACTAAGCAGATAAATATTGGGCTGACAAGATCTAATATATAAAGAGAAATATTACCTATTATTTGCACCCATTTAATTCATTCTCCATGCTGCCCCAAGGGAATCTTTCCAAAATGCCAGCATCATCATTTCATTAATATTCTGTAATTATTTAATATAGTACAGATGCCAGTTAGGGATCATCTCATGGAGTATGACTACTCCAAAATATTGCTAGTGACTGTTTGGAGTTACATGATAAAAATTCTGAGGCCACAAACAAGATAAACAGAAGAAAATTCACCACATTGTTCCATTTTATCTGTCATACAGAATGAAGCAGAAAGTCCCGATACCACTTAAAAGTATCAAATGTGTGGTTGGCCTCTCCGTCAAACCTTTCAGCCTGAGCTCTTCCTTCTTCTACTGTCCCACAGCCATGTGAATACATTCACAGTTCTTGAATGACCTATTCCATTCCTTACCTCTGAGCTTTTGCTCAGGTTCTACATTGTGCTTGGAATGTTCATGTCCTATATAAATCAGTTTGGCCAGCTCCTTTGTGTCTTGGGAAACTGAACTTAATTGTCTCTTCTACTATGAAGACTTTCCTGATTTTTTCGAGCACAGGCAATTACTGCTTAATTGGTGGGTCTGTTAAACTTAGTAAGTGTTAAACGTAGCAAGAGTTAAACTTATTTAGTAAATGTTAAACTTAGTAAGTGTTAGACTGACTTACTTTAGTTGCACACTCATTCCCTTAGCCTTATACTCAACAACTCTTACATCAATAAATGTAGCACAAACATACACACACACATATATATACACACACACACACACACACACATTTTATATATATATAGTCTATTCAAGGAACTGTATGTATAATTGTGAAAGATATAGAACTGGTAACTGCTTGTATCATGATTTTAATGTAGTCTTATATACCTTAAGGCTTCTGCTAAATATTATAAATATATTGTAATTATTTATGTTTCCCATATTAACCTATAAGCTCTTTGGAAGAGCAATTAGAACATAGATTTATTTGTATTCCTAGCACTTAGCACAGTGCCAGACATAATGTAGGTTTGTAAAAATGCCTTTAATGGGATAAAATTGATTTAATAATCCAGTGGGATAGTAGCCACTAGTTGTATGTATTTTTTTCAAGCCAGTTATCCATGCCTAGATTGTATATATATATATGCGTTTTAATACCATGGACAGTCTGAACTGGATCATGTGGACAGAATAGTGAGCAAGGAAGACTACCTTAGATGACTGCTAAAATCCAGTGTAAATCCCAGGAGTACTTATTGCTAAAGGAAAATGCAATATTATATAGATCATTACATAAACAAATGTGAGTTATTTGTTAGAAGTTCAAATGAGTCCTCTTAAAATAATACGTTTTAAAATAAAGCAATTATTTTTGAAGAGTATAATAACAAAAAACAAGTAAGTGAGTTGTGCCTGGAGAATCTGGGAAACAATGGTAATATTAATCTAGCAACAAAAGTCAAAGGAGAAAATTCAACTCACGGCTTCATAATATTATTAAGATTTAAAACCATAAAAACTTAGATATACTGTATGTAAAAAGGAAACAGAAGAAAGAAGTTATCAATATAATAAATTTATTGTTTTTTCTGCTTGCAACTAAATGTGTATTCATAGACTAATTTGCAATTCAGTGTAGAAAAATATTTTTAATATCCCAGCTTGTTCCTTTTTTCCTAGTGGCAAAATACAGAAAACAGACAAAGGGCTTTGATTTACACATGTTAGAGCTCGTAAATTTTCTTTTTGCAAATTATACAGTGGCTTGAACAATTAACTATCTTTTCCCTTATCGTCATTGTCTATATAGAAGATAAACACAATTCTTAATTCTCTCTCTCATGTGCACACACACACATACACACACCCAATAGTATTGTTTGATCTATTCACAAAGCAAGGTCCTTTAAAACATTTGCTTAGAAATGCCTCTACATAGGATCCAAAGCCAAACATAATTATATTTTTTCCATTTACTGCATTCAGTGTACTTAAAGTAATACGTAAGTAAGCTCAATAAAAGTGAATCTGACAAAATTCAATCAGATCATTCAAAACTGTTGACTAATGTTAGCAATTAACGGATTATTAACTTATACTTGTTTTCTTATCATTTAAACTTAAAGCTTTAACATTTAAAATTAATCAATTTCAGGGTCAGGCATGGTTTGGGAGACCAAGGGAGGAGGTTTGCTTGAGGCCAGGAGTTCAAGACCAGTCTGTCCAGGAGTTCAAGACCAGCACAGCAAGACCCCATCTCTCCAAAAAATTAAAGTAAAAAAAGCCAAGTGTGGTGGTGCACACCTGCAGTCCTAGCTACTCAGCAGGCTGATGTGGAATGATTGTTTGAGTCCTGGAGTTCAAGGATGAAGTAAGCTATGATCACACCAATGCACTCCAGCTGGGTTACATTAAATAAAATACAATTAGTCAATTTCATTAAAACAACTATTTTATTTTGCAAAAGAACTTGTATCGGTCCATTCTCACATTGCTATAAAGAAATACCTGAAACTAGGTAGTTTATAAAGAAAAGAAGTTTAACTGACTCACAATTCTGCAGGCTGTACAGGAAGCATGGCTGGGGAGGCCACAGGAAACTTACAATCATAGTGGAAGGTGAAAGGGAAGCAAGCACATCTTCACATGACAGCAAGAGAAGGAGAGCAAAGTGAGAGGTGCTACACACTTTTAAACAACCAGATCTCATGAGAATTACATCATGAGAACAGGAAGGGGGAAGTACTCCCCCATGATTCAATCCTCTCCCACCAGGCCCCTCCTTCAACACGTGGGGATTACAATTTGATATGAATTTGGGTGGGGCACAGAGCCAAACTGTATCTAGGCCCATTCTTTATTTATTCTTTCATTTCATCATAATCATTTTAAATTTATTTGTTGGGAAAAGGATTCTGGAGTAAGATTTATAAAGAACTGGGGACAGAGAAGTTTGGAAACTGTGTTTCGAAGCAATGAACCTGATTTAGACTTCAGAATATAAGAGATCATATATAATTATAATACCAGGTAGGTTGGTAAATAATAGGTAGATAGATCAATATTAGTATATAGATATAGATACAGGGATAGGAGTAAATGTTAATATGCATATATATAGATAGATAAATATGTAGACATAGATACATAAAAAGATAAGGGTACAGATATCAAATGTTGACAATCTTCCCTCCATTTTACAAAACTCTATGTAAAATTACAGGATATCACATATTTCAAGACACTGCTAGTATACATTAACACAGATGAGTTCAAAATTTGCCAACTATGTGGATTATCTCCTAAAATACATGGATCCATTTTCTTATTAAATATATAAGATAGGAAACATTTTAAAAAACACTTTAAATCGTAAATTATTTTTCCATGAGCTGGACATCTGAGTATTACATTTCTAAACCAGGTAAAATAATGCTACATAATCTTATTCTACTTGACCTAATTGCTGTGAGATGTTTCACAATAATTTTAATCATTTTGAGTAGTATTCCTTTGCATCAGAAATCAGGTTTGCATCTCACACCAGTCAAAATGGCGATTATTAAAAAGTCAAGAAACAATGTATGCTGGAGAGGTTGTGGAGAAATAGGAAAATTTTTACACTGTCAGTGGGAATATAAATTAGTTCAACCATTGTGGAAGACAGTATGGTGATTCCTCAAGGATCTAGAACCAGAAATTCCATTTGACCCAGCAATCTCATCACTGGGTATATACCCAAAGGAGTATAAATCATTCTACTACAAAGACACATGAATGTGTATGTTGACTGCAGCACTATTTACAATAGGAAAGTCATGGAACCAACCCAGATGCCCATCAATGATAGATCATATAAAGAAAATGTGGTACATATACACCATGGAATACTATGCAGCCATAAAAATCACTTGAACCCAGGAGATGGAGGTTGCAGTGAGCTGAGATCACGACACTTCACTCCCACCTGGGTGACAGAGCGAGACTCCATCTCAAAAAGTAAAATAAAATTAAACTAAATAAAAAAGAAAAACTACCTATTGGGTACAATGGTCACTTTCTGGGTCACTGAAAGCCCAGAATTATAGGCATGTGACAAATTGGCATCGTACCTTCTAAATCTATAATAATATATCATAAAACAGCAATATAATAGGTTGAATTCACATATTGATACTGATAATCATAAATTTATATGTTTGAGGAAAAATAACTTTTATGTTAACAGTGTTTTCTCTTAGATTTTTGGAAAATGTATATAAAACCCCCACTCTGTCTTTATTCTCCTATCTCTCTCTAAGGCTAGGCCTCATTTTGGCTGACAAGCTGACTTTGGTCTGGATAGACAAGGGACATCATTTTTATTTTTCCAAACAGCTATTGCAACATTATCTCTAAACTTCCATCTCTAATGTTTCCTCACTCAGAAATATTCCATGTCTGAACTCTTGAATTGCAATGCTCTTTATTCTAACCACAAATGCTCGTCTTTCATTGAGAACACCAAGCACAATGCCCTTTAATTTTGCCTTTAATGTTATTGCTCTGTTTTCTTCCCTTTCTTTCTCTGTATTTCTTCAAGTACTGTAGAATTTTGTTAAAAGCAAATTTGGATCTCATCCTCATCATGCATCAGGCCATTATTCTTTCTCTTCATTTTCAACTTTTCACTCTTTAGTTGCTTATTGCTTTCAGCATATGGATATACTCAAGCTTCTTCCAAAAGACCACAACAAGCAAAGCTATGAAATCCAGTCTTGCCTTTGGGGTGTATTGACACTGTTATTTATTTCCCCATTGAAATTATGTCTTAAAAATGATTATGTCATTCTTGCTCGTTTCTTCTTAGGTGATTTTGATGGAATTTCCTACCTTCCTGCAACACTTGAAATGTAACTGTTCCCAACCTTCTGTTCTGTCTTCCCCTCTTCCTTCTTCATTTCATACTATTCTGCTTAAAACTGCCTTTCATTGAGAGTAAAAGGCAAAGTCCTTCCAATGACCTGCAAGGCTGTCATAAATACTGTGATCCAAATCTCTCCTGCAGGGTTAAAGCACTTACTCCACCCATGGTTGCTTTTAGCATTCCCATCTAACTGAGAAATACTCCAGCTAAAAAGAGCCAACGTGCAGCCCATGTCTTAACTGGGTGCTGGAGTATTATATGCTGGCCTTGTTGCCAAAGAATAATTGCTCTGAAGAGCCACCTCAGTTTTAGACTTTTCTCCAAAATTTTCCTATTCTATGCCTCTTAATCTTCCCACAGCAGATTTTTATCCTGAGAGCACTTGGTAATAAACATTGCACATGCTAATCTGCATCTCATAGTCTGCCTCCCAGGAAACCTAACCTATAACACTGGTATTGGAATTGTCCTAGGAAGCAGACGCTTAAATGGGATTTTGGAGTTGGATGATCCCCAGTGAGTATTCCTATTGTTGGCAGCATATGCAGTCAGTATACATGGCCCCTGGAATAAAGTAGCATTGCAATTGTTACCAATGGTAACATTTACCAGTAGTAATGGTAAATGGTAAGCTAGAATGTGCCAAACTAGAAATTGTATTGGTAGATGAAAATGAACCAGTAGGATATATCAGGTATTATGAAATATAGGAGAATTACAATTTATGTAAACAATTTAACAGTGGTTTCTAGGGAAAATTGGTACTTTAAAAGCTGATAATAATTAATAATTAAAAACTAAGGGTAAAAGCTATAGAACCAACTTGTTGGGAAACTAATTTCCTGAACCTAGAGAGCAAAGAGAGCTTAGAACTGAGCACAGAACTTAGTCATAAGAAGAGAAGAGCTCTAGAGATTAATTCCCAAGCCAGAAAAATATGCTATGCCAAGCTCAGTTCCCTGATGAAAAAAAAACAGACCTTGGACAATGGGATAAGCATGTCTAGGTTGATGCACTTGGATTGCAGAAATGGTCAGCTCCTTTTTATTAAAGAGCTAGCACTCCACTTTCCTTGAAGATGACCAGAGGACTCTGTCCTGCAAGACAACATATGCTTCCTCAGGATTCCTCAGGATATTACACACATTGACCTCCTGTCCACTTATCCATAACTTGAGTCAAATAGTGTTACTAATTGCCAGACCTGCTAAAGGAGGAAAGAAATAATATCAAGAAAGAGTTGCAGGACCAGAAGGAGAAGGCAGGATATATGCTCAGGGTGTTAGATCAAAGGGGAAAAATAACAAAATTGGATATGGGAGACCTTATTAATTTGAGAGCAATTTCCTGGAACGTAATACTTTGACCAGAATTCAAGGAAATTATGCTAACAAACTCCTAGAATGACTATTAAAAATGATCACCGTCATTAAGTAAGAAAGAAATGCCAGATCTGATGTAGGAAACAGTGGAAATGGGGAGGAAAGGCTTACAGGCGTCATCATGGTATTGTACATATAACATGTAAGGACAGGCAATCCACTTTCTGACCATGTCCTTAGGAGGGCCTGTAGGAAAATATTTAATAAACAATGAAAGAATATGCTGAGGAAGATACCAATTGATATGATTTGGCTCTGTGTCCCCATCCAAATCTCACCTTGAATTGTAATCCCCATAATCTCCATATGTAAAAGGCAGGACCAGGTGAAGATGATTGAATCATGGGGGCAGTTTTCCCCATGCAGTTCCTGTGATAATGAATGAGTCTCATGAGATCTGATGGTTTCTTAAGTTTCTGCCATTTCCCCTGCTTGCACTCATTCTCTCTCCTGCCACCTTGTGAAGAGATGTGTTCCTACATGATTGTAAGTTTCCTGAGGCCTCCCCAGCCATGTGGAACTGTGAGTCAATTAAACATCTTTCCTTTATAAATTACCCAGTCTCAGGTATTTCTTCATAGCAGTATGAGAATAGACTAAACCAGTAAATTGCTACCAGTAGAGGGGGTGCTGCTATAAAGATACCTGAAATGTGGAAGCAACTTTGAAACTGGGTAACAGAGGTTGGAACAGTTTGGAGAGGTCAGAAGAAGAGAAGAAGATGTGCGAAAGTTTGGAACTTCCTAGTGACTTGTTGAATTGTTTTGACCAAAATGTTGATAGTGATATGGACAATGAAGTCCAGGCTGAGGTGGTCTCAGATGGAGATGAGGAACTTGTTGGGAAATGGAGCAAAGATGACACTTGCTATGCTTTAGCAAAGAGACTGGCAGCATTTTGCTCCTGCCCTAGAGACCTGTGCAACTTTGAACTTGAGAGAGATGATTTAGGGTATCTGGCAGAATAAATGTCTAAGCTGTAAAGCACTCAAGAGGAAACAGAGCATAAAACTTTGGAAAATTTGCAGCCTGACGATGCAATGCAAAAGGAAAACCCATTTTCTGGGGAGAAATTCCAGCCTGCCGCAGAAATTTGCATAAGTAATGAGGAGCCAAATGTTAATCACTAAGACAATGGGACAGATTTCTCTCAGTCATGTTAGAGACCTTCACAGCAGCGCCTCCCATCACAGGCCCAGAGGTCTAGAAGAGAAAACTAGTTTTGTGGGCAGGGCCCAGGAACTTGCTGCTTTGCGCAGTCTCAGGATGTGGTGCCCTGCATCTGAGCTGTGGCTACAAGGGGCCAATGTACAGCTCAGGGCATTGTTTCAGAGGGTGCAAGCCCTGAGGCTTGGCAGCTTACACTTGGTGTTGGGCCTGCGGGTGCACAGACGTCAAAAACTGAGGTTTGGGAGCCTCTGCCTAGATTTACAGAGGATGTATGGAAATGCTGAATGTCCAAGAAAAAGTTTGCTGCAGGAGCAGAGCCCTCATGGAGAACTTCTGCTAGGGCAGTGCAGAAGGGAAATGTGGGGTTGGAGCCCCCACAGAGTCCCCACTGGGGCACTGCCTAGTGGAGCTGTGAGAAGAGGGGCACCATACTCCAGACACCAGAATGGTAGCTCCACCAACAGCTTGCACCATTCACCTGGAAAAGCTGCAGACACTCAATGCCAGCCTGTGAAAGCAGCCAGGAATGGGGCTGTATTCTGCAAAGCCACAGTGGCAGAGCTGCCCAAGGCTGCAGGAGACCACCTCTTGAATCAATGTGCCCCGGATGTGAGACTTTTAAGTTCCAAAATGGTCTCCTTTGACTGCTGTAATGAACTCCAAATTTGCATGGGGCCTTATAGCCCTTTTGTTTTGGCCAATTTCTCCCATTTGGAAGGGGTTTATTTACCCAATGCCTGTACCCTCAATGTATCTAGGAACTAACTAACTTGCTTGTGATTTCACAGGCTCATAGATTGAAGGGACTTGCCTTGTCATAGATGAGATTTTGAACTTGAACTTTTGTGTTAATACTGGAATGATTTATGACTTTGGGGGACCGTTGGAAGGTCATGACTGTGTTTTGAAATGTGAGGACATGAGATTTGAGAGGGGCCAGAGGTAGAATGATATGGTTTGGCTCTGTGCCCCCACCCAAATCTCATCTTAAATTGTAATCCCCATAATTCCCATGTGTCAAGAGGGAGACCAGGTAGAGGTAACTGAATCATGGGATACTTTCCCCCATGCTGTTCTCATAATAATGAGTGAGTCTCATTAGATCAGATGGTTTTGTAAGTGTCTGGCATTTCCCCTGCTTGCGCTCATTCTCTCTCCTGCTACCCTGTGAAGAGGTGTGGGCCTCCATTATTGTAAGTTTTCTGAGCCCTCCCCAACGGAACTGTGAGTCAATTAAAACTCTTTCCTTTATACATTACCCAGTCTCAGGTATTTCTTCATAGCGGTATGAGAACAGACTAATAAACCAATATAGCTAAGATTCTATTTTATGATCCAGAATGAACAGTAGTTTATACATTTCAGGACTGGGTTAACTGGGAGTAATGGCAATTATTTAACCCTAAAACTATAAGTCAGATGGTGACACTAAACTGTTAGATGCCAAGTGGGTGCCATTTCGGTAAAGAACAGAAAAAGTAAAGTGACTACCAGGGATCCTAACATACTGAGAGCTATGACTGGTAAGTAATATAACTCAGCATTCCCAAAGATTAGATAAATGAACAATTAGAACATTTCTAAAAAAAGTTGGGGCAAAACTTCTAAAATGGTGGAGTAAGGACCTTGATGGACCAACTCTCCAGCAAAAAAATATAGGTGATGAAAATTATTTTTTATGAAAAGACCATTTAAAGTATACTCAAAGGACAAAATTCTCAATCAGGTCTATCCTGATTACCTTAAATACACAGATGAAAGTATGTGCACATGCACACACACACACACACACACACACACACACTAAGCAGGTACTCCTAACTCTCTTTTGTACTTTCTCTTTTTCTATTTTCACAGCATTTACCAAATTATAATAAACTATTAATAAATTTTATTTATATAATAATAATTTTTATTTATATAATAAATTAGTATTTGTATAATTTTATTTATATAAAAATTATTATAATAAATGGATTTTACATATTTATTACATTTAATTTTCATTTTTGTCTCCACTAAAAAAAATGTAAGCTCAACTAGGGAATAATCGGTGACTGCTTCTCTTTTGCATATTACTTATTATTTATTTTAATATACATATAAAGACACATAGGAATGTGTCCTAGCATACATTAGACACTCAATAAGTACTTGTAAAATAAAGGAATGCACTTGGCTTGAATTTTTCACTATGTGATTATGATTCTCATATTTATATTGCTAGTTGAAACTTCTCTCCTGATGCTTCAATCCGTATATTCAACCAGCTATCAAATATCCATTCACAAATTTCACAAGCATTGCCTAAATTACTTATCCAAATTATCACCAATGATGAACTTTCCAAATATGCCTTTCCTTCAACACTTCATGTATATGAATTATATACTAATATATCTAGAAAGCAGGTAGCTATTCTAGGAGCATATTTATTTACATCAATTACCTTTCCAAATTATCCCCAAATTTTGTCCAACCCCATAGTTACTCATTAACATTGGTCAGTATATTTTATGGATTAAACATGTTCTACATATGCCTGTTGTTCTCAGATTCAGAACTTCACTAATTTTTCCTCTGTACACAAAAGTTTTAATGTGCAAGTTGACTCTTACTGTACTCCTACTTAAAACAAACATGGAACCTAATTTCCTAATTTAGTACATCATTTGTTTTTTTTTCTGTGAAAATAGTACGCACTCTCATGGTGTATCAGATAAGATGTATTTGGCTGCAAGAAACACAATGACAGCCAAATATGGTTTGAAAACTAGACATTTATTTACCTCATATAAAGAAACTCTGGAGACAGACTATTCCAAGTTTAGTATAACAGCTCAAGCAGGGTGCGGTGGCTCACACCTGTGATCCCAGCACTTTGGGAGGCCAAGGTGGGCAGATCACGAGGTCAAGAGTTCAAAACCGGCCTGGTCAGATAGTGAAACCCCATCTCTACTAAAAATACAAAAATTAATCAGTCGTGGTAGTGCACGCCTCTAGTCCCAGCTACCAGGGAGGCTGAGGCAGAAGAACCACTTGAACCTGGAAGGCAGAGGTTGCAGTGAGTCAAGATCACACCATTGCACTCCAGTCTGGGTGACAGAGGGAGACCCCATCTCAAGAAAAAAAAAGTTCAAAAAATCAACAACGACCCAGGTGTTATCCAGCTTCCTGCTTTGTCATACTCAGTACGCTGGCTTTTGGTTCTTTATCTTGTATCCACATGCAAAAAAAGAGACTCACCGTATCTCCGTGAAAATATCTCATATACTGGAAGACAAAGGAGGAGCAGAAGTATGGGTTTTCCCTCAGTTGATTAGAAAAAGCCATCTTTCTTAGTGGACATGTGTTTCTCCCTCACCACTCATTTGAAGCCCACATAGAGACAAATCACATACTACAAAAACAAGTACTACTTAGATGAGCTTAGCTGGAGCCTGTGGTAATTTTTACCAAAAAATTAAAAAGAATATTTATTTATTTATTTATTTATTTATTTATTTTATTATATTTTAAGTTCTGGGATACATGTGCAGAATGTGCAAGCTTGTTACATAGGTATATATGTGCCATGGTGGTTTGCTGCACCAATCAACCCATCATCCACATTAGGTATTTCTCCTAATGCTATCCCTCCTCTTGTCCCCCTACAAGTACCTTGTAGATTCTGGATATTAGCCATTTATCAGATGGATAGACTGCAAAAATTTTCTTCCATTCTGTAGGTTGTCTGTTCACTCTGATAATAGTTTCTTTCGCTTGTGCAGAAGCTCTTTAGTTTAATTACATCCCATTTGTCAATTTGGGCTTTTGTTGCAATTGCTTTTGGTGTTTTAGTCATCAAGTCTTTGCCCATGCCTACGTCCTGAATCGTATTGCCTGGGTTTTCTTCTAGTGTTTTTATGGTTTTAGGTCTTGCATTTAAACATTTAAGCCATCTTGAGTTAATTTTTGTATAAGGTATAAGGAAGGGGTCCCCTTCAGTTTTCTGCATATGGCTAGCCAGTTTTCCCAACACCATTTATTAAATAGGGAATCCTTTCCCCATTGCTTGTTTTTGTCAGGTGTATCAAAGATCAGATGGTTGTAGATGTGTGGTGTTATTTCTGAGGCCTCTGTTCTATTCCATTGGTCTATATATCTGTTTGGGTACCAGTACCATGCTGTTTTGGTTACTGTAGTCTTGTTCTTTTTGCAAACCACCATGGCACATGTATACCTATGTAACAAACTTGCACATTCTGCCCATGTATCCCAGAACTTAAAATATAAATAAAATAAATAAATATTTATATATTTATATATTATTTTACATATTTTGAAGTCAGGTAGTGTGATGCCTCCTGCTTTGTTCTTTTTGCTTAGGATTGTCTTGGCTATATGGGCTCTTTTTTGGTTCCATGTGAAGTTTAAAGCAGTTTTGTCTAATTCTGTGAAGAAAGTCAATGCTAGCTTGATGGGAATAGCATTGAATCTATAAATTACTTTGGGAAGTATGGCCATTTTCACAATATGAATTCTTTCTATCCATGAGCATGGAATGTTCTTCAATTTTTATGTGTCCTCCCTTATTATTTTAAGCAGTGGTTTGTAGTTCTCTTGAGGAGGTGCTTCACATCCCTTGTAAGTTTTATTCCTAGGTATTTTATTCTCTTTGTAGCAATTGTGAATGAGAGTTTGCTCATGATTCGCCTCTCTATCTATTATTGGTGTATAGTAATGCTTGATTTTTGCACAATGATTTTGTATCCTGAGAGTTTGCTGAAGTTGCTTATCAGCTTAAGGAGATTTTGTGCTGAGATAATGGGGTTTTCTAAATATGAAATCATACCATTTGCAAACAGAGATAATTTGACTTTATCTCTTCCTTTTTGAATACCCTTTATTTCTTTCTCTTGCCTGACTGCCCTGGCCAGAACTTCCAATACTATATTGAATAGGAGTGGTAAGAGAGGGCATCCTTGTCTTGTGCTGGTTTTTAAAGGGAATGCTTCCAGGTTTTGCACATTCAGTATGATATTGGCTGTGGGTTTGTCATAAATAGCTCTTATTATTTTGAGATAAGTTCCAACCTGTACCTAGTATATTGGGAGTTTTGAGCATGAAGGGTGTTAAATTTTGTCGAAGGCCTTTTCTGCATCTATTGAGATAATCATGTGCTTTTGGTCGTTGTTTCTGTTATGTGATGGATTACATTTATTGATTTGCATGTGTTGAACCAGCCTTGCATCCTAGGGATGAAGCCAACTTGATTGTGATAGATAAGCTTTTTAATGTGCTGCTTGATTTGGTTTTCCAGTATTTTATTGAGGATTTTTGCATTGATGTTCATCAAGGATATTGGCCTGAAATTTTCTTTTTTTTTTGTTGTGTCTCTGCCAGGTTTTGGTATCAGGATGATGCTGGCCTCATAAAATGAGTTAGGGAGGAGTCCCTCTTTTTCTATTGTTTGGAATAATTTCAGAAGGAATGGTACCAGCTCCTCTTCATACCGCCGGTAGAATTCAGCTATGAATCTGTCTTGTCCTGGGCTTTTTTTTTTGGTTGGTAGTTTAATAATTACTGCCTCAATTTTAGAACTTGTTGGTTTACTCAGGGATTTGACTTCTTCCTGGTTTAGTCTTGAGAGGGTGTATATGTTCAGGAATTTATCCATTTCTTCTAGATTTTCTAGATTTTTTGCATAGAGGTGTTTATAGTATTCTCTGATGGTAGTTTGTATTTCTGTGGGATCAGTGGTAATCTCCCCATTATTATTTTTTGTTGTATCTATTTGATTCTTCTCTCTTTTATTCTTTATTAGTCTCACTAGCAGTCTATCTATTTTGTTAATTTTTTCAGAAAACCAGCTCCTGATTTCATTGATTTTTTTGAAGGGTTTTTCATGTCTCTATCTCCTTCAGTTCTGCTCTGATCATAGTTATTTCTTGTCTTCTGCCACCTTTTGAATTTGTTTGCTCTTGCTTCTCTAGTTCTTTAATTGTGATGTTACGGTGTAGATTTTATATCTTTCCTGCTCTTTCTGTGGGGATTTAGTGCTACAAATTTCCCTCTAAACACTGCTTTAGCTGTGTCCCAGAGATTCTTGTACATTGTGTCTTTGTTTCTGCCTTCGTTTCGTTATTTACCCACTAGTCATTTAGGAGCAGGTTGTTCAGTTTCCATGTAGTTGTGTGGTATTGAGTGAGTTTCTTAATCCTGAGCTCTAATTTTGATTGCACAGTGGTCTGAGAGAGTGTTATGATTTCTGTTTTTTCGCATTTGCTGAGGAGTGATTTACTTTCAATTTTGTGGTCAATTTTAGAATAAGGGCTATGTGGTGCTCAGAAGAAAGTATATTCTGTTTATTTGGAGTGGAGAATTCTGTAGATGTCTGTTAGATATACTTGGTCCAGAGCTGAGTTCAAGTCTTGAATATCCTTGTTAATCTTCTGTGTCATTGATCTGTCTAATATTGACAATGGAGTGTTAAAGTCTCCCACTATTATTGTGTGGCAGTTTAAGTCTCGTAGGTCTCTAAGAACCTGCTTTATGAATCTGGGTGCTTCTGAATTGGGTGCATATATATTTAGGATAGTTAGCTTTTCTTGTTCCATTGATCCCTTTACGATTATGTAATGCCCTTCTTTGTCTTTTTGATCTTTGTTGGTTTAAAGTCTGTTTTATCAGAAACTAGGATTGCAAACCCTGCTTTTTTTGCTTTCTATTTGCTCAGTAAATCTTCCTCCATCACACAAAGACAAAATGCGTGTCCTTGCATGTGAGATGGGTCTCCTAAATACAGCACACCAATGGGTCTTGACACTTTATCCAATTTTCCAATCCGGGCCTTTTAATTGGGGCATTTAGCCAGTTTACATTTAAGGTTAATATTGTTATGTGTGAATTTGATCCTATCATTATGATGCCAGCTGGTTATTTTGCCCATTAGTTAATGCGGTTTTCTCATAGTGTCGATAGCCTTTACATTTTGGTTTGTTTTTGCAGTGGCTGGTACCGATTTTTTCTTTCCATATTTAGTGCTTCCTTCAGGAGCTCTTGTAAGGCAGGCCTGGTGCTGACAAAATCCCTCAGCATTTGTTTGTCTGTAAAGGGTTTTATTTTCCCTTCAATTATTAAGCTTAGTTTGGCTGGATATGAAATTCTGGGTTGAAAATTCTTTTTGTTAAGAATGTTGAATATTGGCCCCCACTCTCTTCTGGCTTGTAGGATTTCTGCAGTGAGATCTGCTGTTAGTCTGATGGGCTTCACTTTGTGAGTAACCCGACCCTTCTCTCTGGCTGCTCTTGACATTTTTCTTTCATTTCGATCTTGGTGAATCTGATGATTATGTGCCTTGGGGTTGCTGTTCTCGAGGAGTATCTTTGTGATGTTCTCTGTATTTCCTGAATTTGAATGTTGGCCTGTCCTGTTAGGTTGGGGAAGTTCTCCTGGATAATACCCTGAAGTGTGTTTTCCAACTTCGTTCTATTCTCCCTGTCACTTTCATGTACACCAATCAAACATAGGTTTGGTCTTTTCACATAGTCTCATATTTCTTGGAGGCTTTGTTATTTTTCATTCTTTTTTCTCTTATCTTGTCTTCACGCTTTATTTCATTAAGATGATCTTTAATATCTGATAGCCTTTCTTCTGCTTGATTGATTCAGCTATTGATACTTGTGTATGCTTCACGAAGTTCTCGTACTGTGTTTTTCAGCTCCATCAGGTCATTTACTTACTTCTCTAAATGGTTATTCTAATTAGCAATTCCTCTAACCTTTTATCAAGGTTCTTAGCTTCCTTGCATTGGGTTAGAGCATTCTTCTTTAGCACGAAAGAATCTGTTATTACCTACCTTCTGAAGCCTACTTCTGTCAATTCTTCCAATTAATTCTTTGCCCTGTTGATCCCCTGCTGGTGAGGAGTTGTGATCCTTTGGAGAAGAGACATTTTGGTTTTTGACTTTACAGACTTTTTGCTCTGGTTTTTCCTTATCTTCGTGGATTTACCTACCTTTGCTCTTGGTGACTTTCAGATGGAGTTTTTGCTTGATCATCCTTCCTCTGGAAGCTTTGTCCCAGAGAGGCACCCACCAGATACCAGCCAGAGCTCTCCTGTATGAGGTGTCTGTTGACCCCTGCTGGGAGGTGGCTCCCCGTCAGGAGGCACGGAGGTCAGGGACCCACTTGAGGAATAAGTCTGTCCCTTAGCAGAGCTTGAGCGCTGTGCTGGGAGATCCACTGCTCTCTTCAGAGCTGTCAGGAAGGAACATTTAAGTCTGCTGAAGCTGCGCCCACAGCCACCCCTTTACCCAGGTGCTCTGTCCCAGGGAGATGGGAGTTTTATCTGTAAGCACCTGGACTGGAACTCCTACCTTTCTTTCAGAGATGCCCTGTCCAGAGAGGAGGAATCTAGAGAAGCGGTCTGGGTACAGGAGCTTTGTGGCACTGTGGTGGGCTCCGCTCAGTCCAAACTGCCTAGTGGCTTTGTTTACATTGTGAGGGGAAAACTGCCTACTCAAGCCTCAGTGTTGATGGACTCCCCTCCCCCGACCAAGCTGGAACATCACAGGTTGACTTCAGACTGCTGTGCTGGCAGTGAGAATTTCAAGCCAGTGGATCTTAGTTTGCTGGGCTCCATGGGGGTGGGATCCACTGAGCAAAACCATTTGGCTCCCTGGCTTCAGCCCCCTTTCCAAGGGAGTGAATGATTCTGTCTCGCTGGTGTTCCAGGCACTACTGGGGTCCAAAAAAAAAGAAAAGAAAAAACCTCCTGCAGCTAGCTCAGTGTCAGCCCAAACAGCTACCCAGTTTTGTGCTTGAAACCCAGGGGCCCTGGTGGTTTAGGCACCCAAGGGAATCTCCTGGTCTGCGGGTTGCAAAGACAGTGAGAAATGTGTAGTATCTGGGCCCGATAGCACTGTCCATCACAGCACAGTCCCTTATGGCTTCCCTTGGCTAACATAGGGAGTTCCCCTATCTCTTGCACTTATCAGGTGAGGTGACACCCCATCCTGCTTCTACTCGCCCTCTGTGGGTGGCGCACACTGTCTAACCAGTCCCAGTGAGATGAACTGTTTACTTCAGTTGGAAATGTAGAAATCACTCACCTTCTGCGTTGCTCTTACTTGTAGCAGCAGACTAGCTGTTCCTATTCAGCCATCTTGCATGGGAGCCCCAAGAATATTTATTTTTCATTACAGGTTTTATGAGGAAATGCTTACTCTAATATTATTGCATCTGAGAAATTCTGTTCTATTCTATGATTTTGTATATACATATATAAATTCTGAATCATAATTTATATATTTTATCCTACTTATTGAAATACAAGTTATGATTTAATCAATTGCTTAACAAATTTCTAATGAGTAAGGACCAATTTTAATAACAGTGGATAAGAACCAAAGTGAATTATTTCTATGGGTATTGGAGTGAATGAAAACCCCTACCTATATGTCCCTATGAACTTTATTATTATTATTATTATTATTGTATTTTTATTGATATTTCATAGTTGTACATATTTCTGGGGTACATGTGATATTTTGATACATGTTTACAAAGTGTAATGATCAATTCAGGGTAATTGAGGCATCCATCCCCTCAAACAGTTATATTTTCTTTGCATTAGGAAATTACTATTCTTCTCTTCTAGCTACTATGAAACATGCAATAAATTATTTTCCCATGCACTTTACTGCTGGAGTGGTATCTGAGCAAAACTGAGGATTCTTTAAGAATGAAGAAGGGGAAAGCCAAGTGTTAGATAAGTGGTGGTATTTATAACACAAGTTATTCTTTTCATGTACATAATCCATATTTTTTTGTTTCTTGGCCTAATTACTAAAATAATGTCAAGATCTAGAAGTACGCCTTTCTATAAGAAGCTGCATGTGATTACCATGAAATGGATTAACTATCTTTCTTGGACTCTCTCACATTTTCCTAACTTTAATTATGCCCTTCAAAAAGCTTTGGTATAATTGTTAGTCTAAGATTATACTTTCTTTATTTTTTTAAAAAAAATTATATTGGCCTGTGTGCTTCACAAGTCATCTCCTCACAGAGTGCCTGGTATATCTGTTTTATATATTTTCTGAATAACTGAATTAATACCTTTCAGATGAAACTTAAACATTAAATTTCTAAATTTGTCATAATTTTAGTGTGTATTCATAATGTACACTTTAATATACACAGAAAAAATTCTTAAGTCTGGATAAAAATTGATTTTGTAAAGTGATGTACAACAAGTTATATATCTTAATATATCAAAAAGTTGGTTGGTCATAGCACTTCCCACTAAAACCTTCTGACACATAAAGTGAACTATCATTTTTGTTTTCTTTCATGCAACATTTTCCTTTCCTTGATCATGCATGTATGAATGGTAAGCATAAAAGAGAAAGGACAGTAGAAAGCTATTATTTTTATAGTAATATGTTTATATACTAAAAAGGAAGCATAAGAATATCTGGAAATGCTCATATCAGGTCTTTGCCTATGGAATACATCACAATTCCATATCCAGAAACACATTTCAATCTCAATGTGTTTTATTTCTAAGACATATTCCTGAGGTTTGCTTTGTGTTTGTTTGTTCTAATCAAAATATGATATAGTCCTTGTATTCTGGAAACCATTATATTTTTTCTTGGAATTTTGGTATAGTCTCACTTTCTTGGGTAGTTTATATTTGGTTTATAATAGAAGCTTAATACACATACACACATGCAAGTACTTGTATCTGTGAAGAATTTTATTTGTTGAACTCATTTATGCTATGCACTCAAATGGCATAAATTAGTTAACTGGCATTTTGTGGCATTTAAAGCTGTTGAAATGAAGCAAATGTCCCTCCCTTCAAAATGTCTAATACAATAGTTTTACTTTTTTAATTAGTCAAATCAGAGTTAGCTAGAAAAATTAAAGTGACTGAGTATATTTAATTAACTAAGCACTCTAGTAAGTCAAGGTAAATGCTCAAGAAAATAGTCTTCATTATGTAAAGAATTCTGTAAAAGGAATCAATATTTAATAGTAGCTCTATTTTTACAAAGATAGAAACTAAGATTATATATTTTATTGGATGTTTTCTTTTTATGTATTTTTTTCCTCACGCAAATGGAAAATGGACTCAAATCAACATTTTTTTGTTAAGAGTTAATGTTTAATTTTTCCATTATACATAACTATATATTAAAGATGATACAAACAGTATATTTTAAACACAAGTAGACGGGCTGTAATTGTCAAAATACTTCTATGTATGAATTTAGGTACTATTAGATAACAACAACAAAAATCATTGTACCTTCATGTTAAGAAAATACTTTATTTTATCTAAAAATTCCTGTAGTGATGAAAGGTGAAGCCAGCTAGACTTCCTGGGTGGAGTGGGGACTTGGATAATTTTTCTGTCTAGCTAAAGGATTGTAAATGCACCAATCAGCACTCTGTAAAAATGCACCAATCAGCGCTCTGTGTCTAGCTAAAGGATTGTAAATGCACCAATTAGGACTCTGTAAAAATGCACCAATCAGCACTTTGTGTCTAGCTAAAGGATTGTAAATGCACCAATCAGCATTCTGTAAAATGGAACAATCAGTGCTCTGTGAAATAGACCAATCAGCAGGACGTGGGTGGGGACAAATAATGGAATAAAAGCTGGCCACGCCAGCTAGCAGTGGCAACCTGCTAGGGTCCCCTTCCATGCTGTGGAAGCTTTGTTCTTTAGCTCTTTACAATAAATCTTGCTGCTGCCCACTCTTTGGGTCCATGCCACCTTTACGAGCTGTAACACTCACCACGAAGGTCCATGGCTTCATTCTTGAAGTCAGCGAAACCAAGAACCCGCTGAAAGGAACCAACTCCGGACACAGTGATACATGATAAAACATGATAAAATCTCATATTAAGTAACATTCTTCTCATATTTCATTGGCTGTATAACAGTATAATAACTATCTTGAGGGAATGGCATAGGACAAGACAATGTTTTTAAAAGTTTTGATTTCACAAAATTATAAAGAAATTATGGGCATGTGCAACATAATCACCAAATTTCCTTTTATTAGGTCAAACTGTTAAGTGCCAATTGAATAGGCAACTCAAAGAAGGAAAAATAAGAAAAAAAGAAGAAAGAGGAGGAGGGAAAGGAGACAAAGGAGAGGGAGAGAAAGAAAGGGAGGGTAAAAAGAAGAGAACCAAAGAAAAAAATGGTCATTTATCAGCATTTGGACTGTAAAAGAGTTTTGGGCACTTTAGGTCCTTTATTTTGGTGGAAAGGTCTTACTGAAATGCCAGGGTTTGGGGCTATGTCTTGCTGCTTACTGCACAGAAAGCCAATCACTGAGGCCTAAGTATTGCCAGGGAAGAAGGCTTTATTCAGGTGCTATAGCCAAGGAGATGAGAGACCAGTGTCAAATTCATATCCCTGACCAACTAAAATCAGGGGCTTATATAGCAAGGAAGAAATGTATACTATATGCAGCAAAACAGGAATTAGAGAGGTGTAAAAAAGGAGTTGGTGAACAGGAAGCAGGTGGTCCACTAGGCACTCATGATGGGTTAATTGCCTGGTGTCTCATTGACCAGATGTGATAGTCTGGTAAGTTTCAGTTCCTTTATATCATCTAGGAGGCCTGATGGTTGGTTTCCTGAGAAAGGAACTCAGTAAGACAAATGTAACTTTCTCACGTTTTAACACTGGGAGGGCCAATTTCTATGTTTATTCAAAACAAACCATACACATTAGTTCTATGGGTCATTTTGGCTGGTTTCAAAAGAAGATGCTTTTAAGAAGTGTTGCTAATTTAAAACTTCTGGTAAGCTGGAGAGCATTATCTCCCAAATAAGTTATTTAAGACTTTATAGGACTTAGATAACTATTACATTTTTTCAAATATTTCACAGTACATCATTACAGAGAATTTTTACCATGAAGTTTGCTAAAATAAACAGCCGTTTGTTTTGTTTGCTTAATAATAAAATTACAAGACTTTGGAAGTATTTATTTGTAAATGCTTTATAGGGCACAATGAAAGGTACAAGCAGAGGTTGGCATTGTTTATTTTGGGAGAAAGAAATTAAGAAAGCACAAGTGCCAAACATACAAACAGGACTCCCAAATCAATATAAGGTGGTCAATGAGTCTGCAGAATTTTTACATTCTATTAAAGTCACTGGGAAGCCACCACTAGGAAATTAGGTGGAAAAATTTTTCTCAATGAGAAAGAACAATTTCTGGAGAAAGAATGTTTTGAAAGAAAATAGATAATAATCATGAAGATGGTGAACCTTCCTGTGTCCAGCTTTTTTTTTTTTAAAGTAGTTCTATCCCTTTCCTACTCTCAGCCTATAAATAACACTGCTGCATCTGGCTGTTATGACTTACTAATAAAGATAATCCAATTCCTTTCCTTGGTTCTAATTTCACACCATGTAACAAACTTCCAGGTATAGGTTATCTTCTAGCGTACTATTCTACAGGGAGAATATGAACTAACCTGGAAAAATTTTGTAATCATTCAAGCAGTTTGAGGTCTCCAGAAATAAAGCAAATTTATTTCATTTGTTTCTGATCCTTGAGCATGTTGTTCTATCTACTAAGAGAAAATTCTTGTTTGTTGGTGTAAGTAAATAACATTTAGAAGAAACCTGTGTGATAGACACTTGGTATTTTTTATGATGGCCTCACAACAACTTAGATAGAAGTAAGGAGCAATTTTTTACAGTTAGGAAATTTAAGCTCAGAGGCATAAAAATATTACTTTACAGACATAAAACAAGTGGAAGAGCCATAAACCGAAACCAATTCTTTCTGAATGCAAAGTCTTTTTTTCCTATTACACATCACATGCCACCTTCTTATCATATTTATGGCACCACTGGCTGAGAATTTCTTATAATTGAGTGAATAACATATTTAACAGTTGTGCATTTTATCTTTACATGTCTGATAATTTTAACAAGTAAATTGTGAGTTTGCACAAGAAGACATATGTCATGTACTTTTGCATTTTCTACTATGCCTCATGAAGACTGAGGCCAAATGGTCAGAATTTAATTCCTATCAATTGACACGTTGATTTGTTGTGATTTCAGAAAAGCAAAAAATAATGTAAGTAATATGATCATGCTTAGACACAGGCTTATATTTTTGTTTTGTTAGACTGTAATGCCAAATAGTCATTTTTGCCTAAATTTTTCACTTATACTCTAGTTGTTTTAATCAACTTTAAATATAATTTGTAGAGCGAAATAGAAAAATCATAGACAGTAATTTATAGTGAAGGCCATTTATCATTTGGGAATAATTAAAATTTTGTAGCTTTTTCTCATTAGCTTTTCCCCTAAACTTAATTTCTATTGATTTTTGTCTGAGATAATTGAAGAAAATTATTACCAATTTTATGTACTCTTGACCACGGATCTTAAACTAAAGCCTAATTGCTAAGTTTTAGCTTCCATATTCATCAAATTTACCTGTGCTTGCCATTATTTTGCTCTCTCGTAAATAGGCTCTGTCCAATATTACAAACTCATCTTAAGACTCCAGGAAAGTTCTTGGGCTAATTTCTTAGTTCTTCATCTGATAAGTGAAGGTAGTCTTTTATTTATTTATTTATTTTTATTTTTATTTTTATTTTTTTTAGACAAGTCTCACTCTGTCGCCCAGGCTGGAGTGCAGTGGTGTGAGCTTTGCTCACTGCAAGCTTCGCCTCCCAGGTTCATGCCATTCTTCTGCCTCAGCCTCCCAAATAGCTGGGACTACACGCATCCGCCACCATGCCTGGTAATTTTTTTTTTGTATTTTTAGTAGAGACAGGGTTTCACCATGTTAGCCAGGATGGTCTTGACCTCCTGACCTCATGATTTGCCTGCCTCAGCCTCCCAGAGTGCTGGGGATTACAGGTGTGAGCCACCACACCCAGCCTTTTTTTTTTTTTAACTCTGTCTTAAGGAAACTGACAACATTGCTAGGCCTAATTTCCATCAAGTTTTGAACATTTCCAGTGGTTAGGACAAAAGTGCTCCCAGAAAAGCTAATTATAACAGTTCATAACATTGCTATCTATTGAATTACACCCAATTTAATTATTGTCTTTTTAGTTTATGGGTTTCTAGTCAAATCTATATAAAACTTCAAGATAATTATTGCAATTACCATTATTACTAGAACCATCCCGTTAATATTAAAATACAGTTCCAAAATTGGGCTACTATTTATTTCTCTACTAATACAATGTATTTACTTGTTAATAAAGTGACATGTACTCATGTACCCATCAAATGTTTGTTAATATTTCTGGAAGAACAAAACTCAATCAGTCACATATAAATCATAAAAGGTTGAATGAGTTTTCTGGCTTCCCACAGACACTAATAGCTTATCTAAGAGAGATTGTCACCTCTTTTTCCTTTCATTGTAACATTAAGCAAGAAATCTAGTCTGCATTAAAAATAAATGCAGAAAATACAACTGGGCTAAAAAAAAAAAAAACCTTGCCATAGAAACGCTGTGGGGACAATCTAAAGGATTGACTTTCATTTCCTTTTTTATCTGTTCTTTTTCTCATATTTTTTAGGGTGTCCAGAGAGAAGGATGGTATAATATCTATTTGGTTATGAAATTTACAATAGAGTTTTTGATGCAAAAAGAAACCTTATCCCAAGGTTTAGAAAAAAGGGATATATATATAAAGTATATATATACTAGTATATATATGTATGTTTGTATATGTATTTGTATGTGTATGTGTATGTGTATGTGTATTTGTGTGTGTGTGTGTATACACACCTCGTCATTTGCTGTAACTCATAAAGACCTAGTTTTCCTTTTAAGTGAAAGCTAGAGTAGCATACAATAAAAGGCCTTTAGATCTTCACTCAGTTATTACATCCATTTTAAAAATAAAATTTATTTACAGAATATGTGTAAGTATATTAGTTTGGTGCAAAAGTAATTGTGGTTTTTGCCATTAAAAGTAATGCTCAAAACTGCAATAACTTTTGCACCAACCTGACCAAACTGATATTTATGTATACACACATACACATAGATATACAAATACATATACAATATATGCATGTGTGTGTATACATATATACACACACACATATATGACCTTTTTAATCATCTTCTGCAAAGTAGTTCTAAATTGACCAAAAGCAACATTTTCTGTTTAAGAGATATGTGGATTCTTAATCAGGGAAAATAAGTTGGGCTGGTGGGACCAGGTGAAAGCAAAAAGAGAAAGAATGTAAGTTATAAGTTTGCCTTTATATGGAGTCCAGGACACATATCCCTCCTGTACAAATAACTCACAGTCTTCCTGTACCCAGCTATCATCACACCCTTGTTTTATAGAAATTTGCAAGTTAACTCACTGCAACCTTGACATTATTAGTACTACACAAAGCCCTCTTCTGAACACAGCACAAGTACCATTCTCAAAAATGCCCAACAAGCCCTTGTCTTCTTGCAGTCAGCTCCTCTCCTACTGGTCTGCCCATTGCTCCCTGGCAATGTATTTTCATACTTTCTTTAATAAATCTCTCTTTCTTTACCTACAACTGTCTTGGTAAATTTTTCTTACCCTGGTACCACTGGCCTCAGATATTCACTGTTCACCTGCTACAAGGTGTACCTTAGAGAAGACAAAGTGTGTGTCTAGGGTAGTTGCACGGAAAAGGTTTGCAAATTTTACGGGTAAAGATAAAAGATTAGGTTGGCCAAGGTACAAAGCTGACAGGGATTTGGATAAACTGCTCCTAGGACAACACAAACATATGCATAGTTGCTATTCCCTATGATTTATCTTTCTAAAAATGCTGAATGGAAAAATAATACAAAAAAAGATTTAAAATTTAGATATTCAATATTGTGAATGAAGCACCACAAGCACTGCTTGGTGATTTACATAGAGTTTTAAAGTATTTATCACATTCTTTGGGAATTAATGATTATTTAATCTTCCCTCCTAGACCATATGCTCTTTGAAAGTTAAAATTTTGCTTTGTTGTATTATTATATCCACTCCCTGGCTTAAAGACATTGAATAGAATAGAACTAAGCAATCAATACACTCAATATTTGTGAGTGACTGTGTATGTAAGCTGAGTATTTTAATCTATCAATTACTTAACCAACTTGGAAAATAAAAGGTCTTAGTGATAGCAGTGGTGACCCATCTGGAGCAGCCTCTGCTGCAGTGAAGGAGGTGTGGCCAGGGTTGCATGCCCCACTGAGTTGGCGGAAGCCAGGGGGAGGTGGAAGCCTTGCCCCCTTCCAAGTTGGCAGGGTGGGAGTCTCGCCCTTCTGTCAACAGCTGCAGCTGACCAGCTGTTTATGTGGACCAGACACCTCTGCACTCTCAGGGGCCCAGGAAGTCCCCCTGCCTCTGTAGGCTCAGAAGTTCCTGATTGCACTGCCTGGCCTCTCCCTGCTCCCAGCAAGCACTCCAATTTCGGAGCAAAGTTGATACTGAGGCCAGATGCTGTTGCAACATGGCTGGGTGTGTGCACACTCAGGACAGTGCTGACGTGCCAGCCCCCTGCCACCTCGGTCTCCTCTGGAATTTGGGCTCTGATGAGCATGGGAGGGAGGCCTATGGGGGTACTGAGGGTGGCTTAACATGGGCCTGCAGTCACCCCTTGGCAAGGACAGCCTTGGCACCATGGGCACTGTGAATGGCAGGTTCATGGCAGAAGAAGGCAGACAGGCTCCTTGGAAGAAAGGTCTGGGTCCCCGTTGAAACCCCACCTTCAGGCAAGGGATGGCCTGAGGCCTGGGGGACAAGCTGCCAGTCCCATGGACCAGATTGAGAACTTACGGTGCTTTTTCTGGGCCTGCCCTTGGCCAGTCATGGAGCAATCAGCATGCACTTCCTCCCCTCTGAAGTCCATAAAAATCCCAGACTCAGCCAGACTCAGGTAAATGACAGGATTCTCTGCCTGTGGAGAGGAACTAGGCACTGTGGGTCTGCTTTCTGCTCAGAGCTGAAGAGACTTTTGGATCACCTGCCTGCAAAAAGGAGCTACCCACTGTGGGTCTCCTGAGAACTGTTCTGCCACTCAATGAAGCTTCTCTCTTCCTTGCTCACACTCCAGTTGTCTGTGTACCTCATATTTCCTCCTGGACATGGGGCAAGAGCTCTGGACCTGCCGAATGGTGGGACTAAAAGAACTGTAACACAAGCAGGGATGAAACATGTCCTCCACTAGCCACATTGTGGAAAATGAGAAAGAAAGAAGAGCCGTAGCATTCTGGGGAGCCCAGACCTATGAGCTCCCTGAGCCAGAGCTATGAAATCCTCTTTGGGGCTCTGTGGTTCCTGGTGTCTCCAAGCTTCCAGGCACCACCGTGTTCCCCAGTGTCAGCCGTGGAAGTTGCTTGCAGTATGCCTGGTCCAGCTGCAGCCTTGCAGGGAGCTGGCACCCATGCTGACACCTGGAGCTGCCTGCCCTGTGACAACCAGAGTGGTTGGCTGTGCACAGTGACCGGACCCCATGCTAACTTGCTCACACAACCCTCACTGCTCTGTGACTGGCTCAACCTTGGCAGGCATGGGATCTAGGCCAGTAGTGTGATCCAAGTGCAGGCTGCCAGGCCAAGTGGGCAGAAGGAGCCCAGGAGGTCTGAGTAAAACTCGGGCAAAGGTGCCATCAACCACAGAGGTTTCCAGTTGGAAAAATGACACCCCAAGGATCCTGTGACATTAGAAACATATAAACATGCTATGTTCATACATATTGTCAACATTTAAAAGAATAAAATTGCACATATTCTTCTGAGAAGCAATGTTAGAGAAATATAACATTAAAAAGTACTAAGCTTAGCTTTAATATTTCAGTTGCATTTTTCAGTTAGGTACATTTAATGCTCTTCCAAGAAAAAAAATTTGAAATCATAATTTATCCCCCAAAAAGTGCATTTAACAAAAAACAAAAAAAAAAAAAGAAAGAAAGAAAAAAAGGAACTTTTTTTCAATTACAACTACAAATGAAAAGAGACTCTAATATCAGGCAGCAAGATACTGATAATGACTCATAAACTGCGTAAATTGGGCATTTTCTCACTGTGTGATCCTTTATAAACATTAGGTAGGGAAATGTTCAAACCTGACTGAATTTCATATATGCAAGACGTAGCTGACACATTGATTACTAGAATTTTAGGGGAGCTATTATTTTAATGATAATATATGGAAAGTTGAGTGCATTTTCTTTTATGTTTTGCATATTAATGTTCACTTGAAGATAGGAAACAAGGTACCCCATCATTTACTGCAACTCTTGAAGACCTAGTTTTCCTTTTAAGTGAAAGCTAGAGTAGTATACAAAAAAAGACCTTTTAAATCTTCACTCAGTTATAACATCCATTTTAAAAATTAAATTTCTTTACAGAATATGTTGAGGGAATACAAATTTCAAAGCATTTAACATATTAAGGGATCTAAAACATTACTATACTTTCTTATTATTGACTAAAATGATGTTTAATTTTGAAACATTGGCAAATGACAGTCATTTTTGGATGTAACATTTCTAGTCACCTTGAATACTTAACATTTTACCTGAAAGCATACCTCATAGTACATTTTAAAATAAACACTTAAAGGACAACGTGTGTTTTAGCTTATATGATTTTTTTAGGTCATTTACAAAATATTCTTAAATCAAATTTTACTTAGGAATCACAGCTCCAATACAGTTTTAAGTCATCGATACTATAGTATCTCTATAAAATGAATTATATTATTTTTTACTTAATAATAAGTGTACTAAAATCAACTAGTGATTTTCTTATATTTATTTTTTTATTTTTGCTAGTAAACATTGGCATCAGTGATAATATATGTTAGACATGATTACCAATGATCCAACTCATAAAATCTTAGAAAATGGAGCTAAAATGGAAACTAAAGATTACTTAAAAATAAAATCACCAAAATTCTGTGATTTGTTCAATGTCATATGACTCAGTACATATTCTTCCTTTTTGATTTGGCTAAATTGGCAAAATACACATATATTTATGTCAAACATGATTTTGGAGAGCCTTCACTATGGTTATTCAGTAGCCAGTAAATGGATGTGTGAATTAGCCAGTTTGCCTGCTGCTGTCATTCTTTACTCTGGGCCTGACACTGGCAGAAATTCATCATAAAAACAGCCTGTAAGTTGGGATAATATTTGTTGATTATTCTTTTATGTGACTTAATTGTATAAAACATTCCTTAAACCACCTTTTCCTTGTTGCAAGTAAGTTTTCAGTGTATGAGAGACTACTTTCTCCAAAGTTTATAAGATCTTCATGTTCTAAGTATTTAACAAGGCTTTTTAGTAACCACTTCATGAATCAGTTCTCCCATGAGAACTGAAAAAAATATGTATCTCCTTGGAGGAAAATATCTAACTTCACAGCTGACAGGCACTCTTAGTTATCATTTTATGTTTAAAAAATGCACATTAAGGCTTCTAAAATAAATAATTTTCTATATTAATCATATCTATGCTCCCTTTAAAAGCATTATTTATGACTGTGGTTTCAGCATTTTCTTACCATACATAAAAGAGAAACTCCTATATTATCCATCATCACCCTGAATATTGTGAAGTATATTAAAATAGCTGTACCAGAGGTATAATTTTATCTCTCTTTTCCTAGCCACCAGAGAGAGATTTGATGTTTTCTTGAAAATTTATTTGCTTGAAATTCACCTCTTCAATTCCCATTGTGTAATAGAAGCTGGATTAAATTTGGCTGCTCTAAAATCATATACAGATGAAATCATAGAGTCCATGCCATGTACATTTCTGTGTCTGTTCTCCTTCATTCAACATATAATTTTGATCATCATCCCTGTTTATGTGTGTATCACTTGATTACTGTTTGTTTGCTGTTAATTGCTAAGTAGTATTGTATTATTCCATTTTACAAATATAGCATTCTTCTGTGGATGGACATTTAGATTGTTCCTTGTTTGGGGCTATGACTAATAAAGCTGATATGAAAATTTTTACACAAGTTATATATGTTTTATTCCCATTTGTCTTTTTTACCTAGAATAAAATTTTTAACTATTAGAGCGTGTGTATATTTATCTTTAAAAGAAACTAAACAGTCCAAAGAATTGCAGCATTTTTGCACTCCCACTAGCAATGTATAGCAGTTCTAGTTGCTCCAGGTCTCTTACAAAAAACAATATATGTCTAGAAAAGGTTAGTGAAAAGTAACAAAAAAAGGTCATACACACACACAGTAAGTTAAAATAAGTTAGATATTATCTGATCATATTCTCTTATAATAATTTGAAAGAAACAAAATTATAAGAAAAATAAACATTTTTTCTTAGAAATTACATAATGGTGTTCTATGTAATCTCTTAATCGAAAACTATAATTATAAATTTTCTACACTTATATCACATGATAATAATTACCAAAAAGCTTGTTGACAGAAGTTGAAACTAGTACCAGAAGGTAATTGATAGAATTCATTTTTTCATTCATTCATTCTTTTTTTAGTGCTATTGTTATAAAAGATACTGAAGATCCCTGGGCTTAAATCATTTTAAGAGGCTAGAGAAGAACCCATTCCCAAACCAAAACAAATCTAGAGAAAGAAATTATTATGATGAAACTGAAGTTAATATAATATATAAAGAAAATTTGTGGAAAGGAATACTAAAATGAAAACAATTTTTGAAAAGTCCAAATAGATGAATGCCTAGCAATCTTGATGAATAATCCTTGCTGACATATCTTGTGGGAAGGTGAATATGTTCAGGAATTTTAACAAATAATGTACAAATGCATTTGAAAAATTTAAATACCCAAATCCATTGACCTAGCATTGCCATTTAAAAAAATATAATCCTATAATTAAAGCACTAGTATTATGGACATATCTATAATATTTCTTCTAACATTATATGTAGAGGCAGATAAATAATCACATAGGAAATTAGTGAATTATTAATGACATATCCACTCTAGACATCATTATGTAACTATAAATGGAATGAATTGGATTTTGACATAGTTTCCTTCTGGAAATCTATAACACACATGTTTAAATGTACAGTTGTAGATAATACATACATTATGATCCTTTTTTTGAAAAAAGTAACTTTATATTTTTATGAATTTTCCACATTTTTACATTTGCATAAAGAAATTTTGAAAGGGCATATGCCAAAATGTTAATATGCCTTAACTCAGAGCAATACGATTTGGGGAAGCTGTGGGGGAGATTATTAACTTTTTAAACACAATTCTGCAATGCTTGACTTGTTAAACACGTAGCAATTATGTGGTTTAAAATACCATAAGTTAAAGTAAAGCAGACAAATTATTTCTCATGAGTGGAATAATAAACAAACCTGAAGTGCCCAGCTTAGAAGAACTGAAATATTAATGGACGATGTGAAGAAAAACACTGATAGTTTTCTTTAGTCTATAATAGAAAGACAATCATAATTGAGTGAGAATTGAAGCAGAGAATAATTAAAACACAAATAACAGAACATGTTGAAACTTTTAAAATACATAATATTCTCTAATCTCAGAAAATTCATATTCTAAGACCCTGACATAACTTATAGGCGATAGTAGCAACAAATCTGACATTATTAGAGGGTAAAATTGTTTAAAAAACAAAGCTCAAGGAAAAAAAATGGATTCAAGGAAAGCTACCCTAATTTCCAAAAGAGAAAACTGAATACTAAAATTTGAGGACAGAACGCTCAGTCTCCCTCAAAGTCACAACAGTGGAAATGAAAGTGTTTTATGATCATTAGGAAAGGGTGGTCACCAGGCACTAGTGCAGCTTTAAGAACAAATTGTGCACAAATCAGGCTCCTTTTATCCTAAATAATTTATCCATTGACATTTGATAGAGACAGTGTGTGTTATTTCACTCTGTTAGAAACGTCTTTTATAATATCTAAAGAAGATGAGATGAAGACTGAATAATGATGAAGTCAAATTGTTGAACAACTATTTGCTCATTGGCTTAAAGAGAGGTTTATTAAATACACTCTGAAATTTTAAATTATCTTATGTAAATAATTACCTGGAAGGTAGTTCATTCTCAATTACTTAAAATACGTATTAGTTTTTCAGAACTGTCTATATATTTCAGTGTCAAATCTAGCAATGGATATGTTTTCTATTTTCCCTACATGTAAATTGTTCAAGTCTGTAAAGTGGAATTCCAAGTAATTTTCAGTAGTTAAAGATGAAAAAGCCTGGTTTCATATATTTAGATTCCATTTTCCTGGCTGTGGAAGAAATAATAATAATACTTACGGGAGAATTAAAACTGAATGGAAACTTCCAATTTTATTAAATAAAACTCAAACAGCTATATTATATAAAAGAGAGTTATAAGGGGAAAAGCATGCTATTAAAGTTTGGGAGTACAATCACCTTGGTGAGATAGACTATCTAGAATATAGAACTTAACTCATTGTAGATTTCAGTAACAAAAGTATAGTCCTAGAAGTGTAGTTTATAGTATATTGAAATAACCACTAGATCTATAAATAGAAAATTGTGTACATGAATTATGGTACCAAATACAATGAAATAGTATACCACTGTTAAAGCTTAGGATATAGCTTTTTATGAGCTAAGGCTAAAAGATCTCTAAAATACATCTTGAATGAGAAAGAAAAACGAAGATACAGAACTTATATAGCGTACGTCCTTTTTTGTTAAAAACACTGATTATATATGGTATACATACATACACAGTCATATATCTATATGTCCACATATATAGCCAAACACTTGTTTTTACACAAAACATTTCTAGAATACTGAATATGTTAAACAATAAACTATTGACAGTTGTCATTTTTTGGAATAAGCCTGATATACAGAGACAAGATACTCAGTTTCCATTGTATATAGAACATATTCAATTACTGCTTGAATATTTTATGATGTGTTATTATTAAATAAATACAACATAAATTTAGAACATTATATTCAAAGTGTATACATAAAATTATTGCTTAACTTTAAAGTAGCTCTAAAAATCTATCATAAACTAATAAATTGTTGACTACAGGTAAGCCACACAGATTAAAATTGTCTTTTATTTTCTCTGAACTTTGGCCTTTATAAAACTCCATAAATGTATATCAATTCTGAAATTATCAATTTCACTAATGACAGAAATGGCTTTCTATTTTTAGGGCTTGGTACTCTAATATAAGGTCCTTTGACTTATGTTTGTATTTCCCAAATTACCAAAATGTATAAAACATTAAGACACTCTGAACTTTATTGGTACCTTTTCTATACTATCCTACTATCCTACATTAATTTTTACATCTACTTTAGTCCAGATAGAACAGAACAAAACCTGGGAGATCCAGTAATAATATTCCTATGTGATGCTGTTGAGGCAATGATATCCACTTTACATGCAGTCCTTTTAAGCAATAATTGATTCTAATTCTTGGCCTTCTCTGATATTTTCTAATTGACTTTAAATTCACAAAGATTATGCATACAATTAATATTTACATTGCAAATGATGTTTCAAAAACTGATCTTTATAAATGTGTATATTACTTTATGAATATTTCTTACATCCAACATCCTAAATTATCACTCTCACATCTTACATCCTAAATTATAGATCTCACATCAATTATCTTGAGGTGCTCAAGGAAACTCAGACCATATTCTAGAGGAATTGGTGAAATACATTACTATTTAAATAGCTTTTTAAAAGTGAACAATAGCGATTGCTATACCATTTACTCTATTATACATATAACATTATTATTATTAATTACATTGGAGAATGCCATATTTCAAAAAGTTAGCAATATATTTTCTCCTAGCTTTGAGAAAACTTTTGGAGCCTAAATGCAGACTTAGAGAGAATTGTGTTCTTTTCATGTTACTCATTTTCTAAGCCACCATTTGTGTAGTTTCATCATCAGGCATCTCGAAACATGAGTAAAATTTTAAAAAGTAATTACGTAACTACTCACAGAAGAAACAAAATTTATATTTGTTTACAGAAAATAAGAAAAAAATTGAAGTTAATCTGCAGCATAGTGATATGCCCAAAAGGCATCCATTTTTCACCAAATATTTCTTGAGAGCCAACTAAGTCCCAGCCTCTTTTCTAGAAACTTAAAATTTTACAGTGAATAAAAGTAATTAAAATATCTGTCTTAAAGGCACTGAAATCCAATTGAGCAGAGATGGACAAAATGCATTCTATGAGTAGAATACATGGTACCCTGGGTGGTGCAATTTCAAAATGACTGGCTATGAAAAGCTTCACTAACACAGTGACATTGTGGCTAAGTCCTGAAGAGGTGAATGGGTTGAGAGGGTTTCTTATATTACCATCTTGGGGAAAGACTATTCCAGGGAAAGGAAACTGAAAATGCAAAAATTGTGAATTGAAAGTGTGCCTCGTCTTGAATGCTTTAAAAAGAACCAGAAGGTTGGTTTGGCCAAAATATAGTGAGCCAGGAGGACAGACATGAGGTAGCTATGATAAGGATTTTGGCTTTGCTGAAAAGATGGGAAATCATTACAGGTCTTGGAGCAGAGGAGCTGAACATGTGACTTATGAAGACCAAAACGCTTTGGGTGCTGTGTTGAAAGGGAAAGAGGGGTAGGGACACAGTAAGGGAATTAATTAGGAAGCTATTGTAAAATACTTAGTACAGAAATGATAGAGATTTGGACCAGTGCAGTAAAGAGAAGGCACTGAAGTAGGTAGATTCTGGATATATTTTGAAGGTAGACTAGACAGAATTTATGGACAGATAAGATAGGGGGGTGCAAAGAAAAGAGAGCAGACAAGGATGACTCTGAGACTTTTGGCATAAATGACTGGAAAGATAAAGGTGCTTTTTACTGAGATGGGGAAGATAATGGGACATGCTGGATATTTTGGCCCTCAAGGTTTGCTATTTGGGGATGTGAAGATAAAGCAGGTGGATATGTTGAATAAAAGTGTGATACATTAGGTCATAATACACAGGCAAAGTCTGGAATGGAAGAAGTAATTTAGGTTCTGTCTGCAGTTAAATGGTATTTAAGGCTCATGACAATGAGTGAGATTGCCAAGAAAGTAGGTATAGACAGCAAAAGGAAGAAAAGATAAAGCCAAAATCTGGGAGATTCTAATGATTAAAAACGAGATAGGAAGAATATTAGAAAGAGTATGACAGGCCATAGTTTCGTAGAAGAGTCCAGTTCCCTGTGAATTAAGTGGAAAAAGGTGTCACAAAATAGTGACTAACTGTGTCTAACTTATTTATGGATTAAGAAATATGAGGAATATTATGAAGCATGAAAATATAAATGGATATTTTAAAACCCTCCTGTGGTTAGGACAATTACAAGTTTGAAAAACTAAAAGGTAAGATTAGCCATAAAGTATGATTCACACATACACTGAATAATAATAACCACTTCATTTTAGGTGTATTGGAAATAGTTTAATGATTTATAAATAAATTTAATAATCATGAATCTAAGTATTTTAATCTAGGGGACAATAATTTAGGAACTATCCAATTCAAAATCATAGTGTTGCGATCAGAAAAGGAAGTATACAACTTATACAGATATTTTCTAAAATGTCCTAAGCGTTCTCACAAACTTGCTCTGAATAAAATCTCCATAAATATTTTGTAGAGTGTTTATAGTTCTTCCAAGGATGAATAGAGTCAAGCATGACCTCAAACCTTTTATGGTAGAGTTGAAAGAACAATTTTATTTCCTTCTAAGAAAAATCATAGCCATGGTAAGTATATTAAACTAATGTTCAGAAGCAAGAAGAAATTTTCAATCTGATCAGAATTGAGTTGAGACAGATGTTTTAAAGCATCAATAATGTAATTTCTGTCAACTAGACTGTATTGAGTATATCAGGAAAATAGAACAATAAATTTTAGAATATATACCATAATAATAATGCCTCAAGCCATCATACTGAATATTATTAGTCATGCATAACACATGGATACTAAAACACATGGTGCCAATAATTGAGAGCTAGGGCAGGATTCAAGAGGTATCATTATTGGTAGTGCAAAAATAATGGGAAGAATTCACAGAATCACATTCTTAAAGTCAATACGTGGAATAATTTCTCATTTTGTTTTTATTTATTTTATTTTTATTTTATTTTATTTTATTTTATTTCTGTAAGCAAGAAAGCAATGTTTAAGTTCTATAGAATGGCAATAATAGAGACTTGGGAATAAGAATAATTTTAATTGTATACTTTAAAAAATCAAACCTATGCTTGCAAAAGTTAATCATGCAAAAATAATTTTTTGAAAATACTGGTTAAAATACAATAGCATTCTATTAATATGTGTAAAGTAATTGTTCCATAAATATAATTTAATTTATAAATATCTCTTTTAGTTATTTAAATATGTGTGAAATAAACAGCCCAGGACTAGAATAAACTTCTAAAGATATCCAGAATGCTAAATATTTCATAGTAGATTTGATATATCTGTTCTATAAGGTATGTTTATGCCAGAAATTCTGGTTTGCTGGGGTGGGAGGAGGCTTAACTTTTATTCCACAGCGCCATATAACACCCTAGTCACTTGCATGGTAGTAATGTTCTTTTTGCTTTTAACAAGGAAGAAAAGGGATGCATCAATCACGACTCTCCTTCCTCCCCTAAAAATACTGAAATACGAAACAATAAAATTTGAAATTAGAGCTGTACAAAATAGAAATCACTGCCTTGTGCAATAAAAATGCATGGCAAAAGAAAACATATAGAATCAGAAGAAATAGATTGGAGATCCAAATCTCTCCATAACCACTTCTATGACTTTGGTCTGTTCAAACGGTCTAAGTCTTAATTTCCACATCCACAAAATGAAAATATGCTTGGGAAATATGAGAAGACTTAGAGTTTGGGCTCCTATGGGATTGCTAAGAGTTCTCCTTGACACAGCTGCCACCTTACCTTAAGCATGCACATAAGAAGAAAGAGTAGAAAAGAGGAGAGATTTGCATATTCTCGCCTGGTCTTAGCAGTTTTCTGCTCCTTGGGTCAAAGCTAGAGCACTTTTCCTGGAGCTCTCTCTCTTCACCCTCATGCCCACTTCTGGATTTGACAGTGTATTGCATTCATGTCAGGGGATACTGCAGAGAGAAGAAAGGTGGGAGTGGATATGGGGTGGGTAACCTCACTTCTGGTTTGGTGGTGCTTATTTATTTATTTAATGCATAGTATAGTTTTCTAGGCATTAGCCTAGAAATCACAACTCATAAAATACTGTTCTTGCCCTGATGGGAATCAAGCCATAGATGATAAGTTATGCAAGTAAAAATTTCAAAACAATGTAGAAAATTGAATAAAGGTCTAAATTTTATATTAAACAATGCATATATATTTACAGTCATTTGCCTAAAGGGCTAATAGCCCAACTGTTAAAGGTACCTGTGCCAACATCAAATGTGATAAATTCCCTGCTTGGGTCTAGCATACTCTTCCCTGGGGAAATTTGAAGATCAGAATTGGAATGTGGGAATTATAGACAGACGGATGGCTAGCAAATACCAAAACTGGCCCTCAGTAGTACCCACCTCAAACTGCCCTGGTTTGGATTGTAGCAAAGACAAAGGCTGACTGCCATGGTGAAACAGACAGGGAATAATCATTCACAACAGGCCCTAGTATGGCATATGGATAAACCTTTAAGATAGATATATCTTATGGCTTGAGCAAGCTGTTTCTTGCAGTTTCCGGCAGTATGGGATATTAACTTAGCTAAATCTTTTAAAGTTGTGGATTCTGGGGAATTGGGTCAGATTCTTGGCCACAGGTATGTAAATATGTTAAGAACCTGCGTGACCGTCTAGTATGTGTTAATAAAATGTTTCTATTCAGGGGGTGAGAAAATAAATGAAAGCAAAAGGAGCTAGGCAGCATCAGAAAATATTTAATATAGGAATGACAATAGTATGTAAGTTTTAAAAATCTGTTTAGCTGTCTGAATATAGCAGAGGATAGTTTTTCAGAAATGTATAAAATAGTAAAATTGTATCTTGAGTTGAAAATATTAACATTAAAAGCTGAAAGTCCTGAAAACTATTTTTATTTTAGAGATAATAATTTGTTAATTCAAAACTCTTGAAAATAAAATAAAAATGTCAACCCTAAAATTTCAGAGGAATATTCTGGAAGTCGAATACAATGTGAACCAGAAATTATTATTGGTACCATTATTATTATTGTTGTTGTTATTATTATTGCTATTAGAATTAGAGGAGAGGCAGAGAGTTATGTTAGAGCAATGTCCAGGCTTTAGGATGAACAAGAAATGGAGTTGGCTAAGAGTGCAGATGAGTTGCCCTCACAGAGTTAGATGAAACGAGAATAGAATGTCAGCTATGTGCCTAATGAGACGGGAGAACTCCCTGAGCCCCTTGCAGGCCTTGCAACAGGGGTGTGGCTTGTTTGCTCTGCTGCTGAGCACTCAAACCCCTCACTGGAGAGGGAGCATGCAGATGGGCAGGTACCGGAGCCAGGACGAGCGCTTTTGGGCTCAGACCCCATAGTAGCATCTATGGGTGTGTTACAATCAATGCTCTTTTAGCAGTTGCCATCTGCGGATTGCTAAGTGTTAAACCAGCTCAGTGGAGAGTCAGGGTGACCACCTTTTACACCCTGTCCTCTTGGTACCCGGGTACTTTTATGGTATCCAGGAAGAAACAGGTCACTCAAACAAGAAGGAGGGTGAATGTGGGGATTTTATTGAATGATGGAGGTAGCTTTCAGTGGGATGGATGGGGAGCTGGAAAGGGGATGAAGTGGAAGATGATCTCCTCCTGGAATGTGGCCATACCACAGCCAATTCCTCTCCAATGTTCCAGCCAAACTCCTCTCGATGTTCAGATGCTCTTTCTCTTCTCTCCTCTGCGGTGCTGCTCTGCTGTTCTGCTGCTCTTCTGCTAGTGGAACCTGGGGTCTGGGGTTTATATGGGTACTGGATAGGGGTGTGGTGGGCCAGAGTGGTTTTGGAAAAGGCTACATTTGGGCACAAAAACAGGAATGCCTGTTCCCATTTAGGGCCATGGGTTTCCAGGCTTGAGGGTGGGACCTTTGCTGGGGAACCACCTTCTTCTACCCAGTATTTCCCTGCCTCCTGTTCGTATCACTAAGACAAGACTATAAACTCTGATTCACTGGGAGCTTTACAAAATAATACATAGCTATTGATCTATTAATTGATATAGATAGATAGATAGATAGATAGATAGATAGATAGATAGAGGTATAAAAATACCCGAGTACAAACTCAGACACAATAAATACAAATTTGGGAAAATTATACCCAGAAATCTGCTTTTAAAAACATTCTCCAGACATCCCAGCCCTAGCTCAGAAACACAATTGTAATGATTCAATAATGCCTAAATTTCACAGGGTGAAATTAAATGAGAATCAATTTATGATAAGAGCCATGAAATTTTTTATAATGCATTTATATTATCCAATTATTTCAAGTTATTTAATATATGAATAAGAGAACATTTTAAGTACATTACAACTTACTTTACCAGTTATTTTGCCTCAATTAGATTATGTTTTTATGATTGTTACTCCCGTAATATAAAAATTTTTAAGAATTAAAGGATTCTATATAAAAATTGGATTATATTTAAATATGAGTCATAATTATAGGGTTTGTACAAAATTAACTTTAATAGTGAAAACTGAATAGTCCTATAAAATCAATTACATCTTCATGCTTCAATTTTAATTTCTATTTTTATAGTTATACATTATTCTTGCATTTGTAAAAAAAGTGATAAAATGCAATATAAATTTTTGATTTTACTTTTTTGAAATTCTTAATTGTATATTGAGTTCTAGATTTTGATACGTGAAATTATTGATTTGGTATGGATTCTCATGACAACATAATGTCTCTTTTCCACACTAATGCTGTAAATGGATAAATACTGATGTAATAGAGTGAAATACATGCGGTCTTATTTTAATGACTGATATCAGAGCTCTGTTTAAAAAGAATAATTGAAAAGTTGTTGATGTTGTTATTGTTGTTTTAAAAGAAAATTAGATACCAGCAAGTAAAAATTTTGATGAAATGATTTGGAGGAAAACCCTAAAATAAAGACATAATAGTTCTTATACTTCTCTGGATAAGAACTTTAGTAAAGGTTATATACAGAAGTGTAAGACAGAGAATTAACTGAGTAACATGCCAAAAAGCCGGAACATGAATGAAATGAAAAAAGACTGCTGAAAAATCCCCCATGACCAGAAGCAGATGGGCAATCAAGATGCAGTCAAGACTCTTATTTATTCATTTATGTATCATTTATTCATTCATTTCATTTCAGAAGTGTACACTTCTCAATAAGTATTTGCTATGTATAGCCACCATTTTGAATAGGAAGAAAAAATTTCAGTGTCGAATATGAGACGAAAAATTGGGGGGAAAAGAAATGTAAGGTCAGATAATCCATAAATGAAACTTAATTCAGCAAAATAAGAAATCAGAGCCAGGAGACATAGAAACCCCATGGCAAGATCCCATCTGAGGGACTGGATGTGACAATGTTATTGCAGCTTGCATCCTGAGTTCTGTGTCTCCCTCACATAAGCAGATATTAACCCCCAGGCCAAACAGAAATTTTTCTCAGGCAAGGTTTAACAGACTCAAGGCTCAAGCACCGCAAGGGAGCAATCTACAAGAAAGAGATCCCAGTGCTAGCTCTCCAAAGGGTTTGATCTTGTCATTTTAAGGAATCCAGAAAGGAGCGATGTGTAGCCATATAGAGGTAAGGAATGTAGCACCCGCACAGTTTGATAACATGTTTCTTCAGGCATGATGTGTTTCATTAGCATGTTAAATGTCTACCCCTGGGTGTGATTTGTAGTATTATAATTGAAATTTGTAGTATTATAATTGAAAGGTCAGCGCTGGAGTGCTTCTTATCTTCAGACGGCTAGATCTGGTCTGGTTTTTATCAGGAGTAACAGTCTCATTTCAGTAACCTCGGGGGATGGCCAGGTTCTTATGAGGGCTGCTAGAGTCCCACTTTAGCAACCTTGGGAAGCATCACTCAAGGAGATAACTGGGTAGACTCTTCCTTTTATAGGTAGGAATTCAGTCTAATCAGCTAAGTTAGGAGGTGGCAGCTCTCTGCTACTTGATTTGGGTCAGCTTGTTAGGAGAGGCAAGAAGGTCAGGGAGGAAATATATCTGGTCATGTGAAGCCCATGGCATCTTGGTTACCATGTCTCTGATCTGCCAGGATGGAGTCTCTTCTCTATACTGTCTCAGCAAGGCACATAAAATGAAGTTTCAAGCCAAATCTGATATAAATTATAAAGCATAGGATGGTTTGTGCTGACATCAAAGCTTTATATGTTTAGTCCACTAGTTATACATTTACTTTCAGATAATCTCATTTAAAGTCACCTTAAACCTTATTATGTTTTTTCTGTATACCATGTTAAAAGTTATCCCCCAAAGTGGCAGTAATATGTTAATTTTGTTATGCCTTTTAAATTGGATACCATTCTACTCTACTGAGATGCAAAATTCAAACACATTTTTTTGTTTAGCTCTGTATGTAAAATATATTATTTTCATATTTTATGGTACCTTCTTTCTGTTTATTTCCTAGAGTATCCTTACAGAAAAGTGTATTTTGTGCCCTTGTTAATTAGAAATAGCTGAAAACCAGCTGTTTCATTCTCCAAATAATTCTTATTAGAAATTCACCCATAATTTCATCACACACTCTTATTTTCATGCCAGTTTCTAAAATTTATTATGTCTGTTTTAATTTCATGTATATTTATTTGCCTTTTGATATAATTTTATATAATCTCCTTTAAGGATTGCTTTAACTTATACATTAAAAAAGTCATAATTTTAGAAAGAGTTAAATTAATTCAAAACATGACAATTATCAACCAGTTCTATAAGAAAAATAGTGGCAAAATATTTGCATATTATGTAATGTATAATCATACACTATTATATAGTGTATGAGAAAAAACTGTAACACCTAATATTTTAGCAATGTAGCAAGCCATAGGAAAGATTACTTAGTGGGACTTTTTTCATTCTTCTTTAGTTGAAGAGAAATTATATGACAAAAGATTTTGGAAATACTTTGTCCACTACTAACACGTGGTGTTCATACAAAATGGGACAATGGTCGTCACAGGTTAAAAACATTGCTTAAAGGAAAGAAGGCTTTAATATGGTCATTTGTAGGTAACAATACCAACATGCAGAGCTTACTATCAATCTCTGCTAAAAAAAAAAAAACAAATAAATGGATGTGTTTTCAGAGTAAAAGTATTAATAACATATGTATTTTAAAGATCTTCTAGCAAAATGACAACCCAATTTTTTAAAAAATGAGCAAAGGATTTGAGTAGACATTTCTCCAAAGAAGACATACAAATGGTCAACAAGCATATGAAGATATGCTCAAAGTGACTTATCCTAAGGGAAATGCAAATCAAAACAACAATGAGCTAACACTTCACACCTGTTAGGATGGCTATTATTAAAACAAACAAACCACCAAAGATAACAAGTATTGGAAAGAATGTGAAAAAAAATGGAATCTGTGTATGCTGTTGGTGGGAATGTAATATGGAGCAACCACCAATCCCACTTCTGAGTATATATCTAAAAGAATTGAAATCATAATCTCAAAGAGCTATCTGCATTCCCATGTTTATTGCAGTGTTATTCACAATGGCCAAGATATGTAAACAACCCAAATGACTGTCAACAGATAAATGGATTTGAAAAAATGTAACATATACACACTGTTGCATATTATTCAGTTCTAAAACAGAAGGAAATCCTGCTATATGCAAACACATGAATAAACTGGAAGACATTATGCTAAGTAAAATAAGCCATTCACAGGACAAATATCACATGATTCCACTTATATGAGATATTTAAGACAATGAAACCCACAGAAACAGAAAATAGAATAGTGATTGCCAGGGACTGGAGGGAGAAGGAAATGAGCAGTTGCTGTTCAACAGGCGCAAAGTTTCAGTTATGCAAAATTAATACATTTTAGAGATCTGCTATACAGCATTGTGCCTATGGTTAACAATGCTGTGTTGCACACTTAAACATTTAAGAGAGTAGATCTTATGCTAAGTGTTCTTAGCACAAATACAAAATAAGAAAAAGTTATTCCTATTGTGCTATTTCAAAAGAAACTACTATTCATACAATGAAAACAGATTCAGATGAAAATTTAAGATATTATTATCTTGAAATTCTAGTACATTTTTCAGTTGCTAAGCTTCTAAATCCATGATTTAAAGAAACATTTTCACAAATACTTATGTGAAGTCAGTATATGCACATATATTAGAAATAAAAATGTAATCAAGGGCAAGGATTTTAAGTAGTCATGTACAGTGATCAGAAAGCTTCTTCCTCAGAAAATGCACAAAACTTCAGAGTATGTAATAACTTTAATGACATTCAATAGATACCATAAAGTAAACATCAAGTCTTGGAAACAAAAAGTGGTTAAGTCTTATAGTTGCTAATAATTTGGTAACCACAGCATCATCAGTGATAATATTCACTAGAAGTGTGAGACATAAAACAATTCTTGATTCTGTAACAACCTTATATGAAAACATCTAAGTTAGGGACAATATTTGTAAATATACTAAGTGTTAATATCTCTAATAAATGAAGACCTTCTGAACATAGAAAATAAAAAAAATAACTCCATTATAAAAAGGACAAAAGGTACAAAAAACAGGAAATCCACAATGAGATCACATCTTACCCCAGTCAGAATGGCTTTTATTAAAAAGACACAAAAATAACAGATGTTGCCAAGGATGTGGAGAAAAGGGAATTCTTACACATTATTGGTGGAGATGTAAACTAGTACAGCCACTGTGGAAAACCGTATGGAGAGTTCTCAAAAAAATAAATAAATAAAATAAAAATAGAATTAACATCTAATACAGGAATCCTGTACTAAGTGTCTACCCCCTCAAAAAAGAAATCAAGATATCAAAGAGATACCTAGATACCTGCACTGGCATGTTTATCACAGCACTATTCACAATAGCAAAGATATGGAATCAACCTAAGTGCCCATCAATTAATGAATGGATAAAGAAGTTCTCTTCCGTCACAAAAAGAAGGAAATCATGTCCTTTGCAGCAACATGAATGGAACTAGAGGGCATTATCTTAAATGAAATAAACCAGGCACAAAAAGACAAATATTGCATGTTCTTTACTTAACTGTGGGAGCAAAACAAATAAAATAAAATAAAATATGAACACTTGTTGGTAAAAAGTGTAAAAAATAACAGAGACTGGAAGTGTGAGCAGAGTCTAAGGGAGAGGATGGAGAAAAGTGGGTTCAAATTTACAAACATGCAGTAGGATAAAAATAAATTTACTGTTTGATAGCAGAGTGGAATGACTGTATTTAACAAAAATGTATTGTACTTGGATGATGGACAACCTAAATGCCTTGACTTGATTACTGAATATTACACACATGTAAAAAATCACTCACGTACCCCATAAATTTGCACAAATGAAAAAGAAGAAATCATAGTAAGATGAAAGCAAAATGTGTTCAGTTTTGCTCCTAATATGAGGAGTGTCCATTTAGACCCCACTGACTGCCATTTTCCTCAATAACCAAACTGATGATAAACAATAGTTCAACAAAACACTCCATAGGTGAATTTTTGGGGAAGCAGGTAAACTTTCTCATATTGCTGGTAGGAATGCAAAATGCTACAAATAATATGTAGGATAATTTGAATATGCTAGGAAAATTAAAAATGCCTATTCCCCTTAATTCAGCAATTCTACTTCCAGGCTTCTATCTCAATGACACTCTGACAACATTATGAAAAAAAAAAAAGTATGTTTAAAGCTATGTGTATAAGGCTACAGGATGATTTATAGTAGGAAAATACTGGAACAGTCCAAACACTCATTCCATCAGGAGATTTGCTGAATATAATATAATATAGCCACAGAATGGATGTCATGAGTTTTGAAAAGAAATGGAGTCTATGTTGAGTGGTGTCCAGATTATGTTAAGTTTCTTTTAAGAGATACTATATTTATTTATCTATCTCTATATAGATATATACACACATACACACACATATATGTGATAGATACATCATTTACAAATATTTAAGTAAAGTATATTATCTTACATTAAAAAATAATGGAGCTGGACTTGGGGTCAGGGACGGCAGAGCCAGTGGAACCTTCAAGACGAGGACATGCTGCTGCACCTGTCACAGATGACCAAGCTGCCCTAGCATCCCAGAGTGTCCAGGCTTACCTGTGAGGTTGTGGGTTGCTTCCAGGTATCTGACATCTTCATGGGTGATACAAGCCACTGTCACACGCTGCACAGGCACAGCAGCTCCTTTCGAATTATCCAGAGTGTTTCCCTCTGAATACTTGTAAGGCCACATCCTGAATTGGCACAACATATTCGTACAGATTCCAAATGGGAGGTAAGACATATATGAGTGCTTGGTAGAAGGCTGCACAGAGAAGTTAGGGACCACCACAGACACTGGCTGGAGAGTCATATGGTAAGACTTCATGGATATTTCGCGATTTCTGGTTTGGTAAGTCCAAGAAAAGCAAAGGTCCAGGCACAAATGGGGAAAGACAGGTGAACCCATGATCATAGAATACCTCCTACCATCTGTTTTGGTCAATTCACAAGGATTTTAAAGCACCAAGAAAACAAACAATGCCACTTTAGATTCAGACAGAGGTAAAGGATGACAGGCCTCCAAACAGACATTGAAGCAGTTGACCATCTTTTGAATGTATGCTTTTTCTGTCTTTTAAACTCCAGTTGTGAGGAGCTCTGGTGAGGACACCCTAAAACCCAGGACTTTGTTATTCTCCCTGTCTTGGTTACTCAGCCAGTGATTTCAGTGTCTCCAATATTAGAAACAATAAGAAACCCACAGATACATAATACACTGATATAAATAAATGAGATATGAAGACTGGTCCACCTCCCTCTGCACTGGGTCACCATACGAATTTTCCTTTTAAACATGGGAAATAAATATTTTTCATTAAAAAATGGAAAAGGAACACAAAATAGAAAAACAATGTTTAACTTAGAGAGAGGGAGAAGTAGAAATAATACTCTATTTCAGGTAGAAGTCGCAGTGACATGAACTAAACCTTTTAAAATATAACTTTAGAATAACAAATATTTTTTATAAGGCAAATTTATATTCTGAAAAGAAATATCTCAAACAGAATGATAAACATGAATACATATGTGCATCAAATTGCTGGTGTGACGATAAGGGAGAGGGACTAATTCAATCTTTGTAAAACATAATATTGGGTTGGTACAAAAGTTATTGCAGTTTTTGCCATTAGTTTCAATGGGAAAGAACCGCAATCACTTTTGCATCAACGTATAATTGATCTACTTATTTCAATAGAAAAGAAAGATAAAACAATGCAAAGCAAAACAAAAGCCTCAAAAATCTTCAACAGTTTTAATATTGTTGATAGAAGTATTCACTTTCTATTCCAAAACCAAGTGTGTATTTAGTGTCATGCCAGCCATTTGCAATATATAGATCTAAATATATATATATATTTATATACTTGATACCTCATTTGCATAGATTACTAAAACATTCAGATAACCAGAGACATTTTTATATTGGCTGGATATTTGATTATATTAAGGCAATACATTAAAATTAATTGTGAAATTGGTATTTTGCTTATTTTTAAAAATTCTTATCTTATAAAGATACATAGTAAAATGTTTATGGATGAAATGATATGATATCTGATATTTCAGAATTAATTTTTGGAAAAGGTTACAAGTGGATGGGAGAATAAATGAAGCAATATTGGCCATTAGTCATTCATTGAAGCTGAATAGTGGGTACATTGGGATTCATTATATTTACTAGTTCTTCTACTTTGTTATATATTTGAAAATTTGCTTACTCAAAAGCAAAAAGTCATCGTTTTCAATGATTAAACTACTAAGTATCTAATTAGGATAGCTAATACATAATAAAAGGATTTTAGGAGAAATCCAGCACAGGATACTGCTGAGGAATTATTTTCGGAAAAAATATTGTTAAACACTTAAACTTTGATTGTTATGCACTCAATTGTGTCCCTGAAAAATTCACATATTGAGGCCTTACCTAGGACACCTTAATCTTGGACTTCTAGGTTCCAGAATGTTAGAAAATAAATTTCTGGGTTTTTTTTTTTTTTTGAAACAGAATCTCACTCTGTCCGCCAGTGATAGGGACAGGGGGCAGTGAAATTCTAGGCACAAAAGGGCAGGTCCCCAGGGAAACCACACTCTCAAGCCAAAAGTCTGAAACTGTAGCCCAAAGTGAGAACTTACATCCCTGTTTTCCCGCTTGAATGTTGCCTCTTTCTAAACAACCATGGCTCCACCCCACATGATCCTGTGTCTATAAAAACCCCATACTCAGCCAGTAGACAGGACTGTATCTGGACATCAGAGAGAATCGGCTTTACTTCAGAGGGAAAGCTTGACAGGGTAATGCTTGAGAAGAATCTGGCCAGAGATGGCAGGACTTCAGGGGAAGATTACCTACTCTATCCCCTATTCATCTCCCCTTCCTGCTGAAAGTCACTTTAATTAGTAATAAAATCCCCTGCACTTACCATCCTTCGATTGCTTCATGCCACCTAATTTTTCCTGGATGCTAGGCAAGAGGTCAGGAGCCACAAGTGCAGATACAAAAGGTTGTCACGCTGGCCCTTTACCCTTGCTGGCAGAGGGCAGCCACCCCATGCGAAAAGGCAAAGGGCCCACTGAGCTATTAACACTTAAGCTGTGTAAACAACAGAGCTAAAAGAGCACTGTAACATGCTCTCTGGAGCTTCGGGAGTCACAGGCACCCCCACCACCTGCTGCTGCGGGGCCTGCACACAGTTTACTCCTGCTGGAACCCAACAGCAGCCATTTGGAGCCCATACTCACTTGTGTGCTTCCTCCCACAAGGAGTTTGAGCGTGACGAGCTTAGTAAATGGAGTTTGTTCCTGCCAGGGCCCAAAAGTGCTGTTTCCTACACCCTCTTGTGTCCGGAATTGGTGGGTTCTTGGTCTCACTGACTTCAAGAATGAAGCCACGGACCCTCGCGGTGAGTGTTACAGCTCTTAAGGTGGCACATCTGGAGTTGTTCGTTCTTCCCAGTGGGCTCGTGGTTTCGCTGGCTTTAGGAGTGAAGCTGCAGACTTTCACGGTGAGTGTTACAGCTCATAAAAGCAATGTGGACCCAAAGAGTGAGCAGCAGAAAGATTTATTGCAAAGAGCGAAAGAACAAGGCTTCCACAGTATGGAAGAAGACCCGAGCGAGTTACCACTGCTGGCTTGGGCAGCCTGCTTTTATTCTCTTATCTGGCCCCACCCACATCCCGCTGATTGGTAGAGCCGAGTGGTCTGTTTTGACAGGGCGCTGATTGGTGCGTTTACAGTCCCTGAGCTAGACATAAAGGTTCTCCACGTCCCCATCAGATTAGTTAGATAGAGAGTATGGACACAAAGGTTCTTCAAGGCCCCACCAGAGCAGCTAGATACAGAGTCTCCATTGCTGCATTCACAAACCCTGAGCTAGACACAGGGTGCTGATTGGTGTGTTTACAAACCTTGAGCTAGATACAGAGTGCCGATTGGTGTATTTACAATCCCTGAGCTAGACATAAAGGTTCTCCATGTCCCCACCAGACTCAGGAGCCCAGCTGGCTTCACCCAGTGGATCCTGCACCGGGGCTGCAGGTGGAGCTGCCTGCCAGTCCTGTGCCATGCGCTCGCACTCTTCAGCCCTTGGGTGATCGATGGGACTGGGCGCTGTGGAGCAGGGGGTGGCACTCGTCGAGGAGCCTCCAGCGCACAGGAGCCCATGGAGGGGGTGGGAGGCTCAAGCATGGCGGGCTGCAGTCCCGAGCCCTGCCCCGCGGGAAGGCGGCTAAGGCCCATTGAGAAATCGAGCACAGCACTGGTGGGCTGGCATTGCTGGGGGACCCAGTACACCCTCTGCAGCCACTGGCCCGGGTGCTAAGTCCCTCATTGCCTGGGGCCAGCAGGGCCAGCCGGCCGCTCCGAGTGCGGGGCCTGCCAAGCGCATGCCCACCCGGAACTCCAGCTGGCCCACAAGCGCCACGCACAGCCCCGGTTCCCGCTCGCGCCTCTCCCCCCCACACCTGCCTGCAAGCTGAGGGAGCCGGCTCTGGCCTTGGCCAGCCCAGAAAGGGGCTACCACAATGCAGCGGTGGGCTGAAGAGCTCCTCAAGTACTGCCAAAGTGGGAGCCTAGGCAGAGGAGGTGCCGAGAGCAAGCGAGGGCTATGAGGATTACCAGCACGCTGTCACCTCTCACTCTTACCTGTGAACTCCCTCCCATGAGAAATGGAAGGCAGCAGGTCTGAGTGAGTGGAGTTAACTCTCACTGGTGCAGAAGCTGCCAGCCGGTTCCAGTGCTCATTCACTCCAGTTCCTGCACGTATTCGCTTGCAGGCTCCCTCCCGTGAAGAGTTGAGAGTGGCAGGCAGAGTAAACGAGGCACCCTTGTCACAAGTCCCGTGAAGGCGTCAGGGAAACATCCTGCTTCACCAGGTTGGAGTGTGGCACCATCTTGGCTCACTGCAACCTCCGCCTCCTGGGTTCAAATGATTCTTATGCCTCAGCCTCCCGAATAGTTGGAGTTACAGGTGCATGCCACCACACCTGGTTAATTTTTGTATTTTTAGTAGAGACAGAGTTTCACCATTTTGGCCAGGCTGATCTCAAACTCCTGACCTCAAGTGATCTGCCCACTTTGGCCTCCCAAAGTGCTGGGATTAAATTTCTGTGTCTTAAGCTACTCTCTCTGTAGTAATTTGTTGTGCTATCCCTAGGAAACTAATATAATTACTAAGATTTTAAACAAATATAATAATAATTTTCAAATAAAAATTAGAATTTTTCTTGTGTTCCAGAATTTCATATTATGGTGGTGATTTTTACCCTTAATTTTACTTAGGAAAGCATTTTAACTTGGATTTATACCGTTTGCACCAACATATGAATTTGATGCATCATTTACAGTTCTGAGAAAGTGACATTGAAGAGTATCGAGATTGTATTAAAAAATCCTATTAAAAATGAGAAATACACAAGCATCCAATAGACAGACAAATGAACATTAGAACTGAATAGGAATTTCATAGAGGAGAGAACACATCAGAGCAATGAACATATGAAGAGATTATTAATCTCTAATGATCAGAAAATTAAATCAAATGATATGCCATTTTAGATTCATTTCATTGACAAAAATTTATATTTCTGACAATACCACATGTTGGAAAGGATATGCATCAGTAGAATCTCTCGAGATTGTTCATGGAGGATAATTTGGTACAGCTACTTATAAAAAGTTTGATTTATCTAGTAAATTCAAAACCTCAATTACCTTATGACACAACCAATTTGCTCCTAGATATATAACCCAAGAGATTTCCTCCTATCTCTGCATTGTAAAATAATGCAGAAGGTCTTTCATAGCAGAACTTTTTATAAAAGCAGGAGTCTTATAACAATCCAAATGCCCATCAACAGGATAAGTTACATATGAACATCAGTAAACTAATAGAATGGCATGTCACAGTGTAGTCTGAATAATTAAAATATAGCCCCCGTAAAAAACCAAAATGACAAATCATGGAATAACTATTAAGTGAAAGTTTTGTTACAAAATATACATCTCATAATAACAGCTTTATAAAGTCAAAAAAAAAAAGAAAACTTAAAACAGTTATTTAGGAATATATGATAAAAAGTGCACTCTGTAAGGTGTAAATCAAGAGAATGATTATCAAAAGATTCTGGATGACGTTGAATGTGAGAAAATACATACATGCCCACACACACATGGTTTTGTATATGTTTAGAGAGAATCTTTTGTTCTTTTAGTTGTGAGTGTGTATATACGCACACACAAAACCGCCTATATGAGAAATGGTTTCAGAAAGTTTAGGTCGCAATCTATGATTATATCAATATTTGATCTGTAATTAATCAAACTCTAATGCCTCAGTTTCACACATGTAAAGTAAATAATCCTTAAGAATTTCTATCTCAAAAGAATTATGTGATGATTAAATGTGCTTACCACATTTACATGGTCATTGTAATATTGACTAATTTTGAACTTTTTTTCTACATTACACTGAGGACATGCCAAAGTCTTATGTCAGAAAAAAATTAAATCAATGTAATAAACCACACTTAATGAAATTTAAAAATACTGACACAGTAGAAGGATTATAGGGTTTTTTATTTTTCTCATATTTTCTTCAGCTTGTGGGTGCTAACATTACTTCCTCAATATACAAGTTTCACAAAGATAGTGCCTAGATGAGCTAATGCCGTATATATATTACAAGCAACACCAAAATTCAGTTGCTTAAAACAACAATAAATATTATTTCTTATGTATCTACTGAGTTCAGCTGATTGAGGTTGAACTAGGCGAAACTTCTGCTGACCTCTGTTGGTTATTAGCTGGCCAAATCTGGATTTTGATGGACTGATTCATCACTGTGTTACATGTTCCTTATCCTTCTCTGGCATGAGCCAGTAAGCCTGGCCATGCCACTCATATGACAATGGGAGATTTATAGTGCAAGAGGATGAGAGGAACTCATTTTATGGTTCCCAAACAAATTATAGCAGAACTCCAAGTCAAAGGGTGAAGAAACAGTTCTGCCCCACTTTGTAGGAGGAACTACAAAGATACACGCTGAAGGGAATAGAAAAAGAGTGGGGTAAAACATTGAGACTATTATTGTAATCTGGAAAAGGTATATATGCAATTGTGATTTTTTAACCTATTATTTTGAGTACTTTAATAACATTTGGTAAGCATTTACTAAACAAATAGCAAGAAATGGGTAAGTGGTGATAATAAAATAGTACTAGTAAATTGCTACAGAAAAATATAGAGAAATGAAGAATGAATTTATTCATGTTTTGAATGTTCAGCTAAATACTACCTAGCCTTCTGGGAAGGATGCGAGGCTAAAAGAATAGTAAATAAATCACAATGGAAAATTAAGTAATTCTTAGAAAAATAAAATAAACTGAGAGTTGTGTACCTATACCAGGTGGAAAAGCCAGTGTTTTCAGGGAATAGGTAAAATATGTGTCTTTTTAAGGGTTAATAGAAAGATAAGTGGTTGGCAAAAAGATTCTGTCAAAGTCCCCAAAATTAAATTTTGGTTTTAATTTGCTTAAAAATATATGAAGTCAGAAAAATAATACCTTTACTTGTAAATATTATAATAAACATTGAGTTATAACATTGTGGTTTCAATATTAAAACATACAGAAATTTCATTTTTTAAATTTTGAACTGAAGATCTATATACTTATTATTTGTTTTTTTTTATTTTTTAAAGAAGTACCACAGCAATACGAACCTTCCGCTATATCTTTTTAACTTTCTGGAACTTTTAAGTTCATACACAGAACTATCCTATAGAAGACGGTTGGTTGTCGATTGGAAAGGAGTTTTTAACTTTAGAAATTCTGCAAACCCACTAGAGATTTGTTTGAAAATTGGGCTTCATGTGTATTTCCTTTTCTCCTTGGGGACTTAATTGAATGAACTATTTTCTAAGTGGAAAAAATAATGCTTCTTATTTTAGTGTCTTGAATTTATACTCAGATGCCAATGTGTTAGAGTCACATTGTGTGGCACTTCTATCAAAGGCAGTATGACTGCATTTGTGATGACGCTATCAAGTGATTTATGTGTACTTATTTCAAATTGTTAACATAAATTGAAATACATCTTGTAATACAATAAAGTAAAATTAATTCTTTATGATTTTATTTGTGGTCATTTTCCCAGTATTATATTTAGGATGATCAATCTTTACAAGAAAAAAATTAATACAATTATTTAATAAGCAATCAAAAAAGAGAAGACGACAAAAAAGAAAAATTGCTCATTGCTCTATTGTGTTCTTAAGAACTTTCAAAATATCTGTCATCAAATGTCAAACGTTACATAATATCGAATACAAATACCTAGTGCCTATCTCTTTTCTTCTACATCGATGAAGCAATATATGATATTGCAGTAGTTTAGTCAAAAGTAACATATTTGTGCATGAAACTTCACTTTTCTTCCTTTCTTCCCCTTTCTCCTTCACTCTCAGTCAATAGAAAGACACATTTGTTCAAAGAAAGATTTAATAATAGCAAAAGACAGTCTTTACAGCTTTGTGTTCCTTTTGGGAAAGGCCATTTTTAGGCAGAGGCAAAGTCTGTTGGACATAAACAATAGAAAAAAGCAGACTTTCCAAATCCAGATATTAATCCTAACTGCAAATAAATCCCTGGGTGGCAGCTGGGAGAAAAGAGTGAGAAAGAGCAAAGGAGACTTAGGACCAAACTTTTAGGAAAAAAAATAAAGAACTGTACAGTGTATTTAGAGGGATAAAAGTTTAGGCTGCCTCATCAAAGATTTCTGAAACTCAAGAACAGTTGAGAAGTCACAGAGAGCAGCAATTCCTGATAGGCCACGTTAAAGCCTGGAATAGATATCTTTGTAAATTCATGTGTAGATGGATGAACAATGTCTAAAGCCTTAATTGGCTCTCTTCTTTTTACTGGTAATCTTGGTGTATGTAAGTTCCTACAACCATAGTACAACCCCTGGTAGAGGGGTGGATATCCCAAGAATGACTGAGGTAAAACTTTACACTGGAACATCAAAAGGGGTATCTGGATTCATACGTTTTATTAAAAGAAATCAAGAAAAGTTAACTTTTTACATTCTTGAATTTAAGGGCAATTTTAAGCCTATTATCTTATTTCATTGTAGACCCTACATATGGTACACATAATAAATTATATTTAGCATTCCCTATTATGTTAAAATATATTAAGCCTATGCAGTTTCTTGTTAAACTGTGGCCATATTCATGAATAATAGCTGTGTTATGCTGCATAAAATTTAAATAGGATATATTTTAGCTTGTATGATAAGTACCACCCAAAGCTCTTGAGTTTCATTTCTTGCCATCAGATTTGTTAGCCCTTCCTCTTAACCTTCAGTAACTTTCCTCTTTCCACTTAATGTTCATCTTCTAACCTTTATATATTGAGAAATATTGTAATTAATTAGCTTGTAATGATTTCTAAATATCAGTAGACTTTGAATTATGAAGCTTTATTTAGTATGTAATATGAGTTAGGTTTAGCAAATTTATCTGTGACAATTAGATAACCTTTCTGCTTTTATAAATGGAAATTGAGTTTTGGCTTTTGCAATAGGAGGATACGAATACTCATTTGCTACTGAATGACCAATAGAGACATTTCTTTTCTATATGGAACCTGATCTTCTTGAATTGAATCATGAAGATAAAACCACCAAACTTACACAATTTTACATTAACTTCTTAGCTTTTGGTTTACTTGGCCTTAATACAAAGGGAGGGTGGAACATATTTTTAAAATGTTGGCCAGGCACAGTGGCTGGTGGCTCACGCCTGTAATCCCAGGACTCTGGGAGTCCAAGGTGGATGGATCATCTGAGATCAGGAGTTCAAGATCAGTCTGGCAAGATGGCAAAACCCTGTCTCTACTAAAAAATATGAAAATTAGCTGGGCATGGTGGTGCGCACCTGTAATCTCAGCTACTCAGGAGGCTGAGGCAGGAGAATTGCTTTAACCCAGGAGGCGGAGGTTGCAGTGAGCTGAGATCGTGCCACTGCACTCCAGCCTGGGTGACAGAGTGAGACTCTGTCTCAAAAAATAAATAAATAAATAAATAAACAAATAAATAAGTAAATAAACAAAATGTCATGCCCCCTGCATCTGGCAAATTATGTATTTAATTCCCTTTGTTAATGTCAAGATTGATTTATTTTTTTAAATCATTCTCAGAAGGAGAATACGCCAGTTTTAGTATCCCATTTTATGAGAGAAATAGATCCTATTTTCAATTTCAATCGTTTCACAGGGCTGTTGCCTTGTTTTCTGCTACCCAAGAGTTATTTCTGTGATATTGCTGTTTTAATCATGGTGATACAGGCTATTTTAGAATAAATAATTCAATGTACAGGACAAACATACAAAAACATCTATTTGAAAGCATTGGAAAACTATCACAGCAGTTGGTACTTGAAATTATAAAATCCAAGAGAGAAGGAGAATATAAAGAAGAGAAGTTAACAACCTATAGTACCTTTTTTTCTCTAGGCATTTCCTTTCTGTAAATGCCTTAGGATGCAGAGAGTGATAAGACACACATATTTTTAAAATTAAGAGGTTGTTTATCTCAACAGAGTGTGAATAAGAAAATATATAATTGAAGTTATTAGTTTTATATATATAGGACAGTCAGGAAAGAAAGAGTGAAGGTACTGAAAGAAAGTACACTTAAAAGCAGAAGGTTGAAGAGCTAAGAGACTGGTAAGCTAAGCAAAGATTTGAAAGTCTCACTGGATTTAGTTTTTTAAAAAATTGAATTTTCAGTCAAATTAGAGAAATCCTAAAAAAATTACTCCAACTTCCAGTTTGACTATGAAGGGAGTAAACATCAGAAATTTGTAAATAAGAATGAAACAGAAAAAAAAAATTAAAGAGAACAGAGTCTAAGGGACCATCAAGCAAACTAGCATAGGCATTGTGGGAGTTCTAGAAGGAGGAGAGAGAAAAGGACTGAGAAAATATTTGAATAAATCATATCTGAAAACTTCCCAAATTTTATCAAAATCATGAATATAAACATCCAAGAAGCTCAACATATACCAACTATGATGAACTCAAAGAGACCCACAGCAAGACAAATTAAAATCCAACTTTTGAAAGAGAAACAGAAAATCTTGAAATCACAAAGAAAGAAGCAATTCATCACATACAAGGAGTTCTCAGTAAGACTATAGACAGATTTCTCATCAAAAGCTTTAGAGGTTAGAAGACAACAGGCTGATATATTTAAAGTTCTAAAAGGAAAAAAAAAGCTGTCAACCAAGAATTATATATCCAGCAAAACTCTCCTCCATCCAAAAATAAGGGAAATATTGGGACATCCTAGATAAGCAAAAGTTTAAGGGGTTCATTACCACTAGACTTGCCCTGTAAGAAAATGCTCTAGGGAATCTTGTAGGTGAAATAAAAAGACACTATGCAGTCACTCAAAATTATATAAAGAAATAAATAAAGACAAATACATAGGAAATTATAATAAGCTTGTATGGTTGTAGCAATTATTTGTTACTGCATTTTTTGCTTTCTACATGAGTAAGAGACTAAAAAATGTATGAGTCTAAATACTAGTCTTATTGTAATTTTGGTTTAAAAGAATTATTATGTTTTGGGGTGTATAATATATAAACTTATAATTGTATGAAAACTACAACTAAAAGGGATGGCAATAGAATTATTAAAGGAGTAGAGTTTTGTATGTTACTGAAGTAAAGCTCATATAAACTCAAAAGAGGTTGTGGTTGTTAAAATCTTAGGATGTTAAATATGATCCCCATGTAACCACAAGGAAAATAAATATAGAATATATACAAAAAACAAAGAAGAAATTTAATCATTTTTTTACAAAAAAATCAGCTGAACAAAAAAGAATGCAGAGCTGTAGAAAATGAGGCACAAAAGAGCTATAAGAATTATAAAAAATAAACAGAAAAATGACAAGTAAATTCCTCTTTATGAATAACTACTTTAAATATAAATTAAACTTTTTATAGTAAGATCAAGATTGGCAGAATGGATTTAAAAGAATGATCGAATTATACACTGTCTACAAGAGACTCACTTTAGATCCAAAGATTTAAATAGATTGAAAGTGAGAGGATGGAAAATGATATTGCAAGAATATTGCAATCAAAATTGGGTAATGGATGGCTTTATTAATATTAGCCAAAATTCACTTTAAAATTTAAAAGGTTATAATAGGTAAATGATATTATATATTACAAGTAATAATAGTAAAATAGAAAGATATAATTATTAACATTTATGCACCTCATAACAGATCATCAAAGCCAGCAAAAACTCACACACTGAAGGTATAAATAGGAGTTTCTACAATAATAGTTGGAGAATTCAATACCCTACACTCAATAGTGGATAGAAAAAACAGATACAAAGTAGGTAAGGAAATACAGGACCTAACACAGTAACCCCACTAGATCTAACAGACATATACAGAACACTCTATCCAACAGCATCGGCATACACATTCTTCTCAAGTGTACTGAGGAATTTTCAGAAATATGTTAGGCAGCAAATTTAGTTACAATAGACTTAAAAACGTAGCTATCATACAAAGTATCTCCTCTGATTACAATGAGATGAGCTTAAATATCAATAATAGATGTAAAGCTGAAAAAATTACAAAATTGTAGAAATTAACACAGTTTTGAGCAATGAATGGATCAAACAATAGAACACAAGTGAAGTTAGAAAATAGACATGAAAAAAGCACAAACATACCAAAACTTATGAGATACTGCCAAAACAGTGCAAAATGGGAGATTTATAGATATAAATGATTATATTAAAAAATAACAAGTTCTCAGATAATCAACCTAACTTTATTACCTAAAAAACTAGAAAAACACTACATCCAAAACTAGCAGAAGAAAGGAAATAATAAAGATTAGAGCAGAGAGCAAACAGAGAAAGATAAATAACAAGATAATCAGTGAAATAAAATGTTGCTTCTTTGGAAAGGTCTACAAAATTGAATAGAAGTGGTGAGAGAGGACATCCTTGTCTTCTCCCAGTTTTCAAAGGGAATGCTTCCAGTTTTTGCCCATTCAGTATGATATTGGCTGTGGCTTTGTCATAAATAGCCCTTATTATTTTGAGATATGTTCCATTGATACCCGGTTTATTGAGAGTTTTTAGCATGAAGGGTTGTTAAATTTTGTCAAAGGCCTTTCTGCATCTATTGAGATAATCATGTGGTTTTTGTGATTGGTTCTGTTTATTTGCTGGATTACATTTATTGATTTGTGTATGTTGAACCAGCCTTGCATCCCAGGTATGAAGCCAACTTGATTGTGATGGATAAGCTTTTTGATGTGCTGCTGGATTCAGTTTGCCAAAATTTTATTGAGGATTTTCGCATTTATGTTCATCAGGGATACTGGCCTGCAATTTCCTTTTTTTGTTGTGTCTCTGCCAGGTTTTGGTATCAGGATGATGCTGGCCTCATAAAATGAGCTAGGGAGGATTCCTTCTTTTTCTATTGTTTGGAATAGTTTCAGAAGGAATGGTACCAGCTCCTCTTTGTGCCTCTGGTAGAATTCAGCTGTGAATCTATCTGGTCCTGGCCTTTTTTTGGTTGGTAGGCTATTAATTATTGCCTCAATTTCAGAATCTGTTATTGGTCTATTCAGGGATTTGACTTCTTCCTGGTTTAGACTTGAGAAGGTGTATGTGTCCAGAAATTCATTCATTTCTTCTAAATTTTCTAGTCTATTTGCATAGAGGTGTTTATAATATTCTCTGATGGTAGTTTGTATTTCTGTGGGATCGGTGGTGATATCCCCTATATCATTTTTTACTGTGTCTATTCGATTCTTCTCTCTTTTCCTCTTTATTAGTCTGGCTAGCAGTCTGTCTTTTGTTGATCTTTTCAAAAAACCAACTCCTAGATTCACTGATTTTTTGAAGGGGTTTTTGTGTCTCTATTTCCTTAATTTCTGCTCTGATCTTAGTTATTTCTTGTCTTCTGCTAGATTTTGAAATTGTTTGCTGTTGCTTCTCTAGTTCTTTTAATTTTGATGTTAGGGTGCCAATTTTAGATCTTTCCTGCTTTCTCTTGTGAGCATTTAGTGCTATAAATTTCCCTCTACACACTGCTTTAAATGCATCCCAGAGATTCTAGCATGTTGTGTCTTCATTCCCATTGGTTTCAAAGAACATCTTTATTTCTGCCTTCATTTCGTTATTTACCCAGTAGTCATTTAGGAGAAGGTTTTTCAGTTTCCATGTAGTTGTGCAGTTTTGAGTGGGTTTCTTAATCCTGACATCATGGAATGCTATGCAGCCATGAGAAAGGATGAGTTCATGTCCTTTGCAGGGACATGGATGAAGCTGAAAACCATCATTCTCAGCAAACTAACACAGGAACAGAAAACCAAACACCATATTTTCTCACTCATAAGTGGGAGCTGAACAATGAGAACACGTGGACATAGGGAGGGGAACATCAAACACTGGAGCCTGTCAGTGAGTGGGAGCCTGGGGGAGGAAGAGCATTAGGAGAAATACCTAATGTAGGTGACGGGTTGATGGGTGCAGCAAACCACCATGGCACGTGTATACCTATGTAACAAAACTGCACATTCTGCACATGGACCCCAGAACTTAAAGTATAACAAGAAAAGAAAAAAAGTCTACAAAATTGACAAAGCTTCAGCTAGATTAAGTAAGGAAAAAGAAGAATGACTCAAATTACTAAAATCAGAAATGAAAATTGAGAAATAAGCTATTCTACTTAAATTGTAAAAAGATTATAAGAGAATACTATGAACAATTTGTATGTCACAAATTGGATAGTCTAGACCAAACAGACAAATGTCTAGACACACAAAATTACAACACGAAATCACAAAGTAAGAGGAAATCTCAATAGATATATACAGTAAGAAGATTGAATCAGTAATTAAAAGTTTTCCAAACAAGAAAACCCCTGGACCTGATGTTTTTACTGGTAAATTTTGCCAAATATTTAAAGAATTAACACCAATCCTTATCACTGTTTTCACTAACTGAAAAAGAATGAACACTTCTAACTCATTCTACGAGACCAACATTACCCTGACACTAAAGCTAAACAAAAATATTACAAGAAAACTACAAACCAATATCTCCTATCAACATTAATACCAAAAATGTCAACAAAATACTAGCAAACCAAATTTAGCTGCATATTAAAAGGATTATAAATCATGACAAAGTGAGATTCACTCCTTGAATGTAAGGATGTTTCACCACAAGAAAATTGATTAATGTAATACACCATGCTAAGAAAATTATAGGAAAAAAACCTTGAATATCTAATTGATACAGGAAATCAACTGAAAAATTTGTTTATCTTTTTGTGGTAAAAATACTTAACATACTAGTTGATATAGTTTGTATGTCTGTCCCTTTTGAATGTTGAAATGTAATCTCCAATGTCACAGGTGGGGCCTGATGGAAAGAGCTTGGATCATAGAGGTACATCATTTATTAATGTCTTGTTGCCATCCTCACTGTAATTGAGTGAGTTCTCATTCTATGTGTTTACATCAGATCTGGTTGTTTAAAAGAACTTAGAACTTCCTTCTCTCTCTGGTGATCCCATGCTCACCATGTGACATGCTGGCTCCCCCTTTGCCTTCCACCATGATTGGAAGCTTCCTGAGGACTTCACCAGGAGTGGATACAGTGCCATGCTTCCTGTACAGCCTGCAGAACCATGAGCCATAAAAAGCCTCTTCTTTTTCCTAAATTACCCCGTCTCAGGTATTCCTTTAGAGCAATGCAAATGGATTAACACACTGGTATTAGAGGGAAACCACTTTAACAAAGTAAAAGCCATGTACAAAAAACCTACAGAAAAAATCATGCTCAAAAATGAAAGACTGAAAATTTCCCATAAATTTAGGAAGAAAACAAGGGTGCTTACTTGACTATTTTATTCAATATAGTACTAACAGTTCTGTAAACAGAAAAATTAGACAAAAATACATCTTAATTATAAGGGAGGAAGTCAAATTATTTATTAAAAGATAATATAATCTTACATACAGAAAGTCTCAAAGATTCCATAGAAAAACTTAGAACCAATAAATAAATTGAGCAAAATAGTAGAATATGAAATGAACACATAAAAAATCAGTTGTCTTTCTATACAGTAACAATGAAATGTCTGAAAAGACAACTAAGAAAATAATCCCGTTTACAGTGACAGCAGAACAAATAAAATACTTAGACATAAACTTAACTAGGTAAAGGCTTGTACTATGAAAACTATAAAATACAAATGAAAAAATTAAATCAGCATGTGTAAATGAAAACATATCCCATGTTAATGGATTGGAATAATTAAAATTGTTAAAATGTCAAATCTACCCTAAGCCATCTACAGATAAAATGCAATCCCTATAAAAATCAAAATGCCTGTTTCTTTTTTGTTTTGTTCTGTTTTTTGCAGAAATAGAAAAACTTATTCTAAAACTTATTTGGCATCTCAAGGAACCCTGAATAGCCAAAACAGTGTTGAAGAAAAGGAATAAAGGTGGAGCACTCACACTGCCTGATTTCTATAAACCTACTACGAAGCTACAGTAATCAAAAATAGGGTGATACTGGCACAAAGATAGATATATAGAGTAATGAAATACAATAGAGAACCCCAAAATGAACCCTTACATATATGTTCTAATGAGTTTTGGCAAGTGTTCCAAGACAATTCAATAAGCAAAAGAGTCTTTTTCAAAAAAGGGTGCTTAGAAATCTGAATATCCACATTCAAAAGAATAAAATTTGGCCTTTACTTAATAGCCTGTACTAAAATTACTCAAAAATCAAAGACCTAAATGTAGGACTTTAAGCTATAAAACTCACATAAGAAAAAATAGCTTTATCATATTGGATTTGACAATTATTTCTTTAATCTGACACAAAATACACAGGAAATAAAAGGTAGTCAAATTGAACTTTATGAAAATTTTAAAAATTTGCATCTAAAGACAAGATTAACAGAGTAAGAAGGCAACACACAGAATCAGCAAAAATACTCACAAATCATATATCTGACAAAAGATTAATATCCAGAGCTCCTATAATTCAAACATAATAAATCAGACAACCTGATTCAAAAATGGGCAAAGGATTTGAATAGAAATTTTTTCAAAGAAGAATACAAATTACCAATTAGTACCTGAAGAGTTGCTCAACATCACTAATCATAAGGGAGATGTAAATCAAAATTACAATGAGATTCCACCTCACACATGATAGGATGGCTACTGTCAAAAAAACCCACAGAATTTAATAAGCATTGACAAAGATGTGGAGAAATTGGAACACTTGTTCACTGCTGATGGGAATATAAAGTGGTATAGCTGCTATGAAAAACAGTATATGGGTTCACCCAAAAATTAAAAATTGAATTACTTTGTGGTCCAAGAGTTCCACTCCAGGGTATACTCAGGGGAATTAAAAGCAGGATCTCAAAAAGATATCTGTATACTCATGCTCATAGCAGCATTACTCACAATAGCTTCGTGGAATCAATCCAGGTGTCCATGGAAAAATTAATGGGTTAGCTAAGTGTGGTGTACACATACAATAGAATATTATTCAGCCTGAAAGTGGATGGATGTTCTAACATATGTTGCAGCATGGATGAACCTTGAAAACATTGTGCTATGTGACTTAAGCCAGTAACAAAAGGAAAACTACTGTATAATTCCATTTATATGTTAGTTCTTAAGAGCAGTCAAAATCATAGAGAGAGAGGTGGAATGGTGGTTTCTAGGGGGCTGGGAGAAGCAGGAAATAGGGAGGTAATGTTTAATGTGTATAGAGTTTCTGTTTTACATGGTGAAGAGTTATGGACATGGTTGATAGCGATGGTGACACAACATGATGAATGTATTTAATACCACTGAACTGTACACATAGAGATGGTTAAGATAATAAATTGTTATGTGTATTTAACTTCAATAAAAAATGGATAAACAAGACAAAAAAAGGCTAACAGCTACAAAACACAGCAATTTGGATGGATCTCAGGGGAGTCATGGTGAGTGAAAAAAAAGTCAACCCCAAAAGACTACATTAGTGTAAAGATTCCTTTTATTTATTCCCTTGAATCTAAAAAAATAAAAATAAAATTCGACAAGAGATGAATGGTTGCTAGGGGCTACAGATGGAGTGGCTCTGTGGGAATTGGGTGTTGTTATAAATGGGATGTATGAAAGATCCTTGTTGTGAAGGAACATTTTATGCATTAAATGTATTAAGATTGGTAGACTATATTGGTAATGTATATCAATGTATATTTCCTCATTGTGATACTGTACTATAGTTTTGCAAGCTATTAGCGTTCGGGAAAACTTGGTGAAGAGTACATTTAATCTTGACATTATAGTTCTTAAAATTGAATGTAAGTTTTCAATTTTCTCAAAATATAACATACAATTAAGAAATGTTAACTTAAACTTACAAATAAAAATCTAAATAAAACCCTGAAATTAAGTGCCAAATGAGTGTTTAAAGAGCAAATTAAACATAATAGGTGAGAGGACTAGGGAGCTAGTAGATGAAATAATATAAATATTCAGTGATATGATTTGGTCTGTGTCCCCACCCAAATCTTATCTCAAATTGTAATCCCCATGTATCAAGGGAGGGACCTGGTGGGAGGTGATTAGATCATGGGGGCAGTTTCCTGCATGCTGTTCTCATGATAGTGAGAGAGCTCTCACTAGATCTGATGGTTTTAAAAGTGGCAGTTTCCCCTGAGTGCTCGCTCTCTCTCCTGCTGCCTTCAGGTGAAAAGGGTGCTTGCTTCTCCTTTATCTTCCACCATGACTGTAAGTTTCCTGAAGCCTCCGCAGCCATGCAGAACTGTGAGTCAATTAAATCTCTTTTATTTATAAATTACCCAGTCTCTGGTACTTCTTTATAGCGGTATGTAAATGGACTAATACACCCAGCATAAAACAAAAGAAGAAAAGTAAGTTTAGAAATACATAAAATGTTGAAGTCATTGATCTAAATATGTATCTCAATGAGATAGAAGACCAACAACAAATAAAAAAAATACATTGAACAGAATTAAAGTCATAAGAAGATAAATAAAGAAAAAATAAAACTACAAATGGAAAATTAGCAAAGCCAAAATTGTTTTTTGAAGATTAATAAAATTGTAAAAAAGTGACAAAGCACAAATTACCAAAATTAAGAATAAATGGTATTACTAGATGTTGCAGGTATTATGATAATTATGTAGTAATTATGATATTATGTAGTAATTATGTAGTAATTATGATATGTAGATAATTATGTAGTAATTATGATATGTAGTAAAATGGTAATTACGTAGTCTTATATACTTCCTGCTATAAATTTTAAGATTCAGATCAAATGGATGAACTCTTAAAACCACTACTTAAAAGTGACATAAAGAAAATTAGAAAGTATTTTTCAAAGGATTGAATGTCTTACAAACTTTCCCTTAGGGAGAAATCAAAACCCAGGTGGATTTTAATATACCTTCTAAAAATTAGAACATCTTTTCTACAAATGACTTTTCATAAGGCCAGAATAATAGTTATCAGAAAATCTGAAAAAAATATTAGGAGAAAAAATTAGAGGTTTATATTTTCCAGGAACATGGATGTAAAGGGATTTTAAAATAAATAAATATAGACCAAATTATACTATAGGTAAGAATAACTCATCAAAAGCAAATTTAATTTATTATGAAATACAATTTTGACATTATACTTGAAAATCAATGTATCACATTAGCAGATAAACTGGAAGGATAATATTGATCTCTAATACATAAAAAATAGCCATAATATCAATTCAACATAACACATTATAGCTAAAACTTGCTGTGTGAAGACCAGAGAAAGGCTGTTGGGAAAGGTTGTCTTTTATATATTTTTGCTTTTCTTTTTTTATTCTTATTAATATATAGGCTCTTAGGTTTGTATTGATGTGTTTTGCATTAAAATCTATTTTTTCTAATATATATATATATAATTTAGCTTTACTTAGGTCTATATTTACATAGTGCATTTCCTTCCTTTATTTCCTGAAGAATTTATTTTACTTGTATCAATTGCAAAGAGCAGGTAGTTGGATTTTAAATTTATAAATCTAATCCCTGTATTGATTATTAAAGTCTGTTGGTTATTTTCTATACACTTTTTTTGCATTTCTATGTATTACTCTCTTTCTTTCATCTTTTTCTCTTTCCTAACATCTATTAGGCTGAATAATTTTTCTTGAGGTACATCTTTTGATTGCTACTGGCTCATTTTGAAACAAAATGGAATATGGTTATTCTCTTAGTAATTATCTTTAAATTAAGAAGTTAGGTAAATAGCCGTCAATCTACCTAACAAAATGCTTAGGTTTTTCCAACTTCTATTCCTTTTCCAAGTACAAAAAAAAATGTAGCATACTTCAGTTACATTTGAAACACTTTCCTTACTCACTACATTCTACCTGGTGACAATTATTTTTTCGTGGTGAAGGGAAAGGAGTTATTTTAAACATATAGAGGTTATTTCAAATAACAATGATTAATTCAATTAGCTGGCATATTTATCAATGCACATGTTTGGTAATGTTGCATAAATCTCTCACCTTCTATTTTGTTCACTTTTCTTCTCCCTAAGGAACTCCTTTAATAAATTTCTTAGAGGTGGGCAGTGTGGGAAAGTATTAATAGCTATGCCTTTGCAAATGTCCTCACTTTTGAATAATATTTTAGCCAGGCATAAAATATTATTTTTTTAGTTCTTTCTATTCATAATTTGAATTTATCTTTCCACTGGGTTCTCTTACCCATCTTTTAATTTATAATGTGTTTCACTGTCATAATTTAGAAAAAAGTCCTTGATATTTTGAGTTTCATTATGATGCTTCCAAACCTGTAATCATCATAGGTAATACTTTTCCAATCTAAATTCTCTAGTGTTAAATTAGGAAATTTCTAGGTATGATTATTTTTAAATTGCTTCTCTGTTATTCAATGTTTCAAGATTAAGACAACTCCTACAGTAATATACGCCAATCCAAGAACTAAATGTACTGTGTTTATTTCTAATTGAATGCTGAAAGAGGAGCACTGAAGTGGTTTGTATTACTTTCTCTGTAATAATATGCAGTAGCTTAGCAATGAAAAGATTGCAATCTGGATTTTAGTTGGTTTAGACTTTATATTTTTTAACAGAAAACCACAGCAAGAAAGCCAAAATGATTTCTATCTGCTTTCAGATGGGTAAGATTGCTCCATTTCAGAGGTTAAAACAATTTAAGCCAACCATTGTATTTTTCAATCTAATGCCATCAGTTCCAGTGGTTATTGGAAAATATCTCTATATTTTAAAAATAAGTTAAATGACTGTCTCAGTTTTCCATATTGTTTTGTTTGTATGTTTTTTTGTTTGTTTTCATAGAGTTTTTTTTTGGAAAAGATAAAAGGGCCTCTATCAGGGATTGGTAGCTGTGTGTTTAAATCAGTTATACTTTAAGGTGAAAGAATTTGGAGAAACCAATCATTGGCAAGACACTTTAGTTCAATTAATTATACTTAGCTAACTAACTGCATAAAGTAGAAAGGATGTTTGTATGGCTGGCGGTAAAACTGAAGCTAATATTACCCAAATAATGTACTGAATTTGACATTAAACCTATGATGGGCCAATGTGGCTTGTATTGCAGCATTTGTGTGAAAGAAATAAAGAGAAAGAAAACTGATGCACGTGGTAGAGATCTAATTTTTTCTTTAAAATCAGCAATGGAAAATAAGATAGAAATTACTAAAACTGCAAATAAACGGCAAAAAAACTGTAAATAAAAACTGCAAATAAAACAAAGCTGGAAACCATCATTCTCAGCAAACTATCGCAAGGACAAAAAAACCAAACACCACATGTTCTCACTCATAGGTGGGAATTGAACAATGAGAACACTTGGACACAGGAAGGGGAACATCACACACCGGGGCCTGTCATGGGGTGCAGGGACGGGGGAGGGGTAGCATTAGGAAATATACCTAATGTAAATGATGAGTTAATGGGTGCGGCACACCAACTTAGCACATGTATACATACAAACCTGGACGTTGTGCACATATACCCTAGAACTTAAAGTGTAATAATGATAATAAAAAAAGAACGCAATCTTGGTTCTTAAGGTATACAAAATATTCACTATTTCTTATAAAATATCTCATTATCTTATATAATAAGGAATGATAAGCATAATGGCTTTAAAAATCATGTAATTTCAAAATGCATTTTTTTTTTTTAGGTTTTAAAATTTACAAAGTAAAACAAGACTGAGCATGGTGGCTTATGCCTGTAATCCCAGCACTTTGGGAGGCCAAGGTGGGTGAATCACTTGAGGCTAGGAGTTCAAGACTTGGCCAACATGGTGAAACTCTGTCTCTACTAAAACTACAAAAATTAGCCAGGTGTGGTGGTGCCCACCTGTAATCCCAGCTACTTGTGAGGCTGAGGCAAGAGAATCGCTTGAATCTGGGAGAACAAGGTTGCAGTGAGCCGAGATTGCACCACTGCGCTCCAGCCTGGGCAACAGAGCAGAGCTCCATCTCAATAAGAATAAAAGAATAAGGACTAAAACAAAATAAAGACAACTTCAATTAAAATAGATGTTCCTAATGTGAATAAACTCAACTTCAGTCCATTAGACTGAAAATATCTAGTGGAAAAATGAAAATAAATTAGTGATTTTTTTTTAATGTAAAGGCAGGCTCCTTAAGGAAAAATAAAATAAAAAGAAATATGGGAATAGGTCCTCAAAAGATATATATGTTCACCAATATGACTGTTGTATTGCCCTTTGGCAATATATAAATCTGATTATAGCTGGTGACTAATAATAGTTATTTCTCCTGACACTTTGAAACCAAGAGCAAAAATACACACACTCACACACACTCATTCACTTTTCTCTATTATCTAAATCATTCTAACATATACTCTTTTTGCTCTGGGTTGCTTTTAAAAATGTTTAAAATACTTCACTGAGCATCTCATTACCGACAGAAAGCTGTATTTAGCAGAAAATTATTCTCACCCATAGAAATGACATTTTAATTTTAGACTGCCAAAGTAAGTTTTACTAGAATGTCTTTAATCACTGCCTTGGGGTGACACCTGGGGAAAATGATTTCGTGCAGATTAGAGCATTCAAACATAATGTTGAAAATGTCCAGTTAATTTCCATTTGTGGTCAGTGAAATGTAGCTCAATAAATAATGATACTGATAAACATTTAAATTGACAATATTTAATTCATTTGTATTTATTAATGTAATTAATTTTGTTTACTAGTCTTTAGTCAATTGATAATTTTTGAATATACTGTAATATAATAACATTTTATTTATTTTTATTATACTTTAAGTTCAAGTGTACATGTGTACAATGTGCAAGTTTGTAACATATGTATACATGTGCCATGTTGATGTGCTGCACCCATTAACTCATCGTTTACATTAGGTATATCTCCTAATACTATCCCTCCCCCTCCCACCCCATGACAGGCCCGGGTGTGTGATGTTCTCCACCCTGTGACCAAGTGTTCTCATTGTTCAATTCCCACCTATGAGTGAGAACATGGGGTGTTTGCTTTTTGTCCTTGTGATAGTTTGCTCAGAATGATGGTTTCCAGCTTCATCCATGTCCCTGCAAAGGACATGAAATCATCCATTTTTATGGCTGCATGGTATTCCATGGTGTATATGTGCCACATTTTCTTAATGCAGTCTATCATTGATGGACATTCCGAGTCTTTGCTATTGTGAATAGTGGCACAATAAACATACATGTGCATGTGTCTTTATAGCAGCATGATTTATAATCCTTTGGGTATATACCCAGTAATGGGATGGCTGGGTCAAATGGGATTTCTAGTTCTAGATCCTTAAGGAATGGCCACACTGTTTTCCACAATGGTTGAACTAGTTTACAGTCCCACCAACAGTGTAAAATTGTTCCTATTTCTCCACATACTCTCCAGCACCTGTTGTTTCCTGACTTTTTAATGATCACCATTCTAACTGGCGTGAGATGGTATCTCATTGTGGTTTTGATTTGCATTTCTCTGATGGCCAGTGATGATGAACATTTTTTCATGTATCTGTTGGCTGCATAAATGTCTTCTTTTGAGAAATGTCTGTTCTTATCCTTTGCCCACTTTCTGATGGGGTTGATTTTTTCTTGTAAATTTGTTTAAGTTCTTTGTAAATTCTGGATATTAGCCCTTTGTCAGATGAGTAGATTGTGAAAATTTTCTTCCATTCTGTTCACTCTGATGGTAGTTTATTTTGCTCTGCAGAAGCTCTTTAGTTTAATTAGATCCCATTTGTCAATTTTGGCTTTTGTTGCCATTGCTTTTGGTGTTTTAGTCATGAAGTCCTTGCCCATGCCTATGTCCTGAATTGTATTGCCTAAGTTTTCTTCTAGGGTTTTTGTGGTTTTAAGTCTAGCATTTAAGTCTTTAATCCATCTTGAATTAATTTTTGTATAAGTTGTAAGGAAGGGATCCAGTTTCAGCTTTCTACATATGGCTAGCCAATTTTCCCAGCACTATTTATTAAATAGGGAATGCTTTCCCCATTTCTTGTTTTTGTCAGGTTTTTCAAAGATCAGATGGTTGCAGATGTGTGGTATTATTTCTGAGGGCTCTGTTCTGTTCCATTGGTCTATATCTCTGTTTTGGTACCAGTACCATGCTCTTTTGGTTACCGTAGCCTTGTAGTATAGTTTCAAGTCAGGTAGTGTGATGACTCCAGCTTTGTTCTTTTGGCTTAGGATTGTCTTGGCAATGTGGGCTCCTTTTTGATTCCATATGAACTTTAGAGTAGTTTTTTCCAATTCTGTGAAGAAAGTCATTGGTAGCTTGATGGGGATGGCATTGAATCTGTAAATTACCTTGGGCAGTATGACCATTTTCACGATATGGATTCTTCCTACCAATGAGCGGGGAATGTTCTTCCATTTGTTTATGTCCTCTTGTATTTTGTTGAGCAGTGGTTTGTAGTTCTCCTTGAAGAAGTCCTTCACATCCCTTGTAAGTTGGATTCCTAGGTATTTTATTCTCTTTGAAGCAATTGTGAATGGGAGTTCACTCATGATTTGGCTCTCTGTTTGTCTGTTATTGGTGTATAAGAATGCTTGTGATTTTTGCACATTGATTTTGTATCCTGAGATTTTGCTGAAGTTGCTTATCAGCTTAAGGAGATTTTGGGCTGAGACGATGGGGTTTTTTAAATATACAATCCTGTCATCTGCAAACAGGGACAATTTGACTTCCTCTTTTCCTAATTGAATACCCTTTATTTCTTTCTCCTGCCTGAATGCCCAGGCCAGAACTTCCAACACTATGTTGAATTGGAGTGCTGAGAGAGGGCATCCTTGTTTTCTGCCAGTTTTCAAAGAGAATGCTTCCAGTTTTTCCCCATTCAGTATAATACTGGCTGTGGGTTTGTCATAAATTGCTCTTATTATTTTCAGATATGTGCCATCAATACCTAGTTTATTGAAAGTTTTTAGCATGAAGGGCTGTTGAATTTTGTCAAAGGCCTTTTCTGCATCTATTGAGATAATCATGTAGTTTTTGTCTTTGGTTTTGTTTATATGATGGATTACCTTTATTGATTTGTGTATGTGAACCAGCCTTGCATCCCAGGGATGAAGCCAACTTGATCGTGGTTCATAAGATTTTTGATGTGCTACTAGATTTGGTTTGCCAGTATTTTATTGAGGATTTTTGCATCGATGTTCATCAGGGATATTAGTCTAAACCTCTCCTTTTTTTGTTGTGTTTCTGCCAGGCTTTTGTATCAGGATGATGCTGACCTCATAAAATGAGTTAGGGAGCATTCTCTCTTTTTCTATTCATTGGAATAATTTCAGAAGGAACGGTACCAGCTCCTCTTTGTACCTCTGGTAGAATTTGGCTGAGAATCCATCTGGTCCTGGACCTTTTTTGGTTGGTAGGCTATTGATTATTGCCTCAATTTTAGAGCCTGTTATTGGTCTACTCAGAGATTCAACTTCTTCCTGGTTTAGTCTTGGGACGGTGTTTGTGTTCAGGAATTTATCCATTTTTTCTAGATTTTCTAGTTTATTTGTGTAGAGGTGTTTCTAGTATTCTCTGATGGTAGTTTGTATTTCTGTGGGATTGGTGATGATGTCCCCTTTATCATTTTTTATTGCGTCTATTTGATTCTTCTCTCTTTTCTTCATTATTAGTCTTGCTAGCAGTCTATGAATTTTGTTGATCTTTTCAGAAAGCCAGCTCCTGGATTCTTTGATTTTTTGAAGGATTTCTTATGTCTCTATCTCCTTCAGTTCTGCTCTGATCTTAGTTATTTCTTGCCTTCTGCTAGCTTTTGAATGTGTTTGCTCTTGCTTCTCTAGTTCTTTTGAGTGAGTTGCTTAATTCTGAGTTCCAGTTTGATTGCACTGTGGTCTGAGTGACAGGTTGTTATAACTTCTGTTCTTTTACTTTTGCTGAGGAGTACTTTACTTCCAACTATGTGGTCAATTTTGGAATAAGTGCGATGTGGTGCTAAGAAGAATGTGTGTTCCACTGATTTGGGGTGGAGAGTTCTGTAGATGTCTATTAGGTCCGCTTAGTGCAGAGCTGACTTCAATTCCTGGATATCCTTGTTAACTTTCTGTCTCGTTGATGTGTCTAATGTTGACAGTGGGGTGTTAAAGTCTCCCATTATTATTGTGTGGGAGTCTAAGTCTCTTTGTAGGTCTCTAAGGACTTGCTTTATGAATCTGGGTGCTCCTGTATTGGGTGCATATATATTTAGGATAATTAGCTCTTCTTGTTGAATTGATCCCTTTACCATTATGTAATGGCCTTCTTTGTCTCTTTTGATCTCTTTAGTTTGAAGTCTATTTTATCAGAGACTAGGATTGCAACCCCTGCCTTTTTTTGTTTTGCATTTCCTTGGTAGATCTTCCTCCATCCCTTTCTTTTGAACCTATGTGTGTCTCTGCACGTGAGATGGGTCTCCTGAATGCAGTATACTGATGGGTCTTGACTCTTTATCCAATTTGCCAGTCTGTGTCTTTTAATTGGAGCATTTAGCCCATTTACATTTAAGGTTAGTATTGTTATGTGTGAATTTGTTCCTGTCATTATGATGTTAGCTGGTCATTTTGCTCTTTAGTTGATGCAGTTTATTCCTAGCATCGATGGTCTTTACAATTTGGCATGTTTTTGCAGTGGCTGGTACTGGTTGTTCCTTTCCACGTGTAATGCTTCCTTCAGGAGCTCTTGTAAGGCAGGCCTGGTGGTGACAAAATCTCTCAGCATTTGCTTGTGTGTAAATGATTTTATTTCTCCTTCACTTATGAAGCTTAGTTTGGCTGGATATGAAATTCTGGGTTGAAAATTATTTTCTTTAAGAATGTTGAATATTGGCCTCACTCTCTTCTGGCTTGTAGAGTTTCTGCTGAGAGATCAGCTGTTAGTCTGATGGGCTTCCCTTTGTGGGTAACCCAACCTTTCTCTCTGGCTGCCCTTAACATTTTTCCCTTCATTTCAACTTTGGTGAATCTGACAATTATGTGTCTTGGAGTTGCTCTTCTCGAGGAGTATCTTTGTGGCGTTCTCTGACAATTGTTTTAGTTTGTTTTTGTTTTGCGTGTTTGTTTGTTAACGAGTTCTTGTTAAGTTTGCCAGGTTGGTCTCAAACTCCTGCCTTCAAGCAATCCTGCTGCCTCAGCCTTATGATAATTATTTTTGGTCTCAGTTTCTTTGCTGAATTGTGTTAACTTTTTTTCAGCTTTTCATATTGAAGTAATTTTAGATTTACAAAAGAGATGCAAAATTCAGTTGTTGATTATAAGTAATATAATAAAATTTTAAAAATTCAGTTGTTGATTATAATGTAATACTAAACACAGAAATTTTCAGTTCATTTTGTCTCTTTTTATTCTTAAAATTTCCTCTGTACTTTTTCTATTAGAGAAATTTCCTGTGCTTTATAAAGCTAAACATTTTTTCAGAGAAAACTTAAAATATAGCTTTGAAATTGTGCCTGACAGTCAAATTTATATAGCTTATTTTTTCATTTTATTATCATTCTATTATTTATTATTCAATTTATTTAAACAATTGCTTATTCATCCCCCAGTGTACACCAAGGTAACTGGCTTGATAATAAAATGAAGAAGAAAACAATCAAAAATCTTTGCCCTCATTAAGAATACTGCCTCTTGGGAAAGACATTCATTAGCCAAATACTCCTACAAACAAATTTATTAGTGTGATAACTGTTGTTATACTTTTATACTAGACATTCATAGCTCAATGGTAGTAACTACCAAATTTACCTTTTATCCTTAGATTGTTTTTGCTGCTATTGAGGGAGGGACAAAAATCTCATTTTTAAAAATTATGCATGGTAAATTGTATTTGTAATGTATGGTAAGTTGAATTAAAAATGTAGTCTATTTAAAACTCAAAATCATAAATCTTATTATCTCATGTTTAATATCTTTAAGGAAGATATATAAGTGTGTGTATGTTTAATATATACATAACTGGAATGTGTAAATAACAAGGAAAGAATGATAACAATGTCACCAAGCAATTTGCTAGAAATTGTGCAGTATATATTTTCATAATGTCTGAATTACAATTTTTTTTTTTTTTTTTTTAGATGGAGTCTCACTCTGTCACCCAGGCTGGAGTGTAATGCTGCTATCTGGTCTCGCTGCAACGTTTGCCTCCTGGGTTCAAGCGATTCTCCTGCCTCAGTAGCTAGGAATCCTGAGTAACTAGGACTATAGGTGCATGCTACCACACCCTGCTAATTTTTGTATTTTTAGTAGAGACGGGTTTTCACCATGTTGGCCAGGCTGGTCTCGAACTCCTGACCTCAAATGATCTGCCTGCACTGGCCTCCCAAAGTGCTGAGATTACAAGCGTGAGCCACCATGCCCGGCCCTGAATTACATTTTGTAACATACATTCCCTAAACTTGCTCACTCCACCACAAACACATAAGGCTGCAAAATTAATATATTTAGATGCCAGAAAAACAAAATCCCAATGGTCCTAGTATTGTTTAAATTCAATTTTCAAATTATTTAAAAAATAATTTAGACTTATGCAATATTTTCAAGAGGTCTGGTAAATCAAAATATCTAAGTAAGGAAACATAAAAATGCTTAAACTTTGTGAGGTAATATTCAAAATGAATATACAGAATTTAATAACCTTCAACTTAATTAGTCAAGAAAATATTGAGTAATATACATAATAATATTTAACTGAATCCATTTTGCTTGTGAGGAAGGTCAGAGATTCATTTACAGTACCATTATCTCTCAAATATGAAATGTTACATAGATAGTCTCTTAGTTCTGACAGCTACAGAATGTTGCCACAGCAACCAGAAAAGGTTGAAAACAAAAATCAATGCAGTCAAAAGTAGAATGGCTAAAGTTAAACCATGTTTTGGAAATAGGTTTGCAGTTTCTATTGCAAAAACTATGAATTAGTCCACTAAATATTTTTAAACCAAACATGCACATACTTCTTTTCAATTAAAAAAAATGCTATGTTTCACTAGTAATTTACTTAATGACTGCATTACTAAGCAATTCTTCATGAGGTTTGATCAATAATCTGGTTGATATATTGAATAAAAACCAGTACTTTCATCATTTTACAATAACGAAAAATTAATCAGGTCTTAATATATTAAATTAACTCTTTTTGTTGGATACTGTAACAGCAATATGGCATTTACTTCTAATTCAAAACTCACACTCTACAACTTCATTCTGAATGTTAGTTATAAGAATTAGATAATCATAGAAAGAGGGAATAGAAAATAGCTTAGAGATTCTTCTCAAGTTTCTGTTAATAGTTGCATGCAGAAATAGCACTCTGATATTCTGAGCCCTATTTTTTCATAGATATTTTAAAAGTTTAGTATAAACAATGGCATTTCAATATTAGCAAATATTATTCTAAATTTGTCCGAGTTAACCTATGACTATGACTTGATCACAATCATCATGAATTCCCAAATGTTTTCGTGTTTTCAAGTACACAAATAAATTCCAAAAGCCCATATTTTTTTTTCTGATTGACTACAGAAATCTATTACCTCTAATTATGCTTTTTATCAGCTTTCCTGAGTTTTAAGTGGCATACAAGCATGTGAATATGTTTAAAGTGTAAATTTGTAAATATTTCTTGAAACTATCACTACATTCAATGTAATGAATATATTTATCTCCTACAACAGTTTTCCATTACCTTTTTGTAAAGCTTTCCTCATGTTTCTTCTCATGTCGCACTCCTCCCATCCTCAGGCAAAAATGTATCTGTTTTGTCTGAGTATAGATAAGTTTGTTCAAAGATTGTGACATACTTTTTGGTCTGGGGTTTTTTTTTTTTTTTTTTTTTTTTTTGAGACAGAGTGTCACTCTCTCGCCCAGGATGGAGTGCAGTGGCATGATCTCGGCTCACTGCAACCTCCCCAACCTGGGTTCAAGCGATTCTCCTGCCTCAGCCTCCCGAGTAGCTTGGGCTACAGGTGCATGCCACCATGTCCAGCTAATTTTTGTATTTTTTAGTAGAGATGGGGTTTCACCACGTTGGCCAGGATGGTCTCAATCTCTTGACCTCATGATCCACCCGCCTCAACCTCCCACAGTGCTGTTAAACTTATAATTATTAATATTTTGGGAATCATATGTATTGCTCCATGTACCAATAGTTCATCTAACTTTATTGCTGATTAGCGTTCCATTTTATGGTTGTATCACAAAGTTTATCCATTGATCTGTTGACGGACATTTCAGTAGTTTCCAGATTCTGGCTCTTGCAAGTGAAGTTCATATAAAAGTTCATGTGCCTATCTTCGTATGGACATATGCTTTCATTTCTCTGGGATAGATACATAGAAGTGTAATGATTAAGTGTTACGGTAGTTATTTAATTTTTTAAGAAACTGCCAAACTGCATTTCAAAGTGGTTGTGTCATTTTACATTCCCACCAGCAGTGTATGAGAGAATCTAACAGTTTACATATTTTTATTTTGTTTATTGTCCCAAAATTTACTTTACTCTGATTTTTAATTGAAATATCACAATTAACCAATTTTTTAAAGTTTTTCCAAGCACAGATGGATAAAACTTATTCTCTATTGAATTTCTCAAAAAGACATATAAGTGCAAAATTACCTGAGTTATATTTTAAATTGCTTTACTATAATTTCAACATATGAAGGAAAGCTTAGCTAGGTGCAAAATCTTAGGAACTAAGTTTTCTTTCCTTGAGTTTCTTTAAAAGGTTGTGTTAATGTTATTTGCTTTGTATGTTGATTTTGAGAAGTCTCTTGTTAATCTAATTTTTTCTTTCATTTGCAAGTAACTTGTTCTTTTCAATTGGAGTCCCTGTGGAGTGTTCCCCTGTTTTCTCAAGGCCCACAACTTATTAATATATTTTAGATATGACCCTTTTAAATGAATAGAATCAGGTCTTTTTTCAGTTTCAGAATATTTTTAAATTATAGTCTGAAAATCAATTATTCACCTCAGGGACTCCAATTTTGCCTGTTTTGAATTTCTTTTTCCTATCTTCCATGTTATCTACTTTCTCTCTAACATTTATTATTTATTTTATTTTATTTTATTTTTATTCTATTGGCTGATTTCATGTTTGTATTCAATATACCTAATTAAACTTTTCAGTTGAATCTCATCTATCTTGGTATCTTGATAATTTTATCTTTATTTCTCCGACAACTGTTTTAGTTTGTTGTTGTTTTGGGTGTTTGTTTGCAGAGACGAGTTGTTACATTTGCCAGGTTGGTCTCAAACTCCTGCCTTCAAGCAATCCTGCTGCCTCAGCCTTAAGACAATTATTTTTGGTCTCAGTTTCTTTGATGAATTGTGTTAATTTTTTTCAACTTTTCATTTTGAAATAATTTTAGATTTACAAAAGAGATGCAAAAATAATTGAGAGTTATACTCTTCATCCAAATTCCTCCAATATTAACATTTTATTGACCAACAGTTAACGTTTAGTTTAATTTAAGGAATTGACATTGATAAATACTGTTAACTAGATTGCAGATTTTATTGAATGTCCCCAGCTTTTCTACTAATGTCTTTTTTTTTTCTGTTCCAGCATCCAATAAAGGATGACTTGTTTGACTCTAATCTGTCACAATTTCTTAGTCTTTTCTTGTTTTTCATAACCTTAACAATTTGAGGCATAATAATCTGGCATTTTATAGCAAATTTATATACCTTTAAATTTAAATATCTTTAAATTTGTTGTTGCCTGATATTTTCTCATGATTATGCTGGTGTTATGGATTTTTGAAAACAATACAAGTCAGCTGAAGTCCCCTTTTATCACATTATCAAAGGTTGTATTTTATTGACATAACTTTTTTTTCTTTTTCACTTTGAGACGGAGTATCAGCTCTTGTCACCTCCGCCTCCCCAGTTTAAGCGATTATCCTGCCTCACCCTCCCGAGTAGCTGGGATTACAGGCCCATGCCACCACGCCTGGCTAATTTTTATATTTTTAGTAGAGACAGGGTTTCACCATGTTGACCAGGCTGGTCTGTAACTCCTTACGTCAGGTGATCCGCCCGCCTCTGCCACCCAAAGTGCTGGGATTACAGGCATGAGCCATTGCACCTGGCCGACATCACTTTTTACTGATGATTTTAGTCTTGATAACTTAATTAAGGCAGATGCCAGTTTCTCCAATGCAAATTTTTTCTTCTTCTTTTTTTTTTTTTTTTGTCAATCTTTGTCCACTTTTGCTTTGTATATTTGTATTCCTGATTTGAGAGTATTTTCTTTGCATATCTGTAAGTGCTTCTTTTAAAGAGTATTTAATCATATTAGGACATTTTGTAACAATTTTATCTGCTTCATGTTTGGTTTGGGGGAAGAATTTTTACCATGTGAAATATTTCAATTTTATTTCCTTTTTCATCCATACTTAACTTTCGTTCGTTACTTTTTTCTTTAATGTGAAACATTTTTGTGAATGTTAAATAACAGTTATAAGCAGGCAGTGTGAATTTTTGAGGTTGCTTAACTACAGGTCCTTGGTTAAAGGCTCTTTTGTTGGTATAGTCAATGTCCTACTTATTTGGTTGTGAGATTTATTCTAGGACTCTTAATTTTCTTCTTTCTTTTTCTTCCTCTTTGTTACAAAATCTGCTATGGTTGCCTCTCCCGTCCAAATTTTCCCATGTTTCAGGGAACGGTACTCCTTTACATTGTCGTGTGAAATTTTAGACTCTTCTTTACTGAAAATTCCCAGCCCATTGCCAGGTTCCTGGAGTTAGTTCTGCTGGATTTGAGTTTATTTTCCTACTTACAGATAATTTGAAACTTGTTGTCTGTTCTATCTCATTGTTATGCCAAAAGTATGGGTGATATTATATCCCCTCCTTGTTGTTCAGCATGATTTTAATGTAAAATGTGTGGCGAGATTCAGATTTAGGAGGCCGTCATTGTGTGAACTCTTTATTTAATCATCATTCTTTTCACTAACAATAGAAATTCTTTTAAATTTAGAAGAACTATGATATAAAAATAATAATTATCTGTTCTGGATTTTCTAGTCAATGATTATAAAGACAATACTTTAAACACAGACTTTTAGGAACTATTTTGGAAGAAAAAAGATGACATTTCCAGTCTGATTTAATCTTGACTATTTTTCACATTTCAGACATAAAACATTCATACAGTGTGTTGACTCATTTCAATCATGTTATTAATCAGTATTCTTTTGGAAGTTTCTTGCCAGAATTTAAAAAATGAGAAAAACTAAAACTGCCAATAAGAATTGTATATCAGCCTCACAGTTTATTTTTTATTTCCCCACATCATCAAAAATTCTTTAAATGGTGTGATCTTGAAAATTTTTCACCTTCAATGCTTCTGAATCCACATCATTCTTCAAGATTGCTTATTCCAAGAAACAAGTCAATGGAAAATATTATTTGAAGGAAAATTACCTCCTGTTTTATTTTCTTTAGTTTTCTATCTACAAATGCAATAGTCAATAGCTATGAAAAGGTCTCAAAGAAGAAAATTATGGCTTTGAGACCTTTGTTAAGAGGCTCTCAAAACCTGATTTCTAGGGTGTAGAATGAGCTATTTCAGTAGCATTTACTATTTATATTAATTATAAAATGTCATGATACTATTTATGTTAATTGTGAATAGTGTTCTCTTTGTTAGAGTATAAGGTTATATTTCATTACTAATGCACAACATTTTTATTATAAATGTTCAAACCAGTTTTATTATTATAAATTTCTTTATCATTTATTCAACAAATATTAACTCCGCATCTACTGTACTTAGTTTAGAAAATAATGATGAATATGTTATTGTCCCAGTATTCAGGGCAGCAGTGAATCCATCATTCGAATGCAGAAAGAATTTAGGGCAGCAATCTAGTTGCCTAGAAAACAAAGGAGTCATGTCTATGTTGACATAAATTAAATTAAGCTTGCCCTGAGGCTGTCTCTGTTCTTTGATTTTATATGTAGCACACTACAAGCAACTTAGTATATTCTTAACAACCTGGGGGTATATTTTTATAACAAGTAGCTGAGTTACAGCCCATCATAGCAGCTGAGCTTCAGCCAATCATAGGCTACAACTCTTCAGATCATGTCCATATAAATCAAATGCCTCATGACACCATGCCCAAAAAAGGCCAATGCTGAGCTGAAACCAATCAAGCTGTTTCTATAAATCACTTCCTTTTATTGTCTATAAATACAGCCTGCCCACATTGTTGGGTAGAGCTCTATGAACCTTTCCTGGTTCTGAGTGCTACCTAATTCATTAATCATTCTTTCTCAAATAAACTATGCTAAGGTTGATCTGTCTAATTGTTTTTCTTTTAACATCTAGTAGCTTAATTTCCCTGACTTTCACCCGTTTTTGAGATACACATTTCTTTGCAGTGGACTGGGACATAGTGATACAGATTAAAATCAGATTATCTGATTTCCCAATTTCTCACAAACTAAAGCACAGTCACTACCTCAAGGATGTTGCTGGTAAGGAATGATTAGAAAGAAAGGAGGCAGTTGCAATTCAATGATCAAATAAGAAATAGGTATGGCAGAGGTACTAAGAAGGAGAATACCTTGGAACTCTGGAAGAATAGTTGCCAAATCTGGGATATGATGAGGGGAAAGGAGATACTCAAGCATCCTAAGTGGAACAGACTTCCAGATAGAAGAAACAAAGTCAGTCCAGAGATAAGTCTTCTCTGGAAAGGAAATTTTAAGTAAGCCTGGTATATAAAGTGTGGGAGATAAGAGTAGGTAGAGTGAAAATGGGAGATATAAAGAATTGACAAATACCTTAAGTCTCATAGACAGCAATGCAGAGTTTTAAGCAACTTTCATGTTAAATAACTACTTTGCCTAAGTTATGTAAAATGAAGGAATGGGGATGGAAATGTGAAGAGTGGAATCTGTACAGTAATCCAGAGAGATATGATGATGTCATAAGATATGAAAGGTGATACAGAGTCTTAGAAAAATAGGCTCATAATGGTTAACTTTAAGAATTATTTTAGGCCAGGTGCAGTGGCTCACACCTGTAATCCCAGCACTTTGAGAGGCCAAGGCAGGTGGATCATGAGGTCAGGAGTTCAAGACCAGCCTGGCTAAGATGATGAAACCCTGTCTCTACTAAAAACTACAAAAAAATTAGCCTGGCACAGTGGCAGGCACCTGTAATCCCAGCTACTCGGGAGGCTGAAGCAGGAGAATCACTTGAACCTGGGCGGCAGAAGCTGCGCTGAGCCAAGATTGCGCCACTGCACTCCAGCCTGGGCGACAGAGTGAAACTCCATCTCAAAAAAAAAAAAAGAATTATTTTAAATAATATAATCAGTTTAGTCTTTGAGACAGTAAATTTCACAATGGTGAAAGACATGGCTTAAAACAAAGTGTTCAAACAAGAAAAGGCATTAGAAAATTATTATAGTGAGTCACATTGATACATACAATTCATATTAAATTGTGTCAACACTAAAATTTATATGTTAGAGATTTATACTAATTATATTTTACATAGTGCAAAAAATTATTTTCTGATAATCAAAATCTTACTCATATAAATAGCTTGACATATTCTTATTAGTTTATACCTAATAAAATAATCATTTAAATCAAAAGTAACACAATGAGAATGCTCATTTAAGTACGTAGAAATGAACAGTGCTAACAGATAATCACTGCTATCTGTTGATCTCAAGCAATGGATGAATAAAACAAATAAATAGTATGTGTTAAACAAATGCATTCAAAAATACAAGAAATATTGTGAGCAGCACAAAATATTTATATTAATTTAGATATTTATTACTTTTTAGTGGCATGTTCTCTATTCTCCATTATATTTTAAACATCTCAAAACTGGTTTTGTCATGCAATTTATAACCAAGTGTACCTAATTCACTGAATTTAGGAAAACTATTCTCTTTCTTACCTCTAATCTTCTATCTCTATTCCCTTGATATGTTAGCTTTTACCAGCTTCCTAAAGTAGGGCACTTGTTTCCCCCAGAGCTTGCAAAACAATATACAATAAATGGAGGGTTGGCATAAAAGAACATCTGTGCAGAAATGAGATAAAAGCAGATTGTCCAAATGAATAAAAAAAAATACAACACCTTGCTCATCTTGCTTCCTTATATTTTCAGAGAAAATAATATATTAACTGCTTTGGTGAATAGCAGTCCTCATGAAGAATAGTCTTATTTTTCTTATTTTTTGAAACTTTTTTTGAAAGGGAATTTGACAGGAAAGTAACGATTAAGATTTTATAGGAAGGAGAATCTTTCATCTTACAAGCTTTTTTATTTATTTGTAAATAAAATATGGCAAATCAGGTCTAAGAGATCAAATTATTCCATCTGAATTTTTTTTCTTTTTTGAGACAGAGTCTTGCTCTGTCGCCCAGGCTGGAGTGCAGTGGCGCGATCTCAGCTCACTGCAAGCTCCACCTCCCAGGTTCACGCCATTCTCCTACCTCAGCCTACCAAGTGGCTGGGACTACAGGTGTGCACCAACACATCCAGGTAATTTTTTGTATTTTTAGTAGAGACAAGGTTTCACAATGTTAGCCAGTATGGTCTCGATCTCCTGACCTCATGATCCGCCCACCTCGGCCTCCCAAAGTGCTGGGATCCATCTGAATTTTTTAAAAGTTAAACACTTGGGATATAACCTAAAATTTGTTTTGAAACATTTTTCTGGATTATATTTTCTTTCAGTAATAAATTTTTGTAAAGGAAGTAAATAAAATGAAGTAGCACTAATACTGAACTTTGTTTCTAGAAGTTGACATCCAGGAGGGTTTGGATCCAATAAGACTTTTGTTGAGTAAATTATATGAGTAATAAACTTGACACCCTTTGGAATAATCCAGAGCAGAGTAGATATATCTCCTTTAGAATGGTAGGCTTGGGTGTCCATATGATATTGTTCATTTTTTCATACATAGATAACATGATTTTACACACTACTTAAGCCAATCTTTAATACTCAAATTGAAGATATTTAAGCACAGAATATTACTTATTTGAACCTAGGTACTAAGAAGGTATTTTCTTTTAATGCATTCCATTCATTATAGGAAAGAGAGATGGATTATACCTTTGTAGTTGAAAGACAGTTCTCTATAGAAGGAAGAAAGAATATATTATTTGACAGGCTTATTTTTAATTCAGTGACTCTACATTATTTCAAGTACAGAGAAGTGTCTCTAAGGTATCTCATAAAGGCTGTTTACACAGCAATCTATTCATTGCTGTATATCAAATAGAAAAGAGACTATTGTTGGTTTTATGTAAATTTAAACAAAGGCCTTTGTCCATTGAGATGGCATTATATAGTGGTATTATCTGATGTAATTTGCCTGATAATGTGCTCCCTAAATATGTGACACATGCAATGTATTTTGCTTCTTCTCTGCTCAAAGTACTAATTAATCTATGGCCCAATAAACCTACATAAGGCATTGAATGTTTCCTCAGCACCACATTCTATGCAGTCACAAACCATTAAGAAGCTGTAACACTCAAGATGAAACTTTTCTTTGGTTATAATGTTAAATCAAGCTTCAAGATATGCTGGACCAATTCACACTGGGCCTACCGAGACATGGTCATTCCTAGACCAAAAAACAGCTATCAGAACCACTTGTTCAGCCATAAGATTTTTAAAAGCACTAACCATCTCATTTTATTTTATTTGTGGATTATAAATAAAAAATCAGCCAGATGCGGTGGCTCACGCCTGTAATCCCAGCACTTTGGGAGGCCGAGGCGGGCGGATCACGAGGTCAGGAGATCGAGACCATCCTGGCTAACACGGTGAAACCCCGTCTCTACTAAAAACGCACACACAAAAAAATTAGCCGGGTGCGGTGGCGGGCGCCTGTAGTCCCAGCTACTGGGGAGGCTGAGGCAGGAGAATAGCGCAAACCTGGGAGGTGGAGCTTGCAGTGAGTCGAGATCGCACCACTGCACTCCAGCTGGGCGACAGAGCGAGACCTCATCTCAAAAAAAAAAAAAAAAAAAAAAAAAAATCATTGTGCCTGAACACTTTTGAAATTCCTGATATAATAAAAATTATAAAATACCTATAACTTATTAAAAGCTTGGTTAATTTATTAAACTGCTTCATGTTCATAAATTAATTTTTTTTTCTGATGTTATGTTATTTGCTCTACCAGACACATGGAAGCCAGACTGGATAAGTTTTCCCTGGCTTGATATCTAAATAATCTAAAACTTTTTTATTTCTCATGTTCTTGTCAAAATAAAATTAAGTAAAAGACCTAGTCAGAATGGGGGGGCATTCAAAGGAATGAACGTAAGTGCAAAATTGATTTGATTTAGCAAACAAAATTATATAATAAAGGATTTAAGGCATCACATATAATACAAGAAAAAAATGTGTTACGAAATGTCCTGCATTAACGAATTTGAAGAAGAAAGAAGAGCTCCATGAAATTAAAATTGACTGCAAAAACATAAAAGGAACTATAACTATAAAAGAGACACAAATTAAAATCTATAATTAAATGTGCTTATCAACGCTGGTTTCTCACTTAAATAAAGGAACATTCTATTTGATCTTCATGGTTAAAAAGATAAAATGTCCTTAAAACTGACCCTTCTATAAAAATGTAGCAAACTTGGTAGCCAATTTAATGATCCGTAAATGAAGCCAAAAAGTCATAATCTCTCATTAGATGTAACCTATTGATTTCTGGCTATTATGACGACAATAACATAGCTGAGAGAGGTTAAAAGACAAAAGTTCTGATTTAAAGAAAATGAACTCTTGAGAAGCATCATCACTATAAAATTCTGCAGAATAAAAATGATACTGAGCTAGCCAATTAATGTTGGCATTTATTTTCTCCGATAAAATGAAAAAGATGAATAGGTTGATGTGTCCATTGCATGCTCCTAATCAACTCAGGGAAATCTCACATTTTCTATTTCTAATATCTTTCTATATATATTTCACTCTCAATTCAGCAGATTCAATGAATAGATTCTATTCAAAGGCAGCCACCAAAAGTCAATCAGGCAAAAGTTTTATATGTCTTTCTTAGAAATTCTAGGGAGATATTCCAAATAATTTTCTTTAAAAATATCTGCTATAATTTTTTTTTACAAATGAAGGATGAAATTTTCTAATAGCATGATAAGAAATTATTCTAATAACATGATAAAGTTTCCAGTACTATCCTCTAGATATAAAATTGTCCTACTTTGTTTATTATGGAGAAATATTGATTTTGATTATAGAGTTAGGAGAGCTTCTGGAAATTTGTAAGCTCATATATGCTCCACATATAATTCATGAGTGCTTGACAAAACCTCACTTAATAAAACAACAAGAATTCACAGAACTGTCTGTATCTGTGAAACTTGACAATCTGTATTTTGTTATTAAGTATAGTGGGGCAGTATGCATTATTTTTAGTAGCTTGAGCTTTTTCCTAAAGTACATAACTACATTTGCTTTTAAACTAAATCAACTGATTAAATGTGTGACCTTTGGGAATTTAACTAATCTTTCTAAATTCACTTTATAAAGAAGAAACTGATGATATATGTATAATAAGAATACCTTAGTTTTAAATAAGTTAATGTATTTTAAGCACACAGTTGAAGCACCATACTATGTGCTACAAATATAAGTAACCATAAAATGCTACTTTTTATAGTTAATTTTTTGGCAATACTTTGGTCTAAAATTCAGACTTTTAAAAATTATAAGGAAAGATTAGAGGAAGGAAATTTTCCCTTGTTTTTCAGTGGGTTGTTTATGTTTACTGTCATCAGAACTACCAAAAATGTTCATTTGCTAAGTGAATCTGTAAGCTGGGTGCAATAACTTTAAGAGGTTTGCAGTTTAATTGGAGGTTTATTTTGATGCATACAGATATCCAACTCCTCCAGTATTGTTTTTTTTAAAACTGCATTTCCTCCACTAATTGTTTTTTGTGAACTATTAAAAAATTAGCTGAGCAAAAATACTTTTGGAAAATTGCTCCTATATACAAGCAATAAAACCACTGGCAAAAATTTTCAAAATCAACTTTTTAAGATTTTTTTTATCCAAACTTGAAATAATAGAAAAATAATTTAAGAAAAGTGGCTGGATTTCTGTAAGAACAGCAAGGATCGTGGGATTTTATATGTTTTTCTCTTCCTAGCTCTGTGGTAGCTTTAAAAACCAAGAACTTTGGTTCAAGGAATTTAAGAAAGTCTTTATCCAATTTCCACTGATTCTGTGAACTAAGCAAAGACCTCAGTCATCTTGTATGGAAAACAATGCAGACTTGATGAGACTATTCCAGTTAAATCCCTAAACCAATAAACAGCATCAAGAACAAACAAATACAAACTATGGGAGTTATTATTTCTAGAGTTGCCAAATTATATTATTTAAAATGTCCAGTTTTTCAAGAAAAAAGCAAAAGACACTTAAAGAAACAGGAATGTATGGACCATACACAGGGGAAAAGGCAGTCAATAGAAACTGTTCTTGAGGAAGCCCAGAAGTAAGACTTAATTAGGAAAGGTTTAAATTATCTATTATAAATATAATAAAAAAAGAAAGGAAACCATAGCTAAAGGCTGAAAAGAAATTATGAGAATGGAAAAAATGTCTCACTGAATAGAAACGTCAATACAGAGATTGACAAGACCAGCTAACAAAAATGAATGAAATCAAAAAGAGAAAAGAAAAATTAAACAATATTAGTTGGAGACATCATTACCTATTTTCAATAATGAATTAAACAACTAGCAAATTTTTTTAAAAAAACTGAAGACTTGAAAAACAGTATAAACCAACTATACTGAAAAGATGCATATATCACTTAACACAAAAACAGCTAAATAAATATGCTTCTGAATGGCATATGAAATATTCTCCAAGATAGATCATATACGGACCTTAAAATAAGTCTCAGTTAATTTAAAATTTGAAAAAATATAAAGTATATTCTTCATCTGCAATGTTATTAAATTACAAACAAATAATAGAAATAACTTTGAGAAATTCAAAAAATATTTGGAAATTAAAATCTCACACCTAAATAAACATTATCTCAAAATGTTTATAACATACCAAACCTTATGGAATACAACTAAAAGAAGTACTTTGATGAAAGTTTATACCTAGAAACTATTATACCAAAAAGAAAAAAATATGTTAAACCAATAACTAATATTTTACCTTAAGAAATGAGGAAAAGAGAAATTAACTAAATAAAAAAGTAGAAGGAAGGAATTAACGAAAATAAGAAATGAATACATTGGAGTAGAAGAAAGGAGAAAATAAATAAAATAGTGAGCTTTTTAAAAAAATCAACAAAATTGACAAAAATTTAGCTACGTTCTGACTACAAAATACAGGACAAAGAAGACTTAGGTTAATAAGATGGGGAATGAAAGAGCAGGCATTGCTAATACTAATCTGACAGAAATAGCAAAACTCATGAGAATGCTACTAGCAGTGCTAACAAATTAGATAACCAGAATGAAATAGACAAGATCTGAGAAAAACACAAACTGCCTAAACTGACTAAAGAAGAAACAGACCTATAACAAGTAAAGATAATAAATTTTTAATTAAAAAACAATATAAGCAACAATAAAACTTTGTACAAAGAATAGACTAGGCCCAGATGACTTCATTGATGAATTCTATCAAATGTGTAAAGAATTAGCATCAATCTTTCTCAACTTCTAAAATAATAAGAGGAGGAAACACTACCCATATCATTTTATGAGTCTTCATACCAAAACCCAAAGCACTACAAGGAAAGAAAACTACTGACCAATATTTCTTGTGAATGTGAACATAAAAATTGTCAGTAAAATACTAGCAAAGTTAATAAAGCAACATATAAAAAGGATTATATCAGAAGACCAAGTGAGATTTTCCCCAGGAATGCAAGGTTGGTTTTACATATAAAAATAGGGAGCTGCTGGCTGACTAGGCACAGCCAGGTTGAACAGCTGCCACAAAGGGACCAAAATGACTGGTGCACTCCTAACAGATCTTCAGAAGGAAGGCACTGAAAGTGGACAGAGGAAAGGCATACAAGCTGGGCTGAAGGGATAGGAAGCCAGAAACTCTGCACAGGGCTACCTGGAACCAGAACTAGTTCCTGGCCCCACAAAACTCTGAGGGAACAGGTAAGTTGAACTTGCCAAGAGCAACCTGCTTTGGCCATGAGACTCTGAAATTCCGGCAGGAAGAGACCACTTGACCTTCACAGACACTCAAGTTGGCAGGGAGAGCTACTTAGAGAAGTGGTAGGGTCAGTAAGCCAGCTGATATGGAGCCCAGAAGGTTTGGTGTGGGAGCCTCCATAGGATAGCATGGCCAGGGACTGCCATCTCCTAAGGTTAGACTTGTTCCCATAGGAGACATTAGTCCTAGGGGAACTGTTGGACCTGAACTCTGCAGAGTGGTCTTGCCCATAAGACAGACCTGGATTGGCCCGAACACCCTTTGGTTGGCTTGCCTATCCCGGGGCCCCAACCTGGCCATGCCTGCTTGCAAGGCAGCCTCCAGTGCCTTCCGGGCCCACGACGTAGCTCCTGCACTGGCTGACTGTGTCTGATGAGTGGAGAGCTCCCATGGGGCAGCCCCCATGGCCATGCACCAGCTTGGCAGGCTCATACCCCACACTACAGCTTCCCCCAGACCCACAGCAACTCCCCACATAGCTTTCCTTCGCATGTACTCAGGCAGGTTTTGACTTTCTGCCCGGTCAACACGTGTGTGCCTGCATTCTGCCCTGCCACTGCTGTGGTAGGAATGCACTCTGCACCCTGTCCCCCAGCCAAGCACTGCAGTTGGAGCTTTGACAGGCACAGAATCAATCAGTCCCACCCTGCTAGTGCCCCACTCTTGCATCAATACTAGTTTCAACTTGTGTCGAAACTAGTGTTGATGTTGAAACTTGTGTAAAACTCAGCACAGAAAACAGCAGACCTTCCCTGGCCTTGTGCGACCACCTCTGCCTGCCATGCACAGAGAATGCACACAGACTTGCACCCACCAGCACCCCACCCCAGTGCCAACACCACCACCAGTGCACCTGCATGCACAGTCACCAGCAAACAGGTTGCCTCCACCACTGTAGTGAATGTCTGAATGAAGGCAGGCACCTCAGCACCTTCTAGCCCCATGCTGCAGCAGACAAACCTGCACCCTTTAGTACTGTCACTGCCACTGCTGCTGATACATGCAAACGAGGATGGATCCCACTGTCACTGTACTACAAAACGCTTTGTTGGTCTATGTTGGTGAATGTTCATATGAACTGAAATATATATATATATATATATGGTGTTATTGGTAGGTGGGTGTTATATAAATTTCTTATATGTTACATTGGTATGTAGAGCCATTCAGGTCTTCTAATTTGGATCTGTCTATCTTTTAGTTCTATCAGTTTTACCTTTATATATTTTGGATCTCTGTGGTTAAATGCATACAAGTTTACCATCATTATATTATTTTGCTGAATTAACCTTTTTACAGTATGTAATGTTCCTTTTATCCTTGAAAATATTCCTTGCTCTTATGAAAATTTTCTCTAATATTGATATCACAAATTCATATTTAAAAATTGACAACAAGGACATTTAATTATGCCATAGAGCAAGATGTCTGAATGTAAGAGGTCTCAGGTGGGGTAACTTAGCAGCTCAGATGTAGCTGGTCTATGAGTCAGCTTTACTGATATCATTTTTTCTTTCCCTCATTCTCAAAAAATAGCCACCACAGCTTCAAACATCAAATTCTATATTGGGCTGCTATCATCGATAAACATTATGTAACAAGTCGAACAGATGAGATTTCTGCCTTCATGCTGCTGAAAGTCTATGGAAAGTCCAGAGACTGCTTGGAACACTTCCATCTACAGTATCTTAGCTCTTTCTTTCTTTCTTTTTTCATAAAGCACCTTTAAACAAATCAATCTGTGGATCTTGTAAAACTCAGAGGAAGATTATTTTTAATAGACATATTTTTGAAGAGTTTTAGATTCAAAGCAAAATTGAGCATCAAGTACAGAGATTTCTTACAGAGCATAAAGTACAGAGATGTAGAGCCTCTTTTACTATCAATATCCCCCATCAGAGGAGTATATTTATAAAAATTTATGAACTTACTTTGTCATATCATAATCATGAAAGTCCATAGTTTACATTATGGTTCACTCCTAAGGTCATACATTCTTGGGTTTGGACAAATGTGTAATGGCATGTATCCACAATTACAGCATCATACAGAGGAGTTTCACTGTCCTAAAAATCTTCCGTGCACTGCTTATTCATCCCTCTCTCTCCCAGAATCCCTGGCAACCACTGATCTGTTATCTCTCTTCATAGTTTTGCATTTTCCCGAATGTCATATAGTTGGAATCAGTATCTAGCCTTTCCAGATTGGCTTCTTTTATTAGTAATACACACTTAAGATTCCTTCATGACCATGACTTTTCATGGCTTGATTATTCATTTCTTTTTATTACTGAATAACATTTCACTATTTGGAGGTCCACAACTTATTTATTCCTTCACCTATTGAAGGACATCTTGGTTGCTTCCAAGTTGTGGTAATTATGAATAAAACTGCTATAATCATTTATGTACAGATTTTTATGCAGACATAAGTTTTCAACTCCTTTAGGTAAATACCAAAGAGCACAATTGCTCTACTTCGTGGTAAGGGAACATTTAATTTTGTGAGAAACTGCCTAACTTGCCTTCTAAAATGGCTGTACTATTTTATATTATCTCACACAATAAATAAGAGTTACTGTTGCTCTATATCCTTGTTACCATTTGGTGTTGTCAGTATTCAAAATTTTGGCCATTCTAACAGGTGTGTAGTGGTATTTCATTGTTTTAAATTGTAGTTTCCTGATGACATATGATGTTGTACATCTTTTCATGTGGTTATTTGCCATCTGTGTATCTCCTTTGTTGAGGTGTCTACTATGATTTTTGGCCCATTTTTAAATTTTGTTTTTTGTGTTCTTATTGTTGAGATTTAAGTGTTTTTTGTATGTCTTGAATAAAAGTCCTTTATCAGATGTATCTTTTCCAAGTATTTTCTCCTTTCCTTTTTATTGTCTTGACAGTGCCTCTCACAGAGCAGGAAAAAAAAATTAAGGAAGTGCAGCTTATCAATTCTTTCTTTGAGGGATTGTGCCTTTGCTGTGGTATCTAAAAAGTTATTACAAAATCCAAGGACATGTAGATTTTCTCCTGTTATTTTCCCGTAGGTTTATAGTTTTGCATTAGGTGTGTGATGCATTTTAAGTTAACTTTTGTGAAGGGTATAAAGTCTATATCTAGAATCATTTTTGTATGTGAATGTCCAGTTGTTCAAACATGAAAAGACTACCTTTGCTTTATTGTATTGCCTTTGCTTCTTCACCAAAGATCAGTTGATTTCATTTTTGTCAGTATATTTCTAAGATCTTTATCCTGTTTCACTGACCTGTTTCTCTATTTGCCAACACCACATTGTCTCAGTTATTGCAGTTTTATAGTAAGTCTTGAAGTAGGGTAGTGTCAGTCCCCCAACTTTATTCTTCTCCTTCACACCAGCTCACTTGTGATTAGTGTTTAGATAGTTTATATTTTTCATGCTTATAATTGTAATCTATGTCATTATATTTAGTTTATTATAGCCAGCATATAGGTCTTTTTATGCAATATGGTAATTTTTCTCTTTAATTTGGTGCTTTTAGATCATTTGCATTTAAATATGAAAATTATTCAGTTACAGTAACATAGTTATTGACATAATGTGACTTTGGTTTACCATTTTGTGATTTTGTTATTTTAAATTTTTTTAATTTATTTATTTGACTTCCAGCCTACTTTTGGATTACTTGAATATTTTCATTATTCCATTCTGATTTTTAATTGGTCTATTGTATACATTATCTTGAGTGTGTTTTTAGTAGTGATTATAGACCTCACAATATATATGCACAAACTTTTGCAGATTTCATAGTTAATATTTTATTAATATAAATAAAATATCAAAGCCTTACCACTTTATGGACTGTTTATGTTACAGTTGCACTTTTACATACATTGAAAATTTACCAAGATTTTTGCTTTAAATAGTTACACATATTTTAAACTTAAGAGAAGAAAACTAGTTTTTCATATGTACTCAGATGTTTACTATATCATGACTATTTTTCTTGCATTATGTCTAATGTTCCAAGTTTCTCTCTGGCTTCATTTGCCTTTTGCCTAAAAACTAGTGTGTGTGCGTACAGAGACCACCATTCTGATAACAAATTCTCTTAATTTTTCTTTATTTGATAATGTATTTTGCCATCATTTTTAAAGGAGATGATAATTTTATACAGAATTGTAGAAAGACATTTCTGTTTTTCAGCACTTTCAAGCTGTTGTTACAGTCACAGGAATCTGCATTTATTCAAAACATTATCTTATTTCAAATGCCATTTTTCTCTGGCTGCTTTGAAGATTTCTTTCTTTATGCTTGATTTTCAGCAATTTTATTATAATATACGTAGGAAGGCATTTATTTGATGTACTTCAATAGCTTAATGGTAAACTGAGAAATGTACACACAGTAGAATATTATTCAATAATAAAAAGATATGAGCTATCAAGTTACAAAAAGGCATAGAAGAAACTAAAATGTACATTGCTAAGTGAAAGAAGCCAATCTGGAAAGGGTACAGTCCATACAATTCTAATTAACTATATGACATTCTCTAAAAGAAAAAATACGAAGACATGAAACAAAAATCAGTGGCTCTCAGGGTTGAATGGGGAAGGGAAGAAGGAGAAATGAATAGGTGGAGCACAGGGGACTTTTAGGGCATTAAAACTATTCTGTATGATATTGTAATGGTGGACACATGTCATATATTTGTCAAAACCTATAGAATATATAACACAATGAGTGAATTCTAATGTAATCTATAGACTTTGGCCATTAATAATTTATGAATATTGACCCATCGACTATAACAAATGTAGCACATTAATGCAAGATGTTAATAATAGGAGAAACAATGGGTTAGAGAAGGCGAAAAGGGAGAGGGAATCTGTAGGGATTCACTATATACTTTCCACTTAATTTTTCTCTATACTTAAAACTATTCTAAAAATAAGGTCTAATTTTTAAAGTAATAAATACAGGGTTTCTATCAGAGCTTCTACTGCCTTTATAGCCTGATACCACTTTGTGTGGGACTCATCCTAGGATCAATGCCAGAGAAAAGGTAGGACAAAATAAATAAACATAACAGGAAAATCCCTGTCACATAATTCAAGTTTCCCTTTCCCCCACTACATCTATGTGCTTTGCTTAATTTTTAGAGTCCAGAGATAGTTGATGTATGTGTGTGTGTGTGTGTATGTGTGTGTGTGCATATGTGTGTGTGTGCGTGTGCATATTTCAGAGTTGAACTGGCAGAGTTATACTGTAGTGGTTTACACATCTTGGCCAAGATCAGAAATCTTCACTGCAATTGTTAAAATTATAGTATTAAACCATTCATGTAATAATTTATTATTTAATAATAACAGAAAAAAATAATGTGAGCTCAATTCTCCAAAAAATATAATAGAAATGTCTTTGCACATAGTTGACTTGAGGAAACTTTTAAATAATACACAAAGTCATTTTGTTGATAGATGTAAATATAAGATGTTAAGACAATATATTGAAGGGAATAATTTTTCACAGTTTATAGTTTTAATACATTTTATTCGTAGACTCATATTTAAATTATTCTACTATATCATTCATTTCATTTTCATTTTGATCAGCAAAGCTTTGCTCCTAAGTATAGCATATTTAAACTTTGTGACTTTTAGGACATGTTTCTTCTGAAAAGAATAATAGAATATTATATAGTTTTTGGATATTGATAAACTTGTATTACGAACACATGAATTTGTATGCCAGATGGCTTAATTTTCTACATAATTTTATAATATTTTAACTGTTCATATGTTTACAATATATTCAGGTTGAACAATGATCTTTTTTTTTTTTTTTTTTTTGAGAGGGGAGTTTCACTCTGCCACCTAGGCTGGGGTGCAATGGCACAGTCTTGGCTTACTGCAACCTCTGCCTCCCAGGTTCAATCTATTCTCCTGCTTTAGCCTCCCAAGTAGTTGGGATTACAGGCATGTACCACCGTGCCCGGCTAATTTTTTTGTATTTAGTAGAGACGGGGTTTCACCATGTTGGTCAGCCTGGTCTCAAACTCCTGACCTCTGGTGATACAACCGCCTCAGCGTCCCAAAGTGCTGGGATTACAGCCGTGAGCCACCGCGCCTGGCCGAACAATGATCATTTTCTATGAGTATGAAAATGATGTAAATATGTCAACACTTTGGGAGGTCGAGGCCGGCCGGATCACCTGAAGGTCAGGAGTTCGAGACCAGCCTGGCCAACATGGTGAAACCCAGTCTCTACTAAAAATACAAGAAAATTAGCCGAGTGTGGTGGTGCATGCCTGTAATCTCAGCTACTCAGGAGGCTGACGCAGGGGAATTGCTTGAACCAGGGAGGTGGAGGTTGCAGTGAGCTGAGATTGTGCCACTGCACTCCAGCCTAGGTGACAGAGTGAGACTCCATCAAAAAAAAAAAAAAAAAAAGAAACCAAACAAACAAAAACGTGTATTCTCTCTCTCTCTCTCTCTCTCTCTCTATATATATATATATATGCCTTTTATATTTGAATACAAATAAGAAAATTAAGAGTACTTATCAATTAAAAAGCTAGTCATGCAATTCAACAAGCAAAACCCAAATAACCCCATTAACAAAATGGGCAAAGGACATGAACAGACACTTGTCAAAAAGGAATAATGAATATATGAAGAAATGCTCAACATCGCAAATCAAAGTGCAGGGATTACAGGCATGAGCCACCATGCCCAGCCAAATGCATGTTTATCTTTATTTCTTTAAGCATATATCAGACCATGCTGACTTAGCCATCCATTTATTCTTTAGAAGAGAATGTGTCTGCATATTAGTGATTCTTTACATTCACTGAAGAAAATTCTGAATAGAGTAAAAGAATGGAAAAGGAAAAGAAAGAGAAGGAAAAAAGAAGAGGTAGAAAAACAAAAGTTAGTGTATTTAATTACCCTTAGTGACTTAAAACAAGCTTTAGAGTAGAAGCTAAGGGGAAAAATCGGAATTTTAAAACAACATGTCTGTACCAGATTAGCGTCATCTGTATTTAATGTATTTCCTTTGGTCTGTGCTGGATTTGTTGTTGTCAGGCAGCATCTATTCTGTTTTCCTGAATTTAATGCACCAATATTGCAATTCAATAATTTATAGTTTAAATGAGTTAAAATCACTCATCTTTTGCCAAAACAATGTGCACACCTGTACTAAGTTTACCATAGTAGAAAGTAAGTATATCAATTATTTAGTGACATTTAAATATACAAACTCATTTCAGGGCTTTGGATATTTTAAAAGAACATACAAAACAAAACAACTCTTTACCATCTCAGTGTTCCCTGCCTAATTTCACATTTGCATCTGTCAACTTTTCCAGGATTTATTGAATCTTAGTTCAAATTACAGGAACAATAATTAATGAAAAAAATTTAGTTTACATATTCAGAAGCCATATGTGGCACTGTTCTCAAAGAAATCACTATTCAAAAATAATTAATGGATTATAAACAAGATAACGGACATTTTACTTTACATTTCATGAATACACGCCAGCTTCTGAAAACCATAGCTAATGATCACAGGCGCTGATGTTTGTATGTGCTAATAAGAATGTTATGATGAGTACTTGTAAGACAAATACTAAAAATTATAAAATCTAGTGTTATCATGTTATTTAATTCTACTTGTATGTCTGGAAATTTCTTTTTAAATATTTATTAAAATTCAGTTTGTGGAGTATAATTTAAATGTCTTGAAAGAAACAGGGACATTTGTCACATGAAGATCTTATTAGGGTGAAATTGCATTCTGCTCCATCTGTGTAATGTGGTACATCAATATCTTAAGCAATGTAGAACTTTTGCATTTAATGTCTTTGCTAGGTAATGAAATGGAATATAGCAATATTTTTACAGGTTTTGATTCTTTTTTCAATTCAATGCAAAGTTGAGATGATGCACAAGCATATTACTACAGCTATATCACAGCACATAATAAATGAAATCATATAAGGATAGATAAAAATACCTCTGGATAGCTTCCTCTGTCAGCATGTTAAGAGATTATTGATTGCGGAAATCTCAAAGAAGCTTAAGAATAGCTAAGGAACCAAAAGAGACAACTTAAATGGAAAGGAAAGCTGTCCTAATTTACTTCCCACAAATTGGTAGACTCTGAGACTCTGTCAAAGTAAGGTTATGCCAAGAAAATAAATACCTCTCCCCAAATTAAAAAAGGTAATATCTATAAAAGCATAAATACAATTTTCATATATCTACCCCATAATAAATGAATACATATATAACAACAGAATGTTGATCAGATTCAGTTGTCCCATAATAATTAAATTTTAAACTATTAAATTGAGGGCTAGAAAATCTGATAAGCGATTAGAAGATTAAAATATACAGGCAGAGGCATTTGGAGTTTTTATGATGAAAAGGATACATAGAAAGAAAACTATAAATGGAGAAATATTTTACATAAATTGAAATAAGCTGTGGAGTAGTGATTTTAAGATTTATGATATAACTGACAAGTAATAAGGCCAACAAAATATTCAAAAATTCATCTTCCTATCCTGTTTTAATAATATGACTTTTGATTATATTCATTTTGTAAAATCATTACAGAAGATAAACCTGGTTTAAAACAACCCAACCTATGCTATATATTATAAATTGATAAATCATTACATTAATTCCCAAGAAAATACAACTAAAGTGAACTCTATAAAAAGAAGTGTATTTACTTGTGAAGAAAATATAAGCAAAAAAAGAGTATATAAACTTGAGAAGATAAAATTTATCTTTGAAACTGGAAACAAAGAAAAATGTGTACTGAATTATGTTTAAAAGGTTATTGGGAGAGACTAATAAATAAAATTACTCATGCCTGACCATTGAGTTTACTAAGGAAATAAGTACATGCACATGGCATTCCGTTATCTAAACTAGAGTAAAACAAAGGATATTCAGCAGTTATTTGTTCCAAAGACTGTAGAGGGTCTCAAAGAAATTACTTTCCTTTGAGAGATTTGTTTTTAAGATTAAAGCAGCTGATTAAAGGGTCTAGGATAAACGACATCCACATAAAAAGCACACTAGGAAAAAAAGAAAAAAAATGCTGAGTACGTGGAAAAGTTTAGACTGGGAAAAACAGTTTAAAATAAGATCTATTTTCCCAAAGGGTTAAAGCAGGGGTCCCCAACTCCCAGGCCATGGACTGGTTCCTGTCCATGGCCTGTTAAGAACCAGGCTGCACCGGGCGCGGTGGCTCACGCCTGTAATCCCAGCACTTTGGGAGGCCGGGGCCGGCAGATCACGAGGTCAGGAGATCGAGACCATCTTGGCTAACACGGTGAAACCCCGTCTCTACTAAAAAATACAAAAAATTAGCCGGGCGTGGTGGTGCACACCTGTAGTCCCAGCCACTCAGGAGGCTGAGGCAGGAGAATGGCGTGAACCCGGGAGGTGGAGCTTGCAGTGAGCCGAGATCGCGCCACTGCACTCCAGCTTGGGCAACAGAATGAGACTCTGCCTCAAAAAAAAAAAAAAAAGAACCAGGCTCCACAGCAGGAGGTGAGCGGCAGCAAGTGACTGAAGCTTCATCTGTATTTGCAGCTGCTCTCCATTGCTCTCATTACCACCTGAGCTCTGCCTCCTGTCAGTTCAGCAGCAGCATTAGGTTCTTGTTGGAGCGTGAAACCTACTGTGAACTGCATATGAAAGGGATCTAGGCTGCACACTCCTTATGAGAATCTAATGCCTGATAATCTGTCATGATCTCCCATCACCCCCGGATGGAACCATTTAATTGCAGGAAAACAAGCTCAGGGCTCCCACTGATTCTACATTATGGTGAGTTACATAATTATTTCATTATATAATGCAATGTAATAATAATAGAAATAAAGTGTACAGTAAATGTAATGCATTTGAATCATCCCCAAACCAGGCCCGCTCTGTCCGTGAAAAAAAAAATTGTCTTCCATGAAACTGGTCCCTGGTGCCAAAAAAGATTGGGAACCTCTTGGTTAAAGGGAATGTTACTGTGATTTGTCCAAGCATATTCAAATTCAGAGAAGCAAAAATAAAATGGAAATTTGCTTATTTACTGAATAAATGTGTCAAATCTTCACACATAAGTGATTGTTCTAGGTACTTCTAATAATTAGATGGCAATGCTAGCAGGTTTGCTAGTTAAGATCACCAGAGTTATTGGCTGGATAATACCTCCTGCTTTACCACTGGCATTTGTTGAAGGACCCAGTCTTGAAACAAAGATTTGCTTTGAATTTGACATAATTGAGGAGTCTCGGATTGAATGAGCCAGCTTTAAATACTATAGCTTCAAAAATGTTTGCTATGTGCATAGTGAAGTTCAGAGCTTGACAGTATCCTTTTGGAAACATTGTATTATTTGTTGTATCTGGTCTTTTGAAACAATATGGTTTGTAGATTACTTTTCTTAGTACAAGCAGAAGCCCTTATCAGCAAATGTGGTTAAGATTTAGACTTAAGAAAATATAAAATTCTTTCAGGAACCATTAGACAAACCTCAGCAGCAAAAATATTATTTCCAATTCCTTCCTGGTTAGTAAGGGTCAAGAATGTGATATTAAGGGTCAACCTTGCTTTTTTCCAGACCAAGCACATTGTTTTTTCTTGTTCACAGATTGGCAAAAGCAGAAGTTAAGTGTCATCAGATACTTAAACAAGAAATACATATCTCTTAATCCAGAGATACAACTATTATGCCACATGCACAAGTCAAAGATATCAGTGGGGTTTTGTTGTTGTTGTTGTTAAAATAGCTGAACCTTCTCAAGCAAATCCACTACTATTAGGATAAAGAATCACTACTGATCTAATATCTTATGCTTAGAATAGGTAAGAAAAATAAATGAGAGGCAGGTGATCTTGGCTGGTGTTCTAGTAGAAAAAATATAAATTGATATTACTGATGTAGGTTTATTCTAACTTAGTTATTTTATTTAAAACAAACATTTTGTTCATCTTATTTTGCATATGTTGGTTTTATAGTCTCTGCTTCTTCATGGTAAAATGACTGAAATTCTCTGAAAGGGCCTCTCTCCGAGAAGATATGAATTGCGTAACTCCAAAAAGAATAAAAATTTGTACATATTCCAGTAGTTTTGTGGACTTTTGTGAGGAACAAGAATGACATTTTTAAAATTATGGTAATAACACTGGTTTCTTGAACTTATTTTCTTAGGACTTGAATGTCCCCTCCAAAACCCACATTTAAATTTAATTTCCATTGTGAAAGTGTGGAGAGGTGAAATTTTTTGAGGTTTGCCTTTGTCTGCTCAGTTTTGCTAGAAAGAAATATCTAAGTCTGGGTAATTTATAAGAAAAAAAGGTAAAAAGGTTTATTTGGCTCATAATTCCACATTTGGAACAGTTCAAGACTGGGCATCTGGTGAGTGCTTCACGGTGAAAGGCAAAGGGGAGCTGGCTATGCAAAGATCACATGAAGACAGAAAGCAAGAGAGACACAGGGAGGTGCCAGGCTCTTTTTAACAAACATCTCTTATAAGAACTAAAGTAGTGAGCACTCACCCCCACCCCATCAGCAGGAGGGCACTAATCTGTTCATGAGGGATCTATCCCATGATCCAAACACCTCACCTTAGGCCCACCTTTAAAACTAGAAGTCAAATTTCAACATGAAGTTTAGAGAGGACAGATATCCAAACCATAACAAGGTGATTAGTCCATGAGGACTCTTCTCTCAAGAATGGATTAATATCATTATTATGGCAGTGGTTTTGTTACAAAAAGGTTGAGGTCAGCTCCCTTAGTTCTCTCTGTAGGTGCATTCTCTTGCCCTTACACCTTCTGCCATTGGATGGTGAAGCAGAAGGCCCTGACCAGATGCCAGTTTCTTGATCCTGGACTCCACAAACCTCCAGAACCATAAGTGGTTATTGTTTAAAAATTACTCGGTCTGTAGTATTCTGTTACAACAGCACAAAACAATCTGAAACATCTTCTCCACAAAATATAAATTTTTTGTGCTGTTGAATAAGCCATTAAAAGATATACTTTCCAGAGTTTATGAGTATAGTCTGCTTGGAATATCCTGAAAATGTCCTGGCATGAGAATGGTAAGAGGCAGAACTCCAATACTGCTAGAAATGGAAACATCTATATTTACTGCAAGTTTGAAGTTGATCTAAAGTATTCCTATGGTTTAGGTAAAGATGCAAGATAAAGGGAGGATAACAAAATGGAAAAATAAACTGCTGAATATGTGTAATGAAGTGTGAAAAATGTTCATTATGGAATTCAATCAATAATTATAAACATTCAATTAAAGGTAAAATTATTTATTTTATGCACAGAACTCTTTTTTGAATTAAATTACTATGTGATCCCATTTTTCAGTAAATTTTCTAAAGATTTTAGCCTCTGCCAATGAAGATTGAAAGATGACTCTAATAGCTAATGAATTCTCACTAGAGCCAACAAAATATCTTAACATATGATTACATTTATATCTTATGAAGGTTGACTAAATTATAGCTATCTTTTCCCTTAAATCTCATCCAAAAATAAAACTAAATTGCCTAAGATCTTTTTATTGTGCAAAACATGCATTTATTTTCCTCACATCTTGTAGAGTGGTGGAGGTCAGCAGGAAAAGAAAAAAAGCATGTAATCAAAGGTATTTGAATAAACTCACTCTTATTTGTGTCTTCTTAAGCCACGCTGAAATTGATACAATTTCCCAGTATAAAAATTTGTCTCTAGATAATTATACAAATAAGGTGTCATGTTCAAGTACGCTATCTCTTCAAATTGTTTTGAAGATTGTATTCATTGATAAAGATACAAAATGAGCCAGGCATGATGGTGCATGACTGTAGTCTCTGATAGTCAGGAGGCTCAGACAGGAAGATCCCTTGAGCCCAGGAATTTGAGGCTGTAGTGTGTATTGATTGCATCTGTGAGTAACCACTACACTTTAGCTAGGGCAATACAGTGAGATCCCATCTCTAAAAAGAAAAAAGATAATGAATAATGAGGAGTATAGTCTTCTCTCTGTCAAAATACAAGTTTTAAGAGCAGTAATCAGTTGAATACAATTAATTCAATACTGGGAGCAGCTGCAGTATGCCTTTATGAAACACCATAAATTCAAATTAATTAATCCAAAATGAATTACAAATTATTTTTGTAGACTACACATTGATCCTTAAGGGTTATTTAAACAGCTGAACTTGATGTCATTTGTCCCATCTGCCATAACAGATGCTTTATTTCAATATGAATATTAAATGAATTTTGAAAGCAATTTCCATAATTGTAAGAAACATTTACAAAATGAAGAAAAGATCATAATCTTTCTGATGACTGGGAATACTTTTTTATATTGTAGAGTAAAATGTGTTGAAAATATAAAGCATAACACAAATCTAAGTTTAACTGCAGGACACAAGGACATAAAGTTCCCCTAATAAAAACCATTTTCAGTTTCACGCTTTTTACATAGATTATTCAAGCACTTTAATTGTCTACATTAGTTATTCTTGTAACATTTCAATTGAATTTACCACCTTCCTTCTAAATGATGTATTTCAAGGTTATTAACCATGTGCTTCACTTGGATTCCTGTTATTCTTTTAATTTTGACAAAATTCTTAGGGAAAATCAGATTTGTCATATAGTTACTCAAAATCTGTTTTGGGGGGGGATATTCTCAGAGTTTCATATTACCATAAGCGATTCCTGTCATTGATTTAAGACACAAGGTGAATGAAACTCTAGAATGGATAATACATGGTAAATTCAATGAAGAAATACAATGAAAAATGATGTTTAAGTGAGAATAGATAACTAAGGACCAAGGGGCAGTTGGGAACAGATGAACAAGTAGATATAGGCAGTGGTATTAATTGCAGCACCATTTGTGCTGCCAGTGATTTGGAGACAAGCTGATTTTCCATCACTGAGGTAAATGGGATAGATGAGCACTAAGAAGTATTAGGCAACAGTTAGAAGCCATAATAGATATAAGAGAACAATAAGAATGAATTATAAAGATACAGTGTTTACGTCGACACAGGGAGGGGAATAACACACACCGGGCCTGTCAGGGAATGGGGAGTGGCAGGAGGGGCAGGGGAGAGCATCAGAACAAATAGCTAATGTATGTGGAACTCAAAACCTAGATGACAGGTTGATAGGTGCAGCAAAGAAGTATGGCACACGTATGCCTGTGTAACAAAGCTGCATGCTCTGCATATGTATCCCTAAACTCAAAGTAAAATAAAAATAAAAGAAAATATAGTGTTTAGAGACAAAAGTAGAAAGCAGGATGTCAGTTTTAAGTGCTTGAGTTTTTTTCTCATTACAAATCATATGTTACTGTTTCTAAGGATTCTTAGTATCTTTGCATGCTGGAGAATTTGAAATTCACGTTGTTGTTTTTGGAGACAAGTTAATGGGAATAATTTGGATCTCTTTGGGCTTTGCTTTTCACATTTGTTAGACAGAAAAAAAAGACATGTTAGCCTAGACCTAATTATTCTTCACTACTAAGGCAAGACCCATTTGAGTACCTCATGCAGTATGAAGTTTTCCAGCCTTGTTGCTGGCAACAAGCACTATTCACAGCCCTCTGTGAATAGCAGATACTTCTACCTTCTGTCCATTGGGTGATTCTTTTTTAAGCCTTAAGTAGTCCTTTAATGAATCTTTGCTGACCTGCCTCACCTGAACACTCTGGAGGAAGTGGGGATGCTTCTGTAAATCTTTGGGGTTCTTTATGTGCTCTCTCCTCTCGGGTGTTAAATAGCTTGCAAACTCCAGCCACTTTGGTTCTTCTGTATTCTCAACTTTATCTCCTTAACATAGGTAGTTTGCTGAGATCCGCCTGGTTCTCCCACCCTAACTCATAGCCTGGAAACTGTTGTATAATCATAAGGCTTACTTGATTTGTTTCCCGTCTCAGTGACTGCTGATATTGGTTGCCTATCTAGTGTCTATACAGAAGTTGTTTAAAATATTTTATAGCCTCTTATGGTTGCTGCATTTGAGGGGGTGGGATTTATTCCTTGTTACTGCATCTAGGACAGAGCAAAAATTTATCAGCTATAAAGTATCTAAGGAGGAGTGACATTAGAAAGATGGCAAAATAGAAAATGTTAGTCTATTAACATTAATAGACTAGTTAAACAGAAAGTTTAACTAGCAGCTACCCACAGACCAAAACATCTTTTTGAAAACCTTAATACTTGAAAACAAGCCTGATACACTAGTATGATCTGCAGCAGCTGCATTCAACCAAAAAACCCACCCAATGATTCCACCCACACAGGCTGACAAAAACTCCTTGGAATTTTCAAGAAGCATATGTGCTAGAACTGCTTGACCCAGGAAGTAAAACAGCTGTTCAACTCAGGCAGAAACCCTCACGATACCTGCAACCTGATGGTGAGGCAGTCCTCAATTATGTATTTCTAAGGAATATCCCAACTGGTCACACCCATCCTGGGAAAAGACTCAACCAAACCTCAGAGCCTAACCTATAGGTCTGCTCAACCACAGATCCGAAATAGCAGAATTGCCCAGCCAAGGAATACATCCTGTGAATGGCCTGAGCAGAAGCCATCATTGTACCCAGCCAGCAGCTCCACCTGATAGCAGAACCCAACCAGTGATCTCTCCAGAAAATGGAGTCTCACCAGCAGTCCCACTTAACATCAGAGAAAAGGCAGAGGCCTATCCAATAAAGAAACCACCACAAGCTCTGCCTGCCCAACTAAAGTACCGACCACAAAACCTTCATCATCACCAGATGTCCTTTCCAAAGTAACAGGCTAGACTATATAGTGAAGGTCTCTCCCTGCCATAGAACACTTTTAAAAGCCAGAAGAGGGGACTTTCTCTTCAAATTCACAGACAGCAATGCAAGGACAGAGAATTATGAAGAATCAGAAAATCATGACACTCCAAAAAAATAAAACCCTAATGAAGTTCTAATAATGAAACTTAAAGAGATAACTGACAAAGAATTTTTAAAATCTTCTGTAAAAAAGCTTATGAACTACAAGGATAGATAAATTAAAATTTAAATAAAATTTGTAAAATACTCAAAGTGAAAAATTTGGGAAATAGAAGCAATAAAAAGAGTCTAGAAATGAATATAATGACTAAAAATAAATCAGTTGTAGTCTTCAACAGCAGACTTGATCGTGCAAAAAATAATTAGTGAGCTGGAAGACAGAACACTTAAATTATTTGGTCAGAGTAGCAAAAAGACAAAAGACTATAAAATAATGAAGAAAGCCTATGGAAATTATGGAATACTACCAAGACACAAAAGTTTTGCCTAATAGGAGTTACAGAAGAAGATAGAGAAAATGGAAAAGAAAGCCTATTTTTAAAAATAATGGCTAAAACTTTGCTAATCTGGGAACAGATTATAACATCCAAGTACAGGAAATATAGACAATTCCAATCAAATTCAACCCAAAGAGGGGTTCACTAAGATACCTCATGATCAAACTATCAAAAAGCAAAGACAAAGAAATTATTTGGGGAGGAGCAATAGAAAATATATACAAAGGAGTGCTTTGTATATATTGATATGTTACTATCAGTGGATTTCTCAGTAAAATTTCTGCATTCCGAGAGAGTGTGATCATATATTTAAAATGTTGAGGGAAAGTTTTGCCAAACAAGAATACTTTACACAGCAAATCTGCCTTTTAGAAATGAGAGAGAAGTATAAACTTTCCCAAACAAAAGCTAAAAGTGGTCATCACCATTAGATCAGCTTTGCAGATACTATTAGAGTTATTTAAGCTAAAATGAAAGTATAAGTCTACTAATTAATAACATGAAACACATGAAAGCACAAAACACAATGATATAAGTAAAAAACAACCATATTCAAAATACTCTAGGACTATAATAATAATGTGTAAGGCAATTTTATCCCTAGTATGGAGGTTAAAAACAAAACTATTAATAACAACTTTAGCTAAAATAAATTTTCAAGGGATACATATTACAAAATTATATATATTCTGACATCAGAAAAATACAGGGAGGAGTAAAAGTGTACTGCTGTATACAATCAAAATTAAATCATTAACAGCTTGGATTAGTCAGTATAGAGTTGAATACTGTGTATTTTTTTGTTTTAAATCCATTCAGTTACTCTATGTCTTTTTATAGGGTAATTTAATCCATTTACATTCAAGATAATTATTGATAGATAATAACTTACTGCTGATATTTTCTTGTTTTCTGATTGTTCTATACATTTCTTTTTCTTTTCTCTTGCTATCTTTCTTTGTGTTTTGATGATTTTCTGTGGTCTTATTCTTTTAATCCTTTCTATATTGGCTTTTTGCTTTCTAAAAATTTTTGTTTTTTAAGTCCAATGAGGCCTACATAGGACATTTTGTACTTAGATATATCCAATAAGGAGTTAATATCCAAAATATATTAGGAACCCAACCAACTCAGCAAGAAATCAATATGCCCAATTAAAAATAGAGAAGAGATCTGAATAGACATTTCTCAAAAAGTCATCTAAATGGTCACCAGATGACTTATATTTAAATGCTCAACATTGCTAATCTTTAAGAAAATGCAAATTAATTTATTTGCCTAGAGGTGTTTATAGGTATATATTCTCTGATGGTAGTTTGTATTTCTGTGGGATCGGTGGTGATATCCCCTTTATCATTTTTTATTGCGTCTATTTGATTCTTCTGTCTTTTCTTCTTTATTAGTCTGGCTAGCGGTCTATCAATTTTGTTGATCTTTTCAAAAAACCAGCTCCTGGATTCATTGATTTTTTGAAGGTTTTTTGTGTGTATGTCTCTATCTCCTTCAGTTCTGCTCTGATCTTAGTTATTTCTTGCCTTCTGCTAGCTTTTGAATGTGTTTGCTCTTGCTTCTCTAGTTCTTTTAATTGTGATGTTAGGGTGTCAATTTTAGATCTTTCCTGCTTTCTCTTGTGGGCATTTAGTGCTATAAATTTCCCTCTACACACTGTTTTGAATGTGTCCCAGAGATTCTGGTATGTTGTGTCTTTGTTCTCATTGGTTTCAAAGAACATCTTTATTTCTGCCTTCATTTTGTTATGTACCCAGTAGTCATTCAGGAGCAGATTTTTCAGTTTCCATGTAGTTGAGCGATTTCGAGTGAGTTTCTTAATCCTGAGTTCTAGTTTGATTGCACTGTGGTCTGAGAGACAGTTTGTTATAATTTCTGTTCTTTTACATTTGCTGAGGAGTGCTTTACTTCCAAGTATGTGGTCAATTTTGGAATAAGTGCAGTGTGGTGCTGAGAAGAATGTATATTCTGTTGATTTGGGGTGGAGAGCTCTGTAGACATCTATTAGGTCCACTTGGTACAGAGCTGAGTTCAATTCCTGGATATCCTCGTTAACTTTCTGTCTCGTTGATCTGTCTAATGTTGACAGTGGGGTGTTAAAGTCTCCCATTATTATTGTGTGGGAGTCTAAGTTTCTTTCTAGTCTCTAAGGACTTGCTTTATGAATATGGGTACTCCTGTATTGGGTGCATATGTATTTAGGACAGTTAGCTCTTCTTGCTGAATTGATCCCTTTACCATTATGTAATGGACTTCTTTGTCTCTTTTGATCTTTGTTGGTTTAAAGTCTGTTTTATCAGAAAATCTAGAAGAAATGGATAAATTCCTTGACACATACACCCTCCCAAGGCTAAACCAGGGAGAAGTTGAATCCCTGAATAGACCAATAACAGACTCTGAAATAGAGGCAATAATTAATAGCTTACCAACCAAAAAAAGTCCAGGACAAGATGGATTCACAGCCGAATTCTACCAGAGGTATAAGGAGGAGCTGATACCATTCCTTCTGAAACTATTCCAATCAATAGAAAAAGAGGGAATCTTTCCTAACTCATTTTATGAAGCCAGCATCATCCTGATACCAAAGCCTGGAAGAGACACAACAAAAAAAGAGAATTTTAGACCAATATCCCTGATGAACATCGATGCAAAAATTCTCAATAAAATCCTGGCAAACCGAATCCAGCAGCACACCAAAAAGCTAATCCACCATGATCAAGTGGGCTTCAACCCTGGGATGCAAGGCTGGTTCAACACAAATTAATAAACGTAATCCAGCATATAAACAGAACCAATGACAAAAACCATACGATTATCTCAATAGATGCAGAAAAGGCCTTTGAAAAATTCAACAACCCTTCATGCTAAAAACTCTCAATAAATTAGATATTGATGGGACGTATCTCAAAATAATAAAAGCTATCTATGACAAACCCACAGCCAGTATCATACTGAATGGGCAAAAACTGGAAGCAGTCCCTTTGAAAATTGGTACAAGACAGGGATGCCCTCTCTCATCACTCCTATTCAACATAGTGTTGGAAGTTCTGGCCAGGGCAATCAGGCAGAAGAAGGAAATAAAGGGTATTCAATTAGGAAAAGAGGAAGTCAAATTGTCCCTGTTTGCAGATGACATGATTGCATATCCAGGAAACCCCATCATCTCAGCCCAAAATCTCCTTAAGCTGATAAGCAACTTCAGCAAAATCTCAGGATACAAAATCAATGTGCAAAAATCACAAGCATTCTTATACACAAATAACAGACTAACAGAGAGCCAAATCATGAGTGAACTCCCATTCACAATTGCTTCAAAGAGAATAAAATACCTAGGAATCCAACTTACAAGGGACATGAAGGACTTCTTCAAGGAGAACTACAAACCACTGCTCAATGAAATAAAAGAGGATACAAACAAATGGAAGAACAACATTCCATGCTCATGGGTAGGAAGAATCAATATCGTGAAAAAGGCCATACTGCCCAAGGTAATTTATATATTCAATGCCATCCCCATCAAGCTACCAATGACTTTCTTCACAGAATTGGAAAAAACTACTTCAAAGTTCATATGGAACCAAAAAAGAGCCCACATCGCCAAGTCAATCCTAAGCCAAAAGAACAAAGCTGGAGGCATCACACTACCTGACTTCAAACTATACTACAAGGCTACAGTAACCAAAACAGCATGGTACTGGTACCAAAACAGAGATATAGACCAATGGAACAGAACAGAGCCCTCAGAAATAGTGCCACATATCTACAACCATCTGATCTTTGACAAACCTGACAAAAACAAGAAATGGGGAAAGGATTCCCTATTTAATAAATGGTGCCGGGAAAACTGGCTAGCCATATGTAGAAAGCTGAAACTGGATCCCTTCCTTACACCTTATACAAAAATTAATTCAAGATGGATTAAAGCCTTAAATGTGAGACCTGAAACCATAAAAACCCTAGAAGAAAACCTAGGCATTACCATTCAGGACATAGGCATGGGCAAGGACTTCATGTCTAAAATACCAAAAGCAATGGCAACAAAAGCCAAAATTGACAAATGGGATCTAATTAAACTAAAGAGCTTCTGCAGAGCAAAAGAAACTACCATCAGAGTGAACAGGCAACCTACAAAATGGGAGAAAATGTTTGCAATCTACTTATCTGACAAAGGGATAATATCCAGAATCTACAATGAACTCAAACAAATTTACAAAAAAAAAAAAAAAAACAAACAACCCCATCAAAAAGTGGGCAAAGAATATGAACAGACACTTCTCAAAAGAAGACATTTATGCAGCCAAAAAACACATGAAAAAATGCTCACCATCACTGGCCATCAGAGAAATGCAAATCAAAACCACAGTGAGATACCATCTCACACCAGTTAGAATGGCGATCATTAAAAAGTCAGGAAACAACAGGTGCTGGAGAGGAAGTGGAGAAATAGGAACACTTTTACACTGTTGGTGGGACTGTAAACTAGTTCAACCATTGTGGAAGTCAGTGTGGAGATTCCTCAGGGATCTAGAACTAGAAATACCATTTGACCCAGCAATCCCATTACTGGGTATATACCCAAAGGATTATAAATCATGCTGTTATAAAGACACATGCACACGTATGTTTATTGCGGCACTATTCACAATAGCAAAGACTTGGAACCAAGCCAAATATCCAACAATGACAGACTGCATCAAGAAAATGTGGCACATGTACACCATGGAATACTATACAGTCATAAAAAATGATGAGTTCATGTCCTTTGTAGGGACATGGATGAAGCTGGAAACCATCATTCTCAGCAAACTATCACAAGGACAAAAAACCAAACTCTGCATGTTCTCATTCATAGGTGGGAATTGAACAGTGAGAACACATGGACACAGGAAGGGGAACATCACACCAGGGTCTGTTGTGGGGTGTGGGGAGGGGGGAGGGATAGCATTAGGAGATATACCTAATGTTAAATGACGAGTTAAGGTGCGGCACACCAACATGGCACATGTATACATATGTAACAAACCTGCACATTGTGCACATGTACCCTAAAACTTAAAGTATAATAATAAAAAAAAGAAAATGCAAATTAACACCACAATGAGATATCATCTCACACCTGTAAGAATAGCTATTATGATAAAGAGAAAAGATAACAGGACAAGTGTTGGTGAGAATGTGAAGAAAATGGAACACTTGTACACTGTTGCTGGGAATGTGAATTAACCATTATAGAAAACTGTATGGAGGTTCCAAAAAAAAAGAATGAACAACAAGATCCAATAATCTTACTTTTGAGTATTTACCCAAAACATTTAAAATGAATTTCTAAAAGATATCTGCACTCTCATGTTCATTGCAGCAACACTCACAATATCCAAGTTACGGAAGCAATATGTCCATCAACAGATGAGTGGATTAGAAATGTATAGTATATATACACAATGAAATAATACTGTTCAGCCTTACAAAGTAAATTCTGTCATTGGTGACAATGTAGACGGAATCGGAGAACATTATGCTAAATGAACTAAACCAAACACAGAGAGAAAAATACTGCATATTCTCACTTATATGTGGAATCTATAGCAATCAAACTCATAGGAGCAAAGAGTTTAATGGTTTTACAGAGACTGAGGGAAGGGAGAGTCGGGAATTGATGATCAAAGAATATGCAATCTCAGACAAGAGGAATACAGGTTTTTTGAGATCTATCCCGCAATATGGTAAATATAGTTAATAATATTGTTTTGTACATTTCAAAATTGCTAATAGAGTAAATTTAAAATGTTCTCCCCACAAAAATAATATTTACTTGAAGTAATATATATATGTTAATTAACTGGATTTAATTATTCCATATCATACTAATGGATCATAGCATCACTTTGTACCCCATAAATATACAATTATAAAGTGCCAATTTACAATAAAATTAAAAAATAGTATCTAAGGCTCTCAACCCTTTCCTTTTAAAAGATCCTAGACTTTTAAAAGGACAATCTTAATCACCCCCACTTCAAATATTTGAAGCCAGTAGTAAATTTAATATATTGTAGCTCAATAAATCCTAGAAGTAGCTCCACCAAAGATTAGATGACAACATCTCCCAGCATCAGTAACCTGATGAAAAAAGTTACTTGTATTTTGGGGGATAAATATTATTCACTTCAATCTTTAATCTTGTTTTGCACAAAATATTCATCACACAATCAAAAAACTTATGGATATGTTAGGAAGCAAAACTTTGTCTACGTGGGCAACGGATTAAATATTCAATAGGAATGTATCCAGAAATGAGCCATATTCTGGAATTTATTTAAGAATTTAAGCCTACTTTAAATACCCATAATAATTACATTAAAAATCTAATGCAAGAATAACCACATGAATGAACAGATGAAAAGGCCAAGAGGGTAGTGAAAGCTGTTCCTAAAATTTATGTGGAAATATACAGAATAGCAAAAACAGCCAGATATGGTGGCTCATGTCTGTAGTACCAACTACTCAGGAGGCTGAGGTAGGAAAATTCCTTCAGTTCAAAAGTTTAAGACCAGCCTGAACAGTAGAGCAAGACTATGTCCCTTTAAAAAAAATAGCAAAAACAATATTGAATATGAAAACAAAATTGGGGGACTTACCTCATTTTAATGACTACTATAATGCAATAATTATCAAGGAAATGTGTTATTAGAATAAGGATAGACATAAAAATCAAAGAGATGGACCCAGAGTTAAAAAATAACCCCACACATGTTTAGTCAAGTAAATATATCAACAAAGGCACTAATTCAATTCAATGGAAATTGGAAATGTTTTTGAACAAATGGTATTGGAACATCTAGAAAGCTACATGGAAAATTATTAGTCAAGATTTCTACTCATTCATACACAAATATTTGTTTGAGGTGGATCATAAACCTAAGCCTAAAATTTAGAACCATAAAAAAAATAGTACTGTCCCTTTAACCTTGTCATAGGCATTTTCTTAAACCAGACATATAAATCAATCATCAAAAACTAATGAAAATTAAACTGAATTCCAATTAATTTTTTTCTATTCAAAATATATTATTTAAAAAATGAACAGGCAAACTATGGACTGGTAGAATACGCATAACACATACTCTTATGCAAAATATATAAAGGAGTCTCATTAATAAAAAGAAAAACAATATATTTAAATACTGAACAAGCAAGAGAAACAATACAAGAAAAATGAAATATACAAATGTCTGATAAGTATTTGAAATTTGCTCATCATTTTCAAACCAGAAATTACTCTTCAGCATCCTCTAAAATTACTCAAAATTATGCATACCCACACACATGGACACACACAAAATATCTAGTGGTGCAGAAATGGAGCAGCTGGAACTCTCAACATTGCCTGTGGGTACAAATAAAAGAATTCAGTTATTCTTGCAGTATATGATAAAGCTAAACATACTTACCTTATGACCCAGCAATTCTGCTCTTGAGTATTTAACTAAGCATAATGAAATTATATGTCCAGAGAAGAGACTTACACAAAAATGTTCATAGGAGCTGTATTTGTAGTAGCTGCAAACTGAAAACAACCCAAACCTGAATCAACATAAGAATGGATAAAAAACCAACTATACTTACCTAAGAAAATACTACTCCAACTGAGGCGAGTGGATCACGAGGTCAGGAGTTCCAGACCAGTCTGAACAACATGGTGAAACCCTGTCTCTACTAAAAATACAAAAATTAGCCGGGCATGATGGCGCAAGCCTGTAATCCCAGCTACTCAGGAGACTGAGGCAGGAGAATCACTTGAACCCGGGAGGCGGAAGTTGCAGTGAGCCGAGATCGTGCCACTGCGCTCCAGCCTGGGCGACAGAGCAAGACTCTGCCTCAAAAAACAAGAAAAAAAAGAAAAGAAAAGAAAAGAAAGAAGAAAAAGAAGACAAGACTACTAATCAGCAAAAGAAGGGAACAAACTGCTACTACACAAATGGCACGGATGAATCTCAGTAATGTTATTTTGAATGATCATGCCACATGTAGGTATATGTGTCTTTTCAGTGAGCATTAAAGGTGTTCACTTTGCTCACATTATGCCATATTTCCAATTTCCCACCCACTGTATTCTGCACAGAACACATTTTTCTCCATTCTATGAAATGTTCTTTTCTGTGGGGATCTAAACTTTAAAATTTCCCCTGGAACTTTAGCAAGTTTTTGAGATATATTTAATTCTTATGCTGTTAGTTCTTATGTTCATTTCAGCAAATATATTCACTTGAGATCACCACATGTTGTTGCTATTTGAACTAGCTGGAAGAAAATGGTAGGACCTAGAGGTAAAATAGTTACTCCTCTAGGCCAAAGAAAAAACTGCATCAAAAGGGATTACACTAGATGAAACAAAATTTAAAAAAGATAAAAAAGATAACAAAATAATTTTTCAGTAAGGAGTAGGTTTGTGTGAATTAGAGAGGAATGGTGGCAGACTGCAAATATGTTAGCCAACATCTTTTTTTCCTTTTTTTTCCTCATACTTATTTTGAACTGGGCTTGAGGGCTTCTAGGTGGGATTGCACTTCCCTGATCTCACTGCAGTTTGAGTACCCACTGACCATGCCATCTCTAACAGAATTTGAGGGCAAATGATGTGCATCTACAATCCTTTAGGAAAAGGTGAAACTTCCTGACACTCTGTCTTCTTCCTGCCTACTAGCTGGAACCTAGATATAAGAACAACCTACCTGTACCATGAAGGTTCCTGCACCTCAGAGTGACATTTATCAAAGACTCATTCCTGTTGAAGTGACCTTCCTGGCTCAACATTATCAGGAGGAATGGTGCAGATTCTGAAAATAGAATTGTTATTTGTTGATAGCTTGCTATTACACAGTTAGCAAATCATAATTTCAAACCTCACCCTGAGAAACAAGTAGACTTGTGACAATTTGAAACTTTCTGACCCATATTTCCCAATCGGTATAATACAGATATTATTAAAATATTGCAAAAGGTGGGTTGGAGATTTAAATGACCACCACATAGTAGGTGCTCAGAAAATTATAATTCTCTACCATTTTTTTCTTGAAATGGTGTATATTTTATTCTATTTATATTGAATATACTCTCTGAGGATAAAATACATACTTAGATTTAGGTTATCAGAAACAGAAGTAGCTACCAAATAGTTGTATTCTGCAGAACACTCCAACAATTTGATTATTTGTTTTTTTATTACCCCATTTATCATATAGGCCTAAAGTATTCATTAAATTTCTGATTATTGAAAAGAAATAAGCAGAATGATTAGCTAATGTTCAGTGGCTTAAGTATACAAATGGAATCATTTGAAGAAGATACGGTTGCTTATCTGTTTCATCTGTTTAATGATTACAAGTTTTGAAGTGGCCTCTTTCAGCAACCATACTATTTCATTTTTTTTTTTAAGATGGAGTCTCGCTTTCTAGCCCAGGCTGGAGTGCAGTGGCGCAATCTCAGCTTGCTGCAACCTCTGCCTCCCAGGTTCAAGCAATTTTCCTGTCTCAGCCTCTCCAGTAGCTGGGACTACAGGTGCACACCACCATACCTGGCTAATTTTTGTATTTTTAGTAGAGATGGGGTTTCACCATATTGGTCAGGCTGGTCTCGAACTCCTGACCTCAGATGATCCACCATCCTTGGCCGCCCAAAGTGCTGGGATTACAGGTGTGAGCCACCACACCCGGCCTATTTCATTTTTTAAAGTTACACTTTGCCTAAACAAAAATCAAGAAAGAACATCAAATTACTTTTTAAAAAATAGATCATCAAATGTATAGAAGATAGGACCAAAGAAAACAGCTAATTGTAAACATTAATCAACACTAAATTTATAAACACATACAAGATGAAAACATTTTTATTATGATGGATTTGGAAATGTGATTTATGCTGGAAAAAATTTTCAGGATAAAATATTATGTTTTCTTTAGAGATAGGTCATGTAACAATATAGATTAATTCTGATATTCTGTCAAATAAGTCTATTTTAGCGGAGTGTTTTGAATATGTAAATAATTTTCTTTGAGACCTTGACTTGAATGAACAAATATAAAATTCACTGAAAATAACTGAGTGTGACTCAGTTCTTCTTTGGAAAAGAAATTCAATTGACTTCTTGGCTATTATCAAGATGAATGTTTCAGCTTTGAGCTTCATCTTCCCAGTTTAGATTTTGGTAAATGTAAGGCCATTCATTTCTTGAGCATTTAACTCTAGCAAGTTAAAGGCTGTGCTATTCAGATTAAAGATACATATTACCAGTAAACTGAAATGTCATGAAGCAATTAAAGTGAAAAGAAACCTTTTATGTATTGGCAATCTGTTTCTATTGCCACTTTAGCTATCTGATTTTTCTAAGGAACTGCAAGGATAAGATAGAGCATAGTTGTGTGAAAGGAATATTAATGCTGTACTCTAAGTATTCTAAAATATATTTTAAAGTGTACTCAAATTTATAAATTAGTTATGTATAAATGACTTTTTATAACATATATTAAGATTGTGTACTTTTTTCAATAGACTTTAATTGTTTTTGTCATATTTCCTAGCAAATAGTGAAATAGAAGCTGACTAGATGTCCAAGTGAGACTGGTTAACATCAAAATAAATTTATAAAATCAATATTAAAAAATTCTAATAATATAATGTATACAATTCTTAAGGAAAATAGCACAGCAAATTTATATAGTTTTTGTTTGTTTATTTGTTTTTGTTTTTAAACCTAGCTTCCCTTTTAAACCTAGTTTCCCTAAGGGAAACTCAGGGCCAGCTATTTCCCTGTATCATCTCCTTTCGTCTTCACAGTCAATGTGTATAAATACTTCCATCCCAAATTTACAGCTGAAGACTGTGGGAGTCTTTCATCCTCAGTTACCTTCCAGAGTTATACACATTAAAGTGTAATTAAGATAATGCTAAGTACCTTGTATTATTGCACTATATAGTATCATCTAAATTCTGTGGAGCCTTTCTTGGTACTGGAAAAAAAACCTTCAATTTTTGTGGTACCCGTGGCCACCGTTTTCTCTAATACATTGGGAGGTATTTTTCATAATCTTTATTTCCCAGTAAATATGTTTCATGAACCATATTTCTTTTTTCAGAACTTCATTTTGATTCTTTGGTCCTCCTACAACATTCTACAGATATTTTCCAGGAAAAGAATTTTGACATTAATCATTATAAATACAGGAAGAATAAAAGTACGGTTTTAATGTTTGTTAGTACTGTTCTTCCACTTCTCAATATCAATGCACTTTACTAACTCACAATTTAAAGATTACAAAACCTATTTCACAATCTCAGCCATATAGGATTATGATTATAAAAATAATGTAAACGAATTATAAAATGTTTGAAAAATACAATATTCCAACATATAGTCATTTCAATTATTTTTTTCTTAGCCCTATATATTTCTGTCTTAGTTCATTCTTGGAATTATCACTAATGAAATTAATCAAGACTATTGATATATATACAGCAATCATTTTTTAAGGATGATAAAAATTAAGTTCCCATTGCTTTATATAATTGCTCATTTAAATATACCCTTGCCAGTATTTAAAAAAATCTTTCAACCCTATAAACAAATAACTGAATCTAATCATCTTTTAAAGAAATGAAGAATATTCTCACAATTTTTTAGGAATTGGTTTTGTTGAGTAAATTACATGCACATGTTTTTGTTTTTAAAAGTCTTTTAAGTGCAGCTGAATTAATCAAATTAATCATACACCTCAGATGATGGCAAACTATCACTTTCAGTTCTAAGTCACTATCCTTTTTAATTCTATTTTTCATTCTTGTTAATGCTATTCCCTATTTCTGTTCCCAGCGTCACAAATCAACATGATAGTATTTTCAGTATGTTTATTTTGTTAATATCCTTAGAAATAATAAAGTATTTTTACACATGTACACTTAATGGCATGATGTTTTGAATTTCATTCCTTTTTATACTTCTCTTCCCTTCAAACACTATCAACATTTTAATTTTAGATTCCAGGGATATATATGCAGGTTTGATACATGGGTATTGATATGGTTTGGTTCTGTGTCCCCACCCATATCTCATCTCAAATTGTAATCCCCATAATCCCCACATGTGGAGGGTAGGATCTGGTGGGAAGTGATTGGATCATAGGGGAAGTCTCCCCCGTGCTGTTCTCATGATAGTGAGTGAGTTCTCACAAGATCTGATGATTTTATAACTGGCTCTTCACCCTTTGCTTGTTCACTTTCTCTTGCCTGCCACCATGTAAGATGTGCCCCTTCCCCTTCTGCCATGATTGCAAGTTTCCTGAGGCCTCCCCAGCCATGCTGAACTGTGAGTCAATTCAACCTCTTTCCTTTATAAATTACCAAGTGTCAGTCAGCCCTTTATGGCATTGTGAAAACAGACTGTTACAGGTATACTGTGTGATGCTGAGGCACAAATGATCCTGTCAACCAAGAAGTAAGCATAGTACCCATTAGGAGTTTTTTACCTCTTATCCCACTGTCTCCCTCCCACCTCTTAGAATCCTCAGTATCTACTATTCCCAACTTTATGTCCACTTTATATACCAATATTTAGCACCTACTTATAAGTGAGAACTCATGATATTTCCTTTTCTGTTTCTGCATAAATGTGCTCAGGATAACAGTGTCCAGCTGCATCAGTGCTGCTGCAAAGGACAGAATTTCATTCCTTTTTATGACTGTATAGTATTCCATGGTATATATCTACCACAGTTTCTTTATCCAATTCATCATTGCTGGGCACCCAGGTTGATTCCATATCATTGCTATTGTGAATACTGCTGTGATAAACATATGAGTGCATGTATCTTTTTGGTAGAATGACTTTTTTTTCTAGTTACACACCCAGTAGTGGGATTATTGGGTTGAATGGTAGTAATACTTTTAATTATTTGAAAAATCTCCAAACTACTTTCCACAGTGGTTGAACAAATTTACATTTCCTCTAACAATATATACGCATTCCCATTTCTTTGCAACCTTAACAACACCTGCAATTTGGACTTTTTAATAATAACCATTCTGACTGGTATGAGATGGTATCCCATTGACTTTTTGATATGCATTTCTCTAATGATTAACTATGTTGAGCATTTTTCATGTTTGTTGGCAACTTGTAGGTCTTCTTTGAGAAGTATTTGTTCGTGTCCTTTGCCCACTTTTTAATGGGGTTGTTTTCAACTGGCTGAATAGCATAAATTTTTACAGACTCTGGATATTAGATGTTTGTTGGATGCATAGATTGAAACTAATTTCTCCTATTCTGGAGATTCTCTGTTTACTTTCTTGATAGTTGTTTTACTGTGCAGAAGCTCTTTAGTTTAATTACACTCTACTTATCAATTTTCATTTTTGTTGCATTTGCTTTTACAGACTTGATCATAAATGTTTTATCAATGCTAATGTCCAGAAGCGTATTTCCTAGGTTTTCTTCGAGGATTCTTGTAATTTGAGGTCTTATATTTAGTCTGTAATTCATCTTATGTTAATTTTTGTATATGGTATTAGGCAGTGATCCAGATTTATTCTTCTGCATATGCTTAGCCAGTTTTCTCAACCCCATTTACTGAATAGGGAGTCCTTTCCCCATTGCTAATTTTTGTTAAACTTGGTGAAGATCAGTTGGTTGTAGGTAAGCTGTTTTATTGCTAGTTTCTGTATTCTGTTCCATTGACCCATGTGTTTATCTTCATATCACCACTATGGTGTTTTGTTACTGTATCCTCGTAGTATAGTTTGAAGTCAAGTAATGTGATGCCTCTGTCTTTGTTCCTTGTGTTTAAGAAGGCTTTGGCTATTTATTTGGGCACGTTCTTGGTTCATATGAATTTTAGAATAGTTTTTGTTCTAATTCTGTAAAAAAAAACTACAGTGGTATTTGATAGGAATAGCCACGAATCTGTAAATTGCTCTGGGTAGTATGGACATGTTAACAATGTTGATTCTTTGAATCCATAAGTATGGAATATTTTTCCATTTGTTTGTGTCATCTTTGATTTATTTCAACAGTGTTTTATGGTTCTCCTTCTAGAGATCTTTAACCTCCTTGGTTAGATGTTTTCCTAGGTACTTTATTTTATCCTGTGGCTATTGTAAATATGTTGCATTGTTTGTTTGCCTCTAAGCTTGAATAGTATTGATGTATAGACATCCTATTGATTACTGCATATTGGTTTTGCATCCTAAAAGTTTGCTGAAGTCATTTATGAGATCCAGGAGCATTTTAATGCATTCTTTAGTGTTTTCTGTGTATAAAATTATATTACCAGCACTGTAACCCACCAAAATATTCCAGAAGTGGACCAGATGACTGAACCCACCTTACACCACAGTCAAACACTCAGGGGCATCAAAAAGTATAAAAACTAAAACAAGAGAAAACCCACCCAATGGACAGCAGTTTCAAAGATTAAATAAATATAAGTCCACATAGATACAAAAGAACCAGTGCAAGAGCCCTGGCAACTCAAAAAGCCAATGTGTCCTCTTACCTCCAAACAACCACATTAGCTCCCCTTCAATTATTCTTAACCAGACTGAAATGGTTGAAATGACAGACACAGAATTCGGAATCTTGATAGCAGTGAAAATTATCAAGATTCAAGAGAAATTCAAAACTCAATCCAAGGAATCTAAGAAATCCAATAAGATGATATAAGAGCTGAAAAACAAAATGACCATCTTAAGAAAGAATCATACTTATCTGATAGAGCCTGAAAAACTCACTAAAAAATTTTCATAATAAAATCAGAAGTAGTAACAGCAGAATAGATCAAATTGAGCAAATAATCTCAGAGCTCAAAAACAAGTTCTTTGAATCAATTCAGTCAGAAAAAAATAAAGAAAAATAATGAACAAAATCTTCAAGAAATATGAGATTATGTAAAGAAAGCAAACCCATGACTCATTGGCATCACTGAAAGAGATGAGGAGAGAACTTGCAGCATGGAAAACATATTTGAGGATACTGTCCATGAAAATGTCCCCAACCTCAGTAGAGAGGTTCACATTCAAATTCAAGAAATTAAGACAACCCTTGTGAGATACTCTATAAGATGGTCATCACCAAGACTCATAGTCCTCAGATTCTCCAAGGTCAATATAAAAGAAAAAAGATTAAAGGCAGTTAGGGAGAAAAGACAGGTTACCTACAATAGGAACTCCTAACAGCAGCCCTTTCAGCAGAAACCCTACAAGCCAGAAGAGACTATGGGACTATATTCAATGTTTGTAAAGAAAAGAAATTTCAACCAGAAGTTACATATCCAGACAAAGTAAGCTTCATAAATGAAGGAGAAATAAGATCCTTTTCAGACAAGCAAATGTTAAGTAACTGTGTTATGATCACACTTGCCTTAAGTAGTGCTAAACTTGGAAATAAAAGACTTACTGTATACCACAAAAGCACACTTAAGTTCATACACAACTGACACTATTAAGTAACTACATAATAAATTATTCATAAGGACCAGTTAACAACTTGATGACAGGGTCAAATCAGCACATATGCATAGTAATGTTGAATATAAACGGTGTAAACACCCCACTTAAAAGGCACAGAGTGGCAAGTTGAATAAAGAAGCACAAACCAACTGTATGCTGTTTTCAAGAGACCCATCTTACACTAGTGCTGACGCCCATTAGTTCAAAGCAAAGAGGTGGAGAAAAAGCTACCTAGAAGACAGAAAACACAAAAGAGCATGGATTGCTATTCTAAATTCAGACAAAACAGACTTTAAACCAGCAACTATCAAAAAAGAGAAAGATGGACATTACATAATGATAAATAGTGCAATTCAACAAGAGGATTTAACTATCCTAAATATATATTCACTCAACATTGGAGCACCTCAATTAATAAAACAAGTTCTTAGAGACCTACAAAGAGACTTAGACTCTCACGAAATAATACTGGGAGATTTCAACAACTCACTGACAGTATTAGACAGATCACTGAGGACACAAAAAATCAGCAAAGATATTTGGGATTTGACTTGACACTTGACTAAATTAGCCTAACAGGAATATACAGAACACTCCACCCCACAACAAGAGAATATACATTATTTTCATCTACATATGGCACATATTCTAAAATTGGCCACATGCTTGGATATAAAACAACTCTCAATAAATTAAAAAAAACTGAAATCATACCAAACCCTTCTTGAACCACAGGGTAATAAAAATAGAATTCAATGCTAAGAAGATCTCTCAAAACATACAATTGCATTAAAATTAAACAACCTGCTCAAAAATGCCTACAGTGTAAACAATGACATTAAGGCAGAAACCAAGAATTTATTTGAAACAAATGAAAACAAAGATATGACATACCAGAATCACTGGGACACTTATAAAACAGTTTTAAAACTAACGTTTATAGAGCAAAACACCCTGATCAAAAAGTTAGAAATTTCTCAAATCAACAACATAACATCACACCTAGAAGAACCAGAAAAACAAGAACAAATCAACCACAAAGCTAGCAGAAGAAATAAAATAAACAAAATCGAAGCTGGACTGGATGAAACTGATATATGAAAACCATACAAAAGATCAAGAAACTGAAAGTTGGTTGTTTCAAAGAATTAATAAGATTAATAGACCACTAGCTAGACTAATAAAAAGAGAGAAGATCCAGATAAACAAAATCAGAAATGAAAAAGGGGACATTACCACTGAAGCCACAGAAATTAAAAAATAGATACCCTCAGAGACTGTTATGAACACCTCTATGAACACAAACTAGAGAACTTACAAGAAATTAATAAATTCCTGTAAATGTACAACGTCCCAAGACTGAACCAGGAAGAAATTAAAACTCTGAAGATACCAATAATGAATTGGTAACAAAAAGCCTACCAACCATAAAAAGCCCTGGACCATATGAATTCTCAGACAAATTCTACCAGATGTAAAAAGAAGACTTGTTATCAATCCTACTGAAAATATCCCAAAAAAAGTAAATAAATAAGGGTGACTCTTCCCTAACTTATTCTATGAGGCCAGCATGGATCTAATATCAAAACCTGGCAGAGACACAACCTAAAAAGAAAACTTTCAGGCTAATATCCTTCATAAACATAGATGCAAAAATCCTCCACACAATACTAGAAAACCAAATCCAGGAAGACATCGAAAAGCTAATGCACCATAACCAAGTAGGAGTTATCTCTAGGATGCAAGGTTGTTTCAACATACACAAATCAATAAATATGATTAATCACATAAATGTAACTAAAACAAAATCCAAATGATCATCTCAACAGATGCAGAAAAGGCTTTCAATGAAATTCAATATCCCCTTCATGTGAAAAAAATCTCAAAAATTAGTCATAGAAAGAACATACATCATCAAAATAATAACCGTTTATTACAAACCCATAGCCAATATCATTCTCAATGGACAAAAGCTGGAAGCATTCTTACTGAAACTCAGGACAAGACAAAGATGTCCACTCAAACCACTCCAATTCAATATAGTACTAGAAGTTCTAGCCAGAGCAATCAGGCAAGGGAAAGAAATAAAGGCACCCAAATATGAGATATGTTATGATTCTATACCTCGAAAACTCCAAAGATGCCTTTAAAAAAATCCTAGAACTGGTAGATGACTTCAGTAAAGCTTCAGTATACAAAAATCAATGTACAAATGTAAGTAGCACATCTATACAACAATAACATTCAAACTGAGAGCTAAATCAAGAATGCCACCCCACTCACAACACACACACACACACACACACACACAATGAGATACCTAGGAATACATTTAACCAAGTATGTGAAAGTTCTCTACAACAAGAATTACAAAACACTGCTCATAGAAATCAAAGATGACACAAACAAATGGGAAAACATTCCATGATCATGGATAGAAAGAACCAATATCATTAAAATGGCCATAATGCCCAAAGCAATTTACAGATTCAATGCTATTCCTGTCAAATTACCAATGACACTTTTCATAGAATTAAAAAACAACTATTCTAAAATTCATGTGGAAACAGACAGGGGCCCAAATAGCTAAAGCAATCATAAGCAAAGAGAGCAAAGTCAGAGCACCACACTACCCAACTTCAAACTCTACTACAAGGCAATAGTAACCAAAACAGCATGGTACTGGTACAACAGACACATATACCAATGGATCAAGTTAGAGAACTTAGAAATAAAGCCACACATCTACAGCCATCTGATCTTCAACAAAGTCAATTAAAAAAAAGCAACTGGGAAGGGGACTCCCTATTCAATAAATATTGCTTCAATAACTCACTAGCCATAACCAGAAGATTGAAATTAAACCACTTCCTTTTACTATATACAAATATCAACTCAAGATGAATTAAATAATTACACATAAAACCAAAAACAATAATAACTCTAGCAGAAAACCTATGAAATATCATTGTGGACATAGGCCCTGGCAAAGATTTCATGACGAAGACACCAAAACCAATTGTAACAACAACAACAACAATTGACAAATAGAACCTAGTTATACTAAAGAGCATCTGCACAGCAAAATAAATTATCAACAGAGTGAAAACACGACCTACAGAAAGGGAGAAATATTTGTAAACTAGCATCCAACAAAGGTCTAATATCTAGTAGCTATAAGGAACTTAAACAAATTTAACAAGCAAAAAAAATTAAAAAGCCATTAAAAAGCGGGCAAAGGACATGAACAGACACTTCTCAAAAGAAGACATACTTATATGCAGCCAACAAGCATATAAAAAAATGCTCAACATCGGTAATTATTAGAGAAATGGAAATCAAAACCAAAATGAGATACCATCTTGCACCAGTCAGAAGAGCTATTACTTAAAAGTCTAAAAATAACATACGGTAGTGAGGTTGTGGACAAAAGGGAATGCTTATACACTTCTGGTAGGTCTATAAATTAGATTAGCCACTGCTGAAAGCAGTGTGGAGATTTCTCAAAGAACTTAAAACAGAGCTACCATTCAACCCAGCAATCCCATTACTTTATATACACCCAAAGGGATATTAATTGTTTTATCATAAAGACACATGCATGTGTATATTCATCACAGCTCCATTTACAATGGCAAAGACATGGAATCAGCCTTGGTCCCCATCAATGATGGATTGGCTAAAGAAAATGTAGTACATTAGCTGGGAATGGTTGCTCACGCCTCTAATCCCAGCACTTTGGGAGGCAGAGGTGGGAGGATCACCTGAGGTCGGGAGTTCGAGACTAGCCTGACCAAACACGGAGAAACCCTGTCTCTACTTTTTTTTTTTTTTTTTTACATATTTTATCATTTTATTAGGAATAATTCCAAATGGGTTATGAAGAAAATGTATTCATCGAATTTGATGAGTTTTCCAAAAACTCTTATTGAAGATATGTCTGCCCAATAAACAAAACATCAGCAGAACTATCATATACTCTACTTAAAATACAAAATTCACTGGGCATGGTGGCACATGCCTGTAATCCCAGCTACTTGGGAGGCTGAGGCAGGAGAATCACTTGAACCCGAGAGGCAGAGGTTGTGATGAGCCGAGATCGCACCATTGCACTCCAGCTTGGGCAACAAGAGTGAAACTCTGTCTCAAAATAAATAAATAAATAAATAAATAAATAAATAAATAAATAAATAAAATGTAGTACATATACACCATGGAACATAAAAGAGAATGAGATCTTGTTCTTTGGAGCAACATAGATGGAGCTAGAGGTCATTATCCTAAGTGAATTAACACAGGAACAGAAAACCAAATAGCATGTCTTATCACCTTTAAGTGGAAGCTAAATACTGGGTACACATGAATACAAGGAAGAGAACCATAGACACAGTTACCTACTTGAGAGTGGAGGATGGGAAGTGATGAGGATCAAAAAACTACCTATTAGGCACTATATTTATTACCTGGATGATGAAATAATCTGCATGCCAAACTCCAACTACACGCAATTCACCCATGTAACAAACCTGCACATGTACCTCCAAACCTAAAAAGTGGAAAGAAAAAAATGAGAAACATATCATCAGCAAAGAGAGACAATTTGACTTCTTTTTTTCTATTTAAGTAACTTTCATTTCTTTCTCTTTCCTGATTACTCTGACTTGGACTTCCAGTACCATATGTAATAGGAGTGGTGAGAGTGAACATCCTTGTTTAGTTCCAGCTCTTAGGCGGAATGCTTCCAGCTTCATCAGTATGATGTTGGCTGCAGGTTTTTCATAGGGCACCAAGCATATCTGAGCAGGTTTCCTGACTTACGTTTTCAATTATGGTGCCTGCATCACCCCTCTATTGACTTTCAGTGTTTTCTCTTAAAAGATTTGTTTAAAATGTGATGCTTTACTTGATATTTTGGTTCCTTTCAGTGGTAGAGGTCTTTCCTGGCTACATGTAGTTGTCATCTTGCCCAGACCCATTATAAACTGTCTTTAAGGTACATTTATTTTTTACTTCCTTTGTTTTTTTTTTCTTTTTCTAATTCATTTGTATGGCTTTGTTTTTTAAAATATATTAACCATTTAGAATTGAGATTAATTAGAAATAACTTTCTGGTACTTGTATTTATTATCTTCTAAAATAGTATATAATAAGGTGGTAAAAACACATACACACACACACACACACAAACATACACACAATGTAGTGTGTACTGTCATTACAAATCAAATGACAGAATGGACTTATCTATTACACGAAGTTTTCCTAGGCCAAACTTGGAATATAGCTATATTAGTTATGTTATTAAATAGTTGCTATTTTCCTAAATTATAATTTAGTATTTTATTTTATTTTTTGCTGAACCAGGTCTCTGAATAACACACGAAATTGTGTTTTTAAAACACATTATATGAGAAACCTAGCACTTTTTACTGTCTTTTACATGAATCACTTTGCTCTACATTTAGCAGCATATTCTGAATGAACAACTGATTTGCTTCTCATTCTAACTCATTCATTGTTCTTATGAATAATGGAAATGTCTTCCAGATTTCTGCAACAGGTTGACTGTAAGTCAAAGGTTGGGATGTGCTGTTATACCTTTTTTTGCTGTTTATTTGTTACATGACTTCTTGTAAATTTTTGTACAAAGTTGGGAGTAGTTGTACCAGAAAATTAGAGTTAGATGATATTATACAATGGAATATCAATTTTATTCAATATTTCAATTGGAGAAATACCTTCTGCCATGACGTACCTTAAATGTCCTCTATATCCTCAAATCCTTGATAGAATCTTTATGTGAAACCTGCACTTTAATAAATTAGTATCACTAGATCATATGCAAGTCATTCATATTGTCAAAAAAGTGGGTTCTACCAATCAAAACTCACCAATTATGTGTTGATATGCTTTTTACCCACGAATTTATGTGCAAAATAATAATTATGTATGAAACTAGAATTAATAATAACTGACATTATAAGAAACACATATCATTTGTAAAAAAACACATAATTTTCCTATTGTGTTTGATAGAGTGGTATCTAATTGTAGCAACATGCATACTGACACTGGCGCATACAAAGTAAGGGTTTTAACTTTCTCATGTAACAAGAAAGTTTGAAAGTAGGCAGTCCAGAACTAATATGGTAGTTTTCCTATGTTACTAGACACTCGCATGTGTTTACTTTACCTCCTATATCATTGTTTGAATTCTAAGAAAAATGAGAAGGGCAAGAGGCAAGTGGTAAATTTGATCCAGAGGTGTATTTGTGAGCCATCTCTAGGAAAGGAGGTGAGGATGGGGTAGGGTGGAGATAGTTTCTGATTTGCAGAATTTGTTGGTTCATGTGTAAATATTCCCACTGTGGCTGAATTTAAGCTACTCAACATGATATTACTAAAGGTGGAGTTGTGAAATGATGGGTAAAAATTGTTCCTGTGAGACAGTTATAGCTGGTTTCATGGCAAACCTCTGGCCATGCCCTCTTTTAATGAGCCTCCTTGGGAGCCATACCAAGAAACTCCTATCTGATTGCTCAAAACTGTGTTCCATAGCCACCACCACAACAGGGCAGGCCAGAAAATATTACTGCTCCGAAATCAGAGAAAGGAGACATAGTCATCAGGGAGACAGTCAAGTGTCTGCTATACTTGTCTATAGAAAACTAACATCAGAAATTTCTGAGAGTCTTTTTTAAATAATAACGTATCGTATATTTCAAAATAGCTAAAAGAGAGGACTTTCAATGTTCTCAACACAAAGAAATGATAAAACTTTGAAGTGATGAATATGCTAATTAGTCTTATTTGATCATTCCACAATGTATATGTGTATCAAAACATATTTTACACCGTAAAATATAAAATTATTATTTGTCAATTAAAAAGAAAATGAAACAGAAAAGTATTCATCCCCTACTGTGGACCTGCTGCTCCAGGAACTGGGTTAGGCAGTTGAACAGACATGCATGGGACAAGAAGAGTTGTCCTACCGGTAGAGTTTCTTCTTTGTATGTTTCTGTACTTTTTACTGCTACAGCAAAACCTTGAGATTCAGTAATTATTATAAAGAATAGAAATTTATTTCTTAAAATTCTAGAGGCTGAGAAGTCCGGATCAAGGTGGTGGCATTTAGCCTAGTGAGAGCCTTTTTGCTGTGACCTCATATGACAAGTCAGAAGAGTAAGCTAGCAGAAGGTTACATGAAGCTTCTTTTAAAAGGGCCATAATCCTATCAACAAGGGAGTGGCATTCATGGCCTAATTACCTCTGAAAGCCCTCACCTGCTAATACTATAATATTAGCAGGGCCTAAATTTTTGAGAGTACACTTTCAAATCATAGCAGAGAGGAAGAGGAAATTCAGAAACCATGAATTAGGTTACTTCTGTAAAGTGGCAAAAGCAGACAACATTGAAAGAGGGCAAACAACATATGCATAGTTTAATGCTGGAATATTTCATAAAGCAATAATTACATATGTGGATGTAAATATATAAAGAGGTAAGTCCATATGCTATAAAATATTTGAATCTATAAGATATTTGGATCATAGAAAATATTCTAATTACCTCTAGTTTTATTATGGCTAAATATTGCTTCTAATAAAGTAATAGAAAATCTTTAAAATAATTTTTTTAATGTCTAATCGTCATATACATGTAAATCAGCCAGCAGCAGTGCTGATAAATTGATTTTATTAGTTGAAAATTGAGTTATAATCAATTTGTTCTAACTCAATCAAATATCTTTCTTTTTGGAAAGATATTCAATTTAAAAAATTATTTCAAGCATGGAATTATATGCACCATAACAACTACAGGTGCAATGTGCTGAAGGACACTAGTACCTAAACTAGTCTGGGAGTCATTAAAAGCTTAAATCTTACTTCCTCAGTTACTGTCTATAGAGATGCTCCTTGACATATGATAGGGTAGCATCCCTAAAAACCTATAGTAAGTTAAAAATGTCTAAGTTGAAAAAGCATTTAATACATTTAACCTACCAAATATCATAGTTTAGCCTAGCTTACCTTAAATGTGCTCAGAATACTTACATTAGCCTGTGGTTAGAAAAAGTCTTCTAATACAAAGCCTATTTTATAACGAAGTGTTGAACAGCTTGTGAAATTTATTAAATATTGTATTAATAGTAAAAATCAGTATACTTGTGCAGGTACCCAAAGTTCAGTTTCTACTGAATGACTATTGCTTTTGTATCATCATAAAATTGAGCAATGACAATTGAACCACTGTAAATTGAGGACTGTCTATATTAAAACGTTTTTCCCATACAAGTAAAATAATGGAATAAAATTAAATATATATTTCTATATATTTCTACTGTGGGCCCTTTCTTTATATATCAATAGTCATATTTATATATAATAGATAATGCCATAGCAAAAGTGGTAAATAATTTTTCTTTTATGTTGTTACTATATTTCTTTCAAATTCCCTCTAACAACTTTGATTGTTTCAAATTAACATTAGGTAATGTGTCTTTTTTTTTAATTATGGTCCCAATATCTATTGCATTTTTGAGATTATAGCATATGGTTAAAGATGAATGTTGAGTGAACGAAAGAAAGACTGAGACAAATGATTGGTAAAGGGTGGTAAGAGTTCTGGATTTATAAAAGGCAAATAAACTGACAAGTAGCTGATAATCCAAGAAAAACTTTTTTTAATTACTAGTAACAGAAAGAGATAGTAACTATAGTATGACTTTGAACTCAGGCCATCTATGTTTTTCATTATACATCCAATGAAGGCTCAAGTATTTATGCTAATGGATGCTAGATCATTTAAAACAATTTATTACTAGGGCCATGAAATACATTTTTGTACTTACAGAAGAATATAAAGCACCCAAGTGTGAGGAATTAACATTTTATCAAATTATTGAAATACAACTTGACAACTTTACTCAAGAGAAGCTAGAAATATAAAATTATGTGTATTTGCATGTGTGTGTGTGTGTTTGAAAACAGAAGGAATTTTAAAAAACAGGTAAAATATGAGAAAACAATTATCTATAAGATGCCCTCATCCTCTTGACCATTTTGTTGTCATTGTTGTTTTGAGATAGTCTCTCTCTATCTCACAGGCTGTAGTGCAGTGGCATGATCTTGGCTCACTGCCACCTCCCCCTCCCAGGTTCAAGTGATTCTCCTGATTTAGCCTCCCAAAGCTGGGATTACAGATGCCCGCCACCACGTCCAGCTATTTTTTTTGTATTTTTAGTAGAGATGGAGTTTCACCATGTTGGCCAGGCTGGTCTTAGACTCCTGAACTCAAGTGATCTGCCTACCTCAACCTCCCAAAGTGCTGGGATTGCAGGCGTGAGCCACTGCACCCAGCCCCCTTGATAACTGATCATCCATCCTTAAGTTATTTAAATTGTTTAAATGAAGCAATGTAATCATTGCAGCCTATCCTACCTCTAGAAAAACCTCATCCTGTTACCTACCACCTCACTGCTTCCTGCATCCTGGGCCCCTCTGACAATGACTTTGATTTTACACTTGTTGCAATAATTAGACTCACCATGCTTTTGCCATTTCAACACAATCTGGCTTCGAATGAAATATTATTGCCATTGCTATCAAAGTCTGTATAGCTTTTTCTATCATAAGCTCTAAGTTAAAGAGAAAAGTTACCACTGAATTTCATGTTCCTGGTGCTGTTTTTACCGGAGCATTTCTAATCACTTTGGTAAACAGAGAATCTTCCAAGTCTATCTGTGGTACACAGTTAGATACGGATCTTACATAATATATCCACAGCATTATGTCCACTTCACCATGATTGTTCTAAAATTGCTAGTTCACATAATGTACACCATTGTTTATCAATAACCATTCTGTAAATATGTTAACACTGTCTCTTGGAATCCTTTCTGGGCTGCTAAGTCCCGTATCACTGGTGAATGCTCCCATATCTATCAACTATCCCTTACCTGAAGTTTTTCTTACCCTTTCCCACTTCATTGAAACCAGTTTCATGGATGTTCCTTATTAGAGATTTATTATTTATTATTACTATATATTATTTATTATTAATATTATTATAATATATAATATTTATTATGATTAGGGATTCTACAGTTTCTTGGCCATATAATCCCTCTCATTCCTTAGAAAGCCTAGAACATCCTCATTCTGGTTGTTTTAAAATTTAATCTTTTCTGTTAGCAAGGTATTATTGTCACAAGATCCTCGGGGTGTTGCTTCACCACCTCTGTGGCCAGTGGCACCTTCTGTCTGAGTATTGCTCATGCTTGTTGGGCTTGTTCCATCCACTTGTCCTGGCAGGCTGCACTTGGGTCATGCTACCATCCCAGATCCCATACCTGCCAAGGGCAAGCCAGGTGCAGAGTGGCAAGAGGTGTGTGAGTGAATGAACAAGGGGTCTGGCCACTGTGCATGGCCAGACATGCCAGCTGCTGCAGCAGAAAGGGCAGCTCCAGGCACCAACACAATGCCGGCTCTGTGTGAGGCTCTGGCTGGAGCAGATGTATCTCATGCAGCTTCTGCTGTGGGTACCCATGTCTGGATGAGGGGAACACAGTGGTGTCTAGAAGCTTGGAGATGTCAGGAACTGCAGAGACCAAAAGAGGGTGTCACAGCCCTGGCTTGGTGAGTCCCTAGGTCTGTGCTCCCTGAAGGGCCACAGCTCTTCTCTCCTTCTAGTCACCCACAACATAATGAGTGGGGGGATGTGTTTCAGTCCTGTTTGTGTTACAGCTCTTTCTCTTTGTCTTTTTTGAAATGGAGTGTCTGTCTCCCAGGCTGGAGTTTAGTGGCATGATCTTGGCTCACTGCAACCTCCACCTCCCCAGTTCAAGTGATTTTCCTGCCTCACCCTCCCAAGTAGCTGGGATTACAGGCATGTGCCACCATGTCTGGCTACTTTTTGTGCTTTTAGTAGAGATGGGGTTTCACCATATTGACCAGGCTGGTCTCAAACCCCTGACCTCGTGATCCACCCACTTCGGCCTCCCAAAGTGCTGGGATTACAGGCAGGAGCCACCACGCCCAGCCTACAGCTCTTTCAGTCCCACCATTCGGCAGGTCCCAAGTTCTTGTCCCATATCCAGGAAGAATGAGGTGCATGGACAACTGGAGGGTGAGCAAGGCAGGGAGGAGCTTCACTGAGTGAAAGAACAGCTCTCAGGAGATCCAAAGTGGGTAGCTTCTTTCCACAATCAGGTCATTCTGATGAGTGTCCAGTTCTCAGCGAAGAGGAGACCCTGGAGTGGGTAGCTCCTTTCTGCATGAAGGCGGTCTAATGAGTACAGCCCTCAGTGGGTGGGAGATCCACAGTGGATACCTCTTATCCACAGGCAGGTCATTCCAACTAGTGTCCAGCTGTCAGCAGAGAAGAGACCCAGAAGTGTTGTTTCTTTCCTCAGGCAGGCCATCCCAACAAGTCAAGCAGACCCAAAGTGGGTAGCTCCTTCCACAGCTGGTAGTTGTGATGTCTGTCCAAGTCTGGCTGAGTTGAGGATTTTTATGGACTCAGAAGGGAGTAAGTGTGTGCTGACTGGTCCATGAGTGGCCATGAGTGGGCCTGAAAAAAGCACCATACGTTCTCACTCTGGACCACAGACTCTACACGAAAGTGGCAGCCCGGCCCTCAGACTTCACTCCATCTCTGGCTTGATGGTGTGCTACACCAGGGAACCACCCCTTATCTGCCCAGGAGCCTATCTGCCTCCTGCCATCATCAACATTCCATCCATGGCACCCAGGCTGTTCATTCCAAGGAGCACCTGCAGGTGTATACCTGGCCACCCTCAGCAACCCCTCAGCCTCCCTCCCATGCTCATCGGCAACCAAAGTCCAGTGAGGCTGAAGTGGCAAAGGGCTAGCATGTCAATGCCACTCTGAGTGTGTGCACACCTGGCCAGGTTGCAACAGCATCCAGGCTGGGCCATAACTTTGCTCTGCCCTGGAGCAGGCACTGGAGGTAGGGAGAGGCCAGGGAGCGGGAGCAGAGACTTTCAATCCTGCAGGGGCAGGGGTTTTCTGGGCCCCTGAGAGTGCAGGAATACCAGGGTCTGGAGCCACAGCTGGGTATCTGCAGCAGCACCCAGGTACATGGGCTGCTGCCCCACCAACTAGGTAAGGGCTGGAGCTTTCATCTATTCCTGGCTCCTTCTGACTCCACAGAGCACACAACCCCAGCTGTGCCTCTCGCACACAGTGGCCACTCCAGACAGGCTGTCCACCATGATTATCTCTTCACAAGGGTGAGTTATCTACATTGCAGGCCTAGTGTGTTCTGTATAATCTAAGAGTTCAAGTTTCTCATCTACATCTACTCAAATTTTAATCCCAAGTCTTACAATCCCTTTCATTCCATGTTGTTGCTCTTACCTTGACATAGGAAACCTGCAGAGGCTGAAAATTCAACATTCTCTGAAGAATTATTATTTTTTCTGTTACCTCCTAAGCCTAGTCCCTTGATCTTTCTGTCCTCTGCTTATAGGAAATTAGTTTTCTAGTAGTTTACAAGGAAGGTCTTCAGCTTTAACATTTTGTCTTGAATTTGTGACTCATTATGTTCAGTCTTTCATTGCCTCTCTTTAATGAGTCAACTACACACACCAATTCCATTGTCCTTAGAGTTACCATGTTATTGACACCTCCTAGACATGAAAGTTACTGCATAACCAAGTGTTTTCACTTTTTTTTTTTTTTTTTTTGAGACAGGGTCTTTCTATGTTGCTCAGCAAGACACTGGAGGGCAGTGTCATGATCATGGCTCACTGCAGCCTCAATCACTGGGGCTCAAGCAATCCTCCTACCTCAGGCTTCTGAGTAGTTAGGACTGCAGGGATGTGCCATCATGCCCGGATAATTTTTATATTTTTTGTAGAAATTGGTCTTGCCATGTTGCCCAGGCTGGTCTCAAACTCCTGTACTCAAGCAATCCTTCCACCCTGGCTTCCCGAAGTGCTTGGAATACAGTCATGGTTCACCATGCCTGGCCCTGTTTTCTCTTTTGCTAATAAATGTTTAACAACTGTGCTTCTACAGCTTGACAAGGACTATCAGTAGTCTATCTATAATCAGTTATGGGACCCTCTTTGCCCCCAGCAAGGAACCTGTCTCCAAAATCCTACTATAGGGTCTTTTCCTCCTGGAGTCACTTTTGATGCTAAGATGTATTTCCTGGTAACAGAGAGAGAGATGCACACAAAAAGTTTTACTGGGGAGTGTTTTGAGAAGAATGCCTGTAAAGAAATGATGAAAGTAGAACTGGGCAGAAGAAAAAGCTGACTAGCATGTTGTTGTAATTTAGTACTCAGCATATCCTACTAAGATATATGAAGCTGGAAACACACTTCACAACTATGCACAATTGAGGCAAAGAGATTATGACTTTTTATCTCTCATTAACCAGTCATTGGCTGCGAGCCATCTCTTGGGATGGGTGAGACTTCAGATGAGGAAATTCCCTGAAGGGAAGAATAGTGCCCTATGAGGAGCTCAGCTTTGACCAATCATCAGTTGACATTTCTGGAATAAGCTGATGGGTGCATTGGCCAATAATACAGGTTAAAGATAGAGTATCACTTTATATAAAACACTTAAGAAATTGAATCCAATTCCTAAAAATTCATAAGAATTTAATTAGCAAGGAGAATCATAAATATAACATCAACAAAAATAAATTTAATACAAACACAAATAATTATAAATTATTTTATGAATTTAATATATATTTAATTATTAAAGTTAATTACTGTTAACATAAATGTGAACTAACAGAAGTAAAACTTACTTGGTGGTGATATGTCTCCAGCCTGCTTTATATATCATACATAGCTTTACAAAGTTGTTAGTATTTAATGTATAATAATAATCTAACAGCAATTTGTATCCCTAATTTAAAATCAATATTCAGTATTGAAGAGAAAAAAATAATTTATTTCACAACTGTTTGTACAAATTTAGCTTTCAGTAAAAGTCAAAGTAAGATAGGTTTGTTTTCCTTGCTTTTTCAGCACTAGAAATCCTATAAATCACTAAGAGGCTAATCAGATTAGGGCTACCTTCTGTTTAAAAGAAAATAAATGACAAGCTAATTCATATTAATATGAATACTTACCCCTTCCTAAATATTTATTCATTTGTTTTTATAATAAGATTACTCTTATAGAAATGGATGATTTAAAAATTCTAGCACATAGATATATTACAATGGAAGAGATCTTATGTTCAAAATCCTTCCTAAGATTAAGCACTTCTCAAAGATTAAAAACATTAGAGGATAAAAATATAATAACATTCCTCATTATTTTCTAGGAACTGAACAAAAATATGAAGATTAAAAATAGGAAAATAATAACTATTACTAAACTTCATATGATAATATGAGGAAATTTTACTAAATATGGTGTATTAGTCCATTTTCATACTGCTAATAAAGACATATCCAAGACTCAGAAGAAAAAGAGATTTAATGGACTTACAGCTCCACATGGCTGGGGAGGACTCACAATCATGGCAGAAGGCAAGAAGGAGCAAGTCACGTCTTACATGGACGGCAGCAGGCAAAGAGAGAGCTTGTGCGGGGAAACCCCCATTTTTAAAACCATCAGATCTTGTGAGACTTATTCACTGTCATGAGAACAGCATAGGAAAAACCCACCCCCATGATTCAATTATCTCCCACCAGGTCCCTTCCACAACACATGGGAATTATGGGAGCTACAAGATGCGATTTGGGTGGGGATGCAGAGCCAAACTATATAATTCCACCCTGACCCCTCTCAAATCTCTTGTCTTCACATTTCAAAACTAACTATGCCTTCCTACCAATCCACCAAAGTCTTAACTCATTTCAGCATTAACTCAGAAGTCCACAGTCCAAAGTCTCATCTGAGATAAGGCAAGTCCCTTCTACCTATGAGCCTGTAAAGTGAAAACCAAGTTAGTTACTTCCTAGATACAATGGGGATACAGATATTGGGTAAATACAGCCATTCCAAATGGGAGAAATTGGCCAAAGCAAAGGGGCTACAGATCCTATGCAATTCCAAAATTCAGTGGGGCAGTCAAATCTTAAAGCTCCAAAATGATCTCCTGTGACTCATGTCTCACATCCAGGTCATGCTGATGCAAGTGGTGGGCTCCCATGGCCTTGGGTAGCTCCATCCCTGTGGCTTTGTAGAGTATAGGCCCCCTCATGGCTGCTTTCATGGGCTGGCTTTGAGTGTCTGCAGCTTTTCCAGGTACACGGTTCAAGCTGTTGGTGGATCTACAATTCTGGTGTCCGGAGGACAGTGACTCACTTCTCACAGATCCACTAGGTGGTACTCCAGTAGGGACTCTGTCTGGGGTCTGTGGGCTCCAACCCACATTTCCCTTTCACACTGCCCTAGCAGAGGTTCTCCATGAGGGCCCTGCCCCTGCAGCAAACTTCTGCCTGGGCATTCAGGCATTTCTCTACATCTTTTGAAATCTAGGCACAGGTTCCCAAACCCCAGCGCTTGACTTCTGTGCACTCACAGGCTCAACACCACATGGAAGCTTCCAAAGCTTGGGGCTTGCACTCTCTGAAGCCACAGCCTGAGCTCTACATTGGCCGCTTTCAGTCACAACTAGAGTGACTGGGATGCAGGGCATCAACTCCCTCCCTAGGCTGCACACAGCATGGGGACCCTGGGTCCGGTCCATAAAACCATTTTTTCCTCCCTGGCCTCTGGGCCTGTGATGGGAGGGGCTTCTGCGAAGACCTCTGACATGCCCTGGAGACATTTTCCCCATTGTCTTGGGATTAACATGGGGCTTCTCATTACTTATGCAAATTTCTGCAGCCAGCTGAATTTCTCCTCAGAAAATGGGATTTTCTTTTTTATCGCATTGTCAGGCAGCAAATTTTCCAAACTTTTATGCTCTGTTTCCCTTATAAAACTAAATGCCTTTAACAGCACCCATGTCACCTCTTGAATGCTTTGCTGCTTAAAAATTTCTCCTACCAGATACCCTAAATCATCTCTTTCAAGTTCAAAGTTCCACAAATCTTTAGGACATGAGCAAAATGCCACCAGTCTCTTTGCTAAAACCTAACAAGAGTCACCCTTTCTTCAATTCCCAACAAGTGCCTTATTTCCTTCTGAGACCACCTCAGCCTAGACATTATTACCCATATCACCATCAGCATTTTGGTCAAAGTCATTCGACAAGTCTCTAGGAAGTTCCAACCTTTCCCACATTTTTCTGTCTTCTTCTGAGACCTCCAAACTGTTCCAACCTCTGTCTATTACCCAGTTCCAAAGTTGCTTTCACATTTTTGGGTTCTTTTCAGCAGTGCCCCACTCTAATGGTACCAATTTACTGTACTAGACCATTTTCATGCTGCTGATAAAGACATAGCTGAGACTGGGAGGAAAAGGAGGTTTAAGGGACTTACAGTTCCACATGCCTGGGAAGGCCTCACAATTGTGGTGGAAAACAAGAAACAGCAAGTCACATCTTACATGGATGGCAGTAGGCAAAGAGAGAGCTTGTGCAGGGAAACTCACATTTTTAAAACCATCAGATCTCATGAGACTTATCCACTATCATGAGAAAAGCATAAGAAAGACTTCCCCCCATGATTCAGTTATCTCCGACCAGGTCTCACCCACAACACATAGGAATTGTGGGAGCTACAAGATGAGATTTGGGTGGGGATACAGAGCCAAACCATATCATATGGTAAAGTGGACCCTGATTGAAGAGTGTCACTATGGGCCACCCTTTCCCTAGATTACTTGAAGGGCCAAAGCTAGTGGCAAGGTGGCCTGAGGAGGATATGGTTATATCTGGCTTGGAGTCCACAGTGTGTGTGTGTGTGTGTGTGTGTGTGTGTGTGTGTGTGTGTGTGTGGTGTGTGTGAGAGAGAGAGAAAGTGTGTGTGTGTGTTGGGGGAGCGGTTATGGCATTTAAATACTAACAGTGAATGGCCAATTCTTCACATCAGTGCACCAAAGCTCCCAGGGGTGGTTGAGACATAATCACTCTGTGTACTTAGAAGAGGCAGTAGATAAAACCAACAATCAAAGAAACAGGACATGTAGTTAGTAATTGCAATAGGCATAGAAAAAACAATACAGTACAAAGATATCATCAAAGAAAAATAAAGGTTAAAATGATAAAAAGAAAAATAACAAACTTTGTCTTGGTGCCCTCTCTGCTTTTCGCCTCCCCTCAACCCTCAGCTGTAGGGAGAGAGTGGGAACATCCCAAAGTCTTCTACCTTTCAGTCTAATCCAGAGATTAGACTCTGGATTCCTATTACTTTTCACTGACTGGGTTCCAAAAATTAGTGAGGTTCCCACTCCTCAACCAATGGGGCTCTAATCAACTCAAATCAGCAGTTGTCCAGTGATGGTGGAAACAAAAACTCAGCTAGTTCCAGCTCTGAGCCCTCCTGTGGCATCTTACCTGTCTCTGCCTCCAGTATGCAGGCACAGCATTGGAGAGACCTGCAGCAGCCAATGGCTGGGGACAAGCTGAGATGTGGCTATGGTCCTAACTCCTGACCATTGTCAGGCTGTAGTCATGCCCTGTCATGAGCCCTAGCAGGTGCCAGGCAGGCAAAACAGCTTTTTTTGTGGACATTAAAGGGCTCAGCCAAAATGCTACTCATGCACAGTGCTGTAGTCCTGGGGCTACCATCAGCCTGCAGATCAGGTCAACTCCTTCAAGGCTCTGCATTAGGGCCTGCTCTACCAATAATTCATTTCAGCTCCAGCCTCAACTTGTCTGGTGTTAACTCAGGCACTAGGGGATGGACAGTCATGGAGAACTTATTAAGCCTCTGTGCAGGGTCAGCCTATCATGACTCTTAGGTGTAGGGCTGCTCAGGAGTCACCAAGCATATACGCTAAGGAAGAAGTGAGTTCACACAGCAGCCCTGACACTGGGATGTGGGTGACTGTGGCCTGTAAGATCTTTGATGTCAGAATTTGTACACCTACACCAAGCAGGAGGCATCAAAACTGACCCTTACACTGATGATTCAATGCATCACTCAACTCTGAAAGTCAACAGCTAGGTCTTCTTTAATGCAGAGGCCCCATCATCATCCCCCACCCCACACCCTCTCCAGCTGCTTATGGAAAATTACATCAAACCCAACCCAGTCTTCACTCAGAACCATCTGCCTGTACCTAGCCTGGACCCAAGCACCTTTTGCCTGCATGTAGTAGAGGTACCATTGGGTCAGCAGCTGTTCCTGTTCCAGGAGAAACAGGAGTTCAAGTTCCCTAAGCACCGGATCATACTCTGCAGCATACCAGCAACTGGTGCTCTGAGATGACTCACGTCAAAGAAGTAAAAAGTCTGGAGTGGAGGATAGTTATCAGCACTGCACATGGGAATGGGGCACAGCTCTGTAATATGTTAGCCTTGGCTGGTCATCAGCTCTGTGAAACTGAGGCCCATGTCTGCTTTGAGGGAGTAGACTCTGACCCCACTGGGACTGCATATGGATCATTCCTCTGTCTCAGGCCATAGACTCTGAAGCTCAGTGGCATATGAGGTAAATGGGCAGCCTCTGCCTGGTGACCATACCCTCCATTTTGGGTGGTGGTTCCCACTGTGGTGGGTGCACACTCTGTCAAATGGCTGGGCAAAGTGAATGAATGTGGAGCCAGAAGAAAGATACAGCCACTGGCAACAGTGGGATAACAAAAGCTTCTTTCCACATGTGGACTGGGACACTGTAGGTTTTGACTTGGTTCCATACATTCAGGAACTTCTTGGCCATTGCAGTACCCTAAAGGAGGGAGACTACAGAGTTAGGGGAGGTGACCAACAAGGGATATACATGAAGTGGTGGTGGCAGGGCTATTATCTGGGGGTGTGAGTCTCTAAGTGGGACCTAACCTGGCAGGTGGCTGAGCTGGATGGAGATTAACAGTGCCACAAGAGGGCCTGGGCCTGGTGTCTATGGCAGCCGTAAGCACCTGTGCCAGATAGGCAGAGGAATTGAACATTGTTTGCAAGGCTGTGGATGGCAGCTATGATGTGCAGCTATACTCCAGTGTCCCAATCTGGAGCCTCTGAGGTGTGCTCAGCAATGTCTGGCACTGTGTCCACATCCATGTGGCCCCACGTGCTCAGGTAATGGAGCCGTCACACCCCGGAACCACCTTCTCAACTCCTTTCCCCACCCATCCTTGGGGTGGGGAAATGTCTCTGTCCTCTCCACTTCTTGGATCACAATCCTGAACTAGGTCTTCCTAAGCCATACTCAGGTACACACATTGCACATCTCCACCCTGGTGATCTCCCTCCTTCTTTGACACTAGGCTATACAATCCTTCTGGCCTCTGACCCTGGACCAGGTGGTGAGAGCTGTTGAAGCAAGGGTCTAGAAGTGAGAAAAGTAATTCTGGAGGCAAGCCCTTCTATTTTTACTTCCTACCCCATCTCCACTTCCAATGCCTATCACCATTGAGGTCTTATTTTGCTTTTCTTCTTGAACTCTCCAGAGAATGTGTGTGGTAGGTATAAAAATGGTGTATATGTTACTTTCTATTGTCTCTCTGGATTGCCAAAGGGCTGTGAGGAGAATGAGGTGAGCAATCCTCTCTCTTTATAGGTCTACTCTTCTAATTACATCCATAAAGTGTCTCTTGAAGATTATGATTAAAAAGGGAAAAAAAACCAACAAAAATAAATAAATACAGGTGAAAGTTTTGGTAAGTCAGATCTCTGGAAAATATCCAAAATAAACATAGAGATACTTTTCTAACAAGTCAAAGAAGTATGTTATAAAATCTAAGTATAAATGTGTTGTTATCTTTAAATCCTAATGTGTATCCCATTGTTTCAGACTTAGGGTTGTTAATAAAATTTGCAATTTTTACAAAAGTTATTCTTGTATGTTTGCTGCTTTATTTTTATCATATTTCTTTCTAGGTTGTAGTGAATATCATATAAGAAAAACGTTACTCAACACTTTTTAGAGAAAATAAAATATATATATATATATACGTGTGTGTGTGTGTGTGTGTGTATATATATATATATATATGTATATATGGAGGTAATATATATTACCTTCTTATCCCAAGTTGAAAAATCATGCTTCTATATATCTCAAGAAGAAACAAATATATTTTCCATCTTCATGCTTTGAAATTGTTTTATTTTTGAACTTATGATACTAAATAGAAGTTTGAAAACAGGAAATAACATACCCTTGTTTCTCAAATTTTCCATTTCCTCAACCTTCCTCCTCACCCTCAAGTCACTAAGACAGATTCTGATGTTACCTCTTTTTCTTCCCTTAACGAGTCACAATTAGGCATAAGAAGCAAGAAGGAATTTTCTTGAACAGCAGATACAGTCCTCATAGAAAATTCTATAATATAAAGATGGTAAATTTTCAAAAATAAATTTTAAGAAAAATCTGCAATAGTCTATGAAATTTTAAGTCAGTCGTAGTTATTTTTAACTTAACAAAGTAATGTGTGTGTTTTTGCAATATGAAAGAATCTGTGTTTAGAAAAAATTTTCCTCATGGAAATTCACAGATATTAACTCTAAACCTTGGTTAAGTCATTTGTTAGTGTTTCCATCTGTAAAAAGACCTATTTCATAAGATTCTGGTAAGGATTAAATTTACCCACACAATGTAGCAGAGTGCCAGACACAGAGTAGGCCTATGTAGACACTACATTAATTCACCAAAAAAATTTTCTTAGATTTCAATTTACTATGACCGTAATGATGACAATATGTTATCAAAGATATTAAAATAATTTAAATTTATTATTTAATTTTGTAATATATTTTGATGAGTGTGCTACATATATAAGAAAACTTTTAACATAGGAAATAAAAAATTACAGTTTTAAGTGCCCTAAAGTCTCAATTTAAAAAAATTGCTATTTAATAATGAGAAATTCTTTAGTCATTTTTCTCCCTTGTCTGTGAAAATGTTTCTTTTTATAATAAATGAAAAATGTGTACATGAATATTTAATCATTAACTATATATCAATGAAATAACAGATAAACATTAAAGTGAAAATATTATAATACAGAAATGATCAAAACTTAATATAGCATAGCTAGTTAGAAAAAATAAATATCCTTACACACTAGTCACTGACCATTATTTCTTTACAAAATAATGGCAATCAATTGGTTTGAAAGAGCAATTCCTAAGAACTGCCCCTCTTCTGTATTTTGTTGTTCAGAGGAAGGCGTGGCTGATACAAATTGAATAACTTTGACTATTATTGTAATATCTGCCTTCTAAATCATAAGACTTCAGTAACTGAAAGAGGCTAATAAGAAATTACTGCAAATATAAATGCAGATTTGGGATCCACTGCCTGACTGACTTGAAAAGCTGTTTCAAATACCAAATATTGTATTATTACAATTGTTTCTCTTTGAAATCTACTTCTATCCCTTTACTGAAAAATGATGATAAGGCAAAAACAAAACAATACAGTATCAGTGAAGTTGACAATGCAGGTGTTTGGCTGTTTTTTTCACTATTTATATTGAAAGCAGTTTGTAACATTTTTTCTACATTCATTAAAGAGCCTTTTTTCTTCCCTGTTCTTCCACGGTATTAACCATCATTCACCACATAAATTATTTAAGCAAATGTTTACATGAGCATAATCTTAATGTGAAATATAACATTTCTCAAACATTTACAGCAAACATTAAGTCTCTTTAATTGTTTTTCAATAATTACTACGGAAGCACCATGTAAGTAAATTAAAAATTCTTCTTCCATATTTTAAAAAACTGAGATTTTAGAAAGATGTGCAATAACTAAATGTGTGCACCAAGAATATAACAATTATTGAGCCAAATTGTAAATCACGCCCAATTTTCCATTTGATTTGCTTCCGGAGAACTATTAACATGTGGTCTAGAATTTATTCTTCATTATCAAAAAGAACTGAGATTGAATCTTGGCTCCAATAACTCCTGGCTGAATGAAGTTTTAACTTTTGGAAAATCATTTTGTTTTTTCCAGAAATATTCAACTAATTTCTGCCTTCCATTATGTTTTGAAAATTCAGTAAATGTGGGTACACAAGGCTCTTACTACAATACAAACAAATACTAGATGGTGAATACAGATTACTATTGTCATGCTATGCATTGATTCTCAAATTCAAAGAGAGGGAGACATATTATTCAAAAGGAAGTAAAGAGACAAAATACAGTCTTATCGAGTATCAGAGTGATGTGGCTATGATTTTCTATTTAAATTTGTGCTTATATACTACATATAGTATTTTATGGATTGTGAATAGTGGATGTACATATATATTTACATATATATATCACATAGTATGTTGCTCTACTCAATATACACATAGTATAAAGTAGTTTAGCAGGTTTAGTTTCTATATTTACTATAAAGTCTGTGTATATGCGTGTGTGTGTGTGTGTACAATTTAAGGTGGGAAATAAAAGAAAATTGGTATCATCCTTGCCAACAAAGCATCTTATAAACAAGCAGTTTCAGCAATTAAACTGTTTTTTTTTTAATTCTCCAGTAGCACAATGTACAATGTTGACAACAAAATTTAGAGAATTCTGTCTTTTTCATCTTGAGTCCTGAGTAGCAAGACCTAATTATCATGTTAACAATGAGCATAGTTTGACCTCATTTTTATCATGCACAACAGTTCACTTTTCCCTTTTTTCCAGGACGTCACTAACAACCTCTAGATGTGCTGTAAAAATGATACATTGAGTTTGGTCTAATATCCTGAGATAGCTGGATACCACATCTGCACAACCAAAAGTAGAACTGCAACATCTCTTCCAGATATCTCATCCATTGAGCTGAAAACGATTCATAAGTGAATTCACTAAATGAATATTTATTCTCTGTTCTGAAACTACTAAATAAGAAGTCAATATAGTCAGTATACATGGAACTTCAATTACAAATTTACATTTCAGTAAGGACATTCTGTCTATCCCAATGGCCATTAAAAAATCATACTATAGCTGCTTATACAAAGCTGTCCCATAAAATGTTATTGGATATGTAAAGAAAATATATTACCTTTGATGTTTTTCTCTGTATGGAAAATTTTTCCTCTTACTGGCGGCAATTCCTTTAAGATTTTCTTTCAAAAATTACTTCTAAGGACTTGTACAGATTGCATTGCAGGAGATTAAGTCTCTAGGAAAATAAATATTTTTGAAATATTGCAAAACAAGTAAAACTCTAAACAGCAATAAAACACCACAGTTAAGAAATGTACTGACTTACAGCCTTTTGGACTGGAAAGATAAGTTTTATATCATGCTCCAATGACTACAAAGTTAATCCTGTTGACTTTTTGTATCACTTCAGTGAGGTGCAAGTTTTAGTGTCCCTAAGTAATATGACCAATGTCATTCAATCCATAGTAGTGTATAGACCATATTTTCAGAAAGCTTAATTTTAGAAAACAGAGAGAAAATAATTTAAAGTCAAATTACATACTGTAAAAACACTAAACTTATTGATATTATGAATGCCTATGGCTACCATATCAATAATGACTTTAGGTGACCAGGACTTGCTGTTGATATATTAAATGGTATATTATATGTGAAAATATGTCTAAATATCCAAATTAGCCATTGACATTCTCAAAAACCCAAGTTAAACTTTTTAACATCCACTGACTCATTCTTTCATATTATAAATGTTCTTACATGTCTTCCAGTTTATATATGGCAGTTATTAATATTGTTCACATTTATGACATGTACATTTCATATTATTATTGACTTTTTTGAAAGATAATTTTATATGAAAAGTACTGATGAAGGAATTTTGTTTTATGCTGTCAAAAGAAGTTTCCCTGCATTGAGATGGCAGTATTGCTATTCAGTATGAGTCAGCTTTGTTGATTCCTCCAAAGTATGCTCCCAGTTAACCAGAAAGATTTTGGTGTTAAACTTTAAGAATCTTGAGTAATTTTCACTGATTGTTTATAGTGTCAGTTTTGCTAAAGTTGAATGTAATGCTTCTAACCACAACAGTTATATCTATTTCTTAATTGCAATATTGCATTACTGTTTAAAGTCAAAGAACAGTTGCATACAAAAAAAAAGAGTTTTTTGTGCTTTTCTTTTTTTCCCTGTTTTCTGAATTTTAGGTATCAGAATTGAAAGCTATGAGAAAGTCAGTTTTTCTGCCTTGGAGAGATTGTCCTCAAAAGTCTCTAGGAACTACACATTTTATCAATAAAAACAATTGGCTATCAATATTAGTAATAACTATTGGAGCAGTTGTATTAACCACTTAGAATACAGTAACTTCTGAGAAATCAAAGTAGATAGAGTAAGATACCGAGCCTTTGTCCCTTAGGCAAGTTGGTTGTTTATTATATACTATGTTTGAAGGGAGATGTGTTAGTGACCAGTAGGCTTCCATTTTGTCAACAAGGGAAAGGAAACCTGCTTGTTTCTATAGGGACTTTAAAACAAAGAAACAGGAAATAATAAACCTTTATTCCTTGTGTCCTGCAACCAGCAGGACAACTGAAAATTATTTCTACCCCATAACTATGGGAATACAGCCTAGTGTACTGCCATATTTTTAAATCATATGTGTATACATATATACATACAAAACCACACATATATCTGTATATGTGTGTATGTGTGTGTGTGTATATATATATATATTCACATTTTTAAAGCATTATCACAAATAGTATCTCCTTTCACCTTAAACACCACGCAAAATTGTTTTTCCATTTTTAGAGATAGGAAATTGAGATTTACAGAGGCTAAGTCTTTTGCTCCAGTTCACAGAGATAGGTGAATATAATCTATGTTTTCCAACATATAACACAGGGGAAGGAGAATATAATCTATGTTTTCCAACTTCTAAAACTTATTGCTGCTTTCATCACATCTCTCTGGACTTTTGGCAGTTACTGAAAACTCACTAATGATAACAATTGTATTCCCCAAAGCAAAGCTTTCTAAGAAAAATATTCTATCACATTAGAAGCTAAATTTCTGTACATGCTTCCATAGCCCCCTCTTATTTTGATGAATTTTAACGGGATTAGCAAAATTTAATGTAAAAATAAATTTTAGAAGGCACTAATTCACATATCTTTTAGATTACCATTGGGTAATAATAAAAACATCCTTATCTTACTCTTTCTCTCTACTCTATTTCTTTATCTTTATTTTCTTAATTTTCAAAAAATCTCTTTTTGTGACCTTGGCTGCATTTGAAAAATAATTATGATGATATTTAAAGAATAAAAAATAAAATGTAAAGACAACAATAAAATAATCAGTAGTTGGTATATAAAAGAGTATAAAGAAGAGAAGAATTCAATATGCATTTGGAAACACATAATTAACTCTATGGAAGCATCAGATAGTATTAGCTCTAGTACTTCACTCAGAAAACTTTAATCAAGTGCTTATTATGGGCTTGTCATTTGACTAAGGAGTTGGGTAAATAAAGATGAAAAAGATAGCCCCCAACTAGTAGTAATTTACTATCTAGTACAATAAGTGGCAATTAGAAACAAAAGCAACCTTTTGTATAGAGTTGGTTAGGTATTCAATGCAATCATAAAAATATGTAGGCATATTAGCCATTTTAATTAAATATTTTTTGCCATTTTGAAACTAACAAATTGGTTTGAGAAAATAACTGATTTTTGTAAGGAATTAAACCATATACAAAAATGTTCAAAGAAGAAAATGGAGACACAGAAAATTTATCTAAGTTACACGGTATTGGAGCAACTATTCAAATCCAAAGCCAAGTGAACTTGATTTTGAAGTTTAACTTTTACATTTGTTCACTACTCCAAATAGTAAAGTTTTAAAATATAGTTTTAGGAAATTCACTCCACTGAACTGTGTGTATCACAACTATGTTACCCTAAATATAATATTGAATATGATCAGACCAGAGTTGAAACTCTTTGGAAACTCTTCATATTCGTTTTATTGTATCACTCCTCCTTGAGTACAAAAAAAAAACAAAAAGTCTTACTTAAGTTCTGACCTTTTCACCTTCATTTACACTGTAACTTGCTCTCTTATTTAACATTCTCAGGCATAAAACCCTGAGAACCATAGAATGCTCTGTTTCTATGTCCTTATAAACATACTGAAGGCTTTGCCCTGCTTAAAGCAAATAAAAAGAAAATGAAAAAATATCTTTAACCTGTTCCTACCTCTATTAAATTCTTTAGAAGTCTCAATTTCATCACAACTGTGTTTCTTGAGATGGCAGTCTACATTTCTCCCTTGTTTAGCTAAACCCAGAAAAACATGGTTTGACATGCTTTTGACACTCAAATTTCTGTTTAAATTCCTTTTGTACAAGTCAGCCGTGATCTCTAAACTTCAGAACTACTCTGACATCATCTTTATGTAGCATTTACATTACCAACCCATCATTATTTTTAGAAGGAACTTCTTGGAATCCATAACATTAGTCCTCCTCAATGTTCTCCCTTTCTGAGCATCCTCTTAGTCCATTTCACAAATTTATCCAGTTTCTTTGACTTTGGTCCCCTTTCCTGCTGAGATGGTAACACTCTTCCCATGGGTCTTGTAAACCAATTATACCAGCGTTGCTAACTTTCATACCAGGACAAACTGCCCGAACGGAAACAAAGTATGTCTATTTTTCCCCTTCCTTTTCTATTAAGAAAGTTATCCTCGATGTGAGAGTGAGAGAGAGAGAGAGAGAGAGAGAGAGAGAGAGAGCAAGCCAAATTAAAAATAAATGTATAGAAAAAATTTCAAAGTTAGATTTCAGAAGTTTTCAGGCAATGAACATTTCACAACCACCTCTACACTAACCACACTAAGAATATAAAAATAAAAACAAAAGTTTAATTTTTGTTGTTATACCAGATAGAGTATAACTAAACTTTAATAAAAATCCATATATAATTCATTATTTGTAGAGAAACACAGACTTTCTTTTTCAGATTTTATCACACTAATTAAGCCTAATGGTACTCACAGTAAAGTATTTGGGAAAAAATTAACTTGTAAGGTCAAGCATCAAGAAAGGATTTTAGTTCAGGATTTTTTTTAAAAAGAAGCTGCAGGGCAAGTTGTAAGAGAACTTTCTTATTAAATTATTCTTACCTTTCCCTTTACCCCTGAAGCAATTGGAGAATTTTATTCAAAAATAATTTACTTTGAGAGTGTCTTACTTCATATTGGTCAGTTCATCTAACCACAGCAATATCATATGTAAATATTTCATGAATGTATTTCTAATAGTTACTCAAATTAGGAAATTATGTCTCCCTCAAATATGTCCTGGCCCTTAGTATCTTTCTTATTTTTCTGAATTTTCTCTTTTCTATAACTGTTGACCTACTACTACCCTCATTTCTGTAATTGTATAAGGCTGAGATTATCAAGGTAAAATGATGATGGGTGTCTGTGGAAATACTGTTTGAAAAAAATTATGTTTTGTCTATATGTTAACGCCTAATTGTTTAATTTTGTACCTTATATTTTTGTAAAAATATAACACAAAGCAAAACAAATAGCCACACAAAAACAGACAATCACTTCCTCATGACATAGAAGAGCCTAGAACTACAAGGAGAATTTTAATTGAGAAATATTTTTCAATAAAAATATTAACATTTACAAAATTGAAATGAATTAGAGCAAAGAACTTAATAATGGCTTGATTGATATTATTTCTGTCATCACAATTATAACCATTCAACACTGTGTAGAAAATTGTATGATATGAAGCTAACAGCCATATGCAAACTAAAGCCTTAAATAAGATTTAAAAACTGGCAAACAAAAATGTATTCCCAGGCTACACAATACGTATTCTACAGTGTCAACCCAACCTCAGTGCAATATGGAGTGTGTTGATTGTAGAATCCCAAGGGATAATTTTCTGGGGTTAAAAATCAAAAATAATAAATGGAGATCATTTTGATTTTAGGAAATTAACTTATATTGCAATGACCAAATAATTATATTCTAAATTACCTTACACAAGAAAATACCTTAAAGAGCTCTATGTAACATCCTCACACTTCACTTGAAATATATAAAATATTCATATTTATCTATGAACTTGGCAACGTATTGCTCCTATATTCTTCTGTTTAATTTTTACTCCTTTAATAACAAAATTTTGTTTGGCAAAGTGTCATTTTGTGTCATTACTCAGTAATCCAAAGACTCTGTAAATCTCAGAAAGACATCTCAACATCTTTTATATCTTGCACTTTATGCTTTCCTACATACATTACTCAGACTCTGTTGTATAATGCATCCTATGCATCAATAAACTTAACATTTAGATTAAGCTATTCAATTCATAGAAGCACTTTTGTTTGATTGCTCTTTATAAAATTCAAGATTTCATCATCATGATTTTCAATTGGACAGATCAATAAAAAAATCCATAACTCACATCTATGGCCTTGCAAAAAATATTCTAAATATATAACAACGTAATGACAAAGCAATGAATCATTGGATTCTGTATCTTTGTGCTGAAATCCATTCAGCAGTTTTGTCTACTTCTTAACTAATATTGAAAGCTTCTAATACAACTACATTAATCAAATAACATCTCAAAAAATTGTGCTGATTGACGTAAAAGACATATTGTACACCTTAACATTATATTCTCATAATCCAGATTCAGTCAGCCATAATTTTATAAGATTTATCTGTGATGATATTAAATTGTTTATTATGCAGTATTCTATACAGAAATATTTTTAAATATATATATATGTGGAATAAAATGCTCTAATAAACCAATTATGCAAATAAAAAGACACTTGTTCCATATGCCATTTTTGAGTTAACTATCTTAAAAAATTACATTCCAAGGATTTTAGACAGATTAATAACATGCAAAGTTTTTATGAAAAAAACAATTATTTATGCATGTCAAAGAAATGGGGAAATATAGGCAAAATTTTTTAAAGTTATATTTTATCATACAAAAAAATTAATATATGGCTTTATACAGGTGGCTAGAGTTGAAGTAAATCTACCTTGAAGATAAAATAAATGCTTGATTAAAATTATCATATGATATATATATTTAAAGTTAGAATTTAACTTATATTTATATACACATGATTATATTTTAAATGATGTAATCATTTTCTATAAGTAACAAAGCAAACCTGAATTACCAGATACTTTATAAGATAAATTTCAAGTTATCATTTGCATTTTTGTATTATAAGTAATATTTTAAAGTATTGATATTACCTCTCTCCAATTTTTCAAGAGGAAATAGCTAGTGAGCGTAGCCCTACTCACAGCTGTAGCAGATTTTCTTTGTTTTTTGTTTTTTTCACTCACCAAAAGGTATTTCTATAAGTAGTATGTGAAATCTCATTCTTAAAAGATTTCCTACCTCAGACATTAATTATACACAATAAGGAAATTATTTTTTATGATTTGAGCTGATTTTTTTTATTCCCAGCAATTGGTGTCTAGAGAAATAATGTTGTCATACATTGATTAAAAACACTTGATAAACCTAACTGTTAAAATTGGCTGTTAGCTGAGTAAACTACAAAATTATTATTTCAGAAGGGAGCAGTGAATAAATGGATTTATTTTTAAAGTACTCAGCTTTCAGGTATATTCTACATTGTTGAGATTAAAGGTAGGATTGAAAGGAGTTGAGAAGGGACCAAAAGAACTGACAGGGTTTTGATTACAGCAAGTAACAAGCAGATTTATATACACTGAAAGCATTCAAGACTGCTGAAGCACAGCTGGCATCATGTATAAAACTGATGATCATGAATTAAATGAGTGATGGGTGACAGTAATCTAACATGTTCTCAATGCAATAGTTTTTAACTGTCTTTTACTTGAGGGTCTTTTAAAAAATATACTTTTATATTTATTTTAATGATTTTCTTTTGAATACACCTTTATTCGCCAAAAGAATTATGATTTCCTCGTATATGCCAATATTTCCATCACTGTTTAATTGTGTATTAGAGGACTTTAAAAATATTCTTATTAGCAGTCAAATATTAAATATCATGTTGCTTGTAATTAAGCTTTTTTCAGGTTACACTGAAATTGGCAAAGGCCAGACATGGTGGCTCACGCCTGTAATCCCAGCACTTTGGGAGGATGAGGCAGGCAGATCATTTCAAGTCAGGAGTTCGAGACCAGCCTGACCAACATGGCAAAACCCAGTCTCTACTAAAAATACAAAAATTAGCCAGACATGGTGGCACATGCCTGTAATCCCAGCTACTGGGAAAGCTGAGGCATGAGAATTGCTTGAATCCAGGAGGCGGAGGTTGCAGTGAGCCAAGATCCCACCACTGCACTCCAGCCTGGGTGACAGAGACTCTACCTCAAAAAAAAAAAAAAAAAAGAAAGAAAGAAAGAAAGATAAATTAGCAAAGAAAGTATACTGTACAGACAACTCATAGAGACAAAATAGAATTTAACCAAAAGAAAACGTGTAGTTTCTACGGAACTCCAAATATTCAAAGTTACCGCCACATGCCTACATATCTAGGGATGTATGTGATGGAAAACTAAATGGCTGTTTCTTGAGATAAAATGGAATAAAAAAAATTTGATGTCCTATTGTATAGAGGGTTCCATTACTATCCCCATGTTCAGAGATTTACTAAAACTCAAGGGATTCAGCATGTAAGTGTATGCATGGCTAAGATTTATTACAGTGATGTTCTCAGAATACACATCCAGATCATGAAGGACAAAGACACAAGTCAAGTCAGTCTGGAGAAATCCTTGTGAAGGCTTCCTTATGCTCCCTCACTCCAAGATCAGAGTATACTTTTCTTCCAGTAAAAGAAAAGCAGCAAAATGTGTGCAATATTTCTACATGGAAGCCCATTAGAGATTCATCTTCCGAGGATTTGCTGAGGCCTAGTGATACAACCACTTTCTGTCTAGAAAATAGCAAAATTCCAGATTCCCAGAAGAAAAGCAGGTGTTTTCGGTAAACCATAAGGTCATCATTAACCACATTCTTTACACAAAAGGTCTAGGCACAGTGAGTAACCCTTATCAGTTAAATGTTGCCTGTAAACACTCTGAAAACCAAATTCCCAAGTGACAGCCAAGGCAACCTTGGAAGCAGGCCTTTATAAGGATAGCACTCTCAGACTTGCTATGTTAACACTTTTTGGACACCCATCATTTTTAGAATACATGTAAGAGTGGAGAAACGTTTTGGTTTTCCATTGTAGGCATTTTCAATCTTTTTCAGTTAACTGAGATATAGGAGTCCAGCTGTATTCGTTTCCTAGGGCTACATCATAAAGTGCCACAAACTGGGTGGCTCAAACCAACAGAATGATATTCTTTCACAGTACTGGAGGCCAGAAGTCTGAAATCAAGGTTGCCTTAGGGCATGGTTGCTCTCAGGGTTCTAAGAGAGAATATTTTCCATGCCCTTCTCTTAGCTCTGGTGTTGCCGACAATCATTGGCATTCCTTGACTTGTGGACACATCACATCACTCCAGTCTCTGCCTCTGTTTTCACATGGTATTCTGTACAATGTGTCAGTGTCCCTGTATCTCTTCCCTTAAGGGCACCAGACATATTAAATTAGAGCCCACTCTATTTCCAAATAAAGTCACATTCACAGGTATAGGGGAGTTAGAACTTCAGCATATTTTTGGAGAGACTAAATATTCTGAATATTCTAAATATTCTTAAGGGATAGTCCACTATAGAACATCTAGATCTGTTTAAAACATACTATTTAATGCATTGCTATCCACTAAACAGAATGAAACCAAGCAAAACAAAAAAGACAAAGAGCAAGAGTCAAGCAAGCTTCAGAGAGAAATGACATCCCACTGCTCACTACACTAAAATAAATATAAAATACTAAATATAAATATTTTATGTATATTATAAATGACATCCCACTGCTCACTACACTAAAATAAATATAAAACATTAAATACTAAAATAAATGTAAAAAAAAAGATTTCCTCAAAGACAATTGGTGCTTCAGTTTCATGACTATCTTTGGGAAAGTAGCAAGGTAAAGAAGCTGACTTTTAGATTGCCTTACGAAGCCAGAGTTGCCAAAAGGGAGAAGCATGCAAACACCGCATGTATGTGTGTTTGATTTTATTGTATTACTTATATATTTATTGTACATATTTAATGTATATATAATTTTCATGATATTTTACCGTCATTTATCCCCATAAAGATGGCTACAGCACATGATTTGACTTTATACTTCCTTATGTTTAAGATAGTTAAATATCCCCCTGTCTAGAATTGTGACTCCAGTAAGTTTGGTGAGCGGGAGGAAGTGGCGCCCAGGAGGCTTTTTGCTCCTTCACTCTCGTAATTCAGCCAGTAGAAGGGAGTGGCATCCAGCAGCTTTTACATGCCTGTAGTTCAGCAAGTGGGAAGGAGGGTTACAGCTCTTTTATTCCCACTGCTCTCAGCTCGGTGAGTTCTGGGTTCTTGTCCTGTGACCAAGAGGTACACAGACACTGGAGAATGAGTAAGGCAGATAGAAGATTTATTGACTGACGAAAGAAAAGCTCTGACTAAAAGAGGGGCCCTGGAAATGGGTAGCTGTCTTAGAATGGGGGAGTCTGTGCTGACTGGTCCATGGGTGGTCTTGGAAAAAGCGCGATTTTATGAGTTAAAAGGCGTCGTTCAGAAGGAACCAATCAAGAGAGTGGGTAAGATAGAGCTTGAAGTTCTCACTCAGGTCATGGACTCTATCTGGATCTGGCCTCTCAGTTTTCAGGCTTTAAACTGTCCTTGGTTTGAAAGTCACGTTTCACCAGGGTTTTCTTGTCTGCCTGGGAATGTGTCTGTCTCCTGTCACTATCAGAATTAGAGACAAGGTCCCTTCCTTTTTATTTTTTACTATCTGGTAGGTATACAACTCATGGAGCTATTAAAAGGACAACTAATTATTCTGGCTTCTATACATCAGAAATCAATATCTGGCATACATATTATCTCAAAAGTTCTTCTAATAACATCAGAAAAGAGATGTGGTTCATGCTTTTATTGAGTTTCACTCCTAATAAAAACAAAAAACAGAAGAAGAAGGAGGAGAAAGAAAAGGAAGAGAAAATAAATATGATTCTACCACAAAGACCTAGAGGCACCATGAGTATGTTTTGATGAAGTTAACACAGGCTGAAGAAAAAGAACACACAATAATATGTGCAGACAATCATTTTAAAAACTCATGAGGTCTAAAGGAATAATATTTATTTAAATGTTTTGTAAATTTTTAAATTCAACAAGATGAATAACTTTATTACCAAGTGTTGCAAATGAGGTATTTGCAGCAAGGTTTCTTTTGTTTGGGAATATAAAATATTTACTCCTGTTACAATAATTTTTAAAGATAGTATAAGAACATCTTTTTTTTTCAACTTTTAGGTTCAGGGGAACATGTGAAGTTTTGCTACATCAGTGAATTCATGTCACAGGGGTTTGTACAAATTATTTCATCACCCAGGTATTAATCCCAGTACCCAATAGTTCTTTTTCCTGCTTCTCTCCTTCTTCCCACCCTCCACCCCCAAGTAGACCTCAGAGTCTGTTGTTTCCTTCCTTGTGTTCGTGGGTTCTCATAATTTAGCTCCCACTTTTAATTGAAAACATGCAGTATTTAGTTTTCTGTTTCTGAGTTAGTTTGCTAAGGATAATGGCCTCCAGCTCCATCCATGTTCCTGCAAAAGACAAGGTCTGGAAGAACATCTATTTTAAACCAAAAACTATTTTAAATGTTGAGAAAAAAATAGAAATAAAAGTTGTTAATAATCAGATTTTATTTGACCCATAAAATATACTATTACAAATTTATATTTTATTTTTTACTTTGCTTGGCTCAAAGGTATTTTTGTGGCTTGAGATTCTGAGAAATGACTTTTCCTTTTAGTGACCAAGTATCTTTTAGTAGCCTTTCTACCAAATGCTATTTTACCTCCCCTTTATTTACTCTTTATCACAATAACATCAGTTCTCTGTCATGGCTAAGTGTATTTTTCAAGCTCAGTGGTGGCTGAAGCTACTATTTTCTCTTTCCACCTAGATGTCAGGAGTTGAAGAAAGGCAGTAGATTTTTTCCTTAATTTTCCAGTGCTTCTTTCTACACTGTCAAATCATATTATAAGGAAGCAGCAGATAGGATTCAGGCTACACTGAGAAGGTAAATCATTAACTAAAATTCTTCCTATACTACCACAGTCTCCAGTGCAATATAAGAAATAGTTCTTTGTCTTTCTTTTTTAATGTTTTTTGGTGGTCCTTTTCTATAATTGGGGGGAAATCTGTAATCATATCAAAAAAATATAAATTTTGGCAACATTTAAAAATATTCCAAATTATTTTACTAAAGTAGTTGTGTGTTTAAGTGATATTCGAAAGTCTTAGGCATTTTATTTCTCAGTTTAGAGATTTAAAAATGGCCAGACTATTTAAAGATTGAATACTTACAGCAATAACAGAGAAGTCTGAGTGAGGGTGTGAGATATCTTTGCAAAATTCATATCTATATATTTTTATTCTATACATCTTTGGATTTCTTCTCAACTTAATATGATCCAATTTATATAAGCAGGAATCTACTAAAAATGATGAAATATTGCTTTTTAAAGTAAAAAAGTTCTTTTAATATCTGGCACATTATATTGTCATCATTTTTTAAACCTGGTTGGTATTACTTTTTCTGAGTAATACCTAAAGAAGTTCAATTTTATTCATTGGAGGAAATCTAAAAACACTATGAGAAGTTACATTTTTTGTAAAATATGCAGTTCTTGAAAAACATATTTTCAGTATTTTCCCTAATATAAATACAACTTGACAAAATGTGCTCTAAAATATTTTAACTGTATTTACATATTGGGGAAAATGAAATTTTTTAATGAATATCAATTTAGAATTCCACTCAAATTTAGCTTAAAATAGAAACACTAGAGAAAATGACTGGATGATCCACACAAATGGAAGTCAAAATATTTTGCACAAGGGCTATTTATATAAATTAAGGCATATGCTAAGTTTCAATAGTTTCACTCTATTTCTATTACTTAATCTGTAAAGGAAAAGTAAAAAGGAAACCAGCAAAGTGCTAATATTTTCTGTCCAGGGTAGAAGTGGAAATTTTGATTATAGCACCATCAAATCTTCCTTTTCCCTTGATAGCCAAAAGCAATTTATATTATCCATCTCAGATTTTTCACTGACATTTCATAGCAAGGGTCTCAAAGTGTGGTGGAAAACTTTGTTACTGACTCAAAGATTTTCAATATTGTCCCCATTTTTTCTTGAAGGAAGAGTTTAAAATCTAGACTCTCACCAATTTTAAATACACTGGTTTTGCCAAAGGAAAACCTTTTATCTCCCACCTCCATTTTTTAATTTACTATCCCAAACTAATGATAGTGAATTAAAACATTCAGGTATTTACAATTTTAGTGGTTAAAAACAAATTATAATAAATTAGAAATTACATTAGATATTTTCATGTCAAGGCATTCTCTATTGGAGTTAAATCAAGACATCTGTACCTTCTTTTTGCCATAATTCATGTATTAAAAAAACATTAAAAATTGAGCAAAAGCCATAAGAAGGAACAAGAACATCTCCTTTGCAGAAATGTGGATGGAGCTGGAAGCCATTATCTTCAGTAAACTAACAAAGGAACAGAATACCAAACACCACATCTACTCACTTTTAAGTGGGAGCTGAACAATGAGAACATATGGACACATGGAGTGGAACAACACACACTGGGGCCTGTCAGGGGTGCGGGGCAAGGGACAGTATCAGGAAGAACAGCTAATAGGTGCTGGGCTTAAAACTTGGATAATGGGTTAATCTGTGCAGCAAACCACCATGGCACATATTTACCTATGTAACAAACCTATACATCCTGCACATGTACCCCAGAACATAAAATAAAAGTTGATTTTTAAAAATTGAGCGAAAATTTGTATACCAAATTGAATAACTGTTATTATATTTACTATAGTTATTCCTTTGTGCTTTTAATTAAAACTTGTTCACCAACACATTTTATTTTAAATTTTCCTCTCTTTTACATGTCTATACCAATGAAAGTAGATATCTGAAAACATTCAGATTAGGTAAGTTACGTTTTCAAAAAATTAGAAAAAAATCTTAGAAAGTATATTATTATAGTGTCAATAATTGACTTTAAAATATAAACAACTATTATACCTCTTACTAATAAAAGACTGTTTTGACAAAACTATTACTTTAAACAATTATGTCACTTACTACAAGAGAAAATGTAAGATGGATATATAAACTACATTTAAGAAAAGCAATAAGGTAAGGAATATAAGTGGATAATTTAAGAGAAAAAATAAGATGATTATTGAGGGTGCTAACAGTTAAAAGGCAATTTTTTAATGTGTTAATCACAATGCCCCATCTGTGCTGACATGAGCCTAACCTCATAATTGAGTTCCCGTTTGACGTGCATAAAAAACTTGCCCTAACTAGAAGAGAAGAAGGAGCAGTTTAATTTTACATGAAGGAATTCCATAAAAACTTTTACCTCTGTAAGATTTGACTTCGGTTGGGGGAAGGTTTTATCACATTAGCATTTCATTTATAACAGCAACATACTTTCCATGTTGATGAATTAAAATAAAAGCACAACAGAAACTGTTATAAATTTCTGGCATTTTGTCAAATGGTCTTGGTTTGAGGTCCCCTAAAAAGTTGACCTTGAAGTGAAGACCAGGTGTTGGTAATTTATCAGGGAGCTGGTCCAAGGAATCACAAGTGAGGACACAGGAAAGAAAAGACAGGGAGGGAAGAAAGACCATGAGCAAATTTCTGCTGTGAGCAACTGGGACTCAAGTTCAGCGAGAGGACATCTGAGGCAGAATGTGTATTTCTGTATTCCAGAATCTGAACTTGTGTCTTTTGTCATCTAACTCTGGTGTATGACCATGCCATACCTTTTGGTTGAGAAAGTTCCCCTGGCAACAGACAAATTTTATGTTGAATTTGTATTTTCAATACACTTTTATGATATGATAATCATTTGTTTATTCATTTTATTTTACGCATGTTAGACTTCATTCACAACATACATGTTAGTTGGTCAACAAAACTACCCAATTTATTACTTGATGAATAAAATAAATGATGGCAAACATTTACAAAACTAGAAAAGATTCTTGTGTTTTATTTTGAAAATTTTACAACTGAAAATAGTACTAGAAACATACATCCACCCTTCACTTTGTTTTATAATTGGTTAATAGTTTGCCTCATTTGCTTTATCTCTTTAACCACAATATCATTATTGCAACCCAGAAATTTAGCATTAACAAGACAATAATTTATTTTAAAGTCCATAATTTTAAGTTATCCAAATATCTCAAAAGGTATTTTAGATGCATTTTTGACTGAAGACTCAGTCAAATATGACCAGTAACATATCATTGTCTAGATATTTAATCTCCTTTAATATAGAAGAGTATTCTACCTTTTTTGTTTTTATCACATTTATATTTTTGAAGGCCCCAAGTCAGTTGTCTCATAGAACGTGTCAAATGTGAGTTTCCCTGATTGTTAGCTAATAACATTGAAATTAAACATATTTGGGAAAATGTAATGTGTAATTTGTGTGCTTTCTATTATATCTCATCAGAAAGTTCATAATATTAGTTTCTTTCATTATTAGTGGTCCTAAATTTGATCACTTGGATAAGATAGCATCTGCAACATCTGTCCACTTAAAATTTATCTTTTTTCATTGCAATTAAGAAATGAAAAATCTCCTTGTGATTTCTCCTGTAACTAGAAGCAAGTGACTATCCATTTCCCTATCAAATTTTTACTCAATGATTTTCGCATCCATTCATTACCCTTCCTGGAAACACTGATCACTTTAGTGGTTGTGAAACGGCGATTTTCTGGTTTTAGCCTTGCTTTTAAATGTACTATGCAAAGTTTCTTAAGCAGAGAAGAGCCTCTCCCTCACTTTTTGAGTATCATTAAGTACTCCTGAATTCTTTCTTATCCTCTTAATAAATGTGTAGGGTCCATATTTCATAGATGCTGGAAAAAGACAGGAGATCCCTGGATCAGAGGCAATAAAAGTTTTTATAGCATAACTGGTAGCACAAACCTCACAGCTGAGAAATTCCAAGCATAGAGAACCCCAAACATAAACAAGCATCACAAATTGGGTAGTTTAAACAAGAGATGTTTATTGCCTTACAGTTTTAGAGGCTAGAAATCCAAGACCAAGGTTTCAGTGGAGCTGGTTCTTCCTGATGTCTATGAGAGAGGATCTGTTACATACTTCTTCCCTAGCTTCTGGTGGTTTGTGGGCAATATTTGGTGTTTCCTTGACTTGTAGATCCCCCAGTCTCTGCCTTCATCTCATATGTTCTCTCTACATTCACATTCCCCCTTATTATTAAAGACAACAGTAACATTTGACTAGGGTCCATGCTAGTGACCTCATCTTTTTTTCTTAGTATTTTATTTTACTGTAATCAGAATACTTAACAGATCTATCCTTTTCACAAATTTTAAGTGTACAATGACCAGACATTTCACAAAAGAAGATATACAAATTGCGAATAAACACAGAAAAAGGTGTTCAGCATCATTATTCATTAGAGAAATGCAAACCAAAACTATAAGATACCACTACATACCCATTAGAATGGCTAAAATATAAAAGACTGATCATACCAAGTGTTGACGAGGGTGTAGAGCAACTAGAAGTCTCAAACCCTGATGACAGGGATGTAAACTCACTTTGCATAACAGTTTGGCAGTTTCTTAAACAGATAAATGTGCATGTACCATACAACCTAACCATTCCACCCCTAGTTGTTTACTCAAGATGAATGAAAGAATATATCCACACAGACTTGTTGATAAATGTTTATTACAGCTTCATTGTAATAGTTAAAACCTAGAAGAACCCAAATGTCCATCAACAGCTGAATAGATAAACAAATTGTTATGCATCTATTCAATGGAATACTATTCAGCAATAAAGATAAACTATTAATATGTACAGCCAGATAGATGAAACTCAAAATAATTATGCTGAATGAAAGATGTCAGGTGAAAATGAGCACATACTGTGCAATTCCATTTGTATAAGATTCTAGAAAATGCAAACCAAACTACAGAGACAGAAAGCAGATAAATAGTTACATAGGGAGCACTGAGGAGGGCAGAGAGGAAGGGATTACAAAAGGTTACATGAGAGTGAGAGGAAATTTAGGATATGATGGTCATGTTTATTATCTAAATTACGGTGATTTTTTTTTTTTTGAGACGGAATTTCGCTCCTGTTGCCCAGTCTGGAGTGCAATGGCATGATCTCAGCCCACCACAACCTCTGCCTCGCGAGTTCACGCAATTCTCCTGCCTCAGCCTCCCGAGTAGCTGGGATTACAGGCATGCGCCACCACGCCTGGCTAATTTTGTATTTTTAGTGGAGACAGCGTTTCACCGTGTTGGCCAGGCTGGTCTCAAATTCCCGACCTCAGGGGATCTGCCCACTTGGGCCCCCAAAGTACTGGGATTAGAGGCGTGAGCCACCACGCCCAGCTGGTGATGGTTTTATGATTTTCGGGTATATACATATATGAAAACTTATTAAATGTTATACTTTAAATATGTTGTTTACTATTTATATTATACCCCAATAAAACTTTCTCATTTTAAAAAAGATAAAAGACCTCATAAAGGGACTGCTGGCAAACCTGTCTAATCTTCCTTTAGAGAAAGATAGTATCTTATTTATCCTGGTCAGGATGTAAGTCTCTTCTGCACCAGAGGGAGCATTTGTATCTCTCTTTGCTATACAAATATCCTTAAAATGATAGTCCGGAACAAAAGTGTCAGTGCCTTTATTCAGAACATTTGCAAAAATGTGAGTGACTCATGGAGTTTTTTCTCTCAACAATATAATGGTGGCATAATCCATCTCCACTATTCACTCTGATTTTCAAGTTTTCCCAAATTTGTTGACAGGGAACACATTAAAGTTGGCTCATGTGTCTTTCAAATATGTCCCTATTTCTTTATCTTTATCTTCCCTCCCTCCCTCCCCGTCTCTCTCTATTTCTTAAAACCTTTTTACCATCTAGCACATTAAAGTATTCTATTTTATGCTTTCCTTTCCCCAGATGAGGTGTTGACTATTTATCTAAAGGTGCCTTGGTTCTTTTTAATAACAATGGTATTCCAAAACCAAACCCTGAGTGCTTGACTGTCTCATATCCCTAGGACTATTCAGTGACAAGCTCATATAGTCATACTGAATCTTACAATTCAAATTCAGCACCATGCAGTTCTTCCACATCTCCCAGACTCTATGTATTTCTTCTCCCACAGTGAAGAACTTGGTTCTCAAGAACCCCAACACACTCGTTTGCTCCACCTTCTCTGTAATACAAATATAAAAGTTTCAGAATTTCTAAACCAATATCACAACAAACAACAAGTCTACTAAGATTTCAAGATTTTCCTGAAGCTTTTTTTTTTGTTGCTTTTCTTAGCTGTACTAAGAAAAAAACCATGAAAGTATTCTGTATATACGCACCTACATTAAAAAGGCATAAACAGACAAGTGCCAGAGCAACACTTAAACTTTATACCCTATTTTAATGTACTCTCGTTAGGTAATTTTCTCTTCTGTTTCTGACTTAATCCTTTTTGTATTTCTTTTTACAAAAATAACCACATATCTGCATATTAATACTGTTCTATATTTTTTCTTAACTGCAAATCATAAATCCATTTAACAGATCATGAAGACTGTCCTAAATTTGAGCTCCTGAATAAAACTATTTTAGCGAATATTTCATTTTTGGGGGATTGTTTTGTTTATCAGTTCTTTATGAATAGACATTTAGATGGCTTTTAATATTTTGCTATTTCAAATGATTCTTTAATAAATAACGTGTGTAGGTTATCTTGTATGTCTGGAGCTGTACTTTCAACATAAATTTCTCAAAATGGGATTACTGGGTCAAAGAGGCAATTCTACAGAGCTTTGTTAGATAGTATCACATTTTTATCTGTAACTAGAGATATGTAATCATCAATGAATCATATATTTTGTAGCTATTGTAAGAAAATAATGCATACTGTCTTTTGGGAGTTAAACTTTGAAATTTATGACTGTTAGATTAAATATGGTAAATAGACTTCACCTTTATCTAAGAGGGAACTTTACAAATACCAAATAGTATGTGAATATACTAATTTTTAGAGCATTTATTTAAATTACCATTAAAACCTAAATTTAATTCATGATTATCTGCTTACCTGCTTATTAATAACTATGGTAGCTACATTTATCATGCATGTATAAATTGTAATTACACTCTACTGTACAGATATTTATGCCTTACTTGGCTAATACAGTGGGATGTCTATGAGTGTAATTAGGTACCTAACCTTAATTATGAAGGCATAAATAGCTAATTTGCTTAAACTTCAGTTAATTGTGAAGAAAATATATTTTTGCATGCATTTGTTTGATGGGTCCATGTAGAGTCTGCATAGACAAAATAAAATTTGTTTATTAAAAATGTGATGTAGACTTCATTTTGTACTTTAAATTTTTGTAAAAATACTTCATAGTATATATTTTCTAGAACTGTGTATATTTATGTATATGCAGTGTTTTACTACTGTATGCCAGAAATTCAAATTATATAGAAGATAGCTTTCAAATTCTAACAAACGTTAAGGTCTCACAGGACAAATTGAATAGTAATAGTTGTATGTTTGTACTACAATTTTCAATTACACTAAACTTTCAAAACCATTCTAGTAATTCAATTGTAGGTATTCATTCTCAGAGATTAGTAATAATGTTTTTTATTATTAAATCATTTTATGGATTTCAAAGCAATTTCTCAAGCATTACTTTTTTATGCTTCGCAAAAAGCCTGTGAGAAGATAAAACTGCATTTTGGTTCTGTGGGTTTCATTATTAATAGGTTTGATATCTCAATATGTGTAATCAAAATGTAATATTTGGAGATCTCTTTTTATATTGTTCTTCCAAATCTATAATCATCTGACAAAATTTATGTTGCATCACTATTGTGGAAACGATCCTATTGCAAACAAAGGAGTGTTTGATGAAAGAGCCTTGTTGTCACAATTCTCTTACCATTTTAGGGATTTAGTAGTAAAAAGCTTTTAATATCCTGATTTGCTTCAGATGACATTTTGAGATAATCCAAAATATAATCTTTAAAATTTGAGAAGAAATAAGTTATTTCATATATTAACTAAAACACAGCACATTTTAATTAACAGGGCATTAAAAATAACTAAGTAGCTTGAAGCTGTTAAGCATCAAAAGAAGGTTGTTGCTGATAGTTAAAATTGCTGTGTATTAAATTTTGAGGTATGAAACAAACAAAATCAGACTGTATTTATTTCACCATTAGTATAATGGCAGTTGAAAAACAATGTTTATATTTAAAATGTTGATGATATTATATAATATTTTCACATAATATGGTTTTTATTAATATTACTATATATATTATAAAATAATATGCACTGGAGCATTTTAATTTTCACACATATAAAACCTATTCATTAGGATGAATAATATTCTCCTAATGAATGATTATAAAAGAGAGTTGCATTCTCAGAAATATAAAGCTATGTCATTCATCCCATATGCCTCACTTTTAGACTTAATATTCAATAATGTATTTCCAGCATTTTGGAGATGATACTCAATATTTTTCTTTTACCTCAAAATGGGACACAGGAAAATTTGCTTAAGGCCAAATGGCCATCTGCTTGGGGCTAAAATCTCACTGCTTTCTGGCACACATAATGAGTAACCTCTGCTGCGTTAATTTTTCTAATATAATGAGTTCTATACAACTTATCATATCTTTCATTTTTTATTCATTATCATAAAATGATAAAGCCAAAATATAAGGTAATATGCAGATATTTTATGAACACTATTGGATATACCAAATTAACTAAAATAAATAAAAATATTGCCTGCAAAGGATTATCACTACGATGTGTCAATATGTTCATTAGTTGGTGTATGGATGCTTGAATTTGGCATGTGAAAGAGAGTTTAGGAGTGCTGACATATAATGTGTATTTATAACACAGTAGGCATTTCATTAATGTTCGTTAACTGAGTAAGACTGTAGGTCACATGAGATTTTAAAATATTGAGACTATATGTTCATAGTTCTCTTAGTAGAGATTTTCTTAATGCATGTATTTTAATAAATTAAAGAAAAATATTGTATTCTATATAGCAAGCATTTCCAGAAAAAAATTGGGTTTTGTTTGAATATTTTGGTAAATATATTTTAAATATAATTTTAAAATATTAAAAATGATTTTAACAGATATATTAAAGTAACTGGTCATGAAGCAGTAATTTGGAAATTGAAAGGAAAAAATTATTTTTGAAAGTTTTGGGGGTGAAAAGTAAGATGAAAGTGAGAATGTAGGTTTTGCATTTACAAAGTTAATGAATCACTGGGTGGAATGGAAAGATGGATCTAAATTAATTTGAACTCATCAATATTTTTGAGAACTTTGACTATAGTTACAAGAGATTGATTGGGAACTTGAGAGAATGGTTTTGGAAAGGAAAGAAACATTGTGTGTTTATTTTTTTATTACAAGACCTGAATATATTTGTACATAGAGATGAAAGCATCAGTCGTAACGATGAGGATGAAGGCACAAGAAAATAAGTATATAACTAGGGGAAAAACAAGATATTAAGACTGGATCAACATTAAAACTGGAGAGGTGAAGATCAGATGTCATGGCACATACTGGCAAAACGTGGTAGAATGCAATGAGATGGTAAGATAGAAATGGAATGATTATCTGAGACTAAACCCACCAACAGTGAGAAGACAGGTAGTGAAGCAACAGGTTCATCTGCATATACTTGGAAGAAACAAAGTCTGCAAGCTAAAATGTGCAAAGCAATATGTAAACAAGAAGCAAGTCCAGTATAATCATAGGCATCTGATAGGTCCAATGTGAATAATCAACATGTCCTTCTAGCTGATTTAAATCAGGTGACTGGAATTTGGGAACTAGTCATACTTAGAGATTTCATAGGCAGCAGAGTCCCAGAGAAGGGTGTCAATAACAACATAGGGCTTGAGATTGGAGAAACATTGTGCACCACTTTTAACGTCTTATATTTATTTGCTGGAGGACAGAATAATAGAAGACAAGAAAAAATATAAACAAGGCAGGTTGTTGGAGGACAGAAAGAACTAGGTCTATGATAAAAAGAATATAGCAGATGAGTAATCCAGGAGGTATTGGTGCACCATGGAAGTTATAAATTCAAGAAGTAATATGTATTTTAAAAAGTGAGATTCCCATCTCAAAGGAGAAATTTCATTTCAAGAACCAAAAAATAAATTAACTAGATTAGAGGTAGACGAAATATGCCTTTTGGACCAAATCTAGTTTGCAGGCTGATGTTTTATGAACCCAAGCTAAGAATGACTTTTACAATTGTAAAGGATTACGCACACACAAACACGTGTGCACGCACACTGTTATGTACGATCATATACGTACACACAAAAAGCAGCATGTAAACAAGGTTTTAATTGTTCGTAATTCCTAATTTATTTAATATCTAGCCCTTTATCAAAAACATACACTAATCCTTGAACTAGATAAAGCTAGATACTTTAAAACCAGGAATAAGTTTACAACTAACACAAAGTAAAACAAAACAAACGAACAACAACAACAAAAAAACTTGATGTCAAATGCTGTATTGCTTAGAAATCCTGAAAATTTATATTATAACTTAGGTATGTGTTAATTGTAAGCAACCGATAACACAATAGAAAGTAGCTTACATGTTATCACAGAAAACAGTTATACTTTGCTTTGTGCCACTGCTCATAACAACTCAAACAGTTATACTCTGGAAGAAGTCAAAGGGGTTAAGTTTCACAATATCACCTCTACAGGTAATAAGTTCAATGATGTATTTCTTGCCTGTGATTCTCCTGACTCAGCCCTTATAATAGGGCTTCCAGACTTCACCCCAATGTTCTAAACACTAGTCCACAAGAAAAGTCCTGAACCTCACTAATATGCTCTTCTCCAAGCTGTTTTATCAGATATGGGTCCTTTTTTATCATTGCCTTATGTATTCCTCAGAATAATTCAATCCACCAGTTATCTAGCAAATATGTTTTAAGCATTTATCATATACCAGGCACTGTTTTAGACGCTGAGGGTAAAATGGTGACTAGGATAGAGTCACCATTTTAGAGACAGAGTCCCTTTTCTCAATTAGCTTATAGTTGATTGGATAAAAACAGCAAGGAAGGAAGGGAGGGAGGGAAGAAGGAAGGAAGGGGAGGGAGGGATGAATTCTATGAAGAGTTAAATGAGAGCCAAGAGAACTTTGAGAGCTGTTTTAGCTAAAGGTGGTCAGAGAATTTTTCTCTGAACTGATATTTCAATTGAGACATAATCAGAAGAAAGCAGTCATGGGATGAGTATTCTAAATAAAAGGGATAAGAAGTGCGAAGACCCAGAAAGAGATAAACAAGGTTGAGTTATTCAAGGGACAGAAAGAAGTTGAGGGTGGTATAGCATTCTGAGCGATGGGATGGTGGAGGGCAAAAAGACAGAGAGTAGGCAGAGCCACAGAGGCTTCCTTGTTATTAGCTCAAGTGCTTTAATTTGCAAGGGTGCAAAAACCATTGAAGCAAAAATACAGACATTCTTGTGATCAATTTTAACAACCACTAAAAAACATCAAGAGTATACAAAAAGGCTGATATAAAATAGTCTCAACATAATTATATGTAGTAAACTTTTCTTTCTCTTTTTTATTCCAGGCAAAGTAATTATAATACTATTCTGAAGAAAATTTTCCAAATATATATTGCATTGCAGTTTATGGTAAAGTATCTCAGAAATTTATCTAGCATATCATTTAAAAATTTATAAGAGACAAAAGATCACTTCAGAAAGAGGTTTTCAGAACTAGGTTACCTGAAGAAAAAAAAGGTCACTGGGAAGACTTGAAGAAGGGATTAGAATTGTAATAATAGAGGAAGGGGGCAGTAACAGACAAAGCCTGGAGAGATTTTCCCCCTTAAAGAATGAAATAGGACAGTTTGCATGTGGCATAGTGTTTATGTGGAAAAATAGATGATATATCTGGAAATAAATTTTTGGAGCAAATGACTAGGAGCCTGTTCAAAAATGCCTTCCAATTTAAAAAGGGAAATGTTTAGGAAAAGGAGGGATTTCAATGCTCAGCTATCCAACCTCATGTATTAAAAAACCAAGCACTTATTACCACGTACACATTTTTTTTAGAACATAATTTTAAATATCTACGGACAAAAATGGGAAGTGACACTAACTACTCTCTACCTACCCACTCATGCCAACCCAGAAATCAGGGCATTCTTTTTCTCCAGATGCTTGTGATTAATGTCCAAAATTGTTTTCATGACTGCTGTGCATCATTGCAAATGCTCTCAACTTTCTTTCCCACGGACAGCTTAAGGAGTAGTTTTGAGTCTGTTAGTACATCTTAAAACTAGGATGAATGTGATATGCCTACTGCAGCATGGTTTATGGTCTCTTACCATGTCAGGCTCTCATGCATCAGAGCAATGCCTCAATTTTACTGGCTCTTTTCCTCCAAGTTGTTAGGACAGAAGCAGAAGGCATATCTGTTACTGATTTATTTATTGTTAAGACCAAACTGCTATAAATATTTAATATAGACACTATATTTTAGTTATGAAAACTAAGTATACAGATAATTCAGTTTAAACTATGTTTAAGCCAGAAATTTCTGTAATAGTTAACCCTGATTGATTAAACGTTTTAAAATCAAGATATGCTCAATATCCATATATTAATATGTTCATTTGTAACTTTCAGTTGACTCTCCATACAAATCTCTGAAAAATTCCATACATCAGCTGATATTGTCTATCTTTTTCTTATCCTCTTCAGAGAGCTAATACTAAAAATTGAAATTGTATCAAAGTTGAAAGGAAAAAATATATATATTATAGATGTCCTCGGGAAAGAGGATTTAAGGAAAAATTTATTCATGGAGCCCACACTCACTGAATGAGGACCGAAAAAATAGCTTTAAATTCTCTAGTGTGTGTTTGATGATAATTTATTGAGGTGATATTTATATAACATTAACTTGTAATTTCATAAAATTGTATGAAGCTCTTTTTAGAATATAACAAAGGTATTACTGTTAAGCTTCTATTTGTCCAAATTCCTGAGCATTTTAGTGTTCACTTTCCTAACTACAGGTGATTCAGTAAGCTACAGGTTTAGGTTGCTGAGAATTTCTTCTTTTAAGCTGGGGCCCCTTGACAGGCCATGGACTGGAAAACATAAATGCCATCCTCAACAATGGCCCAAGGTAGAAAATATACCCACTGCAGGAGATTTTTGATCAAATTAAGTCTTAAACCTGATGTCAACAACAAATTATGTTATTGAGCCCTTCTGAAATACCCAGTGCCTGGAATGTGTACTCTTTAAACCAAGTTTGCCAGATAAAATACAATACACCCAGTTAAATTTGATTTTCAGATTAAAACATGCTTTAAAAAATATAAATGTGTCCCAAATATTGCATGAGACATAATTACACTAAAAAATTTGTCATTTAAATTTTTAATTTAATCAGCTATCATATATATTTATATTCTAAATCCAGCAACCCAAATTAAAACTGAATATAATCAAAGCTAGACATTATTTTTTGTTTTGTTTGCTTGTTTTCCTCATTTTCTTCCTAGAAGAGATCCTACCGTCTGCCCTCTCTAAGTTGCTTCTTTAAAAGGACTGATAGGGACTTCTGATAGTGGACATCATTTTTTTACTAATAGCTTTTCTACCAAATCACATAAGTCAATAGCATCCACCCTTTCTAAGGACTGAAGAGAATCGTCTCTTCATACCTGATGTCAACAACCCATTAAGTTATTGACTCCCATGAAACACCCAGTTTCTGAACTGTGTACTCTTCAAACCAACTTTGCCAGATAAAATACAGGACCCCCAGTTAAATTTGAATTTCAGATTAAAGCATATTTTAAAAATATAAATGTGTCCCAAATATTGTATGAGACATAATTACACTACCCACTACAAGAGCTTTTTGATCAAATTAAGCCTTAAACCTGATGTCAACAACCCATTATATTCTTGATTCTGACTTCTGAGTTTGAAAGGAAGAGCTAAATAAACCTATTCAATTGAGCTCTTTCAAGAATTTGTTTTATTTGAGAGGAGTATGTCTTTTCTTGTTTTTGTCTTTTTAAAGTGTTCAATAAATTTTACAAATTGTTTTATGAACTGTTCAACAAATTGTTTCTTGTTGAAAATATATAGACCCCTTGCTATTTACATTTTTCATATTTTTGCATGAAAGAGAGACTTTAAATCTTTATTTCAGGCTTCTTTAGATTTTAATAATGAAGTTATAATAGCTGTATGACAGAATTTTATTTTACATTGCGTCATTTGAAATGATAATTTTTTTGATAAATAAAAATCAATAATTTATTTAAAATATCTTTACATTATCCCTATATCAAATACTCTTTTTACAGTAAAACAGAATTGTAAGTATGCCAGTAGTAATCACTTTTTAGATTGTATTTTACTTTTGATAATGCAAATATACTCAAATTTCTTAGAGAATTTAATCATTAAACATCGCCCTTTTTATCTTTCAATTTGCAACCAGGCACTTATTGTCCCTATTATTATCAGAACACAAATAAAAACAGAAGACCCCAAATGAACAAAAAAGACTGCTTTGCCCCACTTTGTTAGTCATTGTTACTCATTTAGACTAATAATTTGACCTTGTGTTTTCTTTGAGACAACCACATTTACATGAGATGAAAGAAAAGCATTTCTCTTAGGAAATCATTTACAAATCAAGTTTGCTCATTTAAAATATTTTTCTTGTTATTGATCAATGATGCGGTGTTCTCTGTAACACAATAGGAATTGCCTCCATGTTAAAGATACGTGAGTTTGTAAAAGCTGCTTTTCAGTATTCTCTAACTCAACAGTTAATGTCTGTCATTACTTAATGGCTAGAATTTCTATTAAGTCACAAGGCTTGTTTTATACTTAGCTTACTTCCTCGTGGTACATTATTCTACACTTCCAAGTTCAAAAATCAAAACAGTAAGTTTGAATGTACAAGCTATTATTCAGTGCACAATGCCATGTAACATGTATCAGTGTGCTCATTTAACAACCATTAGTCCATGAAAGAGAGAGACTAACCAAATATGGTATGTTGAAGTTACCACATATGGTTTGTTAGAGATGAAGTTTATGCCATGGTGACAGAAGAGGAGAACTGAAGTTACAAAGCAGGAAAATAATCATAGAAGCATACTGCGTAGATTGTATGATATATGAAACCTCCTTTTAAAATCTTCGTATATGTATCTCTTTGGCATGGTCCATTTTTCTAATATTTAATCTTCACAGATGCATCTTCTTCTTTTTTTTCAATTGAATATGAATGCTGTCCTTCTCATTCTTCTGCTTAGTTTGTGTTAGTTGGAGTGTAATAAAAGTAAAAGGCAAGCATACTTCATAAGTGACCTGGATATGCTCAATATCTGTATATTAATATATTCATTGTAACTTATTTCTATTTTCATCTCTCTTCTACATCCAGCTTTTTTTACTTTGAGCAAATTAGTTACTCTCTCTGTATATTGTTTAATAATATTAATAAGGTGGAGTCAGCTACATAATTTATAAATTTTATTCAGTAACTAAAGCTTTTGGTTGCTTATTTAAACCCTGTTGAATTTCTGATCCTGTTGTAAATCTAGTCCTGTAAACTAAATACTCTTTTCTGGTTACAGAGTTGGATTTAATGTTTATAGCCCAAAACTCTATTGCAAATTTTTACTTATAACAGCTCTATTGTACATAACCTATAATGCACTGAAATATCAAAATATTAAAGAAGTTTCACCCTGCCTTCTGGTACATGATCTAGTCCTTACTTATTTAAAATAATTCAATGATTCATAGAGGATTAGAAATGATATAGCAGAAATTTGAAAAAAAAAAAAAAAAAAAAAAAAAGAACAGTCAAGGCCCAGCATTTCAAATTCAAAACAAACTCAGAAAATTGAAGGCTGAAATATTAATATATTAGTTTTCTAGACCAACATTAAAAAATCACAGACTAGATGGTTTAAACAACAGAAATTTATTTTCTCACAGTTTTCTGGAGGCTAGATGTCAAAGATTAAGATATTGGCAGGTTTGCTTTCTCCTGAGGCCTCTCTCCTTGCTTGCTGATGGCTGCTTCCTGCATCATCATATGGGTTTTTCCCATGTGCCTGTGCTTCCTTGGTGTCTATGTGTGTTCAAGTGTCTTCTTATAAGGACAGAAGTCATATTGGATTAGGGCCCACCCACACAACCTCTTATAAATTTAATTACCTCTTTAAATGTCTTATCTCTAAATACAGTCATGTTCTGGGCTATTGGTAGGTAGGACTTCTACATATGTGTTTCATGGGAACACAATTCCGTCCATAAGAATTAGTATTGAAGGAAAGCATTTTGTGAATACCCGTAAGTGAGGCCCTGGCTCAACAATAAAGTGGAAAAGGATAAAATCATCCATTCCTAACATTCTGTAGCTTAGGAAAGTATATGAGTTATTTAGGGATGGGAGACAGAGGCCAACATGAAACTTGCTAGAAAGGCTTATGGTTTATCATGCCTGAGAAGGAGCCCTTCAATTGTTCCACTAGGTAGAAAGGGTATTGGGATTAAAACCTCCAGTTAGACCAGTGCGGTGGCCCACGCCTGTAATCCTAGCACTTTGGGAGCCCAAGGCGGGTAGATCACTAGGTCAAGAGCTAGAGACCATCCTGGCCAACATGGAGAAATCCCGTCTCTACTAAAAATACAAAAAAATTAGCTGGGCGTGGTGGCACACACCTTTAATTCCAGCTACTAAGGAGGATGAGATGGGAGAATCACTTGAACCTGGGAGGTGGAGGTTGCAGTGAGTCGAGGTTGCACCATTGCACTCCAGCTTGGGTGACAAAACGAGACTCTGTTTCTCAACACCCCACCCCCGCAGAAAAAAAACCTCCAGTCAATTTTCGGAAAGTTTAGACTAAAGAGGATTTGGGCCTGTTTCCCTACTGAAGATCCAGGAAACAACAAACCCACTGATGAAACCATAGGACCATCCTTGTATCAGAACACTCACAGAATAATGACTTCAGATGGCATCTAGGCAGATAGGTTTGAGGCAGCCTCACAGAAATTTATTCTCCCAAGCCATTGGTTAGCCATTTTCTTTATGGCCCAAATAAAGGCAAGGAAGTTAGCAAAGGAAGGTGTCCCACAGTTGTGACAGGAGGATCCAGTAGTGAATGAAACATAGAAGTCATAGGAGTCAGCAGAAGATGGCTGTGGAGCAGGTGCTTTCCCAATAGATAGTGACAAGGAAATTGTTACGGCAGCACCAGGGGTTCAGCCTAGGTCCTGCTGCTTGCCATACAGAAAGCCAATAACTGAGACAATTACTGCCAAGGAAGATGGCTTTAATCGAGTTATGCAGGTAAGGAGATGGGCGATCAGTATCAAATCCATCTCCCTGACTGACTAAAATTGGAGACTTATATAGTAGAGGAGAAATGTAACTATGTATGGGAAAACAGTAACTCAGAAGGGTTAAGGAGGCATCATGATGAATAAGTAGGTGGCTTCTCATTGTCTGGGTGAGATGATCTGGTAAGTTTCAGTTCTTTGATATCTTTCAGGAACTCATTGTCTGGATCTGGTGAGTTTCAAGCTTTAACACAGAAGGGTCAATTTCTATGTTTTCCAAAAAAAAAAAAATCTGTCTATGGGAATATTGGATAGGTTTCAAAATCTTCATGTGACTGAAATGACTGATAAATCATAGGCAATTTATTTTTAAGAGGTTAATTGGGTAATACACAACTGGGCAGAAAGTTAGCTTCAAAAAGAGGCTGAGATATAAAAAAAATTAGAGGTATTATGTTTTTTACATGCACAAATCGTTTGCCTATGAATTTTTATCTGGTACCCATATTTGAGGGTTTTTTTAAAGCTAATTAAAATATGTGTGTTTCTGTGTTATCTGGGAAGGGGTGTGTATTAGTCCATTTTCACACTGTTATAAACAAATTCCCAAGGCTGAGTAATTTATTAGGAAAGAGGCTTAATTGAGTCACAGGCTGGGGAGGCCTCAAGAAACTTAAAATCATGGCAGACAGGGAAGAAGGCCCCTTCTTCACAAGGCAACAGGAGAGAGAGTAGAGTGTGAAGGGAAAAAAGCCCCAAATAAAACGATCAGATCTCTTGAGAACTCACTCACTATCAAGAGAATAGCACAGGAAAAACCGCCCCCATGATCCAGTCACCTCCCTCCCTGTACGCGTGGGGATTACAGGTCCCTCCCTTGACACATGGAGATTAAAATTTGAGATAAGATTTGGGTGTGGACCCAGAGCCAACCCATATCAGGGTGCAAGTTTATATAGCTTTTGCTTTTATGTTCACAACAGGGCAAATAAATCACTACTATGATTATAAAGTTAAGACTAGGCAAATTTCAAACTCTCTATTTTCCAAGAAATACCTAACTTTTTTACAGTCTGAACACCTGGAGTTAAGCTAAGTAAACAATAATAAAAGATGTAAATCCGCTTTCTGAGAAGGAAGATAAATGTTTCCTGTATCATTTGTTTAGTGAACAAATAACAAAAGAGGGCTAAGGATAAATATGCTCCTTCTTGTCAGTAGGAAACTAACGCAGATTGATAGCATTTGATGCATAGACTCAGGGTCAGCAGAGGAACAGATATCCTTGATCTCAGAACAAAACCAACAGTGAAATACCTTGTGCATCCTGAACTCTTCCACTACCTTTCTGCTGTGCTTAGATACTTTCCTCCCAATTGCCTCAGATCATAAAAACTGTCAGCAGTATGTACCTGAATAATGCATCAGGAGATTGGAAGTTACTAAAAGGAAAGAAAAAGGCCCAAACTGCTGAAACCACAATGCTACCTACCATTACTGAGAGTGTCAATTTATGATAGAGTTTATTGGTAGTTTCTGTTACTTTATGGTATAGTTCATAATTCATAAGAAAACATTCTTGCATACTTGTTCCACACAATAAAAAATAACCCTTTTGAGCATAGGGCCAGGAACCTATGGAGAAGTTGTTTGCATCAACTTCATAAACTTAGACTTATTATTTAAGTTTTTTATCTTTAGTTTTCTCATCGATAAGATATGGAAAATGTTATTTTCAGAGTTGTGCAGTTGAAATGACAAATTAAATTGTTTTTAATAATATTATTGTTTTCTAGATATGATACACCATTTATGAATTTTTAGGTCAACATTATTTTATTTATTTATTTATTTTTGAGATGGAGTTTTGCTCTTGTTGCCCAGGCTGAAGTGCAATGGCATGATCTTGGCTCACTGCAACCTCTGCCTCCCAGGTTCAAGCGATTATCCTGCCTCAGCCTCCCGAGTAGCTGGGATTACAGGCATGTAGCAGAGATGGGGTTTCTCCATGTTGGTCAGGCTGGTCTCGAACTCCCAACCTCAGATGATCCACCCACCTCGGCCTCCCAAAGTGCTGAGATTATAGGCGTGAGCCACCGTGCCCAGTCTAGGTCAACATTATTAGTGAGGTTTTAATTTTCTAAAAATATGTTCAAAGAAAGACATATTTTCTAAAAATATTTTAAAGAAAGACATGTTTAAAGGCTTTTGTCTTTAAACAAAGTATAAAATGTAATTTATACTTTGAACTTCTCAGGTAGTTTCTCAATTATAAATAAGAGATGAAAAAAAGTTGAAAATTGAAAATATGAAATCTAATTAAGGGATAAGCTCTAAATATATAAATTAGCCTTAGTGCATTGTTTAAAATAAACTGACTTTATTAGGCAGAATACCCAATAACATTTGCTTATTAGCTTCCAAGAATTTAACAAGATTGCATATTTAAAATTCTAATCTAAAAAGGAAAAAAGAGAAAAGCCGAACAAAGTCCTATACTCACTTGAACAAAATCGAATATTATATTTTCCAAAATAAACAGGAGGTGGGAATTAAATGACTGAGTTTTTTGTTTTTAATTCCTAATTGTTTGAGTATTTTTGCATAATATAGAATAGTGTGATTTTAATATTCCTTGTGGTTATTTTTCAGTGAACAAGTTTTATTTTAAGGAACAAAATTATTTCAACCACCAAACTAAAAACAAATTTCCAAATTTATTCAGTAGTACTGTATTCTGAGCAGAATTTTAGTCCTTGGAAACCGGGGACATATGCCTAATTAATAGACATGAGTAGCATCTATTACTTGACCATCAAATCTCTTGAATACTCATATTTAAGTAAACATTTTTGATTTGTGTTAACAATTAAATTAGAATGAAATCCAATTAAAGTTCAATTAGCAATTTAAAGATTCAGATTTGCAAAATGTATAGTGAATTTTAATCTTCTTTCAATGATTGAAGTGCGTGTTCAGAATATTAAGCTCTTACATGTTCCTAATAGCATTTTCATTTTCACATGCAGTGCACATGCTGAGTTAGTCAATGCTTTCTAATAAGTCTTATACTAATAAAGCAACCTGGAACTGATAATTGATAACATTATCAACAAATGAAATAAATCTAAGTGAATTTTACAATTCTTTTCCTTCACTTAATATAATTATGATAAAATATTCCAATGTGCTCCACAAAGCATTTTTTACTACATGTGGGATGCTTTCTCTATGACAAAAAAAAAAAAGAGTATTAAGAGAAAATTTGGAATCTTGTAAAAACACGATTTTTTTTTACTTAGGAATATATTTTATATAAGAAAGAAAGGACTCAAACACAAGAATAAGTAGAGACAACAACATAAAGTGAAAAGAAAACTGAAAATCTACTTTAAGTGTTAATGTTTATATGCCAAGATTTATAGAATGCAGCCATCAAAAAATGTTATCTGAGCAAAATTATTTTTACTGTGGACAACTGTATATTGGATTATATTTTATACTAATATATACAGATATATTTTCAAATTAATAAAATGAATGGACCTTACCTTATATAAATACTTGAAATCATGACAACATCAAAAACATCAAAATTCAGACTATTTAATTACTTTAATGTGAAGCATTTTGTACATTTTGCAGACCACGCTGTGGAGGCAAAAGATAGGACAGCATTGGTGGATTATATGCTATGAACCCCAAAATGCCCTTCTCGAGAGCAGTGCTGGGATCATGGTATCCCTCTTAGCTGTAGGAGCTGAGATCAGTGTGTGACATGTGGGCTACCGATCCTGGGGAGTGTTTGATATCGGGACTATACCCACTTGGTAAAACTAAAATATAAGTGCTGCACAGGACTAGCAGCTTCAGTATCTGGAAATCAGTGAACTCGAACTTAATTAAGGGATAAGCTCTAAATATATAAATTACCATTAGTGCATTATTTTAAATAAGCTGACTTGATTAGGCAGAATACTCAATAACATTTGCTTATTTGGCAATCTCAGGGAGAAGTTCAGTAGCTAAGAAGGGAAAGTTACCTTGGGAAAGTAAGGCAGGAACAGAAACAGATTAAAAGACCAAGGTGATTACTGGCTTCAAAGACTTGAGAAAAGGCAAGAGAAGAGATATCTTTTCATGATAGATTATACTATTTCTTGAACAAATCTGCAATTGTTCTGTAATATTAGCCATCAGTATTCCTTGAAACTCCATAGCTTTGCTTAGGCATGTAGCACGGTAGTTAAGAATATGAACTCTGGGACCACACTGGCCTTAAATTCCACCTCTGTCACCTTCTAGCTGTGTGACTTAGGCAATTTACTTAGCCTCTCTGTGCCTTAATTTGGTCATCTGTAAAAAGGACATTATAATAGGATCTAAATCGTAGATTATAATAATTATGTGTACTAACACAGATAGCATGTGCAGAACAATACATGAGATTTGTTAAGCACTATATACGTATTTGGCAGTACTGATTTATTCATCGAAGTGAAAAAAAGAATATTTTTTCATTGCAGTTTATGCCTTTAGAAAATTGAAGTAACTATCACTTAATATCATGTTATTTAAAAATTTATGTAATTTTTAAAGTAAACACAAAGTAATGCTGAAAAATACACAAAATGAAAATAAAAATTATCTGTGAGCTTGGCCATACTAAAATCACAAGCCTTGGTTTGAAAATTGACAAGAACGATGTTTGGAATTGATTAAGATTCTTTTTACTTTGTTTTTCTACTAAGTCATGCAACAAGATCTCTAAAGAATTGGTCCCCAGACCTTTTGGCACCAGGTTCTGGTTTCATGGAAGACAATTTTTCCACGGACCAGGGCCCAGGGAAGGATGGTTTCAGGATGAAACTGTTCCACCTCAGATCATCAGGCATTAAGAGTCTCACAGGAGCGCGCAATCTAGATCCCTCTCATGCGCAGTTCACAATAAGGTTAGTGCTCCTATGAGAATCTAGTGCAGTGCTGATCTGACCGGAGGCTGAGCTCAGACGGTAAAGCTCACCTGCAGGTGGCTCACCTCCTGCTATGCAGCCCAGTTCCTAACAGGCTACAGACACTGCAAGTTGCGGCCTGGGGTTTGGGGATCCCTGCTAAAGGACATACTCAAAAGTAAAAGTATACTTGTGAGTGAAAGCATCACTGTAATGCATTCCGTATTCTTAATGAGCCATAAAAGCCAGAGGTCAGTACAACCAACGTGAAATGAGATATCATCAAGACCAGAGGAACTAAGAACGATGCGTGCATTATTTTCCATAAAACTAGGCTGGAGAGCCACTTTAGTACTCAGGAACTCATTCTATTATCATGCAATAAGAGTTTACTTTCCATACATGTACAGTTTATTTCTTGCTAAATCTTTACACCTATATACCACACTATAAAATGGTTGCAGATATAACAAGCATTAGTATTTAAACTGTTAAAACAATTGCTCTGTCTTCAGTAATGAACAAGTATGCTAAGTTAAAGTCCAGTAATATCTGTGAGTTCATTACATCCTTGATTTTTATGAAAATCCATGAAACTTCCAATCGAAGTAAAACAGAAAAAGACTTATGGCTATTATTAGAAATTTGATGAGATTTGGGTATAAGAACGTAGAAATATGATCTTGAGAAGAGACCCAAATATTTCTGATTTGTCTTTCATTTTAAAATAGTATCTGAAAACAAAAACACAAAACCTGAAGTAAGCAGCTAGACCTGCTATAGGATTCTAATTAGGCTGTCATTGTGAAATTTCATGTTGTTATTACTATTGATTTTCATGATCAGAATTAATTACTTAATTTGTGGTTTTAACCATAATTACCTTAATTTGTGGTTTTAAAGATAACCACAAATAAAATTATAATTGTATAAGTAAAATATAAAATTATAAATATAAGACAGACCCATAATCCTAGGGACATGCTTAAAATTTATAAGGCAAATTGCCAGGTATTTGGGATTTTAAGAATATTTATTAAATTTACTTTTACATTACAAAAGAGTTAAACTATGGATTTAAATATTTGGAAAATGAGAAAATTTATCACTTTCTATAAAATAAAGAATTTAGTTAAAGTGTGTCATAAATACTTTAAAATGAAATAAGCATATTTCATTTTAATTCCAAATAATTAAAATCAATATTTTAGTAGAAGTTTGGTTGTAATAATTATAACACATATTTATAGTGCCTTTAATGGATTTTAGGCATTCTTTTAAGTGATTTATATATGATAGTTACTTTGTGATATAATATTATTACCTGTATTTCAGAGATTAGAATGCTGTGACAAGGAGATCAAGAAATTTGCCAGAGATTATATTAAAAACACTGTATATATTCATTTATGTATATTATAAATATCTGTTTATATTTACATATTATGCATGAACAAATATCTGTTTATATTTATATATTATGTATGCACAAAGCTAAAAGAAGAGTTACCAAAGCTTATTAACTGTTGTATTTAATGGGAAGTATATTTTGAAGGTGAAAGAGTATCTTTCCTAAATTGTAATAATCACTTTAGTATTCTAAGGATCTTAAGTAGATTATTCTGTGGTGGTCATTATCATCAAATATACCTAATATATTACTTACAGAAAAGAATTATGGAAGCATGTTTATATAAATATATGGAACTTGAATTTATTTATTTGTATTACAATTAATTTTTTAAAAGTCAGAAATATAAAATATCTAACCATCCTAAGAATCTTATTAGGAACCTTACCTATGTAGTTAATTGAATCCTCCCAATAATGGTATATCTGCAGTTTATAAATACAGAAACAGAGACTTAGGTAAAGTAAACTGGAAATATTTAACATGTATTAAATTAAAATCCAGGATTAGAATACATTGCATGCTTATTCCAAATTTCTGCTCTTTTTATTTAAAGGTAATTGATAGACCTTTAAAATCTAAGGCATGAAACCATAAAAATTCTAGAAGATAACATTGGAAAAACCCTTCTAGACATTGGCTTAGGCAAAGACTTTATGACCAAGAACCCAAAAGCAAATGAAAAAAAAAAAAGATAAATAGGTAGGACTTAAACTAAAAACCTTCTGCACAGCAAAATAAAGAATCAGCAGAGTAAACAGACAATCCACAGAGTGGGAGAAAATCTTTGCGGTCTATACATCTAACAAAGGACCAATATCCAGAATCTACAAGGAACTCAAACAAATTAGCAAGAACAAAATAAACAATCCCATCAAAAAGTGGGCTAAGGACATGAATAGACGATTCTCAAAAGAAGATATACAAATGGCCAACAAAGATGAAAAAGTGCTCAACATCACTAATTGTCAGGGAAATCAACTCAAAACCACAACGCGATACCACCTTACTCCTGCAAGAATGGCCATAATCAAAAAATAAAAAAAATAATATATGTTGTCATGGATGTGGTGAAAAGGGAACACTTTTACACTGTTGCTGGTAATGTAAACTAGTATAACCACTATGGAAAACAGTACGGAGATTTCTTAAAGAACTAAAAGTAGATCTTCCATTTGATTTAGCAATCCCACTCTTGGGTATCTACCCAGAGGAAAATAGGTCATTTTATGACAAAGATACTTGTACACCCATATTTATAGCAGCACAACTCACACCTGCAAAAATATGAAACCAGCCCAAAAGTCCATCAATCAATAAGTGGATAAAGAAAATGTGTTATGTCTATACCATGGAATACTATTCAGCCATTAAAAAAATGAAATAATAGCATTCACTGTAACCTGGATGGAACTGGCTACTATTATTCCAAGTGAAGTAACTACATAGTGGTAAACCAAACTGTATGTTCCCACTCATAAGTGGGAGCTAAGCAATAAGGATGCAAAGGCATAAGAGTGATACAATGGACTTTGGGGACTCAGGGAAAAGGGTGGGAGGGGGGTAAGGGATAAAAGACTACACATTGGGTACAGTGTACACTGCTCAGGTGATGGGTGCACCAAAATCTCAGCAATCACCACTGAGGAACTTATTCATGTAACCAAGCACTACCTGTTCCCCAAAAATAAAACTATTGAAAAAATAAAATAAAATATGGTGCTAGAAAGTATAAAAAGTCCCTTGATCACTACAAGGCACAGGACATTTGTAGCTGTCTTTAGATTTACATTTTGTTTTGTTTTACTAAAAATGCTAATTATTTCTGTCTCTCTCTCCCTTCCTCTTTTTGGGGGGGATGTGGGAGATGGTAGGGATAGAGCCTAATTTTATCTACCTTCCACATATAGACATTAGGATCTTTAGATGTGACAAACAAGCGTTTTCTGTTTATTTTTCCTAAATCTGTACTTTCCATCTGACTATATCCTTTCTCATCTATGAACCTCTCTAGCTATCTAATTAGCTAATTACTGCTGCCTGTCACTTATTTATCATTGATATAAATGACAGTTATTTTGCTAGATGTATTCCAGATTTTATCTGAGAAATTCTCTACTCCTGGAAGACACTGTCAAGTTTATCTTGAAGGGAACATTTTACAAGCCCAGTAAATCTCCAGTGTCTCGGTAAATTTCTTGCTTTTGGACTCATGAGTTCCTCTGTCTGCTCCTATTTGGGTGCTGCTCTGTTCTTCACCTCTTTTCATCACTACGTCCAGATAGGCTTTGTGCAGTAAATTCAAATCACAGTGAGGACATCTATCTCCTAGTTTTGCTAGCACTTTCCCCTCTGAGCTGCAGAAACAGATCTCAAGGCTACCTAAAAAGCTGTAAGCATGCGGTGCTACATATGACCCTTTCCTGTGTACCCAGATTCTGGGAAGGTGTCTTCCCACCCCAGTGCTTTTCAGTTGACTAGCAGTCCCTTCTCTTTCTGCTTGGTGAAGTCCAAATTTGTATCCAGCTTTTAACATATAAATTTTATCTCCATTTGTTTATTAATAAAAGCAGTGTTTCAAATATCAAATAATATACAGTTTCTTCATTATGCCAGACGAGGATCCTTTTTGACGAACTCACTCTAATTTCCATGGCAGATCCTTGCCCCTCCATGGCATGCGTATTGCTTGAATGATATTACCCCAGTAGAACTTCTCGAGTTATATGTAAAAATAATTTACTGTTTTATTTTAAAATTCTTGTTGGATATGTAGTTTGTTGTAAGTCAACACAACTAATATCTGGAATAAGTGATGGAACAAAGAGAAAATACATACATAAATGTCAAGTGTTTCCTACACATAGGGCATTATATTAGGCATGTTGTAAAAATTATCTTGTTGAATTTTCCTAACCAATATTTTAGTAGACATTATATTACCATTTTCACAAAGAAAGATTCTGAGGCATAATTTGATTTTCATGGCATAAATGTAAATTCAGTAATCTAACATCTAAGATTTTAATCAGAACATGTGCATTACTGGATCACCTAGAATTTTGTTATTTTTTAAACATTTTTTATGTACACTTTGTGGCAAGAGTGAAAGAACATATTCTGTCAGCTCTATTATCCATGTTATCATGACCTCATTTAGAGTAAGTGCTCTCAGCTGGGCGCGGTGGCTCATGCCTGTAATCCCAGCACTTTGGGAGGCCGAGGTGGGCAGATCACAGGGTTGAGAGATCAAGACCATCTTGGCCAACATGGTGTGAAACCCTGTCTCTACTAAAAATACAAAAATTAGCTGGGCATGGTGGCATGTGCCTCTAGTCCCAGCTACTCAGGTGACTGAGGCAGGAGAATCGCTTGAACCAGGGAGTCGGAGGTTGCAGTGAGCTAAGATCGCGCCACTGCACTCCAGCCTGGCGACAGAGCAAGATTCTGTCACAAACAAACAAAAAAAGTGCTCTCACGCATGTAGTGTCTCCTCAATTTTATACATGTTGTGGAAAATTGGATAATCCCAACTTGTTTACTGAGCCCCAACTGCAGATAGTGATTTATCTTTCAACTTACCTAAAGATTCCAAATGTTTAGATTAATGAAATAGGAACCTAAAAAATAAGATTGCAAGTGAACATGTTAAGGGTATGCTTGCTAACTTATAGACAAAAGGTTTCTTTCTGTAGTTACTAAATCAAACCACTTATAAAATGAGTAAAAGAAGATATTAATTACATTTGATAAACTCATGGCAATCCAACCAATAGCTATCATTTGGCATTACAACACAGAAATATGTCATGCAAAAGTAAAATGTTTAACATTTTAATAGACATTTTTTGTAATGATATCACTTCTTAGATAAAAATTAAGGTATCTCAGAGATGTCTGTACTTCCATGTTCATTGTAGCATTATCACAATAGCCAACATATGAAAACAACCAAAATGTTCATCGACACATGAATGGGTAAAGAAAAGGTGATCTATACATGCAATGGAATATTATTGAGTCTTAAGAAAGAAGGAAATCCTCCCAATGTAACAACATGGATGAACTTGGAGGATATTATGCTACATCAGATAAGCCAGTCCCAGAAGGACAAATACCAAACGATTTGACTTACATGAGGTATCTAAAGTAGTTAAAGTCATAGAAATAGAGAGTAGGCCAGGCATGGTGGTTCACGCCTATAATCCCAACACTTTGGGAGGCCGAGGCGGGCGGATCATGAGGTCAGGAGATCGGGACCATCCTGGCTAACACGGTGAAACCCCGTCTCTACAAAAAATACACACACAAAAAAAGTTAGCCGGGCGTGGTGGCAGGTGCCTGTAGTCCCAGCTATTCAGGAGGCTGAGGCAGGAGAATCTCTTGAACCCAGAAGGCAGAGGTTGCAGTGAGCTGAGATCGCTCCACTGCACTCCAGCCTGGGTGACAGAGTGAGATGCTGTCTCAAAAACCAAACCAAAAAAAAAAAAAAAAAAAGAGAGAGAGAGTAGAATAGATTTCCAGGGACTTCCAGAGAGAGGACAATGGGAAGATGCTGTTCAATATATAAAGTTTCAGTTGTACCAAATGAATAAAAGTTCTAGAGATGTGCTGTACCACACTGTTCCATAGTTAAAAACACTGTACCGTGCACTTAAACTTTATAAAGAGAGTATATGTTATGTCAATTGTTTGAACAACAGTGATGATGATAATAGTAATAATGATTATAATAATTGGAACAAAGTTGTGAAAAACATTTTCCTTTAAATATTTATATTTGGATAGATTTAGACAACTTACAAAGTATCTTTACTTATTATTTATCTGGCCCTATCTTTATAATAGTGATTACACAGTTAAAACTCAAAGAGAATATATCTTTTCCAAGAAAGTAAAGCAAATGATAAAGTCGAACATAAATCTATTTTTAATCCTTAAATCCAGTTCTCTTTTCCCTCTGTAATTCATTTTTCTTTTATTGCTGAATAGAGCTCTGTCTTTACATTTGTTATCTAATCACAATTTACTTTCATGTATGTAAAAATAATGCTTTAGAAGGTATATAAAGCAAAATTACTTCACAGATATATAGATATATATATGTAGCATATGAAAGGGATCTTATATTTAAATATGTAATGCAGTGGTGGTTAAATAATGAACTAAGGAATATTTTAATTTTAATCAAGTGGCTAATATTTGACTTGTAATAATTTGACTTGAATTTGTGTTGTGGCAAGTTTATAGCATGACTCGTTACTATTAGGGAAAAAGAGTTGATATACACATGAATTTTTCATTTGTTTAATATTAAGGTTATGGCAAATTGTATGGGAAGAAAAGGATTGATTATAAAAAAACAAAAAACAAAAAAAATTTAGCCTTGTTATTTTACAGCTGGCTACATATAATAGTAATATGATTGTATAAGGTAGCTTCTCTTTTGCTGTCCCTGGAAGAGTTTCAGACAGCTGTAATTATGAAGTTTTGGTTTAATAATACAAACCTGACAGTAACAATGAACTGTGTCACTATGTTAATAAAGACTTTTTGCAGAGCTTGAAAGATAATGCACCCAGCCATTTTTAAATAATGCATATTCTCTAAGAACTTGGAGAGTAAGCAAAATATGCTCTGACCAATATAATGTGGGTGTCTCAGGGCTAGAATGCGGCTTGCTTTTCTGTTCATCTACTTGTCAAAGATGATGCCATTTTTCTTACTAGTTAATTATTGATGTTCCTAAGGCTCTTTCACAAAGACAATATTATGTATCTTAGGGGGAAAAAGCATTTCCATGAAAATATATGTAATTAGAGCCAGATGTCAGAATGTGTTCTACTTTCCTTAAGGAACTTTATAATCATTTCTAGATAACAGGTAAAGTTCTTGTCTGGCTTACTGTCTCTTTAAAGGATACAACTGACAAGTCTCCTAAGATAATGAAAATTAACAAAGGACTAGTGATTTCTATTTCAAATAACTTAGACCACTTATTCTTTGGTTGGCTCAAGACAGATGAAGAAATCTAAAATAAATCTGATTTTCAAGTATTTTGAATGAGGAAGAAAATGCATCCTCTTCTAAGCAAGCAAATATACTCAGACTGGGAAATCCCTCATTTTTAACAAAATGTTCAGAAGTTGAAGAAAGGATACCTAGCAGACAATAAAATATGAGGAGTGACCTCAGCCTATAAATAAAATGTGTAAGAAATAGCTGAGCTTGTGCAAAATGATAAGGATCACAAAAACCGTGCTTTGGAATTTTTTACTTTTTACAATTGGAAAAGTAACACACATGGGTTTTAATAATAGTTAACAGACCAAACACTCTAGAGTGAAGAAGAAATGCAATCCTTTCTGCTGTACTCTTCCACATTTCTGTATCGAGGCAAAACAAACAAACAAACAAACAACAAAAAAACAAAACAAATGAACAAAAAAACCCACTTCTTGCTTGAGAATCCATCCCTTTTCTTATCTGGGTTGCTATATCTCTACCACACTGGGAATCAACCATCTCTTTCTTTAGTGTTCTTCGGGAATTTTAAGGAAGTTTCTCAGCTACGTAAACCTCAGCTCCAATAATTTTCTTGTTTTCATTATTTCCCTTGACTTGGATTTGGAGAAGAAAGCCATCAGCATATGATGAATCATAATCTTGACTGGAAAATCTTGTCAGAAGTATGTTGATTAGAACAAGGAGAAATTACTGATTTATAATATTTATCCTCTATATTGAAGTAGTACTTATGGCTTTACATTTATTCAACTTTTATTTAATTTCTCTGAGTGGAGCTTTAAATCTCCTCTTCCACCAAATTGTTTCAATGTCCTCATTCAATTTTATTCCTAGGTCTTTATCTTTTTGAAACTATTTTAAATTGAATACTTTATTCTATTATATTCTCACGGTTATTGTAAGCCAGTCTAATATTTTTGATAGTAATTTAATAATTAGACACCTATGATAATTATTCTATTATTTAGGGTCATTTTTTTCCCAGCTGATATTGTGTTTTCTGTATGTACAGTAACAGAATAGAGAGAAGGTAAACCTACTGCTTTGAGGGAACTTGATACCAACACTTAACATGGAAAAGGTTGATAATCCCATTCTACTTTTATTTGTATATACTTTACTAGGGGTGAGTTTATTTTTTATGTATTCATTTGCTTTTATTCATCAAATATTTGTAGGGTGCCTATTACATACTAGACAATATTTTAAGTGTTGTTTACAGGAAAAGAAAAAATGACACAAAAATGTCTGACCTCCTAAATCTGATATTTTAATGAAAGACAAGGTTAATAAAAAGAAATAAATACATAGCAAAAGGGAGGGATGATGCTGTTTCGTTGGTTTTACTTGCTTTGCAGCAGTGTGGGGTGAGTTGTTAATTCTGTGCAGTTTTATCTATCAGGCTCAGGAAAGGCCTCCACGAGAAGGTGATATTTGAGAAAGGGCTTAATGAAGATGAGGAAAGGAGCTATGCAGCTACCTGGAAAATGAGATTTCCAGCCGGAAAGAATCAGCAAATGCTTCTCCTGAGGCAGGAGCATGTCTGGATGTTCAGCAAATAGCAAAGTTCAGCAGCTGATAATAGAGAGCCAGAAAATTGAGAATATATTTTATAAATAATAAATAAGATCTGTGGACCTTTGATTCAAATACCAAACATAATATGAATTGACTAAAATATAAAAAGAATACATTCTTGGAAGGATGCCGCCACACCTCTTCTAACAAGACTGAGGTTGCACCAACAAAAACCGAGTGAATTGCACATCTCCGGACTCATCACTCCCCAGCTCTCTTGGTTTCCCACCGGATGTCAGCATCATTCTCTCAGAGCAAGTTCCTTCATATTGCAGGGGATAAATAGGTCTACACTTTCACATCATGCAGCTCCACCACCAGAGAAGGACTGTCTCTCTTAATTTAGTTTTAATTTTTGAAATCATAGAAAAAGTGCCCAGACCAGCTTTTACCAACTCACAAAGTGATTAACTACAGCCAAGTGTTATAGGGTAGAATATTTTAAATCATAGCCCTTAATAGCACTAAATGTTTAAAGTGGAGACTAGGTGCTATTCACTGAAGGAAAGGGGATCACCAAATATAGTATAGATTTGACTACAAATAATTGAGATTTCATTGGATCTTGAGATAGTAAATGCTACTTATCTATTTGCAGTGGGTTCCAATCTTCATATTCTGATTAACGTAACTCTGAGTAGTCAATCATATGACTAAACTCTTTGTGAATGCATCTGTAATCATCGAACTTTTGTTCAAGGGTGATTTTCCACTGGTATCTCATTTCCAGGAAATCTGAAGATAATGTTAGCTAAGAAATATTCTTGAATGAACAGTTATGTTTTGATTATTCATTGATTAATCAGATTTTTTTTCTTCTCACAGGTTTCCTCCTGTTCTGTGGATTTCTCGTACCATGCCAGTCTAAATGCTTGTTATTGAAACCAGAACAGCCAACATGATAATATTGGTCTTCATTCTCTTGGAAAAGAATTGACAGAAGATACTCAAATAATGTGTGATTAGTATTACAAAAAGTGTTACAAAAATGTGATAAGTGTTACGAAGGAAGTACATCATGCCTGAGATTAAAGTAGGAAGTCTTTATTGCTATATTATCCTAAAATCAAATTTTATCTCATTATTTTGAAAGTAATAACAATGTTAACTCATGGAATTCTACTTATCTTACTATTAAAGTTGTAATTGCTCATGCATAACTAGTATAATCATTATTAGTCAGGACTTTATAGCACCCCACATTCATCATGTTTAAAAGAATTGCCATGTAACTATAAAAATGTAACAACTAGGAAAGTGTAGGATAGTAGTATAAGGTTAGAAAATGAAGATATTTTAGGACTTTGTGACACTACCTCAATGGAAGGTATATTAAAGTTCGTAACATCTCTATTTAATACAAGCAAATTATTATATATATATGTGTGTGTGTATGTGTGTGTGTGTGTATTCCTCTATTGGTCTTATTACCTAATAAGATGGGACAGATTGAAAATATGAATACATTTTTAAGTTAAGAAAAATGAAAAATGCATCAATAAAATTTTTTAAAGATATTATATGATACTTCTATCTGTGTACAACCTTAACCTACTAAGATTTCTTGGCAACATTTTTGGAGATTAAATACTGACTGGGAGGTCAATATCTTCATCATTAAAGTTTTGTCATATAAAGCACAATTTATTAACTACCCAACGGCAATTATCTTTTCTTTCTTGCCTGATGAATCTCAGTTTTGTTCAGGTCTTCAGGGGTCAATATACTAACAGAAGGTGGATTCCTCCCTACCCCAGAGAGGTTAATGTTGGCAAGTGTAAGCTAGTTATTATATGCCAATCATGGCTATTCCAATCCTTTGCAAATGGGTGATTAAGACATAAGTTGTGATTTTACCCTATGCACAATTTGTTAGGGAGCGTTTTCTGAAGAACTTACCTTAAGTTTTCTTTCTTTTTCTTATTGTTTTTTTTTTCTCTCTCTCTCTCTGAGGATGAAAAAAAAAAGACAGGGGCTTTACCTTTTCTGTTTCTGAATATAGTGCTAAGAGGACAAGCTAGCTAGAATGCTGCAGCTAATTTAGGACTATCACTAAAGACAAGGAAAATGCCCTGTAGGAGGCAGGACAGAAAAATGGAAAGGGCTGGGCTATTTAATAATTTTGTCATGCTCCAGAATTAACCAACTCTGACAAACATTGATTCTGAATTTCTTATCATTTACGATGAAATCAAATCAAATAAAACTTTATTGCTCAAGCCACTTGTAATCAAGAATTAAGTAACCTATCCTATTACTGAATACCATAATTGATGCAATCATTATATTTATTAAGAAGTGTCTGTGTCAGGTCCATTGCTTATAGCTTTACATGAATTATCTCATTTAATTTTCTGCAATAAACGTATTATCCCCAAGTTATATACGCAAAAATTAAAATTTAGAGAGGTCAGATTAACTGCCCAAGGTCACACACCAAGTAAGGAGCAGAGCTTTCAAATATAAATAAAGCTGATTCCAAAGGCAATTTCTTCTCTGAGTCTGACCCCAACAACTATTCTTAATGCTCAAGTGTCTGTAAATATGGCATATTACATTTACATTAAGAAGTTCATTGATTTATTTTCTTAGATGCCAAATATAAAAGATAAAATCCATTGGTGTATTTTCAGATTCACCAATATCTTTAAACCAAATTTAGACATATGGGATATCTAAATTCCCATGAATTTGATCCTGGATCCTTTTATACATTGTTTAGAAAAAAAAATGTCTAAGGTGTCTAACCACTTTGTTTTTAATGTATCTACTTCCTTATGCTCATAGCTATTTTTTTATTATTGATTTTTGTGCAAATAGCATCTGCTCGAAACTGAAAACAAATGACTACATTTTTGTAGATTTATCTATTGTATTCTTTCTCTTATTATTCCAATCCATTGTCCATATAGTTTGTGCAGTTATGTCTCTGAAACACATTCTATTGATCTCATTTTATTCTTTAAAAATTGTTAATATTTAACCATTTACAGCAGAATAAATTCAAGATTCCCCAGTAAGGCTCAGCAGACTTTCCAATCTCTCTCTTCTGTGTTTAGGTGTATACATATACATATATCTATAATGTCTAATTGTTTCTTAACAGTATGCATCATCAGTGCCTAACTGTATGTCTAGTATATTAGTCAGGGATCTCTAGTGGGACAGAACTAATAGGATGGGAGAAAGATGTAGGCTGGGATGCTAAGCCAGCCTAGTCTTTTCATGTTTTCTGCCTGTTTTATATTCTGGGTGCACTGGCAGCTGATTAGATTGTGCCCACCCAGATTAAGAGTGGGTCTGCCTTTCCCAGCTCACTGACTCAAATGTTAATCTCCTTTAGCAACACCCTCACTGACACACTCAGGATCAATACTTTGCATCCTTCAATCCAATCAATTTGACACTCAGTATTAACCATCACATCTGGCATATGGTAGGTAATTAATAAATCTATATTGAATTAATTCATATACATAAAATAAACATAAAAGGCATTCATTCAGTGTCAAACCATCTTAACCTTACCAAAAAAAATGCACTTGATTTATAACCCCACCCAAACTTCAATAGTGTTAATTGCTGCATTTGAGGATCCAGGAAATATCCAATACATCCCTGAAATATGAACAGAATTGGAACTAAACAATAGAATTTCCATGAGAAGCACAAAAATTGTTTTCCCCCTCCCTGTGTGACTCAGAAAACTACTTTTTCAAGAATGTAATAAAAGGAGAGGGTAGAGATGAAAACTCCTTTCACAAACATTGGCTTCTGTATAAGGACAAGGTTACTTCACTATTAGTCTATGGAAGTTCTGATCTAGTCTCCAGGATGATTTTAGCCATGATATAAAACCTTAGACAGGTAGAAATGGAATGTATTAGCTAGATATTCACAATGTTGTGTTTAAACTGAAACACCCTAGAAGTCTCTTGTGCCAATTTATTGAAGTCGTTTATTCAAAATATATAGATTGACTTGTTTTTAGTTAATATATCTGGACACAGCCTGGTCTAGGGTCTAAACGGCCATTCAGTACTTTGAACTTTGGCTTTCCTGACACAGAGATCTCTTGCATTTATCTGAGCAATCCATTATCTGGAAACAAACTACATTTTGTTTGACCAAGAGAAACCCCTGAAAGCTGTATCCAGATTATCCAGGATATACTAATGTTCTCTTATTTTATTTTATTTTTTTTTTGCTTCTGTTATAGTGATCCCATATATAAATAGTTGATGCAAGATTTTTGTGCCTTAGCACAGATAGGTCTGGGTTCCTGTCTCATGACCAGGGAGAATTAGGGGCATGAACACCAGAGAGTGAGTGGAGTAGAATTTATTAAGCTAAAGGAAGGCTCTCAGCAAAGAGAGGGATCCTGATAAGCAGGTTTCCAGTTGCCCCTTTCACAGGTGAATACAAGGGCTTCTATATAAAAGCTGATGAGGTTGGGTTCCTTATTTGTATATGGCACAAATTCCTGGCAGCTCCACCCCGTCCTTCCAGTGCGCAGGTGGGCCCTTAGTCTGAGCTGCTCCATATTGATTTATTTTCCTTACTGCTCACGTGTTAAGGAGTGGAATTGTCTATTGTGGGCATGTTTAAGCAAGCCTCCTGTGCAAGTTCCCCTATCTGCACAAAACATCTGGTGTAAGCACTTGTGGAGTGGATCAGAGGTTCTCCAGGACACTTCCCTTACTGTCTGCCTACAGCAAGCTGGCTAACTCCTTTCATAGTCATGACTATATTTCATGTATGTATATGTGAAAGTATATATACATATATGTATATGTATACTTATATATGTACAAGTGAATATATTTCACTTACATATATAATTTGTATATGTATGTATAAATATGTAAAAGTATATATTAGGTTGGTGCAAAAGTAATTGCAGTTTTTGCCATTACTTTTGCACCAATCTAGTAGTTATACGTAAGTATATACTTAATATATACTTATTCATTACTTATATATCATACACTAATTATATATTATATATAAGCATGTTATTCAATTACAAGATGAGTGGTGTCACTTTTGCAAAAACATTGCATACTTAGGCTTACCCAGCACCTCTACTTTCTCCCTCTTATTTACTGAGACTTGAGAATCCTTTGAATCTAGTACTTAGATAACCATGTATTCACCTATTCAGTGATATTGGTTATCATTTAGGCCATCAAAAATTATATTATTCTTGTCTTTAATGATTAATTCAGCTCACCCATTATCTGGAGTTACTAAGGAGATTGACCTGGTTTTACAAACCATTACTTTTATATAAAAACTAAAAACGTGAAATTACTACATTTTATCCACAGAATGTAGTTCTATTTGTGAAAGCATTCAAGCAGGTAAATTTTAGTTTCAGAGCATTTTTTTTTATTCAATGTGAAATCAAACAAAAGAAAACATGATGGATTCAATCATCATAGAGTATGGTAAACTTAAAAATAAGTCATGTGTGATTTATATTCAATATTGAATATCAAAACTATCTGCATGTCTTTTAACTTGACAAAGTCTACGGTAGGAGAAAATAGTCAATGTTAGAAGTTATTTAGTAACTCTCAGTGAAAGCAAGACCATGTTAAAAAAGGGAAGAGATGATTATGTTAAGCAGGATAAGAGATAAGATTAAGATGAATATTGCCAACAGAAATAAAATTTAAACAGGTTTCATGAAACTTTAATTTCTAGAATTTAACAATTATATTATCAAATGAATATTCATGTCTTCTCTGCTGCCAGTATCAGCTACAAAGAGTTCTGGTTCTGCAAACAAAACCTTTGGGTCTTCATTTTGCAAAACAGCTTTAATGTACAGAAACAAAATTGAGATGATCTGAAACTAATTAGACATAGCTACATTAAAAATATCAGAAAATTGGCCGGCCACGGTGGCTCATGCCTGTAATCCCAGCATTTGGGAGGCCAATGCAAGCGGATCACAAGGTCAGGAGATCGAGACCATCCTGGCTAACACGGTGAAACCCCGTCTCTACTAAAAATACAAAAAAAAAAAAAAAATTAGCCAGGCGTGGTGTCAGGTGCCTGTAGTCCCAGCCACTCTGGAGGCTGAGGCAGGAGGATGGCCTGAACCCAGGAGGCGGAGCTTGTGGAGAGCAGAGATCACACCACTGCACTCCTGCCTGGGTGACAGAGTGAGACTCTGTCTCAAACACACACACATACACACACGCACACACACATCATTGCCTCTTACATGATTCACTCCAGAAGCCAGTCTATAGGACAGTATTATGCATGGTCAATTTCTTTTTGTATGTTTCTTTTTAAGATTTAACGTTGGAGGGTGATAGATTATCACTCATATTCAACACAGCCTGAGTTTTTTCTCCAATATTAAAAGAGAACATGATTCTAGTGCATGATATGAAATAACTTGAATGCTAAGTTGTGTGAATAGTATTTATATTTCAACACTAGAATTACATTGAACATCGTAAAATGCTTTCATATGATAAGAGGCACAGTTCACTAAAGGAATATGTTCATAATCATTGAATCAATTATGAGGAGATTTAACTTCATTGTATACCTTGTCTTTTTTTTTTTTTTTTTGCTTTTCCATAATCTCAATTTATTTTTCTCATATAGCTATTTCTCACAAGGGAAAGATAAGAGAAAATATTCTAATAAAACTGTCTTTTCTATTATGAAATAACATCACACTTTGGCATTGTAAAGTACCTCATAAGAATTTAAATTGTTCTAATTATTTTAGTTTTTGAAATGGTATTTCTTGGAATTAACACTATTAAGCAGATACAAATTAATTTTTCTTCAATAAGGTTACTTTCTATCATATGTATGTTTTACTGAATATATCACAGTATACTTAATATAGTCGAAATATTTATGAAATGAGGCTATTTTGGGACAATGAAAAAGTGCACTTAAATCCATGTTTGGAGTACAAGGAAACTAAAAGACAAGGCAGAGAATACCAGAATTACCATGTAGAAACCCTTTCCTGTAGATATTTATCTCTAAGAAGAGTGAAGACAGAGATCACAATGTTGCCGATATGGGGGTGAGTGCACTCTAAAACGTCACTGATAAATGAACAAAAATAATCTAAATATAAAGAAACTCCGTTAGATAGGCATTAAGAATCTATAATAAGATGTGGTTTCTAGTCACTTAATTTGAGGCTAAAGATGATGATAGTTTCTAAACGGGACTAGGAACAGAGGCAGACCACAATTATGCAAAACCTCTCCATAGCAAGAGAAACCCATACACAGTTAGCAATATAGGGACAGGTTCTATTATTAATACTAAGGTGAATGAATGTATTAGTATCTATTGCTGTATAATAAAACACTCCCAAAACCTACCAGCTTAATACAACAATGTATTATTGCTTACATGTTTATGTGTTGATCAGGCAATGCTACTGATATAAGCCTATCGAAGCTAATTTCACTAGGCTCTTTTTCAAGGGGGTGGAGGATGGCGGAGGGCTTTTCTCAGACACCTCCAGGTTTTCTCAGACACCTCCAGGGTTTTCTCAGACACCTCCAGCAAATGATCCCAGGCTAATTTTCCCATTGGTCAGGGGTCCAAGAGTGAAAGCAGACCCTCACAGATACTTGTTACAGAGTCTACTTGGGTCAGTTCTGTTACTGTCCCATTGGCCAAAGCACATGGCCAATCTCATGGTAAGTGGAAGACAATAACCGAAAAGTACAGTACATGTACAGTAATAAATGAAAAGATGAGGCTTGCATGCAGTCATCCTCCCACAATGGATGTGAAAACAAGATGAAAATCCATGTCTAAAAAATGGTGTTTGAAGTGAGGGTCAGATTACTAAAAAAGTGAATTTGTTATGGAATCCCAGAGGAGTCCATTCAAGATGCCAGACTTCTCCATCTACATGCCAGAATAATCTTGTAGACCCTTCAGCACTCAACCAATACATGCTGCTAAAACAATTACATGGAGAGGAAACCTCTGGGATATTGGCCATAAAAAAATTTTGTGAGACAAATAGATAGAAAACATATTGTATTTGGACATTTTTTCTTACCATTACAAAATTTTACAGGGCATTTTTAGTAGAGACTTCTAGTGCTCAACAAATAAAGGCATCCTCTTTTTATGAGGACACAGAAAGAAAACTCTTACTCTTCCCATTGAAAATACATGGGGTCAATGGGTTGTGAATGGAGGTGTTTGTTTGTCTTTTACTAAATAACTTAATTGCTGCTGTAAGATTCTTATTATTCCCCTGACTTCTGCAAAAACCGGACAGGGATCATAGTGGCAAACTAAAAGAACAGTGGAGCCTGAGTTCCTGCAGAGTGAACACTTGCCAAGGAGAGTATTTTTGTAATTATAGCTGACTTTCCTTAAGTATATATTAACATCTTTTTATTAGGTCATTGTAATTTTTGGAGGTATTAGGGTAGCAAAAGGTGGCTTGTAGTGGTGAATATAGCAATGCAATTAGCCAGGAGAAATGCATTAAATGTTGATTAGTACCTGTTATCGTATACAATGTAAAATGTTCTTGTCACATTATATCAGAAAGTACATGTTATGTACATGACATCACTAATGATGTTAACCTTCATCACTTAGACAATACAGTGTTTGCCAAAGTTTGCCATGGTAAAGTTACTATTTTCCCCTTTGTCTAATCTATTCTTTGAAAGAGAGTCTTAAATCAAGTCTATCCTCAAGAGACAGGAGGTTGGAATTCAAACCAGCTCCTAGATGAGGGATATCTACATGTATTATTGAAAATTCTTCAGTAAAAAATACTTATTTTGGGATGGGCGTGGTGGCTCATGACTGTAATCCCAGCACTTTGGGAAGATAAGGCTGGTGGATCATGAGGTCAGGAGATTAAAACCATCCTGGCCAAGATGGTGAAACCTCATCTCTACTAAAAATACAAAAATTAGTCGCGCGCGGTGTCCTGCACCTGTAGTTCCAGCTACTCACGAGGCTGAGGCAAGAGAATCGCTCGAACCCAGGAGGTGGAGGTTGCAATCACTTGAACCTGGGAGGCGGAGGTTGCAGTGAGCCAAGATCGCACCACTGCACTCCAGCCTGGGCCACAAAGTGAGACTCCATCTCAGAAAAAAAATACATATATATATATATATATATATATACATATTTTTAAGTTCGTATATTCAGTTTGCTAACCTATGTTAGGGAATTTTACGTCTATATTTACGAGTGATATTCTTTTGTAGTTTTCTTAAGAAGCTTTCTTCAGCTTTGGTATCAGATTAATACTAGCCTCAAAAAATGAGATGGAAAGTATCTACAGTCCTTATTTTTTCTGAATTAATTTGTGTAAAAATCTTAATATTTCTTTGTTAAATTCGTGGTGAAGCCACCTGGGCTCCATGTTTTATTTATTTGGAGATTTTAAATGACTAATTCAATCCATTACTTCTTATAAGTATATTCAGGTTTTTTATTTATTTTTTAGTTGGTTTTAATAATCTTTGTTTTTCTAGAAATTTTCTACTTTGGTTAAGTTGTCCAATTTTTTGGTCTAAATTTTTTCATAATATTTTCTTATAATAATTTTAATTATTATAGATAGATAATTACTATAGGTAGATATAGAGATGTTGTCTCTTTCATTCCTCATTTTATTAATATGTGCCTTTTCTTTTTTTTCTTGGTGATTCTAGCTGAAGAATTATTTTATTCTAATGATTCTTTCCAAAAACCAAACTTTAGTTTTATTGCTGTGATTGTCTTTTCTTGATCATTTTTCTGTTTTCTATTTCATAATTTTTTTATCCTTATATTTTTCTTTCAGTTGGCTTTGGTTTTACTTTGCTCTTGTCTTCATAACTCTTAAGGGTGATGCTTTGGTATTGATTCAAGACTTTTTTTCTTTTTGAATATAGTCATTAAAAGTTTTCATCTTCTTACTACTTTTAATGCATTTACTACATTTTCATATGTTTAATTTTCCTTCAATATTTTATAATTTCTGTTATTATTTCCCTTTCGACCTGTGGATTATTTAGAAGTATGTTCAAGGTTATTGGTATTTTAAAATATATGATCTGCTGATAATTCCATCTAGCGCATGCTTTATCACACACATTGCAGTTTAAGTTCTAATTTCATCTGGATCTTTTCCTAGCTTCCATGTCTTCACTGAAATTTTTAAACATATACAATACAGTTATAGGCCAGGAGTGGTGGTTCATGCCTGTAATCCCAGTACTTTGGGAGGCCAAGGTGGGCAGATCACTTGAGGTCAGGAGTTCGAGACCAGCCTGACCAACAAGGTGAAACCCCTTCTCTACTAAAAATACAAAAATTAGCAGGGCATGGTGGCGGGCACGGTGGCGGGCCCCTGTAATTCCAGCTACTAGGGAGGCTGAGGTGGGAGGAATGCTTGAACTCGGGAGGTGGAGGTTGCAGTGAGCCCAGGTTGTGCCACTGCCCTCAAACCTGGGCAACAGGGTAAGACTCCATCTCAAAAAAAAAAATAATAATACTGTTAAAACAATTATTTTTATGGTCTTGTCTGTTCTAAATTCTAAATTCTGTGTCAATTTTGAGTTAGTTTTGATTTATATTTTTCTCCATTAGGTGTCTCATTTTCCTGTGTCATTGTATGCCTAGTTATTTTTTACTGAATTCCAGACTTTGTGATTTTACCTTTCCTAGCATTAGTTTTATTTTATTACTATAAAAAGACTTGAGCTTTTTGGGGTGATGCTTTTAAGTTACTTGTAGGCCTTTTTATCCTTTTGTGTCTGGCTTTGAAGATTTGTTGGGCTTGGGTTGCGGGAGGTCAAGGGATGGAGGCATGACTAGAGCAATGCTCAGCCTGTGGCTCATTATTTCCTTCCTGCATGCTCTAGGAATGCCCTTTGAATCATGAAATTTTCCAGTCTGGCTATTAGCAATAGACACTTTTTCTAACCCTATGTGAGCACTGAGCATACTTCCAGATAGGTTTACGCAGCCTCCTATAGTTTCCTCACAGGATCAGTAATCAGCTAAGTAATGGGGGGCTTTGCAGAGTTTAGATTTCTCTCTGTTTAATTCTCTCCTAACCCATGATACATTCTGTGAACTCTAGGCAATTTGGTCTTCCCATATTTCTGCTCTGTTTCCTCAACTCAGGGAGTCTTCCAAGCCCAACCTAGTTTTGCCTCCCGGTTTCATGGTCTAGAAACTCTCAAGACAGTTAGCTGTGACAATCATAAGGATTTCCTCATTTGTTTTCCTTGTTTCAGAAATCGCTGACTTTCACTGACTTAAATCAATGTCTTGAAAACCACTGTTTCATATACAGGCAGTCCCCAACTTATGATGGTTCAATTTCCAATTTTTTGACTTTACAATAGTGCTAAAGTGACACGCATTCAGTAGAGACCATATTTCAAATTTTAAATATTAACCTTTCCTCAGATTAATGATATGAGGTAAGATACTCTCTCACTATGTTGGGCAAGGTCACTGGCCCACAATTCCCAGTCAGCCACACAATCATGGCCATAAACAACCAACACTCTATGGTGTACTGTGCTGCAAGATGATTTTGCCCAAATGTAGGCTCAGTGTTCTGAGCATGTTTGAGGTAGGCTAGGCTAAACTATGATGTTTGGCAGGACAAGTATATTAAATGCATTTTTGACAGATATTTTCAACCTATTATGGTTTTATCAGAACATAATCCCATTATAAATAAAGGAACATCAATATTTTGTGTTTCGATTGTTTCAAGTAGGAGGTTATATTCAGTTCCTATTGATTTATCTTAGCCAGAAGCAGGAATCTATTATTTCTTTTTAATAGTATGAATAATTCTGAGGAGCAATCAGTGGTGAGAATTGTTGCATTCCTGACCTCCTTCCTTCTAACTTTCTGGAGATTGGATTGATGGGAGGTTCTTACTTTAATTAGCTTAATATACATATGAATGTATGATGTTGACACATATATGTTTTGTCCAATTTCCAAATAATTTTTTTTGTTTTTCTCTGATGATTGATCTCTCATAAATTTGTATTTTTAAAGGAATGGCTACAAGGTACTTCAGTAGAAAGGGTGAAAAACTTACATTTCGAAGGCACTGAGATTAGACTTCAGGCCTAAATACTATCATTTGCTGAAAGAATAGAAAGAAGGATATAGGTAAATTCTCAATTAAGGCAAGATGGCCAGAAAAGCACCTTAACTAGTGTTCCATTATTTGGAATGCTAAGCGTGTGGGAGTGATTTATATCCTACTGCCTGAGGTCATCACCAAGGTCTAATTGCAAAAATCAAAAAATTGCAACCTCAGGCATAAATGGGTTAAACACAGGTAAAGTTTGCGATGTAGATTTAAGTCAACGCTTTCTCCATTCTCTAGTGATTTAGTCTGCCTTTTCTATCTGGTGCAGAGAGGGACACATACTTACAAATTGAGATTTCCTTTATAGATGTAAATTTCACTTACAAAAGGGTTTTGAAATAACCAGAAGAAAACAGTCCTTATGCCAGAGAGGCATATTTTGAAGATGAATTCAGCTAGATTGTGAGTTCTCAAGTCAGCTTGTGCTTTACAACTAGAATCCTAAACATAGAGTGGAGCCTCCTGAAGTATAGGGCAAGCGTTTTACATGCCTGGACTAAATGTGGATACTTCTAATCTTGCCTTATGCTCAAAGACTGGTTAATTCTTTTTCTGTTTAAAAGATTGAATAATATACCAGTTATTGTGAGGAAACACTTTAGGGATGGATCCTAAAAGGTTATTTGCTATTTTTTTTAGCCCTTTTTGCTCTATCCTTAGAAGATCGAGTGTTTAGTTCTTTGATATCTTTCTCAGATATCCCTTATTTGGCTTTAGATATCCATTTATGGGCTTTACCAGGCCCCAGTGAGGTAAGAAGTGGGACTCAACTCTGGGGGTGGAGCTTGGACACTGGACAAAATTGATTTATTGAAACTCAATAATACTGATTATTGAGACTCAATTTTGAGATTACTCAGATTTTAATTTGTCCTATGACCAAGAGGGCCTCTTGTTCACCCTCAGGGTGACTAACCTTTAAACAGGCTTCTTTCTGATTCTAGGCCCCTGACCTTTCTTTTTTTAGAGCATTTAACTTAGAAATCTTGTAAATGACTTTTCTATACCTTTGAAATACAATATAGATTTTTTTTTGATGGGGTCTTGCTCTGTTGCCCAGACTGGAGTGCAGTGGCATGATCTTGGCTCACTGCAACCTCCGCCTACCAGGTTCAAGTGATTCTCCTGCCTCAGCCTCCTGAGTAGCTGGGACTACAGGCACGCACCACCACACCCAGCTAATTTTTTATTATTTTTAGTAGAGACGGGGTTTCACCATGTTGGCCAGGATGGTCTCGATTTCTTGACCTCGTGATCTGCCTGCCTCGGCCTCCCTAAGTGCTGGGATTACAGGCATGAGTCACCATGCCCGGCCGAAATAGAATATAAATCTTTTTAAAAACCTTTTGCCAGTTTTACAACCCAGAGCCCGGGATGCCTTTCTCAAGTACCTGGGTGCTATCTATTTGAAATGTAATCATCAAGGAAGTCAGTGTTCCCATTTCCATAGTCTCTGTGGGAGGGGAGGAAACAACTTGCTCCGAGTTGTAAAACTGTTTTTTGTGAGAACAACAGAAACAGTTTACTTTTCATATGGGTAAAGTCAATTTGCAAAAATAGATGCCCCCTGATCTCCCTCTCAGCCCAGAGTTCTCTCCCTCAACTGTCCTTTGTTTCATCAGAGTTGAGGTCAGACTGTGTTACGGTCCCTCTCCTCTACTGCAATTGCCTTGAATAAAATCTTCTTTGCCTGTTTATCTTTATCTGATTCAATTTTTGCTTTTATATCTATGATCCAACTATCCAGCTGTTTTTACTCCCTTCCACTGAAAATCGTGTCCGCTTTGTACCTTGCATGGAAGGATATGTATTCACTCAAGCCTGTCACTTATGCTTCCAGACAATGCATGCATATTTGGACTAGAAATCATTTTGCAAAAACTAAGCAGTGTTCCAGGAATTTTTAAAGGTATTTTCATTACTCCTTAGTTATGGATTTTTATGCTTTTCCTACAACAGCATAAGAAACCTAATTATTATAATAATATTTCCTGGAAGTGAGAGGTGAAGCTGGTTGGGCTTCTGGGTCTGGTGGGGACTTGGAGAACTTTTCTGTCTAGCTAAAGGATTGTTAACACACCAATCAGCGCTCTATGTCTAGCTAAAGGTTTGTAAACGCACCAATCAGCACTCTCTAAAAACGGACGAATCAGCGTGCTGTAAAATGGATCAATCAGCAGGGTGTGGGCAGGGCCAAATAAGGGAATAAAAGCTGGCCACCCAAGCAAGCATGGCAACCCACTGGGGTCCCCTTCCACACTGTGGAAGCTTTGTTCTTTCGCGCTTTGTAATAAATCTTGCTGCTGCTCACTCTTTGGGTCTGCACTACCTTTATGAGCTGTAACACTCACCAGGAAGGTCTGCAGCTTCACTCCTGAAGCCAGCGAGACCACGAACCCACCAGGAGGAACAAACAACTCTGGGCGCACCACCTTTAAGGGCTGAAACACTCACTGCAAAGTCTGCGGCTTCACTCCTGAAGTCAGCAAGACCACAAACCCACTAGAAGGAACGAACAACTCCGGACGTGCCACCTTTAAGAACTGTAACACTCCTTGTGAAGGTCTGTGGCTTCACTCCTCAAGTCAGCATGAACCCACCAGAAGAAAGAAACTCCGGACACATCTGAACATCTGAAGGAACAAACTCCAGACACACCATCTTGAAGAACTGTAACACTCACCGCGAGGGTCTGCGGCTTCATTCTTGAAGTCAGTGAGACCAAGAACCCACTGGAAGGAACCAATTCTGGACACAGAAGTACATTAAAAAATATTTTAGAACAGTATCTAAATTCAACATAGATTTAACTCAATACATTTTTGTGTATTGTCTAAAAATAAAACTAGTATTATTCTCAGTATTGTGATGTAGTAAGAAAATTCTTTCTTTGGATATCTCTTATTTTCTTTTACACTATTTTATATTTCAATAAGATAAAACTGTCACTGTCTGCCATCATAATTATTAGTGTGAAATAGCTTAAATATATATTGAAAGTTTGGGTATTTTGTAAAAAAAGAAAATTTTTCAAAACTAATTGTCATGAATTTAGCATTATTGATTCATTTCCTTTGCTTAAAACCTTTTCAGGACTTTTTGCTCTTGTTAGTCATTGTTATTGCCTTTCTCTTTCAGGTTTAGTATACCAACCAGCCAATTTAGATGCTTAATAAATAAATAAATGTAAGAACAAATAAATAAATGTCTATATATTTTTTCTTTAACTATATGGCTTCAGGAAATTTTCAGATATTAAATGTCTGAAGATAAATGCCATGAAAAATAAAGCTCTTCTGTCATATCTAAAGAATAAAATGTTAACTGTTAGCCAAAATCAGATTGATTGATTGATTTTTTTACTTTTGACCATAGAAAGCCTATTGTTGAAAGCTCATAAATTACCGTCAAACACTGATTCTCAGAACACTACTCAACCATGTAATGATTTATGTTACAAATACTATAATACAGAGAGTATGACTGTTTCTTTATAAAAACAGTTTTCTCTTTAAATATTAATCAGTGAGGGTCTTTGTTGATAAACCATGTGATTCATAATGGAAAAAACATTCTTACTAATGCCATCATTACAAATCTTTAAGCTCTGGGAAATGAGGAAGTAGTTAAATCTTTAAGGTGTTTCTTAACATCATAATGTTACAGGCATAGAGTTTAGAATCCTTTCTAATAAGGGTACTTTACTGACCACTAAATAAGACAATTTTAGCAAACTTGATTGCAGATAATTTATATTTCAACATGTAATGACTTTACTTTCCAGTTCAATTTGGTTCTTTAAATCCAGTCTTATTATTTAGGATTTTACAAAATAAGCTCTCACTAAATATTAGGAGAAGATTTAAAAAATATTTTGCAATGACTTTAATTTTTACATGGCGTGGCACCTTCAATATGATGGGAAACATCAATTAGCATAAACTTTCCAAAATTATTTTTTACAATTTATCATGTCACATTGACTTTGTCACTCCCTTATTATAAGCATTTCTATTTAAACATTGTAGGTTAATTAAAATTTGATATGTAAACTTTTTAATTTAAAGTTTAAAATGTTTCTTTTTATTACACAGATATGCATACTCATGAAGAATGGAGTATTATAAGTATTTTAAAATAAGTCTTACTGACCTTGCAGATAAATAGTTTCCTACTCCAACCTAAGGATATCAATATATTCTGGTGTCAGATAAATAACTGAATGACCCTTCAGTTAATAGCAGAAGAGTACCAACTTCACTAAATATTCACCTGACATATTTAGCTAGTTTAAATCCCTTAGCCTCTATAAAAAACATATGTCCTCCTCAAAATATTTAGTCTTTATGCCAGACACAATGATTACATGGAGGACTTCTAATTCTAGATTGGCTATGTGTCAAGATTGGTGAGTTATTTCAGTGTTTCTGGTTGGATAAACAAATCTCAACTTATATATAATAAGGCCAATTTCTCAGTTAATTGCATTTGAGATCCCCACAAAAAAAAACAGGATTTTCATCACAAAAGCATCTTTAGGTTGTTTGGTTCTAAAACTATCTTCTTAGAAAATATGACAATTAGAAAGCTTTTGTTTGTAATATGGAAGCTGTGTGGCAATAGGAAACTAGAAAAAATGTTTGCATATAAAAGAAAAATTTAGAGAGTAAGAGAAATCTTCTTAATAATTCTATAAAGTGAGATGAAGTATAATTATAATTATACAATATGTTGTGAAACTTTTTTGTTACCTATTTTACTATTCACTTAAAACTCAATTCAGCTTGCTTATATTGTGATGATCGCATTTAAACTTATGAAATCCTCAAATTTAGGGTCATAAAACCTCAAATCTAAAAGGGATTTGTACCCATAAATTTCTTCTATTACATATCTCATTGATGGTCATAAACTATTTTCTTTCATGAGAATTTATATTAACAAGATACGTTTTTCTACTTCAATGTCATCTATATTTATGATAAAGTTCATATATAGTTGGCCATCCATATCCATGGCATCCACATCTGTGGATTCAACAAACAGTGGATTGAAAATATTTTTTAATTGCATCTGTATTTAAAATGGACAGACATTTTTCCCTTGTCATTATTTCCCAAGCAATACAGTAGAACTATTTATATAGAATTTACATTGTATTGATATAAGTCACCTCAACATAATTTAAACAGGAAAATGTGGGTAGGCTACTATGCCATTTTATATCAGAGACTTGAGCACATCTGTGGACTTTAGTAGAGGCCTGGAATCAATCCCCTATGGATACCAACGGACAACTGCATATATATCAGTTTGATCTGGTCACGTGATTACTCTGGCTAATAAGCTGTGGGAAGAAGTAAGACGTGGCCTTTTAGGCCAATGCATAGAAGAGCTCATGCATGCCCTTCCACTTCCTTTTTCCTTGTTCTAAGGACGAAGATGTCACTTTTTGTAAACGATACATCTACAGAATGATGAAGGAACATTCATCAGTAGTAGTTTCTGAATGACCACATGGAGCAGCCCCTTCATAGACATGCACAGACAAATATCATGAGCAATATATAATTTTTGCTTGGGTTAAGCTACTGAGATTTTAAGCCTCTTTGTTATTGGTGCATATATTAACCTATCCTATTACCCCTTACCTAGGACATTTGCTAAAACCTTAAAATGAAGTCTAATAATTTCTGCATTTGACACTCATTCAGATAATTGGTGAAAACAATCCCCCTAAATATCCTGTTTTCTAGTAAAGCAACCTTAAAACCTTAGTGAACTTTTACTAGATATGTTGCCATAATAAACAGCTCTGAAATCTCCGTGTTTTGAAACTACGAAGATTTATTCCTGTCATGTGATATCTGTTAGCTTGGCTGCAGGGTGGCAATGGCTCTGATGTACAGGTGTTCGTCATTGAAAGAGCAGGTTCTTAGGGACAATATCGCTGAAGAAAAGGAAAAAAAATGATGGAATCGCATAATGGATTTTAAAGCTTCTACTCAGAGGTGGCACTTGGCATTTGCGTAGGTCACTTCCAGAGCCAAGTGACCAATCATGAAGAAAATGGAAAAGAAAATATAATCTTTTTACAAGGAGAGGCAAAAATATAATTGAGACTAATAACAAAATATACAACACTTACTTCCTTTAATTCCTTCCTTCCATGGTACATTGCCTAGCATTATACTTGGAACATGGTGGTAAATATTTTGAGTCAATGACTTTCATCTCTAAACATGCTGCTTACTCAAATATTATTTTTCCTTAAAAATTTGCCTCATAAGAATAAAGGTAATTCTCCAGCCATTGTACTTAGGAATGCCCTTTACAGAGAACAGTAGAATAAACCTAAAGATTCACTCCCTCTGGACTATACACCGCCTTTTAATGCAATTTAGGATTGTATTAACTTTTTAATCACTTGGATCCTATCATTGACTCACATACAATTATAAGTTCAACTAAAAAGCTTTATATTTTATAATCTTCTCATATGGCTTTTCTGCATGTAAATTATTAATCCTTAAGAGCAGAATGTAACATGTGTCCATGATAAATTACATCTAGTTAGATTGAACCCATTTATCCAGATTGTGCATAATTTTTGGCATACTTCTGTGATCCACCATACCCCTTAATTTTGAATTACAGCCTGTTTATTGCATGAACCCCAAGTCTGATAGGAATACAAAATCAAAGTCGTGTACAAGTTTTTCCATCATAGGAAATTATCTAAATGATGGCATTAACCAAATACGTTCCCAAAATATTTTAGACAACATTCCCCCATTTCAGCTGCTTTTCTCTACCTGGATAATGAGTAAATATAAGTGAGGAAGTAGCTAAGGGTCTCAAAAATTTGGTTTACTATCAAATTTTGTCTTCTCTGTGATTAATTTTGGATAGGTATCTAGCCTCTTAGAAATCTGCGAGAGTAGGGAGAAATGTAAATAAAGGAGTTATAGGTTAGAAATACATGAAGAACTTTAGAAATTACTTATATGTATTTTTGTTGATGGAGTAAAACTCTAATATAATTGTGCATATGTATAGCCAATTATATGAATGCCACCCATAGACTAATTCATAATTTTTCCACTGATTTAGGATAATATCTTTATGCCATTTTTCTTATGATACACTCTGAGTATAAAGTAGCATGTATTCAAATGTTCCAGGGATCAAGATGTGAACATCTTGGTTGAGGGGGCATTATTCTGTCAATACTTTGTAAGACTATTCAACTTTACACACATTACTTTATGCGATTGCTTTTCAAATTAGTCAAAGAAGCAGAGGTGAATAAACATGCAATCATGCTGTCTTTTGTAATTATTTACAGATTTGAATCATATCCTGTCTGGTTCCGATTGTTTTCAGTCTGAAGAACTTTCCATAGTATTTTTGTAAGGCAAATTAGCTTGTAACAGATTTTCAGTTTGTGTTTATCTGGGAAATATATTTGCCTTTCATTTTTGTGAATCTCTTTGAGCTTATTCTCTTTGGAGTTTGTTGAGCTTCCTGGATATGTACAATATTTTGTAATAAATTTGGGCATGATTTTAGCTGTGATTTTATTCAAACATTTTTCTCTTCTTTCTCTTGCTACCAAAATGCACTGGAGTCTGCTTGCCTCATGCAGTAAAGCCAAACATCCATACTGAGGTTTTATAGTGGGAGAAAGAAAAGTGTTTATTTACAGGGCACTAAGCAAGAAGAAGCAGGCAGCATAGGCTAAATACTCAGCCTCCCAGATGGCTTACAAGCAAGGATTTTTAAAGGCAGGGTACATTTCAGGAAAGCAGAAGTTACAAGCAAAATTGTAAATCAATACAGGAAGGTTATACATTGGTTTGGCCTAAAAATGTGTCATATCTTAAATCAGGGGGCTTATGAGTCATAGATGAATTTAAAGATTCTCTGGTTTATAACTGATTAAGGAAGCAAAGCTTTGTATACAAACTTGGGGTCAGCAGAATGGAATGTCTAGCCCATAGTCAAGACTTCTTCCAGGCCCGTCAGAAAGGAATACAGAACAAAGAATGGCAGCGAGATTTCAGCCCTCAGTTCCCCTTTTTCTGAGATCTACACGCCAGTGGATCCATTCAGTGGCAGGGTCCAGAGTTCTGAAAAACAATTCAGGGAACTAAATCAATATGTTATCTTTAGTTTCTGTAGGTAACCAAACATCTTGTGGTTTTAGCTTATTTGGGTGACTGTTGATTTAACCTTCTTGCTTATCAAGTTGCTCACTTAGTTTTCCAGGATAGCTAGGTATCTGGAATTTTCCTTAAAGAAATTCAAGATTTTCATTTATTTCCATGCTTAGGGGGTCTCACCGGCCCCTGAGAGGGGATATTGCTCCATCTCTCTCTCTTCTCTTTTTTTCATAATTAAAAGTATGTCTGTATGCTTTGTGGTGTCCCAAATTTTCATGAGACTCTCTTCATTTATCTTCACTCTTTTATCTCTCTGTTCTTTGGCTTGCATGCTATCAATCTATCTTCTAGTTTGTTTACTCTTTCTTCTTCTGTCAGGTCAAATCTACTTGTGAGCCACCTAGTGGTTATTTTTTGTTTTGTTTTTAGTTATTATATATATATTATTATATTTTTCAAATCCACAATTTTCTTGTATTACAATTTTATCACCTTGTGATATTCTCTCTCTGATATTACGTTACCATATTTTTATTTATTTCTTTTTTTATAATTTCTATCACTTTATTGATATCTCTGTTATTATATTGTCATCATATTTTTATTTATGTCTTTAGTCTTTTGTTTTAGTTCTGTGAATCTGTTTATAATGGCCATTTTGGAATCTTTATCTTTTTTTTTTTTTTTTTTTTTTTTGAGACAGAGTTTAGCTCTTGTTGCTCAGGCTGGAGTGCAATGGCATGATCTCGGCTCACCCCAACCTCTGCCTCCTCAGTTCAAGCAATTCTCCTTCTTCAGCCTCCTGAGTAGCTGGGATTACAGGCATGCACCACCATGCCTGGCTAATTTTTACATTTTTAGTAGAGACGGGGTTGGTCAGGCTGGTCTCAAAATCCCAACCTCAGAAAATCTTTTTCTTATAAATCTGACATCTAGTGGCTCCCACAGCTAGTTTTTGTTGCCTGTTATATTTTCCTGTTTCTTTGCATGCCACATAATTTTTTCTTGGAAAGTGAACATTTAGATTGTATAGTTTAGCAACTCTGGTTAGTGGTCTCCCATTTCTCTACATCTCATCAGTGTTATTTTATTATTTACTATCTTATTGGTTCACTGCAGTATTTTCATGTTTTTTTCCCCCTTCCAGGGTGTCAATCCTCTGATGTTGCTCCTCAAGGAGTCACAGTTTTGGGTATGCTCAGTCATCCTGAGAGGATAGCTATTTCAGTAGGGCTCTCTTCCTCTCTTTTCCTGGCCTATCTAAACCTGGTATTTAACCCCATGTGTTACTTTGTTCTCACAGTGCCATAAACAACTACCTGATATTGGGTAATTTATAAAGAAAAGATGTTTAGTTGACTTGCAGTTCCACAGGCTGTACAGAAGCCATGGCTGTAGAGGTCTCAAAAAACTTACAATCATGGCAGAAGGAGGAAGAATGGGAAGTGAGCACACCTTCACATGGCAGCAGGAGAGAGAGGCAGAGTGAAGGCAGAAGTGCCATACACTTTCAATCAACCAGATCTTGTGAGAACTGACACACTCATGAGAACAGCTCTTGTGAGAAATGACACACTATCATGAGAACACCCCCATGACCTAATCACCTCCCACCTGGTCCCTCTCTCAACACTGAAGATTACAATTTAACATGAGATTTGGTTGTGGACACAGAGCCAAACCTTATCACCCCACTAATTGCCAGGCGATTGGTAAAATGTCTGAAAAATGCTTCAGGGCATAAATAGTTCTACAAAGGAACCCAAACAAATTGTGGTATTCTTAATGGAATGTTTTCTGTGGTCAGTATTTGACATTTTTTCTGACCTCAGGAAGGCTTCCCCTAATTGTCTTATTACCAGGGACTCTCATTCATACTAGCTAGCCTAGAGTTTAGCCTATATCTTAAGAAATAGGCTCTCCCAAATACATTTCATCACCACAACCTCTACTTAGGCTTCAACTTCACCAAGCTCTATTGCAAAAGATATTCCTTTGGAAAGAGATTAGGAGCTATCTGCTGCATGGCCTACTTCCCCACATCTCCCTAAGGCTATGGAGCTTGAGGTTAGAATAAAAACAAATTTCTGGTTGGGTGACACTCCCACTGAAGGAGCTAATTGCTCAGTGGTAGGTGGGAAGACTTTCAGCTTGCCTCCCACAGCAGGGAAGCACTGCCTCATGAACCCCATGGGGCAAGGGTAATCAGGGCCCCAGTATTCTTTGTGGTACCATGCCCAAGATAAACCCTTCATTGCTTCAGTGAGGGGTAGGCAGGAAAATAGAGCTCCATTTCTCAGTTGTATTCGCCCAGGACTTAACCTTGGCAATAGGTAGCTGAGAGTATAGTGAAAAATACTGATGTCCTGTTCTTCTTGGGAAGATAGCCCTCCAAATGATAGGTGAAAAGATGGGGATCCAGTGTTCTTGGCTATAGCAGTCTGGAGTGGAGTCTCTGGGAGGTAATGAAAAAACAATTATTCTTTGTTCAAATCCCACAAACTGCCTTCTTTCTTAACACATTTTCACAGAATTTCTTGAATAGATGTTTCCTTGTTTGCTGTTTACCTTTAGAATGTTTTCCAGGGGCTCTCAGTCATTGTTTTTCTGGAATTTATATCAGTTTCACTGGGAAGTTGGTCAACAGAGCTTCTCACGCTGTCAAATGGAAGTTGGCTCCCATGAACACTACTTTCATACTGTTTTCTCTCTCTTTCACAGACACATTTCTCATTCTTGCCCCACACCTTTTTTTTTTTTTTTTGTGCCTCTTTACCTATTTCAGTTTCTGTTAAATTTAAAAAAGAAGGATCTCTTCTGGATTCTATCTATCCTTCTGTAAAACACAGTACTCAAATAGGTATTATAATGGTAGTTGAGAGTTTCTGTACCTTGTTACTATATCAAATTTAGGAAAAGAATAGAGAAAGAAAAAGAGAGAGAGAAATGAAGAATGACCAAATGCCAGTGGGAATGTAACCAGGAAGTGGAGAGTCCTTGTTTCTTGCTTTTTTGGAGGAAAGAATTCAGCCAAGAGACACACAAAGAGAGTTAGGCCATAGCGAAGTTTATCTAAAGTGAAAGACACCCCGAAAGCAAAGTCAGAGCAGCTACTCGAGATTGAGACAGACCTGACAGTGAAAGTGGAAGTATGCTCTGAAAGCTGGATGAGAGAAAGCTGCTACAGAATGAAACAGAGTTGACTGGCACTGGGGAGCCCCCTTTATGGAAGTCTTACATGAATATTCATAAAGGGGTGTGAAGAGGTATTACTATTAATAGTATGCATTTTGAGGTGGTCTCCTGGGCATGCATTCACTGTGGCTGTACATGCTAGTACAAATGTTGCATGTCTCATTAATATGTCCCTGAGACTGAATATCTCATTAATCTCCATCCAGGGGTCTGTGTTTTTTATTTTAATAAGCAAAAGGTTACCTATCAGGCAAGCAAAGTCAAAGCATTCATGCTTACTACTAGGGAAGTTTCCTACTGAAGTTATTTCCTTCAGGGGCCAGATAAGTCTCAGAGCGAGATAGGCCTAACTGCAAGTCCACATGTGGCTATTTTTGTTTGTTTGTTTTTGTTTTTGTTTTTGCTAGTGGAGCAGTAATTACTAGTGGGGCAAGGTTTCCAGGGCTTCCTTCCTCTGGATTTCCCTTTCTTGTTCACGCCTAGCTATCTGCTTACTTTAGCAGGAAGCCTGGCTCAGGTTTCAGTTAGAGCAATGTGTCTACTGTCTCTTGTCTTCTTAATTCACAGCTTCTAGACACAGGTCAATGTCAGCCTTTTATTATCCCTCAGTTTAATAAAAGTGAGATATTTACTCTATGCCTTAGTTTTATAAAGGTTTTCTGGTTCTATTTGTCCACTTTATGTAGGACATTTAATTGCTTTTATTGAACAGAATGAAATTGTTTGAGTTTCACTGTTAAGATTCCAGGCCCAGAGCCAAAGAGTCCTGTAAATTCTACCCCATGTAACATTCTTCTTCTGTTTCATTAGAGTCATTTGTCCAGCTGTTAGTAAAATGACATGGCTTTTCTTTCACTCATTTATATATTTTTGACATTCTATCTATAGAGGAGATAAAAAAAATGAACACATAAATACTTTTACGCAGAGAAATTTTAATTTCACCCTTTCTTCAATCATATATGATTACATCATTTAAAAAAAACTATAGCAATTTTGACAAACTTTATGTACAGAAGAATAATGTGCCCTTGTTCTCTGTGGGATTTTATAAAACCTTTTTATTCTTGTTGCTTATACAATTTTTCTTTATTTTCCATAAATTTCCTCCAATATGGAAAATTCATTGACAACTTTTCTAGCATATTATCTACAGTGTTTTCTAGTCCACATCAAATTCAATGCTCTTCATCTCTTCAGTTCTTTCACCCACCTTCCTTATTTTACTCATCCACCAGTACCATTAAAATGGCCATTCATTTCTGCCATCAAAATATTTTTATTGTCTTAATTCAATCAAACTTTCGTGACTAAATCATTTACTCTTTCATGCATGTATTTTTTTTCTCTACTCCAAGGTTTTACCCATCAGTTTCTTTTAGGGATTATTTTCCTGAATAACTTCTTTTTTTTAAAGACAGGATCTCGCTTTGTCACTCAGGTAGGCTGGACCACAGTGGCATAATCACAGCTCACCACAGCCTCTAACTTCTAGGCTCAAGCAATCTCCCAAACTCGCCTCCCAAGTACCCAAGACTAAAAGCACACCCCACCATGTCCAGCTAATTTGTATTTTTTTTGTACAGATGAAGTCTCACTGTGTTGCTCAGGCTGGGCTTGAACTCCTGGACTCAAGTGTTCTCCCACCTTGACCTCCCAAAGCACTAGGATTACAGGCATGAGCCACCACATCTAGCCTTGCAACTTCTACATTTCCACTTCTCCACAAACCAAGCATAGAGATATACAAAATAATGAAGAATTTTATTCCAATTCTGAAATGCCTATGTCCATTATTTTCACTATATTTCCAATGACACTGTCTTTTTTTTTCTTTTAGACAGAGTCTTGCTCTACTCTTCAGGCTGGAGTGCAGTGGCTCAAATACAGCTCACTGTAGCGTCAACCTGCTGGGCTCAAGCAATCTTCCCACTTCAGCCTCCCAAATAGCTGGGGCCCACAGGTATGTATCATCATGCCCAGATGATTTTTTTAAATTTTTTTGGAGAGATGAGGGTCTCCTGATGTTGTCCAGGCTGGGACACTTAAAACAGGGATTATTTCCTCTCACTTTCCCAAACTGACTAATCAAGACCTTGCCTTTCTTCTGTCTAAATATTGTATGCAGTTTTAATAAAGTGGTCTAATTTATAACCATACAAAGCATGACAATATTAACTTAAAATTTAAATGCTTAACACAGATTATCTTTTTAAAAAATTTGTTTTCATTTTTAAACAATTTTATTTTTTAGAGTGGTTTTAGGTTCACAGCCAAATTAAGCAGCAGATATAGAGATTCCACATATACCCTCTTTCTTGATACATATATAGCTTCCTCAATATTGTCAACATCCTCCATCACAGTGAGACATTTGTTACAACTGATGAACCCTCATTGGTATACTGTTATACAAATCCATAGTTTACATTAGAGTTCACTCTGGTTGTCTTACATTCTATGGGTTTGGAAAAATTTGTAATGACATGTGTCTGCCATCTATAGTATCATACAGAATTTTCACTGCCTTAAAAATCATCTGATTGTCTTTTTTAAATCTCCCTAAAATGCCATGAGATGAATGGCATTATTAAGCCCATTTTTAAAATGAGGAAATTAAGACTTACAAAGAATAAGTAACTTGCCTAAAGTCATAGAGATTAATTGTCAAGGTCTTTGAGTATTCTTATGATAGCCTTCACATTAGTTATGTCCCTCAGCCACAATTAAATGTTTACATTTGTGTGCGTTTGTAAATTTGCTTTGTGTTTATTTTAATCCTTGATTACATTTTCTGTTGTGAAATACACGTGACATACATTCTATTCTTTAAGAGTACGCATTTGATGAAGGCAGAAATCATGTACTCTTAATAGTTACTTTTTGCTCAGAGTTTCTCAGTAAGAATTCATTTAGCTAAAGAGTATTCAGCATTAAAGACATTGTAAGACTGCTAATTAGCTGCTTAAATATTTTCTAGTCTCCTGGTAGTTGAATAACTTTTTCTTCAATTGGGATAGACATTAACTTCATCATTTTGACCTCTTTCTAATTTGTATAATTATTAACTTCCTGCCCAAATCTAGCCTGAAGTTTTAGTTGGTTAAATATGTTTCCTAGTTTTCCCCAATTAAAGGCTGTTAAATAAGAATACCTGAAATAAACAGTAATGGGTAAAGTGATATGCAAGGACTGATGTCTTCACTCCTATAATCCTTATGTGGATTTTAAAAATATTTATTATTAGGAAAATTATCTAACTTCATTTTCTCTATCTGCTTATCAATTTCTGTATCTGAGTACAGGCATATTTTATATAATAAAATTTCTTTTCTGGAGCTAAATAATGTGTACACATGGATATAGAGAGTAGAATAATAGACACTGGAGACTCAGAGGGTTGGAAGGTAGGCATTGAGGAATGAAAAGTTAATTAACAGGGATACAATGTACACTAATTGGGTGATGGCTTCACTAAAAGCCAAGATTTCACCATTATGCAGGCTATCCATGTAATAAAATTGTACTTGTACCACCTATATTTGTAAAAAATTATCCACACACCTACCTAACTTCCCTATCTAGTTAACCTTTTATCTCCTTATTGATATATATATTTAAATATATATTATATATATATATATATATCCATATATCTGCTAAGTGATTTATCTATCTACCTGTTTTTCTAGATGTAGGCATAACATGGCATAAATTTTACTTGACCATGAAAATGAAGGAGAAAGAAAGGAAAAATTATCTGGGAAAAATTCAGACTGCAGAAGTGGCCTGCCTGAAAAGTCACATCAACAGGCAAAAATAAAACAACCTGGAAAAAAAAAACCTCAGGCTGCACCTGCACCCACATAAGCAAACAGTGTCCAGCACGGAAGCTCTTTATTCCTTGTATAATTAGTGATCTCCCAGGAAAAAGTTTCCTCCTCTTTTCAGGCATATACATGGTGGGAACTTGCACAGGGAGGTGGGGGCTTACCTAAAACAAACCCACAGTTATACAAACAAGAGAAACAGCACTTTGTGCTTGGCTAGAGACATACCCACAGCTGGATAAGAGAAGGGGAGTTACACAGACAGCTTTACTAATAAAAAAGTTACTTGAACAGTTACAGGGAGGGAGCAGTTTCTTATAAAAAGCTTTTGAATTCAGCTGTAACCCAGCAATCCAAGTGGACTCCCCTTTCTGCTGCGGAGAGCTTTCTTTTTTCACTTACTAAACTTTTGCTCCAACCCCACCTTTGTGTTTGCATTCCTTAATTTTCTTGGACCTAAGATAAAGAACCCAGGGTCCTAGTTCAAACAACAAGAAACTGCTACATTAAGGGGCCTTGGCAAAACTGCAACAAAAATATAAACAAAATACATTATAAAACTTATTTTTTCTCAATTAAGTTACAATGGCAAAGAGCCCCTATGAAATTCATTATGAAGTCAGCCTCCAAGGTCAAGAGAGCTTCCATAAAGTATACTGCACTCTAGAATATTTGGTTAGTGCTCTCTTGATCTTGTTTCAAGCAGTATTCATTTGATAGACTGTCTGAGCCTACCTGATTCTTAAAGGTTAGAAGCGCCATAACTTGTGTTCATAGGGAGTGGAATTTTTGCTGAGACCTAAAGCCCCGAGTCTAGGTTCATACTTCCCTGGAAGGCATATAACTCTGTGGCCTTTTTTTCTCTATAAAAATCTGCATGGCAGTTGCACTTACGTTACTCATGCCTAAGAATATCCACAAAATTTGGGGAAAATTCCAAATTCTTGCTATATTCTTAGAAAACTTTTATATTTAAGGCAGTTTCTACATTTAGTGTTCATATTACTTTTCTCTATCATTTTCCAATCTGGAAGAATTCTACATAGTTTTTCTTCAAAGGACTTGGAAACATAATGTTGACCTCTTTCCTGAGGGTAGTGGTAGGAGTAGTCGAATGTGTTAGAGGAACCCCTGCTTACCAGGCCTCTGGTTTAATAGAACATGATTACAGTGACTCCATCTTTAAGTGAGTGGCTGAGCACTTACAAAGCACCTATAAGGTTGATACTTGTGGTCTGAAAATAGCCACATGATAAGCTGACCACCAATTATAACTGTAGAGTATTTATGGCCTTACAGTACATCCCCAACCAAGCCTGTAGAATGTCCAGTTGTCCTAAAAGCACAGCCTACTTTACTCAGAGATAACATTAATGAGCAAGCCTAAGTTGAAGGACTAGTGGTTATTGACAGCTTCAATAGCCCCTACCTTTATTAAGCACATCTGCGCATTCCATGTTTGGCTATAGCTCCTTATAATTTTTTATAAGTAGAGACACTAACAAAGGGTGGTGCATTCCTCCTCCTGCTTTCTGAGGACACCCTACTCTGTATCAGAGTAGTTTCTATTGAACTTACTTCTTTTTCTATGCTCTTTGATTTGCCTTGAAAGCTTTCCCAAGCAAGATCCAAGAACCCTCTCTTGAGGTCTGGATTGGAACCTCTTTTTCTGGCAATAAATGGGAAGCTCAGATAAGTTAGCTTTTTTCTTATGGAGTCTCCCCCTCATATGTGTATATATATATAGATATTTTAATCAGTAATTGTTTTGCAGTCATAAAATGCATCCATAAAGTGTCTACTGTGTTGTGTGTATGTGCTATGGTTTTAATATGTCCCTTCAAGGTTTATTGGTTGAAAACCTGATCCCCAGTGCAACAGTGTTGAGAGGCAGAATCCCTAAGAGGTGATTAACTCATGAGTGCTATGACCTCATGAATGGATTCATGCTATTATTGTGGGAATGAGTTCATTATTGTGAGAATGGGTTCTTTATAAAAGAATAAATTTGGCCCACTTACCTCTGTCTCTCTCATCTATGTGTTACCTTCTGTCTTTTTATGATGCATCAACAAGGCATCAACAGATATAACGCCTTGATCTAGGATTTTCCAACATCCAAACTCTGAGCCAAATAAATTTATGTTCTTTATAAATGTCCCAGCCTGTGGTATTCTGTTAGCAGTACAGAATATTAAGTTGGTGCAAAAGTAATTGCAGTTTTTGTCATTAAAATTAATGAGCACATATAAGTGTGTTACATATAGAGCTCTGATGGAAATCTGCATAGCCTAGACACAGAAGGCACTGTGTAGGTACAGAAGACACACAGTGGACACAGAAGTGTTCAGAAGATCACTTGGTAATTGAGGTAAAAAGAGTAAATATATATCTAGAGTACTGGGTCATTGTGGACAAGGGGTGAAGAATGTGGTGGAGGTGGTTAGTAAAAAGCAGAGCAAGATGTTAAATGGTATAATAGAAAAGATGGTGGCTGAAGTTTTGGTGCTATAGATAGCAGTTTAAAAATAGTGGCAATAAGAACATTATAGACTGGATTGTGCCTCCCCAACCTTGTTATGTTGAAGCCCAAACCTGTTGTTTGACTGGCTTTGGAGATAGAGCCTCTCAAGAGATTATTAAGGATAAATGAAATTTTAAAAGTGGGCCCTAATCTGTCCTGTAAAAAGAGGAACTCACAAGACTCCTCTCTGTCTTTGCACAGAGGAAAGGCTGTGTGGAACAACAGCCAGATGGTGGCTGTTGCAAGCTGAGAAGAGAGGCTTCATCAGAAACAAGCCCTCCCAGCAACTTGGCCTTGGACTTCTGGCCTCCAGAACTGTGAGAAAATAAATGTTTCTTGTTTAAGCCAGTCATCTGTGGTATCTTGTTACGGCAGCTTAAGCAGACTAATACACAAAGCAAAACAGCAACACTAGTATTATAACGAAGAGACAGAACTGCTCTCACCATGGAGAAATGATGGAGTGCTTAATAGGTAATCTTGGGAAACCTCCAGGATTGGGCAAGGATGTGCACATGTCTTCAGTAAAATAAACACTACAAGTGAAATGGATATTAAGATTTAGTGAATGGGATGATTCAATCAGTCTCAGCTAGTGAAACCAGAAATAAATGGCAAAGCCTGTGATTTTTTTAAAACAAAAATCTAAGCTTTTAATGTATATTTCTTAATATATCCATGTGTATTAGTGTTCTATTGCTACATTACAAATTATCATAAAGGTAGAAAGTAAAATAATGCCAATTTATTTTCTCACAGTTTCTGTAGGTCAGAAATCCAGGCACAGCATAACTGGATTCTCTGCTGAAGCTCTCAAAAGGCTTAAATCAGGGTGTTAGCCAAGACTGCAGTCTCACATGAACTCATTCAGGTAGGTAGCAGAATTCAGTTCCTTATGCTATAAGAACCATGGCAGCTTCCATTTCCTTCAAAGTAAGCAAGAGAAAAATCTCAATAATTATTTATCATGATTTTTAAGAGATCCCACCTGATTAAATCAGATGTACCCAGATAATGTCTCTTTTGATTTACTCCAAAATAACCGATTTGTCATAAAAATGACACATGTGAAATCCCTTTTTCCGTATCATGTCACACAACCAAGGAGTGAGATTTATCATACTTACAAATTTCTAATGGGGATTATACAAGGCATCTATACCAAAGGGTAGGAATTTTGGTGGCCATTTTAGACTTCTTTCTACCACACTGTTATTGCCATTCGTTGTACACCCTGATCGCCTCTCCAGAATAACAGTGGCATTCACTGTTATTCTTGTGCCTGTAGATAGTGTCCTACAGCAAGCACCTTCCCTGCAGGGCTCCACTTCTAGGTTCACAGGCTGGGTAGATCACAAGTCCTAGGAGCAAGCACCCTCAGTTGCTGCTCTCAACAAATAAGTGAATAGAAGTACAAATACTCTTATTTCCGTGGCCCTCAAGTATAACTAATCAATGTTCCACACTGTCTCCCACAGGTGCCTAAAGGTCATGAACTCTAGTTGTCCATAGAGAGAACTTTCTTAGCATTACAACTTCTAAAGATTTTCTTTTCTTTCCTGTCTTATTTTTTCACTCCTCTCCAATATTTCTCAGGATCATCTCCCTCACCAAAAAAAAAAAAATACACTTGCACTCAGATTCTTATTCAGGAACTCTTCTGGATGTAACACAGCTTATTTCCGTGAACAAATGTTATGTTACCATAAAACTTTTTGAGTGCTCTGAGAAATAACTTAATGTGTGTGAGCACATGTGTATATAATGCACACTGTATTAAATGATATCTAGACATATATATCCTGTACATTATATTTAATATGGCATATATATTAAAGATAATTGACATGTTAAAACATATAATTATACAATCATATAATTAAAATAAATATATTGCAAAATATATTCTAAAATGTATTTTAATATATTAATGTCAGTAGAAAATATTTCTACTTAAAAATTTGTTTTATTGCTTTCCTACTTAACATAATGATGTACAAAATGTAGGACACATCAAATATTGTTTTCTAAATGCCATCTAATTTCCCAATTATTTGTATTATTTTATTTTATAAATAGAAGTAAATCTAAAGTTATGTAGGAACAATTAAAAGCATAAGTACTTTTTAAGATTTATATTTTTGAAGCAGCATTCTTCTTTATGCATCCTAAATTTCTGAAATACTTTATAAATTCTTAATAAATGAAATAATAAATTCTTAATAAAAATTTTAATTTTATATAAGGTTTGATATACATAATTAACATAAATATTCAAGCTATTTACTGAAAGTTTAAACAAAAACAACATGTCCATCATGCCAAATTAGTATTTCACAGTTCAACATGTCAATAAGCAGCGTATCATGGTATTATGCAGAATGCTGCTTCACACATAAATAGTTTGCTTTACACATTTTTTTCTACTAACTTCATCTTCTAATCCTCATAGCCCAGAATTTTATTGTAGCTATGCACTACACAAAGTAAGTGCTTCATGTATGCCTATTGATTAAATGGTTATTCTTGTTGTGTTAAATACATCATTTCATGTATTTCCTTATAATATCTGATTTCCCTTATAAATGTGATATTTTCTTTCATGTTTCTTAGCATCATTTGTGACCTAGGATGATAAATTTGTTCCTACTGTTTCCTAAATAGTTACTGGACATCACTTATAAATCATCTTCCTGGTAATTAAAGAATTGCACAGACAAATATGCTATGTGAAACGATCATAATATATATTATATTGTAAATTTGTCATGAATTAATACAGAAATATTATATACATATATACCTATTCAAGCAATAACAGTTTGAACATATACAAATAAATAATTCAATTATTATCATATATTTTCTAGATTTCAGCATCCTGAAAGTGTTAGACATAAAGAACTATTTATTTATTTATTTTGGTTAAGGGAACAATAAGGAAATCTATAATAAAAGATTTTATTAGCTAGAATTACTTTTGTATTTAATTCTGGTACCATATGTAATTCTGTTATACAACACTTTCTAATATTATATTCTAACAATGCAAAAAAGAGCTAAGGTATGTTTCAGATGAAAATATTTAATGTAAGAATATATTGTCATGTTATTGGACAATTTCCAGTTTCACTTGTGAAGAAAAAACTGAACAAGGAAATCTCGCCATTCAATTCTTCAGAATTCAGCAAAAATTAGACTAAAACTAATGTCTATATTTAGAGTACCATTCTATAATAGCAATTTAATCATGATGGTAGTTTTAGCGCAGACAAGAAAATATTCTATCATCCACATTTATGATATAGATGTATGTAAACAGAAATCTATTAACTATGAATCTGTATATACTATGACAACATTTGATAATTAACTTGATATTTGTAAAGAAACAAATGATTTCTCAAACGTCAAAGTTATTTGTAATATATTGACAAACATGTATTAAGGTCCTACCAAAGCTATGCGTGCCTATACGAGACACATTTTAGATGAAATTTGGATTGGCCTAACCCCTGTTAATTTTCTCCATTACTAAAATTACTTTATTTCCTTTGGATCACAATGTGATTCTAAATTTACCACGTGAAAATCATGAGGTTTATAGCAGAACAGGCTGAAACTGATGACATCCAGGTTTATAAATCTCAGGTTATCAGTAACGAACTTGAAGCTTCTGCTGTACTTCTGAGAGCTGAGAGACAATATTTCAAAGTGTCTTTTTTTTTTTTTTTCTTTTTTTGAGACAGAGTTTCACTCTTGTTGCCCAGGCTGTAGTATAGTGGCATAATCTCGGCTCAGTGCAACCTTTGTCTCCCAGGTTCAAGCGATTCTCCTGCCTCAGCCTCCCGTAGCAGCTGGGATTACAGGCACGCCCACGCCTGGCTAACTTTTGTGTTTTTAATAAAGACCGGGTTTCACCCTGTTGGCCAGTCTGGTCTTGAACTCCTGACCTCAGGTGATCCACTCGATTCAGCCCCCTAAAGTGCTGGGATTACAGGCGTGAGCCACCGCACCCGGCCTCAAAGTGTCTTTTAACTAGGCTATTAGAACTGGTATTACCACTGTTTTTTCTCTTGAATTCTACATAGTACAGATACCAACAGATCTTTATTCCCTGCAATGCATGCATAGGAGCCTACTCAACAATAATGCCAATGATCTTGCTTCTCTTTATTGTTCCCAAAACTCAATGGTACAGAGATAATTCCATTTTGCCAATATTTTTTCCTTTTAAAAACATGTTGTCTTATTCCGCCTCTTATTATTTTATGAAGAAGAAATCATAAAGCAGTCAAATAACCAAGTCACTCTATTCTGTAAGAATGTGCAAATACATTTGAATCACTTAATATGACTCAGGCTTGGTGAGATGCATAATAAGTGACACTGTGGAAAAATTCTACACTGAGATAGATTTGACTCAATGTTTCCTATTATTTAACTACCGTAAATAGACATTATGATTGTTCAGGACATACTTTTTTTTCCCAAACAACTCATCTAATTATAGTTGAAAAATATAATTGATTCAGAAATGTGTTCAATATTCATAGTATACCCATGGGTTATTAGACTAATAATTTCTGGACATTTAACCATTTGGGGATAATAGCAAAGCTTGGAAAAAAAGGGATAGGTAGATTAAAAAGAGTATCAAGTCCTGATATGTTGTCAGAACAATGGATTTTTCTACTAAACAATGTGCTGTAACAAACATACAAACTAAAAGTTATCTTGTGTATGATGAATACAAACAGTTTACTTACAAGACTTTTCCAATATAATCTATAACAATATTTTATTAGCAATATTATCTGTTTCCATTTAAGGTCAGGTAATATTTAGGGTCATAATGTATGCTATGGAGCTCCTGGTTTGGAAGCTATTTTTTGATTCAACTATAAATGAACAGATAAAAGCAATGGATTGAATGTTTATTGACTACCTACTTTGCCAAAACCCTGTCACTGTGCTAAATGGTGTGCATTAATGATTTTCTGCCATTCTTAAAACAACTAGATGATTTGGAATATCATTCCTATATTGTAGAGAAAGTAAATAAGAGAGATGAAGAAACTTACAGTATATTATGCAATAAGTAAGCAAGAACATTAATATTTCTGCTCAGCTAAGACAAATTTCAAAATCTGTGGTCTTGACTCTACCAAACAATAGACTCAGGTTTTTAAAAGGTGATTATTTGGCTGTTTACCAGGCGTGATTTGGGGGTCAGTTATAACCAGTAATGTACAAGCACTTAAATGTGTTATAAAATGTTTCAAGCCAGGTTTCTCTGTGGTTGGCATATGTACATGAATTAACACACTATTGCCCTTTTCCTACTGTTTTTGACTTGACTTACAGGAAAAAAATTTAGAAGTTTGACATGTTTATTAGTAAGTAAGGAAAAGGAAATAATTCTTTCCTTAAGTAATTATACTCTTTAAGTAAAATAATAATGAAAAAAATGTAAGTACGTAAGACTATAAAGGTTTAATAATAAGTACTTCAGGTTCCAACTACAACACATGAATACAAAGCTAACTTTTAAGTTCTTTTTACGTATATATGAGCTCCAAGAAGCAACACACTGCTTAGAAGGATCATTGATATAAACTCCATACATATTAACAACCTCTATGTATTTAAAGCATAACAACCTCTGTATTGCATTTTATGCTTATGTAGTGAGCTATGTGGGTCATTAAATTGAACTTAAAAAAAGTTGTAATATTCAAATTATTTTTTAAAATTTTCTTGTTTTGAAAATTTTCTTGTTTGTGTTTTATTCTGTTTTTGTGTTTCTATTTCAAATATACAGCTATTTTGTCTCTCTTAAAATAATAAAACAATTCTATATCTGGACAAAACTCTATCAAGAGTTTGGTTTAACTATCCAAGTAATGAGAGACTATTTTATTACTCTGTTAAAATTAGTAGCCTTAGTCGTGACATTTCATTTTTCAAAAATAATATTTTCCTTCTTTAGAAATGAAAAATACATATATGCTTTTGCTATCATAATGACATGAAATAATATACAGCCTGTATAGGTCTACCAGATGGCTGATTGATTTTCAAAGAGATGTGATTAATATTTATTTAATGGCAATATTTTGTTAGATTCTGAGCTTTAGCTACCTTATTTTCTTTAATACTCTGACAGCCTTATAAGTCTTCTATTATCTTATTATTGTTCTTTGTAGCCATTTATTCAACTAACAGTTACTGCCTTAATTATATAAATAGAAAATAGGGAATCAAAATGCTCTTACAAAAATTAGAAAAGTGATGAATTGTGGTCTTATTTATTCTTTGTTTCTTAGGATTAGTAATTTCATCAATCATCAAACAAGGAGCCCAAAAAAAACACTGTTAATAAATCAAGTCATTGAACTAAGAGAAGTGATAACTAAGTCCTAATATTCATATTGAATATATTAGGCTTACATGTACTTAAGTGTATAGTCTATCTATATTATACATGTACACACACATATACAAACAGATAAAACACACACATGCTTTTCTCTTACATTTCAACCACCATCAGTCTTACAGAATTTTAGATAAGATGGAAACTTTCTTTAACTGGCATGCATATCCTGGGAAAAATTATTTTTTACTACCTAGCCAGAAAGATGTATATTTAAAGCCATTTAAAATAAAGCAGTGTGTAGAGGGAAATTTATAGCACTAAATACCCACAAGAGAAAGCAGGAAAGATCTAAAATCAACACCTAACATCACAATTAAAAGAACTAGAGAAGCAAGAGCAAACACATTCAAAAGCTAGCAGAAGGCAAGAAATAACTAAGATCAGAGCAGAACTGAAGGAGATAGAGACACACACACACACAAAAAAAAAAACTTCAGAAAATCAATGAAACCAGGAGCTGGTTTTTTGAAAAGATCAACAAAATTGATAGACGACTAGCAAGACTAATAAAGAAGAAAAGAGAGAAGAATCAAATAGATGCAATAAAAAATTATAAAGGGGATATCCCCACCGATCCCACAGAAATACAAACTACCATCAGAGAATACTATAAACACCTTTACGCAAATAAACTAGAAAATCTAGAAGAAATGTAGAAATTCCTGGACACATACCCACTTCCTAAGACTAAACCAGGAAGAAGTTGAATCCCTAAATAGACCAATAACAGGCTCTGAAATTGAGGCAATAATTAATAGCCTACCAACCAACCAAAGTCCAGGACCAGATGGATTCTCAGCTGAATTCTACCAGAGGTACAAAGAGAAGCTGGTACCATTCTTTCTGAAACTATTCCAATCAATAGAGAAATAGGGAATCCTCCCTAACTCATTTTATGAGGCCAGCATCATCCTGATACCAAAGCCTGGCAGAGACACAAAAAAAGAGAATTTTAGACCAATATCCCTGATGAACATCGATGCAAAGATCCTCCATAAAATACTGGCAAACCAAATCCAGCAGCACATCAAAAAACTTATCCACCACGATCAAGTTGGCTTCATCCCCGGGATGCAAGGCTATTTCATCATACGCAAATCAAAAAAGGTAATCCATCATATAAACAGAACGAAAGACAAAAACCATATGATTATCTCAATAGATGCAGAAAAGGCCTTTGACAAAATTCAACAGCCCTTCATGCTAAAAACTCTAAATAAAGTAGGTATTGATGGGATGCATCTCAAAATAATAAGAGCTATTTATGACAGACCCACAGCCAATGTCCTACTGAATGGGCAAAAACTGGAAGCATTCCCTTTGAAAACTGGTACAAGACAGGAATGCCCTCTCTCACCACTCCTATTCAACATAGTGTTGGAAGCTCTGGCCAGGGCAGTCAGGCAGGAGAAAGAAATAAAGGGTATTCAATTAGGAAAAGAGGAAGTCAAATTGTCCCTGTTTGCAGATGACATGATTGTATATTTAGAAAATGCTATTGTCTCAGCCCAAAATCTCCTTAAGCTGATAAGGAACTTCAGCAAAGTCTCAGGATACAAAGTCAATGTGCAAAAATCACAAGCATTCCTGTACACCAATAACAGACTAACAGAGAGCCAAATCATGAGTGAACTCCCATTCACAACTGCTTCAAAGAGAATAAAATACCTAGGAATCCAACTTACAAGGCATGTGAAGGATCTCTTCAAGGAGAACTACAAACCACTGCTCAACGAAATAAACAAATGGAAGAACATTCCATACTCATGGATAGGAAGAACCAATATCGTGAAAATGGCCTAAGGTAATTTATAGATACTGCCCAAGGTAATCTATAGATTCAATGCCATTCCCATCAAGCTAACCTATGACTTTCTTCACAGAATTGGAAAAAACTACTTTAAAGTTCATATGGAAACAAAAAAGAGCCCTCATTGCCAAGACAATCCAAAGCCAAAAGAACACAGCTGGAGACATCATGCTACCTGACTTCAAACTATTCTACAGGCTATAGTAACCAAAACAGTATGGTACTGGTACCAAAACAGAGATATAGACCAGTGGAACAGAACAGAGCCCTCAGAAATAATACCACACATCTACAACCATCTGATCTTTGACAAATCTGGCAGAAACAAGAAATGGGGAAAGGATTCCCTATATAATAAATGGTGCTGGGAAAACTGGCTAGCCATATGTAGAAAGCTGAAACTGGATCCCTTCCTTACACCTTATACAAAAATTAATTCAAGATGGATTAAAGACTTAAATGTGAGACCTAAAACCATACAAACCCTAGAAGCAAACCTATGCAGTACCATTCAGGACATACGCATGCATGGGCAAGGACTTCATGACTAAAACACCAAAAGCAACAGCAACAAAAGCCAAAATTGACAGATGGGATCTAATTAAACTAAAGAGCTTCTGCAGAGCAAAAGAAACTACTATCAGAGTGAACAAGCAACCTACAGAATGGGAGAAAATTTTTGCAATCTAGCCATTTGACAAAGGGCTAATATCCAGAATCTACAAAGAACTTAAACAAATTTATAAGAAAAAATCAAACAACCCCATCAAAAAGTGGGTGAGGGATATGAACAGACACTTCTCAAAAGAAGATATTTATGCAGCCAACAGACATATGAAAAAATGCTCATCATCACTGGCCATCAGAGAAATGCAAATCAAAACCACAGTAAGATACCATCTCACACCAGTTAGAATGGCGATCATTAAAAAGTCAGGAAACAACAGGTGTGGAGAGGATGTGGAGAAACAGGAATGCTTTTACACTGTTGGTGGGAGTGTAAACTAGTTCAACCATTGTGGAAGACAGTGTGGCGATTCCTCAAGGATCTAGAAGTAGAAACACCATCTGACCCAGTGATCCCATTAATGGGTATATACCCAAAGGATTATAAGTCATGCTACTATAAAGACACATGCACACGTATGTTTATTGCAGCACTATTCACAATAGCAAAGACTTGGAACCAACCCAAATGTCCATCAATGATAGACTGGATTAAGAAAATGTGGCACATATACACCATGGAATACTATGCAGCCATAAAAAAGGATGAGTTCATGTCCTTTGTAGGGACATGGATGAAACTGGAAACCATCATTCTGAGCAAACTATCGCAAGGACAAAAAACCAAACACCGCATGTCCTCACTCATAGGTGGGAATTGAACAATGAGAACGCTTGGTCACAGGGTGGGGAACATCACACACCGGGGCCTGTTGTGGGGGTGGGAGGGGGGAGGGACCAGTATTAGGAGATGTACCTAATGTAAATGACGAGTTAATGGGTGCAGCACACCAATATGGCACATGTATACATACGTAACAAACCTGCACGTTGTGCACATGTACCCTAGAACTTAAAGTATAATTAATAAAAGAAAGAAAAAGAAAAAGAAAAAAGTTCAACTGATATAATTTATCAGGATATATCAATAGAAAGAAATATAATTACTGGTTTAATAAATTGAACTCTTCTAATATTAAAAATATAACATCTTTAAAGAGAAATTGACAAAATTTTGTAAATTTATGTTTCGGTGAAAAGGGGCAAGAATGGCCACATAAATCTCAAAGAGGGACAAAAGTTAAGAATTACGCTGGGTCTCAGAGACAGAGTTTTTAAGATCTATATGGAGACAACACATGACTGTTACAAAGACATTAAAACAAAATAGTGAGTCCAGAAATGACCATATATGCATGCTTACCTGATATAAAACAAAGTAAGGCTGCAGAACGATGGGGGAAATAATGACCTTTTCAAGATATTCTAAGTCAATTGGATATTTTTATCAGAATTTTTTTAACCTTACATCATAAACACATAATTTCTTGATACTTTGTATATCTAAATGTGATCAACAAACAATAAAGCTTTTTAAAAAGTGGGAGCATATTATCATTTTCCTAGCAGAGGCAACAAAAATACTAAACATGAAGCTTTGGCCATAAATAACAAATTAATAAATTTGACACTAAAATTAAGGTTTTTTGCTCAGCAAAATGCAGTAATAGAGTGAAAAATAAAGAATCAAATAAAATATTCAGAAAATATGTGCCTGGCATAATAATCATTTCCTCTGTGTTTGTGTGTGTCTGTGTGTGTGAGTGTAAAATCTACAAATCAATAATAAAATGGAAGTCAAAGCAAGTCAAAGCAATAGACAATGAACAAATACTGGAAGAAGCACTGCCTAGAAGATTATTCTAAATTGTCTAGAAAAATATGGAAAGTTGCTTAAAATTGTTAGTCATTAGGAAAATATCAATTAAAACCACAATATGTTTCCATGAATACAAATGACAGACAACACCACGATGAGGTAAGGATGTGGAAAACCAAGGACTCTTAAGCACTGGAAGGAGTGTAGATTTAATAGTACAAAGACTTTGCCTTCTCTATTAAAGTTAAACATAATTATAGGATACAATAAACTCTGTTGGATGCCTATGTACCTTTCTAAAAGACATGCATCATGATGGTCATTGCAGAATCTTTTATTAAAGTCAAAAAGTAGAAACTAAACAAATTTCTATAAGCATTAGAATGATTGAATAAAGTGTGTCTTCTTTCTGTGATGCAATACTAAAGCATGGAGAATTAACAAACTATTACTGCACAAAAGTACATGAATGGATCTCACAACCATTCACATTAAAACAACAACAAAAAAAGAGAGCGGTGGGAGGGACATACAGAAGAGCACATTCTATATAATTCAAATGATAAACGGTTCAAAACAAGCAAAATAATTTAATTATTTAGATCTCAGGATAGTTTGTCCTTGAGGGTAGTAAATAGGAAGGGACAGAGGGACATTTCTGAGATTCTGATAAAATTCCATTTCTCTATTTATGTGCTGTTTACAAAGATGTGTCCACTTCATCATAGTTAATTGATATTACATTTATTAGGATCTGTCTACTTTCATTCTCTGCGTGTTGTACTTCCATAAAAAGTTTCTAAACGTGCTATTATCAAGGTATCATATACCTGAAGCCTGAATCATGGGCTTGCTAAGGAGATGGTATGCCTGGTAAATTTCTCTGTTTTATAGTAAGGACTCAGAAATGCTCTAAGGTTACTAGAGCCCTGATAAGTTATTTGTCTTGATAAGAAAGCAGAAAATTGACTGGTGTATCCGTCAATATTGAGTAAGTCCCAAGAGAATGACAAATAGAGATGTTTCAAAAGAACTGATAAGATCCTCACTCTGATCTGGAGGTTTCTTTTGCCACTGGGCACCTCGTTAAAAACCTCAAGTTCGGGGAATCACATACCATGGATTGCGGTTGTCATCATATCCTTAGGTCTGCTGGAATATTTGGGTTACATCATCATCACCATGTACAACTTCTCACAAGGATGATTTGAATGTATTGCAATGGAATAGTAATACTAGCCATAGAATGTTCATTTAGATATAAAGTATAAAATGAATCTTAAAATGTAAAATTAAAATGCGAAATATCTTCAAGAGATAAGTGGTATTTGCAAAAAGATATAACTGACTGCTCTGAGTGGCAGCAGGCCTAACTCTGTTTCAAAACATGTATATAATTAACGTATGTCTTTTAAAACACTTAATTCCTGTAATTCTAATTTTTACTAAACAAAGTAACTTCTGAACGCTATTTGCATGGAGACAAAGAGGAGAAAAATTGTCCATGTACTCCCTGCTACAGTGAAAGCCAAAGGCTAATATAGAATTTTCTACACAATAGGTGAGAAACAGATGATTATATTGGTTATCAGTTAAAGACAGGCAATCTATGGCATTATACTGTAATCTGGCCATAGACAATTCATAGGTGGATTCTAGTCAGTGGTTATGGGTAACAGGAAAAGATCTACTCCTTTAAATTAAAAGTTTTCAAAAATACAGTCAATTGTTTGGGCTCCAGGTCAAGGAGGCTGTGACTTAACAATAGAACTTTTTGGAGAACAGGAGGGCTGGATATAACCAGGAAGGAACCACACCGGTCAGAAGGTTTGAAGAAGAGAAGGACGGAAAGTGACATTTATATTGTATAAGAACTTTTGGGGCACTTTTGTGTACATTCAGTATCAGAAGAAAGGCAGGAAATTAACTTCTAATATCACTCGTGTATTGAGAATTGGCTTCCTGAACAAGGTTGTTACTGACCCTGGGTGTGGGGGCCATAGCAGGAGGTTCTCTTGACCGGATGGGAAGGACCAAAACAGTAGTGGACAGGCACAAGCAGGCACACACACACACACACACACACACACTGATGATTTCTATAAAATTTTAAAGTTATACCTATTAGGATGCAGTTAACAAAATTGCAATTACAGACATACCTAGTTTTATTACCCCTCACTGTATTGTGCTTTACGCAGTTGAAGGTTTGTGGCAACCTTTCATTGAGCAAGTTTATGGGCACCATTTTTCCAACAACATGTGCTTATTTCATGTCTTTGTGTTACATTTTGGAAATTGCTGCAATATTTCAAACTCTTTATTATCCTTTTATTTGTTATGGTGATCTGTGATCAGTGACTTTAATATTAGTATTATAATGTTTTCAGGCGCCATGATCTGCACTCACACAAGATGGCGAACATAATTTATAAATGAGTGTGTTCTGACTGCTCTAACAACTTGCTGGTCCTCCATCTCTCTCCTTCTCTTCAGGCCTCCCTGTTTCCTGAGACAAAATAATATTGAAATTAGGCCAATTAGTAACTCTACAACAATCTTTAAGTGTTCAAGTAAAAGGAAGAGTTGCACATCTTTCACTTTAAATAAAAAACTAGACATGATTAAGTTTAGTGATTAAGGTATGTTGAAAGATAATATAGGTTGAAAGCTAGAGCTCTTGCACCAACCAGTTAGCCAAATTGTGAATGCAATGGAAAAGTTCTTGAAGGAAATTAAAAATGCTGCTCCAGTAAACACACCAATGATAGGAAAGTGAAACAGTCTTATTGCTGATTTGAAAAAGGTTTGAGTGGTCTGAACAAAAGAACAAACCAGCCACAAATAACTCTCTTCAACTATGTGAAGGCTATGAGAGGTAGTAAGCTGCAGAAGAAAAGTTGGAACTGAGGAGAGGTTGGCTCATGACATTTAAGGAAAGAAGTGATCTTCATAACAGGAAAGTATAAGGTGAAGTAGCCAAGGCTGATGTAGAAGCTTCAGCAAGATATTCAGAAGTTTTAGCTGAGATAATGGATGAAAGTCATTACACTAAAGAACAAATTTTCAAAGAAGATGAAATAGCCTCATGTTGGAAGAAGATGGCATATAGGACTTCCATAGCTAGAGAGAAGTGAATGCCCGGCATCAAAGCTTCAAAGAGCCAACTGACTCTTGTTAGGAACTGATGCAGCTGGTGGCTTAATTGGCTTTAAGTTGAAGCCAATATTCATTTACCATTCCAAAAATCCTAGGACTCTTAAAAATTACGCTAAATCTACTCTGCCTGTGGTCTATAGATGGAACACGAAAGCCTGGATGACAGAACATCTGAGTGCAGCCTGGCTTACTGAAGATTTTAAGCCCACTGATTTTAAGCTCAGAAAAAAAAAAAAGATTCCTTTCAAAGTATTACTGCTCATTGACAATGCACATGGTCACCCAAGAGCTCTGATGGAGGTATACAATGAGACTAATGTTGTTTTCATGTTGGCTACCACAACATATCTTCTGCAGCCCATGGATCAAGAAGTAATTTTGACTTTTAGGTCTTATTATTTAAGAAATCTTTCATAAAGCTATAGCTGCCATGGGTAGTGATTCTTCTCATGGATCTGGGCAAAGTAAATTGAAAACCTTCTGGAAAGGATTCACCATTCTAGATGCTATTAAAAAAATCTATGATTTATGAGAAGAGGTGAAATATCCACATTAGCAGGAGTTTGGAAGAACAGATTCAAGATTTCAGTGGTGGAAGTTACTGTGGATTTGGTGGAAATAGCAAGATAAACTAAAATTACAAGTGGATCCTGAATTTGTGAATTGCTGCATTCTCATAAAATATAAATATATAAAAATATTATAATAAAATATAAAAAGTTTTAATTGTCAAATAGTTGATTCTTATGAATGAGCAAAGAAAGTGTTTTTTTGATATAGGAACTACTCCTGGTGAAGTTGCTGTGAACATTGTTGAAATGACAAAAAATAATTTTGTATATTATATAAACTTAATTGATAAAACAAAGGCAAGGTTTGAGGGCATTGCTTTCAATTTTTTTTTATTATACTTTAAGTTCTAGTGCACATGTGCACAATGTGCGGATTTGTTACATATGTATACATGTGCCATGTTGGTGTGCTGCACCCATTAAATCGTCATTTACATTAGGTATATCTCCTAATGCTATCCCTCCCCTCTCCCCCCACTGCATGACAGGCCCCGATGTGTGATGTTCCCCTTCCTGTGTCCTAGTGTTCTCATTGTTCAATTCCCACCTATGAGTGAGAACATGCAGTGTTTGATTTTTTTGTCCTTGCGATAGTTTGCTGAGAATGATGGTTTGAAAGGCATTCTACTGCGGATAAAATGCTATCAGTGTTTCATGCTACAGAGAAATCATTTGTGAAAGGAAGAGTTAATCAATGTGGCAAACTTCATTGTTGTCTTATTTTTTAAAATTGCTACAGCCACCCCAAAGTTCAGTAACCACAACCCTGATCAGTCAGCACTCATCCATCTCGAGGCTAGACCCTCCACCAGATAAAAAGCTGAGGACTCAATGAATACTCAAATAATTGTTACCATTTCTTTAGCAATAAAATATTTTTAATTATGGTATATATATATATATATATATACACACACACATACATATATTGCTTTTTCCAGACATAATGCTATTGTACACTTAATGACTACAGTATAGTGCAAACATAACTTTTATATGCATCGAGAAGACAAAAAATTTGCGTGACTTGCTCTGTTCCAATACTTGCTTTACCGTGATGGTCCGGAACCTGAAACTGTGCCACAAGATCTCAGAGTTATGCACGTATGCCAGCGTGAATTAACTTACTCATATTTTATTTAGAGCATTGCCATTCTCTTACGTCAATCTTCCTTCTATCCCATGTTTTCGAATGTCTCTGACAATTTCAAAATACTATGCTTCATCCAAAGCAAGCTAAATTTTCTTTGGGGGCACTTTGTGCTCTTTTATTCTAAAGAGCTAACAGATAAAAGAACATTCTGTGTATTAGTTGAAAAATAATGATGCTAATAAATAAACATCTTATTTTTTAAGTCCCTAGACAATGTTAATAGCAGCTTGAAAGAAGAGCAGCCTGAAGAACCACAACACAAAATTAAACTCATTGGTAAGACCAGATGAGGTTACAAGGTTACAGTAAGTCTCTGAGAAATCTTGACCGGAAAGCTCATGTGCTTCCAAAAGGAGTCCAGCTGTGGCAATGTAAATACTTCAATATATCTGGTCACAGGATGGGTACAAACAGCAAGAAAGGAGAATTTCACATGTAGACTCAGAAAATGTTTAATTGTATTCCCTTTCCTGTTTCCTGGGAACCTAAAGTAACTTTTGCTGCTGTGGATACTTACATTCAAATGAATGTTCATGAGTAATGTTTTTCCTTTAGCCTATTCAAAGCAAATGCATTTCCTGGAGTGTAGCTTTTGCCATTTAATATCACTGGCTTCCACTTTGAAATCTAATGATTCAAGGATCACTGTTGTCATATTAGGAGATTTAAATCCAAAACTAATTCTTCTGCTAATTAACTATTTGAATTCACAGATTCACTTAACCTCTCTGAATTTTCTCCTCTCTAAATTCATGATCTTTGAGCTTTTGAAAATAATGGCCCACTAAATTTTTAAAAATATGCAGTAGCAGCATATATTTTTAACTTTTATTGTTAAGGATGCTTAAATCAACCAATATCTGGGATTATTAGTTTAGGTTCCTGTTAACCTCCTAATTTGTTACATTATACCCATGTCAGGCTATAGATCAAAAAGCAAGCTACCACAATCAAGTCAGCTTTATAGATGGTTTTCACATTTGACTTGTAGAAATGTCTCTTGTTATTCACTTGTAACCTAAGTAGCAGCACAGAATTACTGTATTAGCCATCGACTTCCCTTTATTTTGCTGTTCTTGTGCTGGGGTAAACAGATCAGTTAGGTGAAGGAGCTGGCAGGAGTGAGAGAAAGAGAGAGACCTTCAAAGCTAAATGAAAGCTTAATTTCACCTTTTGAAATTTTATCTTTTGAAATTTACAAATAAATAGTTATACATATTCATGGGGTACATAGTGATGTTTTGATACATATAATGTGCAGTGTGATCAGAGGTTACTTAGCATATCCATCATCTCAGACATTTATAATTATTTGTGTTGGGAACATCCAATATCCTGCTCTGGCTATTTGGAACTACATAATATACTTTTGTTAATTATAGTCATCCTACAGTGCTGTAGAACACCAGAATTTATTCCTCCTAACTAGCTGCAATTTTGTATCCTTTAACAATTTTTTTCTGATGTCCCCACTTCTTCCTACCCTTCCTAACCTCTGTAATCCTCCCATAGATGGACTTTTTATATCTATGAAATCAACATTTTTTAGCTTCCACGAATTAGTGAGAACATGTGGTGTTTAACTGTCTTGAAACTTGGCCTTCAAATAGACTTAGGGGGAAATGGTCTGTAAGAGCAAAATTATTAGGTAACAATTAGATTTTTGACATGATAAAAGTAAATGATACTGATGCAGGATTTTTCTTGGCCCCTTCGCCAGACTCATGGCAGAGGCACCCCATCTACACCCACCATGCTCAACCCCTTGTGGGAGGAAGCATGTGAGTGTTCCTGTGTGGCCCACGGCCAGACCAGGCATGTCACCTTGAGGGCAACACAGCAGCACCCATATGAGGGTGCCCATGATCCCAAAGCCTGAGAGGGGGTATTACAGTGCTCCTTTAGTTCCACTGTCCACACACAGTGGTGTGTTAGCAGCTTGGTTGGCCCCTTGCCTCATGATGTGGGCTAGCTGCCCTCTGCCAGCGAGGGCAAAGGGCTGGTGTGACAGCCTTTCTGGGTACCCACACTCAGAGGGTCCTGAGCCCTTGTCTGGCCTCCAAGAAGAATGAGCTCACGTGGACGGTTGAACGATGGTGAAGGTGGAGAATTTTAATGAGCAATGAAAACAGCTCTCAGCAGAGAGGGGAGCTGGGGAGGGGATGGGAAGGGCAGGTTGTCTTCCCTGAAGTTAGGCCATCTCCATCTCCCCCTCTATCAACTGAGTGTGGGGACTTTATAGGCACAAGATGGAGAGTACGTGCTGATAGGTTTGTGAGTATGCAAAAAAGGTTGAAGCAAAGACAACACTCAAAGGTGGGCATGACAGTGTAGAAAAACAATTAGAAAAGGGTAGGTATATGTAAAACAGGGGAAGGGTAGGGATCTATCAGAGGAAAGTGTACCAAATAGGAAGACAAGTTCTCAATCCAGTCCAAGGATTTAACTTGTAGCTTGGCTTTCAGGCTTTAAATTGTCTTCGGATTGGAGGTGGGGCTTCACCGGGTACCCACCCCATCTGCATAGGCATTTGGCTGGCTCCCGTTGCTATCAATACTATTATAATTTTATTTGCCATCACTTTTATTTTTGCTATCACTTTTATTTTCTGGAATATGAAAATTACAAATTCATTCAACAAGTAGTACACACAGTATCTACTGTGTGTCAGGCACAGTTGCTGATGGGAAAAGTATACCACAATAAAAAGTTGTCATGCTGAGATTTTAAAAAATAAAGATATATTTAAAATTGTCCTTTTCAGTAGATGGCTAAAGTCTCATGGATGTAATAGTTCTATTACATTTCCATTATACCTATGTATTTAAGAAACATATTAAATAAAATCAAAGTTGTTTTTAAAAATGGCTCCACAGTAAGTAAATCTTCTGAACTTATAATATTGAAAACAAATTCTTATTTCCTCAGCAACAATGCATAATAAAATGTGTAATTCTCTTAAAGACAGCTGTTTACATTGACCTTCCTAACTAGACTGCAAGCATTAGGAGGTCAGGAGAAACTGATGCTTGCATATGTTTTCACCCAGTTTCTAGGCTATTTATAGTCTTATAGTAGGTGTTTATAATTTGTTGTTGTTGTTGTTGGACACATGGCCTTTTAATGTTAATCTTTGAAACTTCAGAACCTTTTGATCTTTCAGTAACTCTATCATGTAATCTTTCTTTTCTCTCCCTGCTGTATTACGGATTCTATCACATGCCATACCTCATGTTTCCTAACATAGTTTACTTTGGTCTATTCATCCTGTCTCTTTTAAGGGCGATTTTAAGGCACATGGTAATTTAATAGAAAAGTTCAAAATATTTTGAATTGTAATCCCTCCCTAGGTGTTCTATTCAGACTTTTAAACAACTGTCTATAAAATGGTTATAAACACATATTCTTGATAAACCAGCAGGGAGCACATGTATATATTTTTGAATTGTAATGCAATAAGAAGTAAAATGGAAGGATTTAATAATATTCTTCAAATTGTTTCATGGGCACATTGCCAAAATGCTTAAGCAAATGGCTTTTTGTATCCTTTTCTAGTGAGTCAATATTAGTAATTTTCATAAAAGCATCTTACACAGTGAAGAGAGTCATGAAAGCATTTTTCCCATGAACAGAATGAGCTTATGTGGAATATTGTTTCTTCATGTCAAACACAGCCAGAGTGTTTCACCAGTAATTCTGGATCTGGCACACAAAATAGCTTCACTATTCCCTATATCTATTGAATTAGAGTAAGATTGGTTAACACATACCTTTAAAAGATGCACCCAAATTCAGAGTCCATACATCACCAAAGGAGATGGACAGGATGGTATTAGTCATGTTCTGAAATATGCCGCTGAGAACAAATCAAAGTTGCCTTCCTATTTCAATGATTTGCCATGAACAATAATCCTCTTCTAACAAGCCAGGTCACTGTTTCGTTCCCTTGGTCCCATTGCAGATGACTGTAGAACACACCATTCTCTGTGATGGGATTAGGCATCTGTTACAAACAGGTGGGCTACCCTAAGTAACGCATAACAGGTAATAGCAAAACAGAATGGAAATTCCCCAATTCTCAGAGTTGATTTAGTTGGATGTTCCTCCTAAGAATATGTTGCTTAATTTTGTGGTGGTTTATGGCATTTCAGAGAGTTGTCATGCTTCTGGGGACAGTTTGGTGATTCTTAATGCTTGGAGGTACATCAGAATTTCTTGATTTCTGGTTTATATTTTGTCTTCAGATTTTCCTTAATGTTTGCCTAGATCATAATCATTAACTCACATCTTACAGTCTTTTTTTTTTCACGAATGAGCTATTTACCTTTTTCTTCAGATTTCCAAAGTTTATTTTTCTTTGAGACTTACAAACAATAAAGAAGTGAGACATTCCTTTATGATATTTTTCTGGCATTTTCAGGCTTTAGCTTAGATATTGCATAATTTCATACCTTCATAATTACAATCCTAACACTACACTTTCAGTTGAAAACTACTAAATCAATTGCCACACTGTATATAAATATCACCACTACCAAAGCATTAGGGGTTTTAGAGTTAACAATTTAAAATGACTTTGCAAATATATAAAGTATGGAGTTCACTTTGTACTTCTGTGTTAATAAAATGCAGAACTGAATTTTGTATAAAAGCAGAAGGATATGAGTGGCATTCTTTATGTTATCTAGAAAAGCACTTCCTAAAGATTTTAAAGTGTAAGAGCTTGAAGAAGAAAAACAGATATGCACTTTTCTCTCACCTTCAAAATTTAGGGTCATGTATTACCACTGATAAAATACAGCATTGTGACTATCAATGGATTATTGCAATTCCTTTCACACTATCCTTTTTCATTTTTACTGAATATTTACCATTATTTAGAGTCATGTAAAGATAAAATTTCAGTGTGGGAAGGTAAAGAGCATGAATATTAAACAACATGTTCTGTTGCTGCCAAATTCCAAATTCCCAGTAGCAACCCACTCTAAGGTAAAGTAGACTAGTGACAATTGTGTTACCATATGACAATCTGTCACTTAATGGGAAATAGAAGGTGTTATTTTGAATCTAAAATTTCATAAACATTTCATATGTTGACCTTAGAAAAACACATAAAGTTTATCTTTTCCTTGACACTGTAACAACAAATCTACATTTAATTGGATATATTTAGACTTGTGAATTTTGCTTCATTAAAAAAATAGGAAAAGAAAATAGTTGTGACATATTTGATTGCAGAGAAGTATGTATATTTTATTAACTGTTAACACTTTACACTTTAGACTTCACTAAGATACAAGTTCCAAATGAATATATTGAATTCATTTAGCAAAAAGTTTAGGATGGCAAATGAAAATCTATATTTTTGATTTAATATATTAATACATATGTTCTATAAACAGCTTATATGATTTTAACTGCCATTGTTTATAAGTATACAAAAGTAACTTTTCAGAGGGCAGAAATCAAAGGTAAAGAGTTTCTCTAAATTTAATCCCTTAAATAATAAACAACACTATAACATTTATTATATGCCACACACTACTCTGTGCAATTTTATATAAATTTGCTATTTTATTTTATCCACAATAGTCCTACAGGACTGTTATTTATCAGTTATTCGATAATAGATAATGTTATCTTCACCTTTAAAGGTGAGGCAATGAGGCAAACGGGTGACTTACCCAAGGTAATACTGCAGTTAAGCAACAAGGCTAACTTGTGAATGAAGGCAGCTTGATTCCATAGCCTGCTCTATGCCTTGTATTCTTGTAGTTCTTGTAGTTCTCTATGATATTCTTGTAGTTCTCTATGATAACATCCTGTGTTTTATTTCTGTCCAGTTTTTTAAAGATATTGTTATGTGTTTAACTGAGTCTGCCAAAAAAAATATAAAAGGTATGTTAAAAGCATAGGGTTGCATTGGAGTAAGATTGGCTCTTAATCTCATATGAGTGGTGTCCTTATGAGAAGAAGAGAGACAGACCCAAAAACACACAAGGAGAGAAATGACCACATTACAACAGAGGCAGAAATTGGAGTAATGCATCTACAAGCCAAGAGTTACTGTAAAATACCAGGAGCTAGAAGAGACAAAGAATAATTCTTTCCTAGTTCTGGAGTCCAGAAGTCAAAAATCAAAGTGTCTGTCAACAAACTTCAACGCAGTTTGTGGTACTTTCATATGGCAACCACAGAAATGTATTTATAGTGACTATATTGATACTAAAGAAACAAGGGAAGAAAACTATGATAAAGAGATAGGCAAGTGTAATTTTCAGAATGTTGGACCTTAAATTTGGGCAGAGACCTAGATAAAGGCTTTGTGGCTTTCAAGGAACATATGCTTCTTTCTCCGATATTGTCTAAAGGATTAAGACACAATTCAGTTTTGGAAATAAACTTAAGTTTCTGGATATTCTTTGCAGAACAATTTAGGTATGCGATGCACCCCCACATATACATACTGGAAATACTAAGAATGGAGATTTCATGTGCTCTTTTTGATTGGTATCTGCACTCAATGTCTAGTAGAGGGTTCTATCCAGGAAGGATTTCATTGTAAATATGACACTATTACTGGTGCTGCTAATGTTACAATTCAGGCTTACCTATAAAATGTTTCTAAGTTTCTCTCAGAAAAAAAAATGATGCACTGCTTTTTTGTTGTTTGTTTGGTTGTTTTGTTTGTTTGTTTGTTTCTTTGCAGTAGGCTGCAAACAAACTTGGGTAATTTTGACATGCTGGGGGACATGGAGAAAGATTTTTATGGATGATGATAGACTTGTTCTACATTTCCTCCTTTTGGGCCAAAATGGACTCTATGTCATTGCTTATATATCTTTCTACTCTATAGAAACATTTTTCTTCTAAGAACTGGAAAAAAGGCAAGCAAGTTCCCACTCACAACATTATACTAGTATTGCATCAGCAAGTGCAACAGGGCAAAAAAATGCTAAAAGAAATTAATAAAGAACTTAATAAACACAATGATTATGGATTGGGACATTCAATAGTGTTGTCTATTTACTCTCAAAATGATTGAACATAACTTCATTCAAAACTCAGCAAGTAGCCGGGCTCAGTAGCTCATTCCTATAATCCTAGCAGTTTGGGAGTTTGAGGTAGGAGGATCGCTTGGGTCCAGGAGTTTGAAACCAGCCTGGGCAACATAGCAAGACCCCTGTCTCTATAAAAAATAAAAAAATTAGCCAGGCAAGGTGGTGCATACCTATAGTTCTAACTACTCAGGAGGCTAAAGCAGGAAGATGGCTTGAGTCCAGAAGTTTGGGGCAGCAGTGAATGACGATCATGCCATTGCACTCCATCCTGAGCAACATAGCGGGAGCTTGTCTCCAAAAATAAAGAAATTAGAAATTCAGAAACCCAGCAAGCTTCTTTGTGGAAACTGACATGTTGATTTTTTTAAAATTGTTGAAATGCAAATGATGTAGAACAGCCAAAATTGTCTTAAAATAAGTTAAAGGACTCAGACTACATGATTTCAAGATTTCCTATAAAGCTAGAGTAATAAAGATAATTTTTATTAGGACAAGGAAGGAAAACAGAACAATAGAACAGAATATAGTATGAAGAAATAGACTCAAACATATATATGAATTTTATAAAATTTACTAAGGCAATTCAACAGTAAAAGGGGCATCATTTTAAGAAATAGTTTTGGAACACCTGGATATCTGTATATAAAAGTTAGAGAACCTTATCCTCTAATTTACTTCAAAGGCAAAAATTTAGAAGCCATGCAAAGACTTGTATGAATTGAAAACTATAGAGTTTCTATAAGAAAACAGCCAAATATGTTTGTGCACTTTGGGTAGACATAGTTTTCTTAGTCTCACAAAAGGACTAACAATTAAAGAAGAAAAGTTGATCAGCTGGAAAGCATCAAAACTGAAATATCTGCTGATGTCATATTAGCAAATGAATAGGCTAGCCAATGAATGAGATAAAATATTTACATTGCATATTTGACTAAATACTCAGATCCTAAATACACAAAGACATTATTCATGTCAACAACAAAAAAAGCAACAAAAGTTATAAATTGGTATAAGATTGATCAGATCCAGCCTGATCTGCCCCTCTGTTGGAGGCCTGGGAGTTCAGGCTAGTGTCACAGTTCTCCCTGGCTTGATCCAATATGGACAGGGGTGGCCACCAGTGGGCAATGGCTACAAGGGAGAGGACATCTGGGTGAGTGGTGTCCAGTGATTACTCTGTGCCAGGATGACTGCGGCACTCAGCCTCGACCTCGCCATGTCCCTAGATTTTTTCTGAGGGCAAACAAGGCAGTGAGCCATGGGGCTCTGGGTGTGACTGGCCATAGGCCCCGAGACTTGTGGAAGAATGGCATGTCCTGCCTGCACTGTTTTCTCTGTAGCACCTAGCAAGTTTGTTTGCCATACATGGATGACCTGGGGCACATTTCCCAATGACATGCCGTCATGTCTAGTTGTCTTCCCAGCATGGTAGCCTCCATTGTTACCCACCACATAGTCCCCATCAAAATCAGGTTGATTGGGCAGAACTTGCTGGAACCATCCTGCAGGGGGATCTTCCATGTGTTTTGAACTATTTATTAACAAGAAGCATTCCTGAAACTTTACCATGGGTCATCATTCTCTGTTTTAGATGCTCTCCCAGTCTTCACTGGTTCTCTTCTAGCTTACCTGGAGAAAATCAAGAATGGATCTTGAGATTACTTCTCTAAACTTTAAAACGTTCTTAATGACTATCTGACTGGTGGGAAGGCCCAGACTTCCTCTTTTCTCTTTGACACAGCGTGAAGAGAATGATGCTGACTTGGAGCCCGCCCTCATCTTCTCCTCTAAGGTGGAGTTAGAGGCTCATGTGTCAGGAGCAGTAGACTGCTTTCCACAAATTGTGAAGGATCAAAGAGTGTTGGGTCTCTGGACTGGGTTGACAGTCCACTTGCTGGAGGTAGTTCCATACTTCAGAGTTGTTTGACTCCTTTGAATTCTGAAAAAAAAAAAAAAATCTGTTTTCAACCAAATAGCTGCATTGTGTCTGCTCCTCTTCAAAACTGGAAAACTAGTCTAAAACTTTTACTCTATAAAATGAGTGGAGCTAGGAGTCCACAGATTAAAGGTGTGTTACAATCTTAGATAAATGTAACCTTGCAATTGTGTATATCTACAGGAGACTAGAGGATGGGTATTCCTATATGCTGCTCTTGAAAATGAGAAGGTTCAGACTTATTAGATCTCCAGACTAATGTCCTTCAAACACTTATGCGATGGGAAGGTTTTCCAACACTTCACTCTCATGGTGATATTCCAACAAATTTTATAACTAATGCTTAGCAGTAATAGAACCTATAGTGTTCCTTATGGATAGAGACCAGAACTGATGAAAGAACTTCGCCATGACATCTAAAAGCAGCATGTGGTTGAAGTAGAAGTAGCAGAAGACCTTCTGCTATGGTAAAGAAGACTTTACCATAAGTCTTTGCACATGGTCACTGTCAATGCAAAACTTGCACTACCCAATGTAGGTTTTCTTTCATATGACTTGAACCAGAACTTCCTAATACAATTGTTCTTAAATTTGTGATCTTTATTGACTTCTGAATGTAAATATCAGGGTATTAATTACACTCTATTAAAAACTATGTGAAAACTTTTAGTACTTAAAATTTTAGAACCATCCTTTGTCTAGATTTGAAGCATTCAGGCTTAGACTCTTGCATTTCCCAAAAGCAGCTTTACTATGCCTGGTTAGTTGTGTCCCCAAGACCATCTCCTGCTTGATTAGCATTCATCAGTTATGTACAACTGAAGTGACCTAATTTCTCTGCATTTTTAAGTTACTTTGTGTTCTATCCCCAGAATGCATCATTTGGATAATATAAGTTATTCTCACATATACTGGTAGGCTTGAAAGATTCAAATAGAACTTTTGACTCATGTACCAAAAAAGCAAAAAACAAAAAAAATTTAAAAAAGGAACTAAACAAAAATATTTCAGGTTAATAATTGGTACTGGCTTTTTGATAAAACAAATTTCAGGATTCTTTCACCTTGTGATTCTAAATACATTATAAAATGCTACCTTTTAAGTGGGGCTAATCTATGTAGTTAAAAATCTTAATCAGCATCAAATTTTGTGTTCATTTATTCTTTTAAAATATGTGTGGGTGTATGCATATTTGATTGAAGGTTTTGCTATCTTGAAAGTATTTTTTCTTATTATGTGTCTTTGCCAAAGGGTTAAAAATTTTACACATCCATGAATGTAGATACAGAAGTGGTTAAAAAACACATGAAAGTGTGTTCAATACCCATAGTCATCAACTAAATGAAAAAAAAGTAGATTGGGACACTATTTTGCATACTCTAGAATGATGAAAATTAAGCAGCCTTATATTACCTAATATTGGCAAGAATTTGGAGCAACTGGAAAACTTACATATTGCTTACTGGAACATGAAATAACACCATCCTGGGGAAAATTAGGGTGATTTATTAAAAAGTTAAACATATATCTGGCCAATGATTCAGCAATTTCATTAGAAATATTTTGCCAAGAGAATTAAAACATATGCCAACAATAATGTTTGTAGAAGCTTTATTTATATAGTCCAAAAAGAAAAAGAAAAAAATTCATCAAGAAGAAATTGGTTAAATACATAGTTTGATATATTTATTTAATAATAATATGAGAGAATGAATTGCTGATATAGAGCAGTAACGTGGATTAATCTCGAAATTATTATGCTGAGGGAAAAAAGTCAGACAGACAATAATGCATCCTATCCAATTTCATTCTCGAATTCCAAAAACAACAGAAATTAATCCACGTGGTACAAATCACACCATGGTTGCCTCCTTGGTTACAGGTAGGTGATATTGACTAGAGAGGAGTACAAGAGACCTTTTAGATGATGAAAATGTTATATATCTTTTATTGGGTGGGTGGTGGTTACATGGGTTTATACAACTTCAAAGCTCATCACGTTGAAAACTTAAGACCTGGGCATTTTATTATATAAAAAGTATGACTCAGTTAAAAATCAAATAGCAGAGTAAACTTCTTCCATGTTTTTATTTTAGTGCTACACCAGAGCCCAGAGCATGATTTAACAACTCTAGAAGACAGGTAAAAGTAATTATTTCCCTGGATCCTTAGCTGCAAGGGGTGACTTTATTAAAACATATAAAGTACAAAAGATTTCGTGCTATGGACTTGCCCAGATGAACATCATCCACTTCACAAGTTTGGAATGTTACATGATTACTTTGGAGATTCTGCTTGTGATTTTTTCACTCAGAAGACAAACCTAGTGTTCAAGTACCACTTTACTCAGTTAATGCGTACCTTATAACTTGCTTGATTTTGCTATTCAGTATTCTATTAAGTTTTAAAGTATGCCCAAAATAAAGAGCTACAAAGGCTTGTTCACTATGTATATATATGCTCCCTTCACTCAGCATTTTAATTAGAAAAGGAAGAAAAAAAGGGCTTAGCTTAATTCTGGAAGGGTCCACAGAGACATTAAATAATTTGTGCAATTTTTCTGGTGCTGGCACATTATTTTCCAGGCAGGCAAAAGCATCAGTACAGCCAGAAACAGCTCCCAAATGTGACCGGCGAGGCATGTTAGATCTTAAATAACAATCGTGCCCTGCTGTTGGAAAGCCTCCCAAATGTGACCAGCAGGGAACATTAGATCTTAAATAACAACCATGCCTCTCCATTTAGAGAATAAATCAGTGTTCAAAAGAAACCTGTCCATGCAAGTATACTGTGATTAAAATTAAGTGAAATTAAGTGGAGTGTGATTGGATGAATTTTTTTGGCAGTTTATACAAAATAGCAATTGTTGGTGCAACCAGGCTAAATGTACTTTCTTGAGACATCATGCATGCAAGAAATGTTCTGGCCACTAGCTATCCTAAGGGTTTTTAATTCTACGGTATGTACTGATTTACACTACAAATGTTATGCAGGTTGGGTATATTGAATAAAAGACTAATTTGCATATAATTATTGATTGTTGCTCAATCTAAGCTAAATGCAGAGATTTTCCAGGGCTTCACTGCTTCATTCTATGTATTTTTATTATATATCTAATGTTTACAACAATACCTTCAATTCATATAGATCATTTATTCTGAGGAGCTCAAACTTATTAATATGTGATTATCACTATTTTCCCTTTTCAAAAGGATAGTGATCTATAATGTGTATATGAAAAACCTATTTAAATAATCTCAAATCAATGAGAGTATAATTATAGCCCCTTCCCAAACAGCAGATCTGAGAATATTGCATTGCTTATTGGGTTTAAAATCTATGCAGCTCAAATAAATCTGTAGTTCTAAGCGTGAGCAATGTCAAGAGTCTCCAGGGGTAGCTGTGCCTAAGTTCCCACCTATAGATGAATATCCATAAACTCTAAAGAATCATGGACTCCACTCACCTGAAATGCTACAAAGGTAAACATTGTTGTAGAAAAGAATTTTCATAAGGAGTTGAGGACTTCGGAGACTTGATATATTTGCATGTCTTGACACGGTACAATTGATGCTTATCTGAGGATAGAGCCACCGTATCCACCATAGATTTCACCCAGTTAAAACTCAGCTAACTAAAGGATAACATTGACCCATGATAAGTCTGAAGAACAGGATTGAAGCCCAGTATAGATAATTTTGATTTGTGTCCAGGCACGGTGGCTCACACCTGTAATCTCAGCCCTTTGCGGGGCCAAAGCATGGGGATCACCTGAGGCCAGGGGTTCAAGACCAGCCTGGCCAACATGGCAAAACCCTCTCTACTAAAAATAGTTTGGTACAAGTGTAATTGTGGTTTTTGCCTTGTTGGAATTTGTCATTTGATATCGGAAATCATTCTTAAATAAATGTGGTTATGTTATACATCCTTTGAATGAGGATTTCTCATTTTATGTTTTTTTACTAATGACTTATTACTCACTGTTTATTTTATGGTGATTTTAGACTATGGAAATGATGTTAGACAAAAAGCAAATTCGAGAGATTTTCTTTTTTTAAATTATACTTTAAGTTCTGGGATACATGTGCAGAACGTGCAGGTTTGTTACGTGGCATGGTGGTTTGCTGCACCCATCAACCCGTCATCTACATTAGGTATTTCTCCTAATGCTATACTTCTTCTATCGCCCTGACAGGCCCTGGTGTGTGATGTTTCCCTCCCTGTGTCCATGTGTTCTCATTGTTAAACTCCCACTTATGAATGAGAACATGTGGTGTTTGGTTTTCTGTTCCTGTGTTAGTTTACTGAGAATGATGGTTTCCAGCTTTATCCACGACCCTGCAGAGGATATGAACTCATCCTTTTTTAAGTCTTCATAATAGTCCATGGTGTATATGTGCCACATTTTCTTTATCCAGTCTATTATTGATGGGCATTTGGGTTGGTTCCAAGTCTTTGCTATTGTGAACAGTGCTGCAATAAACATACGTATGCATGTGTCATTATACTAGAATGATTTATAATCTTTTGGGCATATACCCGGTAATGGGATTGCTGGGTCAAATGGTATTTCTGGTTGTAGATCCTTGAAGAATTGCCACACTATCTTCCACAATGGTTGAACTAATTTACACTCCCACCAATGTAATAGTGTTCCTATTTATCCATATCCTCTCCAGCATCTGTTGTTTCCTGACTTTTTAATGATTACCATTCTAACTGACGTGAGATGGTATCTCATTGTGGTTTTGATTTGCATTTTCCTAACAACCAGTGATGATGAACTTTTTTTCATATGTTCGTTTGCTGCATAAATATCTTCTTTTGAAATGTATTTGTTCGTATCCTTTGCCCACTTTTTGATGTGGTTGTTTGTTTTCTTCTTGTAAAGTTGTTTATGTTCTTTGTAGATTCTGTATATTAGCCCTTTGTCAGATGGCTAGATTGCAAAAATTTTCTCCCATTCTGTAGGTTGCCTGTTCACTCTGATGGTAGTTTATTTTGCTGTGCAGAAGCTCTTTAGTTTAATTAGTTCCCATTTGTCAATTTTGGCTTTTGTTGCCGTTGCTTTTGGTGTTTTAGTCATGAAGTCTTTGCCCATGCCTATATCCTGAACGGTATTGCCTAGGTTTTCTTCTAAGGTTTTTATGGTTTTAGGTCTTTTGTTTAAGTCTTTAATCCATCTTAAGTTAATTTTTGTATGAGGTGCAAGGAAGGGGTCTAGTTTCAGTTTTCTGCCATATGGCTAGCCAGTTTTCCCAGCACCATTTATTAAATAGGGAATCCTTTCCCCATTGCTTGTTTTTGTTAGGTTTGTCAAACATTAGATGGTTGTAGATGTGTGGCATTCCTTTTGAGGCCTCTGTTCTGTTCCATTGTTCTATATATCTGTTTTGGTACCAGTACCATGCTGTTTTGATTACTGTAGCCTTGTAGTATAGTTTGAAGTCAGGTAGCATGATGCCTCCAGCTTTGTTCTTTTTGCTTAGGATTGTCTTGGCTACAGGGGCTCTTTTTGGTCCCATATGAAATTTAAAGTAATTTTTTCTAATTCTGTGAGGAAAGTCAGTGGTAGCTTGATGGGGATAGCATTGATTCTATAAATTACTTTGGGCAGAATGGCCATTTTCACCATATTGATTCTATCCATGAGCATGAAATGTTTCTTTCATTTATTTTTGTCCTCTCTTATTTCCTTGAACAGTGGTTTGTAGTTCTCCTTGAAGAGGTCCTTCACATCCCTTGTAAGTTGTATTCCTAGGTATTTTATTTCTCTTTGTAGCAATTGTGAATGGGAGTTCACTCATGATTTGGCTCTTTGTTTGTCTACTATTAGTGTATAGGAATGCTTGTGATTTTTGCACATTGACTTTGTAGCCTGAGACTTTGTTGAAGTTGCTTATCAGCTTAAGGAGATTTTGGGCTGAGAAAATGGGGTATTCTAAATATACAGTCATGTCATCTGCGTGTGATTTTTGCACATCAATTTTGTATCCTGAGACTTTGTTGAAGTTACTTATCAGCTTGAGGAGATTTGGGGCTGAGACAATGGGGTATTCTAAATATACAATCATGTCATCTGCAAACAGAGACAATTTGTCTTCCTCTCTTTCTATTTGAATACCCTTTATTTCTTTCTCTTGCCTGATTGCCCTGGCCAGAACTTCCAATACTATGTCGAATAGGAGCGGTGAGAGAGGATATCCTTGTCTCGTGCCAGTTTTCAAAGGGAAAGCTTCTTGCTTTTGCCCATTCAGTATGATATTGGTTGTGGTTTTGTCATAAATAGCTCTTATTATTTTGAGATACTTTCCATCAACACCTAGTACATTGAGAGATTTTTTAGCATGAAGGGGTGTTGAATTTTATCAAATGCCTTTTTTGAGACAGAGTCTGGCTCTGTTGCCCAGGCTGGAGTGCAGTGGCATCATCTCTTCTCACTGAGGCCTCTGCCTCCCAGGTTCAAGCAATTCTCCTGCCTCAGCCTCCTGAGTAGCTGGGATTACAGGAGCCTACCACTGCTCCCAGCTAATTTTTTTTGTATTTTTAGTAGAGATGGGGTTGCACCATGTTGGTCAGGCTGGTCTCGAACTCCTGACCTCAGGTGATCCGCCCACTCGGCCTCCAAAAGTGTTGGGATTACAGGTGTGAGCCACCGCGCCCAGCAGAGATATTTCTTATTCAAGTTCAAAATGGGTTGTAAAGCAGCGGAGACAACTCACAACATCAACAATGCCTTTGGCCCAGGAACTGCTAATGAATGTACATTGCAGTGGTGGTCCAAGAAGTTTTGCAAAGAAGACAAGAGCCTTGAAGACGAGGAGCTTAGTGGCTGGCCATGGGAAGTTTACAATGACCAATTAAGAGCAATCACTAAAGCTGATCCTCTTACAACTACAGGAGAAGTTGCCGAAAAACTTCATATCCACCATTCTCCGGTCATTCAGCACTTGAAGAAAATTAGAAAGGTAAAAAAGCTCAGTAAGTCAGTGCCTTACGATCTAACCTAAAATAAAGATAAATCATCATTTTGAAGTGTTGTCTTCTTTTATTCTATGCAACACCAAAGCATTTCTCAATTGGATCATGACATGCAACTAAAAGTGGATTTTATATGACAACTGGCAATGAACAGCTCAATGGCTGGACCGAGAAGAAGCTCCAAAGCACTTCCCAAAGCCAAATTCTCACCAAAAAATGGTCATGGTCAATATTTGCTGGTCTTCAGCCGGTCTGATCCACTACAGCTTTCTGAATCCCGGCAAAACCGTTACATCTGAGAAGTATGCTCAGCAAATCGACGTGATGCACTGAAGCTGCTCCCTTCTCCAGAAAATGGTCCTTCCTAAGGAGCCATCTTACCTTACCCAAGAAGTTTTCATGCCAACTTCTATCTCAACCAAAACTAACTGAAGTGCAGATTTTGTTGTAAATCTTTCCTGTAGAATCAGACTGAAATGCAGCCAGCATTGGTCAACAGAAAGGGCCTAATTCTTCTCCATGACAATGCCTAACTGCACATTGCAAAATCAATGCTTCAAAAGTTTAACAAATGGGGCTACAAAGTTTTGCCTCATCCACCATATTCACCTGACTTATTGTCAACTGACTGCCACTTCTTCAAGCAGCTTGACAACTTTTTTGTAGGAAAAACGCTTCCATAACCAGCAGGATGCAGAAAATGCTTTCCAAGAGTTTGTCAAAACTCGAAGCACAGATTTTTACACAACAGAAATAAAGAAACTTATTTCTTGTTGGCAAAAATGTGTTGATTGTAAGGTTTCTTATTTTGACTGATAAAGATGTGTCTGAGCCTAGTTATAATGATTTAAAATTCACAGTCAGAAGCTGCAATTACTTTGGCGCCAACCTAAGCCAGGTATGATGTCGCACACCTGTTATCCCTACAATGTTACTACAGCTAAGATGTCACTAGGTGACAGGATTTTTTCAGCTCCATTACACTCTAATGGGGCTGATGGTCAATGTGATTTGTTGGTGACCAAAACGTTGTTATGCTGTGCACATGTATTATTACGTGAGAGTCAGAAGGCAAGTTTCTATATGTTTGAAAGTTATTATCTTAGGTAGTGTCCTAGAATGCCTTTTGGCTATTGTCCTCATATTAAGCAATTTTCAGCAAGAAGTTAGAGATACCTGAAAATGGTGCATGATTCAGAAGTTCAATATTTAAACTGACTTACAGGGGATAAAAGAGGGGTGGATTATGTGATCTTCAAAAAAACAAGACAAACTACCAAAAAGCATTCTGGAGAAATCAAACTAGTAACATGGCAAGAGTAGACAAGTAGTTCATTGTAGGTGAAGAAAAATATTTTTAGAAATTACTTTGATGTCCATGAATTAACTATAAACTCATATTATTATTATTTTGTTTTATTTAATATAAAATACATTTTCAGTATAAAATACTTTCAGAAATCCACAGTGAATTTCAAAAGGAAATCTTTGTAAAGACAGTATACCAGAATAAATAATTGTCCTAACAAAACAATGTTCAAATCATATGACAAACAAACAAAATAATAGCAAAAACAAAAGGACAATTGAAAATGATTCTTTGTGGCAGAGAATTTCCAATGTTTCTTATGCCCTTTATGTTTGTGGGGTTTTCTTTGACCAGTATAATTTGTCTAACGTTTCATCCTCTTTTGGATTGTGATCAATATGTATTAAGGGGAGAAGTTATGGTACTACTATGACATAAGCTTTATATTTTATGTCTATGTTGAATGTTGTTCTTACCCCAACCAGATTTTTTTTTAACTAGGTACATTTGATGACAATTCACAGCTTCTCCCTTCTCCAGAAAATGGTCCTTCTTAAGGAGCCATCTTATCTTACCCAGGAAGTTTTCATGCCAACTTCTATCTCAACCAAAACTAACTGAAGTGCAGATTTTGTTGTAAAGCTTTCCTGTAGAATCAGACTGAAAATAGTATTCATTTTTGCAACTACTGAGCCATGGCAAATTTTCTTATGGACCCATTTTATGACCACTGGATTACCCAAGAAGAGAAGTTTGCTGGCATGGGTACGTAGCATGAATCACACTATCCACCTAATTGTTGAGAATGTCCTTCAGTGGCCCACCTTCTTAGGCTTACTCCCTTATGGCCATCTGCATTTCTGTTCCTCAGATTTCCTTGTTCCTGGTCTTCCAGTGCTGTTTTTTCCTGATTTCTGACCAAATGGTCAAGTCATTTTCTACTTCCTGGAAGTCCGTGTATATCCATATATCAAACCATTTCTCCCTCTTAGACTTTTGGATGACCATAATTATTGCTTGCAGCAATACCTAAAGAATATTTTCCTTCAACACTGATTTTCAGGGTATTGAGAAGTATTTCAATGTTATATGTTCTATATTTAAAGGGTTAATATTAGGGTTGGGTCAGGGGATGTGATAGGGTAAGAGGCTATTTCTTTCTATTGTTAATATAGGGTAATGGCTTATCTGTGAACTAGTCTCCAGTCCTTTTCCTCTCCATCATTAATTCAAAAGGAACCTTACCTTGAGCCACAAGGTTAAACTGAAGAATTATCAATACAACATATAGACATGATGTAGGAATCTGTGCTTCTCTAAATGTGTTTATTCATTCCCTCTGGATCTACTTGAGGCTGATCTTGAATATACTTTTTCCAATACACGATGAATTTTTGCTATGGTCACCTCATCATAAAACATAGTGAGAATCTCTACTGGTCCCTATCATTTGTAATTGTTATTTATCGGGTGTCAGTAATTGAATAAGGGTATTTTTGCAACAGAAAATAGGACTGTTCCAGAACCTTGGAGGTATACACTGTGACTCACTTGTTGCTGTTTACCAGAGACTTCCTGGAACATTTTTGTCTACTCCAAAGACTTCCAGCACCTTCAAATATGCTGAAAAACAGTTTGTTGGCTGGACCTGCTATAGAACTCTCTGCTTCCCTGCATCCCATTTGAACAGGCAGCTTCATCTGTTAATTAAGTCAGAGCAGCATTCCCAAATATTATATGCTCTGCCTACAAACTCAAAACAACTTCACTACGCCTTATTATTTTTCTTAGTTGGTGGAGGTGTGAAGCATAGCAACTTGTCCTTCATTTCAAAGGGAAGGTCCTGCCAGTTACAGCCACTAAACTCTTAAAACATTCACCAATGTACTTGGTTCCTAAATCTTTAATTACCACCTACCATCTGACACTTATATATATGCTGATATAAAATCTAGTGTATTTTACACTTTCTGCTTATGGGATTCAATTACCTTATATCATTAGTATAATGAACCGATGTAATATTAGTGAAATTTATGATGATGGAGATCTCTATGACTCTTCTATGACACAGAAATGCAAGTTAAGAGAGCCCTGAAGCAAGAGGCTAAAGAAGTGCTGCTCTGTTTTCAAATTAAAATTTAACTGCTTTTGATTCTCCCTTCCTCTTAGAATCAAGGAAAAACATTTGCCAAATCAAGAAAGGTGTATTAAGTACCAAGAGTTTTATCAGTTGCAACATCTGATTGCATTATCTGTGGCAGAGCTATAATCAGGTTAGGCTTACAAAACTCAACAGCTATCTGCCATAATCCATCTGGTTTTTACAATAGAAAGAAGTAAGTTGATATGATCGAGACTACCACAATTAGATCCTTCAAGTTTTTGTTGATGAAGTCAATATGTGCAAGTTTTTCTGCAATATTAATTTTGGATTTACTATCTTGGCTTGAGTGAGGGAAAGATGTAGGGGTGTCTATTTGATCCCTTCTGCTACAATGATTATCACTTCTCAGATCAGGGAATTAATCCTCACCCCACAGTTGAGGATTATACAAACCTGTGAATATATATATATATATATGTGTGTGTATATATATGTATATATGTGTATATATATGTATATATATGTGTATATATGTATATATGTGTGTGTATATATGTATATATATGTGTATATATGTATATATGTATATGTGTATATATGTATATATGTGTATATGTATATATATACACATATATATGTACATACACACACACATATATATACATACATATATATACACACATACATACACACACATACACACACACACCAACCTGAGAATACATATTTGTGTATGTATGTATATGTGTATATATATGTATGTGTGTGTGTATATATATATAAAATATATATATAAATATATATATAAATATATATATAAATATATATATAAATATATATATAAATATATATATAAATATATATATAAATATATATATAAATATATATATATAAATATATATATAAATATATATATAAAAATATATATATAAATATATATATAAAAATATATATAAAAATATATATATATATAAATATATATATAAATATATATATATAATATATATATATAAATATATATATATAATATATATATATAAATATATATATATAATATATATATATAAATATATATATATAAAAATATATATATATATATATGTCTTTCCTTCTTTTTTTTTTTAAGATGGAGCCTCACTCTGTCACCAGGCTGGAGTAGTGTGGTGCAATCTTGGCTCACCGCAACCTCCGCCTCCCAGGTTCAAGCGATTCTCCTGCCACAGCCTCCAGAGTAGCTGGGACTACAGGTGTGCACCACCATGGCCAGATAATTTTTGTATTTTTAGTAGAGACGGGGTTTCACCATGCTGGCCAGGATGGTCTCAATCTCTTGACCTCATGATCCGCCTGCCTTGGCTTCCCAAAGTGCTGGGATTACAGGCATGGGCCACTGCGCCTGGACTGTATATATATATATTTCTAAATTATATATTTATAACTAGGAAAATATTCACACACTGGGTTCAGAGACACGATGTGATAGCTTTGAAGTTGTTTTCTATCTATTACTTTGTCTCCATAAGCTTCTACTGTTACTCAAAGACTACCCTGGCCCTTTGGATTGCTATTAGTGTCAATTCAGAACTCTTATCTAAAAGAAATAAAAAATGTGGCTATTCTCCTTTCCTTACTGCATAGTTATTCTAAGAAACGATTACAGATTCTTTTATGAAAAAAATCAAAGAATATTTACCATTTCTACTTGTAGTAGAATTATCGGTTCCTTTCCTTCATCAAGAGAAAAACAATCTCAGTATCAGGGTCTAAGTCTCTGAACTTACTTGCATCTGGACAATGTGTGAGGTACAGCAGTGTCTCATATCAGCTTCTGCTAGTCATGATCAATTTTGTTATTATTATGTAAATTAAGCAACTTTCCAATTGACTAACACTTTATCTTGCCCTTACTGATAGTATGATCTATTGGCCTTTACCCTAAATTGCTATAATTTTCACTCTTCGTTGATGTCTACTATCAACAAGTGGTAATGTTGCCTAAGTGGCAACATTACTTAGACTCTCACACTGCAGAATGCTATGCACAATTCTACAGAAGCACCTCCCACTTTCTCCAACCTGCAGAGGACAACTAGCTTCACAAAGGTGTCAGTGTCCCTTCACCAGTGCATTTTCTAGTAATTCAGGGAAATGATTGTGCTCTGAGTCCTTCCAGAGAAAAGTCAAATATTGTGTTCTCAGTTCCTACAAAATAAATCCACAGCAACACCCCCTCCTCCTTGAACCTTCTGAATTCATCTTCAAAGAGATGCCAAAAATGTTATTGGGCCCTCCATCTAATTTATGGTAGGCTATTGCTCCATCCAGTCCTCAAGGAGCAAGGTGATTTGAGGCCAGGTGTCATTGTCAGAATATTAAATTGCCAGTCATTAACTTTTGTCAATTTATTCTTACCTATCTAGCATTACAATCTTAAATTTCCAGTCGAAAACACTCAAAGTGCACTCTTGTGCCTGTTTCCTTCATTATTGTTCATTATTGTCAGCAGTTATTAGCCAGTTCCTGTGGTTTCCTTGGCATAATGACTATTTCTTTATAGATTAGAGTCTGTACTTCTCCAATCAAACCATGTTTAGACTTGACTCTGATTATTTGGCATGGAGGCAATTAGAAGTGTAGGGGCCAGATCTTGACGTGGAAAAGACTCATCATGTGAGGCACCTGCTTTAGCTGAGGTGATTACAGGATCCCTAAGCAAGAGGGAGATTGTTCTAAATGACTGCAATTATAGGCAAGTAAGTTTCAAGAAAATAAGGGAATATAGGATTTTTAGGTTTCCCAAGTCCAGGTTCTAAGCTTCCTTTAAGGACCTATCTTAGTGATATCAGATTTTTAAGACTGAGTATCTGTTGTCCTTTGAATCCCTTCCAGATTTGTTTGTTTGTTTTGAGACAGGGTCTTGCTTTGTTGCCCAGGCTGGAATGCAGTGGTATGATCATGGCTCACTGTAGCCTTGACTTTCCTGGCTTAGGTGATCCTCCCACCTCAGCCTCCTGAGTAGCTGGGACTACAGGTGCATGCCACCACACCCACCAAATTTTTGTATTTTTTTTAGAGAGATGGGGTCTCACTACGTTGCCCAAGCTAGTCTTGAATTTTTGGGCTCAAGCGATCCTCCCACCTTGGCCTCTCAAAGTGCTGGGATTACAGGTATGAACCACCGTGCCTGGATCCCTTCCAGTTTTATCATCAGCTCCTGGGTCTGAGTTTTGTTAGTATATTCCAGGCTACAATGGAAGAAATTCTCCTTTTAAAACCCCTTAGAGAATCTGTGGCTTTCACAGCTTAAGTTGGAAATCGATTGTCTTAGGATAAAACATTTATTTTTCAATGTTCCCCAATGCCAGGATATCTAAATGTTTATGTAAGAAGTAGCAAAAAGGATGAGACTGAGCATAAAAGGGATAACAGAGTTTTTTATGTGGTATCTACGTAGAATGTGGGAGTTTGAATACAGGTGAAGTTAATTAGATTCTATAGGAAGCCAAAAATCTCTATGTTTTGGAAGAAGGAAGGGTGGAAATATTAGCAAACATGCAAGGATGGTTTTAGTTAAAGTATTTGGAAAGAATGGGAAAAGTTAACTGCTTGGTGGGTAGGGGCTGTGAACTTGGAAAATAATTCTGGATAATTAAAAGTAGTGATGGTGGAGAAACATTTAAAACATTATCAGACTCTTAACATCAATTCCTTTTCAGAATCTCTAGCAATGGAATTGCACCTATTTGTGTTAGTCTGAAAAATGTGAATATTAACAGGGGTACCTGTTTTTGTCCCAGATCTTGGAAGGTGTCTGATGAAAAGGAGCATTAAGGAAGACTTTACACATAAGAAAACTGCAGATTTTCATGTTTTATATTTTTTCACAATTTGAGAAATAACCAGCAAACAGGAAGAGGGAGAAGAAGCCCATAGAGTGGATCATAAGAACACTAGATAAAGGCCTACTTGTTGCTGGTTATGGAATTGCAGATTGATGGCAAAACTGAAAAATTGATTCAACCATCACAGAAAAATTGAGACTGTATTCATAACAGAATTTTAAATTTGATATGTTTACTGTCTCAGAAAGGCAGCCGGGGCTTCACAGCTGAGGACAATAGGCAAAAGGACTCTCAAACTATACAAAGTAAACTAAGAGAAATCTTTTCGTACTCCCTAACCAGTCTGCATATAAACACTAAAATAAAGGCCTAAAGGGAATTGAATGAATTAGGGACTTTTCCATGTTATGTGTTATTAGCTTAGAGGGCTTCCTCTTACATCTCTACTACACCAGAACCAAAGTGAGAAGGCCAAGGCAAAAAACACATATATAGAAATTAATGAGACTGAAAGAAGGAGGAATTGAGCTTCAGAAATTCACAGATCTCTTCTGATACAATAAAACAGAGTAGTAATGAGAGGGTAAAACAAAAGCGTGATCTTAGCATCTGTCACAAGGAGTTTCAACACACGCAAAGAGGCCAGGCGTGGTGGCTCACGCCTGTAATCCCAGCACTTTGGGAGGCTGAGGCGGGTGGATCACCTGAGGTCAGGAGTTCAATACCAGCCTGGTCAACATGGTGAAACCCTGTCTCTACAAAAATTAGCCGGGAGTGGTGGTGGGTGTCTGTAATCCCAGCTATTCAGGAGGTTGAGGCAGGAGAATGGCTTGAGCCCAGGAGGCAGAGGTTGCAGTGAGCTGAGGTCATGCCACTGCACTCCAGCCTGGGTGAATGAGCTAGACTCTGTCTCAAAAAACAAAAACAAAAACAAACAAAAAACGTGAAGAAAGAGATTGATACCTACTTCCTGTTGGGAGAATTGTGAAGGCAAAATCCTACTGAAGCAGTCTACAGGGGCTTGCAGAAGGGCAAAGACAGTGGTGAGAAAAGCCTGTACTCATAGTTCTTGGGATGACTAGGAGGTGTCAATATCCAGTGAATGAAAAGAAGCCTGGCTTATGCTTTCTTAATGGGGGATTTTCAAGGGGTTATTAGCTTTTAGCAACCAAAGCTCACTGAATTTCTAAGAAGGTCAGCCTGTGTATCACCTGGTTCAGAAAACAATTTGGTACAAAAGGCCACATGGGGTTTCAAAAGAATCCACCAATATTCTGCAAGAAAAACCTAGTGTTCCAATGCCCGTTGTAACAGCAACATAATAAAGCCAGTTACTACTAATCAGGTCCTGGCCTATTTGGCCCTCTAAATTTGTTTATGATTGACTAATGAAAGCAGTAGTATGTGAGGTCTCTTCTTGCCAACTTTCTTTCTTTCTTTTTTTTTTTTTTTGAGACGGAATCTTGCCCTGTTGCCCAGGCTAGAGTGCATTGGCATGATCTTGGCTCACTGCAAGCTCTGCCTCCCGGGTTCACACCATTCTCCTGCCTCAGCCTCCCAAGTAGCTGGGACTACAGGCGCCCGCCACTACGCCTGGCTAATTTTTTGTATTTTTAGTAGAGACAGGGTTTCACCATGTTAGCCAGGATGGTCTTGATCTGCTGAGCTCATGATTCGCCCGCCTCTGCCTCCCAAAGTGCTGGGATTACAGGCGTGAGCCACCGTGCCTGGCGTTCTTGCCAACTTTCCAAATTTGTTTATGATTGACTAATGAAATCTGTTAAATTTGTCTATGATTGACTAATGAAAGCAGTAGTATGTGAGATTTCTTCTTGCCAACTTTCTTCCCAAGAAAAATGGTACATAATATTTTAGTTTTCTTCATGGAGAGAGAGAAGACTCTGTGGAAAGCTAAAACAAAAAGCTCTGGATGATTGATCATACCTTGTTGTGACCCATACATGCACATGGGCATTACTCTTTCAGGCATTTCTATCATTTCTCATTTCGGTGTATGATTTTACTTTTGATTTAGGAAACCTAAGGGAAATTTCAGCCTAAATGTCCCAGGGAGATACGTAGTAATTTGGATATTAGAAATAGCACTAGATCCCATTTTTAACCCAGGGTAGTTGCTGAGACTGAATGGTTCAGATATAAACTAAGCACTGGTACTGGGTTTAATCACCAGGTGCATACCAAGGTGAAAGCTCTTTTAATTCCATCTAAAAGGCAAGGGCTGAGGTGTTCCCTGAAAGGAATCTGCTTATGGATTTGAGTAATTTTGTAAATGTGTGCACCACATAGAGCCTTTTGAAGTTCAAGAGAACTACATATTTGTAGACCCGTCCCAGCTAGAAGCCTATTAGGTATTAAGGTACAAGAGATGACCACTTCTGGGCTAATGGTGTTCTTTGGTAGCCAAAATTGCAATACAAAAGAGAAGAAGAAGGATGGTCATTCAGGATATCTAAACATCTTAGGTACCATTATTGTACATTTAAAACCTCAGAAATGTAGTGCTCTTCATATGTTTTTCTGTTTCTTTTAAATTTTAGAGGAAATGTATGCCCAGTTTAATGCCCTTCTTCCTCTCCTCCATATTTTAAAGCATTGTTGGTTAAATTGACACATCTCCTGAAACAATGTTTTTATCCACAATCTCTTAGGTGTAATATTGTTTCCCCAGTTGTGTTCACTTAGACCGTGTCATATACTATTTAGCTATTCTACTTATTTTCCTTAATAAGCCCTGGCTATATTAATTGTTTTTTAGCCAATTGTGTCTACCAGAAAAGATAAACATTTATTCTTGAACTTGTTACAGCGGAATCAAGTAAACTTGAGCAGTTAATTGATAGAATTATTAGGAAAACTAAAGTAATATCCAAATTAATATAATTTTAAAACATGGTTAGAAAAAAAATTGCCATAGTAAATTAAAATCAAGAGCAAAATACGCTGTTTTTTATTAAAGGTATATCTCAAACATATTCTATAATTTTTTTTGAAGTGACACATAACATAATAGAAAAATTATTTATACTGAGCTATGTAAATAAATTTTGATGTGATTCCATACAGCTGCTTATAAGCATAAATAAATTTTATCATCCTATATCTAGTTACCTGCAGCATTTTGTCAGCACAAGTTATACATTCATCTCTATTGACACCTAAAAATGTATTGTTAGATAGTTGCACAGTAGTAAATAAGTTTTTAAAAGAAAAATAGAATACCGAGGTAACAATCATTATTAAATTAATTCTTCAAGTTTCATGATTTATGAAGAATATATGATATATACAAACATTCTGCTGTTTTTCTTTCTGTGTTATTGTCATTGCTTAATATTTACATCATGGTAAATTAACAGGTGGAAACTTAAAATAGATATCAAAACTCCATTTATAATATGAATAAAATAAGAGATCAGAGGTTATTGGCTGTAAAATTACTTTCTACTTCCTTTTTCTAGATTCTTCAACCTCAGCTTAAACATTTCCAAATGTCTAAGTCTCTCTACAAATTTATATAAACTCTTCTGCACACATATCTTAAGTTTATTAAGAAATGAGACTGTGGCTTGGAACTTTCAGACTACCTGTGATATCTGCCACATGGGGATCTCTAAAAATAATAATGCTTGTGGAATAAATAAATGTATATGTCAGATGCTTATTTACTCCATTTATTTATTCCACAAACATAGCATTTCAATAACAGTCTGATGGCCTACTTTGAGTTAGATAGTGCTATGAACATTTCCATCGATCTTTATTGCAGTTTAAAATAAATCTGACTTTTAAAACATCTGCTTTCATTTGTCTATGACTATAATGATACAAAAAGTGAAAGAACTAAAATAAATATAATTAGAAAAAATGAAAAAGAATTCCTCTAAAGTATCTTTTTCTTACAGTTCTCTTTTATTTCATTTAACAATAAAGTTATTTGTAAAAATATGTTAATGACCCTCCTACTAAAGAAGCACAGACCCATTATTCATGGATTGCCATAGTAACTCTCTTCAATATTAATTATATATATGTATTTTGTTAAACAGCTTACAGTACCACAAAATAGAAAACTTTTAAGTTTATGTATATCCAGAAAAGAAGTAATTTAGTTTGGTTTCTCTTTAGTTTTCATTGACTAATAGCATTTGAAAATTAATCTGTCAAGAGTTTTAGGGAAAATAAATGTCTTCAGAGCTAATCTTCTACTCAGTGGAGGTGCCAGAGTATAGCTTAAAGGAAATTTTCACCCCACACTCTTCATCAGGCACCATGAAAATTTTTTTTTAAAAGTGTGTCTGCCACATTGTGATGTCTACATGGTAAATCATTAGACTTTATAATTCTGACCCAGCAACAGATGTCATCAGCTTAAGCAGCACATTACCTTCACTGGAGCATCACTTTATCAACTGTCTCTTTGATCACAATATTGTCAAGTTGCCCCCTCTCTATTTGGATATTCCCATCAACAAGAAAGTGTGACATTATTGCTGAGTTTTTAAAAACACAAAACAAAATTAAAACTCCTCTTTTGAATGCCCCATTACAGAAAAACTATAGAAAAATTCCTCAGTAGAGTTGCCAGTGCCATTTGTCTCTGTTCTCTCTTCTTGCATTTCCTACTTAAACCACTCCAATCGTGATTCCACTCCTAGCTTTCTGCTTGCTCTTATCAGGTTAGTAATGGCCGCAATGGGGTAAATAACAGAGTAATCTTCAGTTCTGTTCTTCACTGAGCAATCCTAGGCTGCAGCAGCTATCTACTAAGCTGGCTCTCTGCTAAGCTGGGGAAGAAAATGAACCTCAGACACAGTGGCTAATGCCTTCACGCTCTGCTAGTACTTTCACTTAATCCCCGTGTTAAAACACTTCTGTCTTAAGCCTGTCCCATATGCCCCGTGCATGCTTCCCAAACAACGGGAAATGGAGACAGTGGGTATATGGCCCAGCTTCTATTGTTTGTTTGATGTTTTGGAAGTATCTGTATAGCCAAGCTTCTTTTGCCTATATGAGTAACCTCAATAACCGATGCTCTATTGGCTTTTCCTCCTATTTCAGACTTTCTTTACTCTTATTACTCCTCATTACTAACATCACCTTCCCCCAATTCTACTTTACCAAATTCTTGTGTCAGGTTGTGTTTTCAAGGGAACTGCAGTGTCATGTATACCCATCTCTCTTTACTCACGAAATGTTTAATTAATGTGTTTTGTCTAATTTCATCTCCTTTCCTCCTGCAAGAAGACAAGCTCCATAAGGAAATATTTATCTGTATTAGTTTGTGTAATAATAGAATCTGGCACATAATAGTTCCTAATTTGTTAATGAATGAATAAAATTAAGTTACACATATTTAAAAATATTGTTACTGGGGTAAAATAATTTAAATTTTAATTTTAATAATCACTGTAAAAGTGTCCTTTGAAAATAACATACCCTTTTATGATACTACAAACCTTGGTATCAACAGTACTGGCTAAAACAATTTTTATTATTTATTTGTCAATGTCATGAAAAAAACACATTTCTGGTATTTTAACTTAAATTTCATCAATCGCTAATAATTAAGCTATGGTTTTAAATATTTAGCTTTAATAACTTTTCATGGGGTAAATGCTACTTGCTAAGAGCTATAAACGTTAAAAAAATTATTTCAATTCTCTCACAACTCTGTAAGATAGATGCTATTATAATCTCAATTTTAGTTACTGGGAAACTGGGGTAAGTAAATTGTTTAAAGTTATATATTTGAACCCACGACCCTAGTTCTGGCATCTAAACTCTTAGCCACTACATTGCATTTCTATTTTTCTATTTGATTCTTATTTTTCTTATTGATAGATGTAATTTTCAAAACCATACAAAGTAGACAAAAGGAAAAATATTTAGTCATTTTTGAGGGAGAAAAGAATACTCAATGATGCTTTGCTTGCATCAGTAACTATTATATTTGATCTTTTTTGTTTTTTTTTCCAAAGAGAAACCAAACAATATCTTAAATTAGCTAGAATCAAGTTTCCTGTTTCTTTTATATAAATTTTTAAAATTATTATTATTGCCACTGTTTATACCACAGTGATCATTTCTGAATAATCTCTCTGTACTCTTCAATTCCTAGGATTCTGGAGACTATTCAGAACTTTGCATAATAAATTAGGTCTTTCCAGAGAGAATAGCCCATTTTAAAATCCTGGTGTTCTAAGTAAATGAAGCCATATTTGTTATCTTTAAAATTGTGATTATTGTTGGCACCATCTATTCATCTTAAAAGTATAAATAAGGACTACAACAATTCACACTCTAGAGAAAAGTTGAATGTGATGGTCTTTAGTGGTCTCAAAAATTGGGAAGGCCAAAACAAGATTCACTGAAATAGCCACACTGATTCTTCATTGCTCTATTACTTTGTGTTCAACTTATTAACTGCTTACTTAAAGCAAGCACAGATATATAGCCTGTGGAGCCTGAAGCTTATATAATTTCAGAAGTCCTCTTTAATTAAAAAAAGACATAAATAAATACAAAGTTAAGTGATAAAGTGAATATATATTAGTAGGGAAAAATAAATAACATCAAATTACAAGAGCTGTGAAATTACAGCCTTTTTCCCTTTCATATCACCTAAGGACATTTTTGATAACACAAGAAAGGCTGGCATTGAAATGTCTCTGGACTGCAACCTGGCTTTCCTTCCTAGCTTCAAATGTCATTCCCAGCAGCAGAGCACTCTCACAGTGTCCCTGGAAGTGAGAAGCCCTGAGCCAGAACTTTTATCAGCTTTTCAGTAAAATTATCTCTGCTTAAAATTAATTCTTTGAGTTACTAAAAAATGTCCTACAATCTAGACTCTCAGTTGCCACACACATTGCTCTTCTATGTCACCCCCGACATCATCCTACAATCTTATTTTTTGTCTTGTCAGATAATTCCAGTCACAAGTTAAATACTTAATCAAAGGTCTTCTCTGCTCTTTCCTATTTGTACTACGAAAGTGTTCGTTCCATATGTTTCCGTAACTCTCAGCCCTCGCCTTTTTAACACACTCATGTTTACTATTTTGATATAGATATTTCCCACCACACATAAATTCGTCATAGTACCTCTCGATCTCCTGCACATGATCTTATATATAGTGGGAGTCTGAATCAGTGCTTTGAAATTAATTAGTTGTTAGTACTAATTAGGCTAAAGAAGTGGCCTTTAGTAGGTCCTCAATATAATATTTAATTCTTATGCCTTTATCCTGATTCTCTGAGGGTCTTTATCATAACCTGCACAGCAAACTAATGAAAAGCCTTTACAGCAAAGTATTACTCTCTCCTCCTCAAGGAGAAAGCATAAGCCATTTAGATAGGAAACTCAAAGGAGACTATTCTTTACCTTCATTACTATCTTTATTTCAATCTGTAAGATGATAATATTCAGCATCAGGATACAATAGAGAATATGGGGAGAAGTTTAGCAGAATCATGGATTATGCAGTAGCAAACAGTAGCTTACTAGTGAGGATCTAACTTGACTTCAGTGTTTGACTTGAATTTTACTTATTCTTGGAGCATATGACATAGATGTCCTCTAAATCAAATATGTGTATATTTTTACCCATTTTGCATTATACACACTGCTGCTCCTCTTCATTAACATAGATAATTGAGAAGTGACATACATATTTAAAGACTTTTCTTAGGGCATTTTGAAGTCGAATGATGAGATTAAACCATCTAGAAAATGTATTTATCTAATAACTCATTAAAAGTAGTACCACTATGACCTTTCCTTTTGGCCTTTTGTCATCAAACAAAACTAGTGAATTTCTAGGTTGTCTAGTTACCAAAGGAGTGCTAATTCACAAGAGAACAAACTAAAGATTTACAGAGAATTAGAATTCTTTTGTTGTGCTAAATAGAGTGCATCATTAATCGCAATGAACCTTAAAAGGAAATGAAGCTGAATCAAGATTGAGTAATGAAAAAACCAGGAGAGTATGGCTTCCATCCTGAATAATTAATCAGCAAAGAACTGTGCCAGATTTGAAAAGTACCTGGGATGAAATTAATGTTTTGTGATTGATTTTTGTTTAGTTACACACATAGAGGTATGTGTACACACATGTATGTACATATATTAACTTTACTCATATATAGTTAAAAACTTTTCAAGAATTAATGATGAAATCTCTCTTTTGTGCTCCTTTTTTTTTTGCAGTATTATTCCATAGTGTGTTCATGGATAGACAAAACACTGATAATGTGCAAATATTTCTAACAATAGAAAGAAAACTCTACTGCCATCAGTTACCAGAAAATCTTGCAGGGGTCTAAGTAATATCTAACTTCTATAAACATTTTTTAAAAAGGAAATAAAGGTAAAATATTTCTACCAAGAGCCAAGAATAATTCCTGACATATAGTAAGTTCTCTGTATGTAAATGTTAAGTGGATAAATTCAGAAACTGAGAGTGCTGTATGTAAAATATTACCCAATATAAGTTCAGATTCTGGTTTCTTAACTAGTTTATTCTGCATAGACAATCAGGTAAATAGCTTTTTTAAGGGCAAGCAGATCTCCTTTTAACTTCACTTCCAGCTCTTCTGTTTGTGAACCATTCTGAATCACAAGTGCAATGTCTCTCATTAATAAGTATAACACCTTCCTCATAACCAATTTTCTCTTGTAAAAAAGATCATACTTTTAGCTCCAAGCAGATATAGGTCTAAATCGTAGCTATTTTTCTTACTAATTTGGATCTTATGTATTTTTAATAGCAACTTTATTGAGATATAATTGGTGTATTATAAAATTCACCCTTTTACAGTGTACAATTCAGTGGGTTTTAATATATTTGTAGAGTTGTGCAATGATCAACAATATCTAATTTCAGAATATTTTCATCACTCTCAAAAGAAACTCTGTAGCCATTAGCAAATATTCCCCATTCCATCCTCCTCTGAGCCCCTGGAAAATACTAATCTACTTTCTGTCTCTAGAAATTTGTCTATTTTACACATTTTTGTGAATTTCTTAGGACTTTCTAAATACAAATTTATGTTATCTGCAAATTGAAATAGTTTTCATTTCTTCCTTTCCAATCTAGATGCCTTTTATTTCTTTATCTTGGGTAATATTCCAGGATAGACTCTACAGCGAAATGTACAACAGAAGTGGTGAGAACCGACATCTTTGTCTTGTTCCTTACCTTAGGGAAAAAGCATTTGGTCTTTCACCATTAAGCATGATGTTAATTGTGGGTTTGTCATAGATGTCATTTACCATGTTAAGGAAGTTCTCCATCCCTACCGATTGAGTGTTAGTATCATGAAGTGTTTTCTAATTTTGTCAGGTGCTTTTTCTGCACTTAAGCTAATCTTTTCAAAGTACCAACATTTGGTTTAGTAGATTTCTCTATTGTTTTGCCATTTCTCTTTCATATATTTCCACTCTGTATAATTTATTTCCTTTTGCTGCCTTGGCTTTAGTTTGATGTTTTTCTTTTCTTTTTTTTTTTTTTTTTTTTTTTGTGAGATGGAGTCTCGCTCTGTCACCAGGCTGGAGTTTCAAGCTATTTTGCCTCAGCTTCCCGAGTAGCTGGGATTATAGGTATGTGCCACAATGCCCAGCTAATTTTTGTATTTTTAGTAGAGACAGGGTTTCACCATGTTGGCCAGGATGGTCTTGATCTCCTGACTTTGTGATCTGCCCACCTCGGCCTCCCAAAGTGCTGGGATTACACGTGTGAGCCACCACGCTCAGCCAGTTTGATCTTTTTCTAATCGTGAGGTAGAAAATACGTTTTTAGACTTTGGATCTTTTTGTTTTTGTTTTATTAGCAGTTGTCAACGGTATGCTTCCCCCATGTACTGCTTTGATTGCATTCTCTAAGTTTTGATATATTGTGTTTCATTTTCATTAATCTCAAGGTGTGTTTTAATTTTCCTTGTAATTTCTTTTTTACAAGAAGAAGTTTGGTTACTTAGGCATGTGCTATTTAATTTCCACATATTTCAAATTTCTCAAATTTCTGTTATTGATTTCTAATTTATTTTTATTGTGGTGGAGAAAATGTACCTTTTACAATATCCATCCTTTTAAATTTTTCAAGGCCTTCTTTCTATGGCCTAACATATGATGTATCTTGGTGAATGTTCTAGGGGTACTTGAGAATAATGTATATTCTGCTGTTATTGGGTGTTCAACAGGTAATTCTTAGCTATAGTTGGTTTATAATGTTGTTAAAAGCTCCTATTTTCTTACGATATTATATCTTTATGTTATTTTTATCATTGAAAGTTAGGTTTGGAATCTTCAATTATTATTCAATTCTCAACTTCTCTCTTCATTTATATTTATTTTGGCATCAAATATTTTAGAACTGTCTTGTTAGGTGCATATTTGTTTATATTTTTTATATCTCCCAGATAGATTGACATTTTAATCATGAAACCTTCATCCTTGCCTGTAGTAACTTTTTTCTCAATGTCTATTTTGTCTTCTGCAGTATATTCACTCAAGTGCTCCTTTGTTTATTATTTGCGTGATATATCTTTACTATCCATTTACTTTCAACCTGTTTGCGTTAGTGAGCCATCATTTTAGAAATTATTACTGGCCAGGTGTGGTGGCTCACATCTGCAATCCCAGAACTTTGGGAAGCCAAAGTGGGAGTATTACCTGAGGTCAGGAGTTTGAGAGCAGCCTATACAACATGGTGAAACTCCGTCTCTACTAAAAATACAAAAATTAGCCCAGTGTGGTGGTGGGAACCTGTAATCCCAACTGTTCTGGGGGCTGAGGCGGGAGAATCACTTGAACCTGGGAGGCAGAGGTTGCAGTGAGCCGAGATCACACCACTGCACTCCACCCTGGGTGACAAGAGTGAGACTCTGTCTCAAAACTAAAAACTAAAACATAAATAAATAAGTTAATAATAAAAAAATTATTACTGTCATGTTTTACATTTGATTGGTGTACTTAATCCATTAATATTTCCTATAATTGCTGAAAAAATGAGAATTTCATCTGCTGTTTTACTATTTGTTTCTGTGTCATATTTTTGATCCCCTTTTCCTCCATTACTGCTTTTCCCTCTGAAAATAGGATTTTTTAGTGTATCCTTCAATTTCCCTGTTGTTTTATTTATTACTGAGTTATTTTCTTATTAATCGATCTAGGCATTACAATTAACCTTAATTTCAAACAATCCACTTTGAATTAGCACCAGTGTAATTTAAATAGTATAAAGTCTTTGTTCCTGTACAGCTTCGCTCCCTCTCACTTTTTCCTTCGTGCTTTTATTATTCAAATTACATGCTGGTAAATTATAAGGTCATCAACCCAGTTTTAAAATTATTGCTTTATGCATTTGTCACTTTAGTCAGATGGGAGAAGCAATGAGTTGCAAACTAGTATGCATTTATAAGGGATTTTGTATCTACCTATATAATTATCTTTACTAGTGTTGCTTATTTTTTTTTGAGAATTCTAATTGATGTCCGTTTTTCTTTCATTTTGATTAAATTACTCCCTTTAGTATTTCTTCTCTGGCCAGTCCAGAAGCAATTCTTTCAGTTTTTTTCTTTTTCTCAAAACATCTTAATTTATTTTTCATTTTTGGAGAATAGTTTCACTGGATAAAGAATTTTTGATGACAGATCTTTTTCTTTTAGTATTTAAATACGTGATCCATCTGCCTTCAGGCTGTTATGGTTTCTGATGAGAAGTTCACTGTTAATTTTATCAAGGAGTACTTGTATGTGATTATTTTCCTCTTGCTAGTTTCAATACTCTCTCTGCCATTAATTTTCAATAGTTTGACTGTGGTGTTGTTATCAGAAGGGAGGTCTTGAGTATGAGTTTTACAGGTTCTTGGCATATTGAATAAAGAATTGAACAAAATGCACAAACAAAGCAACAAAGTAATGATACAGCAAAAGCAGTGATTTACTGAAGTGAGAGTACACTCCACAGGGTGGGAGCAGGCTGAGCAAGTGGCTCAGGAGCCTTGATTACAAAGTTTTCTGGGGTTTAATTACCCTTTAGAGGTTTCCTATCGGTTACCAGCTATGTGAATAAAGGATTGGCCTGTGGCCAATTAGAGGCTGAAGTAGATTAACCTGTGGTCAACCAGAGGCTGAGCTGACGCCCTATGCAAATAAAGGAGTGGCCCATGGCCAACCAGAGGTGCTTTCCATTGGTGACACAGTGGAGGGGGGTGGTTTGTAGGGGAAGTGTCTTTTGGTCCCTTGTTAGTTGGGCATGGAGAGGCAGGATTTTCCCTCTGGTCAAGTTCCAGGGAGTCGGCACAAACTGGCTTTAGGTTTCCTGTCTCCAGACCCTATTCTCCTACCACACTTCCCACTGAGAGACGTGATCCCCATAAATCTTTTTGGGAGGCAGAGGGACCAATGATCTTTCTTCTGTAACAGCTTCATGCTGATTAGGGCATAGTTCTTACCTATTGGGGACCATAGAACTCTTGCCCTGCTCTGTCTAGTGGAGACAGGGTAGCTTCTTGATGGCAGAGGAAGGCATTATCACCCAGAACTGGTTGGAAACCCTACACAAGCATCATACAAACATGGAATTGCTTTAAGGGAGAAAGTAAAAAAAAAAAATTGTTTAACGTTTTAAACAAGATTGGACTAAAAGTTAAGGCTAACAGTATTGGTAATAATTGGCACTACCAAAGGAAGTAATGCAGATAGTAACCAGTATTGCCAGGTTCCTGTGAGAGTTCCCAAAGGCTCAGATTTATTTGCCTGGGTACTGATATTCCTAATATATTCTTGTATTAAACCAGACTGACATAAAAGCAACAATCTTCTTTTAACTATAGGCAAGTTCCTCCTTGTCTGGCTGTGAAGAGGTCTAAGGCTCTTTGATATCGCAGGGCTGCCATGGTCAGGGAGTCCAGCTGTTGTTGAAGTCTAGTGAGGCAATCTGCTGTTTTTTGGAGGTATATCACAGTTTCTTTAGGCAGTTTATGCTGGATTCCCAAGGCTCCTCCTCCTGTAGCCGACCCTGCTATGCCCAACATGGAAGATAATATTAAGCCTAGAGGATAAGGAGGCCTGCTTAGCGATGAATTTTGTGATGTTGGTACATGGGGAAAGGGAGAGAGATGTGTTGGCCCATGCAAAAGTTAAATAAGGGAAAATGTTGGCGATGGAATATTTTCCTTTCCATTGTGATGGAAGTTGTAAATATGCTGAAGAAACACAAACCCACAAATTTCCTTGTGAAGGTGAAATTTGGGCTGCAAAATTGTTTTGTAGTAAAGTTGTAAAAGTAGGGGGTTTTTGTTTCAGGTTATCTTGGCTATAACTGATAAGTTTTGTGCAGCCAGGTTTGCAGTGGTTATGGGGTCTAGTAGGGGATGGTAAATTGGCTGGTATTTTTTAGTTCTATGAATTGGGGTCCTCTTTTGGGATCCCCTCACAAGGGGACAATACAAGACATATTGGCTGTTGCAGGAAGTCAGGGACCCCGAACGGAGGTACCAACTGAAGCCATGGCAGAAGAACGTGGATTGTGAAGATTTCATGGACATTTATTAGTTCTGAAAATTAATAATTTTATAATTTCTTATGCCTCTCTTTACTGCAATCTCTGAACATAAATTGCAAAGATTTCATGGGCACTTATCACTTCCCCAATCAATACTCTTGTGATTTCCTATGTCTGTCTTTAATCTCTTAATCCCATCATCTTCGTAAGCTGAGGAGGATGTATGTTGCCTCAGGACCCTGTGATGATTGTGTTAACTGCACAAGTTGTTTGTAGAGCATCTGTGTTTGAACAATATGAAATCTGGGCACCTTGAAAAAAGAACAGGATAACAGCAATGTTCAGGGAACAAGAGTGATAACCTTAAACTCTGACTGCCGGTGAGCCAGGCAGAACAGAGCCATATTTCTCTTCTTTCAAAAGCAAATGGGAGAAATATCACCAAATTCTTTTTCTCAGCAAGGAACATCTCTGAGAAAGAGAATGCATCCCTGAGGGTAGGCCTCTGAAATGGCTGCTTCATGGGTGGCTGTCTTTTATGGTTGCAGCTGTAGGAATGAAATAAGCCCCAGTCTCCAGTAGCACTCCCAGGCTTATTAGGAGGGGAAATTGCTGCCTAATAAATTTTGGTCAGACCAGTTGTCTGCTCTCAAACCCTGTCTCCTGATAAGATGTTATCAATGACAATGCGTGCCTGAAACTTCATTAGCAATTTTAATTTCGCCCCAGTCCTGTGGTCCTGTGGTCTTGCCCTGCCTCCATTTGCCTTGTGATATTCTATTACCTTGTGAAGCACGTGATCTCTGTGACCCACACCCTATTCATACACTCCCTCCCCTTTTGAAAATCACTAATAAAAACTTGATGGTTTTACTGCTTGGGGACATCATGGAACCTGCCAACATGTGATGTCTCCCCCGGACACCCAACTTTAAAATTTCTCTCTTTTGTACTCTGTCCCTTTATTTCTCAGACCGGCCGACACTTAGGGAAAATAGAAAAGAACCTACGTGACTATCGGGGCAGGTTCTCCCGATAATTGGCAATTTCCAAATAATACACTGAGATTGGGTGAACACAGGTAACCTGCATGAGGGCGGCCAGAGTAGAAACTAGAAGTTTTAGTTTTGTCGACAGAAAACAGGGGCTGTGTTGGTCCAGGGACCTGATAAAGTAGAAAATTGTCTTCCTGCTCAAGATTTCTGTTTAGTAATTGAATTCCTGCAGAGGTATTAACTAGGAAATGTAACCCAGCAACAAATATCCAGTTACATTGACTCTCTTGGAGTTCTCCAATGAAAGTAATGGAACTGGCATAGTTACCGCAAAGGCAGAAAGAGAATTGCTCTGGATACAAGCTGAGGTAGTAGAGCATTTTTCCTTTTGTAGTTTTTGACTATGGTTGGTGGCTAAAATAAACAACTTAGAGAACCTGGGACTTGATCCAACAAAATTATTTTTTACTGACCATTGGGCTACATATCTCCATCCCATAGACCAATGAGTTTGTCCCTGGAAGTAGGCTGGGACACTAGGCCAGTCCCCTAACATTACAGGCCTGGTATATCCCCAGCTTTTGGTAGTCATGCAAAGCCATCAGGTTAAGTTTAACAAACTAAAAGAATGGTTAATTATTTCCATTTCTGACAGGCCAATGTCCTTGACAGCTATTAAGGTAGGGCAGTACCAAATGCCAAGAAAATAAAGCTATTGCCTATTTTCCAGATTGGCTTCATCTGGAGTCTTCTGTGGCTATTTTTAAACAGAGGAAAACAATTTGCTTAATTATTACAAAGGAAGTGATTCCATCCATTTGAAAGAAAGCAGTTAAATTGTACAAATATAAAAATGACTATTATTATCCAGCCTACAGTAACTATGAAACAAAAACACCAAGAAAAGTTGGTAGGCATTTACTTATATTTTAGCTGTCTTTTAAACAGGTACTTCAGGTTTTCCACAGGTTCTCAGGTATAGTGGCTGGTGGGAGCTTCAGGTTCCAGGTCCAGGGCTTCAGGTATTGCAGGCTTGACCCTGAAAAGATATATCCAACTATCTAATCCTGGTACTTTGACCATGGAAGGCATGGCCAGCACCACTGAAAACGGTCCCTTCCATTTGGGTTACAATTGTTGAGCAGATGATCCCTCCTTTCATGTTTTAACAAGTACCTTATCTCCTGACTTGATTTTGGGTTGCTGGTTAGTTTCTGATGCAGGGAGCCTTTGAATTCGAAACTTTCGTAACACCTGCTGAAATTGTCCAAGGTTAACTAGGTATTTTACTAAGCTTGCTGCTTCTGGATCAGTAATTAGATCATTAGTTAAAAATGCCCTCTCATATAACATTTAATATGGGCCTGTATTAATTTTTTCTCTTGGGGGATTATGGATTCTTATGAGGGCTACGGGCAGTAAGCTGCCCCAAATTTCTGACGTTTCCTGAACAGCTTAGCTAATGCTTATTCTGGAGTTCAATTAGCTCTTTCTGCTTTCTTGGAGGATTGACGTCTCCATGCTGAATGTAAATAGTATTTGATTCTGAGGGTCTTAGCAAACCCTTGAGTAATTTGGGAGATAAATGATGGGCTGTCGCTTTGGAGGCTCTGGAGTAACTGAAACCCGGGGGATTATTTCTTTTAAGAGAAGCTTCACAACTTCATTGGCCTTCTCTGTTCTGATATGGTAAGCTTCAACCCAGCCAGTAGAAGTATCTATTAGTACTAACAAAAACTTGTATCCTCTACAAGCTGGCATAAGGGTAAAGTTCAATTGCCAGTCTTCCCCTGGGTAAGTTCCCCTTCTCTGGACTGTTCTATACAGGCAGTGTTTTGTTCCCTGGGTTGTTAAATGTCCCAGTGAGCAGTCTTGACAGACCTGCTTAACCACCGAAGCTAAGTTAGGCCCCAGTGAAAAGCCTGTTTATCATGGCCAGGGTGGCATCTTTCCCCATGTGGAAAGAGTCATGAAGGGTTTTTATAATTCTCCATTGGGTTGTTTGTTTGAGGAAGATATACTTTTGATCCCATGTACTACGAGAATCCTTTTCTTTTTCCTTCTTGCTCATTTATTAACTATTCTTCCTATATTTTGTTTTCAGGTTCCACTGGGGAATCACAGAAAGCAGTGCTAGGATCTCTTGGGATTGCACCCTGAGGGCTGTAGCTTTGGTTTCTTTATCATCCTTTCTATTCCCTTGTGCTAAAGGAGTTAAGTCCCTTTGATGACTCCTACAATGAATTACCGCTACTTTCTGGGGAAATGTTTACTAGTTAGTAGTCCTCTTTCTTTCCAAATTGTAGCATGAGCATAAATGCATATTTGGAATCTGTATAGATGTTAAGCTTTTTCCCTTGTCCCAACATTAATGGTTGAGCAAGACTAATGATTTCAGCCTTTTGTGCTGATGTGCCTAGGGGCAGTGGCTGGGCTTTAATAATGGTATTGTGATTTACTATTACATATCCAGCTCTGCACTCCCAATTTGACACAAAACTGCTGCCATCTGTGAATCTGTCATCTCCAGAATCTGGGAGAGGCTGATCTTTTAAATTCAGACTCCATGACATATGTGTGTACAATGACATGCTCACGGGAATGATCAGTTATTGGGCCTATGGGCAGCAATGAACCTGGATTCATGTTGTCACAGGTTTTAAGGATTACACCTGGATTGTCTGTGAGCATGGCCTGGTATTTGGTTAACCTTTCTCCCATCATCTAGATGCGTCCTTTTACTTCTAGGACTGACTATCTGATACGGGGTTAGCCCTTCCAGTGGTTGACTCAGGGTGGCTTCTTCTACTAAAATAGCAGCAGCTGCTATTGCCCACAAGCAGCTTGGCCACTCTGAGGCCACATCTTGTAATGGCCACTCTGAGGCTACTCCTTGTAATTTCTTTGAAAAGTAGGCAGTTGTTCTGTGTTTTGATCCCAATCTCTGGGATGGCACTCCCACAGCTATGCCCTTTTTTCTGCTACAGAGAAGGAGCAGGGCTTAGTGAGGTGTGGGATGCCAAGAGCAGCAGTCTGGCTGAGAGCCTGTTTTACTTGAGGAAGGCTTTTCTCATGTCCAGGGTCCATTCCCTCGGCTCATTTTCTGACCCCCTTGTTGCTTCATAAAGGGGTTTTTCTATGAGCCCAAAACTTGGTACCTATATTCTGCAAAACTTGGCCATTCCCAGAAAGGAATGAAATTGTTGGTTGGTTGTGGGGAGGGGGGAAGCCTAAACTTCATTCTGGGCATATTTGCTGGGCTCTGGCTGCTAAGACATACCCTAAATATTGGACCAATTGGAGGGTAACCTGAGACTATTTTGGACACTTTGTATCTCTCATCTGCCAAGAAATTCAAGGTTTTTATAGTATTATGTTCAGATACCTTCTGGATTGGGCTACCCAGGAGAAGGTCATCCACGTCCTGGAGTATACTCTTGTTATCCAATTGTGGATTCCCTCAGATCCCTCTCTAAGGCTTGTGCACAATAAAAATAAAAATGAAAAAAAGTAGGCTATCTTGAAACCCCTGAAGGAGCACTGTCGAAGTGTATTATTGTTTTACTCTGGTATTAGGATTTTCCCATTCAAAGGGAAAAATGTACTGAGACTCTGGGGCCAGAGCAATGGAGAAGAAAGCATCTTTTAGGTCTAGGACTGAGAACCATTCTGCAACCCCTGGCACCTGAGTCGGGAGAGTATATGGATCCACCACCAATGGGTGGACAGAAATAACAGCCTCATTAATTTTTCCGAGATCCTGTACTTTCGGGTATCCCCCTGAAGCCTTTAAAATGGGTAAAATGGGGGTATTGCAGGGAGAAATGCAGGGTTTCAGAAGTCCACGGACAAGTAATTTCTTAACTATGGGTGCTAAACCCTTTCTTTCTTCCAGCTTAATTGGGTATTGTTTTCAGTTGGGAAAATAGCTGAAGTCTTAGGCTGTATATTTTAACTGAGACTACCATTTTAGCCCTTCTAGGCCTCCCAGTATACCATGTTAGTGGGTTGGCCTGCTTGTTGACATGGTCTGGAATATTGTCTGCATTATTGACCATTAGCAATTTTGCTGGGCGGTGCTTGAATTGCCCCTATAATATCTCTTCCCAATAAGGGGACTGGACAACTTGGTATTATTAGAAATTCCTGCTGGCAAATTCGTTTTTTGAATTGGCAGGTTAGAGGATGAGCAGGAATCTTGTTTGTGGCTTTCCTTTTATTCCCATAACATTTGTGGACTAGGAGGAGATCTTTCCTGCATAAGCAGTAAGGACAGAGTAAATTTCCCCCATATCAAAAAGGAACTGGATTTGGGTGCCCATGATATCCACAGCTACCTGGGACTCATTAGTAGTGATGATGAGGTTCCTGGACAGGGGTGGTGAGGAAGGCCCCAGGCCCCTTCAGTCTTTGCACTGCTAGAGTTTTGACTAACTGAGCCCCTCAGTGGGAGCAGGGGCAGTCAATTCTCCGGTGCCAGGGGTTGTAATGGGGGCCTTTGCACTGAGAGCAGGAGTCTGGCAGGTACTTAGTACAGTCCTTTGCCCAATGTCCATTTTTCTTGTGCTTGAAGCAAGAGCCTTTGCTGGCATTATCCTTACGGCCCTTCAAGTTTCCCTTGGATACTCATTGAACATTCAGAGCATTGTCATAACAGCTGCCATAATTTTAGCTTGCCATTTTTCCTTGCTCTGTTCCCTTTTCCCTTCCTCCAGGTCACATTTGTTATACACCACAAAAGCTGTATCAAGAAACTGATTTTGATTAGTTGGTGGCCACATCTGTACTTCTCGAGTTTATGCCTAATTTCTGGGGTGGAATGGCTAATGAAATCCTGTGCCATTCATACTTTGCCCTTGGGAGAGGAAGGGTCCAGATTGGTGTATTTTTTAAAGGCTTTCCCTAATTTATCCCCTAACCTCCCTTAATTTATCATAATTTACTGCCTTAGTTATTCTTTTTCATTCCTCCAAGGAGGACCTCAAGGAATTTGGCCTGGTTGTTCGTCTCTGTAGGGGTGTTATAGTTCCAATTAGGGTCAATAGTGGGAACTGTGTCTGGGCCTAGGTAATTGCCCTGAGGGTTTCAGGCAAATAAATTGTTTGCTTTCTTGGGGCAGCCTTAAAGATTTGTTCTTTTTCCAAGGAAGTGCAACAGGTTGCTAGAACGAATTGGACATCTCTCTATGAAAGATCAAAGGCTAAGGTCAAAGTCTGGAACCAGTCTGCACATTTTCTGGGATTTTCAGAATAGCTTCTGGGATTTTCAGAATAGCTTCCTGGCTTTTCCTTACATTATTGTATGTTGGTTATGGAAAAGGGGGCTTCCACACAAATGGGGCTCTTGGCTCCTGCTACTTCTCTAAGGGGAAGCAGGGCTGGAGGGGAAGTCTAATAGGGAGTTCCCCTCTGAGTGTGAGGGGACTTGGCTCACACTCAGACTGGTTCTTGATCTTGGGCTGTAACCTCAGGAGCACTTGGCAGGGGGTTACCTGGGGTTGGTTGCAGTTTCCCCTGAGAGACAGATGCCCTTGTAAAAGGGGGTCATCAACAATATCTGGTTCTGCCTCAGGACTTTCTTTTGGGGCAGCTTCTTGGAGTTTTGCAGATTTTTGGGTTTTGATATAGGGCCATGAAGACCTGTACATATGAGATTTCTGACCATTTACCCTGCCTTTTGCAAAATAGGTCTAGTTGCAATATGGTGTTGTAATGAAGACTACTATTGATGGCCCATTGTTCCTGGCTGTCCAGATGATATTGGGGCCATAGAGTATTACAGTAAAAAAGTCAGATGTGGCCGGGTGTGGTGGCTCATGCCTGTGATCCCAGCACTTTGGGAGGACAAGGAGGGCAGATCATGAGAACAAGTAGTCGAGACCAGCCTGGCCAACATGGTGAAACTCTGTCTCTACTAAAAATGCAAAAATTAGCTGGGCACGGTGGTGCATGCCTGTAGTCCCAACACTCGGAAGGCTAAGGCAGAAGAATTGCTTGAACCTGGGAGGCAGAGGTTGCAGTGAGAGGAGATAGCACCACTGCATTCCAGCCTGGCGACAGACTGATACTCCGTCTCAAAAGCCAAAAAAACAAAAAAAAAAAAAACAAAAAAAAAAATTGAGACATTTTCTTCTTAGATTGCCAGGGTCAAATTGATTCCAGTGGTTGAGGATGCAGCAAAGTGGGGAATCAGGTAGAATGAATAGAGAGTTGCCTATAGTCATCTGGAAAAGAAAAGAGGACTTTGAAAAGACAAGGGCTTATTTAGTGACCCAAATTTTACCTGGGGCATCCTGCTGGAAAAATTGGGTCATGTCTGGAGTCCCCAGGGGCATCCTCCTTTAGGGCCCTTTTTTAGTTTGTCAGGCATCTCTTACCTTAGATGGTGGCCAGTGCCACTTTAGAATGGTTCCCTCCACAATTGATGGCCCAGCATGAGTTTCCCTATTGTCTCTGGATGAAGGCCCCAACTCTTGGCATCCTTGAAATGTGATAAGGCTATGCTTTCCCATGCTTCCCATTCTATTAGGGTGATAGCCATAAATTTTAAATGACAGAGACTGAACACTGGGCAGGCTTCTTTTGTAATGGGGATCAAGTGTAATTGCTCAAGAGAGGTAGGATGGATTTTGGGCATGAAAAATGAAATAATGGGGTTGGTTATTCCACTCAAGCCCTTGACAAGGGAGGGAATGGTTAAAAATCCACCACTATGACAGTGGTTCCTGTGTATAGGCAGGCCATTCTATAGAAATAATATGGTAACTACAAAAGAAACAGGCTTTTTTCAGTAGAGGTCCAAGAGGTAGGATGTATTCTAAAGCTTGTGGGCCCCAAAGGTCCTCAGCCAGATTGAGTAGGAGAAGGGAGGTCAAAACACTTAAGAGACATTATCTTCTGGCATCATGGGCACACTTGGGCTCCACAGGAGAATTTTAGCATAAGAAAGAGAGGGTTGAAATCACCTGAAAGGTATGTGAATTTACCTTGGATGAACTGCTGCTCCCAACTGTGTCACACATAGTGATAAGGGACTATAACCAGAAAGGATAGAAAAGAGTCCTTCTCTTTTTTGGGCAGGGCAGCTATCCTTGTTCATTCCTTGGCCTTCAGGTAAAATCAGAGAGTGGCCACAGGACTGAAAAAAAAAAAAAAAAAAAAGGAAAAGGAGACTGAAAAAAGAAAAAAAAGGAAAAGACAAAGTTCCTTGGTGGAACCAGGCAGGGCAGTGGTGGTCAGGCGCTTCTCACTGGAGAGTGGCCCCAGCCAGAGACCTGCAGTTGTCTCCATGCTTAGATGCTGTCCACCAAGAGTCCCAAGTTAGGAAAGGAAAAGGGAGAGAGAGAAAGGGTTTCCCTTTTATGGAGTGGAGGGAGCCTGCATAGGGATGAGTCCATCCCATACCCACAAATGAAGGCTTGACAAAAAGGAAAAGAAAAAGAAAGAAACAAAGAAAGAAAATAAATCCCCAAATTTAGGCTTACCTCCTGACTGGCATGCCAAAATATGTTACCAGAAGGAAGATCTTGAGTGAGAGTTGTACAGGTTCTTGGCATGTTGTACAAAAAATTGAACAAAACGCACAGACAAAGCAACAAGAGAATGAAACAGCAAAAGTAGATATTTATTGAAGTGAGAGTACACTTTTCAGAGTGGGAGCAGGCCTGAGCAAGTCATTCAAGAACCCCAGTTGCAAAGTTTTCTTGGGTTTAAGTACCATTTAGAGGTTTCCCATTGGTTACTCACTATGTTGGTGAAGGATTTGGGGCCACAGCCAATTAGAGGCTGAAGTGAATTGGCCCATGGCCAACTAGAGGCAGTCATGAGTTGGTGCCCTAGGCTTCCAGAGATTCCATGGTTTCTAGAATGCTGGTTTTCAAGGCTTCTGGAGAGAAAAGTTGAAGGAGGTGAAAACAGGACAAATTAGAGCACCATAAGCCTTGCTGTTCTTACTAGGAGTCAGCCATTTAAAAAAAATTTTCATATTTTTGTGGTCCTTTCGTTAATTTTCAGAGTTTTAAAAAACTTGATTTTGATAATTATTGTATCAGAAATCTTTTTGTTCTTAAAAGGGATAGATTGTGGAGGTCCTTATTGTGCTGTTCTGGAAATGCCTCCCTCTTGTGTACATTTTTACATTTTTCTGAGAAAGCATATAATTATCTAAAAAACTGGAATAAAAATATTGTAGAAATTAAGTTAGCTTATATTCAACTTTACATTTACATGCAAGGTGTGTGTGCATATCTATATTTTACTTAAATAATGGTAACAGTCAGTGAATATTTTACATATAGTGATTACTCTTTTAGGTCTTTTTATAGCTAAACTTTGCCTAATGACCCAGGTTTAATTTTGGGTAATCTATAGCTATGGATCCTAAAGAGGAAAATGTATCCCAGTTTGTTTCTTCTTAATCTGTGGGTTACTTATGTAAAAGAAAAGAAAATTTCAAGACGCTCTAAATTTTATTATGCCAACAGGGACAAGGCGGCTGCAATTGTGCTTCTTAGATTACAGATTAACTCTCTTCCTCATTGTTCTAGTTCTGTATATGACTAGGAGAGACAAGAGATCAGATCTTCTCCCCTTCAAATCAGATTTTTGTTATAGATGAACTGCCTCCTTCATTGTTCTGTACCTAACTCAAACTAGATGGTACAAAATACCCCATGGGTCTTCAGTGGAAGATTAAATATATTTTGTGGAATGTTAAATATACCTTTCCCCAGAGAAAAAGACCATTGACTAATTAGATTGTTGGGACTATGCATTAAGCCTTATATACAAAGCCATTGAAATTCCATTAAGCCTCTCTAAACTTTGCCTATATAAATGATCCCAAACTTTAATACTTTGGAATACTGACTTCCATTCTTTTGAATCTATGTTTCCAGGGCTGTTATTCTCAAACTTTGCCCTTAAATAAACTCTCTTTAAACAGATTCTGACCCTTTTAATTATTTGCAGTTGATGCTTGCCTACTACTAAATGAAAATGATACATGTGAATTCAAAACCTCCAACCTCTACCCGATCTCTACTAGATGTGGATATACGTGTAAGGGTGAGCAAAAAAGGAAAGTGTCATCCTTGAAAGTGAAGTGCTTTATTCCCTATTATACTTCATGAATTGGGAACAATTTTCACATTGAATTATTTCTGTGGGGACTTCCCCATTGAACTTCCCCTCTCAGTAAAGTCGTGGTGATGATAGAAGGTTTATTTTCAGGTTAATATTTATGGATATGTCACTTAATTGATTCATTTTAAAACTCTATTGCCTGGAGAATGTCAACAATGAACACACTTGAGCATGAAATAAGAGACTATTTATCCCCTTCATGAAGTGCCTTAATCAAAGTAAATGAGAAAGTAATAAGTAAAGTGAATTAAATGTGAGAAGAGAAAGCATGCAGTAACTTCACAATCTCACTCTACTACCTTTGCCCTAGATGCTGCAGTTATCCTTTCTGTAACTTACACTGAGTTTAATCAGGTCCAGTTTTAATTCTCTCACCTTAGCAGAATCAGTTTGTATTCTTAGTTAACAAGAGTGGACTCAGAGTAAAAAGCCAACACATGAAACGGAAGAAACGATCTGTAAATTATACATCTGATCAGAAGTTAACATCGAGGATATATAGAGATCTACAACTCAATAACAAAAAGCAAACAATCCTATTGAAAGTACAAAAATTAGCTGGGCATGGTGGTGTGTGCCTGTAGTCCCAACTACTCAGGAGGCTGAGGTTGGAGGATTGCTTAAGCCCAGGAGGTGAAAGTTGCCGTGAGCTGAGATCACATCACTGCACTCCAGCCTGGGTGACAGAGTGAGACCCTGTCTTTAAAAAAAAGAAAGAAGAGAAAAAGAAAAAAAAATGGAAAAAGGACAAGAATAGACATTTCTCTAAGGTAGATACACACATGGCTAAGAAGCACGTGAAAAGATGGTAAACATTACAATTATTAGGAAAATGCAAATCAAAACCACATTGAGATACCAACTCATACCCATTAGGATAGCTACTATGAAAATAAAATAACAAGTGTTGGCAAAGATGCAGAGAAATTGGAACCCTTGTGCACCATTGGTGGTAATGTAAAATGGTACAGCCTCTATGAGAAACAGCAGGGCAGTTGGTTAAAAATTCAAGATAGAATTGTCATGTGATCTAGCAATTCCATCTCTAGGTATACACCTAAAAGAATAAAAATTAATGCCTTGAAGAAGTATTTGTACACCCAGTTTCATAGTAGCATTATTCACGCTAGTTAAAATGTGGAAATAATCCAAGTGTTTATGAATGGATGAAAGGATAAACAAAATGTAGTATATACATACAATGCAATAATATTCAGCCTTAAAAAGAAAGACATTCTGACATAAACAAAGTGGATAAACCTTGAGGACATTATGCTAAAATGAAATAAATGAGTGACCAAAAGACAAATACTATATGATTTCATTTTTATGAGCTACCTAGAGTAGTCAGTACCTAGAGATTAAAGTAGAATGGTGGTTGACTAAGGCTGGGAGGAGCCAGGAATGAAGTGTTATTATTTAATGTGTATAGAATTTCAGTTCTGTAAGACAAAAAGGGTTATGGAGATTGATTGCATATTAAAGCAATTGTATTTAACATGAATGGACTATAGACTTAAAATGGTCAAGATGGTAAACTGTATGTTATGTGTATTTTACCAATTTATTAAAGTGCAGACAAACCCCAACCCTCCAAGTTGATATTAGTAAACTTGATGGGCCCAGGAATCTGCATTTTAAACAAACAACACTCCTCCATGCCCCGGCAAGAATCTGATGTGGCAGATGGAAGAGTTCTATTTGAGAAACTGAATGAAGATGATGGAATGAGAATGACAACAATCTTCCAAATAAGTTGCTCTATAAATTACAATGTAATTTGCAAACAGGAAAAAAAAAAGAGACTCGGGCATAGTCGATTTGCTGGGAAAGACTGGAGGTAGGGTGAAAATCTAGGATTGACAAAGATCCAAGTATTTTCTCATAGCATTGAGCAGGCTGAAGGGAGAGTTTTACAGACCTTAATCTCCTTCACTTCCTTCACTCCAATTTGGGCAGAATTGGAGACTCTAGCCAGTTTCAGTGTTCTACTCTATTGAATGAAATAATGGTGGTTGGGCCCTGTCTTCTTGATTAAACGAAACAAATCTGTGAAATATGGGCCCCCACTGAGGACTGGATGGGCAGTAAAATTCCCAGGAAAGCATCTTCCAATGCCTCACTCAAAGGATTCAGAAAGCAGCCAAGATGGAATAGCGAAGAACAGATACTCCCTCTTGCCTGAAACAAACAAAATGGAAGAAAATATATGATGCAATAGTGTTTAGCCAGTGGAAATCAGGCAGTGGAGAACAGTGATCCCTGAGTGACAGGAAATGAATTAGGTGAGCCCTGGGATGCTCCAGTTTACCGCCTGCAGAGTTTCCAGCTGCAGCTCAGGTAACAAGAACCCAGGTAGAGTCCAGTGGAGTCTCTGAACTGCGGACATGGAGCTTAGGGTGCAGGGAAAGCAGGGAAGCTAGAGTTCACAGGACGGGGTACTGGAAGGCAGAGAGAACTCTGGAGATACACAGAGTGAGCCTAGAGTATGCAGCAGAGTACTGATCAGCAAGTGAGGAATGTGAGGAAGCTACTCCAAGTCAGGGGGAAAACACACACACACACACACACACACACACACACACACACACACACACACGAATAGATGAAACAGTACAAACAAATAAGCAAGGAAAAAAAACAGAAATACCCTTCCAATTTAGGTAGGAGAGGAACCAAGGTTCTGTGAGATTTGCTACAACACCATAAAGAGGTACAGTCAGAATTAGCACCCAGGTCTCTCTGACTCACACAACCTTATACTTGTGAGTGCCATTCCTCCTGTTCAAGGGGAGGAATATAAAAAACTTTTCAAATCTATATCTTTGTAAAAGAAGGATGTTGTGACAGAATTAAGGTATTTTTTAAAATTTATAGAGAAGCTCTCAATGTCACCTCTTAGAGCTACCTACTAAATAAAAATGAATCGTTATTGTTATTACCCAATTGAAACTTACTGGAATAATTGTGTTTCTATGGAGCTCAGTAAATTTTTTTGCCAGTTAATTTTCACAGTACTACCATTCTTTAGGGAAAGAATGATTCTTTTCTAATTGATCATAAGTTCTTTCTTGAGCTAACTCTCTACAGTTGACACAATGGGTAGTCCATGTTTTTAAATTCATAAAAAACCATGTCTCCTTGGAAGACCAAAATATGAAAGAAAATATCACAGCACTGACATTGATCATAGTGCATTGTTATGACTGACAGTGAGTAGTGTGGCTTTTCAGATAAAGTTCAGAAGCTGAAGCAGATAACCTTTATGAGTTCGTCTATTCAAGTTTAAATTACTTTTATATTCAAAAAAGTTCAATAGAAAAGCACACCTTTGACACCACTCATGCCATTACAATTTGCAGTAGCAATATGCATTTATCATTTACCTACAATTACTCTTAAAAATAGTTTATTTTCTCTATTTTGAAGGCCTGTATCACTGGATTCATGTTGTAAGAATGACAGCATTCTCTATTCATACTGAAATTTCAGAAACTAAACATTAAATGTCAATTATAGTTCTCTTCATTTTTTAAGAAATATTTTTTACCAGATGTATTTCAAACACATATTAATATTAGATGCTTAATTTCCTTTTTATTTATATCACTTTGTGTAACAATCACTCCTGAAACATCAGAATTCTCATTACTTAGTACTAAAAGATATTCAAGAAATATTGTTGCAGTGGATAGCTAGTCAAGTATGAGCAGGGCAGGAGAGGGCTCCCCTCCTCCACACACCAAATGTGCTGGGAGCCCCTCAGGTGATGGTCAAGTGGTTGTTAACTGTTTCTCTAAAGTAGTAATTGGTCACAGCCGGTGGCAGGGAAAGGCAATCTTCTAATGGAAAACACCTGAAACTGACCAGCAGCTTCCCAGTAAGATCTTAGGAGTGAGGAGAAGGCAAGATCCCAGAAGTATGCCAAAGTATTAAACCCCAAGTCAAGAGGTCAAGCTGTGTACTTGGCTTCTCAAGTCTCCCGCTTGGCCCTCTTCCAGGTTGTACTTCCCTTTGTTTCCTTTCCGTTCTAAAACTTTTTAATAAGCCTTCACTCCTGTTCTGAGACGTGACTCGGTCTCTCTTTCTGCCTTATGCCCCTTAGTGGAATTCCTTATGAGAAGGCAAGAATGGAGGGTGCTGCAAACCTATACAGATTAACCGCCAATGTCTCCGGAACTCGGATCTCTTCCACAGGTAACAATATTGCTTTAAATATTTCTCATAATTATATCATGCTAAAATAAACTAAGTATAACAGGGGTCAAATACAAAAAAAAATTGAAGCTTTTGAATTCTATTTTGCTTTAAAAGTTTCTTTAAATCAAGTATGATTTTTCTGGGTACAATTAAATTATAATTTATTTTCATATTTATATTTAATCATTTTATATAGAATTATTTTATATTTCTAGTACTTATTATTTTAGTATATCTCTTAGGCTTGCTTTATGTCTCACTTTTATAAAAATAAGTAAAATATATATTTGATACATGGTAGTAACTTAGCAAAATGCTCAGGTATAATGCTATTTAAAAATTAATATACCATATTTATATGATAATGCTATAATTTCCTGATAAAATAATACAACCTTTTAATGTTTGGAATTATGGGATTATAAGTGACCTTTATTTTAATTTATTCCCCTTGTTTGAATTTTCAATAGTGAATATGTTCTTTCAAAATTATTTTTATGATAAATTCCAAGTGCATAGTGGAGTACCTCTAGGTTCTCATCATTCATTTCAACAACATCAACATATGTCCAGTCCCTTTTATCTTCACTCACTTCTCCCCATTTCCCCCAACCCCATTCCTGCCACAACTGCTGCCTCAAACCATTCAAAGGATGTTTGGTCAATCCTTTTGTAACAATTTAGTTATGTTCTTTTCCTAAAAAATAAGTGAAAAATTGTTTTAATATGTAAAATATCTACAATAAGATTGATAACTTTTTAAATATCATAAAAATCATTTCAGTTTTCAGTTTCAGTGATTAACTGAAATATTTTTATGTGGATTATTCAAATCAGAAACCAAACAATTTCTATACATACATCTTTTAAGTCTCTTTTATTCTGTAAGTCATTCTCCCTAAACTTTTTTTCTTGGAAATTTTTCTTTAATAACAAAGTTGAACATCCTGTAGAGTTTTCCATATATTGGAATTTGTAATTTCATCCCTCACATTATTAAGCTTTTGTATATCCTGCAAACATTTATTTTTAGAGCCTTGATGAGTATTTGAGTTCTATTTTTAACAAGTACACCTTAGGTAGTATTGGGTAATTCTTATAGATAGCATCAACTCAGAAGACATAGTTTCTTTTTGTCGTATTAAAAATGTTGTATTAGTCCATTTTCACACTGGATAGAGACATACTTGAGACTGGGCAATTTACAAAAGAAAAGTGTATTGGACTTACAGTTTTACGTGGCTGAGGAGACCTCACAATCATGGCAGAAAGCGAAAGGCACATCTCACATGGTGGCAAATGAGAAGAGAGCTTGTGCAGGGCCACTCCCATTTTTAAAACCATCATATCTCGTGAGACTTATTCACTATCATGAGAACAGCACAGGAAAGACCTGCCCCCATAATTCAATTACCTCCCACCAGTCTTCTCCCACAGCATGTGGGAATTATGGGAGTTACAATTCAAGATGAGATTTGGGTGGGGACACAGCCAAACCATATCAGATGTCTTCAGATGCTGTCATTCATACCCACTCATTACAAAATTTCTACTTGATCTTCACTTAATTTTTATAGTTTGCTTAGATTTACCATTTAATTAAAAGTTTCAAGATTATAATCTAATTTTATAAATGCCTTCATTTGTTAGCTGAATTTTGTCTACAAATAAGAACTTTCCCTAATGAAAATTTTGGCTAGCCTATGTTAAGGTACTAAAGGCAGAATACATGTTTAGTCTTTCTTTGGTTTATTTATCAATTTTTAGAAAAATGGTGACCCTATTGCATCTCACCAATGTGGTCAATGGATTTCAGTGACACCTGCTATTAACTTACTGATTTACATATATTTATAGAAACTATTCTTTCTTTTTGTACAACCAGTAGATTTCCTTTCAGTTTGACTGCATAATATTTTAGATATTCCAACAATCTTTGCTGGCTTGAACAGGTCCACATACAATGAACATGTAATGCCTTATCTTCCAAATCAATTCTTTAATAGAATGTTAATAAATAGTATCTTTAGATACATCTAACAAGCCTTACAGAAAACAAATGTTGATATTTTGTGTTAACTTATTTAACTAATTGTATGTTTTATCATAACAAAACCGTGCATAGAGTCAAAACAACAAAATAGATTTATAATATGGAATATTTTTTTCTTTTCTTTTCTTTTTCTTTTGAGACAGAGTCTTGCTCTGTCGCCCAGGCTGGAGTGCAGTGGCGTGATCTGGGCTCACTGCAAGCTCCGCCTCCTGGGTTCACGCCATTCTCCTGTCTCAGCCTCCCGAGTAGCTGGGACTACAGGCACCTGCCACCACGCCTGGCTAATTTTTTGTATTTTATTTAGTAGGGACGGGGTTTCACTGTGTTGGCCAGGATGGTCTCGATCTCCTGACCTCGTGATCCGCCCGCCTCGCCCTTCCAAAGTGCTGGGATTACAGGCGTGAGCCACCGCGCCCGGCCGGAATATTTTTTTCTGCCATTTTTACTCTACTCAAATTCTGCCCTCACATGCTTTCTAACAATTGATTTTGTACGGAGCTTTAGGATGACTCAAAAGAGGTGCCTGGCACTTGTCTCCTCCACAAAGAAGAACCACAACATTAGATTTATGTATAACATAGATCAACAACTTCAAATAATATATTCATACTTTTATTTTCAATTTATCATTATTTCATATCATATACTGACTACTTGCAACAATGAGAATTTAATTCAGTTAAACTACATCTTCATTCACCCTTATCCCAACATAATTATTATTTTCTAGTCTTACGCTGATGATCTCTGCAACATCAAACATTTCTTCTAATAGAGGTACTATCCCTTAACTGCTTTGTACAGTAAATATCTCAAATGTATTTCGGATCTATTCCTCTTCAAGGTCTCATTTTCTGTTGACTGCGAAGTAACAGTTTAGCAATTAATATGCTAATGTGTAGTTTGTATTTAGTTTATGTTCCGTAGGAATAATTTTTATTTTGACAGAGAAAATATTGTATTTAAAACTTGGCTACGCATTTTTATTCATTATGTAATTAAAAAAAAATCTAACCGGGACCAGTGGCTCACACCAGTAATACTAGCACTTTGGGAAGAGTTAGAGACCAGCCTGACCAACATGGAGAAACCCAGTCTCTACTAAAAAAATATAAAAATTAGCTGGGCATGGTGGTGCATGCCTGTGGTCCGAGCTACTCAGGAGACTGAGGCAGGAGAATCACTCAAACTTGGGACATGGAAGTTGCAGTGAGCCGAGTTCGTGCCACTGCACTCCAGCCTGGGCAACAGAGCCAGACTTGGTCTCGGGAGAAAAAAAAAAAAAAAATCTGTTCTATCTTTTTACGAGCTTGCTTTTAAGTACTTATTATGATACTTTAAAAATATTTCTCCTTTTTCCTCTAGTTATATATTATGTCTTCAGTACTATTTCACTTTTTTTTTGGCATTGTTTTTGTTTGTCTTCTTAGCCTGCTAAACTAAAGGCAAAGAACAGGTGTATGGAAAAGACTAAGAAAAGCTAAAAAAAGAGAGAAGAGAGAATATCGTTCATTCTCAAACAGGCCATGGAGTCAGTTCTGTTTTAATAGGAGGAAGAAATATACCTTCACATTACTGTTATTTCAGAAAAAATAATGAATCAAGGAAATATAATCTCGTTCATATAAGTAAATACTCTATTTCTCTAAAGTTTTTATAGTAATACTGAATAATACTCAAATATGAGTACTTGAAATATAGCCACCATGAGTCATTTAAGTAAAAATTGTTTAAGGTTGTTATCACTACATGGTTAAAATTTTAATATGAAGACATTATTCTTTTAACCATGTATTTCTCTCCGGCATAGTGCCTGATTTATTCTCCCAGCTCAGAGATAATCACTTCAGTTGCTAATATTGTATGAAACAGTATCTTCACTTTAATATGTGCTATATTTGTGTATGATATTCAATGTATGTGAAAGGTGAATTATTTTCTATTGCAAGGATGATTTTAAACTGTTCTTTGCAGACTCCTTGAAGGTAAATAATATCCTAGTTCTGTGAAAGGTAAGGTTGTACTTAGAAATTATCTTCTTTTTACAAATAGCATAATTCTTTTAGTATAGAGTAAAAGAGCTTCAATCTAGTCCGTTGTAAACTTCCTCATATCCCACTCTAACAATTTGGCAAGGAGGACTTCACTTGGCTGCTGCTTGTTTTTCTACCAAAGCAAACTTCCCATCTTATCCATGAATAATGAACAAGTAAAACATAAATAATTCAAAGATATCTAAAAATTTGTATATGGATTGTGATTGGTCTTAAGTAAATAAGAAAATTGGGATTTTAATATGTCAGTACTCAATTTAGGAAACAACATTGTGGATTTTAGGCAGAGCATACTCTACAGAAATGTTCAAGGAATTGGTTGACATTTAGAAGGAGTATAATGCAAAAATAAAATTTGCTTTTTGAAACTGTGCCTGTCTCTAACACAAAGGCCCAAACTAACAAATCAACTCAGCCATGCTTGGAGAATTCTACTCCCTTCTGTCTCTTTCTCTTTTATGAACCTGCCCAAAAGCCTAATATGAAACAGAGAAGATGTAAAGCAATATTATTTTCAAAGCGGTAAGGATGTCCAGAGATTATAAAATGTAGATCCTGTCAACATACAGGGAACATTACGTTTGTAATGTATTTTTACTGTGTTATACTCTTGGTTTGTGTATCAGTACTCCCTGAGAGGTCAAACGGGATGCTAGTATGGCCTGTGAGGAATAAAGTCCTCATCCTAATTGGAATCAAGGATTTATTTTGTGTCAGAGATGGAGAAATAGACTTTAGCCAGAATATAACCCAAATAACATTTTACATTGCTTAAACAATCTTTGATCTAATAAATTGGGTAATTTCTGAGTGAGATTTTTAATCTCATGAAACACATACTCTGTGACATTTGACTGGCATATTCAAAAATGTAAAATGTTTACAAGGCAGATAACCTAAAGAGTGTGCAGGATGGATAGAAGGGCCAACGATTGGAGGCACGGTGCAGAACGGGACAGATACAGGTTGGTCAGCCTTGCATGAGTACTGAAAGGGAAAGACAGAAGGGAAGGTGTATATCAAAGGAAGAGTTCATAGCCTTAGGCAAAGTAAAGAGAACTCTATCTCAGAAACGGAGAAACGGGAATACAGGGGTAAGGATAAAAGTTGGATGTTTTGTATGAAAGTCTTTTGGATGGACACTTAAAATTATTACCCAGTGTAAATAAAGGTGTTAAAAGACACACAGACAGGGAGTAGAGAGTGCTAACAAGACAGTAGTTAATATAATGAAGTGTTGGAGTTACAGTCTTCTCAGGGAGACCAACAGGAAGTAGGTTCATAACAGATGTCGATAGAGCTGTCAGAGCTTTTTTATTCTAGACTTTATGCAGAAAGCATAGAAATGACAGCATAAAAATTGAGACTACTGAGATACGGAGTTAGGAATATAAGTGCATACTTTTTTGAAGTGTACTTTAAAAATACATTATGAAATAGAATAGCATACATAAAATTTAATATTAAACCTAATCTAATATTAAATGCCACATGTAAAAGAAAACTAAATATACTTTTTTCTCTCATGAGTCACTTATTCACAAGTGATTTATATAGCTGTTGCATAAATTAAGTATAGATATGTGCATATGTATATCTTTTAAAAATCGATTACCAACACTTTAATTACACTATTAGGCCTCTTTACCTATTTTTTGTATTTATTTGTTTTAAATACGAAGATGGGTCTTGCTATGTTGCCCAGGATGGTCATGAACTCGTGGGCTCAAACGATCCTCCTGCTTTGACCTCCCAAAGTGTTGGGATTACAGGCATGAAGTACTGCACCCACCCTACAGTTTTTAAATGCCTATTTTATAATTTGGTATGAGCGGCAACTATGTACAAATTAAATAAATGGATCATTTCCTTACACAGTCTCTTCTTTAACCTCCGAATACCCGTCAAACTTTAAAGTTAAATATTCCAGAGTTGAATATTTATAATTTTCTCTATGAAATTCAATAGTTGTCAATTTTATACAATACAGTGCTATTCATATGCAAACAACTTCCTCTATTTTATGGTATCGATGTGCACATTTTATGTCTCCTTTTAGTAAAAAATATTCTCAAAGAGCTCACATCTCTGTCTTCCAAATGCCGCTTATATATTTGGCATTCAGAATGCGTTGTTTCTTAGAGGAATTAAATAACTAAAATGCTAAAGGGTTTGAAAAAGAGATACATGAAAAAGATACATTGCTTATGTCTAGTAAAGATGTTAATTTAATGTGTATTTTTGTATCAAAGCTGGAAAAATGTGAACCCCAAACTGCCACCAATAATTGCCCAGCCTCTTAGGTTCAAAAGCCAATTTGCAAGAAGGAAGTAAAGATGCAGAGGTCTTTTATATTCCTTTTTGTTTTCTAGAATAATTATTTTAGCCTGTACATTTTCCATAGAACATTTTGCCTATGTTCAGCTGGGTTTCTGTCACTTGCAATGAAAGACTCCTATAATACATACTCTCTTTTGAAAGAAGTTCTCCAGTTATTGTTAAAGTATATGTTAGAAATGGTGAATTAGATAGAATGATGGTAGTCAAGAATTTTGAAATTGGAATATGCAGAGCAGATATCAGTGTTACGTAATACCTGGTGCCGTAAGAAAGTTTATTATCACCTCAGTGTGAATATATTGCATAAATAGCATTTTACATCTGTATATATTATTCTCCTGAAAATATCAAATAAATTGAACGCATAACAAATTATTTTTATTATAAAATATATCCCTTATACAGAGAAAAATAATGTGTATTATTTTAAAATATAATCAACACCCACATACCTATCCCACATCCTAAGAAATATAATTCACCAACACTTTGAATCTCCCTCTGTGCCTTTTACTTATCAGCCCTTCAAATTTACATCCTACTCTTAAGATTACACTATCTTTAATTTTTGGTTGATAATTTCCCTGCATTTCTTTATAATTTTGATATATGTATAATATACGTTGTTAAATTTTGCCTGTTTATACTTTTTATATTAACGAAAGTATAACATGAAACTACTTGGGCTTGCTTTTATCATAAGACATTATGCTTTTGAGATTAGTCATGTAATCATAGGTTACTATTTTACCAGCTTTTTGCATTCTGCTTTCTAAATATAATACTTAGTAATCTATCCCACTGTTGATAAAGATTTTGGACTCATTATAGTTCTTGATATTAAAACCAGTGCTGCTATGAATATTCTTGAACATGTTTTCAGGCATAGATGTACAATAATATCGTACACATGTTTATAGATTGAATTGCTGGAACATAGAGCATACATATCTTTAATGCAGTTAAGAGTATTCAAATTGTTTTCCAAATTGGTCATATTAATTTATACTCCCCACCTGCAGAATGTGGAAACCCCTGTTTCATTTCATTGCATCTAACACTTGGTATTGTCATTTAATTTTTGCCATTCTGATGAGAGTGGAAGATTATGTCAGGGGGATTTTAATTTGATTTTCTCTAAAAATAATGAGGCTGAATATATTTTCTGTATTTATGAAAGTTCAGTTTTCTTTTCTATAAAATTCCCGTTCATATCTTTTGCCTATTTTTATTGTCTTTTTCTTGTGGATTTCAAAGTGCTCCTTATATAATGCAAATACTAATATTTTGTGACTCTATGTGCTCGATATACCTTTTCCAAGAATGCAGCTTGTCCTTTCAGTCTCTGTCAGGCACAGTTCATAAGTTTCTAGTCAACTTACCAGTATACGTATTACTACTATTGATTTGAGTCTTAAGAAGTTCTTTCCTTCCTGTAAGTCATAAGGATAGTCTCTTACATGGCTTTCTAAAAATTTTTATATTTTTTCTTTTCAAATTTAACTTGTTAATATATCTTAAATTAATTTTTGTATATTGTTTTGGAGTAGAAATTTCATCTTATTTTTTCCATATTAATAAGCAGTTGTCCAGCATCACATATTGAATAGTCGTTTTTATACACACTGATCCCCAATTTGAGCACTTTTGTATCACTATTTTTAAAAAATTATAATATTTTAGGCACATGTATATTTGGAATTTCTATTGCATTGTATTTGCTAATGTGTTTATGCTTGCACCAATAGCACACTGTCTTTATTATTCTAACTTTATACTCACTCTTAATATAGGCTATAGACTTATGTCTTTCAAAATAATGTCTTAACTGTTCTTGGACTTGTCGTTTTCATATAAAGCCTGAGTTAATTTGTGAGATTGCTCATCAACCCCCAAATAAAAAGTGTTTAGATTTTGAGGACGTTATATGAGGAAATTATATTCAGCTAAGATGAACTGATCAAAAGTGAATTTTTTTTTTTTTTTTTTTTTGAGACGAAGATCTCTCTCTGTTGCCCAGGCGGGAGTGTGGAGTGCAGTGGCGTGATCTTGGCTCACTGCAACCTCTGCCTCCCAGGTTCAAGCGATTCTCCTGCCTCAGCCTCCTGAGTAGCTGGGATTACAGGCGCCTGCCACCACGCCCAGCTAATTTTTATATTTTTAGTAGAAACGGGGTTTTGCCATGTTGGTCAGGCTGGTCTTGTACTCCTGACCTCGTGATCCGCCCACTTTGACCTCCCAAAGTGCTGGGATTACAGGTGTGAGCCACAGAACCTGGCCAAAAGTCGGTATCTTTAAAGTATAGCATCTTCCCATTTATACGCATGGTACATTTCTCTATTTATTTATATTTCAGTGTCTGTCAATAAATATCAATTCCTATCTTTAGAAAAAACTAAGGGGATTTCACATTTAGTTTGCTTTATTCCTAAATGGCTTATTGTTTGTATTTTAAATTTACGTTTCATATTAAATCTGTAATTGTTTCTGTTGCTGTAGTGTAAAAATATGACTTTGTTCTGTGTGCCCATGACCTCATTGTCTCTCAAATTTTTTCATTGCTTCTTCATTCATAGCTAAACCTTGACCCATGAGTCTTAAAAAATATATATTTCTGAGGTTTCTTTGAATGCAGGAGTGGATATGAGACCACAGTTCTCTGTAATTATGAATGGTTAGCGGAAATGTGCAGAATTCCCAAGTAAACTCCCTATTAGTCAGGAGTTAGCTCTTTTTTCCCACTTTAAAAAATTCCTTCTCCCTGAACTTTGGACTCAATGGCTAGACATTCCCTTCAGGAAACATTGAATCATGAAGCGGCTTTAGGCTGGAAGCTTCTCACCAAAGATCATAGAGAAAAAAATTAATAGATGGAACATGGGGCTCCAAGAGACTAGAGCTGACACACCTGTCTGCCAGCTGATCTCCAGCCTTCTTTGTCTGTGAGAATCAATATATGGCAATTTTTTAAGTCCCTGTCTTTCCCCAAACAAAATTGCTGACTTTTACATCAACAGTTTTTAATTGTAATAGTATACACATTTATTTAAAAAAAAAAAAAGTCTTTAGGTGTGACTAAAATCAGGACAAAAACATTAAACAAATTTGTTTTCTAAATTAAAAAAACAAAAATCATTACCAAATAAGAAAAGATCGGCAGACATCCGTGTTCTGAAATAACTTTATTTGTGAAATTGTCTTAATCTATAAAAAGTACTACTACATGAAAAAAAGGATTGGAGCATGATGGACTGTTTGCTCTTTAATTTCAACAAATAGAAGATTTCTTCTGGGTCTTTATTATCGTTTATATTAACCTTTAAATGCTAAAAATGAAGTTGAAGCTTCACATGTTTCACTTCTTTTAAGGAAAGCATATATTTGTTATCAGCTAGCCGCAATGGAGTATTTTCTTTGTTAAGAGATACTTGCCATTTTAAAGCTGTACAATATGAAGCAGCATTATAAAATGAAGCATTCAAGTTTTGATGATCTGTTTCCTCTCCATTGACAACTAAGAAAGGCTAAAGTTGTGCAGCTGTTACATTCCCATGATGCATGTACTTTACCTTTATAGAAACCAAGCAAACTATTCCTTTTGGTGTGCATAAGCTCCGAAGAGAGGCGCAAAATAAAGTTCCTGTAATATTCTTTGAATTTTTCTTACAGAATCTCCTTTCCCCCATGCTCACTGGTTTGGGAAAGAAAAATAAATGGATGATTCATGAGGGTTAAACATTGCCAGCTGATACTTTTTACTAGCTGCAGATGGAGCAGTTTCTTTTTAAAAGCAAAGTTCAAGTCTTCACACAAACAACAATTAGAAAAGTTAATGAGTTTCATTTTATTTAAACAATCTTAGTTCAGCTGTGAGGAAGCTCAACCACTGAGTAGGTTATGAGACAACTGTATTTAATTAAATGTTGGTGTCACAAGTGGGCAGCTGCATACACACAATTTTCCAGTATTAAATTTGTTTATACAGACCTTTCATCGAGCACACTTTTTGTCACTTTCTAGCTTTCCTGCTATTTTCCATATTTCCTAGGTGATCTCTGTTTTATTTAGTAACTAAATTATATATTACATGCCTAATATGTGCTAGGCTCTATGGTGAAGCTCAGAAACACAAATTCACCATAGCACAGAGCACTCAGTGATGCAAATTTGAACACTGAGAAAATCATTTGAGAATTGATGCTATTAGGCTACTAAGAAAAAGTAATTAGAGTAAGTCAACATTTTCATAGTGTCATCAGAATGTTTCATAGGTAAGTTATAAGCATGCTTTCAGATATGATGTTACTGAAAATTTAATGGGAAATAAATCTACCATTCTATCACTAAAAACATTTCCAAATAGAAATTTGTAGGCAAGTGTAGAGAAGTAAGAACAATTTGATCATACAATGGTTTGCACATTCTCCTAACTACGTCTCCTAACTACGTCAAAGTTTGCTTTCATTAAAATATACCTCTTTTATAGTACATGATAAAGTATGTTTAGAAACCTGTATAAGTTTTGACTACTTGACAATTGTTTTCTATATTTTAAAAGATCTAAAAAGAGGTGTGATGTGAAGTTTTCCTTTGTACTAAAAATTTTAAGTGTATATATTAATGTAATAATTCACAAACACATGTGAGTTAGATCTTATAAATACCAATGTAACTATAACAAAACTCAGGATGTTTTGTTTAAAGGATGTTTTGTGATAAAATCAGGTTTCCTAGAGAAAATAGCAATACTTATTTAGTAAATGGAGAAAGAAAATAGATGTTGTCCATGCCAGAAGGCTTCGTAATGACAACTGGAATGTTGATGGTTCAAGGAATATTTACTTTCTCATGGGAAAGTCACCCAGTAAGTCCTTTGTTTTTTTAATCAAAACCATTGGTTGATGGGTAAAATTTTAGAAGAAAGTTAACGTATTAATCCATCAACATGTTGGCCTTGAAGATAATATTTCATAACTTATAGATCACAGAATTTAAAAACAGTGAATTAATTTTCCTCCAATAAAGAAGACTTTTCTAATATTTATATTTGAGATATTACAAGAATTTATATATTGCTAATTCTGTTTCTTCAATTGCTTTTCCCAGTTAAATGTACTCATTTACCTACTTTAACAGAAGCCCACATGAGTGATACCTTTGAGATTATCTCCTGCTATAATAAGTGTCTCATATATATATGTTTTAGATAGATAGATACATTGATTTACTGCATGTAACAGACAGTAATTTTGTTATAAAAAGTATGTGTTTCTCTTGCCTTGAATTTGTAAGCTTCAGCACGGGCCTTTGGTTAGCACTGTCATGTTTATTCTGGTGCCCCATATTCCTAATTTATTGTATCTTTGTTTGTTGACCTAACAGTATGACATGCTGGACTCTTTCTGGGGTTTCTCCATTGAACTGTCACAGCCCAACTCACATCCTTGCTATCTCCTGTAGTCTTGAGTATTCTGTTGTCTTTATTCCTATCGGTTTGGCAGATTTTGAAATACTTCCTGAATATAACCTCTAATACATGTGTCTGTTGTAACTCTCAATGATTTTTACTGTCACATATTCTTGACTTTATCTTAAATGCCTAGCTTATTTCTTGGCTCTATTCGAGATCTTACTCATTTCGGTATGAGCTGTCAGGGTTTAGAACACACTTCCCCCAAGTAGGGCATTTTGAAAATTAAAAAAAACTACAGAAGAAAGTAAGTGATTCTGTGAGTTTCTCCTGCTTTTCTCCACTAAGCTTGGCCACTAAATAATTCTCTGACCCACCTCCACTGAAAGCAGGCCATAAAACCTACTCATGTGACATGTGTCCTTCCCTATACCTGGAGGAAAGAAATGAAGAAATAGAGATGCCAAGAAGAATCTGAATACACAGATTTTTTAAAGTGCCCCGATTGTGGGTTTGTTACTATTAGATTATACCCCCTTTCATCCATTCAGACTTCTATATGACTATTCACTCTTCATTAAACTTAAGCATAAAAATAGTTTCCCCTATTTCTTCGGGTCTTCATTACTGAGGCTCCTGTGTCATATAAAACATTGATTAATTTGTTATTTTCATGTCACTGTCTTTTGTTATTGGAGTGTCAGTCATGAACCTTGCCATGGTTAAGGAAAACATCACTTTTTCTCCCCTGCAGAGTCTTGCTCTGCCTTTTGATCTTTGTCTTTGGATCCTAGCTCAACTAATTCTCTCCAGAACTGTTTTCTTCTCAGATTTTGAAAAGGGGAAATTACTTCTACTTTTTTCTCTCTGATATGTGTAAGCATCCCACATTACATTGAACCACATCTACAGATTAGCAGACACATATAGAGAGCCGTTAACTGTGTTATAGAAACCAGGAGCACTTACTCATTTAATGTAAATCAATACTTACTGAAAATCTTTATGCTCAAGACAATTTTCTAAGTACGTATTATGTTAGATAATAGATCTCTACTCATTGGATTTATCTTAATCCATTCTACCTTTGAAAGCTATAAATTTTAGATTATTTTCAATATTTATAGCATGTAGAGATATGAATCTACCTAACTACCTAGAAAGTATCTATGTCCCAAAAAGAGTTAGCATTATATCTAATACTTTTGTAATTTAAAAGCTTTAACAGGTCAGATAAAGTTTCCAGTGGCAAAATGTAAATTAATTCATAATGTTTAATAATGTTTAAAATGGCTGTTCTGTATTCCCAAAAAGTTGATGATATAAATAATGTAATATACAAAAAAATTTTAAGTAAATGATTCATAGCAATAATAAAACATTCAAGTTTGGGGATGCAGTTAAGGAAGTGAAGGGCAAAAGTGTGATTTTCATTTTGAATTTGTATTGCTTAAATATTTTAAAGTATTTTTATAGTATTTTGATTTCATATATTATTTAGCATATTACATATATGGGCAAAGGATATGAACAGACACTTCTTAAAAGAAGACATTTATGCAGCCAACAGACATATGAAAAAATGCTCATCATCACTGGCCATCAGAGAAATGCAAATCAAAACCACGATGAGATACCATCTCACACCAGTTAGAATGGCGATCATTAAAAAGTCAGGAAACAGCAGTTGCTGGAGAGGATGTGGAGAAGTAGGAACACTTTTACACTGTTGGTGGGACTGCAAACTCGTACAGCAATTGTGGAAGACAGTGTGGCGATTCCTCGGGGATCTAGAACTAGAAATACCATTTGACCCAGCCATCCCATTACTGGGTATATACCCAAAGGATTATAAATCATGCTGCTATAAAGACACATGCACACGTATGTTTATTGTGGCACTATTCACAATAGCAAAGAGTTGAAACCAACCCAAATGTCCAACAATGATAGACTGGATTAAGAAAATGTGGCACATATACACCATGGAATACTATGCAGCCATAAAAAATGATGAGTTCATGTCCTTTGTAGGGACATGGATGAAGCTGGAAACCATCATTCTCAGCAAACTATTGCAAGGACAAAAAACAAAACACCACATGTTCTCACTCATAGGTGGGAATTGAACAATGAGAACACTTGGACACAGGAAGGAGAACATCACATATGGGGCCTGTTGAGGGGTGGGGGGAGGGGAGAGGGATAGCATTAGGAGATAGACCTAATGTTAAATGACGAGTTAATGGGTACAGCACACCAACATGGCACATGTATATATATATAACAAACCTGCAAGTTGCGCACATGTACCCTAGAATTTAAAGTATAATAAAAACTATAAAAAAAGAGAGTTATTGGAATTTGCTTCATATTGTGCAACCCCAATGATGGCCTCTATATTTCCCACTTGATAAAGTTAAAATTCCTATATTTGTGATATAGCACTGTGATAAGCACGCTTACCAAAAGGAAGAGTGTTGTGGAAATAATTAGGGTGGAGATGGGAGCAATTTACTTTTGAGTGGTCAGGGAAGGCCATTCTGAGAATACAATGCTTATGATTAGTTATAGAAGGTGAGGCTATTCAGACAAATGTGTAGAGAGGCTGAGGTATGCCAAAAAAAAAAAAATCCAAGGAAAGGGGTAAGGCATGTAAAGTTCTTAAGAGGAGAGAGATAGCTTGGAGATTTAGGAAGCCTGAATAAGAGCAGTGTGACAGACATAATAAGTAGTGAAGTAGAGAGAGGTGCCTTGAGAGGGGTAGCAAAGGCTAGACCATGAAATGCCTTGAAGACTAGTAAGAAGACTGCATTTTATTAACTTTAATGGAAATGTTTGATGCTTTTAAAGGAGAGCATGTCCTCTGACTCTCCCTCTCTAATTTTTCTGTCTTTCTTCCTTTACTTATTTGTTCCTTCCATTTATTTACTTACCAACAAATATTGAGTGTGAACTTGTTGCCAGGCTCTGTGCTATGTATAGAAATACATAGTACACCAGTCAACGTTTTCTGTCCTTGGAATTCTGTTATAGTTGGTTTAGGAGGTCTTTCAGAAGAGGAGTATTATTGATACCCTATTGTTATATCATTAGTATTCTACTCAAATTGATGATCAAGTATTTGAAGACAATAAATTTTGGATTAAAATCACTCTTGTAAACACCAAGCATCCCCTTTTCTGTGGACAACTAATTTTGTTGGTCTGTAGAGAGGAAGAGTCTAAATATGTTAGGCCTTATATATGACCGAGTTTTGCTCTGATTTTTGATGTCTTATGTCACATGAAAGCAGAATGTTCTTAAAAGTGGGAAAAAAGAGGTTCTGAGAGCAGACCAATCATACACTCTCCAGAGATTTTCCTTGTCTATCCCAGCACCTGAAAGATAGTTTAGTCCCCTATTAGCTGAGTTGAACTGAGTCCCAAATGCCACAATGCTCAGCAAAGTCGTTTCAAGCCTGGTAAGAATGAATTATTAATTTGAGATAAAGCATTAGCTTTAGGCAAGAAAGGGTAGAAATTAATCTTCAACTCATACAAGATCAGGAAAGGTAATTAAAATAATGTAAAATTTTGTAAATCTGCATTTGAAAATCACACACACACACACACACACACTCTCTCACACACACAACACAAATAAATTCAATGAAAGTAGAACTGGCAAAAATGATGCTTGAAATTCCCTGTTCCAAGCAACGAAACAATTTTTATTAACCAAAGACTTGCGTCAGCACCCAAGGTTCAATCTTGAAGCTGAGTAGAATCCCTGAAGAGTAAAAAACAACAACTAGAGCAACTGATCTTATTTAAGCTTTAATTAAAGCCACACTCATTAAAACTATGAATCAAATTGTCTCTCTGAGTCTTGGAGAAAGGATGTAGCTTATTCTCACTGGATTTCTGAATTTAACATTGAGCCTAATTGTAAGAAAAAGTACTCGAACAGGAAATCTTCCCAGAGCATTAAGCATGCTCACTAAAATCAGAAGTGTGCATATAGAACTATAGGATGCTAAATGTTCTTTTCTGATTTTAACCTTCCACATTTTCTCTGAAAGGGGAAAATCAAATATTTTAATGATGTGAAAAAAATTAGCTTTATTAAACAAAAATTAATAGCAAGAAACTATCCTCTCCGCCAATGCAGTGAGGCTTTCAGAGGAAATACACTTTTAAATTCATCTGAATCTTATCTTTTTTTTCTTGGTCCCACTTCAACGTAATTTTATTTTGAAAGATATATAACCATATTTCTTCTTTGTCTATTTTACTATGTTATAGGTATTCTATCTATAACAGATGTAAAAGCAGGCCAGCAATTAGGATTGTGATAAAGCAGAATGTTTTCTGTAAGACATAATAAGAAAAAGAAAACATAGTCTGAAAAAAATGAGAAATGCTGAATAAAATATAAATGGAAAGCAATTATTAGTGAATATGAAGTGGGCAAAAATAAAGCTGAGACTTAATTTTTGCAACTAACCTACCAAAGTCACAAGCTTCCCTATGTGACCTCCCATTCTATCTCCCAATTAACTCATTTTTGATTTGAGATCACTTTTCTTGTTTGTTTATTCAAGTATTATCAATTAGCATATGCAAGATGTTCATTACATATTCATACTAAAGCCTCTCTATTTGAATAGTTTTCTCACTGCATTGGATCTTTCTAGGTCACCTTCTCCACTTCTTTACATCTGCTAATTTAAAAAGTTTCCACTAAGCTACCAAATATCTGGCTATTTGTTTATAGCAGCTGACAGGCTTTTTCATGTTAGCAAGACAGGCAGTATTTTCTTCTAACAGTGTTGGGGCTCAGAAAAACAATACCCCAAAATGAAGGACTCAGAAGTGGCCTCTGATGCAAACGTTTTTCTCTGACCTTCTCCTGTCCTTCTGTCTCAGTCCCATTCTCCCATGAAGTTAGCCGTAAAAAGTAGATTTCCTCTTTCCCAAGGTGGGTTGTAGAAACCGGAACCCCTTTTTCTCAAAAGCCAGCCATAAAACCTATGTAAAACTGGCCATTAAAAAATTATCTGACCTACCTTGTTTGATTGTAGGTCATTAGACCCCTGTTCCCAGAGAGGGTCCTGTTCCACACTCAGAAGGAAAGAAATTGTGCTCAGGGAGGCCAACAGGAATCTAGACAGACAGGTCTGACTGGGTTTCCCTATTCCATTTTTTGTCATTAGATTATATCCTTTTTGTCCAATCATATTTCTGCACAACTCCCCATACTTCGTTGAACCTAAGCATAAAAATAGATAATATTCCCTGTGTGTTTGGGTCTTCATTGTGAAGTCTCCCGTGTATACACCTTAAATAAATTTGCATGCCTTTTCTCCAATTAATTTGCCTTTCGTGAGTTGATTTTTCAGTGCACCTTCAGATGGCAAAGGAGAGCTTACTTCCTTGGTGCCTACACTAGCTTTACTGAGGCATAATTGACATAAATAACTGTATATATTTAAGGTGTATAATTTGATAAATTTGGACATATGCAAATACCTGTGATAATATCACCAAAATCAACATGGTAAACATCTCCAACACTTCCCAGAGTTGTTATTCTTGTGCCCTTTGTCTTGTTTTGTTTGTTACAGGAACACTTAATTGAGATCCGTATCTGTCTCCTTAACAAATTTTGAAGTGCAAATTACTGTATTGTTAACTTTAGGCATACTTTTTTTGTTTTGTTTTGTTTTGTTTCTGTTTTGTTTTGTTTTGTTTTGTTTTTGAGACAGAGTCTCACTCTTTTGCCCAGGCTGGAGTGCAGTGGTGTGATCTTGACTCACTGCAACCTCTGCCTCCCAGGTTCAAGCGATTCTCCTGCCTCAGCCTCCCCAAGTAGCTGGGATTACAGGTGCCCACTACCATGCCCAGCTAATTTTTGTATTTTTAGTAGAGACGGGGGTTTCACCATGTTCGCCAGGCTGGTCTCAAATTCCTGGCCTCAAGTGATCTGCCTGCCTCAGCCTCCCAAAATGCTGGGATTACAGGCGTGAGCCACCATGCCTGGCTATAGGCATAATATTTTATAGCTGATCTCTCTAATTTGTTCATCTTGCTTGACTAAAATTACACCACTTGAAAACCAACTCCCCATTTTCCATTCTCTTCCCTCTGAAAATCATCATTCTAGTCTCGGTTTTTATGAGTTTTACTATTTGAGATACTTCATGTAAGTGAAATCATACACTGTTTGTCCTTCTGTGACTGGCTTATTTCACTTTAGCATAATATCTCCCAGTTTCACCCATGTTGTTGCAAATGACAAGATTTCCTTCTTTTTAAGACTAAAATATATTCTATTTTATATGTATACCAGATTTTCCTTATTTATTCATCTGCCAATGGACACTTGGGTTGTTTCCAATCTTGGCTATTGTGAATAGTGCTGCAATGAACATGGGAGTGCAAACGTCTGTTGGAGATCCTGATTTCAATTATTTGGGATATATACCCAGAAGTGGAATTGCTGGTTCATATGGGGACTACGTCAAACTAAAAAGCTTCCGCACAGCAAAAGGGAACAATCAATGGAATGAAAAGGCAACCTACAGAATGGGAGAAAATTTTGCAAATTGTATGTCTGATAAGGGGTTAATTATCAAAATATATAAGGAACTCCTATAGCTCAATAGCAAACAACAACAAAAACAAATAGCCTGACTTAAAAATTGACAAACAACTTGAACAGAAATTTCTCTAAAGAAGACATAAAAATGGCCAACCAAATTATGAAAAGATGTGAAACGTCATTAATTATCAGAGAAATGCAAATAAAAACTACATTAAAATGGCTACTGACACACATCTATATATATGTATATGTATATATATACATATAAAACAAGTTTTAGCAAGATTGTGGGAAAATTGAAATGCTTGTTTACTATTGGTTGGAATGTAAAATGTTGAATCAGCATCAGCTTTGGAAATCAGAATGGAGATTCTTCAAAAAATTAAAAATAAGTAGGCTATATTTTAAAATGTTTTAGGGAGGCTGGGCATGGTGGCTTACACCTGTAATCCTATCACTTTGAGAGGCCAAGGAAAGATGACTGCTTGAGCCCAGGATTTTGGGACCAGCCTGGGTAACATAGAGAGACACTGTCTCTACAAAAAAAAAAATCAATTAGCCAGGCATGGTGATACACACCTGTAGTCCCAGCTATTCAGGAGGCTGAGGGAAGACTGCTTTAGCCTGGGAGGTCAAGGATACAGTTAGCTGTGATCACATAATTACCCTTCAGCCTGTGTGACAGATACAGACCCTGTCTCAAAAAATAATAACAAAATAAAATGTTTTAGGAAACTCGTGGGCTTTCAAAAATTTTATCCACTGCTCTAAATTAGTCTTTTTCATTTTTCAGTTTCCCGTTTTATTGCTATTTATGTAAGTTAATTAGCAGAAGAAAAAATCAGTTTTTAAATATATTATTCTTAATTTATCATGATGGCAATGTAAAACTAACCAACAAGATTTTGTCAGAAAATGGAAAACTTTAAAAAACATTTCTAATATTTATTTAAAATAATTTTCAAAGGTAAATGTAAACATAGTTCTGTTGAAATTTCCTGAAAGGAAAAACTGTTATTAAAAAGTGTTGCAATTTTCATGAATAGACTGTTTTGATGAGTGTTTTCCTGTCTGTATTAGAATATAAATTATAAAGAAATATAGGCTTTTAAATTACTTTAATTGAATTTTTATCTATTTAAATTTAAATTAATCAACATGCAGTTACTGAATATTTACTGTATTCTAAGTTTCAGTCTTGATGCTGAGAAATAATAACCCAGGCTTCCAGCTGATATGCTGTCCTCAATTTACCATAAAATATTTGCTATTTATTTAGAGAATGGCTGTAATATTTATAAAGATGTATGAGAACAAAGAGGAGAAAGTATTTAACTCCTTCATTTGGTAATACTTCAAAGAATAAGTAGCATTTGAACTACTTCTTCAATTGTGAGAAGTTTGTTGTTATATAGGATGATTTGAATGGCAAGAAGATTGTGGTTAAATTATAATTTGAGATAAAATGAAATGTTAAAACAGTAGGGTCAGATAGTAATGGGCATTGTATCAAAGTAATTTTGGCCGCAATAATAAAATACCATTTATTATCTTAACAAATAAAATGTCTGCAGCAGTATGTCCCAGGGTTGGTTCAGTAGTACAACAGTGTATTCTAGGAAACCCAAACCTTGCCATCTGTCCATTCTGCCATCTTGAATATATTGATGCTGTCTCTGTTCTTGGTTTTGAGATGGCTGCATCAGCTCCAAATTGCACATGCTTTTATAGTAATTCAGTTTGTGTCAGACGGAAGTGGCAGAGACAAAAAGAACTTTTTCTTTTTGCATTCTCTCACTTTTTATCAAAGGGCTCTATTGTGCTGTGGTTGACAAGATTTACCTTGGAGATGGCAGTCTTGGGTTTGAATTACAAGAGTTTTATTAACTCTTAATTCATAGAGTTGTTGTGAGAAACACATATGTTAATATATGCAAAATGATTGGAACAATGACTGGCATATAATAAATGTATTTGTTGTCACTACTTTCTTCAGCAGATTTCTTAAGTTCCATCAATCATAACTGAATTGCATAGACATCATATGCTGACTTGCCCAGATTTCACCTTAATAGGTATTAAGTTTGAAACTTCAACTAGAAATCTTTGTTTCTGTGTGGGATGTCCACTAGACTAGGATAGCGAAACTATACAAACTGAGGAATGACGTGCCCATGGAGAAAACTATATTGATCTGAAATATATAAACTAAAATTTGAATATTTAAAAAATATAAACAAAAAATCTAACCATGTGGTATACTCTTTTAAGAGAAAATAGGTAAATAAAAAAGAAGGAAAATATAACATTATATATCACAAAGCTGAAAATTTAAAAGTTTTCCTAATGGTCAATGAATTAACTATGTTGATGCGAAAAATATATTAGAAATGTTCACCCCCAAATTGACTAGTTTGGTCAGTAGACCCTATGACTACCTTTTAAAAACTCTTATTTGATTTGTTTCCTGATTCACACTTGGTGGTAACATTGAAACTATTTAAAACATCAGCATGGACATCTAAATCATGGGTGACAAATTTTAAAAAAAAGGAACATTCTGTTTGAGAGCAAATATTTTTGGTTTTCTTTTTATTTTCTTTTTTTGATTTTGTGTTGGATATTTGTTTCATTGTTTAATTTTGTTCTCACAGAAAATATGGTGTTTACATTTAATCTTTAAGACTTTATTATAACTGCTATATAAATTTTGTGAAGATAAACACCTTGAGCCTTCTCATCAAAAACCAAAATATTGTCATTCCTATTCTTCCTACCTAACAGAGAAACAGTAGATGTAAAAAACGGGGGTGCAAGCGAAATAGATTTAAAAGTGAATTACAATTGAAAAAGAAGTATAATTTGAAAAGATTAACGTTCTAATGTCTTTTAATCATTCAAGTGCTTAGAAGTACAGCTGTTCCTTACTATCCACAGGGGACTGGCTCCAGAACCCCTGAGGATACCAAAAGCTGCAGATTCTCAAGTCCCTGATGTAAAATGGTATGGCATTTGCATAAACTACTCACATCCTCCCATATACTTTACATTATATCTAGATTGCTTATAAAACCTAATACAATATAAATGCTATGTAAATAGTTATGTTTTATTGCTTTTTATTTGTATTATTTTTTATTGATGTGTTGTAATTCATTTTAAATATTTTCAATCCGTATTCAATTGAACCCCCAGATGTGGAAATTGTGGTTACAGAGCGCTACTACAATACTTTCTCTAAAGTGGGTGAGCAATAGTAATTCAGAGATGAATGTTATTGATGTAGAGTAATTCAGAGTATGTAAGGCAAGAAGGTTGTCAAAAAAATAGGCTTCTCATTTTAAAAGGTGTCTGAATGTTAATGTTGAACTTGTATACCTCTGAATTAATCATAATTCCTTCAAGTCCAAGAGATGGCACTTGAAGAATTAAATTCCAAAATATTCTCCAAAATATTTTATTTTTCTCAAGAAAATAAAAATCTAAAGGGATGAAATGATGGATATAGGTACTGTTAAGTCCAAGTGTTTAATGTTTTCAGAAAGCCTACTCTGCCTTTTTTGAGCTCACTTTTAAATTTATTTATTCTACAGTGTTGTGGGAATGGGAGTTGACCTTGTTCTCCAGCAACCTTTAAGGTCATTGTTGGCAGTTTTGGCTTATGTCACCCTCACAGTAGCTACTGGTACATGAAGCTGCATAATATTTTCAGGTAAAAATCACTAGTCCCATTGTTCAGGTAGTCTGTAGAAAAGGCAGGAAGTGGAATACTGGAAGATGTTGATTCAAGGTTGTCTTAAAGTCACATTGTGGAGAATTTTCAGTGCATGTTACAGAATGTGTAATTTACTGGGGATGGGGAAAACTACAAATATTCAGCAGGAATTAAATAGCAATATCTGTTATTAGGAAAATAGTTGTTATAGGTCATATGTAGTTCAATATTCATAATCTTTCTTCTCTGAGAAATCTGAGGTAATTATAGGTAATTATTGCCTCTATAATTTCATAGTTTTTTACCTTGGAATGTTCGTATTTTTTCTATTTTACTGGTATTAAAATCCATTATAAACAGTAGTACATTCATTTACATATCATTTCTCTGAATAGAATGCAATGTACACAGAGGTATTGACTACATTTTATGTTTCCATGTATCTGCTTTTTTGCCTAACTGGTTAGGCATAATGCTACATAATAAACCCAGAATGCTTCTATTAGGAGTAATTGGTTTCATGATCCACATGTTAACCCCTGATACATTAGTATCTATGCATCAAACAAGTTGGTTTACACCACAAAATATACAATTAATAAAAGGTGAAACATCACTTTCTTTTTACTTTGCCATATTTGTATTAATATAGCATATTTCTAAAGACAATTACTGTGACTCTTGAATTTTGTATATGCCTTGTGCATACAAAGTATACAGTAACATTATGATGGATTGAATTTCTTAATTATGGATTAAGATGTCATAGTGTCATCTTTATTTGCATTTTTTCCACTTCAATTGTTGCCATGTGCATAGAGGTATTAAAAATTTCACTAATACACGTATACAGGCTGAAGAAGAAAAATTTTGTAATCAGATAGGTAGGTGCAGAAAAAAGCATTTGACAAAGTCAAACCTATTCATGATTAAAAACGAACAAAATCAGCCGGGCGCAGTAGCTCACACCTGTAATTCCAGCATTTTGGGAGGCCGAGGCGGGCGGATCACAAGCTCAGGAGTTTGAGACTAGCCTGATCAGCATGGTGAAACCCCATCTCTACTAAAAATACAAAAAATTAGCCAGACATGGTGGCGCATGTGTAATCCCAGCTATTCCGGAGGGTGAGGCAGGAGAATTGCTGAATCCGGCAGATGGAGGTTGCAGTGAGCCGAGATCATGCCACTGCACTCCAGCCTGGGCGACAGAGCAAGACTCTGTCTCAGAGAAAAAAATATATATATATCCAAACAAAAAAACTATCAGCTTACCAGGAGTAGAGAATTTCTTTAAGTTGATTAAAAAACAAAAACAAAAACAAAAACAAAACACATCTGCAAAAGATCTATAACTGATATCATGCTTAAGTGGAAAAATGAAATGCTTTCCCCTAATATTGGAAACAAGGAAAATATGTCACTCTTACCACTTCTATTCCACATGGAAATCCTACTAATACAATAAGACAATAAAAGGCAGATGAGAGGAGGGGAGCAGGCACACAGATTGGGAAAGAAGGTTTTTTAAAAAAACCTGTCTTTGTCTACAAGTGGCCTGATTATTTATGTAGAAACCTCCAAAGAATTACATGCAAATAAAATATAAACTACAAAATTTCCTTTAAAAATAAGTAAATATAGCAAAGTTGCAGGATTCAAGGTTAATACACAAAAGTCTGTTTCTTTTCTATATACCAGCAATGAGCAATTGGAATTTGAAATTAAAACATAACACCACTTATATTAACACCAAAAAGAGAAAAATGCTTAGGTATAATTTTATCAATATATGTACAAGATCTACATTAAAAAACTGCCAAGCCGTGATGAAAGAAATCAAAGAATATCTAAACAAATGCATAGATACCTAAACAAATGTTCATGGATAGAAAGACTTGATATTGACAAGATGCCATTTCTTCCCAGCTTGATTCAATACAATAGATCAAATCAATGCAATACCAATCAAAATCCCAGAAAGTTACTTTGTAGATATTTAAAAATTACTCTAAAGTTTATATTGAAAGGCAAAAACCAGAATAGCCCAGAAAATATTGAAGATGAACAAAACAGTAGAATTGACATTATCCTACTTTAAGTATTACTGCGAAGCTGCAGAAGTCAACATGGTATGGTACTGGCAATAGAAAAAGCAAAAATTTCAATGCAACATAATAGACCAGATGAAGACTCATACAAATAAAGTCAACTGACTTTTGACAAAGGAGCTACAGCAATTGTTTGGAGAAGTAATAGTTATTTCAATTAATGGTGCTGGAAAAACTGGACATCCACATGCAAAAAATATTAGAGAGAAAAATCACACATTTCCCCAAAATTAACTCAAAATAGATAATTGACTTAAATGCAAAACTATAAAATGTCTAGAAAACAACACAGGAGGAAATCTGGAATACCTTGGATTGACAATGACTTTTTAGATACAACACAAAAAGCACCACTTATGGATGAGAAAATTGTTATGTTGAATAGCAGTAAAATTAAAAGATTTTTGGCCCTCTGAAAAACCCTGTTAAGCTAATGAAAAGACAAACCAGGGAGTGAAAAATAATGCTGCAAAAAACATATCTAATAAAGATCTGGTATTCAAAACATATAAAAAGTTTTAAAAACTCTGTAAGAACACAAACAACTTTTAAAAAGTGGGCAAAAGATCTAAACAGACACTTTAGCAGAGAAGGTATACGGATGCTTAATATGCATATGAAAAGATAAACCACATCATATGTCACTGGGGAATTGCAAATAAAACAAAGAGCTACCACTACATACTTATTAGGATGACCCAAATCTAGCACACTGACAATTCAAAGTGCTGAGGGAGGATGCACAGCAACAAGAATTATTTACTGCTGGTGCAAATGCAAAACAGTGCAGACATTTTGGAAGTTTCTCATAAAGCTAAACATTAGTTAATTCAGGAGCTATGTTCCTAGGTATTTACCCAAATTGGCTGAAAAAAGTATGTCCACACAAATGTTTATGGCAGCTTTATTAATAGTATCCAAAAATTGAAAAAAACAAGATATCCTTCAACAGATGAATGAATAAACAAACTTATGCTGTATCCATACATTGGAATATTATTTGACAAATAAAACTTCATTATGTATACAACAAATACATACAATTGTATATGTATGTATTTGTAAAATACATACATATACATAATGTATTTATTACACATATTATACATATGTATAATTATTATACATATGTAAATATTACACATATATTTACATATATGTAATATACATATTATACACATGTAAATATTATACATATGTAAATATTATAAATATGTAAATACATATGTAAATATAATATGTAAATATTATTATACATATTATACATATGTATTTGTAAAATACATAAATGTAAAATAAATAAATTTGGGGAAAATTTTTAAAACTATATGAGTTAATAAGCAACAAAAGACATGGAGGAACTTTACATGCCCATTGATAAGTGAAAGAAGCCAAATTAAAACATCTACATGTATGCTGTGTGATTTCAACTACATGAAATTGTGTAAAAGGTAAAACTATGACGACAGTAAAAAGAACAGTATTTGTGTGGTTTGCCAGGGGATGGGGGTTAAGGGGAACACTAGTGGATTACAGGATTTAATGGCATTCTATACCAGAGTGTAATAATGGATACAGGATATTACGCATTTGTCAAAATCCATGGAATGCTACAACATAAATAATGAACCTTCGTATAAACTATGGATTTCAGTTAAAAATAATGCATCAATTAGTTCATCAATTATAAGAAATGTATCACACCATGCAAGATTTTAATAATAGGGGACAGTGGCCTGGGGAGGGAAGGTTAATATATGGGGGCTCTTCACAACGTTTTTTTCTGTAAACCTAAAAGTACTCGAAGAAATAAAGTCTGTTAATGTAAAAAAAAATCACCAGTTACAAGTGACAACGTTACTATTATAGGCTGTAAAATGATATGATTATTGAGAAGCTATTCATAGGCTGTGTCAAGTTGACATGTCACCTTAGATTGCTGGTACAAACACAAGAATAACTTACTATCTTTGACATTCGTCAAGTATTCAGTTTATGTGTTTTTTTAACTACATTGAAGATGTTCTCTGTGTATGATTTCTTCACCTTCTATTTCATTATCTTAATGATGAGTGTCTTCTGATGCATCTCATAATGTAAACATTTTAACATTTGTAACAATTGTAACATTTCTTACAATTAGACATTTCTTGAGACTTATTTTCAGTTCATTCAGTATCTATTATTTTTCATTTATATGTTAATCTGTATTTTCAAAAATTTCACTCAGACATTAAAATGATTGTAGAAATGAATATTTTCTCTCTCTCTTCCTGTGTATTTCCCCCTCTATAGCTTTGTCAATCTATGTATCAATGCATAGAGTTCTCCTTTAAAATATTTTAATAAAGTCAATAATACTTCTAATAAACATTTGCTCAATAACACCGTTTAAGCATTTTTAAAAATTGATATTTTAAACCATCCTGAGGATTAAAAATCTTGAAGTTTATTAAAGTTTAAGGTAAGTCTATGTAATTTTTGCCAGATGAATTTAAATACTGTTTCATCGGTCTTTAAAGGAAAATGTAAAAATGTATAGTGGCATGCATTTAAAAGTGTATAATTTTTCGATTCTAAATACCCAATGTAGTCTTGTTGAAAAATGGAGCACCATATACTATGTGATCTTGACCTTTAGGATCACATATTCTTTGGTATTGAGATAATTTGAAGATTTTCATGGTCTTCTTTGCTGTTCCCAAACGGCATGAAAAATAATAATAATAATTGCTTCAAACAATGTTAGCTTCAAAAGTATTAGTTTCAACCTCTCAAAGTGGATTTGTATTTGACTCTCAAGGAGAAAAAAAATGCTCCACAAAAATATTTATTTCCAAACAAAGTGAATGAAAATATTTTTATGCCTTAATACAGTTTTTGAAACCCTATTTTAAGTAACTGTTTTGTTTATTTGTATCTTGAAATTTTGGAGGTAGAGGTAAAGGAGACAGGGATATTTTTGTTTCTTCCTGAGCACTAAATACTGAATTGGAAAGAATTTAAGTAAGTTGCAGACATATATAATGGAGAAAACTTCTAAATAATGCAAAAATCCTACTCAAAAGAAACCAAGCAGATCAAGACTAATTCTTGGCATACTGCAGTATACAATTAGGATTTTTTCATCCTTTTTATTAGTATCTTTATTTCTTATTCTTTTTCTCTCTTTTCCTGTTGTGACCTTGGGTTGATATTAGTGTTTTCTATTTTGTCTTGCGAGAAAGGAAACGGAGAGTGAAACTATTAAAATTTACATATTAATAAGTCACTGTAGTATTTTTGTAGATAATACAAAATAGAGCCAAAAGAGGGCTACTGTTTCATAAATTGCATTTTATACAATGATAAGTATGTGTTTTCCTCCTTATATTTTTAATTTCCCATTCCACATTGAACAGGAATAAAAGAGGCCATGTAGATGAAGTGTTTAAGATCATCAAATAAATGAAGCAATTAATTCAAAGTGCTAGAGTTTTAATTCAACATCAACACTGATGTCTTTTTCTTTTTTCAACTTTTATTTTAGGTTCATGGGTACATTTGCAGGTTTGTTATATAGGTAAACTTGTGTCATGGAGGTTTGTTGTACAGCTTATTCATCACCCAGGTATTCAACCTAGCACCCATTTTTAAAATTAACTACTAATTATTTTTACTCATCCTCTCCCACCTTGCACCCTCTAAAATGCCCCAGTGTGTGTTGTTTTCCTCTATGTGTTTATGTGTTTTCATCATTTAGCTCCCACTTAAAAGTGAGAACATACAGTATTTGATTTTTTGTTCCTGCATTAGTTTGCTAAGGATAATGGCCACCAGCTCCACCCATATTCCTACAAAGGACATGATCTCATTCTTTTTTATGACTGCATAATATTACATGGTGTATATGTACCACATTTTCTTTATCTATCCTACCTTTGATGGACATTTAGGTTTTGTCCATGACTATGCTATTGTAAATATTGCTGCAGTGAACATACATAAAGAACAGCATGCATGAGTCTTTGTGGTAGAATGATGTATATTCCTTTGGGTATATAGCTAGTAATAGGATTGCTAGGTTGAGTGGTAATTCTGTTTTTCAGCTCTTTAGGAATCACCACACTGCTTTCCACAATGGTTGGACTAATTTACACTCCCACCAACCATGTGTAAGCATTCCCTTTTCTCTGCAACCTCGCCAACACCTGTTATTTTTGGACTTTTTAATAATAGCCAGTCTGACTGGTGTGAGATGGTACTTCATTGTAGTTTTGATTTGCATTTCTCTAGTGATCAGTGATGTTGAGCTGTTTTTCATATGATTGTTGGCTGCATGAACACTTTTGAAAAGTGTTCATGTCCTTTGCCTACTTTTTAATAAGGTTGTTTGTTTTTTTCTTGTAAATTTGTTAAAGTTCCTTATAGATGCTGGATATTAGACCTTTCTTGGATGCATAGTTTGCAAAAATTTTCTCCCATTTTGTAGGTTGTCTGTTTATTCTGTTAATAGTTTCTTCTGCTGTGTAGTAGCTCTTTGGTTTAATTAGATCCTATTTGTCAATTTTTGTTTTTGTTATCATTGCTTTTGGTGTCTTTGTCATGAAATCTTTTCCTGCGCCTATGTCCTGAATGGTACTGCCTAGGTTGTATTCCAGGGTTTTTATAGTTTTCAGTTTTACATTAAAGTCTTTAACCCATCTTGAGTTGAGTTTTGTATATGGAATAAGAAACAGGTACAGTTTCAATCTTGTGCCTATGGCTAGCCAGTTATCCCAGAACCATTTATTGAATAGGGAATCTTTTCCCCATTGCCTGTTTTTATCAGCTTTGTTGAAGATCAAATAGTTGTAGGTGTGCGACCTTATTTCTGGGTTCTCTATTCTGTTCCATTGGTCTATGTGTCTGTTTTTGTATCAGTACCATGCTGTTTTGGTTATTGTACTCCTATATTATAGTTTGGAGTTAGGTAATGTGATGCCTCCAGCTTTGTTCTTTTTGCTTAGGATTGCCTTGACTCTTCAGACTCTTTTTTGATTTCATAGGAATTCTTAAGTAGCTTTTTCTAGTTGTCTGAAGAATGTCATTGATAGTTTGAATGAATAGTACTGAATCTGTAAATTTTGTTTTGCAGCATTGCTGTTTATAAATAACTTGGGTCTACTTAGGAAAATATGTTAAATGCTTCTTTCTGTGATACTTTCCATTTAATGAAAAAGTGAAATGTTTGTCATACATCTTCAAGCATCTATTCAAGAAAAGATGTTTTTCATACATCTTCAAGTATTTATTAAAGAAAAGACTTAGGCTCTTTTGCTGGGTTGCTACTTACACTTTAAAGAAATTCAGCAAAGAATGTCAAATCAGATATAACAGGTCACCAGTTGACCTACATCTATATTCACAACTATAACTTTGTTACAGATTTGGCAGATGGGAGAATCTGTAACAGTCATTTCAAAGATTCTTAAACAAAATGTCTTCATTTTTAAAATAGATATACAAATCTGATTAGTAAATATAGATTTCTGAAAATAATGGAGACCAGTAGATTCATGAAAAGTGACAGCTTTGAACAAATACTATATGGGTGAAAAAGAGGTAAAACAAATCAAATAAAAAAGTAATCCAAGGCAAAATATTTAACTATTTAAAAATTAATAGAACATTATAAAAATAATTTGAGTGTAGATATAAAAATAAATAGTAATTTATTTAGTTTTGTAGTAATAGCACACCATATTTTATTAAATCAGGAATGCTGCTATTCATTTACAAATTTATGTTTTATTAATATTTGCCCTTTCTCATTACATTTCAGATAATTTTTTATCACCAACATAAGTTTGAAAATTCTGAATGGGAATGAATGTGAACCTTTTAGTCAAAAGTACCCTATTCATAGTATTTTTAGCTTATGATAATGGAACTTTCAGTAACTAGGAATCATGCAGGCACAGCAGTCTAAGCAGCACTCTGTAAATTGTGAGCATGCTTCAAGTGCTTGCTCTGACAAAGATATACCATGTACTTTTACAGTCAGGTTAAATATTAAAATGGAAAATTATTTTTTTTTTTTGCTGGAAGAACACTCAAAAACTGTTCATGTATTCTCTGTCTATCCATCTATCTGCATAAAAGTATAACCATATGATGAAGTGTACATATGTATATATACACACACTCATCTTTGTATATATAATTCTAGTTAATTTTTCTGGTTTCTTATGTATGTCTATATACAAACTATGGATTTATGACAGCATTAGGCTGTTGTTAAAGTTACAGGATGAGAAATGCTTATTCCTAGCTGACCAATATTTCTTTCATCATAGAATTTCAAATGCTGTATATATTAGGCCTGTGAGAAGTCAAAAATAACTTTTTAAATTTGAAGAGTAGCTCCCAAACCCTAGTCAGAACCTTTTGAAAATGGTCCTGGAGTTTGTTTTATGAATACTGCACAAGCAAAACTTTTTTTTTTTTTTTTCTAAATCTAAATAATACCAAGAACAATTCTCACTAGTAATGACAGTAATTTCTAAATATCTTATTACATGAAGGGGGAAGATGTGTATGTGTGAAAGGTGGATGGGTGAGTGGGTGGTGGGAAGAGAGAGAGCAAGAAATTGTCTTATTTGGCAATTAAGACAATCTCTCAATTGTCTTGTTCTTTTTAGATAAGACAATTGTTCCATTTCTTACTTGCAATTGCCAAACAAGTAATGTTATGCAATCTGGATAATAATTTTTCCTTTAGAGAGAAGTAAGCAAAAGGGGTTGAAGTTGATGTTTCACCCTCTTCTTTTGCATTAGTCACTCATTTTTAATATCTCATATACATACCACTTAATCAATAGAATTATTTTCCAAAAATATGGCTGCCCATTCTAGGGAGGAGATTAAAAGAACATTAAGGAAGCCCAGTCCATTTTGACATTGCCTTTGAAAACTTTCAAATTAGTGAGAATACAATATTAAATAAATTGTAAAGCCACATTTTATAGTAATCTAAAATCCACTTGCTATTGAATGTCTCATCTCAAGCTGTGTTCATGTCATCAAATGCAGCTCAAAAGAGCATTCTTAGAACTCAAGCATTGAACAACTCATGACAGCATAGCCCGCATAATAAAACACAGCAGAATAAAGACAATAATTTGACCCATACTAACCTTATCCCATTTCCATTACCTGTTTCCCATTATTGAAATATCTATCTTGAAGAATTAAATTCCAAAACTCTTCTCTAATGTATGTACCTGTGCATTTATTTATATTTTTCTCATTTCCAATCATGGAAGTATCAGACTCAGTGTCTCAGGAAAATATATTCTCCTTCAGCAATTTTAGCCAATGCTATCTTTTATAGATTTTTTTCTAATTCTCTAAATATTGATTAATGTAATCCTATTTCACCTGTCTTTTATGTCTTAATTTTTCAACTTGTGAAGCATTAAGGACACATACCAACTAGCACAACACATCCTTCTTACTGATCAAACACAACCTTCTGACTTATCCAAAGTGCCAACCATTTGTTTATTTTCTCTTATCTCCCAATGACTATGCACTGACTGATACTCCAAGTAAAAGTGATGTTCTGACATTGTTGTTGCCAGTTGTATTAGAGAACAGGCATAAGAAGATAAAATGGAAGAAAGAAAATAATAAATCTCAAGTTTAGTTTCACTAGAAAACCAGACAGTCTTGTGGGTTTTGCAACTTTTGTGAATTTAAATGTAATTGGCTTCTCCCCCAAAATGAATCCATCTTAACCGCTGTAGACCTCAAGGGATCCTCCTTTCTCAAAAATATCTATTTTGTTACATATTTTTATGACATACATTGGGAGCTTAATGTGTCACTATGCCTTTTACACTCTGAAAAAATATCATGTACCTTATGCATACAAACTCATGCACATGTCAGCTTTAGCTGTGGTGTTTTAAACACTCCCAACATCTTGAAACATTTAGAATGGGTATTGGCAACATGTTGAATTCTCCAGGTGTTTTAGACAATTCTTTCTTTCTTTCAGTGACTATCCCATATGTTTAAAAACTTCTCATTTCCCTCTTTTCTTTAAGAACATTCTTGGCCCTCTGATGTTCCATTAAGTATTGTTCTCAATCATAATACAACATTGATTACCTATTTTGGGTAGGGTAGCCAACATTTAATATGAGCAATTTCTCAGACGCTATGCTTTTGCATTTCATTTATTTTCCATGTCTTGATCTTGTCTCAGTGTGTCTAAGACCTCAAAAAGAATCCCAAGTTTGTGAGCCAGAATTATAATAACTGCTATTGCTGCTTCCTGTACTAGAATATCTTGCCAATGAGACTGCCTTCTAGGGAAGAGTTTCTCCTTATTTAATCATATTTGTCCTGAACTTAAACTGGTATCCTAAAGTGCATGACTAGAATGATCCAGTAGAGACCAATAGTCTCTTGTTCAGACAACAAAAACTTGCCACCCCTCAACTTTTGAATAATCTGATGCTAAACATGAATTATTCCTTTTTTAATTTGTTTCTATAGCACTAGGATACACAACCAGTTTTCTATATCTGCTTATTGCATGTTTACCTTTTCTGGCATTAAAGTGGAAGTTTTGAATGCTCAGCCTACTTCTTAGTTCATAATATGCAATCTCTGCCACTTGGAAGTATATCATTTTCTGAATTAGTTGTTTTTTACTTTTTATACACTGCTTTGCTTCTTTCCCTACAAAACTAAAAAGAAACACCTAGCATATAAGAAGCATATATCTACTGCAAACAGCAAGATTGAAGTCATAATTGAGAGATTAAGGCCGGGCGCAGTGGCTCATGCCTGTAATCCCAGCACTTTGGGAGGCTGAGGTGGGCGGATCACAAGGTCAGGAGATTGAGACCATCCTGGCTAACACGGTGAAACCCCGTCTCTACTAAAAATACAAAAAGATTAGCTGGGCGTGGTGGCAGGCACCTGTAGTCCCAGCTACTCAGGAGGCAGGAGAATGACGTGAACCCAGAAGACAGAGCTTGCAGTGAGCCAAGATGGGGCCACTGCACTCCAGCCTGGGTGACAGAGAGAGACTCTGTCTCAAAAAAAAAAAAAAAAAAAAAAAGAGAGAGATTGAAAAGTTGGAGTCAGAGGTAAAAACAGAAAATTCTCACTATCTCACTATCATCTAGAACATGAAACCCCTATAAAACAAAATATTGCCAATTTTGTTCTGTTCTTTTAATTCATACAAATGATTTTTTATTTCTTAGTTCATTTTTGACCTGTTTCCAAAATGAATCTGTCTTAACCTACTATAGACATCAAGGGTTCTTCCTTTATCCAAAATTATCTATCTTTTATATAGGTTTTTATAAAATAATTTTCTTTTTCTTTCTAACATAGGTGAGATAGATTAGATGGTTATTTTTATACTCTTAACATGCCAATTACAGATAAGTGACATAACTAAGACTCAAAGTTTCAAAACCTTCCACTATATTACACCACGGATAGAGGCAGGAGGCAGACAAATGCCTAGCAGATAGGGAACTGTCCCCAGAGAAACTCTGACCCGCCCAGGTCATTGTGCATGGGGGGCTTACCTAAATATGCCCATGGTGAAAAATTCTGTCCCTTAACACTTGTGCAGTAAGGGAAATAAATCAATGTGGAGTGTCTCAGACTAAGGACCCACATATGCACTGGAAGAATGAATTGGAGGCACCAGGAATTCATGCCTTATGCAGGGGAGAAGCCAGTCCTCTTCAACGCATGTGTGGTGGCCTGGTATTCAGTTTTGTGAGGTAGAAAATTGTGTGCAGAAACCCTCTCCATACTGAGAGCTTTCCTTTCACTCAATCAATTTTGCCCTCCTCACCCCTCATTGGGCCTGTTTGCCTACTTCTTCCTGGTCATGAGATAAGATACCAGATTTAGCTGAGCTAAGGAGCAGAAAATCCTGCATCACCACTACAAATATTTTATTTGCAAGATAATTAAGCTATGAGTCATTTTTAGAAACTGTCAGTGATTTCTACAAAACAATTTAATGTGTAATTAATTGGAATCTTTTTGAGGTCTGGTGTCCCCACCCAAATCTCATCTTGAATTTTAGCTCCCATAATTCCCACATGTTGTGGAAGGGACCCAGTGGGAGATAATTAAACCATGAGGGCAGTGTCCCCCATACTCTTCTGACAGTAGTGAATAAGTCTCACAAGATCTGATGGTTTGATAAAGGGTTTCCTCTTTCATTTGGTTCTCATTCTTTCTTGTCTGCCGCCATGTAAGATGTGCCTTTTGCTTTCTGCCATGATTCTGAGGACTCCCCAGCCACATGGAACTGTGCATCCATTAAACTTCTTTTTCTTTATAAATTACCCAGTCTTGGGTATGTCTTTATCAGCAGCATGAAAATGGACTAATATAGTAAATTGGTACCTGTAGAGGGGAGCGCTGCTGAAAAGACAGTGGAAAATGTAGAAGTGACTTTGGAACTGGCTAACAGGCAGATGTTGGAACAGTTTGGAGGGGTCAGAAGAAGACAAGAAAATGTGGGAAAGTTTGGTTGACAATGAAATCTAGACTGAGGAGGTCTCAGATGGAGATGGGGAACTTACTGGGAACTGGAATAAAGATGATTCTTGCTATGTTTTAGAAAAAAGACTAGCAGCATTTTGCCCTTGCCCTAGAGATTTGTGGAACTTTGAACTTGAGAGAGATTATTTAGAGTGTCTGGCAAAAGAAATTCGTAAGCAGCAAAGCATTCAAGAGGTGACTTCAGTGCTGTTAAAAGCCATTCAATTTTAAAAGGGAGACAGACCATAAAGGTTCAGAAAATCTGCTGCCTGACAATGTGATAGAAAAGAAAAACCCATTTTCTGAGGAGAAATTCAAGCTGGCTGCAAAAGTTTGTATAAGTAATGAGGAGCCAAATGTTAATCACCAAGACAATGGGGAAAGTGTCTCCAGGGCATGTTGGAGAACTTTATGGCAGACCCTCCCATCACAAGCACAAAGACCAGGAGGAAAAACTGGTTTTGTAGGCTAGTCCCAGGGCCCTCCTGCTGTGTGCGGACTACCAACCTAGTGTCCTGAGTCCCAGCCACTCTAGCCATGGCTAAAAGGGGTCAAAGTACAGCTTGGGCTGTGGCTTCAGAGGGTGTTAGCCCCCAAGTCTTGGCAGCTCCCAGGTGGTGTTGAGTCTACCAGTGCACAGAAGTCAGGAATTGAGGTTTGGTGACCTCCACCTTGATTTTTGAGGATGTATAAAAAATGCCTGGATGTCCAGGCAGAAGTTTGCTGCAGGAGTGGGGTCCTCATAGAGAACCTCTACTAGGCAGTGCAGAAGGGAAACATGGGGTTTAAGCCCCCACACAGAGTCCCCAGTGAGGCACTGCCTAGTGGAGCTGTGAAAAGAGGGTCGCCCTCTTCAGAACCCAGAATGGTAGATCCACCAACAGCTTTCACTGTGCACCTGGAAAAGACTCAGACACTCAGCTCCAGCCCATGAAAACAGCAAGGAGTGGGGCTGTACCCTGCAAAGCTATAGGGGCAGAGCTGTGCAAGACCATGACAACCCACCTCTTGCATCAGTGTGACCTGGATGTGAGACATGCAGTCAAAGGAGATGATTTTGGAGCTTTAAGATTTGACTGCTCTGCTGGATTTTGGACCTTCATGGATCCTGTAGACACTTTGTTTTGGCCAATTTCTCCCATTTGAATGACTGTATTTACCCAGTGCCTGTACTCCCGCTGTATCTAGGAAGTAATTAATTTGCTTTTGATTTTACAGGCTCATAGGTGGAAAAGACTTGCCATGTCTCAGATGAGACTTTGGACTGTGGACTTTCCAGTTAACACTGAAATGAGTTGAGACTTTGGGGGACTATTGGGAAGGCATGATTGGTTTTGAAATGTGAGGACATGAAATTTGAGAGGGGCTAGGGGTGGAATGATATGGTTTGGCTGTGCCTCCACCCAAATCTGATCTTAAATTGTAGCTCCAATAATTCCCACATGTTGTGGGAGGGACCCAATGTGAGATAACTGAATCATGGGGGTGATTTCCCCAACACTGTTCTCATGGTAATGAATGAGTCTTACAAGATCTGATGCTTTGATAAAGGGTTTCCCCTTTCGCTTGGTTCTCATTCTCGCTTGTCTTTCACCATGTAAGATGTGCCTTTTGCCTTCCACCATGATTGTGAGGCCTCCACAGCCACGTGGAACTGTGAGTCCATTAAATCTATGTCTTTATAAATTACCCACTCTGGAGTATGTCTTTAAAGTCTACTTTGGGTGTTGGGAGAGACAAAACACGATAACAGACAAGTCAGGAAGATGAAAATAGATACCTTTGAAAATCTATGATCATCAAAAATATAGACAATCCATCTTGACAAGAAGAATAGACTAAATATCCTTTAGGAATTCACAATTACTCACCTGTTACTACCTGTTTTAGTATGAAAAATAAAAACAGCATAATCCAAAAGCCCAGAGATGAAGTTAAAACAATAATGTGGCCCATGTATAGCAGAAAAAATTAAACTCTTTTTCAATAAACATCCAAACGTGCCTTTTAAGAGTATCTCAGAGGCCAGGGCACAGTGGCTCACTTCTGTAATCCCAACAATTTGGGAGGCTGAGGTGGGCAGATCATGAGGTCAGGAGATTGAGACCATCCTGGCTAACATGGTGAAACCCCGTCTCTACTAAAAATACAAAAAATTAGCTGGGCATGGTGGCAGGTGCCTGTAGTCCCAACTACTCAGGAGGCTGAGACAGGAGAATGGCATGAACCCGGGAGGTGGAGCTCGCAGTGAGCCACGATGGTGCCACTGCACTCCAGCCTGGGCAACAGAGCGAGACTACGTCTCAAAAAAAAAAAAAAAAAAAGTATCTCAGAATAATTTCACTTAAATAGAGGTGCACACTCCAAAATTTAAAATAAATAAGTCAACAAAGTTTTACACCTGCATAAGGGAGAAACATATTTACATATTAGGTTTGCTAAAATTTCAATTATTGGATAGGTTAGATAAATAATATAAAATACCTTCTTAAATTTCTAAAAAACTAGAAAATCTGAGACAACTTTAAAGTACTATTAAAATGCATGGCATTGTTGAAAAAATATAAAATAAATAATAGAAACAAAAATGTAATTTTTAAAAATATAGCTTAAGAAGATATTTGTTTTAATTCATATTTCCTGAGTGGCCTGAAAAGGCCACATTAAGAATTTAATGCAAAAACCTATAAACATAGTATATGAAAATATTTTACAGAAACATATATATTTCTGGGAGGAACCTAACTATGTCTTAGACTTCTAAATATTTCTGCAGACAATGTTTCAAAGAGAATAAGTTTATGGTAAACAAACAATACCTCACTAAACAAAATAATTCATTATGAATGAACCAGTTGGGACATGAAAAACAGCAGAATATACCCACAGAAATTTAGAATTATCAAACTAGAATAATAATGGTTTCACATCATTTGAATTTAGAGAAGCTAAAGTAGATCACATTTAAAAATAAAACGGAATCACTAGAAATTAAAAGTATAATCAGATATAAACAGCAAAGCATTCAAAAGCTAGTAGATGAATTTAACAGCAGATAAAATGCAGTTATGAAATATCTGAAGAATTACTGAGAATCTTTTAGAATTTCAATCCAGTTTGGAGAATCACATTAAAAACAAATTGATAAAATTAAAAAGAAAATCCTCGCTTAGTCACATCATTGTGAAACTACAAATAAAAAAAAGCAAGCACAATATTTTAATACTTATTAGTTCTATTAGACAGTTTGCCAACAAAGAATGAGCAATTAAGATGGCGAAGATAACAAAAATAATAGCTGAAGAAAAAGGAATCATATTTTTCCACAAGTTGAAAATAATTATCTATCAACCAATTTAGAACCAAATAAAATATCTCCATGGCAATGGACACAGAGTGCATACATAATAACTGCTGAGCCCTTTCCTCCTGTAGAGCCCTTACCTCCTCTTCCTAGCAATTTCACTGTGTAGAAAAAGGACACAGTATGTTGCAAATGTTGGTGTAACTGAGATGTTGGGAAGTGTAATAATATACCAATTATCTTTAGCAAGTTGAAGCAAAACTTTCTAATCTTGCCCCCAACCCCAGGATGTGTTTCCCACTAACCTGGTTTCAGAAGCAATTAAGAGTAACATATTCCCATGAACCTTTTCCTGTATTGTTTTCCTTTTTGTTCTCTCTTACTTTGCATGTATATATTTTATTTCCTTTTTAATTCATTTGTTTTCCTTCTCTTTTCATATTTACAAGCCTCACCAGGAATACATATGCAATGTTTAACCTATTATGAAATTTAGAAATAATGAAATATGTGGTAGGGATCAGTTTTACTCCTTCCCTAGCTCCCAAGTGAGTTAGGCAACTATATTATTAATATTGGTTTTGAGTGAAAAACCATAATTGCACACATTGTGATATTTGACATATGTATATGGTTTAGAATGATTTAATCAGCTAACATATCTATCAAAAATTACCTTCCAAGCATGAAGCAAAATAAAAGTATTTTCAAACACAAATTCACCAATCCCAGAAAAATGGAGAGAATTTTCATTGTAGGACATTATGAGGGATCAACTTCAAGCAGAAGAGTAGTTATTCTATGTATAATGCCTAAGATACAAGACATGAAAAGGAGAAAAAGTAAAATAAAAATGTGAATAAAGCTAATTTTGTACTTACTGTACAAAACAATTTTGAGACAATGTCTCCTTCTGTTGTCTAGGTTGGAGTGCAGTGGTGCCATCATGGCTCACTGTAGCCTTGACCTCCCAGGCTCAAGTGATCCTCCTGCCTCAGCCCCCCATGCCACCATGCCTGGCTACTTTTCTTTTTGTAGAGACAGGATCTCACTGTGTTTCCCAGGTTGATCTTGAACTCCTGGACCCAAGCAATCCTCCTGCCTTGGCCTCCCAAAATGATGGGATTATAGGCATGTGCCACTATGCCTGGCCTATGACATATTTTAACACAAATACAATATCAGGGAGGAGTTGATTGAATACATTAACTGAATTTTTGCTTTGATAAGTTAGGTAAGTAATGGTAAAATTTCTAGGACAAAAGTAATATAAATTCAAACACTGCCCAGGCAGGGCGGCTCACACCTGTAATCCCAGCACTTTGGGAAGCTGAGGCGGGCAGATCAGGAGGTCAGGAGATCGAGACCATCCTGGCTAACACGATGAAACCCTGTCTCTACTAAAAATACAAAAAATCAGCCGGGCACAGTGGTGGGTGCCTGTATTTCCAGGCACTTGGGAGGCTGAGGCAGGAGAATGGCATGAACCCGGGAGGCGGAGCTTGCAGTGAACCTAGATCGTGCCACTGCACTGCAGCCTGGGTGACAGAGCGAGACTCCATATTAAAAAAAAAAAAAAAAGAAACTCGAACACTAAATATTCTGTAATTAATAAAATGTACTCAAATCAATGAAAGGTAAGAAAGTCAAAGAGAAAAAAATGACAGAATATAAAAAGAAAAATAAGAATGGCCAACTAAGCTGGAAAGGAATCTGATTCTATTAATAGTAGAACAGGGAATTCAGACCAACTCTAACAATAAAAACAACTGGAAAAATTAAGCAAATTATGAAATGTGGCATTGTAGAGCTAACAATTCTGTAAGAAATCACATGACCAAGACCTTAGGAAGAAAAGCAGACCAGCATCCGGAATTATTTTTCACTTGATCAGAGCTTTCTAATGTAATCACTAGCCAAAAGTGTCTTTCAATCATTTGAGATGTGGCCAGTCCAAATTGAACTGTGATGTAAGTTTTAAATATACAGCAGATATGAAGCCTTAGAATAAAAAATAAGGTTAGTTAATCATTAACAATTTGTATATTGGTTACATGTTGAAATAATATTTGTGATCCATTGAGTTTAAATATTGTTAATATTAATTTACCTTTTTAAAAATATTGTCATTCCAAGCCTTCCAGATAACAGAGATAAAACACATTAATAAAGAATACAGATTTTTAGATGAGATCACAAATTCCTGTCTTCCTCCAGGAATAAGACTAAATTTTAGTTCAAAGGAACTAAAACTCAGCTGTAACCCTTCTCTATCTCTGATTGGATTATGGAGAATTTGGATTAGAAGTCACTTAGTCTAGATTCCTGTGAGAAGCAAATATAAATGCTCTCTGGAAGACTATACTATCAAGCAGAGCTTCAATTTATCTTTAAAATGTATCATATTGAATATTGAGCACTTAATCAGGAATAAACACGAAATTGTAAGCTTTAAGAGAAGCAACAAACAAAGCAGACAAACTAACAAGGAATACAATCAAACAGAATATTTAGAAGTAGATCTTAAAGAAATTTTTTGGTCAACATGTATTATGGAATTATAAGCAAAACTGATACTTTCAAGAAGAAAAACAGTTTATAGAAAATTACGAAAAGTAAACTTTGGAAGTGAAAAATGGTATACATAAAATTAAAAACTCAATTGATGTGTTTAAAAAGAGATTAGATGCAGCTATACAGATAAGTAGTAAATGAAAATAGATCATAGGCAATTATTCATACTGAAGCAAAAAGATAAAAGCTGCAAGATATATAAAAGACAGGTAAATAGATAAGTGTGTTGAACAGCTCTAGTGTACTTGTAACTTAAATTCCAGAAAAACAGGAGAAAGAAAATGGAGCAGAAACAATATTTGAAGAGAAAATAACTGAGAATTTTCAAAAATCAACAAAATATTTTCTTATAGATTTAATAATCAATGAAATCCCAAGCAAAATAAATACAAAGAACACCTTTACATCAATTACTGATAATCAAAACCAGGAGAAAAATTTTAAAACCATTCAGAGAAAAAAATAATGCTGACACCTATTTTAACAAAAATGGTAGAAGAAGTGAAATGATACTGTGGTAGGTAAAACAATGACACCTATAAAGATGTCTAAACTTCAATCCCCAAAAACGATGAATATATTGCATGGCAAAGGGGAATTAAATACAAATAGAATTATGATTGCGAGTCAAATGTCTTTAAATTAGGGAAATGTTCTTGGATTATCTGGGTAGGTCTCACTGAATCACAAGGGTCCTTTAAAGTAGAACAGAGAGGCAGAGGAGAGAGTGAGACAGATGTGAATGTGGAAGCAGTGTCAGAGAAAAACGATGTGAAGAGGTGGTAATACGAGAAGGACAAGACCTGCAGTTGCTGGTCTTAAAAATGTAAAAAGGGGGAACCAAAGGACCCAGGAAACATAGGCAGCCCCTAGAAGCTAGAAGAGGAAAGGAAACAAATTCTCCTCTAGAGCCTCTAGAAAGAAATGCAGCTCAGCTGATATTTTGATTTTAGCCTAGTGCAATTTCTGACCTAAAGAACTGTGAGATAATAAATTTGTCTTGTTTTAAAGCCACCAAATTTATGGTAACTTGTTACAGAGAAAACTAATACAGATACCTTTAAAATTCCAAAACAAATTGCAAACCTAGATTTTTATATTTAGTGAAAATCATATTAAAAATATGAAGGTAACATAATGGCATTTTTATTTTTTAAAAGCTGGAGAAAGTCTGTAACCATCTGACTTGCAATAAGGAAAATAGTAACAGAAGTTCTTCAAGCCAAGAGAAATTGGTTGGAAATGGAAATTTATAGATTCAAACAGGAATGAAAAACAAAATAATGGATAAGTGTGTTGCAAAGTTAAATGTTTATTGATTAATTGAAACAATGATAAAAGAATTCAAATGCATGGTGATAGTAGCATAGATATCAGAAGGCAGGATGAGATCAAGGGAATATTAGGCCTCCTGTTTTTTCCCTTAAAGGAACTTTTATTTGTGAACATGAATTGAGTTATCCCACTTCTAATATTACTGATAATGAGAAATAGATAATACAACTTTTTGGTAGGTATATTTGCAATTATTTTTCTATAGCGTTGACAGCTACAGCTTGCAGACACCTAGATTTATGTTTTATATATATATATAAATTGTGTCTTGTATGTGCCTATTACATATTTCCTATCTTTCATGTATGTTTCCAGAAACGTTCTATAAGCATTCTTAATTCAACATGATCAGTCATTAATTATAAAATAGAAATTATAATGCATGCCTCAAATCTGAGTTGCACATGGTGGTTCTTAGCATGAAAGATAAGCCTGAATATTGTCTTCTTTGGTTCTTCTCTTGTCATCATAGGTTCCTGTTTGCCAAGATTTTTTGTTTGTTTGTATGTTCATTGTTTATGTTTTTAGATGTAAAGACAAAAAATGCTAAGTATCACTTAGCTTGCAGACAAAATATTAGTTTATAATCAGTGTATTAGATTTGTGAACACACTTGTCTAATCATACCACTTATTTAGCAAATATTAAAACTATGTATTTGCAAGGGAATTTAAGTTGCATATAAGGTAATGCAACATTTCAGATACTTATAAGTAATTCAAATAACATAACTTGAATCCAATGTGAATTTTTCAATTTATATGAAATTTCACAATAATAAATGAAAATAAAACATATAAGAATCTATCACAATTATTTGTAGAATAGATACATATGGACAATTTTATTTTAAAATGTGTATTTTTTTCTATAAATCAAATGATACAAACATGGGATGTGAGGATAATTTTATCTCTGTATAACCAAATATGAGATTGTTATAAATATTATTGAACAAAAGATTCTTCTTGAATAATAGAACTCTGCAAGTTTGTTCATGATAGGATTCACCATAAATTATTTGGAAATTTCCTGTGATAGCTGTAATTTTTGGTAAGATAATGGAAGAATAAATAATGAGTCAAAAACTGCTTCATATTATCCTATATTTGAAACACAGGATTTTTAAGTTGTTAAACAAAAATGGTTATAAAACTAAATTTATTTGATAAATAAAATTTATCTATCTTTGAGGTATTCTTCTATCCGATTTTTTAAATGAGATGTTTTATGAATAGAATACTCATAGATTAGAAGAAATGCAAAGAATAGTCAGTATTACTAAAAATAAATATAAAACCACAAAAAGGTTTTATTTGACTCTGGTGTATGATCAGTGTATCTCTATGTGGTTGGTATACTGAACCAAATGATCTTAGTAAGGAGGCTGCTAATGGGTCATAAATTGCCCAGCTTTAAAAGATTCATACATTATTTCTAGTGTATTCTAGCAGGTTATTTTCATTGTTTTAACTATTAAATGAATTCTGTGACAAGAAAAAGAGGAGAATTAGGTGCAAATTAATTAACATTTTTTATTACTGGAACATATGCATCAACTTCAATATTTTTAAAACATGAAATTAAAAAATACAAATCTTCATTTTTATTTAATGATGTGTTTTCCTAACTAAAATGGGAAAAAGCATAAACTTTAGAAAATAAGAATATATTTATTTTTTTCCTAGAAAGAAATATCTTTTTTCCTTAACTTTTAATGATGTCAAATGATTACTTTTCATTATGCAATTTGTGCTATCTGGTTGCTCTATGATTCAAGCTTACCATTTCACATAGACTTTCACTATAAATTTTATTTTGATCTTTATACCATACAATTCAGAAATTCTCATTTTTCAGGGAATCATTCTTCTTTCTCCCATAATTTCTTGCATCAATTACTCTTCATGTGCCTCCTCAGCAGGTTGATTTAAAGTTTTACTGCAAAGTTATTTAATATATCAACATTTCAAATTCAATTCTATATTAAACTCAGTGTCTATCTGCTGCAAGCCTGCTGGATTTAGTTCAAAACAAGCAATTAGTGCAGGTGGATTGCTAAACTGGATACCTTCAGCTAAAGATCAAACCTGGCAATACCACATAAGGACTTGGGACATCAGATTTTGGAAGAAAAAAGCTATCCTAGGGAGAACGCTAGTTTGGAATACCGGGTTTTGGATCTATTTGATCAATTAATTCTCTTTGAGTAACTGATCAAGTTCCTAATCCTGTGCCTCAAACTCTATAAAACAAGAAGCTAAATTCATGGTTCTTCAAAATAAGATATTTTCCCTTGTTTAAAAAGTAATGCAAATAGTTTGCAAAATATAAAGGAGCATAAGAAAACAAAACATTAACCTATCATCTAAGCAGCCAGAGAGTGCTGCCATAAAGAAGAATGAAATCATGTTCTTTGCAGCAACATGGAGATGTAGCTGAAGGCCATTATTCTAAGAAAATTAAGGCAGAAACAGAAAACCAAATATCATATGTCCTCACTTGTAAATGTGGACTGAGCATTGAGAACACATGGAGATAAAGATGGGAACAACAGACACTGGGGAATACTGGAGAGGGGAGAAAGGGATGGGAGGAAGGGCTGAATAACTGCCTATTGGGTATTATGCCCATTATCTGGGTGATGAGATGCCCTAAATCTCAGCATCATGCAATATACCCATGTAACAAACCTGCACATGTACCTCCTGAATCTAAAATGACAATTCAAATTACTTTTAAAAATTTATACACTGAATAAAATCTAAAAAATATATAAACAGCCAGAGAGAATAAATATTATCTTTTTGGGCCAGGTGCGGTGGCTCATGCCTGTAATCCCAGCACTTTGGGAGGCCAAGGTGGGTGGATCACCAGAGGTCAGGAGTTCGAGACCAGCCTGACCAACATGATGAAACTCTGTCTATATTAAAAATATAAAAATTAGCTGGGCATGGTGGCAGGTGCCTGTAATCCCAGCTACTTGGGAGGCTGAGGCAGGAGAATCACCTGAACCGAGGAGGTGGAGGTTGTAGTGAGCCGAGATCATGCCACTGCACTCCAGCCTGGGCAACAGAGGGAGACTCTGTCTCAAAAAAAAAAAAAAAAAAAAAAAAGGTTATCTTTTTGGTGATTTTTATTTGTAAAAATGTGATAATTCTCAATACAATTTTGAACACAGCATTTTTAAAAATTATTCAATAGCATCAATATATTTTAAATGCATTATTTTAATGGTTGCAGAATAATTTCTGTCTGTGGTATAATTTATTTATAAATGTCCTTATATATATTTTCATATTAATAATGCTGAGATAATAAAAATTATTCATACATCTCTATATGTGAGATTATTTCCTTAGTTATATTTTAGATATGTTTTTTAATATATGCTACTAAATTGCTTTTGATGAATTAACAAACCAAATGAGACTGTATTTTTTTCCAAATCTGACTGCATAGTTTCAAACATTGAACACTATTTTCACTATAACATCTTATATAAATTGATAATTAAAAAATTGGTTCTTGTTATTTTCATTTTGTCATTTTTGTTTAGTAGGAAGTAATATATTGAATTTTTTTTTAGCTATTTTCTTTTCCACATAATAATTTTTTCTTGGCCATTTCTCACTCTCTAAAGATGACTGTAGTTTTATTCCTTCTAATTGTGCTTTATAATTGATATATTAACAAATTTAAATCATTTATTACACATATTTGTCTTGTTTCCTTGTAATATTGCTTATGGTATTTTTGGCAAACATAGTTTCAAATTTTACTGCAAATCTATGGTTTTAGATACTTTATATCCTTATAAAACTCTTTGTGTAAAACTTTAACTTCTAAAGCACAATTTTCCCAAATCCTTCATCTTTTCTAAACCACTTCATATTTAATATCCACATTTAAATTAATGAAGGAAGTTAACTCTTTTGTTTGTTGCTCTAGCCTTTGGATGGTCTTTTTCAAACAAATATAACAAACAAAAAAACTTATGTAACAAGAACAACTGCAGCTAGATGAGAGATGTGATTGTCTTCTTGAAACGAAGAGAAAGATAGTGGTTATGTGACTGGAATAAGAAGAAGTCTGGTTTTACTACAACGAAATAAAAACAGCCTAGACCCTCCCTTCCTGCCTCTCACTGATAGAAAGCAGAAGGAGGAGGAAAGAAACAGGTCACTTTACTCTCACCTCCTTGATATGGAGTGAATCTAGTTGAATGAAGTCCCAGAAAAGTCTCATTCAAAACACAGACTTACTTGAGAGAGTACTTTATACTTAGCTTTTAATACTCAACTAACAATAGAAACAAAAATAAATTCAGTTTGCCCCTGAGATTTTTTAGCCTAGGGCAAGAATAGAAATGGGAACTCACATATAATAGGTATAAATACTTTAAATTTTAAATGAAGTCATCAAACTTGTAAGTAAAATATAGCTTAATTTTACACCTTGACAAGTTATCTTTATGTTTACCTGCAAAGCTAAGCTCAAGTTTTTTTTTGTTTTTTTTTTTGTTTGTTTGTTTTGTTTTGAGACGGAGTCTCGCTCTGTCGCCCAGGCCGGACTGCGGACTGCAGTGGCGCAATCTCGGCTCACTGCAAGCTCCGCTTCCCGGGTTCACGCCATTCTCCTGCCTCAGCCTCCCGAGTAGCTGGGACTACAGGCGCCCGCCACCGCGCCCGGCTAATTTTTTGTATTTTTAGTAGAGACGGGGTTTCACCTTGTTAGCCAGGATGGTCTTGATCTCCTGACCTCATGATCCACCCGCCTCGGCCTCCCAAAGTGCTGGGATTACAGGCGTGAGCCACCGCGCCCGGCCAAGCTCAAGTTTTGAGTTCCCTGTTCCTCATATATCCATGACAGAACATAGCAGCAAATGGAGAACTGGCTACTGCCTTCTGGCCTCTAACCCATGGGCCATGCCTCTTTTTCTGCAATCCCATATGTAAATGAGAAGCACCCAAATTAAGCATCTACTCTGCTCATGCCCCACCCCTTTCAAATAGCCACTCTTTGAGACTGGGGCCCAGTATGCACAAATGTTTTTGGAAAGAAGGTACTAGGGAAGAGGGCAGCACAGGAATCAGAAGCAGGGTTAGGGCCTTTTAAGAAGATGCCATGTATCAGAAACATCGTTAAGAATGATTAAGGCAGTTGTGGGAAGCTCCCCTTGGCCTTTTAACTCCTTTCCCCATAGAAAGGTCTCCTTAAATTTCAACATTCACTTAAATGCATATTGAAATTTATATGCATTTAATATAAAGAGAAGGCCTCCTTAAATTTCAATATGCACTTAAATGCATCTGTGCTTATTTCCCTCTTGCCTGTGTTTAAGGATAGTACTGAGATGAGGCACACTTGAAAGGAAGAAAATAAAGGCATAAAGGAAAAACGCTAGGACGTTTTAGAATTATTCTCACTTTTATTGGTTATTTTGGGGTTATTGCAGTCTAAATGATACACCTCTTAGAACCAAATGATGGTAATATATTTAAGACAAACATATGCATAAAATGCTTTAGAAATATGACTGGTGTTACTACATGGCAGTATATCCATCTTTAAACATTTGCGGTACTAATCCCACTGATTAGCTTCCATTTTAAATAGTGACTTACATTCATTAAGGTTCTATTATTTCAGTATTTTGGTTTCAGGCATGGCCATTTCAAAACAACAATTTTGGCACTATAAGGAATGGGATGTTTTAACAAGAGATCATTTTTGTTCCTTCTGGCTTACGTGTAATAAACTCTATGTCTATGCTTGGAAATCATGGAAAAATACAAGTCTGTAACTTGTTAATTTGGTTTATAATATGAATTGTGAAGCAACCACAAAGGAAAATTTATCCTCTAATTGTTTTTTGAGTTACACACTATTTCTATTCTATTACGCTAATTGGAGCTGATATTTCAACTAGTATCCTTAACAGGGAAAAGAAAATGATGAAACAAGTGTGGTACGTTGATATTACAGAATACTACTCAGTGATAAAAAGGAACAAACTACTTATATGCACAAAATCATGGATGAATATCAAAAACATTGTGTTGGACAATGGAAGCCAAATACAAAAGGATTCATATGTCATGATTCCATCAATATGACATTCTAGAAAAATCAGGTCTAACATATAGTGTCAGAAATCATATCAGTGGTTTCCCAGGCACAAGAATTGACTTTAAAGAGGGTACAAGGAAACAAATTATTCTCTATATAGACTATGCTGGTAGTTACAAACAGTTCTTTGAGTGACCTTGGACTGACACAGTTCTCCTCCATTTCTTGCTTGTCATTCTTAGTAATAACTGCAGAATATGCTGGGCATGCAGTATCTTGAGGTAGGGAGGCACTTCCTGAAATAGCTCAAGTCCTGTTCCTTTCCCTTCTAGGTTATGTTCCTTTCTCTCATGGAAACAGGATGTCCTTCAAAGCTTTAGCCCAGTGGCTCACATTGCTCCTGTGGTGAGTAAACCAGGGCAGGCTGCCTTTCAGAGTCCCTTCACTGGGGTCGAAGTGAGGCACCCACAGTTGACAGTCAATTGGCCCAGGGAAGATTTCTTGAGGAATTAGCTCATGGTGGATCCATGGCTGCTTTTGTCCTTGCTGCATCTATCTAATAAATTAACTCCATGTTACATGGCATATATGAGTGTATTATCTCTCATTGAACTAAGCAAAGTTGGTAACCAGTGCACAGGGAACCTGCTTCACAGTGGCTGTATTAATGAAAACATTTGTTTAATGTTGTTCAACGATATACCAAAAATGGTGCATTTTAATGTATGTAAATTACACATAAATGATTTGTATAATGTTATTCAGACAGGAATAGTACCTATGCATAATTACAAGACAGAATCAATTCCCTTGGTTTTTCTTGCTTCACCTTGATCCTTTCCGCCATTTGGAGTCTCATTTGTTAGGAAGTCTGCATAAAACATTTTGTCCATCAGAAAGAAAGAATTCAGAAATCCAGAAATCTTAAAACTATTTTATATGTTTGCATGTTACAGTAAGATCATATATTTTGGATACTTAAAGCATATTACATTTTTGAACTCTAATGAACATACCATACTTTCAAACTCTGATAATCATATCTCTCATTTATATACTATTTTCCAACCAAATGTGAAATACATGTAGGAATCAGAAATATGAAAATGAAAATGTTATTTTCATTGCAATTTTAGTAAATACAAATCGATGATTGATCTTTGTATCCAAAATAGACTTCTTCTTATGACCTATCAATGAGTTTAGACTTCTGTGCATACTATAGGAGAAAGCAGAATTTTAAAGAAGACAAATTAACCCAACTAGTTGGAAGAAAAATTAGTGACTCCTATATAGCACCTTTGGAAAAGATAGGTCAAGAGTTACACAGTAGTGGAAAATGTCACATTCTAACCAAGGAGATATAACAATCTTTCCCCCAAGAAAGAGGCAGCCATGGGTGGAGAGAAAAGCTTGTATAAACACATGAACAAACACTCCCTCAAGGATCAAAGACATATTCCCTTCCTTGGAAAGGGAGACTACACCTCTGTTTATTTGGAGACCTTTATCTGCAGAAAGCAAGCCTATGTGCACGGAGAAACACTATTTCTCTAGATGTGAATATCAAGAGTTCTCTCTTCAGAACAAGACTGCTCTTCTGCTAGCTTAGGAGACTTGTCAGCAGAAATCAGAGATGGGGTAAGATCATTCCATTTTAGGCTTTTAACATTATGGGTCAAAGGAGTGCTCATATACTCAGAGTAACACCTCCTCTCTACAGTATCTGTGCCTCTGCCAGCAGAAGTCAAGTCAGAGAGACACAGACTAACTGAGCTTTAACGTATGGCTTAGCTTTTAGGCTGAAAGCATACTCAGCAAATGAGTGTCAGTGAGAAATAATGAAAAGAGAGAGAGCAAGTGAGAGAGACAACTATGAGATTTCTAATCTATACGACTGTAGGCTAGAAGATGGCATTGTAATGCTTTCAAATTTTGAAAGTAACAGAACTGGGATCCAAGGACCGTACATTCAGCTAAGATATTCAAATATGCAGGCAGAAGAAAGGCAGTTTAGACATTCTAGAAATCAGAAAGTATGCGAATCTTACATTCTTTCCTTAAAAAATTACTCATGAATGCACTCTGAAATCGATTTTCTTAACCTCTATTTTATACTGGCTCTCAGTTGTGCTTATATTATGTCCCAATTGGTCTGAGAGAACAAAAAATTATAATGTGTTTTGTAGTTTCTGCTCTGAGTAACACCTCATTAGTTTAATGCCATATTTTTTGTTTGTGCATCAGAGGTCCAGTCTCCTAAAGAATGGGTGGTATGGAAGTAAATGGACTTTGTGCCTATTTTGGAGGAATAGATCAAACTGTATTATAAAGACATCATTTCGCCCCACCCCACAACCTTTTTATCACTGTTGCCATGCTGTGTGCTCATGCATATTAATAAAACTTATAAATTGAGAAAAACAAGAGGTTTTAAAAGGATCTCTTTCACTGCATGAGAATAGGAACAATGGAAAATGAAGAGTGTGAGAAGACAGTGGGTGGCAGTTATTGCCCTACTCATAGTTATTGAAATCAATTATGAATACCATTCTACAATAAAGGATTGTTCAAGAATTCAAAGAGCTCTCAAATAATGATTATGACTTCAGAAACACAAATGCTTCTTATGAGTTAGGTAAAATATGGTACATGCCCATTAAATTATGTGTGATTGCACAGGGAAATCTTCAATCAGCTTTAATTTAAAAAAAGGATTTGTATTAAAAAGGAGGGCACATGGAGTAGATTGATATGAATTTATAAGGAGCAGTGCCAGGAGGACGAAAGCCTCAAGGGAGAAGTGACTAAGATTTTCAATAATCCTAAAGATGAACAAAAAAGTAGAGGCAAATAAAAACCCCTGTAGAGCACATCTTTTAGTTGTGATTAGAGCTAAACAAATGACAAAATAAAACATGGAACTAATATTTGTGGTGAGTGGCACAATGTTAAATATTAAGAACACTTAATTTCTTCAGTAATACATCAGAAACTAAAAATCAAGCAATCCCAAAATCTGAAAACCATTTTATATTTTTGCATGTTACAGTAGGACCATATATTTTGGACACTTAAAGGATAATACTTTTTTTGAACTTTAATGATATATCGTACTTTTGAACTCTAGTAAACATCTTTTTGTTTCTGCCACATTCATAAAACAAAGTTTGGGATGGATCAAATAAGTACAGATAAGGGTAATTCCCCAATGGCTCTAAATAAGGAAGCAACTTCTCAGACTGTGGAGGTGTTCAAGCGTATTCAAACAACTTGCCTGGATTGGAATGCAGACAATTGCGTAGTCTACGAATTTGAAATAGTGACCTCTAATTGTCTTTTGAAGTTTTAGATTAAAATGCTTTCTAAAGATAAAAAAAAAAACTCATCTATTTTTTTCCTTCCCTTTTTTCCAAATGCTGATAAGAAATACAAATATTTATTGGCATCCATTTGTGTTTCAACTAATAGAACAGTTGTTTCTTCACTAATGCCAGTGAATAAAATGAAATACTTCAAATTGCTGACACCTTTTTTCCTTTAGTTCATAAGAACCAATATGACAGTGAATATCATACTATTTTCCAGGGAAATTATGACTAAAGTATATCATTACTGTCATCTGATGCACTTATGGAAGATTCATTTATCTCCAGGGAGTTACACTTGGTGAAACCAGATTGAAGTGGGTGTGGTCAATGTTTATAAATGTGCTTGATCTGCTAGACATATGGAGGAATATCATATTTGATTCATTCCAAAATGTATCAAATGCAATGTGAATGACAACTAAGCTCTTACTAAAAGAAAAGCCATCTGTGTAAATGTAGACCTAGTTTCAGTGGGAAAAAGAAAGATAATAAACCATCACTTTCATCAGGCTTGCATCTGCCTTTGACTTTGTCTCCTCATTTGTTTTATTTTAGAAAGTTTCTGGCCATTTATTTTTACCAAGTTATTGCCTCTACTTGCCCCTCCTGTAAATACAATGTAATCTTGTTATAATGCTGGAGATAAAGAATGTTTGTGTTTTGAAGTTTTGTGGATGAATTAAATATCGTCAGTATTCCTGTGTGTCTCACATGTAGCTTTTTCATAAGGAAAATAGTGACTTTATTTGCTTTTATCTGGGAATTTCTCAGTATGGAAATGATTATTTAAAATCTCCCTTCCTTTTGCCAGTGAATTGGGAATAAGAAGAGGCTTTAACAGATTTAATTTATGGCAATTAAATTTATGGAAAATAGTTCTTATTTTTAATATTGCTTAGAGATGAGTCAGGATGAAAGAAGGGGAACTGTGTTGATACTCTGATATCTCAATTTCACAGTACCACTTAAAAGAACTATTTCTCTCAACAAATTATGGGCTTATTTTGTTAAACACAGAGTTTTGAGATATACTGCTTTACTTTTCAATTAAAAGTGATGTTCTCCTAAAAAAGAGTACAATTGTGTTGTCATTTCTATTTTGAAGGACACACTCCAAACGATATGTTTGAATCTATGTCCTCTGTACAAATTAATGTTCATTTTTCTTAAATCATATTAAAATTTTACAGTAAACCTAAAGCTGCAGTAAAAAAGATGTTCTCTATTCATTGAGAAACCTTTGTTCATTTCAAAAATGAAAGAAGTTTGTTTCCGGATGAAGATAGGAATCACTGTATTCAGGTTTTTCAAAAATCTTTTTAAAAAGTGGGGGCAGGATGTACTGTAAAAAAGGTTTTATTTTTTCTATATATTTAAATTTTTAAAGCAATTCATTATTTTAGATAAGAAAACACAGATGTAATATTTTCCTCTACTAACTACTAAACCTTTAGAATAATTATAAACATATATTAATGCAGATGAATGATTTGAGCAGGTCATCTCACTGAAAGAAAATTGAGAAAGCAGGACAAAAATTTAAAAAATCAAAAACTAACTGAAAATGTAAGAGCAGGAAGATAGTATAGGATTATAGGGCTAAGATGTAGAAGAAGGAAATCCAGTGAGCTAAGTCTATCATTTTGAGATACCTTTTCCCAAGATGCTAACTGATGCCCACAGACATGGCTAAGAAAATGAACAGATATTGCAACAGTACCTCAAGGCTAGACAAATCAAAATTGCAATAAAACACCCACCAAGCATCTCAAGTATTGGGAAACCTTCCAGACTCATCTATATCCATGAAGAGTGAAACATAAGCCAGCCCTTTTAGAAAGTAAGGCCCAGCTTTAAATCATACCAATTATTGATTAGATTAATATGAGATAGGGTTGCTATTTCCCCTACATCAGCTGCTTGCCAAAAGCAAATGTAAATAATTTCTGGAAGAAAGTAATGTCAACTTCAGGTTATCTATATCACTTTTAGCGTTTGAATTCCAATATTTAAAACCAATTAGACATGTAAGCAGACAAGTTGTTGTGATTGTAAACCAAAGAATCAATATAAGTGGAAATAAACCCATACAGAATCTGACGAAGAATAATGATGGTCAGTAGTATATCTAGGTCTACATCTAACTTGCTGCATTTTTTTCTGCTATTTCTTCTCAAACTTATTTATTAACATTGTGCTAATAAAGCGTTGTTAAAACATTGTGTTAACTCAGAAAAAAATGTAGCTTTCTTTCCTCTTTGCTTACTCTATCCAAAGACATGTAGAATTAAATGCATAAATACTTGTCATCTATTGCTTGTAAACACAACACAAAGTTTGACACAGAGTCTCCCTGGAGTAAGATCAAGGTGTCAGCTGGGGCTTGTGTGACTTGCTGGTAGCACTGGGGAGAATCCATTTCCTTCTATTTTTCAGCTTCTAGAGGACATCCACATTCCTTGGCTTGTGGTACCTTCTACATCTTCAAATCCAGCAATGGAGAGTTGGGTCTTTTTCACATCACAACTATAGCTGACCCTTTTCTACTACCCCTACCCCTTTTTCTTCCATTTTAAGAAATCATGTCTTAGATGGGGCCACTCAGACAATCCAGGATCATCTTCTTCATTTTAAAGTGACCTGATTATCAGTTTGAAAATATTTTAATTTTATTAAAGATTTTTGTTTTTCATGTAGTGTTATTTGTCTTATTTTAATTTATGCTACAATAATATTATACATCCTCTCAAAAGTTCCCATTAAATACTGTGATATGAGACATTCAGTTATTATTTGATGAAAAACTAAATTGACAAATTCAATGAATAATATGGGTAAAACTTAGATCAGCAAAAAAGCATTTTCTAAGTATTGACTATGAAATACTTTTTATATGTGTGACCACATTTTTAATGTTAAGGATTAGTTACTTTTTATTTTACTTTTTGTAGTTTTGTAGTTTTTTACTTTTATTTTACTTTTTGTAGTTTTCTTCAGCTGTGATGAGAAAATGTTTAATTAGCTTATGATTTCTAGGAATAATAATAATGAGAAAGAGAAGATATTTCATTGTCTCATGTTAATCTTTGGGCTTGTTAAACTATCCTAACAATATAAGTGAAATTATAGCTAAGAATGAAGAATAAAAGATGGAGGAAAAAATCCAAAGATCAGATTTATTTTGATTTGCCATGATTGTACTAAAATTTAAATGTAATATAAAAGAGACATCAAGTATTGCCTATGGTCACCCATCCATTTTAAAGATGAGGAAATTGAAGTTCTGAAAATGGCATTCCTTTTTAAAGATTATATACGTGATTAGGTATAGAATTTGGACTACTCACAAATTATCTCTGAGAGTAGAAGGAAACTCATACACAAAATAAAAGTGCTTTTTCTATTTTTTTACTCAACATCAATCAATACAGAGGACTTCTGGGACCAAATGTGTAGGGATTTCTCTCCACCATCAAGCAAGTAAACCGTTCTGCAGAGAATGCCAGCTATGTGTACTCTCACTCAGTTCTATTATAACATTATCTACCAAGAGATAGCATCAGATCCCATTGGCTGAGGGCTCAGTTTCCAAGACTGCCCCCCTTTCAGATGCCAATTACAAGCCCCAGGTTATTTTACATATGCTTCTGACTGACCAGCTATGAATTGGGTATCTCATAACCCCCTTTTTGGGTTTGATTAGTTTGCTAGAGTGGCTCACAGACCTCACAGAAACACTTATACTTACCAGTTTATTATAAAGTATATTACAAAAAATACAAATGAAGGGATGCATAGAGCAAGATATGGGAAAGGGCACAGAGCTTCCATGTCCTCCCTAGGTACATAATTCTCCAGGAACCCTAACATGTTTAGCTGTGCAGAAGCTCTCTGAACCCTATTCTTTGGGTGTTTATGGAGACTTCCCTACATAGGCATGATTGATTAAACCCTTCCATTCCTGAGTTACTTCACTTAGATAATGGTCTCCAATTCAGGTTGCTGCAAATGCCATCATTTTGTTCCTTTTTATGGCTGAGTAGTATTCCATGGTGTATATATACCACAATTTCTTTATCCACTCAATTGATAGGTATTTGGGCTGATTCCATATTTTTGTAATTGTGAATTGCACTGCTATAAACATGTGCATGCAAGTATCTTTTTCATATAATGACTTATTTTCCTCTGGATAGATACCTAGGAGTGGGATTGCTGGATCAAATGATAGATCTACTTTTAGTTCTTTAAGGAATCTCCACATTGTTTTCCATAGTGGTCCTATTAGTTTACATTCCCTTTTCACCACCTCCACACCAACATCTCTTATGTTTTGGTGTTTTGATTATGACCATTCTTCCAGGAGTAAGGTGGTATCGCATTGTGGTTTTTGATTTGCATTTCCCTGATAATTAGTGATGTTCAGCATTTTTCATATGTTTGTTGGCCATTTGTACATCTTCTTTTGAGAACTGTCTATTCATGTCCTTAGCCCACTTTCTGATGGGACTGTTTGTTTTTTTCTTCTGATTTCAGTTCTTTGTAGATTCTGGATATTAGTCCTTTGTAGATTCTGGATATTAGTCCTTTGTTGGATGAATAGTTTGCAAAGATTTTCTCTCACTCTGCAGGTTGTATGTTTACTGATTTTCTTGTGCTATGCAGAAGTTTTTAAGTTTATTTAAGTCCAATCATTTATCTTTGTTTTTGTTGCATTTGTTTTGGGGTTCTTTGTCATAAAGTCTTTGCCTAAGCCAATGTCTAGAAGGGTTTTTCTAATGTTATCTTCCAGAATTTTTATGGTTTCAGGTCTTAGATTTAAATCTTTGATCCATATTTAGGTGATTTTTATATAAGGTGGGAGATGAGGATCCAGTTTCATTCTTCTACATGTGACTTGCCTATTATACCAGCACCATTTGTTGAATAGGGTGTCCTTTCCCTACTTTATATTTTTTATTGCTTTGTCAAAGATTAGTTGACTGTAAGTATTCAGCTTATTTCTGGTTTCTCTATTCTGTTTCATTGGTCTATGTGCCTATTTTTATAACAGTATCATACTGTTTTGGTGATGATAGCCTAATAATATAGTTTGAAGTCAGGTAATGTGATGCCTCCAGATTTGTTCTTTTTGCTTAGTCTTGCTTTGGCTATGTGGCCTCATTTTTCATTCCATATGAATTTTGGAATTTTATTTTCTAGTTCTGTGAAGAATGATGAAGATCTTTTGATGGGAATTGCATTGAATTTGTAGATTGCTTTTGCAGTATGGTCATTTTCACAATATTAATTCTACCCATCCATGAGCATAGGATGTATTTTCTTTTGTGTCATCTATGATTTCTTTCAGCAGCATTTTGTAGTTTTCCTTGTAGAGGTCATTCACCTCCTTGGTTAGGCATATTCCTAAGTATTTTTTTTTTTTTTTTTTTTTGCAGCTATTGCAAAGGGGATTGAGTTCTTGATTTGATTCTCAGTTTGGTCACTGTTGGTGTATAAAAGTGCTACTAATTTGTGTACATTAATTTTGTATCCTGACACTTTACTGAATTTATTTATCAGCTCTAAAAGCTTTCTGGGTGAGTCTTTAGGGTTCTCTAGGTATATGATCATATTATTGGTGAATGGCAACAGTTTGATTTCCTCTTTACTGATTTGGGTGTCCTTTATTTCCTTCTCTTGTCTGATCACTCTGGTAGGACTTCCAGTACTATGTTGAATAGAAGTGTTAAAAGTGGGTGTCCTTGCTTTGATCCAGTTCTCAGGGAGAATGCTTTCAACTTTTTCCATGTTCAGTACAATGTTGGCTGTGGGTTTGTCATAGATGGCTTTTATTACCCTATGGTATGTCCCTTCTATGCCCATTTTGCTAAGGGTTTTAATCATAAAGGAATGCTGGATTTTGTCAAATGCTTTTTCTACATCAGTTGAGATGATCATGTGATTTTTGTTTTTAATTCTGTTTATGTGATGTATCAGATTCATTGACTTGCTTATATTAAACCATCCCTGCATCCCTAATGTGAACCCTACTTGTTCATGGTGGATTATCTTTTTGATATGCTGTTGGATTTGGTGCACTAGTATTTGGTTGAGGATTTTTGCATCTATGTTCCTCAGGGATATTGGCCTGTAATTTCTTTTTTTGTTATGTCCTTCCCTGGTTTTGGTATTAGGGTGATACTGGCTTCATAGAATAGCTTAGAGAGAATTCCCTCTTTCTCTATTTTTTTGAATAGTGTCAATAGGATTGGCACCAACTCATCTTTGAATGTCTGATAGAATTCAGCTGTGAATCCATGTAGTCCTGGACTTTTTTTTCTTGGCAATTTTTTATTACTATTTCAATCTTGCTGCTTGTTATGGTCTATTCAGAGCTTCAGTTTCTCCTGTCTTAATCTAGGAGGGTTGTATATTTCCAGGAATTTATCCATCTCCTCTAGGTTTTCTAGTTTGTGTGCATAAAGGTGTTCATAGTATCTTTGAATGATCTTTTGTATTTCTGTGGTATAAGTTGTAATATCTCCCATTTAATTTCTAATTGAGCATATATAAATCATCTCTCTTCTTTTCTTGGTTAATCTCACTATCTTTTCAAATAATCAGCTTTTTGTTTCACTTATTTTTTGTATTTCTTTTGGCTTCAATTTCATTTAGCACTGCTCTTATATCTGTTGTTTATTTTCTGGTGGGTTTGTGTTTGGTTTGTTCTTTTTTCTCTAGTTCCTTGAGGTGTGACCTTAGATTGTCTATTTGTGATCTTTCAGACTTTTCGATGTAGGCATTCAATGCTATGAACTTTCCTCTTAGCACTTATTTTGTTTTATACCAGATGTTTTGATAGGCTGTGTCACTCTTATCATTCAGTTCTAAGAACTTTTTAATTTCTATCTTGCTTTTATTTTTGACCCAATGATCATTAAGGAGCAGGTTGTTTAATTTTCATGTCTTTGCATGGTTTTGAGGGTTCCTTTTGTAGTTGATTTCCAATTATATTCAAATATTGTCTGAAAGAATATTTGATGTAATTTTGAATTTCTTAAATTTACTGAGACTTGTTTTGTGCCTATGATATGGTCTATCATGGAGAATTTTCCATACACTGATGAATAGAATATATATTCTGTAGTTGTTGGGTAGAATGTTCTGTTAATATCTGTTAAGTTCATTTGTTCTAGTGTACAGTTTAAGTCCATTGTTTCTTTGTTGACTTTCTGTCTTGATGACCTGTCTAGTTCTGCCAGTGGAGTACTGAAGTCCCCCACTATTATTGTGTTGCTGTCTATCTCATTTCTTAGGTCTAATAGTAATTGATTTATACATTTGGGAGCTCCAGTGTTAGGTGCATATAGATTTAGGATTATGATATTTTTCCTGTTGGACTAGTCTTTTTATCATTATATGATGTCTCTCTTTGTCTTTTTTAGCTGTTGTTGCCTTAAAGTCTGTTTGGTCTGATATAAGAATAGCTAGTCCTGCTCACTTTTGATATCTATTTGCATGGAATATCTTTCTCCACCCTTTACCTTAACTTTATGTGAGTTCTTCTGTGTTATGTGAGTCTCTTGAAAAGAGCACATACTTGTTTGGTGAATTCTTATTGATTCTGGCATGCTGTATCTTTTAAGTGGAGCATTTAGGCCATTTACATTCAGCATTAGTATTGAGAGGTGAGATACTATTCTCTTCATCATGCTAGATGTTGCCTGAATACTTTGTGTATTTTTGTTTCATTGTGTTAATGTTTTACAGGTCTTTTGAGATTTATGCCTGAAGAAGGTTCTATTTTGGTGTATTTTGAGGATTTGTATCAAGATGTAGAGCTTCTTTCAGCAGTTCTTGTAGTGTTGGCTTGGTAGTGGTGAATTATCTCAGCATTTTTCTGAAAAAGACTGTACCTTTCCTGTGTTTAGGGAGCTTAATTTTACTGGATACAAAAATCTTGGCTGATCATTTTTTTGTTTAAGGAGGCTAAAGATAGGACCCCAATTTATTCTAGCTTGTAGGGCTCCTACTGAGAAATCTGCTGTTAATCTGATAGTTTCTTTTTTTAACAGATTAACTGATGTTTTTGCCTCACATTTCTTAAGATTCTTACCTTTGTCTTGACTTTACATAACCTGATGACTATGTGCCTAGATGATGATCTTTTTGCAATTAATTTCTCGGTTGTACTTTGAGCTTCTTGTATTTAGATGTTTAGTTCTCTAGCAAGGCCAGGGAAGTTTCCTCAATTATTCCCTCAAATTTGTTTTCCAAACTTTCAGATTTCTCTTCTTCCTTGGGAACACCAATTATTCTTAATTTTGTTTGTTTAACATAATCCCAGACTTCTTGAAGATGTTCATTAAATTTTTTTTTTCATTGTCTGTGTTGGATTGGGTTAATTCAAAAGCCTTGTCTTTGAGCTCTGGAGTTCTTTCTTCTACTTGTTTGATTCTATTGCTGAGACATTCCAGTGTATTTTGCATTTCTTTAAGTGTGTCCTTCATTTCCAGAAGTTGTGATTTTTTTTCTTAATTGTGCTATCTATTTATCTGGAGATTTTTCCATCCATATCCTGTAACTTTTAAAAAATTTCTTTAAATTTTTATTCACCTTTCTCTGGTGCCTCCTTGAGTAGTTTAATAATTGACTTTCTGAATTCTTTTTTTTGGCAATTCAGAGATTTTGTCTTGGTTTGGATGCATTGCTGGTGAGCTAATGAGATCTTTTGGGGGTGTTATAGAACGCTGTTTTGTCATATTACTAGAATTGTTTTTCTGGTTCCTTCTCTTTTGGGTAGATTAGGTAAGAGGTAAAATCCGGGGCTCAAGGGCTGTTGTTCAGATTCTTTTATTCCATGGAGTGCTCCCTTAATGTGGTGCTCTCCCCTTCCTCTAGGGATGGAGCTTCCTGAGAGATGAACTGCAGTGATTGTTATTTCTCTTCTTGGTCTAGCCACCCAGCAGGGCTACCGGGCTCTGGTCGGGTAATGGGGAGTGTCTTCAAAGAGTCCTCTGATGTGATCTGTCTTCAGGTTTCTCAGCTACAGATACTAGAACCTGCTGCAGTGGAGGTAGCAGTGGAGTTAAGTGGACTCTGTGAGGGTCCTTGATTATAGTTTTGTTTAGTGACCTGGTTTTGTGTTGATTGGCCTCCAGCCAGGAGATGCACTTTCAAGACAGCATCAGCTGCAGTAGTACAGGGGGGTTACAAGCTTGCCCTGGGGTCACCTAGATAAATATTTGTGTTTCCCAGCAGTGGGAAGGACTATAGAGCTCCCAAGATAGTATGTCCTTTGTTTTCAGCTACCAAGGTGGATGGAGAAAGACCATCAAGTTGAGGCAGGTTTAGGCAGTCAAAGCTCAGACTCTCCTTGGGTGGTGCTTGCTATGGTGGCTGTGGGGGATGGGGGTGTGGTTCTCAGGCCAATGGAGTTATGTTTCCAGAGGGATTATGGCTACCTCTGCTGAGTCATATAGGTCACCAGGGAAGTGGGGCAAAGCCAGCAGTGTCAGGCCTCACCCAGTTCCCACATAGTCCGAAATGCCAGTCTCACTCCCATCATCCCCGGCGTCCAACAGCACTGAGTTTATTTCCAGGCAGCTGGTGAACAAGACTGAGAACTTGCCCAAGGCTACCAGCATCCCCGCTGAGAAAGCAAGCAGGGCTTTCAGGTTTCACACCTCCCAGCCTGCCACTGTTTCAGCGTTTGTATCTTTACTCCCTATTTGGCTCCTCCCCCAGATGCTGTTCAGGAAACTTCCTGTCAAAATTGTTACAAAGTGCAGCTGGAAGTTTTCTTCTCCCTGTGGTCTTTTTCCAACTCTACTGGCAGCCCTCCCCAAGGATCCCTGTGAGACAAAGTCAGGAATGGCTTCTCTGGGGACAGAGAATGCCCACGGGGCTCTTCCTACTGCTTCTTCTACCCCTATATTTGGCCTGGCTTTCTAAATTTGTCTCAGCTACAGGTAAGATCAGGTCATTCTCCCATTAACTGGACCTTCAGGTTCCCCAGTGAGGATGTGTGCCCGGGGAAAGACATTCCCCCACACAATTTAAGCACTCACAGTTTTTTGACTGTCTCACGGAACCTGCAGAGGTAAACTGCTTTTTTCAAAGGATCTGTGGATCCTCCCAGCCTTCATCATATGTTCCTGTGGTAGTTCTCGAAGCAAAAGTTTACTATATGAATCTCCATACACTGCTCTGTCCATCCGAGTGGGAGCTGCAAGTTCTGCTTCCTATCGGCCATTTTTCTCCCTGTCTAAATGATATATTCTGTATTTAACTTCCTATAATCATACTCCATTTTAAACTCTTTTTACAAATTCCGATGCTTAGGATAATCAAAGCCTTGCCTTCCAGCTTCATTTGTGACATCATTCAATGTTGTGAAAATGATTCATCTTTGTAAATAACCTATAAGGAACTGTTAAGGAAAAACACCCCAGCTCTACCGGTTCCTGGTTGTCACATGAGAAGCATATTAATTTTAACTGAAAAAAAAAATAACTAAATTGATAATACATTATTATAAGCAAGTAGCAGCATGTCTTCATCATGTGACATTTTAGAAGAAAAAAAGTAAGCTGGGTGCAGTAGCTTATGTCTGTAATACCAGCACTTTGGGAAGCCAAGGCAGGAGAATCGCTTGAGTTCAGGAATTTGAAACCAACCTGGGCAACATAGGGAGACTCAGTTTCTCCAAAAAAAAAAAAAAAAAAAACCCATCCAGGCGTGGTGGCATTGCCTGTAGTTAGAGCTGCTTGGGAGGCTGAGGCTAGGAGATCCCTTGAGCCCAGGAGGTTGAGGCTGCAGTGAGCTGTGATGGTGCCACTGCACTCCAGCCTGGGAACAGAGTCAGAAACTGTCTCAAAAACCTACAATCAAACAAAAAATCCAAAACAGTAATTAACATTATTACTGAGATTCAATAAGTACCTCACCAACATGTATCAGGGTGCTAAAATGAAATAATTGCAGTTCTGGTATTTCAAAATATAAACTGTATATACAGTGTCTGAGAAAGAAGATTCACTTTATCTGTTTATTATACCCAGAAAATTGCTGCAGAAAAAAATAGATCACATTAATTTTGTTTAGCATTTGCCATTTAGACCGTTATTCATCTAAAACATTGTATGAATATGCAGTTGTTAAAGCTGATCATTTGAATTGGGTGATTTTGTCATACCCAACTAAAACAGAGTCAAGAAGCCAGGCAGAAAAGCACACAGGGAACATGACATTGCTCCAAGAACAAAGTTTTCTGTGAGCCTGGCTACTGAAACTGCTTGTTGTAACCTGAAACCAGTTTTATCCATGGCTGCTGAGATGAGATGCTGAATGCAGTGCTAGGGTTAGTTTTGCCCACCACCGTCACCCACCAGCTGGAGGTTGTCAGCTCCCAAAACCTTCACTAACACCAATAAACTTTCTTTCAAGACCTCTGGTAACATTCCTATTTTTTTTTAAATCCCCAACCTTCTCTTTGTTCTTCAGAAATACTGAAGAGCACCCACTCTGTATGTATGCCATGAATTGCAATTCTTTCTTTTCAAATAAAATGTTAAATGAAAAGATACACCTACATTTAGGAATTAATTTGTGTGTTACAAAAATAATTTGAGCTATGATTAACAATGAAGTTCCTAGAGTTATGTATATGCAGTAATAAAGAGCACAACTTTTCCTTATTTTCAATTTGGTAAGCAAGATAAAGGATCAGTACATAAAAAAGCTATTAAGTGTTTAACAAGTGTTAAATAAGAGTAATAGATATCAAATAATATGAGGAACATCTCTAGATAGAGACGTTGGATAAATATTGTGTTCTAAGCCAGGGAGAGATAAAGGGAAAGATTGGAGAAAGAGGAAACAGTGTAGATGAGATAAAGGTAGGATATATGAGTATAGCATATTTAGTTTGCTCACAATAGAGAGTAAAAGTAAAGAAAAATAGGGCTTTAAAGATTATTTGGGGTCAGATAATAGATGACTTACAATCTAGGTCTAATTTTAATGTAAGAAACAAAGCGATTAAAGATTGGTGAAATGGTTAAAACTATGACTTACTAAGCTTAGCCTGGATAGCTCTGTATAAAATCAACAGTATATAAACAGAGTATTTTAAGTGCTAAATTTTGAGGGACTAGGAAAGAATAATTTTTAAGAAGATAGTAAACAGTAATTATAAATCACCGTATTTCAAAAATGGCAACAACTTAACTGCTATCCCAGCCCTCGAGAGGTGGAACCTACTTCCCCTTCCCTTGAATGCGGGTTGATTTTAATGACTTTTTTCTCAATAGAAAGCAGCATAACTGATGTTTTACACTGAAAATGCTAACGACAAAGAACTTTTGCCACTTCTGCCTGGGCCTCTTCAAATACTCACTCTAGTAAAAACTAGTTTGCATATGAGAAGTCCGAATAATCTGAGACTGTGATGCAAGACAAGCTACATGTATATTCCCTGATGGTCATATTCAGCTGAACTTAGACTTCCAATCCTTCCCACCGGGTGCTTGATATACCAGTCCATTTGCCTGTGGAATACCACCAATTCAACTCAATTGACACCATTTGGAGCAACAGAATTGTGCATCTGAAATCTGCCCAAATTCCTTATCCACACAATTGTCAAGTATAATAAAACCATTTTAAAAATGCTACATTTTAGGCTGCATAATTTGTTATGCAGTGACTGATATCTAAAAATTAATTTGATAATTGAAAGTTGTGGTGTGTTGCCATAATAAAAACTATAGTATATGGCATTAGCTTTGGGAAAAGATAGAGGGTGCCTTGAGGAGACTGTTAGTGAAATATTGAAGAACTCTGAAACTCTTGGTGAGGGCTTGGCAAACAATGAGAAAATGGTTTTGGAGGGGAGGAAGGAGGCATTTTGGCAACACTTTCACTTGAGGCAATTTGGAACATACAAAACATTCCTAATGAACTTTTTAATCTGAGCGGGGCTATTTCCAGGAAGAATATACAAAGCACCAACTGGCTTTTGCTAGTTGTGTATGATAAAGCTTGAGTTGTAAAAGATGGATTAAATTATAAACTTTTTAAAAGCATAACTGAAGAGAACTGTATAGAAAATATAAAGAAAAAATGATTTTAGGATAAAGGTGAAACTCAAAGCTAGGTTATAAATTCTGTTATATGACATTAGAAATAGCTTGTTAGTGTCTCATGATCTCTTTCAGAAAGTCAAAAAGGATACTAAAGGTCTTGAAGGTATTGCTTGTAGTTATACCTTGGGAAAGAACACAGCTTTTAAGAATCGTAAAGGTATAGCTCCATAGAAACCACATACACATATAAAGGCTGACATAGATCTAATATTTGGATTCAGCTTAATGGAGTAAATCTCACTAAGGTTCATAGCATGCTCATAGAGTTTTTAGGGATTGTATCAGCAAAAGTACTGCCAGACTTTATAAAAAAAAAAAAGAGATAGTACACAATGTAAAAAGCTTGGGACACCCATTTTTTTTATGGAAGTAAGATAAAAAATGTTGCTTAGCTACAAATATAAGCTTTTTCATATGGAAAATGTAGAGTGATTTAGCAGAAATAATCAGTATCCTAGAATATGGAGCCAAGTGCCATGGACAATTATCTTTAGGGAGAAAAAAATGAATTCTTTCAAGGAACTAGTTACTGTGTCTGACTAGATTTAATAATCGCTATGAACCAGCGACCACTACATGCCTTCTACTGATCTGTACTCAAACTGCCTTTTGGAAATGAACAGTTTTTTGTAGTGCATTCTCTGCAGCACCATTGAATATTGGGTTTATGGAGAACATAAAACTCAACTGTTTGGTTAAGATGTCTTCATATTTTAAAGGACACTACAAGTAGCACTGAATTCTAGGGTCATCAACTGTACCTGCAGCTTATCTAGATGATGACATAATAGATTAAAATCTAGGGGCTCCTGGGAGAGAAATTGTGTATTTTAAAAAATATAGCTAATTTATTTATTTTATAAGCAAAAAAGTTCATATACGATTTTTTTGAGATGGGGTCTTGCTATGTTGCCCAGGCTGGCTTTGAATGCCTGGTCTCAAGTGATCCTCCCATCTCAGCTTCCTGAGTAACTGGGATCACAGGCATGCATGACCACGCCCAACTAAAGTCATGTATTTTGAATGTGGCGGTAACGTATAATGTGTGGTTGAAGAGAGGAATGTGTTAAATTTAAGATGGCCACAGATTACTTTCTATCTCTTCACTGAGAGGTTGAGTCTAATTCCTCTCTCCTTAGTAATTGGCTGAGATGAGATGCTGCATGCAGTTCTAGGGTTAGTTTTGCCCACCACCGTCACCCACCAACTGGAGGTTGTCAGCTCCTAAAACCTTCACTAACACCAATAAACTTTCTTTCAAGACCTGTGGTAACATTCCTATTTTTTTTTTTTTTGAAAATCCCCAACCTTCTCTTTGTTCTTCAGAAATACTGAAGAACAGTATATAGTAATTGGCTGACAAATAGAATGCAGTGTAGATAACATTCTGAGACTTCCAAACCTAGGTCATAAGAAGCCTGACTGCTCAGGCCTAGTGCAATACTCATTCCAGGGAGAAACCAGATAACATGTAAGGACTCTAACTACCCTGAAGTTGCTGCTGGAGAGGTCCCATGTAGATGCTTATTCCACAGTCTCATCTGACATTAGCCTTCTACCATGCTACTAAAATTACAAGTATGTGAGTAAAACAATTTTGAAACTTCTACAACAGCATTTGGCCAGCTGAAAACTATCAAATGATATAAATACAGTTTGAACATCACTAATCCAAAAAGAGAAAATCAGAAATGCTTCGAAGTCCAAAAATTGTTGAAGTCAACATGACACCAGAAGTGGAAGATTTCATGCCTACCTCACGTAATGTGTTGCAGTCAAAAAGCACATGTACAATACACAGTCTATTCAGTGTCCTCAAGGAAAAGAAGACCCTCCTAGCCCCCTTCAGCTTTAATATATATTTTTCATGCCCACCCAGAATCTCCCTCTCAAGCACACCCACAAAAAAGGGTAATAAAATGGCACCTGCTCATGCCAGACACACCAATGGCCAGTTCCCCATAATGCCCTGCATGGGGCCAAGGCCTATATATATTATTGTTTTTGTTTGTTTTGTTTTGATTTTTTTCTTATGCTCTGCTCTGTGATCTAAAATATTGTTGAAAATGTCAAAAAGGCCTGCAAATACTTCTATGGGTAACAGTGATAAGAAAAAGGAAGTGTTTCTGTTTATAGATAGCACAGCAAGTCAAGTTGTTGGCAAAACTGGACACTGGTGTAAGTGTGAAAACACTTACAGAAGAAGTGGTGTTGGAATGACCACAATGCATGACCTGAAGAAACAGAAGGGTAAACTGTTGAAGTTCTATTGTGAAAGTGATAAACAGAAGTTAATAAAATATAGAAAAACTCTGCATAAAGCTAAAAATGAAGATCTTGACTGTGTATTGAAAGAATGGATCCATCAGTGTCACATCCATTAGATGTCACTTAATGTTGTGTTGATAATGAAACAAGCAAGGATCTATTATGATAAACTGAAAATTGAATAAAACTGAAAATTCAACAGGCTAGGTGCAGAATTTAATAAAAGACAGGACATTAAATGTATAAAGGATTTATGATGATACAGAATCTGCTGATTGTGAAGCAGCAGAGAAATTTATTGACAAGTTTGCCAAGGTCATGGTTAATGAAAATCTGACACAAGTACAAGTCTATAATGGTGCTGAAACATCACTGTTTTGGCATTATTGTCTCAGAGAGACACTGACTGTAATTGGCAAAACAATCACTACAGGGATTAAAGATGCCAAGGAGAGAATAGCTGTGCTGGGGTGTGCTAATACAGCAGAAATAAATAAGTGTAAACTTGCTGTCATAAGTGAAAGTGTATATCCTTGCTGTCTGTAAGGAGTGAATGTCCTACCAGTGCATTATTTTGCTAACAAAAAGGCATAGATTACCAGGGATATCTTTCTAATTGGATTCACAAATATTTTGTACCAACAACGTGTGCTCACTGCAGGGAAGTTGGATTGCATGCTGCAAGATTTTGTTATTTTTTTGACAACTGTTCTTTTCATCATCTTGCTGAAATTCTCATAAAAAATAATGAGTATGCCATGTACTTTTTCCCAAATGTGACTTCATTAATTCAGCCATGTGACCAAGTTATCTTGATATCAATGAATAGTAAACATGAATACACTTTCTTGAATAACATGGTAGCAGAAGCTAACAGAGTCATGGGTGTGGAAGATTTTCAAAAGGAGTTTTGCATGAATATGCTGTTTATGCCATTGCCAATGGTTGAAACACAGTGACTAAAGACACAGTTGTGCATGAATGATACAACCTCTGGCCTGCTCTCCTCTGCAACTATGTTGAGTGATGATGATGAATAAGGTGGTGACTTTGAAGAATTCTGTACATCAAGTGACAAAAAAAAATCTAGCTTTCTTACATATACAACAAATATACCTCAGAGTCCATTAGGAAGCTGGAAGTGGATGTTAAAGAAATTTTTAACATTGATAATGAAGGTCCAGTTTTTCATTCATTGACCCGTGGTGGAAGAGCCAAAATGCTTCCAAATTAAGGCAATTGTGATAATAGCAATGATGATGATGACGTTAACAAGGCAGAAAAAATGCCTAAAGATGGCGAGGTAAAAATATGTGATGGGCTTATTGAAGGACTGCAGCAGCATGCATTCATAACAAAACAAGTAATCATATTATATCAGTTTATATAATCAAAGAGAAATGTCAAAGACAAAAACCATTGTTAATGAAGCAGATGACTTGAGGAAACATTTTTTAAAACTATCCAGCAAAATGCCTCCTTATCCCTGGAGAACCCACTTCCTGGTTTCTCACTGCTTCTGATGTTTCTCCTCATCTCAAAAATAAAATACAGTATAGGTAACATTTTAATCAAAACGCAGCATCATAGAGACTGAAAGCCTGCCCTTGCTTTTTATTGCTGTTGTTTAATAGCTGATACAGGTATTCTGGTGATACTACTGTGCTGCATAGTTACCCTGAATGCATTATCTTTTCTATTAAGAGTTTGTCATATTTCTTTTACAGTTAAGCACTTATGGGTGAATAAGTATAAAAAATGATTGCTCATTGGTAGCATATAAACTCAAAGTCAGGAATAATAGTGATGCCAAATAACCATAGATTGTTCACAGGGGTGACTGAGATAGTGACAACTTTGCTTCCAATGGTTCAATATATATTAACTTTGTCTTATGCACAAAATTATTAGAAATATGATACATGATTTCTTTCAGGCTATGTGTATAAGATATGTATGGAACATAAATACATTTTGTTTTTAGACTCTGATCCTGCTCATGACTTACTTTCACGAGACTAGCATGGGGGAAACAGCCCCCATGATTCAGTTACCTCCCACTAGGTTCCTCCCACCAAACATGGGGATTATGGGAACTACAGTTGAAGATGAGATTTGGATGGGGCACAGCCAAACCATATCACAGTATTTATAGAATGGTCCAAAAAAGAGGATATAATTCTATGGTTAAAAAGCCAATAAAGAAAATAAAAGTTTAAAGAAAAGATAGGGTTTCATTTTTAAGCATATTTTGATATTTAAGGTATGTCATTATGCATATGAATATATTCCAAAATCTGAAAAAAACTGAAATCTGAAACATTCTGGTCTCAAAAATTTCAGGTAAGGGATACTCAATCTGTAAATGGCCCTATGGAGCAGAAAAAGCACAAAATGAGCACTGCCCAAATTCTCACAAAACAAAATCTTAAGATATTATAATGTTATAGTTTTTTTAAACCACTACAATTTTAGTTAATTTGTTCCACATACACACACACACACACACACACACACACACACACACACACACACAAAATAGATAGCCTAAATGGCACTATGTATTAGTCCATTCTCACGCTGCTATAAAGAACTGCCCAAGATTGGGTAATTTATAAGGAAAAAAGGTTTAATTGATTCGCAGTTCTGCATGGCTTGGGAGGCCTCAGGAAACTTACAATCCTGGAGGAAAGGGAAGCAAACATGTCTGTCTTTCTTCACACAGCAGCAGGAGAGAGAAGAATGAAAGCCGAGTGAAAGGGAAAGCGCCTTATAAAACCATCATATCTCATGACTTACTTTCATGAGACTAGCCTGGGGGAAACAGTCCCCATGATTCAGTTACCTCCCACTGGGTTCCTCCCACCACACATGGGGATTATGGGAACTACAATTGAAGATGAGGTTTGAGTGGGGCACAGCCAAAGCATATCACAATATTTGTAGAATGATCCAAAAAAGAGGATATAATTCTATGGCTAAAAAGCCAATACAGAAAAACAGAAAGTTTAAGAAAAGTTAGAGTTTCATTTGTAAGCATATTTTGATATTTAAACCATATGGAAAACTCACAAATTAATGGGTTGATTTGAATGCTTTTTAAACAATAAAATGATATAGAATTAACATGATCTTCTGCAGGACTTTCTTTATATTGGCATTTATATGTCAAGCACCTTATTACCTTGAAAAGCCCCTTGCTCCTAATAGTACAAAACAGCATTACTTTTAAAATATATTCTATCAAAGAAGGTCTATGTAAACTGCAGAAGAAACATTGATTCTCTGATTTTAGAAATCATAAATAATATGATTTAAAAGATTCAGTGGCATAAAATGCATTTCTAATTAGAAAAATAAAATCTGATCCAATGTCCTTTGGAAAAACAAAAAGACTTCAAAGTCTTCTAGGTGTCTATATCTTCAGAATAATTTAAATAAAACTGACTAGTCTCTGGTGGCTGTATTAGAAGTAATCAGGTTGATAAAGACAAATTGCATCTTACCCTGCCAGTGAAAAGATAAATTGAAGTCATATATTTTATATTCATCTTTGATTCAAGGTAATGGACAGTGTCTTATGTCAAAATGTATAATTATTTAAGTCTCCAAGCATCTTTTCCTACCTGACAACATTCAACAATGTTGTTCAGAACAAGTACTTGCACACACATGGTTCTTATCATTAGAATATTAAAATCTTATTTGGACCAACTACATTTTACAAAGTACCGTATAAAACAATTCTAATATATGTCTATATCTGTATATATAACTGTACCCAAATTCGTATCCAATTCCATATTTGTATCTATACGTAGTTACCTTATCCAGCTAGGGTCAAGTGGGAAATATTTCTAGTCGATATTTGAACTGGGTTTTGAGAGATGAAAAGGATTAGCTATGCAGGGAAATGAGTGGAAGTACTCACTGGGTAGAACTCGTGAAGGTACTGAGGCATGACAAAACACAGTAACGCCAAAGTACAGCAAGTTGTTCAATGTGCCTGGAGCACAGGTGTGAGAGGAAATTGCCAAATTGTGTTGCTGGAGAACTAATCATGAGGCAGATTATAAAGGGTATGCCAAGCTAATGGGATTGGATTTGGGAGCCATTTATCAAATGAAACAGGATTCATCATATGAAATTTAAAAATGGGGCAAAAAAGAAAAAAAAGTGGGAAAGGAAATTACTACTAATGCATCCCTTATATTCCCCAGGTAATAATCAGTTTTCAAAAGATCAGGCAGTGTTAGTAGTATTAAACATGACTTACCTCATTCTTCCACTTGTAGAGAGGCTTTAAAGCATGGTGCCGTCAATAATGAAATGGTATCTACTAATTTATAGTTACAAAGCCATATCAGAACATAAGTACACAACAATTCTATGGGAGGAAGACAAAAATCTTCAGTTACAGGCAACTAGAATATTTGACAGGAATTTTTATCACTTTCCAAGCTCTTCATCTTTGAGAGATCACCATGTGGATCTTGATCATTGATGGATCCAGAAACTGGGAATTGTGTATTTAGAGGTGTATATTAGGAATACTTACCAAATTCAACTATTATTTGAATTTCTGTCAGCCTCACAGTTATAAAATTGATGTTTCTTTTATGACAATGTACTTGAGTGGCCCTAGAGCTACAAAAAAGACCACGATTGAGTTGGATTCCTTTCTATTAATTTTTTTGAATGCCTAGTATGGTTCAAATCAAGTGCATTAGGACACATTAGTTCGGTTTTAATTAACTTGATAAATGGACATAAGAATTTCATCTCAGATGGACAGAAAAGTTTTTAACCCAAACTTTGCCATTTACAAACAATGTGATCTTGGGAATGTTCATCTTTACTAAGCTCAATTTCCTTATGTGAGAAAGGGACCACTACTTACCTTTTAATGTTCTTGAAAAGATTAAGTGATATAGCATATACAAAGGTCTCTCTTTAAATAACAAAATAATATATACCTGTATTTGATATAATGTACTGTGAATGATAGACACTATTTGTGCCTTCAGACACAGTATGAAAAGAAGATCAGTGTAGTCTTGTGGAATCAAAAGAAAGCTCTACTGAAGAGGTAGAAATCACACACATATACACAAAAATCCCTTAGTAATTCTTTTTTTACTTTATGTCACATTGTTACCGTGCTACTATTACACAGAGAAAATCAATTAGGAAGGTGCTAAAAAGCAATCTAAAATTTTAAGGAACTCAAGAATTGCTACAAAAGAAAGGTAGACTTTACACAATAATTGCCATTCTTATACAAGGTACTGTTGTCAGTGCAAAATAGAACTGGATAGATTTGATCTTGCTGTGAGTAACTACCTTCCTAAAGTAAAATGTTCACTCATGTGTGGTGAATTACAATGCCCTAAGGTACAACTTAGTAAATTGCTTCTTCTTAAGCATTGACTGGAACCCCTGAAGAAAAATAAAATCATTGTGTGCTAGTGAACTCTGTGTTCTCAGACAAATTGTTTTCCATAGGATTAATGTAACAAAACAAACTTGTATATCTATGGTGTATTACATTTTTTTCTTATAAAATGACTCAGGGGTTTGTATTTGCTTAATGTCATGCATATCTTCAATCCATTTGAAAGGGTTAGAAATGTGAAAGAGCATTATTCTTTCACCACATAGGCATTAACTTAGTCGGAAAGAATGAAATCCACTGCATCAGAGATTCAATATTAATAGCAGGTAATTTTACATCCAGCCTAGAGCATGGTGCTTTTAGAAATGGTCTATGAATTATTTGAAATGCTTTGAGATATTTCTGAATATTTACTTTCTGCATTGAAGTTAATTTACTCTTTCTCCTACATATTTTTGAGACTGAGCACTTACAGAAATGCACAAAAGGGGGTGTATTTTGCAAGGTTACAGGATTGATGGTCTTTCTCATGAAAATAGCATAAGGAAACCTTCAGAGGTTTCCTGTTTTCTCTAAATGTACAATTTAAGAGAAACCGGAGAGTTAATTCATAATCATATTTTAATAACAAAAAGATGTATGCAAAATACTGTAATTGACAAATATCAGAAACATGAGAATTAGACTTCTGAAATAGCATGATATAAAAGTAAAGTCAACTTACGTATAACCTTTTATTGTGATTTATATATGTCTATAAAATATAACTATTTTATCTCCACCTTGATAGGAAGCTCTTGACATAGTTGATGAATTTTTGTTAAAGCTCAGATAATAGCACACCATTCCTATTTTTCTGTCAACACAGCTTTAGGATATTTTATCATAGTAACAGTCCTCTGGGATCCATCAAGATGAATTTCTTCATAGTCTATCTATTATGCATCAAGAGAAAGCACATACATTATTTTCTCTTCACGATCTGTAAATTCTTAACCATATTTTTGAAAATCTGTATGAATTAACAGAAATCAATCTCTATATCTTTTTTGTTTGAATTATCCTTCTCTTTGATATTTCCTTTTATGCCCAATCAACCACAATTCTCAAATTATCTTGACATCAAAAGGAAAAAAATAAAATAATTGAGAAGCCGAGTTCCTGAAGATTTAGCCCTAAGAAACTCAGAAATCCTAGATTTTGGTTCTCATCTGAGAAAACAAATAGATATTTTTCTCATCTGTATTATAATGGCATCACTTCATTCATCCATTCAACATTAAGGTAATCGCTTTTTTATAATAAATCTTTATTTCAAGCCTACTAAATACCAAAACATGAGCTAGTCTTTGCAGGGCTCAACTGAGGACAATCCATGAAAATTGCCTTAAAGGTTTTTATAATCCATTAAGGCAGTAGATCTTAGTTTTTGAAAATTGTTAATGCCATATATATTTTATTAATATTTACAACTCATCCACTTATATGTCTGTAGTCATATTAACATTATTAAGAAGATTATAGTAATAGTAATTCTACGTAACTTTTAAAACCTAAAATATATATTGAACAGTTAAAATACATATTAAGTAAATAGTAGTTTAAAGAAATTTCATCTGTTATATAAATATTTTGTTATTTATACATTACTATTGATAACATTTAAAAATATAAATACTCATCCACTTATAGGCCTGTAGTCATATTAACATTACTAATAAGATTATAGTAATAGTAATACTACTTAACATTTATATATTAAAAATATTTAATATATAAGTATTTTGTTATTTATACATTAGTATTGATAACATTTTAAAATATAAATATTGAATATCTCATGATCTTATAAAATATTGCATTGAATCTTGTGATATAATAATTCTAGAGTTTTAATCTTATATTTGAAATTTTAATTTTCATGGCTTTCAAAACAGAAAATTTTACTAAAAGATGATAAACACACTCTAATGGAAAAAGTATGTAGTTGATTTCAAGAAGTAGATATGACATTTCTTCATCAGTTCCTCACATTAATCACTTAGAAATTTATCATTGTTAGCCAATACATTTCCTCCTTTGATTTTTTTTTAGTTTTCTGTCAAAGCATCTAGAGAATATTATATAGATAAATGTTCAAAAAGTCATAGAAAACCCAATGAATTTTAAAAATAATTTTTTATAAAGGTTAATAAATTACCTTTCCTAGTTTAGTTGAAAACTGTGCCAATATTGTAGTTTGTTACACCCTTCTATCATTTTTGGCAACTACGTCACATAAGTAAGACATTTATAAGTTATTTCTTTTTCCTAATTTTTTTGTACTTTTTTCCCAAAGCAATTATTTTTCTATTCACTTTCAACACTATATTTATCTTAAAAGGATAAATTTTAGACTGTTTGTGTAACATACTACTGACAGTTATTTGCCATCACAGAAAAGGTAGACAATTGAAAATACCTTTTCAATACAGAAAAACACATAAATGATTTATCATAGGGTTCAATAACAATTTTAAATTTATAAGCAATTTTAAACTTATAAAACAATTGCCAAAATAGCACAGAGTTCCCTAATGCCCTTAACTTAATCTCCCTTAATGTTGACATCTTACATAACCATAGCACAATTATTAAACTAAAAAATTATCACCAGTAAAAGCTATTAATTAATGGAGGACTTTATTTAAATTTCATCAGTTTTTCCACTAAGTCTGTTTTCTATTCCAGGATCGGACTAGGATCTCATATTGAATTTAGTTGCCCATCTCCTCAGCATCCTTTCTGTGACATTTTCAGGCTTTCTTTGTCTTTTATGGCACTGGTAATTTTAAAGAGTACCAGCAGTTATATTCTAGAATGTTCCTCAATTGGATTATCTGATATTATCGCATGTTTTGATTGTGGTCCTCAACTTTTGGCAAGAGTAGCACAAAAGGGATATGATAAGGATTACGTAATATAAATGTCTTCCGACAGTTGATGTTAATTTGATCATTTTGTTAGGTAGTGTCTGCTGGTTTCTGAACAATAGTCATTATTTTAAAATTTATGATTAATAAACATCTTGAGGTACAGACTTTGATACTGCAAGTTTGTCTTTTCTCTCAAATATTTGCACAATAATGTAAAGCTAACATGAAAGCTTCATTTTAACCAATGACAGCAACACTGGGTGCATCTCACTATAAAAATTATGATGGTATTCCAATGGTGATTCTCTCTTCCCTTTGTTCCAGTATATTTTATTAATTGGAATATTCTGTAAGAACCAGCTGTCCCTTCTCTCTTAATGTACTTATTTAGTTATTTATGTCAATATGTACTCTGATATTTTATATTTGATAAATATAAGCATATTACAATATGATGATAATTTATTTTGTGAATAAAATTGTTCCAGTTTTGTCAGGAGCTCTTCTGGTTAGCTCCGGTGCCCTGCCAATGATGCCTCTAAACTTTTTCAAACTCTTCCTACTACAAGATACTCTAGCCTTACTTTGTATTTTCTTGTCCACAGTACTGGAACCTACTGGTTTTCTAAGGAGACTTGCTTTCTTTTACTGAAGAATGGTAATTAGACATCACACCTCAGCAGTAGTGCTCATTGCTGCTAGGGTGTCATTTCTCCTAAATCCTAAGAAATATCAATAGGTGCACTACCCAACGCGTACCCATTTTCTCTTTCTCTTTACCATCATTGTTATCTATCTACTATGTCTTTAAAAATCATGGGTTCATACTGATACTTCTGATTTCAATCTAATACCACAACTTTCATTCTTTCTTCCTTTTCCTATTTGTAACATGTTTCTCCATGAGTAAGAAATCTGCCTTCTATTATTTACAATGTTATTTATTTAAACGTAGAGTACATAGAAAAGTAGTTTCAAAATTTCTTGCAAATTTTCTTACTACAATATAATATTTTTTTCTAGTTTTTCTTTCTGTAGCCCTCAGTATTATTTCTAACTACTATTTTTTGGTTACTTAGGTTAGTTATTTTCTTCCTTGTCCTGTATAGTGTAATTATGTTGTACATTTTTGGTAGAGCATATGTAACAATTTCTTTTTTATTTTGGGTTATTTATAACTGCTACCTAATTTCCAAATATTTGAGGATTTTTATTCCATTTTTGGGGAGGAAGTATTTTGTATGATTTCTATTCTAGTTGATGTGTTAAAATTTTGGGATGGGGTGGGGAGGTGCAGAATATGATCTTAATTAAGAAATTTTTTACTAAACACATTCAACTCATTTAACATATTGAAACTGATACAATCAACTATTGTTCAGTGGGGTTGGTATAGAGGGTTTTTCAGGTATTCTGTATCCTTACTCATTTTATCTTTACATTTTCTGTCTTGTACTGAGATGAGTGTCTTGAAATTTCTAATTCCATTTGTGAGTTTGTCTATTTTTTCTTTCAGATTGATAAATTTGCTCCATATATTATGAAGTTCTGTTGTTAGGTACATACATATTTAATATTGCTGTATTTTCCATGATAATTCACCATTTTATGATTATGTAATAGCTCTTTCCTCTTCTTTTCAGATTGCTCTTGAATTTATCTCATATAAAATATACAGGGTTTTTAGTTGTAGTTAATGAGAAGAATAAGGAAACACGCATTTAGTTTTTTTCTTTTCGTCTATATATTTCTATTTAGCTGTCTTGAATGCACAAATAGGTTTCTTACCTGAAGTTGTAATTAGTGTGCTGATAAATAAACATCTTGAAAGCATTTTTTTCATCCCCTTTACTGTAATTCACATAACTCAGTAATCCTATGCTTCTTACTGGTATAGTTCTGGGCCCTGTATAGTGTATTTCTTCTTCTCTCTCAGAGTTACAGTGGTTTGTTGTTTGTTTGTTTTTCAAATGTTTCTTTCCCATAACTGCAATAGATTGTCAAAAGTGGCTGATGGACAATTGTGTTTTTTTGCCATTTGTCCTGCATATTAAAGCTTCGTTCCATGGAAAATATAGTGCAAAAGGTATATATAGAGATTTCTGCCCCTCTACCAGCAGCTAATATTTCCCATTCTCAAGCCTACACAATGATGGATGCTTTGCCAGGACTTTAAATTGAGCATCAGGGAGATTCAAAGAAAAAAATGCTTGCAAAATGATGTTAATTCGCCCTATATCTATGCCCTAACCTCCCATACTCCATTCTTAGCACACATTTGGCTGCTACCAATTCATGATTTTAGCTGAATTCTCTCTACCTGTGTCTGGCTACATCTGTTGTAATAAGCAAGCATTCTTCTTTTTTTTTTAATACAACAACTTTATTGTTTTTCTATATATACCTTTATTTATACTAAAAATTGTAAAAATAGCACAGTCTCCTGTAATTGCAATCCACATTTTTGAAAGCCAGAAAATCTATTTTTTATGCTCTAGCCAAAAAACTCAAAGCTTTCTTTACCCACAAGTGACTTTGCTTCAAATTCTTGATATTGGGTTTCATCTCACTGACTTTGAGCTTCTAAAACACATGGGAATACGTATGTCCTCTTGACTTCTTTGGGTCTAATCAAACAGTAGAACTAAAGAATACGGAAGTTATTCAAATACTTTCAAAATACACAGATCCCTTATAAATTACTAGTATCATGGTAGCAAGGAAGATACAAGAAGGAAAATACATCCTAGAACTCATTATTGAAATTATTTGTATATATTCTATCCTAGCATAGAGTAGCTTTTTCAACCTGCTACATAAAATTACCAGAAAGAAAAAACAAAAAATCACAAGAACAAGGCTTATGGCTGAAGTGGCTCAGTGTCATAATTCTATTCTAGCATTCTCAGAAGGATCCCAACTGTTATACATGCAGACACTGCTACACCATCTGAATCACCCACTTCTTGGTTCATTCTGAACTCCCTTATGACTAATATTTCTTAGTTCTCTTTCAAGCCTAGGAACTCTGCTGAGTAACATGTATCTTATTCTTGCCATTCTTTCTTTCTACACATACAGCAAAATTCTTACTCCCCTCCCCCTGTAAAGCAAGTCATCTGGCTTCCCTGAGGATTGTTGCTCCTGTATACCATTGGGGTGAACCTTCTGGTAGAGAGGAAGGGAATTCAGTACTAGGGTTGATAGTCAAGTTACTAAGGTTCTTTATCAATGTCTTGGAGCAGAAGTTTTAAGAGACCCCTGAATCATCCTGGGAATTTTCTTCAGTGAGCATTTGTGAAGACTATGAGACCAAGTTTAGATTAAACTTTTGTGATGGTCCATTGGCGGTCTCGACACAATACTTCAAGCATTCTTTTTCTCTCATCCTAGCCTCCCTGTCCTTAAATTTGAGTCTAGTTGTTTTCCTTGTAATCTTAATTCTCTGTTGAATTCATGTCAATTTACAAACTTGAAGTTTGTTGAGTTCGTTGTTGTAACAGTAGCAGTAATACTCTTTCTAATGTACTACATCTTTAATTGAAATCAGTTGTCCAATAACTCTAGTGATTTGCTCTGAGATAAATATTAAAGCTGTGTAGAGTAAAAAGAAAATAGATAATTATGATTATTTCCCATCTCATTACAAAGTTTCACAAATATCTATCCATTAAGATAATATAATTTATAAATCCATTAATCAGGTATATATAAATTATAGTACACTAAAATACATTAAATCTGAAGAAACTAGTTAGGATAAGGCAATTGACCATTCTGTACTTGTAAGTTTCTTTAGGAGATGTCATTTGCTGTTTTTATTCATAGGTTAAGTTCTCTTTATGAAAAAATATATATCATTGAATATTGAAACTTTAGGGCAATTGCCCATCATCAAATGGAAATCAATATAGACATTTTCAACCTTTTAGTTTTATCACTTCAATAGAAGGCCTTTTTTATGACTGGAGAAGCAGATGAAAATAGGAACCACACAACTGCACATTGATTTATTTCAACCTTAGTCTAGAAGTGACCCATCACTTCTAGTTTCATATTATTAGTCAGAAGTACTCACATGATCCTTCCTAACTGTGAAAGCCTAGTAGACTTTCTCAAGTGCTTAGAATAGGAAGAAATGGATATATTGTAAATATTAATAGCATATATGGCACATATGTATACACTACTATTAATAGCATACAAAGGAAGTGTATTCAATATAAGTTTACCTTTGTAAGATAAAAATAGGTAGAAATACAAGTTCTTATACTTTCTTCTTGCATCTCAGCAGAATCCGTTAGGCTCCTTTTGGAAACAAGTAACTTTATTGCACCCCCTATAGAAATATACAAGCAAACAAACAGGAAAAGAAATACAGTACTCCTTTGATACTGCTGAAACACATAGAAGCAGTAGCTAATCATGTATTGAGAGACAGAATATCTTTCAAGTGACACTTGAAATATCACTGGGAGTAAGCTAGGCAAACGGGAAATTAGGAAGAATGTCCAAGAAACTCTTAGAACTTACATTCTAAGAATTTTTCTGTTTCTAGTATAAGAGAAGAATGACAGAATTGCTATAGAGATATGTAGAGGTTTCTTCCAAAATAAGGTTATAAGATTAAATTATAAGTGGCTTATTTATATAATCCTCATCAATCAAGTTACATTTCTTAACATAAAAAATTTTAGTTTTGTTAAATGAAGAAACATGATTAAACAGAAACATGTAATCCTGAAACTTTATATTTAATTGCTATTACATATCAATCTGAAATATGCACGTTTTTTTCATCAGCAACCTGAAACACAAATGGATTAGGAAATACATTATTAGTAATATTGTTCCCTTATGCAAATAATTAAGAAAATAATCCCACAAGCAAATCTATGAAAATACAGATTTTTCCTATACTTTTTCTACCTTGTCAAACTTCATAGAAGGTATATATTTAATTCAAGTTATTTTTATTTGGTATTGAGTTGTTTTCCTATAAAAATGTTAACATTTTTGCTATGATAATTCTATAGTGGTTACCTATGTATCTTAATCAAATCATTTATGGTATACAAGGTTATGTTTAAATACAAATAAAAGTAACTGAAATTTTTATATATTTTTATAATATGTATCTGAGAAGAGCAGGAAAATAGGATTTAGATTAATTGAGATCTAAATGTGAAATGAAACTGCAACATACCTAAGTGAACCTGAACCACCGCAAAAATGGGTCTGCATGTAGGTGTAGACAACTTATAACACCTACACAATTCTTGAAATGACAACTTACACCAAATTGTTGCAAAATAAGTAGAAGATTACCAAGGTAGAATGATACTGCTTATATTAGTTAACATCACAGATGCACATATATTAATCTAGGTAAATTGCTAACCTCCCCGCAAACTACTTCCATTAAACATTGAGAGAGTATCGTAAAAATTGCAAAGATTCTCACTACTGACTGCATTACATTTTATACCATCACAAATACTCATTAAGAAAATAAAAGGCAAGACACAGACTGGGAGAAAATATTTGTAAAACACGTATCTGTAAAGAACTAGAGTCTGTTTTAAACTAGTTGAGTTTAAAACTCAACTAAGAAAAGAACCCACTTAAAAAGTGGGCAAAAGATCTGAACAGACACCTCTCCAAATAAGATATATAAATGTCAAATATAGAAATGAAAAAATACTCAACATCATATGTCAGCAGGGCATTGAAAATTAAAACAATGAAATACTGCTATAAGCATATAGCTAACTCCAAAAACAAAAAAAAGAAAAAAAACAAACTGACAGCATCAAATGTTGGTGAGAATGCAGAGCAATGAGAATTTTCATTCATTGTTGGTTGAAATGAAAAATGGCACAGCCACTGGAAGACAGTTGGGCAGCTTTTTGACTAAGATAAATATTGTCTTATCATATAATCCAACTACTGTGTTCCTTAATATTTACTCAAATTAGTTAAAAACCTATGTCCACAAAAAGTTGCACACTAATGTTTGTAGCCCTAATAACTGTCAAAAACTAAAGCAACGGAGCTGTGGTGTGTCCATACACTGAATAGAAATACTATTCAGACACAAAACAAAACAAGCTATCATGCCACATGAAGACATGAAGGGACCATAAATGCATATTGTTTAATTAAAGAAGCCAATCTAAAAGGCCTCATACTGCATGACTTCAACTATATGACATTTTTTAATATGCAAAACTATGGGACTGTAAAAGGATCCATGGATGCCAGGAGTTAGGCAAGAGAGAGGGATTAGGTAGCTGTCTCTATTCAACTATTGTTCTGAAAAGCTGTCTTTTCTATCTAGTCATGGAGTTGTAAAACATGATGATCAGCCCTCTTGATGGTGAATTTTAAAGATAATCAGCATTAATTGGCAGCTCTCAGAGTAAATCCTTTAGTCAGCTTCAACCTATAGTGAACAGGCGATTTTTAGGGCAGTGAAACTATTCTGTGTGATACTATAATGGTGGATGCATGACAAACTATGACCTTTAGTTAATAACAAATTTTCAATATTGTTTTAGCAATTGTAGTAAATATATGCAAAGTGTTAATAAAAAGAGGAACTATAAGAGAGAAAGAGAGAGAGAGAGAATATTGGAAATCTCTCTGCATTATCTGCTTAATTCTGTGTAAACATAAAACTGCTCTAAAATAAGATATTAATTTTAAAAATAATAACATAGAATTCAAGAATTCCATTGCTGGTTCTTATGCCAATGACATTGTTGAATATTTTAATTGTTTTTCATTTCTTGTTGCCATCAGTATATAAATAATCTTCTCTGAAACATATCATTGCAACCCATTATAAGTCTTAGGTAGCTGTCTCTATTCAACTATTGTTCTGAAAAGCTCTTTTCTATCTAGGCATGGATTTGTAAAACATGATGATCAGTCCTCTTGATGGTGAATTTTAAAGATAATCAGCATTAATTGGCAGCTCTCAGAGTAAATCCTTCAGTCAGCTTCAACCTATGAATTGCTTATTGGAATTTCTTATTACTTTTTTGTTATTGCCTTTTATGTGTTTCTACTGCTTTTTTTGCTATATCTTTTTAGAAATTGCACTTATTCTATTATCTTACTACATAAGTGGATCATTTGAAAATGACTCAGACATAAATATATAGACACATTGAAGCATATGTGAATGTTGTATGAGTTTTTTTAATTTCACTGCAGTATTCAGTAAATCATTTCACTTTACCTCAAACTGGAAATATGTTTTACATAGTGTTTGATAATTTATTAGAATTCTGTTTAATTATTCACTGAATTATTATTTTGAGTACTATTTATTGAGTCTTAATTATCTACCTCTACTTTTATAAAGATTTTTACAAAGATATTTTTATTATTCTTTCATTCACTATTTCTTCTAACTCAGTTTTACTCATTAGATGCTCTTTAATTTTTAATGGATACTACGTATGTTCAGATATTTGGTTAAATATTATTCTGGGTGTGTTTGTGAAGGTGTTTTTGGACTAAGTTAACATCTGAATAGGTAGACTGAGTCAAGCAGATTGCCCTCCCCAATGTGGGTGAGCCTGATCCAATCTATGGAAAGCCTTAATAGAACAAAAGGTGAAGTAAGAGAGAATTCACTCTCTCTGAATTACTGCCTTCAGCCTGGGACATGTTCTCCTGCTTTGGACCCTTCTGTATCTCTGGATCTCCAGCTTATTGACTGCAGATTTTGGGACTTAGCCTCCATAATCATGTGAACCTATTCTATATATATAATGTATTGTGAATGAAAAAATAAATCCCGAGGCCTCAAAATCTTTAAGCTAAAGGGAAATGTCAAGCTGGGAACTGCTTAGGGCAAACCTGCCTCCCATTCTATTCAAAGTCATTCCCCTGCTCACTGAGATAAATTTATATCTGATTACTTCTTTCGGAAAGGCTAAATCAGAAACTCAGAAAAATACAACCATTTGTCTCTTACCTACCTGTGACCTGGAAGCCCCCTCCCCAAAGGCAGGAGCCTTTGCTTTATGTATATTGATTGATGTCTCATGTCTCCCTAAAATGTGTAAAACCAAGCTGTGTTCAGACCACTTTGGCACATGTTGTCAGGACCTGCTGAGGCTGTGTCATGGGCAAGTGTCCTTAACTTTGGCAAAATAAACTTCCTAAATTGACTGAGATCTGTCTCAGATATTCTGGATTCACATTTTGATAACCATTGAGTGATTCTGAGTTGAGGTGACCCCTGATGTTTAACAAACTTCCTGTTGGTGCTTCGTACCACCTTGAGCTATCTTGATGGCTCAAACCAATAAGACAATTTGCTGAAGCTTGGAAGTACCACCTTAAAAAAATTGTTCTTTCAGTTACTTTTCTTCAACCATATACCTTCTTCCCCCTTTGCCATTTTTAGTTCCAATAAATAAAAAATAAAAAATCTAGAGAAGGGTTCTAATGACTTGAACCTCTTAAGGAATTCAGAACAAAAGCAACACTCACCCCTTTTGGGTTGTTCTATTTCTTTGTGAAGTTTTAAGAATCATGGGATGATTCTTCTTTGGTCTAAAGCTCTATTTTCCTGTATTGCATGACCTGACCTCTTTGGCTTTGGGCGTACCAGAGATGACCTAGTATTGATCTTGGAATGTGTAATGGTGGAGAGAGCTACAAAGTTAGGGGTGGCTGAGGACACTACAGAAAATGGTCTTGGCTGTTGTTTTATCTCCTAGGAAGTTGTTGTTTAAGAATCCTACTTCTAGTTCAGAGATGTATTCTAAAAGGTCTTCTCCATTGCCTTTTCTCAGAGAATTAATTTCAATTTGGCTTGCCTGTGCACATTTGCATGAGGAGCTAAATTGTTTTCATAGGTTAATGAGAGACTGAATTTTCTCAGCCCCAGTGAGAAAGGGCATGTTGCTCCTCCCAGCCTTAAGGTGCCCCTGGGTGACCAGGGGCCTCATGGGATATCTGGGGGGGTTGACCCCCTCATGACATGCAGCAGCCCTACAGGGAACCCTTAACAAAATTAGTTTTAAAAAGTCTTGACAGCTGAGCGTGGTGGCTCAGGCCTGTAATCCCAGCACTTTGAGAGGCCGAGGTGGGTGGATCATGAGGTCAGGAGATCGAAACCACCTTGGCCAACATGGTGAAACACCATCTCTACTAAAATACAAAAAATTAGCCAGGCATGGTGGCATGCGCCTGTAATCCCAGCTACTCTGGAGGGTGAGGCAGGAGAATCACTTGAATCTGGGAGGCGGAGGTTGTAGTGAGCCAAGATTGCACCACTGCACTCCAGCCTGGCGACAGAGCCAGACTCTGTCTCAAATAAAAAAAAAATAAAAAAAAAAGTATTATCCAGTAAGCACATATAGGAGCTGGTCCCTCTGCACTTTGAGCCCTCCTGGAAGGGCTTAGACCTCTGGAAAGAAAAACTGAGACCTGTAAGAGGATGGCAATGACTCAATGGTGACACACTTTGAAGTCCCGCCCACAACTACCATGCTTTGACCCACTCCACAAAAAACCCTAGTCCGTAGCTCAGTTCCTCCTTAGAGTGAAAGAGAAATAGTCGACCTGCAAACTATAGAATTCCTCAGTTCTCTTTTTCTCTATTCTCTTTTCCGCCTGCTTTAGATCTGCTGATACTTTTCTACTGAGATAAAAGCCACTGTTTGAATCTAACCATTTTTTGTTTGTTGCTTGTTTTGTTTTTTTTTTGCAACTTGGTAAATTTGTATTAATATCTCATGCTAGAGTTCTGAAGTAAAAGTTATAGGAACTTTGTGTGTGAGTGTGTCTACATGTGTGTGTATATATATATATATATATATATATATATACCCATATATATATATATATACCCATATATATATATATACCTGTATATATATATTTAAAAGACCTTTATAATACATTTGTATAATTTTACGTTTAACTGGCAATTAGATGGATTTTAATTTCCCTCTAGCACACCAGACTTTCTCTCTGTACCTTGAGATGTAAATTTTTTTATCTGATTTTATACCTAAGAGTTGTTTTCTTCAATATGCAAATTTAGGGCTATTTAGCTGACAGTTGCCAAGGGTGATAAAACAGGTTATGAAGAATTTGAAAGTCTAAAACAAAAAAAGAGGTCTTATGAATCTGTAAGATGTACTTCTATCAGCATGCCTAATACTTTTATGTATATGTGTTTTGTGTACACAATATTTCACTAAAAATATATAAAAGAGCTCTAATTAATTGGCTTAAGAAAAATGAAAGCATTTAAATCAAATACTTTATCAGAAAAAAAGACTAGTCAAATGCTTTTTAAAGTTTAAGTGACTCTAGTAAAATCTTTAATAATAAGCTAACTTTAAAATTATTGGTAAAACAATATTAGAAATGTCTTAAGAATTGGCAGCATACATTTTTGTTTGCATTTATTGATGAAGCAATTTAATACCTACCCCTGCCAAATACTACAAGATGTCAAAATAGGTGTTATAAAACTATAAACCCAGCCCCAAGCAAAGATCAAAGAATGATCTTTGCTTGTGTAATTTTTAATAAATAAGACATTGATATTGGCTTAATGAAAATAGCTAAATCTTGAATTATTTAGTAAAATAACCATAACTTCTAATCTTGTGGCTTTAGGCAATCTAGTCCCCAGGCAGGAATAGGGTTTGTTTCGGGAAAGGACTGTTATCTTGTTTGTTTCAAAGCTAAACTTAAACTAAGTTCCTCAGAAAAGTTAGTTTGACCTATGCCCAGGAATAAACAAAGACAGCTTGGAGGTTAGAAGTAAGGTGGAGTCAGTTAGGTCAGATATGTTTCACTGTCTCAGTTATAATTTTGCAATCGCAGTTTCATAACTTTAAATGATGACTGTCATAGGTTTTATAAACTAGGTAAATAATTAAAATAAAATAATTAGGTGACTGCAATAGGATAAATACTTGTAGGCAAACATGCCATAATTTAAAATCTAGTTATATTAAGTAATAGATATTTCATTATTTGGGTATTTTCCAATAAAAATATATTGTAGGAAAACATTCATTCTAGAAAAAACAAGTGTTTTTTAATAAAGGTGAATTATTTTTGTTTAATTCAAAGCTTATTTAAAGATTATATATAAAACAAGGTAAAAGGAACCAGGAAATAAGAGAGATAGAAAGAAATTTATAGAAATAAAGGAGGTAATTTTTTGGCAAGAAAGCTTAAAGTGAAATAATTTTATATGAGAAAGAATCTCGTATGGTGAATTTTGTCCTAGAATAAGGTGACTGGTTATTTAACAAAGAGGGATGTTCAGGACAAATGAGAAAGTTCAAGCATGTCATAAATAGTCTGCAAAAGTCATAATAAGGTGATTTATTTTAAAAATTTTTATATGATCAAGATGGCTATAATTAAAGGGAAATTATAATGGTCTTTCTAGAAATTGCATTTTCTTTAAAAAGAAAGCACTTATATACTAAATAATTGGTTTGAACCTGTGAAATTTTCTTAAGGTATTGTTTTACTCTTCATGAATTACAGACGTTATATATATATTTTTTTTTACTCAAAGTTCAACTGTTATTGCAACTCATTGTTTTCAGGTTTCTCTCCCTTTTTAAAGGGCCTGGAATAGTAAATCATTTTCAGTTGCTGTAAGTTTGTTTTCCCTTTGGGTTCCAACTGTTCTGACCTGATGCTAGAAAAACAAAAATTTTCTCTTAAAGGTCTGAAAGAAGTGTTTCCTTGCAATACAATATTCCCCACAAGGAACAGCAGTCACACTGCAAAAGGTATCTTCTCTTGTGTTGGGTAATCTGGCCTAATAAACTGATCTTGTACTTTATCAAAATAATTTCTATATCATTAATACAAAGTTTGGTTTGGTTAGAAAAAACTGAGATGAAAACAATTTTTTTAATTAAGGTTCTTACATCCATGTAACTTTCTGTATGTGCTTTTATTTATTATTATTATTTTTCTAAGGCAGAGTCTCACTGTCACCCAGGCTGGAGTGCAGTGACATGATCTCAGCTCACTGTAACCTTTGCCTTTTGGGTTCAAGTGATTCTCCTGCCTCAGCCTCCTGAGTAGCTGGAATTACAGCTACCCGCACCATGCCTGGATAATTTTGGTAATTTTAATAGTTATGGGGTTTCAACAAGTTGGCCAGGTCTCAAACTCCTGACCTCAAGTGATCTGCCCACCTAAGCTTCCCAAAGTACTGGGATTACAAGTGTGAGCCACTGTGCCCCTGCCTGTATGCCCTTTTACAGTCTTTGTGTCATTAAGTTACAGGGCTTTGAATCCTGGTCTTAAAGGACACAAAGTCCTGATAAATCTTACACTGAGAGCAGTTAAAGCCTTATCTTCAGACCCCGTCGAAGATACCAATCAAAGGAAACTGTGTTCATGATACACAGGGCCAGAAATTAAAGCAACTCAACTCCTCAGGGACTAGCATGGAAGAGGTAGGTGCTTGAGATTGTAAGGGCCGATTTTGAGAGATCAAACAAGTCAGTTTCTCTATAAATTATTTGACATTAATGTGAAAGGCACACTGATGCAGGACCAGCATATGGGCCCATCTGTCAGATTAGCAAGGTTTTCTTGGAGCATTAACTGACTCCTTAATAAAGGTTATAATAAAATTATAAACGTTTTATGGAAATTACACCTTATAGTTCATGTGATTAAAATTTTATAGATTAATATTTGTACAATTTTGGAAAACAAACTTAATTGGCTTTATGCTGTTTTTATTACGGCTTATTATTAGGAAAATTAAGTCTCCTCTCCCAAGAATGAAGGTGTTGCCTTTTTGTTGTTGAAATCCTTGAGTTATCACCTTGATTAAATGAATGACTTATTTTATGATGACCTCTAACCTATTTTGTGATATCAAGTGTTTGAAACCTTTGATATTTGACAAACGTTCCAAAATCAAATTATAAGTTATGTCTTTTTCTGACTTAATTAATCCTTGAAGCTATTAGGTTCCCTAAAGTCCAAAAATAACATATTTGGCTTATTTGCTATATAAATCATACAGCAATCATTGTCAAATATGAAATGGTGTTTGGATTTCTTTGGGATGTGTTTGTATAAATCTTATTGGTATGTATTCCAAAATTATATGAAACTCCTATAATTCTGATATGAATTAGTGTACATTATCAGTATTAATTATAATTGCAATGTTAAATTATTTTGTGCCACAGAGGAAACAAATTTTCCTGTCAATTATGTCTTCAACTAGAGCTGCCCTAAAACTTTTTGCTCATCCACAAACAATTGTTGTGTTGTTTTGTTCTTCTTTAGAAGGTGGTTTTATAATTAGCTATAAAATTCTGACAGGTGTTCTTAAATGCAGGGTTCTGATAACTTTGGAGGTTGTGACATTAGAATAGAGGAGAAACTTTCAGGACTCTCATGGAGAGCTGGAATGTTCATGAATATCATGCAGAACAGGAGTTAACTGCATGGACTGAACTAACAGGGGACTAAGTAATCTTTTGACTTTTTTGCTTGAAACATTGTTTTGTTTTTCAGAATCAAAAAAAGTTCTCTTTTGACCTATTTACAGCTTGTAGCAACTGAGTAAATTATACTCCTGTGAACAAAATTTGGAGCATATTTTTTTCTCTCTACCTTATTTCTCCAGAATTTGGAAACTATTAGTGAATATTCTTAACTTATGGCAATAGAGTTATTTGCAAAAGTGCAATGAAAATATTTTCTTTTGCAGCAGGACACCACTGGAGAAACTGGTTATTTTACCAAGACTTTTACTGGAATGGTGTGATTTCCTTTAAAGAATCAAACTTGACTTCTAGAGCCAATAAAAACCCCTTAGGAAAACTGGCTTCATACCTTGTCTACACATTCCCTGTACAGGGTTCCTGACCTATAGTTAGTAAATAATGTAACTTTCTGATTAGCCCTGGAGCACCAAGTTATCTTGGGACCTCGGGAGGAGAGGAATTTACCCAATTCATAGGTATTTGATGGTATAAATCCATGGCTGAGTTCAGCTTTAAGAAAGTCTTACCTGAGATTCCTTCTATGGAACAAAGTTCCATCAAAGCCAATTTAAAAAGCCTCTGTGAAAAATAATTATTCTTTCTGCACTTTATACAAAAAAAAAAAACCTGGCCAGGTATAATTAAGCAAATTGGTCCTATCATAATTTATGTTTAATAAAAATGAAAAACTGGAGAGAGAAAAATTATGTTGTAAACTCTATAGTACACCTGTTGTTAGATTCTAGTCTTGCCTAATGATTTTCAATTCTTATTAGTTTTTCCAATTTGAACTGAATTATAATTTTTCCTGGCTACAGTTCTCAAAAATAATGTTTTCAAATTTTTTTCTTCTTTCTTTTCTTTTTTCCACCATTTTTTTTCTAATTTGAAATCACTTAAAACTAAGTTGTGCTTTCTTAAAGCCCTACAAACTGAAGCTAGACAACTTAAGCTTCAGAAGAAAATAACAGCAACCTATTTACACACATAAGCTACTTTCTTACCTGCCTATGGATGTATGGACTTAAGAGTAATATAGTCTATATCAATTTTCCAGAATTATTTTTTTTGTTTGTTGTTTTTCTCCATTCCCTGCCCCCATTTTCTCTTCGTAGGACATGAGAGTTCACAACCTGTTAAAAATGAGCTTTCCTAATAATGTGGGACCTACCCATCTAGGAATAAACCATCCTAACCATGAGAGATCAGACAAAACCTGATATCAGACTTATTTTCTTCTAAAATGCATTCTGCAAAAGGGGGAAAATGTGAAAAGCAAATAAATCTTGGAGCCTCAAAATCACTAAAGTAAAGGAAAGAGTCAAGCTGAGAACTGCTTAGGACAAACCTGCCTCCCATTCTATTCAAAGTCATCCCTCTGCTCATTGAGATAAATGCATTTCTGATTGCCTCCCTTGGAAATGCTAATCAGAAACTCCGAATAATAAAACTATTTGTCTCTTATTTACCTACGACCTGGGACCTGGGACCCCGTCCCCACTTTGAGTTGTCCCATCTTTTCTTTACATATATTGATTGATGTCCCATGTCTCCCTAAAATGTATAAAACCAAGTTGTGCTCAGACCACCTTGGGCACATGTTGTAAGGACTTCCTGAGTTTCTGTCATGGGCATGTGCCTTTAACTTTGACACTATAAACTTCCTAAATTGACTGAGACCTGTTTCAGATATTTGGGGTTCTCTCTCTCTCTCTCTCTCTTTATATATATATATATAAAATTTATATTAATATAATATAATTTATATAATATATGAAATAAAAATAGGTTCACATAAGTATATACCTGTATATCTACATATATAGGTATTTATAGACATATTTTATAAATATAAATTTATTTTATATATAAATTATGTATAATATATGATTATATATAATATAGGTATATTACATATATTTTGATATCTATATATAATATACCTATATATACACATACATATGTGTGTGCATGTGTATATATGTATATATAATATATTTATATAAAATATTTTTTTTTATTCTCTTTCTCTGAAGAATACTGACTGAAACACCAAGTACATATCTATGGAAGGATGAATGGACTTCATTTACTTTAAACCAAGCACTATATTGCAACAGCATAAATGCAAAATTATATATGAGAATGTAGCTATTTTCTATTAAGCTAACCATTAAGGAGACTGTCAAAAATGTAAAATTATTGCCATTCTCCTTGCTGTTTTTGAATTGGAAAGTAAGTTTTTAAAAAATATATAATGTTTACATTCTAGGGGCCAAGACCCTTACCCCTCTGGAGGTTCAAGAATTACTGACATGAGACATATTAATAGGAGAAAAGTCAAACAAATTTCTATAATGTGTATATATGGGAGTCTTCAGAATGAAGACTCAAAGATAACAGGAGAAAGTTTCTTTTTATGATTAGGTTCCACAAAGTGTGGACAGCTGTATAGAAATCTGATTGGGCAAAAATAATATGATCTAATGCTAATAGACTGAGTAGGGAAACCCAGCAAGCCCTGTCTGTCTAGATTCTTTGTGTCCATGTGAGCTTGCATTCCTTCCTTTGGGTGTGGGATAGGACCCTCTCTGGAATGGGAGCCTTGTGACCCATAGTCAAACAGGATAGGTAAGATAATTCCTTTAGGCCAGTTTTTACACAAAAAGGTAGAGAAAAAAATAGAGTAATATTTTTAGATTTTATGACTAGCTTTGAGGAAATGAGGTTCTAGTTTCTATGACCCACCATGGGGAGGAGGGATTCTAGTTTCTATGGCTAGCCTGGCAGGGGCGGGGAGGACGGAGCAGTGAGGAGTGGGACTGAGAGAAAGGAGGGCAAGAAAAAGAGAAAAACTTTTGCCTCTGAGGCTACTTCTGAGGCCTTCATTTTGGGGTATTGTTTTCCAATCCCCAACAACAGCTAATGGGTTTATTGTTATTTTTAATCGGTTAATAAATGCTTTTTTAAGTTTCAACATCTAATATCATAAATATTAATACATATAGCTGACCAAATATGTTGGAAGGTTTTTAATAAATTTTAATCATCTATAGGAGTCTTAATGAGGTCAAAAAGTGTGATAAACCCTGGTTAAGGTTACAGTGCATTAAATTGGATGTTGTGGGCAATATTGTACACAAGGAGATGAACTAAAGAAACTGTTGAAAAATTCTAGTGGGAGGTGATGGGGCTCTCGACGGGGGTTATGAATGGAGAGAAGTAAGCAAATTTGAATGATATTTTAAAAGCAATATTGAAGGAGTGTATAACTAATTGGATAAAAAATTGAAAGCAAACACAGATCACATAAGTTTCCAACTCAGGCAACTTAAAATCACTCATCAAATGGGAGAACACAAAAGACAGGCCTTATTCATTTAACATGAATTGACTTTTCAAAGCATTTTCTTGTTTTCTGCGAGAACTCAAGCATATCCTGAAGTGTACAGCTTCATGCTATATTACCTTTCTTTTTATGTATGTTGTTTCTTTATTGTAAACATTGGTGCTTTACCCTATTGAGAAACATTGAGAGACTTGGGGATTTCAATATTCTATTAATAATATGTTCAAGAAATTGAGACTGCTAGAAAATGAATGGTATATTTATATGGCACTTTTTGAATCAGGTCAAGTGTTTTGGCCCTTTAGGCCAACTATGAGAGTTTCTAAAAATCACACTGGTGATTATCAGGGTTTCTTTCAATTATAAACTACTTCAAGATTTTTTAAAAAGCACAATTTCACCTATCTGACTGACTTGAATAAGAAATCAGAGTAGAGTTCTTAATCTTTGAAAAAAATAGGAAGTAAAAATATTTATTCAGTCATTTCATATTCAAGATCCTAATAAAAACCAAGTCTATAGAAACTATATAGAAATATTGAATGAATATAACATGGAGAGTTTTAGGTTTTTAATTTCATCAGATTCAAGTGTTCATCCAAATTATCATCTTTTCTTATGAGAGTCTAAAACTGCTTATATGACACATTCTTTATGTGTAAATTTTAAAAGACCAAGTTAGGGAATGTTTAGATAATAACAATCAATATGTTCCATATTTAATCCCTTCTCTTGTATTATTTTACCTGTGCTTGTACTACTGTTTGTTCTGAATGTACAAAATGTTTGAACTGACTTTTCACCTATATTACAATTTTTATTTAAACTATAGCCCTTAGAACTAAGTAGACAAATACATGTAAGGGAAATGTCACTCTTTTGACGTTTTTGGCTGAAAATCAAAAGAAGAGTATATTTATTTTATCCTTCATGTTTACTGTGCAGACCAAGCCAACACTAAAATGTTTACACATAGAGAGGAAATTAAATGTCTTCCTCAACACCAATATTCCACTTAACTTTCTTTATGTCAGTCACTTGTTTACCCAAAGAAACATGTCGTCATATAAATCTCTCAATACAGTAGAATATCAAGTGGCTAAGTGATTTGCTTAGAAGAAAACTAATCCATTTCAGTGACAGCATTAAAATTTTCCACAATCAATCAAAAATATAGGACTGAGCCTGGCACGGTGGCTCATGCCTATAATCCCAGCACTTTGGGAGGCCAAGGTGGGTAGATCACTTGAGACCAGGAATTGAGACCAGCCTGGCCAACATAGTGAAAACCCATCTCTACTAAAAATACCAAAATTAGCCAGCCAGTGGTTCACACTTATAGTTCCAGCTACTCCGGAGGCTGAGGCATGAGAATCGCTGGAACCTGAGAGGTGGAGGTTGCAGTGAGCTGAGAATGCCTGAGTGACAGAGCAAGACTCTGTCTCAAAAAAAAAAAAAAAAAAAGAGGACTGAAAAGTAAGAGGAAAAATAATTATATTGAACAACAACAACAAACAAAATAAAAATCCAGCTCTTTCAAATTGAATAAAATGTAAACTTATATTTCTCATTCTGTCTTTAACACTTTTACATACAATACATTTTTATTTACTCAAAAATTTATTTTGTTTAATGCTCGTCTTCCATTTATAAGTAAGATTCAATTATGAAGAGTGGAAACATTTTAAATACATATTCCAATAAATGAATTGGCTAAATATATTTGGATGAATTTTGGTGGGTACATAATGCAAATACACTTCATTTTGTGAACTTTCAAAATATAGTTCTACCATTCTGCCTTGAATTGTTTCTAATGATAAATTGTCTGTTATTTTAATTTTGTATCTCTGTACATAATGTGTATTATTCCTCTGGTTGCTTTAAAGATTTTTTTCTTCATCACTGATTTTCAGAAAATTAATTATTTGTATCTCTGTAGTCTTCTTCAAGTGTCTTCTTCTTGATGCTCATTAAAATTCTTTCATCTGTGGCTTTATGGTTTTCATTAAATTTTGAAATAGTCTTAGCCATTAGTTATTTTGGAGGGGATTCCAATTATACTTATTTTAGACCATTTTATATTGACCACTTGATATTTCAGACCACTCACCGATTGTCTATTTTGATTAGTATTTTTTTCTTTGTGTTTCATTTCAAATTGTTTCTGTTTGTAGGCCTTTATGTTCCCTAACTTTAATCCTGCAGTATCTCATTTGGTGGGTATATTCCATCTCAGACAATATTTTTGATCAATATTAATTCAATATGACTCATATATATCCTCTATTTCTCATGAGGTACATGTTTTTCTATTTTTGAACAAATTAAACTTATTGTAAGAATACACTTGCCTACTATTTCTAACATTTGTCTCATTTCTGGTTTTCCTGCTGCCCTGCATCCCCAATTCTTTTTTTCTTTCTTCTTTATAAAATAGCATTGTGTTTTATGCTGCTATAACATAATACCAGAGCCCGGTAATTTATGGTAAACAGAAATTTATTTGACTTACAGCTCTGGAAGCTGGGAAGTCTGAGGTCAAAGAGCTGTATCTGGTAAGGGCCTTCTTGCCATGTTCACAACATGGTGGGAAGCATCATGTGGGCAAGTGAACACATGAACACAAAGGAAAAGGGGACTGAGTGCTCCATTTTATTAAAAAAAAAACTCACTTCTGAGATAATTAACCTACTCCTACACTAATGGCATAAATCCATTCACTCCACCCACAGGGCCTAATCACTTTTCACTAGGTTCCAGCTTCCAGCACTGTTGCATTGTAAACTAAGTTTCCAACACAGGCTTTTGGGGGCACCTATTCAAACCAGGTGGCAAGTATTATACATGTTTTCTCTATATTTTAAAGGATTATTTTTTATTATGGAGTTTGTTGTGGAATGTAATTGAATTACTAAATACAGTTTGATTCTTTTGAGGCTGTCTTTTATCATTGCTAGAGAGGTCCAGAGCTGACTTTAGGGCTAAAATGATAAGAAGGCAATACCATTGTGAGTATACTACTCAGTTTCTCATATATTATGAAGTTTTTCCCACTCTGGCTGTTTGGAATTACAAACTTTTCCTGTCCCTAGGGATTTTACGCACGTTTCTGGAGAAGCTTTTACTGCTGTTAGAATGTTTTTCATACACGTGTTAGTTAGTACTGCATTGAAAACTGCAGTAGAATCATCTGTCTCCAGAGTGTATATGCACTTGCATTTTCTCTCTCTCTGGTTCTCTCTCTCTCTCTCTCTCTGTCTCTCTCTCTCTCTCTCCCCCTCTCTCTCTCTCTCTCCCTCTCTCTCTCAATCTCTCTCTCTCTCTCTCTGTCTCTTCCTCATTAAATTACTCCATGCATTCTGCCTTGGCCTTCCAGAACTCTTAAACTCTGTTTCCTAAACTCAAGGAAACATCTGGATCATCTCAAATTCCTCTTCCATTCACATTGCTATCTGGAAATTATCTCTAGGCAGAAAGCTAGCATAATTGTAGGGCTTGCCTTATTTCCCTTCTCCTTTCACTAATATTGTGACACTGGCCACTTTTCAATATCTGAACACTGTCTTTAAAAAATATTCTAGCTGTTTTGTTTAATGTCAAAGAGTAAATTGAGTCCCCTATTGTTTTATCATGGATGAAAGCAAAAGTGTATTTATTTCTTTGAATTAATTTAATTTCTTTTAAAACTATTTTTTTTTAGTTTTCTAGAACTAAATTGTACATTTATATAAGAATAAAATGTTTAAAGTTAGGAAATTCTAAAGCTGTGATGAAATAAGTTGTTTCTGGTAAATTGTGTTCAGCTCCTGTGGTTACAGGCAGGTATGTGTTATATATTCCTCCCTGTACAATTTCAGCAACCAAGTGGTATATTACTGTAAAAACAAGTTCCTGACCAAAGTCAAATTCACAAATAAATATTTATTAAAGAGCAGCTCACACATGATCTGTAGTGCAGGAGAAACTCCACTCTTTATTCCCAGGTTACTGACAGAAACATTACACAATAAGTTCTTATGAAAGTAGATGCAACCATGACTTTAAAACAGGAAAGGTAGACCTTCTTACTTAAGTGTCCTGGCCTCTATCTAAAATTAGAGAAGAATACATTTTGTGATTCAGAGATTTCCTCCGATGTTGAGTCACTAAGACAATGTGAATCAGCAAAGAGATCGAGCTGGGCACCATGGCTCATGCCTGTAATTCCAGCACTTTGGGAGGCCAAGGCAGGAGGATTGCTTGAGTCTGGGAGTTCAAGACCAACTTGGGTGACATAATGAAGCCCCTGTCTCTACAAAAATTTTTTTTAATTAGCTGGATGTGGTGGCATGCACCTATAGACCCAGCTACTTGGGAGGCTGAAGCAGGAGGATCTCATTAGCCTAGGAGTTCAAGGCTGCAGTGAGCTGTGATCATGCCACTGCATGCCAGCCTTGGTAACAGAGTGAGATCCTCTCTCTGGAAAAAAAAAAAAAAAGATGGAGAGGGAGTAGCTAACAGTGTAATATGAAATTCAGATGAGTGTGGAGTTCCAGAATCCAGAAGTGCTAACATAATACTTACTGTCTGTCACCAACCCTCTGCTTTATCTTGACAAAACATTAGTCAGGCATCTCTCTTTCACACAGGCCCTTGAACTTTAGCTTGCTCCTCTTGTCAGCTTATCTTGTGTGCTTGCTAATGATAGAAGACAAATTTTCTGTCGAACCAGGATTATGCTCCCTTTTGGTTACTCAACTTCTCCTTAAAAGTTTCTGCTAAGCATTGCTTATCTCTCCTTACAAAATGAACCTTTTTCTTTTTTTATTTTCACATGCTTGCAGATTTATGAGATAAGAATATTCTGCCTATTGCAATATTCTTTTTGAAGAAAGTCTCTTCTTCTCTAAGTCTGAATTTGTCTTTATTTGACAGTTGTCTTTATGTGTAATTCAATGTCACACATATATGTGCATATAAGAGATAGTAAGAAGTTGTACCAGTATGGTATGGCACTGAATAAATATGTGTATCACTCACATGCTTATCACCAGCACCAAAATGAGCTGGGCATTTTTCAAGATCAAAGATCAATCAACTACTGGCCACAACACAGTGGGTGAGTTTGTTTCTGTGTATTGATGCATTCACAGTTGCCAGCAACACTGTAAGGCCAGAGACTCTGTGCCACAGAGACTGTTGCTTGCCAGGCTTAGGCCAGCAAGCCTAAGATATTTACTGTCTGACACTTTATGAAAATATTTGCAATGCCTGTTTTAGATACTAGATACAGCCAGAAACAAGACAAAGTTTTCTAATCTCACAGAGATTATGGTCCTCTTTTGTGGCACCTATACAATTTTTATATAAAACAATTATTTTCTTGAGTGGTTCCTAAAATATGGTGTGAGTCAGGTGGGTGTAGGAAGCATGCCCATTCATCTGTGTATTCCTAAACATCAAGATGAATGCTTATTAAATACTAATCCTTTTGTTTGTCAAAGAAAGGAAAGGAAGAAGAAGGAAGAAAATAATTTTTTCAAGTATGTATTGATCAACTTAATATCCATCGTGTAATTTTCTTGGTAACTTATGTTTTTGTTGAATAAAATATGGTTTGTTATAGTTGTGAGTGCTTCTAATGTACTCACATCAACATTATAGCATGACTGTAATAATTTCTGTGTTCTGTGAATTTGACGGTAGAAACTTTTTTCTCATTATTTATATTTACCAGTTATTTCATGACTTTTTAAAAAAAGATTTTGGGACTGTATATTATTTTCCTACAGATGTGTTCAAAGGTAAATAATTCATTGCATTTTAAATTATATTTTATGACTTGTATTTGTTCATTGTGTTTAATTTTGCTTCCACTGCAATATTTTTTAGCATTTTAATACAAATTATTTGGGGACTTTACCAGAGATGAGTATCATGTAATATTAATAATGTCATTAAAAACCCAATAAATCATTAAATATAATGCCATTAGAGATGAAATAAGTAAAAATACATCTTTTTAAAAATCTTCATTATGGTGTAGAAGACGCCCATAAATTTATGGGTTTTTATGCAAAAGTTTGATGATAGTGCTCTAGGTTCAACTTCCTAATTATATTTTTTGTAATATTAATATTAAAATCAATTTACATTCCATGGGAATTTACCAACTAGTATTGGAGAGAAGAGGCCTTAAGCAGGATAGTACCTAAGGTATGTCAAACTGGGATAATAATTTGCTGAAGATAATTAATGAAAAATCGAGAGTTGAGGGTATCTCACAAATTAATGAAAAAAGTTAAACTTACTGCTGTAATTTCCAGATAGCAGACAGATTAAATATTAAAGGTATTTAAGTTACTGATTTTAGTATTTTTGAAAACATTAAATCATTCTTTAATTTTCATTAAGTTTAAATTTTTGTCGCATTATGAAATGTGAGCTCTTAAAACGCAGAAGGCAATACGACGTCAGTAACAATAACAATGACTAAAGTTCCTCTCTCATCTCTTCCTCAACACTTTCCTTTTCAGAGAAGAAAATAACTTAGAAGTGTGCATTTATTTGTGTGTGTGTGTGTGTGTATGTGTGTGTGTGTTGAAATTTATCTCTATATGTTGACAAAACAAAAAGAATTCTTACATATCCTTATTCTTTACTTGTAAACATTTAAGTGATTTTTTTTAATGGGAGATAAAAATTTTTATCTCACTTTCAAACACACATTTTTCTTCATCCATCCTCCACATAAAATTACATCTTCGGTTCTGGTTAAATTCGTATTCAGTATTTTGGTTATTATACTGATATTAAATTCCAGCAGTTCTATACTTATATTCTCCTCCTTGAATAACTTTTATTTTTACTGGAGTTAGTCTTTATATTTTCCTTTTGTTTATTTTATTTTTGTGTTATCTTTGCTAATTCATTTCCAATTCTATAAGATATTGTGATTTAATATCCTATAAGCTTTAAAGCAGAAACATAATTTTATTTCATACCCCTTTCTTAAGCCCTCTAATGTCTTGCTCTGTTTCAAATGCTTTGCTCTCTAGAACTTGCTGTCCTGCTGTTCAAGAACAGCAGGACAGTATTTGTCAGTATTCTATATTTGTCAGTATTCTAGGGATTTGTCAGTATTCTAGGGATTTTTCTGTGTGTGTGATCTCCCTTCTTCTCTTTCTCTCCTTGTTTAGTTACACATATTTGGAAGAACACATTATTTCAGAATTTTGTGAAGCTGTACGGATGGTAAGTGTGACATTATACATGACAACATTTATTATATTATCACATTTGATTGATAATGTGGCCAGCAATATAAGTCATATTTGAAAAAAAGCATTTCTACTCAGAATGATAAAAACAATTCATCTTTGTATTAGTGAGGATTCTCCAAAGAAACAATCAAATAGAATGTGTGTGTGTGTGTGTGTGTGTGTGTGTGTGTGTGTGTGTGTCTGCGTCTGTGTGTCTGGTATTGACTCATGAGATATTGGCTTATATGAAGGATTCGTTCATGAGGTTATGGAAAACGAGAAGTTCCACAATCTGCCATCTTCAAACTGGAGAACCAGGAAAGCCACTGGTGTAGTTAGAAGGCCTGGGAAGCTGGAAAGCTAATAACATAGATTCTGTTCTGACTCTGAATGCCTGAGAACCAGGAGCACGGAACGTGCGAGATCAGCGAATACAATCTTCCTCCACCTTTCTGTTGTATTCACACCCTGAACTGATTGGATGAGACCTACCCACATTCGGGAGAGCAATTCTCTTTACTCTGTCTAGTAATTCAAATGATAATCTCTTCCAGAAACATCCTCATAGACACATGCAGAAATCATATTTAACCAGATATCTAGGCATAGCATGATCCAGTTAAGTAACAAATGAAGCTACTATCACAATTGTCTTCCAGATCCCAGTGACTCTATTTGTTTTTTGTTGAGAACTCTATTTGATTTTTCAGTTCTTGTAATAGGACTTGTTTTGTTTCTGTGAGCTGTTAGAGTCTTATTATCTGAAACATTTAAAAATCAGATAATTATGTGCTTTGGCATTAGGTTTTTAAAATTTGTTGTGCAAAGTAATTAGATTGTATTTTCAATTTGGAGATTCATAAATATTAGATCTAGAAAACATTTCTGTTACTTTCTTGATCATTTTTTTCATTCTTTCTGGAATGGCTGTAAGTCAGATTTTGCATTTCCTAAATTGTTTTCCTAGTTTTTATAGCCTTCTCTTTTTAAATTTTACTTTTTTAACTTTTATTTTAGATTCAAGGGTACAAGTGCAGGTTTGTTATAGAGGTAAATTGCATGTCACGGGGCTTTGGTGTACCCAGTAGGTTACAGACATTATGCTTATGACACAGGTAGTAAGCATAGTATCTGATAGGTGGTTTTTGATCTTTACTCTCCTCCCAGCCTACACCCTGAATTAAACCTCAGTGTCTTTTGTTCCCTTCTTTGTGTCCATGTGTACTCAATGTTTATCTCCCACTTATAAGTGAGAACATGCAGTATTTGGTCTTCTTTTCCTGCATTAATTCGCTTCAGATAATGGCCTACAGCTCTATGTTGGTGCAAAGGACATAATCTCATCTTTTTTTTTTTTTTGTATGGCTGCATAGTATTACATGGTGTATGTGTACCAGATTTTCTTTCTCCAGTCCACCAGTGATGGGCTCCTAAGTTGATTCCATGTCTTTGCTATTGTGAATAGTACTGCAATGAACATATGAAGGCATGTATCTTTTTGGTAAAATGTTTTATTTCCATTGAGTATATGCCCAGTAATGGGATTGCTGGGTCAAATGGTAGTTCTGTTTTAAGTTCCTTGAGAAATCTCCAGCCTGTTTTCCACAGAGACTGAACTGTTTTACACGCCCACCAACAGTGTATGAGCATTCAGTTTTCTCCATAGACTCATCACCATATTACTTTTTGACTTCTTAGTAATAGCCACTCTGACTGGTGTGAGATGGTATCACATTGTAGTTTTGATTTTTATTTCTCTAATAATTAGTGATGTTAAGCATTTTTCATTAAGCTTGCTGGGCATGTTTATGTCTTCTTTTGAGAAGTGTCTGTTTATGTCTTTGCTCACTTTTTAATGAGATCATTTGCTTTTTCAGGTAAATTTATTTATGTTCCTTATAGATTCTGGATATTAGACCTTTGTTGGATACATAGTTGCAAATATATTCTCCCATTTGGTAGGTTATCTGTTTACTGTGTTGATAGTTTCTTTTACTGTGCAGAAGCTTTTTAGTTTAATTAGGCCCTATTTGTCAATTTTTGTTTTTGTTGCAATTGCTTTTTGTGTTTTCTTCATGAAATCTTTGCCAGGGCCTGTGTCCAGAATGGTATTTCCTAAGCTATTGATAGGGAGAGGAAGCAGAGAAATTCTAGGCAGAAAAGGGCAGATCCCTAACAAAACCCCACCCTCAAGCCTGAAACTGCAGCCCAAAGTGAGAACTTACATCCTTGTTTCTCCACTTGAATGTTGCCTTTTCCAAAACCACCCAAAAACTTGCTAACTCTTTACCTCTACCCATCTTGATTTTGTTTCAGAAACATCGGTGGCACAATTATGCTTGGGGGAATATAAAATCTTTTTTTAGATGTAACAAAAATGCATAAAACCTTAAGTTTTTCCAAGAAGATTAATTACCATCCTAACATCATTAGTCTCCCTGCTATATTGCCAGTAAAGACCTTAACTTCTTGAATAATGCATTGCTAAACAGATTTTATAGAAATACCATTTAAACAGTGAAACAAAGTTTGGTCAGCAAAATATTTTGCTAGAGAAAGCTGTATAGGAAAATGGAGTATTTCTTTTTATAGATGGAAGAGAGTTGTTTCTGTGCAGTGACATGCTAGATTCACATGACAGACAGCTTCTCATTTTATTTCAAAGCTAACCTGGTTAATTAATAGATTCTGCTAAGTGTGGTCTCCGTTGTATGCAGTGACAGAGAAAAGCAAAACAGCAAAAATAGGAAGAGTCAGCATTAGATGATGTACGCAAAGGTGGTGGGGCATTTTTGGTAGAGTATATTCTAAATCTCTGGGAATTCCATGCCAATTTGACTATTTTAACAAAATAAGCTAGGAAACAATTTACTCCCTAAACGCTTACTTTCCAAGCTTATTTTATTTGGATTCTATCATCATAAATAAGTTTAGCTGGTTTGGAAAAAGTACCACAATTCTCTTATCATGTTGTGTTAATTATCTGGTTGTATGGCTTCTCTAAATAAGGTTCATTGTCAAACACCATTATTTCAGAGCTGCTTTTATCTATATGACAACGGTTGTGCATGTGCATAATTTGAATAGAACTAAAATACCGAGCCACATCCAATTGATCATGATATATGCATAAGAGCATGCCATGTAGCATGGCCTTAAAATACTTTTTTTTTTTTTTTTTTTTCTGAAAACCCTGTTGAAAATTAGAGTCACCTACTCGTTGCATCTTACTCAATTTGACTATGGAGCATGTAGGTAACCCACAATATACAGGGGCTTTTTGTATAGTCTGTAATAAATTAATTAAAAATTCTTTAGTACTTAATGGTTAGCATAGAGAAAATTTGTCACTTTTTTCACTAGTTCAGGTATTAAGCACACACATGTATTGACCATGTGCTTAATTCTGTGTTTTCTCTCTGCTAGTAACATATGCTCACTGATTTGCTTTTTTGGCTATGAAAATTGCCTACATAATATTCTAGAGCAGTTCTTATATGTGTTCTATCTATTAAATGTTCAATTTATCAACAAACTGATTAAATACAAAGCTTAGCATTTGGATTATCTCTGCTTATTAAATGTACTAGATTTGATTAATTAAACACTGGGTCAGAGAGATTTACAAGTGCTCAATTTATTTGTTTTTTCTAAATAAAGGACAAATACATCAAATCGATTAATGCAGATATTCCTGTTTTCCTTACAATAACTAATAAATAGCTTAGTTACAATCAAGTAAAGAAATGAAAATATTTTTGATAGTTTCACCTTCATAGTGGTATAAAATCACGTTTTATCATTCACCTCAGAGATATATATCATTTGCAGAATATTTGAATATAGAAATAATGAAACTGTTTTTTTCTCATTCTTCCTTTATTCTCAACTACACTCCATCAATAAAGAAGACTCCAACTTACTTTAGATTCATTAATATTTGAATTATCATTAACAAAGTATTAGTGTCGGCTACAACAATATATTTCCTAAGGTTTATCTGTTTGGGGACAACTGATAAATATTTGTCATCTGATGGTAATAGAAGGTTGTTAACAGACATGATTAAATGAGAGGTGAAAAGCAGTTATTAAAGTGCTTATAGTACAATAATACTATTTTTATAAGAAATGTACACAGCTGAAACTTTTATTCCCCTACAGAACATGTGCCTTCATACTGTTTCATCATTAGAAATATTTGTACATTCTAAGCTCATCGAAAAGAGAAGTAGATTCAGTACAAACTTATTATGTGTCAAGTATACTTTCAACCCTGGTAGGATGGATAATATTTCTAGGACACATCCCTTGATATTATTAACCTTATAAGACTATTGAATAGGGGTGAATATATTCTTCTAATGTTTTACAATATGGCATCAAATATCTGCTCCTCAAGAAAGCATTCCTCTTATTTGACATTTATTCTCCTTAGAGACTAAATTGTCTTTGATATAAATTTTGCCACATTTTATTATAATGGTCTAAGTCCTTCATTTGAAATGCTCTATATTCTCTTCACACTTTGTGCCAGTTATCAATTTATTGCCTCTCAGCTACAAATTTACTCTTTACTACCTGTTCTGCAATAATGGACCACTGCCATATGTACACACAATAAATCTTCCATCTAGCCTTCCTGAAAGGGCTGTGGCCATTTACAAGAGTGACTACATAGGGGAAAATAAAATGAGCAGAACTTTTGGAGATTACGAGGCCCTGACTTTGAATGAACACTAATTTGTGGGGACCAAAAATTGCACTGTGGTCCACCAGAGAGGGAACATAAAGTGCTCTGGTGATAGATGGAGACTGAGGTCAAACTCACAGTGGGCCCAGTGGGTCCAGAGGTCTATCCTGTGTTTTTCACTCCAGTACCTGAATCTGTAATTGGGATAGGCATGTTTAGTCACTGGAAAAATCCCCACAGTGGCTTCATGACTTGCTGGATAAAAGGGCATTGGCATAGCTAAAAGTGATTTATTTTTAAAAAACTGACAAGACTCTATCAGCTTAAAAAGTGTTACCAACTGATGTTCACTGCATTAGGGATACAAGAGATGAGAAAAAAAATATTACTAGGATTTGTTGTATGTACACCAATGATGGTAACTCTATTAATGATAGTCCCATTAAATACTGTGTCTCTGACTAAATATATGAAAAAAATAATCGTAGATGTAGGTATGTGGTCTTCTCTTTCAGCAATCCCAAAGTTATCTGAATGTTGTGGCTGCATTTCGAATTGGATTAAAGAGCCCCACCACTAATGTCCATTTGACAATATGACAAGAGACCAAAGCAGTAAATAGTGAGCTGAAACCCAAGCTGGAGAACAGATATAGCCCATTGTCTAAGATTATTAGAACACTGAAGGAGTATTATGATTTTTCTGAGAGTGGGGGCAGAGAGAGTACAAATTATGCCGGCAAAACTACATTGGTGAATGGTTGTATTAGTGTGTTTTCACAGTGCTATAAAGAACTTCCTGAGACTGGGTAATTTATGAAGAAAAAGTTTTAATTGACTGACAGTTCCACATGGCTGGGGAGGCCTCAGGAAACTTACAATCATGGTGGAAGGTAAAGGGGAGGCAAGGACCTTCTTCATAAGGCGACAAGAGAGGGAGAGTGAGGAGGGAACTGCCAAACACTTTTAAACCACCGGATCTTGTGAGAACTATCTCACCATCATAAGAACAGCATGGGGGAATCCACCCCCCATGATACAGTCACCTCCCACCAGGTCCCTCCCTTGATGTGTGGGGATTACAATTCGAGATGAGATATGAGTGGGGACATAGAGCCAAACAATATTAATAGTAAACAATAAATGTTTGAACAGGTATGTTGTGTGTGTGTGTATATGTATATATATACACATGCACATATATATAAGCACATGAAACAATGAAAGAAGAAATACATAATTTATAAAGTGACCATGAGTGCTAGCAATGTGGAAAGATTTGCAATTTCCAATATGGAGTTTATTGTAAATGTCTTTGAGCTGGTGACATTGGGGAACAAATAAATTAGAGAGGAACTTATTTAAGTAACAGTTTTTTTGTTTGGACTTTTACTTTGTAAAGAGGGAAATAATACTATTGGAGCAAAGCCAACTTAGGTATGGGGAGAAAGTCAGCACAATATTGATTCCTTCCCAAGGATAAACATTTTGAGGCAAACGACAGTTTTCCTTTTAAACATCTTAGGTGGTAGTTTCCAAGCCTCACAAGTGCAGGTTCCAATTTACTTTTTTCCATGAAAGAGTGTTCAATTTAGGAAATTGTCCTAAAAAAGAGTTAAACGAAAAGCAATTTGACAAATGCATACAAACAAATCCTGAGATTATTTTGTTTTATGAGTTTCACATAAGCAGCAAAAGAAAATGTGGCAGAAATCACAACATAGCAGGCTATAGAAATCACCATAAATTGTTAAAATCTAAATACTTTATATCTTATTGAAGAATATCAAATTTCAATGACAACTCTCATAAATTAGATATTAGGTGATACAATAAATATATTAAAACATACAGTTGAACTTTTTTTTTTGTGGAGCATAGATTTAAAATGTTAAAGACATTGTTTTACTAAAGAAAATTCAAGAACACAGAATTCTCCCTAGCTAGTAGTCTGATTCATCTGATTAATTATCTAAAATTTTAAGGAAAGTGTTTTTTCTATCACAGTATTTAAACCTCGCAATAAATAGTGAGCCTCAATTACTGCTAACCTATTGATTCTGAAGAATCCTGTGGTGATTAAAATGCATTAAATAATCTTTAATGCATATAAGGAGCTTTTGAATTTCTAATGTAAATTTGAATTGAAAAAACTTAAACTTTGATGTGGTAGAAATGAACTCATTTTAGAAATTCTAAAATAGGTTTTAATATTTACTGCTTTTACTTTCTTGGTGAAGTTCAATGCACAGGCTATAGTATTAAGTTTTAAAAAACTATTGTAAGGAAAATAGATATATACCCACAAATTCTATAATAAATCGAAGGATTTATGTAACATAAATTAAAATATCATTGTTTTAGAATACCTATTATGGTGTTGTTTTATTTTGTATACATAAAAAGGCATTTTAAATATAGCTGATAGTTTATATTTATTAAGATATAAGACTTAACTATATGCTTTTCTCATTATAACATGTCATTGTCCATGAAATTGTTTAAATATTATTACAATATAATAACGGTTTGTCCTTGTTTACTAGATTACCAAATATATTCATCAGTGTTAATATTTAGCAGATAGCATGTATTTTAAATACAACTGTAGAAAGTGAATTTAAACCCTACAATCTGAAAAATAATGGTGCAAATACATATAATTCTTACAAGATGCAATGAGCATACATTTTTAATTGAGACAGAAAAGCTGATTTAAATGGTCATAATTAAATGGTGATAATTTAAACTTTTTAACTGAGTATTTTCATTGACATCTTCTGCAAAATTAGTTCATGTGTAGTTCTCAGATTTCCACAGCTCCCAGTCAAAACTAATTAAACTTAGGTTAGAAAGCCACAATTGAAATTGTTAGCTTAATTGGTTATTTAATAATTAAATATTTTACAAAAATGTGTTCTGAAGTTTTCCTTTCACCTAGTTTGAATATATCACTGATGTTTTATTAGTTTATTATATTAAAGAAGTGACATTTTAATGTATAATTTTGATATGTATAAACCTAAAATAGATTATTTTATAAATGAAATAATTATTCTATGCAGAAAAGAGGTGTTGAAAGTAATGAATTGTCATGAATAAATCACTAGAGTTAGATCTATAATCAACATTAAATATAGAAACAAATGTGGGGAAAGAATAAAATCATGTGGATCCCTGATATAACACCCTAATTTAGTAATGTTAATGTGCAGATGGAAACAATAAGCTCATTTTCTGAAACATTTAATTTTGAACTAATTTTAGGCTTGCAGAAAAGTTGCATAAATGTTACATGGAGTATTCATATATTCCTCACCAGCTTCACCTAATGTTAGCAACTTATATGATTATATGTAATTATCAGGAAGAAGAAATTAATATTGGTACAATATTAGTAACTAAAATGGAAACCTCATTTAAATTTCATCATTTTTTTCTACTAATGTTATTTTTTTTTTCAAGAATCCTACTGAGGATTTTACATTGCATTTCATTATGATTTCTCCTTAATCTCTTTCAGACCTTCAGTCTTTTCAGTATTTCCTTGTCTTTTATGATCTGACGCTTTGGAAGAGTACTAATTAGTTATTTTTAGAATGACCTTCAACTTTGATTTGTCTGATATATTTCCATGATTGAAATGAGGTTATCATTTTCAGAAAGAACACCAGAGAATTGATATGGTGCCCTTACTAGTATATCATAGCATGGGGCTCATCATGCCAATGTTTTAGTACTGGGGATATTTTCTTGATCATTCTGTTAACTTGGTAACTGCTGGATTTATCAAGTGTAAGGTTATTAATTTGACCCTTGTGTTTAATAAATATTTTGGGAAATATATTTGAGAATATGGACACGTTTCTCTTATAACCCTTGTACACTGATTTTAACATTCACTGGCAAATCTTGTCTTCAATAATTATTAGGGGGATTTGCATAACGGTGATTCTTTATTTCCCTCTTTCCTTTTACACATATAAAAACCTCTTGTTAGAAAAAACTGTTCATTTGCCTTCATTTATAAATTTATATCAGCATGGTCTCATTCACGTTGATTTTATACATGAGGTTATAACTTAATGTTATCCTTAATGTTGTTGCTCAAATTAATACAGCTTTGACTACTAGGGGCTCCTCCAAGTTGACCACTTTGGTTCTTTTTTAAAGCCCTCATTTTATTTATTCATTTTTTGAACAGTTTATTACTTTCTGATGCCAAAAGATATTCCAGGTTAACTTGTACTTTCCCTGGAATCACCTAATTCTCCAAGGATCCCATGTTCCTTTTATTGAAGATTAGTTTTTAGAAACTAAAAGTGATTGCCAGGTATGCTCACTTTTATGGTTTAATTTTGTTTGTTAATTTTGGGGGTATATTAAGAGTAAATAAAATAGTACTACGGTTCTAAGGGTCATATTGTTACTGCAAGGAGGACCTTGAGTGTGAGTTTTCCAGATCCTTGGCATTTTGAACAAAGAATTGGACAAAATGCACAAAGTAACAATGTAACAAAACAGGGATGAAGCAGTGAAAGCAGAAATTTATCAAAGCAAGAAAGGACTCCATAGGGTGGAAGTGGGTGCAAGTAAGCAATTCAACTGCCAGGTTACATGTTACAAAGTTTTCTGGGTTTTAGGAACTTCTTCTTGAGGTCCCTATTGGTTACCACTTACCCGGATGAAGGATTTGGTCTGTGGCTAATTAAAGGCTGAAGTGGATGAATTGGCATTCTATGCAGATGAACGGATGGTCCGTGCTTGGCCCCCAGGCCAATCCAGGGCACTTTCCCCTTCCATCTGGTGGAAGGAGGAGATTGTAGGGAGAGTAGCCTTTGATCTTTTGTTACTCAGCATGGGGCATGGGGTTTTTCCCTTTGGGTTTAGCTTTAGGAAGTTTGTGTTAATTAGCCTTATGTTTCCTGCCCACAGACCTTGGTGGTTTCTCTTTAAGGAAGTCAGCACAAATTGGCCTTAGATTCCCTGGCCCCAGACCTTAGTGATTTTCCTTGACTCAGCATAAATTGGTCATAATTTTCCTGCCTCTAGACTCTATTCTCCTGTCTTACTATGTATAAAATATATATACTGAGAGATCCTCAGACCTTTTACTATCCCTGACACACTGACCTTCCATTCCATTCTTCTTTCCACTTCTTTCCCACCCACTCCTTGTAGGTAAGTAATCTCATGAGGTTCTTGCTTATCTTTCCTTTCAGTTCTGATGGGGTCAGTTTTGCTTTTCTTAGGAAACTTCCCATTTTACTGAGGTTTTCAAATTCATTTAATAGAGATCTACAAAGTCTTCTCTTATGATTTACTAACCATTTCTTCTGTTTCAATGATTATTCCTTTGTCATTTCTTATTTTGTATCACCATGTTTCCTCCCCTTTTCTTATGATTAACTTATCTTACAGCTTTATGTATTTTAACTTTCTTAAATACCATGATTTTGATTTATTCATTAGATCGATTACTTGTCTCTGTAATTGTTTTTATCAAAAATGTCAAAAAAACTTTTCTTTGATATACTTTTATTTCCTTTATTATACTTTTTGTTTATTATTTACTTTCTAGTTTACTTTATTAACTAGAAATTTAACTGATATATTTTTTCTTTTCTCTTTATTGATAAAACTATTTAATGCTATATAATTAATCATCCTCTGAGAACTGTTTTAATTGAATTTCATTGATTCTGATATACAAAGCTTCTGTCATTATTTCTTTTCTTTTCTTTTTTTTTTTTTGAGATGGGGTCTTGCTCTGTTGTCCAGGCTGGAGTGCAATGGCATGATCTCGGCTCACTGCAAGCTCTGCCTCCAGGGTTCATGCCATTCTCCTGCCTCAGCCTCCTGAGTAGCTTGGACTACAGGTGCCCACCACCACTCCCTGCTATTTTTGTTTTTTTGTATTTTTTTAGTAAAGACAGCGTTTCACCATGTTAGCCAGGATGGTCTCGATCTCCTGACCTCTTGATCCACCTGCCTAGGCCTCCCAAAGTGCTGGGATTACAGGCATGAGCCACCACGCCCAGCCTTCTGTCCTTATTTCTCAAATGTTCTTTAATTTTAGTTTATTTTCCTCCTTTTACCAAGCAGTTATTTAATGAAAGGTTTTATGTTTGTTTTGTTTGTTTTAATTTCCCAGGGGAAGAATCTTTTTGTTTTATTCTTTTGTTTGTAAATTCTAGTTTTATTGCACTGTAATCAGTGAGTGTTGCTTATAATCTTCCTACTTTATGGAAATTACTGATTTTTTCTTTGTGACTTATATATGATTCATTTTTCTGTGTATTTTTTGAACTTTGAGAAGAAGGTGTTTGTTTTACTAAAAATGTTTGAAGTTTGATTTATTTTCATAGTATCTACCACATTTATTATATTGATTAGATCTTTTATCTCCTCAATTATTTTTTTTTGTCCACTTCATTTGTCTTGTACTGAGAGTGATGTATTAAAGAGTGATTTTACTAGTATGTTTATATCAATATCTCCTTGGATCTCCTATTACCAGCTTTATAGAGTTGGTTGCTGTGTTTTTTGATCCATAAGTAGTAATAAATTTACATATTCATTATGGATTATAGCTCTTAGCAATTAAGTTTGTCCTTTCTTATCATGGTTACTGCATTGACGCTTGTATCCTATTTTGATAACAAGATTGATACTTCTGTTCTCATTTTGATCCCACTTGCTTGGTATACTTCTGCTAATTTCTTTTTGGTCTTTTCAAAACCTTCATTTTAGAATTGCTCCTTGTAAAAAGCTGAAACTTGGGGTCTGACTTGCAACACTCTTAAACATCGTTTTCTTCTAATAAGTGAAACAAGTGCATTCACATTCATTGTTATGATAAATGCGTTTGATGACATATTTATCATACGTGTAGCTATGCACATATTGTTTATTTGCTCTATGTATTTCTCCATGAAATATATTCTTTAATTTGTGCTTTAAAAATTCAAGGTAGTACTGATAAAGGTTGTATTTTTGTTTGACAAGATATGATGGTACTTGTAAATTCTTAAATCCCTTTTGTCCCCTTCATTGTTCCTTCACATTTTAAGACTATTTTTAGAGCACTTTCAGGTTTACAGCAAAATTGAGCATAAGATACAGAGATATCTTATATACCCTCTTTCCCCACACATACATTGTCAACATCCTTCACCAGAGTGACACATTTGTCCCAATTGATGAACCTCTGCTGACACATCATTGTCACCCAGAATTTTTACGTTCTATTTGTTTGGAAATAGTTATAATGACATATATCTAATATTATAGTAACATACAGAGTAGTTACACTGCCCTAAAAATTCTCTGTGCTCCACCTACTCATCCCTCCCTCCTCTCTAATCCCTAGCAACCACTGATAATTTTTACTTTTTCCATAGTTTTTCAGATGTCATATGGTTGGAATCATACAGTATGTAGTTGGGCTTTTTTTTTTTTGCTTAGTAATACCCATTTACTTTTCCTTCATTTTTTTTTTCTTGGCTTAAAGACTCATTTCTTTTTAGTGCTGAATAATATTTCACTATCTGGATGTACCACAGTTTATTTATTCACTTACTGAAGGATATCTTGGCTACTTCCAAGTGTTGGCAATTGTGAATAAAGATTTTATAAGCATTCATGTGCAGGTTTTTGTGGGGACTTTAGACTGTAACTCATTTGGGGAAATAATAAAGAGCATAATTGCTGGATCCTATCATAAGGATATATTTAGTTCTCTACAAAACTGCCAAACTGTCTTCAAAGTAACTGTACCATTTTGCATTCCCACCACCAATGAATGAGAGTTCCTATTGCTTCACATACTTGCCTCCATTCAGCTCTGGATTTTGGTTATTCTAATAGGTAGGTAGTGTATCTAGTTGTTTTAATTTGCATTTTCTCAATAACATATGATGTGGAACAGTTTTTCATATATCTATTTGTCATCTGTGTGTCATCTTTGTTGAGGTCTTTGGCCAACATTTTTATTGGGTTGTGTTTTATTGTTGAGAATGAAGGTTTTTTGTGTATTTTGGATAATAATTCTTTATCTGGTAAGACTTTGCAAATATTTTCTCCCAGCCTGTGGCTTTTCTTCTTTTCATTTCACTGACAGTGTCTTTTGCAGAACATAGGTTTTTAATTTTAATGAAGTCCAGCTTATTGGTCTTTCTTTCATGGATCATGGCTGTGGTGTTGTATTTTTAAATTTACTGTCAAACCCAAGATCATCTGGACTTTTTCCTATGTTATTTTCTAGAAGTTGTATAGTTTTTTTTTTCTTTCATTTATGTCCATGATATATTTTAAGTTAATTTTTGTGAAGGTTGTAAGGTCTGCATCTAGATTCATTTCTTGCATGTGGATGTTCAGTTGTTCAAGCACATTTAATTGAAAAGACTATTTTTTTCTCTATTGTATTCCCTTTGCTCCTTTATCAGAGGTCAGTTGCCCATATTTATAGGAGTCTATTTTAGGGTACTCTATTTCTCTTCCATTGATCTATTTATTCCTTCACCAACACCACACTTTCTTGATGCTGGTACTTGTTCCTATACTTATATTATCAGTTCTTAAGCCCCTGTTGCTCCCTTTTCTGTTCTTTAACATTTTATTATCTGTTTACCAATTTAATAAAATATATCTTTAAAATATTCTGGGTATGAATGAATATAGCTATTGTAACTTTTAAAAGGTGTTTTATGTTTTGTACATTAAAAAATAAAAATAACTGAGCTCAGTTACAATAGCCTAGTAACAAAATATCTTCATATCTGAAAGTAAATGGTTTGTATTGAAAATAAAAGGTATAGTCTTCATATTCTTATATGAAACAAAAAGAAAAAAAGACACGTAATTGTAACAAACTGATGTGAAGACAAAAATGAATTGAACTCATACAAAAATTTATTTTTAACTCTCTAGGATAATTCATCATTATTTTGGGTAATATGCTGATAACACAGTTGCTTTTCTAAGAAATACTATTTTCTTAAAACTGGCATTCATATGGAGAACATGCTTGGCATGAACATGGAGCATATGATCCTTAATTTATTTCACATGCAAGACCAAACATTTTGCATATTTTAAAAGTAGTATTTATTATCTTTCACATGTATAAATAAAGCCACACTTTAGCTTGCAAACAATAGAATAATATGTATTTTGAAAAGATTAAGTGTTTAAAATGCTAAAATCTTATCAGAAATAATGGCTAGGGTATGAGGTAGAAAAAAACAAAATTCAACATAATGCTAAAAACAAATGGCCAAACAAATAATACTAAGGAACAAATGTTAAAAGACATATACAGAACATATGTGGATAGCTATGTAAATTTATTTTTTAAAGAACAAAGCAATGTATATATAAATGTAGAGAGACAGGATATTTTTGAATTGAAAGACAATAACATTAAATAGGAATATGTCAAAATTAATAAATACTAATTACAATCAGAATTTTAGTCTTTTTTCCAGTATAATAAATTTAAATTTCACTAATTTAAAAATTAATACATACCTGATAGTTTCCCATATTTTGTTATTTTGTTCAGCTGAACATGTAGTAGAGCCCAATACATGTGGAAAAGAAATATTAGGTGGGTTATATATTTTTTTTACCAGACATTACAAATTATTATGAATTTACTTAATCAAAAACCTGATATTGGAAAAAAAATAGGTAATACAATTTAAATCAGGCTAGAAATAGTAGCACATATGTATGATGTATGAGATCTCATAGGTATAGCATACTAGTAGGAAAAACACGTTTTCAGTATACAATGATGTCATGATTTAAAGACATTGGAAATTTGTTTGAAAAACAATATATCAATAATATTGAAATTTAAAGTTTGACTGTCCTTTGCCTCATCATGATAATTTTAGGAAATTTATTAAATAGAAATAAGGGTAGAAGTAGGTGCATTTGTTTGCACTGTGAAAATTAGAAATGTTCTGAATATCCCAAAATAGAGAAATGTTTGAAGAAATTCATTTCTGTTATATAATATTTTACAGCTTTGAAACAATAAATCTGGGTTGATTACCTGAAATGATACCTAAAATAAAATAATTGGAAAAAGTAGGTATCAGTGAAATATGAATAGCATTATATTGTTGTCTTTAAGCTCCTCCAAAACCCAGTGTGTATGTACACAAACCACACACACAGCATGGAAAATATAGGATTGTATTCACTAGTCTGTTTATATTACTTCTATGAAGCAGGTGTGTTTGATGTGTGGGTGGAGGATTATTTGCCTATTTACACATCTTCTCATTGTTTCACGTGTTATAACAAAAACTTGTTAAAATAAAATATTTAGTAAAAAAATTAAAATGTGTAAAATACTTTTGTAAGGAACATATCTAAGTTCTAGAGTATGGATAGTCTGGCTACCTAGAACAGGCTCAACTTTATTACTCCCCCAGCTGTCTAATATCAGAAAGTAATAATTTTTCTACGAAATTCATTTGTTAGGCCGGACACGGTGGCTCACGCCTGTAATCCCAGCACTTTGGGAGGCCGAGGCCGGCTGATCACGAGATCAGGAGATCGGGACCATCCTGGCTAACACGGTGAAACCCTGTCTCTACTAAAAATGCAAAAAAATTAGGCGGGCGTGGTGGCAGGTGCCTGTAGTCCCAGCTACTTGGGAGGCTGAGGCAGGAGAATGGCGTGAACCCAGGAGGCAGAGGTTGCAGTGAGCCAAGATCGCGCCACTGCACTCCAGCCTGGGCGACAGAGAGAGACTCCGTCTCAAAAAAAAAAAAAATTCATTTGTCAAACAATATTACTAATATAATTTGAGTATGCTGCGTAAGATTATGCATTAGGAACTTTTAGTTGCTCAGAGATGCTTTTAACATACAATTATTTTTTTCTCATCTGAGTTGTCTGAAATACTGACATGCAGATAAATGAGGTAGTTACTATATAAAATACCTTTACTTATTTTTTTAACTTTTAGTTTCAGTGATAAATGTGCAGTTTTGTTATATAGACAAATTTTGTGTCACGGAGTTTGGTGTGCAAATTATTTCATCACACAGGTAATAAGCATAGTACCAAATGGGTAGTTTTTCTATCCTCTCTCTCTTCACACCCTCCACCTTCAAGTAGGGTCCAGTATCTGTCGTTCCCTTCTTTTTGTTCATGTGTACTCAATGTTTAGCTCCTACTTTTAAGTGAGAATTGGTATTTGGTTTTCTGTTCCTGCATTAGTTCGCTTAGGATAATGGCCTCCAGCTCCATCCATGTTGCTGCAAAGGACATAATCTCAGTTCTTTTTTATGGCTACATAGTATTCTATGTATATGTACCATATTTTATTTATACAGTCTACCACTGTTGGGCATTCCACTTGATTTTATGTCTTTGCTGTTGTGAATAGTGCTGTGCTGAACATATGTGTGCATGTGTCTGATAAAATAATTTCTATTTCTTTGGATATATACCCAGTAATGGGATTGCTGGTGGAATGGTAGTGCTGTTTTTAGTTCTTCGAGAAATTGCCAAACTGCTTTTCACAATGGCTGAACTCAATTACATTCCCACCAGTAGTATATAAGCATTCCCTTTTCTCTGCAACCTCACCAGTACCTGTTATTTTTTGGCTTTTACATAATAGCCATTCTGATTGGCTTGAGATGGTATCGCATTGTGGTTTTGATTTGAATTTCTCTAATAATTAGTGATATTGAGTATTTCTTCATTTGCTTGTTGGCTGTGTGTATATCTTCTTTTGAAAATTGTCTGTTCATGTCCTTTGCCCACTTTTTAATGCAGTCTTTTTTTACTTTTGCAGGTGAATTTAAGTTTCTTATAGATTCTGGATATTGGACCTTTCTTGGATGTATAGTTTGCAAATATTTTCTGCCTTTCTATAAGTTGATCATTTACCCTGTTGATAGTTTATTTTACAGCGCAAAAGCTCTTTGGTTTAATTAGGTCCCATATATCAATTTTGTTTTTGTTGCAATTGCTTTTGGTCTCTTCATTGTGAAATCTTTGCCAGGGCGTATGTCCAGAATGGTGTTTACTAGTTTTTTTTTTTTTCAAGAATTTTTATAAGTTTAGGTTTTAAATGTAAATCTTTAATCAATCTTGAGATGATTTTTATATATGGTGTACGACAGGGGTCCGGTTTCAATCTTATGCATATGGCTAGCCAGTTATCCCAGCACCATTTATTGAATAAGGAGTACTTTCTCCATTGCTTGTTCTGGTCAACTTTGTGGAAGATCAGATAGTTGTAGATGTGTGGTTTTATTTCTGGACTCTCTATTCTGTTCCTTTTGTCTATGTGTCTGTTTTTGTACCAGTATCAGACTTTTTTGGTTATTGTAGCCTTGTAATATAGTTTGGGGTCAGGTAATGTGGTGCCTCCAGCATTGTACTTTTTGCTTAGGATTACTTTGTCTATTCAGGCTCTTTTTTGATTCCACGTTAATTTTAGAGTATATTTTTTCTAACTCTGTGCAGAATGTCATTGGTAGTTTGACAGGAATAGCATTGAATGTGTAAATTGCTTTGGGCCATTTTAACAATATTGATTTTTCTTATCCATAAGCATAGAATGTTTTTACATTTGTTTGTGTCATCTCTGATTTCTTTAAGCAATGTTTTGTAATTCTCATTGTAGTGATCTTTCACCTCCTTGGTTAGCTGTATTCTCATGTATTTTATTTGTGTATGTGTGTGTGTGTGTCTGTGTGTGTGTCTATTGTAAATGGGATTGCATCCTTGATTTGGCACACAGAATGGATCTCATTGACGTATAGAAATGCTACTGACTTTTGTACATTGATTTTGTGTCCTGGAACTTTGCTGAAGTCTTTTGTGAGATCTAGGAGCTTTTGAGCAAAGACTATGAGGTTTTCTATGTACCAAGTTATATCACCTGCAAACAGACATAGTTTGACTTTCTTTCTATTTGGATGCCTTGTATATCTTTCTCTTGCTTGATTGCTCTGGCCAAGACTATGTTAAATAGGAGTGGTAAGAGTGGGCAATCTTGTCTTTTTCTGGTTTCTCAATGGTGGTGCTACCCGCTTTTGCCCATTCAGTATGATGTTTCTGTGAATCTGTCATAGATGGCTCCTATTATTTTGATGGATGTTCCTTCAATGACTAGTTTATTGAGGGTTTTTAACATAAAGGGATGGCAAATGCTATTGAAACCCTTTTCTGAATCCATTCAGATGATCATGTGGTTTTGGTTTTTAGTTCATGTGGTGAATTATTTATTGATTTGCATATTTTGAACCAATCTTGCACCCCAGGCATAAAACCTACTTAATAATAATGGGTTAGCTTTTTGATGTGCTGCTGGATTTGGTTTGCTAGTATTTTGTAGAGGTTTTTGCATCTATGTTCATCAAGGATATTGACCTGATGCTTTTTTTGTTGTTGTTATTGTTGTTGCAATTCTGTCAGGTTTTGCTGTCAGAATGATCCTGGCCTTATAGAATGAGTTAGGGACTGGTGCCTCCTCCTCAATTTTCTTGAGTAATTTCAGTAAGAATGGTACCATTTCTTCTTCATATGTCTGGTAGATTTGGCTGTGAATCCCTCTGGTTGTGGATTTTCTCTGGCTGGAAGGCTTTTGGTTACCAATTAAATTTTGTAACTCATTTTTGGTCTGTTCAGGTTTTCCATTTCTTCCTGGTTCAATCTTAAGGGGTTATATGTTTCCAGGAATCTTCTTAATTCTTATAGGTTTTCTAGATTTTGTGCACAAAGGTTTTTGTAATAGTCTCTGAGGGGTTTTTATATTTCTGTGGAGTAGATAGTAATGTCACTTTTCTCATTTCTGATTGTGTTTATATGAATCTTCTCTCCCTTTTTTTCTTTATTAGTCTAGATAGCAGTCTATTAATCTTATTTATTATTTCAAGGAGCCAATATCTAGATTAGTTTATCTTCGGTATATTTTTTTCATTTCAGTTTCATTTGTTTCAGATCTGATTTTGGTTATTTCTTGTCTTCTGCTAGCTTTGGAGTTGGTTTGCTCTTGTTATTCTAGTTCTTCAAGGTATGATATTAGGTTGTTAATTTGAGCTCTAACTTTTTAATATGGGCATGTACTGCTATAAATAGTCCTTCTAACACTGATTTAGCTGTATCACAGAAATTGTGGTATGTTGTATCTGTGTTCTCATTAGTTTCAAATAATTTCTTGACTTTTGCTTTAATTTCATTGCATACCCAGAAATCATTCAGGAGCAGATTATATAATTTCTATGTAATTATACTGTTTTGAGTAACCTTTTAATGTTGATTTCTGTTTTTAATGTGCTATAATTTGAGAGTGTCGTTGGCATAATTTTGGTTTTTTAAAATTTGCTGATAATTGTTTTATGGACAATTGTGTGGTTGATTTTAGAATGTGTACCATGTACAGATGAGAAGAATATATATTATCTTGTTTTGGGGCAGAGAATTATGAAGATGTCTGTCAGTTTTATTTGGTCAAGTGTTGAATATTAGTTTTCTGTCTCAGCGATCAGTCTAATACTGTTGATGGGGTACTGAAGTCTCCCACTATTATTGTGTGCTTATCTAAGTCTCTTTGTAGGTCTCTAAGAACTTGTTTTAGGAATCTTGGTGCTCCTGTGTTGGGTACATATATATTCAGGATGGTTAAGTCTTGTTGAATTTAACCCTATATAATCATGTAATGTTTTTCTTTTTTTTTTTTAATCATTGTTATATTAAACTGTTTTGTTTGAATTTAGAATAGCCTCCCCTGCTTCTGTGTTTTCCATTTGCTTGGTAGATTTTTACCCATCCATCTACATTGAGCCTATGGGAATCACTGCATGTGAGATGGGTCTCCTGAAGACAGCTTACAGTTGGGTCTTCTTCCTTTATCCAACTTGACAGTGTACCTTTTAAGTGGGGACATTTAGCCTGCTTATAGGCAAGGTTAATATTGATATGTGTGTATTTGATCCTGTCATCCTGATGTGAACTGGTTGTTATGCAGACTTCATTGTGTAGTTGCTTTATAGTATCAATGATCTATGTAGTTAAATGTGGTTTTGAGGGGGATAGTAACAGTCTTTTGTTTCCATATTTAGCACTCTATTAAAGACCTCTTGTAGAGCAGGTTTGGGGGTAATAAATTCCCTGAGTATTTGCTTGTCTGAAAAGGATTCTATTTCTCCTTTATTTATGAAGTTTAGTTTGGCTGGATATGAAATTCTTAGTTGGAATTTCCTTTCTTTAAGAATGCTGAATATAGGATTTCAATCTCCTCTGGATTGTAGGGTTTCTACTGAAATGTCCACTGTTAGCCTGATGAGGTTCCCTTTGTAGGTGAATTTCCCTATCTTTCTGGCTGCTTTTAATACTTTTTTTTTTCTTTTTTGCAGACCTTGGAGTATCTGATGACTACGTGTCTTGAGGATAGTCTTCTTGTATAGTATCTCAGTGGAGTTCTCTGTATATCCTTAATTTGAAATGTTAGCCTCTTTAGCAGAGTTGAAGAAATTTTCATGGGTAGTATCCTCCAATATGTTTTCCAAGTTGCTTGCTTTCTCTCCCTTTCTATCAGGAACACCACTGAGTCGTAGATTTGTTTTTTTTTTTTTTACATAATCCCATATTTGAGAGGATTTGTTCAAGCTTTTTTATGCTTTTTTCTTTTCTATGCTTTTTTCTTTATTTTTCTATTTTTTAAATGCTTTTTTTCTTTATTTTTGTCTAACTGAATTAATTCAGAGAACCAGTCTTTGAGCTCTGAGATTCTTTCTTCAGCTTGGTCTATTTTGTTGTTAATACTTGCAATTGTATTAAAAAATACTTGTAGGCTGTTTTTCAGTCTATGAGATCAGGTTTGATCTTTCTTAAACAGACCATTTCATCTTTCAGCTTTTGTGTCATTTTATTGTATTTCTTAGATTCATTTTATTGGGTCTTGGCTTTCTCTTTAATCTTGATAATCTTTGTTCCTATCTATATTCTAAATATGGTGTCTGTAATTTTAGCCATTTCAGCCTAGTTAAGAATCATTGCTGCAGAACTAGTTAAATAGCCTGGAGGTGAGAAGACACTCCGGCTTTTTGAGTTGCCAAAGTTCTTGCTCTAGTTCTTTCTCAACTGTGTGGGCTGATGTTCCTTTAATCTTTGAAGTACCTGTGCTTTGAATTTTTTTTCTTGCTTTTCCTTCTTTGATGCCCTTGGGAGTTTGACAGTTTGATTATGGTATAAGGTAGGTTAGGTCTACTGGCTTTAATTCTGGAAGACTTTATGGGACCAACTGCTCAGCTCAGCACTCCTGGGCTGCATGCTCTAACTATGCAGGGCTGGTACTGGACCCACAGCTTTGTTCTGTGGCTCCTCAAGGTTAGGAATCTGCTGCACAGGAGAAGCTGATGTGTTCCCAGTCTGCTAGCTCCAACACTCCAATGTTGGGGTGCTGGCCAAAGCACTTCTTACAGGTGGTGGCAGCAGAATCCATGCTCACTCGCACATCCTGTTAGACACAGCAGTGTGGTGGGATGCATGCAGTGGGGCCAGAGTAGGGGGCATTAGTGTCTGTGCATGCACTCACCCCAGTGGTGATGGCATACTGGGTGTGGGGTTCTGGCATCTGGGCACATACTTGTGCCGGCAGCAGCACTGGCAGGGGTGGGTTGGGCAGCTGGGTGTGCATGCACATGAGCCATCAAGGGAAGGGGAGTGAAGTCTGCTCTCGTGGGGACACTGGCAAAACAGTGGGGAATGGTCTATGAGTGAGTGCATGCTGGCAAAGTGGCGGGAAGAGACTGCAGTGGGTTGAGGATCCTGGTGGATGGATGTGCAATGGCAGGGGCCAGTCAGCTGGAGCTCTCCAACAGTTAGGTGAGGTCTGCTAGCAAAGAAGCTCTGATGTGGCCCTCCAGGAAGCACCCTGGTTGCATCTCCAAGGTGGCAGTGTAAGTGGGTGCAGCCAGGCTGGGACCCTAAGAGACGCTGGCGGAGAGGGAGGTGCTCTGATTGAACTGGCCCTGTCTTATAGGCAAGACTACCCTTCTCTCCAGGACTGATACTCACCCCAAGATTAAAGTCTCTTAGAGGATCATGATGAGCTTTGAGGGTCTTGCTGTGCTCCACCACAGACATTCCTGTGCCAAACCCTCTGGACTCTATATAGACTGGAGTCCTGCCTCTGTCATTTCTCTAAACTGCTTTCCCTGACAACTCAAGTGTCTGTGGTGGTCATCGCTTCTCCTGTGTTGAGGAATTTCATGGTGACAGTGGGAAACCCCCTCACCTGCTCAACTCACCCCCTCTTTATGAGTCGCTGGGGGTCAGGAGCAGGTCCTGGCGTTTGACAGCCCTGCAGAAGGTTCCCAGCCTCCTCTCCCTTCAGTTCAGTGTCTGCAGCCTCCATCCATCCACTCTTATTGCCTTCTCTCTGACGATCTGATCAGAATGTATCATTCTTCCCAATGTCATGGTCCTTCAGTGGGAGACATTCCTCCTGGCTTTGTCTAGTTGGCCGTCTTCACACAAGGTATAATGAATTTAAATATATTGTATTTAATTAACTAAAAGATTATCTTCATAATTCTAAGTATTGGATTTAAATTCTGCCTTTGTCACTTTCTAGCTACCTCTGAGCATTTCGTTCACTTAATTGTCAATTCTTAAATCCTCATTTTCCATCTTTTCTATTACCTTGAAATTTGCTTGAATGCAACAATCTGGCTTCTTCATCTGCTCTTTGAGGGTGCTCAGAGGCACAGTGTTCTTTTTCAATGATTATGAGTACGGAGCTGTGAATCTGTTTTGCTCTAATGTGGCCCATATTATATCTGCACCCTGGCTATGCAGGTAGTTAACCTCAGCTTAATGGCTATATGTATATTAATTAATTCAGAATTTGGGCACATTAATGTTTAGTCAATATTTTAGAGGCTTTATATTTAAGATGTATTCAAAATTATGCTTGCATATATTTAGTCCTCACATGTGCACAGACATACAATGTAGCCGTTAATATTCCCTCTTAAAATAGTGAAGACTCACTGAAGAAAAGTGAGAATATTAAAATCACAAGCATGGATAGCATTTAACATTGAAATCATCTGAAAGTGAATTCTTCTGGTTGGTAAGATTTTCCTGATAACTCGGTGCTCTAACTTTCTATTTGGCCCATTAAAACTGATAGGAATATTATGTCTTGCGCTAGGTGGTTGCTATGTTACATGATGAATAGATTAACAGGACCTGACTTATGCTGGTGGGTGAGCCTGTGCATTCACAACTTGCACTTATGACTATACACTGCTTTTATAGTTATGGACAACTGAGCTATGGACAGCCGATTGCTTCACAGGAACCTCCAGGCTGGAAGTTCTATCTCCTTATTTCCTTTGTTCTCTTCTCTGTTATCTGATGCTCACTGTCAATCATCACTTGAATCTACCCCACACATTCTGGTTCCATCAATTTCTTACACGTATTTTCTTTCTGAGACTTTTCAAAAATAATCTGGTCTTATTACTTCTCTAGAGCTATCTGACATTGATATAAAAAGCTATTCAGAGCATTCCTTTCATTCAGGTCTATAAACTAGCCTTACCTTGTTATGAGGTATTATCTGAAATTTCTGACAATTTTTTATTAGTTCATTTTTCAAATCAATGACTTTATTTAACTGTTTGTTTATAAGTGTCACCCCAGATGTCTGAGGGCTCTAGGGGTCTTGGGACTATATGTGGCTCTCAGGATTCTCCCCTGCTCTTGAACTTTAAACATTTTCTGATTTGTTTTCCCTTCACTCATCTCTTTTTCTTTCCTTTTTATTTGTCCTTTCTAACAGTTTCTTAGTGCAGTGGCATCTAGTCTGTTTTTGAAGGAAAATATAGCAGCCACAATTTTCATCTCTATTCTCCTCCTCTGTATATCTCTTTTCCAGTACTTTTTTTCTGTATCCCTTTTCTGCCTTTTAGGTTATTTATCCAAGTTTGTTTTCTTAATAATTTGTCTAATTTCCAGCATTTCCTGTTTTATTATTTCCTGAATCCAGTGTATTATAATTTGGATATTTTTATTTTGAAAATCTTATTTATTTTACCCCTCTTCCTATTTATCTTTTTCCGAGCATTTTCATTCCAGATTATTGTCTTCTTATAGCATTCTGTTCCTTTTTATAAACAGTAGGTCTTCTTGGGATCCACTGAGATACCACATGAGTTCATAACATTTTTTTTTTTTTGGATCTTTAGGGCTAGATTTTTTCAATGTAATTTTTAAACAGCTTTCTTGGGGTACAATTGATATACAAAGAACTGCACATATTTAATGTATACAATTTGATAAGTTTAGACATATGCAAACACCTATGATATCACTGTAATGAAGGTAATAGACATATTTTGAATACCCAAAGTTTCCTTGTGTCCCTTTTGTGTGTGTGTGTTGAACAACTCCCCCATTTCTGCCACCCCACTCCCAGGTTCTGGCATCTAATATATTATTCTCTGCTTCTATAATTTTGACTATTTTAGAAAACATAAGGGAAAAGCTTCTTGATATTAATTGTAGATATAGATTTCTTGGCTATGACACAAAAAGCACAGACAACAAAAATAAAATAGACAAGTGGAATTACACCAAATCTAAAAGCTACTTCCCAGCAAAGAAATCCATTAACAGAGTGGAAAGGCAACCTGTGAAATGGGAGAAAATATTTGCAAAATGTGTATCTGACAAGATGTTGTTTTCCAAAATACATAAGGATTCCTTCAACAATAGCAACAGCAACAACAAAAAACAAGTAACCCAATGAAAAAATAAAAGCAAATGGAAAAAATCCCAAAACTGATTAAAAATGGGCAAAAACTTTACCAATATAATTTTTAGGAGTCCTTAAATTTCTATTTTCCTCTTCTTGTTCTGCTGGCTATTTCATAGAATAAAATACTTTTTCTTTATACCTATTTTTAAAATTTTCAGTAATTACCTTCTAACAAAGGAAATCCTATTTAACTTTTTGTTTGTCAATTTTCATGTTTGTGTATAAACATATATGTAACTGCATAATGCCTGGGTCATTTCTCTGTTGTGGGGTTAAACAAGTTTCTGAAATCTATAACTGCAAGTTGGTGTGAACAGAAATCAGCTTATTTCAGCTGCCTTTACACTTTTCAGTTTTTTTTCCATTCTTCTGGCATGCAGCTAATATTGTAACTATGGTTTATTTTTTTCAGTTTCAAATGTTGAATCCAAAATCTTCTTTGTTCCTATTATATTTTGTCATTTGTATCGTGGAAACTCTCTGTACTCTTGCCTCTAACCTCTGCAACAACACTCCCTTCTGTCTGCTTCAGAGTGGACACAGAAAGATGTTGCAGAAAAATATTTAAGCAATATCTGAAGGAGAGCCCACATGGAAAATACGTATATACAAATATCTTTAGTTGTTAGGAATAATGGTTTTGATATAGGGATGAGAGAGTAATGGTTGTATAAAGAATCTTGTGATCATCTATTCCCTTTCATGGTGAATATCTAGATGTGATTTTTCATTTTCATGTAATAAAAATAATCTTATATGTAATTGGACATTATATGTTATTACCGTCTCTTAAATTCTGGAAGCCTTATCCATTATGGTTTTTAGTAACTGTATGGTTTCTCTAATTTTTGTGTATATATTTTTGTGCTAGTTTGAAAGCAGCTACTGTTAAAATGTCATATTTAACCATGAATGTTTATATATGAGATTTCCTTCATTAACAAGTTATTCAATAAAACAATACATTTGTTGTGTTTTGCTGTTCATCGATTTCTACTAACTAGACATCTTTGAATGCTAAATTTTTGCCTTTACCGCATAAAAGAGTCTTGTATAAAGTCAGAAATATCTCCTTCTGGTTTCATTGCACAATGTAACATAGTAGCACATATAATTAATACAAATATATTAATATATACTTTTAATCAACCACTGAATAGTATCGTGCTGTGCTAATGATTTTGGGTACATGAAGACTGATTGCATTTTCCTAATGAAACATTTTTTTCTTAGAATGTTTTACATTTACATACTCAGTGAATCATGACAAATATTGCTAGAATTTACTTTGATATTTCTTAAACTTATATTTAGAAGTTAAGAAAAGTAAAATATGTTATTCTTTCCAGACAAGCAGTAAAAAGAATCTACTAGACAGTATAAATACTGAACACATCAGATGATATGTAGATGTCTGTCAAATTAAGTTATTATAAAGTAATTTAAAATTTTACTTAGGTTCTAACTTTAAGGGGTGGCAGAATTTTAGAATAGTTAATTCATTTTTCTTATCCAAATAACAAATATTTTTTAAAGATACAATTTTTCTGTGTTTAGGATTCAAAACTGAAATATTCTCAACATCTAGCCAACATATATCTTCAAAAATATTTGTTACATGAATAATTTAAAAATGAATCAATTATTCTTATATATAAATAGAAGTTACAAAATTATGGCAAAACTATTAATTTCTAAATAAGTATTAATTTCTAAATAAGTTGCAAAGTAGTAGAAGCCTGTTTCCGTGAGAGATAAAGAGAAGGATTCCAAAGTATAAAGCCTAGGGGCTGAGGCTTCAAATACAATAGGATTTATCATGATAAAAGATGGTGGATTGATGAGGTGAATTCAAGGCATCCTTTCTCTATTGTGCATTCTTGGTACCCTTGTCAAAGATTTTAATTCTGGACTTGCTTTTCTTCCATTGGTTTATATGTCTGTTTTAATGCCAGATTTATACTGTTTTAATTACTGTATCTTTGTAATATAGATTGAAATCAGGAAAGGTGATGCATCTAGCTTTGTTTTTCTTTCTAAAGAATGTTTAGTTATTCAGGGTCTTTAGTGAATCCACATGAAATTTGGAATTTCATTTTCCTACTTCCGTAAAAATGCCATTGGAATTTTGTTGAATTGCACTGAATCTGTTGATTCTTTTGGGAAGTATCAGCATTTTAACAAAATCAAATCCCCACTCCATTTACATATGATGACTTTCCATTTATTTGTATTTTCTTTACTTACTTTCAGCAATGTTTTGTAGTTTTCACTGCACAAATCATTCATCTCCGCAGTTAAGTTTATTCTAAATATTTTATTCATTCTGATGCTACTATAAGTGGGATTATTCTCTTAATTTTCTTTTTGGATAGTGACTTGATATATAGAAGCACAGCTGAATTCTGTGTGTTGATTTTATATTCTGTAACTAGACCTATTAGTTCTAATGGCGTGTGTGTGTGTGTGTGTGTGTGTGTGTGTATGTGTGAACTCTCTAGGGTTTTCTAAATGTAATATCATGTCATCTGGAAACCAATAATTTTACTTCATTTTTTCCAATTTAGTTGTCTTTTTGTTCTTGCCTAATTGCTCCAGCTAGAACTTTCGGTACTATGTTGAATATAATGATGAGAGTGGGCATCCTTGCCTCCATCCCAATCTTAGAGTAAAAGCTTTCAGTTTTTCACCATTGAGTATGATACTAGCTGTGGGATATTCATATATGGCCTCTAATATGTTGATATAATTTTCTATTATTCCTAGTTTGTTCAGAGTGGGTTTTTATTGTTAAAGGGTGTTAATATTTTCCAATTCTTTTTCTGCCTGTATTGAGATGATCAAATAATTTTATCCTTCATTCTACTAATGTGCTCTAATCAATTTAATTTCGTGTGTTGTACCATTCTTGCATCCCAGAGTTATATCCCACTTGGTCATGGAGTATGATCACTTTAATGTGCTGTTAAACTTGGCTTCCCAGTATCTTGTGGAGGATTTTTGCATCTATATTCACCAAGGATATTGGCCCATGGTTTCTTTTCTTTTCTTTTTTTTTTTCTTTAATTTTTAAGTTTAGGAATAAAAGTGCAGGTTTTTTACACAGGTAAACTAGTGTCGTGGGGGTGTGCTGCACAGACCATTTCATCACACAGGTAGCAAGCCTGGTACCCATTAGTTATTTTTGTCTTACACCATATACAAAAATCAATTCAAAATATATTAAAGACTGGGCACGGTGGCTCACGTCTGTAATCCCAGCACTTTAGGAGCCTGAGGTGGGCGGACGCTTGAGGTCAGGAGTTTGAGACCAGCCTGGCCAACATGGTGAAACCCCATCTGTACTAAAAATACAAAAAAATTACTACAGCATGGTGGCAGGTGCCTGTAATCCCAGCTACTCAGATGGCTGAGACAGGAGAATCGCTTGAACCCAGGAGGCAGAGGTTGCAGTGAGCCGAGATCACACCACTGCACTCCAGCCTGGGTGATAGAGCAAGTCCCTGTCTCAATTGAAAAAAATGCTCTAAAGACTTAAGACTTGAAACTGTAAAACCTCTAGAAGAAAACATAGCAGAAAAGCTTCATGCCATTGGTCTGGGTAATGCTCTCTTGGATATAACACAAAAAGCGTGAGCAACAAAAGCTAAAATAGACAACTGAGACTACATTAACTGAAAAGCTTCTACACAGGAAACAATAGGGTGAAAAGGCAATCTACAGAATGGGAGAAAATATTTGCAAGCCATATATCTAATAAACGCTTAATATTCAAAATATAGATTGGACTCCGAGAAATCTATAGTGAAACAAAACAGACAAACAACAAAACAACAAATCCTGATTAATAACTGGGCACAGGACTTGAATAAACATTTCTCCAAAGAAGACATGAAAATCACCAACATGAAAAGATACTCATGACTAATCATGTGGAAAATGCAAATTAAATTAAACCAAAATTAGATATCACTTTACCTGTTTTTACCTGTTACAATGGTCACTATAAACAGAAAAAGATAATAAGTATTCCCAGGATGTGGAGAAGTTGCTAACTCTTGTACACTATTAATGGGAATGTGCAATGTTATAGCCTCTATGAAAAACAGTAGGAAGTAGCCTTAAAAAAATAAAAAGAACTATTATATGATCTAGCAATCCCATCTCTGGATATTTATAGAAAAGAATTGAAATTGGAATCTCAAAAAGATATTCATATTCCTATATTTTATTACCATATTATTTGCAATAGCCAATATGTGGAAACAATGTCCACAAATGGATGAATGGATGAAGAAAATGTGGTATGTGCACACATTGCATACTGTTCACCATTTAAAAAGAAGGAAATGCTGTAATGTGGGGCATCATGGAATTCATGGATTCAGGACATTATGCTAAGTGATAAGCTGGTTATAAAAGGACACATTCCACTTATATGAGGCAAAAATAGTCCAACTCCTAAAAGGAGAAAATAGAATTACAGCTACTAGGAGCTGGGTGGTAAGAAGGGGGAAGTTGCCCTTCTATGGATATGAAATTTCAGTTATGCAAGATGGTTAAATTCTAGAGATCTGCTGTACAACATTGTACCTATACTAAACAATATTGTATTCTATATTTAAAAAATTTTAAGAGTAGATCTTATGTTAAATGTTCTTACTGAAATAAAAATGTAAAAACACAACTTTAGAAAAAATTTAACATATATAAAAGCTCATAAGTAATGCTTTGTTATAATTTCACATAACTTTGGAAAAATTACTTTCAGAAGAGTGAAACATGATGAGCTATTCCATTAGATTAGAAAACTATAAGAAAAAAAAAAAAGACCTTAAGCAATCAGCACAATTAGGGTGGGGCAGTTAGCTGATTGAAAGAAACTGGGGAATGATTGGAAGCCAGGGAAATGGAGATGACAATAGTGGGTTATTCTTTAAAAAATTTTGGATGAGAAGTGAAATATATAGGAGGGTAATATTTAAGATAAAATCAACATCAAATAAATGATTTTTAAGAATAATAAGAAATTGTTTAAAACTGTCAATACTCCACTTATGTTAAACATAAGATGAATTTGAAACGTCGCTAATTCTATCACATTTAATAATTTGTGAATAGTATCTATTTTTTTATTTCCAGTGCCCCATTTCAATTCAAATCATATTTAAATATCAAATTTTCTCTTGGAATTACAAAATGTCCTTCCAACAGAGAGGAAAAATGTACATATAGACAGTTTACATGGTTGTGCCAATGAAGTCCATAGTATCCATATAAGTTTGTGTTCTGCTGAAGGTAATTCCTTCCAGAGATTTGACACTTTTAAATTGACTAACAGAGCAACTAGTATTCCTGTTTTCTATTCATCAAATCTTTTCTTAACTTAATTATATGTCACTCTTCTAGCCAGTTCCAAACATTTAAAGTCTATTGTTTCTTTTCCCCATAATCCAACCTGGTTAGATATGAAAATCTGTAGAAAGCATGAAGAGGTTAACTGCAAACAATAATTTTATAGAGGCACAGGAAGTATAAACATATAGAAGAGTTGACATTTGGGCATATCTATATTATGGAAAGCTTGTACTATATATTAGTAACACACTGACTTTGTAGCACCTTGCTTTATTTTCTGTCTCTGCCCCCAAGTATCTGTGTATCTTAAGCCAAATCATTCAACGAAACTAAAGCTCAATTTCTCTTTTATAGAAAAAAATGTGCTCCAACATTTCTGCCATCAACATACTAAGGCATTTTTTTCCTTGTCATAGAGATTGAGTAGATGGAATTCATAATAACAAATATTTTTAAATGTAAAATACTAAGCTATTATCAATTATTGAATAAAGATAATAACATCATTTGTTTCATACTGTGAATCCTTTAATGCTAGAATATTAATGCTTGCCTTTTTTTTATAAAACCGCTTCAGAGAATAAGAGGTCAAGCTAAATTTTGTAACCTCTATAATGTGAAAAATGGTTTATATTTCTAAGAGTTGAACAAAAAGGAAAACAGATCTATGTTTTATCACAAAGCAGACACTTGAATAAGCACAAAATTATATAAAAGACCATTACTAACAACTCTAAAAGTTTCTCACATTTTCTCCTACTCACCAATATTCCTAACAAAAATACTCTCTTTATTAATTTTTATAGCAATTTTTTCTTTTTCCTTATGATTTTACCATCTGAGTTTGTATCTCTAATACTCTCTTTTTTATTTTAAAAATACAATAACATGGTATGCATCATTTTTATGTGGCTTTTTTTTTTTACCGTTTTTCTCCATTTTTATTGTAGTATATTATTCCATCTTAGGAAGTCATGTTCACTTTTCAAGCATTTTGCTGGTTAGGAAAATTTGAATTGTTTCCAGTTTGTGACTATTAGCATAATACTTCTATGGACATTATTAAAATATTTTCTTTCTTTGCATTTGTATAAATTTCTGGGGTATATGTCTAGGATAAACACTGCTAAGTCATAGGGGTACCACATATTTCTAAGGTTCATAGAAAGTTCTAGTTTTACAAAGTGAGTAATCACCATATATTCAGCAATTTGCCATGATTCCTATTTGTGCCAATACTTAGTAGCATTTTGTTCTCTTTCTTCCTCCCTCTCTCTCTTGTTCCCTCTCTCCCTCATTCTCCTCCTTCCTTCTGTTTTTCTTTTTCTTTCCTTCCTTCCTTTCCATGCCTGCCTTCTTTCCTTTGTTTCCACATTCTTCCTTTCCTTTCTGCCTTTCTTACTTCCTCCCCTTTTTTCTTTCAACATTACAGAGTGGTGGTGGGGGTAGGTATTGAAGCTTTTAATTTATATTTTTCTAATAAATAATAATGATTAATATATTTAATCTTTTTGACATGCCTGTTTAAGGCTTTTAATTGTTTTTCTATTTTGGTGTTTATTCTTAAATTGTAGCACTTTAAAAAATATTATTAGATGTGAAATTTTCTGTTATTTTTTGGTGTAAATATTCTCCTATTATGTGACTTTTTTCTTTCTATTCCATATTATTTTAATGCTATCATTCATAAGCTGTGATTCTTTCTTTTGTTTCAATTTTTCAAAATTGTGTTCAATTTTGATATCTATTCCTGTATGGGAAATGTTTTTTGTTCAAGCAATGTTTCCTATCCAGAGGTCAAGAGATATTTTCCTATTTTATTTATAGAATTGTATTATTTTGTTTTTTTATATTTAGATGTAAAAATTATTTTGATTGATATTTGTATTTGCTGTGAGGTAGGGAATAAGTTTTTCACCTCCTTCAATTGGGAACTAGCTTATTCAAAATTATTACAAAGATTATCATTATTTCACCATTCTGTAGATCCTACTGGGTTGTTATTATCATATATCCATGTTTGTAAAACTTATTATTATTTTTAAGTTGTTACAAAATTTTTTATTTTATGGTAGTATCATTATTTATTCTATCACCTTCCTTTTGATAAATATTTAGATTAAATTATATTTATTTGAACAATAAACACCATTAAAAAACATTGTAAAATATAGTAAACTATAAACTGATTTATTTCTATGGAGTAAATTTATGGAGGAGGATTCTGAGATCAAAATATACAACCATTTTTGAATTTTAATAAGTGTATTAAATTCTTTCTGAAGGGTTTTTTACTCATTTACATTTCTGTCAATATAGTAATGATGTGTATTAGGGTCCCTACATTTTTCACTCCTTATGTTTATTAGGTGAGTTGTTTGTTTTTGTCTATTTGAAAATTTGGTATTTCATTTCCTAAATTTGCATTTCAGCAACTTCTAATATGGTTGAAAAAAATGTTCGGATCATTGCCTACCTATATTGCCTTTTCTATGAACTGAATTCCAGTATTCTTCTAATTAAAACAAATTTCTTTTCTTTAGTTTAGAAATTCTAAGTGTATTAGTGATATTAAACTTTGAAATGGTATGTAAATTGCATGTATTATAGTAAACTGCTTGCAAAAATAGCCCCAATTCTTCATCATTTTCTCTATCCACACTCCTTGCAACCTAGTTTTCAGTTCCTCTGTTATTGAGTAGAGTATATTTCCACACAATTTGTATATGGGTTCACTTTGTAACTTATTTTGGCCAAAAGAATTTCCTGAAAAAGATGGTGTTCTAGTTTTGAGACTAAGCCTTAAAAAGCTTTACACACTGTAGCTTATTCTTCTAGAAACCTGCTACTACCATGTGAGCGGGCCCAGACTATTTTACTGGATGAGGAGAGACAAGTGGCCCTTTTACTTCTGCTCCTTCAGCCAATAGTCTACTTTCTGCCTTGAAATTGAAGCTGCTAAGGACTAGCCAGTCCCCAGGCCATCTAATATTTGATAACACGCACAGAAGCAAGTTCAGTCAAGATCAATTAAGTCTGACTCTGACAAGCAGAGCTAACAGATAGCAACAGAAGCATGAATAATAACACATACTTCTTTTCTTAAAGGACACCATAATTTCGCTGGGCGCGGTGGCTCACGCCTGTAATCCCAGCACTTTGGGATGCCGAGGTGGGCGGATCACAAGGTCAGGAGAGCGGGACCATCCTGGCTAGCACCGTGAAACCCCGTCTCTACTAAAAGTACAAAAAAATTAGCTGGGCGTGGTGGCGGGCGCTTGTAGTCCCAGCTACTAGGGAGGCTGAGGCAGGAGAATGGCGTGAACCCAGGAGGCGGAGCTTGCAGTGAGCCGAGATCACGCCACTGCACTCCAGCCTGGGCGACAGAGAGAGACTCAGTCTGGAAAAAAAAAAAAAAAAAAAAAAAAAAAAGACACCATGATTTGAGGTGTTTATTATGCAGATATAGATGACTAATAGAATTTTTCATCTTCATGGGTTACAGATTTAAATTTTCATCTAGAATGACTACTGCTTCATAGGTTATAGAATCATTTTCTGATTATGTAATCTAAATGTTAAAATTTTGTCTTTAATCTATCTGAAATTTATTTTATATACACCATTCTTTTCCAAATAGAAATCCAATTCAATATTACTATTTAGTGAATCTTTTCCAATTGAATTGATATAGTACATGTCATGTATCATTCGATCAGCAGCATTCTACTTTCATTGTAGTTTTATTAAGATGTATTGAGATCATATATCATTATTTCATTTCAAAAAAATTCAAGTATGTATGATTTTTAAATTCGGAATCATTAATCCCAGAATTTTAAAAATGGCATTTTGTTAAAAGTTTAGTTTTGCTCAAAAGTTATTAGAATAAAAAGGCAAAATGGTAAGAAAATGCTAGCCCTGGCTGGGCACGGTGGCTCATGCCTGTAATCCCAGCACTTTGGGAGGCCGAGGCCGGTGGATCACGAGGTCAGGAGATCGAGACCATCCTGGCCAACATGGTGAAACCCCGTCTCTACTAAAAATACAAAAATTAGCTGGACTTGGTGACGCGTGCCTGTAATCACAGCTACTTGGGAGGCAAAGGCAGGAGAATTGCTTGAAACTCGGAGTCGGAGGTTGCAGTGAGCAGAGATCACACTCCATCTCAAAAAAAAAAAAAAAAAAAGCTAATCCTGAATTTGCTATTTACTTACATATCTCAATATGTTTATTTAGTAATAATGATTTTTTATGACATTCACCCAAATAGATCAGAAGTCAGACTTAATTTACACCAGGAGACATGAAAAATTGTGACATCTACAACCTTTTATATCAAACCTGCCCAAATAAATGAATATGTAATAGGTTCTTGATGGAGTTTAAAACAAAGAAACTCTATTTAAAACAAAAACAAGTCACCTCTCTGTTTAGATGGTGATATATCACCACCTGCATCTGAATGCAGAGAAGACATCATTGAATTTTAAATTAATTCCACCTTCCAAGGTGTAGGATGACCTAGCCAGATTAATGATGGTGAGACTTGATTCAGGGTGAAGTTCTTCATAGACAGGCTGGAGCACAGATTTCTGGCCAGGAAATCACAGGTCTTCTGTGAGAGCAGCCAAGTCCAATCCCATTAGGAAAAAACATGACTTAAAATATCAGGAAGACCATATACAAATTCCCAAAATGATAAGATGAGCCTCAGAACTAAATTCCTCATTTATCTGTTCATTCAAAATGTATTAAAATTGTTTATATATCAGGAATTATTAGCACTGTCTTACCTGCTACATTTGGTGAGAATATATAGACAATAAAGCATTTGTATACAATATCTATATACATGTGTACAAAGATAGATATACAAAGAAAAAGACTTAAAGGGTAAGAGTTGAAGGAACCAGACATGTGCATATCCATAGGAAGTACACTCCAAAAAGAGAAAAAGAATGAGTTCAAAGGCTAAGATATAGAACATGCTTAACATGTTAAATAAACCTAAGAAGACAAATGTAGCTGAAGAAGAGAGATAGTGTTTTGACAGATAATAAATTGAGAAAAGTAGATGAAATTGAATTCTGTAAGCTGCTTTAAGTGATTCTGATATTTATTCTATTAGGACGGGAATCCATTTGAATAGCTATAACATAGCATTATATTATTGAATTTATTAAGAGACTCGTCATGGCTGCCACATAAAAAACAACAACAACAAAAAGACTACAGGGACAAGAATAAATGCAGGAAGAACAGTCCAGAGACTGTTAATAGGTGTCCTGTTCATAGGTGATTATATTTTTGTATAGAGTGGTAGAAATGTAAGTCACGAAAAGTGGTAAGACTCTCAAAATATTTTGAGGAAAAATCTGGCAGGATTTACTAATTTATTTTATTTGTAGACATGAAAGAAAGAAACCAAATAATGATTCTAAGACTTGTGAACTAAGTAAAGAGATTTTATTGAGATTAGAGAGATGAGGAGAGGAGTAGGTTTTGGTGGAGAGAAGCAGAAGATTGGTTTGAGACAAATGGAGTTTAAAAGTTGGACAAGTAATTTGTAGACAGTTGTATAGATGTGTCTGGATTTCAGTGTAAAAGTCTGGCTAGAGGTGCACATTTGGGAGTTGTTAGCACATTTGTTACCAAAACATCAGGGATTCAGGCTAGGTCCTGCTACTCATCGCAGAGAAAGCCAATCACTGAGACCGCAAGTATTGCCAAGGAAGAATTCTTTAATCTGGTGCTGCAACTGAAGAGATAGGAGCTCCGTCTCAAATCCATCTCTCTGACTGACTAAACTAGAGGTTTATAAAACAGGGAAGAAATGTAACAATGTGTGATATGGTTTGACTCTGTCCCCACCCAAATCTCAACTTGACTTGTATCTCCCAGAATTCCCATGTGTTGTGGGAGGGACCAAGGGGGAGGTAATTGAATCATGGAGGCTGGTCTTTCCCCTGCTATTCTCATGATAGTTAATAAGTCTCACAAGACCTGATAGGTTTATCAGGGGTTTCTGCTTTTGCTTCTTCCTCATTTTCTCTTGCTGCTGCCACATAAGAAGTGCCTTTGGCTTCCTGCTATGCTTCTGAAGCCTCCCCAGACATGTGGAACTGTAAGTCCAATTAAACCTGTTTTTCTTCCCAGTCTTGGGTATGTCTTTACCAGCAGTGTGGAAATGGACTAATATAGTATATTGATAGCAGTAGAATGGGGCATTGCTGAAGTTGTAAACTAAAGAAAAGTGAAAGAACATATTACTGCAAAGTTTCTTCAAAGTGTCCAAATGTATTTTCTGTTTCCACATAAAGTTTATTAAAAACAAAATTATTTTAAGAACTGTAATCAATGTGATTTATTATTGCAATTTCTATAGTCAGAACCTAATAGTAAAAAAAAAAATAAACACCTAAAATATATGTATATATGTCATCATTATAGTTGGTGATCATTCTCTTTTTGCTAGTGTTGCCACTGCATTACTTCTTCAAAAATGATCTAATGGATTCCATTCCTCACATCTTTATAAAGTCTCTGTTCTTAAAATGTTTTTGAACAGAAGCATTCATAATATATTATGGATAGCTTCATGAAAAGACTGAGCAATAGGAATTTGTTATGAATAATTTATAGGTGATGATTTCCAAAACAAAGTTATAAAACATAAACTAAAAATAAAATGGTTTCATTTGGCCTGTGGTAAAACAAACAAACAAAAAGTTTGAACAGAAAACTTATGAGCTACTTAAAGTTATGTAAAACAGTAAAAATGGACACTTTTTATATGCTGTTTATATCTGCTTACCATAACAACATAAATACAGATTTTCTTATCATTTTCTATAATTTAATATTATTGAAATGTGTTTCAGTTTAGGACTAAACATATTGAAAATAGTGGAAAGACAGATAAATTGATTGGGGGCAATTTCTTCTGCCCTGTAGTCTTTAACTCTCTGGGGAACTCAAAGTAACCTGAAGTTCCACACTGTTAGCAAAGTGAAATCAGTATGAATGACTGTAAAAATAATCTGAGGAATAAATGAAGCCTCTCACTCTAATAAACATCCTTGAGGATGCTAGTCCTGACAATAAAGTTTCCTGCTTGAAGCAAATGCTCTGTGAGAAATGAAACTTTCAGTTTCCAGTTATTTTATACTTGGGCAGAGGGCAAAGGCTACAATAGATAAATTTTGTTACTTCTTGTTTTATGTTTGTTCCCTCATGTTGGAGAGATGGAGAGGAAGCAGGGATTATATATGCAATTATTTTACTCTATAAGAATCTGGGGCCTGGCATGGTGGCTCATGCCTGTAATCCCATTACTTTGGGAGGCATAGGCAAGAGGATCTGTTGACCCCACGTGTTCCAGACTAGCCTGAATAACACAGTGAGACCCTGTATCTACAGAAAAACAAACAAAAAAGTAGCCTGGTGTGGTGGCACATGCCTATAATCCCAGATACTCAGGAGGCTGAGGTAGGAGAATTACTTGAGCCTGGGAGGTTGAGGCTACAGTGAGCTATAATTGTGCTACTGCACTGAAGCCGGGTAACAGAGCAAGACCCAGTCTCAAAAAAAAAGTTTTTGAATTCACAAATGATAATAATTATAATAAACTACAACTAAGAAGTGATTTTTGTTTACTCAGGCATAATACATTCCCTTAGCCATTTAATTGAAGATATAATCTTTTAGAAGATTTTATGGTGATTCATCATAAACAATAATAACAACAATAGAGCAAATATTTATTGAGACTCTAGCATATGTCAGACATTAATTTATGAGTGCTTTATTATGGATTATTTTATGCCTTCCTCACCATAACGCCATGAGGTAGGCACTGTAGTATCAGTTGTTACATTTTAATAAAGTGAACACTGAGATTTAGAGTCTTAGAAAAATTAGGTAAACTGTTAATATCATATAGGTAATAATTTTTGATATTGCAAGTAAATTTTAATAATGTAACAATCAAAGTCTGAAACTATTATCTCAATCACTACATTCTACCTGAGTAGGCCTACCAGACCATTTTAAAAACCTTTCCTATAAGATTTCTTACTGCATGAGAACTTTCATCTTTCCTTGATATAGTTAATATAATCTATATGATATTAGTCCAGACAGAGAAAACTATTTACTGCACAATCCTACTGAATACTTGCTTAAATTTGTTTTAGAACACTTTCTTTGAAGCTCGATAGTTTAAACCTAAGTTCTATGCTCTAAGAATTGATAAACAAGTTCATGTTTTTGCAGTCTTTCAACAAATATTCAATAGTGACTGACTTAGAGTTGATTACTGTGAGTTGAATACTGCAAATGCTACTACCCTTGTGCTCTTTTACCCTTGCTTTCAGATTTACAGTACTGAATTTACCGACTTAATGAACAGCACACAGTGGCTAAATCCACTGCACACTTTTCGTCTTACAGACGTCTCTGTAGCCCTTGAGATGGTTGAATACTCACACCTTGGAATAATTTTTGTCCCTAACATCATTGACATTATACTCCTTTTATTTTCCTTTTGCTGATGTGACACTTCAAATTATCCCTTTGGAACTATTTTTCTGACTATGTAATACATTTTTGAGACTTCTAGGCACTCTTCCATTATTGCTAGACCCAAACTTGATGAGAAATGTAATGTACTGCCTGTGAATTAAATTACTCATATAATATGATGAGCTAAATCTGTGTCTCCTTCCAAGAACTCTCTGTTGAGCTCCAGACCAAGTTCTTGGTGGACATCTTCACTGGGATGTAAAGTAGGCCAATCAAATTCAGTAGGCTAAAAGGTAATCTCATCAGTGCCCTGCAGCCCCCTTGAAAAATTCGCCTCCTTTTAGAACATGACCCCAACACTTGTCCAAACCAATCACCAGTGCTGTGTGCCATTCTGCATAGCTAATTATATCACCTCACCTCGTTAAGTCTACCACTTCAAAAATATCCCTAATCTCGATACTAAGCTCTATTTCCGTACAAATGATTATAAGTCCTTTTAATATTTGTTCCCTATTTCTTTCTTAGTATGGCCACTTGTAAACATTTCTACAGTGCTATTCTGGTTGTGGTTCTTCCAACGATTCCCATTGTCACTCTCTGTTAGGCCGTGTCTAAGCTTCTGTCAATGGAACACTCATTCTTGTCTCTCTTCCCGACACTGTCCATCCCTGTCCCTGCCCTTTATCTTGCTAACTTTTTAATCACCTCTAGCCCTCGACATAGAATATTTTCTTAAAGAAAGAAAATATTCCCTGGTATGTGAGTACTAAATTAGGTGAGGCTCCTTGTTTTGTTCTCTGAGGGAAATTTCTATTCCACACATTATTATGTAGTAGATAAATTATAATTTGTTTTAAAGTTGTTACTTCTTGAAACTGCCACCTCTTTCAAGACAAATAGAATAGTTTGTTGTTACAGCTTCCAGACCTAGCATAAACAAATTTGACAAAACAGGTGTTTACAAAATTAATAAATAAATGACAAGAATAAATATCTCCTTATTCAAACAATTTACATATTATGACCAAAGTCATAGATTTTGATTAAAGATAGTGTTATACACAGAATGAAAGCAATGATAGGATTTGATGTTTTCTCTACAGAACTTTAACTGTAAACTATGTAAATAATTTAACTCCCTCTCAGAGGTCTTTCTTCAAAAAACTAGATTACAAATTTATGTTTCTTTTTGCTTATGCCTTTATCTGGATTTTTGAAGATCCTTTTATTATTTCATGTCACTCTCACCATTACTCCATGAAGTAGGTACTGTACTGTAAGTTGCTACATTTTACTAATGTGGACGCTGAGATTTAGAAAAGCATGTCTATTTCCATTACCAAACATCTAAGCGGCCTGCTTACTCTCAACTTAATCCTCAAATTTTCTTTATTAGGAATAAATATTTAGTTTTATTTTAATTACTTCCCACATATACACCTAGTATTATTTTTGTAGTTATTTTTATAACTTTTTGGTAACTTGATAGTAGAGACTTTATCATCTATTATAAAACATCAGATACTAGACATTTGACACCAAGAAATGCTGACTAAAGGCAGTTTTGTATAATATATTTAAGAGATATCTTATACATATTTTCCTGAGTAAAATAGTATCCCCCTTTTTCATGTAAAACAAAACAAATAAATGTGAATCCCTCACAGTAAATAAAAAGTTGTTTTATATTCCAGATTCAAATATTTCCAGGTCACTAAAAATAGAAATATTGTTATAAACAGAGCAATGTTTCACAAATGCATATGGCTACTTTTAGTGTTGGAATTTAATAGAACATGTCATAAAATAAATGGCGAAATAAATAGCACTAAAAAATATTTTATTTTCTGGTCTGTGGGAACACGGTCAACACAAATGCTTTCTTAAGACACAGTATTGTGGATACCTCTAATCTAAAAGCCAGCAGGTGGCAAATATTCACACCACCTAATGTTAGTACCGTATGTGCAATTGGAGATATGGTTCTCCCATGACCAAATATGTAGAAAACGGAGATTCTTAATTTCTTGAACATAAAATTCCAACTCTCACATGGAGAACTGCAAGAAGCTACTCCTGTGCTAAATGAAGGGATTTTTTTTTCTCTTAAACACAATGTATACCTTATAAATTCAATTTTTACTCAGAAAAAAAAGCTTTTAACAGGGATCAGCTAAAAAGAGTGAAAATATTGAAATAAAAGGGTGATTTTTAAAGTAGAAACACATGAATTACTATGTTTGTACTTCCTCAAACTAGTTGTGTAACCAACTACACTGACCCTACAGTTTCTCCAATATAAAATGAGAATATATTACTTACCTCTAAAGCAATGTGAGAATTCAACTAGACAATATCTACATTAGACACCTTCTTATCCTGCCCTCTCATTTATTATTCATTCCATTATTTAATTACTTATTTATATAAGTATGACTGGTAGAAACACCTATTATTCCATGGATTGTAATCCAACACTATTGTCCTTTATTTTGTTACCAGTTAGACCATTGGGCACTCACAAAAGCTTGTACCTGTATCCGTCTGGCATGCCCTCATTTTTTTTGTTTCATTTAACACTCCCTTACTTCATGGTATTACAGGATGCTCAAGTCTCATCTTGAATTTTCCTGCCCCAGCCCTTAAGTCATCCATTTCTCCAGGAAGCCCCAATTCTCCTTTTGAAGAATTGGATGTGGAAACCACATCCAGGTGCTGGCATGCTCACTGCCACTCGAATGCTGCTTTCTCTAGATCCCCCCAACATATACAGCTAAAAAATATATGTATGTTTAGTAATCCATGTATGCATACAAATCAATATTTATTTCTGTAGCCATCCATTAGAATGTAAACTGAAATCAATATGAATTTGTACATATATGACTGACTCTAATTCATTACCACAGAGTTAATTGAAGTTGTCTGTCCTATCTTACTTCCTATTTCTTCCCTGACAGTGAAAAACCTCCCTTTTGTCATTAAAATTTATTAGTTTATTTATTTTTTTTAGTATGTGAATACTGAAGGTTGGAACAAGGGAATAATATTTTTAAATATAAAAAATGGTAGCTTTTAAAAATATCAATATCAGATTATTTTATTCACACACAGATATACACACAATTGATTTTTATCCTCTTGTTTTGTAGTCTGCAAACTTGCTAAACTCACATATTATTTCAAGTACTACTTTTGTAGATTCCATAGGATTTTCTTCAATGATTACCAGATCATTGACAAGAAAGTGCAAAGAGTTTAATTTTTTCTTATGAATCTAGATAACTTTTTTTCATTTCTTTCTTTTTTTCTTCTTTTTTTTTTTTTTTGTTTTTTTTGTTTTGTTTTGTTTTGTGCTGGCTAGGTCTCCAGTACAACATTGAAAAGAAGTGGTGAGAGAGCTAACATCCTTGCCTTGTTCCTGAGTTTATAAAGAGGTATGAAATCTTACCATTGGATCTGCAGATAGTTGCAAGGTTTGGTAAATGTTCCTTTTAATATTGAAGAATATTGTTTCTATTTGTTGGAAATTTTCATAGGAATAAGTATTAGTGTAAAATGCTTTTTCCATATTCATGTAGATAATTATATGATTTTTCTTCTCAGTTTGCTAATGTGATAAATTGCACTAATTAATTTTTAAATGTCAAAACAACTGCATTCTTGGGATAAATCTCTTTTAATCATGGTGTATTTCCTGTATATATAGTTGGCTTTGATTTTGAAATTTTGTGGTAATACTTTTACTTCTATGTTTATGTAGTTTTATTTTCTTATAATTTCTGAAACTGTTTTTTAATAAGGGTAATGCTTACCTTGTGATTTAAAGGAAAAGTATTCTCTTCCATTTAATTTTTCTGGAAAAGTTTGTGTAGAATTGAATTGAATGGCATTATTTCTTCTTTTAAAATTGTCATAGAGTTTATCAGTAAAGACAACTGGACATGGAGTTTTATTTGTAGGAATATCTTTAAATACTCTAATTTCCTTAATAGACATAAGATTATAAAATTGTCTATTTTAAAATCATAGCTTTACTAATAATTGACATTTAATAGAAAGTAAATGTTATAATTGAACAATTTGGTAATTTACACATATGTATACAGCTATGAAACAGTCAACACAATAGTAAAAATTGTATCACGCTGAAAAGTTTCTTCATGCTGACAATGTTCTGTAAGTTTGCACCTCCTTTAGTGAGTAACCTAAATCTTCTCTGAAATATTTCATATCTTGATGTTCCTACCTGGATTAGATTTTCCAGATCCTTTATTATCATTTATTATTAGACAAATACTGGGAGATAGCTTAAGAGAGTTCTCTAGGTTACATGTATTTTCTTCCCTATCCCCATCTTGTAGCAGAAACCTCATTTTCTCTTGATAAACCACTTTAATCACCTCGATCAACACAACTCTTCAGTGTATTGGTCTTGAGTTCAATTGACCCAATATTGTCAAATGTCAGTCTCAGGTCCCAGTACAATGTAACTCTTTTCATGTTCTCAGGAATCAAAAAGTTGAGACACTGATAATTAGGCAGAACAGTCAGAGGCATCCCCTCTATTTCACCTATTGATTCCTCAGACTCCTGAAGAAACAATCTTCTATTCACTAATGCATAATATATATCTCATGTTAGCAGAAAGCAACTCAAGCTCACAAGTTGTTTCCTACCTGACACTAACTGAATCTTCAGTAAGTCATTACATCTTTCTACATGACCAGCTGTTTCTCAATGCTAGAGCATGCTTTTTGCTATAAAATGAGTTATTATTGGCTTAGAAGCAAAGCTGTATAAAGTAGCATAACTTAGAATGACATTTATAGTAATTCTGTGATTAGCATTACAACTGAAGCACAGTATGCAGGGAAGGCAAACCCATATCTAGAGCAAATATCTATTTTAAGGAGAACAGATTCTTTCCTCCATGGTAGAAGATAGTAAAAAAATAAATAAAAATATAGTCAAGTGTGCCAGGCGCGGTGGCTCACGCCTGTAATCCTAGCACTTGGGAGGCGGAGGTGGGTGGATCACGAGGTCAGGAGTTTGAGACCAGCCTGACCAACATGGTGAAACCCCATCTCTACTAAAAATACAAAAATTAGCCAGGATGTGGTGGCACATGCCTGTAATCCCAGCTACTCGGGAGGCTGAGGCAGGAAAATTGCTTGAACCCAGAAGTTAGAGGTTGCAGTGAGTCGAGATCATGCCATTGCACTCCAGCCTGGGTGACAGAGTGAGACTGCATCTCAAAAAAAAAAAAAAAAAAAAAAAAAAAAAAAAAAAAAAAAAAAAAAAACAAATATATATATGTAGTCAAGTGGCTGGCTGATCCTACATTTTCCCCTTACTCTAATTGTGATGTCTTTTTAAGATTTGTATTGGTTTCTGCCGTTGGCAGATTGGGCAGGTAGTGGTGATATAATGGGATCAACCGTGGCAAGGGCAGTCCACATGTCTGCTACCAATACATAATGGGTTCCTGGTATCACCACACCACTATAGATGGACTCAGGCCAAACTCTATTTACCACCTGAACCCTAGATGTCTTTATTCTGTGACTCGGGGATTAACATTCTCTAAAGTCAGCATTCAATAATCAGTAGACATGTTGACAATTTTTGTTGACATGAGACTATAACTTGACTGAATACAAAACCGGAAATAAGATTTTGGTGATATTGTAGGGTGTTTCCATAGAGATATCAAACTTCTGGATATATTAACTCAATGACTTCTGGATATATAAACTTATTTAAGTAATGGAAAGCTGATGGCCATGAGAGTTACTAAAGTACTTTTCAAGGATATTGACCCTACTCAAAATATATGTCAATGTCATTATTAAGGGGGATTATTTTGGCCCCCTTAGTGGACATAATTAATGAGTGGGTTAATTAATTGTGTTTATCTCTTTCTAAGTTCAATATAGGCAAATGCTGAGATTATGATTTAATTAACCAGCCAAGCAAATGATTTGAATCATCCCCTATTAATCAAAATGAGATGATACATTGCAATTCATTTAGGAGTACCCATATTGATAAACTCAACCCAATTTTAAGTTCTATTCCTTTTTGTTTTGTGCAGCCCCCAACAAAATCAATCCCTACACACATTCCTCAAATTTGTGCCAATATAAGTGGGAAATTTGCAGCTCTTTTGATATTCAAAAATTTGCTTCTGATATTGACTTTATATGGTCCATGGAGTGACACTGGGCTCTAGATTGGTAATGAGGGTTTGTTGAGATGAGGCTAAAGACGATATCCTTTTGCAAGATGTGTCAATGAAGTTGCAGTCAGAAAGGCAAAACACTATAAGTAATATAGAATAAGGATTTTTAAATAGGAATACTCTCTTGCACTACTGTGGAGGAAGCTGGGGAAGCAAGGATCTAAAAGGGAAGATAAAGGATGAAAGGCAGTTCACTTGCCAGCCTCCTATTGCCAGGTGTGTCAGAGAGGGCTGCTAAAGGCACCTGATGAGAATGACTGTGGAGTTATTATGGGTCAGCTGGGACCGTAATAAAACAAAATTTGGACATGGAGTGCTGGGTAGTGAGGACAAATGGCAATCTATTGGTATTCCTGCATTTGTCTGTCTCCAAGTAGATAAGAAAGACAAGCTGAAATCTGCTAGTATTTCTACATGTGTCTCTTATCACCTCTATCCATAATGGCCTCCTGAGAGTAATGGTTACTGTTACTCTTTTCTGCTTTCCAAATTGTTTGCAAATTTTTCTTTTGAGCAACTGTAACATGGAACCATGCCAAAAAGGATGTCTTAATGTGTTTTCTGCTGCTGTAGTAGAATACCACAGACTGGGTAATTTTTAAGAACAATACTTTATTTCTCCTAGTTCTGAATACTGAAAAATCTATGATCAAGGCACTGTAACAGGCTTGGTATCTGGTAAGAGCCTGCTCTGTGTGTCCAAGATAGCAAGCTGAATACTATTGCTTCCTGAGGGAAGGAACACTTTTCCTCACATGGTAGAATAGCAGAGGAGAGTGAACTTACTTTGACAAGCTCTTTTCATTGTGACATTCATCCATTCATGAAAATGAGAGCCTTCATGACCTAAACATCTTTCAGAAGGCTCCACTTCCCAACATTGTTGCTTTGGGAATTAAGTCTCAACATGAATTTTGGAGGGGCAAAAACATGGAAACCATTGCGAGGGAATTCTGGGATCCTTAGTTCTACTTACCTTAGGCAAGTTGACATCACAAACTCCGTTTCACTATATCACTTGAATTTTGTCTGAATTCAACTGAATTTCAGATATGTAAGCCCTGCAGCAACAAAGATGAGAGAATATTTTATGACACTATAAGATTGTCCATGTCTTCTTGTACTCTGAATTGAGCTGAGAATTTGTACTTTGAGCCTAATATTTTCACCTTAAATTCTTGATTGTAATTATAAGCAATTGACCTACTCCTCTCTTCTTATACGTATTCCGTGAGTCCCCATAATTGTTTACTGCACCAGCCACTTGATGCCCCAAAGGTTGTTTTCAATACACTTCATGCAGGAAACCGCAGGATTTAATGTAACTGTTTTGAGTGTCCTGCAATTCCAGAGTCCAGTCCCTTTTTCTAAGGTTAATGGATTCTCACACTCTTCAAACAAACCCGGAGAAACAATCTGTAAATTCTTATTTTCTTGGAGTCTGTAACAGGGAACTACGACAGATTCCATTTATTATGTTAATGAGCATTCTCAATTTACAGGCAATAGAATTGTTTGTACCATATTTAAACATGAAGAAGTTTATTGAGGCATAGGTGGCCCAAAGCAGCATTAAGAAGATTAAAGGCTACGCTTCTAGGACTGATTCCCAAAATCTCACCATAGAGTTGTGTAGAGAAGAGAGCTTCTGCCTCTCACCACTGTCAGAATGTTGTTGAATCAAATTGCTGCTGTCTAGGACTTCGCACACCATCACTACATGATCTGTATCAGCAAAGAGGCTTCCTCATATAGCCAAGTAACTCAGCTCTGAATCTAAGTCTTGAAGATACAGACACAACTCTCAGCTTTAAATGAAGTATCAAGTATCCTTTCTGCAAAAAAGGGTATCAGAAATGTAGTATGTAGTTTTCTTGCCTCTTCAATTCAAAAGGTTCTTCCAGATATTTTGGGGAGTAGTTACTAAGCATTTCACACCCAGTGGTTACTAAACTAATCTTAGCCAATCAGCTGCCTACTTTGAGTTACGATTAAGTGATGCAAATAATGAGAGGCAACAGAGATTCCTTTCTCGATGAAGCAGTAGCAGCAAACATTTTTAAGGCCCAGCATTGCTGGCAGAGTGTCAGTTCGGAGCCAAGTGTCCCAGTGCAAGCTATGGACTTCAGGGCTCAGCTGCAGCTTCAGAGTCAGCATTGCTCTCGCCATCCTAATTGTGCAGCATGATTTGGCTGTGACTGGCTCCATAACCTCCTTTTTGTGATACTCAGTTTCCAAAATAGATTCTGCATAGTTTTCCAGAATTTTTGAGCTACACAATACTCTTTTTCTTTTTCTTTTTTTTTTGTTTAAATAAGCTAAGATTTCTATTGGTTTCAATTAAGTGTCCTACATGTTACAAATGGAATGATGTTTAAGCTTTCTAATTGCTACAGAAAACATTATCAATACAAATGATTTGTAGTTTTCTACTGACAGATTATTGTCAGAAGAATGGGTTAGCAGGACCATCAATGACACGCCTTTTAAAATGTGTAATTATCATTTTGTATGTATTTTATAGACTTGTATTATATATAACATGTAGATTTTAGATTGTATTCACAATTCTCTTAAATTGAATTCATATGCACATTTTGTATAAATATTGCTATAATCTCACCTATATGATCTGTGTATCACTTATTATAAGTTAACCATATATTTCCTCAGAACTTTTGAAAGAGAATATGGGTCGAGCATGGTGGTTCACACATGTAATCCCAGCATTTTGGGAGGCCGAGGTGGGCAGATCACCTGAGGTCAGGAGTTCAAGACCAGCCTGGCCAACATGGCAAAATCCCGTCTCCACTAAAAAATAAAAATAAAAATAATTAGCCAGACATGATGGCGGGTGCCTATAATCCCAGCTACTTGGGAGGCTGAGGCAGGAGAATCAGGATGCAGAGGTTGCAGTGAGCTGAGATTGTGCCACTGCACTCCAGCCTGGGTGACAGAGTGAGACTCTGTCTCAAAAAATAAAAATAAAAAATAAAAGAGAGTATGCAGTATGGTAGATATGACCTATAACTGAAAGTAAGAAAATGAGGGTCTGAAAAATCACTTAAGTTCTCCCATTTTCAAATTTCTCACCTATTAATTGGGTATTAAATGATCTCTAAAAAACTATCTAAAATTCTTAAACTGCATAATTTTAAGATGTAAATGATTATCACATTAAAGCAAGTTGCAAAAAATATAAAGTTGTATGTATCAATCAAAATGTGTATATGTTATTGCTCAGGAAAGATATCACTTTGTCATTATTTTGTACCCAATATTTTGGTTATGATGTGAATTAACTTATTTCCTGAAAGCAATTCACCAAAAACTGATTTGTCATTTGTTCCCAAACTTGCCCTGTTCTTGTTGATTCCATTTCTTGCTCATGCCTGCTCTGCTCTGTGGCATAAGGGCTGATTTCTGCTGGCTGTAGTTCCCAGTTTGTCCTGTCAACTGACTTGCAGCTGAACTCAGCTGTGCCTTCCAAATTATAGGGCAGGAGGAAGGCAAAAATGAGTGAGCCTCTCATTCTCTGCCTCTGTCTCTTTCTCTCTTTCTCTCCCTCTTTCCCTTGAATAGCATCTCTTGCAACTGCTTTGGAATAATTTTTAAAACTTTTAAATCTTTCAATAGCAATTGTAGGAACAACGTTCACCAAAAATTGGCTCATGTGGTATGTATAACAATAGTTAAATATAATAATTTTCAAAAAATGTTATATAATAGTTTTTTAAAAATGTTCTCACTTATTTTATTACACCCAAAGATTTGATTTCAGAAAAGGAATATTGAAATGGCAGAAATGCTTTGATGGGCATTTCACAGACATTATTTTCATTGGAATAAATATGCTTCGATGACCAGTAAATACCAAAATTGTGAAATACTTTTCAACAGGCATGATTTGTATACTCTATAGAGTAGTATCACCGTCATCATTATACATTGAATATGTCATTGTAATGTAAAAAGTAGGAGAATCTCTTGAAGATGAGCTATTTTTCTCATATGCAATCTCTCAATTGTTGCAAATACAGTTAAACGTAACTACTTAAATGTGTTAACCTAAAACTTAAACTATAATTTAATGTATGAATTCATTTCTAGGTTTTTCCTTATCTCTTAAGTAAAGTCTAGCATCATCGTACTACACCTAAAACTGTTCTCTATAGGCATTCTCAAGTTTAAGTTCCCTATTTTAACACAATTAAATTTTAAAGTTTGTTTCTGTATTACTTATTGTTTCAATAAAATTGTACAGGCATACCACATTTTATTGCACTTTGCAACTATTTCATTTTTCATAAATTGAAGGTTTGTGGCAACCCTGAGTCAAGCAAGTCTATTGGCACCATTTTTCCAATAGGATGTGCTCGCTTTGTGTCTTTATGTAACATAACAGGAAATTGTTGAAATATTTCAATCTTTATTATTGTTATTATCATATCTATTATAGTGATCTGTATTTGATACTATTGTAATTATTTTAGTGAGCCACAAACCATACTCTTCTGGGAAGGCAAACTCAACCAGTAAATGTTGTGTGGGTTCTGGCTGCTCCACTGACCAGCTGTTCTCTGTCTCTCTCCCTCTCAAGACCTCTCCCAGGGTCTCCCTATTCCCTGAGACACACTGATATTGAAATTATGGCAATTAATAACTCTCCAATGGCCTCTAAGTGTTCGGCGAAAGGAAGAGTCACATGTCTGTGTTTTTAATCAAAAGCTCGAGATGATTAAGTTTACTGAGAAAGACATGTTGAAAGCTAAAACAGGTTGACAGCTGGGCCGTTTGTGCAAAAAGTTAGCCAACTTGTGAAGGCATAGGAAATGTTCTTGAAGGAAAATAAAAGTGTTTCTCCAGTGAATACACAAATTTTAAGAAAGTAAAATGTATTGCCAAAATGGAGAATGTTTCAGTGGCCTGGATAGAAGATCGAACTAGCCACAACATTCTCTTAAGTCAAAGTCTAATCCGCCGTAAGGCTCTAAATTTCTTCAGTTCTGTGAACGCTGAGAGAAGTGTGGAAGCTGCGGAAAAACATTTGAACCTAACTAAGATTGGTTCATGAGGTTTAAGGAAAGAAGCCATTTTCATAACATAAAAGTGAAATGTGAAGAATAAGTGCTGATGTAGAAGCTGCTTCAAGGTATGCAGAAGATCATTGATGAAGATTGGCTATGCTTAAACAAACAAACAAACAAACAAACACATTTTCAATGTAGATAAAGCAGCCATACATTGGAAGAAGATGCCATTAAGGGTTTTTATAGCTAGAAAGCTGAAGTGAATGCTTGGCTTTAAAGCTTCAGAGGACAGGCTAACTCTCTCCTTAGGGGAAACTGGTGACTTTAAGTAGAAGCCAATGCTCATTTACCATCCCAGAAACTCTAGGGCCCTTAAGATTTATGCTAAATCTGCACTGCATGTTCTCTCTAAAGGGAATAAGAAAGCCTAGATGACAACACATCTGTTTATAGCATGATTTACTGAATTTGTGAAGCTCATGGTTAAAACTTACTGTTTAGAAAAAATATTCTTTTTAAAATATTACTGCTTATTAGCAATGTACCTGGTCACCCACAATATCTCCAAAGTATACCTGTGTTATACATTCTGCATTCATTTTCTATTGCTGCCATAACAAATTACCACATACATAGCAGCTTAGAATAACACCCATTTGTTATTTCACTGCTCTTTATTTCAGAAGTTCAGATGGGCTGAGCTGAATATTCTGCTAAGGGTCTCACAAAGCTGTATTCAAAATGTCAGTCAATTTGTAGTCTTCATTGAAGGCTTTGTGGGAGAATCACTACCAGGTTTATTCAGGTTTTTGGAAGAATTCAATTTCATTCTGTTGTAGGATTGAGGTGCACCTTTCCTTGACCAGGGAGCTAACAGTCTGTCAGGGGTTATTTTCAGCTTCTTGAGACCTCCCATATCCCTTGGCTTGTGGCCCCCTCCATTTTCAAAACCAGCAGTGATGTGATGAATATCTCTGACTTCTGCTTTTTCCATTGACTTCAACTCTGCTCATATACAGGAGAAAGCTTTGCTTCTAAGAGCTCATGTGATTATTTCATACCTATTTAGGTAATCCAGAATAACTTCCCTAGTTTAAGGGAACTCAATTACATCTGCAAAGTTCTTTCACCATGTATTGTAACATATTTATGGGCATGACACCAGATGGCAAAGGTCATGGGAATCAAAATTCTACCTACTACGCATATTCTATTAGAGAAAAGATAGATGTGTTAAAACAATAATCTAGGCAAATCTTAGAAGAATAGAAAAAGAGAAAAATAATGGAAAATTAAAAATGATGGAAGATTAAATAGAAGATTATAGAAGGATTTAATATGTGAGTATACCATATATTTTGAGAGATTAGATAAAGCAGAATTTGAAACATCTGTTGAACTACAGGACCCTGTTTTTGGCAAATACCTTTAAGAACAACAGTTTTATGGTATAGAATTTTAGAAATACTGGTATAAACAAATCCCATATATGAATGTAGATGCTAAATTCCTTAATATAATATTAACATGTAAAATAAAGTAATCTCTTAAAATAATTTACCATAGTCAAATATTTATTTAGCTCAAGAACCTAATGATGATTTAATATTGATATTAATATCAATACATTATAAAATATGGATAGGACTAATGATTCCAACAGACATAAAAAAACTCAATAAAATCCAATGCCATACTTAATAAGGAAATTCTCTCAAAATATTATAGTATATGTATTCTTATGTAGCAGAGTGAGGAATGTGTAGCTCGTACTAATAGCCAAAATGACAGTGTGCAGTTACATCATACTAATATTAAAAAGAAGCAAGGAAGTCTGCTTTAAATATTATTAGTTACCATTTTTTAGAAAATGATCACTAATGCAATTGAAAGTGAAATACAAAAAACAATTTAAAAAGCCTTCTTCAAATCCTATAACCTCAATTATCCAGTGAGGATCAAAATACTTCTTTCATGTACTTGCATTGTTTCTTCACTTCCTTCAAATAGAGGTTGCTGAGTTTTAGGATATTTATTCTAAGTGTATCCATTAATTTTTCTGATACTTGTGCAACCAACATTGATTCCTTCATTACATGCATTCCTACCATTTCTTTTCATTTTATTTCAAACTCAGACGTTTTGCTTTCTGAATACATTCCTCCCTTAGGTAGGATTCCTCACAGAGTAAGATAAGAAGTTAATAATTTTGGGGTCTGAAAAAGTAATCTATTATTCGAACAAAATCTCTCCATCTTCATCTAACTAAATATAATACTTATGAGCAGTTGGTTCCATTCCATCAGACAAAAATCAAACACATGCTGGATTATATTATTGTTTCCCTGCCTATTTCCCATTTAGGTAGTCTCAGCTATAACTTCCATTGGGCTCATAACCCAAGAAATTTCTCAGACATGTTCTGTGAAGAAACATGCCATGGTCTCCCTTCCTCCTCCAATAATTACATCATCTTGAAAGTCATCTAACACTGCTTAAAGTATGTGTTTGTGATATAACACATAATCTCTTCCCAATTATATCTAATTCATTGTGTAACCACCCAATATAGATTATTTTCATCAAAGAATATTTCTATACCATGACTTTAATGAGGATATTTCATTCATTTCTTGAATCCAAGCTCCCTGAGATCCATGAACCATCTCCTTCTTCTCACTTTAAACTTACTTGCATGCTAGTCAGCATTTATGTTCCTGTAATAGTAAAAATAATATTATCTTCTCTTTCTTGATATAACCCTTAGAGTACTGAGATATGTTCATACTTCAATTTTTTCTCTTTAGCCTGACCACCAAGATTTCTTATATCTTCCTTGTTTCCTCCAGCTTCTATTCGGAGTTAAAAAGTCAAATCCCATTTGTGTGTGTATTATTTTAGCTTCTTGTTTGCTTGGGCTTATTTGATTTTTGAAATTCTGTTTCCTCTTGAGATTTTTTAGATATGCAATTGCTAGTTTCAGAGTATACAGATGCAATACTTCTTTAAATATTTATAAAATATGTTAAACTTTAATAGGTCCAAAATACAATTCATGCTTACAAAATAAGGCTTCTGCAATGAGCTTTGTGTTTTTATAAACTTTATCACACATCAACCATCTGAGTTTCTAAAATCAAAATGATGGTGGCTAATAGGAATGGGTCACAGAGAGAGGTGCTGTGTTCTGATGATCTGAGTTCAAGTTTCTCTAAAATTTGTACTTCATTGTACATTTCCAAAAAATAATAATAATAAAGCTAATGGGTAGAATTTGGGATCTGGTGCCATCTAAAATGTTTATTTTTAACAATCTCAAAGCCAAAGTTTTATACACTTAATAGTATGATGCAATGTCATACATAACTAATTATATGCTTCTGAATAAAATAAATAATAAAGGGGTAATGTAAACAAAACCTCTACACAGTTTAAAATCACCAATATTGAATTAATCTTACATTACATATAAGTTACTGTATGTTCCCTTTTCCTGGCTTTCCATGAAGGAATTTGAAATCCCTGGAGATGTGGAAGGATACTTCTAATTCAAATTAGCAAGAGAGTTATACTGATTGAAAGAATTAATTTTTTATCTCCTTACAAGAGAAAATCCTCACTAGTTTTGAAGTCTCCAACAAATCTATCATGGCCTGCGCTCAAAGATTCCAGATAAATCCATGTTCCGTTTATGAAAAGCCTACTTCTATTGGGCCCACATGAACTGAAAAACAGCTGCCACCTTTCCAAACATATGAGGTCCATAATATAATGATCATAATATTTTTTGTGCCACCTGGCATACCCCATCAGCTCATCTCTGATTTCAATTGTGATGTGGTTTACAGCCTCCTGAAAGCTCAAACCTACTCTGATATTGTGCCCCATATTATCTTGATAAGGGGTACCATTTTTTTTCTCGGTGCCTTCTCTTTAGCTGCGGGAACTTGCTCACAGGGAAACTAAACTTGGAAGTGTGGGGAGTAAATGCCCATCTTCCAATAACAATTGATAAATGGTGGGCAGGCATTAACTGACAAATGTCTCAGATGTTTTTCAGTTGGTGCTATGCACTGACTTTTTTTTCTCCAAAATTCAGATGCTGAAGCCTTAAACCCAATGCAACTTGTTTGAATATAGCACTTCTAAGAAGGTAATTAAGGTTAAATGAGGTCATAAACATGGGACCCTAATCCAATAGAATTGGTGGCCTAATAAGAAGAATCAGAGAGAGAAGTATACACATACATACAAAAAAGCCATGGGAGCACATGAAGAAATGGCAGTGACCTACAAGCCAAAGAAGAGGCTTCAGAATAAAACCTACCATGCTGGCACCTTGATCTTGGATTTCCTATCCTCCAGAGCTGTAAGAAGTTATATTTCTGTTGTTTAAACCACAGAGTCCATGGTATTATATACGACAGCCCTAGCAGACTAATGCAGTTGTTGTCTTAGTCAGCTTGGGCTGCTCTAAGAAATATACAATAGATTGGGTCAAACAACAAACATTTATTTCACACTTTATTCTAGAGTCTGAGAAGTCCAGGATCGAGGTGCTGGAAGATTTGGTGTCCAATGAAGGTACTCTTTCTGGTTTACAGAAGCCTGTCTTCTTATTATATTTGCACATAGTGGTAAGAGCAGAGAGGGGAAGCAAGCTCTCTCTGGGGCCCCTTATCATAAAGGCACTAATCTTATTAATAAGGGCTTCATCCTCTTCACCCGTTTGTCTCCCAAAGGCCTTATCTCCTAATACCATCACATTGTGGGTTAGAATTTTAACATAAAAATGTTGCCCCCTCTTTCTCTGTTTGCCACCACTAAAGGAGGAAATCAACAGCAGATTAGAAAAGTCCTCTGTGTCATCAGACAGCTTCCTGGATACCAGCTGCTGGTCCTCCTATATATCCCTGAATCGGAGAACATGGAACTTTAGCTTTTGCTTTTGGAGTACCGTGCCATTGGCCTTCTTCAGGTTTTTGTATTCTTTGTAGTTATTCTTCTGAGTATATAATTTATTAATAAGCAAAACTTGTATGAGTTTGCTAGAACTGTATCAAAAAGTACCACAGACTAGGTGGCTTAAAAAAACAGAAATTCATTTCTCATAGTCCTGAATGCTAGAAATCCAAGGTCAAGGTGCCAGCAGGGTTGATTTCCTCTGAAGCCTCTCTCCTCTGCTTGCAGACAGCCACCACCTCTCTGTGTCCTCACATGGTCTTTACTCTGTAAGTATGCAATCCTGGTGCTTCTTTGTGTGTCCAAATTTTCACTTCTTATAAGACGTATTAGGCTTCTTCAGAGAAACAGAACTAAAAGGAGATACACACACATACAAACACACACACACACACACACACACACAGATAGAGATAGAAATAGAGAGATTTATCATAAGAAATTGATTCACATGATTATGAAAGTGACAAAACCCAATTGCTGCAGTCAGTAAGCTGGAATCCCAGAAATTTCAATGGTACGATTCCAGTTCAAGTCCAAAGGGAGGAGAATTAGGAGAGCTGATAGTGCAAATTCTAGTCTGAGTCCAAAGGCGGGAAGAATTCAATGTCCCCACTCAAAACTGTTAGGCAGACAAAGTGAATTCTCTCTTACTCAGCTTTTTTGTTCTATTGAGACCTTCAACAGGTTGAATAAGGCTTATCCACATAAGAGGGCAATTTGTTTTACTTGGTCTACCAATTTAAATGTTAATCTCATCCATAAACACCATCACAGACACACCCAAAATAATGTTTGACCAAATATCTGGGCACCCAATGGACCTGTCACATTGAAAAATAAAATTAACTATCACATGAGAATATCAGTCAGATCGGATTAGGGCCCACTGTAAGGCCTCATTTTATCTTAAACACCTGATTAATGGCCTTATCAAGAAATACACTCACATTCTGTGGTACTGGGAGTTAGGAATTTTACATATATATATATATGTAAATATAAATATAGCATATAGGGGACACAATTCAGCTTATAAATGAACATAAGAGAGAATATAATAGTTTTTAAAAAATGAAAACAAACTTCTCACAGTAATATTGTGGACATAATTAAGATTTTAAGCATTGTATTTATCACTCCTAGAAATTTCTTCAGGTAGCATATCGCATACACACTAACATTAAGAATTAAATATGTAAGTGTACGTGTGGGTGTGAGGATGTAATGGGCTTGTCTAACATATATAAGCATGTGTTACTATGTGTCAGTATAGTTCCTATTGAATATGTTATTGAACTTGCTAGAATAATTATAAACAAAGCAGAAGACACAGTGATGCATAGGATTACAAAATGAAAAACAATTACACCGAAGTAAAGTCATTCAAATACCAAATAAAACCCTTGATATAGTAGCATATGAACATCTTTATTAATACATTCAGTAACAAGATCAAGTAGTGGGTTTAGTAGATACTGCAATTTTGAGGTAGTGCTAAGTTAGATTCTATTTTGAGAGATGTCTGGTTTATATTAGTGACAAATTCATAGATACATTAATACTACTGTCTCTTATCATCTACAATAGCAAATGCTAATCTTCAAGTAAAGATGTGTGAAATAAAATACGTGTTTTTTTTTTCTCATCCACATTCTTGGAGCTTCATGAACTCCAAGTTCATGGAGTAAAGATATTTTAACCATGTCTTTACTCTGCTGTGTTGTCCACCAGAGTTTGTGTTACAGATTAAGAAATAGAGTGACTCTGTGTTTGTTTATGATTGAAAATAAATTCTGGTTTCATATTTCAGGATTTGGGTTTTGGGAGAATAATAAATAATGATGTGAGTATATGTCTCTCAAAATTAGGGAGAATACAGCACCTACTCAGCATAGCTATTTATGAGGTAAATATAAAGTTATTTCAATGGAGCTGTAAAGCATAAATACTCAATTAATGCTAGATACTGTTGTTAATCATCTTATTTCCATCTTAAATATGAGAAATCTCAGGCTTAGAATAGTTGGATAACTCACTCATTTATGTACAGCAATAATGGTGAGGACAAAATCTGAACACAGGCAGTCTGCCATACTCTTAATTATTATTCTCCTCACATGCAGAAAATGGGGCTTTTTTGAATCACACACTCGAAACTGAGCATGACACTTCAACTTAGATGCTGCTAAATTGGCACTATAAGATCAATAACTCTGTCTTGTTTATACCTTAATTAAAAGGAAATCTCACCACCACCTGCGTCCTTACAATCTGCATCCTGGAAAAATAACATGGTGAGGCCTGGTGGGCAACACAGCAGAGCAGAGCCAGCAGCCTCTGAGTCCTCAGAGCCAGGAGGCTTCAGAGCGTGCAGCTCCTTGCAGGGAAACACAGCAGCAGCAGCCTCAGCATGCCACATTAACCATCCATATGCAGGGACACCATATGAATTTTGTGTTATGTCCTGGCAACTTAAAATCCATTCTTATGATAAAGGGGTTTGAGATCTTTTGTCTCATTTTTGGAATTCTTATAGAATAAAAATCACCTGCATATTCCAAAAAGAAAGGAAGAATAGCTTGAAGAACAAGGTTGGAATCCTATAAACAGGTTTGGCCATTATGAACCAAGTATGGTAGTGCTACTGCTCTTCTGGGATTATTTTATTTATTTATTTATTCTTCATTTATAAATCAGAGATCAGAATGAAAAATTAACCTCATAGCAGTTACAGAGGAGTCACTGCCTTTTTCCCTTGAACAGGGGCCATCTTAACTCTTGAACTTGAAACTTGCTTCAAATACAAGGATTGGAAATTCTTTAATGAGTATTTAACTGCATTCTCTTTTGGAGTTGCATGCCAATGTCACACTTAAATCAAACAGGGCTCCTACATCTTTGAATGGTTAGATTTTCTTTGAGATTTCCAGTTATTTCCAGTTATTATAATCTGACAATCCTCAGAAATATTACTGGACAGCAGAGCTGCTGTGGTGCACACATGTAGGGAGACTCCTTCAATTAATATCTACATGAATTATGTCATCTGGAGTTATGCAGTGCAAAAACTTCATGGCCATAGACTGAGTCCCCACTTGCCAGCCTGTTTTGTATTATGGATACCCTGGTTGCTATGGATTCTAGTTAGATTGCCAAAAAAGAGGCAGAACAAATGGGACAATCTAAAGCAGCCATTTGATAAACTATTTAAGGAATAGGTACTTTTAGTTGTAATACTCACATTAATTAATTTTTAAAGATGATATAGAAAGTAATCCATTATCATCAGGTTATTTTTAATAGTATACTTAATATGATGATAATTATTAATGTCACAGTGTTACAATTATACATGTATAAATTAGTCAAATAATTTTTAGGTACAATATTTGATTTTCTTTAGAATATCAATGTGTTGTCTATTTTTGTCACATTATATTTTCATACATATTTCCAAACTAGACTTTAATAATATTGAAACAATTTATAATTATACCAAACTAGTCTTTAATAAAGTTGAACCAATTTATAATTAAAGAAAACAAAAATAAAGTGTCCATTTGTAAATTAACCAACACCCCATTATTTTAAAAATGCTCAAATTTGCCTTTTCCTACCTAGATATAACAGCTGAAGCCCCAGAATGAAGAGAATAGTCCTAAAGAATGCTACTGTAACATCTTTGCTAGAGATTCAAAACAGTAGCTCAGAAAAGGTTTGGCAGCCCTTACAGTTCATCACCAAATTTTATCTTAAATATAAGAGTATGAAAAAAGATTAAATAGAAATTGTCAGTGAGTGAGAATTTCTTTGAAGATAGTGCTCTGAAGACTTCCCAAATACCCATTACTGCCTTAGCCATCTAAGCAAGTCTGAACAGACTTCCTAAGCCATGGCCTGTGCAACAGGAAACACTGGGTTTTGTGCCTGACATCAGAATGCAAAAAAGTGAAAAACAGAAGTCAGATAGGAATGCCTGTCATGGTTGAAGAAAAGAAATGAAGAAGATTGGTAACAATTCTTCTTTGAATGTCTGATAGAATTCTGTGGTGAATCCGTCTGGTCCTGGACATTTTTGTCGATAATTTTTAAATTATTATTTCAATCTCACTGCTTGTTATTGGTGTGCTCAAGTTATTTAATTCTTCCTGATTTATGCTAGGAGGGTTGTATTTTTCCAGGAATTTATCCATCTCTTCTAGGTTTTCTAGTTTATATGTGTAAAGGTGTTCATAGTAGCTTTGAATGATCTTTTGTAAATCAGTGGTGTCAGTTGTAATGCCTCCTGTTTGTTTCTTAATGAGGTTATTTGGATTTTCTCTCTTCTTTTCTTGGTTAATCTTGCTAATAGTTTATCAATTTTATTTATCTTTTCAAAGAACCAGCTTTGTGTCTCATTTATCTTTTGTGCTGTTTTGTTTCAATTTCATTTAGTTCTGCTCTGATCTTGGTTATTTCCTTTCTTCTGCTGGATTTGGGTTTGGTTTGTTCTTGTTTCTCTATTTCCTTGGGGTGTGACCTTAGAATGTCAATTTGTGCACTTTCAGTCTTTTTGATGTAGGTTTTTAGGGCTATGAACTTTCCTCTTAGCACCGCCTTTGCTGTATTCCAGAGGTTTTGGTATGTTGTGTCATCATTGTCATTCAGTTCAAAGAATTTTTTAATTTCTATCGTGATTTTGTTTCTGATCCAATGTTCATTCAGGAGCAAGTTATTTAATTTCTATGTATCTGCATAGTTTGGAAGGTTCTTTTTGGAGTTTATTTCCAGTTTTATTCCACTGTGGTCTGAAGGAGTGCTTGATATAATTTAAATTTTCTTAAATTTATTGAGGCTTGTTTTATGGCCTATCATATGGTCTATCTTAGAGAAAGTTCCATGTGCTCTTGAATAGAATGTGTATTCTGCAACTGTTGGATGAAATGTTCTGTACGTATCTGTGAAGTCTATTTGTTCTAAGGCATAATTTAAATCCATTGTTTATTTGTTGGCTTTCTGTCTTGATGACCTGCCTAATGCTGTCAGTGGAGTATTGAAGTCCCTTACTATTACTGTGTTGCTGTCTATCTCATTACTTAGGTCTATTAAGAATTGTTCTATACATTTGGGAGCTCCAGTGTTAGGTGCATTCATGTCTAGGATTGTGATATTTTACTGTTGGACAAGGACTTTTACCAATCCTTTTGACACTATTCCATAAATTAGAGAAAGAAGGAAACCTCTCTAATTCATTTCATGAAGTCAGAATCACCCTAATACCAAAACCAGGAAAGAACATAACCAAAAAAGAAAACTACAGACCGATATCCTTGATGAATACAGATGCTAAAATTCTTAACAAAATACTAGCTAACTGAATCCAACAACGTATCAAAAAGATAATCCACCATGATCAAGTGAGTTCCATACTAAGGATGCAGGGATGCTTTAATATATGCAAGTCAATAAATGTGATACACCACATAAACAGAATTAAAAACCAAAATCACATGATCATCTCAATAGATGAAAAAAAAGCATTCAACAAAAATCCAGCATCCATTTATGATTAAAACTCTCAGCAAAATCGGCATACAAGGCACATACTTTAATATAATAAAAGCTATCTATGACAAACCCACAGCAAACATAATACTGAATGGGGAAAAGTTTAAAGCATTCCCTCTGAGAACTGGAACAAGACTAGGATGCCCACTCTCACCACTTCTCTTCAACATATTACTGGAAGTTGTAGCCAGAGCAATCAGACAAGACAAGGAAATAAAGGGCATCCAATTCGGTAAAGAGGAAGTCAAACTGTCACTGCTGACAATATGATAGTTTACCTGGAAAACCCTAAAGATTCCTGCAGAAAGATCCTAGAACTGATAAAAGAATTCAGCAAAGTTTCTGGATACAAGATTATTGTACACAAATCAGTAGCTCTTCTATACACCAAGAGCGACTAAGCAGAGAATCAAATCAAGAACTCAACCCCTTTTAAAATAGTTGCAAAAAAAAAAAAAAAAAAAAAAGACTTAGGAATATACCTAACCAAGGAGTCAAAACGCCTCTACAAGCAAAACTACAAAACACTGCTGAAAGAAATCATAGGTAACACAAACAAATGGAAACACATCCCATGCTCATGGATGGGTAGAATCAATGTTGTGAAAATGACCATACTGCCAAAATCAATCTACAAATTCAATGCAATCCCCATCAAAATACCACTATCATTCCTCACAGAATTAGAAAAAACAATTCTAAAATTCATATGGAACCAAAAAAAAAAAATGAGACAGAGAAAAAAGAAAAAGCCCGCATAGCTAAAGCAAGACTAAGCAAAAAGAACAAATCTGAAGGCATCACGCTACCTGATTTCACGCTGTACTATAAGGCCATAGTCACCAAAACAGTGTGGCACTGGTATAAAAATAGGCATATAGACCAATGGGACAGAATAGAGAACCCAGAAATAAACCCAAATACTTACAGCCAACTGATCATTAACAAGCAAACAAAAACATAAAGTGGGGAAAAGACACCCTATTCAACAAATGGTGCTGGGTAATTGGCTAGTCACATGTAGGAGAATGAAACTGGATCCTCATCTCTCACCTTATACAAAATCAACTCAAGATGGATCAAGGACTTAAATCTAGGACATGAAGCTATATAAATTCTAGAAGATAATATTGGGAAAACCCTTCCAAAAATTGGCTTAGGCAAGTATTTCATGACCAAAAACCCAAAAGCAAATGGAATAAAAGCAAAGATAAATAGTTCGGACCGAATTAAACTAAAGAGCTTTTGCATGGCAAAAGGAATAGTCAGCAGAGTAAACAGACAACCCACAGAGTAGGAGAAAATCTTCCCGATCTATATATCTGACAAAGGACTGATATCCAGAATCTACAACAAACTCAAATCAGTAAGAAAAAAAAATCCCATCAAAAAGTAGGCTAAGGACATTAATAGACAATTCTCAAAAGAAGATATACAAATGGCCAACAAACATATGAAAAAATCCTCAACATCACTAATGATCAGGGAAATGCAAGTCAAAACCATAATACAATACCACCTTACTCCTGCAAGAATGGCCATAATAAAAAAAAAAATAAAACAACAGGTATTGGTATGAATGTGGTGATCAGGGAATACTTCTACACTGCTGGTAGGAATGTAAACTAGTACAGCCACTATGGAAAACAGTGTGGAGATTCCTTATAGAAGTAAAAGTAGAACTACCATTTGATCCAGCAATCCCACTACTGGGTATCTACCCAGAAGAAAAGAAGTCATTATTCGAAAAAGATACTTGCACACGCATGTTTACAGCAGCCCAATTCACAACTGCAAAATGGTGGAACCAACCCAAATGCCCATCAGTCAAAGAATGGGTAAAGAAACCGCAGTATACATATATAAAGGAATACTGCTGAGCCATGAAAAGGAATGAATTAATGCATTTGCAGTGACCTAGATGAGATTGGAGACTATTATTCTAAGTGAAGTAACTCAGGAATGGAAAAGCAAACATGGTATGTACTCAATGATATATGGCAGCTAAGCTATGAGGATGCAAAGGCATAAGAATGATACAATGGTCTTTAGGGACTTGGGGGGAAGAGTGAGAGGGAGCGAGGAATAAGACTACAAATATGGAGCAGTGTATACTGCTCAGGTGATGGGTGCACCAAAATCTCACAGATCACCACTAAAGACCTTACTCATGTAACCAAATACCACCTGTACTCCCATAACTTATAGAAAAAAATTAAAATAAAAAGAATTAAAAAAGAAATGAAGAGGATTGCGGTGGGTGCATCTTGCATTTTCAGTTCCTAGTTATGCAAAGCAAAGGTGCAAACATTTTCCCAAGGACAACATGGACACCAAAGCCTGAGTCATTCAACAGGCAATTTGAGAATCTCTAAAAGAGATTTGCCTACCAGAGGGAATCAGAAAGGCTGATTTCCTTTTTTATTAGAAAGGCTGTTTGACTTGTCCAAGGAATGCATGGGGGAGATTTAAGAAGTTAGCTAGAGGTTGCCTTGCCAGGAGACTTGAAGAACAGTAATAATAGCGTCAGCCACATACAATTTTGTCTTTTTCATCACATGTCCCCTCTGATCCTGATTCTGCAGGAGGACTGAAATAGTGCGTAGAGAGTATGGGAAAAGGTGAAATATAAAAGAGGATAGAAATGATCTGTGCTGACATTTCTTCCTGAAAATTTCAGAGCCTAGACCAGGCCTAAGCTGGGAGAGTAGGTGAGAATTGCGTAGGAATTTAACAAAGTGGGAAGCACTTTAAATAGCATGAGAGATTGAAATTTTTATATTAGATTGTATTGATATTACATTATATTGATATTATATATTCTTAAACCTGAAAATGAGACTGCTTATAAACAAATAAAATTCATCAGAAAAGATAAGAACTATGCCAAAGATATCAAATGACAGAGAAGGTTTAAAATGTAGTGATGAAAAAGAATATTTGACAATTACCTTTATAATCAGAAAGCCTTTTTCTTTGTAAGCTATTAGAATTCTGATACCATATTGTTTCCATTTCTTTTTAAGGGAATTATTTTTCCAAATTTATTTTTTAACCTGTTACTTCATGTATTTCATTTTGATTTCTAATTATTTTTAAATGAAATAATCCCTAATTTCTCAAGTTTCTAGAAAATGTGTAAGGGTTTTTGATTTTTGTTCTAATAGTAAGCATTTCATAATACTTTCTGTCTCTGATTGTTTGGTGCTAAATTTCTTGCCATGTTTTATCCTATAGATTACAAAAAATAAATATCCAGTGATCCTTTTACTGTCTTTTAAAAATTCCTTAAAGGAGGATATTTTTAATAACTGTCATTTTCCAAAAAGTGGTACGGAGATAGTTTCATTATCTCCTAATGAAAAGGCACAATTGTCTCATAGAACGAACACTTATAATTTTTTGAATAAACATATAAATTGGCCCTTCCTAGTCTTAAAACTTAAAATTTATATTTGTCTCATTTAAATTCCTTCATCAGGAAACCAATCCTCAGGCAAGGAAGTGAAACTTACTGTTAATCGCATCCAGAGAATGAGATGCCAGAACCCTCACCCATCATGATTGCTTCCTTACTTACCCCTCCCTAATTCCTGCTTTCTGAGCTTCCCAGCTATTTCATGTATAAATCCCTCAACTTTAGTTGGCTGGGGAGATGGATCTGAGAAATTATCTCCCATTATCCTTGGCTGCAGCAACCAATTAAAGTCTTCTTCCCTGGAAATACTTATTGGCTCAGAGAGAAGAAAAAAAAAAAAACATTGTTTTTCTTTGCTGTTGCTCATTATTTCCATAGCTGTCTTCTTCAGCTGCAATGCTGGAATGAATTCCATTGAATATCAGTGTTGGGCATTTTTTTTTTTTTTTTTTTTTTTTTTTTTTTGAGACGGAGTCTCGCTCTGTCGCCCAGGCTGGAGTGCAGTGGCGGGATCTCGGCTCACTGCAAGCTCCGCCTCCCGGGTTCACGCCATTCTCCTGCCTCAGCCTCCGAAGTAGCTGGGACTACAGGCGCCCGCCACTACGCCCGGCTAATTTTTTGTATTTTTAGTAGAGACGGGGTTTCACCGTTTTAGCCGGGATGGTCTCGATCTCCTGACCTCGTGATCCGCCCGCCTCGGCCTCCCAAAGTGCTGGGATTACAGGCGTGAGCCACCGCGCCCGGCCATTTTTTTTTAAAAATATGCATTAATTTATGCATCCTTGCTAAATATGTAATCATCCAGAATTTGAAACATATACTTTTAGTCAACACCTTTGTGAAAATTTATCACCCTTTTATTATTATTTCCATTTGAAGAATTGCAGAATAAAAAAACTTACTGATGTATGTGACTGAATTATTCATATTTTATAACTTTCCATTAAAAGATTTTTAAGATAGCACCAATGAACTAGAGTGGAAATTTATTCCACAAATTAGATGGTATCAAAACAATACTTACTTCATACTAAAGATAATTTTCATATTTATTCATAAAATAAATGAGATATATTTCCAGCTGGTCTCTTCCAAAGTCCTTTATATGGTTGTTTAAAAATAATTCAAAACATAACAGATACATTTGATGGATAATAAGCATTTTTACATTCTGTATTAAATTTTAGAAGATATTGGGGGCAATTCTAAAAAAAAAAGTAAAGGTAAAGGTAAAGTTAAATAGCTTCAATGATACATAATTTCCTGACAGGAGATGGAACAAAACAATTTTTAAGGTCTCTTTCTGTTCTATGATTATTTGAAATTCTTGATATTATTCTGTCTATATTGCTGAAGTCATTGCTGGTATCAGATATATCTAAGTTGTAAACACTATTTTTACTTAAACTTTGATTAAATGAGTTCAGTCATCACATCTTATAGCCACAGAGCTGTATTATCTCTTGGTCTTTTCTTTCCAGGTAGAATTTTCCGTGTGATCTATTGCTATTTAGCACAAGATAGCATTTTGAAATTTAGGTCTACATCAGATATATAGGATTTGTCTTTACATATGAAGCATGCTCATAAATCATTTTGAACAATTTTTTTGTAAATCAGGACAGACCGTAAATTAGAAATTGTATTATTCTTAAAGCCTTATTTTCAAATGTACATAATTAAATGAGACGAACATTATTATTCTGAGATCATTTATAGTCTTTTATTATAAAACATATATATTCATTAATAACTTTTACCTTTTACTTATAATCTACATACTGGTTAGTTTGGGTACAGTTTCATGCCAATGTGGGTATACATTAAATACATTTACCTTTGTCTCTGAGTGAATGATTCTGAGGAATATTCAGAGGGTAATAAAATGTACTAACAAATTTAATTTCTTATTGTTTACTGAAATCAATTTAGAATATCCACATGGGTCTAAGTCTTTGTCTAATAAGTACCTATTATCTATCTATTTGGACCCTTTGTATGCTTTTCAGGAAGAAAAAACAAATATTTCAGGGACATAAGTAGGAAATGAAGAACTTCAGTAGCACCCAAGCTCTGTTGCAGTCACATACATTCCACTTGACACAAACATTTTACCTGAATATGTAGCCCTGATATTCTATAAACAACATCTATTAGATATTTTCAACCAGGGCAAACAATGTATACTTCCAAGTACTTCATTGTTTGAAGAGTATTAGCATCCTGTAATTTGTGGAGACTCTGGTCTTCATGATTCTGTTTTATAAGCTACTATATAAGCCAAGCTAGTAACTTATAACCCCAAATCACAAACCTTATGCAATTGAGAGAAAAGGCATTTATTCCTTCACATATAATATTGTGGCAATTTCTGGGGAATCATAACATGAATAAATATAATAACTTAAGTTTATGTTCTTTCTATTATAAACTTGGAGAGTTAGGAGGCAATATGAGCTGCACTGAGTTCCTAGAATGTATAGTGAAGATCAAAGCAGAAGGAATATATATATATATAAATCCTTACAGGCGAATATATATTTCTGATACTAAAAATATTACTATATTTATATATAACTATTTAATATAGAATATATGCAATATATTTACTCTGTGTTGTATATTATATATCACTATATACTTGATTTTATATATATATATATACATATATATATATAGAGAGAGAGAGAGAGCATCCATAATATTTAGACTAAAAATTGCATAAGAAACCTAGGGAATGCATGTGCTTGATTTTATATATGACACTTTCTCAAAAATAAATTACTGCCCTGTTTCAACAATTAATTTCTGAGCCTAAAATCTAGTACTTCGATGTGTCATGCAAGCAATTATATTTCATCTTGTGTATGAAATGCAAGATATTTTGGCACCAACTTCTCATATTATAAAACATTATGTCAATTTAATACTCTGCGAATTGTGTATTATTATAAATATGTTGGCATCACTAAATATTTTGAGTGCAGACTTTGCTACTATAGCTCAAATAGCTCCTTAATTGTCATGACTACATGAATTATTATGCCATAGCAATAAGTATGCTATACTGTAAAAATAAGAGAAAATTATGTTTATAATAACAGAAAGCTTGAGTTTAAATAGTTACTAGATTTGCACTGTGAAGAATTACAGTAAAATATGAAATCTAATGGTGAATGTTAATGTAAAATCTCAAACATTATCTAAAGTGCCATATCTATGTTACAGTATAGTTACCTGGAGTTTTTTTCATGCTCCTAATGGAAAATTCTTTAGGATAACTTTTTAGAAAATGAAAGATCATATCACAGGCAAAGAGACATTAGAGTGTTTATTACAACACAAATGAGAAAATGAAAATTTAAAGTAATAAGTGCCTTTCTCAGAGTCACAAAACCAGGTAATCACAAAGCTGGAATCCAGTTCTTTTGCAGTACAATAGCAAGATATTCATGGACTATAGACATGGCAGTTTTTAAAATCTTAATTCTGTATTGTACAGGCTTTTTGCCCTTGGCCAGTCATGTAACCTCTCTCAGAGTTATTACGAGAAAAGCAACAATTAAAAAAAAAAAACAAGAGTGATGATAATAATGCATCACAAGATTTTGTGAAAATTATGTAAGACAAGTTTGGAAGTACAGTGGGTTTAGGCCTTAGTTTAGTGCTTTGCACACAAGTGTTTAATAAATATTACCTACTATTTTTATTATATTTGCTTCTGTTAATATCATGGATCCTGCTGGTACAGTACCTGTTTCACTGGACCTGGTTGCCAAACGCAGCCATTAAAGTAGAAGTTCCCCAATTACTAGTTGTATATAAGTATTCAGCAGCATCATCATGTAGATGTCATCAAGTCAGAGTCACCAGACATACATTCTGTCTCTCAGTAACATGGTTTATGTGCCCGACAGGGACTAGGAATACATTGACTCTGGCCCATTCACATAATTCACCTACAACAAATTCTCTAAAAGCTCAATTCTTTCTTACCTTTCTTTATACATAAAACGGCTAAATTCCAAGCCTGTTTTCAATCAAATTGTTAACTATCTGGTGCCTGTACTAGGGTAAACAATTAAATATTGTCTGATAAAAATCACACAGACCCTTTGACTTTCATACAGGTCTTTCAATTCATAGAGCTCTTCAACACTGCCTGGAAGTTCTCCCACATTTCGCTAGTATGTTATTTCTCTGTCTCCAAAGCAACTAGTTCCTACTTTCTCCTCACACTGCAAATTTGCAGTTCTATATTCTGTAACTTTTCACCTGCAAGAACTAAAACATTGTCTCAAACTTCCTTGTGAAAGTCAAAACAATCAATCAGGAGTTCCTTCATTTTGCAAGCAATAAACCGATCTGCATATCTAATCTGGACCCACTCTCTCTGCATTTTCTCCAATTACGGTATTTTTGGTCATTGATGTGGCTTCCCTTCCCCATGTCTTTCATAGGTTTGAAACTCAATATTGTTAAGATGTTAATTCTCCTCAAATCCATGTATAGATTAAGTACATTTCTAATATAATTACAAGCAGAATTTTAGAAGAAATTTTCAACCTGCACTCAAACTCATATGCAAATGCAAAGGGCATAAAATATATAAAATGACTTAAAAAGAAGAAGATGGAGGGCCAACAGTACTTTATTTTAATATTTATTCAAAAGTTACATTTCTCAGAATGATATGGTATTGGCATATAGACAATTAGATCAATGGAACAGAGTAAATAGTTCAGAAATAGAGCCACATATGTATGGTAAATTGATTTTCAACTAATGTGTAAAAATATAGTAAAAAATCTTTTCAATTGTTAGAACAATTGTATATCCATATGCCAAAAATAACTTTGTCCGTTCCTGATATTATATAAAAAATTAAGTCAAAATGGATCATTCTTAAATCGGATGCCTAAAATGTAGAAGTTTTAGAATAAAACATAGAGAATATCTTTCTGATTGTGTATTAGGTAAAAACACCAAATAAACAATCCATTAAAGAATAAAATGAAAAGTCGGACTTCATAAAAATAAAAATAAAAAACTTCTACTTTTTGAAAGATATTCTTGAGATGAAAATATAAAGCACAAATTAGGAGAAATACTTTCAAGTTATATTTGTTGTAATGACTTGCATGTAGATGGTATAAAGAACTTTCCAAATACTATAAGAAAACACAAAAACCAAATTTTCAAGTGCCAGATTTTAATATATACTTCATCAAAGCGGATAAAGGAAGGTAAATCTTTCTGGTCCTGAAAAATAAAGTTTAATTTTGACCCCAGTTAGGACTTCACAGTCTGCCTAAAGCAGAATTAGAACTGCTTCTTTGGTGCTTCTATAATACTTCTTTAAGTATAATAATTCTCATTGTATTACAGTAATGTATTTATATATCTAAGTCCTCTATTGTAAATATAGGATGAACTGTACATAATTTTGCACCTTGATCTCCGTAAGCAACTACCCACCAAAAATACTAACAAACAAGCATGGACTTGAACTCATAGTAACTACTACATAAATTTTAAAGTAAACATAAATAATGCAAAGTGATTTAATAATAGATTGTATTTATTGCAGCTCAACATATGATGATAGTGGGATGACTGTAGGTATTGTTCATGTGGTCTATTTACATTGGATATCAGCGACTGCATTCGGTAATCTAGTGAATGAAATAAAGGCATAATGTAAAATCTAATTTTATATACTGATCCTAATTTTAGATGATAAATATAGATGGAGGTAGTAGAATAGTCTAATAACTGCTAGCTTTAATCTGTCTTTTAAGAAAATACATTTTTAAAAATTTTGATTTGGTAGAAAATCATTACTACAGTTTTTGAGAAATATAAACATGATTTTATATGTTACCATAACCATATTTCAATTGAGTGTATTCACCAAAGCAGATTCCAGATTATCCTAAGTCCCCAGTCAGCTTTCATTTGGGGCTCTAAGCTGTTTTCAGTCTATCTCTGTTCATGGCCCTTTTGAAATCAATGGAAACTCCCTGTTCAAATCAACAATATGAGGGAGGGTATGAAACTGAATAGAAAAAGTGACCTTTGAGATGGTATTGCTCTTGAAATTGAAAAGTTATCTTGGTTATTAAAGAACTCAATGCAACATATTTCCTATTTCAAGGGCAGTAAAGTTATGTCTTTAAAAAGTGTTCCTGAAATTGCCTTTCATATTCGGCCACACACTGGTGAGTTAAAACTGAATTGAGATTTTAGGAATGAAGATTATGAACAAAATGTAAATAGAGTTGCTTTAAAGAGGTTTATGAACTAGTTGTTAACTGCAATAATGATTTTGAAATTACTGGAATATAACAAATAGAAAAAAACTACCATTTCAATTTTTAAATAACTTCAGAAAACTAATATATTAAAACTTAAAATACCGTGGCATTGGCCGGGCGTGGTAGCTCACGCCTGTAATCCCAGCATTTTGGGAGGCTGAGGAGGGCTGATCACCTGAGGTCAGGAGTTCAAGACCAGTCTGACTAACATGGAGAAACCCCGTCTCTACTAAAAATACAAAAATTAGCCGGGCGTGGTGGTGCATGCCTGTAATCCCAGCTACTCGGGAGGCTGAGGCAGGAGAATCGCTTGAACCCGGGAGGCGGAGGTTGCGGTGAGCCGAGATCGTGCCATTGCACTCCAGCCTGGGCAACAAGAGCCAAACTCCGTCTCAAGAGACAAAACAAAACAAAACAAATATAGTGGCATTAATTACATGTGCAATGTTGTGCAACCATAACCACTAACTACTTCCAAAATTTTCCATTACCCCAAATAGAAACTCTGTACCCATTAAGCAGTAACCTTCCTTTCCCTCCATCCCAGCCCCTTGTAACTTTATTTTTTTTATTTTTTTTATTTTTGAGACAGAGTCTCGCTCTGTCGCCCAGGCTGGAGTGCAGTGGCCTGATGTCGGCTCACTGCAAGCTCCGCCTCCTGGGTTCACGCCATTCTCCTGCCTCAGCCTCCTAGTAGCTGGGACTGCAGGTGGCCACCACCACGCACAGCTAATTTTTTGCATTTTTAGTAGAGATGGGGTTTCACCGTGTTAGCCAGGATGGTCTCAATCTCCTGACCTCGTGATCCGCCCACCTCGGCCTCCCAAAGTGCTGGAATTACAGGCGTGAGCCACTGCGCCCGGCCAGCCCCTGGTAACTTCTAATCTACTTTTTGTCTTCTTGAATTTTCCTATTCTAGATATTTTATATAAATGGGATCATACAAATCTTTCTCTTTATGTTTGGTTTATTTCACTTAGCATAATATTTCCCAGGTTTATCCATGTTTCAGAATACGTCCCAATTTTATTTATTCTTACACCTGAATAATAATTGCATGTAGTTATCACATTTTGTTTATTCATTCATCTCTTGATGGACACCTGACTTTTTTACACCTTTGGCTATTGTAAATAATGCTGCTATAATCATTTGCATACAAGTATCTGTTTAAGTCCCTGATTTCAATTTTTTTTTATACTTACAAGTGAAATTGTTGGACCACATTTTAACTCTATGTTTACCTAGTTTAGAAACTGTCTAATTGTTTTCAACAGTGGCTTCATTAGTATGTATTTCCACCAGGAAAGTATGATGGTTTTAATTTCTCCAAATTCTCCCCATAATTTCTTAATTTTAACAGTATTTTATGGATTTTTCAGGACATTCTACATATAACATCATGTTATCTCTGAATAAAGATAACTACTTCCTTATTTCCATTTTAGATATCTTTTCTTCATTTTTCTTTGCTAATCACCCTGGTGAGAATATTCAATACTATTGAATAGAGGAGGAGAAAGCAGATATCCTTGTATTTTTTCTTATCTTAAAAATTGACTTTGGGTCACTTACCATTGTATGATGTTAGGTGTGGATTTTTTAAAATATGGTCTTTATTATTTTGCAAATATATATTTCTAATGATATTTTTATGAGTAGCTTTTTTCATGAAAGTGTTTTGGAATTTTTCCAATTTATTTTTCTGCATCAATTTATATAACTACATATTTCTACTTTCTTTATATTAATGTGATGATAGACTGATTTTTGTGTATTGAACAATCTTTGCCTTCCTGGTATAAATTCCATTTGGACATGGTTTGTAGTTCTTTTAACACATGGCTAAATTACGTTTATTAGTATTTTGTTGAAGATTATAGTACTTACAGTGATTAGGGATATCGTTGTATTTTTTTGTTTATTGTAAGGTCTTTGGCTTCAATTTCAGGTATCATATTCAGGCCAGGGTAATGGTGGCCTTATATAATAAGTTAGGAAGTGTTTCTCCTTTCTCATATTTTTTAACAGAGTTTAAAAAGGATTGGTATAAATCGACCAGTTAATTTGACAGTGGTCCTGGGCTTTTCTTTGTTGAGAGGTGGTTTTTGCTATTGTTTTTGTTGTTTTTAACTCATTCAGCATGCTTGCCTATTAGAAGTCTATTCATATTTTCTATTTCTTCTTGAGCCATCTTGGAGTTTGTGTATTTCCCAGAATTTTAGCATTTTATCTAGGTAATTTTATGTTTTAGCACACAATGTTCATAGTACAGCCTCATAATCAGTCTTATTTCCATGAAGTAAGTAAAATGTCCTCTTTTCGTATTTGAGTTTAGTAGTTTTTTTTTTTTTTTTCTTCTTAGTCAATCTAGCTAAAAGTCTGTCACTATTGGCCGGGGGTGGTGGCTCACGCCTGTAATCCCATCACTTTCAGAGGCCGAGGCGGGCTGATCACAAGCTAAGGGCACTGAGACCATCCTGGCAAACAGGGTGAAAACCCATCTCTAGTAAAAATACAAAAAATACTTAGCCAGACGTGGTGGCCGGCGCCTGTAGTCCCAGCTACCAGGAGGCTGAGGCAGGAGAATGGCGTGAACCCGGGAGGCGGAGGCTGCAGTGAGCCGAGATCGCGCCAGTGCACTCCAGCCTGGGTGACAAAGCAAGACTCCATCTCAAAAAAAAAAAAAAAAAGTTTGTCACTATTGATATTTTCAGAGTCAATTTTTGGTTTTATCAACTTTCTCTGTCAATTTTTAAATTTATCTCCACTCTAATTTTTATTATTTTCTTTCTCATGTTTGGTTTTCTCTTATTTTTTTTCATGCTACATTTTTTAATATAGTCTGCTACTCTGTTTCAAGGTCCTTAAATTTTAGTTATGTTACTGACCTGATATTTTTCTTCTTTTTAAATATAGCTGTTTATAGATATAAATTCTACTGTTAGTACCACTTTTACTGCATCCCATAAAGTTTTATATATTGTGTTTTGCTTGTATTGTTTTCAAGATATTTTCTAATTCCTGTTTAATTTTTTCTTTGACAAGTTGGTTAAGAGTTAAGTGTTGTTTGATTTCCATATCTTTGGAAATTTTCCAGTATTCTTCTGTTATTGAATTTTAGTCTTTTCATTGTGGTCAGAACAGATAGAATATATGGTTGTCAGTCTTTTTAAATTTATTAAGACTTGTTTTATGGCCTAAGATACAGTCTATTTTGAAAATATTATTAAATTTATTAAGACTTGTTTAATGAGCTAAGATATAGTCTATATTGGAAAATCTTCTATGTGCACTTAAAAACAATATATATTCTCATTGTTCAGCTCCCACTTAAGAACAATATGTATTTTCATTGTTCAGCTCCCACTCATAAGTGAGAACATACAGTGTTTGGTTTTCTGTTCCTGCATTAGTTTGCTGAGGATATTGGCTTCCAGCTCCATCCATGTCCCTGAAAAGGACATAATCTCTTTCCTTTTTATGGCTTCATAGTAGTCCATGGTTTATATGTACCACATTTTTCAATCCGGTCTAACATTGCCTGCACGTGTAACCTGGAACTTAAAAATTTAAAAAAGAACAATATATATTATGCTGCTATTGGGTGGAGTGTTCACTATATATGTTCTTTTTTTTTTTTTTTTTTTATACAGAGTCTCACTCTGTTGCCCAGGCTGGAGTGCAGTGGCGTGATCTCGGCTCACTGCAAGCTCCGTCTCCCGGGTTTATGCCATTCTCTTGCCTCAGCCTCCCAAGTAGCTGGGACTACAGGTGCCCGCCACCACGCCTGGCTAATTTTTTGTATTTTTAGTAGAGACGGGGTTTCACTGTGTTAGCCAGGATGGTCTCGATCTCCTGACCTCGTGATCCGCCTGCCTTGGCCTCCCAAAGTGCTGGGATTATAGGCGTGAGCCACCGCTCCCGGCCTATATGTTCTTAAGTCTAATTGATTTGTAACGTTGTTCAGGTCATCTGTTTCCTTATTGCTCTTCTGTCTGGTTGTTTTATCCTATATTGAGAGTGGGATATTGAAGTTTCCAATTGTTGTTGTAGAAGTATCTTTCCCTTTTCAATTTTGTCAATATTGCATCATGTATTTTATGGCTTTATTGTTGGGTGTGCATATAGTTGTCATATCATCTTGATGGATGAATCTTTTATCAATATATAATTTCCTCTGCCTCTTGTACACTATTTTGATGTAAAATATCTTTTGTCTGACAATATTAAAGCCACCCCAACTGTTTTAGTTACTATTTGCATAAAATAGCTAGCTCTGTGTTTTTACACTTAAGTCTTGTTGTCTGTGTGTGCAAAGTGAGTCTCTTATAGACAGCACATAGATAGATTATGTTTTTTTATTCATTTTGTCACTTTCATTTTAATTGGCTAATTTAATTCATTTACATGTAATTACTGATAATAAAGAACATATTTGTGACATTTTGCTGTTTATTTTCTGTATGTCTTATATTTTCATTTCTCAGTTCTACATTACTGTCTTTTAATATTTATTTTTATAGTACATCACTTTCTTTTGTATATATTTTAAAAATTATTTTCCCATTGGTAATCTAGGAAACTATAATTAACATATTAAACTGATAACAACCTGGTCTGAATAATACCAATTTATTTTCAGTAGCATGCAACACTTTTTTTATACTTCTCCACCTTCCCCCTTTATATTTTTCTTGTCAAAAATTATGTCTGTATATATTAATATTATACAAGTTGATATAGATTTGTAATTATTTTGCGTATTTGCCTTTTAAATCATATATACAGATAGAGAAGTTATAAACCAAAAGTACAATGATAGAGGACTTTATATTTACCTATGTGGTTATCTTTCTCAATGTTCTTCATTTCTTCATATGGCTTCGAGTTACTGTGTAGCATCTTTTCATTTCATCCTGAAGGACTTCCTTTAGCACTTTTTGTACAAATCTACTAGTTACAAACTTTCTTGTCTTTTGTTTATTGGAAAACATATTAATTTTCATTTATTCTTGAAAGATAGTTTTGCTGGATGTAGAATTGGTAGTTGACAGGATTTTAAAATTTCTTTTAGCATTTTTTTTTTTTTTTTGAGACGGAGTCTGGCTCTGTCACCCAGGCTGGAGTGCAGTGGTGCGATCTCAGCTCACTGCAACCTCCGCCTCCCAGGTTCACACCATTCTCCTGCCTCAGCCGCCCGAGTAGCTGGGACTACAGGTGCCCGCCACCACGCCTGGCTAATGTTTTGTATTTTTCGTAGAGAGGGGGTTTCACCATGGTCTCGATCTCCTGACCTAGTGATCCACCCGCCTTGGCCTCCCAAAATGCTGGGATTACAGGCATGAGACACCACACCTGGCCTCTTTTAGCATTTTAAATACCTCTTACCACTCTTCTCATGCTATGCTTTCTGGTGAAAAAACAGCTATTTATCTTAGTTAGGATTCCTTGCACATGACATGTGGCTTCTGTCTTGCTGCTTTCAAGATTTTTTTGCCTTTGGCTTTCAACAATTGAACTGTAATGTATCTCAATGTAGAATTTTTTGATTATTGTCTTGGAGTTTATTGAGCATCTTTCATACGTAGATTCATGAATTTCATCAAATCTAATACAGTTTTGGTCATTATTTTTTCAAATATTTTTCTGCTTCTATTTTTTTCCTCCTGCAATTCCCCTGTTGGTATGTTTGTGTATGTCCTTCAGGTTCCTCAGGTTCTACTCATTTTCCTCATTTGTTTCTTTTTTTCTTTCTCCTCCCCAGGCTAGATAATTTCAACTGCCCTAACTTCAAACTTTGGTGATTCTTTACTGTGTCTGCCCAAATCTTCTGTTGAACCCCTGTATTAATTTTGTTTTACATCTAAGCTATTGTATTTTGCAGCCCTCAAATTTCTATCTGGTTCTATTGGATAATTTCTCTTTTTATGTAGAGAAATTTATATGTTTATTTATGTTTATTCATTTTTCACCTAATTTCTTTTCATTGTTTTTCCATGGGTTTCTTTAGCTCATTGAACATATTTGAGACAGTTTTTTAAAAAGTATTTTGCTAGGAATTTCCATGTCTGGGCTTCCTAGAAGAGTTTTATTCAAACTATTTTTCCTGCGAATGAGTCATATTTTCTCATTTCTCTGTAAGCATAGTAACATTTTGTTGATAATGAAACATTTGAGTATTAAAGTATAACTCTGGAAATCAAATTCTCCTCAGAAATTGTTTCTGTCACTTATTGAGTCCTGAATGTACCCATTTGTATGCTAACTTTTCCAAACTATTTTTGGAAAGTCTGTGTTCTCTGTTGTGTGGTCAATGAAGTTTCTCTGTGTCATCTCTTTGCTCTATGACCTGACACAGATTTTCTTAAGTTTCTAGATGCAAACACACACACACACAAAAGTGTGCTTCCAGAAGATGCTGCTGGGAAGGCCACTGCATCCCTAGGGAGCCAAATCAAAGGTAGGCATCTGTTGTAGCTCCTCAGAGAATCACCAGGCCAACCAAATCTCACAAACCTGAACCATTGGAGAACAAGTTCTTACTGTCTACCATGGTACCAATCAGGTGCTCTGGGAATGTGGTCTATCCCCACAACCACAACAGGGACAAGGAATGGGGATGGGAGCTGGTCCTACAAGTTGGTCTCTTACCAAAGTTCAGCAGCCTATTCCTCCCTCAGGTACTACCCTTGGCTCTTCTCATTTTTTTTTTCAGTTTAATTATTGTTATGGTTGAGGAACTAAACCCTGAAACTTCCTGGTCCACCATTTTTTGTAATATTACTCCCACCATTTTCTTTTATTTAAAAATTATTTCTTCCCTTATAGCATTTTGTCCTAATGTGTCCGGAATTGGTGGGTTCTTGGTCTCACTGACTTCAAGAATGAAGCCGTGGACCCTCGCGGTGAGTGTTACAGTTCTTAAAGGCGGCGTGTCCGGTGTTTGTTCCTTCTGATGTTCATATGTGTTCTGAGTTTCTTCCTTCTGGTGGGTTCGTGGTCTCGCTGGCTCAGGAGTGAAGTTGTAGACCTTTGCCGTGAGTGTTACAGCTCATAAAGGCAGTGCGGACCCAAAGAGTGAGCAGCTGCAAGATTTATTCCAAAGAGCGAAAGAACAAAGCTTCCACAGTGTGGAAGGGGACCCGAGCAGGTTGTCACTGCTTCCTGGGGCAGCCTGCTTTTATTCCCTTATCTGGCCCCACCCACATCCTGCTGATTGGTCCATTTTACAGAGAGCTGATTGGTCTGTTTTACAGAGAACTGATTGGTCTGTTCTGACAGGGTGCTGATTGGTGTGTTTACAATCCCTGAGCCAGACACAAAAATTCTCCAAGTCCCCACAGAGCACTGATTGGTGCATTTACAAACCTTGAGCTAGACACAGAGTGCTGATTGGTGCATTTACAATCCATTAGCTAGACATAAAGATTCTCCAAGTCCCCACCACATTATCTACACACAGGGTGCTGATTGGTGCATTTACAAACCTTGATCTAGACACAGAGTGCTGATTGGTGTATTTACAATCCCTTAGCTAGACATAAAGGTTCTCCAAGTCTCCACTAGACTTAGGGGCCCAGCTGGCTTCACCTAGTGGATCCTGCACCCCGTCGCAGGTGGAGCTGCCTGCCAGACCAGTGCCATGCCCCACACTCCTCAGCCCTTGGGTGATCGATGGGACCGGGCGCTGCGGAGCAGATGGCGGTGCTCGTCAGGGAGGCTCAGGCCACGCAGGAGCCCACAGTGTGGGGGAGGCTCAGGCACGGCGGGCTGCAGGTCTGGAGCCCTGCCCCGCAGGGAGGCAGCTGAGGCCCTGCGAGAAATTGAGCACAGCGCTGGTGGGCCGGCTCTGCCGGGTGACCTGGCGCACCCTCCACAGCTGCTGGCCCAGGTGCTAAGCCCCTCACTGCCCGGGCTGGTGGGGCCAGATGGCCACTCAGAGTGCGGGCCCCGCGGAGCCAACGCCCACCCGGGACTTGCGGTGGCCTGCAAGCACCACGCGCAGCCTGGGTTCCTGCCCACGCCTCTCCCTCCACACATCCCAGCAAGCTGAGGGAGCAGGCTCTGGCCTCCTCCAGCCCAGAAAGGAGCTCCCACAGTGCAGTGGCGGGCTGAAGGGCTCCTCAAGCTCAGCCAGAGTGGGTGCCAAGGCTGAAGAGGTGCCCAGAGCAAGCAAGGGCTGCGAGGGCTGCCAGCACGCTGTCACCTCTCACTAAAAATTGTTTTGAGTTTAGAGTATTATTAAGAATTGTAATATAAATTTTATAAAACATGTTTAGGTCATAACAAATAACTTCACATAGCTTGTTATAGTCAATCCTGATTTTTTTCATGAACAAGATCTCATTTTATTCTCATACTTGCATAGGTAACTATTATTCAAATTTCATAGATGACAAAATAAAGATTAGGAAAGTTAAATGGTAAATTCATAACTTGTAAATGGAAGAATCAAAATGCAAAATCAAGTCTCCTGAGTCTGTATCCCATATACTCTCACCAATATAGTATTGCTAAAGCCTAGTGTCTGGTGATTTGAGTAACTTCTAAACATAAAATGTATAAATTGCATTATTTATATAATTTTCAAAACTATTTCATGTTTATTGCCAAAGTTGTCATTGTTGTTTTCACATTAGGGAATAAACATTTTTCCACTGTTTTACATAATAAAAGCAAATATCCCAGGAGGTGTACTTTCATTTCTTTCACTAGCTAATTTTAAAGTGGAGAGACACATCAAAACACTCATATCTAAAAATAAGAATAGAATGTCAAAAACATAGTTCTAAGATTCTATTTTACTCATGGAACTTTTCAGTATAGAAACAAGTTACTTATCTGAAAAAGATTATGCATTTCACTTTTTATTTTTTTGTGAGAAGCAGCATTATATTATGATGTATCTCACTTATATAAATAACAGCAACTGACTGGATGTGCTTGAGCTCAGGAGTTGGAGCCCAGCCTGGGCAACATGGTGAAACCCCATCTCTACAAAAAATACAAAAATTGGCCGGGCATTTTGTTGGTGCACGCCTGTAGGTTCCAGCTACTCAGGGGGCTGAGGCGGGAGGATCACTTGAACCCAGGAGGTCAAGGCTGCAGTGAGCCGAAATCATGCCACTGCACTCCAGCCTGGGTGACAGAGCAAGGCCCAGTCTCTTAAAATAAATAAATTAAAATAAATAAATAAATAACAGCAACCCGGGTACTCAATAGCCTGATCAGTCATCTGAAACCCAAGGCTTAAAACATTTAATGTTTCTGAATATTGGCATTGAAGTCCTCCTTGTTGCAATCAGAATGCCATTTCATATGTAGCATATAGTTACTTATTTTTTTTTATGGGATGGCTTTCTAAAAAACTTATTAGAGAACAAATGTGATAACTTGCAGTGACCAAAGTAACAGATATATTCTGCAATAGTTACAAAAAATGAATGGCGCAAAAAGTGACCAGCCAAAGTAAATTTAATGTAGTAAGGTATTAATTAGTCCAGTATTAGCTAATAAAGAAATTAAATGAATATATACTCTTCTTTGAATTATTTATATGTACATCTAAAAATGTATTTTTTTGAGGGAAAAGTATAGCTTTTGTGTCAAATAAACATGGCATTTCAGTATATAATTTTAATAAATGCTAACTTATTTCAGTCTACAGAAGAAGGTGGTTAAAAATACAGAAACTAATTTTACAGTGGGGTCTACTTAAATTCATCATTTTAAATTTCGGTGTGGTATGAAATACATATTAGAACAGAAAAGTAATATTACTTAAGCCAATTAAATTAATAACAAGTACATTAATGATTATTTTGAGTATTGTTATAAAGAAAAAAAACAGATAATTTGAACTTCCATCAATAAAGGCATGAGTGGACAAATTATCATGCTATTGCCTGAAACAGTATTGCCCTGGTTACTGTCTAGTAATACTCGTCTCCATTCCTAACCATGTCAACTTTTGGTTATAAACGTAGGAATGAATTACATTTACCCTATACATTTACAAACAGAGTTCCCTTTTAGATTCCACAATAAGCAGCACTTGTGTAATATTTAAAGGCAAAAGAGAAGGGGAAAGCATATTATCTGCTGGAAAAGATACTGGCACCTAGGCAGATGTGAAGCATGAAGGAGCTTCCAGGTGAGCTCTTATAAATAATCTTCAGCTGAGCTAATTGATAGGTGCATCCTGTGATTTGGAGCCTTACTGGTTTTTTGGAAGCTGGAAGAGGTTCTCATTATTTACCTCCCTCCTATACTTCCTACTGTTTTTTAAACATCTAATTTACTTTATCATATTTCTCCTGCTAAAATAAGCAATTCCAACCCTTGAAGCTAAAATACAATTATGCATGTTTTAAAATTAATGACTTAAATCTGTATGCATTGGCATGGAGAAAAGATCATAAAATATTACTGTATAAAAACAAAAACGTGCTACAGAATGATAAATGTTTTATTCAGTTTGTGAAATTATGAAACCCTATTTTGATAAACTTCATTCTCATAAAATCTGTTTATATTAAGAAACGTCTTTATGAGGATAGTTCTGGGAGTAGAATGATAGAGGGGCAAAAGGATAATCTTTATTTATCTCTAAATTATTTAAATAATAATAGGAGGCTTAGAGATTCTGAAAATATATGGAAGCCATTTTACGACTTTGAGAAAAATCAAGAATAGGAAAAATACACTCCACTCAAGGTAGAAAAGACATGAAGTAAGTGGGCATTTGAGGACAGTAGGAATCATTAGAAGCTTATTTAACCTTAACCTATATCTGGACTTTTCAGTTAAGTGAAGGAATGCTTTTGCATATTTTTAAAGCCAGTATGAGTCTGGCATTCTTCTACTTACAAAAGAAGAATTCCTAAATAATACAGAATAGGAGATTAATGTTTCATTGTAGACTTGTGTAACCTAAGGATACACTCTATTCCATATTGGGAGGTTGGAAATAATTCTTTAGTAGAAAGTATATTAAATTGTTTGCTGTGATAATGACTTATAGTATTTAACTTTAAAAGCTATAGCTTAGGAGATTTGGAGAAAATAATGATAGATTTTGGATCATTCTGACCAGGTGTTTATAGTAGTCAAATATTACCTACTTTACTACAAAGAGTATATATTGACATAATTACAATACCAAATTTTGTAACACATGTCAATATTTGCTGTAGTAGTGCCAACTATTTATGGAAATGTGAGAAAATCAGACTCTTCATGTACTTAGTAGGAAAGTCAGTTTATATATCCATTCTTGAAGCCAGTTTGACAGTACATAAAATTAAATTTGCTTATATCATGTGCCTAACAACATCTGAATTTATACCCCAGGTACTCTCATATAGGAATTTTCATAATGGACCATGACATACCTGTGAAAATGTTCATTACATCAGTATTGAAAAATATAGTATCATCTTCTTAGGGGCAATCTAGATTTCTAATGAGTAAGTATAATGAGGTAGACGTACCCCATAGAAAAGCATTAAAAACAGCAAATGGGGTATTCACAGTGATCTGTATAGGTCCAAAAAATAGTGGTGAATGAAAATATTAGGAGACAAAATGAAATCTGTAGGACAGTGCCATTTCTATAAATTTTTATCAATTTGTATGAATTTATAATAAATACATATTAAAAATACATACTTCTAGAAACTACATAAAAACTCAAGCGTCCATTTCAAGCCACCTGGAGTTGTTGTCTGTGGGAGGTAGAGTGGAGTAAAAGTGGAAAATATGGACAAATTAAAAGGATATAATTAAAAGTTAAATAAAAGGGGAGTTTTGCATGAACTGCTGATTGTATTATTTCGTGAAGTGAGAATGATTAATTCAATTGTTGTCCTGGTCAAAAATATTATTAATAATAATAAAGTAATATATGTGAAGATCAAGGATTTGAACTCAGGTTTATCTGACATCAAAATTTGTGCTTGTTTCACTGCACCACGTTGCCCTTAAACTTAACTAAATTGACAAAATAAAATCATAAAAAATAATACTATGGCAACTGCATTAAGACAAAAGGGTCTTTTCAAAATATCACAAAATAGTAATTTGACATCTCCTAAAGAATGGAATTCAAAGCCGACAATCACAGAGGTGATCTATCACAATCAAAATGTTGAGAATTTGGGGGTTGTAGGGTCAGCAATGAAATCACGTTTTATAGAGATTTATGATGGGATTTCAATTTAATTCTCTCCAGGCTATTAGTGGTAACAAAGGTTTGTTTCCACATGTCCAGGGGCTTTATGGTTAGCAATATATCATCCCACTTTTATTTTATACTCTTTCAATTGATCTACACTATAGTAAGGTCAAAAGTGCTGGTATCTTTCTTGAGTTATAAAGTACATAGATAAATACACTTTACATTGTATATACAAAGAAAAAAATTGGTACAAATAATCTACAGTTTGCTATTATTTGAACATTTGTTACAGGTAGAATTTGTGTTGAGGTCAATTAATATTTTCAACATGTCCTAAATAGGCAATATAAAAATGTCCCCGACTTTTTTTTTTATTTTATTGTCCTTTGTATATGCTACCTCCTTCCCCTAACACGAATTTACACTCCATCCTACATCTGGATAACTTTTAATTACTCATTTGTAACCATCATGTCAGTAGCTACAGATAGTACCACTTGAGACTTCAGACTGGTGTTTGAACCCCTCCTCTGAGGGTTATGCATTTCAGGCTTGGCTCCAGTATTCACCGTCCTGTTAATGAATGATTTATTTAGTTTTTTACCTAACTAGATAATGATATGCGTGAATAGAGAGATGGCTTTCTTGAATACTCAGTACATAATAAATGTACTATATATGTTGGTTGAATATATGGGTATAAATCACAGTTTTGGAAAGGTATAGTTTTATAATCTTAGCATTTATAATACTGTGTCAGTGAGAGTTATAATTTAAAATTACCATTGAAATAAAATAAAGTACTAAAAAACAATTTAGTGGTGCTTTGGGATATCTTGGTTCTTCATACATTTTATGATACTCGGGAAAGAAAGGTGATATAAATTTCTCCATGTCAGTCTAACGTGGCTCTGATTTTTAATGAGATACTTGGTAAAATGATATTTGATTAGTCCTTCTTACTTCTGTTTCCTAAATTGATCTCCATTGTTGTTTTCAGTTCCTTTTTAATTTCCTGCACAATTGGTGTTCATTTATGAATTCATATACCTCTATGAATTGTACTCCAGTATAGCAGTAAAGGAACCCCATGAATTTTTTTTTTTTTTTCTCTGTGTGTAAATCTTTCTTTTTAAGCCCAATTTTAGACTCTTTGGTACTGGATAGGTATCTCCCCTGGAATCACTTCTAATTGTAACCTTCCTAACTCCTTATTTGCTCAAAACACACTCTTGCATAATATTCGCTTTTTTTTTTTTTTTTTTTGTTGAGACGGAGTCTCGCCCTGTCGCCCAGGCTGGAGTGCAGTGGCGCGATCTCGGCTCACTGCAAGCTCCACCTCCCGGGTTCACGCCATTCTCCTGCCTCAGCCTTCTGAGGAGCTGGGACTACAGGCGCCCGCCACCATGCTTGGCTAATTTTTTGTATTTTTAGTAGAGACGGGGTTTCACCGTGTTATTTCATAATATTCTTAATGATATTCCATATTCCTTCCTAATAATACAGGTTTGAAAATGTAAAACTACATTTAAATTCTCTCTCTTAAACCCTTTCTCTGATTACATTTTTTGGTGTTTTATTTCTACTTTCTAAAATACCTCACATTTATCAAATATTTAAATATTTAATCTCATTTATTATTTATTTTGCTTATTATTCATTTATTTATTCAACCAATATTTATTGAACATCTACCATAAGCCTGAAGCTGTTCTAGATACTGAAAATTCTATAGTCTATAAAACTGTCAATTCTCACCCCCCTCACGGAACTTAAATTCTAAAAGGGTGAGGCAGATAACACAAATTAATAAATAAAATTCATACCTTTCTTGGAGAGTGATAAATGCCATTGAGCAAAATGAAAGGGGAAAATGGTGATTGGAAGTTATCAGTGAAAGAGTAGGGTGGGCTGTACCTTGAAAACTGTTAGCATAGCCCTATCTCTGGTATTCACAAAACCAGTCCTCTTCTCCTTCCTCCAATCTTTCCACTACATCATTGACTATTTGATTTTCCTGAATAACAGCTGCCCTTATACCATTTGACTAATAAACCTGAAGTTGAGCTCGTGGAAGAAATGGCCTTATTACTTGTAATCTAGGCAAAGGCTTAACCTAAACAAAGTTCAGTGAAGTAAAAAATGTTAGCAATCTCTATTAAAGCACCGGCACATGACTATTTGTTAAGAAATACAGCATTTTTTTTCATTTGTATGTAGAAGAGCAGGCCAACCAACAAATTCTATTCTTAATTTGTCTTACACATTAGGAGAGTATGTGTTTAATGGGAAGAGACAAATACAATTTTCTTTGATGAAAGTATGAATCTGACTTGAGGGGAAGCAGGTCCACTCTGCCTTATTTGGACTGTTTGAAGTTTTGTGTAGATAAATAATGTTCAAAGGGAGATTTCCTCAATTCTTCTAGGTCTTTCACCTGGTATTCATCTCCATGTTTTAAAACATTTGTCAATTTAATGTACTATCTTTTGACTTCCTGCCATGTCTGACATGAAATTAGCTTTGTATTCATTTCTATCTTCCCATTTCTGTCCCACCAAATGGTATCCACACTTACTTATCAATGTTAATTATTGTTATATCTATGAAAATATGAATCAGTGTTGTCAAAATATGCATTATTAGTAAATCACCACTTTTGTGCGCCTCGTTTTTGCCAGGAATTAATATTTTGTTTGTTGGTTGGTTTTTGTATTGTTTTCCTGATATCATTGTACCTGGCCTATGAGAAACCTTTTATGATTCTAGCATAGATGGAAGGAGGATGCCGCCACTGGCATTTCCTAGATGGAAATGGAGAAGGCAATTTGTAAAACACTCTTACTTTATGAAGAATTATGAATTGCCCCCCCAACCCCCACAAATGCTTGTAGCCCCCTTAAAGAAAAACACTGAATTCCTTTTCCCCCGTGTTGTAATGGTAGTCCCTGGATTATGTGTATTCTTTTTGCTTTGTTTACCTGAAGAATATTATAGAGAAATTTTCTTAGAAAAAGCAAATAAAGAGCATTATTGTTTAACTCTGAAGATGTAATTTTCTGTCCTAAATATTGATTGATATTTTTAATGAATATAGAATGCTGGTTGAAATGAATATTCTCTAAACCTTATATGTAATTTTCCTATTAATTAGTTTAGCTATTGAGAAATCTGTGTGAGGCTGGTTCTTCTTCCTAATTATATGATTTTTTATTCATTGATTTTTATTGTTTTTAATCATCTCTGGAAGCTTTTAGGCCATTTTCCTTTACTTGCATATTTTCAAATGTTATGGTATGTAATTTTTTATGTCACTTTTAATTTTAGGTTTTTTTATTTTAAAAACTGTTCTTTGGAAACCATGAACCCTCTCATTCCGGAGGCTCATAATATTTAAATTTAGTAAACCTCATATATTTTTGATAATTTATTACCCCATATTTTTACTGTTCTCTCTTCCAGAACTCTTGTAAGTTGAATGTTAGACTACTAAATGGGTTTCTTGAAATTTGTTCACATTTTTTTTTAATGTATCGGTTCCAACATTCTAATTCCTAAGAAATTATAGTTATTTACAGGTGAGTATATTAAAACATAAGTTTGAGTAACTTTTCATATATTTTCATATGTTTGTATGTTTACTGGCCATGTGGAAAATGCATTTATATAGTGCCCCTTAAAGTCTTTTGTTTATTTTCTTATTGGAGTATTTGCCTTTTTTTCTTATAGACGTGAAGGAATCCCTTTTATATTTTGAATATGTGCTACTTTTTAAGATATATATGTAAATAATTTTTTTTCTTTTTGCTCAAGGTGACTTCTGTTAGACTCTATCATAAAGAAGCTCAACATTTTTCTTTGTTTATAATTATTCCATTGTTTTAAGAAATATTTATTATTTTCTAGATATTTTAGTATCTTGCCTTTAAATTTAAATGTAAAATGTATCAAGAATTATCTATAGTCTATATTTTATTTTTTCCAACTGGATATCCAATCATCTCAGCACCGTTTGTTGAAAAAAACAGTATTTTTACTAATGGTCTCAGGCCACCCTTCTTTGAAATCAAGTGCCTATATATGTCTTGATTTGTCTTCTGTTCCTCTGTTCTAATCTTCCAAAAAATTATGTGCTGTACTTTATTAAGGAGTGTAACACCAAAGAAAAGATAAAAAGGATGCAGACTGAGAGGGAAAACAGAATATTGAGGGTTATTATTTGTCTGGCCACCATTTGATATCAAGGACAACTGACTGCCTGATCAGACAGGCCACATCTTCAAAGACGCCTATAAACTACTGTATCTCAGATTAGTATGTGTATGACAAGAGGAGGAGAAATTATCTGCCAGTATTTATTAACTGTTGGTCAAAGTATTGCTCCATAGGGAGAAAATTGTTTCTTGCTGTAGGTTGCATTTGCATCAGCACAAAGCAGACCCCACAGTTTCACAAGCCTCAGGAAAAAAATTAATCTTTGTGTAAAAGATGACAAGCATGACATGTTGTGAGGTGAGGCATTGTAGGATTTAAATCTGAGATGATGTCTGGGGAAAAAAAAGAGCTGTGTTGTTCACTGCAGTGGTGGATAGGAATAAAGCGACCAACTGCCCTAGAAAGGGAGAAAGCAAATGAGTTATACATAATGATTCCTCCTGCCTTCACTTCTTCAAGTAAAATGTATTAGTCCATTGAATTTCCATTTAAAGTTTGCCATAAGCTGGTAAACGTACCTACACAAACACACAGCTTGTTGGGTTATGGTTGGTATTTTACAAAATTCTAAACCAGTATGCAGGAAACTAATATCTTAAAACCCTGAGCCCAACCATCTATAAATTTTGTATGTTTCTCCTTTTGAAAATTTCTTCTTTAATGTCTCTCAAAATATTGTATGATTTTCTGAGCGGAAATATTATTCCTCTTCAAAAATATTATTCCTACTTTATAATAGAGTCTGACTAACAGAAGTCACCTTGAGCGAAAAGAAAAAATTACTTACATATATATCTAAATTTAGACATAATATTTATAATTTAATAATAAATTTCACAATTTTGACATAATATTCTACATATATAGCCATGTGTCAATGATGGGGATACATTCTGTCATTAGGTGATTTCATAATTGTGTGAACATCATAGAGTGTACTTACACAAACCAAAATTGTCTAGCATACTACACACCTAGGCTGTGTATTATAACCCATTGCTCTTAGGCTGTAAATCTGAACAGCATATTACTGTGCTGAATACTGTAGGTAATTGTAAAACAATAATATGTATTTGGGTCCCAAGATATCTAAACATAGGAAAGAAATAGGAACAAAAGGTATAAAAGATAAAAAATGGTATATTTGCATAGGGCACATACTATAAAAATAGAGATTGCAGTACTGGAAGTTGCTCTTAGTGAGTCAGAGAGTGAGTGGTGAGTGAATTTGAAGGCCTATGGCATTACTGTACACTGCAGTAGGCTTTGTAAACACTGTAGTCAGGCTATACTACATATATTTTACTACTACAAATATACTACTACGAACGTTTTATAAAAATATTTTTCTTACTTTAATAAATTAACCCTAGTTTACTTTAACTTTTTTTTACTTTATAAACTTTGTTTTTAAATTTTGACTCTCATAATAACATTTACCTTAAGACACAAACACATTGCACAGCTGTATAAAAATATTTTTCATCTTTGTATCCTTATTCTATAAACTTATTTCTGTTTTAAAATTTTTTTTTAAATTTAACTTTTCAATTTTTTGTTAGAAACTAAGATACTAAAACACACATTAGTCTAAGCCTACAAGGGCAAGAATCATCAGTATCACTGTCTTTCCTCTCCATGCATTGTCCCATTGAATGTCTTCAAGGGCATTAACATACACGGAGTTGTCATCTCTTGTGATAACAATGCCTTCTTCTGGAAGTATTCCTACAGGACCAACATAGGCTGTTTCACAGTTATCTTTGTTTTTATAAGTAGAAGGAATACACTATAAAGTACCAAGGAATAGTATAGTATGGTAAATGCATATACCAGTAACTTATTTATTATCATTATAATGTATTATGTACTGTACAGAATTGTGTATGCTATACTTTTATATGACTGGCAGCACAGTAGGTTTGTTTACATCAGCATTGCCACAAACATGTGAGTAATGTGTTGTGCTATGCCATTACCATGGCTATGATGTCACTAGGCAATAGAAACTTTTTAGCTCCATTATCATCTTGTAGGACCACCTTATATTCATTAATTGTTGACTGAAATGTATGCAGCACATGACTCTACTTATTTATATGTAATTATTTTATACGTTATGATAATTTAAATGGTACCCCTTCATTTTTCACACCTTGTAGCTAATGTATGGAGAGAATACAGATTTTTTATATTAACCCCTTATCCAGTAGTCTTACTACACTGTATTATCATTTATATTAACTGCAGAGATTATTTTGGATTTGCTATGCATAGATTCAGTTAATCTATGATTATTGACAACTGTTTTATTTTTCTCCAATACTTATGGCTCTCCATTTTTGTCATACTAATCACTTATTGCTACACAAAAGTTAACAGATTAAAACAACGATATGTTTTGGCCAAGAAATCAATTTGAGCAGAGCTCAGTGGATGTGGCTTTTCTTTTGTCCATGCACACCAAACTGGGGTAGTTTGATGCCAGACCTAAGAATCCACTTTCAAATTACCTCATTTAGATGCCTGAGAACTTGTTGCTGGCTTTCAGCTGCAAGCTCTGGTGGGACTGCAGTTGGGGACCTCAATTCTTCATCATATGGTATTCTCAATGGGTTACTTGAACTTACTCTGAACATGTGGGCTGGGAGCCAAGAGTGATCATACAAAACAATGACAAAATACATGTTAATGATCTATTGCTGAAATTTCTAATACATCACTTTTACTACAGTCTCCTGGTTATGGTTCCATCAGTTTAAAGAGAGGGGACCAAGATCCACATGTTGAGTGAATTTTAAAATTGTACAAGACCACATTGAATGTTAGATGTTGTTTCAGCAATCTTTAAAACATTCAAGCTGCTGTACTGTAATATAGCAATGAAGACCTGAAACAGAACCCCAGGAGAAGGCACATTTTCCTTATTCTCTAATTCAAAGGAAAGCTTTTAATTTTTTACCTTGAAGTATAATACTTTGTTCTAGGAATATTTGTTTCTACTCTTTAGGAGATTTAGGATTTTTCTGGTAAATTTTCTGCCACCGACTTTTTATCATTGAGAGGAGGAAATTTTATTCCTTTACAATGCTGGAGTCATTTTACTGATATGCTGTTTATAATCTTTGATTATATATCTGTGACAAAAATTATAATTCCCCTTTCTTATAATGTCCTTTTTGTACTTTGGTATCAAGCTTATGAAAACTTTGTAAAATAAGTCATGACATGAATTCTCCTTTTCCCCTTCTCTGTAAAATATTCTTGTAAGAATAATGTTATATTTTCACTAAATAACATTCTGTGAAATCATTTGTATATTGGTTTAATTACAGATTTTCTTATGGCTTAAGTTTAATACTTAAAAATGATTCACTTTTCTTTTTCACTTTGTGTCAGTTCTGGTAAGTTATTTTTATTTTTAGGAACTTTTCCATTTTCTCTATATTTTCATATATACTAATATGGATATATTAATAATGCCCTCTTTTTTTAACTGTGTTTTTATTCTGTGTTGATAGCCCCTCTTTTTAATTTCTGGTATTGGTTATTTGTGCTTAGTCTCTTATTGTCTTGCTATGTTTCCTTGAGTATTTATGAATTGTGTTATACATTTCAAAGAACTAACTTATTTGTTGATTCTTTGCATTACAATTTCATTTCATTACTCTCTGATCTTCTTATCATATGTCTTTTTTTTCTACATTTGGTAAATATAATTTGTTGTTCTAATTTTCCTTATAGATCTCTTTCTTTTCCTTTGTAATATATTGTCAGACAATATTAGTATGTGCATTCAAGTTGAAAATTGTTGTAATCTCCTGGAAACTTGAAACTTTTTATTATGAACTATCCCTCTTTAGTTATAGTATTGCTTTTCGGTGTAGATTTACTGTGTTTAATATGAACATAGTTACACAAACTGTATTTTGTTCAGTGATTGCAATGTTTGAGAAATTCCATATACCCAGGTTCCCAACATAATGGCATATACAGCCATGGTACAATGATCAAATTAAGAATTTAACATTAGTACAATATAATTAACTAAATTACAGATTACAGTTTCTCCAGTTCTTTTGGTATTATCATTTTTCTCTTCCAGGATCTAATCCAAGATACCACAGTATAATTGTTATATCTCGTTATTTTCCTGCTAAGTAGACAAGTGACAGTCATTCCTAGTTCACTTTTATTTCTAATTGTAGTGTTTCATGTTTTCAAACTAAAATGTGCATGCTTTACTAGGCAACCCTTTCCCCTCCTCATCTTTTCAAACCCTGTACTTTAATTTTTATACTTCTCTTCCTGGAAAGCTGTCCAAAGTATTGTTCATCTGTTTGTCTGTTAAGCTTTCTTTCTTGGCTCACCTTTATATTTCCATATTCCAGATCTTGGCTGGGTGATAGTTTACAAAACTGATACTTGAATTTGTTCTAGATGTCTTGAGTGGGATAATCTGTGCAAATATCTGGTTTGCTTTTACTTAAAATGGAAGTCTCTAATATTTTTATAACCAATCCAAACAGAGATGGTGGAATTACTCTATATCTCTCACCTCTAAAATAGGCCTATTAAACAGCATGTATGCATTCTTTTATTCTCTTAATATTATTGAAACTCTATATTGTGTTTTTAATTAATTGTATGCTAAATGCAAAATACTTGGGCTTGAGTTTTTTCTTTTTGTACGTTAAATACACAGATAGTGTATATGTTGTATATATTTTCTATGCTGAAATAAAGTATCCTCTTCTGATATAAGTGTGATCAAACATTCATCATTCAGTTTTTTTTAGTATCTACTGTTCTACCATGCATGTAATATAACTCAATTATGGTATTTGGAATTTCAGAGGAAAACTCATAAACAATTAGTAATAATAAGACAGTTATGGGCAATACTAGAATTATACAATATGTTCAAAATGTGGAGCTATAAAGAGAATAGATGCTTGGCAATTTTCCTGGTTTCTATCCAGGAAAAAAGTCTGACAGTGCTCCATCTGGAATATTTAGCAAAATGTATTTCAGTAGCTTGATAAAGATGGCATTGGAAAAAAAGAAAATAGGACAAAATCATAAAGCAAAAGTAGCAAATGTCAAACTGACAAGACTTTTATGTACCAAAAAGTCCAGAGGGGAAAAAGTGTCTTGTCTCACTAAATCTTCTTCTTTCACTACACTATATATCTCTTTGGAACGTGCATTACCAAGCTAGCCTAGCGAAAGAGCCCAACTCTTACTGTACAGTATAACTGAATTCCCTCAGTGCAGATAACTGTGGATCAAAAAGAGTGATAGGTGTGGTATTAAATGATTTACTATGATTGTTTATTCTCCTTCATCATTATAGGCTTCCTATGAAGTGTCTTAGTAAAGATGAGCCTACACCTGGCTCTCAGTTTCAACCTAGAAATCAATTACTTACATTGTGTTATAAACATTGTATTTTAACATACCCTGACAAATTAGAGACAAACTTGTTTGATATCCAAGGGTAAAATGCAGTATAATATAACAGGACATTTGAAGTAGAACCTAATAAGTAATTCCAAAGGTTAAAGAATAGGTATTTTGAAAAATGCCCTACAAACAACACAGTACATCACTTCTGATCTATAAAGTCAAATTAAACACTAACCTCACAGGTAAAATTCAATGACAGCAAATTTAGTCATGTCTCTTGAGGACCTGCAATCTTTAAAAACTAGTGTCGCAATTAGCTTTTATTTATATCTATCAAAGAAAGTACCTGTATCCTTAGTGAGGTATTTAGGTTACATCGTTTAATCACTAACATTTTCAGTGCTATCAACTTCAAAATATTACTATGTGACATAACTAATGGAAATGAGCCAGTATCACAGTAAAAAAAAAATTGGAAAAGACATGACACATTTGTTTGTGCCACAAGAAATGTTCAAAGTGTTCTAATATTATCTTTTCCCAAAACAGCACAGATCAGTAAATGAAATTTTAGAAATGTCTTTGGTTTTAAAATATTATAAAAATAATAATGTTATTTGATCTAAATAAAACCCTATTTTAAGTGATATAACATGGGCAACCTAGTTCTGTAGGATCTCAAAAGTCTTTTTTCTTGTTGTTAGTAAACATAAGATTTCCTTTATCTTTTCCAGTGTAGCGTTTTCAGAGGATCTCTATTGAAAGAAAGTAATTTTTACATGATTTTGATGCAGAGACTTAAATCTGTACTCCAGTGCTAGCCATAAAATGTCTGGACAGTACCCATCATGTATAGCAAGATGTCTGATTCTCTGTCACTTCTGTCCTTGAAATGATTTCTGAAAAAAAGAATGTGCCATGTTTTCAGAATAACATACTTATTTAAATCACATATTTTAAGAACACCATGCTTATTCAAATCAGAGTAACCCTAGCTCACCAAATGAAACTTGCCTGCATCCTCAAACCTTAGGTAAGGTTTTAATCCTCATCTTCCTACTCTTCAGAAGAATGCCAAGATATATTTGCAAACACATTTTTCCTCTCCATCTCAACACATTTCACTGAGCCTTACATATACATCCCCTAAGAGGTCCCCCATTTTATGGATGCCACATACACACAAATAATACTCTATTCTCCCTCTAAACCACTTTTCGATGATTCCTTATACACTGAGCAGTTGATATTAACTTCTGTTTTATAGGAAAGATAGAATAGAAGCTACAAGATCTGCAGTTATGCTTCCTCTTACCCAATTTACAGATAATATATGTTTGTGGCTGTGATACACAGAAAAATGGCATCCAAGGAAAGTCCACCTCCTAATCCTCAGAAGCTGTGAATATGTTACTTTATATGGCAAAATGGACTCTGCAGATGAGATTAAGGTATGGAATTTAAGATGAAGAAATTATCCTACATTATCCAGGTGAACCTAATCTAATCATATGCGTCCATAAAAGTGGACAACCACTTCCAGCTGGGTTTACAGGCTGAAGTAACTACTAGAGAATAATAAGAGAGATGTAATGCTAGTTTTGAAGATTAAGAAAGGTGACCATGAGCTATAGAATATGGGCAATCTCTAGAAGCTAGAAAAAGCAAGAAAATGAATTATCTTCTAGAGCCACCTAAAAGGAATGCAGTCCGGCAGACACATTGATTTTAGCCTAGTGAGACCCATAGCAAATTTCTGACCTGAAGAGCTGCAAGATAATAAATTTGTGCTGGTTTAAGCCATTAAATTTGTGACAATTTGTCATATCAGTGTTATAAATCTAATACACTGGATAATATACGTATCTATACCTAAACCTTGATTTACAGATGTGACAAATATATATGGAAAGATAATAAGAAATTTGAAATAATATGCATAAACTTTTTTTTTTGAGACAGAATCTCACTCTGTCGCCCAGGCTGGAGTACAGTGGTGCAATCTCGGCTTACTGCAACTTCTGCCTCCCAGGTTCAAGCAATTCTGCTGCCTCGGCCTCCTGAGTAGCTGGGACTACAGGTGCACACCACCACACCTGGCTTATGTTTGTATTTTCAATAGAGACGGGTTTCACCATGTTGGCCAGGCTGATCTCAAACTCCTGACCTCAGGTGATCCACCCACCTCGGCCTCCCTAAGTGCTGGGATTACAGACATGAGCTACCACTCCTGGCCCATGAACTTCTAATTAGTGGTTATTTGTGAAAGGCAGGATCACTGACATTGGTGCTAGGGATAAAGACAAACGGCTTTGTCAGTAATGTTCCATTTTTTTAATTCTTCTAATTTCTAAAGTGTCTTTTTAAATTATATTTATTTTTAGGATAATGAATGTAATAAATTAATTAAATTTTAAAAAACAAAGTTTGAGAGGGCAGAGGGACTAAAATTAATGTAATTGAGAAAATATATTTGCAAAACGACTGGATACCTCATCCTTTCTACCTAGTTACACTCTTCTGGTGTCCAGCAGTGGTTTTGGCCCCCAGGGTAAACGTGGAGTCAAATATATTAAAAGAATTGATTGTGTAGATTAGACCAGCACTCACATCACAATAGTACCTAAATCATAGGTTATTATTACAGTAGTGAGTTACTATCATGCCTGACAGATAGTGTTTATTGTGGGAAGTGTTAATATTATTGTTTACTAATTATCTTGCATAGGAAGTCCTCATTTCTATACACTGTTCTTGTATTTAAATTAAAACCCAAACTCTGTTGAGTCTCATTTTATGAAATTTTTTTTGGTGTTAGCAAATCTGAATCTTACCACTGCTCTTACTACTAATTTTAAATTGAACACTCTCCACTAATTTTAGTATCTACCCATAATTATGCAAAACTAAATTCTATTTTTTTCATTTTGCTGTCAATTTTAATTTCTTACTGAAAGATATTAAGATCTGCCAGGAGTTGAATTTACTTCTCTAATCTAGTCTTTATTCTTTTAGAAGGGGGAAGGAGACTCTCTGGAGTCTTGCCTCTTAGTTGTCAGATAATTGGTATCTGCAGATTCTGACTAAGCAGGTCTTACTCATTCAGTACTGAGAAAAGGGCAATTTTCTTCCCTTATCCTCCTTGTTCTAAATCCAAAAGGACTCCTTGTTTCAACTCTAAAAGTAGAATACACTCACCTACAACTATTGTTTTCTTCTCTCCACTTGACTTGAAAACCTAAACTAAAGAGTCTTTATAGTTGTGTTTTATTGGAATATTAGAAGACATTTTTATTTTGTAAGTTATATCAAGAAAAAGATTTTCATAAAATGGGCATGCTTAATTAAAGCACTCAGGCCTAAAGGAGTTCTGTGCTTATATGACTAGAAACCTAATTATTTTATGAAGCATACAAATTTAAATGACTATAATTATAGCTGTTTCATTGTTTGTTCATATTTAAATTAATAGTTTTATAAAACTGAACCAATATTAGCAAACCTGATTGTGATATGTACATATATAATATATACCCTTATGCTGATATCCATAGAAATTATAAATGATTGTTTTGAGAGCCCCCATCTAAATTGGGGTCCCAGTACCAAATGGCTGGCAACCCTGCCCTAACAGGAAATGAGGGGAAGCTGGACTTGAGTGTTTAGTGTGCCATTCATGGGATACTTCTTTTACCTGGCAGAGGGCCTAATGCCTAGTTGTTGTACCTGCGACCACGGAGTCCCTCAGATGCGAAACCTGTTGATACTGACAGACACCCGCATGTCTCTTGTCTCACCTTTGTCCAGTTTCTGCCTGCCTGACAATCACTCTGCTGATGGCAACCAAATATTGTCTTCTTCCTGGAGTCTCAGGGAAAATGTGGCCTGGGGCAGACCCTAGTTCTTCAGATGGAAGGTGAAACTTCAATACATCACCGCAACAGGAAACAATCTCAAGAATTTGTATTTACACATCCTGGACAAAGAAAGTGTAAATAAGTCTGGAATGCAGTCATCAGTTCCCAGGTCCTGGAAGGCAGGAGTCTGGAGTCAGGCAGAAAGAGAAAGCAGGCACAGTGACAACCAGCAGTACACTTAAGGATTAGAGTGCAGATTTTTCTAAGCTCCCAGGCCAATGCCTGAATACCTTTAAAGAAAGCAATAGGAAAACAGAAGCCCAGTCTGCTAGGTGGAAAAGATGCTTTTATGATCCTGCCTCTGGCCCCGGGCTTGAGCCATTGGGGTAGAACTGGAAACTGTGTCAAGGGTGACTGATTCCTGCTTCTAGTATGAAAAAATTAAACTTGCATTTGAAACGGATGCTGAAGCAACATAAAATTTTAAGAATTCACTCAATGTTATATTAGTCAAAACTCAAGAGGAATAATAACAAGGTGACTTTAGAGAAAAATAAGGACAGAACAATAATTCTAATTGGAGAGAAGGAAGAGGAGAGAAGGAGGTAAGTGAGCTTTGAGCAAAGTGATGATCAATAAAGTGGACATTGAACATTATTACTGTTATGACTATGACTACCACTATAAGTAACAAAAATAATAGTTCTGGCATTTAATAAGCACATATTATGCACCAAGAACTTTTCTAAATGCATAACATTAATTAACTCAGTTATTCCAAATTGTAATTATGCTTTCCCAGGGGAAGGGAGTTATAAATACATTCCAGAGGAATAAACATCATTATTAAAAGACTTAAAGTGCCAGATATATTAAAAGTGAGTTAAAGCATGGGGTGTGGCTGCTAAATGGAGAGAAACGTCAGAACAACATTGCATACAACCTGAATGTCATGGTAAGACATCTGAATTTGATGGCTTTGTAGTAGAGTCATCAAAATAATGCAAGTAATTTACAAAGCTGATCTGTCTTTTAGAAACATTCAGGAGTGCAGAGATTAAACTCACAACTGTAGACAAAGATATTGGAGAAATAGACAAGATAGAAATGAAGAGTAAGGTAGAATTAGAGAATTATTTAGTGGCACTGCATTTCATGTTGGAAATATTGAGATTGAAATGCCAATGGCTCACCCAGGTGAGAAGGCTAGAAATAGAGATTTTATAATAATCAAGATATGAGAAATGCCCAAGCCCAGTAAGCATATAGAGTCAAAAATGATAAAGAAATAAATAAGATAAGACAAATGCTCGTGATAAAGAATCATTCCAGCAAAGGAGATTGGAAAGAGTTGTAAGATAATTAGGTGGGAAGGATAATATCATGGAAAACAAAGAGAGGAGTTATTTTCCAATAAAATAATCCACAGTATCAAAAGGGGCAGATGATAACTGGTATATTTACTATTGAATTTTGAAAATGTAAAGAAAATCATCAGCCTAGAAAGAGCAAATTATGGAGCAGTCAGTGTGGAAATTAAATCATAGAGGATTAAGGAAATGAATAGTCAATTTTAAAATCTCTTTAATAGGCCTAAAAACAAGATTGCCAATAAAGAATGGGGAACAGATGGGGGAAGTAGTTTGAATGGGAAGTGGAGGGCAGGGAAGTTAAGTTGGAGAAATTTTAATGAAGGTGGGGGAAGCATCTGTAGTCCCTAGGTATCCTTTGGGGATTGGTTCCAGGACCTGTTGTGAACACCAAAATTCATGTGTGCTCAAACACCTGATATAAAATAGGATAGTATTTGAATGTAAATAACCTATGTATAACCTCCCTCATGCTTCAAATAATCACTAGATTACTGAAAATTCATAATACAATGTAAATGTTGTGTAAATATTTGTTATTCTATATTGTTTAGGAAATAATAACAAGAAACATATCCTGTGTATGTTCAGTACAAATGCAATTTTTGTTTTTAAGTATTTTTGACTCAAGTTTGGTTGAATCTCCAAATGCACAACCTATGGATAGGGAGGACCAACTATACTTGCCAATAGATTACAAATTACTTAGAACCAGAGAATATATGGTGATTAATGAACATTCCTGAGAATTAAATTGAATTATTAATAAACCTTTAGGATATAACATATTTTTAAATTTATGGATTGCCCATACAGATTTTTAAAATACTTTATATTCTTCTCAGATCAGGGAATTTTGCAACAATTTAATCAAAGCTAGGAAAAGGTGGAGACATAATAAATATAATTAAGTTATATTTTTAAAATTTTATTCAATGAAAACAAGAACTCTTTGCCACATAAATCATGTAATTAGTCTCCAAATAGCAAATGCTCACCAAATATACTTATCTTGTTAGGTCATTTAATTAAACTGATGATAAATGTTGAAAAAAATCACTAGATTGTTTGCTGTCCTTGACAATATATCTAAAAATACGGCCCAAGACGTATAACTAAGGAAAATAGCATTTCAAATATACAAGATATCTAAATAAAAACAGACATATTTCAAGTGTTTAAGTCGTAGTTTTACAATATGAATAGTCTGAAGTATCAAGCTATCTGATAATCTCTGGGAAATACATAATGTCAGTGCTTATGTTGTTATTTATGACCTTTAAAATTTAGGAAGGTTAAAAAATATTATTGAACAATCCTAAATTTTCTAATAAATATGACCATCAAACCATAGTTGATTATTTCTCAAAGAATATGTCAAATTTTATAGGTGTTTCAGAAAAATGGTAAGAGTATTACACACTAGGTCTTTCTGGAATCATTGCTGTATATAAATGTATATATCATGCTTCATATCTAAATATTAAAATACTTTCCTGTTGTGATTAGGGATTATGTTCTTTTTTTTTTCTATTATTTTTATTGCTCTTAAAACAAAATAGTGCTTAATAGGCCCGTAATTTAAACTTATCAGAATAAGGTAACATGTTTCCCAATAACTCATATTATACTTAAAATTTACGTGTGAAAATATTGAGACTTAACTGGGATAAGGAACCTGCTAATTTATAGATAGCTCTCATATTATTTATTTCAGGAAGAGTTTTGGGTTTTTTTGCTTTTAATGTAATCACCCACTAGTCACTATACTCAGAAAATTGATAGAACATTGAATAATGTCATTCTCACTCATGATCTTTAGATTAAACTGGAGACCTTTTTAAAGTACCAATTGAAGGGATCACTTTTTTCTTCCAGCCAAGTCTATCTGCCCTCATGTAGCTCCTCACAGAGCAAAGAACCAGAAAGACCGCCTGAATTCTCTACTCTCAAAGGGAAGTAGAGTGTTCAATTTAGACTTTGCTTCTATCAGCTTTGTATTAGCCTGTTCTCATGCTTCTAATAAAGGCATACCTGAGACTGAGTAATTTATAAAGGAAAGAAGTTTAATTGACTCACAGTTCCACATGGCTGGGGAAGCCTCACAATCATGGTGGAAGAGCAAGGGACGTCTTACATGGCAGCAAAAAAGAGAGAATGAGAGCCAAGTGAAAGTGGAAACCCCTTATAAAACCATCAGATCTTGTGAGACTTATTCACTACCACGAGAACAGTATGGGGGAAACCACCCCATGATTCAGTTATCTCCACCTAGGTCTCTTCCACAACATGTGGAAATTATGAGAGCTACAATTCAAGATGAGATTTGGGTGAGAACACAGCCAAATAATATCAAGCTTTCATGATTACAGTTTTACTGTGAATTTCATTGATGCAGTTGTCTTTTCTGTCTCAAACTAATTTAGCAATTTCAATTTATATTTAAGATACTGTGGGCAAAATAAGACCAACAAAACCTAAATAAATGAATTAAAGGCAATGAACAAGTCATTAAGGGTTTGTGGTTTTATTTTTCTTCCCAACTCGGCTTCCCAAGTCAAGAATAAACTTGTGGGAAAATCACCAGCAGATAGAATGCATTGACGATCAGATACAAATTTGACAATGCCCCAATTGTGCTTCTCATCATTTGTAGGCAGAGCTTTTCCTAAAATTAGGAGTACTTATGTGGAAAACAGATGTGAGGGTATGGGAGAGGAAGCACATCAGACAAAATGAAAACCTATCGTTTCTAATTCTATCCCATTTAAAATGAGTCAAGACAGTGTTTTCTGAAAACTGTATTCTTCCCTGATTTTTTCTATTCTTTTCAGGCCTATTTCCTTAGCAATATTCTTGTGACTTAAATGGTCTGAGGATAGCAAAAAAGCAGTAAATTTCATGGGGAAATGCTCCCATACTCTCTTGACTTACAGGTAGATTTCCACATCTCTGAGATTCACTGTTGCCCAGTCTTGAAATCCTTCAGTGATACTCTGGAAGCAAATAGATTTTTGTTTTTTGTTGTTGTTGTTGTTGTTGTTGTTTTGATTTTAACTTCTGAGTTTTTGGGAAAGGAATGAAGATAACATGCTTTAGTAGGTATTTTTTCACATTTTGTACCAAATAAACCTAAGAACTTACACATGTACCACCCTCCCCAGAGGCATATGGAGATGCATACGCTTGCACACACTCACACAGGCACAATCACACCCACACACCTCCAGTGACTTTTGATTTCTCTCAGAGTAAAATTGAAAGTCCTTATAATGGTCTGAAAATTTCTAGGTGATCTGCCCCACCATTCACTTCCCTAACTTCATTTACCTTCGCCCTCCTCCGAGCTTTTGGTCAGCTCTACTCATTCTGGCATTCTTGCTTTCTTGCAATGTTTAATATTTTACATATGTAGGCTTCCTTATTAGGGCCTTTCTGCTGGCCATTTACTTCTGCTTAGGTCACTCCGCAGATGGGCATATGACTGATGAACTCACCTGCTTAATACGCTTGCTCAAACGGCATCTTCACAATGATGCCTATCTTGCCCACTCTTTTTGAAACTTCAAACCACCTCTACCAGCAAATCTGACCTTTTTACCCTGACCTGTTTTTTCAATTTACTTATCTTCTTTAATATTCATTATAATACAGTTATTTATCATGTTTTTATTGTTGTTTATTTTCCTCCACTATCATGGAAGCTCCACAAGTTACAGGTTTGTTTTGTTTTCTGATAGACAATGTGCCTAGAAGAATGCATAGACTTTATTGAATGCATGTGTATTAAAAGAATAGAAGAAAAGAAAAGGAGAAAGAAAGGCAATAGAAGAAACGAGTAAAGAAGAGAAGATTGAAAGGCACAAGCTAAAGATAAGAAGAAAGAGTGCTAAAGAGATTTAAAATCTCTGTTCATACTTTTTTCCTGGAATAGAGTTTGTGCTCTTCATCCTGTTCTTTTTTCCTTGTCACAAGTGGGTTCAATCATGGAGCACCCATCCTATACACAGCTCTATGGCAGAGACAGGTGATCAAAGTCTCTCTCTCACCACTTCATCCAAAGAACTCTAAACTAGGATGTCAAAAACACACTGACATTGTCAAATTTAGACTTGTATGTTATCTCAGGCAGCCATTGCTTCTGCTGACATCTTTGTACTTATGTTAAAAAATTAAATTGATATGTCTATTTTAGGAATTCCATTGAATCTCAGAAACAGCTTGTTCTATGAGCTTTACTTAATATGGGTTGGTTAGAAGAAAGGAGATGCATCCCTTAAAGACTAAATATTCCTTTTAATGTTCCAGTATTCTTTGTACTTAAAGAGATACAGAGCTAATGCCTGAAACAAAACAGAAATTTGATTATATCTACGTACATCATCTTTTGAGAGTTTCATTCTCAGAGGAGGCTATCAGTATATTATGGTTGAGATGTTTTGAAACTTAAAGTGAACTATTTAACAACTACAATTTTTAAAATGTAAAAATACAAGCATTTAAATATGTAAAAACAGTTTAATCATTTGTGTGACAAATACTTTATGTATTTCATACAGGTTCACCTTATTATTAACCGAAGTAACCCTTTTTCCAAGTACATAAACATGATATAGTTTATAACAATTGGTTTTTCACATAAACTAATTATAATGATGGGCATTATAAAATATTATTCAATTTTCTTAAAGATCATTAAATATTAACATAGTAAATACAATTTACCTTTATTTTGAAAGTTACCATCATATAAAAATAGGCAAGTACTTGTTTAATTTTACCAAATAATAGTTATTGATACATATTTATGTCATATACAATTCTAAGGTAAACCTAAGAATTTAATCTAAGACCATTAGATTTAAAGTTATGTTTTGTGTATTTCTGAAGCAAAATACAAAATTATTACACTGGATTTTATAAGACAGATTTTATGAATTTATTGATTATTTTAAAAAGAAAACATTACCTAAAACTTTAGTGTTGAACATCTTTATGATAATCAGATCAAAGACTAAAGGTTAAAAAAATTCATAGTTCAAGGAAGGCATTCAACTTTTTATTTTCTAATTAGAGCATTCCAGATTATATGGATATATTTTAAAAATCTATGATAGTGAACCATGATGGCTTTCTGATTAATTATTATTCTGTGATTATCTCACATTTCTAAGTATGTATGGGATGAAAAAAAGGCAAGTATAAGTAATTTTCTTTAAAAGAAGTAGGAGTTCTTAGCAAAGCTAGTGGACAGACAAAAACAAACACAAATGAAAACCATGGAAACAATCCCTAGTTTCACCTTCTCTCCTTCTTTCACCATCAAAAGGCAGATAGATCCAGCTAGTGTTTTCCTTCCAAGCATTTAATTTTTTTCCCAAAGTCCAGGTTATAAGGCCATTTTCAGATATAACTAAGTTATATTTTAGTCTGTTAAGAAAAGGGAGAGGTGGGAGATAAAATGAAAGAAAATATATTTCTTAATTCTCTCCCTCTTTGTTGTCTCTTGTTTTTTTGTTTTGTTTTGTTTTGTTTTTGTTTTTTTAAGACAAAGTCTCACTCTATTGCCAAGGCTGGCCTCAAGCTCCTGGGCTCAAGTGATCTTCCCACCTTAGCCTTCCAATTAGCTGGCACTACAGGCACACATCACACCAGAAGGCCCAGCTTAACTTTCTCTTTGTAAATTATGATTATTCATAAACTGAGAAACAAAAGATTTTCTGGAATGTTCTACTGCATTCAGATAATGATTTTTTTGTTTTTTATTATTTATACATATAAAGTGCCTATGAATCATTTGACTAAAATATTTAACTAAAGAATACAAGGTGACAAGATATTATCTCTTTTCAGAAACACTTTGAATTAAAATGTTAATCACTTTGGAAATCTAGGATAGGAAATTAACATTCATGGATATCCTTTTTTGCTCATTGTCACAATACAAGAAAAAAATATCTATATTGCAATGCTCCAAATGTTTAACCAAGAATAGATTTAAGACATTCTTGATGTTCAGAATAAATACAAGTAATGAAGTGACAGTTGCCAATTCAGAAACATCAAGATTTCATCCAATTTTTGAGTCTGTCCTTGTTTTACAAATGTAACATTTTAAGGAGCACTGTCTACTGGAAGAAAAGCTTCTCAGAGTAATGAAATAATTTGTTGTGAGTCTTCTTATGCTTAACAGTGTTGCAGGTTTTCACTATATATTACAGGTCTTTGTAATAGCATTTTACTAAAAAAAGCAACTTTTAAAATCTGTTATCCTATGGATCCTCACAAAATTCCCAAAACAACTTGCCAGGTATTGTGACTTCTATAGTGTAGTTGAGAGAGTTTACCCTGAGAAAGGCTAAACTACTTGTCAAAGGTCAGATTGAATTTTTTTTAATTTTATTTTTAAGTTCCAGGGTACATGTGCAGGATGTGCAGGTTTGTTAGATAGGTAAATGTGTGCCTGGTTGGTTTGCTGCACCTGTCAACCCATCACCTAGATATTAAGCCCCACATGTATTAGCTGTTTTTCCTGATGCTCTCCCTGTGTCAATGTATTCTCATTGTCCAGTTCCCACTCATAAGTGAGAAAATGCTGGTTTTCTGTTTCTGCATTAGTTTGCTGAGAATAATGGCTTCCAGTTCTATCTATGTCTCTGCAAAGGACATGATCTCATTCCTTTTTATGACTACATAGTATTCCATGGTGTATACGTTCCACATTTTATTTATCTAGTCTATCATCGATGGGCCTTTGGGTTGATTGAATCCTAATTCTAGATGTTTTTATTCTTTGCACCTTTAGGTTAGTACTCTTTTTAAAAAATTTAATTCACTAAGCAATGTTAAATACATATTTAATGAAAATTTTTATGCAAACAATAATTCATCGGATTATGGGTTTTGAACAATTATATCTGAAACAATATAAAATGTATATTATGTGTTTTTATTTTAACTTATAGGATATACTTTTAAGTGATGTAGAAGCAATTAATTCAAGACCCCACATTACTTTTGATAGAGGTGATATAGAAAGCTTTAACTGAAAAAGTTAACATACTTTTTCACTTGCTGAACTTAGTACTAAGGGGAGACTTAGGTTTTTAAGGCATCCTGATTAATTTCTTATTAAATGCTATTGCATCTTATGATTGAGATGTATATCAGTACACCTTAACTTCAAGATTTTTTGAGGAGTTGCATGAGTTTTGAAGATAGTGAATTATTATATGTAAGAAGCTCATACTGATGTTACTACAATTCCTCTCTTTCAACCAAATCATGTTCTCAGGTCAGCAATTCTTGTAGACCTAGCCCAATAAAAGCATAATGTTTTCTCAAAAAATAAATCAGTATACACACAAGGCATACGATGCCAGTAACATTATTTTTATTATCTTTATAATTAATAGCTCCCGAAACATATAGCAGTTTAATTAAGTTTACAGTGCTTTTGCTTCTTTAATCCAGTAAATAGAATAGAATTGCTATTTTCCAATGGTTTGCTATTCTACTAGCTTGATGATTTACTGCATATGTAGGCAGAATGAGCAAACAAATTAACTTCTATCCTCAAGTGAGAGGACTAAAAATTAATTAGACCAGTTTCATAAAGCAACAAGGTGATTCTAGGCTGTCTTTCCATGCACAGACTTCGATGATATAAAAGTAAATTCCTATGTTTTAGAAAGAAATATGGAACCAGATTTATTTGTTTTATTCAATATGTTCTCTTACTGTTTGTGATAAATTGTCCAATTATACTATCCAATCTCAAGGGGGAAATTAGGCAAGATTTATATTTTATATTATTTTAAATTCTGGTGATTCCTACGGGTAAATATGCAACAGCTTGAGTGCAAACTGTAGGCTATATTCAATGTACTTTTTTTTTTTTTTTTTTTTTTTGAGGCGGAGTCTGGCTCTGTCGTCCAGGCTGGAGTGGCGCAATCTTGGCTCACTGCAAGCTCCACCTCCCGGGTTCACGCCATTCTCCTGCCTCAGCCTCCCAAGTTGCTTGGACTACAGGTGCCCACCACCACACCTGGCTAATTTTTTGTATTTTTAGTAGAGACAGGGTTTCACCGTGTTAACCAGGATGGTCTCAATCTCCTGACCTCGTGATCCACCCGCCTTGGCCTCCCAAAGTGCTGTGATTACAGGCGTGAGCCACCGCGCCCGGCCTATTCAGTGTACTTTTAATGAATTTTGGGGTTGATGAAAAACAATAAAATAAACTGTTGCAAGACCATTTGTGAGCTTTGTACTTAAACTGGTCAGTTTAAAGATTTTTATGATCCTCCGATTTTTTTAAAGTAGTTGTGACTCTTGGCTTTAATATAAATAATTACACAGAAATTATATTTCATCATTTGATTATTATTTATGTTTTAAATAAAAGGTTAGGTTAATCTTACTTTCATTCCCCCAAAACTTTATTAAAGAAATTTTCTTTAACTGCACCAGGTTAGAATGCATCATTGTCCTATCAGAGATCATAACTGTTAATGGATTTAGAGTTCGTTGGTGCTCTGTAGAAATATCATGCTAATACATTTAATCCATTTGGTGATACCTGAAGACACAATGATGAAAAAAACAAAAACAATGCTTTTTAATAAGCATCCTAAAATCAGTAGTTTATAATAGTCTAAAATTTAACCTTTGTAAAATTCCATAGGTAGAAAATGTTAGCTTTATTTTATAGCATGAGCAACTGAATATCTAGTCTGTAAAATTATTTCAATAAAGTCCCAAAATTTGTACATGATGCATTTGTGATTCCAGTTTGGGTCTTTTAAACCAGGGTTTCTCCAACTGTGGTTCCTAGAGTGCAATCATTAGTATTATCTGGAAACTTATCAGAATTATTGGCATCATATAGAAGCTGGAAATGCTCATTCTCAGGCACCACTCCATATGTAATATATCAGAACGAGAAACATTACAGGTAGAATCCATCGATCTGTATTTTAATAAGCCCTCCAAGTGGTGTTGATGCACACTAAAATTTTATAACAGTTTTAAACTATAAAACGTATACTTTGACAATGATGCTATATGACTCCTGCCAGACAAGGTTTTAAAGTTGCACAGATATCTACTTAACAAACATTAAGAATAGGTTACATAAGGACTGGGAAGGAGGGAATAAACCTAATTATTGGTACATAATATGACTGTCTCCACAGATAATCTAAATAAATTTACTGACAAATCAATAAAATTTATTTGAAAGTTTAGCAACGTGTTTGTAAAAATATCAATATACATAAGCTGTTTGTATTTCTATATATAATCAAGAAAACACTGGAATTAAATTTTATAATATATTAAACATAAACAAAGCTGCCAAGTAATTGACAAAACAATCAACAAAAATTTGTGTGAAACCTATGCATTGACACTTGGAACACTGTAGTAAAGGACATTAAAGAAGACCTAAATAATTACCTTGATATTTAAAGTTCGTACATAAAAAAATTTACTACCATAAGAATATGATTCTACCAAGATTATTCTAGAAATGTAATGGTTTTCTAATAATATTTGAAACAGAGTTTCTATGGCCTGGCCCAGTTGATAATAAATTGCACACAGAAGAGCAAAGATGAAAAAATATCTAAGACTCTGAAGTAAAATGGCTAAAATATATAAAGATTTATTGATGTATGTATCAATAAATATATCTAAAATATATCATGATTTATTATAAACTTACAATAAATACAACGGTGATGTTATAGTGTAATAAAAGACATACTGACTAAAATCAATGAATAAAAAGCTTTGAAACAGACATACACGTACAGGCAACTTTGATATCTGACAAACACAGCATAATAGTTTACTGAGAATAAAATACACTGAACAACTAGGCAGCTAGGAAAAAAAATCTTTAAAATGGAAGAAAGGATGGAAAGAAAGAAGAGAGAGAGAAAGAAAATATATCCAAACATATTTGAAAAAAGTATAGGTAAACAATCTTGAGGCTGTGAAGACTTCTTAACCTCTTCCTTCCAAAAACTCAATATAATGTAATCACTGTATACATATATGAATATATATCAATTCAAATGTATTAAAATTGAAAAATTCTGTTTATAAGGGACATCTTCAAAGAAAGTGAAAGGAGGTTATGAACTGAAAGAGGATATTGTATTATATATAATAAAATTAATATTCAAAAATGTTAATAACTATTAAAGCATGGTCACGGATTAATAAACACGTAAGCCACTTGTAAACAATCAGCATGTACATACTTGGTATCATGGGCTGAATGTTAGCTTGCGCATAGTCAACAAGGGATTAGTATTGAGAATATATAAGAAACCCTACCAATTAATAGAAAGATTCAACCATCTATAGAAAAATGGCAAATAACATGATCTGGCAATTCATAGCAAATAAGAAAGATATGGCTTTAAACAAACCCCCCTCCCCCACATACACACAAGAGAAGCCAAACAAATTATTAATCAGAAAAATGCAAATCTAGACGAAAATGAGACTTTCTACGTAAGTGACAGGAAAAAAATTAGAACCATGGCTAAATATCATTCTATCAAATGATAGATATAAATGAATAATATAATCTTTTCTTGGTGAAAATGTAATTATAAGAACCATTTTGGACAAAAATAGGCATTACTAAAAAAATTAAAACTATTGGAGTCATTCTACTTCTAACTATACATGTAAGAGAAAATGTACATTCAGAGAAAGAAATAGGCACAAAAATCTGTAACAGTAGTGAAAAACTCGAAATAACAAATATCATACACTGGATAATTAAGAAATTAATTGTGGTTTATATATGTAACAGAACATTAGAGAATAGTGATGACATTACAGTTATATAAAATAATATAGAAGCATTTTAAATACTAATCTTTGATTAGTTTAAGCAATTCAAAATTATTATTTTTATACATTTCAAAAACAGGCAAAAATAGCTAAACATGTGCACACACATATATAAACATACATAGACATACATGTAATACCATAATAAAATACCATTAAGGGAATAATCAGTGTTGCACTAGCAAAATTTACCTACTTCTACAGGAAAAGCAAAAAGTTTCAACGTGCGGCGTTTGTAAATTTCTGTGGTGTAAATACTTTCACAATGTGATTTCAAGCTACCAATGTGAAGACAGAATCAAGGAATAATAATAGATAATAATAATGAGAAAAGACAAAATTGGCTCTCACAAGTCAGCATCATCTGCTTTCACACCCTGCTGGAAACCAACACAAAGGTTAGGAGACCTCTGTGGTGATAAGGCAGGGAAATAGAACATTCAAAAAAGCAAATGTTATTTATTTATTCGAAGTTTTTGAGTTGGCTGTTAATTGCACATGCATGCCTTATGTTCACTAAATAAATAATCAAGAAAATAAATTAGTACAATGGTAAAGGACTAAAAGATTAATACAAGTATCATTCTTGAACCAACAATTATAAATAATACGATTTAGTAAAACTAACATCCTAGAAAAAAACATAATATGCTTAGACAGATAAATTAAAATACACTATGGTAAATTTGACAGTGTTTGCTAAAGGATAATAAAGTAAATGGGTTATATTTTATTTCTGGTGTACATCCTAATTGGAGATACAGGTGAAAGACTGTACTTCCAAAATCCCTCACCTATAGATAAATAGGAGCAGATGATGATATTTGAGTGGATAGTAACAGCATCAAGAATATTGTCACCCTCCAGGCCAGTAGTTCTGTATCTTGTATATGTGTCAACATGCGCCTCATCCTAGCCAGGTGCCCTCCACCCATCTCCAATATGATTCCAGTACTTTATGCTATAGAACAATGGTTCTCAAACACTGGTATGCATCAGAATCAACTGGAGAGCTTGTTAAAACACAGATTTCTGGGTTCCACTCTCAGACTTTCTCCTTCAGTAGGCTGTTTGGGGACCTGAACATTTGTAATTCCTTCAAACAAGTTGCCAGGTATTGCCACAGCTGCTGAACATCACACTTTGAGAACCACAAGTACAGTACACTCAGGTAGCATCGGCATCCTTTTCATTGTCTCTCAGCTGCCTCAGCTCACTCAGTCTTTTTCAAGAACATTGTTGAATTTAGAACTATGAAATGAGAACAAGGGTTTATAACCTAGACCTCTGTAAGTCATGCCAATAAGAGCTGAGACCAGATGAATATCTAATACTGTAGAAATAATAACTGTCTGTAAGGAATTGCCCTATGTATTGTAGAAAGCCTACACCCAAAAATTAATTATATTACAGTAATGTTACTCCAAAAGCACTTTTCTCTATTAATTTTTAAATTGTGGTAAAACACACATAACCTAAATCTTACCATTTTATTCATGTTAAGTGTATAATTCAGTGGTATTCAGTACATTCACATGGTTGCACATTCATCACTACTATACATCTCCAGAATTTTTTCATAATCCCAATCAGAAACTCTATCTCCATTAAACAATAATCCTCATTCCCTCTGCTTCTGAGTCCCTTGTAAACTCTATTGTACTTTCTGTCTTCATGAATTTGACTACTCTAGGAATCTTATATAAAAAAATAATATGATATTTGTCCTTTATTCATCTGCCTGACTTAGCATAATGTCTTCAATGTTAATTAATATTATAGCATGTTCAAAAGTTTCCTCCTTTTGAAGGCTGGATAATATTCTGCTGTTTATATGTATCACATTTTATTTACCTGTTAATCTGTTGCTGGACATTTAGGTTGCTCCCACCTTTTGGCTGTTGTGAATAATGCTAACATGCATGTTTGATCTCCTGCTTTCACTTCTTTTAAGTATATATTCATAAATAGAATTTTGGGAAAATATGTATGGTAATTTTACATTTAATGTTTTAAGGAATTAACATACTGTTTTTCCACAGAACTTGCACCATTTTACAATCCCATTAGCAATGCATAAGTGTTTCAATTTCTCCACATTGAGGCAAAAGCTTGTTTTCTGTTTTTTTCATATTGTTTGTTTGTTGTTTTGTAATAGCCATTTTAGAAATGTGAAGTGATATCTTATTGTGGTTTTGATTAAGCAAATGCACTTCTGCATTGATGTTTATGTCACTTTTCTCATACATTGACTGACGGGTGTCAGTTGTAATCCTGTTATTGTATGGGTGATGCAAGAGGACAAGAGGGGCCAGGTGAGGTGGCTCAAGCCTGTAATCCCAGCACTTTGGGAGGCCAAGGGTGGGTGGATCATCTGAGATAAGGAGTTCGAGACCAGGCTGGCCAACATGACAAAACCCCGTCTCTACTAAAAATACACAAATTAGCTGGGTATGGTGGTGGGTGCCAGTAATCCCAGCTACTCGGGAGGCTGAGGCAGGAGAATTGCTTGAACCCAGGAGGCAGAGGTTGCAGTGAGCCGAGATCGTGCCACTGCACTCTAGCCTGGGCGACAGAGTGAGACTTCGTTTCAAAAACTTAAAAATAAATAAATAAATAGGACAAGAGGACAGGGATTCAGGAAGATCACTCTGCCAGCATGTTAAATCATGATTTTTCCTCTCACAAACTCCCTTATTTCTAAAGATATTGCATTTTGCCTTTTTCTTATTTTATTTTTCTTTCTATTTTATTTTTTGTAGAGGCAAAAAATAAAAGGGCTTTCACCATGTAGCCGAGGCTGGTCTGTAACTCCCGAGCTCAAATGATGCACCCAACTCGGCCTCCCAAAGTGCTGAAATTACAGGCATGAGCTAATGCACATGGCTGCTTTTTACCTTTCAACCACAATGGCATCCCTTTTTGTCCCTTTCTATAAAACCATTTTTTTTTTTTTGGTTGAAAAAGCCAGCTTCACTGACTCTTACTCAGCCAGAACTTAACTGCATTATCGTCACCTTAAAATTTCTCATTCTTTTTATCAAACATGTTTGCTGTTTCCTCAACCCCAGGTAACTTCCATATACACTTTCCTGCTCATTTGATTCCTGGCTCAAACCTCTGAGAGTAGCTGAAATAATTCACAACATAGCTGGTGGCTTTTCAAAACATTTTTGATATGACTCAAATGGCATCACTACTAATTGAAATGACTTCAGTTTATATATGACTAATAACATTGAGGCCATTTAGCTATGACTATTTAAAAGTATTTAATAATCGCTATTTATTATTATTAAAGTTTCCTCATATTTTTTGTTTTTGTACTTCCAAACTTTTATGTTCTCATTCTCTCTCTCACTCTCTTTCTTTCTCTCACACATTGCTTTAACTTGGAAGTACATCCCATTTTTAAGACTAAATTTCTCCTTGACTTGTTGGGGTCACATTTTTCATCATGTTTTCTTTCTCTCTTTTTTTTTTTGGCATTTCCATTCTTTTTTCATCATGCTAATTTTTCTTCTCTATCTATAATAATGCCCAGGCTCTCCCATGCTGATTAATGAAGTAAGTAAACAACTAAACCACAAACAGCACCAACAACAAAATCTCATCATGTCCCAGCCACCTTGTCAGCTTACTTTCTGTATTAGTCTTCCTAACAGGAAAGAACTGTAAACTAAGTATTTTTCTGTCAACTCTGTCTGATTACAGTCAATAATTTTCCCTTTCCTTAAATGTATTTACTGAAACACTCACTGCAAAATTATCTGGCACTCCATAATAATATAATCCAAGGAATATCTTCTTTCTCCTCCTTTGGCTTCACCTCCAGGTATTTGAAACTGTCAACTACCCTGCATGAGCTCTCTTTTCTTGACTTTCTGGACACTTCATTTTCTGTTCCTTACATTTCCTTTCATATTCACATCAAGCCATTTTTCCTTAAATTAAACTATCACTATATTTGATGTAGTAGAACAATGTGATCTTTTCAAAGAATAAAAATCAGAAGAAAATGAGGTGCTTATTCAGATGTATCTTAAAAACTTGTCAAGAAGTGCTTATCAAAAGGCCAATTTGTACACCCCAGCACAGATCTGCAGAAATTAGCACAGTGCCTTCCCTAAAGTTATTGCTCACTTAAATTTTGTTGGACAAACATGAAAATCTTTATCTCTAAAGGACTTCATTTTTCTGCTGTGTTATTCTATCAAAATTATCTCAGTCCTTGACATATGGAAGCATCAATTTTCACTCATCCTTTGAAAAGCTGACTGAAATTTTTGCATTGCAAATTAGTGGGTCTACAATACTTTAAGGTATTCAGATGCCATGGCCCTGAACCTCTTCTGCTTGTGGTGTTTATTCAAATATCAGAATGTTTTATATTTGCCTCTGTGCTTTCTGGGAGGAATGCACCGAGGGATATATTATCTTAGGGGTCCACAGAACAAATGCCTAATTTTGCTATAGTTTCGGTTTTCCATTTGTGTTCAGTTTCTTTCTACTTAAAATACCACCTCTATATTTTATGACTTGTCATATACTTTTGTAAATTGACTGACAAGCTTTCTGATTTTTGTCAACCAGGCAGCATCCTTAAGTTTTATGAGCATAGATACAATTGGGAGGAGGTATATCACTTAGATGGCTTCAGATGCCTTAACCAGGTAACTCAGGTTTTTAGAAGCTTTTTGAATACAAGCCAGTGAATCCACTCTGCAAAAATTTCAAGTTCTGCACCTGTTTTATTTTACTATCATTTAAAAATTACATTATGCAAACACAGACTTGAATCACTTTAAATTTACCACTTATATAGAAAAATTAAAAATTCAAGTAGAATGATATTTAAACAGATGCGATCACATAAAATATAAATGTGAACATATATTTTATAGCAAAGTGGATAAGGAGTAAACATACACATGGTTACATGTAATCTGGTTTCCTATTTGTTTTGGCAAATTGCATTGCATTTTTAACAACTTCTGAATGTAACTCATAATTATTAAAAAGTAAACAGTTGGCTTCTTCATGAAAATACATTTTTAACTTTTACAAACTTTGACATGAAAAGCATTAACATTGGAAATAATTTTTATTCTAGCAGGAGCTACTTCTTTATATAGTAAAAATAAGCAATTCTGAAATGCTGATTAAAATTATTTCCTTTAAGATGCTAAAAAGGATAGAATATATGAGCAGAACATGGCAATTTAGATGCCTTGAATTTTCTTATTTATTCATCCAGGTATGTATTTTTCATACTGAAAAATACTCAATTATTTAACTATTTAAACTCTCCTACATTGCAAAATTAGTGAGAAACTGTAAAGATTAGTGACAGAAGAAATTTCTTAGTATTTAAAATAAAACCTTCTGATTTTATTACTTACTAGATCTCTACTTCCAGCATATTATATAATATCTACACTCTAATTTATTTATATGTAAAAATAACAAAATAATTTTAATATACAAGAGTTGTAATAGATAAGTGCTAAATTATACCAAATCATGTTGTAAACCTTGATGTAGGCACTAATTGCTTTAAAATGCTAGATGTAGTGTACATAATAGACAAATAAATAGTAACCAATGTTAGTGGATGAAACTGAAACTGCCATTGCAAAGTTATAACTGAGACAGTGACAGAGATCTGACCTAAGCAACTCTGTCTTACTTCTAACCTCCAAGTTGTTCTTGTTCATTCCTGGGCATAGGCTGAACTAATTTTGGGAGGAATTTAGTTTATAGTCTATAGTTTGAAACAAAGTGATAACAGCCCTTTCCCCAAACAAGCTGCCTTCTTACCTGGGGACTAGACTGCCTTTGTAGGACTAAACATATTAGCCACCAGATTAGAAATTATGGTTTAGGAGTCATGCAGCTGGAGGCTGCAAGATTCTAAATCCCCCAAATTGCTCCTGGGAATAACATCACTATTGTAAAACCTAAGATCAGTGCTTGAGATATTTTGCAGACCCTGCACTTGATGGATCAGCTGGCATCATCCAGATCAATAAACTGGCTCATCTGGTCTTATGGCCCCCACCCAGGAACAGACTCAGCACAAGAGGGCAGCTTTGACTCCCTATGATTTTATCTCTTACCTGACCAATGAGAAGCCCCAGTTCACTGGCCTCATACCCACCAAATTATCCTTAAAAACTCCGATCCCCGGATTCACAGGGAGACTGATTTGAGTGATAACAAAACTCTGCTCTCCCACAAAGCCTGCTCTATGTGAATTACTCTTTCTCTATTGCACTTCCCCTGTCTTGATAAATCAGTTCTGCCTAGGCAGTGGGGGAGGTGAACCTGTTGGGTAGTTACAAAACTAAACTATATTGTTAGGTAAATGGATAATGAGAAACTGTAACCTCCTAGATAATAAAACAAGCAAAATGTATTGATTCAGTGAGTTAACAATTTAAGCGAAAATAAAAAAACAGGTGAAAACACAAGTACAAGTAATATATAAGTCATGTATAGGATAGTATATTTAAATTTTCTAAGGGGATTTGACTCATTTACGGGGGCGGGGCAAGGGCAACATAACTGCTACCTGGAAAAGCTCTTGATATACAAACATTAAGTACAAGTTAGATGAAAATATAAATCTTCCAGGAAGACAGAATATCAGAGATAAAGGCTGAGAGTAAAGAAGTCTAGCTATTTGGGCAACCGCAAATAATTTGGCATGACTGCCAGGTGAAGTGTTAGACAGGGGTGCTAATAGATGTGGACAGAGATCAAGAAGAAGGCAGGTGACTGTTTGGTTGTATTACCTTAAGGAGTTCTGATATTATCCTGATGTTAGATGGGGACCCATTAAAGATTTTTTATTAGTGTCGAAAACCTGCTCAGATTTATGCTTTATAAATATGACTTTGGCTAAAGATTGAGGCCAATGAAGCATTTAGTGGACCGCTAGAGCCATCTGTGGAAGAAACCATGAGCCAATGGTCTGAATAAAGTAGGTGTAGTGGCTATGAAGAGAAATGGACAATGGACAAAATGGAGGGATGATGAGGTAACATGAATGACAGGGCCATGTATGTATGGGAGGTCGAAGTAGCAGATTACTCTCAACTTGGCAAGTGAATAATGATTTCTCAGAAGACATATGTGGTGGAAATATTTAATTGCCACGATGAAGAGTATTGGCAAATTTCTTTTTGGATATATTGGATTGAAAAGGGGCTTTGCAATCCTGGAAAACCTGACCACTTATTAGAATGTAGTGTACACTTTGTCCTGTAACACACATCATGATGCAATCTCATTCCTTAGTCTCTATGTGACCTGCAATAACTCATGATTAGACCTGTAAAATCAAAACAAAGACTTTACATCTTACCCTAGTTTGCTGGTATCAGGTATAACGGAACAGTCTGCCAACTACAGGAAAGCAGAAACTAAATAGATAAAGTTGAGGGACACCAGACTCGGGTAAATTCATTTCACTAAAAATAAAAATAAATCATGTTTAAACAATTGAATGAGTATGTTTTAACAAAATTCAAATAATTTAAGAAAATTTTTTATGATTATGGAATGGCTTCCTCATTAAAATCAATGTGATAATTTTTATTAAAAATTTAAAGTGTAACTTTCTTTGTACTCTCTAATAATCTGACAGTATCCAGGTTCCTGAGCTTGTCTTATTTTGCACTTAGTAACTGAACCACAGTAGAAATGCATGCTATTGATTCTCTGATTGTTCTTTTCACTTCACATGACAACAATTTCAAATTCAAAAGTTTTGGAAAATATCAAAACTGCCAACTATGAAATGGAGTGAATTGTAATTTTTTTAAATAATACTTGGAATATAAATGGAAGCCTTAGCTATGCCCTAGCACTCACAATGTTCCCTCACTGACCTCTCTAAGTTTTCAGTATATTTTTAAAATTATTAGTTACCTGGTTGTTTATTGTTTGAAATGCATAATATCAAGATTACAGTCCTGGCAAAATCTATTAATGTATTTTTATAAAAGCACCAAATCTTGAACAGCATGTTTACATTACCATATATTTGATTTGGGCCTTTATTTTATTGGGCATTTGTTTTTAGAGTTCTCCTCTTTTGGAATATTCCTTAAGTAATATTGAGAGCTACCTTTACAAATAAGATCCAGAAAATTTACTTCTGGTGAGGAATTCAGATTTATCGTAATAAAAAGTAATAGAATTAGCAATGCAAAATGAAAACAATGATCTTTGTTATATTAGTTTACTACTAACCTCTGCTTATGTTTGCCTACTCTTTGCTTCACAACATTAGGCCTTTTATAACAATACTTTAAACCATTATTGGCTATGCAATTCAGAATTGAAACCTGAATTTTGGGCAACATCAAAAGCAAAGCTCTTAGGTGAAAACATTTCTTGTTTGTATTCCTGAATAATGGCTCTGAAAAATGCTACCATTGTGCAGACAAAAAGAGTTATGGATATATTACCTTTTCTTGTTTGCCTCCATTTGGAGATGTCTAAGAACCTTGTTTTGAAATATCAGCTGGAACAAGCCAGATTCAACATTAGACTGCATACTTACTGCTCTGGTTATTATGAGAATGTCTGACTAAGATATACATTGTAAAGCTTCCTATTGATAGTGGGTTATTGAAATGCCACATGATGGAACAGGCAGAAAAGATAAACCTATTGCAGCATATAATAATGTTCCATCTGCCAACACTGACAGCCTTTGTTATCTGGCCTTTTCCTGGCACAAGAGTTTCTCAATAACTTTGATAACATTATTGCTATTCTATCCTAGATACATTTTTCATAAGCAGTTATTAACAGCTTTATTTTTAACAGGAGCACCATGAGCATTACAGCCTTCTTGCATACATTTGTTGGGGAATTTACATATGTGTGGCTTAATGACTTTGCAAGTCATACTGCATTTTATTATTGAAAGATGTGATTAGAATTTATGCCTTTAATTTCCTAGAGCTTTTACTTCCACCTAAATAGGTAAGCATCTTATCACTTTAAGTTGTTCATTATAAATTCATGTGTGGTAAATTAGTTTTCAAACCGAATCCAGGATCATCCAATTGATAAGCATAGTAAATTAATGCACAATGAAGGAGGTTGCCAACAAAAAATAGTCCCTAACTAATATTTTCTGCACAGATCTTTGCACATATAAACAGATTGTTTACCCATTTATCACTTTAACTGCTAAAGCACTGTACAGTAAGTGCTATATGTCATTTCTACACTGTGCACATTGGAAGAATTTGCTTGGTTACACAATTGTGATCATTTCTCTGTTTTCCCCCTAAAGCAAATGTAATACACTCCCTCAAATGCCAGATGGTAAACTAATTATCTCTAAAACAAATACAGCTGTAGCTAAAGTAGTATTACCTTCACAACTAGTATGTCTTAGTCTGGCTTGGAGGGGTATACCTAAAGACAAAAGGCAAGTATAATATTTCCATGTCTAGTTTATCATCTGAGACTGCAAATAAGAAAGCTTATTATAAAGAGGGAATGACGCATTTATCCCCAGTCAGTTTGGAAGGGAGGATTGAAGTTCAAATGTTATGTCCATTGCCAAGTATTATGTTTCCCACAGTAGCTTTTATTTTAGGCTGTATTTGAAGTAGATTGTAGAGATTAAAGGATCTTATCCTATTTTAGAAAAATTTAAGAGTGGGATATACTAGACTAACTGACTTTTGGCTTAATTTATATCTTAACTGGAGATATTTTAAATGTGTAAATTAATAAATGTATATATTCATTACACAAACTTGTATTGAACACTAGTTTGTGCCAGGCATTGTTCTAGATACTGGAGATTCAGTAATGGACCAAAGGAAAACTAATTTCTGCTATCCTAGAATTTGCAATCCAGTTGAAATAGATGGGTAATACACAAAAAAGTAAAATAAAAAAATAGATGACTGCTATGGAGAAAACATAAACAGAATATGTGATATTCAATATCAGGGAGCAGAAGTTGTAATTTTAAAGAGAAATGCAAAGAAACCCTCATTGAGAAGGTAGCATTAAAATAAAGAGCTGAAGGAAGTGAGAAAGCAAGCCAAGAGATTTTTAAAATAAGAAAATAGCTTATCTGGGGAATTTTTATTCATGTCCTTTGCCTATTTTAAAATGGGGTGATTTATTTTCTTATTATTGAGTAGTTTGACTTTTTTGTATATTTTGGACATTAGCTCTTTATCTGAAGTATGATTTGCACATATTTTCTCCATCCTGTATGTTGTCTCTTTACTATATTGATTGCTTCCTTTGCTGTGCAGAAGCTTTTTAGTTTGAGGTAAAAACATACAAACAGCCAACAGAAATATAAAAAATTCAACATCTCTAATCATCAGAGAAATGCAAATTAAAATCACAATGAGCTATCACCACAAAACTTTTAGAATGGCTTTTATCAAAAAGATGAAAGATAGCAAGTGTTGGTGAGGATGTGGAGAAAAGGGAATGCTAAAACACTGTTGGTGGTATTGTAAATTACCGCAGCTATTTTGGAAAACATTATGGTGATTCCTTATATAAAAAAAACAGGATTACTATATGATCTATCAATCCCACTACTGGATATATACCTAAAGGAATTGAAATTAGTATGTAGAAGAGATGTCTGCACTCCTATGTTTATTGCAGCACTATTCATGAGAGCTAAGATATGGAATCAACCTAAATGCCCATCAGTAGATGAAAGGATAAAGAAAATGTGGTGTATATGCACAATGAAATAATATTCAGCCATAAAAAAGCCAGGAAATTATGTCATTTGCAACAACATGAATGAATGTAGAGGACATTATATTAAATGAAAAAAGTGAGGCACAGGGAGACAAATACTGTATTATTTCACTCATATGTGGAAGCTAAAACAGTTGAACCCATAGAAATAGAGAGCAGAATGGTGGTTACAAGAGTCTGGGACAAAGAAGTGGAAGAGGAAAGTGGAGATGTTGATCAAGGGGTACATAGTTACATTTAGATAGGAGGAATATGTTCTGGTGTTCTATTGCACAATAGAGGCAGTATAGTTAATAATAATATATTTTATATTTCAAAACAGCTGGAAGAAAATGTTTTGAATGTTGTAAACAGAAATAAGTGATAAATGATAGAGGTGATGAATTACCCTGATTTAATCATTTACAATGTATACATGTATGGAAACATTACATTGTACCTCATGAATATGTAAAATTATTGTTTGCCAATTAAAAATAAAATGAAAATAAATTAATGGAAAGGGGAAATAACAAATAAAATACCCTCTCCATGACAGCATTCCTGGCATGTTGCAGAAACAGCAGAGAGGTCAATTGATAATGAAACAAATATGAGGAGTATGTGAATAACAGAGTGAGAAGGAAGAGAGTTAAAAAAGAACCAAATCATGTTTGATATTATTGGCCACTCTGGTGATTCTGATGTTGAGTAAGTTGAAAAACCATTAAAGAATTTTGCTAAAAGGTTTAACATGATCTGACTTACATTTTAAAAGAATCACTCTGGCTGCTGTTTGGAGGCTAGACTGATGTGGGCTGAAGCAAGAATAAAAGTAAGGGATATGTTTCTATCATCCAGGCAAGAAGCGTTGGTACCTTGCACCAGGGTGATAGCCATGGTAGTAGTGAGAAGTGATTGTATCTTGAATGTAATGTGAATCTACATTTTTTGAAAGTTTGCAAATAAATATTTCAATAAGAAAAACAGGTGAGTCAATAACGATGCAGGGAGCTAGAAAATAATCGTTGAAGCAATGTTCTTGAGTAGATGAAAGTAGACAGAATCTAATGCACAAAGGCTTGGCCTTAGACAGGAGTCAAGTCCACTTACAAAGCAATGAGTAAAGCAGAGAGCATGATACGAATACTTCTGGGTCATAGGGGACTTGTGGGACTTGTTTTACCATTGCTTCTATTGTTCTCAGAGAAACAGAAAACAAATTATCAGTGATGAGTGAAGATAGAGAGGAAGTGTTAGAAACTTGTAGAATGGTGAGAAGATAAGGAAATACGGGAGAAAGAAGGGGACAGTATTAGAAGCTTACTCTCAGTTAAAATAGGTAGAGATCAAGGTGGGAATTGAACAATGATAACACATGGACACAGAAAGGGGAACATCACACTCTGGGGACTGTTGTGGGGTGGGGGGAGGGGGGAGGGACAGCATTGGGAGATATACCTAATGCTAGATGACGAGTTAGTGGGTGCAGCGCACCAGCATGGCACATGTATACATATGTAACTAACCTGCACATTGTGCACATGTACCCTAAAACTTAAAGTATAATAATAATAAAAAAAAATTATGCAGTCAAGATACTCTTCTCCAGCCACATTTAGCATAAAATAGATGTAAAGTTGGGTTGTGTTTTAGTAAAAATTTAGTACCTGCCATAGTTTACAAACCTAAGGATTAGATCTAGATCATAATGAAGTCACCCCACTAAGTGTAGTTTCCAATGCCTTCCAGAAATCAGAACTTGCCTTTTTAAAATACTCCATTCTCTGTTCTTTTATTCATATTTCAACATAATCTGAATAAGACTCAAGGCATAAATTTTGAAGTTTAAAAAAGCAAGTTTATTGTACGTTCAGCACAATAATTTATCTGTTATATGTATATAGTCTGTGATTTCACTTTAGTATAACAATTTCACTTAGTGTGTTTAAATACACAATGCTTATAGCATCAATTTTCTTAGCTTTATCATTATGCATTTCTACTAGGGTACCTAGGATTTCACTAGCTATGGTTTGTAAGTTTATTGTTATATATCTTACAATATATAACATTGAAAATGTCATCTTAAGGTTTAAGTTAAACATATTCCATGGGTAGAAAATTATTAATTACATTTGTAAAAAAATATTTAGGATAATGTCATTAATTACCTTTCAAAAAAATATTGATAATAATATAGACATATAACATATGATAGACATATAAGATATTTATGTTATGCATATGATGCATATGTTATACATACACATTATGCCAATATATTTTGATATAATAAATATTTACATATATATATATATATATACAGACACATATATATGTACACATACATATAATCATAAAATCATATTTAAAATCAAGTTTCCCTGAATTTATTTTGGAGATTGTTTCACCACTGATTATTAATCCAAACTCCCTTAACCTACCTTCTTTATCAAACTGAACACTCAAATTTGTAAACAAGAAAAAGGCCAATTTCTTGAGTTTTTTTAAAAAAGAAATAAGTGACTCCAAGTACTTACCTCTCCACTTCCCACTCCAGCCTTGGGCAAGATACTCTCAGAATACATGGGCTCTTTGTTTAGGAAACATACCAGTTAGGACAAATAAAACACTACTAGTTCTTCTTGAACATGACTCAGAATGGATTCTATAGTTTTGTTTATTTTTTAAGCCTGACAGTACAAAGTTACCTTCAGTGGATAGGTAGTTACCAGATCCTGCAATTTGTAGACAATTTTAAGCATTCTTAACACTTTTTGGCAACTGGAAACCAATAGATGCTTAAAACTGAGGTAACAATGATTAGATTTTAAATTACATAAATTAACCTGCATGCTCTGTGGCAAAAGATTGCAAGGGATCATATCCTAATGTAGTAAGATGAATAAGGAGCTAGTGGATATATACAGGAAAACAAGAATGTGATTTTAAAATAAAGGTTATATCAGATAAAATGTAAAAGGCATATGAATCATGGGTGAAACTGTCAGAGACTGGAAATGGAAGATGTCACTATAGAAGGTTTCAAGTGTGACTACTTGCTCTCTACCTTACATGGCTGGAGGGAGGGTCGTGGAGTTCATAGGGTTGAAAAACACAAGTGAAGATCCATGTTTAGGAAGAAATATGAATTTTTCTGGTGGCTTATTGATAATGAGTTGTCATTCAGGCATTCTATTTAAAATGCTACCTGAGAAGCTAGATGTAAAGGTCAATATAACAGAAAAATCAGGCTGAAAATACAAACATGAAAGTTATCTTTATATGGCAAAACATGACTTCATATACATGAGTGAAAGTTGTTAAGGAGAAAATTTAGAGTGAGAGGAAAAAAAATGGCCCTAATGATTGAGAAATAAATTCACACAAAATAAGAGGAAGATTATTCTGTAAGGAGATAGACAGTGAACAAGCAAAATATTAGGCTGAAAATCAGGAGAGGAATGTCAAGGACACCAAGAAAAAGAAAAACATAGTAAGTGGTCAACAGTGTGAAATGATTTTTAAGGCTAAGTAAAATAGGGAACAAAAACATCAAGTTAATTTTCATGAAGGACTATTTTGTCACTGGCAAGGGTTGTGTGGTTAAACAAATGGAAATTGAAGTGTAATTAGAGTGCCTTAAAGACCAAGTTGGAGATAAGAATAAAAAGCTAGTAAATATAGGCTTATATATTGAATATTTTACTTAGCATGGGATCTAGTAGATTGGGTAGTAGCTAAAGAAGAATAGGTATTAGGCAATAGGAAGAAGAGTTAAATAAAACTGGATCATTTAGCTTGATTATCAGACTGGAGGTGATGGAACCCAAAATATTTCTAGAGATAGTAAAGACTGGTAAATCATATAATTCAAACAGGATATAAGTAAATTGGTGCATACATAGTTGAGTTTGTGTATTAAGTGCAGAAAATTGAGAAAATTCCATTTATCTGGGAAGTGGAATGCCTGTATAGCTCAGAATTAGATTGAGATAGCCAAAGAAAATTTGTAAAGATATCCAATATTACTAAGACCTGATTCGAGGTTGATAATTTTGAATAAGTAGTGGAACCCACCTATCCTTTTATGGAGCATGCTAAGGTATTGGGTATAAGCATGAATAAATAAAATATATGGTTTACCTAGGTTTACATGTTGCTAAAATGATGAGATCTCATGGCAGAGGAATAAAGATCTTTAGATAACAGCAAGAATGTTATTGAAATAATAGTATTTGTAATTTAGATAATGAGGGAAGTGAATAAAAAGAAGGTTGATGAACTGGAAGAAATAAAGAAAGATTAACGAATTGAAGACTCCAATGAGATCAAATAGCAGTAATCATAAGGATAGTTGTACAAACTAGCTGCACAGAGAACATACTATGCAACAACTAATGGGGTGCTTGAATTCGTGATTTGAATGAAAGAGCAGTTATGGGTGGAACAAAGTTTAATGTTGTAATAGGATCCAGAGGGGCTCAGAGAAAGCTATAGTGAAAAGAGGTCTGGGGAAGGGGAAAATGAGGAGATTAATCATGAATTCACATAGATCTCAGTGTTTTCGTGAATGAAGGCATAACTTGGCATGAAACTTGAGAACAAAACGAAGGGGCAAAATAGAGAACTCAATAGACATGGTCCTCAAAAATATTTCCTCTAAAGTAGATAAAATAGGACTAGAATCATTACTTGAGAAAAATAAGGACACATCACAAAGAATGATGTGTGAGAGAAAAAAGAGTTGAGAGCAGGGAAGTTATGTCTTTGGGGAAGACGTAGGTATTAATTATGAAACAGGTGAATAGTACACTGGAGAGAACTGAAGTTGTATGAAAGTAGCTAGCTACGGTGCTGCAATTCCAGAAGGCACTTTGTAAAATTTTGAAAGGAAAGGGAGGGGTATATTCCTAAATCAGTGACAAAGAACCACAGTATATTAAGGAAGCAATGTTTTGTTCAGTGTTTGTCCAGGGAGATGCCTATATTTTAGGAGCAGATTGAAAAGAAGAGTGAATGAAAAGCTTAGTTGATTCTCAGTAGTTACTTTGAAGTAATAGGCATAGAGGTCATTTTTTTAAGGCTTTGTATAGCTCAGCTTGGCTACTGATGAGACAAAACTTAACAACCCATATGTTCTGTTGCTTTAAAAATGACTACGTTAATCTCAAAATTGACATATATATTTTTAATACTATAAAAGAGAAAGGATTCTAAACATCAAACACCAAATAATCTTTACTAATTCATGAAGATTATTGTGGAGAATATAATTGCTTAAAATTAAAAATTCATGTATATACATTTATATATAAGTGCATATAAATACATAGTGTATATATGTATATATGTGTATGTGTATATATAATATATATGTATATAACATATACAGAAAAGACTTCTTTCAACTTTTTGTTTGGATGTTAATAGGTGTTCCTGCAATGTTAGTGAACATTTAAAGGAGTGAAACTGGGTTTATCTAACAACCGTGGAGATTTCTAGTCTTGCTGTTGGAAGTGTACATAAACAGTAACAGCTGTTGTTTTTCCAATATTACTAATGATTTCCATCTCATTTCTTATTCTTGTAGAAATCACTGACAAAATGCCAATACAGATATTCTGAAAAGCTTTATGTCCTCATGGACATCAAATTAAAACAAAAATTTTAATGGAATGCTACCTAATTGAAAAAGCTCTGTACTGGTGTGCAGGAATAAAAATAAGTTTAAAAAAATGAGGCTTCCCTAAAATAATTTAACATGTAGATATGTTTAAAAGACATATATTCACAACTATACATTCCTTTAATGAGTAATAAATAATTTTATCAAAACTTTAGTTATGAGAAAATTAAAAGTTAATAGCTAAATAAATACCAAATTATAATGAAATACATGCATTCATATCATCAAAAGATGAATAGAGCTTTAAGGTCTGTGGAATTAATATGACAGTATGAAATATGATGATTTAATTTAGATATAGATTACTATCAATTTGCCTGGTTATAGAACCTTACAAATGTTATGTTATGTTATGTTATGATATTATTTATTTCCTTATTTTTTGTGACAGGGTCAGGCTCTGTCACCACATATGCATTCAAAGATGAATAGAACTTCAGGTTCTATTGAGTTAACATGACTCTGCAATATGATGATTTAATTTATATATATATTACTATCAATTCACCTGGTTATAGAGCCTTACAAATGTTATTTTATTTAATTTCTTTTCTTATTTTTTGAGACTGGGTCAGGCTCTGTCACCCAGGCTGGAGTGCAGTGGCACAATGTTGGCTCACTGCAACCTCTGCCTCCCAGGCTCAAGCCATCCTCCCTCCTTAGCCTCCCAAGTAACTGAGACTACAGATGTGCATGACCGTGCCTGGCTAATTTTTTGGTAATTTTTTTGTAGAGACGAGGTGTCACCATGTTGCCCAGGCTGGTTTCTAATTCCTGAGTTCAAACAATCGGCCCTCCTCGGCCTCCCAAAGTGCTGGGATTATAGGCATGGGCCACCGTGCCCAGCCACAAATATTATTTTAACAGAAATTTCTATAGAATAAAATATTATCAGTTGTTTATTCATGCATTCATTCAATAGTTATTAACTGAATACCTACTATGTGCCAGGCAAATACCGAAAATTGGTAATTCCTGAGAATGTCAAGTAATTACTGAGAACTTCAATTCAGATGTAAAAACTATTTTCATTATTATTTTTCTATAATGCTCTATAGCAATAGTTTAATAGAGACTTTGAGTAGAAAAAAATTGTTATTGTTGAATTTGATGCTAGCATCAGTGGGTTCTATGTATTCAATGAATGTTATCATTTTTAACAGTGATGCCCCTCATAACTCTATGCTTACTATCTTCAATAAAATAAAAATACTTAGTCAAATTAAAGTATTTAGAAAAATATCCCCTGGCTACATATGGTAGCCACTAGTCACATGTGTGTATTTAAATTTAAACTAATGTGAAATAATAAAATTTCAAAACTAGTTTCTCTGTCATAATAGCCACATTTCAAGTGCCCAACAATGGCATGCGGCTAGTGTCCACCATGTTAAAAAAAATAGGTATATAACATGTCCATTCTTAGTAAGCATTGTAACAGAAAGTGTGGATGTATACTAAACTTAATTTTTATGCCTTTTTTTTACTCAGACTGTAGCCTATAGTAATTTATACACCATAATTAGGCAGCATGTAGTTTTGCCATAGGTTTTACAACTAGTCAATTTTACAGGACTTTTGTCAGACTGTCTCCTTTTACCTAGAAATAGCATATGGTTTGGGATAGTAAGTGGAAGATGAAAATATGAAGGCTTTGAGAGGTTCTACTATAATTTCTCAATATTATATGTCATAAATATATATTATCCATAAGAATTCTGGAAAGATGGAAGAGTAGAAAATAACAAGAATCTGTCTTTCCACCTAGATAACAATTGTGCTGGCTAAATCTGTTTTGTGTAACTATTTTAGAACTCTATTGAAGGCTTGTAAAGTTCATGGGAAGGCTTAGATGGTAAATTGCAGTTAATTTCTGTCAATTTTAGCAATTACCACAGTAGCAGCTTCACACCTTCCACTTCCAAGGCCCACCGCAGGCAGTTGTGTACATATTTCTGGAGCAGCTTGTACACAGCTTGTGAGAGCCAAGAAGGGCAAAAAGGACACTGTCCTCCAAATATAAAGAATCAATGTGTTAATCACTGACTGCTGCTTCTGATTTCAAAGGTGCAGACAATGTGGTGGCAGCCATTGTTGTTACACCTCTGCTAATCATTTCAATCCACTCCCTCTATGGGAAAGTGAATTCCACATGATTTAAAGAGCCAGTACTTTTTCTCTTTCACTTTTCTCTTTTTTCCCTTTTATAAGCGAGTAATTGAGGACTAGGAGATTCAAAAGCAACCATACATAAAGAGAGATTAGCAAGTCACCACATAAGCCGAGGGAAAGGCATGGGCTCAGAAAAGACCAGAGAAGGCCTTAAATTTATACCATAGGCTGATGCTTGGTACAGAAAAAGACAAACAAACAAAACATAAAAACTAATTAACAACAAAAAAAGTACAAACCTTGGGGTAAGGAGATAATCAGATTTCAAAAGTTACCACATTATGATATTCAAATATGTATTAATAGTTTTCAACAAGAAAGTCACAAGGCATAAAAAAGAAACAGAAATATAGGAAAGTGTGTCACATTAAAAGGAGGAATTAAAAAAAAAAGAAGCAGAAACTGTCCCTGAAAAAGACCTGATGATGAATCTACTGGATAAAGACTTTAAAACAACTGTCATAAGGATGTTCAAAGAGCCAAAGAAAGACACAGAGAAAGTCAGGAAAATTATATATGAACAAAATGAAAATAACAATTAAGAGCTAGAAGATCTAAAAAGAAAGAAACAACAACAACAACAAAACTGTGGAAGCAGAAATACAATAACCAAAATAAAAAAAAAAAACTCATTAGAGGGACTCAAAGGCAGATTTGAGCAAGCAGAAAAATCACCAAGCTTGAAGATAGGAAAATGGGAATTATCAGCTCTGAGGAAAAGACAGAAATAAGATTGTGAAATGTGAACAGAGCGTAAGAGACTTGTGGGACACCAAGTGGACCAACATGTATTGTGAGAGTCTCAGAAGGGGAAGAGAAAGAGAAAACAACAGAGAATATCTGAAGAAATGATGGCTGAACACTTTGCATATTTGATGAATGAAATGAATATGAACATAAGGAAGCACAAACACGAATCTAAACACAACTTAATATGAACCAAAGAAGATGCACACTGAGACACATTATAATCAAACTTTCAAAAGAAAAAGATAAATTTGAATGCAGCAAGAAACGAGCAATTTGTCGCATCAAAGGATTTTAATTAAGATTATAGGTAGAATGCTTATCAGAAATTTTGGGAGTCATTGGGCTGATATATTCAAAGGGATAAAAGAAAAAAATGTTCTACAAAAAAATTCCAAATCTCGCAAAACCGTCCTTCAAAAGTTAGTGAGAAATGAAGACATTCCCAAGAAAAAAGAGCTGACATAATTCATACATACCACTAGACATATCCTGCAAGAAATGATAAAGAGAGTCCTGCAGGTTGAAATGAAAGAAGACTGGAGAATAACTCAGAGCAATATGAAGAAACAGAAATCACAGTGAAGTAAACATGTGGCCAATTATAGGAGCTAGAATCATTGTAACAGGTGTGTGACTCCACTTTTTGTTTTCTACACAATTTAATAGACTACTAAATTTGTAAATATAATTATTAGTTAAAATTATATTGTACCATTAGATTAAAAGTCAATTTTTTGTTTTCTACATAATTTAAAACATTCATGCATTAAGAAAAGTTATTTTCAGTATTGAATAGAGTTTTACATTTTAAAATAAATATACAATAATTAATTTACAATATTTTTGTTTTAGATCTAATTTAAAACATTAATTAAAACTTAAAGTATTAATTTAAAGGTAAATAAGTTATTAAAAATTATTTAATAATAAAAACAATAATATATAAAGTGATAACAAAATTATCACATTGTTTTAACTGTTAATTAAGTAATAATTTAAATTTTTTTGTTTTGGTATAAAGATATAATTTTGTGACATCAACTACTGAAAAGGATGTGTACATGTAATAAATTTTATTTATCCATTCATCTATTGATTAAATTTAAAAATTACATCAAAACACACTAACAACAGTGTAAAAAGGCAACACAAATAATGGAGAATATATTTGCAAATCATAAACCTGTAACCAACTAATATTTAGGATATATGGAGAACTTCTAAAACTCAACAATTAAAGAAAGACTCAATTAAAAAATAGGTGAAGAATGTATATAGACATTTCCCCCTTCTGAAATATACAAATGACCACTAAGGACATGAAAATATGCTCAAGATCTCTATTCATTGGAGAAATGCAATTCAAAACACAGAGATGACACCTCAAATGGCTTAAGATGACAACTATCAAAAAATAAAAAACCCAGAAAATAATGAGTGTTGGGGAACATGTAGGGAAATTAGAAGTGTTCTTCATCCTTGGTGAGGATGTAAAATGGTACAGCCACTATGTAAAACAATATGCCGATTTCTCAAAAAATTTATTAATAGAAGGACCATATAATCCCGTAATTCCACTTCTCTATGTATACTCAAAATAATTTAAAGCAGTGTCTTAAGAAGTATTTCAACACCTGTCTTCTTAGTAGCATTGTTCGTGATAACTAAAACCTAGAAGCAACCCAAGTGTCAACTGACAGGTGAATGAATAAGTAAAATGTAGTCTATACATAGAAAGTTATATTATTTTGCCTTTAAAATGAAGAGAAAGCTGTCATGCTACAACATAGATTAACTTGAGGGCATTACGCCAAGTAAAATAATCCAGTCACAAAAGACAAATACTTTATGAATCCATTTACATAAGCTACTTAGAGTAGTCAAAAATCATAGAAAAGGAAAGTAAAATGGTAGTTTCTATGGGTTGAAAGGGGTGGAGTGGGAAGAGGAGGAATGGGAGTTATTGTTTTATGAGTGTAGAATTTCAGTTTTGCAAGATGAAAAGATTTCTGGAGATGGATATGGTAATAATTACATAACAGCACGAATGTACTTAAAACCACTGAACTGTACATTCAAAATGGTTAAAATAGTAAATGTTGTATTTTACCACAAAAAAATAAATTTTTAAAAAATTTAAACTTACTCAAAAAATAAGTGCATATATAAAAATGTTATGAGAACTGCAGAAATATAAATATATTATCTATACTTGTTTTTACCGAGAAATTTTACAAAAAATATTCCTCAGATATATTTGAAAATATTGAGTTTATTTTCCATATAATAGCCAATGATGTTAGTATATTTAGTCTTATATTTTGGGAAATCTAGTTTAACAAAACTCAGGAAGACCTGACTAATACGATTGTAAAAGATACAGAGTAGTGCCAGATCTAGTGTTTAGATTATTACATACAGACCTGTACTGAGTATGAGGGACAGGACCCACAATCTGTGGGATGGTCTGGGAGTTGTCTGGCTTTCCAGTTCCTTGGCATTTCTCAGCGCAGCAGAAATGATGTCATCTGGACCATGTACGTGGCACACTTTATTTGCCATTTGGCTCTGAAATTATTACTTCAATACTTTATTTCCAGTGAAGAGAAACACACTTAATCCAGCCAGCTTCCAAGAGATATAGACTTAAGAAGTAGATCAAAACAACTTAAAGTCACAGTCAAAAGTATCAATGACTTCTGAAGCCTTTTATTTCTTCTTCAAGGATTTTTTTTTTCTAAAATTAAAAAAAAAATTCTTTGAGCAGTAAAGCAGTCAGATTTTTCTTCCAAAATCTTGTCTAAAAATATTGGCTTAAAAAGCCTGTAAAAATTTTTTTCAAATTCAGAGAACTAAAATTTGAGATTAGTATCTACAGAAAACAAAGGTCATGTGAGTGAATGTTTGTCACTCTCACTTGATTTTTCTATAGTTCATACAAGACATTTGCATGTAGTAGTATTTAAACATTAGCGAACATTTTTTGGAATAAATAATGCATTCATTATAATTAAAGTGCTTAAATCTATTGCCAATACTCAATAAAAATTCATGTTTTTACTCTCTTTCACTCTGACTGGTTTGCAGATTAATTTTGAATTAAAATATGTAATATATTTATAATGTATTAATAATATTCCAGTTTTGGAATCATTTCCTATTTCTGCTTTATGTGTAAGATTTTTCATTTACAGAATTGGAATACAATAGGGCCATTATTTTTATTTTGGTAAAAAATCTCAAAATATAAACTCTTTGCCTTCGGTGTCCTGAGACCATGAGTACAAGAGAAAACTAGAAAATTTATTAGTTTAGAGCACAGTTCATTGAATATTTCTAATAAAACAAGCGCATAGTTCAAGGGCATTTTTTCTGCTTAAGTGAGTAGGTTTTTTTTCCTTTTTGTAGCCCTCTACTGAATCAGAAACCAGTTTGGAAATTAACTTTTATTTTCTATTTTCAAAATTATGTTTATGGGCTGGGCATGGTGGCTCACACATGGAATCCCAGCACTTTTGGAGTCCAGAGCAGGAGGATAGCTTGAGTCCAGGAGTTCCAGAACAGCCTAGGTAACATAGCAAGACCCTGTCTCTACAAAAAAATTTTAAAATTAGCTGGGCATGGAGGTGTGCACCTGTGGTCCCAGCTTCTTGGGAGGCTGAGGCAGAAGGATTGCCTGAGTCCAGGAGGTTGAGGATGCAGTGAGCCATGATCATACCACTGCATTCCACCCTGGATACAGAGTCAGACGTGGTCTCAAAATAAATGAATAAATAAGTAAAATAAAGAATAAAACATTACAATAATCACCTTTGTGATATATTTGCAAGTTCCTTTCCTGATAATTATTTTAAGGATATTACCAAGCTATTAAAATTTTGCTTTTAAATGCACTAAAGTATTATTAGTAATAGACTCTCATCCTCCAGGAAGTTAACCCAGGCTTGTTCAAAATATTCAATATATTAATTAATAATTATCCAAAATACTATTTAAGTATGGGATAAAATGATTTAACTTTCAAAACAGAAACACTGGTAGAAATTCCAGAAATAAATAATTCAAAGTTTTAAATTGCATGTCATTCTGAGTATCATGATGAACTCTTGCACTGTCTTATCCTGACTGGAACATGAATCATCTCTTTGTTCAGTGTATCCATGCTGTATACACCACCCACATGTTACTGTATAGAAAAAAGCATAGTGGATATAGGGTTTGGTATTATCTTCAGTTTCAGTCATCTACTGGGGGTCTTGGAACACATCTTATATTCCAAGGGGGACTACGGTACTAAGTCAAATGTAAAAATACTAGAGCTGTAGTACATGGACCACTGAAGCTGGGAAACCATAGCTGTTAGAAAACCAAATTTATCAATTGATGTTTTCTCAGCATATTATTATAATGAGACAAAACTGTTAACATTTTTGCTCATATAGAGAGATAAGAAGGTATAATCTTATAAATAGAAAAAGACTAATCTTATATATCTACTTGACTGGGCCATGACGTGTGTAGATATTTAGTTAAACATTATTCTGGATGTGTTTGTAAAGATGTCCTGGACGAGATTATCATTTGAATTCATACACTGAGTAAAGCAGATTGCCCTCCTGAATGTGGGGAGACCTCATCCAATTCATCAAATGTTTGAATAGAACAAAATGGTAAGAGAGAATTCTCTCTCCCTGCTTGGTTGTCTTACATCTTGGAAATTGACCTTCTTCTGTCTTCAGACTCAGATTAGCAGTGGAATTTATACCATCATCTCTCCTGGGTCTCCAGCTGGGCCCATTGCAGATCCTGGGACTTCTCAAATTTCATAACTATGTGAGCTAACTACACACATACATACATAATATACACCCTCTTGGTTCAGTTTCACTGGAGAACACTAATAGAAAAAGATTAAGAGACAATCATATCCTAGGTTAACTTTAAAAGTCAGATGACTTTACCTAAATTATTCCATAAATTTGACTTTTGGTTCTGTCATGGGATCCGTAGGGTGTTGCTTCACTAGCTAGAAACCTCTGTGGCCAGCCTTGCCTCTGCTTGGGTTTTGCTTCCACGGCTGAGCTTCTTCCACCAACTTGACCTGGCAGGCTGCGCTCAGCTTGCACCACTGGCTTGGATTCCATACTTGCCAAGGGTGAGCTAGCTGCAGAGTGGTAAGAGATGTGTGAGTGACTGAGAATGGGATATGGACACTGCACAACTCCAACCATGCTGACTGTAGCGGGGCAAGCAGTTCCAGGTGCCCGCAAGGCACCAACTCCATGCAAGGCTGTGGCTGGACCAGATGTATTGCAAGCAGCCTCCTCCAGCATCTAGACAAGGGTAACACAATGGTGCCTGAAAGCTCAGAGATGCCAGGAACTGCAGATCCCCAATGAGTGTATTACAGTGTGTGTCACAGCCTGGCCTGGGGAGTCCTGATGTTTTTGCTCCCAGAAGGGCTGCAGCTCTTCGTCATCTGCAATGTGTTGAGTAGGTGGCATGTTTCAGCCCTGTTTGTTACAGCTTTTTCAGTCCCGCCATTTGGCAGGTCCTGAGTTCTTGTCCTGAGTCCAGGAAGAATGCAGTATGCAGCCAATTGGAGGGTGAGCACGGCAAAGGAGCTTCTTTGACCAAACAGCTCTCAGGAGACCCTAAGTGAGTAGTTCCTTTCCGCAAGTAGGTCATCCCAACCAGTGAGTGAGTCTGGCTGAGTCTGGCAATTTTATGTGCTCGGAATGGAGGAACTGTGTGCTGATTGGTCTATGGGCAACCACGGGCGGGCCTAGAAAAAGCACCATCCAACTGGTTGAATGATCATCATTGAAGTTCTCACTCCAGTGCAGACTTTGCCTGGAACTGGCAGCCAAGCCCCCAGGCTTCCGGCCATGCTTAGCCTGAAGGTGGGGGTTTCACCAGGGATCCACAACTTCCCACCCAGGAATCTGCATTTAACACACCCTCCACAGCACCCAGGCTGTCCATGCCAAGAGGTTTCCACAGTTCCACACTAAGCAGTACTCAGCCCCTCCCACCCATCACCCCCAGGTGCTCATCAGTGCCCAAAGTCCAGATGGGCCCAGGCAGCAGGGATCTGGTGTGTTAGCACCACCCTGAAGTGTGCACATACCCAGTTGGGTTGTGACAGTCTCTGGGCTTGGCCATATCTTTGCTCCACCCCAGAGCAGGCACCAGCAGTGGGAAGAGGCCAGGGAATGGGAGCAGGCACTTTCAAGCCTGCAGGATAAGGGGGATTCCTGGTCTCCTGAGAGTCAGTAGGGGGTGGGGATCCTGTCTGTTCCCACCCTGGCTGGCTCTGTGGAGTGTACAGCCCAGGTCGCTCCTCCCACACTGCACCTGTTGTCCCCACAGTGGCTGCTCCAGATGGGCAGCTGCCACTATCAGTTCTACCAAGTTGTTTGGCTAACATAACTTTGTTAAACAAGTAACCACATTTTATTCAAATTAACTTAAGAAAAATAATTAACTGTATTAAAAATCACAAGAGAACTCACAGAAAGCAGGAAAAGGTTATGGAACTGAGTCTTATGAGGACCCAAAACATCACCAGTGTATGCAGCAGCTACTCAAGATATATTTTATTTACCCTGGGTCCCTGGATTCATATATATATATATATATATATATATATAATATATATATAATATATATATTATATAATATATATATTATATAATATATATATTATATAATATATATAATATATATATGTGTGTATATATACATATATGTATACACACGTATATATACATATATGTATACACACTTATATACATATGTGTATACACACTTATATACATATATGTATACACACGTATATACATATATGCATACACACATACATGCATATATACATATATGCATACACACATACATGCATATATACATATATGCATACACACATACATGTATATATACATATATGCATACACACATATGTGCATACCTGTATGCATGTATATAAACATATATGTATACATGTATGCATGTATATGTGCATATATGTATACATGTATACGCACATATATGTGTATATACACGTATGTAAACATGCACACATACATGTAGGTGTGCATGCATATACATACATGTGAACATGTTCACCTACAGGCATGTGTACATGTATATATACATGCGTGTACATATACATGTATATATACATGTGTGTACATGTACATGTATACATATATGCACATGCACATGCATGTATATGCGCATGTACATGCATACATGTATGTGCACATGTCCGTGTACATATATGTGCGCATGTATATATACATATATGTATGTATATATGTATATATATATATGTGTATATGTATGTATGTGCACATACATGTATGCATGTATGTATATATGTATGTGCGTATACTGATATGTATATATGTATGTGAGGATACCTATATGTATATATGCATGTGTGTACATATGTATATATGTGTATATGTGTATATAAACACATATATGTATATATACATTCATATGTGCATATGTATATACGTGTACATATACGTATGTATACATGTGTATATATGTATGTATATATGTATATATGTATACATGTGTATAAATATTTTTATATATGTGCATACATATTTATATATATGTGTGCATACATATATGTATATGCGTCTATATATGTATATATGTATATGGGTGTATATATGTATATAAATTATATATATATATATATATATATATATATATATATATATATATATATAGTTTTCTTGACTCATCTATCCTTCCCTCCCAGTTTCAGCAGGCATTTGGCCTAATTGAACCATTGCACATTGGCAACAGCAGCTTTTACAAATATTATTTAGACCCTGCCATATTTTTCTTTTCTATCAGAAATACCCTTCAACTGTATATTACTTGTTGGATGGTGTCCCATAAATCCTGTAGGCTTCCTTTATTCTTTTGCATTCTTTTTTTATCCTCCAACTATATACTTTCAAATTACCTGTCTTTGATTTCACTGATTCTTTCTTCTCTTTAACTGAGTCTGCTGTTGAAGTTATATTGAAGATTTTTTCTTCTTTTTAGTTCAATATTATAAGCTTCAGCTGCAGAATTTGACTCTTCTGTATGTTTTCTTTCTCTGTTGCAAGTTTCCTATTTTGTCCTTGAATTATTTATCTGTGTTCTCTAGCAGCATACCAAGATTCCTTAGAATCATTATTTTAAATTCCTTTCAGGCAATTTGTAGAATTCAATTCTTTTGGTCAGTTACTGGGAGTGTATTATGTTCCTTTGGGGATGTCCTGTTTTCCTAAGTTTTTGTGGCCCTTTTTTTTGTATATATGTGTCTGTGCATTTGAAGAAGCAGTAAGCTACCTCTTCCTAATTTCATGGACTGACTTCAATAAGAAAAGATCCTCACCCTTGAAGACGGACGTGGTCACGGTAGCACCAATTACAGTGTTGAGAAAATATGCTGTGGTAACTGGTATAGTGATATGCAGTGTGCCAAGTGCAGTGACATGTGGTGGCTTTAAGGAAATGATGGATTGGAAATTTAGAACATGGCAGCAAAAGTATGGGGGGATATGTACTAGCTGGGAGGGCTGTTAGGGTTCTCAGTAGCACTTCTGGGTCAAAAGCACTTATGGGACACCATCCAACAAGCAATATACAGTTTAAGGGTATTTCAGAAGCAGAAGAAAAATATGGCAGGGTCTAAATAATATTTTTAAAAGCGGTTGTTGCCAATGCGAAATGATTCAATGGTTCATGCTTTCATAGGTAGGTAGAGTGGTGGCTAGATGCAAGTGTATTTACAGTAGTGGAGGCCCAAAGCCACTGTGTGTGACAGTGAGTGCTGGCACTGGCAAAGAAGGTGGGGGCTATTTTCTGGTATGTACCAGTGACCATGCTTGATTCTGGGATCAGTCATACACACCAGTGCAGACTAGACATACACACCAGTGTGGACACACCTCGTTGAGGGAGTGGTCAGAAACTCAGGCACCTGAGGACCATGAATGCAAAAACTATGGGGCTTTGGCAGTGTAATGTGCAGGGGCCTTAGTAGCTGCGATAGCCACTGGGGTCCTTAGCAGCAAATTTTGCTGAGGTTTTCTGCAGTGTAGGACCCTGGAGACTATTATGGCCACATCCATATTGCTAATACTGATAGCCTCCACCATTCCTCTTTGATCCTAACCATCTCCAGAGACCTGAGATATGGTGGGCTCCCAGTAGTCTGAGTGGGTTGAATCTGAAGAAAGTTATCTGGATAATGTTTCCAAAGTCTGGGGAAGCTAGTTCATCACCCCACTCTCCTGTACATCCTGTCAGGAGGACTCATAGGCTAAGGGGATTCCTCTTAGAGGTGAGCTTTGCCAGGCTGGGGGATGCAGTGGTGCAGAGAAAGTGAAACTGTTCTTCCTACCCTTATGCTGTGTTTTTTTTTGTTTTTTTTGTTTTTTTTTTTCTGTTGCTGTTGTTCTACACTCCAGATGCTGGAGTGGATCTAGAGATCTCCAAGGGGTATTACCACTTCTGAATAGCTGCAAGTAGTTGTTTTGTAGGGCAGATGAAGGATGAAAAATCGTACCCTTCCATCTTACTGAAGTCTAGTCTATATGTTCTTATAAAGTTAAAAGTGCACTAATGGAAATTATCAAAATTTCATTCAACCAGCTTTGTTACATTAATGATAATAAACTATTGAACTTAGAGAATTTTATTTATTTATATATTGGGTTTACAAAGTAATGTTTCATTTTTAGATGGTTAATGTTTTCATTTGTATTATTAAATTCCACACTGTATTTTTATATTTGCTTTTGAGACTTCCTGCCTTTTGGGTTAATTTCTGTTGGAACATTATGTCTAATTTTGGGACATACCATTGAAATAGGTAATAAACATTTTGTATTAAATTTTTACATTTAAATGAATAATTGAATGCGACCTCTAATTTTATTTCTGTGCATTTAAAATATTTTTAAAATTAGTTTTATTAGCTTCACATAATGGTTTGAGCAACATTCCATTCTTTTTATTTATTTTTGTTTTTCATTTTATAAAAAATGGCACCTTAAATTTTTGGCAAAGGTATGAAAATGTTTTCATATGTACACTGTTTTGAAGATGAAGGAATTGATAATCAAGGAGAATTGATGAATAATGTATTGTGAGGTGGAGTAAGATGGCTGAATACAACCCTCCAGTGACCATGCACCCATCTGGGAACATCATATTGAACAGAAATCATATTGAACAAAAATGCATTTTCAAAGGAGCCATAGAATGAAGTGAGATGTTACACTACCTAATTTTACCACTATAACAAGAAAAGTCTCATTGAAAAGGGTAAGGATAGCCTTGCATTGTCTAAATCACCCCTTCCCCAACCTCAGGCAGCACAACATGGAGAGAACAATGACTTTGTGGGGGAGAGAAAGGGAAGTTAGTGTGGGATGTTGCAATAGAATTTAGTGCAGTCCTCCCCCACAGTGGAACACAGCCCAGGGGAAAGTCATGCAGCCCTTGATTCCAGACTGGTTTCCATGGAGAAAGAATTTAGACCTGCCCCAGACCAGAAGAGAATCCACTGCCCAGGCAGGAGGAACCCACTTTCAATCTGCTTCATAACTTGCTGAATAAAGTAGCTTCAGGCCCCATATAAAGTTCAGTGGCAGGCAGGCCATAGCAAACATGATGCTTGTGTGACCCCCAGTACTGCACTGGTCTTGGAGGCCATAACATGGAAATTCACCCAGCATGACATCAACTGTAGTGGCCATGACAGTGCTGACATCACTTGTCTCCTAACTCCAGGCAGTGCATGCAAAGAGAGACTCCTACTTTGGAAAACGAGAGGGAAGAGTGAAGGGCACGTTGCCTAGAAATCTAGTATCAGCCCTGCCACAGTAAAATGCAGCAAAAAGCAGCAACCTGAAGGCCCAGATAACACTCCTAGACCCACTGTAGGCCAAAAGTGGATTATCCACCATGGTGGGACCAACCTGAGGTGTGGCCCAACTTATAACTGGCTGACTAAAGTGGCCTTGGGTCTTGAATAAATATCAGTAGCATTCAGGCAATAGTGACCTCAGTCCTTGAGTGAGTTCCAGATCTGCACTGGTCAAGGAGGCCATGGGCATTGAATGTGACCCAGTGTGGTACCAGCCAAAAAAGACTATAGGTGTGCCTGTGTCACCCCTTCTCCAAATCCAGACAATGCAGAGCTGAGAGAGAATATTTTCGCTAGGGGAAAGAAGGAGGTGATCAAGGGACTTTTCCTAGAAAGCCAGGGAGCTGTCACTAATCTTTGCAAGTCTATCATGTTTAGAAACATAGGAGTCTGATAGACTTGTAGCAAACCTGGGCTTGGGGCACTCTCTAGTGTGGAAATGACTGCAGCGACCACAGGTTTGGGGAACTCAACAGTCTTCTTTGAATAACTGAAAGGACTTCTGAAGAAGGACAGGTACAAAAAGGTTAGACTAAAAGAAATATCTAATTACTCAATGTCCAGACACCAAAAATATTCAGGGAAATATGACCTCACCAAATGACCTAAATAAGGCACTAGTGATTGACCCTGGAGAGAAAAAGATGTGTGACCTCTCAAAAATGTGAATTTAGAAAGCTGTTTTGAGAAAGATCAACAAATTGTAATGAAACAGAGAGAAACAATTCAGAAACTTATCAGATAAATTTGGTAAAGAGATTGAAATAAAGGATCAAAGAAAAATTCTGAAACTAAAAAATACAACTGGGCAACTGAAAAAATCTACTGGAGGATCTGAACAGCAGAATTGATGAAGCAGAAGAAAGAATTAGTGACCTTAAACACAGACTATTTGAAAGTACACAGTCAGAGGTTAAAAAGAAAGAAAGAATGAAAACACACAAATGACACTTACAACGTCTAGAAGGTAGCTTCAAAAGAGCAAAAGTAGAATCATTATACTTAAAGAGAAAGTAAAGAGAGATAAAGGGGTAAACAGTTTGTTCAAAGAAGTAATAACAAAAACACTTTTGCAACCTAGAGAAAGATATGATTATCCAGATATAGGAAAGTCAAAGATCAACCAGCATATTAACACAAATAAGACTACCCCAAGACACATAACAATCAAACTTTTAAGGAAAAGAGGGGATCCTAAAAGCAGCAAGAGAAAGGAAGCAAATAACATAAAAGAGTTCTGATACATCCGGCAGCAGACTGCTCAGTAGAAACTTTACAGTTTAGGAAGTAGTGGGACAACATATTCAAAGTTCTGAAGAAAAAGACCCACCAACTGAGAATACTGTACCAAGCGATTCTTCAAACATGAAGGAGAGATAAGGAGTCTCCACGACAAACAAAAACTAAGAGAATTCATCATCACCTGACCTGTCTTATAAGATATGTTAAAGGAAGTTTTTCAATGTGAAAGAAAAAAGGGTTTACATACATGAAAATATTTGAGGGTATAAAACTCACTGGTAAAAGTAAATACACAGACAAATTAAATATATTCTAACACTGTAATAGTAGTGCATAAATCACTCATATCTTTACATGAATAACACAATACAAATCTATCAATAATAGCTACAACAATCTGTTAAGTGATAGGCTATATAAAAAGTTATAAAACAATACAACAATAAGTCAAAAGGTTGTAGGGGATGAAGTTTTTAATTTCTTTTTTAAAATTTCTTATTTTATGATGAAAGTTAGGTTGTCATCCATTTAAACTAACTTATTATAGGTATAAGATTTTTTTTGTTAGCCTCATAGCAACCACAAATCAAAAACCTATAATAGATACACTAAAAATGAAAAGCAACAAATTAAAAATTATTAACAGAAAAAAATCACCTAACGACAAAAGAAGACAGAAGAAAGTAGAAAGAGAGGAGTTACACAACTAGAAAACAAGTAACAAAATGGCAGTGTAAGACATTACCTATTAAGAATAACATTGCATGTTATTGTTGACTGGATTAAATTCTTCAGTTAAATGACAGAGTGGCTGAATGGATAAAGGAAACAAGACCCAACCGTAAACTGCCTATTAGAAAGTCACTTCACCTATGAAGACATGCATATCCTGAAAATAAAAGCATAGAAAAAGATATTCTATGCAAATGGAAACCAAAAATGAACAGGAGTAGCTATACTTATATTAAGTAAAATAGACATCAAGAAAAAAAACTCTGAGAAGAGACATTGAATGTCAATACCTTAATTATAAAGAAGTCAATTCAGCAAGAGGCTATAACAATAATAAATATATATGCACCCAACATTAGAACACACAAATATATAAAGCAAATATTAATAGATTTATAGGGAAAAATAGACTTCAATACAATAATGGTAGTGAACTTCAACACCCCACTTTAAGGAACGCCCAGAACATCTGGAAAATCAACCAAGTAACATTGGAGATAAACCGCACCCTAGACCAAATGTACGTAACAGACATTTTTAGAAAATTTCATACAACTGTTTCAGAATAGATCTTCTTCTCATCAGCACATGGAATATTCTTCAGGATACATCATATATTAGTCCATAAAACACATCTCAACAAATTAAAAAATGTTGAAATCATTTCAAATATCTTTTCTGACCAAAGTGAAATAAAACTAGCAATCAACAACAAGAGGATCTTTTGAAACTGTACAAATACATGAAAATTAAATAGCATTCTTCTTAATGACCAATGAGTCAATGAAGAAATCAAGAAGAAATTTTTAAAATATTAGTGAAACAAATGAAAATGAAACATAACCCACCAATACATATGGGATATAGCAAAAGCAGTACAAAGAAGAAAGTTTACATTAACAAATGGAAACACCAAAAATAAAAAAAGTCTTTAAATAAACAACCCAATGATGCATCTCAAGGAACTAAAAAAGCAAGAACAAATCAAACACAAAATAGAAGGAAAGAAATAATAATAGACAAAATTGAGATAAAAATTCAAAAAATCAATAAAATAAAGAGTTGGTTCTCTGAAAAGATAACCAAAAGTGATAAAACTTTAGCTAGACAAAGAACAAGAGAGGAGCCACATAAATAAAATTAGCAATAAGTAAGGAGACATTACCACTGATACCGCTTAAATACGAAAGATCATTAGGGACTATTATAAAATATATGCCAACATAATGGGTAAATTCCTGAATACGTACAACCTACCAGAATAAAGAAATAGAAAAGCCCAAGAGACCAACAACAAATAATAAGATTGAAGCAATAGCTAAAAGGTCTTCCATTAAGGAAAAGCCCTGGAATTATTGGCTTCCCTGCTGAAATCTACCAAACATTGACAAGAAGAACTAATACTAATTCCATTCAAACTATTCCCAAAAAAAACTGAGGAGAAGGGAATGTATCCAAACTCATTCTATGATACCAGCATTACTCTGATAACAAAGCCAGACAAGGACACACAAAAAAGTAAACTATAGGCCATTATTGTTAATAAACATAGATGTAAAAATTATTTCAATATATACTGGAACAGAATTTGATAAAATTCAACATTCCTTCCTGTTAAACACTCTCAACAAACTGGTTACACAGGGAGCATCCCTCGAAATGATAAAGATCATTGCTCGTGACAAACCCATATTTAGCATAATATTGCACGAGAAAAATTGAATGTCTTTCCACTAAGATTTGGAACAAGACAAGGATGCCTACATTCACCATGTTTATTCAACATAGTACTGGACGTCCTAGCCGGGGCTACTAGGCAAGAGGAGAAAATAAAGAGTGTCTAAATTGGAAAGGAGAAGTCAAATTATTATTCTTTGCAGACAACATGATTTTATATTTAGGAAAACCTAAAGACAACACCAAATAAGTGTGAGAACTGATAAACAAATTTACTAAAGTTGCAGGATACAAAATCAACATACAAAAATCAGTAGCATTTCTGAATGCTAACAGCAAGCAACCTGAAAAAAATAAAGCGAGCCTTTTACAAAAGATACCAAAATAAATAAATGAAACATAGTAATAAATTAAACCTAGGAAGTGAGCAATCTATACAATAAAAATTATAAAACACAGATAAAATAAATTGAACAGGCTAGGCCAAGAAGAAATATATCCCATACTCATGGATTTTAATAATTGATATTGTTAAAATGTCCGCACTCTTCAGAGCAATTGACATATTCAACACAACCCCTATAAAAATATCAATGATATTCTTTACAGAAATAGAAGAAACAAACCTGAAATATTTTATGCAACCACGGAAGACCCAAAATAGCCAAAGCAATCCTGAGCAAAGAGAACAAAGCTAAAGGCATCACACTACCTGACTTCAAATTATATTATAATGTTACCGTAACCAAAATTTCTGGTACTGGTGTTAAAACAGAGACAGAAATCAATGAAACAGAGTAGAGAACCCACATATAAATCCACACATTTACAGCCAACTTATTTTTGAGAAGGGCGCAAAGAATGTACTTGGGAGAAAGGAGGGTCTTCTCAATAAAGGATGCTGGAAAAACTGGATATACATGTGCAGAAGAATGAAACTAGACCTCTCTCAACACACGCACAAACCAAATCAAAATAGATTAAAGACTTAGATCTAAGACCCAAAAATATGAAACTACAAGAAGAAGCATGGAGGAAGACTCCAGGCCGTTGGTCTGGGCAAAGATTTTTGGGGGTAAGATCTCAAAAGGACAGGCAACCAAAGCAAAAATAGATGACTGGGATTAAAACAGCAAAAAAGCTTCTGAATAGCAGAGAAAAAAAAGTCAACAGACTTAACAGACAACACACAGAATGGGAGAAAATACTTGCAAATTATTTATTTGGCAAGGGATTAATACCTAGAATACATTAGGAATGAAAAGAACTTAACAGAAAGTAAACCAAATATTCAGTTTAATAAATGTGCAAAAGATCTGAATAGACACTTCTCAAGAGAAGACATACACACGGACAGCAGGTATAAGAAAAAATGCTCAATGTCTCTAATTATCAGGAAATGCAAATCAAAACCACAATGAGATATCATAGCACCCCAGTTAAAATGCCTATTATCAAAAAGAAAGAGAAAAAAATGCTGGTGAACATGCAGAGAAAGAAAAAAGCTCGTACACTGCTGGTGGGAATGTAAATTAGTACAGCCCCTATGGAGGACAGTATAGAGATTCCTCAAATCACTAAAAATAGACATACTATATGATCCAGCAATTCTACTGCTGGGTGTCTATCCCAAATAAAGGAAATCCATATATCAAAGAGGTATCTGCACTGCTATATATATGGCAGTACTATTCACAATAGCCAAGATATGGAATCAACTTACATGCCCATTAATAGATGAACATATGTGGCTGAAAAGGTGACTCACGCCTGCAATCCTGGCACTTTGGAAGGCCAAGACAAGAAGATGGGTTGAAGCAAGAAGTTCGAGATCAGTCTGGGCAATAGAGCAAGATGCCATCTCTAAAAATATGAATAGCTCATAGCAGTGAGCTATGATTTTACCACTGCTCTCCAGCCTGGCTACAAAGTGAGACCCTGTCTCCAATAAAATTAATTAATTAATTAAATGTGGTATATGTGCACCATGAAATATGATTTAGCCACAAAAAAGAATGAAATCCTGTCATTTTCTGCAACATAGGATGGCACTAAAGGAATTGTGTTAAGTGAAATAAGCCAGGCACAGAAAGTCGAATATCACATATTCTCACTCAAACAGGTGAGCTAAAAAAGCAGATCTCATGGAGGTAGAGTAGAAAGATTATTAACAGATGCTGGGAATGGTAGTGGGGTTGAAGAGAGAGGGGTTAATAGGTACAAAAATGTAGTTAGATAGAAAACAAGTTCTAGTGGTCAATAGCACAGTAGGGTGACTATAGTTATGAATAATATATTTTACATTTCTAAATAGCTAGAAGAAAAATTTGAAATGTTCCTAACACAAAGAAATCATAAATGTTTGCCGCAATGGATATTCCAATTACCCTGATTTGATCACTACACATTGCATGCGTGTATTAAAATATCACATGTACCCCAGGAATATGTACAATCATTATGCATCAATATAAATTTTAGAAATACATTTACAAAAATATATTGCATTTATACACTTTGGACTATGATGAAGTAGTAAAAGCAATGAGTTATATGCATATATGACAATTGGTCAAGATGTTTAAAACATAGAATTTAGAAGAAAATGTGTTTTATGTGGTCTAAAATTATATACACAACATAGTATCACTATAAAGGTTTTCAAATATTCAATAATACTTTGAAGATAGAAATTAAATATTCCAGCAAGGGCATTATGATTGTTCAAAGTGAAAGGAAAAATACATAAAATAAAGCATTCGCAGGGTTCTGCATAAACATACATTATTATGCCATGAACTAGAGAGGAGAATAACTTATTCCACTTTCTGTATGTGAAGTTAAAAACAAACCAAAAAAAAATTAACTGCCACCTAAGTAGAAAAGACATTTACTGCTGTTTTTTTAAACAGCAAATTTATTTGAAACTGATTTGATCAACAAAGAAAATCATCTTTTAAAATGCTTTCTGTTATCAGACAGTTAATATATTCTGTTAATTGACCTGTGAATTTAATGTAGAGAAAAAGAATAATTATCAACAACCAAAGGTGCTAGATTCACTAAATACAACACACATAAAATGCAGTAACAAGTGGATTTTATCTAGTCCAAGCAGCAGGAAATTCAGCACTTCATTAAAACATCTGACGAAACTGCTGAAGTTTGACCTTTACTGCTGGTTTGCTAAAGTTTTACCTTTACTGCTGGTTTGCCCGGAATGCACAAATAAATAAGTTAGCATATGAATTAATTAGGCCTTACTCAGAAGATTACTAAACACTTTTGTTAGACATTAACATCTTCCTTTAAAACTAACTTCTTTTGGCAATGATAAAACAAAGCATAAGAATAACTTTGATTATTAGGAGTATTTTTGACTAAATATTTTTGTAATTGTTTTGTCATCATTGCTAGGATATCTTCATTGGTGTCATGCACCACCCAAGGAAAACTATACCACAAATGGAATTTCAGATAGTTAGTAGCCGACATATACCAGATTGCCTATTTTACAATAGATGTAACATAGAGATATTCTTTCTAACTTATTTTTTCTAGCCTATATTTCTACTGAAGAGCGATTTGCATGATACTGGTAAAGTCTAACTCCCCAGGGAATAACAATAAATATGAAAACACTAATTAATCTCTATACTTCTATATTGTCAAAGTTCTGTGATTATCAACATTAGAACCCTAAGTTAGTCAATCCTTTGCTCTTTTTTGTACAGTTCCATCTGAAGTGGCAATGTAGTTTATCTAGATTGTGAGAAGCCCCTGTAAAGGATCCTGTTCCCTGAGACTTCAAGAACCCACAGAAATATGCTTTTGTAACCTTGTTTGTATTATGCTACTCCACTGATCTCTGACCGTAAATAATTGTACTAGGCATAAAGCCTGCACAGACTTTAAATCAACCTGTAGACTCAACAAAACAATAAAGATTATTCCATCTAGAAATGTAAAGTTTGTTTAAATTAAGTCAATTTATCATAAATGGTGGATGTTCACTTGTAAGGTCATACAAGTTTAGGGCTTGGGCAACCGTGATTAGGCCACAGTGAAGTGAAATAAAGACAGTCTGTTGAGAAGAGAGTTAGAAGTAAAAATAAAATAAACGAACAAAAAAAGAGGAGCAATATTTCCGTGTAAAGAGGAAACTTATATATGTATTTGATTCCTGTAATCTTTCCAGTTATTAAATAGTGTCTTTGGCAAGTCTACTAGAGATGTAGTGTTCTGCAAGATATACATGATCTTTGCAAAATATAACCCTTTGAAATGTAAGCCAGTTTAAGAATGATATGTTTTTAAAACGTTTTATTTTGAAATCATTTTAGATTTATGGAAGAATTGCAAAGATACCACAGAGTTATTACATAGCCACATACATTTACCAAAAATATGAAATTAACATTGGCACAATACTGCAGAATTTATTCAGATTTAAATTTGAATTTACTAGATAATTTAAAAAACATATATTTTAAATAAAAAGGAAATTATATTTGGACATTAGCTCATTTTGAGAGCTTAGTAACCCAATGAGCATTTAATGAGTATCCTTTTAAGTTTTGGAGTTTTGTTTGTTTGTTCATTTCTGAGTTTCAGAATTCTTTTAGGAACTTTCATGCACCTTCATTCTCTCATAATTAGCATCTCTGGAACAGTTTCACCAGAAACTCACTTATCATCAGATACACTACCTGGCACATAGTAGTAGTTGTTTATTAAATATATGTAAAATTAATTTTTCTTATTCTCCACTTCTGTTCAACCTGAATGTTAACATTTCACTCTCTAGACACAGAAAAAGAACTTTGGAAATGTATTCCATTATCCCGTACCCTAGGAAAGATATAACTTGGGCCCATCTTGCAATGTGCAGACCCCCTCCCCATAGTAAAGCCATAGTGATATGTTAAGGAAAGAGCAGAAAGCCATTTTCTTTCACTCTCTGATTCAGTCACCATGAGTGGTGGTGATATAGGTTCTTTTTAGATCAAACTATAAGTTTGTGGTCAAAGGTGCCAATCTATACTATGAATTAACATTCAGAACCTTCAATTCTTCACAACAGATCTGGCAAAATATGCCTTAAAGCATGATTCCCATTTCACTTCTGTTTCCTTAGCTAGAAAGTTATAAAGTATTGGGGATTTTTTTTTTTTTTTGGTTACACATGATGAAACGAGGTTATTATGTTGCCTTTCAGACCAAGGTGGGCTATTAAAAATAAGGAATAAGTCACTAGAAAAAAAAAAAAGAAAGAAAAGTGGGAAGAAATTGTGAAAATCTTGATTCTGAGAGGAAAGACATCATTAAAATTAAATGCTAAAAAACTTGAAAAAACTTTTTAAAAAGTCAGGCTGAATATAAAGACAGACTTATCTTGAGTTTATTGTTATTTCCCCATTTTAAATTAAGCAACAGGTTTATAAAATTGAAGTATATCAATGAGCTTATTATTTCAATTTTTTAAAATTCACATATGATTGGATTTCATTTACAGAAAATATTTTCAAAAATCATGAAACATTTCTATAATTACTTTTTTAAAAGTTATAAGGAGATTGATCAGAAAACAAATTCCATGTATTCAATGAAAAAAAAAGTTCATTATAGAAAATCTACTCCTGCTTTAATTGTCTCTAAGGAAATATATGTAGCAAGGAAGTATATCCCTAGCCCAGGATTTACTGCCAAGCAGTAACTATGTCAATTACATTCCCAGAATTTCAGCTTAGTTTTCTACACCAATAATAATATGTGTAATAAGGCCAATTATTGGTATTCAAGTATCTAGATAGCAGATGAAAATTTTTCAAAACTTCTACTCCAAAAATTATAAAGTACTATAAAGAAAAATTTAAAAAGATTTAAGGAAGATGTGTTATACCAGGGCCATGAATTAGGAAAATAAAAATTCAATATTTAAAAAAAAGTCTAACTATGTATGCTAACCATATAGAAAAATATTAAACATATTATCTGCAGATCTTTTAAAAATATATCATCAGGACAACAGACAGCTCAGAGAATTGGGAAAGATATTTACAATATATATATATCTGCAAATAAACATATCCAAGTATATTAAAAATTCTTATAAATCAATAAAAAGAATACAAAGGTTTTTGTTTGTCTTTTAATGTGCAAAAACTAGAAAGGTACTTAACAAATGAAAATAGTCAAATTGCCAATAAACATATTGTATTGGTTGGTTTGGGCTGTCATAACAAAGTGCCACAGACTAGGTGGCTTAAATAATAGAAATTTATTTTCTCATATCCCTAGAGGCTAGAAGTTCAAGATCAAAGTGTTGGCCGGGGGTGAGGGTTGGATTCTCCTGAGGACTCTCTTTTTGGCTTGTAGATGGCCGTCTTCTCTCCCGGATTTCACATGGTCTTTTCTCTATGTCCTAATCTCCATTACCTTAATGAAGGACACCATTCACCTTGGATTAGGGCGTACTCTAATGACCTCATTTTACCTCGTTAAAGACCCTATCTCCAAATAAGGTCACATTCTGAGGTACTAAGGGTTAGGAGTTACTTCAACTTGAGCATTTGTTGGGGAATGGGAGACACTATTCATCCCATAACACATACCATATTTCAGAAAATGACAGTTAACACCACAACTAATATTACTTTGACACAGTACCTGAAGGGATACAGTTAAATGAACTCATGACACCATGTGTTGTCTAGAATGTGAAGCAATTGAGACTCTCATAAATGCTGTAGAGGAAATCATAAAATGTTAAAAACACTTTGAAAACTGTTTGGTGGCATCTACTAAAGCTGAATACATATCCCTATAATTTACCATCTTTACTCCTAAATATGTACTCCACAAAATGAACATGTATTTTCACAGAAATACTACCAATTTAAACTTAAAACAGAAAAACTCCAAATGTTCATCTTCAATAGAATTCACCCAAAGCAAGACAAAACAATACACAATTTCTGTACTCATACAATAGAATATATCAATGAAAGTAAACACAATGTATAACTAGATGCAACAATATAAATGGAGTTTCTCAAAATCAGGTTCAGAAAAAAACACATCAAATACACACATCCATTATGATTCTGTTTACACAAAGTTCAAACTTTACGTAGTTAGAAGACAGGAGAATTGTCAGTCTTTAGGGGGTGGAAAGTGATTTGAAGGCGATGCAAGTATAGGGTTTGTGGTTGCTGGCAAATTCTGTCACTCCATCTGAGTACTGGGAAAACAGGTGTGATCACTTTGTGAAAGTATATTGAGATATAAACTTTTCGTTTAGGTTGTTTTTGAATACTAATTTTTCATTAAATATTTTAAAATGTTCTGCTTTTTGTTTCCAAAGCAATAATTGGTTTCATTATTTTTTCAAATATCATTTCAATGTTGATTTTAAATATTTTTAAAAATTCCTGAAAAGGTATGTGTTATGATCCACTATATAATTTTAAGATTAATGACCCATCCCTCATTAATATAAATTCCATTATAGCATTTATATTACCTTATGATATGTAATTCCATTTATATTAATGAGGCCAAGATTGTTAATCATAAATTTGTTTCATATTGGTAGATTTTGTATTTGTATATTATATTAATCTCACATTGATACAGATATATAATCAATACACTGTTGTCTTCTTTGTAATGTCTTTAATCATTTAGAATCAGAAAGTTATATATGCATCCTGGATTTTATGGCTGACCAATTTATCTCATTAGTAAAATATATACAATGTAGAAACTATGTGTTTTCTAAAACTGTGGGGAAAAAGCAAATAATTCTAAGTTTTCATTGACTTATTTTCAGTTTCTCAAGTTATCCTGATATTTGTTTATATTATTCTTTCTTGTGTATATCCATGCATATATGTGTATATATAGCCTTTGTTCATCTTTCAGCAACAATTAAAATATAACAAAATATTAATTTCTTATATATCTGAAATAGCCCATTTTGAGATATTAAAATACATTAAATTATATTTAATTGCCATTACCAATCATCTATAATGCTAGAGTGAAACCCATGACAAACAGGTTAATGACAAAGAAAAGGGAGAAGAATAAATGAATAAATAAAACAGTTATCTGAAACTGGAAAGAGGACTTAAACAAAAGTAAATGAATGATATATTTTTTCTCACTATGAATATCATATTTATTGTACAAAATAAACTTCTGCAGAACTTATTTAAGATCTTAATGTATTAGTTTGTGAGGCATACAATGTAGTCTTATTCAGACTGTTTTCTATATGCAACAACATGAATGAACCTGGAGGGCCTTATGCTAAGTGAAATAAGCCAGTCACAGAAGTACAAATACTGCGTGATTACACTTTTTAGGACCCAAAATAGTCACACTCAGAGAAACAGAGAGTTGCATGGTGGCTGCCAAGGAATATGGGTAAGGAGAAACAGGAAATTGCTGTTCAATAGACATAGAGTTTTAGTTTTAAAAGACGAACAAGCTCTTGGGCTATAATTTGAGTAATACCTTAAACAAGGTATGACAGGGAAAATTAGTGTAAGTATATCTTGAAATAACTTGTAAATATAAAGCATTAATTGAAATATTCTGGGACATTTATTATTTCCATCTCATTGATGACATGACATTCAATACTTTGAAATAGACTCTAGCCATTGCCCACTTTAGATTTTCTCAACTTTTTGATGATAATATATGATATATTTTATTGCTAACTTTAGCTTTGGAATTTGTTGTATTTTGTATTAATCTTAGTTTTTTGGCGATGAATCAGGTAAGTGCAATAAAGATAATAAACATATCCATAAATACATATTTTTCTTAAGCCCATTTGAGATCCTTCTCTTTTACTCCTCCCTCCTCCAGGCAACCATAAATCTGCCTTTTGTTACTCTGAATTAGTTTCATTTCCCAGAAATTTAAATAAATAGAAACAAATAGAATATACTCTTTTTGTTTGGCTTCATCATCACTCAGCATAAATATTTTGAGATTATTTTATATTATTGCATGTGTGAATAGTTCATTCATTTTTATTACTAGGTGGTATTCTTTTGTATGTATATACCATAATTATTTTATTCATTCATCAGTGAACATTTAGGTTGTTACTATATTTGGGCTACTTACTTCAAATAAGCCTGTTACGAACATTTATGTTTCAATTTCTGTGTGGACATGAGCTTTAATTTTTTTGAATACATAATTATGATGACAAGCCTGGGTCATATGTTAGGCATATCTTCAAGTTTTTAAAGACACTATCAAGAGCTAGTGGATATCGCAATTACCCTAATTTGGTAATCATACATTGTTTGTGTGTGTCAAAATTTCACAGGCACCTTATAAATATGTACAACTATTACATATCCACAATTTTAAAAGTTTAAAGTAAATAAAAAAATAAACTATTTATAAAATTTCCAATTGCTTTGCATTCTTGCCAACCCTATGTATGGTGAGTTTATTTTAATGTTTGGCATTCTATTTGGGGAGGAGCGGCATCTCATTTTGTCTTTAATTTCAATTCCCTAATGGCTAATCATGTTGAACATACTTTGATGTGCTTATTTGACATCCATGTAGTTGTTTGATAAACTACCTATTCAAATATCTGATTTTTAACTGGATTGCTCTTCTTGCTTTAAAGTTATAAGAAGATACAGGACAATTGAGAGTAAATTCCTTAATAGTAGGACATTAGACTCCAGAAGCAGAAAAAGACAGGGGAAGCAAATAAATTTGGAGTCAAGTTTTTGACATATATAATTATCATATATATATTATGGTATGTTAAAGTTAGTGGCAAAGAAATTAAGGTGGTTGTTCATTATGTGTAAAGAAAGTAAATTAATAAACAAGGGCAAAGAAAGAAAATTCTTTTCCTTTTTTTCTCACAAAACCTAAACAACCATGCTGGATTTTAGTCAAGCAGAACAATATGATGTGTGCTCCTGCTATTAGAGTTTTAGATTCCAAAATCATTCTTCTCCAAAAAAAGAAACTAAATTCTTTGGAAAATAAGGTGATTTCATGGCTTGGGGCAGAAAAACATTAATGACTCTGAAATAGTCTAACGTTTTAAGAATCTGAGGATGCTCTCTATTAATCATCATTACGTTTCTGCCTCTGAGTTCTCCATCTCTCAAACACTTAAATATGTCTTAAAAACAATTAAAATGTTAATCCTCTTTGGCACTGAACTCTGAATTATCTCTAGTTTATTGTAGAACATGGGCTCAAAAACAAGTACTAATTATGACTAACATTAACTCTCACAATACTGATTATTTGTTCAGGAAACCTATGTTGGAAAATAAAATTTAGTGAAAGCTTTAATCAGTCCAGTTAGGTCTGCATTAATTCTAGACTCACCTCTTGGTTGCTTTTTCAATAAGTAAGGCAATATTTTCTATGCCTAGCTTTTATGGTGAAACAGTCATGTCCAAGCAATTCTATCCCCCAAAGATTCTGATACTCTCTTCATGTCATTTACCTTTGACTTTGATGGAGAAGCCTAAGGACCAAAGACAAAAGCTACACAAAAAGGGCTTCCTCTATTCCCTGGCACAGACACTGGCTGACAATCATTAAAAAGTTGTCACTAGATAAATTGGTTTATAGCCAAATGTTTTAGTACAAGTTGCATTTTTTTCTGCTTATAATCTTAAAACTTTAGAAAAGCCCCAAAAAACATATGCTGGCTGTCCTCTTGTGAAGGTACTAATTTCACCTCAGATAAGCCTCATAACAGAAATCAGCATTCCTTGAAAGAATCAGCTCACATAAAAACTGCAAATCAAATCTCTGTGTACATCAGCCGCTTTGTTTCTCCCTGGCTCTTCCTTTTGCAATCCCTTCATTTTGCTTAGCAAAGAAAATGTTCTTCAGTTACTTGTGACAAGCTTCTTTGAGGGCAGTGAGGAAATTACAAATAAAGTTACAAGAAAAACTATTTTCCTAAAAGTTTATATGTAAATTCTATCTAAGAATTGATCAATACACGAGTGACATGTATTTATTTATTAATGGGTTCATAATATTCCTCTCAGCTATAGGACATAGTGAAAAAGGGTATACTCACTTTGTACCTTTTTAGATAGAGCACAATTATTTCAAATTTATCCACTCCCACATGGCCTTCCATAAAGCCTCCTCTTTTTATTTATCTTTGAATCAAACCCAATAGATTCTGAGGATACATTTCCAAAATGTCAGGTATTCTACCCAAAATTCTACTGACAGGTTGCTCATAATAACCACAATAGCCAATATTATTTTTTTTTTTTAGGAATGAATCAAACCTAAGGAAGAAATGATCACTTTCTTGGTATTATTGAACATTGAAATGACTTTGCATTATATGCTTGTGTGGTAGTAAAAAATATGTTCATATTTAATAAAACTCCTGGCCCCTAGCGGTGAGACTTTGTGAAGTCAGAGGTAACATGAACTTAAGGGAAAGCCTGGGTCTCAGAGATGTCTATTGCTTTCATTTCTTGGTAGTAAAATTTTTCCTTTACTAAAAAGAAAAATAAGAAGAAAAGAATGAGATTAAGAACATGGTGATAAAAGTATCTTTATATTTATAACTCAGCAATTATAAAACAAACAACTCAAACTTTGTTTTCTTAATATATAAAAATGTCCCATTTCAACATAGCAATGTCAAACATGTAATGTGAAGTTAGTCATGTGGCTGTGAGAGAGGAGGAGGAGAAATTCCACATTGTACCACCCTGACAAAGCCACTGTGAATTCTGGAAAACAGTTCTTTAAATCCCCCCTTTTCCTTTGTTCCCTCCTGCATTTTTTCTAGAATATTTTGTAAGTAGCAATGTATCTATTTATATTAACTATGTTTAATTTTACATCTATATCCATTTATGTATATATCTATACATCCTAACTGTCCATATTTACTTACATCTGTATCTATGTCTATCTTTAGGTATATCTATCCCTGCAGCAGCAGTGTATTGCTCAAAAGCTTGCCCTCAGAATGTAGACTGCCCATTTTTAATTCCATCTCTCCACTTACACAAATGTGACATGAGGTATTTATGTAAATTTAGTGTGTCTTAGTTTCTTCATATGCAAAATGGGAAAATATAGGCAAGTGTATTATATGGTTATTGTTTGATTTAAATGTGTTAGAACATCTAGAGAACTTAGAATAATTTTTTTAAATTTATTTTTCTTAAATAGGTCCCATAAGCTTTGTTTCAGTTTTAGATTTCAGTTTCCAAACTTGAAAAACTATGAGTTCAGGCTATTTGACCAAAGTTCATCCAAGCATAGTCTGAATCATATACCTTAACAAGAATCCTCTTTGAAGGAGATGAAATTTATCCATCTAAAATTTACCTAGGTTTTTTACACTCCACATAAAGTTCATCGGTTGCCTTAAATTCTCTTATGTTTCCTGCAGAAATTCCCTGAAGAAAAATATTTTACTTTATATTTTTATGCTGGATTGGCTTTCAATCTAGTATACCTTTATATCTCAGTTTCTGATCGATGAGCAAACTCAGAAGAATACTACAAAGTAAAATAACTTCTGAGTTTTATTTTATCTTTACAGGCAACACAGATTTAAGGAGCTTTGTCTTCTGTTGCCATGTGGATGTAAAACCTCTGAAAATATTGCATGCTTCCTACTGACACTTCAATTGAGTTTAAGTCTCTGATATTAAAACTTACATGTCATTTTAGTTGTATAGCATAGAATTTAAATGACAGCTAACCAAGAATCTTTTCAGGGAATCAAACAATGTCCAGGTACTAACGTTTATTAGCTATTTCTAGTTCATATTGGTAGATACTCAACAAGATACTGAATACCTGCTTACATTTCATAAATGACTCCATTCTCAATCCCCTAATTCTCTTTGGTGCAATAGTTAATGAGTAATTTCTTTTAGCCAATAATTTGCTTCTTTATAGGTGATAGTTCACTTCAGTAAGTTGTTTTCCCCCTTCAGGAGTTTTGGGAGCCACTTTCAAAATGTTTGTTTATTGGAATTTAATAGAAAGGAAAAGAGAAACACATCAAATTGAAACTAGTGTTTCACATCCTGTTGTTTTCTGTAATTAGGCCTGTGTAATATACGCTGGAAGTAATACAAAATTTATGCTAAGCTTCAGGATATATTCCATATTGCTGTGTCATGTAAAATCTAACTAATCAAAAATATGCATATTTCTAACAGTAATTAACTCTATAGTGAAAAGAGGATTGTTATTTTATGAATCACTTAACAGTATAATATGTATATCAAAGAAAAATACTATTAAATTACTTTAGAGATTCTACCTAGGGTGGCATAAGGAGAAATTCTACCGCAGAAATAGATTTTTTTTTGTTTTAGTTTTTAAGCATATAAAAGGGCATTTTGTTTAAGGAAGATAAGCCATGTCTTCAAGGATAGGCTGAGAAAAGAACGAATTGCTAAGTTACAATTTCTCTGGGCATTTCAGAGCTTGGGGTTTGGGACCTCTGGAGAAGGGATGTTGATATGGTGGGGGAATACTGAGAAACTAAAGAAGGTGGGGTTAATGATTCTCAACAAACTGTTTCTAAGAAGAAACACAGGCAAAAATAAATTCCCTATGGTAATAGTAATATTGAGCAAAAAACCCTAAATGTCTAAAATTGACTCTTAAATTTCTTCCTATTTTCTTCTTATGAAGTTTGTTCTAATCTCACTCCATTCTTTTTCCAAATTTTCATCAAAAGCTAGTTACATACAATGGTCTTGTGTTTGTTGTATCTATTTACTTAGAAAGGGGGAGAAGTAGAATTAATTAAAGATAAAGAAGAGATAAATACAGACAACTTTTATGGGATAGGTTTGTATCTTTTGGCCAGTATCTCCCCATTTCTCCCATCTCCCAGCCCCTAGTAACCACCATTCTAACCTATACTGTCATAAATTTAACTTTTTTAGATTTCACATATAAGTGAGATTTATTTTACTGTACCCAAACATCCAGGGTACAGTAAAATAAACATAGACTGGAGTATTTTTATATAAAATATTTAATTTAACATAATTTTGTTATTTCTGTGTCTGACTTATTTCACTTAGTATAATGTTCTCCAGGTCCATCTATGTTGTCATGAATGGTAGGATTCCTCCCTTTTTTATGGCTGAATAATATTCTATTGTTTATATGTACCACAATTTCTTTATCTATTTATATGTTGATGGATACTTACTTTGTTTCTATATCTTAGCTATTGTAAATAATGCTGTAATAAACATGTGGGTGCAAATATATCTTTTAGATACTAATTTTATTTTCTGTGGATATATAACCAGAAGTAGGATTGTTGGATCATACAGTAGTTCTATTTTTAATGTGTTGAGGAAACTTCATGCTGTTTTCTATGGTTATTATTAAAAAGACAAGAATAACAAATGTTGGCAAGGATGTGGAGAAAAGGGGACCCTTTGTACACTGTTGGTGGGAATGTAAATTAAAGTTTTCTTTAAGGACTAAATAACTCCTGAAGGTGAACCTCCTTGAAATATATACAAATAAGAGAGGCAGGAATGATTTCATAGTTTTTTTTAATGCTGTCTTTCAGCTTTTATGTATGCAATATTATAAAACAAATACCATTTTAATAGAAATAACACAATAAACTAATCTATATAAAATGAATGAAAGCACCCTTTCAACCTATCTTACATGGATAAAGAAGAAAACTCAGTTGATAGATGATACTCACTTGAAGAACAAGGCTAGTCCTTCCAATCTCACTCTTAGTGTAGGTAGAATACATATTTGTTTGTCAGGTGATTTGCATATACACTTGACTCTTAAACAACACATGTTTTAACTTCCCAGGTTCACTTATACACACATATTTTAAAACAAATATATTGGAAAAAGTTTTGGAATTTTGTAGCAATTTGGGCTCAAACATGTACACTAGAAATATAAAAAAAATAAGATTAAGTTAAGCATGTCATTAATGCATACAATATATGGATAAGCGAGTCTATTTTATCATTTGCTACTGTAATATATATACAAATATATTATAAAACATTAAAATTATCAAAATTTACACATGGAAACACTTACAGGCCTTACAGGTTACCATTTGCAGTTAAGAAAAATATAAACAAACATAAAGATGCAGTATTAAATCATAGCTACATAAAATTTACTGTAATACGAACTGTATTACTATAATAAAGTTGTAGCCACCTCTGTTTCTATTGTGGTGAGTTCAAGTGTTTCAAGTATTGTTTACAATGCTGGTGCGATGCCTATCATCTCAAAGTAAGCAGTTCGTCTCTCCAGTAAAGTGTTTATTGCAATTCAAAGTAGTATACTGTGGTTGTCCCATTTTTTTAATCATGTTTAGTGCAATATCATAAACCTTGAACATTGTGAGACCCACATAAAGTGCCACTGGCGATGCTGAAAATATTACCAAGAAGCAGAGAAGTCATGACATTACGAGAGAAAGCTTAATTGCCAGATATGCGCCGTAAATAGAGGTCTGCAACTGCAGTTGCCCACCCTTTCCAAATAAATAAATCTAGAATAAGGACGATTGTAAAACAAAAGAAAAGAAAATTTTAGAAGTAATTGCTTTAGCAATGCCAGCAGGCATTAAAACCTTGCATTTTTTGCAAAATACCTGTGTATCTTGTATTGAAAATGCAGCTCTTGGTACAGGATTTCTATAAGAAAGTTATACCTAGAAGACTCTAATGTGATTAGAGAAAAAAATGAAATAATATGACAGCTTAAAGCAAAAAGACGGTGAAGGATCGAAAGCTGAAAATTTAATGCCAGCAAAGGATGGTTTGATAATTTTAGGTTGTAATTTTGCTTAAAGATAACGGGAGAAGTTGCTTCTGCCAACAAAGAGGCAGGCAGATGAGTTACCAGATGTCATTAAGAAAATCATTGAGAAGAAAAGGTTGAACAGGTTTTTAATACAGATGAAAGTTCCCTATTCTAAAATTAAAACAAGCAAACAAAAAACCCCAAATGGCAAAAAGGACATCATTTATTAGTAAGGAAGAGAAGCATGCACCTGGATTTAAAGCAGGAAGGGATAGGTTAACTCTATTGTTTTGTGCACTTCGGTTCAGTTTAGGATCAAGACTGCCCTTATTTATAAAACTGCTGAAACACTAGTCTTGAAGGGAAATGATAAACACCAGCTCCCAGGCTTTTGGTTGTACACCAAAAAGGCCTGGATAATGAGAACCCTTGTTTTGGAATGGTTCAATTGATACTTTGTCTCTGAAGTCAGGAAGTACCTTGCCAGTAAGGGATTGCCTTCTCAAGTTCTTTTGATATTGGACAATGCTCCTGGACACCTGGAACCCTGAAAGTTCAATACCACAAAGGGTCATAAGGACCATTTAAGCTCATTACACATGGTTTTCCATATGGTTTGGCTGTGTCCTCACCCAAATCTCATCTTGAATTGTAGCTCCCATAATCCCCACGTGTGGTGAGAGTGACCTGGTTGGAGGTAATTGAATCATGGGGGCAGTTACCTCCATGCTGTTCTAGTGATAGTGAATGAGTTCTCCTGAGATCTGAAGTTGTTATAAGAGTCTTTTCTCCTTTTGGTTGGCACTTCTCCTTGCTACCACCATGTGAAGAAGGACATGTTTACTTCCCCTTCCACCATAATTGTAAGTTTCCTGAGCCCTCCCCAGTCATGCTGAACTGTGAGTTAATTAAACTTTTTTCCTTTATAATTTACCCAGTCTTGGGTATGTCTTTATTAGCAGCATAAGAAAAAACTAATACAGTGTTTTATGGAAAGGACTGTCAATACTATGGAAGAGAATCATAATAAAGAGAACATCATGGAAGTCTACAGGGATCATCCCACTGAAGATGTTATCATTGTTATAAAGAAAACCATCAAGCCCCAAACAGCTAATTCCTGCTGAAGAAAACCATGTCCAGATTTGCTTGACTTCAGAGGATTTATGACAGAGTCAATCAAGAAAATCATGAAAGAGATTTTGAATATACTAAAAGGATATGTGGGAGGGGCTGTGGGTGAAGGACTTCAAGGTATGAATTCTGGAGAAATTAAAGAACTCATAAACACCACCTCAGAAGAATTTATGGAAGATGACTAGATGGTAATGAGTGCTTCCAAACCAGCACCAGATGTTGAGAAAGAAGACATAGAAGAAGCAGTGCCCCCCCCTCCAAAAACATTGACATTAGACAACCTAGCAGAAGGGTTTTGATTATTTAAGACTACTTTTGAATTCACTTATGACATAGACCTTTGTATGATATGACCACTGAACACAAAGCAAACAGTGAAAGGAAAATTGGTATTGTATAAGAAGATTTTAAGAGAAATAAAAAACAAAATGTCAGACAGAAATTATAATACATTTCTGTAAAATTACACCAAATATGCTTGTCTCTCTTGCTTCTCCTTTCACCTCCTCCACCTGTGTCTCGGACAGCAAGACTAACCCCTCCATTTTCTCCTCCTCCTCAGCCTACTTAATGTGAAGATGATAAAGATAAAGAATTTTATGATAACGCACTTTTACATACTGAATAGTAAATATATTTTCTCTTTCTTGTGACTTTCTTAATAACATTTTCTTTTCTCTAGCTTACTTTCTTGTGAGAATATAGTATACAATATATATTTAAAATATGTGTTAATGGATTGTTTATATTACTGATAAGGCTTCTGGCCAATGATAGTTTCTTAGTAGTTAAGTTTATGAGGAATCAAAAATTATTTGCAGTTATTTTAATGTGAGAGGGGTCAACAGCCTAAACCCAGAATTGTTCAAGGGTCAACTGTAGTTAATAACTCTTGAATTATAAACCTTCAACTCTCATTCACTTTATTCCCAAAGTTACGAGAAGAATAACAATGACTTCCCCTCATATCACTTTATCTCATCGAAGGCAAAAATGTTATACTTTCACACATATTTTATTCATATTCAATTACATACATATATTTCCCTTTCTACAAAATGCTACATGTAACATCTGCTTTACTTTATCTTTCTTTGTTAATGTCACTTTTTAGCTTAGAGGTCATTCAATATCAATACATTAGATAAAAATATATTTTTTATACTTGAAAAAAATAATGGCTGCATATATATTTTTCTTTTTTTTTTTTTCTTGTTTTGAGACAGCGTCGATCTTTGTTGCCCAGGCTGAAGTGCAGTGATGCAATCACAGCTCAATGCAGCTTGGAAGTCCTGAGCTCAAGCGATCCTCCCACCACAGCCGCTCAAGTAGCTGGGACCACAAGCACATGCCACTACGCCAGACTATTATTTTTTAATATTTTAATTTTTGTAGAGACAGGATCTCCCTATGTTGCCCAGGCTGGTCTTGAACTCCTGGGCTCAAGTGATTCTCCCGGCTCAACCTCCCAACGTGTTGAGATTACAGGCATGAGCCACCATGTATAGCTTAGTATTTCATTCTAAGAATTAACAAATTTGTCTGAGGGAATAGTTCCTAAAACAAATTTTTAGATAAAAATTTACATGAAATACCAATGAAAATTTTCAAATTCTCATTATATAAGCTGTAATATTATTTATAAGTGTTTTATTTCACCCAACCCAAGTGAACCAGCATGTTTTAAATTTGCTCTTCTTTTTCATGGACCTTCTTAATAAACAATGGAACATATTTCATTTTTTGTTTTACTTTTATAGATTTGGGGGTATAAGTCCAGTTTTTTTACATAGATATATTGCATAGTGAGTGGGGAAATCTGAGCTTTTAGTGTACCCAGCACCTGTATAATGTACACTGTACCCGATAGGTAATTTTTCATCCCTCACATTCCTCCTACTCTCACATCTTTGGAGCCTCCAGTGTCTATTATTGCACTCTGTATATTTCTTTTATATTTAGCAACATCATTTGTAGCATCATTTATAATTCATTTCAGTGGACTCTATGTGTGTGTGTGTATATATACACATATATGTGTATATATATGTATATACGTGTGTATGTGTATATATATACACACATATATACGCACATATATATACACACATATATACACACACACATGTATATAAATACACATATATATATGGGGAACCTTGGTAATTTTCTTAATGATTTGTAAAAAGAAAAATTCTGTGAAAATAGTAGACTTCTGCTATATAAATTACAAAACTTTTTGCTACTATGAAGGTTGCTTTTAGAGTTTGCTTATGATAATTTTTCGTTCATATTTTCATGAAATCACATTTATAATTGTGTTATGGCTTTTGAGTTTTCTGTCAAAGTTACATGTAACTCAAAATATTTAAAGATGTTTATTGTGGATGTCTTCTATTTATTTAAATTTCTGTAACTTTATTTAAATTTCTGTTACTTAATTTAAATTTCTCATATTTCGACAGTTTATCCTGGTATAAGTTGTGAGAAATAGATTCAACTGTCTTTTGCTTCATGGACACTTAGTTGTCATAATCATTTAATGAATAATTCATCTTTGTCCTCTTGCATTTATGTACTAAATTCCCTAATGTATCTGTGTCATTTCTAGATGTTATAGTCTGTTTTGTTAATATATCTATTCACAAGCCAGCCATGCACTATTGCACTTACTAAAGAATTATAACCATAGTTTAATATTTGGCAAATTTGTTCCCCACTTAATTATTGTTTTTATCCCCAGTGCTTATTTTTAGATTCATGTTTATTTCTTCACTTAAAATTTAACATCTATCATTCCAAAACCCAAACCAAACCAAATATAAAACATGTTAGTCATTGAGAACATTTCAACTATATTGATTAACATAGAATTATTACATTATGATATTAAATTTTATTGAAAAATATGGCACCGCTTTCCATTTTTTTCTAATAACAGTTTTGTGACCCCAAAGGTAATTTAGTTTTTATTTTTAAATTAGCAGTTGACAGCAGTGGATAAGTTGTTATAGTGATATGTAGTGTTGACAAAATAATACAATTCTCTCAAAAACAGAATTTGGCATAGTATACAGAAGACACAGAAAACACAATGTATTATTATTGAATAAGTATTAACAGATTTACATGCATGTAAATTACAAAAAAAGTGATTATAAAGTTAAGACAAACTTTTCCACATTTTTTACAGCAAAGCAGAAGAAAGAACAATGACTTGTCTTCAGAGACAAAATGCAGTACTTCATGACAGTCTTCTGCATATTTTATGAGAAAACTCTGATCTAATTTTGGAAGTATGTTTTATATATCTAGAGGTTATTTGCCAGTGACCTTGTAGATATCTCTACATTGTGAAAACTGGAGAATGGGCTTAATCACTAGAAAGATTTATCTCTGTTCTAAAAGTTGGTGTAGTGATTCGTGCTGTCTCCATGGAAATGATCTTTCCTCTGTATTAATACATAAAGTAATTTACATTTACCCTTATAGTTAGGAGACCAATTAAGAAACTAAATGCGGTAATGTTCTTTGGGAGTTCCATTAAGAGCTGTGGCTCATTGAATATCTTAAAATATTCCTCTTACCTCTGGAAAATTTATTTTCTTTTGCAATCCATGAAACCTCTAGAATTTTTTTAAATGACAGAGCAAGATAGTCTTTCTAGAAAATCCAGAGTAACCAAACTAACTCAAATATTCAATGACAGATACATCAGTTATATTTACCTCATAATCCTTATTTAAGTGTTAGCTATTACTATGTACAATATGTTAGCTATTACTATGTACAATAATAATCAAATTATTTTAACAAATCATTATTTAGATAAATGATTTTTAGCATAAACTTTTTGGAGCAATTTTTTAATACTCAATGATTTTACATTAAATTAAAAACTCCAAACAGGTGACATGGGTAGTAGATGGCATTTGCAATTATGCATTAGCCTTTATATTCAGGAAAATGTTAATAAGTAAATAAATACAATAGTTGATATTCGATTGTGAATTCTAACAGACAGTATTTTTAAAAGATAAGAAAATGTACAATAGGGTTTAGAGATTAAGTAAGTATCCATCCATTCTACCCAAATTCTACCCAAATCTTGGGTAGAAAGAAATAGCAAGTTGTCATGTGGACCAAGGACTTGCTATTTATTTAGGCTGCAAGGGTAAGGAAGCAACAGATGGGATTACTATGTATATGAGAGACAATATGTTAAGGTGTGAATGCCGAGCATTAAAAAAAAATCACTGCAATATGAAGTTGTCAGTGGATTTTATGAACAAAGTAAAAGGAAGATAAATAAAGATTTGGAGTAGAGCAGCCTGTGAAAAGGCAAAAAGAAGCTATTGTTTGCTGATAAAAAAGAAAAACTAGGAAGCAGTATAAAAGAATTAAATGAAAAGCAAGAATAGTTGTACTGCCAGTAGCTATATTTGTGTGTGCACAGAGGCAGAAGACAAATTGGTTACTAACGATTTGAATAGATAAAAATAAAACCTAGCAAGCTTGCCCAATAGAGTTGCTGAAAATTACATTACGTTTTATTTCTTTCAAATGGATCGAGGAGATTCAAGCAAGAAAAGGAGCAATTCTTAGTATATCTTACAAGAAAGAAAAAAAGAAGAAGATAATTTGGAATAAAAGAGGCATCATAAAAAATAAATCAAAAGACCTTACAAGAAAAGAAAAATATAATTTGGGATAAAAGAGCCATCATAAAAATAAAATTGAAAGAATTTCTGTGATTACACAATTTCAAAAAATGATTTTTTTATTGATCTCTAAAGGCTTATGGCAGTGATCTTTAATGTCATGTGAAGTGGTAAAAGCAATAAACACAGAATATACTTTTTAAAGATTTTCTGACATGATACTACATTGGTATAGGTACATACTAAAATACAATTAAAAATTGATAAGTTAGTATCATTAAAGGATGGGGTATGCTGATTGATCCCAAATCTACAACATAATTACTTGTGTAGTAATGAAACAAAATAGATACTTATAAACTGAGAAAAGATTTTAAAATGGATCAAATGGATTTAAAAATCTGAATCATAGACTTTTTAAAAAGATTTAGACTGACAAAAAATGTTCATTTGAGGAATTATGGCTTGAGCTCACAGAAAAACATATTTCTGGCACTGTGTTAAGGACTTGACATAAATTTTCTCCTTTAACAATTGCAACAACCCTATGGATTCATTTCTATTACGATGCCCATTTTGGGTAAGGCAATGGAGGTTTAGAGGAAGAAGGAAGCTGACACAAAGCTAGTTACCCACCAGATGATGGTAGTGACATTGAGTCCCATGAGTTAAAAAGCGAAAACACCTCTAAATCAGGTCTTTTTTTTTTTTGGTTTACTCTCTCTAAGCAGAATGATCTATCCAGTTACCTAAAGTTTAGAATCTAAATCAAAGTCTTGAGATTTTCTCGCCAATACCCTTTGCCTTCCTATTTCTTTTTTTATTTCTGTTTTCTTTCTTTAAAATTATTATTACACTAAGTTCTAGGGTACATGTGCACAACGTGCAGGCTCGTTACATAGGTATACATGCCACGCTAGCCCCCTGCACCCATCAACCCGTCATTTACATTAGGTATTTCTCCCAGTGCTATCCCTCCCCCCGCCTCCCATCCCACGACAGGCCCCGGTGTGTGATGTTTCCCACCCTGCATCCTGTGTCGAAGTGCTCTCATTGTTCAATTCCCACCTATGAGTGAGAACATGCGGTGTTTGGTTTTCTGTCCTTGTGATAGTTTGCTCAGAATGATGGTTTCCAGTTTCATCCATGCTCCTGCAAAGGACATGAATCATCCTTTTTTATGGCTGCATAGTATTCCATGGTGTATATGTGCCACATTTTCTTAATCCAGTCTATCATTGATGGACATTTGGGTTGGTTCCAAGTCTTTGCTATTGTGAATAGTGCCGCAATAAACATACTTGTGCATGTGTCTTTATAGTAGCATGGTTTATAATCCTTTGGTTATTTATTTAATAACACATCAAGTTTTAGCTCATTTGTCATTTCCATCATCAATGCTGCCTTGATCATTTCAGCATTCTCTGGGCGTTCCTTACACAGCATCCTGGACCTCTCTCTATCAAAGACAGAACTATATAATCTTGATAACATCATAAGCATATGTGTGTTCTCTACACACTACAACAATGTAACATCATCAGGCAGGTTCAAATCCTAGGTCTTTCTGTTCTTGTCTTCAATGTCTAGCTCCATGCAGTCAAAATTAAAAATTCCAATCAATGTTTACCTACTAGAATATAAGTTCCCTGAGTGAAAGGAATGTATCCTGGTCAAAGTTGATGCTCAATAAGTAGATGTGAAATGAATGAATGAGTGATTATTTAATGAACAAATAATTAGCCAGCAATGAGAAAACCATTCCTAGAAAATGTGAGCCACAGCACAAACTTTAAGTATGCAGATTATGAGTGTAACTAAAGTAGAAGAGTTATGTTTGGAGTAATGGAGTATTAGGTGGGCCAAACAAATGGAAATAGATGGTGGAGGCACCAGATAAAATAGTTTAGACTCCAGGAAGTAGAACTAGGCATGTAACTTTAAAGGAACATAAAGAAAGGATGATCTGATTAACAATTCTGATTACCTAAACAAACCTAAAAGGATGACTTTTTTTTCAGCTTTCGCAGCTGTTTTAGCAAAATATATCACACTGTTTATCAATGTTTAAAACATGCCATATAAATTTAATATCTGTATCATTGTAAATTTTAAAAGCTGCATAAGTCAGTAGAATAGTGTGCAAAAATAACAGGAGATTACAGTAAACATAATTTACCTGTAGGGGAAATATCTGCTATACTGGTGTAATTGCTTGTTTGTCGTATTCAAAGGCTTATAAGGCAATGTAATATTGAATGTTGGACATTTTGAGGTTCTTGAAAGAAACATAACCTAAGACCATTTTTATTCTGTTTGTAATCTACAGTGAATATAAACTTATATTAAATTCCTAGAATTTGAAACTAGTTCTAAATTCATTTGAATATTTTGCATTTTTTACTTTCCCAGGTTAATAGCAATAACTATAGTAATCAAAGCCTCCATTTGTTCCAACAAAACAGTTTGGAAGTCTGTGTTGAGCCTATTTGTACATTATCAATTTTGTGGTCATTTAGTTATTTTTTTAATTTTTATGAACATAGATATAAAAATGATTAAAGGAACTCACAGAAAATCCAGTCCCAACCTTATACTGTGGTCTCTCTGTGAATGGAAACTTTGTGTATTCTTATATTCTGGGTAGCCAGTTATTTTTCTGGTGGTTCCCCATGACAGAAATTTAACAGATGAGCTTTGATCTGAACTGGACTGGATTCTTTTCTTTTTTTATTCTACCTTAAGTTCTGGGATACATGTGCAGAATTTGCAAGTTTGTGACATAAGTAAATGTGTGCCACGGTGGTTTGCTGCACCTATCAACCCGTGAACTGGACTCAATTATAAACAAAATTAAAATATTTAGAAATTACATTAATTACTTGATACAAAATATGTTTGGAATCAATGTTAATGATACAAACTAAAAATTATTTCCAGGTCTCTTAATTTCCAAAATTTCATTCACTTTTTGTTGCTATATTGGCATGAGCAAAGTGCAACTTATTGATAAGACATTGAGAAAAATACTTATTTTTATTTTGCAAAGTCACCATAGTTTTGAGGATCAGAGCATAGTGTCTTGCTTTATGACCTTGTGGTCACCTCATTATATGAATTTCCTCATCCATAAAATAGGCATAATAATTGCAGAGCCCATAAAATTGTGGTGCAGATCAAAAGTATTATTATCTGTGAAGTAGTTAGCATATCCCCTGGTTGCAATATTTTCTCAATGTTTGCACAAAGTTTTCTTCCTGCCTAATGCTTGTCCATCATAATCCTCTCAGCTTTGAACTCAGCTGTGCCGATTTGAAAAAGGCAAAGAATAATTCATCTTGTGAAGTAAAAATATCCAAAATTCTATCAAGAAATGTCTCTCTAAGGGCTAAAGGGCTAGGCTTTTTGAAGTCCTGGCCAATAAAGGATGAAACTAAGTAAAGGATTTCAGAGGTCAAGACAAACTAAAAGGGAACAAGATACAGAGAGAGAGAGAGAGAGAGAGAGAGAGAGAGTGCCAGAACCAACTATAAGAGCATTAGCAGCAGCTAAATTGCCACTCAGTCCTCTTCAGCTCTGGCCCTTTCTTTCCTGTATCTGTCTTGAGGCAAAGTGTTTTTTTTTTTTGGCGGGGGTTGGCGGGGAGGAGTTTCTTTGGTTTTGTTTTGAGACAGGGTCTTGTTCTGTCACCCAAGATGGGGTGCAATGGTATCATCATAGCTCATTGCAGCCTCAAACTCTAGGGCTTAAGCAATCCTCATGCCTCAGCCCTCTAAGTAGCTGTGATTACAGGCATGCACCACCACATCCAGTTAAGTTTTTATTTTATGTAGAGATAGGGTCTTACTATGTTGGCTAGGCTGGTCTCTAACAGCTGGGATCAAGTGATTCTCCCACCTTGAACTCCCAAAGTACTGGGATTACAGGTGTGCACCACCACACCCAGCTAAGTTTTAATTTTTTTTTTTTTGGTAGAGATAGGATTTTGTTGTGTTTCCTAGGTTTCTCTCAAATTCCTGGACTAAAAGGATCCTCCTGCCTTTAGGATTCAGGAACTTTATAGGATTATGAGGGTTTTGCCCTTACAAACTTTCTGAGAAGTGCAGATATTGAAGTTGCCTTTGTAGAATTAATGTAGTAATTCCCATGGCATACCTCAGGCACAATAGATGCTATTAGTATTAGTTTGCTAGGGCTGCCATAACAAAATACCATAGACCAGATGGCTTAAGCACAGCTCCGGAGGCTAAAACTCCAAACAATCAAGGCGACAGGTTGGTTTCTCATGAGGTCTCTCTCATTAGCTTACTGACAGCTGTCTTCCTGCTGTGTCCTCCCATGCTCTTGCCTCTGCGCAAAGGCATCCTTGATTTTTCTCCCGCTTCTTTTAAGGACACTGGTCCTATGGGCCCCATACTTACCAAGAGCTCATTTAACCTTAATTACCTCTTTAAAGGCCCTGTCTCTAAATACAGTCATGTTGAGAGAGCTTCAGTGAATGAATTTTGGGGGACACAGATTAGGCCATACCAGCATTCAAATCACCTGTGGGAAGTTTGATAATGAACTTGAGAGTTTTATAGATGTGTGTTGTGCTAAAGATGAGAATTATTATAATATTAGTAAGTGTATACACAGATTAACTCAAACAGTGGGTAAGACCACTTAGGAAAGTGGAAAAAAAGAAGATATAGGTATAAAAACCAGAAATGTCAGGTTTTAACCAGGTAGAATAAATGTCAACACACACACACGCACACACACACTGAGAAGGAAGTGTCATAGAAATAGAGGCAGCAGATAAAGAAAGTATGGGAATTTTGAAGTCAAGGATAAGAAAACGGTTTCAAACACAGGGTTATGGAGAGGGCCAGATGTCACAGAGATAAGAATGAGAAAGGAAATTACTCATTTGGCAATGAGAGCAGCTTAATGAATGAATTAAGCAGTTTAGTGAATAAAATGAAGCTTTTATCAGAAGAAAAGGAGTATAGAATACAGAGAAGGAAGTTGAATTTTCTTTTAAGTAGCAGGATTCCTTGACACACCAAAAAGAAACAAAGTAATCACTAAAATAAATTGGATTAATTTAGAATATTATATAAATGTTATGTGCTTTAGGAGCATTACAAAATTATAAGAAGAAATTTCCACATAATTGTAATTAACATATTCATATTAGGTAACTGAGAAGTAATTCAAATTAATTTCTTGAATAGATTAGGGATAAACAAAACCATGTTAATCTTTGATACATTATAGGTATTAACTACTCTAGCTTATTATATCATATAATAATTCAATGCAATATAATACCACTTTAAATATATGTTCAGGTTATGTGTTTAGGTACATCAAGAAAACTCTTGTGCTTGGTTATAAGTGATCAACATTATAAAACTAAAACAAAATGCTGTATGAACAGTAGTAAGAAACAATTGACAGCAAGACAGTAGCAAAAACAAAGTAGAAAACCTGAAATTTATCAGGCTGTAATGGTTTTATAAAAGCATTTTTCCATAATTAAAGGGATCCATCTGCCTAGTCTAAAATCTGGTTCTTTTTCTGAGTTTGCTCAGAAATACATATTATATTGCCATTCTTCTATTCCTGGAGGCATTTGGCCTGATGGGCACGTTAAATGCATTCTAAATCTTCAATATAAAATACATACTTAATTCTAGGATGTTGACATTTTCACTCAATGCCTTCTTTATTTGTCCTATGACTACATATTCATAATGCAAAATCCATTCCTTCAAGGAGTACCCGCTTTATTCCTATCATATTATTGCAACAGATCAGTGACTAAATACTTCAACTGTGGAATTACTGAACATACGGCAGGATTATCTTCTCAGAGAATAAATCCAAACCTGGAGGTCTTGATAAAGGGAATGAAGTGTGCTTCCCGTAAATAGCTCCAATCAAATGTCAAAAAGGTAGTGGATAAATTGTGCTGCTATAGGATTAAGCATATTGTTTCTTGCTAGATTCTGTTCAGTGGATTTCTGTTTTCTTGTTAGGCATGTTCATTAGTGTCGGACTTTATTATGTTGATGACAGGTGAAGTAGGTTAAAACCATAGAACATTATAATAAAGATATGCACCCTACTCCGGGTCTGCTTAACTCATTGTTTGTAAATGTGGTTCCAAAACACCATGAAAGAGAAAACACAATTCCTCTTGTGTGAAAAAAATGTGGTTTCCTGTGGTTGCAAATGAAGTCTCTTATTAGTTATTCCATTTGTTTAAAAATTGGGCAATTCACAGCCAGGATTGTGACCACCCTGTATGAAATATTGCTAGACTACAAGAAAATCTCCTACTGCTTAAGTTGACTACTGCAAATAAATCAGAAAGAGTTGTCAAAATTATCTACAGCATGTCAGTAAGTGAAGAGTTACTCAAAATCAGTTTTATATCTTGTGTTATTATATGTTAGGGACGCTTGTCTGAAGGACAGAGAAACTACATTGGCAAAAAATAATGTAATTCAGTGTTTGAAAAATCTTAAGAATTATCAAAGAGTCAATTTGAAATCACTTCTGTGAAGACAGAACTGACTGTCCCTCTTTTATGCCACTCTGCTTTATGTTACAAAGTAATATAGCCTTTCAGAAACCTAGGACTCTAGATAGATATTAAAAGGATCCATCCCTAGCTCCATTGCTTAAAATGACATGAAAACAGTTAGATGTGAAACTAATGAAATTTGAACAATGAAATTAGAATAGAAAATATATTCCTATGAAGGAATATAATTGCAAGAAAGGAAAGGTTTAACCTAATGGAAACAAATTAATATGTGTATATTTCACTAACAACTGAAATATAGACAGGAGGTAGAGTAAAGTAAGCATGGACGTGCATAGGAAGTGATGTGGTTGCATGGGTTTGGGAATGAACATTAAAGAGGAAATACATTTTTGTTTTGTCGTTGGGACTTAGTACCTTATTACACCTGTGATCCTATTGTATTATTTACAAAAATATGGATCTCTAAGAGTGCTGCTAGGGTTTGAATGTCCCCTCCAAGTTTCATGTTGCAATTTTGTTGCCATTGTGGCAGTACTAAGAGCTAGGACAATTAAGAAGTGATTAGGCCATGAGAGCTTTACCTCCTATCTTCATCATGAGAGTAGGTTGTTATAAAACTGAGATCAGCCCTGTCTGTCTCTCACTCTGGACCATGCTTGCCCTCCTGCCTTACTCCATGGGATCATGTGGCAAGAAGGTCCTTGCAAAATACAGCCAGTCAAACTTGGACTCCTGAGCCTCCACAACCATAAGCCAAATAAGATTATTTTCTTTATAAAGTAGTCTGTGGTATTCTGCTATAGCAAAATAAAAGTGATTAAGAGAAGTCATTTGACTCTATGTGGTCCTGTTATCAGAAATAACATCATCCAAGGAAATTCTCAAACTTGTACATACAGGTACTATGGGTTGTTACTATTCAATAGCATTTCTGCACTCCAATGGACTGAAATCTTCTTTGGAACATGAAATTAACCATCGTCATTTTTGAAAATTCAGGACGTAATCCAGGACCTAGTTGTTATAAGACAACTTCTAATTTAATGTACCCAACTTTCTCTAAGACATCAAAATCTGTTCAATAAAGGAAATGATTTTTATCCAAAATACTTTAAAAATGAAATGAGGCTATAACTGTAGACACTGTTATATAGAACTAGCAATGAATTTCTATTTCCCTATTCTCCCACTTCTGACATCAGGGTATTAAATGTTTATGAGTGGAGTATTATTTCAGGGTACCCGAAGCTGAAATTAGATGCTATGTTATTGGTACTTCTGTGTTTTTTAATTACAATGTTTCTTTGCAAAAGTACTAGTTTAATAGGGACAGTCAAACAGAATGTTCTTTTCCCCATTTTTTTATCAGTATGATTTTGAGGTATACTTTTAAACATTCACCCATTTTAGCATACAGTTCTATGAATTTACAGTCATGAAGCCACAACAATAATATATAAAACAATTCCACCTTCTCTGTAAATTCTCCCATGACCTCCCTTCTATTTTTTCTTTTGAGATGGAGTTTCTCTCTTGTTTCCCAGGGCTAGAGTGCAGTGCCACGATCTTGGCTCACTGCAACCTCTGCCTCCCGGGTTCAAGCGATTCTCCTGCCTCAGCCTCCCAAGTAGCTGGGATTACAGGTGCCCACCACCATGCCTGGCTAATTTTTTGTATTTCTAGTAGAGACAGAGTTTCACCATATTGGCCAGGCTGGCCTCAAACTCCTGACCGCAGGTATCCATCGGCCTTGGCCTCCTGAAGTGCTGGGATTACAGGCGTGTGCCACCTCCCCTGGCATGTCATGTGCTTTTATAGTGTAATCTTCCAACATTCCCTGGCACCTGATATGATTTTAATCTCTACCATTTACACTTCCACAAAAGTTATATTAATGAAATCATGCAACAAGAAAGAAGGAAAGATTACTTTGCACCTGTAATCCCAGCTACTGGGGAGGCTGAGGCAAGAGAATTGCTTGAATTCTGGAGGCAGAGGTTGCAGTGAGCCAAGATGGCACCATTGACAGAGCGAGACTCATCTCAAAAACAAAATAAAATAAAATAATAAAATAAAATAAAGATAAAAATAATGGCCTACTCATGGTGGGTATTTAACTATACTCGGGGGAATAACAGGGTTTGATGCACTTCCCCAGCAGTTTAGGCTTATTTTCTGCCAGAAAGAATTACTGAGGCAGATATACTTGTCTTTATGGCAAAAGAAGCCACTATCCTCTTCCTCCTAAGTACCAAGAGGAAAGTTTTCTCTGGTCTTCTGACCTGCCTCCAATTTTTCTCATGAATTCCCAAAGCAGATCTCTGGAAAACAGAATGGATGTAAGAGCAAACTCTCTTCATGTCTGTGGATTACATGGGTTTTATAACCTGATGCCAGATTACACTTGGCCATTATCCAGTTGTTAAAAAGTTTAGCTCAAACTTTTAACTCTTTTATCTCATGTGCTGTTTCAGTGAGTTCTTACTCAACTCCCATTACTCCTGAGACACAGTTTTGTGTTTTTTTTTTTGTTTTTTTTTTGGGTTCCATTTTAGTTTTTGGATCTGTGACCTCAGCTTTCTGATGGGTTCAGAGAACATTTGACTTGTATGGATTATTTGATTTTTCTTGTTGTTAGGATAAAAGTGCAGTCCTTTTCAGATTTCTGCATTCTACGTGGTAGTCAAAGTCCATCAAATAATGTTGGAATCTCAGACCATTATTCAAACAAGTTGATGTAAGTTCAACAGTCATAGTCTATACAACAGGTAGACAATTTATAATACTCATGATACCATTCATCTCAACCAGAGTAGAGCCAAGTCATCAGTTGTCCCTCTCCCCTGAAGTTGTTAAGTAGAAAGTGGGGGTCTTTCTCCATTTGCCCATAAAATCAAAGAGGTAAGATGGTAATTGTTATTGTCATGAATTTTTAAACTTATTACAAGTATACTTTTAGGAATGTGATTCTTTTTCTGACAACGTCATGATGACCAGATCTTAAGATCTTTAACTCATAATTTCATTAAGCATTCCTCAAATACCTGTCTATTCTAACTACCTGTCGTATATTTTTTTCATTCTTCCAATAAAATATTTTTACAGTTAATTTATTTTACTTACCTTCAAGCTGGGATAACCCTACAACTCTACGCATAAATACTTTATAATTCTTTTTTTATTATTATACTTTAAGTTTTAGGGTACATGTGCACAATGTGCAAAGGACTATAAATCATGCTGCTATAAAGACACATGCACACGTATGTTTATTGCGGCACTATTCACAATAGCAAAGACTTGGAACCAACCCAAATGTCCAACAATGATAGACTGGATTAAGAAAATGTGGCACATATACACCATGGACTACTATGCAGCCATAAAAAATGATGAGTTCATGTCCTTTGTAGGGACATGGATGAAATTGGAAATACTTTATAATTCTTAAGCAGTGGCTCATTTTAGGCAGCCAGCAAAAGGTTAAATAAGCATAATGGGTACCATATTTTGGATATTTAAGAATTATTAACATACTACTTTCATGGGTTTAAAATGGCATTATTCATCTTACTATTTGCCATTTCATTCAATAAATTAAACATGCTGCAGAATGGTTCTTCATATTCTTCTCTCACTCATACCCACTATCTATTAGCAAGTCTAACCTTCAACGTATTTTTCACATTCATCTCAGTTCTTTCTGATTCCAGTATCTCTCTCCTATTTCAAAGTTGGTAGATTACTCCCCAACAACAATATTATAATGTCTTTCACTTCATATACCCATAGAGCTCTTCTTTTTTACAGTCATTATTTCTTACAGTAATTAGAGAAATTATTTGAAAGGCAAATCTTATGGTGCCCTTTAGTTTTTAACTGTTCCTATTTATTAAAAGCTTTTCAAGCCTAAACTATTTACCCAGGCTTTCAAGACATTGCATTATCTGCTCCCCAATACCTGCCATCCTCACTCCAGGATATGCTACTTCTTGCTATAATTATTTTTCCAGAATGTCATCCTTTAATTTCCTTAAGAATGTCATGTTTGTTCTCTCATTAAAACATTCCAAAATATATTGCCTTTGCTTGGAATCTTTACTCCTTCTGCTAACTTCCAGCCTGCCTATTAATACTACTAAGTATTATTTTATATATCACTTCCTTTGGCAGAGTTTTTCTTATCAATTTTCTTTTCTTTTTTTTTTTTTTATTTTGAGATGGATTCTTGCTCTGTTGCCCAGGCTGGAGTGCAGTCGCCCGAGCTTGGCTCACTGCAACCTCCATCTCCCAGGTTCAAGTGATTCTCCCACCTTAGCTTTCAGAGTAGCTGGAATTACAGGCGGGTGCCACCATGCCCAGCTAATTTTTGTATTTTTAGTAGAGACAGGGTTTTGCCATGCTGGCCAGGCTGGTCTGGAACTCCTGACCTCAAGTGATCCGCCCACCTTGGCCTCCGAAAGTGCTGGGATTACAGGCGTAAGCCACCGTGCCCAGCCTCTTACCACTTTTCAATCGGCCACAACCTGAGATAGGCGATTGACTCTATTTTGTTTTTACTGAATTATTTCATTCATGAAACTTATCACAATATAAATCATCAATTATTTCTCTAATTATATTTTAATAACTTTTTATCAATAAACTAGAACTCCAATTAACCAGGGATTTTTCTTACATTCAAAAAGTGAAAAGCTTTTCAGAAACAAGGTGTTTAGAACAAAAGCAAAAATGATTTTTGTGATAATAAAATTGGAAAAACGTCTAAAAAAATATTGCCATCACATGTCAATTTTTCAGAGCCTTCAATAAATAAATGAACATGCCAAAGAGTGGTGTAGAATAGTAATACTGTTCCCATAAATATTAAAACCTGGATGGAATTTAATTTCATGACAATGCAAAGGATAATTTAACTTTTGATAATGTGTGTAGAGTTTAACAAAATGAGACTGACTGTTCCACTCATTGAAACATATAATGAAATATTTTAAAATATCATTGAGAAACCTAAATCATTCAACTATTACTTTGTTTTGAGAACTGCACTTATCTGTATTAATTGAATTTATTTTAAATTGTGTTTATCAATTGACTGAATATTCTGTTTTCATTTTTTAAAAATCCATGAATTTTGTTTACGATTTCATGAATAATTTATACGGACTTACTAAATTTACCATTGAAAAAAATGAGGTGAATATGAAAACGGTATGTACTTTTATAGGCTAAAAGTGTTATTAGTTCACAATAGTAAAATAGGCCGTGTTAGGGATAAAGTTTGAAACTCAACTAAAATGAATTTCAAATAATGAGATGCAAATACCAAAATCTAAATTAACTATGGAACTGATATTAATATAGTATTATTCAGCACAATAAAAATAATAATTCCACCATGGTTTTCACACATATGAATTCCTTTTATGTATTTTAAAGGACCTGCTTTTTCAGTCCTTCCATTTTGTTTTTAACTCTTTATTTTATTTTTAATGGGATGTTTTAGAGTTTTGATATGGTGAAAAATTATCTTGTATTGGTTTGAAGCACATTATGTAATATATTTAATTTTTAGTTCCTTCTTTCCTTTGTTTCTTCCTTCTTTCCTTTCTCTTTATCTTCTTTCCTCCATTTATTCCTTCTTTTTTCTCCTTCTTTCCTTCTTTCCTTTTTGTTCTCCTTCCTGCCTTTCTTCATTTAAAATAATACAGATATTAATGCCCTCAAAACCTGAGCTTGCTTTTCACTAAATACGTAATGAAATATATTTTGGGTAAATGGACACTGTCTTATAATCTATTGTATGCTTACTGCAAAATTTAGTTAACAATTTCTTTTCTGATGACCATTCACATTATTTCTATTTTTTTTCCCTAGAAGCAGTGCTATAATAAACTTCCATTTACCTGTGTGTGTAGATGTGTGTGTTTCTTTCTTGCTTTTTGTCTGAGTGCTTTTGTTTCTGTCAGATGAGCCACATATTCATATACATATACATGAGGATGCATATACACTTGTGTTAGAAATCATGAATTTACACCAATGAATATGTTTAATTCCAGTCCATTCCACAGGGTTTCTTCTTCTCTCCTTCAGTCTTTATTTACTCCCTTTTACAACCTGTCTCTGAAAAAATATCTTTACATTAACCCAGAGGTCAATCCTATAATAATAACAGTTTCAGAATTTCTTTAGAAGTACGTGCATTTTTTATTGTCCTTAGTTATGGCTAGAAGATTATGAACTACAACCATTATCTTTCGGCTTACCAATATAAAAAGCAAGGGGAGATAAAGCATTTCCCCTTCTGTGTCTCACCTTTTCTCTTTTCCACTTCCAGATTATGATACATATATCATTAAAAAAAACTGAATTAATTAGGCCGGGCATGGTGGCTCACGCCTGTAATCCCAGCACTTTGGGAGACCGAGGTGGGTGGATCACCTGAGGTCGGGAGTTCGAGACCAGCCTGATGAACATGGAGAAACCCCATCTCTACTAAAAATACAAAAAAAAAAAAAATAGCTGGGCATGGTGGCACATGCCTGTAATCCCAGCTACTTTGGAGACTGAGGCAGAAGAATAGCTTGAACCTAGGAGGCAGAGGTTGCGGTGAGCCAGATCATGCCATTGCACTCCAGCCTGGGCAACAAGAGTGAAACTCCTTCTGAAAAAAAAAACCTGAGTTAATTTTAACAATATTGTGGGTTGTGTCAAAGTTGTATGTTGGTTGTGATATTATATTATAGTCTTCCACTTGTTACCATTGTGGGAAACTGCACAAAATGTACATGAGATGTCTTTGTGTAGCTGATAAATTGGGAAGATGGCATTCCAATCTGTTCTTTCAAAATGCATGATGGTACTATACACTTTCTCTTTCACAGTCCAATGTAAAATCAATGATATTTCTAGCACAGGTGCACCTCCATGCATCCTAATCCTGATACAGACTCTTTCTGTTTAATTAGATTTGAGGTAAAACGGGTCAACACCTGCACAGCATATCCCCACCCTCAAAAATATTGCTTCCCATTCTGAAAAGTCCCCTTCTGCTGTTTGACTATTTAAATATGTATGTTCTCTGGTGTAACTACTCATTAGTTTCTTCCGAATTACTGTTCCCAATGAAACCACTTCCAATGATTACTTTTTATCTTTAAGTTTGTGTGTGTGTGTGTGAAAGATAAAATGATAATACTCTTTAAAAATAAAAAAATACATATTTTTTCTAAGTTTATTATGTTAGACTTTTATCTGTCTAGATATATAGATTGTAACTGAAGTTCTGATTATTAGGTGATGACAACAATCTATATAACTAATTTCCTCAGAAAAGTTTCTTACACATTTCTTCAAATTTAAAGAATGAAGAACGAATTACTGCTTTGTAAAGTATTTTTTTTTTTTTTTTTTTTTTTTTTTTTTTGGTGAGTCTTGCTCTGTCGCCCAGACTGGAGTGCAGTGGCACGATTTTGGCTCACTGCAACCTCCGCCTGCCGGATTCAAGCAATTCTCCAGCCTCAGCCCCCCGAGTAGCTGTTATTACAGACGTGTGCCTCCATGCCCAGCTAGTATTTTTGTGTGTGCGTGTGTATTTTTAGTAGAGATGGAGTTTCACCATGTTAGCCAGGGTGGTCTCAATCTCCTGACCTCGTGATCTGCCTGCCTGGGCCTCTCAAAGTGCTGGGATTACAGGTGTGAGCCTACCACACCCGGCCTGTGCTTTTTATTTATTTTTAATGTAATAGACTATTATTTATGTTTTTAATAAATTATATAGTGATTCAAATTGGGTTAGGATAATATAGCCCAAATAACATTGTTGGAGATAAAGAGAGAAAACTATTTTGAACAAAATATGTATCTAATTTAGAGAAGGGTGTATAGAGGAACATTCTATTTCTAGGAATGACTAAACACAAAAGATACATTAACTTCATTTTATGACCCAAACACATGCTAATTTTATACATGGTAATCACCAAGGTTCCAGCTGAAACTTTATAAACATAGGCACTATACTTGATATACTTTGAAGTCATAAGGCTAAATTATTAATATGTTTTTCATGACTGTAATTTCTTCTTCTCCTGACAGTCAGAAAGGGTATTTCCTTACAAATTACTTTCTCTTTGGTTCTAAGAAAAAGAAGTTGTTTTACTTTAAGTTACCTTGATATTTTGTTATTTGTAAGAGTTGGTGTTTGTAGAAAATGTGATCACATTTTTTTCTTTTTATTATATAAGTATGAAAGCAGCCTAGTATATGATGTAAAGCATAAACAATCTTAGATTTACTTAATGGTAAGCAATGTATATAAAAATAAAGCTAATCTTTTATGGTAATTTTATCGTTATTAACCTGACCTAAATCTTTCAAAATTTTGTGATGGAAAATGTAATGCGTCTATATAAGGAAGCTGTTGTTCTATAAAAAAATTAACATTGGCTTTGAATCAACAGACGTAAACATGGGTCCCAATTCTGTGTTAAGTGGAAACAAAATTTGGGCAAGATGGTAAACTAGATTCAAACCTATTTTCTAATTTGTAAAATAAGAAAATTGTTAAGTATTCCTACCTGTATCCCATATAAATTGCTACATGTATTATTGAATTTTGAGATTCTCAATAAAGGTGCTGAGGAAATGGGATGTAGAAAGAATGGTCTTATCATCTGTTGTTGCTACAGAAATTGTGTATCCATATATTTAAAAAATACACTTCAACACATAACTTTACTGCTTATAATAATTGACTAAACACAGATTTGGATTTTAGTAAAAAAAAAAACCTAAAATTATAACAGTTCCTGAACAAAACATACAACAGTTTTGTGACACTGAGTTAGACGAAGATTTCTTAGATACAGCAACAAAAGGATAATCTATAAAGAAAAGAATTTGGTAAATTGAATATCAAAATTAAGAATCTCTGCTACTGGATAGAAAAGAGCTTAAAGGATTAAATAGTAAATCACATGTGCGTGAGGGCGTGTGATATATGCAAATCACATAGCTGATAAAAAATTTGCATCTATAATATATACATAAGTCTCAAAATTAAGTATTAAGGAAATGACTAAATAGAAATGGGAAAAGATTTAAATATTAAAGGGATATTTCACCAGATAAATATACAGATAGAAATTTAGCTGTCCCACATCATTAATCATTAGGGCAATTTTAATGTAAACCATAGCTTCATGTCAGTTAGATTACCTAAAATGAAAATCTTACAGTGTCAAATATTGGTGAGGATGCAAATCAACTTGAACTCATTCATTGATGGTTGGTTCTTTGACATATAGCTTTGGTGGACCCAAGGTATAGACTTCGAAAACAATTTTGGAAGTTTCCTATAAAGTTAGACACTTTGTTATCACATGATGCACATTATCCTATTTATTTACCCAAGTGCAATAAAAAAAAGATTCACTCAAAAATCTGCATGCAAATATTAATAGCTGTTTTTTTTAATAACCAGCATGGAATGAAAACAAACAATGTCTTTAATCTGCTCAATAGTCAAACTCACTTTTGAATGAACAATGGAATCCTACTCATAAATGAAAAAGAATAAACTGTTGCTACTCTCAACAACATGAATGAATTTCAAATGCATTATGCTAAGTTCAAGAAGTCAAATGCAAAAGACTACATGCTGTACAATTCCATCTATATGACATTTCAGGAAAGGTAAAACTATGGATACAGAAAACATCAGTGGTTTCCTGAGACTGGGGAAAGAGGTGACTTGAAAGAGGCATGGCAGAATTTTAATTGTGATGGAGCTCTTCAATGTTATGATTGAAGTGGCTACCAGAGTAGATGTCTTTGTCGACACTTACAGAACTGTTCATTAAAAGGGATAAATTTTAATGGATGTAAATCATACCTTCAAAAAACTGAAAAAAAAACACTAAATATTATTTAAAAATTGAAAGTCTTTTATTTCCATTGTTTCCGTTCTCACTACTTATGCAATTCATTCACTTTCTGATCTAACCAGATCTTAGTGAATTTATTAGTAAAAATCCCTTGCTTTTCTACATGTTTTTTTTTAGCCTGAACAATTCTTTTTCTCCTAGTCAGCTCTATTTTTTTCTGATAGAAGATTAGTTAATTTTATTTATTCTCAGTATTTAATTTTGATTATAAATCTTGGGTTGGCTTCAAAACAGGTTATTTACACCCTTTGTTATAAAAAGTAAGGTAATAGTTTTTGGCGGTTCTGGCTTTCAATTGAAAAAATTCAGTGGTTAATAATTCCAGATTAACTTTTAATCAATCTTTAGACTAAACTGTGACCACAGTATGTGTCAACTTGACTAGACTAAATTACATTTCCCAGAATCTCTTTTCAATATATTGTTGGATACAGGAGAGGTTCCAGTGTGATTTAAAAAAAAAAAAAATGAAGCAGCAGCAGCCATTTGTGGCCCACAAATATTTGGGTTTTTTTAATTAAATTTAATTTTTTGCCTGTTAATTGGGCAGCAGTTAGTACTAAAATTTCTATCTTTCCCTAAATTCTCTTTAAGCTTCTCCAACTTTTAGAAGCAGTTGTGTGTGCTTTGCTCCCTATGAGGAAACACTTTTCTGCAGAACACTCATGTCATGAAGCCAGAGGCAACAAGAACAGGTAGAGGCCTCATTATATTCTCATGAGTTCATGCTTCTGAGTTCATGAATACTTCTTTTGCTATCCACACTTTACATCCTTCATACCTTCACAATCACCTACACTGTGGACTTCAAGTTCCAGTATCATAATGAGAATTAGAAATGCAGACAGAGCTTTAGAGAGACTGCTTAACTGCTCTCTCAAAATTGTGTAAGGTAAGATTCTGCCCTCGTCTTGCTCACTTTGATAGATAGATGATAGATAGATGATAGATAGATAGATAGATAGATAGATAGATAGATAGATAGATAGATAGATGATAGATAGAGTGATATGCATTTACACAACTGTAACTGGTACACAATCTAAATAGAATTTTCTACTGTAAATATTCCTTCATCCCAAGTCTCTGATTTTTCTATTTTATTTTCTCCACAATTTTATTTTTCCATCGTTTCACAGTTTACACTGTCACATACATACACTTTTACTAGTCTGTCTGCCTCACTGAGTGAATAGTCATTAAAATAGAAAACCATGATTTTTTCATTTACACAATATCATGAATATTTTGTAAAGCATCTGGAAAAGGAAAGTTGATATTTTGTTGCTGTTGTTTTAAATTAATTAATTAGTGTAATGATATAGAATATCATTACAATATCTAACACTCATTACAGCCAAAGAGTTTGGTTTTTATTTGACATGAATATGAAATTGAAGGCTTTTGATCAAAGTTGTATCATGCTGTGGATATCCCTGGGTGAACGAAAAGCAAGGTAATCACCTCAATTTGTTGCAACTCTTCAAATAAGAAGACACACTAGGATATAAAAGGACAAATGCAAATAAAAACATGAAAATCAACAGATTAGGATGAAGAACAAGAGAAGTCAGAGTTGATACCACAATGTTGAGCCTTGGTATTTAGGAGTATTCTGTGAGGAAGTCCATACAGGGAAAAAATTGGGATGGTTGTTTAATTATGAAATCAGTTTTAAACGTATTCAACTTGTGTGTTGGTTTGATAATTCTAAACAAATATTTGGCAGGTAGTTAGAAATTTGGAATGAAGTCAGTAAGCAACTTTATTGAAATGTACTTAAATGTATAAATTAGTAGAGATAATACTAAAGCCCTCAGAGTGGGATTGCATCACATGTGCATAGTTTTGTGGGTGTGTGTGTGTGTGTATTAGTCTGTTCTCACACTGCTAATAAAGACATATCCAAGACTGGTAATTTATAAAAGAAAGAGGTTTAATGGACTCACAGTTCCATATGGCTGAGGAGGCCTCACAGTCATGGTGGAAGACAAGGAGGAGCAAGTCACATCTTACATGGATGGCAGCAGACAAAGAAGGAGAGTTTGTGTAGGGGAACTGCTCTACGTAATACCATCAGATGTTACGAGACTTAGTCACTCTCACGAAAACAGCATGGGAAAGACCCACCCCCATGATTCAATTGCCTCCCACTGTGTCCCTCCAATGACACGTGGGGATTGTGGGAGCTACAATTCAAGGTGAGATTAGGCTGGGGACACAGCCAAACCATATCATTGTGTGAAAGTTTGATTGAATTATTTTAAAATTTCAAACCAATTGTCATTTGGTGGCAGCATTATAAATAGTTTCAATTAACTAATTAATTTATATCTTATACAGTCTGTACATCCCAAAATAGTTTGATGTAATGCATTAAATGAAATAGTATGTTAACAACTAGGAAAACATTTTTATTTTAATAGAAAAAAACTAGATTTTGTTCTTACAAATCTCATTGAGGTTTCATTTCTTCATTTGTGAAATGGAGATGGAATATTCATGATTACTGTAATGACTAAATGAACTTGTGATGGCTTAGCACAGTTTCTAGAAATAGCAGATGTTCAACAAATGGTAGGTATATGTATACGTTAATCTGGAAGCTGAAGGAGTAAGGACAGACATATAGTGTGGTATTTTGTGAAATTAGAGAGAGACAAGAAGCTATTGAGTGCATATTTGGGAGATAATGTACAGGTGTAATAAGAGATGGCAAAGGTAGTAGAGTACTGGGAAGGAAGCAAAGAGAAAGCCTGATTACTTAGGAATCTTTATTAAAAATTAAACAAGATATTCCAACTAATATCATGAAACTGATTTTGCATATAATTTATTCTTTATATGCAACCCAACTGCAACTCTTGAGTTTTGACAAATATGTTTATCCATATTTTAGCCTGAGTTTGTACAGAGCCATTAATCCACATATAAGGTCCTAAAAGAATTTGGCTCAGTAGTTTATAAGTTGCATTAGAATTTTGGGGAAATGATCACGTAACATCAATAGTCATTCCAATATACATCCTAATAAGAATTACAGGGAAAAGTAGTATAAGTCTAATTTTGTTTCACTTCTTTTATTTTCTGGAAGGAAGTATTCCTCTAGAGGAATTCCTAACATAATATGTGCTAGTGGAAAGGAAAAAATATCTGCTTGCAGAGAGATTAGCCAACTACAGGACATGCAGCAATCTGATTTTGACTACCTTTCTCTAGAGTAATGCAGTCATTCTCTATTTTCAAAGGTAAGAATCTGGAAAATTAAACAGATTAAATTTATGAGCTGATGAACTCACTTTTTGGAGTTTTATCTACTTCCTATTTTTTATAATGCTCTAGGGTTCTTTTCTTAATAGGTTTATGTAGGGCATGTAAGAGCTGGAGTCAAAAATTGTGTGTAATATACTTTCCTCTAAAATCTAGTTTAGTAGATATCCTAATATTTTATGTTTTAGAATGTTTGTGCAAAAACAGTTTAGGAAATCTCAAGTCTTGAATAGTTTCTCCAGTCAAGCATGCTGATTACCTCCTTGCCTGAAATAAATGGTAACTGATTTTAGTTTTCTAAGAGAATTCAATTTCATTCCTTGAATATACCATAAACTCTGGAGAAGATGAATTTGATTTAAATAGAAACACACATTTAGGCATCCTTCACTGTGTAAATATTGACACATCTCATAAGCAAACAAAGTAAATGAAACCGTTCAGGTTGAAGAGGTTCTTTACTACAACCTACCACCTCTTTATACATAATAGATTAACTTGGAAGAGTAAAATAATATTTATTAGTTTAAAATTCCATATTTCAGAATGTAAGGTAAGCCCAGAAGAGACAAATTTTCTTCAACTTTAAATATTAATAAAATGGATGTTGGAACATCTTGTAAAAGAAAATCTTTAACGTGATAAATCTATTTTGAATATGAGAAGAATGTATCTCATCTAATTAAAAATGACACGTTTTAGTTTATTGTATATCATTTTAAACATTTGTTGAAGTAGAAAAAATAATCAGTGCAATCTATTTATTTTGAAAAGTGATCTTGGTTACTTCATTCCTTTTTCATTAACTTGTGGCTTGTCTCCTCAACTCAAGATTCTTACGTTGAGGTAAATTTCAGTATGTGTCTACATATTTACTTGTGAATAAATACTTGTTGATGATAATCTGCATCATATTTCTATTATACTTTCTGGTTTTACTCTTAAATTTTTTAATGGATGTCAGGAATTTTTAAGGGCAACATTTATTCAGTGCTTGATTCCACCACTAAAACATGGTTTAAATTATGTTGAAATAATGGTCAAATGTATTAATTAATTTATTATCTATCTATATCCACTACTATGTTCCAGAAACTGTTCTAGCCACTGGTGACAAAATATTAAACAATAGACAAAGTCCCTAATTTTATGAAATTTATTTTATATGACAGTAGGCTAGCAATAGCAAGTACTTGATGTAATAAGTGATACACCAATGGAAAGATAAAACAGAGCAGAGGGACTTTAGAAAAATAGGGATAGGATGGTCACGGAAAACCACCCTGAGGAGGTAAGATTTGAACAGAGATTGAATAATGTGAAGGTGTAAGTCATGTGAGATATGAAACAATGTACTGCAGGGGAGAGGGAATACTACATGCAAACTCTGAGTCTAGAAAACTCTTGGAGTATTTGAGAAGTATGAGAAACACCAGGTGGGCCAGGGTAGAACTTGTGGGGGTATGGAGAGAAAGGATATGTGATAGAAGAAGACTAGATTAATGCCAGATTATCAAGGGTCTTAGAGCCAACAACTTGAATATAATATAATATGTATGATTTGGAGGGAGGCAAGAGAAGAGTCAATATTACCAGTTAGGAGATTAGTTAGTAGGTTAATATAGTAGTCCAGACTAAAGACTATGGTTGCTGGCATTAGAGTTGGGTAGAGGGTAAGAGCGTGAGAGGTTGCTACATTGTGGGCAACAAGTTGTTGAGATTGGATGAGCAGTTCATGGGAAGTAAAGACTGACAGGAAAGTCGTAACTTTTTTGTTGTTTTTTCCCTGACCATTTGGATGAATGGTGAACTAATTACAATCTGATAAAGACTGAAAATGGTTTTCTCTTTGTAATGTATGAAATCTGCAAGTTCTTTTGGACATCCTACTGGAGACATGAAGGTGGCTCTTGATGAACAGATTTTGACCTCAATGGAGATGTCAGTGCTTAGATGTAAATCTAAGAGTCATTTCTTCATAAAGAGTATTTAAAGCCATAGCATTTTATAGTCTCTTTAGACAAATAGGGTTGTGGACAGCAAAGCAAAGAAAAATGAAGAGGACTGTGATCTGAGGCATTTTAATATCTAACTTTAGGAATTGGAATCTAAAAGAAAAATGAGAGGAAAATTTAAGTGAAGCAAAAGGAAAGCTGTATAGTGTGTCTAAATCCAAGTGAAGAAACGTTTTAAATAAAAGTAGAAGATAATTTGTGTCAATGATTCAGAGCGAGAGGTCTAATAATTGACTATTACATTTATAAAGCTGGAGGTTCTTGTGACCTTGACAATTAGTTTAAAAATGGTTGAAATAGACTAAAAAGCACCAAAAAATGTTGCTTATGTGCAATGAACATCAAAGACTATGAGCAAAATTTTGTAGAACTTTGCTATAAAAATGAATAAAGTTGGATTATATAGGGAAATGAGGTGCCAAAAGAACTTTTCTTTTTAAATGTAGGGGATTATGCTTATGGAATAATGTGAAAAATCTAGTAGAAAAGAAAACGTTGGTGATGTTATTATTGGAAGGATAAAGCATAGTACTCACTCACTTTGTTTAACAAGATGGCATGGGACCTAGAGCAAAGGGAAATTGTTGTCCTTAGTAGTACGAGCAGGGTGACACAGGAGGAAGGCATAGTAGATGGGGACAAGTGAAGATGGTTTGACATGTTTGGCAATAGAGACAATACTATGTGAGCAGGAAGGGAGTATTGAAGTTTTTAAGAAAGAAGAGATAATGTGATTTAGTCTGAGAGAGGACATTTAAATTAAGGAGTAGGGATACGATGTTGAGGCTCACTTCTAATTTGTAGTCATAAACTTAAATTATCAATGGTCAGCACGGTTGTGTGAGTGTCTTTTTTTTTTCCTCCATCATCTATTTTGGGCTAAAGGGCTGAGTAGATGTAGACTTGAACTACTAGTTAATTAAAGAGAGAAATAAGACTGAAAATGGATGATGGATAGTGATTATAATGCTATAACATTGAGTCAATTGCCTGCTTGTCTTATTTTATTTATTTATTTATTTATTTATTTTTTATTTTTTATTTATTTATTTATTTATTTTTTTGAGAAGGAGTCTCGCTCTGTCACCCAGGCTGAAGTGCATTGGCGCGATCTGGGCTCACTGCAAGCTCCGCCTCCCAGGTTCACGCCATTCTCCTGCCTCAGCCTCCCAAGTAGCTGGGACTACAGGTGCCCGCCACCACGCCCGGCTGTTTTGTATTTTTAGTAAAGACGGGGTTTCACCGTGTTAGCCAGGATGGTCTCGATCTCCTGACCTCGTGATCCGCCTGCGTCGGCCTCCCAAAGTGCTGGGATTACAGGCATGAGCCACCGCGCCCAACCTGTCTTACTTTCAATCTATTTATTTAAGGGAAGTCTCTCAACTTTTAACAGAAACTTGAAAGTTGTGTAAACTTAGGTTATTTATCTGACATGTTTTCTTACTTATAAAGTGTGTGCAATAATGCAGCCAATATATAATGTATAGCACTTAGCATGTCAGATATAATCATTGTTGCTGTGTTCATTATGACCATTATTGTAGAAATTAGTATTAGCTAATTTCTGGAATCAGTTATTATTTTTCTCACAAACTCCTAAAATAACTAAAGCCTACTAACCTTGTTCAGAAATAAGCGCCTATACTGTCTTGTAATTTCAACATAAATTTGGAATTTGATAGATTAATATAGATTTATAAATATATATTTAACAGAAATATTATCATCTTTTTCCTTAATGCATATGCCAGCAATGATATCTCAATAAGGAAAAATTAGAATATTTGTGGAGATTTTTAAAGATGCAGGTTCAGTGAGATGTTACATATAAAAATCATGCTAGTAATTAAAATCGAAATGTTCTATATCATGACTTTGGTGGTGGTTACATGACTACACACATTTGACAAAATTCATCAAATTAAGCATTTCAAAGTGTAAAATTCATTGTATTCATTTTGTTGTATGTAAGTTACATCTCAATGAAGCTAATAATTTTTTTAAAAAATTACTCATTAGAATTTTTCCTCAGGATAGGATACTATTGTTTAACCAGAAAAACAGAAATAAATTTCTCTTTAACTACAAACAGTAAAAAAAAATTCTTAAGCCTGTCCTCAAGATCTGACTAGTAAAACCCATGTGGAATCACTGACTAGCAGTGGCAGCAATTAGACCCCAACCAACAAAAGATTCATGAAAAACACCGGAAATGTGGCGAGTACCTGAAGAAGTAAATTTTTAAGTTTCTTTTTTAAAATGTTATGAAATAGTCTATTAAATTCAATGATCAAAAAACAATGAATAAATATTTTTAAAGAAACACAAAACATAATATGTATGTACATATGACCTCTTAGTGATTTCCTAGATTAAAATGTTGTATAATAAAACAAATGATAATATTATTGTGTTGAGCAAAAAAATTCACTAATAATAAATTTATAATTGTGCAGACATAAACTTGAAAATCGTTTTTTTCTATTCTGAGTATATTCTAACAATAACTGGTTAACAGCTTCATTAGCACATCTGAAAGCCAAGAAGAAATTTGTTTTGCTCTTCCTTTTTATTACTAAGCAGTTCTAAATGATTAGATATCACAAGCCTAAATATAGCATAGTTTCATACAATTATTTTTATTTTTAATAATAATAATAACTTTTAAAATCACATCCCATGGTCCAGGAGTTTTAACTATATTATCTCATGTAACCTTCACAACTATACAATGGTACACACTATTGTCACTCAAATTTTACAAATGAGGAATCCAGAGACCAGAGAAATTTTGTATTTCCAAGATTACAAATTTTAACATGGTAAAACCTGAATTCAAAATTATGACTTTCTTGGATCAACTTAAATGCCCATAAATGACAGATTGGATAAAGAAAAATGTGTTACATATACACCATAGAATACTACGCAGCCATAAAAAGAATGGTATCATGTCTTTTGCAGGAACATGAATGGAGCTGAAGAGTATTATCTTTAGCAAACTAACACAGAAACAGAAAACCAAATACCACAGGTTCTCACTAATAAGTGGGAGCTAAATGATAAGAGCTTAAAAGGAAACAACAGAAACTGGGGTCTGCCTGAGGAGGGAGGGTGGGAGGACGCAGAGGAACAGAAAAGATAACTATGGGGTGCTGGGCTGAATATTTGGGTGATGAAATAATATGTACAATGAACCCCCGTGACATCTGTTTACCTATGTAAAAAACCTTCACATGTACCCCTAAACATAAAATAAAAGTTAAAAAAGTATTTTCTGAATTTATAGCCCCCCAATTTTAGTACAATCATGTATGTCTTATATTGAATAACTCTTAGAAAGAGACTGGACTTAAAATACATTTCACTTAAATTTTGATTCTAATACATATAATCAAATATTTATGTTGTATTTTATTTATGCTATTTTACTTATAGTCTTATTTTTGTTTTATTTTACTATAGTAACTCTGAAGGGTTTTCTTGAAATGAATAATTGAACACTGTTGCCCTTGAGTATTTAGATAACTTTTTTGAGCAAGTAAACATGTTTGCTGTGTATTGTACAAGATCGATTTAATAACAAAACTGATTTTATGAGGTTAAAGCTTAGTTCATAGCTACTCTATAAGACTACTGAATGAGTTTGAGACTTTTAAGTAGTTAGTCATAGTAGTTTTGTGTTGAAAAAAATTTAGACTGATGTTCCAGAGGAGGTATGAATCATATTTCATGTTTCCTCTTCCTTATTAGTCATTTTATTAAATCTCTAATTTCTTTGAAGTATTCACTAGCAAAATAATAAATAATAAATAAAATTGTATTTCTGAATGAGCAAACACAGGAAAAATAAACAAAAAAGTGTTATTTCATCTATGTACACAAGGGTATTTCAAAATAAAAAACAACCTTATGTAATATTGGGGTCCATATTTAAACATTTTTGTCATGATTAGAACTGACTTTCAAAACACTAAAATTTTGACTCACATCCCATTTATCTTATTTCTAAGTTGTAGTCTAATCATAGGAAATTACCAATATATGCAATATCCAATTTATTTTCAGTTGATCTTGATGCTTTGATGTAGACATTTTAAGAGATTCTCCTTTAGTTCATTTATGAGAATATTTACTTGAATGCAGACATAGTTTCTGAAGGTATTTGCTAAAATATGCTATATTTTACTTGTTTTAACAATGTGATAAATATTTTAAGTGCCTCTGATGTGCTCAGCATTGTTATAGAGGCTGATATACAGAAGTGAAGACATCCAATGGAGTCTCAGCTTTTATTAAGTTTATATTCTGTAGAGGAAAAGAGATAATGAATAACAAAAAAAACTGAAGCATCATATATGGATAAATGCTATACAGAAAATGAATCACACTAAGCGGAGGCAGAGTAATTGCGAAGGTGATTGCTATTTAGGAACAGATAGTGAGACGATGCCTGTATTCCAGTTATCCAGTTTTGTTTAACAAATTATTGCAAAACATGAAAACTTAAAACAATTATTATATCTCACAATTTTTTGTGTTGGTAATTTGGGCAAGTATTCTTTTGCTCCACATGGGAGATTCTTCTGCTCCAAGTATGTCAACTGATGTTCTTTGGTGGTATTCAGCTGATGGATGGACTAAATCTGGAGGGTCCAAGAGGGCTTCACTTACATATCTGGTACTTTTGGAAGGGGCCAGAAGGCTGGTCCCTGCGGGGCTTCTTCAGCATTAGTCTCTGGACAGCTGGACTTGTTACACTGTGGTTCAGGGCTCCCTGAGAGAGCCTTCCAAGAGACTGGAAGCTGAAGTTGCACATTTCGTGAAGCCCATATCTAGAAACTATCATAACATTGCTACCATCATAGTCTATTGGTCGAGCAGTCACTGAGTTTATCCAGACCCAAGAGAAGAGGAAAGGGAACTCATCTAACAATGGGAGGAGTGTCAATGGCTGTGCAGCCATTTATAATCCGCTACAGTCATATGTGCAGAGGAAGTTAAACACTGACATACACTGTCCATTTCAGTGGCAAGTATTTGAGTATGTGACTATGTATGTATTTACATGTGAGGGTTTTGATTGTCAAATTCATGTATTTCTTTAGATTTCATTATAACCTTGTAAGTGGAATAAAGCCTACCGCCTCAGTCTTTCCATAGAAAGGAATCAGTAGTATTTGTAGCTAATTAAGAGTATACTTGCAGTTCACAGAATGAGATAAATATTCCTTTATTGATGATGGTGCCAGTTTCTGTAAGTCCCTTTTCTGTATTGGATTTTTTTTCTTTTTCTTTTCTAAATTCACATTTTCTTTAAATCTTTGCATTCTGTATAGTTGATTATTTACAAAGCAAAATTATACTTGCTAATATTAATCTCTCTCATAATGACTTAGATTTTGGATGTATTATATAGAAGTGAATATGGAGCTGGGCCAAAAGGTGTGTAGAATAGAAAGAATATTCTGGCATATTTTTCAGGGTCCTGATTTTTTTGCTCTTGCTTTGACTTTTCTCTTTCAATTTTTTTGACAGTTACCCAAACAGGCCCTTGTTCCATGGATATTCACTCATTTTGTCTCTCACTGTATTGGTGAGTAGTATGCTGTCTTCTGAGCCTCTATGAATAATATTGAATATTTCAAACCAAGACTTTATCAAACAATTTGAACTTGACTAGAAAAATTGGCAATAATTGAAACTATAGCTTTATGACAACATGTATTCGCATTCTCATTTTTTTTCCTGTGAATGGACCATTCCATCACGTTTGCAAGATATCTATATTCCTTATCTCTAGTTGATTGCCTTCTGTCTAGATGGAAAGAAATATAAACTCACATATACACTTAATTGAATCTATTTAAAATTCTTTTATTTGTTCATTTGGGGCATCAGTATATGTCAAATATGAGGCTAAGTTTTGAAATGCTTGAGGTGACAGTATTTGCATTAGGATTTGTCTGTAGCAACATGATTTATTTTGCCATGTTTTCTTTGTACTTTTCAAGCCATAGATCATATTTTATTTACTTTGAATTATTTTATCAAAGATTTTCACATATAAACTTATAGACTGCTGTTTAATATGTCACTAGAGCTGTTTGGTTCCAAAGGAATTTTATTCCATTTCCTCAAACAGATCTCCAAGTGAACTGACTACATCAAAATCAAATGGGATTCTTGACAAAATGCTTATTTATTTGCCCTAACTATACTTAATAAGTCAAAGAATTTTGAGTTAATTGTTGGACACATGTCTTTTTCCAAAGCATCCCAGGCAGTTCTTATACACAGGTATTTTGAGAATATATTACATATGTCTCAAACATTTTAATTTGGGAACTGATTGTCTTAATAACATAAGTTCCTCCCTAATCATGAAATAGACAGAAATATAAATTTGAAACTTAGCATTTACTTTGCTATTGCAAACATAATTTAGGAGAAGCTGGTATTTTTATTTTCTTACCAAAGTAAAAAGTATTTACTTTATGTATATGTTCTGAAGTGTAGAGGTATTGACTCCAATGCAACAGTATTCTGCTTATTTTAAATCCCTGCATCAGAAGTCAGAACCTAATATAAACCAGTATAAACCAAAGAAGCAAACAATTTTCAAGTTCATGTGTGCAGTTCTATCCTTGTGCCATAGATCACACTTCTTCATTTACACTGAATTATCGTATCAAAGATTTTCAGGTATAAATATATAGATTGCTGTATAATATACTACTACAGTTGTTTGGTTCCAAAGGAATTTCACTCCATTTCCTCAAACAGGTCTCCATGTGAACTGACTATAAGCCCAAGAAGCAAACAATTTGCAAGTTCATGGGTGCAGTTCTGTCCTGTGCATTGTAGGGTGTTTAGCAACATGCTTGGTCTTTATCTACAAGATTCCAGTAGCATTCCCTTACACTTGTGACAACCAAAAATGTCTCAATGTCAAATGTATCTAGAATCAGGGCTAGGAAATTACCTTCAGTGAAGAATCTCTAATCTTTTTCATATTTTAAAGATAGAAACAATGAAAAACTCTGTCCCTCTGGATTTTTCCTAAACTTCTTTCAATTTGGTGCAGAGCATTGTTAAATGACTGCCAAAACCAGAAAATCTATAAAGGCCCCTGCTCCCATAGGGCAAACAAAACCTTCAAGGATATTACCCTGAGAGGAATAAATATGCTTCCTATTTTTCTAATTAGAAGGAAATACACATGCAAAAATATATTTATGATTATCTTTCTAAATTAGGAAAGTAAGCTATTCATATTATGGTGTTTGTGTGTGTGTGTGGGGTGTGTGTGTGTGTGTGTGTGTGTGTGTGATTTTAGCATTTATCCCAGGATTCTGTATCTAACCTATAAGGAATTAATATGTGGCAAAAGGGAGTTTTAATGAGGGATTATATAAAGTATCATAGTTCATAGTAATATTAGGTCAAAGGGCAAAATAAAATATTGGCCTAATTTACTTATAAAACCATCATTTGTATTACTATGCTACTTTTTAAAAGATTTATTATAGAGCTCATTCTTCCTCTAAATCTCTTAAAGCTATTGTTCCATACCAACAGATAAAGTTCAATTTTAAGCCATTTTGGAGGTTAGCTTACCTTTTTCATCTTAAATGCAGAAATCCAATTTAGAACTTAATCCTTCCATATGATAATAGATGATTCCATTTTCATTTAGTTTTTAAAACAATTATAGCAGGATTTGAATAAATCAAACTCCCTTCATTGCAATAGCCCAGAACTCTGATCCTTTGTGAACTCTGCTTATTGCCAGATGCCGATTTCACAAAGTAAGTTGTTCTTTTATCAACCAAAATTGTTTGTACTTCATAGCCATAGAAGTAAGGCTTTAAAATTGATAAAGAAGTTATTTGTTTTGTTTTTAACCCATTTCATGAAATAATGTGATTTTAAAAGGCAAAATAAAATAACTATGAGCAGCATATGTTTTAGAGACAATAAAGATCTAATTCTAAACTCTGGCTTTTGTCCAAACCTGACTATCTTTGTAAACCTGGAAATGATAATAATCTTGTCTAAGTCTCTGTTTCTGCTTTATAATATGGGGTTAATACACTACTTAAGGCTTAATATTTAGGGAGGACGGAATGAGGTATAATGGTTAAAGTGCTTTGCACAATGAATGACACAGGGTGATTCCTCAAAACGATTCTTCAAATATATAATACATCTGTTCTTAACTTTCAAAATGGAATCGCCTCCTTGAGTATTCAAAAGTAAATGCCTCCTCATATTAAGAAATTGTTGTGCAATTTTATTTGAGTGCTTCTGAAAAGAAAGACAGTAAACATATCTGAGTCTTCCCGGGTCTATTATCACCTGCTTCCCTCACTCACAGCTAACCCTAGTCAAAAACTGTTATGGTTGCTTTCCATAAACATGTTTGAGTAGAAAATATCCATTCAAAGGACAGCATGGGTTTTGGGGTTTCTATCTTTAATTCTGCAGTATTTCCTCAGGCTAAAGGAATTTCCACAAGGACTACATTGCCTGTAATATATATATATATATATATATATATATATATATATATATATACACACACACACACACACATATATATACACACAATATATATATATATATACACACATATTTATACACACACACATATTTCCTAGATTTTATTGTTCTGTAGTGACATGTAGCCAAAAAGCAACATGTATCTAAGGACAAGATGATATTGGTTTAACTCTTCTCAATAGGTGGTTCTCTGTCAAATAAGGGGAGAGGGGTATAATTGTGCATTAAGGATGCCAATGTATAAAACATTTTTAGTTCTCGCTAAAAAGAATAGTTCACATATGAGTAGAACATACATTTGTTAAGGTTTTAATATTATTAGAAATACATCAGAGATTAAATTGTGAGACTTTATTTCATGACAATTTTCATGTATGTTTTGCATCTTAAGAATTCTTTTTTTTCTTTTTTTTTGTGACTAACTTGATATACTTTCTGAATAGTCTATTCTCATGTTATATTATTGTTTTCAAGTTTATTAAAAATACCAATATATTGGTAATAGTCAACCAACCTCAGGTCATAGCAGACTAAGCCAAGGCATACTTACTGTCTTTGAGGTTGGTTTGGCAGTCTAGGAAATTTGACAAAGCATATTAAAAGGAATTTGTCTTGTCATTAAAGAAATACTGTAGAAGCCAGAACTTGAGAATTCAATGTTGAGGAAAGATTACAAACTTGGAAACCTTGGTTTTTTTTTTACCTTTTACCAATATTCTAGTGTACTTGAAAAGCAAAATGATGGGCAAAAGTGGCAGCTGGTTGAAACACCAGACAGAGTTTCAACTAATTTCATAACACTGAATTCTGTGTTCAACATTGAGCTTCTGGGCCCACCAGTGAGAGTCCTAGTGAACACCACAATGTTTCTAAGCTTTCCCACCACAAGCTTGGGATGTAGATGAACCATAAATAGACCAGTTTCAAACTAACTCAATCCTAATTGAATAAAACTACAGTATATTCAACAATTAAAAGCCTGGTTAACAGAAAGGTAATTCATTAAATGATACAATAATTCTATTTTAAAATATAATATTACCTTCTAAGCTAAAATATACATGCAAATTTTACACCTTCCTTTTGTGTCAATTTCGAAATGTAGATTAGATACTCAAATTTTGAATTGAGAGTATTAATTGAAAACAGAAAGTTCTATAGTTCAGAACTGTGAAAGAGGATTTCATTTCTGAAAGCCACTCAGAATATTATCATTTGTTCCATTGCGTAAGTCTGCTGGGTATTATAGCAAAATGATTCAAGTGGACCAGACCATATGTGGATATTAGATATGACTCTTTCTAGTTATGCAACATTAGGCACATTAATTAACTTCTATGTTTTTCAGTTTTCTCACTTGTACAAGGGAGTTAGTGATACATACTTCCATGATTTATATTAATGATTAAGTGAGAAAATTCTAGATAAAGGGAAAGCAGAGTGTCAGGTACTTAATGATAGCTTTTGGCTTTCAAATTTTTCTTAAAGCCAAGGTTAAAAAATAAAACCAAATAGGAAAATAATAGAAGACAGTTCTCCCCTGATACTCTAGTTCATAAACATCATTGATTAACCAAAAGTAAAATGCTGCATTGTATACCACTGTATAGATTTAATACACTTCTAAAAATTCCAGTGCTTGCCAGGTGTGGTGGCTCATGCCTGTAATCTCGGCACTTTGGGAGGCCGAGAGAGGTGGATCACCTGAGGTCAGGAGTTGGAGACCAGCCTGACCAACATGGAGAAACCCAGTCTCTACTAAAAATACAAAATTAGACGGGCATGTTGGCACATGCCTGGAATCCCAGCTACTCAGGAGGCTGAGGCAGGAGAATTGCTTGAACCCAGGAGGCGGAGGTTGCGGTGAGCCGAGATCGCCCCATTGCACTCCAGCCTGTGCAACAAGAGCGAAACTCCATCTCCATCTCAAAAAAAAAAAAAAAAAAAAAAAGAAAGAAAAAAAAAACAAATCCAATGCTTATTACCATTAGGAGATACCACTGCCAGTTTTCCAGTGGTTGTACCAACTTGCTCACCTCATAATTTTGTATGAGAGTTTTGTGAATTTACCTTTTAAACAATACTTCAAAACTTATCATCATCAGACTTTTTATGAATTGTCATTCTGTTGAGTATTTGGTGTTATCTCATGTTTGTACAGTACATATCACATGGCTAAGCCTATATCTCATTTTGTTCAACGTAGTACAGCTCCCATAGACCTTTTGTTCCAGCATAAGTGTTAATGGCTTTACATTTCTTAAACCTGTCTTACTTTGGATGAGTAACTATATGACCAAATTACACACAATTTGCAAACGTTGGTATCTTTGATCTTTAAAAAAAAAACTTTACAAAATAATACAAAAAAGATAAACAACTTTGTCAAATAATGGGCCAAAAAAAAAAAAAAAACCTTGAAATGACATTTCACAAAGGAACATCTTCAACTGGTGGCTAAATATACTAAAATGTGCTTAGTTTATTAGTGACTAGGCAGTTTATAAGTACTGTATTATAAATATTTTCATCACTTTATGGCTTAACTGTTAAGTCTCTTATTAAGAAGTTCCAAGCTTTAATATAGACAAAGGTATCCATCTCTTTTCTCCTGATATATTTTTTATGTTTTTATATTATTTGCCTATCACAGTTTCACAGAAAGAGCTCCCAGTGTCACCATTTGGAAAATCTATTGTTCTTAATTTCATATTAGTCCTGAAATTTACCTGGGCTTGATATTTGCATAGAATGGAGGTCAAAATATATGTTTTCTTCCATATAAACATATAGTTGACCTAGATTAATTATTAGAAACACTGTTCATTCTCTTTGCTTTACAGTGCTACAGTTGTCAAGTGTGTATGTGTATATATGTGTGTATTTGTGTGCGTGTGTGTGTGTGTGTGTGTGTGTGTGTGTGTGTAGGTCTGTTGCTGGACACATCATTCTGTTTCATTGATCTGGTTTTCTATTGCTGCCAATACCCCAGCATCTTCCTCACTGTAGCTTTATAATAAATTTTGCTTTTTATGTAGTTTCAGTCCTCCAGCTTTTACAATATTTTATTTACTATTCTTGGTCCATTGCATTTTTATGTAAATTTTAGAAGTAGCATGACAAATTCTAAAAAGTCGTTTATGATATCAACTAGGTTTGCATTGAATCATTGAATTTATAGGTGAATTTGGGGATAAATTGTATCTTTAGTGTTCAATCTACTCCATGAACATGGTAAAATATTTTATTTCTATGTAAGTTTTCTTTAATTTCATTCAATAATATGTGTTATATTTTATTTGTGCTAGTCTCACATATCTCTTATTTAGATTTATTTCTAGGCATGTTTACTTCCTATTAAATGGTTTCACTTTCAAGATTTTATTTCAAACTGCCCTTTGGTAGTGAAAGGTAATAAAACTGTTGTATATTTATTTTGTGTCTAATGATCTAAATGTATTCAGAAATTTTCTAATTTTTCTACTCACATAATTAGTTCATTTGCAAATATTACTGGGTTTTTTCCTTATCACATTTCTATGTTTTATTTCTGATTTCTGGTGTTTTTGAACTAGCTGAGGCCTCCACTTCAATGTCTAATAGATGTGGTAAAGCCTCATCCTGGCCTCATTCCTGTTATTGGTAAAATACTTTGCCATAAAAATTGGTGTTTTGTAGTATTTCTATACTAATTACATGACTACATAACCTCTTAACTGTCAAAAATATGCTAAAATATTTTTGAAATTAGAAATAATTCCAATCCATTGGGTCCATTTCTGATGAGATGCCTCATCTGTTCACTCATTATTGTTAGTTTTTTACATACTTTAACTGGCAAAACTTAAGGAGAAGAATAAGATGAATAGACAGAGAAAAAATAATTTTTAGAACAGTAAAAATACTCTATACTTCATTTTGGTTTAAAAGCAGTTATATAATGAAAATATCTAATGGCATACATTAAATGATTACCATAAAAATATTACCAAACTAGGATTCCCTTTTTATTTAAGCAGATAGGTAACTTCATAAAATTTTGCAAATTACTTTTTATATTTTTATATAAGTTTTTGCTTCTCTTATACATTATTGCATTTAATAACAAAACTGAAGGAAATTGACCTAAAATCTTATTAACTTGTCTGACTTTGGGAAATTACTTAAACTTTCTAAGTGCTAGTTTTCTTATTAGGGAAAAATATTCATAAAGTGTTGTGAGAATTAAATAAGGATTAAATTCAATGAGAATTGAATAGGAAAGCATAGAATAATCTCAGGTACAGTGTAACAAAGTAAATTGTAGCTATTATTTATAGTAATTGCAATTTTTCAGGTGATGAGCTTAGGAAGTTTAAGCTACTTGTCAAAGGCTCAAAAGTAAATTGTGACAGACAACCTGACTCCACAGACTTTGATTGTAAACAGAAAGCTGCATAACTCCCTCCCATAGAAACCACTGGGTCACTTCCAACTCACTGGGCTTCTTTTTTTACACCAAAGACCTAGTCTGACTCCAGGTTCTATTCATGATGTATTTATACCCACTTCGCAACATGTTTCTTCAAATACTTTCTTACAATAATCCTTTCCATTTGGATTTCATCTAAGAAAAATTGTAATTCTTTGAGGTTAAGAAGAATCATTTTACAGTTGATCTCTGTGAAGCCTTCCTAAATCTCCACAGGAATACTTTTTAAAACCTCAAAATACATTACAAGCCTCCATTTCAATTTATTACTTTTCATAGCAATTATATAAATGTCTGTAGTATACATTTATGAAAGCCTGTGGCTCACACCTGTAATCCTAGCACTTTGGGAAGCTGAGGTGGGCGAATCACGAGTTTGGGAGTTCGAGACCAGCCTGGTCAACATGATGAAACCCCGTCTCTACTAAAAATACAAAAAATTAGCTGGGTGTGGTGGCGGGCAACTGTAATCCCAGCTACTCGGGAGGCTGAGGCAGGAGAATCGCTTGAACCTGGGAGGAGCAGGTTGCAGTGAGCCAAGATCACGCCACTGCACTCCAGCCTGGGTGGCAGAGCGAGATTCTGTCTCAAAAAAAAAAAAAAAAAAAGAATTGTATCTACATTTTGTATCTAAAACAAATCATATCTAATTACATATATTATTATATACATATTTTATAACACACATACAGTTACTTAACTAAGGTTTAGCTCAATACTTAGAAAGGTGTTTATTAAACTGAAAAGTAAATTAATAAATATTCTAGAATGTCATGGCTAAAAAGGACATGACATATATTTGGCTTAAAAACTTCTTTTGCTGTAAATATACTACTGAGAGGATTTTTGATTGGATAATTGATAGATATAATCTGTTTTGAATACCTATAAAAATTGTCATTTCAAAGATTTGTATGTTAACTTCCATATTTCCTGTAGATTAAAAGGGTTACGTGCTTATCTTTGGAGTTAGAAGCAGAATTGAACATATGCAAGCTGTAATATGATTTGCATTCTTGAAAGTAGAAAAGGTATATACTGGGATGAGTATTTTGTATGTGTTTCTATTAATATCATTTTATAATGTATCAGTATGACCCATTTAAATGAAGCTTAAAGCCTAAAGACTTTTTTAAACAGTCAGAAATATAATTTAAGCTTAAACATAGTTTATTCATGGAAACAATACAATTTTATTTGTTCATTTCTTTATTCAGACCATTCTCCATAACAAACAATGCCATTTTAATATCCAATTTTATAATTGCAAGAGAAAATGTGAATATTTATTCACTTTTATCTGGTAAGTGGCTCTTAACACTTTTTAAGTTTTAATTAAGTTGCCATCCTTTCCTTTGACTTTTTTTCCATTTTAATGTTGTTGCTCACTCTGTAGAATTATGTACTCTCCTCCTTGCACTCTCTCACCCTTGTATGCATCTTTATTAACATAGCAAAGTACATCTTTGCCCACTCCATCACCACCACCCCCACCACCACCTTAACCACCCATGACTCCTCCATTAGCTTCTGATTTTCATAAAGTAGTGATAGAATCAGGGGGCAGATAAATTCCTAGGCAAATAGGCATGGGTCCCCGGTGAAACCCAAACTTAAAACCAAAGACAGTTTGAAGCCTGAATAGTGAGCTGTCAGTTTCCGGTAGAGTGCATGACCAGAGTGAGAACTTCCTTGATGCCTTTTAGTCAATCACATGGCATTTTTCCAGTCCTGTCCATGGACCAATCAGCATGCAGTCTATATTCTGAGCCCATAAAAACCTCAGACTCAGCTACACACTGGGCTGTCTGCTTTTGGTCCCCCTCTCACATAGAAGACTACCTACTTTGGATCCCCTCTGACTGTTGAGAGCTTTTCTTTTGCTCAGTAAAATTCTTCCCAGCCTTGCTCACTCTTAGGTGTCTGTGTAACCTCATTTTTCTTGGTCGCAGGACAAGAACTGGGAACTTGCCAAAGGCAGGAGCAAAAAGGGCTGTAACACGATCTGGGCCACCTTACTTAGCTGTGGGTAGTGGGAATGAAAAAGTTGCTACTCTTCTGGGGGTCCAGACATTGGGACTCTCCAAGCCAAAGCTGTAACATGCTCCCATTTGCCATGCTGCAGGCCACGGGAAGGAGAGAGAGCTGTAACAGTTCTTGGAGGCTCAGAACTTGTGATTCCCCATGCAAGAGCCATAATACCCCTTGGGGCTCTGCAGTTGCTGGCATCTCTGACTTTTGGGGTGATGCTGTATCCCAAGGTGGAAGCAGGTGGTGGCACACTCAACCCAGTTGCAGGCTGAGCACAGATCCCATGGTGAGCATGGGATCCGGACTGGGGCATAAAAGGAGTGCAGCTCACTGGGCCAAGAGGGTAGAGCGAGCCAAATGGCAAGCCCAGAGCCAAGTGAGGCCCAGGCAGAGGCCATGCTGGCTGTGGAGATTTCTGGCTGGTTGAAGGTGCACTGAAAGAAACCTGTGTCAGTAGTTTTGGTTATTTCCTTCATCATCTAATTTACAGTGTTTATCCTAGTACCCAAGACTGAGTAAATTGTGTGCTAAACTTACTGAAACAAATGAGTTTTCTTGAATTTGAGCTCCTCTTACTATATTTATTAACTTTAATTGAATTATAATATGTTGATTAAATTAATATGTAACTCATATTGTTAAGATTTGAGAATGAAGTACAAAATCCAATAGAGGTAAACATTTTTTCCAGATATTCCAGCAATACATATAGAATATTAGGTAAGTCTCTGAATCCAAGGAATTGCTGAAGAATGGTTGATATGTTAAGCAACAGGTCCCTAAAAAAATTACAAATCTCATACAGCTGGATGAAGAGGTTTAGAAACCAATTTGTCTAAATAAATTCAGTATTGCTGATTTTCCTTTGAGTATATTTCATTGTTTCAAATTAGTAATTGAATTATAAATGGTATTCATCTAATTCAGTCCTCAGTTGTAAGCATCTCTCTCTTAAAATATGATACTATATACTTGCATTAATAATATTAATAATAATTTATAATACATGTATTCATAAAGTCATTCTTGGAAAAAGGATTTTACATGGAATAACATATTTCTGTTTGCATAATGTTTGTGTAAAAATATAATTTACTATTCTCAGTTACCCAAATAAAATTGAACAATATCAATATCAATAAATTGTCCAAGACAAGTAATAAGATACATAATAGTTGTGGAATCCATATATAATTACCTGAGATTTCAAATTCATACATATATTTACAAGATTCTTAAGTGGCTACTCTGAGATTTTATCTCATTTGTGTTTCTTCTTGCTCTCTCCTTTCTCTCTCCTTCTTTCTCTCTCCCTCCCCACCCCCTTTCTTTCTGTACCTAATTGTGGACATATTTTATTATTCAGAACAAAAGAATACAAATCTATATTAAGGAATCAGACTCTTTTCTAGTTCTACTTACTAGTGACCTGATTTGTTTGTTATAGCCATAGATATATCATCGCTATATCAAATGTTTTTCTACAGTTTCTGTTTCAACAGACATTTCATCCCCTGTTAGAAATACTGTTCGAGAAATACTTTTCACACCCTTTGAGAAGCAATCTGAGATTCACCACAGATGAAAGGTCTCCAAATGTTAAGGGTCACATTTCTACACAAGGATTATATGAGATAAGGAATTTCTAAACAACCTATGTTTGTATATCTAAGAATTTCAGCTTTGAATATAAATTCTACAATATTTGTGTTTCCAGTGTAAAAATAGAAAATTCTTTTTAAAAAGTCCAATTATTTTCAAAATACATAAAATGTGTACTTTATAAAATAATAAGCACATGAGTATTTCTTTATCTTACAAATTATTTATTCTTCAGAGTAAAATGAAACTTAATAGTTTATATTTTTTTACTTAATGTCTTGGGAGGAATTTCACTCTCTGAATTCTGCCCTACATTCTTTGTCTTCAGAGAAAATGTTTATTATGATCTTGATATGTATGTGAATAGGTGTGAATTTCAAACAGATAAGAAAAGCCTTCTCAAAGAATGTGTCAAATAGTTTTATAGAAATGTATGTTTTTGTTGAAATCTGGCTGAATGCCTGATATTATTGGAACCTTCAGAATGGCTTGTTTTCTGTGTTGCCAGAGGAATAATTTTCTCTACAGGAATTGAGATGCTTTACAATTTTATGAATTCGGTATTAAAAATATGAGGTTTGCCTATCTAGTGAACGTATTATTAGTTTATACTCTCATTTGCTCTTATTGTAAAAATAAACTTAGATCAAAATCCACTAAATTAAAGGTTTACCATCATAAATTAGTTCAAGCTTATTTACAAAGCATACTTAGCATGTTTAATTGTAAAATTTATATATATTATATACATAGAGAGAGAGAGAAAGAAAGGGAGAGAGAGAGAGCTACAATGTCAATAAGTTCCTATTTGATTTGGATTAAAGGATTTATTTTAGTCAGGGTTCTCCAGAGAAATAGAACCAATAAGATATATGTAGATATAAAAGGAGATTTATTAGGGATAATTGGCTCACAGGATTACAAATCGAAGTTTCATAAAAAGCCGTCTGCAAGGTGGGGAAGGAGAGAATCTGGCAGTGGCTCAGTCCAAGTCTTAAAGCCACAAAACCAGGGAAGTCAATTGTGCAGGCTTCAGTCTGCGGCCAAGGACTCGAGATCCTCCGGGAGACCACTGGTGCAAGTCCCAGAGTCCAAAGGCTGGAGAACCTTGAGTTTGATGTCCAGGGGCAGGAGGAGAAGAAGCAAGTGTCTGGCACAAGAAAAAAAAAAAGCCAGAAAACAAGCAAACTTATCTTACCTCATTCCACCTGCTTTGTTCTAACCATGCTGGCAGCCTGACTGGATGATGCCCACCCACAATGAGAGTTGGTTTTCCTCACCCAGTCCACTGACTCAAATTTCAAGCTCCTCCAGCAACATCCTCACAGATACCTCCAGAAACAATACTTCACCTGTCATCTAGGTGTCCCTCAATCCAGTCAAGTTGACACCTAATGTTAACTGTCCCAGCACTCATTTTGACCACTACTGGGATTTGGGTGGCTGTTGATAATCCTTGGCTGACTGAGTCTCTATCCAGTAGCTGCCTTTCACCAGAGAGAACTTTACTGCCCGAGGCCCTGGCCCTTCGCTGAGTGCTGTTCATAATCAATAATGGTTGATGTGGAGTGCAAAGGCCTGACTCCTTTATCTCAGTTACACTCTGTAGGGTTGGCTGAACTCTCTTGTGGAAATGTCACAGAGCTCAACTCCTCCTCTTGCCAATCCTTCCTTCACATGCTCCTACATATGTTGTAGAAATTATGCAAAAATTTACATTGCTTTGATTCAACAAACCGATTTTAATATTATTAATAATCTGTGCATTGGGTTAATGTTACTATGTACACTAAATATGTTATCATCAACAAACAAGTGTCAAGCCACTAATATATACCAAGATCTGAATGCACATGCTGCTATTATGTATGATCACATCTAAGATTATAGAAGTAACATGAAATCAGTGCTATTAGACCTATTTTAAAGATTAGTAAATTGAAATTCCAAGAGATTAAGTGGTTTGTCCAATGTTATCTATCTGGTAAATGAGCTGAGATTTTAACTAGTTATCGATGCCGATAATAAAACTTTATTTTATATTTTATAATTTATTTCTTATTTCCGTAATCACCCTTTTTCATATTCTTAAAATATTTTAAAATTAGAAGATTTTTTTTAATTTAGGGAAAACTCCACCCTTATTTATGTTGCCTAAAATACCATCACATTTTAAAAGCTTATCTATTACGTCTTTTTTCCTTAACACATATTTGACCTTTTTTCTGGAAATTATATATTTCTTTTAATTAAAGCTCTTCACAAGCTCTATTGGACAACATTTTGAATTATGAATATATGAGCAAAAAACTTTCTTTGGTCTCTTCTTTGTTATTATAATGTTACAATAATAACTAAATTCCTAGAAATTTTTCAGTACTCTACATTAACTCTAATGTGTCTTTAATATCTTTTACTAATAAATTAATGTTGTATAAATTCAGACACTCTGAAGTTAAATTATAATCTGATTAGAAAAATCTCACTACACATGCCCTGTAACAAACTTAGAAATTGATATCTTACTTAATCTGTTTCTTCTTTACGGTTTGAAAGGATGTATCATACCTAGGTACAACACTGAAGACAAAATAAAGAATATCACCTGTATTGGATTTGCCTAAGCATCTCTATTGCTGTATTTCCATTGTCAGCTTGTTCTACAGTTTCTGAATAGTCAAAATTGAGGGCAATGTCATTCTCGTGCATTTGAATAAATCAGGAGCTACCAAGGCAATGGATACTTGTAGGCCAACATTCCTGAGGGAAGAGGAGTCCAGAATATCAATTAAATACATTGAACCGCTTTTCCACGTGAGATGTTTACTGCTTCTTTAAGGGGCACCGAAAGGTTGAGAAGATAACATCACTCTTGGCAATCTCATACAATTAGGGAATTCAAGTCCCACTAATGAGCAGGGCACAGGTAATCATTGCATGCTTTCCAGTGGGACCATACAGAGCTGCCAGCAAGAACCAAGGTTAGATGGTGCATAAGCAAGGTCTTAAAAAAGTAGACAACCAACATTGTTTCAGCTCAATATTTGATTGGATGAAATGATTTTATCCTACCCTAACTACTTGCTACCTACTAAATAAATACTCTATGAATGTAAACAGCCTCAGCCAGAGCTCAAAGCAGCTCTATACTAATTAGTAACCAAAGACCAGCATTCAGTAAAAATTAACTAGGCATAAAATATGCCAGATGAATGCATTAACATTTTATGTCAACATAATGAACAATGTAGATAAAATTTTAAAATGTTGAAAAGCACCAACTTTTTAAAACCAAAATAAGAAAAATAAGAAATTCTGATTTGTAAAATTCTATTAAATAAATCTCTAATTAAAACCTTCCCAGAAACAATATTTCAAGGCTAGGGTATGGGAGTAATAGCCAGCACATCATAATAATAACAATTACATTATCTAAATTATTTCAGAGGAACTGATAGACTACTTAACCAAACTTTAGTCAGGCCCCTCTCAGCCTTTGTCTCAACTAGACCTTGACAGTGGTCCCCGTTCTTGCTGGGCCTGCACAGTCCCGGTTTAGCAAGATTTCTGTCCTGCCACAACAGCTTAGAAAAAAATACACCACCCTTGATACTTGATCATTCTGGATTTCGGATCAAGTTTCTCATCCTCCACCATTAATATCTGAAAACTCTGGCCTGCCTTCAGCAAGAATCCTGTTAGGTCAGTTTAGCAAAAAATTCTCCCTACAGTTGATGTTTTCTCTTAGTAGCTTCAGATCCACTGACCCTCCCCGCATCCCACCCTTGGGCTGTAAATCCCTACTTGTTCTTGCTATATCCAGAATTGAACCCAGTACTATACGGAGGTCTATTTTTCTATATTGTTATAGTTCCTGGATAAAATCTGATTTTACCACCTTAACTACTGTCAGGCTCTGATTTTCTTTAACAAAACAGATCAAAAAAAGATTTTCCAACACTTTTTATAAGGTTCTCATAACCCTGATACCAACACCAAACCCTATGTTGTGGTATAATTACTCCATTTGTTGCAAAATTTACTAACTTGTAGTAAAATTGCAGGAAAATCTCACAAAAGACAATAAAGTATCAATCCTAATAAAGTATCAGGAAAATGAATCCAGCAATATATAAATAGAAAAAAACACCATGATCAGTTTGGATTTATTTTAATAATACAAAGTTGACTTAATAATTGAAAATTTCATTCTTAATTAGCACCACAATAACAGAATTAATGAAAAAATTGGGACATCTAAATTGTGGCACAAAAATAATTGAGGTTTTGGACCATAAATTTTAAATCAAACTAGTCTCAAGCACATCTTTATTAATCAAAAGGGGAACCATTACAATCAACACATTTTGCCAATGAGAAATAAGTTTGTTTGTTCCTGTAGCATAAAAATCCATGATTCAGAATTTGACAAACTCTTGGAAAGCATTTTCTGCATCCTGCTGATTGTGCAAGCATTTTCCCTGCAAAAAGTTGCCCAGATGCTTGGACAAGGGGTAGTCGGTTGACGAGAGGTGAGGTGAATATGGCAGATGAGACAAAACTTGGTAGCCCAATTTGTTCAACTTTTGAAGCACTGTTTGTGCACCGTGTGGTCGGGCATTGTTGTGGAGAAGAATTGGGCCCTAACTGTTGACCAATGCCGGCTGCAGGCATTGCAGTTTTTGATGCATCTCATCGATTTGCTGAGCATACTTCTCAGATGTAATGGTTTCACCAGAATTTGGAAGGCTGTAGTGGATCAGACTGGCAGTAGGCAGTAGACCACCAAACAGTGACCATGACCTTTTTTTTTTTTTTTTTTTTTTTTTTTTGAGACAAATTTGGCTTTGGGAAATGCTTTGGAACCTCTTCTTGGTCCAGCCACTAAGCTAGTCATCACCACTTGTATAAAATCAACTTTTTGTCACATGAGACAATCCAGTTGAGAAATGGTTCGTTGTTGTTGGGTAGAATGAGAAGATGACACTTCAAAACAATTCTTTTTGATTTTCACTCAGCTCATGAGGCACCTACTTATCGAGCTTTTTCACCTTTCCAATTTGCTTCAAATGCCGAATGACTGTAGAATGGTCAACATTTAGCTCTTCCACAACTTCTTGTGTTGTAGGAGGATCACCTTCAATGATTGCTCTCAATTGGCCATTGTCAACTTCCAATATCTGGCCACCATGCTACTCATTTTCAAGACTCTCATTTCCTTTTCAAAACTTCTTAAACCACCACTGCACTGTACATTCGTTTGCAGTTCCTGGGCCAAATGCATTATTGATGTAGCGAGTTATTGCTGCTGCTTTATGACTCATTTTGAACTTGAATAAGAAAATTGCTTGAATTTGCTTTTTGCCTAACATCATTTCCGTAGTCTAAAATAAATATGAAATAAACAGCAAGTAACAAGTCGTTAGCAAAAAAACGTAGAGCGAGAAATGCACATTAAGATAATGTATAATATAACCACATTTAAGAATGTATTACAATATCAAACAGCAAATTCCAACAATGCAAAAACCACAATTACTTTTGCACCAATGCAATATATAAAAAGTAATTGATAAATTTAATATTTAAAAAGTCTTAGCTAATTGGAGATGGAATGAGCTTCCTTAAACTTAGGAAATATAGCATTGTAAAAACCTTAAGAAACATCATTCTTAAAACTAAAATATTGAGACCTTTCTCCCAGACAATAGAAATGAGAAAAAAATGTATATTACTACTTTCAATCAAACTTGTACTATATTTTTAAGAGAATAGAAAGAAGAAACAAGTATAAAATGACTGAAAAGGGGCAAATGAAACTATTTTTATTCACAAAAGAAATATCATTATATGTAGAACATTAAAAATAACTTAAAATTCTAAAAATATCACTTATACCTATGTAAAAATAATCATATGCCTAAAAATGAGTCATGTGAAAGTTGTGCAAGAACTGCATACAGAGAAATTATAAAACATTACTGAAAGAAAATTAAGTTTTTTAAAATAGGGGATACATTATGCTTATTGATTGGAAGTCTCTCTGAAATAAACATGTGAACCAAATCAATGAAAATTCCAGCAGGTTTATTATGAAAATTGGCAAACTGAATCTAAAAGTATAGAAGCATGCAAAAGGCCCAAAATAGCCAATCATGGAAAATAAGAAAATGTTGAAGGAACTACACTACTGGATTTTACAACCTACTGTGGTTTCAGTAATTAAGACTGTGTGGATGGGTAGAAAAACAGACCAACAGAATAAAGAGTTTTGTAATAGAGTTGATTAAAAGCAAAGAACACACACAAAAAATGTTGGACTACATAAAATTTAAGGGCTTCTATTCTTTAAAAGACAATTTTAATAATTGGAAAATAGTAAGCCACTGAAAGAAATATGTAATTCTATATTTAAATATGTATTTCCATATATTTGATATACATATAACTTGGATCATCATACATTCTAGTTTTATTTGGTTAAGTCTGAGTTTTGCCAATTTTCTTGGTGTAATTATAAATAAAGCCTTCTCTGTTAGGCCCTTCTTGCATTGTTATAAAGAAATACCTGGCCAGGTGCGGTAGCTAACGCCTGTAATCCCAGCAATTTGGGAAGTCGAGGTGGGTGGATCACCTGAGGTCAGGGGTTTGAGACCAGCCCGGCCAACATGGTGAAACCCATCTCTACCAAAAATACAAAAATTAGCTGAGTGTGGTGGCCCACGCCTCTAATCCCAGCTATTTGGGAGGCTGAGGCAGGAGAATCACTTGAGCCCAGGAGGCAGAGGTTGCAGTGAGCTGAGAACATGGCACTGCACTCCAGCCTGGGTGATAGAGCAAGACTTTGTCTCAAAAAAAACAAAAACAAACAAACAAACAAAAAAACCCAGAAATAACTGAGACTGGGTAACTTAGAAAAGAGGTTAAATTGGCTCACAGTTCTGCAGTCTCTACAGGAAGCATGGTTCAGGCATCTGCTGGGCTTGTGGAGAGGCCTCAGGGAGATTTTTTACATGGCAGAAGGTGAACTGGCATGTCACATGGCAAGAGCATGAGCAAAAGAATCAGTGGAGAGAAGGTGCCACACAGTTTAACAACCAGATCTCAGGAGAACTCACTATCACCAAAACATGTGGGATCTGCCTCATAACCTAAACACCTGTAACCAGGCCTACCTCCAACACTGGCGATTACATCTCAACATGAGATTTGGAGGGCAGATCCAACTATATCACTTCCTATCATTCTCAAACATTCATCACTTAATCAATAAATTGTTGTCATTCTACAAATAACCAATAAAATATTTGTATCTAGAATATGTAAATGCCTCTTATAAATCATTCAGAAGGAGAATGAAAACGAAATAAAAAATGTTCAGGACGAAATAAGAATTTCATAAAATGAGCATTCCAATAGAGGATAAAAATATGATAAGGTGCTCAACATTTGTGATTAGTAGAATGCTGGTTAAAACCACAATTCAATATCACTATACTAAGAGCAGAGTAGCTAAGTTTGTTGTTGTTGTTGTTTTTTACAGTGACAACATCAAATTGAAGCTATGATTTCAAGCAATTGAAACTCATACACTGATGGGGTAGCATGATATATTTAAATTATTACAACCACTTTGGAAAATGTTTTGACAGTGTTCACTACAACATAAACTTATATTTACTCTATGAACTAGTAGTTCAACTCCAATTTATATAGCCAAAGTATGTACATATAAATATTATAAATTATTTATAAAGTTGTTTATAACAGCATTATTCAAAATCAACAAAACTAGAAACAACAATAATGTATATAACCAGTTGAATGAATATATAAACATATGTATATCATATAAAATATATGGCAATTAAGCAGAATGTACTATATCACATGATATAAATGTATGTCAAAAGTAATGCAAATTCAATAAATCAGACTAAAAAGGATTTATACTGTATTATTTTATATTTGAGAAGTAACAGGAAAAGTGAAACTATCTTCCAGAAATTAGTATAGATTTTCCCTTCAGGGAGGAAGATAAATATATTAACAAAGAGGGGACACAAGAGTTCTCCTGGCCTGCTGATGCTTTCTGTCTTAACTTGAACTGTGGTTACATGTATGTGATCATTTTGTAGTGATTAATTAAACTGCACAATTGTGGTGTGTGCATTTTTATATATCTATTTTATACTTTAATAGAATGTGTCAAATATATTTCAATGATTTTCAGCAACTTTCCCTTTTCATTGAGGATAATAGTTTCTAATAAAAGAAAATGAGTTTTCTACCTTAGCAACACGATCCTGTCTACTTCACATATCTAAAGCATTTTAGTGACTGCTAAAAATAAAAGTTAACAACCCCAAATTGAAGTCTTCAAAGAAACAAATATGCAAGATATAACATATTAACATGCAAAAAAAGAATCTAACCAAAACAGAGTATGTTGCATCTAGATATAGCAAACACATTTATAATTTTTCTCCTATGTTCGCCTCTAAAACGTGGTGTGTGTGTGTGTATTTTCAAAATTCGTAGCAGTTGCCCACAATCTTACCTCTACACATTACAACTTGTTTTTTCAATTTTTTTGAGATGAAGTCTTGCTCTGTAGTCCTGGCTAGAGTGCAGTGGCTCGATCTCGGCTCACTGCAACCTCCACTTCCCGGGTTTAAGCGATTCTCCTGCCTCAGCCTCCCGAGTAGCTGGAATTGTAGGCACATGCCACTGCACTCGGCTAATTTTTTGTATTTTTTAGTAGAGATGGGATTTCACCATGTTGGCCAGGCTGGTCTTGAACTAAGCCTGCAAGTGCTAAGATTACAGGCATGAGCCACCGTGCCCAGCCCACATGACAACTTTTAAGGCTTTTATTCCAAGTCGGTGTCCCCCATCAGATGGTGTTGGTTTAGGCAGGCTTCAATCACTCATTTAAACACACATACATTGTTAAAGTTCATCATTGGCTTGCTGGATCATTAAATCAAGATCAGAGTTATTATGCATTTGGTCACTATCATAAATTTTATAGGTGAGAAAATGGACAAAAAAAGAAAGTGTTACAAAGGCCAATTACATTTTTATATTGGCTAGTGTAGATCAAAACAGATAATGTAAACCTTAGCTTTCAAACTATTTTCCCTATATGATATGGCAGGCAAGAAAGTTCTAGTGACAATTACATTTGTTTAATCTGTTAATAGATGATAAAACAACTTCTCTGCAACAAAATATGTATTGCAGTCAAGTACCTCCAAGTGTTCTATTCAAAATCTCTGAGACTTACTGTAGGACAAAAACTGCCTTCATGTTTAATATACCCTTGTTACACGATGTGCCAATGAAAGTTTGAATGTCATCAAATTAGTTTTATTTAGTATGACAATCCAAGGTTAAATGTCAGAATAGTACTAATGAGTACCAAGGAATGTGTGTATGTCTGTGTGTGTGTGTGTGTGTGTGTGTTACGCATATTCAATGTCTATTCAAAACAACTTCTATTTCTTTCTTTTTTTTTTTTTTTGAGACAGAGTCTCACTCTGTCACCAGGCTGGAGTGCAGTGGTGCAATCTCAGCTCACTGCAACCTCTGCCTCCCAGGTTCAAGCAATTCTCCTGCCTCAGCCTCCCGAGTAGCTGGGACTACAGGAGAGCACGACCACGCCCAGCTAATTTTTGTACTTTTAGTAGAGACGGGGTTTCACCATGTTGGCCAGAATGGTCTCGATCTCTTAACCTAGTGATCTGCCCGCCTTGGCCTCCCAAAGTGCTGGGATTACAGGCGTGAGCCACCAAGCCCGGCCAACAACTTCTATTTCTTATATTTATTTAGTATAATACTAAAACACATTTCTTTGAGTCTAAGGGGACTTATAATTCACTAGATGAGCATTAGAAGTTAAATTTTGGTGAGTATATAGAAGAGAAAGGATTGTGTTCAATCAATATTTTACCTTAAGCTGAAATGTAAAAATACTAACATACTAAATTATACTGTGCTAATGAAAGGTAAAAGGAAAAAAATAAAGTCAATCTTTACCCCATTCCACTTTATTTTCCACCATACTTTCAGTTTTGCTAATATTTACAGATTGAAGAAAATGTCCAGAAAAACCATGAAATTCAGCACATATTAAAGAATGGCATTGTATTTAGTGTATCCCGGTCATGACTCACTTTGAAGACACAGAGATAAATTACAAATTACCCACAGGTGTAAAGTGTTTGAATAGCAGTATTGCATTTGAATATGACTATATGTACATATAATTTTTCATAAAATAAACTTTATTTGCTCCCTTTGTCTAGCCCTCCTCCTTCTCTCTGGGAAGAACAACATCTCTCCCTCTCTTCTCACTATAAAACAATTTGAACCTCCTTCCAAACATGAGATTTTTACTTAGAGTTTCCAGTCAAAAATGATTTTCCTTCTTTAAAAAATAATGGAATAAGTAACCTTAGCCACTCATAATACCAATTGCCTTTGCATTTAGTGCTTACTCCAGGGTAAACATATGCCCATGATGGGTCTGGGTCAGGTAGAAGCCCATTTTTGTATCAAGTGGTTTAACTGGAGACATGATCCCACAGCTGTTGATGGCCATCCATCACAATGTGTACACAGAGATAGCTAGAGAACAGAATAAAACCAGCACACCTAACAAGCAAAGATCCAATTCTGAGACAAGTCATACTGGTTATACCATATGCCTGGATACCTTTGCTCCAAGCAAAATTGATTTTATGAGCCCCAAACCCTGTCTTTCACATACATGAATTTGAGTTGGATTGTTGTTGCTTGTAACATAAATAGTTCTAATTAATTTAGAAAGTGGGATCTGGAAATAGGAAAACTGCTAGGCCACAGGATGAGATTTGTTCATCCCAGATATGAAGATAGCAATCCATATTACAGGTTACACATATTAATATTGAACAGTTTCCTAAATTATTATTGGTATGTCTAAAAATAATTCACTCCTAGGATAGGGCTTTTGCAAACTGACTATAAACATGTCAGCATATTATTTGGCATTATCTACTTCCTACGGCCTTCAGCATGTGCCATGAGAAATGCAAGCTGCAGTCCAAGCCAGATCATTTGAAAGCACACAAGGAACAGGTAAACAGCTATCTAACTTTTTCAAGAGATGCTCATTCTGCCAGTGATCCCAGATCTGAGAGGGTTAGACTATCATGAGCTTGCCTGACTTACAAAAGTCAATTACTCTGCTCCATGCTGAAGTTAGTACATGTTGTAGGGCTAAGACTACACTGGAAGAGTCAGAGGAACTGTGGAAGCCAGACCCTCCAGGCCCTCCTTTGGACCTCTTGCTAAGCTGTAGGATGCACACCGGTGGAGCTGTCAATGGATTTAAAAGCACTTAGTAAATAATGATGTGTTGTATATTTACAAGGTCATGGTATTCAGAGTAGTCACAGCATTAATAAGTAAAAGTCACAGCAGCAGCCATAGCAGTAGTGGTAATGGTAGCAGCAGCTACAGCAGCAATGCTCATAATTAAATAGGCCTACATATAAAAATTTGAGTGGCATCCGGAAAATCAGCCCACCAGTATAAATAGGCTTGAAGTTACTTTATTAATTACGTTAAAATTTACATTTCTCAAGATTGTCGCTAATAAGACAATATCTGGATAAAATCAGCTGCTGGGTTATTGGGACATTCATTTTGTGTCTAAAATTGTCTCTCCCTTGAGATCCACTAGTTGGTTATTGCTACCCTCACTTTATAGTGGCTTCGGGATAGAGAGGGATGACTTTCTTTGTAATAATCTAGGACACATTGATTATCATTTATTTGCCATGGAAGTGCTAAACCTAAGCTAGTTTATTCAAAAACACCTTAAACATACAGGATAACTAACCCAGATAAGTGCAAAGGTAGATAATCTGTATTAAAAGGCCTGGCTTATTCTCAGGTCTTGTTGACCTTTTATGTCAGCATTTCCCTCTGCTTCTGGTTTCAGGCATTTGTATCTCTCTCAAGTCATGTGCTGGACTCTTAGACCAAGATCAAAAGATCACAAAAGGTCTCTTTCACTTTTGAACTGATGTACCTATTCTCAAATATTTCAAAGACCTAAGGACCATCTCTTCGCTAAGTGATTGACACAAGCAGAAACCTCAAACTTTAGATGAAACTACACCCCAATAAGAAGTGCTGCTTTTTCCCTGTAATTCCTAACAATATTGCTATCTAAAATAGTGCCACACCTTCAGTATGCACTCAACGACCCTATTACAATAACAAAAATACACTGACTGTGCTTCTTTTGCATTAAATATTATCAATTCTTTGTAGTTTCTTAATTTCATTATATAATGTAAATATTAAATACATGTTTTTCTATATGAATGCATTTATTGATACTTCTTTCTATCTTTCATTAAATAGATCCAAAATAACAGATCCCTAGAAAGGAAGGGTGCGCTACAGTGAGGAAGGACTCAGGGTTGGAATTTTGGAGTATGTCTCTATGTGTGTGTGGGTGTGTGTCTATAAGTTTCAGTGATGACTTTCATAAATTTCTGCCTATAGATGAAAAGATAAACTAAATAACTATTGGGAAACAATAAATGTCAAATCTTACTGATTACATAATGTTTCAGATGTTCAGACAAGTTCAAAGGGAGATTTTGGTACGTTTCTGTCACCACCTCACCTACCACTCCTGAACTCCATGCAGATACATTAATTAGGCTCATTACTGTGTTGGTTACCTCTCAGTATAAAATAAAGTGTGTCAAAGTCAAGGTAGAAATAATATTAATTTTACATGGAAATTATGGTATTTTAATCATTAAAGTACACAACTGAATATGTAGCATACAACGAGGAAATATAGAGCATGGAGATTTTCTAATATGTAATAGGAAAAAAGCAGATTATAATATGAAACAGTGCTTTTTAATAGAAAATACAGAATACCTAGAAAAAGTTTTCTTTGGCAGAATAACCTATAAATGCTTTAGTTGCTTTCTTTGTGAACATTTTAAAATTACATTATTGGCTATGACAAGTTATTCCCTAATTCAGGACTTAGCTTTAGATAGTAACAATAAAAGTCATTTGTCCAATTTAAAAATTGTGTGGAGTCTGTTTTATAGCAAAATTCTTGTTAAAGCAATTATTATTAAAAATACTGACATTTAAAATAACATTCAAATGCTGACAGTGACTATTAATGTAAGATCACAACCCTCCTACAATATAGCATACCTGAATCTTTACAGACATGGAAGTTTTTAGATGGGTGAAAGGACATAGAGATAGAAGGGTTTAGTAAATCACAAAAAATATTGAGAATAAAGATATTTTAATCCCTTTTTCCATCACAGACCAACAGTACATACATTACTCTTTCTCATGTTTATGAGCATATATCTATTTTATTTCATCATATAATGAGTGTGTGGTTGCATATACAGGATAATAAAGACAGAATAGAATGTTTGAGAAATATTTCTTGTGAACAAATTTTAAACAATCAATTTAAGCAAGTAAGATACTTGGTACAGTTCAATAATAAAACTCAAATTTATAAACCACTTTATTTGATGGAGACTACCACTATTCGACTTTACTTCAATAATTTGAGGAAACACATTTGAATTCTAGATCAGCATAAACAGTTTTTACTACACAGTAGTCATACATAAAAGGGTTTTAAATACTGGCAAAGGTAAAAGGAAGACCATAATATCATATTTCTTTGGAATTTTTTAAGAAGCCAAGAGAAAATACTTCTCAAGAGTTTGTGCTAATTAGTTGGCGTTCTTTACTAGGAACTTTCCCAAATCGAAGCATATCCTAATTGTGGTAACATATTCATGACAACATTATCTGCAAAATATTTATTACAGTCAAGCACCTCCAAGTGCCCTATGCAAAATCTCTGAGACTTACTGTAGGACAAAAATTGCCTTCATGTTTAATACACCCTTGTTACACAGATGTGCCAATGAAAGTTTGAATGTCATCAAATTAGTTTTATTTAGTATGATAATCCAAGGTTAAATGTCAGACTAGTGCTAATGAGTACCAAGGAATGTGTGTGTGTGTGTGTGTGTGTGTGTGTGTGTGTGTGTGTGTGTGTCTATAAGTTTCAGTGATGACTTCCATAAATTTCTGCCTACAGATGAAAAGATTAAATAACTACTGGGAAACAATAAATGTCATATTTATGTCTTATTGTGTTTCAAAGTAAAATGCTCTTATATATAAGAGCAGTTTCTACAAAATGCAAAATCTTCTGCACGTAAGGTACAATGTTGCTATTAACTGGATACCCAACAATTCAATCATTGATTATTCTAGCGAGTTCTTGTTTCATGCCAGGCCTATAGATGAGGCTTCATTTAGGAAATACATATATATTTGCAGTGTATTTCCATGCATCTCCACATATAATGTAAATGTCATTTTTGAAGGGGCTTGCCTGGTACTGTTCCTGAGGTTTTCTTTGGTATGCATATTTTATCTTGGAACACAAACACTTTCCACATTTTTAGCAAGTGCTATTGGTGCCTTGCCCTATAACCCTCATCATTATAGCGCACTCCTGCCTCTCTTTCCAGACAGTACCTTCATCAGTTTTCCTGAGCTTTCTCTGAGTAAAAGATCTTGCTCTTTCTGAGGATAGGATCAGATTAGGATCTGAGCAGATGAGGAGTGCCTGGAAATTAATGCCCTACTGTTCACTCTAAGAGCCCTCAATCACTAACTGATAAAGTTGGTGTATAAATACCACAGCTCCCTTGTTCCTCAGGTGGGTAATTCTGAGGCACGTTTTGATTCACTGTATCCCAGAGATACCAGAAGAGTAAGTTTTAGTTGACCATGTGGTAACTTGCCTGGTAATATAATTTTTAGGATTTCTTTTATTTTTTGAGATTACTGCTCTACTTATGTCTATTTCTTAGTTTTAATTATTAGTATCTGATGGTGTTTTTTCATATACTTATGCATGCATTATATTAAATTTATTACTACCTGTATATAATTTAAATTCATATATTTCCAATGTATTTATTATTATTGACTCCCCCAAGCCTCAAGCTGATCTAAGATTGTATTTGCCTCTTTCTTTTGAGATTGCATAAAAATATTAATTTTGAGACATTTTCTATGATCTAGTATTCTGGCGCTAACATTGACAAGCAAGTAAATGGATTTTCATTAAAAGTGAAAGATTAATTAAATCTTTTGCATATCAACAAACATGAAGCAAAATTAACATTTACAGATATTTATTCAAATTTTATTTATGACAAAAATCAAACCAGATTTATTAAGCCTTAACATCCAGTATGTTTGGAATTAGTTTGGCTAGATCTCTAAAGCATTACAAAAATTATTACTTTGCTTCCTGCTGAGTAGACCCAGTCATGAAATAGTAGAATAGTATCTTTTGTTGTTTCCTTATTATTATTAACTTTTTTTAAAAAGCACTCTTAGTAGGGGTAAGTATAAATCAAATCTGACTTCCCTATTCTGATGTGACCAATCAGATAACAGACCATAAAACTGTAATTTCATATAGTTTTTCTTGACTTTAAGCACACGTACCCTAAAACTTAAAGTATAATAAAAAAAAAGTCAGTTTGAAAATCTAGACAGTAGGACATCTTGGGGTAAAGCATAAAGCCAGTAACAACCCCATTAAACTAGTTGATTGCTCTTGCATTTTGCTGGCAGAATTCAATTTCAACAAAATTGATTCTTTTTTTAAAAAAGGACTTTCCAGTCTTTGATGTAATCTGTTTATAATAAACCTCCAAATTTTCAATTATTAAAAAGGTACACGGACAGACATCTCTAAATTTTAATAAAAACTTGAGTTATCAGCAAACATCAAATATGGTAGATAGGAAAACAAAATATATCTGAGGAGTTTGTTGCTCTTTAAAAAACTCATCTAAGTAAATCAAAAATTTTGCACTTAAGATAGTGAATAAAGACACTGCTTTCTTTGGCAGCCTTTGTAGGAAAGGTCTGAGGTCAACTGAAAGGCCTCAAATCACTGTTTACCATTCATACACAGTGCTCTTCCATATACATGGAAGACATTTCTCATAATGTTGATTTATAGGTGCACTTAAAAAGGGCAATTGAAAAGAGTGCTCTTTGGGGTGAGTATTAGCTGTGGGAGAAACATTCAGAGAGGCTTCAACTAAGCTTCCTAATGTCAAAAAATGCTGTTATATCAATTTGAGTATTTGGAGACATAGATTTCAGTTTAAGAACTACTGTGTTTAATGCTTTTTTATCCTCTCAGTTCTATTCCTTTTATACTTTAAACAACATACCGAAGATGAATGGCTTTTAATATATAACTATTTTAGTGTGAGTAGTGAGTAGAACAATACAAATGACTTATTTAGTTGGAATAATTCTTGTTATTGCTATATTCCTAACTAGAAAAGTTAAAAAAAAAAAGCTCCACTAAGAAAAAAAAAAAAAAGACATACTATCTTTTGTTAAATGCTACCATGAACAGATTATTGTTTGTGCAGTAAATTATAGGGATATTTCCTAAAATATTTTCAAAAATACTGATTTTTTCCAACCATTACTAAATTTTGAGAAAGAATGTTCAGCAGATTCAGACCAAAAATGAACATAACAAAATATGGCAATGCTCTTACATCTAAGCTGTTTACATGTATGTACATTATTTCTGAAATATTACCTATGTGTAATTTTATTTTATTCTGTAAAGATTTTATTTCTGTAAAGATTGTTTGAGTGAATAAACACAGTAACCCTCCCCCAAAATACATCTATTTTCATTGTGGTCACACCATCTTCCCTCTGCTCTCTGATAGCTAGGAAAAGGGCCTACTGGATTTTAATCATCTCTCAAGTGTAGGGTCTATGAGATATCATTTATTTGTAGTTTTAGCTCTAAAATGTCTTCACTTTTAAAATATTCAATTATTAAATATTTGTCAAATGAATTGATTAATCAAAAGCTGAGGGTATATGTATTTTTTCCCATAGTGAGGGGAAATGGAGAATCTGTTCTAAATACAGTCTTTAAAATCTAATCCAAAGGCATGGTTCTCCATTAAAATGTGTTTGATCTAATAACTCAGAATCCAGAATAGTTACATTGTCAGTTTTAAATGTGAACATCTCATGATGATGGTGATGATGATGATGATGATAATGATGATTAGAGACAAAGTCTTGCTCTGTGGTCCAGGCTGGAGTGCAGGGAGTCAATCATGGCTCACTGCAGTCTCAACCTCCCAGGCCCATGTGATCCTTCCACTTCAGCCTCCGAAGTAGCTAAGGCCACAGGTATAAGACATTATGCCTAGCTAAATGTTTTGCAAATATTTTTTGGAGACAAGGTCTCACTATGTTGCCCAGGCCAGTGTCAAACTCCTAGGTTCAATCAGTCATCCTGCTTCAGCCTCCCTAAATTCTGGGATAACAGGCATGAGTCACCACACCCAGCTCATGATTATTTTAAACTTTATTATCTCCTCCGTTTGTCTAGCTCATCATAAATCACACTAACTTGATGTTCCTATTTTCTTCATGGGTCTTTTCCAAGTGTTTTGTCAATTCAATTGTGTTTTATGACCCTTCATGGTCCTCAAGGTTTTTTGTTTTTTTTTTTTTTTGGACATTTATCTAATTATTAGTATATAGTATATATTTATTACTAAAATATTAGAGATGTATTGAATATTTAATTAATATGGGTAGATACGCTACAAATTTCAAATAAAGCGTGTATGTCTAAAATTTCCAAGTAATTTTCCATCTTAGGGAGAAATGTTTTTAGTTCTTTTAGCCATTTTATATTACCTTTATAATCTGTTGTATTTACCTAATTGAAATACTGTGATACAGTTAACATTATTTCTGCTAATCTAAGGAAATGAAATTAGTATAGTTGAAATATAATATAACACTTTTTTCTAGAAATGATTTTTTTTCCCAGAAATCATCATGTAAACATCTAGAAATCTAGAAACAACAGAGGTTGAACCACAAAAAGGGAATGATTATAAGTCTTGTGAAAGAGTTAATTGGTACTGGAAACCCCAGATTGTGATGAATAACTAAAGGACTCCGGTTTTCACCTACGAAGGTAGTAAATATCTCATAATAAACAGCATGATGCAATTTTTTCCATTTTTGTTCCCATTGTATTTTTAATGTTCTACAGGGGTTATTACAATAAAAATGACTCTAGTAACAACACTAATTTCCTAAAGTACTGAGAACCCTAATTTACAGGGGATTATGCAGTTTTGCAGAGATGGGTGATGGTACAAGAATGTCAATGACGATACCAAACTCAAAAGGCACCAGTCATATTAGTGCCATCACTAATGACCTCATTCAACCTTAGTCATCTCTTTAAAGACTGTATCTCCAATTGCAGCATTATTCTGAGGCACTGGGGGTGAGGGCTTCAATGCATTCAATGTATAAATTTTTAGGGCATACAATTCAGCCCATAACAGCAGAGAATAAGTAACAAGTACAGGAGATTACGAACTATGTTCATTTGCACAATATAACACACAAAGATGCAAACAAATTGAACAAATTTCTACCTACGCCTTGTGTGCTCTGTGATATTAAGTCAAGCCTTTTGGGTATTTGAGTCATTAGTTCATTTTAATTACTCTGTTCTACTTTAATTCCTCTTCCAGTTCAAAAGTGTTCTAAAATGCCTGAATGATTGCCATATGTAAGACAGCCTCTTTTAGCCTCGTTTTTCTAATAAATGAGGCCTACATGACTAGTGTTTTGTATATTTACCTAAGAAAACAACAAAATTTGGTAATATGCTTTATAGTTCCGGTATAAACAGAGATTTTTCTACATGGCTGCTTATCATGTAGTATTCACCATTATTATTCAGTTCAAGGAAGACACATAATCTTGGTCAATAAAAAGGAATGTTAAGGAGACACTTGCCCCTTATCCATTGTCTGTTGGGTCTGAGGTTACTTTCACTAGCTGTCCCTAAATCTATTTCGGAACTCGTCTCTCAATCATCACCCAAAGATATTCTGGGGCTGATGCTTTGCTGCTGATGCAGAAGCTCTTCCAATATGTCACAGGATTAAGGATATTAAGCTCTTGCTAGCACTTGTTTCTTCTAGATTTAAAGGAAAACTGAGTCTAAGAATGGTTCATATAACATAAATTCTCTAGGAACTAGCTCATATCTCAGTGAAGTTAAAGGAATCAATTTGACTTTAAATATTACTAAGTCATCATGAAATAATTTTTGTAACAAAAAAAAGTAAACTTATAAGACTACAGTTTATTTTGAAGGAAGAAGATGCAAAGTTAATAAGTGCTGAGATTAATTTGGAACTTTTTCCAAATCTTGTTTACTCAGTCTTTAAGAATTTATATTAAATAATGTGTTGTCTTCCATTATATATAATTTATTTTAATCATAATGTCTATATTGTATTCACTCTGCAATTTATATAACTATCTACATGAAAAATCTCTGTCTTAGAACTTGTGACAACATAAATATATATATATAATAACCCTGTGTATTAGTCCGTTTCCACACTGCTGATAAAGACATACTCAAGCCTGGAAGTAATGAGTGGTAATGGACTTACAGTTCCACATGGCTTGGGAGGCCCACAATCAGAGTGGAATGCAAGGAGGAACAAGTCATGTCCTATATCAATGGCAGCATGCCAAGAGAGAGCTTGTGCAGAGTAACTCCCCCTTATAGAGCCATCAGATCTTTTGAGACTTATTCACTATCACGAGAACAGCATGGGAAAGACCTCCCCCCATTATTCAATTACCTCCCACCAACCCTCCCACAACTCATAGGAATTCAAGATGAGATGTGGGTGGGGACACAGCCAAACCATATCATTTGGCCCATGGCCACTCCCAAATCTCATGTCCTCACATTTCAAAACCAATTATGCCTTCCCAACAGTCCCCCAATGTCTTAACTCATTTCAGCATTAACCCAAAAGTACACAGTCCAAAGTCCATCTGAGACAAGGCAAGTTCCTTCTGCCTATGAACCTATAAAATCAAAAGCAAGTTAGTTACTTCCTAGATACAATGGGGGTACAGGCATTGGGTAAATACTGCCATTCCTAATGGGAGAAATTGACCAAAACAAGAGCCTACAGACCCCATGCAAGTCCAAAATCCAGTGGGACAGTCAAATCTGAAAGCTCCAAAATAATCTCCTCTGACTCCATGTCTCACATCCAGGTCATGATGATTCAAGAGGTGGGTTCCCATGGTCTTTGGCAGCCCTGCCCCTGTGGCTTTGCAGGGTATAGCCTCCCTCCCAGCTGCTTTCATGGGCTGGCAATGAGTGCCTGTGGCTTTCCAGGTGCACGTGCAACTGTTGGTGGATCTACCGTTCTGGGGTCTGGAGGATGGCGACCCTCCTCTCACAGCTCCACTAGGTGGTGCCCCAATAGGGCCTCTGTGTAGGGGCTTTGACCCCGTATTTCCCTTTTGCACTGCCTAGCAGAGGTTCCCAATAAGGGTCCCGCCCCTACAGCAAACTTCTGCCTGGGCATCTAGGCATTTCCATACATTTTCTAAAATCTAGATGAAGGTTTCCAAATGCCAATTCTTGACTTCTACACACTCGCAGGCTCAACACCACATGCAAGCTGCATGTCTTGGGGCTTACACCCTCCAAAGCCACAGCCTGAGCTCTACATTGGCCCCTTTCAATCACAGCTGGAGCAGCTGGGACACAGGGCACCAGCTCCCCAGGCTGCACACAGTACCGGGACACTGGGCCTGGCCCACAAAACCACTTTTTCCTCCTAGGCCTCCAGGTGTTTAATGGCAGGGGCTGCTGTGAAGACCTCTGAAGTGCCCTGGAGACATTTTCCCCATTGTCTTGATTAACATTCAGCTCCCTGTTGCTTATGCAAATTTATGCAACCAGCTTTAATTTCTCCTTAGAAAATGGGATTTTCTTTAGTATCACATTGTCAGGCTGCAAACTTTCCAAACTTTTATGCTCTGCTTCCCTTATAAAATTGAATGCCTTTAACAGCACCCAAGTCACCTCTTGAATGCTTTGCTTCTTAGAAATTTTTCCGCCAGGTTACCTAAGTCATCCTTCTCCAGTTCAAAGTTCCACAAATCTCAAGGACAGGGGCAAAATGCCCAGTCTCTTTGCTAAAATGTAACAAGAGTCACCTTTGCTATAGTTCCCAAAAAGTTCCTCATCTCCATCTGAGACCACCTCCGCATGGAACATATTGTTCATATCCCTATCAGCATTTTTGTAAAAGCCATTCAACAAATTTCTTAGGAAGTTCCAAACTTTCCCACATTTTCCTGTCTTCTTCTGAGCCCTCCAAACTGTTCCAATATCTGCCTGTTACCTAGTTCCAAAGTCACTTCCACATTTTCATGTATCTTTTCAGCAATGCCCCACTCTACTTGTACCAATTTACTATGTTAGTCCATTTTCATGTTGCTGATAAAGATATACTCGAGACTGAGAGGAAAAAGTTTAAATGGACTTAGAGTTCCACAAAGCTGGGGAGGCCTCACAATCATGGCAGAAGGTGAGGAGCAAGACCCGTCCTACATGGATAGTGGCAGGCCAAGAGAAAGATTGTGTGTGGAAACTCCCCCTTATGGAACCATTAAATCTCTTGAGACTTACTCACTATCATGAGAATAGCATGGGTAAGACTTGCCCCCATGATTCAATTACCTCTCACCAGGTCCCTCCCACAACAACACGTGGGAATTCAAGATGAGATTTGGATGGGACACAGCCAAACCATATCAACCTGTTTTCTAAAAGGTGATTTTTAATGACTGGAAAACACACACACACACACACACACACACACACACTTCTCTTTATATATCAGAATAATCGAAATTAGAATACAGGAAAGTTAGGAATTGGGAGCACAAAGGAATTGCATACATTTTGAAAGACAGTCACTCTCAAATCCATAATCTACTTGTCATTGTGCCCTCACAGGTGATTTATAATTATCATTTATGACATAAATAATGGTGGCATACATTATTTATGTATTTATAAATGTATGTATTTATGTATTTATAAGGGCAGCCTACATGTAGAAGATGCTTTAGTTTTTAAGTTTACTGTAGATTAATTTATTTAGGTATTTAGGGAAAATGGCATGCTATTTATGCTTCTCACTTTATTGGGATGTGTCCTATAGATTTATTACATGGAAAAATCTAATTATATATTAAAACTTTAATAACCTATGCTTAGGATTTAAGAATTGTATTGACTATATGATAGCCACAGATAACCTTTAAATTTTATAGTAATGAAGTTTCAACCTTCCTCTGACAAATCCTCTATTATTTTGAACCATAAAAAATTTTTGGATTAACTAATTTCAGTTTTGTTTTTCATGGTTTATATAATCTATTGAGGAGTAAACTAAGTGAATTTGTGGAAAAAGTGGGCAAAATACTGAAATAACAGCTTCCTCCTTTTGACAACATCTAAAAATTTAAAGTTGATCTTATGTGCATTATTGTTGAAGAGGATTGGTGGTACCACAGTGCATTGTAAGAGAAGACAATTTACCATGTTAAGATAAATTAATGTACATAAATAAGAGTATTTCTAAATTAAAAACAACTGTGTGCTGATTTGAATTAAGGTGGGTTTGAATTTTACAGTGTACAAAAAAGAATGTGCTCCTTTTAATTCTTGAGGCAAAATGATTTATTGAAAATGTTTGATGAGTTTAAACCAAATGAACAAGAAACCATTTGTTTGCTTTTTCAAACTGGTAATGTATTCTCAATGTGATATGATACAGGAATTATTACAACTGCACATATATATTTATTATTAAATACATATTGCTATAGTTGTATAGTATGTATTTTATAGTATTGAAGATTCAATTTTTAATTCTGTTTTGAAAATTAAATATGCAAATTCGAAGGCATTGATGTCCATAGTGATATTGAGACATTAGAAAGCAGATGTCCAAAGGAAAATGCTTTCCTTTGGCTATTTGTTGACTAATTAGTATATTCTCAGGTTTATGCTGAATTGGACTTAATTATTCCATTAACCTATTATTATGATTAGAACATTTCTTTTTTCTAAGGATAATGTATTGCTATATTATTCTAAGAATATTTCTGAGAAAAGATAAAATCTTACGGACTGCTTAAATGATAAAATGAAAGAAATTGCTCCAGGAGTTTATATGGCTAGCTTTTAAAAAAGGTTACATAGTTTTATGGTCAATAAAATCTATATTTAGACATAATGAAAGAAAGGCAAAGGCTATGAAATATTATGCTTTGATATTTTAATAGTGTAAGGTCAGGAACGAAGTTCATTTCATTCTTATATTGTCATATTAACTTAAATAGCTCCAACAGAAGCAAATATGTTAATAAATTTTGTTTATTTTAATGAACAACTACAATGATGAATTCTAAAATTATGATGCTATTTTGTTTCTAATAAACCTATAAAATTAATTTAATTTTTTTCATAAAAAATTTAACATGGTAAAACTTGAAGAATATAGGATTTATAGTCACATATATAAAGGATAGCAAAGAAATGCTTGTGAGTGCCCCAAAACACTTAAAGTTGAACTTTATGTAAATTTGTCATGTGTTTCACAATCACTTGCACATACACACATTTATCATCTTTTCCACATTTGATTACTAACATGCGAAGTAGATATTTCAACACCCCTAGAGCTAAGGTTATTACCATCCTGTTTAAAACAATTTATTCTATTCAGTTTTGTTGTATTTTATTTTGTGAGCCCTGTTTGTGTTATGAAGTAGAAATAAAGAATAAATATGATATATTTCACGATTTTAAATTACACTTATATTTCGTGACACAACGAAAATGAAGTAAGCAACAGCAAAGTATCTCCATGGCGATGGGTGCCTTGCAAGAGACAAAGATAAATAGAAGGTTCTTTATGTAGCTTGTATGCAATAGTAACATCAGTCTACAATCTTATAGTCAACAGTATTTTTTTTCCACTTTTGTCTTTAAGTTTTAACAGGCAAATAAATTGCTATACATGATACTCTATCTATTCAAGTATGAATGCATCCATAGAATCAAAAAACATTTTAAATGTTTTATAATCTAATTTCCAACACAGATTCTGATTAATAAGTTAAAGTACTCAGTCTCCTGAAATGTAATGTAAAATGCAGGGAAAAAAAGCAAAATTTTCCTATAATTGACTAATGTAGAACAAAGGATATACATGGATGTTCTTCCACTTTTTCCACAGAGAAAGTTTATAGCTTTTATATAATTTTATACAATTCAAAATTTCATATAATTCTTTTCTTAAAGATATGATTTTAAAAAAATGTTATTCTTTTTTCCTCAAGTCTACACAAAAAGAAAAGGAGAAAATACAAAGATAGAATTGTCCATAGAGAAGAGAAATAGTTGTCAAAAGTAATAGCCTAATATTGAGAAACAGGTCAGAAAAAATTTTTTAGAAATCACAACAGTAACAAAACAGAGCATGCTAAGATGACTTCAGATAGTTTTCCGTAATATAAGTTAACTACAATGAGTGAAAAGAATCACAGAAGATCAGTATAGCAATAAGTACTTTTTAAGAATTTTATAAATTAAAGCATTGATGATTGACCAGGATAATTTGAACTATTCAAAAAAATCCCCTAATGTAGAATACCTTATTCCAAGATGCCATTAAAGGAGGTAAGACTGCATCATATTAAATACAATGAGTTTTATTATTTAATAAAGTTAAATATATAGCTCTAAAGAGTTTAAAAGGACCTTTTGGTTCCTCTGATCCAACACTCATTTTATAAATATAGGTAAAATTCAGTTATTTTGCTCTAAGTCATGAAGGTAATAAAATGACTTGAAACTAAAGTTTGATATTCTGATGCTCCCTTACCCAGCTTAGCCTTTGCTCTCCAGGATGCCTCTATCTTCCTGAAGTTTTCAGTATTATTAATACAACAATTTATATTAAATACCTTAAATTTAAATATATAAATACCCCTCAGATAAAGTAATTAAAGGTTTAATAATTAACAACATTGACAAAGCATTAGAGGGGTATCTTTAATACATAAGTTCTGATGGTTGGCCACCAGTTTGTTCTGTGACCATGGATGGGGTTTTTATTATAACTTGTCTTTGCTTCAATTTCCTCATCCATGACATATGTATTATAATATCAGCCTCACATGGTTGCTGGACTTTTAACAAACAGCAAATCAAAGTTTGCTGGACTTTTCCCTTTATTTTAAGGGAAAATATAGCAGTTCAATAAAAAAAATAGCCTTAGTGCCTTCTAGAATATAATAGTGAGGAGGCTTTTTGGGTATTGTTCATTGCTTTGAAATATATACCTAGTGTTCGTAGACACTCAAATATTTGCTGAATGAATGAATAGATGAATAAAAGCTTGGCACCCATGGGGCTGAGATACAAGCATCTGAAAAAAAGATACAGTCCCTGCCTCCATGGAAATTATAGCTTCGAATATGTTAATAAAATGAGAAGATAAATTTAAGAAAATAGACAGACAAACTGTGAATAGCATAATGTACCTGCCCTTACAGAGCTCATAGCACAGCATGTTATTTCTGATAAATTATTTTCTTCTAAAATAAAGCATGTCTCATCAACCATCTCAGCAGTAGTTGAAACAAGGACTTTCTAACTCCATAAAAATAAACCATGTTTCTAGTGTCCTGTGAAATTCAAAGGAAGAAATATAATCAATAAGGGGACTGGAAGCAGATGAGTCAGAAAAAGTGGGATGATTTAGTTGCTTCAATCTGAAAACAAGCCAAATCAGGGGTTTCGCTATGCAGACATACACACACAAAACCACACACACATTTATAATTATTTTTACTTTTATAAATAGAAAGAGATGATGTATATGTAACCTGGGTTATCTTCTTAACTATGCTAATTCTTTTACTACAGATGTAAGCCAATGCAAGTTATTATTCTGTAAATTATGTATGTGCTGTGTGTCTATAAAGGCATTATTTTCTCATTGTTTGATTTTCCTTTTTTATTTTCTAATGTAATAGGTAGAAATAATTTTTTTAAAAAAATTCTGGGCTGAATTGTATGATCATTGCCTAAATACTATTGATTTATGATACTAAAGGCAAAAATAATACTTAGCAATCATAATAAAATGAAACATGGCCTTTATATAAGAAATATTTTCAAAGCAATGAACATTAAAACATAAAAGCCCTATTAACATAAATGAAAATGTCACATTTATTGCCTAGAAGTCTAGCCTATAATTAATGTTAATATTTTTTATTGTCAAAGCTGATTATCTAAACAATTATAGCTTTCTGGATTTAAATATATTTTTCAGAAAATATTTTACACACAGCCATTTGCAGAATAGTATAGTTTGATCTCCTGAAATATACATGTTCCCACCGAGAAGATTTAAAGTGGAAGGAAAACTGTGTAACAAGATCACGTTAATATTTCATGGAAACAATTGATGACTCTATAAAGATAAGACCATTGATTGTGAATTTGAAATTCTGCTCTTTCTTTCCCTGGTAAGAAATGCCTGGACAAATTTGTCTTTTTTGTTGTTTCTTAAGTTTTTGAATGGGACTGTTCTTTCAAAGTTTGTACGAGAAATAATGTGATTGCCTATCAATGAGTCCCATATGAGGAAAAGTAAGACCACACATTCAGACTTTTTTGTTTTGTTTAGATAATCAAATGTCTAACAATATACACCAATCTAAAATGTTCTCACTCTTTCATCAGTTCTAATATACTGAAAAATGATAGGTTGGAAATATGTTTAGGATCTAAAAATATTCACTTTTTATTTAAATCATGGTCACAAAAATATAGAGTACCCACTACATACTTTCATTGTTTTTTAGGCTTTTATTTTTTTTAATTTCAGACAGCAATTCCAACTTGAAAATATTTGCCTAGTGAATTTTGTATGTGGAATTTAAAACCAAATGAAATTTTATTTTCTCAGATAAGAAATAAAACAGACTGGATCAAGCTTTCAGTAAGATATATAGATAAACAGTTTTCAAGTTTTCAGCTTTCAAGTTTTCAGTAAGATATATAGATAAACAGTTTATAGAAACAGCAAACTTAACTTTCAATGGAGATACAGCTTTGCTGGCATTTTTGGTTTGCTCTGCTACATAGTAACTTGATAGCTTTTCTTTTGGGAAATTGGTTTTGTAACAATTTATTTCTGGTTGTTTTCTCTCAATAAGGTTATTGAGCTTCACACTGACTTCAATGTAAAATGTCTAAATCCTAACTGCAAGCAGTATTGGCTTATCGTTTCAGGATTCAGAGAGAAAGAAAAATAACAGATTACACTACTGGAGATAAAAAGAGAAGTGATTCAAAGCTGTGACCCTCTCAGTTTATCTTATGATATTCAATAATTCAACTAGAATTTATTAAGAATGTATAATGGAGCGGAAAATTGCTTTTTACTTATACTTAAATGTAACGAAAGGCAATTTAGTAAAACCCACTAAAATCTACCCTACACATTCTGTTACACTGGAAACTTCTTACATTATATTTATTTTAATAACTAATATAGTTCAGTTTCCAACCAACTACATTATAGATTACTATTACATAAAAGGCAACCCATTCAGAACATTTACCCAGAGAGTACTAGATTCTGTGAATTCTGATGATCTTAAAGATCACATGGTTCAATTCTCTTAACTAAGGTAATACATCTATACCTTTTTCTTCCAGTCGCAAAGAACTGATTTCATTACAAAGTTATCAGTCCAGTTGCAATAATAATATCCAAAGGTTATACATGGTATTAATATTTTAATAAATGGTTTTAAACATTATCTTATTAGCTCAAACGCCAACTCTATGACTTGGTATTTATTGTAATTTCCAATTTTATAGATGGGAAGGAGATTTGAAGAAATGTGCCTGTTCCACAGCTCATAAATCAAGATATAGGGATTCAAACCCCAGCAGGATAGTCCTGGAGACCACATCCTGGGTCACTGGGCTAATCTATTGCATTCATTATTGAAGAATTCTTTCTTGTGTTTAACTTTTTTTTTTTAATTATACTTTAAGTTTTAGGGTACATGTGCACATTGTGCAGGTTAGTTACATATGTATACATGTGCCATGCTGGTGCGCTGCACCCACTAACGCGTCATCTAGCATTAGGTATATCACCCAATGCTATCCTTCCCCCCTCCCCCCACCCCACCACAGTCCCCAGAGTGTGATATTCCCCTTCCTTGTGTTTAACTTTAAGAAGGATCATAACCTGATTTGCCCTTTGGAGCTACATGTAACAATCTATGTCTTCTTCCATGGTACAGACCAATGATTAGAAGGTATTCATTTTGATCTTTCTCTGTTATTGGTCACCAAGTTAAGCATTGCCGTACCCTGACATGGTTGTCAGACTCTTTTCTATATTGTTCACACACCCTCCCCTACTCCTGCATTTGCACTATATTTTATTACCTCTCTTAGAATGTGGTAAATTAAGGATTAGATCAATTTACTGGTTTGACAAAATATGGGCACTGCATTCAAGGACAGTTAGGATTTTTCATAAGCTTTTTAGACCAGATATTTTTCTAAGAAGCACACGTTATAAGAATAAGGCTGATAAAAATATACATCAAATAGAGATTTTTTTAAAACTGAAATTATTTATTTCATAGCCCCTGTGGTAAAATGGAAAGTTACCTCTAAAACTTTATTATGTTGAATGTTGGAGGATTTAATACTTGCCCTTTTTAATTTCAACTTTCATTACAGATTGAGGGGTACACATGCAAGTTTGTTACATGGGTAATTGTGATACTAAGGCTTGGGGTCCCAATGATTCCATAACTCAGGCACTAAGCATAGAACACAACAGGTGTTTCTTCAGCCCACATGCCCCTTTCTACCTCCTCCATCTAGTGGTCCCAGTGTCTATGTCTATTGTTACCGTCTTTACCTTCATGCGTATTCAGTGTTTAGCTCCCACTTATAAGTGAGAACATACAGTACTTGGTTTTCTGTTCTTGTTTTAGATCACTAAGGATAATGGCCCCTAGCTGCATCCATGTTGTTTCAAATGACATAATTTAATTCTTTTGTATGGCTGCATCGTATTCCATGGTGTATATGTACCACATGTTTTTTAATCCACTATTGATGGACACCTAGATTGATTCCTTGTCTTTGCTTTTGTGAATAGTGCTGCATTGAACACATGGGTGCATGTATCTTTTTGATAGAATGATTTATTTTTCTTTGGGTATATGCTTAGTAACGGGATTGCTGGGTTGAATGGTCATTTTACTTTAAGTTCTCTGAAAAATCTCCAAACTACTTCCCACAGTGGCTCATCTCGCTTGCATTTCCACCAACAGTGTATAAAAGTTTCCCTTTCTCCATAGCCTCACCAGCATCTGTTCTCTTTTGACTTTAAAAAGTCAATTAAAATAATTGTCATTCTGAGTAGTGTGAGATGATATCTCATTGCGGTTTTGATTTGCATTTCTCTCATGATTAGTGAAGTTCAACATTATTTAATATGTTTGTTAGTCACTTGTCTTCTTTTGAGAAGTGTCTCTTCATGTCCTTTGCCCATTCTTTGATTGGAGTTTCGTTTGTTTGTTTTTTGCTTGTTGATAGGTTTAAGTTTGTTATAAATTCTAGGCATCAGACCTTTATTAGATGCATAGGCTGAGAATATTTTCTTCCATTCTGTAGGCTGTCTGTGTACTCATTGGTAATTTATTTGCTGTACTAAATCTCTTTAGTTTAATTAGGTTTCATGTCTAGTTTTGTTTTCATTGCAGTTGCTTTTGGGGTCTTTGCCATAAATTCTTTGCCAACACTGATGTTGAGAAGGGTATGTCCTAGGTTTTCTTCCAGGATTTTTATATTTTGAAGCCTCACATTTAAATTTTTAATCCATCTTGGGTAAATTTTCATATATTGTGTAGGGTAGGGGTCATATTTTATTCTTCTGCATATGGCTATTTAGTTATCCCAACATCTTTTATTTGATAAAGAGTTCTTACCCCATTGTCTATTTTTGTTGATTTTGTCAAAGATCAGGTGATTTTAAGGGTGCAGGTTCATTTCTGGGTTTCCTATTTGTTCCATTGGTCCATGTGCCTTTTTTTTGTACCAGCACCGTGCTGTTTTGATTACTGTATCCTTATAATTTACTTTGAAGTCAGGCTATGTGATGCCTCTGGCGTTTTTCTTTTTGCTTTTACCATGTTGCTTTGGCTATTCAGGCTCTTTGGTTCCAAATGAATTTTATAATAGATTTTTGCAATTCTGTGGAAAATGACATTGGTATTATGATACAAATATTGTTGAGTCTGTAAATTTCTTTGGGCAGTTTAGTCATTTTACACTATATTGATTCTTTCTATTCATAAGCATGGAATATATTTCCATTTATTTGTGGAAATATTTTTTTTTCTAATTTCCTTCAGGCGTATTTTGTAGTTCTCTTTGTAGAGATCTTTCACCTCCTTAGTTAGACGAATTCCTAGGTATTTCATTTCTTTGTGGCAATTGTATAGAGGATTGTGTTCTGGATTTGGACCTTAGCTAGAAAGTTACTGGTGTATACAAATACTACTAATTTTTGTATCTTGAAACCTTACTGATTTTGTTTATCAGTTCTATGGGCCTTTTGGCAGAGTCTTTAGGGTTTTCTAGGTATAGAATCATATTGTCATCAAGGATAGATAGTTTGACTTATTTTTACTTGCATGCATCTTATTTATTTCTCTTGTCTGATTGCGCTAGCTAGGACTTGCTCTTAATTTATTCTTTTCTCTCTTTTCTACAATTCATACTAATGACTTATTTCCAATACAATAAACATAAATATTAAAATAATTCAAATAATCTAAATTTTATTCTATGAAATTTATAATTTTCACTAAATTTCACATGTAAAAGTATCCTCATTAGAGGAGTTTTTCCAAACTATTTCAGTTACTTTTTGTAGAAGAAAAGGGAAATGAGGCTAACTTTTTAAATCTATGTATCTAACTTTTTAGCTTGTAAATACCAACTCTTCTGAGACACTGACCATTGCTTTACAATCCCTCAGAATTTTGTATTTACTAATATAATCTTGTAGTCCCATATAATGTCATCCTTTCCTACCACTCTAAGAAATAACTGGGTTTTTTTGTTAGATTGTTTCTTTGATTTGTTGTTTTGTCTTGTTTTGCTTTGTTTTGATTTTGGAAACATGCAGGGAAATGTTCTAATGTACTTGACAATTTTATCATACCCAAATGTTGAAAAATCTTGATATATTGAATAGAAAACATACAAAATTGCTAATGGGACAAATATTAAATCTGCAGAATCCATTCCCAAAGTTATTACAGAGTTCCTATAATTAAAGTGTTTATTTATCCTGTAACCATGGAAGGTGGGAAAAAATAAGAGATGAGGTGAATGACACAGCTTGCTTTTCTGTCTGGAAGCCAGAGATTCTGTACAATCTACCCACAAGTTCCAGATGGGAGCTTTAGTATTAATCCCTCACCAAACGCTGCCTTACTTCAAAATTGAAAACTGTCTTCTAGAAGAAAAGCCATATGGTTACAGGCCTTTTTATCTTAATACATCTTGAACCTTTGTTTTGGGAGTAAATATTTAAGAAGAAAGTGTCCTCGGTTTTCAGTAGCTTGGGATGCTTGGCTCTCTCCTTTCACTTGTCCCACTCATACTGATTTCCTGTGTCACTCATTCAGTACTTCTGATACAGCATGTAGCCAAAACCACCTCTCAGGATGTCTACACTTTAATACTTTCTTCCTACCTCGATTTCATCCTTTTCCTAAATATCCAAGTGCCTATAACATGCCAGAACTTTACTAAATGACAGGAAAAATGATGACTAGAATGCAGGTCTCTTTCTTTATGAAAGTTAGTTTTGTGAAGGAGACAAACAGGTATTTTTAATATTTGCTGCAATACATATAGAATTTATTTGCATGGGAGAATATGTAAAGGAAATAGCCAACTTCTGGGTGAAGGTTAGAAGACAGGCCTCATGAGAAAACAAAACAAAACAAAACAAAAAATCTGTGCACATACCAGGGAGTAAGTCACTCTCTGTGAACTGTGAACAGCACTTGACTAATGGAAGCAAGGGGTTTAAAATAGAGTTCAATAAAAATTGAAACTGTAGACGTTAAAGGTCAAATGTTTATATTTTACCCATTTTAAAGATTTAAGATTTTACCTTGAAAATAATAAGGAATCATTATAAGTTTTTAAGCCACAACTCAAAACACAATTTTGAAAAGCTAATTTGGCTCAGATCAGAAAAGGCAATAACATATGCAGAGAGAACAGTTAGACGGTTGTTATGCCAGTCCAGTCAAGTGATAATAGAAACTGACTTGAAGAAGTGGCATTTTACTAATGTAAGTGACTGTGCCCTACAATTTCTAACTTGCTCTGTGTAAACACCAGGAATTCAATCTCTTTTTTTTTTTTTTTTTTTTTTTGACAGAGTCTCCTTCTGTCGCCAGGCTAGAGTGCAGTGGTGCAATCTCGGCTCATTGCGACCTCTGCCTCCCAGATTCAAGCAATTCTCCTGCCTCAGCCTCCTGAGTAGCTGGGACTACAGGCACCTGCCACCATGTCAGGCTACTTTTTTGTATTTTTAGTAGAGATGGAGTTTCACCATATTAACAAGGATGGTCTCGATCTCCTGACCTTGTGATCTGCCCGCCTCAGCCTCCCAAAGTGCTGGGATTACAGGTGTGAGCCACTGCACCCCGCCCAGGAACTCAATCTTACTGTGATTGAATAGTTAAATATTTATCAAGGTTTCATCTTTGTTGGCAAAATGTGCAATCATATCAAATTATGAACTAATTATTTGCTGAATTTGTATTGTTTAAACGTAGCACAGTCCAGTAACTTATTCAAAAATAAACAGAGCCAGACACAATAGCTCCGACTGAAGAAAGGAAGGACTAACTCCTGTGGCTGAGCTTGACAAACTCAAACCCCAGCAAGGGAGACATGTGCAAAAAGTATCATTTTGGCTTGTGCTTTTTGACTTTGAAATTATTTAGGATATGTTAGATTCAGAGTCCATTTCCTACCTCTAACATTAAATGAGAAGAGGAATATTCCCATGTATATTCATAATGTAATTGATGTATAGAATGGAACACTTCTTCCAGCATAATAAATGATACTGTCATTTCAAAGAAATTGATAGTGTCTAATAGCACCATTTTCTGATAGCTCTACATATTTCTCCACTATAACCAGTAGAAAACAATGGATTTGCTTCCACATTCCTGACTTAATTAAATCATATGAATATCTAGCATGAACTTAAATTGGAGAGATTATTTTATTATCTGTGCATGATCTATTTTATAAACTTTGTGTAATTAATATATTTTGTCTGGTGTCTCTGTCTTAATTATTTCTAGATCTATGAGGTAAGCTGATAGGCAGAATCATTTGCCTCATGGAGTAACGAGTGAACCTAAGATGCACAAGTAAAAGAGTATTTGCAATATAAACCTTAATAATATAACATCTGCCCTTATTATGCCTTCTTTAAGTGCTTACTTGTGCTATTCCTCCTAATTGTCATGTTTTGCCTTCCACACATACCATAGTTCTGTCATTCATTGTCTTTCATTAGTTTTAGTAAATTCATCACTGTTTTCTGTTTACATATATTATGGACGTTGCCCATGCTTTGCTTTCTGGAATCAAATCAAACTTGTTGTACTTTAAATATGTCTCATGGCTCTTGCATTATCTTTCCACTATTTTCCCGCATTTTTAAAATTAGCATTGCCATGATTATGTATATCATTACAGAATATTGGGCGGTTTCAAGATACAAAATTATAATTTTTTTCTTCCTTTTCTCAAAAATAATACAACCACAGCTCACTTTCCATTAATAACAGAAGTTATCTGACATATTATTTTCTATTATTTTATTTTTCAATCATTTTTAGATATATTGCTTTTTCAGTTTTCATATCTTTTCTATTAAGCAGAGAGTTAGGATATAATTTGAATCCACTTGCAGTACACTTTATGTGGATTTATCTCACTTAGTTTTATGACTATAATAGATATATTTTTTCCTAATATATTAGGAAATTTTGTTTAGTTTAGGAAATTGAAAATAGAACAAATACTCAAAGGCAAAAGGATGAATAAAATTTATATACCTGGCTAACAATTGGTCCAAAACATACAGCTTGTAAATAATAATAATAATAATAATAATAATAATAATAATAATAATAATAATGTCTTCAAGATCAAGTGCCTGAAAACAAGACTTTGGCTTCTCACGAGCTAAGATCTCAATTAGCGGCTGGAACTGAAACTGGATTTGGCATGGTGGGTCTTCTGCTAAGAAGGGAAAGCAGGTAAGGAATTTGGCATGAGGAAGTGAGAGATAAAGCCATAGGGCAAAACCTCATTGATGCCACCATGTTCGTTTTTTTCTGATTTATGCTGCTTAAAAGTTGGGTGGTCTAATGTTATTGGCCTCTCATACACTCTGGCCTTGGAAGATAATCTTGAATCATAGGAATGAAGAGAAAAGCAGGGGAAATAGATGCACAATGGAAATAGGATGACAATACGCAAAAGACAGGATAGATTCCTTTAGCTTTTAAAAAATAGTAAACATATGTTATAAAGGAGTTACACTTGCATTTAAAGGTTTTAAATAACATTTTCAAAAGCCTACTGAATTTAATATTTCTCAAATTTTTGTATATGATGTATTTGTTTTTATAGTGAGACTGTTCAAATAAGAGAAAGCAGTGACAGATATAAATATTCAAAACAAAAAAGTATTAATCTGGGCCACTGGATTTTGTAATATTCAGGATTAGTTTAGATAGTGTAGTTTAGATAGTGTAGAAAACAAATACTAAGATCAAATCAGCCTGGCGAAACCTATGAGATCTACTTTTTATTCAAAGAGTTGCTGTGGATTTAGCTTTTCAACGTATTTGGTTCGTATTGAAAGCAATTTTTCTATAACTTTAAAATCCATCTTCTTTTCTATTTCTCCCTCTCCCCCACCTCTCCATTTTCTGATAAACTCTTGAGATGAAACAATACATGGGAAGTAATGGGGCATAAGCCAAGTGTGCTGTGAAAGGGAACAAATCAGAAGGAATATTGCTTGAGGTCAGCATCTTATGTGTTCGTGATTTCTAGATCTGTGAGGTAAGCCGACAGGCAGAATCATTTGCCTCATGGAGTACCGACTGAACCTATCTAAGATGGACAAATGAAAGAGTATTTGCAATATAAACCTTAATAATATAACATCTGCCATGTTTCATTTATATTAACATAGGAAACATATAGTAATAACAGTAATGTAGCTTTAGGATAAATATACAATATTTCATGGCACTTATTGTGAAAAATAAAGATTAAGAAAAAAAGTTAAAAAAATCTTGTGTTCAGTAAAATAATACACACAATTTTCACCTTCAGGCCACCAGTTTGAATCAGACTCATTTTTGATAATGAAAATGTGTCAGTTTCAATGTAATTACTTTGCTTACTATATATTAGCTAACTGGATCTGTTCTTTGTGGAAATAAAATGCCCCCATTACAAAAATAGACAACGCAGATGAAAGATGTTCTTTCTTGATGACACTGGTGATTTTGTTAAATGCTGTATTTGTGCAGATTTAGAAACTGACTTCATGAACCCCATTCTATATAGATTTAAATGTTTCTTTATTTTATATATTTTCTGCTGGAAGTAAGTTTGAAAAATTAACTTGAAGTTGGAAATAATGAAGTATGTATCTGGAAATTTTTAATGCAAACTTTTGTGCATCTGTCAGATACATTAGAGAAAGAGAATTTTGTACAGGAGTGAAGCTGGGTGATAGAGATTATGATCCATTATTGGGGACATGAAGTTAAACAAGCTCCTAGAACACTGGCTCTGCTTAATCTCCTGAAAAAAAAAAAGTCTACAGTGACTGCCTAGTTTGAGTTTATGCCATGTAGGTTAAAATGTAAATCCCTATACTGCCTAGCATCACTCTTACCCCCAGGTGCACACATGCATGCTTTCACCATTCCTCTGAATTTACTTTGTACATTTATATGTCTTGAGCCTGCCTAACACATCTTACTGTTCATCTAATTCCTTTCCCCATAACCTTCTACCTATGTTTTTCTTTTTCAGACCAAATACTTGCTCGATGATAATGTCACTTAAAAACCCAATTAGAAATGTTTTTCTTTTCATTGGCCTCAGTGAGAATATAGTTATGATCTGGTAGAAAACAACAAAACAACAACAAAACATTTCAGACGATTCTTGGTCTTGCATCATTTTAGTTAGTTTCAGCTTATTGGATTGTGTTTAACTTGGCTGCCCCTTAACTAATTACTGCATTTGCTGGCATTGGCATGTCAACCTAAATTTGACATCTTGCTCCTTTTAATTTCTACTTATTTCAGGGACAAAGATTTTATTCCAAATAAACATTGCAAACAAGGAACTTTTTTTCAGTCATTGCATACCTTTCATTTAACATCTTGTTATTGTTTCTTCTCCATGGTTATTTTGTTGCCTTTTGAATATAGTTTCATTTTTATAACAATTTCGTCATGAAGCCGATAACAGAATTAAATTAATCACTTCTGGATTTGGCATTACATGCTATAGCATAATGTCCATTTACAATACAATATGGCACTTCTCTTTATAAAATTAAAATATTGGCACAATGTCATATTTTCAGTAAAGTAGATAAACATCAATATATTGTTTTATCCTATGATAAGCAGAAGACTAATTTGAGATTATTAATTAATGGCCTCTAATAGTTTTCCTTTGAAGTGAGGTAAATATATTTTTTAAATTATGTTTTGATAAGAATTGTTTATTTAGTGAATCTTATTTTACATATGGATACCCCAGGGTGCATCAGATTTTAAAAAAAAGAAAAATAATCTTCACTTTCTTATATTTAAGTTCAAATCATGCTGAGCTACTGTTTTACTGAGCTTGTATTACTTGTGTATACATTGGCTCATGTTAAAGTTCTTGGAATTAGTTCTTTTGCTCCAGTTTATGTATCATTTCAGTGACGTCTTATAAGCTGACAAGCTTTAAATTAAGCATCCTTAAGCTAATTTAGGCTTTGGTCCCACATTTCCATGAAATAGATTGGACATAATATCAATTGCATTCAGTCATCACTGATAACAAACATCTCAAATATTGTTAAACTATGTGTCTGTTCACCATCTTTTTACTGACAATGAAAATCATTGTCATGAACTTAGCAGTTCCAAGTATGTAATCAGCAGTATATGCAACTTAGTAACTAAAAACAATTAAATATATTCAATAGAAAATAAATATCACAGAGATTTGATGCCTACAATACAGTTAAAACAATGATTTTGATACATTTTTGAATTAATCAAAAATTATATCATTATTTCTGACTCCTGAATTCACATACATATATAATATATATCTACACATATATATAATACACATATGTATACATACACATGTATGCAATTTCAAATCCTTATGTAATTATGTTCTTATGTAACGTATGTCAAAACAATTTTAGTAATCCAACTATATATTACTTTGCAGCAAAAGTTTCTATATTCTTTAGAAAAATGTATGGATTGTAAATTTCTAAGTCTTAAATATTGAAAAGGACTACCACAATTATTCAAAAGATGATAAAAACATTAATAATTTTGAAAAGCAAAAATGAGAAAAATGGTGATTCTTTTCATTAATTAATATATCCGTGATCAAAATTACTTATTTCTAAATAAATTAGGGGACTACATTCATTTTCTATTATTCTTTTTGTAGTTGTAAGTACTTATACACTTTGTTTATATAAACAAGTTATATATAAGCAAATGTGAATGGACTTTTGTTATTAAAATTCACCTAATTTTTGAACATGGTTTGGGTTGAATGCCATAAATCACAGTGATCTACTGTCAAAAGTTATTTTTAGATAAAAAGGTTTTTTAAATTTCTCTTTTAACTGACAAAAATTTTATATGTTTATTTTGTATAATGTGTTGTTCTGAAATATGTATACATTGTGAAATGGCTAAATCTAGATAATTGGTATGTGCATTATCTCACATGCTTACTATTTATGGGATGAGAACACTTAAAATCTATTCTCTTAGCAATTATCAAGAATATCATACATTATTATTAAATATAGTCACCATATTGTACAATAGATTGAATTAATTTCTCCTACTCAACTGAAACTTTGTATCATTTGACCAGTATCTTTTCAATGCCACCCTTCTCCTCCTCTGATAATCACCATTCTATTTTCTACTTCTATGAGTTAATTTTTTTTTATTATACTTTAAGTTTTAGGGTACATGTTTAGATTCCAGATGTAAGTGAGATCATGTGGTATTTGCCTTTAGTGTCTGGCTTATTTCATTTAACATAATGTCCTCCAAATTCATCCATGTCATCACAAATTACAGAATTTTCTTCTTTTATAAGGCTGAATCATATCCCATTGCATGTATGTGTGTGTGTGAGTGTATACACACATACACATTACGTTTTCTATATTCATTAATCTGCTTCAGGACAATTAGATTGATTCTATGTCTTGGCTATTGCGACTAACGTTGTAATAAACAGGGAGAGCGTATATCTTTTTGAAATACTGATTTCATTTCCTTTGAATATGTACCCAGTAGTGAGATTGCTGGTCAGTGGTACTATTTTTAACTTTTTGCAGAATGCCTATACTGTATTCTACAACAGTGGCACTAGTTTATATTCTCACAAATAGTGTGCAATGGTTCCGTTTATGCCACATCCTCACCAGCACTTGTTATTTTCATCTTTTTGATAATAGCCTTCTAACAAGTTTCTGGTGATAACTTACTGTGATTTTAATTTGCATTTTCCTGATGATTAGTGACGGTGAACATAAACCCGTTGGTTATTTAATGCGTTCTTTTGAGAAATGTCGACTCATATCCTTTGCCCATTTTTTGTTTCCTATAATACTATTGAGTTGTTTGAGTTCCATAGCTATTTTGGATATTAAAACCTTATCAGATGTATGGTTGGCAAATCTTTTTTTCCATTCCATAGGCTGTCCCTTTACTCTGTTGATTGTTTTCTTGGTTGTGCAGAAGCTTTTTTTTTTTTAGTTTGCTGTAATCCCACATGTCTGTTTTTGCTTTTGTTGCCTGTGCTTTTGGGTTTATATCTAAAAAATCATTGCCCAGACAAATGTCAGATCGTGCCACTGCACTCCAGACTGGGCAACAAGAGCAAAACTCCATCTCAAAAAAAAAAAAAAAAAAAAAAAAGAATAGTACTGGAGGAAGAAAGAAACAGAGGATGATATCTAAAGACTAGAAAGCTGTTATCAGTCCTGAGAAATATGTAATCAGAATGTAGTTTTGGTATTGTGTCCATTTAAACAGTATAAGGTGTATTGAAAGTAAATTTGGCACTTCCTTTCCTTCCTTCCTATTTCTTTTCTTTCTTTCTTTCTTTCTTTCTTTCTTTCTTTCTTTCTTTCTTTCTTTCTTCCTTCCTTTCTTCTTTCTCTTCTTTCTTTCTTTTTTCCTTTCCTTCTTTCCTTTTAGTTTTTCTTTTTCTTTCTTTCTGCCTTTCTTTCTTTCTTTTTTTTCTTTCTCTCTTGCTGCATTTCGTTTCCTTCCTTCCTTTCTTCCTTCCTTACTTTCTTCCTTTCTTCATTCCTTTTTTCCTTCCTTTCTTTTCCTCTGGAGGGGAGGAATACTGTGCCCTCTAATGGTGGAAGTTGGAAGGCAAGCTTTAGAACCTGTTTGAAGCCTCTTTTATAAGGACCTTACTGTCATTTATGAGGCAGGTGCCCTTTTGGGCTAATAATCTCTTACACGCCCTATCTCTAAATACTACCACATTAGCAACACTTGAATTTTGTAGGGACACATTCAAACCACAGCACAGAAATTTTCTGTTAAGCTGGCATTTGAGAAAAAAATTGAGGAAATATAATACAGCAATTTGATATTGCAGAAAGAAATTTTCAGACAGATAATAAACTTAATGGAAAAATTCCTGAGACAGTAACTTGACTGGCATTTTCAGAGAACAAGGAGGTCAGAATAATTAGAGTAGTGTTACTAAGAGAGAGAGGGTTAAAAGATGTAGTCAAAGAGATGGTGGGTGGAAGACGATTTCAGACTATGGAAGTCCTTATTCACCATTGGTAGAAATTTGCATTTTGTTCTCATTAAGAGGAAAAGAAAAAGGATAGTGTTGAACAGTAAAATTGCCCAATAATCCTCATCTCCTTTTCGTAATCCTATTATCTCTTATGCAGGCTGGACCTAGTGAATTGTTTCTAACAAATAGAACATGATAAACATGATGGAATATCATTCCAGAGTCTGAATCTTCAAAACTTACAGCTTTCAAAATCTGCGAACATTTTTAGCACAATAACCCTAAAACAAATCTTATGAACATCGTCCATATCACAGTTTTCCAGAAAGATTTCCAATAAGTGTCTTTGAAGCAGTCCCTGCTCACCGATTGGAAGCTCTACTATTTCTGGAAAAAGCACTCACAGACTCACTGTTATTTCAACTCCACACATCACTCTGACTGTTCACATATGGCTGCTAAATGATCAGGACACCTTTAACAAAAATCTTATTTCCAAGGAAAGGTCAGGGTTGAGAAATAGAAATCATTTTAAAGGGATATTTCTAGACTTATTCATAATGAAGGCATAATTTATCAATCTTCAGTGGCTGGCATGGTATCTTTAATTTAAAAAATACTTTCCTCTGAAATAGGGACTTAGATAATTGTATACATTGCAAAAGCTGAACTAGTCAAAATTGTTGAGCTCACATTCCTATTAAAGGTGCTGTCTGATATCTAAAGAAAACTACCAAAAGCTTTTTTATTGCTATCTGAAAGTATTAGAAACTGTCATATTACTTCCAAAAACAATAAAAATATTTAATAAAATGTTTCCTGGAATAGTTTGACATAAATCTGATTTACTTTTGGATTACATTATAATTATATTGTAGATTTTTTTTTTTTTACTTAAAGGTTTTCACCAAAAAAAAAAAAAAATCCCGTTCCTGAAAACCTAATTGTGAAGCTTCATATATTGGCATAATTAGGCCAAAACTCTAATTAAATATGAAGTGATATAAATGACCCTCACATGAACCTAATGTACAAAGATATTTATGCCAATACTGCCAATAGGGTGCATTAATAGGACAAGTTCTCATTTTTAATAAGTAATTTACTGCTCTTTAATAAATATTTGTTTCCTTTTCCAATAGAGTAAAATGTGTAAAGAGATCAAATCAGTATACAATAGCTTCCTCACAACAATATGCTCAGGAACAATTGGCTTCACTGCTGAATTCTATCAAACATCTGAAGAATTAACACCAATCCTTTTCAACTTTTCCAAACAATTGAAGAGGAAGAAATAGTTTCCAATTCATTTTATGAGGTCAGCATTATTACACTGCTACTAAAGTCAGACAAGGACACTATAAGATGAGAAAATTACAAGTAATTTTCCTGATGAACATAGACACAAAAATCCTCAAAAAAATACTAGCAAACCAAATTCAATGGCAAATAAAAAGGTTCACGCCCCTTGATCAAGTGAGATTTATTCCTGTAGTTTAAATATTTAAACATAAGACCTGAAACTCTAAAACTGTCAGAAGAAAATTTAGGAAAAAAGCTCCATGACATTGGTTAATAATTTTTTTTTGGATATAAACCCCAAAACACAGACAACAATAGCAAAACCAGACAAATAGAATTATACCAAAGGAAAAGCTTTGGCTCAGCCAAGAGAGAAAAAAAGTTAACAGAGTGGAGGGACCTCTACAGACTGCATGAAAATATTTGCAACTTATATATCTGACAAAGGGTTAATATCCAAAATACTAAGGAAATCAAGCAACTCAATAGTAGAAAAACAAATAACCCTATTAAAAATAGACAAAGGACCTGAATAAATATTTCTCAAAAGAAGACATACAATGGCCAGGAAGTACATGCTCAATATCACTAATCATCAGAGAAATGCAAATTAAAAATCACAATATCACCACATACCTGTTAGAATGACTACTATTAAAAGATGGAAGATAAAAAGTGTTAGTAAGGTTGTGAAGAAAAGGGAAGCACTGCACATTGTTGGTGGAAATGTAAATTAGCACAGCCGTTACAGGAAAATAATATGGAGGTTTCTCAAATATTAAAAGTAGAACCACTAATTCTACTACTGACACATATTAAGAGAAAATAAATTCCGTATGTTAAAGAGATATGTCCACCCCATTCTCATTCAGCATTATTTACAGTATTTGAGATATGGAATCAACCTAATTGTCTAGAAACGGATGGATATAGAAAATGTGGTATATATACATAATGAAATCATATTCAGTATTTTTAAAAAGGAAAACTCTATCATTTGCGACAACACCGATGAACCTAGAGGACATTTTGTTAAGCGAAATAAAACTGGCACAGAAAGACAAATAATGAATAATCTCACCTATATGTGGAATGCAAAAAAGTCAAACTCAGAAGTAGACAAGGAATGATGGTTACCAGGGGCTGAGCAGAAGGAGTTGAAGAGATGTTCAAGAACTGATACAAAATATGAGTTAGGAGAAATAAGTTCAAGAGATAAATATTGTACAATATGGTGACTACAGTATATAACAATGCACTTTGAAACAAAATTTAAATAAAATTATTTTTGCATATATGTTCATGAGTGTTTTTCAGCTCTCTTTTTTCTTGCAGTGTCTAAGTCTAGCCTTAATATTAAGGTAATACTAATTTTATAGAATGAGGAGAGGTATTCTTTCTTCTATTTTGTAAAATAGGTTGTGAAGGATTATTATTATTTATTATTTACATGTTTGCTATAATTCACTATTCAATTCATAAATAAAAGAAACAAAGTTGTGGGCTTCTTTTTTTATCAGCATGGGGGAAGATTTTAAATAATATTCCTATTTATTATATTTACTCGTTATAATCAGATTTTCTTTGCCCTCTTGGTCGATATTTGATAATTTATGTCATTCTAGGAATTTGTTTATTTAATCTAAGTTGTCTAATCTGGTATCCTAAATGTTTGGCACTTCTGTGATCTATTTCGATACCACCTTTTATTTATTTATTTTTTCCAATCCATGACAAGTGGAGTGCCCCTGGCTTAAAAAATCACGGAGGATAAGGGTTCATAGCACAGGCGTGACAGTTTGGGATCCTTCACCAAGTAAGTCACTGAGACCTGCAGAGGTGTTTGCTAGCCGAGTGTGATTAGCATCCAGAATGGGTAGTAGGAAAGGGAGATGAATACCAGTTGTGGCCTTAACAAGAAGCAGCAGAGGGTGGAGAAGTTTGTCACTTTATCCTTCCTGTCACCTAACCACTCCCTTAAGAAAACATGATCACCATAATCCTCTAAGAACGATTCCCAGAGCTTATTTGAAGAAGTAACGCTCATGACTGCTCCTATATTTAAAATTTTTATATTGCTCAGCAGGGATTCTGATAGAATTCTTCAAGTTAACAATTTCCTTTTCCAGTGCTCGTTATTCATTATACATTTCAAGAGTTAAATAGGTAAATCTGTGTACATGGTTTGAATGTAAAAACACCTAAAGACTGAAAAATTAATAATGGTCTTCAAGCTAGTTTCAATATTTCTGTAAGATAGAACAATTTAAAAATTGTATTATAAATGTCAAATAGTTTATTCTCTTGTTCAGAATACTATCAATTAGATGTGATGACAGCTTTTACCTTGTGCTACTCAGGGGCTCTGGTTGGCATTACAAACAAAACAAAAAAGAAAAATAAAGTTATTTCAAAGCACAGAGCATTCTGGTCTGACTACATTTTCCTTAAAACACACCTTGATATGCCAATAAGTTTAATTAATATAGTATATGAGATATAATCCTAATTTTTTAAAACAAACTAAAAAATAAAGAAAATACTATATGTATGCATTTGTATGACTATTTTCTATGAGTCAAGTTTGCAAATTAATTTATAATCCCAGAAAAAAGCATGGAAGATTTAGTAATAGAGTGCTATTGAGTTACAGTAATAGAGTACTACTAAGGGAGGAGATGGAGAAAAAAATTAAACTGTTTTTCAAATATCTCTTTATGTACTATTTTATTTGTTATAATATATTCTCAGGTATTACTGATACAGATATTACAAGCAAAAGATTAAGGATACAGTGAAAATAGTAAAATGCCACTATTATTTTTGGGAGGCTTAGACAATCACTATTATATATCTATATATCTAAGTCATTAAGTTCAAACATTGTGAAAAAAATTATAGAATATTGGTTCTTTGGAACTGTGGGACAAGGCATTTCCTATTAATTTTTTATATGTATTAAACCAACCAGCACATGTATTGTTTGAATTTCATATATTTAAGATAATAATGGTTTTTCAAAGCTTGTTGCAAACTACAGTCCTCATTCCTCTCTGAAATCAACGATGGGAAACAGTAATGCTGTCTGCCTCTTATTATTTTCAGCATAGATTTCTTCATCCATTTTACTAGCCAACAGGAAAGTTTTCCACTGAGCTACGTTCAACATCTCAGTATTGACTCAGACTTGACTCCTCTCCATCCAGTATATTGGTTTGTACCTACAATACATCTTGCTCTCCAAGAATCCATAAATCAGAACAGAACTTATTTCATTTCATCCTTGTGTTACCAGCAGGTATCATAGTGCCAAAATATTGTAGATTTACAAAGTGAACATTGTGTGTTAAACACTATCTTAAGTAGTTTTTATGTACTTCCACTAATTTTTTAAAAAACGGATTAGTCAGTTATTATCCCCATTTTTCAGATAGAAACACTGAAGCCCAGAGAGGTTAGGTCACTTTTTAAAGTAAAAGAACATAATACAGAGCCAAGATTTAAGCCTAGACAATTTGACACCAGATCTCTACATTATACAGTCTTACTTGTGTTCTATTAGAAACTTCAAAGGGAGGCTGAGAACAAAAACGAATTATTGGGAACAATGTGGTTATTTCCAATAAGATAAAGAAAACTTTACCTTATTAATATAAGAATTGTAGTTTATTTCTAAATGTCAAAGATATAAAGTGCCCTTTATTAAGAGGTCATAGCAGATCTAAATAAAGTTATGTCAATGAGGCTTTAAGAAAAAACAATGTACAGACTTCATATGTCAGAAATTGTAATCTGGAATTTCCAGTATCAGCTTTATTGTATTTTATTTTTACAGCACATATATTCATTATGATGCAGTATACAAAACTCAATTAAATTGTGCCTATTTAACTATATTTCATGCACGGATGCTTTGTTTACCTTCTTGTACTATTCCCTTAGTTGTGATTTTCAGTTTGGAACATGTAATTTTTTTTTCTTTAACTCAGGATCTCACTTTGTTGCCCAGGCTGGAGTACAGTAGAATGATCATAGCTCGCTGCAACCTCAATCTCTTGGGCTCAGGTGACCCTCCCACCTCAGCCTTCTGAGTAGCTGGGACTACAAGCACAAACCATCATATTTGGTAAGTTTTTATTCTTTAGTAGAGACAGAGTCTCGCTATGTTGCAGAAGCTGGTATTGAACTCCTGGCCTCAAGAAATTCTCCTGTCGGCCTCCTGAGTTGCTGTGCACATCTAATCTTAAACGTCATGGATATCATCTACTTCCTTCACTTCACCTTATTTTTACTATTCTAACATATATATATATATATACACACACACACACACACACATGTGCATGTATATATGTATATATACATACAAAAAGATATACATACATTCATATATATTTTTTTGTGTGTATATATATATAGCAATGATATGAGCAAAGATCATTTCTTAATTTGGAGAAATAAGTGGTCAGAGATGTGAGATATCTGCAAGATGAAAGATGAAAGAAAAACGAGAAAAAACAAGTAATTAAACCATCATTTAAATGGGAGGAATGATTAGGGAAGAGAAGCTGAGTAGATTGCATATGAAAGTTCCAAATTAACATTCCCCTGCTCTGCATCTTTGGACTGTTTCCACTACAGTTTTGTAGTTTGTAGTTCAGCAACCATGATAATCCCTGGTATCTTGTTAGAAATGAAAAATCTCAGGATCAAAACTACTGACCAATACCAATAATTCATATGCACATTAGAATTTGAGAATATGTAAAATTTTATCCTTATTGAGTTTAGGCTATTTTGGTTTTCAAGCTTCAGTTAAAATGCCATGAAGACTCATAACCCTCAGTCATATCTTTTCAACAGCTACGTGAGATAGCCACAGACAAGCAAGGCAGCCATAAAACCAGCATGACTTAAATTTGCCTTTACTCTGTGTATTCTTTCTAGGGCCAGCACATGCAGCAGCAACTCATTACAATCTTTTAAACTACTGTGTCACCACACTATCCAAGTGCCTCAGACATTTGGTTTCTCCCATCACCTTGTCTTCCACTTGGATTTCATCTCATGCCACTCTGTGGATGGTTTAAAGTGTCCATTTTCCCCAGTAAGGAGGTAACCCATGAACTCTTCAGATGTGTAAAACCGAAATCTCAAAATTCTATTTTCAAGGACTGTTTCCTGGGTCACTAAAGATACCATCTAATATATTGGTGGAGCCCCAAGATGCCAATAAGCGTATCTTCCAAGAGGTGATTGAACATAGTATAATGAAGGGACCACTTTCAAAAGTGTAGACAAGGTTAAGGGAAGCAATAGGCATGGTGGAGCACCCTAGTTGTGGTAACAGCTAGCTCGGTACCTGAGGAGACAAGGTAAGGGAGTAGTTACCAGAACCCAGTCTAATTTAATAAAGGAAAACGGCCATTGAAGAACTGTTGTAGGCAGTAAATGAGCCACAGAAATGTATGAATCATCTCTTCTTCCTCTGAGATCCTGCTACGAAACTCAATTCCTGCTGAGAAAAAGTAAGAGGGTACATTTTTGGAGGACATAATTCAAAGAGTAAGAACAAGGTGGACAACTCTGGATATCGGGTCTAGAGAGAGGAATAAAAGAATATTCCAGAAAAACTATGCGTTCTCCAATATCAATCCACTTATTGAGCTTTTAAAACCATTTTATTTTAAGTATTATATTTTTCAGACTTCACATTTCCACCTGGCTTTTTAAAATATTATTGTTCTTGTTACATGTGAATATCTTGTCTTACATCTCTATCTTATACATCAGATATACTTAAGTTTGTGTTTTATCTCTTTCATTATCTTTATCATTAGTTAAATGTTAGCATGTTGTGTTTCTCATGCATCAGTTGTACTTTAGAGATATCTAGGAGCTTAGCTTGTGGGCTCACATTTCTTTCACCATCAGTTACTCTGTAAATAATAAATGTCATGCAATGGCTAATGGATAGATTCTAGTCCAGCCTTTGGCCCATTAGTGACATAAGAAGTATGTAAGCATTGTCTCTCAGTGTATCCCAGGCATCCAAGATACACTGCTAATTAATCTACCACAGAAGACCTCTGGATAGGCGCTATGGTTTGAATGTATCCCTACAAAATTCAAGCGTTGAAATATAATGTTTAACATGATAATATTAAGAGGTGGGGCCTTTAAGAGCTGATTAAGCCATGAGGGCTCCTCTCTCCTGAATGGGATTAAAATCTTTATAAAAGAGGTCAGTGAATACACAGTGTTTAATTCACTCTCTTCTGTTCTTCTGCCACATGAGGACCCTGTGTTATTCAGACAATGCAACAAAAAAACACCATCTTAGAAACAAAGAGCAGCCTTCATCAGCCAACTGGACCTGCCGGTGCCTTGATCTTGGACTTCCCAGCTGAGTGAACTGTGAGAAATAAATTTCTATTCAATATAAATTATCCAGTCACAGATTTTTTTCATGGCTGTGCGAATGGATTAAAACAATAGGTTCTGTCTTTAGAGCATGAGGAAGAAGCACCAGTACAGTAGACAAACCCCTTAAGTTTTAATCTGTGAGCTCTAATTTTCAGGAGAAGGCAATGTGGAAATGAATGCTTAAGAGAAGTACCTGTTGCATCAATTCCTTGTCCTGATAGAAATTTGTGCTACATTGATCTTACCCCTCAGGTATGAGCCTTAGTGGCTGCACATATCTATAAAGTGGAAGCTGATGAACACTACAAGGAAATATGGGAAGGGAGGAGAACATAATTTTATGACTTACTGACCTATCCACTCAACTCTTGGATATAAACAACTCCCATTCCTACTCCCAAGACAAGCAGCCTTACTGTTTTCAGGAATTCAGCCAAATGCACGATAGAGACCACTTAAAAGTTAATTTTGATAAAGTTTAATAAATGCATTTTGAGTAATTCAGGATTTTATGGGCCCAGAGAGAAGGGTCACCTAATGCTAACTAGAAACATCAGGGAATATTTTCGGGAGGAGGAAATCTATATCCCGAGAACTAAGCAATACGTGATTTCTTTCCTGCTGCCCTGCTACGTTTGAATGGTTCTCTGCTCAATGCACTACATGATTTAGAATTGACTTTTTCTATACAATAGAAAGTTTAAATTGGTAACCTCTGCTCCTATTGTAACTAACTGAAAAAGTTTATGTCTTGGAAACTAAACTGGCTCCCTGTTGGCAGAAACCTCTTGACCTCATTCCACGTGTTTATAAATACACAAGTGTATCTTGAACAGATAATAATACAATTTTCTCCACAGGGCATGTTTGCTTCTATCAGTTTAGGCTATTTTCAAATTTTATTTTTAGGGAAAACAAAGTCCCCAAATTAAATAATTTGTTTGCTTTTCCTATAAGATATAGTTTTCCTTTCTTAGGGGTCAGCTTTTCTGAAATAAATCCTGTCTCTAACACAGCCTGCTTCATACATGAAATCCTTTACTGCTATTTTGTATCTGCTTAAACATGAACCCAAATGTCCACTGTTTTTTATGACTCTGTACAATAAACTTCATATAACTGACAATGCTGAGAAATGGCTCTACCCATCCCTTTTCCTTCTGGCCCTTAAAAAGGGGTAATTAGAGTATAAGATTTCAGGGCAAATACAAACAAATAAACAAAAACTTGGCTGAATGTATTATATTTTGGCTGCGCATCCTACCTAAAAATAAGTACATCTATTATTTAGTATTTATCTATGAATTTTGCACCCTTCAAAGTTTGAGAACATTGTCACATTATATTTGATTATTTAAAAGATATTGCCTTTTAATGTTCTCTAACCCACTCCTACCTTTGCTGTTAGAAGGAAACATCAAAGGGAGTGACTATAAATGAATCTCTAATCTCACATTAATTAATAAGCAAAGATCACTTAAGTTTTCTTTTATTCATTTATGTATTTTGTGTTTGAGACAATCTTTTTGTGTCATCCAGGCTAGAGTGCAGCAGCATGGTATTAGCTCACTGCAACCTCTGCCTCCTAGACTCAAGCAATTCTCATGCTTCAGCCTCCTGAGTAGCTTCGATTACAGGCATGTGCCACCACAGCTAGTGTAATTTTTCTATTTTTAGCAGAGACAGGCTTTCCCCATGTTAGCCCGGCTGCTTTTGAACTCTTAGCTTCAAGTGATCAGCCCACCTTGGCCTCCCAAATTGCTGGGATTATAGGCGTGAGCCACCATGCCCTGCCAACATAACATTTAACATATTTATTCTTCCTATACATTTGCATAGTTCAGTCATGAATAAAAACTACCGTTATCAAACATTTAGTGTATCCGCAGTGCTATAGTATGTGGTTAGATCATAGTATATGACGTGCCAAAACTGGCTTGTACTGATCGCACATCCAATTGTTAATTTTCAGAGATTTTGTGAGCTGGTAGAGGTCACATTAGTAGCTTAAAATCAACCATGTTGGGAGTCCTTATACCATGGAAATCAGCAATACTACAGATCACAGCTTTTTTTTTTTTTTTCTGGAAAGCTAGTTGTTAGACATTTACCAGAGCATCACTGTGTTTGTGTGTGTCTGTGTGTGTGTGTGTGTATAACTAACTTTCCAGAAAAAAATATACACATATATTTGTGTATGTATATATGTGTGTGTGTATGTTATATACATATACACACATATATGTGTATTTTGTATACATATATACACAAATATGTATACATATACACATATATGTGTGCGTATACATAAACACCCATATATCATTTATGTCTAATAAAATCTACAAGTCAGGCATTATATTCTTCATTTTTTAATGATGAAAATAAATCGTTTTTATTATAAAACTAGCAACTGTAGAAAAACCAGGGTACATATGCTGTAAATGCTTTGAAAATCAAGAAGATTTCAAATGCTTTGAAAATCAGGCTACATTATGCATACTCATGATATTAACAACAAAACGTTAGAGAGACCACTGAGGCAAGGTTATTTCCTCATTTCAATAGTGTGGCATACAATTTAAAATTGCACACCACTTTAAATCCTATCTGACAGATTGTGGTTGTCTTTCTATTGTTTTTGTTCTTTGACGGCAGAAACTCCAAGGATCTTTCTGTACCCCTACTTGATTCAAAAATTGGTATTCAGTGAATAACTGTTAAATCAATTCATAAATGTAGATTTTCAACCCATATGGAAAATGCATAAAGTTGTCTTTGGACATGCTCCTTGAAGGGAATCCAGAGAAACTGAAATGTTTTCATAATTGAAGCTGTTTTCTTAAGCAATTAAGGGTTAGAGAAGAATATAATCGTAGCTATTTTCAATCTCCCTAGCAGTTACCAAAAAACCTTGGAGAAATGTGATACTGATGGGCATTAAGAAATGGAACAGACTCTTTGTCTACATCTGGGAAATGAAAATGATTATCCTGAACATAAACAATAATGAATTCAGAGAGACTAACCTTGAAATAATGTGAGTAGGCTGAAGGCAAATAGAATGATACAAATAATTCAAGAAACATTTATAAATAAGTCAGAGGGCAGGTTTAAAATGCAAAATGACAAAATCAAGAAATGCAAACCGATAAAGTCTCCCTTTTCCCCCTTTGTCTGAAAAGATATATGAGGAAATAGTGAAGAAATTGGTTTTGAGATTCAAGAAGGTTAGCCATTTTTTTTTCTAGTCAACCTCTATTTTATTTTTTTTCTTCTTCCTTGAATGTAAGCAGATATTTGCTTGGTTGAAGACAAATAAACCTTTCTTTCTCTCTTTTCTTTCCTTTTCTCCTTCCCTCCTTCCTTCCCTCCCTCCCTCCCTTCCTTCCTCTCTCTTTCCTTCCTTCCTTCCTCCCTTCCTTCCTCCCTCCCTCCCTCCCTCCCTCTCTCTCTCTCTCTTTCTTTCTTCTTTCTTCCTTCCTTTCTTTGTTTTCTTTTTTTTTTTTTTTTGTATTTCTGGGCATTGTATCTAATGGAAATCTCACCATTGTAAAGGAATCCACTGAATGAAGGGAAGTGTCCACCATGTTCTTCTGAATTTTAGCAGGGGTTGTTGAATAAATGCAGGTTCCTCACTCTCTTTGGGGAGTGGAATTTAAAGTTGTTTACAATTTTTAAATATCCCATCAAGAGAAACACATCTGGGCTGCTTCATAAAGCATCTGACGACATGGATCAAATCCAGTAATGGAATAATCCTCCATTAATATTTATAATCATCATTTAATAGAGTATTCACTTGAAAAAGAATTTTTCTGGAATCTCTGAGTCCTCTTTACTTGGCTTGTCTTCTCTCCTCATCTTCATACAGTCTTTCCCTTGTGGATCTGGGTGCTAAGTTTTTTCTTCTTATAGGAACACCAGCCATATTGAAATAGACACACCCATGTGACCTCATTTTACTTTAATTACCTCTTTATACATCCTATCTCCAAACACAATTGCATTCTGAGCTAGTGAAGGTTAGAATATCAAATTATGAATTTGTGGGGGAGGGGAGCAAAATTCAACCCACGACAGTTTTCTATGGTCAAATTATTTTGATTTTATTTTGTTTTATAATTTTTAATTTTTGGAGGTACATAGTTGTTGTATATATTTATGGAGTATATGAGAAGTTTTGATACAGGCATGCAATGTGAAATAATTCCATCATGGAGAATGAATGGGGTATTCATCTTCTCAGGCATTTGTCCTTTGTGTTACAAACAATCCAATTACATTCTTTTAGTTACTTATATATATATATCATTAAGTCACTATTGACTATAGTCATCCTGTTTTGCTATCATATAGTAGGTCTTATTCATTCTTTCTATTTTTTATACCCATTAAACATCCCCACCTCTCCCTGAGTCCCCCACTACCTTTTCCAGTCTCTGATAACCATCCTTCTGCTTTCTATGTCAGTTATTCATACATTTCACATGCATTGAAATTAACTTATTTCTGTCTCAAGCTAATTTATTCTGTATATATTATGTCAATAAATAAAACCTACAAATGTTGTTTCTGGTTGATTTACCATTAGAGATGGTGTTGGCTGCTGGCAAGAGAAGGGTTTGCAAATGGAAAATGTTGACTCTCAGTTATTCATATTAGCCTGTTTGGTTTCTGAGTACGAAAGATAATTTACAAACCTTACACTTACAATGTATTATAACATCATTAGCATTATTGTCTTTGAAAGAAAATTCATCAAATTAAAAATAATTAGCCTTATTTCTGATAATATTTTCAAAATGACCTCATTAATAATTTTCAGTAGATGACAATCAAGAGTTTATAAAGCCTTTCCAAACACACACACACACACACACACACACAAACATGTATGTTCCAACACACTATTTTTTTCCCTAAGAACACTTTCAAGAGCTTTCTTCTGGTTCTCAAGATAGATATTGACTTAAAAATTATTAGATGTGATAAAGCTGGTATCTGAATCAGGGCTCTGAAAAGTAATAATCCCTGTACTAGAACATTTACATAACCGGTGGTCCTTGACTCCACAGACTCAAAAATGATCTTTAGTCTTTGCAAGGAGATAATTATTGGTCTTTTAAAATCTGCTTCATATCAACTAAATTCAGAAATGCTCAATATATGAACTATAATTTCAATTAATTATTTATCTTGAAGGAGAAAGTTGGCTAATGGATTATATGGTTGTGAAAAACTTTTCTCCTTGAAGGAATTCCAATAAGAAGACATCCTTTAATCAAGTGTTTGTGTGAGTTAGCTCAGATTCAGGGCAAGTGTATTTGGGCATCTGGTAAATTGTTAATGCTAGTGGTATCAAACTATAACTCAGTGTTTCACTAATCAATCAATTATAAAATATTGACTTAGTGCATACTCAGTGTTAGTTACTGTGCTAGGTTTGGGGATATAGCCAGAGTGATACATTCCTCACTAGTACATCACTTCAGTGATGTGTTTACACAGGGTTAGAGAAAGACATTGAAGTGCAAGTCACAGAGCATGAATGGCTTTGCCTGGTCAGAGGAGATTCCAGATCTAGATAAGCTCTCCCAAAACTTGTACTGGATGCTAACCATTTTCCAATTGTTTCTGGCAATCTTTAAATATTTTGGTGAATATACTACAGTCAAATTCTGCATTTCCTATTTGTCTCTTTACAGATTATATTTCTAAATATAAATTGTAATTTATCTGAAAGAATTTTGAGTATTCTATAATTTTGCCTAAAGTAAAAATGTATATATGAATGAAGTTGAAGAGATTAATATGTTCTTTATTTCTGGTAGCTATGTATTAACAAGCTAAAAGTGCCAAGTAATATTTGCAGAATGCGTTGTATTCTGGCTATATGTTATAATACTTTAGGTAATTCTGTCATAATCCTTTTCTTCCATATTATGAACACATTGAGGGCCAGGGAATTTGTCCTAGTAACCATTGAGCACACAGCATCTGGTATGGTGCTGGTGAGAATATGTTGGATGATTTCCATTGAAAGGTTTATTCTTTCTGCTATTATTTTACAGAAAAATAAAGCATTCAAATATTATATTAGAAAAGGGACTTTAAAAATAATGTCATGCCATTTCCTAATTCTAGAAATCTTTCTAAAAGTATCTCAGATAGATGATCACAAATTCCTGTTTATTGAAAAGAGAATGACTTTAACATTTTTTCTTTACAAAGGCAACAACTGATCACACTAATAATTCAAACAATATAGTCATTTTCACGATATTGATGATTCCTATCCATGAGCATGGAATGTTCTTCCATTTGTTTGTGTCCTCTTTTATTTCATTGAGCAGTGGTTTGTAGTTCTCCTTGAAGAGGTCCTTCACATCCCTTGTAAATTGGATTCCTAGGTATTTTATTCTCTTTGAAGCAATTGTGAATGGGAGTTCACTCATGATTTGGCTCTCTGTCTGTTATAGGTGTATAGGAATGCTTGTGATTTTTGCACATTGATTTTGTATCCTGAGACTTTGCTGAAGTTGCTTATCAGCTTAAGGAGATTTTGGGCTGAGACAATGGAATTTACAAAGAACTCAAACAAATTTAGAAGAAAAAAAAACAAACAAACCCATCAAAAAGTGGGCAAAGGATATGAACAGACACTTCTCAAAAGAAGACACTTATGCAGCCAAAAGACACATGAAAAAATGCTCATCATCACTGGCCATCAGAGAAATGCAAATCAAAACCACAATGAGATACCATCTCACACCAGTTAGAATGGTGATCATTAAAAATCAGGAAACAACAGGTGCTGGAGAGGATGTGGAGAAATAGGAATACTTTTACACTGTTGGTGGGACTGCAAACTAGTTCAACCATTGTGGAAGACAGTGTGGCGATTCCTCAAGGATCTAGAACTAGAAATACCATTTGACCCAGCCATCCCATTACTGGGCATATACCCAAAGAATTATAAATCATGCTGCTATAAAGACACTTGCACACATATGTTTATTGTGACACTGTTCACAACAGCAAAGACTTGGAACCAATTCAAATGTCCATCAATGATAGACTGGATTAAGAAAATGTGGCACATATACACCATGGAATAGTATGCAGCCATTAAAAAGGATGAGTTCATGTCCTTTTTAAGGACATAGATGAAGCTGGAAACCATCATTCTCAGCAAACTATCGCAAGGACAAAAATCCAAACACTGCATATTCTCACTCATAGGTGGGAACTGAACAATGAGAACACTTGGACACAGGAAGGGGAACATCACACACCGGGGCCTGTTGTGGGATGGGGGGAGGGGAGAGGGATAGTATTAGGAGATATATCTAATATAAATGAAGAGTTAATGGGTGCAGCACACCAACATGGCACATGTATACATATGTAACAAACCTGCAAGTTGTGCACATGTGTCCTAGAACTTAAAGTATAATAACAAAATAATAATTCAAACAATATAAAGATATATAGGGAAAATAAATGATCTACCTTCTTCAGTCTAGAGATGATAGTTTTTAATATTCACATTGTAATCAAGAGAAAAATTAAATGCATATAGGATAAATAGGGGTTTTCTTATGATTTCTTTATACTATCATGTTTTACTGCCTCCTAAAACAATAATTCCAGATACTTCTTTCACCAATTTCTTCTCCCTTTTTCCCGATATTGGTTAGGCAGTCATTATTCAAAATGCATCTTTTATAACTAACTCTCTTCTCCCATTATTCCAAATCACATTAATTGTCATTCTGAACATATAACAGATTTATTGCAATAACAGCTCCTTTTGGTAAGTATGCTAGAGCAAGCAATCTTTTGGAATAACTAGAAAAATTGCTGTGATCATTATGAAAATCACGCAGGAATGTGTTCTAATATAATGAAATTTCATGTATCTGTTACAGTCTGACTGATTTTAATAAAATAAAGGTTATTATTGTGATGAAGCAAAAAACAAAATAAGTAAAAATAAGTAGTTTAAAATGAACTAGATTTATTGGTAGCTATGCTGAAATAATAACTATCAGTTTTATGAAAGGTGAAAATGTATTCTTATTCAAAGTAGCAATTTTACAATTCACGGTACAGAACAATTTTTAGTGCAAAATCTAAGTTACAACTTGTAACGTCATCTTTGAATAAATTGCTAGTAATATTGCAGGTAAATGAGGACTGGTTTTTCATTTAGTTGTTATATTAGAATTATAAGTGAAATAGTTATTTTGATCAAATAATGAATTATTTCTCTAACTTTAACCATTATTAGATCATTCCTTCGGTAGTGACTTTCACCTATGTTTTGCAATACTGTCCCTCAAACAGACACATGAAGCAATCTTCAAACCCAGTAAGTATGAAGTTATTACAATCACCAAGTGACTCTCCACATCGTATGTGATTATTCTGTTTTTAGTAAAATAAAATCATATAATTCAGGTCCATTTTAGAACATTTTGTTTTATAAGTCCTTTTTAATTTACAATTGAATTTGTGAAAATAAAACTTAAGACTCCACTAGGGATTGAACAGATTTAGAGTTTACATGTCAGGCACTGTGTAAATAAAAAGTTTACATCACTCATTTTATTAAATCCTTACAATGTCTCTTTGAAAAATATATTACATACTATACCAATTTGTTTTGAAAATGAAGAAAAGAAGTTTCAGTGTAGTTAAACTACATAACCAAATGTATAAATTATACAATTACTGACCTTGAACTCCAGGTCTGGTTGACATAAATACCATTTTTTCAAATGCTCACTCTACTTCCTCCAAATGGTCCAAATCTAAATGGAATACAATATATTGGGTTGGATCATGGGACAAATGGTGTTAGTGGAAATCTCAATAAAGTTTGTAGTTTAGTTAATAACGATATACCAATGTTAATTTATTTGTTTTGACAGTGTGTTATGATTATATAAGGTATCAACATTAGAGGAAACTGGATGAAAGGTCTGTGAGAATGTGCTGTACTGTTTCTGTGATTTTCCAGTAAATCTAAAATTATTCTAAAAATAATTTAAATATTAAAATAAAAAATGACTCAAACACACTAAGTATAATAATGTGATTCATCATTGAACTGAAAAGCAAATACTGGCATGTTAAATATTTAAGTCTTTTTCCTTCTTAAATATTTTCATACTGAGTAGCAACTCCCCAAAAATGGGTAATTGTATTTCATACTAATAGATCTTTCGCTCACAATTTGATATGATAATTTCATTCTTAATAAACAGCATTGTATTAAACATTGTGTTAAAAATGTTTCAACAAGAAAACCAAATAAAAGACTAAGTCCCAGAAACTTTCATACCCACGATAAGTTATTCAACTTTTAGTAATTCCTCTAACAAAAGTGTTTTCTTAATATGGCCATGCAAAAATAAACAACTTTCGACAAGCCTCTGTTGGTTAATGGACTTTTGTACAAAAGCAACTTATTTTTCTTTTCTAGTGTTTTAATTTTTTGAGGACCATTATCACAGCTATACATATCTATTTTTATCAAGTTGGCACCCATTGTTATGAAAACTAAAACAAAGCCACTTAGAGTTATTCCTACAAAGTTTATTTTATTTCCTCCAACACTACCTCTAAATTGCTATTGTCTTTTAAAGCAATTATTTTCCCTTTACTAGTTCACTGCGGGCTTCCGAGCATTTTCCAAAGTGTCTAGAAGATGATAGGTACTCAAACATTTTTCAAAGAGTTGTAAAAACCCATGCTACAAGAAAAATGCCTGCAGTAAGCATTTTAAATTTGTTAATTTTGTACTTCTTTAGGCAAACTCTGCCTTATTCCAGGGAAAATTAAGTTGATACATTTATATATAATGTCTATATATGCATATATGTATATGTCTGTCTGTATGAATACACACACATATATACATGTATGCATACATACACACACAAGAAAATGATATAAAATAAGTATTAAATGAATAAAGAATAATAAACAAAGGCAAAATAAGCACAGGAAATAGAAAAGTGAAGCCAAGAATGAAGTTACAAAACAAAAATAATTCTGCAAAACTCTCCCAATACATTTGCTAGCATGGGAACAAAAAAAAAAGTCTCAAAAGTTTCTAATAGTAAAAATAAAAAGGGAGTCATCAACATTCACAAGATTCTTAGCATCAACCCAATTGCCCAGGATAAGCCCAGTTGCTCCTGGCAACAAGAAGAGAAAGACATTTTTCTCCTTGCACTTCTCGTGAAGCTAGATGTTGTATAAATGTCTGAACAATGTACTTATAAACTTTCTGCCAGTAAATACAAGAATGAGTCATCTAGGACTATTCCTGGAAATACCTGTTTCTTAGTGTAGAGGGCATCAGCTTATAGATAACTTCAGCAAAAACTAATTCTTCTGTGTCAAAATAAGGGAACTCAAATTTGTAGTTCCTTTCTTTTCTGATTTATTACAAGACTTCATTTCAGAGTATTTAGATGTTAGAATGGCACATAGGGGACATGCTTTTTGCTTATTCTCTCTTTTTTCTTCTGAACTTGATTGTGGCCTCAGACTCCTCCTCAACAGTGCAGGAGGCAGACCGTACTAAATAGTTTCAGCTTCCATCCGAGATAAAACACATGCGCCAGTCCCTATCTAGAAAAATAAATTGACTAGATATTATTAGCCAATCTTTCATACATATGATTACTGCCAAGCTAATTAATTTTAAGTGGCAATGAATGTGAAGCCATATTTTCTGAAGGAAATACATAGAGAATATAACAATTCTTTGTTTGCAGATAACCAGAGCCACAAACTTTAATAATCAAATAATCAACATGATGATAAATACATAATTTGTATTGAAATGTTACTCTGTACAAAGCACTGTACTAACACTTTCCTTGGTTTTTTTTTCTGTTTAATTCTTAAAATAACTTTACAAGGTAGTGAATATCATCAGCTGCAGATGAGGAGAGGAAACTGAAATAAGGTGAAGTTGAGATCTTCTAATACAATACATGGAACAGCCTGACAAGGTATTTGCTTAAATGAAAGGCCAACCTACTTTTACTTGGGGGAAGACCATGGAAAGACCATTTGGAAGAGTTATGAGTCTCTCCATAAAGATAGTTGAGAATGTATGATACCCCTCCCAATGGAAAACAAACAAATAAACAAACAAAACAGATACTTGGGGTTTACACACAGCAGACATTATGTCTGTTCTATTAAAAAAAAATCACATAATATCTAGAATCTTAGTAAATCACTATTGTAAAATGCGCTTTCACTTTGAGCTTCATTTCAAATAAGGTCATCACAAAATATATGTCTAGATGATTTAATAACTTAACTCATTGTATAACATTATTTATTTATTTATTTATTTATTTATTTATTTATTTATTTATTTATGTAGAGACGGAGTCTCGCTCTGTCGCCAGGCTGGAGTGCAGTGGCGCGATCGCCGCTCACCGCAAGCTCCGCCTCCCGGGTTCACGCCATTCTCCTGCCTCAGCCTCCCGAGTAGCTGGGAATACAGGCGCCTGCCACCATGCCCGGCAATTTTTTTGTATTTTTAGTAGAGACAAGGTTTCACCATGTTAGCCAGGATGGTCTCAATCTCCTGATTTCGTGAACCGCCCGCCTCAGCCTCCCGAAGTGCTGGGATTACAGGCGTGAGGCACCGTGCCCGGCCCTATTCATTATTTCTTAAAGCTAGGTAACGTCCTTCTTTTAGGTGTTTATAACAGAAACTTATCTTGCTCCTACTATAACACTTACCACACTCATATTAAATTGCCTTTTTATGTGTCAGTCAACCGCATTTTATTGCAAGTAGCTTGAGGAAAGTGACTGTGCCTTATTCATCAGCAGTTCCTAGCACACAATAATAGTTAGATAAATATTAGCTAAATGACCTAAAGAATAAGTTAATAAATGTCCCTAATTTTTATTGTAGATTGACATACAATATATTTGAAAACCCCAGTTGGATGAATATCTGTTTATTTCAAGTGGCATTGTTGATAAATTTTTCCTGTACAGAGCATCAAAGGCAAAGAAAAGGTCAATATTTATCACTACTTACAGATTTATCCACAAGATTATAAAAATAGCCACTGCCAGAATAGTGTTGTCTAGGGTCCAATTTGTAAGACTGCGATTTGTCAATAATAAAATGGCATGTAAATATTTTGGATAGTATATCGAAGAAGATAGTAAGTCTATGTTTTGAGAAGAGTATCAAAATTATCATATTTAAGGATTGGGAATTACTCTATCCCAGCTAGATATCAGATGTAAAATGTTCAATTACTTGATAAAACAAAATATGTGGTAAAGATCGACATTCACCATTAAGTATAATAATCTCAAATTGTTGAGTAAAAGGAAATCTTACCCTGGAACTTAATACAGAAATTTTGCAAGCCATTTGGAGGGTTGATTTTTGAGAAATAAAAATTCCAATTAAATGAAATGCTTTATTCAGGAAAGATCATGAGTAGGCGAAATCCTTAGGGGGAAAAAATCAGTGTGGAGCTTTACCAAGGACAGATCAGGCAGTTGCTACCTGACTCACTAAATAGTCTTCAGTCTTGGTAACCCTAGAGTGGGAAAACCAGACATTTAAAACTCTTGATGTGCTGCTATATGAAGCCCAGGCTTGAAGGATTTTTGTTAAAAGAAAAAGAATGAGCATGATTCTATTCATGTCATTGGAGATAACTTTCAATTGTCTAGAAATATCGAAACTAGAAAAGAAATTCAAGTGAAATAACATTTCAAAGAAGTCAACAGACTAATCCAGATCCTAGGGTATTATATCATGAATCCAGTTTCTTTTAAAAGATAATGGGATAAGAAAGGGGCAAAAGGGCTGCTGCATATTAAATGGCATTTGAAATCTAATGACTACATGCAATGTTGGCATTGTTTTGAACCCGATTTTTACAAAATTCGGTGAAAAGACATGTTTTTTTTTTTTTTCTGACAGTGTAGTCATTTGACTATGGATTGGGATTAGATAACTCCCCCAAATACACTGTTAATTTCATTAATATTATGTAAGAAGATTGGCATAGGATTCAGAGATGAATATTAAAATACCTAGGACAAAAATGGTATAATGTTTGAGAGTTGATTAAAATGTTTTAGCAAATATAAAATAAGACGGGTAACTAGAGCAAGTCTAGTCAAACTATGATAAGTTTTTAATGCTAAGTATATGGGAATTCATAATGCTAATCTCTTACTGTGTAAGAAAATGTTATTTTTTAAAAATCCAAGATTAGATACATATGTTCTTTAAAATCCATTATGCATGCATCACCTTTCAAAAATCGTAGCTACTCTTTATTCTTCGGCCACCACGGTTTTGTGTAAAGTCATGTATATCAAAGGTTATATAATCACCAGTCCCTAAGCCAGTGCCATTTACCTAATGTGTACTGAGAACTGTAGATAATAATAAATGAATAAAAAATTCAGCCTCTGGTTCCCAATTGATTTTAAGATTGGTGAATATTAAAAACAAATAAACAAGAAACTAATATAGAAACAAGGCAAATCATACTGTGTTAACCAGTTTTCTGGACATTATATGTGAAAGTTTTGTTTTATCTTAAAACATTTTGTTGCCATATGGCCTTGATAGTTTATAAGTATGTAACAGTATTGCAACATTCTTTAGGTTAGAAGGCTTACATAAGAAAAAACGAATAGTAATCTCATCTTTGTCTTTATTTCACATTACAGCAATTGCTGAGAAAGATAAAGGCTTAATTTATGCATATTATACATAATTTGTATCCTCCCTTTCTTAGGTAATATAGTTAATGCTGTCATTATGATCATTGTAACAACCAATTCACAAGGTTCAGAGAGGGGACATAATCTAGCCTTTCCTTAGGGGTGAGTTTTTTTTTGTTCTTTAGCCAAAGGATACTGTTGTGAGTCAAATAAAAGACATTTGAACTTTTATTTGAACTTTTAGTTGAACTGCATGGAAGATTTCTCTTGGAGAGCCAATGTATTTCCCTACCCAGAGTGAACATATATTTTTTATATGAGAAGGAGAATTATCATATTTCTATCAAGTATATACTCATGGTATATTCTTTTTTTAGACTCTATGCAATATATCTATGTAATAAAACTGCACTTGTACCCTTTACATTTATCCAAACAAAAATAACAATATAACTATAAAAATAATGCAATTATTAAAAATAAGACCAGTTTTTAGGGTTGGAAATATTACTATAATCCTATTTTGTGAATAGTGAGAAATCCTATTGTATGTAACACTATTAGCTGTTACATGGTTTAATTAAATTTTCATTATGAATTTAAAAAGAGTAGTGCAAATTTTCATATTACTCAGTGCCTGAAAATAACATAGGTGGTTAAGTAACACTTCAGTCTACTATGTGTTTAAGGGAATTCATTGTTATTTGTCTACTCATTTTTCAGAGAACTGCCTGCATGACAGTTTACATCTATAAGCATTTCAAACATATTGTAATAAAGTTATCAGAAAATAATACAATAATTAAGAAATATTGAGAGATGCAAATATAGATGCAAAGAAGCTATAGACATATTCACACAAAAATCAACTGGAACGTTTCTAATTTGTATCCAACTAAAAAATCTGGTTATATTAGGCATTCATTAAAAATGATTACTTGTACTTTTCCACATGTAAACAAGGCTACTGAAGACAGATAATTATATTAGAATTAAATCATGTAGGTCTTTCCTATGAAAACATTTATGCTGTGCAACTAGTGAACCAAAACAACAATCTTTATATCTCCATGAGTATCATTAAACTTCAATAAATTATTAAGATTTGGTAAAGCAAAATAGGAACACCTGCCACTCTGTCAGCAGAACAGATGGTCAATAGTAAATTTTCAAATAGTCATTTCCCAAATTGACAAGAAGAGTCAGTTTGACACTTGGCACACAAAACCATATGTCTCTTGTGTAAAAAAGATCTATGCAAGTCTGAGGGTGAAATCCCATTTCCATTTTTTTGTTAAAAAGGCAAAAGAACCAATTGTTTTTAAGTATCAATGTGCATTTTAAATGTCTGCCAGGTGCTTAACATTTCATTTAATATAAATTCTGTCAAATTACACATTATAACTTAAACTCTCTGGTGAATCCATTGGTGTTTATTATATTATTCTTTATACGTTTTTTTTTTGTATTTAAAAAGTCATGAAATAAAACCCACACTGCTTCTAGTGACAATTGATCCTTGTTCTTTCCAAATATAGCATTTTAGATATTTTCACAGGGCTGCAGTTACATAGAATTCAAGATGATATTTTTCACATACTGAATAAAAAATAAAATAATTCAACCTGAAATGCAATTTAATTTTGCTTTGAAAGAAATAAGAGGCCCTGTAGTGAGGTTAAAAGTCAAATAAATAAATATAAAATAGGTTTTCTTGCTGACTAATGAAAAGGTATATTACTAGTTTGACTTACCAGTTATTGTTAGTGGATCAAAAAATCACAGAATTATCTTTTTTATTATATTTAATGACATAAAAATGTTATTGAATATAATTATGTTCTAAATATGCTGAAGTAAGAAATTTGCAAATTTCTTACTTCAGCATATTTAGAACATAATTATATTTCTAAAACAGGATATTAAAAATATTTCTAGAAATTTTGTGAAGATATGTTAACTAACATAGTTTGCCCAAAAACTGTGCTTAGCTAATATAAAGGTTGATAAAATTGAGTCATTTTATTGAAACTGAATGGTTGAATTATAACCAATTCAATAAGTGTACCTCAATCTGTCCATACAATTCAAGAAGTAATTTCTGAAGAATGCAAATATGAAAATGCTTTACTAATTTTAAATTTGACAAAATCTTTCTGGTACTTATCCTCTTTGTGGATGTGATTAAGGTGCTTCAAAGTTTTTGAGCCTTAGTTTTCTTATCAGTAAAATAGACATAAATTACAACATTTTCATGTATATCTTATAGATATTAAACAGGAAAAAGTCTTTAAAATTTCAAGAACAGTTCCTGAGTATACATTAGTTTCTCCCTGTGGGTTCCTTAACCTCAAATTTTGATCTCACTCAGGCCAACATGTACACCTATACACCCATCCATACACTCACACAAACTCAAATATACATGTGTACACATACATGCTCACATATACATACATGCTGATACACACACTAATAAAACACACACACTCACAAAACACACACATTTGACTTGTCCCTACATGGACATTTTTCCATATAAAAGGCCGAAGTGTCATCATTTCTGAACTGCTCTATAAGAGTTCTGTACATCTTACTTTTGCTGAAACACATGTACCTTCAGGGTTGTAATGACCCTGTATCTTTTTTTAATACCCAATGATTCATGTCTTCTTAAGCTTACATTCACTTAAGACCTCTGCATAAAGAAGGCTTCTATGAACATCGTATTATTTTGTCGTAAAAATGATCATTATATCATGGATAATTATATATGATGGATTATATTGAGAGATTTACTAACATTTAGCCACTTTTCTATCCCTGAAACACAATTCAACTGATTACAATGTACTATAATATTATTCAATATGTTGATAAATTATTTCTATGATTATGTTTTTATTTATTAAATCATTATTATCTTTATCAACTCCTCATTCCTCCTGTGTTTCTTTTAAACATATTTTCCCTTACTGGAATTTCATGAATTGTTAATTTTTAAGGTTTTTTTCCTACGGAAATGATCGAAGTTATAATATTTTCTCTAAATACTGCTTTAGCAATATCTTGTAGGTTTTCGTAAGTAGTGTTTTCATTATTATTTTTATTGTGTTTTGCTTTATTTGTTTTTCATAGTGATACATATTTTGGGGATACATGTGATATTTTGACAATTCATGTAATGTGTAAAAAAGATCAAATATGGGTATTTGGGATATCCATCACCTTAAATATTTTTTCTCTTTATACTAGGAACACTTAAATTATTCTCTTTTAGCTATTTTGAAATGTATAAGAACTTATTGTTAACTATAGTCACTCTATTGATCTGATGAATGCTAGGTCTTATATGTCTTCTAATTGTATGTTTGTAACCATTAATCAACCTCTCTTCATCCCCTTCCCCCAGCCCTCTTCTCTTTCCCAGTCTTTGGTAATCAGCAATCTACTCTATCTTCAAAAAATCCACTTTTTTAGCTCCCACATATGAGTGACAACATGCAATATTTGTCCTTCTGTGCTTGGCTTATTTCACTTAACATAATGTCCTCTAGGCTCATCCTTGTTGTCACAGATGATAGGATTTCATTCTTTTATATATCTAAATATTATTCTGTTGTGTATATATAACACTATTGTTATACACTCATCCATTGATGGACACTTAAGTTGATTTCCTGTTTCAGCTATTGTGAAGTGTGCACATGTGGTAGCGCAGCTTTCTGTTTCATATATTGATTTCCTTTTATTTTGGATATATAACCAGTAGTGGAACTGCTGGATCATATAGTAGTTCTAGTTTTAGTTTTATGAAGGACCTCTATATTATTTTTCATAGTGGCTTTACTTATTTATGTTGTTACCAAAAGTGCATGAGGTTTCCTCATTCTTCACATCCTTGTGAGAATTTCATCATTCTCTTTTTGATAAAAGTCATATTAATTGTGGTGAGATAATATCTCCCTGTGGTTTGTTTGCTTGTTCGTTTGTTTTAGAGACAGGATTTCACTCTGTCACCCAGGCTAGAGTGCAGTGGCATAATACAGCTCACTGCAGACTTGAACTCCTGGGCTCAAGCCACCATTCCAACTCAGCCTCTCAAGTAGCTGGGGTTACAGGTATGTGCTACCACATACAGCTAATGTTTTTTATTTTTATTTTCATAGAGACCTAGTCTCCAACTCCTGGCCTCATGTGATCCTCCCTCTTGGGTCTCCCAAAATGCTGAGATTACAGGTGTGGAGTCACTGAGTCTGGCTTCCCTGTGGTTTTGATATGCATTTCTCTGATGGTTAGTCAAGTTGAGCATTTTTTTTTTATATCTGTTAGCCATTTGTATGTCTTCTTTCAAAAAAATGTGTATTTATATCTTTTTTCCATTTAAAAATAAAAGTATTTTTTCACCATAGAGTTGTTTGAGCTTCTAATATATTCTGGTTCTTAATCCTTTGTCAGATGGATAGTTTGCAAACATTTTTTTTCCCATTCTGTGTGCTGTCTCTTCACTTTGTCGATTGTTTCTTTTGCTGTGCTGTAGCTTTTTAGCTTGATGTAATCTCATTTGTCTATTTTTTGTTTTGTTGCTTGTGCTTTTCTGGCCTTATACAAAAAATATTTGCCCAGACCAATGTCCTGGAGCATGTCCCAGAATTTCCCCCACAAAAAATGTTTTATTTTCTAATAGTCTCATAGGTTTACTTCTTAGATTTATGTCTTTAATCCACTTTGATTTGGTATTTGTATATAGGAGAGGTAGCAGTTTAGTTTTATTCTGCTCTATATGGTTATGCAGTTTCCCCAGCACAATTTATTGAAAAGGCTCCCCTTTCTCCATTGTCTGTTATTGGCACCTTTGTTGAAAATAAAAGTTAGTTGTAAGTGAATTCATTTATATCTGGGTTCCTGACTCTGTTTCACTGGTTTATGTGTGTTTTTATGGCAGTACCATACTGATTAGATTACTATAGCTTTGTTTGTTGTGTATTTTGAATCACATGGTATGATGCCTCTAGCTTTTTTTGTTTTTGTTTTTGTTCTTGATTTTTTGCTTAGGATTCCTTTGGCTATTTGGGGTCTTTTGTGGTTTCATATAAATGTTAACTTCTTAAAAAAAAATTCTGTGATCAATGCCATTGATGTTTTGGTAGAGATTGCATTGAATCTGCACATTGTTTTAGGTCGTTATTGACATTTTAACAATAATAATTCTTCCAATCTATGGGCATTCAATAGCTTTTTATTTTCTGGTTCCTGATCAATTTTTTTCATCAGTATTTCTTCAGTTTTCCTTGTGTATATCTTTCATTTCCTTGTTTAAATTAATTTCTAGGCAGTTTATGTCCTTTGTAGCTTTTGTAAATGAGACTACTTCCTCAGTTTCTTTTTCAGATAGTTCACACTTGGTGTGCATAAATTCTACTGATGTTTGCATGTTGATTTTGTATCCATCAACCTTACTGAATGCATTCATCAGTTCTAAGAGGTTTTTTTTGTAGAGACTGTGTTTTTCCAAATATAAAATCATGTCATCCGTGAATAAGGCTAATTTGACTTCTTCTTTTCCAATATGGATACCCTTTATTTCTTTTATCTTGCCTAATTGCTCTTGCCAAGATTTCCAGTATTATGTTGAATAAACTGGTGAAAATGGACATCTTTTTTTGTTTCAGATTTTAGAGGAAAGACTCTCAATTTTTCCCCATTTAGTATGATGTTCATTGTGGGTTTGTCCTATATGGCCTTTATTATTTTGAGATATGTTCCTTCTATACTCAGTTTGATAAGAATTTTCATCATAAATGGATGTTGAATTTTTTTCAAATGCTTTTTAAATATCTATTGAAATAATCATATGATGTTTCTTCTTGTTTCTGTTATTGTGATATATCACATTTATTGATTTGTGTATGTTTAATCATCCTTGTTTCCCTGGGATTAATCACACTTATTCATGGTGACTGATATTTTTAATGTGCTGTTGGATTCGGTTTGCTAGTATTTTATTGGCAATTGTTGGATCTATGTTTATAAATTATATTAGCCTATTATTTTCTTTTTCTTTTCTTTTTTTTTTTTTTTTTTTGGTGCTGTGTCCTCATCTGGTTTTGGTATCAGGATAATAGCCTTGTAGAATGAGTTTGAACATATTTCTTCCTTTTCAGTTTTTTTTGGAGAGTTTTAGTAGAATTGATATTCGTTCTTTTTACTATGTTTAGTGGAATTCAGCAGTAAAGCCATCATATTTTGGGCTTTTCTTTGATGGGAGACTTTTTATTATGGCTTTGATTTCATTACTCATTATTGGTTTGTTCAGGTTTTCTATTTCTTCATGGCTCTATGTTGGTAGGTGGTATGTGTTCAGAAATTTAACCATTCCTAATGAGTTTTCTAGTGTGTTGGCATATGGTCATCCATAAATCTTTAATGATTCTTTGTATTTCTATCGTTTTGACTGTGATATCTCCTTTTTGTTTCTGATTTTATTTATTTGGGTTTTCTTTTTTTTTTTCTTAGTCTGGCTAAAGGTTTTCCTGTTTTGTTTGTCATATCAAAGAAGCAAGTTTTAATTTTGTTGATATGTTGTATTTTTTGTCTCAATTTTATTTATTTATACCCTAATATTTATTACTTTTTTCTTCTACTAGTTTTGGATATGGTTTGTTCTTATTTTTCTAGTTCCAGAATTCCCTTTTCCCGTATGTTTCTGGGTAAGTTCCTTGAGATGCATCATTATGTTGTTTATTTGACGTCTTTCTACTTTTTTGATGTAGGCATTTATTGTTAAAACTTCTCTCTTAGCACAGCTTTTGCCATATCCCATAGATTTTGGTAAGTTTTGTTTCCATTTTCATTTGTTTCAATACATTTTAAAATAATCTTCTCAGTATCTTCATTGACTCATTGGTCATTAAATTACATGTTGTTTAATTTCCTCATATTTCTATTGTTTCCAGGACCTGTTGTTATTAATTTCTAGTTTTATTCTATTGTGATCAGAAAAGATACTTGACATAGTTTCTACTTTTTTGAATTTATTAAGCCTTGTTTTTTTGGCCTAAGATATGCTCTATTCCAGAGAATGTTCCATGTGTAGATGGAATGTATTCTATAGCAATTGGGTGAAATGTTCTGTAAAATCAGTTAAGTCCATTTGGGCTACAGTATAGTTTCACTTTGATGTTTCTTTTTTGATTTTCTGTCTGAGTGACCTCTTCATTACTGAGAGTGGGATGTTAAAGTGCCCTACGATTATTGAGTTGCAGTTACTCTATCTCCCTCTTCAGATCTATTAGTGTTTGCTTTATATAGCTGGGTGCTCTGGTGTTGGGTGCATAGATTATATATAATTGTTGAATCCTCTTGTTGAATTGAAACCTTTATCATTATATAGTGACCTTGTCTCTTTTTACAGTCTTTAAGTTGTCTATTTTGTCACATATAAATATAGGTATACCTTCTATTTTGATTTGTGTTTTGTTTTGATATTTGTTTTTAAGAGAAAGTAGGCAATTTTCTTTTGCGTATGGTCCAGAGTTCTGTCAGACAAACAGAGCCACGATAAGAATTCTAGATCCATGATAAGAATTATGGAAATAAAAGGTATATTTTAGAATTTATTTAAAAATTGGAAATAAAAATCTGAAAAATAAATGAGAGAATCAAGTAAAAAGTAAGCAATCAGTTATCCTAAGTCAGTAGTACAGAAAGAAAAGTTGGAGCTTAAGGAAAAATGTGAAAAACCAGGCATGGCCAGCTGCCCAAATGGGACCACAAAATAGACAATTGTGACAAAACTAATATGAGCTGGCAATTCTTGGAGAGCTGTGTCTTTGGTGTAGCTCCTGCATAGATTAGTGTACAGCACCAATTGGAAGGGTAGGGTGGGTAGGGCTGTTAATCAGAAGGATCAGCAGTCCAGAAGCCTAATTAGACCTGTAGCAGAGTAAAGCCTCTGACCTTGTCAGGCTATCATAACCTTGTGATAATACTGGCTCCTTTTTCATTCCCCCCTTTCAAATTTTATGAAAGTTCCATTTCTGGCTAGATGTTACACAGAAACATACAAGAAAAGGGAACTCTAGAAACAGCTCTAAGCCCTGGCTGTGTTGCCACAATAAAACTTTGTTGAAGAAGGGGGAAAAAAGCTAGTTTCCTTATATTATCATTAATTTCCAGGTATAATACATTAAGATCAGAATTATATCTGCACTTTTCATAATTTAGAAAATATCGAGGCATTCAATTATTTTAATATATAGTAATTTTCATAAGTATTCAAGGTATAGTTAGCAGAAAGTTGTATTCTCAATGTTTCATGTTTCAAAGTTTGATTATTAAACCTTCATTATTTTTGGCTACTTCATCTTTCTTAATTAGGGAGGTAAATAATTAATTGCCTTCTAATATTAATATGTTGCCTTTACTTTTCTGGGTTTTTTTTGTTTGTTTTTTGTTTGTTTGTTTGTTTGTTTTTGAGATAGCATCTCACTCTGTTACCCAGGCTGGAATACAGTGGCACAATCATGGCTCACTGCAGCCTCAACTCCCTGGGCCCAAGCTATCCTCCCACCTCAGACTTCTGAGTAGCTGGGAATACAGGAGCACACCACCACAGCTGGCTAATTAATTTTTTTTTTTTAGAAACAAAGTCTCACTTTGTTGCCTGGACTGGTCTCAAGCTTTTGGGCTCAAGCAGTTATCCCACCTCGGTCTCCCAAAGTGCTGAGATTATAGGTGTAAACCACCACAACCAACCTAATATTAAAATATCTCTAATTTTCCTTGTATCTTCTACAGTCTCTGCTTTACAAAATTTGCTGCTGTGATATTTGAGGCATATATTTTATACCTATTTGTTCTTCAGTGTTACTTGCAAAGTTTGGAGTGTGTCATTTTAATAACTGGAATCAAAAATATGTGAATTTTAATATTTACTGCTTTATAACATTTAATACTGTTTGGGTCAAATTCTTTCTTGTCTAATATTAAGAAAAATAAAAGTAAAACATTAGCAGGAATCAACACTTAGCATATAACTAAAGCAGTGACTGAGCTAAGCCAAAAATAAAAAGAAGGCCTAATTCTTAATATAAAACATTAATTTGAGATTTGCTTTTTGACCCAGTCTAAAAACATTTTTTTCTTTATGTAGATGGGTTAAAGTCATTTACTTTACTAAAATGACAGACATTTGGCCTCCATTCTGAGTGCTGAGAAGATGAGAATATGGATTTCAATCATGCCAATTATTAAATATAATTATACTTTATCATTTACTAGAAGAGTAATTGTTAACATGTTCAAAATTCATGTATCAGTTTTTCCATCTATAACATTATGATAATAATATTACTTCTCTCCCAATGCTATTATGAGGAGAAAACAAAATACGTACGAAAATTAACAGAGCACATACATTTTTTGGAGATGTAATTGATGACAAACAGTAAACGTATGATTAGAATTCATATCCTCACATGTTCTACAGTTTATAAATGATCTTTATGATACAGTATGGTCTAAAGCACATAATCCCAGGACGCAAAAATAAATATTTTGACAATATTCTAGTTTTCAGGATGTAGAAAAGATATTGCATATATTTGTCAAATTTTGAATTATTTATAAAACAGATTATTTTGGCCTTCATCCTTCTATTTCCCTTCATGTAGCTATATTTTATTCAATTTTATATTCAATAGTTTTTTCAATTTTATATTTCATAATATTGACATACAGTGCTATAAGTATTTTTTTAACTCTTAGCAAAAGAAAGTCATTGCACTCAACCTAAGCACATTAGTGCATGCAATGTTGGTATTTGAATGCATTAATAACTTTGAAGTTAACTAAATAAACAATATTTAATAAGTGAAGAAGGATGTGGAGAAGTGAACACTTCTAATTTTTTATAGCATGATTCTTACATTATTTTAATTGAAGAACCATTTCTGGAAATCAAGGGAGATAGTTAATTTCTTATTCCTCAGCACTTCTATGAAACCCTCTAATGATGGCAAGACAGTTAATTCTGAAATCAAAGGGGAAATCAAAGAAAAGATCAGAGAAGCAACATCTGATGGAGTTGAAAAATGAAAAAAAAGTCTCCACCCTGTGTATTCCTAGAACCATAATAAAACTATAAATAGCTGTGTACTTTATACAAATTACAAAAACTTCTTAACCTCTGCCCCAACTTTGACCACTCTCTATCAGGAAAAAAACATGGCATCACCTACAAGCAGCCCCATGTCTGTTAGTCAAAGATCTGTCATTGTTTATAAGGACAGTTTGGCTCTAGATTACAAACATGAACCAGATATTAGTTAAAAAAATGGGAGTTTTTCTCCTTTCAAAAAGAAATATAAGATATATCCAGTATCAGCACAGAAGTTGTCACCTCTGTCTTTACCAAAAACAAACAAACACAAAAAATGGGCAAACCAAAAATTAATGATTTCTTGCACCCATCAAATCATGAGCATCCAGAGAGGTACTTGAAGAGAGAGCAGCATATCTGGAAGAGAAGCCACTGGAGCCATAGGTTGATTGGGACACTGAGATGGAAGTTTTGAAGAATTGTTAGAGGCTATGAGTGGAATAGTGTGAGGCAGAGTAACTCTTTAGGACTGCAGTCTTACACAGGTATTCTCACTTGCATGGACTTTTCCTCTAGTAACCTCACCAGGTTCCCATTCCAAGGATCTGATAAAATCCCCCCCACAATCCTAGCAGGCAGAGAGGAAGCATAACTTTTGTGAAATAAGCTCAGTGCCTTCTCCATAAAAAAGAGCTACTATCCAGAGGAAAGGGCTTTGTCAGAGTACAATTCTAAAATTTTATCCCAACTGGAAGAAAAGAATAACTCATCACTCCAGTCTTTTCCAGCCTTCTTATGACACTTAATAGGAAACACAAAATTACACAAAACTGAAATCAGCATAACAGCAGATAGGGCCTCAAGGAAAAAGATATGCAATGCTGACTGGTCATGGGGGGCAAAAAGTTACAACCATGGGGAAATATTTGTGAAGGCCACAATCTTTTAGTAAATAGGTCTACTAAAAGACTGAGATTTACTTGGAGGATGATAGAATGTTTCCCATCTCCCCTATCTTATCACACCAACAGGTATCCAGAATAAGAGCAGTGGACTGTAACTGAAAGAGCTGCAAGACTTAGATTCAAGAGGGTATATCAAAATCAAAGACACTGGAGGAATTTAAAGGCTCTGGTGCCCATAGTTACATCAAAAAGAGACCACAATTTGTACTCAGACTAACATAAGTCCTCACAGTAAAGGCCTATTTGTCTGAGTTTCTGTAACTTAACACAACATATCCAGCTGTGGAAAAAAATACAAGCCATGACAAGAGACAATGCAATCATCGAAACCAGGCTGAGATTTGACACATATGTTGAAATTCTCGCACAAGGATATTAAATGAACTATGACTGATTAATATGTTAAAGGGAAGAATTAGACAACACGCAGTAACTGATGGGTAAAGTTAGGAAAGATGGAATCTCTAAGAAAGTGTCAGAAGGGAATGCTAAAAATCAAAACTGTGGTAACATAGAACAATGCTTCCAACAGGCTTATCAGTAGACTGGACACTGCTGAGGAAAAAATTAATGAACTTGAACATAGGTCAACATAAACTTCTCAAACTCTATTGCAAATATTTGTTTTAAACAAAAACAGAATAAAACCTCCAAGAACTATGGAAAAATATCAAAAGGTATAGCAAACACCTAATATGAATGCCACAGTGAAAGAAAAAGAAAAACACTGAGAAGAAATATTGGAAGTAATGATGTCTGAAAACTGTCCACAAATATTGACAGACACCAGACCAGAGATCCAGGAAGCTCAGAGAACACTGAGAAGCATAAATTCCAAAAACAAAATCAAAACATTTATACATATCATATTTAAAATTTAGAAAATAATGAACAACAACAAAAGGATCTTGACAGAATCTAAACAAGAAGAGGAGAGAAGCTTACCTATCCAAAAACACGGGTAAAAATTATATTAGATGTGCTACTGTAAATTCAGGTAAAAAAAATCAGAAGCTCTACAGGGAAAAAAAGAGTTGAATGGAATCTTCAAGGTGTTGAAAGAAAAATACAAAGAATTGATCAACCTAGAGTTGTATATTCAGTAAAATTATTCTTCATAAATGTAGAAATAAGACTTTCTCAGATAACTAAAAACTGAAGTGTTATGATTCTCTCAGATTTCCTGTTATGCAAGAAATATGAAAAGAGTTGCTTCAGGCAGAAGAATAATGAAATAAGTCAGAAACTTGGCAATACATAAAGAAAAAGCGAGTATTAAAGATGTAATAAAATAAGTAAAATAATATATTTTATTTTTCTTATTCTTAATTGATCTGAAAGAAAACTATTTGTATAAACACATAAATAAATGCAATGTACTGAATCAGAATAGCATAAAAATAAATAAATAAATGATAATAATATCACAAGGAAAGAGAGAGAAGAACTGGGAATGCTTTGTCATAAATTTCTCATAGTACACGTGAAGTCACATAGCATTATTCGGAAGTGCGTGTACTTATTTTCACACTATATTTTAAACAATACAGTAACCACTGAGTTTTCTAAACTTAAATGATAATCTAAGAGACAAGAAAAATGAAAAGATAAAATATTTAGTTAAAAGTAGAAATGGAAAAAAGAAACTTACAAATGTAATGAACAGAAAACAGAAACAAACAGGCCACTCTTGCTATCAAGTGTCCATTCTTTTATTCCTTGACTTAAAAAGGAAATAGTTACAAAGCACATAAATAGTAATCAAATAATAGTAGAAATTATTTTAAATGTGAATGGTGAAATCATACGAAATACCAAGAGAGATTCTCAGAATGGGTTTTGAAAAAAAGAGTCAGAATGGATTATGAAAAAAAGAGTCAATTATTTTGTCGTGTATAAGAAAACCACTTTAAATATAATGGTTCAGGTAGGTTAAAAGTAAAGAGGAAGAGAAAATATACCTTCCTAACATTATTCAAAAGAAAGATGACACTAGCTATATTAATTTCAGAAAAGCAGACTTCAGAATAAGGAAAATTATCAGAGAGTAAGAGGGGCAGTACCATTCTTCAAGAAGACATAGCAACTCTAAATATGTATGCACTTAGCAGTGGAATGTGAACATGCATGAGGCCAGCATTACACTAATACCAAAAAAGTTAAAGACATTATGAGAAAGGAAACCACAGGGCATAATCTTTGTGAAACTAAACACCAAAATCCATAGCAAATCTTATCAATTTAATCAAGCAATACCTAAAAAGGATAATACATCATGACTACATGGATTTCATTCCAACAAAGAATGCTGATCAAACATTCATAGGTCAGTCAATGTAACTCATCATCTTAGCAGAATAAATAAGAAAATAGAAAGATCCTATCAATAGACGCAGAAAAAGCAGTTGACAAAACTCAATTCCCCTACATGATAAAGTATTGCACAATATTAGAATTGGTAGAGAATTTTCTTAATCTAATAAAGATTTATGGATACTTATACCTAATGTTGTACTTAATGGTGACAGACCAAGCTGTTTTTCTCTAAGATCAAGAATAGGTCAAGGGGCCGGCTTGGTGGCTCACGCCTGTTATCACAGCACTTTGGGAGACTGAGGCAGGTTGATCACCTGACATCAGGAGTTTGAGACCAGCCTGGCTAACGTGGTGAAGCTCCATCTCTACTAAAAATACAAAAATTAGCCAGGTGTGGTGGTGCATGCCTGTAATCCTAGCTACTCTGGAGGCTGAGACAGGAGAATCACTTGAACCCGAGAGGCGGAGTTTACAGTGAGCCGAGATTGCACCATTGCACTCCAGCCCAACATGGGCAACAAGAGCAAAACTCCGTCTCAAAATAAGATAAAATAAAATAAAATAAGATAAAATAAGATAAAATAAGATAGATAAAGTAAGATAAAATAAGATAAAATACGATAAATAAAATAAAATAAAATAAAACAAAATAAAAAAATAAAATAAAATGGATGTCCTCTCTCACTACTCCTAGTCAGCATTGTACTGGAAGGCCCACTGAGTGGAAAGAGATAAGAAAAAGAAATGAAAGTTATAAAAACTGGAAAGGAAAATTAATATTGGTTTTATTCATGATTACATGACTATGTGAAAATCCCTGAGGAATCTAAAATAAAAACAAGCTCCATAAGTGTTTGCTGTGCATAGTGAATTTCTTCTAAATAGTGTAGCATGGAAGGAAGAGGGACTTTCCAGTGGAGAAACATGGCAAACCTTACCTCAGCCAGGTGATCAAGGTTAACATCAACAGTGATAAGCCATGTTGCTAGCATGTACCCTTGATATGATGTGATAAGAGTGGCACTTTACCTCTATAATCTTCCTTCCCCAAAAGTATAACCTCAAAGTAATTATAAGAAAAACATCAGACAAGCCACAAACCTAGGGAATTCTATAAAGTACTTGAAGAGTTGTCGTCAAAATTGTCAAGGTCATCAAAAGCAAGGAAATTCTGAAAAACTCAGTCTATAGCAGCCTAAGAAGATATAGCCACAGAATGTAATATGGCATTCTCAATGAAATTGTGTAATCAATAAGTGACGTAAGGTAAAATATGAAGGAATCTAAATAATATATGTACTATAGTCAATAATAATGTATCATTTTTGGTCCATTAATCATGATGATTATAACATACTAATGTAAGATGATAATAATTGTCACGACTGAGTTGCGGATATAAGCAAACTGCCTGTACTATTTTCCCAACATTTCTGTAGGTCTACAACTATTCTAAAATTAAACCTTTATTAAGCACTTTCAGATAAAAAAAGACATCTAGAGAAGACTACAATTCTACAAAAGCCACAGCGAAACTAATGATTTACATCCAAGAAGTGTTCAAAATTTCTGGGAATGCAGCATTCAAAAATCACATAATCTCTTTTGTTAGGGAAGTAATATCTAGTGGGGACACAGAAAAATTGAAATACGAGGAGAGTATCTATCCCATCTTTGAGGAGTAGAGAATTCCTTGTGGAAGGAATGTGTATGCTGATATTTATACCATGTTCGAGAGTTAATCAAGGTAAATGTGTAAAGGAGTTGTAATTCAAGAAAAGAGTGGGAAGAATTTTCCAGACTAAGGTCATGAATACAGTCTTAAACATTCTACTTACCCCTTTTCGTTGCAGCTTCCTCTTGCTGGACCTAAAATTTACTCATTTTCTCAGGGTACTTGTAAGAAATATCTTCCCTCCTCCTTCTTCTCCTCTTCCCTCACCTTCTCCCTTTACTCTTTCTGAGCTTTATCTTCCTTCTCTTCCTCATCTGCTCTTTTCCCTTTGTCTCCTCTTCTTCCTCTTTCTTCTTCCTCTTCTGCTGCTTCTTTCTCATGTTTTTTTCTCCTGTTTCTCACCTTCTTCCTCTCCCTTTTTCTCTGTTTTCTCCTCCTCCTTTCCGTCTAATCCTTAATGTTCTTTGTTCTTAGGACTGACATTAAGAAATATCCAGAGGAATGTCATTAATTATTATTTTATCAACACCTTCAACTGGATTTGGATTAAGAAGTCTGACTACCATCAACTAAACTGGCCTCAATTTCTCCTCCTGCTGAGTCTGAGGACCAACAAAAAGCACTAGAGACTACAAGAACACAAATAGGAATGGAAGGGTAAAGTGACATTTAAAATAAGACTCAAAAAGCAAGCAAACATAGTTATGAAAAGATTTTATTTTTAAATGAGTTTTCAATTCTACCCTTGCCACCCCACTAAGTAGTTGCATGATAAAATTTCACTGTTGCCTTTTTATAACTCCAGTTATCCTTCTTGTGCCTAAACTATGCCCTTGCTGTAAATTAGACATTTTCAAAAGATATTTTCACTCATTCTTTTCTCCACATTCCTATTTAGCACACTAGCAGTAATGCGTCTTCAAAAAAAATTATTCAATCAGAGCATAATACAATTTATTACTTCCTCATATTAAATGAGCTGACACCCTGATGATCATTGAGATTCAAAACAATTTCCAAAGCTTCTTAATTTACAGCACAGTCTAGTTAAAGCTTTGGGGGAATCTGGTCATATAACATTTGTTGTGCTATCTGTCCAATGAAGGATGAATCTCCAGATACACTGAGCACATGACCATGTGATTTGTCCACTCACCACAGTGGCCAGAGATGCAAAAATACCATTATTAGTTCAGAGACTGGAACAGTTCTCTGCACTAAGATACTTTTCATGTTTATTACACTGTTTCACCTTCTGTATAATTTAATATTCAAGCTGTGTAAGCCTAAATAGCTCAGCACAGCTGGTGTGGTGTCTCGTTATTTCTCACTTTTCCTCTTATCTGTGCAATTTTAATAATTGGGAGCCTAAAACTGTTATGGTAAAAGGATAAAATTATTCAAGAAATTCACATACTTGGCACATAGTCAGTGAGAAGCTTAAATCAATTTTCTTGAACTGTCAGCCATGATGTAGATCTAAATGGAAAGCTAGAGTTTAGTCAGATTCATTGCTTATTGTTTGCCTCTGCAATTATGAAATATGAAGGTTGGTAAGGGTTGTTCAATGTATTTTATTTTTTTCCAATTTGAATGGCTCTGGTAAGTTATAAATATTTTGCAATTTAATCATAGAAATAATATCCCTTTTTTATTTAAAGAAATACACATTAAAATGTTTTCCTGTTTTTGTTAGGGAAAGAAGCAATAAGTTAAATCAAACTGCACAGTTTTACCTTGACCTCTCAGCCTCAGCAATATGCTTTCTCATATTTGATTCAACTAAATGCAATGTCTATGCAGCTCCAGATTTAAAATATGAATGTTAGAATATAGTCTTTCTTTGTTCTACAGTGACTTATTTAGATTGATATCTTAGCATTTTTCATCCAGATGCTTTTTTTGTGATAAAGAATTAAAACTTGTATTTTTATAAGTACAAGTTTGTTTACAGAAAAAGTTGAACACCTTGTGGAAAATAGAAAGATTTCATATTGGATAAATCTCATTCAAAGTTAATACTACACATTTCTATTCACTGCTTCCTAATTCTAAAATGAAACTGTCCATTAGGAAATATTGCAAAGGCTAACTGTTTATATTGAAGTGCAGAAAATTGCCGCTTTTTCCTTTTTAAGTTGTATAACAGAACATAGTTTTTCTGTTTTTTTGCTTTTTTTTTTAAACTGCCTACAACAATCATGTATTGTCTAGGTGTCTAGGTAATTGTCATTTGGCGTCATTTTAATTTAAATTTTAGATGAGCAAATTAGTAGCATTTTGAAGAGGGGGGACATCTCATCACATTCTTATTCTCACATTGAAAATGACTCCATTTAGCTCAGTCCACTGGGTATTAATTCAGTAACTGAAATATAGCAATGTAGGATGACATTGTTTCATGGGTGTGCCTCCGAGTGGAATCCTAGACAAAGTGATCTGCATTTTACCTTTCTTCTTTAATTTTGGCCCACACAAGCAAAGCCTACATCTCTCACAGGACAGCACTCCAGATTTCTTTAACTACCTATCATCTCAGGTATTTCCTTTCTCTTTAACTTCTGAATTATTTAGAGACATGAGCCAGTTTGTGAAAAGAACTGTCTTTTAGCTGTTCTTTGGATAAGGAAATTATTTTTATAAATGTAAAAGTGACTTTTGTGAGCAAAGCTTCAGTGAAGTTCTGTATAGTGCAGTCATCTTTCCTGACTCACGCTACTGCTGTTGATTTGTTTTTTTCTTGAGGCAGAGTCTCACTCTGCAGACTACACAAATTGGTATCACGTCAGAGTCACCTTCTATTATAAAGACACAGGCACGTATATGTTTATTGCATTCTTTTGCATTTGCTGAGGAGTGTTTTACCTCTGATTATGTTATCTAGTTTAGTGTATGTACTATGTGGTGATAAGAAGAATGTATATTTTGTTGTTTTTGGGTGGAGAGTTCTTTAGGTGTCTATCAGGTCCATTTGATCCAGTGCTGGCTTCCAGGTCCTGAATATCTTTGTTAATTTTCTGTCTCAATGATCTGCCTAATAGTGTCAGTGGGGTGTTAAAATCTTGCACTATTATTGTGTGGGAGTGCAGGTCTCTTTGAAGGTCTCTTACAACTTGCATTATGAATCTGAGTGCTCCTGTGCTTGGTACATATATATTTAGGTTAGTTAGTTCTTCTTGTTGAATTGAAGCTTTTATCCTTATGTAATGTTCTTTGCCCTTTTTTTTTTTTTTAATCTCTGCTGGTTTAAAGTCTGTTTTGTCTGAAACTAAGATTTCAAACTCTGCTTTATTTCTGTTTTTCATTTGCTTGGTAGATTTTTCTCCATCATTTTATTTTGAGCCTGTATGTGTCATTGCATGTGAGATAGTTCTCTTAAAGACAGCATAGCAATGGGTCTTGGTTCTTTATCCAGCTTCACTCTGTGCCTTTTAGTTGGGTCATTTAGCCCGTTTACATTCAAGGTTAGTACTGATATGTGTGGATTTGATCCTGTCATCATGATGTTAGCGGGGTTATTTTGCAGACTTGTGAATGTGGTTGCTTTATGGTTTCTCTCATCTGTGTACTTACCTGTGCTTTTGTAGGGGCTGGTAATGGTCTTCCCTTTCCATATTTAGTGATTCCTTTAGGAGCTCTAGTAAGGCAGGTCTGGTAGTAATGAATTCCCTCAGTATTTGCTTGTCTGAAAAGGATCTTATTTCTCTTTCACTTGTAAAGCTTAGTTTGGCTCGATATGAAATTCTGGGTTGAAAATCCTTTCCTTTAAGGATGTTGAATATTGGCCCCCAATCTCTTCTGACTTGTAGGGTTTCTGCTGAGAAGTTCACTGTTAGTCTGATGAGCTTCCCTTTGTAGGTGACCTAACCATTCTCTCTAGCTCCCTTTAACACTGTTTCTTTCATTTCAAACTCAGAGAATCTGATGATTACATGTCTTCGGAATGATCTTCCTGTGAAGTATCTTACTGCGGTTCTCTGCATTTCCTGAAACTGAATGCTGGTCTCTCTAAAAGGTTGGGAAAGTTCTCATGAATGATATCCTGAAATATGTTTTCCAAGTTGGTTCCATTCTCCCCATCTATTTCAGGGACACCGATGAGTCATTGATTTGGTCTCTTTACATAATTCCATATTTCTCAGTGGTTTTGTTTGTTCCTGTTATTTCTTTTTTTCTCTATTCTTGTCTGTCTTATTTCAGAAAGTCACTCTTCAAGCTGTGAGATTCTTTCTTCCACTTGTTCTATTCTGCTATTAATACTTGTGATTTCATTATAGTGTTTCTTGTAGTGTTTTTTAATTTTTTTCAGGTCTATGAAATCAGTTTATGGTTTTTTTTTTCTATGCTGGCTATTTGTCTGTCAGTTTCTGCATTGTTTTATCATTATTTTTAGCTTCATTGGATTGGTTTTTAATGTAGTCCTGTAGCTCAATGATCTTTGTTCCTATTACTATTTGAATTCTAATTCTGTCATTTCAACCATCTCAGCCCAGTTCGGAAGAAAGAAGGCACTCTGGGTTTTTGAGTTGTTAGGCTTCTTATGCTGAATCTTTCTCATTTTTGTGGGATTATTTTCATTCAATATTTGAGGTGCTGATCTTTGGATGGGTGTTATTTTCTTTTCTCCTATTTGATGCCCTTGAGGAGCTGATTGTAGTATAAGGTGAGTTCAGCCAATTCGCTTTTTTTCTGTAAGATTTTAGCAGGTCAGTGCTCAGTTCCCAACTCCTAGACTTTATGCTCTAACTCCAGGAGACTTGTATTGGGCGCTGACCTTGTTTACTGGCTCTTTGAATTTAGGAATCCACTGTGCAGGAGGAGGTGAGGTGCTCTGGGACCGCTGATCACTACACTCCAATGGGTGGTGTCAGCTAAAGCGTTTCATAGCGTAGTGGCAGCAGGATCCACCCTCATTTTCAAGTGCTAGCAGCAGTGGTGACGGCCGCTGCAACAGAGTGCTAGTGGGTGCTGGGGTGCCTGCCTCCCTGCCAGCGTTCACCAGTGTCAGAGGCAACGCAGCTCAGGGGAGTAAACGGAGCCTGCTGGTGACTGTGCACATGGCCTTGCTGGTGGCGGTGTTGGCATGGGGACAGGGCAGTGGCTGCTGCAGGTCTGGGTGCCTCTTCTATGCCCTGCAAGCAGGAGTGGTCGCTAAGGGTAGGGGAGGATCTGCTGTTCTCTGCCTAGTGTTAGAGTAAAGGCGGGGTGCTGGTAGGGCAGGGCTTCCTGGATCTGTGCCCGCCAAGGCTCTGTCTTCAATGGCAGTGGGGGTGAAGTGCTCTTGCGCAGGCTGACAGAGCAAGAGAAACAAAACCCATCTGCACAGACACACTCCAGCAAAGCAATGTGGTGGGGCCCAGGGAAGCTGCAGTGTGGAGAGGGAGCCTGCAGACTGGTACGTGGCCCTAGGGGCCGCCCTGCTGGGGCTCTCCATCAGTCAGGCATGGTCCTTCAGTACAGAAGCTATGGGGCAGGCCCCCAAGGCACTTGAGGCTGCCTTGCAAGCAGGCATGGTCACGCAAGGGCCCCAGGAGAGGTCAACAGACCAAGAGGTGCTCAGTTCATAGGAACTGGTCTGATGGGCAAGACCACCCTGCAGAGTTGAGAACCACAGTTCCTGTAGCCTAAGTCTCCTATGGGAGCAAATTGAGCCTAGTGGGATGGCCGTCCCTGGCCATGCTCCACCCCAGGTGCTCCCACACCAAACCCTCTGGGCTCCACATCAGTTGGCTTGCTGCCCCTACGAGTTCTCTAAGCAGCTCTCTCTGCCAACTTGCATGTCCATGGTGGTTGAGCGGTCTCCTGGTGGGATTCCAGAGGCCCGTGGGGATAACAGGTTTCTCCTTGCCAGTTCAACTCACCTGTTCCTCCAGAGCCTTTGGGGACCAGGAATTAGTCTGGGTATGCTGTAACCCCAGATAGAATTCCCAGTTTTTTTCCCATTCAGCCTAGCTTCTGTGTCTTCCCTCCATCTGCTCTCAGTGGCTTCCCATGAAGATCTGTTAGGGGAACGCTCGTCATCAACCTGTTTTTGTGGGAGCTGTTCCACCTGGCTACATCTAGTTGGCCATCTTGCTCTCCTCCCTAGCCTTTTAGTTTTACCTCTGTTATTGATTTCAAATCATTCCATTGTGATTGGAGATGATACTTTACATTATTGTAATCTTTTGAACATTTATTAAGAATTATGTTATGGGCTAAGATATAGTCTGTCCTGGAGGATTATCTGCATTTACTTGAGAAGAATATGTATTCTGTTTTTGTTGAGTGGAGTGTTTTGCATAAGCCTGCTAGGTTCAGTTGGTCTCTACTGTTGTTCAAGACCTTGACTTTCATTTTAGTCTTCTGTCTGGCTGTTCTATTAATTATTGTAAGTGGGGTATTTACCTTTCTAATATATCTCTAGCCTTCCATTTGTAGTTACAAAAGTGTTTTGGCAGCTGCCAACATCTTCATTTTGTACCACACTGGAAAATAAAATAATAGTAGTCACTTATAATGATTTGTACTAATCCCTGGGTTCGCTTTTTCCGATTATCCAAAATTATATCACTTGGCTATTTGTAAACCAATTGCTATGGACAGGAAAATGTGCTGCTCCTGTTGCCTTAAGTGAATGAGGACCTATTCCTAGATTTGAGAGTAGGGTTATCCCTGCCCAAATCATAGTCATGAATTCAAAGGAATAAATTGTCCCCCTGCCCCCACCCCCCAAAAAATGAGAGTAAAGGTCTTTAGTTATGTTCCCACAGAAGTGGACTCTAAAACAACGATGTGAATACAGTTTATCTCACCTTGGGAGATGAAGCAGTAAGTCTCTAAAGGGTGAAGTTTTAAGCAGTTTTCTATGTAGGCAACTGGTGACCAATCTCACTAGAAAATTTTGGAAGAAAAACGTATTGATTACTGGTTGATGCCCGATTCAAAAGGGTGGTAACTCCATAGACCTTTCCACTTGGTTGGTAAGAGGGCAAAGTGGGGTCAGGCAGTTAGAGAAAGGCCTTAATCAAAGTCACAAGGGATTGCAGTTGGAAGTAGTTAGCTCTTGGGACACAGGAAAAGATGCAAAGGGGTATATACTGTGCATGTTCAGCCTATAGTATAGAAATACAGATGTGAAAACCAAAACAAGACTGAATAGATTCTTGAGAGTCCAGAAAAAATATCTACCACCACGGCTCTAAAAAATTAAGCTTATCTAATTTGAAAATACAAGTAGTATTTATTTATTTTGCTGTTTTAAATAAGTATTTTTTAACTTATTAAAAGGTTGCCAGTTTTAACTAATTGCTTCATAAATTTTAATTGAATAAAGCAATATTCTGCTTACACTGCATTCTTTCTTCTTTTTATTTTTGATTTAAAATTTAAGAAACTATTTTTCAATGTATGTGTGTGTGTGTATATATATATACACATATATATATATATGTCAATTTAAATACATCTTTTTTGTAAAGAGCTGAACAGTACTTTGGGTTTAGCATAGCTTCAGCACATCACATGTTATGTTTTAAAGCAATGCCAGAATCCACAATGTTTTGGACACAATGTCTTTATAAACCTATTTAGGAAAAGTAATAAAAATACAACAGCTTTCATCCCAAAATTATTCAAATGTGCTATCCTCAAGATGGCCTACTTTCTAACATTTTAATAAATTAACCCTCTACTTTCCATATTGTCTCATAAATGCAAGAATGCAATTCTTTTGGCTACATTCAGCTGAACTAAATTAAGTGCATAAGAACCTCTTAAGATTTTTCTTTTGAAAATATCTTTATTTCTAGAAAAATATGTAATATGTCTTTTAAATATAAAATCTGTATCTTTATTTAAATCTAAAATAAAATTATTCATAATTATATATTATTTTTGATATAAAAATTGTTTACAGAGCCATTTTCTTTACAGTTATCACTAAGCAGTCTATCAATATAGTATTTTACATTTCGGCCTTCCATATTCAGCAACTATTTTAATTTTCTACATCACCTGTTTAAAATAATTGTAGTCAATTTAGAAATAATCTTAGACATCTGAGATTAACCACTTCCACTCTGAGATTTAAACACAAAACAAAACAGAACAATAAAATACATGGTGTATTGTCTGAGGCGTATCAAACAATAGTGGGCATTGCTGATTGCCTCCCCAACATCCATTTCCCTCTTTCCTAATGGAAAATCTTCCTTGGTGTCATATATCTCAGGGGAAGCTCTTCCTCCCTCATTCTCAGGAATGGTCCTAATTATATCTGCTTGTAGTAATTGACTAAAAAACAATTTGATTAAATTAAGGCCAATGAATTATAAGTGAATCTTTATGATAGCATAGAGATTATATCTTAAGAAAGGGAAGTTGGAAAACTATCCCCCTCCTTTGTGAATGAAAAAAATCTAATTGCCCTTGGATGGCATCCTGTGTTCTTTATGGGAGAAAGTCAAAGGATGAAGCTAACACTGTGTGTGGCAGAAATGAAATTAGAAAAGCAAATCCAAGTATTTGATAACACTGCAGAATGACTGGTTCAATATTCTTAAGCTCACCCTGTCTCTGAACATTTTGTAGACGAGCCAATCACTTTACTTATTGTTCAAATGAGTATTTATTTCTATTATTTTTAGTGATACATAATGCACAGCTACTGCTCTTAGCCATTTAATGTCCTATATTTAGCAGTTTAATCTATAGCTTAGAAAAATCATAAAGTGCTTGTGGTTATTTTTAATTTCGTATATTGTAATTGTATATGATTTATCTCTGTTTTACAAATAACTCTAGCTTAAAATAATGAGCTACTTTTAAGCAGCATTCAATAAAGCAACAAGAGGATTGTAGAGAAGTACATTTTCCCCAGATTCCTACAGTAACAATAATATTTCTTATAGAAGATAACATTGTCATCTATGTATCTAATATCAGATTCAAGTATACACAATAAGCAAGCAATGCTATCTCTAGGAGTCTACTTGAAACTTAGTGTGTAATTTTGCTTGAAATACATAAAGACAACAATGATTAGTTACCTTTTGATAATTTATTGCCTTTTTGTGAGCTGCAGTTGACTAAAATTTTTTTAAAATGGTCCTGGAATACAATGATCAAGGAGGCATAATTTGAAGCTCATGCCATATAGTGATGTATTTTTTTCTGAGCAACTTGTCTATATTTTTTTTCAAAGCAAACATAATGACAATGAAAAGGTAGTAAATTTGTGTGTAACTTTAGGTAATTAGCTTCCGTCAAACTTTCTCTTTATCTCACTGGCAATATTTCTAAGTCTTGATTCAATTATGTTCTGTAAACTATGAAATCAGTAATGTGTACTCAGATATAGGCTTAGTGCATCCAAGAGACTGAGAGTTTGGGAAAGAAAATGAAAGTAGGTAGTAAATTCCAAGTAAGCCTAAACATTGGCATTTGGTAATAAAAGAAAATTGAGAATGTAATGACCATCAATGTATCCATGAGGTACAAAAGTGTGTGTGTGTTTGTACATGTATATACACTAAATATATATACACACACTACATATATATACACACACTACCTAGGTGTGCATATATATTACATATGTATGTAGACATATATATTCTACATATATATAGGTGTGTGTATATATACATATATATACACACTACCTATACAGACAGACACATACACACAAACACACACACACACACACACACACACATAGGTACAGTTGTCTCTCAGTATCCATGGGGAATTTGTTCCAGGACCACCTGGTAGATACTGAAATATATGGATGCCCAAGTTGCTTATAGAAAATGGTGTAGAATTTGCATATAACCTACCCACATCCACTTATATACTTTAAATCATCTCTAGATTACCTATAATACCTTCTACAATGTAAGTACTATGTAAAGAATCATTGCACTATATTGTTTAGAGAATAGTGAAAAGAAAAATAGTCTGTACATATTTAGATACTTCAGAGCTGTGGTTGGTTGATTCCATAAATGTGGAACCCAGAGGTATGGAAGACCAGTTATAAACACAAATATATATATTTGTGTGTGTGTATATATATATACGCACACATGCAAATATAAATATATGTGCACACACACATGCACACACACATATCAATTGTCACAAAGAAGTTAAAAATCACACCTTGCCTTATAACATAATTTGAGTTCACACCTACAGCATCCTCAATGCTCTAATCAATCTCATGTTAAAGCAATGACAATGACACAGTGAAAAACTGATCCACTCACTACAACATCTTGCACTTACAAGGATCATTTCTGGAATTAGAGTCATAGTGAAGCACTGGCTAGAGATTGCCTTAGAGAGTTGCATTTTATTGGATGGACAAGTGACTTTGATGATGAAAGATTATTGTTATGTTCCTTATGCATGCTTTGCAACTACTGCTATACTACCAATAAATATTGTTTAATAATTTATTTTCATAGAACTATGCTTAGATAACACATTAAAAAACAAATTTATACAAACATGGCATTATTTAACTAATATTTTAACCATTGCATTCCACAGGCAGGCTACCTCGGTAACATTAAATACTTAAAACAGAAGAAAGAGATAAAGTCATGTTATAGCTTTGAGTTAAGAAACAAAGGGTAATTCAAGCCTGAAATGGGTAATCTTTGATTTACAATCAGAGACAGGAAGCAGTGAATGGAAAGCCCAGTGACTGAGATGAGATACTGCATACAAAACAAATGCCTAGCTGATTTGTGATACTACCTTGTGCCTTGTACTGTTAATAGAAGCTCACAATCATTTCATTCTTAAAGTGAGAATTCATTAGGCTGAAATGAAACATAAGTCTCTATAGAATAAGAATAAGGAAAATTATCCCAATAGCTTTGCTTTTTTTACATAAAACTTTTCTTCAACAGCAACAGATAATTCAATATAGCCTATGGACTTACCACTACATACAGAAGCAAAATTTTAAAAATCATATATTTACTCTTCTATATGGATTAAGAGGTAAATAGGCCATATTTGGATGAGGTTTAAATACAATAATAGAATGAATATCCATACTCTATTTCTCAAGATTATCTCTGCATACATGACTTCAAATTTTACTTAGCAAAGGTTTATTGAGTATCGAATAAAAAAACACTGTGTGTATGCTGATATAGAAAAAAATCTCTGCCTCACAGAACTTAAATTCTAGTGGAGAACCTAGTATCTTGTTGGAAGGCATCTTTCATTTCCTATAATTTATCACGCTCTTTTTTTGCTGCTCTTTGAACTCAGAGTTTCTTTTGTTTTCATAAAAATTACTCTTACCTACTTCTACTCATTCTCCAATATCCCAAATATTACTTCTGGAAAGGTTTTCTAATTATATAAAATTTAATTTAGTGCTTACACTTTATATCCTAAGAGTAGCTGATGCATACTCTATTATAGTGCTAATTATATTTTATTGAAATTGAATTGGCTATCTTAATAAGATTTATATGTATTATTGGGTCTATTCCAGTGTCTACAAAACTGCTTGAGACATAAAGAGTGCTGAATAAAATTTGTTTAATTTAGGGGATGAATAGGCATTGTGTTATATTCTCTTTCTATATAAAGAACCGTTATGTATAAGTATGTTCTCTTTTATTTTAGAATGGATAAGATTAAGAGTTAAATGTTTCTTAATGAAGCAAAATCAACTATTTAATTTAAGAATCTGGTCAACAGATGAGCCTGGAAGACATTATGTTAAACAAAATAAATCAGGCACAGATAGATAAATAATGTATATTCTCATATATGGGAGCTAAAAAAAAATGAGCCCATGAAAGTAGAGAGTAGCATTGTGGGTTAGAGGCCAAGAATGGTAGAAGGGAAGGGAGACTAAGGAGAGATTGGTTAATGGTTAATTACAGCCATATAGGAGATATTAGTTCTGGTGTTCTACAGCTAGATTATGGTTAGCTATACTTTATTGTGTATTCTCAAAAAGCTAGAAAAGAGGATTTTGAATCTTCACAACACAAATAAATGATAAATGTTTGAGGTGACGGTTTTGCTAATTACCCTGATTTGATTATTATACATTGCACACATGTATCCAAATATCATTCTGTATTCCATAAGTATGTATACTTATTACCTGTCAATTAAAAATAAAAGAAAAATAGAATCTGGCCAAATTTATCTATAACATTATTTTTAAAGAATTCACTTTTTTTATTTTTTTCTTTTTGTTTTGATGTTATTGGGTCATGTCAAACAAGCAAGCAAAATAAATTAGATTTTATATTTGGTGACTTCTCAAATAAGCATTGAGAATATGGAAGCATACAGTGATGGAAACGTTTTATTAGTATGTTAGAACATAATTGGTAGTTTGTTCTACTAAGATTAAATGTAATTATGAATCTAAATTCATTTAAAGACAATATAATTTTCTAATATGCAAACTATATTTATTAGTCACAGTATGAAATGAGGAATTGGATGGACTGAGCAGGTAAAAACATTTGATAAAAAGCCCTATTCTTACAATTTGTACCTGTACAATTGTGACAAGTTTTTAATTTCTCTCAGTATCTACTTCACTTTTTAAAAAATCCAACTTATTGTTATATTATAAAATGATACTCTTTTTAAATGTTTGACATGTATATATTAGAACTAGAGTAGTTGCAAAAATAATAATAAAATGTCAATGCTTTAAACTCTATACTTCATAATATTGGCTTAGCAAATTTTCTTTCTTCAGTGTAATGTATCACTGACAGCTTAACAAATTATTGAAAAAATGAAAAAGAAAAAAATGAAGACAATTTGTCTTTTCAGTCTTTGTGTATACTAGATTTGAATGAAAAACTATATTATGAATTGACCCTAAACTGTAATCTTAAAATAATCTGATAGCTATTATCTGTTCTTGTCAGAATATTTAAAAATCTCTCTATACATGGTATATTTAAATAATTTTCCTTTCGTTAAATAAAAATCTTGTATGCAACATACTATGAAAGACTTAATTCATAAGGCAATATTATGAATGGAATTCTATAGAGGTCATTGTACATATTTATTAAGATTTTAAAATAAAGCTTCTAAGATACAATGTTTAATTTCTTTGCCTAACACAAAACACTTCATCTTCTATGTCTACAAAAGTTTTAAAAGCTTGCATACAGGTAAATGTTTGAGGAACATTTACCTGTGAAATAATTATTTAAAAATTAATATAAAATATTTGAAAATATTTATTTAAAATATGTTTTAAATTGAAATGAAAATATAAAAATATTTATTTAAAAATTTTAAAATATGTACTTAATATACTAGTACAATACCACCTGGTAGAAAGTGTTTATTTTTATTTTTCATTTTTTCAGAACAGTATTAGTCATTGTATGATACTGCAAAAGTCACACCTCACTATACTAATAAGCACACTGCAAATAAGTGACAAATTTGTTTGAAAAAGCCTTTTGTCTAAAGTCATGATTATGTCCTAACTGAATGGTAGACAGAAAGAATAAATTGCTGATTGTTCAGATTATACACAGCAGCTAATAATCTATAACACTGGATAAGAAACACATTACAGTTATCAAGTAAAATGATACTTTTCATATAGTTGAGATTAATGTGAAATAATATGGCTAGCTTGAAGCATATTGCTTTAAAATATATAACCCAACTTCAGATTTAAAAAAAAAAAGATTAAAAGTAAGCAATATTAACGAAGGGCAAATTATTTTTCCTCTGAAAATGAAATGAAAATCTCTAAATGTAGTGAAGTACATCCAAATTAGATTTTTTTCCTTTCCTTAGTCTTTCTTCCTTTGGCGTGTCCTTAATTTTTCACTTGCTCTGGATTTAAAAAGTGGTTTGACTCTCTTTCATTTCCTAACAAATCTGGTGCCTGATAAATGTTCACCGAGATCCTCATACTCTGGGGAACTTAGATCTGTATATATTAATCACAATGTGGATAGTTTATTTTCCTTTTTTGTTCTGCTTTCCTTGTCAAAACTTGAGCTGATATATGGACCCAGGAAGAAAGTAGCAACCTCAGTTCGATGTAATTCATATAATACGAGTTTGAATTTTTGTTCTCAGGATTTCCTCCTTGTCTTTGTGTTTTGAAGAGGCTTTAAATCTTTCTTTTTTCCTCTTTCGTCACTGTCACCATCTTTTGCAATTTCTTTGGCAGCTTCCTCACCATTCTGTTCAGGTTTAAAAAATCTTCCTATTACAAATGGCTTTTAACACATCCGTTCTCTGTTCTTCTTTTCACGGCATTCTAATGTTGCTTTGATCCCTTTTCTTCCCATTTCTTCTCATTTCTCCTCTTTTTTTTTTCTTTTGGTTTTCATTCCAAATGTCTTCTTATATTGACACTAGATTACTCAGTAGGTAGTTCACATTGATCTGGCTACTGTTTAGAAAGCAGATTTCATTTTAAGTAGAGAAATGGGAATGTCTGAAGAAGTATCCTTTGTAGAACAAAACACTAGGCTGCTGCTTTCAGATTCTTCCCCACTTTGGGGAAAGTGGGGAGTGATCGACCTCTAAAAATACTAACAGTTTATAATTTTATCCATCTGATTATTTTAAAACCCATAAAATTATTAATAAAATTCAAACCTTTCTGTATGTATTTTTCAAGTAATTTTGTTAGTGTAGTCTATTTCTTCATATACTAGAATAGCTCTAAGTTAGAAAAAAACAGAGGAAAGGAGGAGCCAAGGCAGGGATTGTTATCAAATCAAATGGGATAAAAATATATTCCTCTGGAAGCATGTGCTCATTCTCTTTAATTGAGCCCCTATTTGTTTCTCAATTTTTCTCTGTTGCAGTATGATAGCTTTTATCCTCACTGTTTTGTTTCTCCCCTCTTCTCATTTATACTGTCAACTTACATTTAGGGCAGTGAGAGTTAACTAGCTCACTGTGACATTGCAATCAATTAATCACATTTAGCTTTCCATCCTGACTTCTTATTGGCTGGTTTGTAATTGAGCCATGGGGCAAAAGCCATTTCCAGCCGCAGTCTGTCAGCTTGTTCAGCAGTTCATTTATTAGTTTGATAAGATAACCTTTCACAGCAACATCTAATCAAAAGCATCAAGTTTCACATACAGTGGAATTATTCAGAAATTCACGCCTAGATTTTTCTTGGGTCAGATATAAGGGACAGAATTTTGTTCTCTGGGAATTCGAAATAGTAATACAGTGTGTAGCCCCCTGGCCATTAAGCTCTGGGTCAAGATTTTGATAAAGACCGTAGACTATAAGGCACTTGACAGCTAAGTTCCTGGAGTACAGAAATGTAATTTTTTCCCTAACTTTAAATTTTATTATATAAATCTAAATTTACTAAGCCATAACATTTAGAAATGTTAGTAAAGTACTATATTTTGTAGAGAAATTTTAACTTTTTCTGTATTTTATACTGTTTAATATCTAGTAAAAAATTATCCTGACTTCACTCCTTTTGTATAATAAAAATGGCACATCAGCAAAAAGCCTCATTTTCTGTAGAGAGACATCTTTACTGTACTATTTAGTTCAGTGTAGTAGAAGGAGGCAGGGTTCCACTTACCCTAGGAGATATATCGCCAATACGTCAGTACTAACTCACAATACAAATACAACTCCCATCATATTAAATCCATGGCAGAGCACAACAGAACAGAAAGCAACATCACATACTCTCTAATATCCAAGTCCCTACCTCCCTTACGGAAAGTATTACAGTCCCTTTTCTTTTAATCTTTTTATGTTTAATTTTATATGTACATAATATTTGTACATATTCATGGGGTACACATTATATTTTGGTAGAAGCCTACAATGTATAATGATCGAATCAGGGTAATTGGGATATCCCTCAGCTCAAATGTTTATCATTTCTTTGTGTTGATGGATGAAGGGGGTTATGTAAATGCCAGGCCATTGCAGCCCTTTTAAGGACTGGACAATTTTAACAGATTTTTTAGATCCAGAGCTTCTCCGTGAGGTTGGTTGAGGCTGACACACCCGATCAGCATCAGAACCCAACTACTGTCATTTTTATTTTGCTTTATTTTCCAAGATGGCAGATTAGAGGCTTTTAGTGTACCTCTGCCACTTGGAAATAACAAGATAGTGCATAAAAATAAATTCTGTGAGCTTTCATTCAAGAAGGAAAATGGAAATCCACCGGAATCAGGAAGGACATTCCAGATCCCTGCGAGGAGAACGTGGGCAAACAGCCCCTGTGATGGATCCGACTGATAAAAGTGAGTGAAGCCCCAGTATGTGAGAGCAGCAAAGAGCCTCCTTCTGTGACTCATCTTTCCACTGTGAATCTGAGCAATAATCCAGGCCAAGAGATAGCACTTTGTTTTTCCCCAGTGTTAGAGCTAACTTGGAAAGAAACTTGGAGGTGTTTAGTGGGAAAACGTGGGACGAAGAGCAGGATGACATTTTTCATCCGAGTACATACAAAGTCAGCTATTCTTTGGAAACCTAGTAGCGTGGCTAAACAGGCATTTTATTCTTGGGCCAAAAACTGGAGTGCTTGCTCTGGAGTGGGACAGGCACCTCCACAGGCAGAATTGCAGAAAGCTCCTCAGCAGTAGATGCTGAAATTCTGCTCTCTCCTGGTGCAGGTCTGAGGTAGGAGGAGAGTTGCTCCAGCTACAGTTTCTACTGGGCAGCAAGACTTGCAGCCAGGACCAGTTTGACAACCTGGAACCCATTTGCATGCACTACTGCTGTATGCCCCAGCCTCCTTTCCTGAGATAGTGGTGCAGTGAGACCCTGTATGCTCCACTCCCAGGCAGAACTCCAGGCATTTGGAGCACACATTTACCTGGACCAGCAGCCTGAGCCACTGTACCCTTCCTGGGCATAGATCGTGATGCAGGGGAGCCCTCTCTGCTGCTTCATGACCAGGCAGATATCAAGGTATTTGGAGCACCTGCTCATCCAGATCAGCAGCCTGAAACACCCTCCGCTTCCTGTGCGGAGATTGTGGTAAAGTCGGGCCCTCTGTGCTCACTTCCCAGGCAGATCTCCAGGAATCTGGAGCACCCACTCTCCTTGATTAGGAGTTTAGGCTGCCCTCACTCTGCAGAGAACTTGGGGCCAAGGAGGATTCCCAGCTCCATGCCTAGGCACACCTCTGGTTGCTTGGTGGCTACCCACTGGATTCTCCCTTGGCACTGGTGCTTATGTCTGCTATTGGGGGACCTGCAGGTAGGCCTGCTTGGTCCAGCCCTGCCCATCTTTCCCCCTATCGCCCCTGAGGCAGAGCAGGAAACTCAGACCTCTGTGCATTCCACAAATCAGCCCCTTGCTGAGGCAAGAGAGAGCTTCTCCCAGTAAACAAGGATCACATAGAAACCCAGCCACATTGGCTGCAGCTGGCTCTTACACTTAAGTGCCATCTACTGTCTTGTAGGTCAAACCACATGGCTCAATATAAAATGTGCCAACATAAGTGCATAGGGCTATAGAAGCAAAACCAAAAGACCCTATCCATCATTCTCTATATTCACACCCACTAGGGAGAGAGTAGGAAAGAAAAAAAAATAGAAAAATAAAGAAAAGGAAAAAATCTTAATCACATCAAAATAATTACAATTAGTAGAAGTGCCAGCATCTCCAGATGATAAGGAACCAGGGCAAGAATCCCGGCACCATGAAAAATCTGAATGTAGTGACACCACCAAAGGGTCACAGCAGTCCTATAGCAATGGTCCCTAACAAAAATGGAAACACAGAAATAGCAGATAAATAATTCGAAGTGTGGATGCAAAGAAGTTGAATGAGATTCAAAACAAAGTTGAAAATAATCAACACAAAGAAACTTCCAAATCATTCCAGAAAGAAAAGGAAGGGATGAATATCTTAAAAAGAAATGAATCAGAGCTACTGGAATTGAAAAAAATCACTTAAGGAATTTCATAATACAACTTAAAGTGTTAGCAATAGAGTGAACCAAAGAGAAGAAAGATTTTCAGAGTTTGAAGGCCAGTCTTTCAAACTAACCCAGTGAGACAAGAATAAAGAAAAATGTTTTTAAAAAATGAACAAAGCCTTTAAGAAATATAAGATTATGTAAAGTGACAAAATATACAAATTATTGACATTGATGAGAGAGAAGGAGAAAAAGTAAACAACCTAGAAAACGTATTTGAGGGAAGAATTTAAGAAAATTTTCCTAATCCTGCTGGAGAGGTAGACAGTTAGATACAAAAATTCAGAGAACATCTGTGAGATATTATAAAAGACAAAAATATTCCCCAGGTATATAGTCACCAGACTGCAATGGACGATGCTAAAAAAAAATCTTAAAGGCAGCTAGATAAAAAAGGTCATATCATATACAAAGGAAACCCCTATCAGGCTAACGACAGATGTCTCAGCAGAAACCTTACAAGCCAGGAGAGAGTGGGGGCTTATTTTCATCATTGTTAAATACAAGAAATTCCAACCAAAAATTTCCTATTCCACCAAAGTAACTTCATAAATGAAGGAGAAGTAAAATATCTTCCAGACAAGCAAGTGCTAAGGGAATTTGTTACCAGCAGAACAGTCTTAAAAGAGTTATAAACATGGAAATGAAAGATCAAAGCCTGCTACCACAAAAACATACTTAAGTACATAGCCCTCAGATTCTATAAAGCAACCACACAATATAAACTACAAAGCAAGAAGCTAACAATTTCAAAACTTCCCATATCAATATTAACCTTGGATGTAAACGGTACAAATGCCCCACTTAAAAGGTATAGTTACCAATTGCATAAAAGAAAAGACCCATCCATCTTCTGCCTTCGAGAGACCCAACTCAAAATGGATTAAAGATTTCAATGTTAGACTTCAAACTATAAAAATTCTAGAAGAAAACCTCAGAAACACTATTCTGGACATCAGTCTTGGAAAATAATTTATGACTAAGTCCTCAAAAGCAATTGCAACAAAAACAAAAATTGACAATTGGGTTCTGATTAAACTAAAGCGCTTCTGCGCAGCAAAAGAAACTACCAACAGTGTGGACAGACAACCTACAGAATGGGATAAAATACTCACAGACTATGCATCTGACAAAGGGCCGGTATCTATAATCTATGAGGAACTCTTAACAATTAAACAAAAAGCAAATGAGCTCATTAAAATGTGGGCAAAGGACATGATCAGACCTTTCTCAAAGGGAGATATACAAGAAGGCAACCAACATGAAAACATGCACCACATCACTAATCATCAGAGAAATGCAAATCAAAACTGCAACAAGATATCATTTGACACCGGTCAGAATGGCTATCATAAAGGAAAAAAAAAAAGGTGCTGGCAACACTGCAGAGAAAAGGGAATGCTTATACACTGTTGGTAGGAATGTAAATTAGTTCAACCACTGTGGAAAGTAATTTGGAGATTTCTCAGAGAACTTAAACTGTCATTTGACTCAGCAGTTCCATACCAGTTATATACTCAACAGAAAATAAATTGTTCTACCAAAAATATACCTGCAGTCATGTGTTTATTGCAGCACAATTCGCAATAGCAAAGACAAGAAATCAACATACATACCCATCAACAGTGGATTGGATAAAGAAAATGTGGTACATATACACCATGGAAATCCATGCAGCCAAAAAAGAATTAAATCATGTCCTTTACAGTAACATGGATGCAGCTGAAGGCAATTATCCTAAGCAAATTAATGCATTATCATAAGTGAATAACAGAAAACCAAATATGGCATGTTATCACTTATATGTAGGAGCTACACATTGTTTAGTCATGAATATAAAGACGGCAACAATGGACACTGTGGTCTGCTGGTCAGGGGGCAGGAGCAGGAAGAAAGTTAAGTTTTGAGAAACTAACTTTTGGATACTGTCCTCACTACCTGGTTAACAAGAGCATTTTTATCGCAAATTTCAGCATCATATAATATACCCATGTAACAAACCTGCACATGTATCTCCTGATTCTAATATAAAAGTTGAAACTATTTTTAAAATACAATAAAATAAATAAAAGTTAAACAAAAAAGAGACAGAAACTCAACTACTCCCACTGCCAGACCCTGCTTCCTACTTCTCCTTTCCACAATCTCAGAGTCCATCCCAGTCTCCTTCCCAGAGAACTTAACCCATGAAATGTGGTAAGAATTTTTCACATTTTATTCATGTTCTCAATTCCAGTATGCTTTCATTATGCAAAAGCATAGGTTGACTCAATGCTACTAACTATGATTAAGAGTAAGGAAAATGAGCGTTTCTTCATTTGACTTACTATGTACTCACAAGACGAGCTGCTTAGAATGAAGTTAAAATGTTTCATTTGTTGAGTACTTACTATGTTCCAGCCATTTTTCTAAGTATTCTATTGGTATCAGTTTTTTAATGTAATCCGCAAAACAATTGAGGAAAGAGAAATATGGCATTTAAAGTAATGAACAAAGTTATATGGCTCCCTGAAAGTACCAGAACCTACATTTTGGATCTCAGGCAATCTGATCTCAGAATCTCTATTGTTAGTTAATTTGGAGAAGGTTTATTCCAGTGGTTCTCACATATGTGCATGCACATGTATCAGAAGTACCTGGGAAGCTTGCTAAAACACACATTGCTGGGCCCCACTCCCAGAGTGTTTCAATTAGTAAACTGGGGGTGGGGTCAGAGAAAGTGTATTTCTATCAAATTTTTAGGTGGTAATCCTGCCAACCCAAGACTACACTATCAAAACCACTGGTTTCAACAATGCTATAGACATCCTCTTCATTTATCTAGGTGTGATATAGTTGAATCAATTATCTATGGATCTAGACTAATTATTTACACAGTAAATGAAGTAAATGGATATGCTACTCTATTTTTCAGTTGCTTATAACTGCTATTGTCTCCCCATGAACAAGGGAGTTGAACCTGGATTAACAATCTATATATACACTTTGATTTGTTTGTTGATAACAATGCAAAGATCTGAGAAAAGCTAAGTGGTAGAGTGGTTGTGGTTGTGGAGTTCTTTTACTTTTAAAAAATTTTATACAATTCTTCATTATTTAAAAAATAGTGTTTAAATAAACACATTAACTTTATAATTAAGCAAGAAGATGAAGAAAAAGAGGGAGAATGGAAAGAAGAAAACAGAAAAGCAGCTAAGCCATTTTCCCTTGGCTGAATAGGTAGTCAGTTCTGCTATAACGTGACATGTGCATTTTAAACAATTCTTTTGCTACACAATATTGCATAATAAAAATCACAAGGATTATGGAAATATGGAGAAACAACACAAAAATTTTCTCAGTGACATACTTTTTAAAAGGTAGAATCCTAATAAAAATTACAGCAAATTTTATTTATGTTAAGTAGTTAAGAAATGCAAAAGTAGTACATAAATATATTAGAATGCCTTGGAAAAGACCTGACACTTGCTACAGGAAGTGCTGATGTTAGGTGGCTCATTTTTCTGAAATGTTGGAAGGAGCATTACTTAAAGTTGGATGTGAAATTTCAACACATCCAACACATGCGGATGGGAATGGTTAATTGTCCTTTGCATTAGTACCAAACATTACAATTGCAGCAAATAGTTTTTATTTTTGACACTGAGGCATGATTTTATTCTTTCGGGATGTAATCTCTTGAGTCATGCATCTCTGAGTGATGCCTATTTCATCAAAATTGAAAAGTCGATCAAATGTGTAGTCTTCTTCAAATAATTTCTGTAGAATGCCTGGGAATTTTTTTTTTTTTTTTTTTTTTTTTTTTTTTTTTTTTTTTTTTTTTTTTTTTTTTTTTTTGCCCCTCAAATTTCTCCTATGCACTAATGGCTTGACCCAAAAGCTAAATACGTAGGAGATTATAGCAATGTTTGAAATCACTAAACCAGTCACTTCCACCACTCAAATGAGACCCTTCTACAATGTAGGCATAGCAATTTAAAGTCTTCATATATACATAATGCTTTTTTTTTTAATTGTGAAAATGGTGCTTCCAAAATTTTTACAATTCGTCCATCCTTAGGCTCAAAATGGTCTCCCTTTTACTATTTCTTTAGATCGTGTTCTTATGGCTTCGCAGCATTTGAAGTTGTTCTTTTATTTTTGTGTCATTGTCTGATGTTCTACGATGCCGATTTCTTTATACCTACAGCTGGAGATACCACATATAATGTAGTTTCTCCCAAAATACTTTATTATTCCAATCTCTTTCTTACTGTCTAGATTTCCTTTTTTCATTCACGGCTTGGTGTTCTGGGATTGGAAGTGTTATACCTATTTAGTGTTAAATCATATATGTGTGTGTTTGTGTGCAAGTATATACATATGTATTTTATATATATGTGTATAAACATACATAATCTCTCACGAATGAAAAAGAATTGCAAAACACACCTTAGTTGAATAACAAGCAACATGAACCAAGACTGAGGTAGGTGGCAGATGTTTGAGGCCTATGCATGTGTGTCTTTTGTGTATTCCTACACAGCTCAATTCAGCTGGATGTAGTTATCTGCATTCAACTAGGGTTTATCAGAAACAAATCATGCCTAAGCAAACATGAAATTTTCATTATATTTAAATTGTTGACTAATATATCAATTGCATGGAGTAAATTGTTTTAAAACAAGCATTATAGCAGAACTGACTGCATATGCTTGTGAAGATAAAATATAAAATCATAGAAGCTGTGGCTGTTGGAGAGTAAATATTGAAAATATGCCTTAGAAAGGTTATAGGGCTGCATCTGCTATTATATATGTCATTTATTTCAATGTGTTTTATAGGCTGAAGTCTTCTTATTGGCTGACAGAGAATTTATTTTCCAGATAAATGCACCCAAGTTAAAGATTTGCATTTGTATCTTCTTTTTTTGCTTAGCACAAATCACTTTGCACCTTTGGTTCTTGGCAAACAGCATCAGTTGAAGAAATTTTGCTGGCAACATTTGACAAATATACCCATTTAAATGGTTCTTATATCTAATACCATATTAAATATTTTCTCCTAAAAATAATATCCTTTGTTCCACCAGATTCTATGATTTCACATATTACTAAAGCTGACAGTTACCTCTGAGACCAGCATTTTATTACCACAGGTTATACATGAAGAAACTGAGGTTCAGAGAGGTAGAGTGCTCCCTCTATTCCCACAGGTGTTCAGAGGTTACAGCAGGGCCTATATTACAGACCTTTCTACTCACATCACTGTGATTGTTTGCATTAAATATAGTTTTGTTTCTTATTGCACATTTTACTCTCTAATCACTTCATACACTCTCCCAGATAAAACAACAAACTTTTTAGAACTCTGAAACAAAGAGAATCCTTTCTCAAACTCACTGTCAATTTATCTGAGATGGCTTAACATAAAATCAATATATTTTCAAGAACTTCCTTTTGACCCAGCCATGCTTAGCAAACAAGGAAAGGTATTTCTGTGCACTAAGTGTAACAGGCAAAAAAGCCATTTTCAATTAAAAAAATTCAACAGAACTAGAAAAGCCAGATATAACTGAAAACACTCTCCTGTGATTTTTATATTTATGCCTTCTTTCCTTCTTTAGATCACAACTCTCAAAGAAGTCTCCTTGAACTGCCAGGTATATGCATATCCAAGGGTTTTTCACTCATTACAAAAGACATAAATAGACTACTGTCTTTGAAGTTAAAAAATATTGAGACAGACTTAGGAGTTCTGCCTGTTTGTAAAGACGGCGTTAGTTAACCTCTCCGGGGATCTTTATGTAGAAGAGAGATCACTCTTGGATTGGTTGTAAAGATTAAGTAAGAATATAATAATGGTGGTCGGCTCATAGTAGGCTCTGAAATGTCATAGATATCATCATTACTTCTGTAAATGTAGCATTGCACCTATTGGTCACAGTGTGTGAACTTTAGAGCGTCATCACTTGAGTTTGTGTCTAGATTGCCACTTCCTAGATGAGTATCTTTTATCAAGTTCCTTAAACTTGTTGAACATCACTTTTCTCGTTTATAAATGGGGTGATATTATTAGTACTTACCTTATTGGGTTGTTGTAAGAATTAAATGAACAACCTAAAACTTTGCATGTTATTTCACCCTCCACCCAGCCACCATAAAAATTCCCTATGGGGACTGTTGTGGAGTTGGGGGAAGGGGGAGGGATAGCATTGGGAGATATACCTAATGCTAGATGATGAGTTAGTGGGTGCAGGGCACCAGCATGGCACATGTATACGTATGTAACTAACCTGCACATTGTGCACATGTACCCTAAAACTTAAAGTATAATAATAATAAATTTAAAAAAAATCCCTAAATGAATTTATATGTTTTCCCAATGGCACAAAAAACACAGGAAGTCAAACTTAAGGTTAGCTACTCTTATTGGAGGCAAGTTACAAAGAGAACGAAATACAATGATCCATGGTTTTCAACTAGGTTTAGTGCTATTTTTTTTTATTTTGTAGTTTAGTCCTGATCTTATGTTGTAACAAAGAGTATGATTTTTAAAAGTACTATAAAGCCTAGAATTCTTCTGTGCAAAATCTTGACTATGTAATTTATAAATGCATTACATGTTTCACTGACCAAATATACCTCATACAAACAATCACATTCAAGCACCTGGAGAATTCTAGAAAAAAAGGAAATTGGAGCATAAAGGGATACTGAAAGCTGCATAGTGAAACTGTGGGTGCATAAAGCTACACTTTCAGATAGGGAGGCAGCTTTATGTCTGCAGTTAAAACTTAATCTACCATTATAACTCAAACCCAAGGTCTAATAGGAGAGAGGAGGCACTGCATAGCGAGAGCGAGACTTTTATTCATACACAAATAGCAGTCAGGAAATACAACGCAATTATATAGAGAATTCCAGGCACAATAAATAAATGCACTCTTGTTAAATTTGCCTCAATGTGAAGGTAATATTTTAACATTCTGTTCTCAGCCTTTCAAATTGATTTCCTTTACTTGTCGTACATTTTTAAACAAACAACTGCATTAAAAAAATAAAGTCATTTCAATTGTTGAGCAGTTAATACTAGTATCTACCTTATTTAAAAGAGTCAAAACAAGGTTAATGCAGGTGTATTGACATCTTAACGGCTCCTGACAAGGTAATAGCTCCCTAAGAAAAGTAAAGGGTAAAGGTGTGGATACTGTAGCAACATCTAACATAATAGGATAAAATTATATTAAGTATATTTTTTGCTTTGTTTTCAGGGGTATAGTATATAATAGCTTTTTGAGAATAATGGTCTTACTGAAAATCACTACAAGAGTTAACTAAGAACACAGACATAAAATGTATATTAAAATATTAATACAAGTTAGTAACTAGTATTCGTTAGCTAGTAAATTAATAAAAATGTTAATATTAATATAAATACTAATATAGATTAAATATAATATGAGTCAATGCACTAAAAGTTGTATATATTTCTTTTAATATGCATAAGAACTTTGGTGGTAGGTTTTATTTTTATCCCAATTTAATACACAGGGAATGAAAATACTGCAAGAGATCAATTACCCTGACCAAGGTCACGGCAACTTAGAGACACAGCAGAGACAAAAGAGCCCAGTACCTGATTTACTTTTAAATATCAATCAAACACATATGAGTTTTTCTTTTGTGTGACTTTTAATTCAGTTGTGCTGACAACATTTTCAAAATCTATACCTATACCGAAGTCAACTGATAAACCCATTTTAACATGGTGTTTATGTTCCTTTTACACAATCTGTAAATTAATTGCATTATGGTTTCTGCCCACTCACTTGTCATTACAGTCAGCCTTGTTTGGTGGATGCACTTCTCAAGGGTCTGCAGTATTTGAACAATTCAAAGCAATATTTATGAATTTGCAGTGATCCTTCCTTAATAACTGAGACAAGCCTAGTCATTGCTCAAAATTTTCAAGATATTCTAGGACTTTCATTGTGAAATTTCCTTTCTGAGCAAAGCCACATATACTTGTATTTTTCTCACTTCCTAACTCCTATGCAACAGGGTGTGCTTGCTTTATTTCCCTGTTTTCTAGTTTATAGGCTGTCCTCTGAATTAACCTGGTCTTCTATTAAGTCCAAACCACATGAACCACAATTTTAATGATGCCCTGTTTGTGCAGCATTAGGCTTTTCTCAGGACTTTGTAGAAGAATGTCTGGGTTTCTAATTTAGCTTTAAAATATGCTATGTTTGTATTCTTGGGAGTTAAATAATTTTTGAAATCCAATTCTTTCATGTGTGAAAATGGATTAAATAACAGTAGTAACCATATAAAGTTGGTGAAAGCAATGTAATGAAACAATTCAATTAAAACATGTTGGCTGACAAATAATATGTGTTAATTGACATTATTAGCATATAAAATATCTTTACCATGTTTAACCTCCACCATATATACTAGCTTATGATCATTTCACTAGTTTCATCTTCAAGTATTTTCAGAATGAATCTATATTTTTATTACTAATGCTTTCTCAATATCTTGATGGCTAGTTGGAACTATTACAAATAAATTCATTATATCATCATAAATGGACATTTTCTCTGTTGTCTTCCTTAGAAATTATTTCAGAATTTGGCACTTTTGACAATAATTGATTTTAATTCTGATTTTTTTGTTTCTGCAACCTTTACTATTCTTGTGTCTTCTCCCACCTCATCAGCACTTTCATATCTTCATCACTTCTCCTCCTATTCAATGAAACTCCTGTCATCAAAATATGTCATTGTTTTACCAAAAGGGTTTGGATTGCAACATAAATCAGACCTTACCTAGCACCAACCTACATTAGTAATGTAAAAATCTAGGTGAAACTCTTGTTTCTGTAGAAATTCATATCTGTCAGACAGTTTCCTCAGTTTCCAAATTGATTTAAAAATAACTGAAGATCCTGAAAAATGTGTGCAGATATATTATTCTCAAAAAAGTTGTCCCAGTTTTGAGCTCCTTAGTTTTATGCTCTTATACAGAAAATTCCTAAACAACAAGCTCCTTTTAATCACGCATCCAAGCCCCACTAATCCAGATCTTTATTAATAATAGGCAAATCAAACATATACTGCTAAAGAGCATTTTTTTAAAAAAATACCTCAGTTAACTTTTCATTAGTACTACCATTAGTACTTTTCCAAGGACGTGTGATCAAAGTTGTTTATTTTCTTCTGCAATGAGACTTTCAGTAGGGAAGGAGTGAGTCAGTTATATGTATTCATTTCATGGGCTATTTTTTTTCAATCCAATCCTAGAGCTGGCATTTCCCCGAAATCAATGTCCACATCTCTTAACAAATTACTAACTCAAATATTCCTGCAAATGCCCTGCTATCACTTCAAACTCAATATCTTCAGAATCACAAACATCATCTTTTTTTATTTAAAATTTGTTCTTTCCATATTTTCAATTTGTCTTGATCACCTCAGTGTCCTGGTAGTCATTCAAACTTGCCTGGAATTCAAATCTTCAAATGTGTCATGAATTGGTCCTCATTTACATTTTCAAATCTACTTTCCAGTCACACTTTAGCCAAGTGGTACAGCTACTTATTACTTACTGTTCTAGTCTATATTCTCTCACCTTTAATTCTTTTCTCAGTTCCTTTATTCAGAAAACCAATTTATATATTTCATTATCTCTGAAAACCCCGCTTAAACTAAACTTTCTTTCTCTCTCAAAACACATCTATAGATCTACTTCATCATTAAAGTAATTTTCCCTTTTTATTTATTGCTAACATTCAGATAATATGAAAAATTCAAAATGAAAGTGATATTCCTAAGTATACCTGCCATTATCCATTACAAATTTGTAGTTTCCACAGAGCAAGACCTCCAGTGTCTTATTGTGGATAGCTTTCAGCACCTAGCTAAGTGTAGTTTTGATTTTAAAAAAATTTAGATGTTGTGGATTTAAATCAAATTGCTTCTTTGAAAAGCTCAAATTTTCTAGATCAATTTTCAATGAAATGTAATGAATAATATTTTTTCTGAAAGCAAAGCTGTGAGGAATGAAATAGATTGTAAGTAATATTTCATTTCATATAGAATCTCTTGCAGATCCAGTTTCTGACTAAAAACACTAGTAATTTTCTTCTACTTTTCCACTTGCTTTGCCTTATTTGCCCACACTGAATTACATGTTTTTCTCAAATGAGCTGCGATCTTGCGATCTTTAATGCTTCTCTGTTTATCCATAATGCTTTCCTTGCTCCTTCTGCTCCCTTCTCATTGCCAACCTAAGTTTTATTAATTCATCAAAAAGCAGTGAAACACTGCCTCTTCTAAGAACGCTTACCTGAAATTCTTTGGAGAACTTAAACTCTTCTTCAGCACCTTCACATAATGCTATGGGTTTAATGTGTCCCCAAATTTTATGTGTTGGAAACATAATCCTCAAAGTGGCAGTATTGTAAGGTGGGACCATTAAGAGGTGGTTGGATCATAAGGGTTCCACACTCATTAATGAATTAACGGAATAATGGGTTTTCATGAGAGTAAAACTGGTGGCTTTATAAGAAGGGGAGGAGAGAGTTGAACTAGCACACTCATCCCCTCTGTCACATGATGCTCTGTGCTGCCTTGTGACTTCATAGAGTCGCCACCAAGAAGAAAGTTCTCACAAGTTGAGACCCCTCAACCTAGACTTCTCAGCCTCAAAGTTGTAAGAAATAAAGTTCTTTTCTTTATAAATTATTCATTTTCAGGTATTTTTCTTAAAAGCAACAGAAAACACCAATACACATTACCTCTACTATAATATGTACTATATGTCTTTGTACCGTCACCCTCTATAGCCCAGGCTCTATGTGATAATACAATAAAACCACATCGGAACAACAATTATAACTGAAGAAGTTTGAACCTTTACTCAATATATTGAGACATCACAACTGAGTGGTGTGAATTCTTAGCATAAGCTAAGTACTTTAACTCGACTGTTCTCCATCACCTTCAATGTTTCCCTAATGGAGGCATATGTCATGCTTTCTCGCTTCTAACTATCATTGAAAACTTTACTTAAACCCAGATGTCTTACTGTGGTCTCTCCTTTCTCATTTAATTATTTAATATGGAGACAATTTAATCTTTCTATATCCTTTAGTATTCTTTTTACTGGCATGTTCAAAAGGTAGAGGAGTGTGGTGAGGGGAGAGAGAGAGAGCACCTAATGAGTTTTTTATTTTAGTAAAAAGGAGGTCTGTATGCATTGATATGTATGTTTTAAATATCAAGGATAACTGTAATTTTATGCTTTTGTACATAATAAATTTGTAATTGTATGTGTGTATGTGTAGTGGGTGTGTGTGTGTGTGTGTGTGTGTGCTTCCAGGACAGGAATATTCTATTCAGCTTTATACTCATAATGTATAACCCAAAGCATATTCCCTCATGACTGCTTAATTTTGGTAAAAGGAAATGAGTTAAAGTAACATTTTCATAGTTTGCTTTCTTTTAAATTTTAAATATTTAATTTTTATGGGTACATAGTATGAGTATATATTTATGGGGTACATGAGATATTTTGAAAGAGGCATGCAATGCATGATAATCACATAAGGGTAAATGGGTATCCATCACCTCAAGCATTTATCACATCTCTGTGTTACAAATGTTCAAATTATACTCTTAGTTATCTTTAAATATACTATTGTTGACTGTAATCACCCTGTAATTCTATTAAATACTAGAACTTAACTCATTATGTCTAATTACATTTTTGTAGTCATTAACCATCCTCAACTTCCCCCCATTCCCACTACCCTTCCCAGCATCTGGTGACTCTATCTCCATGAGTTGAATTGGTTTTAGTTCCCATAAATGAGTGAGAAAATGCAAAGCTTGTCTTTCTGTTATAGCCTATTTCACTTTTTTTATGTAATGTTCTCTGGTTCCATCCATGATGTTGCAAATGACAGTATCTCATTCATTTCTATGGCTGAATAGTGTATTTGTATATTATGCATAGTGTATAGTGTGTGTATTGATATTAATAGTGTATATGTATGTGTATATGTACTACATGTTCTTTATTCATTAGTTTGCTGATGGACACAGGTTGCTTCCAAATCTTGGCTATTGTAAACAGTACTTCAGTAAATATGGGAGTGCAGATCCCTCTTCAATATACGGATTTCCTTTCTTTTGGCTGTATACCTAGCAGTGGGATTGCTGAATCACATGGTAGTTCTATTTTTAGTTTTTTGAGGAACCTCCATACTGCTCTTCATAGTGGCTGGACTAATTTATATTCCCACCAACACCAGATGAGGCTCCCTTTTCTCCACATCCTCATCAGCATTTGCTATTGCCTGTCTTTTGAATAAAACCCACTTTACCTGGGGTAAGATCATATCTCACTGTGGTTTTGACTTGCATTTCACTGATGATCAATGATGTTGAGTACATTTTCATATACCTGTTTGCCATTTATATGCCTTATTTTAAGAAATGTCACCTCACAGGTTTTGCCTGTTTTTTAATTGAATTAATTTTTTTTTCTATTGAGTTGTTTGGGCTTCTTATATAGTCTGGTTATTAATCCCTTGTTACATAGGTAGTTTGCAGATATTTTCTCCTACTCTGTGGGTTGTCTCTTCACTTTGTTGATTATTCTCTTTACTGTACATAAACTTTTTAACTGGATATTATTCCATTTGTTTATTTTTGCTTTGGCCATATGTGCTTTTAGTGTATTAATCAAGAAATCCCTGCCCAGATCAAAAACCTGGACAGATTCCCCAATGCTTTCTTTAAGTAGTTTCATAGCTTGAGGTCTATTATTTATGTCTTTAATCCATTTTTATTGGATTTTTGCATATGGCAAGGGATAAGAATCCAAGCTTATTTTAGAAACTAGAATGAAATATTAGCAAGCTATGCATCTATATATGGATATCCAGTTTTCCCTGCATTACTTGTTAAAAAGACTGTCCTTTCCCCAATGTATATTCTTGCCATCTCTGTCAAAAATGAGTTCACAGTAGATGTATGGATTTACTTCTGGGTTCTCTATTCTATTTCATTGGTCTCTGTGTCTGTTTTGATGCCATTACCATGCTGTTTTGGTTACTATATCTCTGTAGAATAATTTGAAGTCGGGTAATGCAATTAACCCAGTGGTTTTTTGTTTTTTGTTTTTTCCTCAGTATAGCTTTTGCTATTCTGGGTCTTTTGTGCTTTTGTAGTTCCATATAAATTTTAGCATTCCTTTTTTATTTCTGTGAAGAATGTCATTGGTATTTTGACAGGGATTGCATTGCATCTGCAGATTGCTTTGGGTAATATGAATATTTTAACAAAGTTAATTCTTCCAATTCATGACTATAGAATATATTTCCTTTTTTTGTGTGTCCTCATCAACTTCTTTAGCCAATATTTGTATAACTTTCATTGTAAAGATATTTTACCTCTTTGGTTAAATATATTCCTAGTATCTTATCAATTTATTTTTCAGATTGTTCTCTGTTGGCATATATAAATGCTACTAGTTCTTATATATTGATTTTTTATATGTACCCTGCAACTTTACTGAATTTATTTATCAGTTCTAATAATATTTTTGATGGAGTCTAGGTTTTTCCAAATATAATTCATGATAAGATCATATCATCTGCAAACAAGGATAATTTGACTTTTTCCTTTCTAATTTGGATGCCCTTTTTTGTTTCTGTTATCGTAGAGCCTTACCTAGGACTTTCAGTTCTACATGAACAACATTGATTAAAGTGGGCATCCTTGTCTTCTTCCTCGTCCTTTTTTAGAGGAAAGGCTTTCAGTTTTTTCATGTTGAGTATAATATTAGCTGTGGGTCTGTCATACATAGCTTTTATTGTGTTGAGGTATGTTCCATTTATACCCCGTTTTTTAGGGTTTTTATCATGAAGGGATGTTGAATTTTATCAAATGCTTTTTAAGTATCAATTGAAATGATCATATGGTTTTTGTCCTTCATTCTGTTGATATGATGTATCACATTGATTGATTTTCATGTGTTGAACTATACTTGCATCTTTGGGATGAGCCCCACATCTTCATGATAAATGATGTTTTTTACATGTTGTTGAATTTGGCTTGCTGGTATTTTATTGAAGACCTTTGCATTAATATTTCATCAGTGCTATTGGCCTATACTTTTCTTCTTTGATGTTTCTTTGTCTAGTTTCAGCATCAGAGTAAAGCTGACTTCGTAGACTGAGCTTTGAAGTATTGCCCCTCCTATATATTTTTTTTATTATACTTTAAGTTTTAGGGTACATGTGCACAATGTGCAGGTTTGTTACATATGTATACATGTGCCATGTTGGTGTGCTGCACCCATTAACTCGTCATTTAACATATTTTTCACGATAATTTGAGTAGAACTGGTATCAGTTCTTCTTTAAAAGTGTGGTAAAATTCAGCAATGAAGCCATCGTGTTCGTGGATTTTCTTTTCTGCAAGACTTTTTATTACGGCTTCAAAGTCATTACCTGTTATTGGTATATTCAGGTTTTGGATTTCTTCATGGTTCGATCTTGGTAGGTTTATTGTTTGGAATATATCCATTTCTTCTAGGTTTTCTAATTTATTGGCATAGAGTTGCTTATGGTAGTTTCTAGTAGTCCTTAGAATTTCTGCATTATCAGTTGTAATATCTCCTATTTGCCTCTAATTTTATTTTTGTCTTGTCTGTTTTTTCATAGTTGGGCTAAAGGTTTGTTAATATTATCTTTGTAGAAAACTAGTTTTTCATTTGATTGATTATTTCTATTGTTTTTTATTTCAATTTCATTTGTATCTGCTCTGATATTTATTATTTATTTTCTTCTACTAATTTTAGGTTTGTTTTGCTCTTGCTTTTCTAATTCTTTAAGATGCATTTGAAGTTTTTCTATGTTTTTCAATTTAGGCATTTATTGGTATGAACCTTAGTATACCTTTTACTATATCTCACAGCTTTGGTTAGAAGTATTTTTACATTCAACTGTTTCAAGAGATTTTTAATTTCCTTCTTAATTATTTATTTGGCCTATTTGTCATTCAGGAGCATATTGTTCAATTTTTATGTGTTTATATAGTGTCTAAAGTTCCTCTTATTATTTATATCTAGTTTTATTCCATTGTGGTCAGAGAAGATACTTGATATGATTTCATTTTTTTTGAATTTTTAAAAGTTTTATATTCTACATATGGTCTATCCTTGAGAATAATCCACGTGCTGAGAAAAAGAAAGTGTATTCTCTAACCGTTGTGTTGTTGTCTCCAGCTATTATTATATTGAAGGGTCTATCTCTGTCTTTAGCTTTAGTAATATTTGCTTTGTATATTTGGGATCTCCAGTGTTAGGTGCATGTGTATTTACAATTCTTATATTCTCTTGTTGAGTTGACTTTTACCCTGTCGGCTCAAGTGATTCACCTTCTTCAGCCTCCCAAGTAGGATGGGCCACAGGTGTGCATCACAACCCCTGGTTAATTACTTTTTTTTTATTTGTTGTTAAGAAGAAGTTTGCTTATGTTGTCAGGAACTCTTGGACTCAACAACCCTCCCACCTCAGCTTCCCAAAGTGCTGGGATTACATGTATGGGCTACTGGGCCCAGCCAGAAAGTTTTTCAAAATTAATGCATCTTTCAAACATAATAGTAAAATACAATTTTTAAAAAATATATTTTTAAATTTTAATTTTTTTAACCTGTTGTAGTATTATGGTACCTGGTTCATAACTCCCATACATTCTTTTTTTGTAATGTTAGGTGTGTTAGGCCTCAGGACCAGGAATCACAAAACAGAATATTTCTGACCTTCTCCAGCCTTCCTTTCACTTTCCCCAAGGCAGGACTCTAATCTTCCCTTGCTTTTCTGATTGTGAGCTGTAAGACCCTGACCAGAGAGGGTGCTACCTTATACCCTGAAAGAAGGACTGCAATGCTATGAAGCTTCTGTAAAAACCCAAGAGAACTTGGTTCAGGGAGGTTCCTTATAGCTGAACACACGGAGGTTCCTGGATGTGGTGCACCCAGGGAGGGCATGGAAGCTCCCTGCCCCTTCCCCTATTCCTTGCCCTATGCATCTGCATCTCTCTCTGTATCCTTTGCAATATCCATTATAATAAACCAGGAAATGTAAGTTTAGTTTTCCCTGAGTTCTGTGAGCTGCTTAAGCAATTACTCAAACCCAAAGAGAGGATTGTTGGAAACCACAACTTGATGCTTGTTGGTCAGAAGTTCCGGAGACCCAGGTTTGCAACTGGTGTCTGGGGGCATAGGTGGCAGCCCCCAACCTGTGGGATTTGACACCATCTCCAGGTAAACTGTCAGACTTGAATTGGAGGACACTCAGCTGGTGGCCACTGCTTGGTATGTGGGGAAAAGTCCTCACGCTTTTCATCACAGGCATTTTGTTCTGTGTTGATGATTGTTGTTTCAGTGGGCTTTGAGTGCAGAGGAAAAACATGGTTGGAAAGAGTTTTTCCCTGAATACCTGTCTATACCAATATAATTGATTTCTGTATATTGACCATGTTGTCTTTGAACTTGCCCAAATCATTCATTAATATTATTAGATTGTATGATACTATGCACAGGATTTTCTAAATACACCACAATGTAAGCTGCAAATGATGACAAATTTTTATGCTCTTTTCAGTATTTATATCTTTTATCTCTTTTTCTTGACTCATGCTTCTTTCTGAAGTTTACTGTAAAGTGTTTAATAAAAGTATGGAAGGGAGACAATCTTGCTTTGCTCCTTATCATAAGGCAGAAGTGTTCAATATTGCACCAAATATAATGTTAGCCGTTAAATTCTGGTGGAATGGATTTGTCAGATTTAGAAGTCTGACTTTTTTTTTGATAATTTTTTTCTTTTGTTTTCTGTTTGTAAACATGCATTAATAATGAATTTTGTAAAAAAATTTTTCTCTATTGAGATGATAAAATATGTTTCAATAATGTAATGGTATTCATTGTTTAATTTCAAAATGTTAAACTAATTTTGTAAAATTCAATTAACTCTGCTGTTTATATTTTCCTTTGTGTATATTCCTGAATTTAGTGTGCTAATAGTTTGTTGATAAATTTCTCATCTATTGCATAAGGGACACTGGTTTGTAGTTGTTTTTTGTTTACTTATTTTTTGTAATGCAATTATCTAGTTGTAGTATTAAGTATATGCAACTAATGAATAAAATTTAGAAGCATTTTCTCTTCTAATTTCTGAAAGAGCTTATGGGTAATTGGCGTTATCTATTGCTTAAAAGTTTTTTTGAACAAACCAGCAAAATCATTAGGGCTTATATATATATTTTTTTTAATTGAGAGATTGCTAATAACAAATTTAATTTTTCAAATAGAAACCTTCCTAATGTGTTTCTTTTGACAGTTTTGATTTCAAGAAATGTGTCATTTTAATTGGTTATTAAATTTGTTGACATGTTTGCATAATATCTCCTATTTTCTCTTTCATGATATTTATCATTATTATATTTATCATTTATTGAGAAACAACTATGTAGCATGTGTCTTGATAGATTTTAAACATTTTTCTTTTTATATAATTACAGATTCAAAGGAAGTTGCAAAAATATTGTACAATTAGGTTCCATGTACTCTTTATTTTTACTCAATAGTAATATCTTAAATAACTCTCATAAAATATCAAAGCTATAAAATTGACATAGATACAATACAAAGAACTTATTCAGATTTACCAGTATAACATTGATGTTGTCACATGTGTTTACGTGTACATGTATATTTTTATGTGATTTTATGAAGTATAAATTTGCATAATCTTTTTTAAAATGTCTGTATATTTAGTAATGGTGCTTCCTCTTTCATTTCTGATTTTGGTAATTGGTAATTAGTATATTTTCTCTCTCTCTCTCAGCTTTATTATTAGGATTTAAACATTTTACTAGTCTTTCCAAAGTACCAGCTTTAACATGGTTGATTTCTCTATAGTTTTTAAAAAAATTTTATTACTTTAAGAAAATCTGCACATATTTTATTTATTTTATTTCATTTACTTGTTTGAGCTTTAGTTTTTTTTTTTTTCTTTTTCTAGCCTTTTCAAGTGAAACGTTAATCATTGTTACTGAAGTAGGAGGTGGGACTCGATTCTGGAGATGGGGCTCAGACACCAGAGCAAATTGAGGACTAGCTGAATCAGGGCTGGGATAGAAGCAGCTTTCCATATGATACACTCACCACTGTGCAATGTCAATTTACCATTGCCATGACAACCCTGGGGCATTTTGCATGTAATTAAAACTGGGTATAAATATGACTTCAGAATTGCCTCTGGGTTGCTATTATGGCCACACTGCCTATGAGGCCCTGCTCCACAAGGAGTAGAATCTCTGCTGCTATATATTGCCACTTCAATACAAGTAGTAGTTTAACACCACTGGCTCACTGTTGAATTCTTCCCTGGGTGAAGCTAAGAACCCTCCCAGGCTAAGCCATGATTTTGGGGCTTGCCTATCCTGAATCAATAATAAAGCATTATTTTGTTCTAATATAGGCACTTAGAAAATAAATTCTTCTCTAAGCAATGCTTTAACTCCATCCTATATTGTGTGTGTGTGTGTGTTTGTGTCAGGGTCTTATTCTGTTGCTCAGGCTGGAGTGCAGTAGTACAATCATGGCTTACTGCAGCCTCATTCTTCTGGGTTCAAGCAATCCTCCTGCCTCAGCCTGTTGAATAGCTGGACTACAAGAACATGTCATCATGTCCAGCTAATTTATTTTAAATTGTATTTGGAAAGATGAGATCAACAGCTCAGAATGTTGATCTGGGCCTCAAGTAATCCCCCTGCCTAGGCCTCCCAAAGTTGTGGGATTACAGGCATGAACCATCACACCTGGTCATCCTACACAATTTGGTATGTTGTTTTGGTTAATATAACTTAATTCCAAATATTTCCTAATTTCTCTTGGTATTTATTCTTCAACACATGAGTAATTTATAATGTATTGTTATCTAAATATCTTGGAATTCTCTATTCATATGATGCTTATTGATTTATAAATTGCTGTCAGAGAACATACTCTGAAATTGAGTTGTGACTTTCATCAGGCCTTATTTTATGTTACATCATATGGTCTATTTAGGTAAAATTTCGGCGTGCATTTGAAAAAAAACGGTCTATTCTGTATTTGTTTGATATAGTGTTCTACAAATTTCAATTAGGTAAATGTGATTGATAATGTTATTTAGATCTTCTACATGTTGACTGATATTTTTGTACTTGTTTTACACAATTACCAAGATGATTTAATATTCCATATTATGATTATGTATTTGTCTAGTTTTCACTTTAGTTTTGTAAATTTTTGTTTCATATAATTTAAAGCTCTATTGTTAAGTATGTACACATTGAGAAGTGTTAGGTGTTTTGATGAACTGAATCTTTTATCTGATACACACACATTTAGGATTCTTATCTATTCTTCTGAAATGATCCTTGTAAATGGAAATGTCCCTTTGAGACGAGTCTCTGTCACCCAGGCTGGAGAGCAGTGGTGCAATCTCAGCTCACTCCAACCTCTGCCTCCCAAGTTAAGTGATTCTCCTATCTCAGCCTCCCGAGTAGCTGGGACTACAGGCGTGCACCACCATGCCCAGGTAATTTTTGTATTTTTAGTAGAGACAGGGTTTCATTGTGTTAGCCAGGATGGTCTCGATCTCCTGACCTCATGATCCACCCGCCTTAGCCTCCCAAAGTGCTGAGATTACAGGCGTGAGCCACCCTGGCTCGCCAAAAATGTCCTTTTTTACTTCTCCTAACTTTATGATCCTTAATGTTTCCTTCGTTCATCTTTTTCCACCTCTTAAATTTCACCCTGTCTTTGTCATTTTATTTTAAAGGTGTTGTGTAAGCAACAGATAACTGTTTATTGTTCTCAAAAAAAAAAAAATTCCAGTCCACCACACTCGGCCTTTTAATTGGGAAGTTTATCTATTTTCATTTAATGTAATTGTTAATACGATTGGGTTTAAGTCTACCACTTATTTGTTTTCTATTTATTCAATCTCTTTCTTGTTCCTACATATCTTCTTTCCTTGCTTATTTTCGGTGGTCTGGCTATTTTGGTAATATTCTTTCCTTGAATTGTCTTTTTAGTTGTGTATCTTTTGTATCTTTAGATTTGCTCTATAATTTACTATATGACTTTTAAATTTATTAAGTCTATGTTCAGCTGAAATTGTACTCCTTCACAAATAATATGAGAGCCTCCCAAGCTGTGAGACATATCTCTTTTTTTGTATGCCACCTGCTAGCTTATGGCATCACTGGAGAGTCATCCTTGCCTTTTTATATGCCAACTGCTAGCTTATGGCATCACTGGAGAGTCATCCTTGCCTCCAGTTGTACCCCTTGTGTTCTGCTCCTCGGTGGTAGCTAACCATTTTGTAATCCTGCCTCCAGTCTTCAAAGGGTGGCTACACAGTATTCAGTGAAGCTCAGATATGCAGTCCTCAATGAAGCCGTCACAGGCTGGAGCTGAATTCTCTTAGCCCTTTTACTTTTGCTCTAGTTTTTGATTCTCAAATTTTTGTATTTCCACTGTCTTGTATTGTGGAGAAGCCCTGAATGCTTTAGGATACTCCTTATTCAGATCTCAAACCCTGTCTCCAGTCATAAGTTTACTAGCCTTGGGGACTCAGTGAAAATAGGTAAGAAAAAAGGGCAGGCAGTTGCAACTCTGTGGCTTATATTCCTTGGGATTCTAATCCATTATGTAAATCCACATGTACTACCTATTAAATGCCCACCTGGTTTCTCCTTAAACCTATCTGCCAATGTTGGATTTATCTTTATAATCTTACTTCCACACTGTAAATGATGAAATGATGGAAACAACTAGTAGAAAACACGTGTTAATACTTAGTATTTGGTTCTTCTAGATTTGTTTGTGCTTCCAGCTATGTATTTCTTTTAATGTTAGCATTCTGTAGCTTACATGACTTGTTCCCCTGGTTCAAATGAAAGTGACAATCTCTTGCTACTTTCCTACACTGTAACCAGTAATTGTGCTTCATTTTCCACTTAACCCTATATTTCAGGCTCTCCCATGAATCTACAATTAAATCTAATTACAGCTCCTGTTTGTTGCATAAACCATGCTATAATAATCCTTTTACCTGGTCTTGGCCCCATAGATCCCCTCAAGTCTGCGTTACCTCCCACAGGCTGTGTTGACTCTCCTGGCATCTGTCTCCTTATGAACTTTAGTTAAATTTATTGGAAGGGTTGTTTTTAATTGCTTTCCAGAAAAATCATGAGAAACAGAAGCTGAGTCGACCTTTCTTAACCTCTTCTACTATATTTTTGTTGGTTCTATTTATATCTTAGGTGGCTGGTCAGATTTTATCAGTTTTATCTGAGGCTGAACTCTCAGCTCCTCCGTTTGCCTCAGTATCTACCACAGCATGCTGCTTCTGGACAAGCCCACACCTGAAATGGTACAAACAATTGTACCATTTCTTCACCTGAAATGGTACAAACAATTTTCCTACCTCTCTGGTCCACTTCCTGACTTCATTGAGAAACCATTTCACAGGGCTTTAGATCCACCATCCTAAGCATCTGCCAAAAGTTCTGAATGAAACAAATTGTTCTCCAATGGGATGGTGGAAATAGGAAAGAACCAACGAGATGAGTTATTTTTCTCCCTTGGAGTGTTCCTAGGCAAATATTTTCTATGATGTTTCTTCAGTGATTTGCAAAATTTCACGTGCAGAGCCATTCATTAAGTCTTCCTGTGGCTCATTGTAAATTGGAAAGAGCTCCAACACAACACATTGCATTTTTTCTCATTCTCCCTGACCTTCCTTCTCTTCCTCCACACCTTTATTGTCCGGGATTTCTTCTCCCAAATAAAGCTTTAGTATCCATTTCTTGTCTTCATCTTTGTTCTCTAAGAACTGGAATATAGTGGTTAATAGTGCAGTCAGATCAGCTTGGCTCTGCCACTTCCTAGGTGTATGGTTTCTGAATGTCACTTCATCTATAGAAACATCAGTTTCTTATTATATAAAACAAAAGTAATATTAATAAATAATTTTGGGCTACCCTCTTTGGGTCCCCTCCCTTTGTATGGGAGCTCTGTTTCCACTCTATTTCACTCTATTAAATCTTGCAACTGCAAAAAATAAAAATAAAAAAATAAATAATTTTATGACTACATCAATGTAGTTAGAAGAGCCCTAGATAGGAAATAACAATTAATGTAGCCTGACTGGTCAGCCTCCAAGTATTCCCTGCCTCTACTTCACATCCTTTCTCCCAGTCCTATGTACTTGCCGTCATAACAGATGGTGGCAGGCCCTCGGAAAGGCCAAAGCCTGAGGGGTGAATGGAAACGGGGAGAATGATCCCAGATTTCAACGCTAGTGCTCTGAGACAGCCAGCTCTAAGGAGAAGAAAAGGCATGCAGCAGAAATGGAAAAGAAAGCAGACATGCAGGAAAAAGATTATAGCTACAAGAGACCATGTGATGAAAATGACTTTTGACATGAATGTAGATAGCTTCTACTTTGTAGTTTATGGTTCTTACTAAAAATCAGTCATCATGGCTCTGGTTTTCCATGTGTTAACCCAGTTTTCTCAAATACCTTCCCATTTTTCCCAGAAGCAAATTCATAACAGATTTATATTATTTGCAACAAGAATTTTAATTGACATATTCTTTAACATTTTTCCAATCTTATTTTCTTATCATATATTTTAAATTCATCAGCATTTACTCTCTTAATAAACTATTATGTTTTTGTAAAAGATTTTTCTTTTCATTTTAAGAAAAAAGACACAAACATAAGTATGATATGTTATGTGTGTGTGTGTGTATTGATTATTACCAAGGTCTGTGAAGTTGAGCATTATATATTTAGGAAGAATTACCTTATCTTCTCTCAGCATAATGCCTGTCATATCTTCTGTGCTCAGTAAATATTAGTTTGATTAAATGGAATATGAATATTTAAAAATCTCATAGTGATCACTAACTATAGAATTTGGTAAAAATGAATACATCTTTCAATTGCGTTAGTGACAGAGATATAGAGGGAAATATATTTTTGGAAACCTAATATATATCTACATTTTAAATAATTTTGCCCAGAGCTTAGATATGATGTTTGAAACATGAACAAATGTCGGAAAAGTATTATGATAAACTTTACATTAACACTAAATAAAGGCATTTTCTCTCTTTCTTTCTTCTAAGGATCAATAATTTGAAAGGTTAACATGTACTCCTTTGCCTAGTAACAAAAGGCAAAAGCACTGGCAAAGCTTCAAAATCAATACACATATTGGAGAACTGTTGAAACTCGTGGCTACAAGAAATAAAATTGAAGAAATGACATAAAAACCAATTATTGCTATCAGGTTTAACAAGATAACATGAAACAAAACAAAATTTATTGCAGCTTAGTGGCTAAAAATCAAATTATACATTTCATGTAAGAGCATATATTGCTACAAATTTTATCATTCTTCTTTGCCAGTTCATATCTACTGTAATATAAATTTCATCAATCCTATGATTGTATTGTGTGTCAGTATCTAATTCTTAAGCTACTGTAAAGCAAAATGTTATCATTAGCATTCTTTGTTTTACATTTTATATGTGGTATTTAAAAATGTGATATTATAAAGTCCAACTTTGTAATTACTTCATGTTCCATAAATAACATTCCTGGCTATTAATAAATGATTAAGTTTTTCATGTGTTTATTACAACAAATGCTAATCACAGCATGTTCCCCAAGTACTTGCTTCCATTGTTATCTTTGCATGGTACCTAAGTGTATTTATGGGAGAAGTGTGTGTATTTACTAAAGAAGATGTTTCAGTTGTTTACTTTTACCATTACATACATAAGGTCCCATGGCTAGTTAATTTATAGCTTCATGATCACATACTATGCTAAACGTGTAGATGGTAGCTCTCCAAATATTATCAGCTCTTTTATAAATATATGATTAAAAAAGATATCTCTGGCCATTTATAATTTGAGAAACAAAAACAACTACAAAATTATTTATATTTTTAAGCTGTGCAATGTAATTTTTTATTGGAGTACCTACAACTGATTTATAAATGTGCTGCTTAATATGTGGATGAAAAACTCTGTAAAAAAGAGAGCTGGAAAACAAGAGTAAATTAAGGAACATTTCACACAGCAAGAATGTAATACATTTATATAGAAAAAATTAATGAATTACTGAATTAGTGCATTAATGAATGAATTTGTTCTTGCCTGCATGATGGATGAATGAGTAAAACACTGAATTAAAATCACAGAAGTTGTGGTTAAATTGGAGTTTCATTTTTGTTCTCCAACTGAGTAACTTAAGTTTGGAAAAGATAGATATATGTAAACATATATGTATTAATATACATTTTACATGTTATAAAGTATATATTTTTATAAATATAGTTATATATATAACATATAACTATATATTATATAGTTTATATAACATAGTTTATATCTTTATGTTAGATGCTGGATAAGGATGAAATTCATCACACTGAAAGAAGAAAGAGCATATATTTTTTGTCCACAGGTTTGCTGACTTGATCAAAGAGGACTTAAAGTGAAATTGTAGGAATCAAACCAGATATCCAGATAAAAATTTAAATATTGATAGTATGAAGAACATTGCACTATTCATTCAGCACCAAACATGACAGTAACAAAATTAACATGATAGTTTAACATAAGAATTCCAAGATGTGGTAATAAAGTTCTCATGGCTGTATTACTTTATGTGAAAAAAGAGATCTTATTCACACTACTAGGTAAAGTAGAATTTTTTTTATATTAAGAAGATATAATACACCTGTCTAGAATTCTATTATTCTGGGAATGAAAATACTTTATGGGCTATTCTGATGGAGAAAGCTGAAAGGGAAATGAGCAATATAGTTGTATGATACTATTAAACTGGTTGAGCAATACAAGGACATTTATAATACAGTCTGAGTACAGATCGAAACTCTAATAATACAGAAAAATATCAAATATGGGAACTGCAAATTTCAGGTAATTCTAGAATTTTTACAGGAGCATTATATCTAATAAATTGCTCATATCAGAGATAAATAAAACTATTTGTATCAACTTATGGAAATTGGAAATGAAAGAATTCTGAAAATTTTGGAATAACCATAATTAAAGAGTTCAGTAATACTGAATACACAATAGGCCTAGAGGAAAAGAAAACAAAACTGTTGACCAAAAGCCTGTAGCATGTTGGGTTACTTTCCTCAATATACATTAAATGTCTGGGAGATTTTGCAATTTATTAAAAGTTTCACATAGCTTTAGGTCATCCTGGGAGGCATAATTAGTCAGTTTCTTAATGTGATCAGGCCACAAAAATCTACCAGGAAGCCAGAAATGTTATAGTAATCTCTTCCCATTAATACTTAAAAAATTATTCTAATCAAATTTTTACAGAAATTTTGATCTAGAAGTGTATGTCACTTCTGAGAATATATATTAAAGACAATATTTAGAAATGCAGGCTCCAGGAAACAAGCAAGAGTCACTTGAGTTTTAAAATAAAGGACCTTAAATGCTTATACAGGCAGACTATGGAATAGGTGAGATATCAAACAAAGGATGCTGAAACAAACCGTGGTTTAACAGCTAGAAGGGATTGCCAATGCTTGTTTGGAAGAGCAGAAGGAGACATTAACAGAGCCCCAAGTCAAGGATAATCTAACAGAATATGAACCCAGGGAGGAAAGAGTTGTTGCCACTCCCTCTTATTTGCCTGCTTTCTACCCTCTCCTTTCTATCCTCTGCTGCCATCCAAACTCTCACTAGTATAGCTCATTGGCCAGACACAGCCAGAAGCCAGCCTGGAGCCAAGTAGATGCAGCGACAGGAGTTAGCTCCTCTGTATTTTGAAAGAGGAAAGCAGAGGAGGAATGTAGATGTACCCCAGTTTTCACAGGCCCCAAACCATATACAAGCATTGTGAACTTGGACACATTGTGAAACTACTCTGAACTTTGGAGGCTATATCACTTTTCTTTTGAGAGTAAGAGTGTATGTGTATATATATATATATATATATATATATATATATATATATATACACACATACATACACACACACATATACACACACACTTTAATATACATTATATATAATATATAATAAATTGAAAACCTAAGATTATGTACAAATTAGAGTTGTGACAAAATTAAATCAGTAATCCATGGAAAGGAACTCAAGGCAGCCTTTTTTTTTTCCAGACAGAGTCTCCCTCTGTCACCCAGGCTGGAGTGCAGTGGCAAGATCTCGGTTCACTGCAACCTCCGCCTCCCAGGTTCAAGTGATTCTTCTGCCTCAGCCACCCCAGTCGCTGGGACTACAGGCATGCGCCACCACGCCCGACTAATTTTGGTATTTTTAGTAAAGACGGGGTTTCACCATATTGCTTAGGCTGGTGTCCAACCCCTGCCTTCGTGATCCGCCCACCTCGGCCTCCCAAAGTGTTGGGATTACAGGCGTGAGCCAGCGTGCCAGGCCAAGGCAGCCTTTTTTAAGATAAATATTTTACCAATATGATTCAAATATTATAAGCTAGTCTTTTTTGGCAAAAGAGCAACAACAGAGCACAAACCTTGACTTACCCTGTGATCAAACTACATGAGATAAATATGCCTACCTAGAGAAATTAGTATAATGGAACCTAGCAAAATGTTAGACACAACTTTCTCTGTGTGCTAAGAGTATAAGTTTATTTTAGGTGTTTTATTTTTGTATTTTCCAAATTTTAGCTTTATATGGAAAATGAAACAAAAAAGTTAAATTATAAAGGATGGAGGCAGCATGCTGTGGAAAGTGGAAGCATACAGAACCTGAATTTAAGGATAGACCCATGTGCTTATGGCTAACTATAAAATCTTTGCCAAATAAATTGACATCTTTTAATAAATTAAAGCATCTCAGTCACACTTTTATCATGCATAAATTATAGTTAATAATATCTAAGTTATAGCATATTTGTTGGGATTAGTGAATTTAAAAAACCAACATGAATAACATAAAGGATTACATTAGTGCCTACTATAAGATAGCAGACTGAAAACTGTTCACAAAAATCCATTTCTTCTTCTCATATCAAACTTCTGGATTGTATTTCCCAACCGTCTACTGAAATTAGGTTCAAGAATGTGAATTAATTAGTTTTTACTGCAAAACAAACAATGCCCAAACTGTGGTTTCAAATAAAAGGCATCTATTAAATTTATAATTCCTTGGATTTGCCTTTAGGTTGGGCTCAGCTGGGCAATTTTGGTCTCAGCTTAGCTCTATTAAATGTCTTCAATCAGCAGATGGCTACGTGAGGGGCAAACCACTTAAAAGCCTCAGCTCAGAAGAAACACACATCAATTATAGTTGTATCTTGTTATATGGAACTCTTCAATAGAACTTGCTGAGATGCTAGAAAAATTCTATGATTTATTTTGTCCAGTAAAGTAGCCACTAGCCATATGTAGTCATTGATCACTTAACATAAGGTTTGTGTGACTAAATTTTAATTTTATTTACTTACAATAAACAGCCACATATGGCTTAGACCACCATATTGGACAGTGCATGCTCAGACCTTAAAGACAGAGTATACTAGAGAACAAAAAATGCTCACAGCTATTTTTGTCTCAATAATCATGGCTCCGGCAATCTGACTTTTCAGTAATTACCAATCAGTTAAAATCCACTTCCTCTCTTCTTATATTTGGGCTGTTTTTATGACCATCCTTTGGCCAAAACAACATGGCAGAAGCACTTGCCAGCTTCATACCTAGCCTCCCTCTCCTGGAATCTGCCCATCTATCAAATGAACAAAAGCTGCTAGCTTGTGCAACAATGAAAGAAAACCAGCAACAGAGTCAATGAGGTTGTACACCCACAGTCCCAGAGATGTGAGATAGCCCATTAATATCATCATAGCCATCTACACATGAAATAAAATTAAACTCTGAAATCTTAGTGTATATAAAGTACTTAATGCAGCATCAGCCTGATTGGTGTTTTTGAAATTATCACTAATACTATTAGTACTACCAGTAAGCATCATTATTTTTATTATGACCACTGCTATTACTATCACGATTACTCTTAATCTGTCTCGCTATGACCACACTACTATTACCCATGTCACTACTACTGATAATTATGAATAGGATTTAAGTAAAATATAGATATCAAAGAATATGTATGTTGAAGTAAAATAACAGCAATATTTGTCTCCTGCTTACCTAAGTTTCAACTTAAAATTTTTAGCATTTAGTCAACAGATGCTTATGTTAATAACGTTTGTCCAAGAGAACGGCAGTATAGGTGGAGGTAGTTAAGAACAATGCAGACTGGGGAATGTGATGTATCATCTCTGGATTCTGGGGAATTTATTTACATTTTCTGTGCCTCAGTTATCTCCTATATAAAAGAAAATTATAATTGTGCTTTCTTCATAAGATTGTCATAACAATTACATTTTTTTCTTGACACACATAGAGTGATTACTTCAGGTAATTAATCAAATGTTATTATTATAAACTTTAGGAAATCTGCATGAGGGCTCCATTAACGTAGGTTCTATTTTATACTCTTTGCCAAATTTGAAAAAAAATCTGTTTTTGAAATTTATTGAAACATAAATCATTTTGAAAGTTCCATTGAAAAATATTTTTTTATCTGTTTGTCTTCCATCTATCTTAACCTATCATAAAATCCAATATGAACATATATGCTGATAATCAGATATGAAAATCAAACATGGTAGTAACAGATGTGACTTTTCCAATTATGTGAAATATCTCCTTAAAAATCAGTCAATTGCTATTCTTTAGGAAACAAAAATTGATACATTAGAAAACGTAAAAGATATCCTGTGAAATGTTTATCATTACTAAAAAGAGGCATTCTTTTTCTAAAATTAGCAGATTTATTTTTGTGAACCCTTAATTTTTTTGTTTCTCCAGCATTGCATGATTTGGGGAAACTGCCCCTTCCTCACCCTTGAAATTATGGTGGGATAATCACCCATGGGAAAGCACAGTCTTCCTTCACCAAAAGCAGAGTGGTAGGATGTAATCGGCTGAATTGTTATCATAAGCTGTGCCACTTTAGCGTAAGAGGTAGTCGGATCTTGTATTAGCATCATCAGACAATTTTTATGCCAATGTACTTGGGAAAATGTGTTCAAGTTTCTGCTTCTTAAATAACTAGAGATTCTTTTGTTTCTGTTCTTCTGAAGGTCTTATTTTTCATAATCCACTGTTACCGTGAGCTATCCATGACCATTCCCATAAATACTGTTTTCTTGCTTCAGTTAGGTAGTGTTACTTTCACGAGATGTTCAAAAGAGCCACTTGAAGAAACTGTCCGATTTATGATTTCTGTTAACGAATATAAAATGAATTGGGCCAATAAAACAATCATTAATAAAATAATGTAGGTAAGAATATGTATAATGTCCATAAGACTATGTAAAAGATTCTTATATATATATCTGTGTATATATATGTATGTGTATGTATATATTTATATACATACACATATGAAACAAATTTTTCTCTTCTAAAAAAATAGTATGCCTCAGAACTACCTGCTCTAGCAGGGGAACATAGTGCTAATTTTTTAAATATTTCTTCTCAATTATTTCTGAAGCTGGGAAGTCCATACATCAACAAATAAGAAGAGAAAATGAAAGAATAATACTTAGTGTTTCAGCAGGCCTAGGAAATAAGAGAGAGAAAATGTTCTCACAGTTCCTCACAAAAATTCTATAATCTTGCCTTTATCACTCATTATATTTACTTAGTTAACAGGAAATTAATCTTCATAAATTTTGGTTCACTTCAGATTCTACCAATTTTAATATTTGGTTATTATTTACGGTGGATAACTAATGCCCTCTTACTCCCTGTTGGCAAATCTGACACCTGATGATCATCTGACTTCTTGTGTGGATCTATTTATATAGGGAATATGCTGGTTGGGGGACAAAGCATTTGGTATTATAATTCTCACTGGAATTACATATTTATGAATTAATTTAAAGTAAATTAAAGCTTTCTAATTTTTTAACAATGATAAAATAATGCTAAAAACAGTAATGCTATATGAAGTACATTAGATTGAATTACCTAAATCTATACAGAAATGGATCTCAACTGTTCTTTTTTTCCAACATAAATAAATGGTAAGACATTTGCCTAGGCATCAATAGTGTTATATCAGATAGAGTCTTGGCAATAATTATATAACACATTCAAATTAGTAATTTGAGAGTCTATTTACAAAGCTAGTTAAGGGCAACTGGATAATGATATTAGAGGACCTCAGAGATGGAAATAGCCAGAAACTCTTTTTACCTTAAACCTCAGAAGACAAGGAGACAGAGCAGTTACCAAAGCCCAAAAGGGCAGCAATTGAGGTACCAACCAAACAAGAGCTGTGGCCTTCAGGAGAGGAATGAAGCCATCTAATGTGAACTTACAGGGAGGAAGTGGTGGAATATGCACCATGACTTCATCTTCTTGCTCACTTGAACTACTGCTAGTATTTTTCACTGGTCAAACCAGTTGGAAGAAAGAAGGCAAAGGACTTGATTTATGAAATCTTTGTAAGTCAGCTTCTCAGGGTACAGAGTAGGGCGGAGAAAGGAGGGAGTTTACTAGAAAGGGAAATAGAAAATCTCTGCAACAAGCAGCTTACTGCTAAAGTGAAGGCAAAGGAAGGCAGGAATGGATAGAGCACATGCCCAGCAGAAATCTCAAGTAGCTTCATATTTTCCAGGTGACTTTGTATGTTGTGCTAGGAAGCATATTTTCTCCCTTTAGTCAATTTACATTGCTGCTTCCCCATATTTTATAAAATACATGGTTTATTTTAAATGACTTTGTTTACTAATCTTGAAATATCTTTAATTTATATAGGGAATATGCTGGTTGAGGGACAAAATTAGTTGCTGAAATAATTTCTCAACTTGTTTTGGTTGGTTTGATGTTTTTAAAATTATAACCAACATTTTTGCTTAATATAAAAATGCTTAACATTAGGTCTTTGAGATTACTAACTTTTAACATAAAAACAAATTATTTTAAAGTATGCTTATTTTAAAAGCTACTTTCTAAATCTGAAAATCAACAACAATTGATTTGGTAGTTGCCTTTTCCATATCCTCTTCTAACTTGCCAACGACAGGATACATTGTCTCTTCAAGAACAACAACAAAAAAAGGCATATAAATTTATCACAGTGGATCGTACCAAGTATTTTGAGGGAAAATTATAATCTAAGCATGTTGCTATGCCTTTTTTGTTTCTACTTACTGAAAATTTGATTATAGATAGTTAAAAAGTCCAAAGATATGCATGGAAATATGAACATACATTATGTAACTGTGAGTTTTACAATGTAATTTTGAAAGTATTGATGTGATTTGCCATAAAGAAAGAGCTTTAGTGAAAACAAAGACAAACAACTGATATATGTAAATAGGTAGCGTAGGCATTACATCAAGTGTATATCAAAGGAAAATGAAGTACAGTCTCCAAATTAGTATGAAATTAGACTCTATCCATTGAATACATGTGGTCTTGTTGACTATAAATTTTGGATTCTTAGTTACAACTGCAGGAAGTAGATTCTGGCTAATGAAAAGAAAAAGGAATTCAGGTATGTTATAATTGAAGAACCCAAGTCAGATGCAGGCCAGCCAGAGTTTTAGCCACAATGGCACCCTGAATCTGTCCCTTGAAGTCATTACTGCTATCTCTGCTGAAATCTAGGCACTGTCATGGTTGCCAACACTGTGAGCACAGGCCACTGGAGAATGTAATGCCCCTGCGGTTTGAAATTCAGATGTTGCATAACTGGTACTGCCTTTTTTCAGAGTGAATATTTCTACATTGTTCTTTGCATCACCAGCCACTACTATGGAGGATGTATTTTGTAGGCTGAGACCAGGTTATGTGCTGTGCTCCATGTACAAGAAACGATAGGAAAGTAAGTATCTGACAATTTCAACACTTGTATTTGGCAAGGGAGTTCCCTTTCCTAACAAGGATAGGAAATGTTCTCAATACAGAAAGGGTGTCAAACACTGGAAAACCAAAACGATAATAAATATAATTCCATTAGGGTGTGGGTACCTGAGAATTTTTTGAATAACCAGATTTTCAAACTTTACTTTTGTTTTATATTCTAATTAGATATCCAATATTTTATCAGTTAAATGTCTTATAATTTTATATACTGCACATAATACTGAATATTAATATATAATAATTAATATAAAATGTTATATATGTTTAAATGCACATGTATAATTTAATATAAAATATTGTTTATAATTTTATAACTTGAGTAACCTATAGTTATTTACTAATTACATACCAAATAACTGCCACAAGATGTCTGTATTTTGTCTCATTTTAATAATAATAAAAAATAAGGATTATTAAATGTGTTGTAAAAGACAGCAGTTACATGAAATTAACTTAATTTTCTCTTTTATTAAAAAAAGGAAATTAACAGTTAGTTGGAAAATTAAACCACTGAAGTTATTTAGCTATTATTTTCTCTATGAACTTTTCATGATACAAATTGCATATATTTGATTAAAATAAACAAAAAATGGAATTTCTGCACATGTATTCCAGGACTTTAAATAAAATAAAATATTTAAAAATAAAAATAATAAATTAGAAAACAAAAAGTCACTTTTTTTGAGACAGATCTCACTCTGTCACCCAGGCTGGAGTGCAGTGGTGCAATCTTGGCTAGCTGAAACCTCCACCTCCTGGGTTCAAGTAATTCTCCTGCCTCAGCCTCCCGAGTAGTTGTGATTACAGGCATGCACCACGAACCCGACTAGTTTTTTTATTTTTATTTTTGGTAGAGACGGGGTTTTACTATGTTGGCCAGGCTGGTTTCCAACTCCTGACCTCAGGTGATCCACCCACCTCAGCTTCCCAAAGTGTTGGGATAACTGGCGTGAGCCACTGCGCCCGGCCTAAAAAAACACTTTAAATCTGCACTTTATATTTATGTCAAATCTTCAGGTATAGGAAGAGGAGTGACGAAGAGGTAACCAGGTGAGAGTATATATCGCTTTGTGTATCTGTGTTTGGGTCAAAAAAAGGACTGTAATTTTATGGCATAAAATCTAATAAAGTGTATATAGTGTATAAAAGAGTAGATGGTGGTTACCTTAGTAAGAAATAGCTTTTTTATATTGAAGCATGGTGTTGAGGAAAAAATGTTTGTTCAAAAGTAGACAACATCTTAATAAACATGTATAGACCTGTGAAAGTTTGGGAACTTGTCAAATCTTATTATTCATACTTAATAAATATCAATTTTCTATAAATAGAGAGAGGAACTATGTGTGAAGCTTAATTTTGAGAAGCAAAACCTTTGGTGTGTTAAAGTAACTTGACAGCAGTAGGGTCAGTTAAACAAAATGTACCACATAAAATGACAGTTCCATAATTTTACTTAGTTAAAAAACAAAATTACTGACTTCATTGCCAAAACTAAAGATTTATTCAAGCACAGAGGTAGTGAATAAAACACCCAGAATATCTAATAAATATTAGTCCTAGACATTCATTTGACATCTTTTATCATTTCTGCTCAAAAACACACTATTCTTCCAGATTCAAAGGCAGTTATTTAGGCATTTTCATGCTCTACTACCCAATATTTAAAACTCTCTGGCAATCAAAACCATGGCTGAATTTACAGTGATTACAGAAAAAAATTGAGAAAGTTAATCTTAAATAATATAATGTGTGGGGACATATAGTGTGTCAATTGCACTGAATTGACTTGATCGTAGATATAATTCATTCATTAGTGCATTCATTATTCATTTATTTATTCAACAAACACTATTGAAAGCCTATGATGTAGCAGGAATTGTGAATAAACTTAATTAAATACTGTATCAGTTTTAAGGAACCTACAATTCATTGGAGAGAAATTATATTAGAGTAATAAATGATTTGGAAGCACAGAGGAATATTACATTTATTAGACCAGGGAGTAATTCATAATATCCATCATTAGTGAGTTATTACACTATAATATTTGCTATATTTGAGTGTATCTCTACTGTTTACACATTTTTAAAATGAAACTTCAAATCAAGTTAAATGCCTGGAAAGAGAATAATCATGATGACCAATTAGAGATGCATGATATATTTCTAATACAAATAGATATAAAGGCACAACCTAATTTTTATCTCACATAACATATATAGTTATCTGATGTCCCTGATTTTGGATAACACTAGATTTCAGGGTGAAGAAATTCATCCAGGTGAAAATTAGAATCAGTGTTTTATTGAAAATAAGAAAATAGACCTGATTAATCCACAAATTTGGAGAAAGGGATTTTAGACCAGCAAGAGCAAATTTGAGAGAAGAGTAAATGTGCAAAAGCATGTTTTGATTAGAATACTCCAAGAAGATGGATATGGCTGTTACCACTTTTTTCTGATTTTACATTCACCAAGTATGGAACTTATCTGTGAGATTCATCTGCCCATCACTTGTTCCTCACCTTCTTCTGTAAACAGAAGGCTGCTCTCTCAATGGAAAATAATTTCATGGGATTCAGGCAGGACCAACTCTACCTCTCTCTGTAGTGAGGGTAGACCAATGACAGAAGCCCTAGGAATCATATTTACAGATCTCTCTGACCACGAAGTTTCCTTCAGAGATGGTAAGATGAACCAAAGTACATCAAGCTGTATTACATGAATGTAAAATCATGGCTTAATTCTTTTGGCAACTTTCTTTCCTCTGTCTATTCAAGAATTTTGCCATCTTCAGCACAGAAATATTAACACTTTAGATGTTGCTAAATATACGTTATGATGAAAAAGAAAGAGCAAAATTATATTTCAGTTAGCATGAGGGTAAATTTATAATTCATAGATGTAAAATTTAGTGCAGTGATCACAAGGGATGGCTGACAATTAACATACAAATAAACTGATGAAAGCTGACATGGAGGCTGTCATAAAGTATATATTGTGGTGGTGGTGTGGGGGTGTGTCAGTGTGTGTATGTATGTGTGCATGTGTGTGTATGTGTGAAGTAATATAGTGTAAAGGAATAATGGATAATTCATAGTCATATTGAAAATTCCAAAGAAATTAACAAGAGTACAAAAGGTTCTATTTCACATTAAATAAAATAGTTGAAAATAATGTGAAAAACATTAATTCACCAGGAAAAGACAGGGAAGACAGACCATTATACAATAACCACAGCAAAAACAAACTGATGGTACAGATAGAAAACAAATGCCAAGATGGGAGACTTCCAACCATATTATTCCTTATCTTGTGTGAAAATTAATTAAACATTCTGATTAAAAAATAAAACTTTAAAACTGAATAAATTCAACTCTATGTTCTAATATATCATAAATATTAAAAAGCCATGACCACTTGGTCCACTTGCATTTCATTGCCCAAGTTTGTTTTGACAAGAATTAAAGAGATAACTATACTGGGGAAAGATAGCTAGAGAGAGAGACAGATATTCATTTACTATTTGACAAACTAGACTGTTTCATTAAGCAATGAAAACAAGAAAGTTTGAAATTTAGAATCATGAGATTATATGTGTATATTAATGAAAAGGTGATAAATGAAAGAAATTATAAAACAAATAGCCAATGATTAATGTACAAAGCGGTTTTTCTAAGACATTATTTATTATTTTAAAAAGTTGAAAACTAGCAAAGTATCACACACCAGAAGAATGGTAAAATAAATTATAATATTGTGCAAATATATTGTAAACCTTTATGTGGCTATTAAATCATGTATTCAAATACCATTAATACAAATAAATTATGGTTACAAAATAACATTCAAAGAACAAAGCATGATATGCTATATAACATATCTTTGTTAAAATAAGTAAAACTACTATAATTTTTAATTGAATATACAAAACACATATGGGCTTTTAATTTTCTGCATTATGTCTTTTTATGTTTCTCATGATTTTATAACAAAGTATTCATTCTATGTGTATAGTATAAAGGGTTATAAATGAAATATTTATAGTATCTCTTCCCAAACACAATTATAAAAAAATGGTTTCAGGGTATTGAGCATATAAATTCATAAAGAAACTTATGTGAAAAAGTATCTTATGATTAAGTTTTGTTTAAAAAGGCTTTTAATATACTTGGTCTGTAGGCTCTACCATGAGATTGCGTTTGAATTTGTTCCTGTTGGAAACAAGAAAATAATTTTTAGACAAATTCATCTATTTTTAAGAAAACTTTAATGTAGATAATTGAAAAGGACCTAATACTTATTGGTATTCTACTATCACTTCCAGAAGTACGTAAGACTGGTTCATGAGAAATAATAAATAAATTAACAAAAATGATCCTATTCCCCCAAGTTTTATGCTTGACTTCATTGTCTATCTTAAATTATGCCAACTTATATTGTCCAACATGGAATATACAGTGTCCAAACTGGGATATACAGTGAGTCAACTACAATCTAGTAACTCCAGGTAAAATGCCAGCTATGTAAAAAACTAGAGGTGTAAATGTCATCAACTCAATTCAATTATTCAGTTACTATTGTTTAATTTTCTAAATGAAATCTACTTCCCATGTTAAAGCCTGAAATATAAAAGTACAAATCTCTCCCTTCCTAATTTTTTCTTCTTATTATTAATTTATTAACAAGTATATAATTTGTGGGGTACAATGTGATATTTTGATGTATTTACACAATGTGGCATGACTAAATCAAGCTAATTAGCATATTCTTTATCTCAAATCCTATTTATTTATGGTGAGACATGTGAAATTTACTCTCTTATTTTGAAATGTACATTATTATATATAGATCTGAAAACCTATTCTTCCTGTGTATCTGAAACTTTACTTCCTTTCATCAGCAACTGTACATTCCTTCCCCAGCTCCTAACCCCCTGCCTTGGGTAACTATCATTATACGCTCTACTTCTGTGAGATCAACTTCTTTTTTATTCCTACATATAAGTGAGATCATGCAGTATTCGTCTTTTCAGTGCCTAGGTTATTTCACTTAGCATAATGTGAATTCATCCATATTGTTCCAAATGACAGGATCTCCTCCTTTTCAAGCCTCAGTGGTCTTCCATTGTGTATATAAACACATTTTCTTTTCCATTCATTCGTTGACAGACACTCAGCTGATTTACTATCTTGTCTTGGCTGTTATGAAAAATACTGTAATGAAAATGAGAGTGCAGACACTCTTTGACATGCTGATTTCATTTCTTCAGGCATAAACTCAGTAGCGAGATTGCTGGATCAGATAATGGTTCTATTTTCAAATTTTCGAGGAATGTCCATACTATTTTTATAACGGTTTTATACAAATTTACATTCCCACTACAATGTATGAGAGTTGCCTTTTCTCCACAATATCTCCAACACTTGTAATGTTTCGTCTTTTTGATAAAAAGCCATTATAATGGGTGTGAGGTGATATCTCATTGTGGTTTTAATTTGCATTTCCTTAATGATTATGATGCTAAGCATATTTTCATGTACCTGTTGGCCATTTGGGTGTCTTAGTTTGGCCAGTGTCTTTTCAGATCATTTGCCAATGTTTTAATAGGTATATTTGTATTCTTACTATTGAGTTGAGTTTCTTATATACTTTGGGTATTGACCCCTTATCAATCTCATCTAGACAACATAGCAAGACCTCATCTTTAAAACAAAACAAACAAAAATTTAAAAAGATTCATATTTACCTATTTCTGCTTAACTAGTTTCTACATTCTTCGAACATGAGTACATTTTCCTTATAAGTCTTTAACTTTCCCACAATGTCTATAAATGTTACATTCATAATAACACAATATATGCTTATTAAATGAAATATAAAGTTTTATGGCATTGGATTAGTTTTAAGAAATAGGTATTAGTTCTCTAGTCAGTATGAGTAGTTATTTGATTTTCATTGAAGAAAAACGTTTTTCTTCAATAAAAACAAACACTAAAGATTCAGCTACGATTGCTCAAATTCTTCTATACTGCCAGAAAAATAGCTGATAAAATTCAGCAACTGGAAAATACAAAGAATCAGAAATTCTAAGAGTTCTGGAACTCAACCCTTGCTTTAGGCAAATTTTGTATACCAAAAGACAAACAAGGAAACAGAAGGCTTATAATTTATGAAAAGTGTTCTAGGCAACTTGAAATCACAATTCTAAGTATCTACTTCTGTTCTGAGATATGTGGCCTGCATTTAGCAATCAATAGTTTCCCGAAATAAAAATGCACACTTGGCCGGGCATGGTGGCTCACGCCTGTAATCCCAGCACTTTGGGAGGCTGAGGCGGGCAGATCATGAGGCCAGAACTTTAAGGCCAGCCTGACCAACATGGTGAAACCCTGCCTCAACTAAAAATAAAAAAATTAGCCAGGCATGGTGGTGCACACCTGTGATCACAGCTACTCAGGAGGCTGAGGCAGGAGAATCGCTTGAACCCAGGAGGTGGAGGTTGCAGTGAGCCAAGACTGTGCCACTACACTCCAGCCTGGGGGACAGTGCGAGACTCCATCTCAAAAAAAAAAAAAAAGCACACTTATGACTTCGTTATTTACATTATAGTTGTTTAGACAAATGATCACAAATGCATAGGATTTACAATATATTTATGGTATATAAATTTATCTAAATAATATAAGAGAACTTTGATAAAGTGATAATTTAAACTACCCTTGATTATAAGCGAAATTGAAAGCCTAAGTAACATTTTAATTCAAGTTTCTCTTAGAGGTAAATATTTTAATGACAAAATTACCATTATGCTGTGATTTAAAGTTCTGAGTAATACTCATTTTATAAAACTTAAAACATAAGGGATACCTACTGTACTCAGTATTCTTCATACAGAAAAGAAAAATATTTGTGACTGTAAGAACACAGAACATTTTTCTTTTCCTTCCTAAAAAATAGCAATAATTTAGTATTTAAAAAAATAATTGCAGGTTTAGTAGTAAAATTATTTCATTTCTTACAGACAGTACGTTTTGTCTTAGGTTAGCATTACACATTTTTCTTTGAGTTTCACAATTTCAATTTACCTAATTAAAACAAATTTAAAGTAGTAAAAAAAATGAAATTAGGTTCCAGTTCAGCTTTCATTTTTCTAAACTATATTATGTTCTGAAATACACACACATTTTTGTAGCACATTTTTGCAGACAGAGAATTTACTATCAAAAACTTAAGTCAATAAGGAGCCAAGTCAGCCAATATTTATTTCATGTAACATTAATGTGGCTTTCATGAAGTCTTAACTCAATTTTACCCTTTCTCTAGGCCATATTCATGTTACTCATGGTTCTGCATAGATAAGCACTGTGTCATAAGCTCCAGTATTAACAGAATTAAGTACAAAGGAGTACATAGAAGTATGAGAATCCCCAGGGGAAGAAGAACACGCCAAAGGTCTATATCTATGAAGAGAAAATAAAGAATTAAGACTTTGGCTGTATAATTTGAGAAAAATACATTACTTGGAAAACATCTTCAAATATTTTTTAGAACAGAGCACTTCTGCCTGAGACTTTCCCTATGAAGATAAATAATTTTTCCATGTTATTATTCTTGTTGCCAATAAGTCCAGCAAGAAGCAAAACATTATTTTTTAATCTTTTAAAAAGAGTTTTCTGCTATTTGCTCCATTTAGTGTCGATGCAAATATTTTAGTTTTTATTCACCTAGAACAGAACAGTGTATGTTAATCAAAATTTATATGAGCTGAGATGGAGAAACAGTTCATTCTAATTCAAACAAAATTTTCAGTATCTTTGAATTTATATAAATTATTTTTCTATTCTAATAATTCTGGATATTTGTGAAGGGCTATGAGAATTTTGTAACTATTACATAAAATAGTTGAGATTTGTTCATTTAGCTCTTTAAAGTACACATATTGAGGCTATTTTCCTTAGCAAACTAATGCAGGAACAGAAAACCAAATACTGCATGTTCTCACTTAGAAGTAGGAGCTGAATGATGAGACCTCATGAACACATAGAAGGGAAAAACAGACACTGGGGCACACTTGAGGTCAAAGGGAAAGAAGAGGGAGAGGAGCACAAAAAGTAAATATTGGGTACTAGGCTTAATAACTGAGCGATGAAATAATCTGTACAGCAAACCACCATGGCATGAGTTGATCTATGTAACATTCACATGTACCCCAAAACCTAAAATAAAAGTTTAAAGGTCTTAACTATTATTATTTTTTTTAAATTTAGCCAAACTTCAAGCTTTCTGTCACACATAAATATTCTTCCTCATCTTCTATTACCAGGACATGGACCTGAGTGAGAAAATGGTCATATGTATCCAACACCAAACTGAAGATATTTAAAGTTTTGCTTATTGATATATTAAGGGTCTTTTACTAACACTTCTAAAATTCTTTCACTATTTATATGTGATTTTATAACAATAAGAGATAGAGTGGATTGAACTGATTTGATTTATTCCACCATGTTTTAGCTACACAGACCATAAAATATAATTACATAAAATTTGCCAATTGATAAAGCTGTAACATCTATGAACCTTAACTTTATGAATAAAATTACTTTGCCTTTATTTACTCAGGGAATGAATCATCCATGTAAAATTGCCTTTTGAGAATAGATTTTAAAATAAAGTGTGACTGATTTACACTTCTAGCCTTTTTTATTTGGCTCCAGTAAGTTAACTGAACTTCACTTAATTCACCTTTATAATGGAACTAATAATCCCTACTTCAAATAATTTTGTAACAACACAATTCATTTAAAACCCCAACGATGTACATAAAATTTAATATGTATTAATGTTTTCATTTGTAACTGCATGTTAATTTACTCTGACTGCATGTACAGAGTATGAAAGGTAACATTCAGTTGAAATGTTATCAACTGGTACTAAACATGGTTACATGAACATACAGAGATCCTTTTTGTCAAGGCTCTACCTAGACAAGAGTACTACAATAAGAATGATCTGTGTAGAAGGTTAAACTAGCACAGCTGGTGACATGATCAAATCAAACTCACAGAGATCCCACCTTGTGTCAAATTTTACTAATAAATTTGAGGACACAAGTAACCAAGGAAGCCAGGCAGAGAAAGGGAAATCCGGGACATCCTATGTGGATCCTTCCTTTACTCATCACTCACCTGCAGTGACCCAGAGTAACAGATGGATTCTCTAAGGGAAGTTTTGGAATCATCTCACAAAGTGGGGAGCATTTAGGTTATTAAATGTCTCTATTTTATATCTCAGATTGTCACTCAGATTTCTAGACATTCCTGGGGTCCTGGGAGACATGCCCCATAAATCTATGGAACTTACGTTTGTGAACCATAAAATATTTTAAACTACTAACTTTGTGCTGAGAATATTCCATAAATAAGAACCTACCTTCTAGAAAATATTGTTAATCTACCTACCAGGAGGTCAGTTATCAGTGTATTTACTAGAAGTTTAGACCATAATCTACCATTCCTTCTCTGTGGACATTTCCCACTCTCATAATCTAGAGAGAAGTGATCACAGGCCCATTACTTTAATGTATTTCTCTATAACCTGAAATCAGTCAATATATCCAGGCCACATTTCCCTCAAGTATGTTTTCATAATTTGACCTGACATATATCATTCACAAAATGTGAGTACACTCTGATGACTATGAGGCTTTGAACATCTCACAAAGAGTAGATATTCAATCTATAGAAACATTAATGTTGGTCATCTTACTTCCAATAACTTTCAAAGTCTTTGTATATTTTCTAACCAGGTGAATTACTCTTTTTTTCTCAATTATCTGTATTTATGTGACTTCTTCATACGTATTGGTGAAGGCATTAATTAAGTATGTAATTATTCTAGGGCTGAGCTCACTTGCTTTTTGGGCCCATTATCTTCCATAAGTACTGAACCAACAGGTGCTCTGACTCAGGTTTATGTAATATTTTCTCTTCCTGGTTCATTAATTCTCTACAGCTTACATTGCAATGAAGGGAAGAAGAAAATAAATAAGTAAAATAACATCTGCTGGTACTGTGATAAGTACTGTTAAAAAATAAAGCAGTAACATGATACATAGTACCTGAGTGGAAGAAGGTGTTTCCTGAGTTGATTTATATACTGGGTCACATTTGGTAGGAAATAATTATTCCAAGACATAAGAGAAGAAATTTCTAAGAGGGAAAGCAATCAGAAAGACATAATTCTGTGGCATGCATGTATGAATAACAAAAAGAAAGGTAATTAAGTGATGTGAGCCAAGTGGAAAATAATTTGATCAGATATCAGAGAGGTAAACAAGGATCAGGTCTGGGTGTTCTGGCTTGGTCAAGTTTGGAGTTTTATTCCTCAGGTGATGGGAAGCCTTTTAAGTGTCTTTGAGCTGAGGAGTCATATGATCAAATTTCATTTTTAAAGATTACTCTGGGAGCTTCTTTTTTTTATAATAAACTACAATATTAAGGTTAAGAGCCAGAAGACTAATTAGGAAGTAAGCATATTTAAAGAGAAAAAAGTTAAATGATGTGAGTTCCAGAATCAAAATAATGATTTGTTTTTATTTTTGCAAATTTTCAACCTAAATATTAAAGGAAAAAGAAAGTATTGGATGTCTGCCAAGAACACAATATTAACATGATAATGTAAGCCATCTGCATTGTTTGTGCACTAAAAAACTTACCTTTCTTGTAGACATTTTTGGGAGTTACGGCTGCACATTGACTAACCTATTACTAAAAATAATATTTCTTCTAAAATGTATATTGTCTTAGTTATGTTTCCTTTTCCTACATAATGCCTTTCAAGTTTAGTTTAAGCACCAAGTTTGTCTTTTAAGCACCAAGTGATTCTGATTGGAAAAATTGAATAAATTATTGGTTTTCCCCAGAGTGAAATGACATGACTACTTGGCTCAGAAAATTCAGAAACAAAAATGCTTCTGGCTAATTCTTCCTTTATTCCTTGTTGCTAGGCTCCATAAGCCATCCTCTAAGTTGAGTTTAATGAAAATGAATTGCCGTATTATGTTCCATTCACATGATAACACAATTGGAATCCCTTTGACTCAAGAGAACTAAATAAGAAAAGCTAATAAGAAAACAAATATAATGTTAACTTTGGAAAGGAATAAACACATAGTTACTGTAACTGTTTTCACACTGTTAGTAACATGGCAATTACTTGAAAATTGCATCTTTTGACATAAGCTTCCTCATACTTCTCCTGCAAATTAAATTACTCATCTCTGCACCTGCAGTTCACTGGAGAACAAACGCTGATAAACACAAGACCATACAGGCATGCATATTTACTCTTTTGTTTTTTTGTCTGCAGTGTCTCAAGATAAGAAAAGTTAAACCTAACAGTTAAGACAAAATGATAGCCAATGAACATCTCAATTATTGCCCTAAGAAAGTATTATCTGGAAAAGCATATACATTATGTTAGGATTTATATTTACTATTAAATGCATTTCAAATTTTGGCATGAGAGGCAATCTCTAATTTTCCAACTAATTCTCTAATTCATAGATAAGTAATTGGCATGAATGGAACCAGCATGGGAATCTCTTGTGAGTATATATAAGTTGAGAGGAATCAACTTCCCAATACCCACCAACACTCCAACACACTATGGCAGATACATTTAGTTAATTTTCAAATATATTATCAATTAGATTTACGGAAAAGACTAAAAGTAACTTATTATTCAATTCAACTCACAGGAATAATACATTATTTGAATTCTCTTTTTTTTCAATCTGCACAAGAGCTAATTGGTATTAGTTTAAATGCAAGTAGGGAGAGAAAATTCTCAAATTAAAATCTTATCTAAATGTGTTTAGTTCTGAATAAGCGATTAGCAGAATTTTTGTAGACGTCTATCTCCATTTGACCTCTAAAGACAAATTTGAAAATTAAGATATCAAATTATTGATAATAAACAAACATATGAAAATTAGATTAAAACACTGTATGGCCAAGTCACCGTCCTTCCTATAAGCTTAGTATGACTCTTAATAGTTTGTGTGACTAAGAGAGTAATTTGTTTGCTTGTTTGTTTTCAATTTGAGTAGCAAGGATATACATATGAAATATATGAAATATGGGGTGTTCATGTTATTTGTGGACAGTTCTAAGAGAACAACTGCAAAATACATAATAAACTTGTAATTCATAAGGAATATAATAACATAATGAAGAAGATCAAGATAGAAAAAGAGTAAGTTGCTATAGATGAATAGAGTACTTTTTGTAGCAGCTTATTCTGTGAAAAATCTCTGAGAATAAGGTGTTCAGAAAGATTTCAATAAGGCAAACACTTAATGAGAATATAAAATTCTAATACTTGAAAGCCATTTGTATGTAGTTCTTTAAGTATTAGGCGAAGGCAGAAATAAAGGGGAAATTAAGCTGGAAGTAAGGAAGATTTGGTCTGAGATTTGGAATAATATCAGATCACAATAAAGGACAGACAGAAGAAAAATAATCAGAAAACTTAGGATACTGAAGCTAAAGATGCCTTTAAAGTAATAAGCTCTTCAAGATGTTTCACAATAAATAATTTTAAGATAACTAATGTCAACTGATACATAGGTTACATTTTCAAATATTGGAGGATAACACTGTAATATTAGCAATATTAAATAAATACTTTCTATATGCCAAGCACTGAACTAATAACTTTATGTAGATTATCTTATTTGAGTATCACCAAAACCTTATGACATTAGTGTTTTTGTTACTCATGAAGAAATTAAACCAAATTATGCCAAAGCTATATATAACAGTAAAATAATAGAATATATATGCATATACATGGATATAAACACACACATTCATACATATGCAAACACTAGTAAAAATAAGCTGGAGTCGTTATATTAACATGAGATACGGTAGACTTTAGAACAAGTGGTAGTAACAGGAATAAAGAGGGACATTGTATAATGATAAAATAGTTCATTCTCATAATTGTAAAGTGTGTGCATCTGAAAACAGAGCTTCAAAGTATAGGAAGAACACTCCTAGAACTAAAAAGAGGAATAGGAAAATCCACATATAATTGGATGCTTCAACATTCTTCTCTCAGTAATTGGTGAAACAAGTAGAAAATCAGCAAAGGTATAGAAGATCTGAACATTATCAACCTAATTGACATATATAGAACACTATAACCAAAAAAAAGGAATACATATTTTTTCTAAAAGTGAACAATATACAGTCAAGATATATCCTATTCTGAGCTGTAAAGCCTGAATTAACAAATTAAAATAATTCATACAAACTATGTCCTTCAGTTCACCACTACAGAATTACACTAGAAATCAATATCAGAAAGGTATTTTGGAAATTCCAAATATTTTAAAAGTAAAAGACATGTATTTATACCTATAACTCAGAGGGTCTCATGGAAAATTAGAAATTATTTTGATTCATGTAAAAATAAAAATATAGCATATCAAAATATGAAGGACACAGCTAAAGCAAAATGTAAATGTACATTTATAGCATAAAGTAAAATTTGGGGATAAAAGAAAAATCTCAAATTGTAATCAAATGATATATTTTAAAAACTAGAAAAATAAGAGCAAATTAATCTTAAATAAAATAAGAGGAAGGGAATGATAAAGATAAGGGCAGAAACCAATGAAATTGAAAACAGAATAACAATAGGCTGCATTACTAAACCCAAAACTGGTTCCAATAAAAGGTCAATAAAATTGTTAAACATCTAGCCTGATTGACAAGTAAAAAAGAGGAAAGATACACATTACCAGAATCATCATAAAAAATGGAACATCATTATAGACACCACAAATATTAACTGGATAATAAGGGAATGAAACAAACAACTTTCTTCTAATAATTTTTACACTTCAGATAGAGTACTTCTTTAAACTATCAATACTAACTCAGGAAAAAATTAATAATCTTAATAGTACTAAATATATTAAAGAGATGTAATCCATAGCTTAAAACTGTGCAACAAAGATAGCTCCAGGCCCAGAAGGTTTTGCTGATTAAATCTCTCACATATTTTAGAAAAGAGAGTCAATTCTATACATTGTCTTCCAAAAATATAGAAGGAGAGAACACTTCCCCACATACTGTATAGGGCTGGCATTAGCCAAATACCAAATCCAGGAATAGACATTACAAGACAAAAAACACGGACAACCATCCCTCATTAACATATATGCAAACATCTTCAAAAACGTATTAGAAAATTGGATATAATAAAATGAAAAAAGGAGAATGGACCAAGAAAATGAGAGAAGTTCTTCTTAAGAATGCATGGCTAGTTCAACATTCAAAAGTCAATCTATATAATTCACATGAACTAAAGAGAAAATGTGAATAGTATTCAATAAACACAGAAAATCATTTAAAAAATTGACTATTTAAAAATACAAGAAGACTGAAAAGAAAAAATTTTAAAACAACAATATTTGCAGGTGACATAATTGTCTATACAGAAAATACTAAAGAATTTACAATCTCACATGACTTAATTTAGCATGGTTATATAATAAATGTCAATATATAAAAAGCAATTATATTTCTATATACCAGCAGTGAATAACTATAATTTAATTTTTTTTAAAAAACTGTACCATTTATAATAGCACTAAAATTTTGAAATTCCTAGATGTAACCCTACCAATATCAAGGTAGGATCTGCATGCTGAAAACTGCAAAACACTGATAAAAGTAATCAAATAAAACCCAGTTTAATACAGAGATATACCATGTTTATGGATTAGAGAAATATTCAACTATTGCTAAAATATCAATTCATTCTAATTTGATCTATAGATTCAGTAAAATTTCTATCAACATACTAGCAGGCTTTTCATCAATAAATATTTTATCAATAACATTTTTCTGGACATTATATGGAAAGGCAGAAGTATTAGAACTGGCAAGAATATTTGAATAGCCAGACAGTTTTGATGGGTTGAAGTTAAGAGACTCTGTGCTCCAAATCGAGGCTCACTAAAAGTAATCAGAGTTGTGTGAAGTTGGTGAATGATAAATATGTTAATGGAAAAGGAGAGTTCCACATATAGACCCACACGTATAGAGTCAACAGGTTTATGACACAGTTATAAAAGCAATTCAATGGCAAAAGGATTGTCTTACTTCTTAGTCTGTTTAGGATTTCTACAAAGGAATACCTGAGATTAGGTAAGTTACAAAGAAAAAATGTTTATTTGGCTTAGGATTCTGCAGGCTGTACAAGAAGCATGGCACCAGCACACACTTCTGGTGAGGGATTCATGCTGCTTCTACTCATGAGGGAAAGTGAAAGGGACCCAGCATGTACACAGATCACATGGTGAGAGAAGAAACAAGAGAGAGAACGAAAATGCCAGGCTCTTTCTAACAATCAGCACTGAGAGAACTAACAGAGTTAGTTCTCTCACTGAGCCTCCAGAACCTCCAGAGAACGTAAATCCCTCACTGAACCTCCAGAGAACGTATTCATCTATTCATGAAGGATCCACTCCCACGACCCAAACACCTCCCATTAGGCCCCACCTCCAACACTGGGGATCAAACTGTCACATAAGATTTGGAGGGGACAAATATCCAAACTATAGCCTCTTCTAAACAAATGGTGGTGGAACAGTTAGATGTCCATATGCAAAATATTAACCTTGACCTAGACCTCACAATTTATACAAAATCACTTCAAAGTGGATCATGAGCCTAGTTATAAATTTTTAAATTCTGGAGGAAAACAGCATAGAAAATGTTTGCAAACGTGTTAAGCAAATAATTTTTAGATACACTATAAAAATGGCGTCCTTTAAGAATAAAAATAAATTGGCCAGGCACGGTGGCTCACGCCTGTAATCCCAGCACTTTGGGAGGCTGAGGCGGGCGGATCACAAGGTCAGGAGATCAAGACCATCCTGGCTAACACGGTGAAAACCCGTCTCTACTAAAAATAAAAAAAAAAACTAGCTGGGCGTGGTGGCGGGCACCTGTAGTCCCAGCTTCTCAGGAGGCCAAGGCAGGAGAATGGCATGAACCCGGGAGGCAGAGCTTGCAGTGAGCCGAGATGCGCCACTGCACTCCAGCCTGGGTGACAGAGCAAGACTCCGTCTCAAAAAAAAAAAAAAAAAAAGAAAGAATAAAAATAAATTGGACTTCAAAAATAAAAACTTTTTCTATACAAAAAAAGAATGTTGAAAGAATGAAAATATTTGTAAATCACATTACTGGAAAACAAATTTTTCAGAATATATAACAAACCATCAAAACTCAGACATGAGAAAACATATAACCCTATATATGTAAACAAACATTGACAAATAACATATTCGGATAACACTAGACCAACATAACAAGACATTCTTAAGGAATTTCTAAACATGGAAACAAAAGAACAATACCTGCTACCACAAAAACACATATAAGTACATATATATTCCTTACACTTTATAAACAATCATATAATATATACTATAAAACAACCAGCTAACAAGTTCATGATAGGGTCAAAACATCATATGTGAATATTAACCTTGAATGTAAATGGTCTAAACAGTCCACTTAAAAGACACAGAGTGGCAAGTTGGATATAAATAAATAAATAAATAAATAAATAAATAAATAAATAAATAAATAAAACAAGACCCAGCCATCTGCTGTTTTCAGGAGACCCATATTACATGTAACAACACCCATAGGTTTAAACTGAAGGGTTGGAGATAGATCTATCATGCAAGCAGATTCAAAAGAGAGCAAGGGTCACTATTATTATGTCAGATAAAACTGACTTTAAACCAACAATAGTGAAAATAAAAGACAAAGAAGAGCATTGCATAATGGCAAAGGGGCAAAGAGTTCAATTCAACAAGAAGACTTAACTGTCCTAAATGTACATGCACCCCATATTTGAGAACCCAGATTTATAAAACAAGTACTTCTAGACCTATGAAAAGACTTAGTAAGCCACACAATAATAGTGGAGTAATTTGGCACCCCACTGCATTAGGCAGATCATTGAGGCAGAAAACTAACAAAGAAATTCTGGACTTAACTTTGACATGCCACTAACTCTACCTAATAGACATCTACATAAGGCTCCATCCATCAGCCACAAATTTTACATTCTTCTCATCTGCCCATGGAACATACTACAAGATCATCCACATGCATCCCTTAAAACAAGTTTCAATAAATACAAAATAAGTTGAAATCATACTAACTATACTCTCAGACCAAAGTGGAATAAGAATAGAAATCAACACCAAGAAGATATCTCAAAACCACAAAATGACCTGGAAATTACATAACTTGACCCTGAATGACTTTTGGATGAACAACAAAATTAAGGCAGAAATAAAAAAAATCATTTGAAATAAATGAAAATAGAGACACATATCAAAATCTCTAGGATGCAGCGAAAGCAGTATTAAGAGGAAAGTTTATACAGTTAATTGCCTATCTCAAAAAGTTAGAAATAGTTCAATGAACGATTTAACGTCATACCTAAGGGAACCAGAAAAATAAGAACCATAGAAGAAAAGAACTAGAAAAATAAGGCCATAGGCATGGGCAAGGACTTCATGACTAAAACACCAAAAGCAATGGCAACAAAAGCCAAAATTGACAAATGGGATCTAATTAAACTAAAGAGCTTCTGCACAGCAAACGAAACTACCATCAGAGTGAACAGGCAACCTACAGAATTGGAGAAAATTTTTACAATCTTCCCATCTGACAAAGGGCTAATATCCGGAATCTACAAATAACTTAAACAAATTTACAAGAAAAAAATCAAACAACCCCATCAAAAAGTGGGAAAAGGATATGAACAGACACTTCTAAAAGAAGACATTTATGCAGCCAACAGACACATGAAAAAATATTCATCATCACTGGCCATCAGAGAAATGCAAATCAAAACCACAATGAGATACCATCTCACACCAGTTAGAATAGCGATCATTAAAAAGGCAGGAAACAACAGGTGCTGGAGAGGATGTGGAGAAATAGGAACACTTTTACACTGTTGGTGGGACTGTAAACTAGTTCAACCCTTGTGGAAGTCAGTGTGGCGATTCCTCAAGGATCTAGAACTAGAAATACCATTGGACCCAGCCATCCCATTACTGGGTATAGACCCAAAGGATTATAAATCATGCTGCTATAAAGACACATGAACACATATGTTTATTGCAGCATTATTCACAGTAGCAAAGACTTGGAACCAACCCAAATGTCCATCAATGATAGACTGCATTAAGAAAATGTGGCACATATACACCATGGAATAGTATGCAGCCATAAAAAAGGATGAGTTCATGTCCTTTGTAAGGACATGGATGAAGCAGAAACCATCATTCTCAGCAAACTATCACAAGGACAGAAAACCAAACACTGCATGTTCTCATTCATAGGTGGGAACTGAACAATGAGAACCTTGGACACAGGGTGGGGAACATCACACACCGGGGCCTGTCATGGGGTGGGGGGAGTGGGGAGGGATAGCATTAGGAGATATACCTAATGTAAATGACGAGTTAATGGGTGGTGCAGCACACCAACATAGCACATGTATACATATGTAACAAACCTGCACACTGTGCACATGTACCATAGAACTTAAAGTATAATAATAATAATAATAATAAATAAATAAAATAAAAATAAGAACAAACTAATCCCAAGGCCAGCAGAAGAAATGAAATAACTAAAATCAGAGCCAAACTGTACAGAATTAATACCAAAAAATCCATACAAAGAATCAAAAATACCAAAATTTAAATCTTTGAAAGCATACATAAGATTGATAGACCTCTAGCTAGATTAACAAAGAAAAAAATAAAGATCCAAATAAGCACAATCAAAAATGAAAAAATGACAAAGGTGACATTACAACTGATCCCACAGGTATACAAAAGATACCCAGGGATTATTATAAACACATTTATGCAAACAAACAAAGAAGAAATTGAAATCCTGAACAGACCAATATTGAGTTCTAGAATTGAATCATTAGTAAACCTACCAACTAAAACAGGTCTCGGACCAGAAGGATTGACAGATGAATTCTTCCAGATGTGAAAAAAGAGCTGGTACCAATTCTACTAAAACTATTCCAAAAAGTTGAGGAGGAGTAACTTCTCCCTTACTCATCTTACAATGCCAGCATCACCCTGATACTAAAACATGGAAAAGACACAATGAAAAAAGGAAATGACAGGCCAATGTCCATGATGAATATACATACAAAAGTCCTCAACAAAATACCAGCAAACTGAATTCAGCAGCACATTATAAACTTAATTTACCATGATCAAGTTGGTATCATTCCTGGTATGCAAGGTCAGTTCAAAAAACACAAATCAATAAATGTGATTCACCACAGGCATAGAATTGAAAATAAAAACTATATGTTCATCTCAACCAACACATAAAAACTTTTCATAAAATCCAACATCCCTTCAAAATAAAAACTCTCAAGGTACTAGGCATTGAAAGAACATACCTCAAAATAATAAGCAATACCTCAAAATGATAAGCATACCTCAAAATAATAAGAGCCCTTTATGACAAACCCACAGCCAACATTATACTGAATAGGCAAAAACTAGGAACATTCCCCTTCAGAACTGGATCAAGACAAGGATGCCACTCTTACCACTCCTATTCAACGTAGTATTAGAAGTCCTTGCCAGAGCAATCAGGCAGAAGAAAGGAAGAAACGGCATTCGAAAGAAAAGAGGAAGTCAAACTCTTTGTTTGTTGTTTGTTTGTTTGTTTGTTTGTTTGTTTTTTGAGACAGAGTCTAGCTCTGTCGCCCAGGCTGGAGTGCAGTGGTGCCACCCCGGCTCACTGCAAGCTCCATCTCCCGGGTTCAAGCCATTCTGCTGCCTCAGCCTCCCGAGTAGCTGGGACTACAGGCACCCGCCACCACGCCTGGGTAAGTTTTTGTATTTTTAGTAGAGACGGAGTTTCACCATGTTAGCCAGGGTGGTCTTGATCTCCTGACCTCGTGATTCGCCTGCCTCAGCCTCCCAAAGTGCTGGGATTACAGGCGTGAGCCACCGCGCCCGGCTGAGGAAGTCAAACTCTTTTACTGATGAGATGATTCTGTACACAGAAAACCATGAAGACTCTGCCAGAAGGCTCCAGAAACTGATAAATGACTTCAGTCAAGTTTCAGGATACAAAATCAATGTAAAAAAATCAGAACCATTTCTATACCTCAATAACATTCAAGCTGAGAGCCAAATCAAAAATATAACACCATTCACAATAACTGCAATAAAACTGAAATAAAATGCCTAGGAATATATTTGACCAGGAAAGTGAAGCATCTCTACAAGGAAAACTACAAAACACTACTGAAAGAAATCACAGATCAGAAAAACAAATGGAAAAGAATTTCATGCTTATGTATTGGAAGAATCAGTATTGTCAAACTGACTATACTATCTAAAGCAATGCACAGTGTCAATGCTATTCCTATCAACCTACCGACATTATTTTTCACAGAACTAGAAAAATATATTTAAAATTCATATGGAACCAAAAATGAGCCCAGATAGCCAAAGCACTTCTAAGCAAAAACAACTAAGCCAGAGGCATCATATTATCTGGCTTAAAACTACACTAAAGGCTACAATAACCAAAATAGCACGGAACTAGTACAAAAACAGACACAAAGACCAACTGAACAGAATAGAGAACTCAGAAATAAAACTGCACATCTAAACCTATCCGATTTTCAACAGAGTCAACAAAAATAAGCAATAGAGAAACAACTCTTTATTTGATAATTAGCGCTGAAACAAATGGCTAGCCATGTGCAGAGGAATCTAACTGAACCCTACCTTTCATTGTAAACAAAAATTAACTCAATATGGATTAAAGATTTAAATGTAATAACAACAACTTGAAGATTCCTAGAAGAAAACCTAGGAAATGCCATTCTGGACATCAGTCTTAGGAAATAATTTATGACTACATACTCAAAAGCAATTGCAACAAAAACAGAAGTAGACGAGTAGGACTTGATTAAAGTAAACAGCTTCTGCACAGCCAAAAAGCAATAAATAGAGTAAACATAGAACCTACAGAATGGAAAAAAATATTCACAATATGCATCATCTGACAAAGGTCTAATATCCACAGTCTATAAGGAATTTAATTAAACAAGCAAAAAATAAAAAATAAAAAGTGGGCAAAAGATGTTAACAGATACGTCTCAAATGTAGACATACAAATGGCCAACAAACCTATGAAAAAGAGTTTAACATCACTAATCATCAGAGAATGCAAATCAAAACCACAATGAGATATCATTTCACAGTAGTCAGAATGGCTATTATTAAAAGTCAAAAACCACAGAAATTGGCGAGGCTGCAGAGAAAAGGGAAGGGAATGCTTCTACACTGTTGGTGGGAATGTAAATTAGTTCAGCCAATGTGGAAAGCAATTTGGAGATTTCTTTCCACAAAGAACTTAAAACAAAACTACCATTTGACCCAGCAATCCATTACTGGTTATACATAAAAAACAAAACAAAACAAAACTGAAACAAACTCTCCTAGCAAAAAGATGCATGTACTCATATGTTCATTGTGGCACCATTCACAATAGCAAATACGTGGAATCAACTTAGATGCCCATCAATGGTGGATTAGATAAGGAAAATGTAGTATATTTACTACGTGGAATATGACATAGCCATAAAAAAGAATGAAATCATGTACTTTGCAGCAACATGGATGCAGCTAGGGGCCATTATCCTAAGTGAATTAATGCAAGAACAGAAAACTATGTATTGCATGTTCAGTTGTAAGTGGGAGCTAAACAATGGGGGCTTATATAAAGATGGGAACAATAGACACGGGACTGCTGGAGGGAGGAGGCAGGGAGGGAGACAAGAGATGTTAAAAGTTAATTATTGGGTACTATGCTCAGTACCTGGGTGATGGGATTAATCATATCCAAAACCTCAGCATCACACAATATACCTAGGTACAAATCTGCACATGTACCCCTAAATCTAAAATAAAAGTTGAAATGATTTTTTAAAAAAGATGTCTGAATAACAAATGATAATATAAAAATATTTTCAATATCATTAACCTTTAGAGATACCCAAATTATAACTGCAATGAGATACCACTGCACACCTATTAACATGCCATCTTCCCAGCAAAAATATAATAATGATAGCATTGTACTAGATAGCTGACAATATCAAGTACTGGAGAGGATACAGAGCAACTGGAACTCTCATACTGCTGTTGGGATTGAAAGCTGATGGAATCATTTTGGAAAATAGTTTAGCAGTTTCTTATGAATTCAACATATAACTAATAATAGTATTATATGCCTACATATGTAACTCAAAGAAATAAAAATGTATGTTTACCCAAAACTTATATGTTAATATTTATGACATCTTGACTTATACTCACAGAAAGCAGAAAACAACCCAAATGTCCTGTGACTGATGAGTGACAAACTTTGGTATACACATACATATTAATAGTATAAAAGACTTGGAATACTACTAAGCAAAAGAACAGAGTGAGTCATTGATATATGAAAAAATGTGGATGGATCTCAAAAGCATTTTTTAAGTAAAAGAAAGCAGACTTGAACTGCTATATGTTATTTGATTCCATCTATGTGACATCTGGAATAATCAAACAGTAAAATAGAAGCATAGCAGAGCCTATGAAGGAGCAGTACAAAGGAATATTTGAATTGCTGGAACTGTTCTACATAACAGCTATGGTGGTGGACGTGTGACTCTATGAATTTGCTAAAATCCACAGAAATGTATGCATCAAAGTCTAAATTATACCTTTTGTAAATAAAAAACTTCAGTGACAAGAATAATATTGCTTTATATTAGTAAAGTTCTGTAAAGTGGATGTTTGTTCACAATGTTTAATTCTACCCCAGAAGAAAACAGAGATTAAAAGAACAAATTCATATTATCTACATCATATAGTTAATATTTTTAAAGTTGGCATTCAAACCCAGCTCTTTTGATTCTGAATCCACTGTTCTTTTTATTATACCAAGTGAAACAATTTATATGATTAAAGAAACTATATTGCGTGAGATAATTCTTATTTTTAAATTATCCTCTGTATTTTTCAATGATTTAAAGGACATTTATATTTGCCAACTTGACAAACATTTAATGTATTCCAAATATTATTCAGAGTAGAAAAAGCACTGTTGACTCCACAAATGCCTTGAAGTTTTAACATCTAATTTAGTATGCACAACACATATTTTTAGGTAAGTATCATTACATTATTTATCAGGGTGTAGTAGTCAAAATTGCTTTTACCGTATTGCTAAAAGCAAGCTTGTGACATGATGATGTTACCTTTAATCATTTAGAAGCATAAGCTGATGAAAGCAAGTTTTCTTTCCATAATAATTAATTATTTAATGCAATATTGCATTAAAAATAAATCATTGTTTCTCTGATTTTTACTTTGTGATCATTTTCATACAACATAACTACTTTGTTGCATACCTCATTTTTAAGTTATGTCTATTCTATTATTTTGTCTGCTTCTTCAGGTGTGTTTTAATAGGCGCAACCAATTCATGTGTTTTTTAAATGGTATCAGTAAGCTATAATGATATTTGAATAATTCAAACTAAAGAGCCAACAAGAAAGATAAAGAAAAGCATTTTAAATTTAGTCCAGATCCACATTCTTCATAATAACTTATTCTTAGTATATATTTGGCAACTAATCTCAGTGTTTCTGAGAATATCAGTCCTTTGTTTCTATGGCTACTCATCAGAGTCAGTGTATGAGTATATGTGTGTATATATTTGGAGCTCAGAACAATGGGGTCCAGTACTTTTATAGTTCCAAACATGTCTGCTAGATTTTTCCTTTTTACTCTAGGTAAAATTTAACAATTTTTCTAACTGATGGAATGCGATTCTGAAATAATGGGAATTTACCCATGAGAAAACCTATTTTTTGTATGTAAATAAAAAAATTGAGGCAATTTTCTACAGTATAAGGAAATAAATGACACAAGTTTATGCTTGTTCTTGTTCAACAAGGTTACCATTATTCTTCCATTTTGTGACTATCCAAATAAAAAGATAATAATGTACTTATAATTTAGACAGGAAATGAAAGAGCTTTGCTGAATATTGCCATGCTTAGGATTATAAAATATTGTGGGAATGATGCGAGAAGGAAGAAAGATTTCCTCAACAAAGTTTCTTTCTGTATACTATTAAAGAGATTCTAAAATCTATTTTATCTCCTTTGATGAAGACGTTACTGATAAACTTTGGTAACAGCATTTCAAGACATGGTAGTTTACATTTTTTAAAAACAATTAACCTAGACAAGGGAAGGACAAAGGGTGCATTTTTCCTTTACTGGCAAGTATGGAGGATTTTGCAGCACAACTCCTGTGAATATTAACAATGCCGATTACTGATCCAGTAGATGATGACGGCTCATTCTCAGCAGTCACAGTCCATCACGTAGAGTCATATTTAGGGACTGTAAGCAAGTTATGGTTCTTGGGCATCCTTTAGCTTGCAGATTCTTGACACAAAAGACAGTTACAGTATATTTATAGCCTTTAAGGTCACTGATCATTGATATGATGGACCATTATGTCTCCGGAACGTGTCAGCTGTTGGAACTATTGGTCTATTAACAGAATCTCCCCTGCACTAAGCCACATACACTATGAGTCCATCTGCCACATACCTCGATGAAAGAATTGCTAGAATCTGTTCTGCATATCCCTGCTACAGTAATTTCAATTTACACAGTGATGCTTCTGTGCATCTATCAGGCTTATATCTGAAAATCCTTGAGTATCTTTGCCACCTTCCTTATTAACAATCTGAAATATTATAGTTAATTATATTGTAACACGCTACTATAGCAGCCAACAGCAATGTTTATTAAGTCTCTTCATTGACTCCTATATGAGGCAGATTATTTCTTTTATTTTAAGTTTCACTTTTTATAAGAAGAGTTTTTGTGAAATAAAAGGCAATTTTAAATAAAATTTCATTGATGTTAAATTTTGGGGGAGAGTAATTATATAATTTTGGACTTACAGAAATGTACAAAAACAATGCAGAGATTTTCTGTTTATCTTTCTTCCAGCTTCTACTTACACTGATGTTTTATATAACAATAAAATATTTTAAAAACCGTAAGCAATTAACCTTGGCCCAGCACTATTTACTAAAGCACAGACTTACTCCAAATTCAGTGGTTTTCTCATAATGTCCATATTTTTAATATGCCACTTATTATGCCCGGCATAAATTTTTTTTCCTCAAATATACTACATTCAATGCTCATCATTCTAAAAAGAATTTCTTTTAGTATATCTTATTTCCTTCAGGCAAACAAGAGGGAAGCAAATAACATGCAGTGAGTAGCTCTAATGCTTACCAAGGACCTGAGGCCTTCCAACAGCCCTGATTGAGTTTGAAAGTGGACCTCCTGAAGCCTGCCAACAGGCTCTTTTTCCTCAAGTTTATTTAGTATTTTCCCTGCTGGGGCTTAAAATCAATCAGTTCTCCAAGGAATCTTGACTTCTTTAATTGGAGAATTGTATTTAGGAACTATGTTCTTGGTGCCAGGTGTGCTCAATGCTATTGTGGTGTCACTGCTTCTACTCACAGAAGAGACACATGTATAATCACACATGCTTATACACAGACATGTACTTATTCCACCTTTTCTGTATTTTTATACATAAAATGAGTACATATTGATACCACTGACTCCAATCTAGCACCACACCATTTATTCTAGCCTGTCCACTTTTTATTTATAATGTCTCTCTCTAACAACTGTTTTTGAATGTTTAACTCATACCTTTATGAGAAATTTATCAACATACAACATATGTATGGCATCCTTTTTGTCTTTAATCTTACAGTGTTCAGTCAAGTCCTGAACTGTCTTGAATAAACTCTATCATAAAATATGAGAAGAAATCTGTAAATTCATTAACTATTGTTGTATACCAGATTATCACATATTTAGTAGCTTGAAAAAACTTTTTTAAAAATCTCACATATTTTGTAGGTCAATCACCTGGGTATAGTTGAGCTGGGTGCTTCTGATTTAATAGGTTTCACAGGCCTGCAATCAAGACATCAACTGAAGCTGCAGTCATCCTAAGTTTTTGTAAATAATCCACTTACCAGCTCACTCAGATGGCTATGGGAAAGCCTCAAAAATGCACTTCCAGATTCCACACATGACTGTTGGAAGGCTTCAGAAGATCCACTTTCAAACTCACTCAGAGCTTGAAGGAAACAAGAAATAAAAAATATATTTGTAGTAAATCTCCTCTTGGTGAACATAGTTCATATGTGTTCTCCACATATATAATATATATTTTTAAACTATCAGATCTCAAACATATTTTTGTTTATTTTGTATTTTTTTTAAGACAGTCTCACTGTGTCGCCCAGGCTGGAGTGCAGTGGTGCAATCTCCTCTCACTGCCATCTCCGCCTCCCAGGTTGAAGCAATTCTCCTGCTTTAGCGGCCCAAGTAGCTGGGATTACGGGCATGCGCCACTATGCCTGGCTACTTTTTGTATTTTTAGTGGAGACGGGGTTTCTCCATGTTGGCAAGGCTGGTCTCAAACTCCTGACCTCAAGTGATCCACCTGCCTCAGCTTCCCAAAGTGCTAGGATTACAGGCATGAACCATTGCTCCCGGCTTTAGAATTTTTTTTTAAAGACTCAATTATGTGCTATCTTTAAGAAATGTATTTACATGTAAATATACTTTTCTGATAAAAGCAAAAGCATGCAAAAGTTATACTATGAGAACACTGAATACATATAGAAAAATTAGAGTATCCATATCAATATTAGGCAATGTAAACGTCAGAGCAAGGAATATTCCAGGGATACAGCAGTACTTCTCATAATGATGAAGAGATCAATTTATCAAGAGGCTAAAACAAAACTAATGTGTATATACCTAATAACTGAGATTGAAATTATTAATGAGGCAATTAAAAGAATAGAATAATATCATTTATAATGGACTATTTTAATACCTCTCTCAATAATTTATTAAAATTACTTACTGAGAAATTTAGTAAGGATATACAACTTTTGAACACAACTGTTAAGCAAACCAATCCAATTATTTATGGATAACTCCACCCCAAAACACTAGAACACATATTCATTTTAATTGTACAAGTAATATTCAACAAGATAAAACATTTAATGCCAAAATGATTTTCAATTAATGTAAAATGACTGAAATTATTCACAGTATATTGAACTAGAAATCAATAACATATTTGTCAAAACTCACAAATATCAGAAATGTAAGTAAACATGTCTAATAAGTCCAATATGTCTAATGTCTAATAAGTCAAAAATCATAAAAGATACTAGAAAATATTTTAAATTTGATGAAACTAAAAATAGACCATATCAAAATTTATAAAATCTGTCAGAGTGACATTCATAGAACTAAATACTCTTATTAGAAAATAATTGTTTAAATGAATGATCTAAATTTCAACCTCAAGAAACTAGAAAAAGAAAAGCAATCTTAACTAAAAACGTGAAGAAGGAAGAAAATAATGCACCTTAGAACATTCCTCTTTTCTATTTTTGGATTAATAATGGATGCAGAAAAAAAAAGCACTTGACAAAATTCAACACCCAATCATGATATAATTAAGAATAAAACAAACTTCCTCAACCTGATAAAGGGCATATACCATGAATCTACAGTTGATATCACATTAAATATTGAAAGACTGCATCATTTCCCTGTAGTATCAGTAGCAAAGCAAGGATTACCTCTCTCAACACATCTATTTAGCATTGAAATATAGGCTCTGGAGGTCTGATGTCTTGTCAGATACATTTGCCCTTCTGCCAAAGACCTATGATCTAAAGATTAAAATTATCTGCTTCATATTCACATTCTACAACAAAGGTACAGACATAGCAACTGCAGGGCATTTTTCTTTGAAAATGGAAATAAATGTCACTGTTCTGTACAATATCTGACATCCAAGCAGACACATGACTGCTCTCTCGAGATCATTTGAATGACTTGGTTCCACCCTCTCAGCTCTTATTTTCTCTCATTAAATCCTCTTTTATTTTCCATAAGAAATAACCCATCTTTACAATTGAGTACTTTTCTAACTGTGCTTCCTGTCCAAAAAAAATCTGTGATCTACAGATCTTTATTAATTATCTACTATTTACTGTCTCTGTCCTTTTCAGTTCAATTCTACAAGTCTTTCAAAAACCTTGTGTGATTTTTATAAAGCAATTTATAATCCACTCTCTTCGAGAGAAAGGACACATGCACATTCTCTATTGGGAGCCATCCTCTACCTTGGGGTCGCTATGAGATGGCTGTAGGAGAAAACATGAGAGAATCTTTGAAGTTCTAAATTTCAACCCAAAGATTAACCCGAGGGCCAAAGCAAACCTTGAAAGCCCTTTTCTCTGCTGGAAATGGTCTATTAGGAACCACTTTAAATTTTTCTGAGGATCAAATCGGTGTAATAGGTAAACACTTGGTTTCATCTTTATCTGAAGAATATTTTACTGAGAACAGCAGCGATTTCCTCCTTAACCAGAGGCCCTTTCCAAGTTACAGAAACTTCTGCTTGAGAGAGTTGGGATGATATATAGTTGTATTTTCTAACCCAGCTAACCTTATTCCTTTATATTTCCTCTACATTCTGCTCTATAACTGAATAATTCTTCCTTTATCATATCTCTATTAGCATCTTACAAATCTCAACTAAAAGAAACCAACTGACGCTTTCTATATCCTGCCTGGAAATAGTCTTGGTCAAATCCATCTATTCATTAGGTACATTTTCCCACTTTTCATGTTATCACAGCTGAAAATTTTGTTAAAATTTCTGCCACTATATAACACTGCTTCTTTTCCTTCAGCTTCCAATTATTATTTTTTTCCCTCCCTTCTTTAAGCTTTCACCGACAGACATAATGAGAACCATCAAATTTCTGAAGTCTTCCTCCAGGCCCTGCTAGCTTTTCAGCTGCTCAGTCCCAAAGCCAACGCCAAATATTTTAAGTTTTATTTGTAAATGCCTTACCTTCAGTTACAAATTATGTTCCATACATCTATTGCTGAATTAAATATTCCATAATTTTTTGTGGTTTAAAACAAAACCATTGTATTTTAACTCATGGATTCTATGTGAGTCAGGCATGTACACAGACTCAGCTGGGATGCTTGTTTTTCTCTTCATGGAGTTGTCAGCTGACAGATGAGCTGGTCTGAAGTGTTCAACATGGTTTTACAGAATGCATATACCTGTTTATTTTTTCCACTTAATCAGCTATTTAAATTTCACTAAATATATTTACTTCAGAGCTAACATTATGTACCTTGCAATTTTATGACCACATATTTCATATCAAGACATATTTTTAAAACTTGCTGATAATAAGTGGACAAAGATAGAGTATCTTCTATGCCAAATGACAGGCTGCTATAAACAAAACCATAGAAAAAAAAGGTAACGGCCCAGCGCAGTGGCTCACGCCTGTAATCCCAGCACTTTGGGAGGCCAAGGTGGGCGGATCACTAGGTCAGGAGATTGAGACCATCCTAGCTAACACGGTGAAACCCCTTCTCTACTAAAAATACAAAAAATTAGCCGGGCATGGTGGCGGGCGCCTGTAGTCCCAGCTACTCAGGAGGCTGAGGCAGGAGAATGGCATGAACCAGGGAGGCGGAGCTTGCAGTGAGTCGAGATCGCACCACTGCACTCCAGCCTGGGCAACAGAGCGAGACTCCGTCTCAGACAAACAAACAAACAAACAAAACCAAAAAAAGAATAAAAGGGTAACAATAAGACAAATATTTCACTAAACAAAGGAAGCAGCTTTAATTAAAAACTATGAAGCAAAAACTAAGATCATAAATCAATGAAATATAAAACAACAGTTGAAAGGGTTAGTAAATGAAAGATGACATTTGAATGAATGAATAAAACATATTTCATGGCAAGACTGAAAAAATAAAAAGGGATTGTGAGTAAAACAATATATGGAGTGACTAAGAGAAAACACCGAGTACAAACATGCCTTTCAAATATAATTATTTATAAATCACTACACACCAATAAATTAGAAAACCTAGCTAAAAATGTATACTTTGGGGAAAATATTAACTTTCAAGATAGTGTAAGAAAAAATTGATTAACAATAATTAGTAAAATTTATATATAAATTAAATTTTCTTAAATATCCCCACACTAGTCAGAGTTAGTAATCAACTTGTGCACAATTTTGAGAAACATTAAAATTTCCATTATATATTTTATAATAAAAATAAAAAAGAAAATTTTCCATTTCATTTTTAGTGTCTATTAAAATATTGGCTTCAAATCCACACATTGAGAGTGTACGAAATAAGTTAAAAGTCCTATTCACATATGAAAGTAAAGTGATACAGTGTATATATTTGTCTATAAGTTAACAATAACTAGCAATCTATTATATAATTATAATCCATTCATATAAGTTAGATAAAGGTAAAGAAAAAAGTATCACAGAAATGCAAGGACACAAGACATACAAACAAAAAAAAAACAAAAATAAATGCAAGGACATCTGTGGTATAGAAACTCTGTCAATACAATTTATATTAATGAACTAAAAGATATTTTTCAAAGTATAATTCATTTTATGGGCTAGAATAACAAGCTGAATTACAAGAAAATTTATTTATGTAAGAAAGTCAAAAATGAAGAAAGAAAAAATAGAAATGTAACAACAAAGAAAAGATAACCTATGGTAGACATTATATTTAATTGTAGATATATTTCTCTAAAGATCGTTTTAAAAAGGGAGGTCACCAATTATCAACAATACTAAAAATCTGTAGCCAAAGAAAAGAAATAAGAGAAATAAGGACTGAACGAGAAAATGTCAGAGAAAGAGCTAACACAAATAATTAATAAAAACTTAGAATAAATAAGATAATCAACAATGCTCTAAAATACAAGATCAACCATAAAGTACTGTTTCTTTCTAGCATAGTAGCACACTAGAACTTATGTTAGAAAATAGTAATGCTTATGTTTTCAGAAAAATCTGTGAATTTTCTTGGATTTAACTGTTCAAGATCTTTAGAAAAAAAATTTATTAACAAAAGTAAATGGCCTGAGTAAATGTAAAAAACAAATGCAAAAACATGAAAAACAAATGTAAAAAAAAATTCAGCATATATTCAATGTCTACTACATGCCAAGTACTCCTTTGCATTTGGGGAAAACACACTTCATAAAACAGATATAACCAAATATGTTCATGTTCAGTTCTCTACACCTTAACTTATTCATGAAAATAAATCCAAATAAAAATACCTGGATTATGAATAACATATATATATATATATACACACATATATGTATATATATAAAACACATCCTATGATTTATATACAACACTACATTTTCATTAATAGGTAAATAAGTTTGGAGAAAAAACAGCACAGATGGTAAATTCACATCAGATAAGAATTTTGGTATAAAGACTTAAAAAGTAAAACAAAACCAAACAAAATATGCCTGTGGATAAAATACAATCAGAATAATAGAATATAAAAGACTAAAATCTGATTTATCTGTATAGGAATATAATGTATGATAAAAGTATCACAAATCAATGGAGAAATGGCATGTTTAATAAATGGCATTGGAGATAATGACATATATAAAATAATAAAGCTACATCGTAACTCTCTTTACAAACATTGCATAGAAAAGTTAACCATATGAATTATATGCCTAAAGGAAAAGCAAACTATAAATTTTAAAAATCTAATCAAATAAAGAGAACATGAAAATATGTCTTTGTGGATGTGGAGAATGTGAAAGACTTACTAAATAATACAAAACAAAACAAAGTATTAGTCAAATATTTGCTAAACTTGATTTAATGAAAATTAAGAATTGTTTTTCAGGAAGAGGGAAGGGAAAGTTAAAATTAATATATTAAAAACATTTATAGTTTGAATGTGTAACATAGACTGAAGAAAAAATACGTATATAAACACATATATATCTATATATAGATATATATCCATATATGTGTATATATACTTACATATATACATACATATGTATATATATATGTGTGTATAAATATGTGTGTGTGCATATATATACACACATCTGTGTATATATATATCTGTATATATATACATATATATCTGTATATACATATATATACAGACATACATATATATCTGTATATACATATATATACAGACATACATATATATCTGTATATATATACAGATGTGTATATATATACACATATATGTGTGTATATATATATATACACACAGATATATCTTTTTGAGAATATGTCTCACTCTGTTACTTAAGCTGGAGTGCAGTGGTATGATCTTGGCTCACTACAGCCTTGACCTTCTGGGCTCAAAGATCCTCCCACCTCAGCCTCTCCAGTACCTGGGACTACAGGCATGCACCATCAGGCCTACCTAATTTTTTGTATTTTTAGTAGAGATGGGGTTTTGCCATGCTGCCCAGGCTGGTCTTTAACTCCTTGACTCAAGAGATCTGCCTGCCTTGGCCTCCGAAAGTGCTGGGATTACAGGTGTGAGCCACTGCACCCAACTCTGAAGAAAAATAATTTTTATACACAAGAATTTCATGAAAATCATGAAGAGACAATGATAGAAAAAAACTTGCAAAGATTAGAATAGTTGATTTTCAGAATGCTATGGACTGAAGGAATGTTTGTGTCTCAAAATTGATATGTTGATAATATCAGAACATAAATGAACATATATGCTTATGCCAAATAATACAAATTAATATTGAAGGAATGATAAAGTGACATCTTCTCTTTCGTGTAAAATAAATTGTCAATGTGATGGTATTTGGAATTGGGGCCTTTAGGAGGTAATAAGAGCTAGTTAGGTCCCCTAATGGGATTAATGCCTTATTAAAAAAAAAAAAAGAGGCAGTAGATATCTCTCTCTCTCCCCATGCCCACTCATTCTTTCTCTCCTCTCTCTCTCTCTCTCTCTCTCTCTCTCTCTCTCACCAAGAAACCAACCATGGTATCACCCTAATCTCACACTTCCAGCTTCCATAACCATGAGAACTAAATTTGGTATTTAGGCCGCCCAGTTTATGGTCATTTGTTGTAGCACCTGAAAATACTAAGACACAGAAAACCAATCCAAAATTACAAAAAAAAAGAAAAAGGAAAAGAAAAAAAGGGCCAGGCACAGTGGCTCACGCCTGTAATCTGAGCACTTTGGGAGGCCGAGACGGGTGAATCGCAAGGTTAGGAGTTCGAGACCAGCCTGGCCAACATGGTGAAACCCCATCTCTACTAAAAATACAAAAATTAGCAGGGCGTGGTGGCGCACACCTGTAGTAATCCCAGCTTCTCGGGAGGCCAAGGCAGGAGAATTGCTTGAACCTGGGAGGTGGAAGTTGCAGTGAGCCAAGATCATGCCATTGCACTCCAGACTGGGTGACAGAGCGAGACTCCATCTCAGGGCATGGGGTGGGGGGAAGAAAAAAGAAAAAGAAAAGAAAAAGTGAAGAGATACTTGATCACTACAGAAATTAGTGAAATGCAAGCCAGCATAGCATTGAGATGCACCACACAGGCATCAAACTGACAAAATTAAAAAGTTGTCTCAAAACGAATCAAATAAAGAACATGTCTTCTTTCTCCAAAATTAAGGGGGGAAAGGTGGGAATGGCAAATGGAACTCATTTTCATTTGTAACAAAGTAAAAGTTGCAGGGAATTTGGTTTGAGAGTTAAATGAAATGTTTCATATAAATTCAACTAAATAGCACAATTCCAAAATGGGGTGGGCCTTTATCACATGGAGAGATTGCCCAGGTAAGCTGTATGGCATGGAGAATCAGAAGAGAATCCCTGCTGCTTATGGGCTAACCTTACCAAAGAGGAAAATGAGAGTAGCAGAATCAAGTAAATAATATCAGAACATAAATGAGCATATATGCTTATGCCATATAATACAAATTAATACTGAAGGAATGATAAGATGACATTTTCTCTTTCGTGTAAAATAAATTATACAAACAAATAGCAGAAAAATTGCCCTTCTTATGGCAAACAAATTATGTCACACACACAAAATCAAAACTGTACAGGTGAAATAAATAGGTATTATATGGGGATGATAATTGTATTAACTTTTATTCAGTATATTACATACATTCACATTCTGAAACGAATACATTTGAGCAAAGATAGGCACAAAGATACAAAGTAGCTTGGCCACTTTCATTTTAGATTCATAATGTTAATTCCAGATTTCTCTTTTCCTGCTTAGAAGTTTTATGTTTTGCATTTCTTGGAAACCTAATCCTTAGATAGCAATAAGTGTGAATTAGAAAACTATTTCTCCAAAACATCTCTCATCTTCATTACTGTATACTACTGCCCTGTCCTCCTCTCTTCAATTCTCGCTGTCAGAATTAAAATATAATTTATTTATATAATATATATTTATATACAATATATAGAAATACAAATAATATTTATAATTATATTAAAATATCATCTATATAAAAATTAATATAGGTATAAATATATAAATGATATATAAAATTATGTACATTTAATATATAATATATATTTTATAATTGCATATATAATTATAAGATACACATGGAGAAGTGATTGAGGTGAATTTGAGTAGTATTTCCATTATAAAGTTAAAAAAATTAGCCATGCAGTGACTACCCATTGTTAAGTCAAGCTTTCTTTAACTGACTCCTCTTTTTCCTCAGAATGGCTTACATAAATGAAGAAATTCCAAGTAGTCTCAAACAAGTCATACTTAAAGCATGCTAGCATTCTTAGTCATTCAACTTTCCTAAAGTTAGCTCAGGCTCAAATAGGAATTCTTTCAGAATTTGGTGTCCTGAAACAACACTAACAGTGAACACATTAAAAAGGCTGTCTTGGTCTATTCAGTCTGCCATAACAAAATGCTATAGACTTGGTAGCTTAAACAACAGGAATGTATCTCTTAGAATTCTGGAGGCTAGAGGTCCCAGATCAGAGCTTCACATGGGTGAGTTCTAGTGAAAAATCAGAGCTCCAACATGGGTGAGTTCTAGTGAAGATCAGAGCTTCAGCATGGGTGAGTCTGGTGAAGGCTCTCTTCCTGGCTTGCATATAATCTCTTCTTGACTGTATCTTCACATAGCAGAAAGAGAGAGGAGAGAGAGAGAAAGAGAGAGAAATCTTCCTCTTTTTATAAAGCCATTAACCCATCATATTAGAGTACTACCTTCATGACCTCATCCAATTGTGTCCCAAAGTCCCCATCCCCAAGTACCAACAAATCAAGGGTGACAAATACACTACAGATTTTTGGCGGACCACAATTCAATCCATAGCAAGCACCAACCCTAAACATGGATATTGTAAGCAAGGCGGTCTCTCTCTTTACCCTATTTATTCAAAGGATGTCAATTTTCCTTTTTACTTTCATTTCCACAATGAAGGTTGAAGAAGGAGATGCCCTAGTTAAATGAACACTCTAATAATTCTATAACAAAGAGAGTAATTTAAATTCACTCATGTGCAGTATTATTAATTAAATAACACTTTGGTCTCCATGTTAAAATAACATAAACCCTGAGATTAAGAATATACAATTAAGAGTAGGTAATTAAGAGATAAACATGCAAGTATACTAATAAAATAAAAGATATACAGAGGACTACGTAGTAGCAATTCTAAAAGGCCAGTTAGTTTTTGATCATCTCTTCCTCCATACCACAACTTGTTTCAATTAAACTATTCTAAAAAGACCACTGTTAACTTGCAGCATTATAAAGACATCTTTACAGTTTCTTTAATCATATCATTGGTCCACTCTTCTACTTTACTGCTAGGATTTTTGTTTTTGCTGGTTTTTGGCTTTCTTGTTTACCTCGATATTAATTCTATAGTAATTGCCTTAAGTGTTCAATTGCTGGAAAAACAAGACTCTGGTTTTTGTTTGTTTGTTTTTGTTTTTATTATTCCGAAAGAGATTTATTATAGGCAACGAAACACAACAGCACCAGCAAGGAAAGGACATACATTGAAAATGGTTTGGAGAGAGCAGGTGCAGCCTTCATTATATCACTGGGTCTCACAGGACAAACTTTGGCTCCAGGTCTTGAAGCCCCTTGTGAACAGAAAACCAGAAGTCCTCTCCTGCTGGACTTCTCTTATAGAAAGCAGGTTGCAGAAATGCCTGACCTGCTTTTACAGTAGAAGAACTCCCAGCTCTACCAAAGTCAGTCACAAATCTAGCTGTTCTTATCAAAAAATGCTGACATGCTAATGCATCCTCCCTCCAAAAGAGCTAACAGATTCATGATTATAGAACATCACCGATCTCTAGTTGATACATTCTATATATTCTTAGCCAAAATTCACCATCATGTTTCTTCACACAAATCTGAAGATAAGCATGTGATCAACCCAGCACAGCTGGAATTAGCCCATGCTCTTCACCATCTTTTAATAACTAATATGCCCAGGGGAAAATTCAGCACGTATCGAATTATGTGTCCATGCAGCAAAATTTTATCAAGTAAGTCAGTAAAGTTTTACACAGTTTATAATAAAGTAGGAATTTGTAAAAAAAAAAAAAAAAGTCAAATAACTATCTCTCCATTTTCTCAGTGTGATATGTTAGAAAACCATACTACTATCAGAAAGCCAGACAAGATTTATTTTACTAAAAGTATAATGTTACAAATATTTTATATTTTTTCTTTTATAAGCCTTATACCACAGATTTCAGCAAATGTTTATAGACTGCTACAGAGTGTCTATACAAATAAATGTTGAAGAAACTGATGAATTTTAAGATAAAAATAGGAAAAAATTAAAAAGAAACAAATAAATTGCAATAATGACAAACCCACAGATATGTATAGCTGAACTTGCCAAATAAAAGGCAACAGGAAGTTTTCAGAGGAGTCTCAGAAACAGACTGTTTCATTCAGTATAATTTGGTGTTGCTGTTTATTATTTGCAATGCTAACACATTAAAAATAATGTTACATTACTACACTTCTCAATATTACTATAGATTTAAATCTAAGGCAGGAGAAGATAATTTCCAGTTTACAAAACAGCACTGAACTTTGTTTGACCCAGTTCAGGGGACAGTCACCAGAAATTCCTAATCTCATTTATGTCTTTCTATTGTTGAAATGTAGGTGTTCCCCCAAAACCTATATGTTGGAACCATCACCAATGGGAGGGTATTAGGGGCCTTTTGAAGGTGGTTAGGACACAACAGTGGATCACTCATGAATGGCATTAGTGCCCTTATAAAAGAGAACGAGTTGAACTCCTTGCCCTTTCCACATGTGAGGACGTAGATAGAAAGCACCATTCTGAATCAGATACCAAAAATGATGGTTCCTTGATATTGGACTTCCGGGTCTTCAGAACTCTAAGAAATAAATTACCGTTGTTTATAAACTGCCCAGTTTACGATTTCTATACCAGCCCAAATGGACTGAGACATGTAAAAATAAGCATGCCTTATTAATAATCAGAACAAATCCCAAGAATTATTTCACATTAACAGCTCATGTATTTCTCTTCCTTTGACTGGTTGTTTATAGGTTTCTATTCATCTTGTTGACTATACTTCTCTTATTTCTATTCTTTTATACTTTTTTTTTCTTTTCTTTTTTTTTTTTTTTTTTTTTTTTTGGAGACAGAGTCTTTCTCTGTTGCCAGGCTGGAGTGCAGTGGTACGATCTCAGATCACTGCAACCTCCCTCTCTCCGGTTCAAGTGATTCTCATGATTCAGCCTCCCAAGTAGCTGGGACTACAGGAAAGTGCCACTATGCCTGGCCAATTTTTGTATTTTTAATAGAGATAGGGTTTCGCCATGTTGTCCAGGCTGGTCTTGAAATCCCGCCCTCAAGTGATCTGCCTGCCTCAGCCTCCCAAAGTGTTGGGATTACAGGCGTGAGCCACCACGCTGCGCCTTGTTTTTATTTTGTAATACAAGAAAAATATATGTGAACTACTGGAAAATATAGTAAGTTCTCTATTCCAAAGGCTCAAAATATAGAAATGTGAATACTTAATACTTCTCCTTAAAATGGCAAAACATGTTTTCCTTTTTCCTAAAACTGAGAGACTTATTTTCCCCCCAAGGCTAAAATCACTCTTGGTAGGAAATAAAGCTTCCTTATCACTCATTGTTCAAAGTATGAAATTTTGTGCTTTAAATAAAAAGTAATATAAAAATCATTCAGTCATGTATTGACAGCATGATTTTTAAGATGGTCTGGTTTGGGGACAATAGGAAAAGGTAGGATAAAACATTTATTTGAGATGGATGCAGAAGAGTAATTGTCAATCATATTTTATGAAACAAGAGTTCTCATTCTTCAAATGATCTTTAATGTAAGATGGAATTTAAGCATAGTGGTCAAAACCTGCTTTCAAAACTGTAAGATATACAAATGAAAATGGGAGCTGCAAAGGTCACCAGCCTCTTTTATAAGACAAACTAAACGTCTAAGGATTCACAATTCACTTTGCTTCTTTTCTATGTATTGATTTAAAAATCCAATCAATGACTCAATCAACAATATTAAAGATCTACTATGTGTCTAGCATTATTTTCAGCAGCTATAGGCACATCCATCTTAAAGCATGTATACATCAGTAGCCAAAGCATTTTTGGTTGCACAGCAATAAAATATTTGTCAATAATAACTAAATAAATAGTAGTATTGAGTGAAACTCAAATTAAACCTTTCTATATAAAGTGGAATGTCAGATTACAATAAATATAAAGTTAGCTGAAGGGCAAAATAATTTATATGTGATGTGTCATCTCATGAGAACCTTTATTTTCCCCCAAATTTTCCAAAAATGCAATCACTTCCCATCACAGATATGAAAAAAATTCCAATGTCTTTTAAAATACTCTGTGATATTTTAACACCTTATGTCATGAGCATAACTACCTATGGAAAAAATGGTATTTACAAAAGGAAGTATGAGATTTTTAAATCACATTGTAAATTATCTGTAGGCTTCAACTAACAGTAAACATAACATCTAGCCATTCACACCCCAAAACCATTTTCCCTTTAATCTTAAAATAACATTATACAACACACTAAACAAATGACCAAGAGTTTAATTAGTACTTACAATGTTTCAACTGGTAACATATATATTTTCTTCAACATTCTATGTCACCTTGGTAATTTAAAGAATGACTGTATATATAACCAAGTTGGAAAATACTACTTATTTACCCCCATATTCATTTGTGTTTTTCCCCCATAGAGTTGCAACTTTTCTCTTACTGTTGCTACAGTTCTGTGATTTCTCTATTGGGCATTGAGTTAGCAATTTTCGGTGCAGAGTGCAATCTATCAGCTACTTTACTATATCACATTACAATTTAGGTTCCATTTTGTCAGTTTTGCAACTATTCTGCTGTGGGATGTGATATCTCAAGACAATTCTGTACTTTTCCAAGCTATCTTACCACTTTGAAAGTGTTGTCAGAGGAAGTATTATTTGGAAAAGTCAGTCTGAATTATGCTGCTGCAAATCTGTGCTGCACAGCTAACACAAATTGATTTACCAGAAAGCTTGCTGCATTCCTAAGACATACAGCCACTACAGCAGCTTAGCGAAATTATCATTCACAAATAATATATTCAGATACAGCATAAGAAACTCTCAGAATAAAGCTCTAATAACACTTCAGTACATTTAAGATATATTTTTATTACTAATTTGGAAGGAAAGGAAATATTTCCTGTTTAAGTAATGAGGTGTTATTAAAATTCATAAATTATTTACAACAATTTCTCTGACAGTGAGAGAGAACTAGTGTTCTAGAAGATACATGGTTCTTCTAGGATTGAACCAAGGGCATTTTCAGTCAAAAAGCAATGGTTGGTTTGACAAGGAGAGAAATTTCTATATATACATTGTTATATTTTGTCTATTCTGTAGTTCGCCTGTACGTTCTTAACTTTGGGGATACCTGCACAAAACACACATGACATCTCTTCAAAATGCAAGAACATTGTGTTGATGAGTCATTGGACAGGAACCTCAGGTATCAAATGCAGATGATTTGGCCTCTAACTAGGAGTCACCATTCTGTGTGTGCCAGCTCCCTTCACCCCCTCGAAGGAGCTGCATATAGATTCAGTAAATCCAAGGAGTTAAGGCTGTCATGCTACTAGAAGGATTATAATTTATTTGAAGTGTGTTTAATAATCTGCAATTTTCCTTTTATTGTCACTTATTTGTTTGGGGCTCTATTTTCCTTGCTAAATAATTTTCAATGTTAAACAGAAATTTTAAAAATGCCCAAGAGTTATTAGGTTGGATTTTGGTGGTAGCCTTAATAAATAAATCAAGGGAAGATTATACTTGGTATTGTTCAGAACTTTAAAAGGGGTTGTTCAATACACAGAAAAATAACACTATTCATGGTATTTTGGTTTCCAATAAAATCACACCTCTATGAGCCAATGTGTCCTCTCTCATAAACTCCTCTCCACGATATATAATACTATACCTGCAATTCATTCCCATTTGTTGTGTACCAACAAATGTGTTCTCCTCCTTATTTAAGCTTCCATTCTCCACATTCCATGAAAAAGCAAAGGGAAATAATCACCATTTTTCCTATTCAACTTCCTGTTGAAAGACTACTGATTTTTTAAAAATAGGCTCTATTTTTAGAGAGTTTTAAAGTTAACAGAAAAAAAGACCAGAAAGTATACAGAATTCCATATACTACCTCCCTCCCCATCACCCTTTGTTTCCTCAATTATTAACATGTTGCATTAATGTGGTGTGTTTGTTAAAACTGATTAATTAATATCAATATATTATTATTAAACAAACTCCATACTATATATTAGAGTTCACTGTTTATGTCATACAGTTCAATGGGTTTTGAGAAATGCATGTCAGATAGTAAGTGATATATTATCATATGGAATAGTTTCACTGCCCTAAAAATCATCTATGATCCACTGATTTATCTCTCCTTTCTTCCCCTTTCAGGTTGCTTCCCTAGAAACCACTCATCTTTTTACTGTCTCCACAGTTTTTCCTTTTCCAGAATATAGCTGGACTCATGCTCTGTTGTCTTTAGAGACTGACATTTCATTTAGTAGTATGCATTTAAGTTTTCTCCCTGTCTTTTCCAGGCTTAATAACTCATTTATTTTAATTGTTGAATAATATTTCATTTTTTGGATGTACCACAGTTGTTTACCCATTCACTTATAGAAGTGCATGTTGGTTGTTTCCAATTTGGGGCAAATATGAACAAGGCTACTATAAATATTCATATGCATGTTTTTGTGGACATCAGTTTTCAACTTATTTGAAAAAGTAACAAAGATCATGATTGCTAGATCTTTTGATAAGCCAATCTTTACACTTGTAAGAAAATGTCAAAATGTCTTCTAAAGCAGCTGTATCATTTTGTTTTCCTACCATCAGTGAATCAGAGTTCCTGTTGCTCCAGATTCTCAAGAACATATGATGTCATCAGTGTTTTAGGTTTTGGTCATTACAACAGGTATGCTTTAATTTGCGATTTCCAATTACATGTAATTTTGAGCATCTTTCCAAATGCGTATTTGCCTTATGTGTATCTTATTTGGTGAACTCTCTCTTCATATCTTTTGCCCATTTGTCAACTGGGCTATTTATTTTATAATGGTGGAGTCATAGTGGATTTGTATAGTTTGGATATGAGTTCATCGTCAGGTTTGTATTTTGCAATATTTTTCCCCATTCTGTGGCTTCTGTTTTCATTCTTTTAACACTGTTTATTTTTTTCAGAGTAGAATTCTTTACTTTTTAATTTCTAATAAAGTCCACATTATTTTTTTCTCTCATGGGTCATTTTTATTTTATTTTATTTATTTTAATTTTATTGATACATAACATTTACATATTTGTGGGCTATATGTGATATTTTGTTACATACATAGAATGTTTAATGATAGAGTCAGGGTATTTGGGGTATCCAAATACATGTGAGTATTTACCATTTTTATGTTTTGGGAACAATTTATTTTCTCCCTTGTAGTGACTTTGAAATATACAATATATTGTTGTTAATTATAGTCAATTTATTCTGCTATTAAATATTACACTTAATAACTTTTGTCTAACTCTATGTTTGTACCCATTAATCAACCTCTCTTCATTCCTCTCTCCTACTCACATGCTTTTTGCAGCCTCTGCTATCTTTCATTCTACTCCTACCTCCATGTAATCAAGTATTTTAGCTCCCACATATGAGTGAGAATATGTGGCATTAGGCTTTCTGTGCTTCGCTTATTTCACTTAATAAAATGACCTCCAGTTCCATCCATATTGCTCTAAATGACATAATTTTATTCTTTTTATAGCTGAATAGTATTCTATTGTGTATAGATACTACATTTTATTTATCCACTCATCTGTTGATAGACACTTAGGTGAATTGCTTATATTTGACACTGAACACTGCTGCAATAAACATGTAAGCCCAGGTAGCTCTTTGATATACTGATGTTTTTTCCTTTGGATAGATACCTAATAGTGGGATTCCTGCGTTGTATGGTAGTTGTAGTTTTAGATTTTTGAAAAATCTCCACTATTTTTATAGTGGCTGTACTAATTTACATTCCAACCAAATGTGTGTAAGAACAGCTCCCTTTTCTCTGTTTCAAAGCCAGGATCTGTTATTTTTTGTGTTTTAATAGTTTCCACTCTAACTGGGATATGGTAACATGATATCTTATTGTATTTTTTTTTTTTTTTTAGATGGAGTCTCACTCTGTCACCCAGGCTGGAGGGCAATGGCATGATATCAGCTCATTGCAACCTCTGCCTCCGCGTTCAAGCAATTCTCCTGCCTCAGCGTCCTGAGTAGCTAGGATTACAGGCGCATGCCATCACACCCAGTTAATTTTTGTATTTTTAGTAGAGATGGGATTTTGCCAAGTTGGTCAGGCTGGTCTTGAACTCCTGACCTCATGATCCACCCACCTCGGCCTCCCAAAGTGCTGGGATTACAGGCGTGAGCCACTGAGTCCGGCCTATTGTAATTTAAATTCACATTTTCCTGATCATTAGTGATGTTAAGCATTTTTTTTTTTTTTCATATAACTGATGGCCACTTATTTTTCTTCTTTTGAGAAATGTCTGTTCATTTCATTTGCCCACTTTTCCATGGGAATATTTGCTGTTTTTCTGAGTTGTTTGAATTTGTTTTATATTCTGGATATGAGTCCCTCATCAGATGAAGAGTATGCAAATATTTTCTCCCATTAAACAGTTGTCTTTTCATTCTGTTAAATATTTATTTATTTATTTATTTATTTATTTTATTATTATTATTATACTTTAAGTTTTAGGGTACATGTTTTAGGGTAAGTTTTAGGGTACATGTGAACATTATGGAGGTTTGTTACATATGTATACATGTGCCATGTTGGTATGCTGCACCCATTAACTCGTCATTTAGCATTAGATATATCTCCTAATGCTATCCCTCCCCCTCCCCCCACCCCACAACAGTCCCGGGAGTGTGATGTTCCCCTTCCTGTGTCCATGTGTTCTCATTGTTCAATTCCCACCTATGAGTGAGAACATGCAGTGTTTGGTTTTTTGTCCTTGAGATAGATTGCTGAGAATGATGGTTTCCAGTTTCATCCATGTCCCTACAAAGGACATGAGCTCATCATTTTTTATGGCTGCATAGTATTTTATGGTGTATATGTGCCACATTTTCTTAATCCAGTCTATCGTTGTTGGACATTTGGGTTGGATCCAAATCTTTGCTATTGTGAATAGTGCTGCAATAAACACACACGTGCGTGTGTCTTTATAGCAGCATGATTTATAATCGTTTGGGTATATACCCAGTAATGGGATGGCTGGGTCAAATGGTATTTCTAGTTCTAGATCCCTGAGGAATCGCCACACTGACTTCCACAATGGTTGACCTAGTTTACCTTCCCACCAACAGTGTAAAAGTGTTCCTATTTCTCCACATCCTCTCCAGCACCTGTTGTTTCCTGCCTTTTTAATGATCGCCACTCTAACTGGTGTGAGATGGTATCTCATTGTGGTTTTGATTTGCATTTCTCTGATGGCCAGTGATGATGAGCATTTTTTCATGTGTTTTTTGGCTGCATAAATGTCTTCTTTTGAGAAGTGTGTGTTCATATACTTTGCCCACTTTTTGATGGGGTTGTTTTTTTCTTGTAAATTTGTTTGAGTTCATTGAAGATTCTGGATATTAGCCCTTTGTCAGATGAGTAGGTTGCGAAAATTTTCTCCCATTTTGTAGGTTGCCTGTTCACTCTGATGGTAGTTTCTTTTGCTGTGCAGAAGCTCTTTAGTTTAATTAGATCCCATTTGTCAATTTTGGCTTTTGTTGCCATTGCTTTTGGTGTTTTAGACATGAAGTCCTTGCCCATGCCTATGTCCTGAATGGTATTGCCTAGGTTTTCTTCTAGGGTTTTTATGGTTTTAGGTCTAACATGTAAGTCTTTAATCCATCTTGAATTAATTTTTGTATAAAGTGTAAGGAAGCAATCCAGTTTCAGCTTTCTACATATGGCTAGCCAGTTTTCCCAGCACCATTTATTAAATAGGGAATCCTTTCCCCATTGCTTGTTTTTGTCAGGTTTGTCAAAGATCAGATGGTTGTAGATATGCGGCATTATTTCTGAGGGCTCTGTTCTGTTCCATAGATCTATATCTCTGATTTGGTACCAGTACCATGCTGTTTTGGTTACTGTAGCCTTGTAGTATAGTTTGAAGTCAGGTAGTGTGATGCCTCCAGCTTTGTTCTTTTGGCTTAGGATTGACTTGGCAATGTGGGCTCTTTTTTTGGTTTCATATGAACTTTAAAGTAGTTTTTTCCAATTCTGTGAAGAAAGTCATTGGTAGCTTGATGGGGATGGCATTGAATCTATAAATTACCTTGGGCTGTATGGCCATTTTCACGATATTGATTCTTCCTACCCATGAGCATGGAATGTTCTTCCATTTGTTTGTATCCTCTTTAATTTCATTGAGCAGTGGTTTGTAGTTCTCCTTGAAGAGGTCCTTCACATCCCTTGTAAGTTGGATTCCTAGGTATTTTATTCTCTTTGAAGTAATTATGAATGGTAGTTCACTCATGATTTGGCTCTCTGTTTATCTGTTATTGGTGTATAAGAATGCTTGTGATTTTTGTACATTGATTTTGTATCCTGAGACTTTGCTGAAGTTGCTTATCAGCTTAAGGAGATTTTGGGCTGAGACAATGGGGTTTTCTAGATATACAATCATGTCATCTGCAAACAGGGACAATTTGACTTCCTCTTTTCCTAATTAAATACCCTTTATTTCCTTCTCCTGCCTAATTGCCCTGGCCAGAACTTCCAACGCTATGTTGAATAGGAGTGGTGAGACAGGGCATCCCTGTCTAGTGCCAGTTTTCAAAGGGAATGCTTCCAGTTTTTGTCCGTTCAGTGTGATATTGGCTGTGGGTTTGTCATAGATAGCTCTTATTATTTTGAGATACGTCCCATCAATACCTAATTTATTGAGAGTTCTTAGCATGAAGGGTTGTTGAATTTTGTCAAAGGCCTTTTCTGCATCTATTGAGATAATCATGTGGTTTTTGTCTTTGGTTCTGCTTATATGCTGGATTACATTTATTGATTTGCATATGTTGAACCAGCCTTGCAACCCAGGGATGAAGCCCACTTGATCATGGTGGATAAGCTTTATGATGTGCTGCTGGATTCGGTTTGCCAGTATTTTATTGAGGATTTTTGCATCAATATTCATCAAGGATATTGGTCTAAAATTCTCTTTTTTTGTTGTGTCTCTGCCAGGCTTTGGTATCAGGATGATGCTGCCCTCATAAAATGAGTTAGGGAGGATTGCCTCTTTTTCTATTGATTAGAATAGTTTCAGAAGGAATGGTACCAGCTCCTCCTTGTACCTCTAGTAGAATTCGGCTGTGAATCCATCTGGTCCTGGACTTTTTTTGGTTGGTAAGCCATTGATTATTGCCACAATTTCAGAGCCTATTATTGGTCTATTCAGAGATTCAACTTCTTCCTGGTTTAGTCTTGGGAGGGTGTATGTGTCGAGGAATTTATCCATTTCTTCTAGATTTTCTAGTTTATTTGCATAGAGGTGTTTGTAGTATTCTCTGATGGTAGTTTGTATTTCTGTGGGATCGGTGGTGATATCCCCTTTATCATTTTTTATTGCATCTATTTGATTCTTCTCTCTTTTCTTCTTTATTATTCTTGCTAGCGGTCTATCAATTTTGTTGATCTTTTTGAAAAACCAGCTCCTGGATTCATTAATTTTTTGAAGGGTTTTTTGTGTCTCTATTTCCTTCAGTTCTGCTCTGATTTTAGTTATTTCTTGCCTTCTGCCAGCTTTTGAATGTGTTTGCTCTTGCTTTTCTAGTTCTTTTAATTGTGATGTTAGGGTGTCAATTTTGGATCTTTCCTGCTTTCTCTTGTGGGCATTTAGTGCTATAAATTTCTCTCTACACACTGCTTTGAATGTGTCCCAGAGATTCTGGTATGTTGTGTCTTTGTTCTCGTTGGTTTCAAAGAACATCTTTATTTCTGCCTTCATTTCGTTATGTACCCAGTAGTCATTCAGGAGCAGGTTGTTCAGTTTCCATGTAGTTGAGTGGTTTTGAGTGAGTTTCTTAATCCTGAGTTCTAGTTTGATTGCACTGTGGTCTGAGAGATAGTTTGTTATAATTTCTGTTCTTTTACATTTGCTGAGGAGTGCTTTACTTCCAACTATGTGTTCGATTTTGGAATAGGTGTGGTGTGGTGCTGAAAAAAATATATATTCTCTTGATTTGGGGTGGAGAGTTCTGTAGATGTCTATTAGGTCCGCTTGGTGCAGAGCTGAGTTCAATTCCTGGGAGAAATAAAAAACTTCACAGACAAGCAAATGCTGAGAGATTTTTCACACCAGGCATGCCCTAAAAGAGCTCCTGAAGGAAGCACTAAACATGGAAAGGAACAACCAGTACCAGCCACTGCAAAAACATGCCAAAATGTAAAGACCATCAAGGCTAGGAAGAAACTGCATCAACTAACGAGCAAAATAACCAGCTAACATCATAATGACAGGACCAAATTCACACATAACAATATTAACTTTAAATGTAAATGGGCTAAATGCTCCAATTAAAAGACACAGACTGGCAAATTAGATAAAGAGTCAAGACCCATGAGTGTGCTGTATTCAGGAAACCCATCTCACATGCAGAGACACACATAGGCTCAAAATAAAGGGATGGAGGAAGATCTACCAAGCAAATGGAAAACAAAAAATGGCAAGGGTTGCAATCCTAGTCTCTGATAAAACAGACTTTAAACCAACAAAGATCAAAAGAGACAAAGAAGGCCATTGCTTAATGGCAAAGGGATCAATTCAACAAGAAGAGCTAACTATCCTAAATATGTATGCACCCAATACTGGAGCACCCAGATTCATAAAGCAAGTCCTTAGTGACCTACAAAGAGACTTAGACTCCCACACAATAATAATATGAGACTTTAACACCCCACTGTCAACATTAGACAGATCAATGAGACAGAAAGTTAACATTCTGTTAAATTTTTATTTTGGTTTGTAGAGGCTTTTTAGTTTAATACAGTCCATTTGCCTATTTTTGTTTTTGTTTCCTGCACTTTTGAGGTCTTAGTCATAAAATCCTTGCCAATATCAATGAAGATTTTGCTGTATGTTTCCCACTAGCAGTTTTATAGTTTAAGGTTTTCTATTTAAGTCTTTAATTCATCTTTGTTAACTTTTGTATATGGCAAGAGACAGAGATCCAGTTTTATTCTTCTACATAGATATCCAATTTTCACTGCAATACTTATTGAAGGGGCCATTCTTTCCCCAGTGTATGTTCTCGATGCCTTTGTCTACAATCCTTTGGCTGTAAATATGTGGCTTTATTACTGGGTCCCCTATTCTGTTCCATTGGTTTATGCATCTGTTTTTACACCAATACTATGCTGTTTTGGTCACTATAGCCTTGTAATATATTTTGAAGTCAGGTAATGTGATGCTTTCTTCATTTGTTCAGGGTTGTTTTGATGATTCAGGCTTTTATTTTATTTTATACAAAATTTTAGATTTTTTTCTAATTCTATGAAAAATAACACTGATACTATGATACAGATTGCATTTAAACTATGGATTACTTTGGGCAGTATGGCCATTTAAACAATATGAATTTGTCTAATCCATGAGCATGGTATGTCTTTCCATATATTTGTGTCTTTACTTTCTTTCATCTGTGGTTTGTAGTTTTTCTTTTAGAGGCCTTTTATGTTTTTGGTTGAAGGAGACTTTCTCTCCCTTTAATCTGGGTCCTCCAGAGTTGGATGCAGGTATGTTTAGAATTGTTATATTCTCTTGCTGAATTGATCCCTATGTTATTATATAATGGCCTTCTTTGTCTTTTTTTACTATTTCTATTTCATATGAAATATTATTTTATCTCTTTTATTTCAGTCTGTATGTGCCTTTACAGGTGAAATAAGTTACTTGTAGGCAGCATATGGTTGGTTCATATTTCTATTCATTCAGCAAGTCTGTATCTTTTAAGTGTGAAGTTTAATCTCTTTTTGTTCAAGGTTATTACTGATACGTGAGAACTTTTTCCTGTATTTTTATTAATTTATTTCTGATTGTTTTGTATATTGTTTGTTTCTCTTTTTCTCTCTTATTTATTATTGTGGTTTTGTGGTTTCCTTTAGTTGTATCATTTCAGTCTTTTCTCTATGTGTTTGTTCTACCAATATATCTTATATTTTCATGTGTTCTTATGATGATAGATGATGTTCTTTAGCTTCTGGGTATAGGACTTCTGAAGCATTTCTTGCAGGACTGATCTAGTGGTGATGAATTTCCTCAGCTTTTATTTACCTAGAAAAAAATATTTCTTCATTTATAAAGAATAATTTTGTTGAGTATAGAATACTTGGCTGGCTTTTTTTCCTTCAACTCTCTTAATGTATCTTTTTTTTTTTTTTTTTTTTTGCCAAGGAGGTTTCTACAAAAAAATGCTTTTAGTCTGATAGGCATTCCTTTATAAGTGACTTGAAGCTTTTCTCTTGCTGTTTTTAGAATTCTGTATTTGTCTTTCACTTTTGACATTTTAAATATAATATGCTGTGGAGAAGACCTTGTTGAATTGTATCTATGAGATTCTCTGGGTTTTCTGTATCTATGTTTATAAAGGTCTTGCTAGACTTTGGAAGTTTTCATCTATTATTTGGTTAAATAGGTTTCCCAATCTTTTAATTTTTACCTTCTGGAACATCTAAGATTTGAATATTTGGTGCTTTATAGTGTCATATATGTCATGTAGGTTTTTCTCTTCTTTCTTTTTTTTTATCTTTATCTGAATTGAGTTATTTCAAAAGACCTGTTTTCAAGTTCTGAGATTTTTTTCTTCTGCTTGATAGATTCTAAATTATTGAAGCTTTCAAATATATTTTATATTTTATTCAATTAATTATTTGGTTCCAGAATTTCTATTTGATGCTTTTTTATGGCATCCATTCTTTTGGTGTATTTTTCATTTATGTCCTGAACTGTTTTTTCTGAGTTATTTATATTGTCTTTCAGTATTCTTTTTGTATATCATTGAGCTTCTTTAATATCATTATTTTGAATTCTTTTTCTCAGAATTCACGATTTCCTTTTAATTGGAATATTGCTAGAAAAGTTTGTGTTCTTTCGTAGGTGCCATATTCCCTTGCTTTTTAATTTTTCTTGTGTCCTTATGTTAATACTTGCACATCTACTGTAACAGTTGCTTCATCCAGCTTTTAAAATTTGCTTTCTTAGGGGAACACTCTTTTCTGAACATGTATCTATGGTGTTGGATGGGTAGGGAATGTTGGCTTTGATTCTGGGTGTATGCAGTGGTGTAGTCTTTGTATGATTTCCTCGGATGTAAACAGGGTCAATCGTTTCTGTGATTTCCTCAGTGGCTTAAAATGTAGTTGTTGGTAGAGGCTGTGGTGAAGTTTTACTGCGGACTAGGATGCCAAATAGGTCAGTCTTGAATCCCTTTGGTGGCAGTGTTAGGCAGAGAATGCCTGTTTTTGAGCCCCAAGGTAGCATATTCTGGCACCAGTGTAGCAGATCTAGTTAGCCAATTCTTGGGCTCCTAGTTGGGTTGCTTGTGTGCCAGTATGATAACAGTGGGCTGGGAGAATGCGCAGGTTCTTGGGACCCTGAGCAGTGGATGTGGCAAGTGGTCTGCACTGATGTGGGCAATGGTTGCAATGAGCTGGATAGACAAGTTCCTAGGTCCAGAGGTGGTGCATGTGGATGGATGCCAGCTATGGTAGTAGTGACAGGTTGGATGTACCTGAATTCAGGCCCCTGAGCAGAGTGCTCAGATATCAATGCTGATGGGCTGAACTGAGTAATCTTCAGGCTGTAGGTGTGTTTGGATACTGTGGGGGCAGAGCTGGGTTGAGTGGACCCATTCTGAGGCCCCATGGTGACATGTGCGTATGCTGCCTGTGGTAGGGAGGGGCAAATGGTTCCAGGCTACCAGTGTAAAGCTCAGGCGAAGGTAGCAGTGGTTTCACTGTGGCCCTGCTACTGGGATGAAAGTGGTTGCTTTCAGTGGCTGCAACCACAGGTAGGCGACTGGGAATGGCACATTTTGCTTTTGCCTTGCCCCTGGCTGCAGCAGCCTGTATCAGCAGTGGCTGCAGGCAGTGGTGTTCTTCCTTGAGCTGTGTAAAAATGCGCAGTCAATTGTCTGCTTGGGGGCTTGGATCAGGGTTGCTTCCAGTGGTTCATTCTTGGACCCTAGCACTGGGAAAACTGGCAGTTTTGGCCATTATAAATGGGGTGGCCTTCACAGCTGCCCCTCTGCTTGGGGTCAGGTTTGCTGGTGATGGCTCACTCTTTGGCCCTGGGGTGACATCTGCTGGCAGCAGTATCAGTGGCTGCAGGCAAGATAGCCTTTAGTCACAGCTGCCACTCTATTGGAGGGGGAGGTTGCTGTTGGCAATTCCTGTTTTGGCTCTGGTGGCACTGGCAGTAGGCAGGGAATGTCAATGGAGCTACAGGGGTGTGGAGATACAGGGGCTCTTCAGCTCCAGAGCAGGATACAATCTGACGGGGTGCTGAGCTGTCAAAATGATGCCATGCTGTAGCTGCTCAGGACTTGGAGGTTTGTGGAACTCAGCATGAGCTCTCTCTCTGGAGTAATGCAGTTGTACAGTCTTCAGGCATACACCTATGTTGGTTTCAGGGCATGTAAGGGTCAAGGGGCTCTCCCATGTCTAGGGTTTTGGGAGTCCACAGTGAGAATATGGAATACTGGGGGTATCTCACTTATTCTTTCTCCACATTGAAGAGTTTCCTCATGCCTCCAGCTGATCCTGGCCAATCAGGCTGCCTCACTTTCCTCTTTTTATTCTCCTGTAGGTGTTTTCTGTCACTTATCTGTTGAATTTCAGTGTTCTCTTTTATATGATCTATTTGAGGTGTGATTATCTACTTGCTGTTTTGGTTTTACTTTGTGGAATGTGTGAGTACCAAATGTATCTTGTCAGCCATCTTGAAGCCCCTTAATTGGGTCATGGTTTTTGTTTGTTGTTGTTATTATTTTTGTTGAGATTACTGATTTTCTGTTCCCATTTAAAATATTCTTTGTTGTACACATACTTTCTTTTGATGCCCGCTTTTATGTTGAAATAATTTTATATTTTTCAGAGAATTGCAAGTAGAATACAAATAGTTTCCATATATTATTCACTGAGCTTCATTTAATATTAATATATTGAATAACCACAATACATTTATCAAAACCAAGAAACAAACATATGTACCATGCTGTTAATTAACCCACAGACTTGTTTCAGGTTTCACCAGTTTTCCACTAAGGTCCTCTGCTGTTCCACCATCTAATCCTAGATGCCAGGTTGTATTTAGTTATCATGGCTCCTTAGATTCCTCAGATCTATGACTGCTTCTCAGTCTTTCTTTCTTGTGTTATACATTTGATAATTTTCAAGAATACTAGTCAAGCATTTTGTAAAACATCTCTCAAGTTTATATCTCTTCTTATGATTACACAAGGAATATAATTTTAGGGAACAATATCAGAGATGTCAAATGCCCTTCTCACCACATCATATTAAATAATATCAACAAATTTATTACTGGTAATTTTAACTTTAATCATTTGATTATAGTGGTGTCTGAAACACTTCTCTATTGTAAAATTACAATTCATCTTTGTTATGAACTGAGAGTTGTGTCTCTTCAAACTCCATCTGTTGAAGCCCTAACCTCCAACATGATGGTATTAGGAGGTGGGGCTTTTTGGAATTAGTTAAGTTTAAATGAAGTCAGGAGAGTGGAGCATCCATGACGTAATTTGCACCCTAATACCAAAAGGAAGAACAAATTTTAAAAAGGAAGAGAAATCAGAGCTTCCTCTCTCCATCATTTGAGTATACACAAGAAGGAGGCATCTGTAAATCAGGAAGAGATCCCTCACCAGAAGTCAAACATGCCAACATATTGATCTCAGACTTCTAGCCTACAGAACTACAAAAACATAATTTTTTTTCTTATTTAAGCTGCCCATTCTATAGTATTTTGTTATGGCAGCCTGAGCACACCAAGTAATTTGTAATGAGAAGTAGGGTGCTGCTGTAATATGTGTGTAAAATTAGATAAGCAGCTTTGAAACAGGGTAATTGGTAGAAGCTAGAAGAGTCTTTAGGTGTATGCTAGAAAAAGCCTACATTACTTGGTGATTCTGGTGAAGACTCAGAAAAAAAAGGGAGGAGAGCTAGACAGGAAGCCTCCAACTTCTTAGATGATAAATAATCATGAACAGAATATTGATATAAATATAGATGGTAAAGGTCATTCTGATGAGGTCTCTGATGGAAATAGGAAATATGTTACTGGACAACGGAGAAAAGGAGATTGCTTATGGTGTGAATATGCCTTAAAATTCATATGCTGAGATTTAATCTCCAATGTGATAATATTAAGAGGTAAGTCCTTCATGAGGGTGGATCCCTAGGATTAGCACCCTCATAAAATGGCTTGAGGAAAAGGATTGATTCTCTTCAGTCCCTCGTACCATGTGAGGATGCAGCAAGAGGTACCATCTTGAAAGCAAAGAGTAGACCCTTGCCAAACACCAAATATGACAACTTCTTGGTCTTGGATTTTCCAGCCTCCAGAACTGTGAACAAATAAATTCCTCTTTAAAATAAATTACTCAGACTTAGGTATTTAGTGATAGTATAAGAAACAGATGAAGACAGTGATCTTTGTTATAAAGTGATATATAGCTTGTCTGAATTTTGTTTATGTTATAGTGTTTCAGGGAAGGTAGAACTTGCAGGTGATGAAATTGAATATTCAGTTGAGGAGATTTCTAAGATTTCTAATTTTTGAAGGAATGGCTTAGTTTCTCCTGTAGGCTTATAGTAAAATGCAAGAAGAAATAAATTAATTGAAGATGAAATTGTTACGCAAAACGGAACCAGAAGTTAAAAATCTGGAAAATTCTCAGCCTATGTTGCAAAAATTATCAAGCGTGTGACTGAAGACCCTCTTTTGATGAGATTAATAGAAATATGAACCATAGACCTAAAAGCCAGCACTTTAGAAACACTGTCAGTTTGAGTTGAACGAACAAAATTAAGGAAGACTGCCAGACTTCTTAGAGCCTATAGGAGTGCTATTTGGCTTCAAACAGTGTTACTCTTCAAGACAAGGGAAGAAATGCCCCTAAGGCAACTCAAATACTATATGGTTCCAAGGACAGCTTCAGAGATGAAGTGGTTAGTGGGGTTATGGAGTAATCACCCTTCACCCGAGTGAGTTCTGAAGGCAGAGCATCAGACCAAAGAGAATTATTCCGAGCCTTAAGTATTTGCCTTGCTAAGTGGTGGACTTCCTTGAGACCTCTTACTATTACTATTCCCTTCTTTTTGATTTCTGTCCTTTGGAATAAGAATGTTTATCCTTTGCCTGTCCACGATTGTAGTTTGGAAGTGTGTAGCTTACCTGTTTTCACAGGTTCACAGCTGGAGGGAAAGCCTTAGGATGAACCATACCTCTACTCTTATTTGTATCTGATGATGTAGATGATATTTAGGTGAGACTTTTGACTTCAGGCCTTAGAGTTCATTCTGGGACAAGTTAAGACTGGGAGCTTTTGGAACAAAATAAATCCACTTTGCATGTGAGAATGATCTGAATTTTGGGAGGTCAGGGGCAGAATGCCATACACAGAATATTTGTGTCCCCTCAAAATTCGTATGTTGAACACCTAATACCCAATAAGATAATACTAAGGGATGAAGTTTTTAGAAGGTAATTAGTTTAGATGAGGTCATGAAGGTAGAGACCCTGTGACGGGATGAGTGCACTCATAAGAAGAAGAGACACCAGAACTTCCTTTCTTCACCACATACATATACTGTAAGAGGGTGGTCATCTACAAGGCAGGAAGAGGCCCTGCTCAGAACCAGACATGCTGGCACTATGATCTCAAACTTCCAGCCTCTAGAAGTGTGAGAATAAATTTCTGTCATTTGAGTCATTCAGTCTATGGCATTTTGTTATGCAGTTAGAGCAAAACAAGACAGTTTATTTCCATACTTAATTCATGGAAGTAACTAAATTCAGACATTACTTGAGGGGAGAAAATTAAGCTTTACCTTCTAGAAAAAAAAAATTATCAAAAAGTGTATGAACATGTGTTACACCACCACAGTAAGTTATAAGTATTTCAGAGGAGAGGCCTTGAGTATCTCATTTCTCTTTAAAAGTTCCATCTCTAATTTTAGCATTCATCAGTGGACTTTGCCTAAGGTGATTATCTCTATGGTGTTCTAATAGTGATTTTCTGTGTCCTTGATTCCACATATTTATCATTTAAAATTATTTTGTAAGGAAGGATTCTCTCATTTATTTATTCATTAATTTATTTATATCAGGATGAATCAATGGATATTTTATTATTATGTAATAATTCAATACTATGGTTATTTATTATATTCAGCAAACACCCTTATTTACTGTCCACTTATCATCTTTCTAAACTCAATTCAAATGTTACCTTCACTGGCTATCCAATTTAAATCCTGTATTCTGGTTTAAATGTCTCTTTTCTAAACCTTTGTAACATAAACAGATCTTTTTAAAGCTATCGATCTACTTTCTCTCTCTCTCTCTAGGGGAATCTGACTGTGCCTTATGTCTGTGTCCTTGGCATCATAACAGTGACTAGAGCAGCATATGCACTCAATATGTCTTTTTAAAATGAATGTAATTGTTAATGAGAGATAATGAAATGGAAGTAGTGCATTTGGACCATTCTTTCAGGAAACTTAGCTGTGCAAGTTAACAAAGAGTACACTCATCAGAGAGGGATTTATATTAGGAGTATAATTCACTTTTGTAGATAGAAATACATTGAATATACAAAAGGCATAGGAAACAAGACAGGGTGAAAAGAGGCTGGCATACTGAAAAGATTTGTTGCCGCTATGAAGGCAAGGCCCCAGAGGAAGTAAAGGGAGCAAGATCATAAGGAATCTAGAGAAGAGTGGGAACGCTATCCTTGGTCAGAGAAACAGGGAAATGTGAATACAGATTTATTTGGAGATAAAAGATGACAAAGAACTGAGAAAATTGAAGCAGATATGTTGCTGTAAAAGAGAAGATAATGTAACATTCTGGAAGGAAAGTGAGGTTTTACTTTTGCTACTTTAATACTTCTAAGTTGCCAAAAAAGGGAGCAGTAGAGAAAGAAGTATGGGTGTGGGTACTCACCTTTGTGAAACACACTGATTCTTCCAGGTATTGCAACCCATGCCAGTACCTCAGCCTAGAATTCTTGCTGGAAGAAATTTTGCCAATAGCCAACTTCTTCGACTCAAACTTCCTCTACCAAACCCACCATACACACACACACACACACACATACACACACACATAATTGCTACTCTCTAAGTGCTGATATCACATTTTGGAACTACTTAATTATAACACATATACTGTACCATAGCATCATTGTACTCATATTACATCTACCTTACCAAGTAGATCTCTTAATATTTTTCCTCATCTGGATATGAACCATATCTTGTCTTATTTAACAACAGTGCAAGGACAGTACCCTGATTATAGTAGGTTTTAAAAATAATTTACTGAATAAAAAATAAATTATATACATAATGACATAGCACAGACATATAGGTTAAGGGCTTTGTTATATTTCTAGTTCTTAAAATAGTCTATAAGGAAAATTCAGAACTAAGCATCTATTTGTTAAATGAACCAGAGACTATTATCAGACTTTTACATAAGTTTTGAATTCACAGCTCAGAGATATAAAGAAGCATTAACTCCCTGCTCTCACCAAAATTTAAAGATAAACAATAACATATTCACTAAGGAAGAGAAAACCAATTTTCAATTTAATGGGTAAGATTGAGAGATATGGTAAATTTGAAAAACAGAATTAAATCCATTCCAAAACAATCAAATAAACTATTCTTAATGATTGAGAAAAGATTTACACAAGAGGAAAACCCGTATTAAGAATTAATCAATAGCAAGTACAAGAACATCTACTAAGCAAGATTAACTACTGAGATTCTAAATGTTGCCAACGCTGTTTTATGTTAGAGTAAGAAATAATTGTCAATACATGTTTTAACAACATTCCTAATTCAAAAGTAGTTTTCTTGACTAGAGAGAGAAGAAGAAACAAACAAAATCTTACTTGAGTGAGGCAGGATTTGATGGAAATTCTGATTAAGAGATAAGAAAGGAGTAAATAAACTATTAAATCTCAGAAAAAAATATAGAAGATGTGCAAATTTTTCCATTGTGTCATCACTTTTATATTTTCAGGGAAGGATCAAAGAATTTGAAAATAGAATACAGATTTTGTGCATGGTCATAAAGTAAAACCTTTCTATTACTTAGTCACGATAACTCCTCTTATGTGCATGAGATATCCTAGAGAAAATAATTTTTTATTCTTTTTCAAAAATATCCTCTAAACTTTAATACAATTTATTGAGCTCCAAAAATAATATAAAGTAAATCCCCTATTAATTTGATGTTTTCATATATGATAAGATAAATAAAATTTATTTTTTTAGCAAGGCTGGAAATCATATTTTCATGGTATTATTTTATGTTGAAATCACACTTGCTATTTGGTGGTATCTCTGAGTCTCTATTTTTTCATCTAAAAATTGAAGAAGACTTTTTTAAGAGTTTATAGAAGAATTAAAATAATTACGAAGCTTAGAGAAGTAATTTTTTTCTGGCTTGGCTATCAATAAATATTAATTACTTTTATTTCCCCTCTTTCCTATTTGAGCAGATTAAAAAACATTAATATAGTCTTAAGTTTCTAAACAAATAATGCAGAATCTTTATTTTAGGCAGCAGCATAAAAATGTCCGGAAGTACAGATCACATGATCTCATTACTGTGAAATAACTTATGTGTTAAAACTTTTATTATGGAAAATTTCAACCATCTAATAAAAGTATATAAAGTAATGTCTGTTAATGTGGTGAAATCAATTGATTTTTGAGATTAAGCCAATCTTGTATTTTGGGGATGAACCATATTTGAACAGGATGTGATAAACTTTATATATTAATTGGTTAGATTTGCAAATATTTTCAAGGATTTTTGCATTTATGGTCAATAGAGTTATTGGATTCATTTTCTTTTCTTATAACATACTCGCTTTGGAACCAGAGCAATGCTGTGAATATAAAATTAGTCAGGAAACATTATCTCCTCTTTAACTTTCAGAAAGAGCTTGAGTAGAATAGGTTTATTTTCATATTTAAGTATGTGTTATAATTATGCAGTGAAGTCCATAATTTCAATTCTTTTAAGTCCATTCAGCCTGTTTAAGATACATATTTCTTCCTTAATGAGCTTTGGTAGCTTGTGTGTTTTAAGATATTTAAGCATTTTATCTAAAATGTCACATTTATTGGGATCAGTTTCCCCATAATGTTTTTTATATCATTTTCACATTTGAAGGATCTGCAATATTTCTGACTTTCATCCACCATATATATAGATATTCTGAATATTCTTTCTATTCCGATTTCCTGATTAGTTTGATTAGAGATTTATCAAGTTTATGCATTATTTTAAAATGACATTTTATTTTTATATTATTTGTTTTGTATCTTGATTTTCTGTTTTCCTTTGCTTTGGTTTATAGCTTTATCTATTTTTATATGTAATTTGGGTTTAATTTTCGTTTTTTTCTCTATTTATCTATATATTCAAATTTGGGATTCAAATAATTTTTATTTTTATCCATACATTAATGATATAAATTTCATCTTAGCACTGATTTATCTGTATATTACAGTTTGCATATGTCTTGGTTTCATCTTTATTCAGTTCAAAGTATTTTCATACATCTCTTAAAAATTCATCTTTTGATCCATGAGTTATTTAGATGTGTGCTTGTTTATTTCTAAATATTATCAGATTCTCCAGATATATGTCTGTTATTTATTTCTAATTTCATTGTAGTCAGAGAATATACTTTGTATAATTTGATCCTGTTGAAGGTATTGTGATTTGTTTTATGTTCCAGAAAATGATTTGTATCTGTGAATGCTTTGTGTCCACTTAAACCAAATATTTATGCGTCTGTGTTGGTAAGAGCTTTTTAAACTTATCAAGTTAAATTGGTTCATAGCATTTTCAAGTATATTAGCTAGTTTTTCGCTTGCTTATTTTGTCAATTACTATGAGATGAATGTAGATTGGTATTTCTCTTTTTAGTTCTAACAGTTTGTCTTTTTGTAAGTAGAATTTCTGCTGTTAGATCCATACGTATTAGGCTTATTATGTCCTTGTGATGTGCTAACTCTTTACAATTTGGTGATACCTGTCTTTGTCATTGATATTTTTCTGAAGTCTACTTAACTGATGTTCAAATTATTCCCTCATGTTTCGTTTAGTTACAAACTGCATATATTTTTATTTTTAATTCTTTTAAGCCATCCATCAGTAGGCATTTTTTTCAGACAGAATTTTTTAAACCTGTTTGAACTTCTATGCTTTTTAATTAGTATGTTTAGGGTATTTATAGTTAATATAATTATATTATAATTGAGTTTCACATCTATTGTTTTGTATTAATTAGCTACTAATACCCTCCTTTTATTTTCTTTTTCTGCCTTTTTTATTAATGGAGCTTCTAGTTCTTTTATCATAATAAATATACATTTGTCTTATAGATTTATTATTTATCATAATAAATATATATTTGTCTTATAGATTATTTTAGATATTATTTCCCTTACATTCATCTAATATATTATTTGATTTAGATATTATTTCCCTTAAATTTGTCTTATAGATTATTTGATTTAGATATTATTTGCCTTACATTTGCCTTACACATATAATATTTTTATGGTTATATACAATTATATGCCTTATTTATTTATTGGCTATACCTCTATGATTTTTAAAATTATTTTCTCTACAATTTATGATATAATACTCAATCACCAAATAATAATATATTATTCCATGTCTAATAGAAGGTTTAACAGCATATTTTCATTTCAAGCCTTCTATATTTTTTGCTTTTTTATAATATGCTATAAATCCCTCTATATGTTGTTACTATGTTTGCTTTAAATAGTAAATTATCTGTTATGAAATTTAAGACATGGGGAAAAAGTGTTTTATATTCATCTATCTATGCCACTTGCATCAACTTTTTTTTTCTTTATGTACATTCAAATTTTCGTCTGGTATCATTTCTTTTCTGCCTAAAATGACTCCGTGAGTATTTTTTTGTTGCGCAAGTCTGTTAACAATGAGTTTTCTGAGCATTTGTTTACCCGAAGTGTCTTTATTTTGTCTTCAATTTGAAACTATTTTGCTGAGTCTAGAATTTGTTGGTTCATAATTAGTTTCAGTTGGTCAAGTATATTGGAATGCTTAATAGTTTTTTTCTGGGCAATTAATACACTTTGTAAATGTATTTATACACTGCATCTTTCAGTATGGAAAATTTCTATTACTATATTCAGAATCATTCTTCTGCAGTGTTTATTTTGCTACTAGTGATATACGATGTATTTTAAATTTTATATTTATTCTTTAACATAAAAAGCTTCATTCAGCCTTTACAATATCTTACATTTATTTCTTATCATGCCCTGTATCATTTTGAACTTATGGAACATATTTATAATTTATACTACAATGGTCTTTGCTGTGTGTCTCACCATCTATGTCACATTTTGATTTGTTCCTATTGATTATTTTGCTTCTGGTTTAGGGTCATATATTCCTATTTTTTTGTGTGCCTGACAATTCCAATTACCACTGAAACCTGGAAGTGGTGAATTTTATACCTTAGCTGCTGGATTTTTGCATTTCTTTAAACAGTGTTATATGTTTTTTTCTTTCACATTTAATTTTCTTGGGATCTGTTGGATATTTTCAAGAATTAAGTTTAAATTATTTTTTTCTAAATATTTCTCATGCAGCTTTTACTTTAATGATACTGTTCCTTCTGCATCCCTAAAATATCTTTCAGAGGATAATACCTAAATGCCTCATAACTAGGAAGTGTTTTCCTCTGTCTTGTGGAAATCTAAACTATTCCCAGTCCTGTGTTGTCCTGGATACTTTTCAGCTTAGTCATTGCCAGTGATTCTTTTCTGTGCTTTGAGTAGTCTCCTCTCATTACTGTGAAGATCAGCTCTGAGTCAGCAGTTTGAGTGGCCGTTTTGAACATTTATCTATCCGGTTTCCTCCTCTCCAATACTTTGCTTAAAAATTCTCATTGTCTTGGCTTCATTGAACTCCAGTCTCTGTCTTGTGTCTGCATTGAGAAATCTGGGATCTATCTGAGTTCCTTCTCTCTGCACTATAGTCTGGAAATTTCCTGTAGGTGACTTATACTGCATTGCGCTCATGTTGTTTATTCACCTACAACTAGGAATCATAGCCCTGTACCAACTGTTGACTAAAGGCTAAAAACCACTTTTTATATGTTTTGCCTGGTTTTCTTGTTGATCATTGTTGTGTGGTAAATCCAGTTTCTGTTCTTCCACATGTCCTGAAGCATAATTTTGAGGAGGATTTTTTTTCAGTGTATGCTAGTCAGAATAATGGCCCCACAAATTTACCCATGCCATAATCTCTAAAACCTGTGAATATGTTATTTATGTGACAAATGGAATTTTGCAGATGTGATTAAGGGCATGGATCTAAAGATGGGAAAATTATCCTGGACACTTTGAATAGGTCCAATGTAATCACATGAATTCTAAGAAGCAGAAAACCTTTCCCATTGAGTTCAAAGAGATTTGGCCTGAGAAGTACTCTACATGCTGTTGCTGGCTTTGAAGATGGAAGAAGTGGACCATGAGTGATAGCTGTCTCTTGAGGTTGGAAAAGACTTGCACACAGCCAGAAAACGGGGACTTTCTGTCTTATATAATAATTGCAAGAAACTGAATTCTGCCAACAACAAAAATGATAAGAAAAATCCATTTTTCTCTAGAGCCTTTTCTATTCAAGAAATAGTTGTTGAGTAGTAGGCTTTCGTTATAGAAGTATTCCAGCTAATAAATGAATAAAAATAATAGAATTACAATACTTTTATTTTTCAACCTCAAGTGAATTAATAGGCACTACATATCAGTTGATGCTAAAATCACAAAGAGAGATTATGTGTCTGCTAATTAAAGAATCTTACACTGCTGATACAGTTGTCTTGCAAAAATCAAAGATAATGATTATGGCAAAAATCACAATGACTTTTGCACCAACCTAATAATAGATCTACATATGATTAATCATAATGAATGTAACACTTTTGAAGACATAAAAAGGAAGAGGGATTTATTTTATTTTATTTTATTTTTTTGAGATGGAGTCTCGCTCTGTCACCAGGCTGGAGTGCAGTGGCACGATCTCAGCTCACTGCAATCTCCACCTCCTAGGTTCAAGAAATTCTCCTGCCTCAGCCTCCTGAGTAGCTGGGACTACAGGCACACATCACCATGCCCAGTTAATTTTTGTATTTTTAGTAGAGATGGGTTTCACCACATTGGCCAGGATGGTCTTGATCAGAAGAGGGATATTTTTTAATGTTTCCATGGGATGCAGTCACTAAGATCCAGAATATATAAAATTCTACTGGACAAATAAATAGTTTACTCATAAAAAAATTGCAAGGAAAATCAAGAGAGATGGAGGGAACAACCATATATTGAAATAAATGTTAAATGCAGCTAAACAATAGCAGTGTATTTGTATTCTGAGTCAAATGATTGGTCAGAAAGGTATTTCTGACATTTATGAAACAATTAGATGAACAATGGGTAGATATTTGATGAAATTAAGTTGTTATTGTTAAATATCAAATAGGTGTGGTGATGGAATTGTGGTTATAATAAAAATACTCAATAACTTTTAAAATTAAGGAGAAGACTCATGAAAAACAACAGTAAGGTATAAGAAAGAATTTTGTTTTCTCCTAAAAGAAGACAAATGATCAAAGGAGGAAACATTTAATGCAATAAAAAAATGAAGATAAATGAAAAAATAAATATTTAGGTAAATATAAATGAACACTGACTGCCTAAAACATAAATAATAATGTTTTGTGGAATTCAACTATACAGTTGGCCCTCCCTATCCATGGGTTCTGCATCTGCTGATTCAACCAACCATGAAATGAAAATATTAAAAAACAAACAAAGCAAAAAAACAAAATAACATTACTGCAATAAAATATAACACAAATTAAAAATAATGCAGTACAGTATAAGAAGTATTTACAAAGCATTTATCTTGTGTGTTAGGTATTATAAGCAATTTAAAGGTGATTTAAAGTAAACCATAGGATGTGTGTAGGTTATATGTAAATATTATGCCATTTTATATAAGAGCTTTAGCATCCATGGATTTTGATATCAATGGGAATGGGTTCTAGAACTAATCTCCTCGGGATACTGAGATACAATTATATATGGACTTTCAAATGCATGGCAACAATTGCAGAAAATGCAGGAGGAGGTATATGGATCTTAGGTGTTTCTAATGTCTTGTACGGCCTGGGAAGTGTTAAAAGTGTTCAAATTAATATTTTATAAGCCAAAGATGCATGTTGTAATTTTCAGTGTTACTATTAAAAGTGCATCAACATATTTTAACTAAAAGTGCATAAGATTAAAATGAAATAATAAAAATACAATTTTAATTAAAAAGAAGACAACAGGCCAGGCACGGTGACTTACAACTGTAATCCCAGCACTTTGGGAGGCCAAGGCGGATGGATCACGAGGTCAGAAGTTCAAAACCAGCCTGACCAATATGGTGAAACCCCATCTCTACTAAAAATACAAAAAAAAAAAAATAAAAGATTAGCTGGGCGTGGTGGTGCACCTGTAGTACCAGCTACTTGGAAGGCTGAGGCAGGAGAATCACTTGAACCTGGGAGGTGGAGGTTGCAGTGAGCCAAGATAGTGCCACTGCACTCCAGCCTGGTTAATAGAGTGAGACTCTATCTCAAAATAAATAAATAAATAAAGACAAGAATAGAAAGAAAACGAAATATAAAACAGAACAAAGAGAAAACAATGAATTTGTATATTTAAATCAAATTTATCGTCACTGTATTTTTTTACTTTCAAACTCTTTAATTATCTTTAAAGTTTGTTAAAGATAGTTTATAATTAAAAGTAAAATTTCTTTAGACATTATTGCATTTTAATTGGATTATTTCTTAAGGGCTAAATCAATTTAATGAATGCATTTATTATTTCACATGCTTATTTTTTGTGGTGAGAACACTTAAAATCTACTCTTTCAGTAATTTTCAAGTATAAAATAAATATGCCACAAACAATCTTTGTCCTTGGAAAAATGAGCCAAAGCAATGAACCTCTGATTAGCTGAGAAGAGAGAGAGAAAGGAAATTAGTAGTAGCAGAAGTTAAAACGGAAATATTACTGAAGATTTTACTGACATTAAAAAGAATGAAATAATATCACCAAGAATGTCGTGCTTGTAAATTTGAAAATTTAAGTAAAATAAACAAATTTTTGGAAAAATTCAAACTGTAAAAATAAGTAGAAAATTTGAATATTCCTAGATCTATTAAGCAAAATTTTTCTTTAATTTGCTCTCTACCACAAAATGAATCTCCAGGCCAAGACAACTACATCAGTAAGTTACTTCAAATATATAAGGTGGAAATAAGAGCAGTATTATGCAAATTTCTTTGGTAAACAGACGAAGATAGAACATTTGTAAAATATTTCTAAATATTGACCTCTGAAAAGTTTTGAGGCCAATTTCACTTATGGATATAAATGCAGAAATGCTAAATAAAATGTTATCAAGCCAATACAGTTTTAGATTAAAAAAATAATATGCCATGATGGGTTAATCCCATTATTGCGAGTTTGAGTTAGTTTTCAAAACTCAATACATAAATTATATCACAACATAAGAATTCACGTGATCTCCATTTTATACAAGTATCTGATAAAATTCAAATTCATAGTAATAGCAAATTCACAGAAACTGTCATTTCTAGGAGGTACGTCCTTTAGTGAATTGAACGTTACGTACAAGAAAAAGCTTATGGAAAACATCAAACATAATACTTAAAATTCAAAATCAATTTCCCTGCATTAGGAAATCTCACAATATGGTATCACTATTTTTATTCAGTACTGCATATAATTTATGTTATTCAAAACTTCATGTAACATATATGTTGGAAGAAATCTAACAAGATCCCACCATAAAAAACTGCAATAAATTATTGAGAAAAATATTGAGCAATATCTGAATACTCAGTTATGAGAAATATGATGTCATGTTTTAGAACACCAATTTTGTGAAGATGTGAACTATTGTCAAAATAATCTATAAATTATTTTGATTTATTACTATGTAGTAATTAGATGAATTATCAGTATGATTTATTATATTCTGTGTAACTTCTAAAAAGTGAAATGTGATGCTATAAATACTTACACCAGGACAATAGAGTAAATTTTGAATGTTCCAGGCAAGCCTGGTTATATGGCCACCCCCTAACTAGAGTCAGTCAATTTTCATTCAAAAACACAGCATGATGTTTCATGGAAATGGCTGTGACAATCCTAAAATTTCTACAGAAATCTAACAGCTAAAATTGACCAAGGCATTTTCTTTAAGAAAAATAAGATTAGAAAACTTGCTCTACCTCTATAAGTCATGATCTTCTCAAATATGTCTTATTCTGTACACCAAATGAAGGTTATCATATCAGGATATGCTCCATTAAGAGGCTAGATTATTTTATATCCACTTTAGAATAAAAGTGCTAAATACATTAAAAGGTGTACTTTGTATCTCTATAATTTTTTTCTCCTTCTCCTAGGCATTATTGGCAAGTGGAATGAGAACAAGAAGAGGTGAAGTAATATAGTTTTCTGTGATTATATGAGGAACTATTTGCTCCTTGCTCTTTCTGTCTTGTACGTTCCATAGATCATCTTCCATATTAGAGCTTAGAAAATGGGTTTTCTCTTTTTCTTTTCTGATTTTTAAATTATTTTCTGTTTTTATCAATGCTGTGATTGTCTCATCCTTTCCTTTCCCTTCATGAATGCATTGTTATTATTATTTTAACATTTTAATTTTATCACTGTATTATAGAATATTGTTTTAAATGTAAATATATTCATATTTTTCACGATTAATTGGGAATACTATTAATATTCTACATTTTAAATATTTTTATACTACTGAGTCTAAATGTTGATCATAAATCAATAGTCAGGTCACACATAATTCATTAAATGACTGGGTTATTATGTTGCATTCTTAAGATGTATCTTTATACTTCTGAAAAATCATCCCACTTGAAATAATTATAATTGTACATTTGATTTTTGAAATTTCAGATTCTTCCACTGCTATTGATTTGCATTAAGTACCAAAAGACTTCCTGACTTAAAACAGTCCAAGAATATGCTAAATTTAAAAAGAGTTGCCATAGTGATTTTTCTTTCTGCTCACTCTGAGGTGTCATCTTCCACCTTTCTTTAATCTCTCTTTATCTCCTGAAGTGCTGAGTGCTTGCTTCTACTTCAAAAGAAACTTAGTAAAATATATTTCTGCAAGGAGTAGTTACAGAACCCCCAAGGAGACTGCAGGCTAACCTGACACAAGTCATTGTCAATTCTTTCCTTTCCTTCTCCCACCTGAGTCCCTTACATTATCCAGATCTCAATTGACAAAAGAATTGCATTTGTACCAAGATCTATCTGTGTGCAATGGGCAGTTTTTATGCTTATTTGGTACTACCATTAAATAAACAAATTTTCTTATCAGAAAATTTCCCTCGCTTTTTATGGCTTTATATAAGTTTTGACTTATTCATGTTTAAAAATTCACTTGAAATGTATCATACCATGGGAAAATATATTCTATAGTTAACACTTATTTTGTCAATGGTAACTGAAGTGAAGTTTGGGGCCAATATAATAAAATAATAGACAAACAGTCATCTGTTACTAGGATATATTTATTATAACTGAGTACTCCTGATGGATTATAAAGCAGTAGATTGGAATTGAAGTGTTGTGATCCAATAACTACAGATCTTCTATTAAACTACAAATTTGAAGAATATATCAATTTCATTTTTTTTAACTTGGTAATACTTCCTGTTGAGAGAAAAAAAAGGGAAACATATTCTGGAAAAACCAGGAATGAGCTTGTCAGCTCTAAGATCATATATAAAAAAATGAGTTCTGCATTTTCAACTAGTTAGACAACTCAATTAGTACAGATAACAGGAAGCCATCCAAAATATTCATCATTTTGTCCTACAGTGAATGGATTTGCCATGATCCAGACTTGCCTTTTGCACAGCCACTTGTGAGGATACTAAATAGTTTTCTTTATTCATAGATGTTTTCATGAGAACCGATTCTGACAACCGATTGCAAAAGCTGAATAAAAATAATAATATAAATTGCAAATTGGATTTAATTAAATGTGATGAAATTGCTACATGAAAACATGTAGATGTATTTACCTAGCCAAATACTGATTAAAGGCTCAAGAGTTGAGTCCTTAATTTATATTATTTCAAAATAGTGTTGGAAGACAGTTCTACATGGGTCTATCATGTTTTGTTTTTGGTTGTTGTTTTTGTTTTTATTTTTTGCCTGGTAGATCTTGTAAGGAAGACATGTGCTCCCTTTTGTCCTAGACTATCTCTTCAAGGATATCTTTCTAGTGAACAAACTTGAGTTACAGACGTAATGTTTATATAGTGACTTATAAAAATAAACAAGTTTTCCTGCAGTCTTAGAGGAGTTACACTCTCCCTCCAGTAAAAAGGCAAAGGCTACTATCAAGAATCTTACAGCTAATGCATTCCTTGAAGGCAAATAAATGTTTAATTTATATTGTAAAAGCTATGAGTTCTCCAAGATCAGTGTTCTTTCCCTGTAAAGCAACTCACTGTGTGTGCAGGTGTTAACTGGCTTTTACCTCACTCTGTAGTCACTGGGGTTCAAGAAACCAGAAAAAGAATCCTGATACTATGACTACTGCTTTTGCTCTGAGCAATAAGCTGTCCCTCTCTGACTCAAGAGTCTCATGTCTTCTACCAGCATTCATTAGAATTTTGGTTGATTCTGGCTACACCACTGTAGCCCTTAAAACTAATCTTTGTCATGTTTTTGCTTCACAGACTATTTGTAATCTAACACTTTATTGCAAAAAACAAAACAAACAAAAAACAAAGAAAAACCACAATAATGGGGTTATAGGCAAATTGTCCATGTCTCCTACCTTCCACAGTCATCCAGTCTTGTGGAGTATTGAAATGGCTTTCTCAGTAATTGACTCAAAAACAGTTCTGATTCTACCTTCATCATTTCCTTCTGGTTCTCTACCTTAGTAAGGCAAGTTGGTCACTAAATGTGGATGTCCTCAGAAAGAGAACACATTATATCGGCTGGTTTCTGAATAATAATCACAACAAAAGTGATAGGAATTCATAAAACATCTATTTTATGAATTTGAGATTCTGCTCAGACTATTTTGGGGCATCATATATCTTTCTTACCTACTGACAATCCCTGGTTGGACTTGTTCAAATACCATCTGGGTGGCAGGCTGTCCAGAGGGAAGCCTAGAAAATTATGACTTAATTCCAGTTTACTACCTGGATTTCCTATTGAATTCTCATGGTCCTAGATCATAAGGATAATAATTTTATGTTTGAGTATACTGTGCACCATGCATCTCTACATATGCTTACATGGGTATTTATGAATTTTGTAAAAATTCCCTTGTCTCTCCTTCACTTGACATTGGACAAAGTGTCTGGGTATATATAGGGTCGATTGGAAACAATATGCAAATTATTTGCTACTAGAATGGCACACACTATTTTTTTTTACAGTAGAAGAACAACAATCTTAGAACTTAACATCTCAGATACCAAGATTTATCAAGGAGAGAGGCGTATTAATGACATTTATCATCCAGAATTGTTAACTGCCTTAGAACATTCCTCATTAAGGAAAATGACCTGGCATATCTCTCCTAAACAGTCTCAATTGCTTTAAATTTAATTGACTTATCTAGATCAGCCGTCAATTGTCAGATGACTGGTAATGATTTGATTGAGTTATGTTAACTTTTCTCATAAGTCTATCAAAGTAAGCAAGGATGGCTCTAAAATCTAAACTTGCCATGTAAACATGTTGCAGTGTCTGCAGCTTTCTTTCCCAGTGCCATTGCTATTCCTCATCTTTCAGTGATGTAGACAAATTCTACACTGGAAGATATACATAATTCTCCCCAAGAAGTGAAGGACATGCTTGATTACCTCTTTGGAAGATATAGATAGTGTCTCCTACCTGAGAAAAAGCCAATGTGGCAGGCCAAATTCTAAGATGTCTTCTGATGACACATCTCTCTCTATGAACTCCTCCCTTTTGAGTGTGTGAAGAGCCTCTGTATATAGTGAGATATCACTGCTGCAATCACGTTACATTATGAGGCAAAAGGGACTTTATCCTGGACAAGTATGACCTAATCAGGTAAGCCTTTTAAATGCAGATATTACAAAAAAAATCAGAGAAACTCATAGTGGGTGACCTGAAAGAAACCAAACATCCATTTTTTGAATTGCCTCTGTGGACCACACTGTGAGAAACTGTGGGCAGCTTCTAGGAGCTGAGATATATCCCTACCAATCACTAACAGGAAAATGGGAACCTCAGTCCTGTAACTGCAAGAAAACACATTGTTTCAATAGCCAGAAGCTTCGAACAGACCTCTGAACCCCAAATAATAACTACAGCCCAAGTGACACCTTAATTTCAACCTGGTAAGACCCAGAACAAAGAACCCATCCATTCTATGCCATGACATCTGACCTATAAAACTTGTGAAATTATAATTTCTGTTGTTTCAAGATTCTTAATTTGTGGTAATTTGTTAGTATTACAGAAAACTATACAGGCAGGCAAGTTATTGCCCATTATGAAAGATTTGGGCTCCCTAAGCTCAAGGAACACACAATCCACTATTATGTAGATACCATTTCACCCTCCTCACATTGTCCATGAATTTGGGACTCAGAAAGCTGGTACAAAAATGCTGGTACACAAACTACTATTTCCGTAAGCAACAAGTCTTGTGTCAAAAAGTTGTGCTATCTTCCAGCATTTATGAAACCAGCATCTATGAAACCATGGCATGCTAAATTGTTAGGTTGTAAATAGGATGAAATCTCAGAGTCTTCACATTTGTTCTAATATAACTTTCCAAATTTCAAAATACACAACTTTTTTTTTTTTTTGGTTTTTTTTTTTTGAGATGCAGTCTCACCCTGTCACCAGGCTGGAGTGCAGTGGCGTGATCTTGGCTCACTGCAAGCTCCACCTCCTGGGTTCACGCCATTCTCCTGCCTCAGCCTCCTGAGTAGCTGGGACTACAGGCTCCCGCCACCACACTGGGCTAATTTTTTTGTATTTTTAGTAGAGACAGGGTTTCACTGAAAATACGCAACTTTTTATACCCATGCCCTTATGTGGAAAAAAGCTTAACATTACAAGCTATGGATAATTATTAGCCCTTACTTGACCTCCTGTAATTATATATCTTCACTTATTTAATTATGATTGATAAAAGTTATACTAATTTTATAGTCCTTCAAGATAAATACCACTATGTGCTGCTTATGTTATTTTTATAAACAGAAATGTCAAGGTGGCAGAAAATTGTAAAAGTCCTTTTCTAATAGTAAGTTTGAAGATATCTTTTGACATCTTTTTCTCTGCTTTCTTTTTATTCCCATCTCATATATATATATATATATATATAATTCTCACCTTGAAATAAGTCCTCAGGGATGTCAATGAAAATGTAGGGTGAATAGTAAACATTGAAATGACTCAAACAGGACAGTAGGAGTTAACTCATTATTGAAAAGATTGTCAACATTGCATTTAGTTTCATAATCAATTAACCAAGTTAGCTGAGGACAATGAGCCCTAAGAATCACAAATGACACATTTAATTTATAAAACTTGGGAAATTTTTTCACTTTTAACTTTAGTTAAATGTCAGATTTTTTAAATTTAAGGATTAATTTTACTTTCAGATCTTCGAAGAAGCTTTGACATTATCTGAAGCTTCCTATGAGGTGAACTTCGAAAAGTAGATTGTTGTTCCAGAATCTATCCTTTTTTTTGTTCCTTTGGTAGTTGGTCCCTTGGGATATCTGCTTACTCATGAAACAACTGAAAACTGAAAGTTCTTAGTTGATATGAAGGACTAAATATAAATTTTTTACCACATGTGTTTGTCAGAGTGATGTGTTAAAGTATTATCTGAGATGAAAGGATACTGAAGCTTTACCCAGAGAAGTAAGAATGTTAATCCAGACATTAAAATTAACTTCAATTAAATAAATGCAGCATTGGATATTAAAAATGTAAACATCAAAAAGAAAGCTTTGCAAACAATTAATTACTAATGTATAACAACACAAAGAGATTTCTAATGAAGTACAGGACAAATTTTAAGAAACCTTTACTTTTATTTTTGTGTGTGTGTGCTGTTTGTTTGTTTGTTTGTTTGTTTGTTTTGAGATGGAGTCTCGCTCTGTCGCCCAGGCTGGAGTGCAGAGGCGCAATCTCTGCTCACTGCAAGCTCTGCCTCCCAGGTTCACACCATTCTCCCGCCTCAGCCTCCCAAGGAGCTGGGACTACAGGCACCTGCCACCATGCCCAGCTAATTTTGTTTTTGTATTTTTAGTAGAGGCAGGGTTTCACCATGTTAGCCAGGATGGTCTCGGTCTCCTGTCCTCGTGATCCGCCCACCTCAGCCTCCCAAAGTGTGTGTGTTAACTTTTTAGTAAATACTAATTTAAAAAGTTTGCATTTTCTACTCATTAGGAAAACAACTGAAACGCAAATTTTAACTTCTGATAGTATTAGGTGGAATATTTGCATTTTTAATATGTGTCATACACTGTTCTGAGTACTTTGATTTATCAATTAGCTATTGCTACATAACAAATAACCCCGATCTTTGCGACTTAAAACAATGGCAATTTAATCATAGACTAATTTAGTAGTAGTGTACAATTCTGTTAATGGACAATTTGAGATAGTTTCAACTGGATGGTTCTTCTCCTCAGAATTCACACCAGAGTCTGGGTGAGCTCATGCTACCGTCTACAGTAGATACACTCTGCAGTCACCTAGTGGTCATCCAGGAACTGGCAGTTTTAAGATGGCCTTATGAACATATTTTGTCATTGGCTGGTTATCAACTGGGGTGGTATGAATGAGCAAATTTTCTCTCATTATCCAGTAGTCTAGCATGGGCTTATGCTCATGATAGTTTGCCAGGTTTCAAGAGAAAGAAGTCTACAAGACTCTTTATGCAAAACCTGAAAACTAGCACTCAGTTACTTTTGCCACAGTGTATTGGCCCACTCAAGGAGAGGGAAAGAGACAACACAGCCTAATGAGAGGAGTTTCAAAATCACACTGTAGAGGATACAGGATGGAGTGAAAAATCACAATTATTTTTGTAATCAATCTCTCACACATGCATTATCTTGTTTAATTTTCTAATTAACTTTTGCTATTTGGATCATTATAATTTCCTCTTTACAGTTGGGAAAACATGGGCTTGCAAGAGTTAGTAACTTGAGTAAGGTCACAGTTACAGAGAGTATAAAAGTTGGATTCTAGTACAGGTTTGCTTGAATTCTGATGATGCTCAGCTATCAACTACTATTCTATGCCCTCCAAAACAAATCTACATACATTTTGAATAGGTTTCCTTCTAATATTTGAATTTGTGAGCACTTATTTAGTGAGAAAGATGAATAAGACAAACTGAAAAGACTTTTGTCTCCATTAGATCCATTTTAGTAATAATTTCCTATTTTTTAGGTCACTTAACCACCAAATATGCATATATTTTACTGCTAACCCAAAAGAAAAGAAAAAAAATTGGTTTTACATTTTTTGGTTTTTGTTTCCTTTTTTTATTAGAAAGATAAACAGGATGAAGGAGGGAATCTATTTCAGTGCAGGAAAAAAATCTATACAAAAATATGTTTAGAATTATTGTTTAAAATATTAATGTTTTAGGTAAAAAAATTCCAAGACCATTTCTAATATGTTTTATTAAACTGCCCTTTAGTGTGCCCTATATTCATCCCATAAGATATTCATTTTTCTTCTCTAGTTTCAAAGATCTCAGATATACCTGTGTAATTTATCTTTGATTTTTCTTTCTTTGTAGTACTGATTATTGTCTAAATAAGCATTCCTTTTCCTGCAGCAGTGATTTCTTTTCTTGGCACTTTTTTATTTTTTTACAGTAATTTGAATCTTGATGATATACTAAAAATCATTCTTAAATGAGGCAGGGGACACTGCAGTTTGCTTAGTTGATGTGATGCATCCTATAAATCTCATGAATGTTTATGAGCATAATTAAATCACATATAAATGTAAGTGGAAGAAAATTTACTTCTTACTATTACAGACTCTGTTTCCTAAAAAAAGATTACCTACCACAGTGTGAAAGGAAGAAGTGAGAATTATTTACCAGGCAAAAGAATGACATGTAAATAGTCACCATACACATGTCATGATGAGTACATTAATAAGCAGGTATTTATTCTAACAACATTTTCTAGAAAAAAATGAGCATAATATGTAATACTTTTTGCAAAATAGCAGGTAGTAAATTTGCAAAACTATAAGACAAATTAGATAAATATTATAATTACGGTATGAGAAATGTAAAATTTGTGCTACTAATAATAAGTGCTACAAAAATTTTGTAGTTTTAAAGCTTTTGTTTTTTTTTTTTCAGCTGGAATAGACAATGCTTTGTTATCAGATCCTATTTTCCATTGATTTAATACGCCAGATGATTTCTAAAATTTATTTCTCTATGTAAAGGTAGTCCATGTTGATTGAGGGCAAATTATCTCACACTGCCTGAAAATAAGATTTTTTAAACTCTAACATGGTTTACTCATCTTTGCGTAGACACAGTTGGAGTGTCTGCCAGCCCTCATGACATTGCTGTGTTGAAGATCTTGCTTAAGAGGCCATAGGAAGCCACAATCAAGACACAAACTGATTGGATCAGGAGGGAGCAATTGATGTGCTTGTGATTTCTCCTCCTCCTTTAGCCAGGAGTCAGTGAGATCCCTGTGAGTGAGAATTTGAACTAAAAGACAAAATACTAAATAGCTGATGCCTGGAAATGCTACATCAGGACAAGCAGCTCACTGGTGTATAAGCAGAGAAAGGCAGTTTGGAGAGAATATCAGTTGAAGAAAGTAAGGCTTTAGTTGAACTAGTTTAAAGTTTTCTCTTTTAGAAATCAGGTCATAGTAGCTACAGTACAGCCATCCAGAGGAAACCATAAGTTAATAAACAAACCACTCAATTTCTGGCACAATTCACACTATTTAGGGAAATAGTAAAAATTTGTTTTAACTGACATTTTTGAGAAATTTAATCTGTATTTCTGTGTGTGTCTGTGCAAACAGTCAAACCATGTGCAAGATTCAAGAAGAAAATGACCTCAGAATTCTGATGTAATGATCTAATACCAAGCATGAGTATTAATTTTTCAAAGTGATTTATAAAGGTATCAAGGTATCACACAAAATTCACTCTTAATAAATGTGCAATTTGCTAATTTTTAACACATTTAAAGAATTCTGCAAATGACACAATCTAAATTTTACAAAACAAAATACTTACATTTAAAAGAATAGAAACATTATGATGAAGAATATACTATGCTATTAAAATATAAATAAAATACCTAAAATGTGTATATATATATATGGTTCATTATTTTTCATTAAAAAACATTTTCAGATGTCTTTCTCAATAGGATTTTAAAATTGAAAGCATATTACACTAATCATCGCATATATAATGATGCATATATATTGTTTCATGAACCAAATTTGGAGTCCAAATATAATATGGATAAATTGAAATAAATGAAATAAATATAATTATGAAATAAATATTAATTAAATATAATACAGATAAATTGAAATAAAATGAAAGAATGGAATATGTCTATAAGATCATTGGGTAAAGGAATTAACTAAACAGAGCAGATATGCTTCCTCTGATGATTGAAAGCTAAAGTGTGTAGTCAGCCTGATTCATGGCTTTTTCATGAATATTTTGTCGTTACTTTCATCAGCCTGACTCCTTAATTTTAAGAGGTCCTGTTCAGTCATTATCCTTTCCCACTCATTCTTAACCTCTCTTTAGTAAAATTCTCTTAATTGCTATGCTACTTCACTCAGAATATTGTTTCCTGTTGAAGGTCATTAAATTCAAATATTCATTCAGCAAATATTTATTGAATTCTTACTGTGTATTCATACAAAGCATAGTTTTAAGCACTGAGGCTAGACTATTGAAGAAATCAGTGTCTTCCTTTATAGAGTGTATTATATTTCAGTGAGGATTAGAGGCAATAAACAAAGGATCAAACACAATATTAGATTGTGACAAATTCTAAGAAAAATGGAGCAGAGCAAATAAGACTGCAAAAAGACTCAGAAGGAGCCTCTGGAAGAGACTCAGAAAGACTGGAAAGAGACTCACTGTCTATTTCAAATAGTGTGGTTAGCAAAGGTTAGTTCTGAGGAACTAACATTGAAGTTGAGGTTTAAATGAAGTAAGAGAATGGATCCAATGAATATCTGAGAAAAGAGCATCCAGGCAGAGAAAGTAGAAAGTGAAAAGGCCCTGGGCTGCAGTGTATTTGAAGAACTTCAAGAAAGCCAGCAGGGTTGTGGTAAAGGATCAGATGCACCTAGTAGCCACTTGGGTTTTAAGAGCCAGGGAAATAATATGTATGTGGTTTTAGGTGTGATAAAAAGTCGTAGGTGTGCTTTGAGCAGAAAAGTAGTAAAATCTGATTCCCTGGGTAGAACCAAGTGAATAAACATATAGGTGTACATGTGCTTAAGCAATAAACCTTGTTGTGCTGGGATACATTGCTTCAAGAAATAAGTTATCAAAGGGTTATGACCTGAAGGAGTAGTCTCAGGGCATTTACTGCTTGGGTCACAGGCATCTATCTAGAGAGAGAAGGCCAATTAAAAGGAATGCATGATATAAATGAGATTGAGTCAGTTTCCTGGCAGCAGAGTAGGTGGTGTTTTTCATTGCAAAAAAATGAGATTAAGTTAATGAACATTAGGGCTGGCAATGAATTGGTTATATTGACTAATCATACGTGTTTGAATTCAAGCCAGTAAGAGCAGCATCTATAGTATGATCAGGAATGATGACTAAGATTTATTTAAGGATGATATTAAAAGTGTATTTCTGCGCAGAATTTGTACACATTTAAGAAAATATACTCAGGAAGTACGAAATCATTTTAATTAAATCACGACAATTTTAAATCTATATGTTTTACAAATGAGCTGGTAATCTAAACTTGCATTTTACAAAAACTTTCATTCAGTGTTTAATTTTTTCCATAACTTGTATTTAGTTTTTGGGAAAACCCCATACAACATCGATTTCTTAAATTTAGTTTTAATAATTGAGTTTTTTTCTATGCCTTTGCAAATTCTGATTCTTCTGCTTCAGAGTCCCTCTCTTCTTTGGTTAACCTCTACTAATTTTTGAAGACTTAGCTCCATACTATTTCTTCTGAGAAATGTTTTTTGATTTTATACAATTTAGGGAAAAGTCAAAGTTCAGATTATTGGTGAATAAATAATAATTCCAGGTATGTGACTTAATGTTATCACTTAAGGAGGAAGGGGATCTAGAGAGGAAAAGGGTAATAAGGGCATAATCTTGTGGCCTAGGGGCTTTGAGTATATACATTTGGATATTTGCATTTAATGAGTTTCTTACCATTATAATTTGATGAATATTTCAATCAGTATAATTATTTTGTGTGCCAAAAAATACCATGGCCCATATTCATTCAGAAAATTTTTCAAGTATATAGATTGTGAAATACAGACTATACATGGCTCAAATTGGCAGATATCAGAGTTCTATTAAAATCTCTTCTGTTAAATGCTATCTTCTACAATATATCAATTCATTAGGTATCTAGTATCTTGTTTTTAAAAATAAATTTTACTGTGTATGTTTGAGGTTTATGACATAATATTAGGTTGATACATATAAATAGTAAAACTGTTACTATGGTAAAGCAGACTAATATATCTATTATCTCACACAGTTACTTTTTGTGCAAAAAGATAATTTTAAAAGTTAAATCTGGAATACTTACATTGTGTCTACTGGAAGACAATTTGAGAAGATGAGAAAGACTGTTTTTAGAGTTTTAGAGGCAGAAGAAGTGGCCACATAGGTTGTCTAATCACAATTCTCTTTAATAAGTAAAACCATGAAGTCTTGAAATGAAATGTTAGGTGACTTATTAGGATTGTATGTCTAGTTGTGCCAGACCCAGGATAAAAACCTGGATTACTTGCCTTATTTGTCATCACTTTTCAGCTTCATTCCAGGATTTCACTGAAACCTACAACTATATTAATTGTATAATCTCTTTCACCTTTCTCTTGAAAGAGAAAATTTTCATTTTAATATATCACATCTTAAGATGCTTGCACTTTCACTTCCAATCAGGATATTTTTCTGATAATTCTGTGCCTAGATATGCCGGCTACAGTGAGTGAAATTACTTGCAGAATAGCAAAATGGCATAGTAAGTAGTAGTTCTTTTGGGGACAGAGGTTATCCATGACGATATTCTAACTTTAATGATTAATCTATTACATGCAAGTTTATAGATACATCCAGATTCACGCCTGTCCCCTGACTTGACATTTCATTTTAATCTTGAATCTTCTGGATGTTGTGTTTTGTTTTATATATATATAAAATATATATTATATATATTATATATATATAATGTATAATATATATAAAATATATATTATATATATTATATATATATAATGTATAATATATATAAAATATATATTATATATATTTTATATACATTATATATATTATATATATAATGTATAATATATAATATATATTATATATATTATATATATAATGTATAATATATATATAATATATATTATATATATTATATATATACCAGAATATATATATTATATATACATAACATATATATTTTACATATATCATGTAAACATAACATATCTATTTTACATATATCATATATACATAACATATCTATTTTACATATATCATATATACTATAACATATATTTTACATATATCATATATACTATAACATATATATTTTACATATATCATATATACTATAACATATATTTTACATATATCATATATACTATAACATATATATTTTACATATATCATATATACTATAACATATATATTTTACGTATATCATATATACTATAACATATATTTTGCATATATCATATATACTAGAATATATATTTTACATATATCATATATACTAGAATATATATATTTTACATATATCATATATACTAGAATATATATCTTTTATATATATTATATATACTAGAATATATATATTTTATATATAATATATACTAGAATATATATTTTATATATTATATATACTAGAATATATATATTTTATATATAATATATACTGGAATATATATATTTTATATATATTATATATACTATTATGTATATTTTATATATATTATATATACTAGAATATATATATTTTATATATGTGATATATACTAGAATATATATATTTTATATATATATGTTAACCAGAAAATCTATACTGCAAAAACATCCCAGATCTTCAATATTTTTCCTCTTGTTATCATAAATGATGAAAATATCCCATAAAATCCTATGTATCTGTATTCAAACAAAATCTTACATGTTATCTCTCTACATAGTTATAGAGAAATGCCGACCTTGGGTTTCACAAATATTCTCATTACAGTTTTTTTTTATGCTGTGCATTGTTGGAAGATCAATTTTATCCAATACCACTCAACAAACAAGTAACCAACTTTTATTACATATAAGAATTTTACAGGTACTTTAGCTCAACCCCCTAGAAAGAAAAATATGGATATGTTATGCCAAAAAGTCTAATGACAAGCTCCAAATATGTCACCTTTTTTTAATCATAGAGAAATTGCCTCTGGGGAAACAGACATTATGGCTGTAAAAGAATACTAACAGGTCAAACAAAAATGAGTCAGTTGGAGAGTCAGCCAGATTCAGAACCTGGGAATGAAACAGAAGGAAGCAAAACCCCCCTGTGAAAATCTGGACATGAGGTCACGATTAGAATGTAAACTTCATGAGCATAGTGGTATTATTTTATTTAACTTTTTTTTAGGTCCCTAATACCAAGAAAAGGGTCTGGTATCTAGTACGTGCCTGATAAACAATTATAGACAGGGTGAATGAATAAAATAATATGACATAATATGATAAAAAAACATTTTAAATGTCAAGGATCATGTTTCATCTGAGTGGAAGATTTCTAGTTAATGTTTTCCTTCTTCATGAAATTCATTTCTCTATTTTAAAAATGTACATTATATATTACTAACCTCATTTTGCTTTCAAAAAAAGGCAATATAATTTCAATAGGAACTGAGGGTACCACAGTTAATATTTTGCCTGAAACTGGGTTCAACTTGCAACTGGGTGGATAAATTTCTTCACTTCAACCTAGTTCAATGTACTGCATTCTACCCCAGACTAACATTTTCTAAAGAAAAGCCTCAGTGAAAATTGGCATGTAAGATTACAATTTGTGTCACGATTCAAAATAAGCACATGCCTATTAATGAAGGAGATATACTGATGACCTATTTAAAAGTAAAAATCTCATCGAATTCCAAAAATAACAGTGGAAAATGATAGGACATTTAAAAAATGGTGAACTACTTAAATGCAAGCTAGGCTAAGGCAGACTTTCAGATGAGATGGTGATATGAACACACACACATTTAACATTTTTCATTGTAATGGTCAAAATAATGTTAAAAAAATAGGAATCAAATCAGCATAAGCACTAAGGAAGAATGCCATTCATGAATGGTCTAGAAATTTTAAGAAATTTCTGCTAGATACTATAAGAACGAGATACTCTAATTTGATAGCCTAAGGGCAGCAATATGCTTAGTGAGAAATGAAAAGCTTAACATTATTACTTCTTAGTTGCCAGGCACTTTTCTGTGAACTTTACATATATTTACTTATTTAGTTCTTGTAACACCATGAAGTAGATATTCTTATAAAAAGAACAGAGAATCTGTTACTTACCCACTAACTCATATTTTTACTAACTTGCAGAGCTGGGACTCAACACTAGGTAAACAGGTCCCTGGAGCCAACATGCTTAGCTACTCCTTTGCCTTACTTTATAAATTAATAGTTAAATATATTGTGATGTGTCTATGCACCTTGATCCAACATAGTCATCAAAATATAATTTGGAAAAATATTTAATGACAGATGTAAATATTCACAGCTCATCACTGAATTGAAAAAAAAAATAACATGAATGAATACATCCACATACAATATGTTTGGTTAAGCATATTAACAGCTATATTTATTATTGAGGAGCTCATGAGTGCTTTTTTTTTCTTCGCATCATTGCATATGTAAAATTATCTCACTGTTGCTTTCATGCATGGATGAAAACTTGTCTGCATATAGAATGTTTATCTACATGTTTAAGTCTTTTGAAACAAGAAAATCAGTGTATCAAAGGACTACTAAGAAACGAGACCAGTGAAACTTATGAAGCAAAATAGAACTGTTACAGATGTGAAAGCAAACTTAAAGGCAAAATCCAAGAAATATTTTTGAAAATGTTAGTGTAATTACATTTTCTACAAGTCCAGATTAAAACAATGCAGTCCTCTAGACAGTGGAAAATAGGTAGATTTCAAGAGCAGTTAAAATAATTCCAGGTGAGGCTGGGCGCAGTGGCTCACACCTGTAATCCCAGCACTTTGGGAGGCCGAGGCAGGTGGATCATTTGAGGTCAGGAGTTTGAGACCAGGCTGACCAATATGGTGAAACCACATCTCTACTAAAAATATAAAAATTATCCAGGCATGGTGGCATGTGCCTGTAGTCCCAGCTACAAGGGAGGCTGCAACAGGAGAATTGCTTGAACCTGGGAGGTGGAGGTTGCAGTAAGCTGAGATCATACCACTGCACTCCAGACTGGGTGACAGAGCAGACTCCACCTCAATAATAATAATAATAATAATTCTGGTGGAGAACACCTTTTTTTTTTTCCTTGGACATCATCATTGGATAAATATATGTTAACTATAATCACTACAAGTGCACAGATAGTTATTAGTAGAATTAAAAACTAGATGCCTAACACTCAAATCAAATAATAACCTAAATAGCAAGCATACAAAAGAAAATTGAATTAAAAAGAGAAACATACTGCTTAAAATGAAAATGACTAAAATTAAACAAAAAATGCTTAATAATGATACTAAGTAATTGAAAACAACTGTTCCATAAAAAGGTCATGGATTTCAGTGCAACGTTTGGGGCCACTTTTTTACTCTTGAAAATTAGATGATTTCCAAGAATGAATGGTAGGAGACCCGGAGGCTGAGCAGCACTCTTGCTTCCATCAAAGATTTAAGACAACAAGATTTGTTCTAACAAAGAAGTGAGGGCAGGAGAAAACAGTGGTAAAGCACTCCAACCTTGGTGTACACTTGGGTTACAAGCAAGATATCAAAGCAACCTCAGCTCATTTTAATCCAGAGTGCTATTCTACCTGGGCAACTGAGAGAAGAAAAGCAAGTAGTCTCTGGAAAAACATAACATCATTCTAGGGCTCACATTATTCCTAAAAAATCAGCTTTCCAAACCAATGGTTTTTGGTTACATGGGTAAATTTTGTAGTGGTGAAGTCGGAGATTTTAGTGTACCCATCACCCAAGTAGTGTACATTGTACCCAATATGCAGTTTTTTATCTCTCATCCTCCTCCCACCATCTCTGCTTCTGAGATTCCAGTATTCATTATACCAATCTGTGTGCTTTTGCGTACCTATAGCTTAGTTCCTGCTTATAAGTGAGAGCATACCGTATTTGGTTTTACATTCCTGAATTACTTTACTTAGAATAATGGCCTCCAGCCCCTTCCAAGTTGAAAAATACATTATTTCATTTTTTTTGTCTGAGTAGTATTCCATGGTGTATATATACCACATTTTCTTTACCCTGATGTGGAGGTTCTATAAGAACTCAGAAGGCCATAGGAATACTAAGTTTTCTGTTGTTTGGAAGTAGACACACTTGATTGAAGTGGTGTATTACATCCATGCCCAGTGCCATTGTTGCTGGAATTGACAACTTTGAGGCCAGAAAGTGAGAAGGGCCAACAGCTCTAATCATCAAAAGTTGCATGACTGGGAAAAGCATATGCGTGTCTCAGTCTGTGTATATGTGCAACCAAGAATGGAGAAAGCCTAAGTCAGACTCATATTCCTGGCCAATCCTGGCTTGTACACATGTGAATACAAGATTCAAAAGGGCCCAATGGAAAGTAACAGCTAAGACGACTTAAAGGTGGCCTGAACTCTCAATGTGTTTCCTAACAGATCTTTTAGAAAGAAGCCTTGCTAGTTTATAATGGTTGACCACAAATCACTGTCGAACTGACTACTAATTTAAAAACACAGAGGGTTGACATATATGAAGCCAGGTTTAAAAATAAAACAAAAAATATTTTTTTCCAAAAATCTGAACAAGTATATCAGCAGTAACCCACTTCAAGAAATATTAATTTCATAAATCTAGTTTAACAAGTTACTAGACAAAGAAATAAAGACAAAACAACAAAAAAGAGGTATCAGTGGGGAAATCAAATCCGCAGTTGCTACAACATGTTATCTAAAATATTCAGTTGACAAAGAAACAGGAAAGTGTAACCCATACTCTAGGATAAAAATTGTTCATGGAATCAATTTCTGAGTGTCCTTCATATTGTGAATTTAATAGACAATAGATGAACATTTCTAAACAGCTGCTACAAATGTATTTAAAAAACTAAGAGAAACCAAGTTTAAAGAATTAAAGAAAAAACACAACAATTAAGACAAAAATTATGAAAAATAAGAAAATGGAACTTCTCAAGTTGAAAAGTATGCTAATATTAATAGAATTGTAGTTAACAATAATTTATTGTATTCTTCAATTCAGCTAGAACAGAAAAATTGTAATGTTCACAACTCAAAGAAAGATAAACGTTTGAGGTGATGGACATTTAGTTACCCTGATTTAATCATTACACATTGTCTACATTTATCAAAATTCCATATACCCCCAAAATATACAGCTATAATATAGCAATAATAAATACAAAAATTATTCATGAGAGAGTCTCAATTTGAATTGACAGGAAAAAAAGAATCAGTGAACTTGAAGACAAATAAATAGAAGTTATACAATCTGAAGAACAAAATAAAAAGGATTGAAGAAAAATAAGGACAGCCTCAGAGACCTGTGAAGTAGCAATAAAATGTACCAACTTATGTGTAAGGGGAATTACATAAAGAGAGAAGGTAGAGAAAGGGAGAAAAAAATCAGGAGAAATAATGACTGAAGACTTCCCAAATTTGATAAGAACAATCTCCACATCCAAGAACCATACATAGACATATGATAGTCAACTGTTGAAGACCAAAGATAAATACAAAATCTTAAAAGCAGCAAGAGGAAAATGGGCTCATTAAGCACAGGAGAGCATCAGTGAAATTAATAGCCAACTTTTGCTCTAAGTAAAACAGAGGCCAGAAGGCATACTTAAAGTGCTGGAAGAAAAAAAGGAAAAAATCCCAAAACCTGAGAACCAAGGACAAATGAACATATATACATACATCTATATGTTTGTGCATATATATATGTATATCTATAAAATATCCAACAAAAATCTACATTCTTTAAACATGAAAGTAAAATAAAGGCATTGTCATATGTAGACTGAAAGATTTCATTACTAATAGACCACCTTACCCAAAACACTAAATGAAGTCTTATAAAATGAAATAGAATGACTTCAGATTGTAACTCAATTTCAAAAGGAGAATATGAATGGGCACCAGACATGGTAAATATATGGGTTAATATGAAATATTCTAATTTTTTTTTTATCGAGTTTCACTCTTCTTGCCCAGGCTGGAGTGCAATGGTGCGATCTCTGCTCACTGCAACCTCCGCCTCCAGAGTTCGAGCGATTCTCCTGCCTCAGCCTCCCTAGTAGCTGGGATTACAGGCATGTGCCACCATGCCCAACTAATTTTGTATTTTTAGTAAAGACAGGGTTTCACCATGTTGGTCAGGCTGGTTTCGAACTCCTGACCTCAGGTGATCTGCCTGTCTCAGCCTCCCAAAGTGCTGGGATTACAGGCGTGAGCCACAGCACCTGGCCAAATATTTTTAAATCATTTACTGTCTTAACACTTTAAAAATACAAGATAGCATATGTGAATAATTGTGACAATGTATTATTAGGTGCATATCATATAAAGATTAGTATATGTGACAATAATATCCAAAAGGAGAGGGAAGGAACAGGCCTATATTTGGACAGGTTTCCATATTTAACTAGAATTAAGGTAGTATTAATCTGAAGTAGTCTGTGATTAGTTAAAATGTCTATTATTATCCCTCAATCAACCAATAAAGAAACCTCCAAAATATACAGTTAAAGTGAATAACAGAAGAATTATAATGATATTCTTAAAATTATTTATCACAAAAGAGTAGTCAAATAAGAACAGAAGGACAAGAAAGGAGATATATAGAAAACATACAGCAAAATAGCAAACATAAATCCACTTATATAAATAATAACACTAACGTGAATGGCTTAGACACCTCAATTAAAAAGCATAGATTGTTAAACTGAATAAAAATCCAAGATTTAACTATATGCTGTTATGTAAAACAACTGACTTCAATTCAATAACAAAATAGATTGAGTGTAAAAAGTAAACTATGTAAATCTCAAACGGAAGAGTAACTTTAATATTACTATCAGCCAAATAGACTTAAGACAAATATTCCTATTGACAAAGAGGGATATTCCATAATGATAAAGTGGTCACAAATCAGGTATATATAAAAGTTATAAAAGTATACACACTTAAAAAGAGAGATTCAAAATAGATAAATCAAAAACTTGCAGAATGGAAAAGAGAAATAGACAACCCCACAATAGAAGTTGGAGATTTCAATTCTCAGAATAATAATGATAGCATTATTATTATTTAGAGACAATTATCATTATTTAGAGACAGGGTCTCACTTCACTTTTAAGCCTAGGCTGGAGAGTGCAGCAGCACAATCATAGCTCACTGTAACCTCTAACTCCTAGGATCAAACGATCCTCCCTCTTCAACCTCTGAGAAGCTAGGACAACAGCTGTGAGCCACAATGGTTGACCATCTCACAATTATTGATAGGATAATTAGACAATAAGTCAAGAAGATGTAGAAGACTGGAACAATACTATCAATTAGCTTGACCTAATTGACATATATAGAATTCTCCAAACTACAAATACACATTTTTCACAGTTTCACATGGACTACTCTACAGGACAGAATATATACTAAGCCATTAAAAGAGTCGCAATAAATTTAAATGGATTCAAATCATAGAAAGTATAATTTCTAGAACACAATGGATTTAAACTGAAAGTTAAAAATAAATAAATAAAATACCCTTAAATAGTTGGAAATTTAAAAATCACATATCTAAATACTCTAGGCCAAAAAAGAAATCAAAGGAAAAACTTGAGTATTAAAAAATTGAAGTAAAATTTAAATCATAATTGACTAAATGAAAACAAAGTATTTATATAACAGTTTAAAAAGTACCTAGGACATTCATAAAGGCCATAAAGGTTTTGTAGCTGAAGAGCCTAGCAGAAAACATTACTAGTCATTACTGTAAATTAACAAAAACAAAAAGATTGTAGCATATTTTAAACTCTAGTTATTTATGACTTCTGGAAAACACAAAGAAATTAATAAATATTTACTCTATATAGTGCTATGTTGTCCAATATTTTCTATCACCCACATGTAGTTATTGAGCATACCAAATTGAGGAGTGCTGTAAGTGTAAAATACATAGTTTTGGATTTCAAAGGCTTAATAAAAAATTGAATATATAATATCTCATTAATAATGTACCTTGATTACATGTTGAAACAATGTTTTGCTATTATGTTGAAATGTTTCTGTACTGTGAATAATGGATGTGTTTTACCAAATGTTGCGGTTTTCTGCTCATCTCAACTTGAATATAATGAGATGTCTTTTTTTATTTTTGAAAGTCAGGAAAAAATAGGGATATTAAAAAAATATATACCTGAAATATCATCAAGAGAAAATACTTCTAATCTCTTAAGTGTCAAAGCCAACTTAAGGTATTCTTTTATCACCCCTGAATACCCATATTACATTATTCTAGATTTTATGTGGCATATAATTTTATAATAGTAATTTATTAACTTTTTTTCTGTTATTAGGTTGAAGATCCATTAGGTCATAGTTCAGGTCTTATTCCTTTTTGAATACCACATGCTAATCCTTTAGTGGGTGATCAATGCCACTTGTTACAGGCTTTTGAATTAACTAATTTAAGTGTAAAATCACATTTCAGAGCTAAATGGTCATAAATTTTGGTTTATTATCACTTAGCTCACATATGTTTCATTTACTAGATGAACACTATATTTCACACCTATAAAAGGTTCATCTTTCAATACTTTGATTCTTAAATATTTATTGAAAGGAGATTTTGTGCTAGCTGCTATAGGAGACGCCAAGTTAAGTCAAACATTTGAAAAGTTAACAGTCTATATCTTTCCAGGTCTGAAGTAAGATTGCACATATTTCTAATGGATACACAAACGTAGAAAATAGATACGTTTTTTGCAGTTAAAGACTTAGATGCAAGGTAATTTCTTTTAAGAGAGAAAAGAACATGAAACATTATGCAAACAATGAAACCAAATTAAAGAACAAAGACTAAAAATTCACCTCACAGAACCTCATATTTAATATGAACTTAATATTTAATGTGTTAATATCTTATCTCAAATAATGTGGTATTTTCAACACAATTTTTCTTATTGTACAAATAGTCACACATTTGTATGATAAATTTCACTTTAATTAATGCCCAGAAAGGGGAAAACAGAAAGAAGCGTTTCCTTCTTTTAAAAACTGAAGGGCCCATCATTGACTGGAAATTTAAAAATGCAAGAATGAGCTCATTGTGTATTTCCTCAAGTGTAAATTTCTTATTATGAAAAAAGACAGTGTGCAAGAAAATGTCGGGTTATATATGTGTCAAAAAGGAGAGAGAGCTTGGGCTGAAAGCTGCCAGTCTAAGTCTAATTCACATGAGTATACAAAGATTTGCATACACATGCACACACACAGACACACACACCCACATACCACCATAGCACTTGGTACTGAGAACCCAGGAAAATGTGCCTACACATCTGGGTATTTCCAGACACTTTGGGGTACAGCTTGCTGAGAGACAGTTTTAAAAGTTTTAACTAAGAGTAAGTTGCTCACAGAGCAGCTTAATTTTAAAGAACTGTTGGCCCACTAGGTTTATATTCAACCAACAAAAAACAGTTGAGATATTGCATGTAAATTACTTTCTAGGAAAGACAGAGAGAGAGAGAGAGAGAGAGAGAGAGGAAAAAGAAGAAAACATATATTAAAGAATACATGACTGAGAGAAAATTGTTCTCTTGGAGTAAGTTTGTTGTGAGGAGAGAGAGAAGAAACTGTTTGAGAACTGAATGATTAAAATTCAAGCCTAGATACCATGAGGGGATTTGAGATAGAGAATTGAAGACACAGACAAACATTTCCCACTTCACATATTTTATTATCCTGGTACTATATGATAGTAAAAAATTAGTTACTATATAAGACATAAACGTAGAATTGGAAAAATAAATATTTTGCTCTAAGTATGTTTGGGTAAAGAAAATAATCTTGTCTGACAAAAGAAAAAACCTACTGTTTAACTTATGGCAATAAATTGAATCCAATTTAATGACACTAGGTATTTTGTGGGCTCCAAAATGTAATTCGTAACCTATAGTTATTTGTCTAATTGACAATTTTATACCTATGGTAGTTTAATTTGAAAGTAAGGAAAGATAATTGCACTTTTAATTTTCTCATTTTCAACCAAGCGAAATGTTCCTCACAATAATCTTTCTGCTTTTTGAGAGAAAATTACTCTGACAGAAATGCCACTTTGAATATCATGAACTTTTAAGTAGGATTCTTATTATGTAAAATGTAGAATATTTAATTATTGCAGTTGTTATAATTTCTAAACCCATATGGAAACTGATCTGATAGATTATAGAATAAAGAAAAAAATGGAAATGGTTTAATTAAAATTAATTTAATTCTCTGATTTTCTGTACATGTAATATGATTTTAGTTTTAGTTTCTATGTTCTTCTTAGGCATCTGTGCCAGCACAAAATGTATAGTTCAACATTAAAATTGTTTCCTTAGGCAGAGACTCAATTTTACTTATCATCATATGCCTACCATTTTCTCATCACACACTCCTTCAAAACAGACCTCCATACATTCCTCTGAAGCCTGGTTGCTGATTGTCATGAATTACTTCTCCCCAACAAATAACCATAAATCAAATCAGAAATTATTAAGTAGTAGCCTGAAAATGATGCTCCTTGCCCATCTTCTCCTCTCCCTCACCACCTTCAGAAGAGCCACTGCAAAGGGGATGTTCAAGGCACTATTTATATATGTGTCTGCAAAGTGCCAAAGCAACAGATTTAAAGTCCAATTTTAAAGTATAAACTATTTTTCTGTCTATGAGGAAACAGATAATCAGCTTGTATATTTTTATAACTTTCCTCAGTTGTATTTACCATTTTTTATATTGAAATACAGGGATGTGAAATCTGTTTAAATGTGATAAGTCAACTATTCATTACATGTCTACATGGTACTAAAAACAGGAGTAGGATCCACAAAATATGTGGAAGAAAGACATAGCAGGGCACCTATTATTGCAGATAAGGTAGTCAATCCTTATTGAGTAGATAGCTCTACATGAATTAAACAACTAAAAATGTGTGAAGAACTCATGAACTGAATAAAACCAAGACCAAATGATTTGCAAATTAGTATGTCTATTCTCCATATGTGTGATATCGGTTGCCTTACGGTCAGATGAAAATATTTGTGTTTACTCTACTGATGATATAGCTAGCCAAAAAACATTCCCTTTTATGTCACTGCCAATCTGTGGCTCATGAATTAGTATAATACTTTCACTTATTTATCCAACTAATATTAGCACTTATTACTTGCCATACATTCTATAAAGAGATCAATCAAAACAATCATAGTTCTTGGCCCTATGGAGCTTCCACTATAATGAGAGGGATGTATGTTAATCAAATAATTATGCTATATATTTGATTTTAAAATAAGAGTGCTGAAAAAAATTCAGAGAGGAAGAAAAAAATAATAGGTTATTTATTTTATCATGGAGAGCAGAAGGAGTTTAGACAATTCCTTCGACCCCTGAAAGTAAATGATGGTTTGAAATTTTGAAGTTTAGAGAATGAAAATGAGTAAGCAAGTCATAATAGAACCAAACAGTTTGTGGGTGTGGTGGACAGACAGGTGGTGAGGAGTGTTCACAGATTCTGAGGACAGAGGAGTATAATGTGAAAAAATTTTGTAATGAAAATTCACAAAATGGGCTCGGCATGGTGGCTCACAGCTGTAATTCCAGCACTTTGGGAGGCCAAGGCCGATGGATCACCTGCAGTCAAGAGTTTGAGACCATCCCGGCCAACATGGCGAAAGCTTGTCTCTACTAAACATGTAAAAATTAACTGAGCGTGGTGGCGGGTGTCTGTAATCCCAGCTACTCGGGAGGCTGAGGCAGGAGAATTGCTTGAACCTGGGCGGCTGAGGTTGCAGTGAGCCGAGATCACACCATTGTACTCCAGCATGGGCAAGAGAGCAAGACTCCATCTCAAAAAAAAAAAAAAAAAATTCACAAAATCCAGTTGAAAAGTGAGATGTTTTGGGTGAACCTGGAGAAACAGACAAGGGTCAAGTCACGTTAAATCTTATTCACATGTCATGATACTATTCTTTGTAATTATTTTTTTAAAAATGCAGAAGCCATTAACAGATGTTAGGTAGGAAAATAAGTAAAATTGTGCTTTAAATAGATTTGTTCTTCAGGATTAAGAATGCATTAGAAGAGTGGAAGACTATTCAGTTCATAGCTTTATTAGTACTGCTCACCTTTTGCTTGGTAAGAGTGGAGATCCATTGCCTTACTTGGGAAATTATTTGGGAAAAATATTAAATTATGGAATTAACAACTACTTTGTTGACCAGATCAGAACAAGCTCATAAAAAGCAGATATTCTTTAAGACTGATTATGAAATTTATCTTGTAATTGATTTATGATATCTTAAAGGTTTCAAATATGTGATCTTTTCAAACACCGCATACTAATTATATTGTTTGCATTATAATAAAAAAGAAACATCTGACATCACTGCCCACAAATATATGACCATTCTTAAATCCTTCCTGAGACACGGTGAAAATTGGATAACCCAGAATTTTATGGCAATCACACAGTTTTATGTTGGCTCCCCTGGTGCTATCAGGAACTAAGAGAAATGTTCACAACTGTGCTTCTATTTTTAGTGGGATTAATATTTTATAAGATTTCTATCTCTGTATATTGCATTAAACAATAATGAATTGAATTATGCCTGACAGCTCTTTTCCATTTGTGTTACTTTTTCCTCATATACAAAAATAATAATTCACATTGCTTCAGTAACATGAACTCTACTTGACAGCTAACTGATTTTTTGTCAGTAGGCTTGGCATATAGAAGAACATTTATGATGGACTAATTAAATTTTAAAAGCAAACAAAAATCAGTAAAATGGTCTTAACCATCCACATTTAATTTTTTTCACTTATAGTACATGTCTATTCTGGAAAACTGTTAAACTGAGGAAGCATTCATCAAGCTGTTATCTAATTACTGAAATGGGCTATTTGTTAGTTTGGTTTCTGTAATGGAATCAGAATTCAATTAATACTAGAAATATCTTGAAACAAACTTTGAATAATAAGTACATTGCATGAAATAGTTTTCTAAGAATAACTTGTATTTGGAAGTTTTTCATTTCAGTTTTACCACTGATATAATAAGTAGGACTGTTCACTACTGAAAAGACACCTATCCTTAGTTTTTTGTGTTATTATGAAAACTAGCCTTTTCTGTTAATCAGATTTCATTTCCAAGCATTTCAGTGGGTGCAGTTAAAATCCTTCTCTTGTTAAAGAGCAGGTCTTTTTTTTAAAAAAAAAATAATAGTACAACTTTTTTAGAGAACTAAATGAATTTTAAAATTAAATATATCATCTCCCTTGTCTTTTATAACACTCCAATAATTCAACATCTGTAGAAGGCTACCATAATACATAATTGTAGGCAGAGTCAAACACATTACAATTTATAGGTATAGAACTTTCTGCAAGTCCACTCACATCCACTCTTTCCTGTGGCATCTTTGGGATTTCCTAGAATTTTTATTTGTTTTTTCGGACTGAGTCTCACTCTGTCACCCAGGCTGGAGTGCAGTGGTGCAATCTTGGCTCACTGCAACCTCTGCCTCCCGAGTTCAAGAGATTCTCCTGCCTTAAACTCCCGAGTAGCTGGGACTACAGGCATGTGCCAAAGTGTCTCTCTAATTTATTGTATTTTTAGTAGAGACGGGGTTTCACCATGCTGGTCAGGTTGGTCTCGAAATCCTGACCTCAAGCAATCTGCCCACCTCAGCCTCCAAAATTGCTGGGATTACAGACGTGAGCCACAGCTCCCAGCCTGGAATTCCTAGAAATTTCTGAAGCCTCTGACCATGTTGGAGTAACTGGAATGTGGCTTGATTTCCTGCTATTAGGTATATATAATATACACCTTTATAATATGAATTTCTAAAGCTGTAAAAAAACTATTTTCAGATATTGAAAACATAGTGCAGAACTTCGATGCATGAGAGAGGGAAAAATATAAAAAAGAGCCCCATATTTGTTTAAACTTTCTGCCTAGAGTCATTCTCAGACTGGTGCAGAGAAATGAAGGCCAACCAGAGTGTATGGCTTTGCTGAGCTAGACTAATACTGGAGATTGGGACTGACAAGGTGACTGGGGTTTGTGAAGTAGGATGCTGCAGAGAATAACAGCTGAGCAGAAAGGAGGCATCAGAAGTCTGGGTGGGGGTTTTCTACAAGTTCTTGGTTGAGAGAAATATGCACAAGTGTAATGAAGTTTTCATGAGTCCTAGCAGAAATCAACTTCCGTGAGACGCAAAAGAAGATGAAGGTTGTGTAGTGTTGGGAGGTTTTACAGTTTTAGTCAAGTCAGATGGTAGAGACCTTGATGAGCATGCATAGCATTCATTTGACACCCTAGAAATAAAATAAAGTCTCCAGAAACATTTTAGGTGAATGGAACACACACTGCAACTAAAAACCAAAACTGAGCCAGATCTTCCCTAAGAAAAAATAGCAGAAATATAAAGTCAAGGATGAGAGCATTAGCAGGATCATCAAGTAATATGATTGTCTATGAAAACATAATGGGAAGAGAACATAATTAAACACAATAATTAATATAATCCTCATTGTCCATCATTCAATCAACATTACTAGATATGAGAAGAAACTAGAATATGTTACACACAATGAATCAAAAAAGCAGTAAATAGAAACAGATTCCAAGATGACAAAGATGTTGAAATAATCAGATATAAACTTCAAAATCTCTACTAGAAATATTTTAGTAAAGTTTTAAAAATAGACATAAGTAGTAAAGTAGGGAATCTTAGCACAGAAATATAAACCATGTACAAAACCAAATGAAACTTATAGAATTAAAAAGTGTGCACTAAATTCTGAGTGACAAACTAACAGGGTAAGACCTTGTCTAACAACAACAACAAAAAAAGACAATTGCATTTCTTCTGGAAAGAGACATTCTTGGTCAGTTAAGAAAATTCCAGAGTCCCTTCCTGCACTTAAAGGAACAAGACAAGCTGGAGTGGAGAACGAGACAAGGTTAGAAAACCCTTGACTTGGAGTTTTGAGCAAGATGGCCGAATAGGAACCACTCCGGTCTGCAGTTTCCAGCGAGACCAATGGAGTAGGTGGGTGACTTCTGCATTTCCAACTGAGGTACCCGGTTCATCTCACTGGGACTGGTTAGACAGTGGGTGCAGCCCACGGATGGCAGAGGGCAAGCTGAAGCAGGGTGAGGAAGCACAGGGGCTCGGGGAACTCCCTCCCCTAGTCAAGGGAAGCCATGAGGGACTGTGCTGTGAGGCACAGTATCTGGCCCAGATACTATGCTTTTCCCATGGTCTTCACAACCCACAGACCAGAGATTCCCTCTGGTGCCTACACCACCTCGGCCCTGGGTTTCAAGCACAAAACTGGACATCCATTTGGGCAGACACTGAGCTAACTGAAGGAGTTTTTTTTGTTTTGTTTTGTTTTGTTTGTACCCTAGTGGCACCTAGAAAGCCAGCGAGACAGAACCGTTCACTCTTCCGGAAAGGGGGCTGAAACCAGGGAGCCGAGTGGTATTGCTCAGCGGATCTCACTCCCATGAAGCCCAACAAGCTAAGATCCACTGGCTTGAAACTCTCACTGCCAGCACAGCAGTCTGAAGTCAACCTGGTATGCTCAAGCTTGGTGGGTAGAGGGGCATCCACCAATACTTAGGCTTCAGTAGGTGATTTTCCCCTCACAGTGTAAACAAAGCTGCCAGGAAGTTTGAACTGGTTGTGGAACCCACTGCAGCACAGCAAAGCCACTGTAGCCAGATTGCCTCTCTAGATTTCTCCTCTTTGGGCAGGGCATCTCTGAAAGAAAGGCAGCAGCCCTAGTCAGGGGCTTATAGATAAAACTCCCATCTCCTGGGGACAGAGCACCTGGGGGAAGGGGCAGGTGTAGGTGCAGCTTCAGCAGATTTAAAGTTTCCTGCACGCCGGCTCTGAAGAGAGCAGTGGATCTCCCAGCACAGTGCTCGAGCTATGGTAAGGGACAGATTGCCTCCTTAAGTGGGTCCCTGACCCCCATGGCTCCTGACTGAGAGACACCTCCCAGCAGGGGTCGACAGACACCTCATACAGGAGAGCTCCTGCTGGCATCTGGCCAGTGCCCCTCTGGGACCAAGCTTCCAGAGGAAGGAGCAGGCAGCAATCTTTGCTGTTCTGCAGCTTCTGCTGGTGATACCCAAGCAAACAGGGTCTGGAGTGGACCCCCAGCAAACTCCAGCAGACCTGCAGAGAAGGGACCTGACTGTTAGAAGGAAAACTAAGAAACAGAAAGCAATAGCATCAACATCACCCAGCAACAAAAAGGACGCCCACTCAAAAACCTCATCTGAAGGTCACCAACATCAAAGACCAAAGGTAGATAAATCATGAAGATGACGAAAAACCAGCACAAAAAAGGCTAAAAATTCCAAAAACCAGAATGCCTTTTCTCCTCCAAAGGATCACAACTCCTAGCCAGCAATGGAACAAAACTGGACAGAGAATGAGTTTGACAAGTTGACAGAAGTAGGCTTCAAAAGGTAGGTAATAACAAACTCTTCTGAGCTAAAGGAGCATGTTCTAACCCAATTCAAGGAAGCTAAGTACCTTCATAAAAGGTTGCAGGAACTGCTAACTAGAATAACCAGTTTAGAAAAGAATATCAATGACCTGATGGAGCTGAAAAACACGGCACAAGAACTTTGTGAAGCATACACTAGAAACAATAGCTGAATCGATCAAGCAAAAGAAAGGATATCAGAGATTGAAGATCAACTTAATGAAATAAAGCATGAACACAATATTAGAGAAAAAGGAATGAAAAGGAATGAACAAAGCCTCCAAGAAATATGATACTATGTGAAAAGACCAAACCTACGTTTGATTGGTGTACCTGAAAGTGACAGGGGAAATGGAACCAAGTTTTAAAACACACTTCGGGAAATTATCCAGGAGAATTTCCCCAACCTAGAAGATAGGCCAACATTCAAATTCAGGAAACACAGAGAACACCACAAAGGTACTCCTCAAGAAGAGCAACACCAAGACACATAATCATCAGATTCACCAAGGTTTAAATGAAGAAAAAAATGTTAAGGGCAGCCAGAGAGAAAGGTTGGGTTATCCACAAAGGGAAGCCCATCACACTAACAGGTGATCTCTTGGCAGAAACCCAACAAGTCAGAAGAGAGTCAGGGCCAATATTCAACATTCTTAAAGAAAAGAATTTTCAACCCAGAATTTCATATCCAGCCAAACTGAGCTTCATAAGTGAAGGAGAAATAAAATCCTTTACAGAGAAGCAAATGCTGAGGGATTTTGTTACCACCACACCTGCCTTACAAGAGCTCCCAAAGGAAGCATGGTGGCTCATGCCTGTAATCCCAGCACTTTGGGAGGTCAAGTCAGGTGCATCACGAGGTCAAAATATCGAGACCATCCTGGCCAACATGATGAAACCCCATCTCTACTGAAAATACAAAAGTTAGTTGAGTGTGGTGTGCATGCCTGTAGTCCCAGGTACTCGGGAGGCTGAGGCAAGAGAATCACTTGAACCCAGGAGGCAGAGGTTGCAGTGAGTTGAGATCATACCACAGGACTACAGCCTGGTGACAGAGCAAGACTCCATCTAAAAAAAAAAGGAAGCACTAAATATGGAATGGAAAAACCGGTAGCAGCAATTGCAAAAACATACCAAAATATAAAGACCATCAACACTATGAAGAAACTGCATCAACTAATGGGCAAAATAACCAGCTAGCATTTTACTGACAGGATCAAATTCACACATAACACTATTAACCTGAAATGTAAATGGGCTAAATGCCCCAATTAAAAGACATAGACTTGCAAATTGGATAAAGAGTCAAGACCCATCGGTGTGCTGTATTCATGAGATCCATCTCAATGCAAAGACACACATAGGCTCAAAATAAAGGGATGGAGGAATATTTACCAAGCAAATGGAAAGCAAAAAAAAAAAAAAGCAGAGGTTACAATCCAAGTCACTGATAAAACAGACTTTAAACCAACAAAGATCAGAAAAGACAACGAAGGGCATTACATAATGGTAAAGGGATCAATGCGACAAGAACAGGTAACTATCCTAAATATATATGCACACAATACAGGAGTACTCAGATTTATAAAGCAAGTTCTTAGAGACCTACAAAGAGACTTAGACTCCCACCCAATAATAATGGGAGACTTTAACATCCCACTGTCAATATTAGACAGATCAATGAGACAGAAAATCAATATGTACATTCAGGACTTGAACTCAGCTCTGGACCAAGCAGACCTAATAGACATCTACAGAACTGTCCACCCCAAGTCAACAGAATATACATTCTTCTCAGCACCACTAGCACTTATTCTAAAATTGACCACATAATTGGAAGTAAAACACTCTTCAGCAAATGCAAAAGAACAGAAATCATAACAACCAGTCTCTCAGACCACAGTGCAATGAAATTAGAACTCAGGATTAAGAAATTCACTCAAAACTGCACAACAATATGGAAACTGAACAACCTGCTCCTGAATGACTACTGGGTAAATAACAAAATTAAGGTAGAAATAAATAAGTTCTTTGAAACCAATGAGAACAAAGACACAACATACCAGAATATATGGGACACAGGTAAAGCAGAGTTTGGAGAGAAATTTATAGCACTAAATGCCCATGAGAAAGACAGAAAGATCTAAAATCAACACCCTAACATCACAATTAAAAGAACTAGAGAAGCAAGAGCAAACAAATTCAAAAGCTAACAGAAGATGAGAAATAATGGAGCAGAACTGAAGGAGATAGAGACACGAAAAACCCTTCAAAAAATCAATGAATCCAGGAGCTGGTTTTTTGAAAAGATTAAAAAAATAGACCACTAGCTAAACTAATAAAGAAGAAAAGAGAGAAGAATCAAATAGACACAATAAAAACTGATAAAGAGGATATTACCACTGGTCCCACAGAAATACAAACCACCATCAGAGAATACTATGAACATCTCTATGCAAATACATTAGAAAATCTAGAAGAAATGGATGAATTCCTGGACACATACAGCCTCCCAAGTCTAAACCAGAAAGAAGTCGAATCCCTGAATAGACCAATACAAGTTCTGAAATCGAGGCACTAGTTAATAGCCTACCAACCAAAAAAAGCCCAGGACCAGAAGGATTCACAGCTGAATTCTACCAGATGTACAAATAGGAGCTGGTACCATCCTTCTGAAACTATTCCAAACGACAGAAAAAGAGAGACTCCTCCCTAATTCATTTTATGAAGCTAGCATCATCTTTATACCAAAACCTGGCAGAGACACCACAAAAAAAAAAAAAGAAAATTTCAGGCCAATATCCCTGATGAACATTGATGCAGAAACCCACAATAAGATACTGGCAAACTGAATTCAGCAGCACATCAAAAAGCTTATCCATCACAATCAAGTCAGCTTCATCCCTGGGATGCAAGGCTGGTTTAACATACGCAAAACAATTAACATAACCCATCACATAAACAGAACCAATAACAAAATGCGCATGATTATCTCAGTAGCTGCAGAAAATGCCTTCAATGAAATTCAACAGCCTTTCATGCTAAAAACTCTGAATAAACAAGGCATTGATGAAACACATCTAGAAATAATAAGAGCTATTTATGACAAATCCACAGCCAATATCATACTGAATGGGCAAAAGCTGGAAGCATTCCCTTTGAAAACTGGCACAAGACAAGGATACCCTCTCTCACCACTCCTATTCAACATAGTATTGGAAGCTCTGGCCAGGCCAGTCAGGCAAGAGAAATAAATAAAGCGTATTCAAATAGGAAGAGAAGAAGTCAAATTGTCTCTTTTTGCAGATGACACAATTGTATTTTTAGAAAACCCCATTGTCTCAGCCCAAAAACTCCTTAAGCTGATAAGCAAATTTAGCAAAGTCTCAGGATACAGAATCAATGTGCAAAAATCACAAGCATTCCTATACACCAATAAGAGGCAAACAGAGAGCCAAATCATGATTGAACTCCCATTCATAATTGCTACAAAAAGAATAAAATTCCTAGGAATACAACTTACAAGGGATGTGAAAGACTTCTTCAAGGAGAACTACAAACTACTGCTCAAGGAAATACGAAAGGACACAAACAAATGGAAAAATATTCCATGCTCATGGATAAGAAGAACCAATATCGTGAAAATGTTCATACTGCCCAAAGTAATTTATAGATTCAATGCTATTCCCATCAAGTTACCATTGACTTTCTTCACAGAATTAGAAAAAAACTACTTTAAATTTCATATCGAATCAAAAAAATAGCCCATATAGCCAAGACAATCCTAAGCAAAAAGAACAAAGCTGGAGGCATCATGCTACCTGACTTCAAACAATACTACAAGGCTACAGTAACCAAAACAGCATGGTACTGGTACCAACACAGATATATAGACCAATGGAACAGAACAGAGGCCTCTGAAATAACATCACAAATCTACAACCATCTAGTCTTTGACAAACTTGACAAAAACAAGCAATGGGGAAAGGATTCCCTATTTAATAAATGATGTTTGGAAAACTGGCTATCAATGTGCAGAAAACTGAAACCGGACCCCTTCATTACATCTTATACAAAAATTAAATCAAGATGGATTAAAGACTTAAATGTAAGACCTAAAACCATAAAAACACTAGAAGAAAACCCAGGCAATACTATTCAGGACCTAGGCATGGGCAAGGACTTCATGTCTAAAACACCAAAAGCAGTTGCAACAAAAGCCAAAACTGACAAATGGGATCTAATTAAACTAAAGAGCTTCTGCACAGCAAAAGAAACTATCATCAGAGTGAACAGGCAACCTACAGAATGGGAGAAAATATTTGCAATCTATCCATCTGACAAAGGGCTAATATCCAGAATCTACAAGGAACTTAAACAAATTTACAAGAAAAGAAAACAACCCCATAAAAAAGTGGGCAAAGGATATGAACAGGTACTTTTCAAAAGAAGACACTTATGCAGGCAACAAACATATGAAAAAAAGCTCAACATCACTGGCCATTAGAGAAATGCAAATCAAAGCCACAATGAGATGCCATCTCATGCCAGTTAGAATGTCAATCATTAAAAAGTCAGGAAACAACAGATGCTGGAGATGATGTGGATAAATAGGAAGGCTTTTACTGTGTTGGTGGGAGTGTAAATTAGTTCAACCATTGTGGAAGACAATGTGTTGGTTCCTCAAGGATCTAGAACCAGAAATATCATTTAACCCAGCAATCCCATTACTGGGTATATACCCAAAGGATTATAAATCATTCTACTGTAAAGACACATGCACATATATGTTCACTGCAGCACTATTCACAATAGCAAAGACTTGGAACCAACCCAAATGCCCATCAATGATAGATTGGGTAAAGAAAATGTTGCACATAAACACCATGGAATACTATGCAGCCATAAAAAAGAATGAGTTCATGTCCTTTGCAGGGACATGGTTGAAGCTGGAAACCATCATTCTCAGCAAACTAATACAGGAACAGAAAACCAAACACTGCATGTTCTCACTCATAAGTGGGAGTTGAACAATGAGAACATATGGGCACAGGGAAGGGACTATCACACACTGGGGCCTGTTGGGGGGTGGGGGGCAAGGGGAGGGAGAGCCTTAAGAGAAATACCTAATGTAAATGGCAGGTTGATGGGTGCAGCAAACCACCATGGCACATGTGTACCTATGTAATAAACCTGCACATTCTGCACATGTATCCCAGTACTTAAAGTATACATATATATGATATCATATATATATGATATATTTATTTTATTAATCACTCAATTTTTCTTAACCAAGACCGTTTTCGAAATGTATGTGGTATATAAATATCATATATATATATATCTGAAAATATATTACCTGAATTAGGAAAAAGGCTCAATAGCAATATATTGGACACTACAGAAGGAAGTACTAATAAACTTCAAGAAATAACAGTAAAATATACCCAATCTGATGAATACATTAAAAAAATTGAAAACAATGAGCAGAGCCTTAGAAACAAGTAGGACAATAATAATCACAATAACTTACATGTAATTTGACTCAGAAGGAAAGAAGAGAGAGAAAGAGAAACAGCGGGGTAGAAAAAAAGTATTAGAAAGAATAATGGCTTAAAATTTTCCAATATTTGCTGAAAACATTATCCTACAGATCCAAGATGCTAGCAATCATCTTGATGCTAGCAATTCATCTCTAAATAGATGAATAAAAGGAAAATCACACGAAGCACATCATGGCTAACCTGCTAAAAAACAATGATAAAGTACATTTCTAAAAACCAAAACAAAACAGGAGGATAAAACCCATTACACACAGAAGAAAAATTATACAAAGCCATTTAACTTCTCAGAAACAAAAGACATCAAAGTCAAATGATGTTTAAAAACAATTTTTAATGCTGAAAATAATTAAATTATCAGGTAGAATATTGTAATCAGAATAAAATATCCTTCAAAAATGATGCTGAAGACATTATAAAATAAATGCTGAAAGGATTGTCAAAAGAGTTACACTACAAAAAGTGCATCAACATAATCACACCAAAGGAATATAATACCAAATGGAAAACTAGATCTCTAGGAAGGAATAAGAAGTCCCCAGGAATTGAAAATATATGTGTATATATTAATTTTTTCTCTTATTTTTTAAAAAAGAATCTGCTCAAAGCAAAATAAATAAATACATAATTGTATGCTATGAAGTCTATAACAGGTAGAAGTAAAACGTGTGACCACAAGTATATTACAAATAGTGTGGGAAAAAATATAAATATGCTTTTATAAGTTTCTCATATTTTACACCGAGTGCCACAATAAAACCAGGTCGACTGCATTAATTTAAGGATGCACATATTCATTTCTAGTGCAACCACTAAAAACACAAAAAAGAAACTCTTCACAATTATAAGGTAACAAGTAAATTAAAGCAAAATGCCTAAAATGTTTGCCCCAAATGAGAGGAGGAAACAGGAACAAGAGAACAAAAATAGATGGGATAAACAGTAAAAATAGCCATGAAAATATATATATTTGCATGAAATAATAATTGAATAAAAATTCAAGTTTAAGGCAAACACATTTATAAAACATTAAGAGAATAAACTATATGATACCTACAATATATGTAGATCAAATATAAAGACATAGATATGTTGAAAGCAAAAGGATGAGGAACAAATGCAGCATGCAAAGTATTTATAGAAGAAAATGTTGACTATGTAACATATATAGAAACTGAGATTTTTTTACTGATAAAAATATCAGCTCAGTAGGAATTACAGAAAACCTACACATGCATGCCTCTGTGAACAGGTCAACTTGGAGGCGTTTCTTCAGTGTTCTGTATCTTTACTGATATTCAGTCAATATTTTATATTAATTATTGAGAAATGCGTGCCCAAACTTTCCAAATATATTTTGATTTCTCCTTTTATTTCTATGAATTTTAGGATGTATTTTAAAGGTCTCTTGTTTTCATGTGTACACATTTAAGATTGTCATATCTTCTTGGATAATTGATTTCTTTATCATTATGTATTCCCCTATTCATCTCTGGTAATGTTTCTTTTTCTGAAATGTACTTAATATAGCTATGTTAGGTTTCTTTTGATTATTGTTTTCATGGTAAATCTTTTTCTATTCTTTGTTTTTTAACCTACTTATATCTTTGTGTTTCATTGAATTTCTTGTAGACAGCATATAGTTAGGCTTTGTGTCTTTAACCATTCTGAAAAATCTCTAGTTTCTAATTGATGTAAGAGCATTTACATTTAATGTAATAATTGATGTTCTGTTAAAATCTACCATCTTGCTAGCACTCATCTTTTTTTATGTCTGTTCTTGTGTATTTTTTTCATTTTACAGGCAATACTTTGAATTAATTGAGCTTTAAATTTGTTTTTCTTTTATCTCCATTATAGGCTTATTAAGGCTTGTTATTGGAATAATTTTTGGTGGTTACCCTAGGTTTTATAATATCCACTTTTAGAATTGTGCTATTATGGTCATAAACTTTATTTTTATATATGCTATACAAATGCAATCCTTGACTTTTTGACACCACATTTCTCCAACAGACTGCATCTTTCTTCTTTTTTCATCCCACCCTTACCATCTATTTAGTTTTCTGTTATCATGAAAGAAATTACCATGAACTTGATAGCTTAAAAAAAATTCAGAAGTCCAGGTATGGCATATCTGGGCACTCTGCTCAGGATTTCAAACAGCTGAAATCCAGGTGACAGCCCGGCTGCATTCTCATCCATAGCTTACCTGGAGGTTGGCAGAGTCCTGTTCCTGTGGTCGTGAAACTTACGTGCCTGTTTTCTTGCTGACTGTTAGCTAGGAGCTGCATTCAGCTCATAGAGGTTGTCTTCAGGTTGCAGATTTGTGGTTTTCTCTCAACACAGCAAATTGTTTATTTGAGGCCAACAGAAGAATGTCTCTTTTTTCAAATCTCTCTGACTTCTTTTCTCTGACCTCTAAATTATCTTTTTAAAAGGTATAACTAAATTAGGCCAGGTTCTTCCACACTCAATGGGAGGAGATTATTCAAGGTACACAAATCACGGGGAGAGAGCTTGGGGGGCTATGTTGGAATTCTGCCTACCACTTTGAGCTTTACTTCCTCTTCCAACAATCCACTCCTTGCAGTATTTAATTATCAAGATAGAATTAGCCTAATTTTCAACAAGAGAATATCCATGCTTTTCATGAAGGAGAAGAAAACTAAATCAAGGTGGTAATAATAGGATTCTATTTAGTCAGAAAAGGGAGGACATCTGGTCAGGAGGGAGGAATTCATGCATGTTTTATTTCATTAAGCAATAATCATTAGGTATTCTCTTTTTTTTTTTTTGTAAAAGATCACCAGGGTGTCAGAATTGTCACCTTTCCTTTCCAAGTATTTCCTGAATTTGCTTATTTTTTACTATCTCCACAGCCATTTTCACCAATATACTATTATCTCTTTCTGGAAGATGGCCCTCTAACCAATATCTCTTACTATCTACCTTCTGATCTTCTCTGACATCATTCAGGCCCATCCTTCAATCCTTCAAAATTTAGTCAGATTGAGGAGTGAAAAGAAGTATTCAATTGTGGCTTCCATTAAGAATTTTGATAATTGTATCTTTTGATTAATTATCTCCTAACTATCTCCTTAAACTTCTGCTTTCAACATTCAGACCAGTAAAAATTGACTGGCACACATATTTATAGCCACAATGACAAACTGGCTTAGTTTGATAACTGTAATTGATGCTCTACTTATGGGACTTTCTAGACATTAGAGGTTCAATTATAACAATATAGGGAAAGACAATTTATATGACATTTAAAAGACTAATTCAGAGGCTCTATATAATGCAGTATTAAATAGAAAATGAGAAACATCTGGGGTTTTATTGTTCACAAGACAGTTGAAAATTGATTATATTCAGATGACTGCACTGATACAATATAAAATAATCATGGACAATATATTGATCATAATGAAATATATCTCTTCTAAGAATGGCCATATAGCATTTTCTTTAAAATTTTAGAATATTTAAAATTCAACATAACTGAATAGAGAAAACAAAATATCCCTTGAATAAAAACAGGTCACTTCTTATCTTTGAAAGATTATTCTTCTATGGTGTTTGATTGTTCATCATGATCAAAGAAAGGCATGAGTTGACTTAAAATAAATGTATTTTTGTCTTACAGATCCAAGGCTGAATTCTGCAGTTTTTGGCTTCATTCCAACTTGAATTTATATAGGTATTACTTTAAAGGTTCTTCCCAAATTAGCCATAGTCAATTTCACACAGATAGAATAAAGATAATGATCATCTTCTGCCTGTAAAGATTTGGAAATCCAAGTATAAAATTGCTGCAAAGTACAAAATATTACTTTAATAGGATACAAAACACTGAATTCTGAGGCTCTTGTTGAGTACTTCCTTTTAAGATATTTAATGTTAATGTGTCTCCAGCTAATTTTTCTGGCTATACACCATACATCTGCTCTCTGTCTTTCTGATAAATGACATCCTCCCACTTTTTCTGTATCCTATGTGTTATTGAAAATGTAAATCTTCAAGAAAAGAGGCCCAGCAATGACTTTGCCAAAAGACTTTCCAAATTTCTACTTACAAACTTGGAAATTATTATTTAAACTTTGCAAACTCAAAGTTATATTTTCTCTACATTCATTTTTAATATAATTTGACCGTTAAGTCAATCTTGGTTTTACTTTTTCTTTTTTTTTTTTTTTTTTTTTGCTAAGCTGCATCTTTGCATACGCTTTTAAATTTTCTCTTTGAATGAGAAAGTCCTGTGAGTAAATCTGGTAAAAGTACTCTTCTGAGGGCAGCTATGGTAGTTTTCCCTTATCTGTGGGATATATATTCCAAGATTCCCAGTGAATGCCTGAAACCAGGATAGTACTGAACTGTATATATACTGCTTTTTGCTATACATAAATATCTATGATAAAGTTTAACTTATAAATTAGGCACAGTTAGAAATTAACAATAACCAACAGAAAAATTATAAGAATATGCTGCATTAAAGTTGTGTGAATGTGTTCTCCATTTTCCTTCTCTCTCAAAAGACTGCAATATTTTTGAACCAAGGTTGACTGCAGGTAACTGAAACAAGGGAAAATGAAACCATGGATAAGGGAACACTACTGTACTAATGATGCATCTCACTACCCTTTCGTTAACTTTGTCAAAAATATAGAAACTTGAAACATGAAAATTAGTATGACTCCGTGAAACAGATGAAATTAAGCTGACCTTAAGGAAATTAATATTGAGAGATCACTTTTTTAAACATGTAACTAAACATACAAGTCTAACCTGAAGTTTATCTTTGACCTTCTTTGGGTTTCTGATGTATTCTTTCATTAGATGTATCATTAATCTTCTTAAAATACCTACTAAGCCTGCCTAATATATGCTTTTACTGTAACACTTTCAATAATGGCTGCTATTGATTCAGTCCATGTGTCGTTAGACAAGATCCTCTCATAATTCTTACATTTATCTCACACAATATTTTCCATATTTATGGAGGCAAAATAAGGTGTAGAATTATGAGCAAGATTTCCTTACTAGAGGTCTTCTCAGGTATTTTAATATCTTAATGTGCATTTTGCTTCTCAAGAAATGAGTGTATAATGCAATATGATGCAGTGCAATGATCCTAAAATGTATACATTTCACAGAAGCAGCCACAGTAGAGTATTTGATGAGATATATTTAACCTCTGGATACAATTAGAGTAATTCCTAATTCCTGAGGTCCTTCACATTAGACAGTAAAGTTGACAATGTGGTTTCTGGTTTTTCTTGCCTGGCTGCTTGACTTTTTAAAAAGAAAGCAGTAGCATCATTCTGATTAAAGAGAATAGAATCACAAACTACATACTTATTATATAGTTTTATTTTGATTTAACTGGATGGAAAAAAAGTATTTTTCTAGAATAACCAAATTTTTTTAATTAAAAGAAAACTATTTGAAGATTTAGATATAATAAAAATAACAAACAGAATTATTTTACAGATTCCTGTATGTGGTTTATTTCTAACCTACCATTTCAATGAGAGAGCCTACTCCTTAGAGAATTAATTGTTTACGGGGTGTGAACATGATACTAATTTAACTCAAAACTAAAGGTATAAATTATGTATTCTCTTTCTTCTGAAATCTCAGATGATATTCATGTTGACATAAACAAACAGCTTCTGAGACATTCCTAAGAACGGTCTAGAGAAGTAATACATTTACATTAATTATTAATGCGTATTAGCCATATATTTTAAGATAGAGTAGAAAACATTATTTTCTTTGCAATTTAATGTTACAATTAGGATAAAACTTAGAAAACCAAGAGAGAATAATCAGACAAATGTTACGCCTTGATAGAGTAGAAAAGCAATGGAGAAAAAAAGAAGAAAAGGTAGTATTGTGTTAGGAAATGGAGGGAAACGTTGAGTGACTATAACAACAAAATCTACATTTAAGAAGGGCAAGAAGTGGGATTTAAAGTAGCATTATATGGAGCTTGATATATTCTGAAGACATGCAGAAAGATAATTTTGAGCATACAGTTCAAAAGCCAAATCTCTGCAGATAGAGAAATTTCAACAGGATAAAGGACCTTTACATTATTCCTTGGTATTAGCAGGGGATTGGTTCCAGGACCTTCTGCAGATGACAAAATCCTTGTATATCAAATTCAAGGATGCTCAAGTCCCAAATAAAATGCCATAATATTTGCATAGAACTTAAGCACATCTTCCCAAATACTTTAAATCATCACTAGGTTACTTAAGATATCAAACACAATGTAAATTCTACATAAATAGTTGTTACACTGTATTGTTTAGGAAATAATGACAAGAAAAAAATGTTTATACATTTTCAGTACAAAAACATTTTCTTTTCCAGAATATTTTCAATCTGTGGTTGGTTGAATCCACAGATGCAAAACCCACAGACGTGAGGGCTGATTCTACGTGCAAACTGGCCACAAAAGTCCTGGCTGTCTTCAAAGCTGCATCCTAACGAGGGCAGAGTACCTGGTACAATGAATCTGATTGTAATTTACAAGAAAATCACCTCTACTGCCTACAATATGTTACCTCATTTGTTTCCCAGTTCCTAATTTGTACCCTTAGATTCTTAGACCATAAAGTATTTCCTGAAGGAATAGAGGGCTCCAAGTGGGATGATTTGAGTAGTTCATTTTGGTGGCTTTTGTTATGGAAATATGTGAGGATGGTTGAACTTTAGTACTGATTTTTCATTCACATGACAAGAATGCCTACATAAATCATGTTGCTCTCCCATTTAAGTAATTACTAGGTTTGAAGCCAGTTAAAACAAATGATAGAAGATATTTTAGGTTAAACAACATGGTTTTGCTTTCATTGACATCAACCATAATAGGCCTAAAAATATAAGTGCAGAAAAGCATGTTAGTATCTTTTATTTCTTTCAAGTATATTCATTTAGTTGACTTTTTCAAATATATTTTAGCTTATTTTGCCTTCTGATAAGAATAGGACAATTGAAGAAAAGGTTTTCTCACTTCCTTAACATTATGAAAGAATTTTATTTTGGAATTGCCTGAGAGGTAAATGGAAAATATGCTCAGTTGGCCCAAATTCTTTATTAAACAACATTATAAGTGAAAATCTGTTTTCCCTGCTATTATCTGAGTGCTATGCTTAAAGAAACAAATAAACATCCTGACAGTTGACAGACAGGAAATATGTTTTGTTTCCTTTTTTATTCCGGCTTCATTATTTTCCATGGAGATGGATTCTTGAAGCGACAGGCTGTGTTCATTTCAGTTCAACTGTTCATTGACTTATGCAACATATCAAATTCCTTACCAAAGTGAAAAAAAAAAAAAGCAGAATGAAATTTAGCTATGATTCAACCAGAGAAATTTACATGTTGGGCAAGGATTCTTGTTATTTAAAGATAAAGGCATTTTTGAAAGTCCACTGAAAAATGGCTAAAATTTTTCTAATTCTGGTTTGGTGATATATCCTATTAATCTGCCACCACTTATTAATGGCACTCATAATTTAAAGCCCTCTAACACTGGCACCTCACATCTCATTAAGGTATCTCCTCCCATTCTTCCTGCAAACATGACATTTAGGAGACCATTATATGACTTACACAGATAATTGCCACAAGGTTCTAAGCAGCCTTGATCCTGCTCTGGCTTACAGCTTGTCAGCCTACTAGCCTACTGTCAGCACATGATAGTAGAACTCTTATTAGTTAAATATTCTTGGCAGAATCTCACAAATGGTATGTTTTTAATGTTCGAAAGTTTAAATAGCTTGACATTTTAAAGGTTATCGCTTTCTTTCCCAGGATAATTATTTCCAGTGTCAATAAAGTATTTTTTAAAACCCATGTATTGACAATAGAAATAAGTTAGAAGTTCATCTTTTACAGATTTATTTCAGTGTCATTTTAAGAAATAACACAGTGATATAAACAGTAGGTGATATGAGTCTGGTTTTTTTTGCACATATAATTATTCTGTGCTTATTCTTCTGAAATCATGTAATGCAAGATAAAGCTTAGATAAAGTAGAGTTTAAAGGTCTGAAAGTTGAGATAAAAGCTAAATTCATGGCAAAATTGCAAGTCTTCACTTCCTTTTTAATGTAGGAGACAGCTAATTTAAATTTAAAGTCACTCTCAGAGCAGAAGTAAATTAGCCTGGGAGAACTCCTTGGATTCCCACCCAGCTTTGAGCCCTGGCCTACGACTGGAAAAATAAGAACAATTTTCTTATCTGTTAAGTATAGCAGAAGTATGAAAACAAATTCAAGAGACACTTCGGAAATATACATTTTTCTAAATGTGAGAATATTTCCAAATAATTGCAATACTGAAGCAAGCAAATATTTATTAGAAGGGACTTTAAATGTGCTTAATAAACTACAGAATTGAATTAATGCCTTACTTATGGGTCTGAAAACAGAAATATTGATATCTCAGAATCTGAAAAATGGACATTTACCATGTTCTTGAACAATTCTGATAAGGAAAGCTCACTTTAAAGCAAATAAATTCTCAGTGTTGGATAGAATTCTTTTTTTGAAAGCTTTTTTTCATATTAAACCAATAACTGCTTTTCTGCAACTCATCTTTATGGTTGTGGTAGCAAAATGACTCTGCAAAAAAAATAGTCACATCCTAATCCGTAGAACCTGTAAATAGGTTCTGTTACATGGGAAAAAGGACTTTGCAGGTGTGATTAAGGTTCAGGACTTTGAGATGGGTAGGTTGTAGATGATTGATCACATGAGGCCTTAAAAGCAGAGAACTTTTTCTAGCTAGAGGCAAGAGACATGGAGCCAAAGTGGAGGTAAGAGAAATCTGAAGCATAAAAAGGGCTCTATTTGTCATTGCTGGCCTTGAAGATGAAGAACCCATAGGCTGGGGAGTGCCGGAGGCCCCTGGCGCCTGACAACAGTACCCAGTTAAAACAAGTGAGTGAACAAGTAATTAGTCCTACACTGCATGACAATGAATTCCGAAAACCACCTGAAAAAGTCTGTTAAGTGCGTTTCCTCTCCAGAGCCTTCAGATAAGAGCCTACAGTGACCTTTCTTATGAGAACCAAAGCAAAGGAAACAGCCAAGCCCACCCTAATTTGTGAAACACAGAATTATAAAATAATTTATGTTGTTTTAAGGTGTTAAATTTGTGGTAAACAAAAATGGCAGCAATACAAAATAACACAGTTTTCAGTGGTTCTTTCCTCTGGCCCAACATAGAATATCTATAACTTTCCACCCAACTGCCTGGAATCATTTCAAATTTTCAAAAATAACTTAATGTTAGCTGGGCGCACTGGCTCACACCTGTAATCTCAGCACTTTGGGAGGCCAAGGCAGGAGGACTGCTTGAGCCCAGGCATTCAAGGCCAGCCTGGCAAGATGGCAAGCCCCATCTCTATAGAAAATTTTTTAAAATTAACCAGCCTTGGTGACAATGCACCTGTGTTTCCAGCTACTGGGGAGGTTGAAGTGGAAGGCTCGCTTGAGCCAAAGAGGCTGAGGCTGCAGTGAGCTGTGTTGGTGCCACTGTACTCCAGCCTGGATGACAGAGTGAGACCCCTCCTCAAAAGCATTAATTAATTTATTTCCATATGCCATGCTTCCTCAATGCCCATCATAAACTCTGGTGCTCTGTGTTAAACACAGTGATTCAGAAGTAAACTGACTTATAAGAACTCAGAAAGATCTGCTACTTATGGTATAAAGTTATAACAATGCAAGGGTTTTTTTTTTTTTTTTCGGAAGATTTTCTACATGGTTGACATACTTACATGTGCCCAAGTTATATCTTTGGATATTTCTCACATAAACTTCTCTAAACTACTGCATTCCATTCTAAAAATGATCAGTTGACTTTTTAAAATTGCACCTATATAAACACTCATGTAGACACATTTATTCCACAAACAAACATGCAATTGACATTATATTTTTAATAATTTTTCTCTTGCTGAGATTTTGGTCCATTAACCAATGAGTCAAGATTATTTAAATTATCTTATTTCCCTAATTCAAATAAATATTGCATTTTAATAACAGACTTTGGAAAGAAAATAAGCCTATAACCAAATTAACTATGCACATCTATGATACAACATTATTTAATTTATAAATGCTAAAATATAAAATATAATTCTTCTTAGGAATGTTCTATATATAATATACATAAGCACATATGTATGTACACATATATATGCACAGATACATTTGCATATATATCCATGTATATAGTTTTATGTGTGTATATATACATAGTTATAAGAGTATACTTACATGTATTTACAAATTTTTACTCTCTTTTTCAAAACAGTTACAACATTTTCAAGTATTATCTTCTGTAGTGAATGTGACCATACTTGGAAACAGAATCTTTACATACATAATTAAGTCAAGGTTCCCCAAATAAGATCATCTTGGATTTACAATAGGCCCTAAATCCAATGACACGTGTTTTTATAAAGGAAAAGGAGGGTGAATTGAAATAAAGAGGCAAAAAGAAGAGAGAACCAGGTGGAGACTGAGGCAGAAATTAAAGGGATGTGAAGCCAAGAAGCACAGAGGATTTCTGTCAACCACCAGAAGCTAAGAGAAAAGCATATAGCGAATTCTTTCTTAGAGTTTCCAGCAGGAAACAACCCTACATAAATACCTTGCATTTGGACTTCTGGCTTCCAGAACAGTGACATGAAAAATGTCAGTTACCAAGTTTCTGGTACATTTTTATGGTAGTCCTAGGAAACGAGTAGATTTTGGTACAAAGAAAGGTGAGCTTTTGTTACAAATATCGAAAATATGGAAGTGAGTATGAATTTGGACAATATAGATAGAGGATGGAAGTATTTTGAGATACGTGATAAAAGATTATATATAGATTGGCTTGAAGGGACTAATGGTGGAAATTTGGATTTTAAAGATGCTTTTGGTGAGATCTCATAATAAAATGAGGAACATATTATTGGAAACTATAGGGAAAGCAACCCTTGTCATACAATTACACAAAAGTTACCTGAATTATATTTCAGAGTTGGATGGAAAGCATATATTGTATGCAGGGAATTTGGATATTTAGCTAATATTTCCAATCGAAGTGTGGAAGCTCTGGTTTCTTCTTGCTACTCATAATAAAGTCTGAGAAGAAAGAGATGAATTGAGGAAGAAACCATAAGCAAAAAAGAACCAGCACTTGATGACTTTGGAAGTTCTTGGCCTATCTGGATTGCAAGGGATTCTAAAGTTAGGAAATTCACTGCTGAGAAAGTGTGCTCTGGCCAGAAGGCCAATTGTGTTCCCAGACAACCTTTTGCTGAAGAAACTAGGTGTATGACTCAAGGATCCCATCAGCCATCTCAACATAAGCCAGGGATAGAGATGGGGTTATCTAGGGAGGATCCTTGGGCGACCCTCTTGTCTACTGTTACATATCACTTTGACATGCACAGAAGACACACAATGTTTCATGGAATGTTATACCTACAAAAACTTTGCCAAGCTCTATTGAAAGGGGCAGAGATGGGACATAATAAAGGAAAGGTGCTAGACTTCTAGGATTCTACAGGCAGAAAACAGGCTGATAGAGCTATTTGGCTGTGAGCATGTACTAACCTTCAAGAAAAAGAAATAATGACTTCAAAAGCAGAGCCGCAGACACTGAGGCAAAGGGCAGAGAGGCATGCCCAGAAGCAGGGGCCAAGGGAACCTCCACAAGCTCAGGGGATAAAGGACTAATCACGGAGGATTATTTCAGTCCTTGAAACCTACTAGAACTTGTCCTTCTGAGTTCACACTCCTTTAGGACCAGGGAATTTTTAAAATTTCTTCTGATTTCTCCCTTTTGGAATTGTTGCTAAAAAAAAAGGGTTCCAATCCAGACCTCAAGACAGGGTTCTTGAATCTCATACAGGAAAAAAAATTCATGCAAGTTGCAGAGTGCAGTGATAAGACATAATTTATTGAAAGCTACTCAGTTACAGAGTAGAACATCCTCAGAAAGCAAGAAGAATGTACTGTCTCGGTTTTAACGTCTTAAATTGGGGTCTTATCTATATAAAAGCTAAATTCCGTCTGTGTGAGAGTGGACTGAGATTGTGACCAAATTTATTACTTTGTTGATTTAAAGTAAGTTACCCTTGGCATATTAGTGAACAAGCACTTCAAACATGACTATAATTATCTTTAAAAGCATACATTATTTTGTGATATTAGGACATCTGGACATTTTGCTATTGTAGGAGTTTGTCCTTGCAGGCATTATTAAGCTACTTCTTTAACTGTAAACATCTTATGACCATTGGTAATGAACAACAAATAATGTGTTTTGCTAATTTAAGATGAGGTCATTTTTAAGATGGTGTCACCCTGGCTCTCCTAGGCTACTGCTTCCCTAATAGAATGAAAATTTTAACCCTATGCCTCTCCATCACTCCATTTTGGGAGGATATAACTTGTTTTTTTTTTTCTTTTTCTCTTTTGTTTCTTTCATTCTTTTTTTTTTATTATTATACTTTAAGTTTTAGGGTACATGTGCACATTGTGCAGGTTAGTTACATATGTATACATGTGCCATGCTGGTGCGCTGCACCCACTAACTCGTCATCTAGCATTAGGTATTTGTTTTGTAATCCACAGGTCCATAGATGAACAGGAATTTTACCCAAAGATGGGTCATACCCAGAGTCTCACCTACACCTGACTTAAATGGCATATGGGACATTTTGAATTGATGATATCTGAGATTTTGCACTTGGGTTGAAGCTGGAATGAATTAAGACTTTTAGGATTGTTGAATTGAGTGGATTTATTTTTCACTCCATTGGGACATATATGAAGTATTGTGGGACAGAAGATGGACTACATTGGTTTGGAAGATGTTTCCCAAAAAAGATATATCCCATTCAGAAACCCCAGTTCCTGTAAATATGACCTAATTTGGACATGGTATATTTGCAGATATAATTGAATTAAGAATATGAGGATAAGATCATCTTATATTTAGCGTGAGTCATAAATCCAATCACTTGTGTTCTTGTATGAAAATGGAAGGGGGGAATTTGAGACACAGAGGCACACAGAGGACAAAATTTATGTGAAAATGAAGGCAGAGATTGAAGTCATGTGTTTATATGTCAAGGAATGTCAAGGATTTCTGGGAGCCACTAGAAGCTAGATGAGAGGTATTAAATAGATGCTCCCCAAGAACCACCAGAAGGAACTAACCCTGCACTGATACCTTGATTTTGGACTTCTGGGACTCCAGAGCTGAGAGAATAAATTTCTATTGTTTGAAGCCTCTAAGTCTGTGGACACTTGTTAAGGAAGCTCTAGATAACTAATATATATGCAGACACTGTAGTCAAGAACTTAAAAATTAATTTTTAGAAAATAATTGATTCATTAACTAATTCAACAAATATTTATTGAGCATCTTCTCTCTGCCACACAATAATCTACATCCTGACAACACCCACTTTGTGTAATCACAACTATGTTCCCTGATAATTATGAAATGTATAGTATGTTAATAGAATGTGACAGAAAATGTAAAACTAAAGTTGTGACAAAAGTTTGAGTGAGAGTATATCTCTGAGGGTCTTTAACTAACTGGAAGTTATCACTGTGAGATATTAATGCCTAAGCTTGAACCTAACAGGTCAGTTGAATTCACCAAGTATAAAATTGAAGGTTGAAGACTTAAAGAATGTGCAAAGCATTTGAGACGATAAGGATCATTACAAATAAGAGGGACCATAAGATATTGACAATGTCTGTAAAATGGTTGTATAAATCAAAAAAGAGGTATATAAATTAACTGGACATTTTCCAATACTTTTGTCAACTGATCTGAAATATATGGCAATTGTGAAATAATCTCACTGGGATAATCCTGTTTCTCATCATAGAAGTTCATAATTCCATACAATTTCCCTACTCTCTCAAATCTAGGGGACATGTATATATGAGTTAGATTATACCAATCAGTATCCATCACTGATGTTTAATCAGAAGCCAGGGCAGGAAAAATTTGTAATGTCTTAGACCTCTTTCTAGTTGAAGACTGATGGGAACAGTAGCAGCTATATCTAGTTTCCAGGAATAGTTTTGAAATCAGTATCTCATGATCAGTTATCAATTGTGTCCTGTATCTGACAATAAAATCTTTATTCTCAGCATTGGCAGCAAAAGTGTCTTCGTGGCATCAATCCTGTGGTGTGATTTTGGTTACTGTTGCAAGTTGCATAGCATGTGGGCTTGGCTGTCTGTCTCTTTGGAAAATTCTATGAGCTACCCAATATATTTTCATACGTTTTTTTTTTTTTTTGCCAAACTATTTTCTCTCACTTGGAATTAAGAGGCAAAACTATGCTTGATTGTTGGGATTCATTTAAGAAAGATATTTAACCTCTTGTCATACTTTGAAACATGCTGACACTAAGATCTGAAATAGTCACATTTAGATTTTGAAAGATCGCTCTGGCTTGAGTGCCATATTATAATGTGATAAAACCAACTAGGAGACTATTTCAGTTATCCAGGGAAGAGAATAATGATAGTTTCTCAAGCACAGTGGTGATGGATATGCAGAGAAATACATATATTTAAAAAACATTTGGGGAAAGAAGTTGGCAGATCTAAAAAATATATAGCAAAAGGGGTGATGAGCAAGACACGGGTGTCATTAATGACTACATTTTCTTCATTACAGAGCTGAGTGGATTATTGTGACATTTATGCAAACAAGACACACTGGAAAAAGGTCACTTTGTGGAGATAATAGGAGGGGATGACTTGATTTAGTTTGGGCAGGTTGAGTTTCTCTTTGCCACAGCCTACCAGGTGTGATCAGTGAGTGATCTGGGTAAGTGATCAGTGAGTGAATGGGAAGGCCTAGGATTTTATTGTACACTACCATAAACTTTATAAACACTGCATGGTTAGGCTACATAACATATATTTTTAAACCCTTTTTATTAAATAATACATGAGCCTTATCTTAGTGTAACTTCTTTATTTCATAAACTTTAAAAACTTTTTAACTTTTGGATTCTTTTGTGTTCTTACCTAGAAGTTCAAATTCTCAGTTGCTGAAATACAAGTGGAAACCCTATTCTAAGAGTTTGCCAATGCAATCTAAGATATTGGTATGATTTGGTTGCCCAATAAAAAGTGTTTTGTGTTTCATGAAGGTAAGGGAAATATTATACCAGGCTTATAAGCTCAGCACAGGCCTCCTATTCTTTTAGTGCAACACTGAAAAGCAGTGAGCTTGGCATAAGAATATTTTAATTTTTATTTATTTAAGCTTTCAATTCTTCCTATATATTTCCATTGGGTAATCAGAGAGGTCTCTGAAAAGTTTCTCTGAAGAGACAGAACATAAAACAGGTCTGAAACTTTCTCCACAATCATCAAGAACTTTTTGAATAACTCAAAAGTAAATAAATTAACAGATTCACTTATATGCCCCATGATCTCTTCTATGGCTTGTGACTTTTATTACTTTGGCAATTAGAGATGAACTAATTAATTTATTTGGATAATTGGAACCAGAGAACACAGGGCTTAAGGGGATTCAGGAACAAAGAGGTGAAAGTTATTTAGCCATGATATAATAAGACCATTCAGATTCATAAAAATAATCCTATTTTATATTAACAATAACTCTGTATGTTGAAGATAAAATAATTGTAAATCAGTTTAATTTGAAGCAAATGTAATTGGAATTACATAAAAAGAATTACTTATGAATATTAAATATTTAAGTAGGAAAAATAGATTTAAAGTCCACAAATTTATCAATCATGTTAAATTAAGCATTTTAATTTTGTAATCAATTATATTTTTACTTACTAAATATCCCATATCATGCCCAAATTATAAAATATAACAATAATATTTTAAGAATCCTGGTAGCAAATACTATGTCTTTATACCGTCACAAACCTATTTTAAATACAAAACTTCCATTGAAATAGTTTTCTCATCAATGATACTGTATGTTTTCTGGGTAGATAAAATAATGACTTTGTACTTCTACTTATTAAAATTCTATTAATATGTTATGATCCTTGCACTATCAACTTATGTTGTAACAAAGGGAAAATGTTATTTTGAGGCATAGATTAAAACAATAATACTTGACTTCAGAGAACTATTAATTCTATTAATTTAATGATGTTACCCCACTCTATTTTTTTTTAATCAAAATTCCCTCCTGGACACAACATCTGTTCTTGCTTTTACTACTCCAACTTAATTAATACCAGTTTTATGCTATGGAAGATATCTGAACCTTAAAAGATGATGATAAATGAGGCCAAACTTCAAAATAAAAGGCGGCAGTTTTCTTTGCTAAAATGAACACATAGACACATAGGCTTTTAAAAAATCATACGGTGTTCTATTGTGAGTTATTGTATGAAAAGGATAAATAAAGAAATTACGTCTAAGAATAAGGATCAGGTAGAAAAGGAAACTTTATTGTAACCTCTTAGGTGGGTGTCATATAGGAGAATTTTGAAGTGCTTTTAGAAATCTAAGAGATGAGTGAAAATTAAAAATAAAAACAGTAAGTTTAGTTTCTTTTCAGGAAAGAGCTAGAAATTAGTCAAACTGAAAATATTATACTAAGAATTTAATTTATTATCAAAAAATAAGTACGGAAAAGAATATAGCTATTGTGGTTTAATTTTATTTGAAGGGTCATGATTTTTTTTTTCTTCTTGAAATATGTTTTCTCTTAAGGTTAAGATGTACATAGAAGCAGAAAGATTAAGTTTGTTCAGGAAATGAAAAAGCTAATAATAAAATCCAATAGCTTTCTTCATACTCCTTGTAGATTTTGGACAGCTGCCTAATCTAAACCCGAATGTAATGGAAGCTTTAAGAAGTGATATGTACATTTGATATTTTCAGCCCAAAAATAATTTATAAGTGTAATGAATGGACTACCTACTTTACTTGTCTTTATTACCTGTAGAATAAAATATATGTATAATTAACTCCTGTTTAATTATGTTAAAGGTGACCTACAAAAATATCATAAATTTCAATTGCCTCAGCTGTGTGCTTCAGCAGTTAAATATCCCTTCCAGCCAAGCCAAGATAAGTCAGCAAATAAGTTGATAAATAGTGACCCTTTGAAGCACTTTTAAAGTCCTCAAAGTCAAACTATGCCATGCTTTACTTTTGCCAATAACATCAGGCCTTAGGTGTCAGGTCTTACAAGAGCTAATGGATAGAAAGTCCGGAGACCTTCATAATCTTGTCCACTCAACTGCCTTTATTCAATAAAAAAAAAAAAAAATGGGTTGATAAGATAATTCTCTGGGTACTTTCCAACCTGAAAATACTGTCATTCTTAGCCATCAGATTCCAGGAAAAGATAATGAGAGAATAATGACTATGATGTATATTTTAATAAAAGATGTAACTTCAATAATTTATAAAATTTAATTACTAAAATTATTAAAGTTCTAATGCTGTACCCATCATTTTCTCTTACTTTTCCTCCTATTTCAGGATTCTCCAGATAAACAGATTCAACCAATTAGAAGCATATATCCGTCCTATTGGTGGAGAGAGAGAGAGAGTAAAAATTAATCATCATATCCCATATGTGATGAGTCTGGATATGTAGACTCTTCAAGTGTCAGAAAGCTGCAGCTCAACAAAAATGAATGCTCTTGTCTTGACACATAAACTGATCTGAATCTACTAGAAAGAAACGTCAGTGGAATCGACACTTCCTCTGTATGAGACAGGTCACTTCTATGTTATTCCATAACAGAACCTCTGATTCACTCCTCTGAAATCTACATATGGATAACAATTTTAAAATTGCCATGTAATCTGGTAATAACAATAGTCATCATTGTTACTGTGTGCTGAAGGCAGATACTTACCAAATGGGAACCCTGAGAAATTAAAACTATATCCTCTTTTCACATAGCAACAAAAAGGATCAAGGAGTTCAAATAATTTTTTCAAGAACAGATACATTGTGAATTCTAAAGCCAATATCTAACACAATCTGACATATTTCAGAGCTTTTTCTGTGCTTCTATTTGCATTCTTTTTGGATAGTTAAGAGATCCTACCGCCTCCAACCCTGTTCCTCCTGGAAAGCCTACTGCTTATTATCTGCTTCCTGGCCTCCCCAGCCCTACTGAGATGAATTATAACCACAGCCTAAAGAAACCCCTGCTGCTCTAGCGTACTCCCTAGAGTTGCCCAGGCAAAAAGCGCCTTGGGAACAAATCAACACCTGCAATTCCTAGTGAATCTTCTTATGGATTGCTTTGGAACTCATCGTGGAAACAACTGTGTGTCTTCTCTTCCAAGGGGGTTTAAACCACTTCTTTGAATTATTAATTACACAGCGTCTTTCTGTATTTTCAGTGATCATCATTTCACTATGTGACTGTACTTCACTATGAACTGCCTCAAAGTCTTTCCGAGTTCCCCTATACCACATAGCCTATATTTAAAGACATACTATTAGTGAAATACTCTCCAAAATGTGGCTTAAATATTTTCATCCATTTTGTTTGATGTGATGACAGATGCATTGAAACTTAAGTCTTATTTATACAGTCGTAATGATGCTCAATACACTATTACTGGTCTTGATTAACTGCTTCATATGTGAATATCTTGAATACTCATAATGAATATGAGCTCCTCTACTTCATTTTGTGTGAACATGTTCAACAAATATTGGCTCATTTAATAAATAACTGAATGAATGGGCAACTACAGAACAAATAACCAAGCTAGTGGAATGATATTCTGAAAATGAAGAGTGCTATATAAACAATGTTTGTGTCCTCCTAAAATTTATACATTGAAATCCTAACTCCCAACGTGATGATATTAGAAGATGAGGCTTTAAGTAGATGGTTAGGTAATGAAGGTGGAGCTCTCATGAGTGGATTATAATGCTCTCTTAAAAAACAGACCTCAAAGAACCCCCAAACGTCTTCTGCTGCGTGAGGACAGAGGGAGAAGCATCCATGAACAAGGAAACTAGACACCAAATCTGCCAAGACTGATGGTGAATTCCAGCCTACAGAACTGTGAGCAATAAATATCTGCTGTTTATAAGCCACCTAGTCTATGGTACTTTTTATACCAGCCTAAACAGACTAATCCAAAAAGTAAATACATGACAGAAAATTTTCATAGAAGCTAAATAAAGCCCAATTACCATACCTTCTAAGTTGTCATCGTGCAGTATTTAGACTCAATAGATTTCAAAGTTTTAGATATACCATACTTAATTAAATTAAGACTGCATGTCTTTGTATGTTTTATGAGAATCTTCTGAGAAAATTAAGTAAATTTCAAGGAAAATAATCAATATAATAGGGGTAAAGAAGAAGAAAACAAAAACAGATTTATAATTGGAAGGATTAATGGCAGAGTAATGTTTACGAATTAGGAAAAAAAATACTGTGAGGGGTTAGGCTAGTTCTCACAGAATTCTCTGTGGCAGGCCAATCGTTCCTCTTATATTTTATAAGGATTTGGAAGAAGATTCTTTGGCTCCAAGTTATGTGTGGGTGTGCTGTTTAATAATCATATGTTCAAGCCCTCCATTACTGAAGATGGAATTACCACACCTCTTTAAAAGTTCAATTTTCTGTTTATATGCTGGATTACATTTACTGATTTGCATATATTGAACCAGCCTTGCATCCCAGGGATGAAGCCCACTGGATCATGGTGGATAAGCTTTTTGATGTGCTGCTGGATTCGGTCTGCCAGTATTTTATTGAGGATTTTTGCATCAATGTTCATCAAGGATATTGGTCTAAAATTCTCCTTTTTGGTCGTGTCTCTGCCCGGCTTTCGGTATCTCAATAGATGCAGAAAAGGCCTTTGACAAAATTCAACAACACTTCATGCTAAGAACTCTCAATAAATTAGGTATTGATGGGATGTATCTCAAAATAATAAGAGCTATCTATGACAAACCCACAGCCAATATCATACTGAATGGGCAAAAACTGGAAGCATTCCCTTTGAAAACTGGCACAAGACAGGGATGCCCTCTCTCACCACTCCTATTCGATATAGTGTTGGAAGTTCTGCCCAGGGCAATTAGGCAGGAGAAGGAAATAAAGGGTATTCAATTAGGAAAAGAGGAAGTCAAATTGTCCCTGTTTGCAGATGACATGATTGTATATCTAGAAAACCCCATTGTCTCAGCCGAAAATCTCCTTAAGCTGATAAGCAACTTCAACAAAGTCTCAGGATACAAAATCAATGTACAAAAATCACAAGCATTCTTATACACCAATAACAGACAAACAGAGAGCCAAATCATGAGTGAACTACCATTCACAATTGCTGCAAAGAGAATAAAATACCTAGGAATCCACCTTACAAAGGACGTGAAGAAGCTCTTTAAGGAGAACTACAAACCACTGCTCAATGAAATTAAAGAGGATACAAACAAATGGAAGAACATTCCATGCTCATGGGTAGGAAGAATCAATATCGTGAAAATGGCCATACTGCCCAAGGTAATTTATAGATTCAATGCCATCCCCATCAAGCTACCAATGACTTTCTTCACAGAATTGGAAAAAACTACTTTAAAGTTCATATGGAACCAAAAAAGAGCCCGCATCGCCAAGTCAATCCTAAGCCAAAAGAACAAAGCTGGAGGCATCACGCTACCTGACTTCAAACTATACTACAAGGCTACAGTAACCAAAACAGCATGGTACTGGTACCAAAACAGAGATATAGATCAATGGAACAGAACAGAGCCCTCAGAAATAACACCGCATATCTACAACTATCTGATCTTTGACAAACCTGAGAAAAACAAGCAATGGGGAAAGGATCCCTATTTAATAAATGGTGCTGGGAAAACTGGCTAGCCATATGGAGAAAGCTGAAACTGGATCCCTCCCTTACACCTTATACAAAAATCAATTCAAGATGGATTAAAGACTTAAATGTTAGACCTAAAACCATAAAAACCCTAGAAGAAAACCTAGGCATTACCATTCAGGACATAGGCATGGGCAAGGACTTCATGTCTAAAACACCAAAAGCAATGGCAACAAAAGCCAAAATTGACAAATGGGATCTAATTAAACTAAAGAGCTTCTGCACAGCAAAAGAAACTATCATCAGAGTGAACAGGCAACCTACAGTTGCCAGTTAGAATGGCAATCATTAAAAAGTCAGGAAACAACAGGTGCTAGAGAGGATGTGGAGAAATAGGAACACTTTTACACTGTTGGTGGGACTGTAAACTAGTTCAACCATTGTGGAAGTCAGTGTGGCGATTCCTCAGGGATCTAGAACTAGAAATACCATTTGACCCAGCCATCCCATTACTGGGTATATACCCAAAGGATTATAAATCATGCTGCTATAAAGACACATGCACACGTATGTTTATTGCGGCACTATTCACAATAGCAAAGACTTGGAACCAACCCAAATGTCCAACAATGATAGACTGGATTAAGAAAATGTGGGACATATACACCATGGAATACTATGCAGCCATAAAAAATGATGAGTTCATGTCCTTTGTAGGGACATGGATGAAATTGGAAATCATCATTCTCAGTAAACTATCGCAAGAACAAAAATCCAAACACCACATATTCTCACTCATACGTGGGAACTGAACAATGAGAACACATGGATACAGGAAGGGGAACATCACACTCTGGGGACTGTTGTGGGGTGGGGGGAGGGGGGAGGGTTAGCACTGGGAGATATACCTAATGCTAGATGACGAGTTAGTGGGTGCAGCGCACCAGCATGTCACATGTATACATAGGTAACTACCCTGCACATTGTGCACATGTACCCTAAAACTTAAAGTATAATAATAAAAAAAAAGTTCAATTTTCACACAGATAAAAATGAAGAAGATAAAGAGAAAGGTTTCAATTCTTTATCTCACATTTGAGGATGCTTATAGATATTTTCTCTTTCTCAATATTTTTCTGTTTAAAAGTATATGTTTATGTTTAATGGGAATATATACAGAGAGAAAAATGGAGTAAAAATGTCTCATAAGAGAGAGGTAATGACTATCAACATTTTTTTATATCCTCTAGTTATATCTCCATTTCATATGCTACCTAGATTGACCCTTCATCATCAGACTCAGGAAAGAATATGGCAAACAGTGTTCCCCTATTCTGTGGTATATCTGATGATATATTCCCAAGAGTTTAGTGAATTCCTAGGAGTAATTTATTTTTCTTTCTTTTTTTTCTTACTGTCTTTCTTTTCTTTTTCTAGTTATTTCTGGCTTTGATTAGTGCCTTCTGTTGAGTTCATTTTCTCTACCCTGCATCTGCTCACCCCAGTATTGATAATGATCCTTTCATTATTTCCAAAAATATTCAGTGAATTCCAGTGCTGTGTTAGGCACTGTTCAAGACACTAGGGAAACTACAGTAAGAAAGATAGATGGAATCCCATCCTTGTCAAGTTACTTTCCAGGGGTAGTGAAAAGGATGTGGGGCAGAAAAAAGATGAACAAGTGTAAGTAACTCATATTTCACATGACATTCAGTACTATAGAGAAAAATAAAACAGGAGACTAGAGGAACAGTTACAGAATTGGAGGCTGCAATTTTTTTTTTTGAGACAGGATCTTGCACTGTCACTTGGCCTGGAGTGCAGTGGCACCATCTCAGTTCACTGCAACCTCTGCCTCCTGGGTTAAAGTGATTCTCCTGCCTCAGCCTCCTGAGTAGCTGGGATTACAGTCACCCGCCACCATGCCCAGCTAATTTTTTGTATTTTTAGTAGAGACGGGGTTTCACTATGTTGGCCAGGCTGGTCTCAAATGCCTGACCTAGTGATTCGCCCATCTTGGCCTCCCAAAGTGCTGGGATTACAGGTGTGAGCCACCACACCCAGCCAGATACCTAAAATGTTATCTGGGAAGATGTAACTGAAAAAGTGGCATTTGACCAAACACCTGGGTGGATCTGTCGGGTCTGAGGATATTTCTTATTGCTAACTCTTCCTATCAAACTAAAATGAGAAGAAAAACAAAAACAAAACTAGTACAAGGCAGCTGTGCTTTGACTTTTTTGTCCTTTAGTTTTAGGAGAAGTAGATGTGATTTCACTATAGCAACCACAAAATGAAAACATTAAAATTAAATATTACTTTTTATTAAAAAATTCTCATTGACATGACTCTAGCCTCTTGCAAGTCTCCCTTGCCTTTTATTTGTTTTGATTTCATTTTCTTTCTCTTTCATCTCTTTTATTCTTATTTTTCCAATTATTTTTCCACTTCTTTTATCTTGGCTTTTCTTTCCTTTAATGTCATTCTTCTCCCACACTAAAATCCTATACATGAATATATAAATACAAATACATATTAATTTTTGTCTTCTGTATTGTGATTTACCAATCATTTTCTTGGCCTCTACCTTGTAATGACATCAGTGTCTCATAATCTATACTTAGACAATTATCAGGGTACTTTCTTGGACAAAGACCATTCCATCTTGAGGATAAATAATAGTTGCTAAAGATAAGTTTCTTGCTATTTTATACATGCATACATTTATAAATAATCGGTAATATATTTAGATGCGTTTTTAATCTCATATTTATTTTATAAAACACTAGCTTTTTGTCCTATCAGTAGAAATTTTCAAAAAAAAAAATTTTGGCCGGGCACAGTGGCTCACACCTGTAATCCCAGCACTTTGGGAGGCTGAAGTGGGTAGATCACAAGGTCAAGAGATCGAGACCATCCTGGCCAACATCTTGAAACCCCGTCTCTACTAAAAATACAAAAAAAAAAAGTAGCCGGGCGTGGTGGCGGGCGCCTGTAGTCCCAGCTACTCGGGAGACTGAGGCAGGAGAATGGCGTGAACCCGGGAGGCGGAGCTTGAAGTGAGCCGAGATCGCGCCACTGCACTCCAGCCTGGGCGACAGAGCAAGACTCCTTTTCAAAAAAGAAAAATAAAAAAATAAAATAAAATTAATTTCAACTGTTGCACATCACTTCGTCATATGTTTCCTAGTTTTTGTAAAGTATTTCACCCTTATAAGGTATTATGGCTATTTCAGTTATTATTGTTATCCCTAACATAACATAGTATGTAACAGCACATAGTCTCCAAGAACTTCCTAGGTATCTAATCTGAATACACTCCTAAACAACTGTGAAAGTGTAAAAGTTACTTAAACCCTCTGGTCCTCATTTTTCTTATAAGTAAAATAGGAATACTAATAGTACATATTTACTAGGATTGTTGTAATAATTAATAAGTTAGCATGACAATGGTTCATAAAATGTTACCTGTCTTCATAATCATTATTATTATCATTATTAAATATTGGATAAATATTTGTGTGTAAACTTCTGATTATTTCATTAGGGTTGGAAGTTAATATTTTAAGTAAAAGTAGATACAACAAATTTTAAGGCTATCATAGTACTTATTATAGACTGCTTTTCAGGTAAGAATAAGGATACTTGTCTAGCATTATTAGTACTAAATATTACATTTTTAAAATATTTGATAAATTGATGGGCATTAATGATACAATAAAATTTATAAGTTATTAGTTTTATTATTTTTCATGTGTTTATTGGATATTTTTGTTCTTCCAATAATCATCATGTATATCTCTACCCATTTTTCTATGGAGTTTTAGGCTACTTTTTATTTCCATTTAGGCAGAAGAAATGTAAATGTAAGATGGTGCACATAACAGGCTTTCCAGCCCTTTGATTTTAGAAATGATTTGACAGACACATCTATATAGATAATGAAAATCAAGATATTTAAACCCACTATCAAAATAATTATGAATTTTCTTCTAGCAATCCATTCTGATCTTAGAAAAAATTAATTATATGTGGCTTTCTTATTAAACAAAGGGATATCTTTACAAAGTTCCATTAAAGATTGATTTCTGACTGTAGGAGAGTAGAAAAAACGATAATAATAAACTGTATTTTAGAAATTAGAATCATCCAAAACTCAATGTGTAAATGATAAAGATTCTTTTGGCACTTACTTGTAAATTCAAATTATGAAAATCCCAGCATTGTTCTATTTAAATTACAGGCGTTACAATAGCCAAATTGAATTCTGATGGCTTACCATTATAAGATCAGTTGGTCAGCCGATTGTTATAGATTATTGTCTCAGCAGCTTTAGATTTGTATCAGGGAACTGTTGGAAGCTTAAAATTTAAAGCATATTTAGTTGTGCCCTGTGTGATATAAATAACTAGCTTAGTATTTACATTTCCCTCTGTTCGAACACAAAAGATGTATCTCTATGTGCTTTGTGCAAACAGAAGATAGATACATTCTGTGGTTTTAATTTTCAAATCTCTTCACTGATGCACTCTGTCTTACGATAATCAGCTTTCTTTAATTTTCCTTTTACATTATGGAACCCTGTATACCCTATGAATAAAGACTCCATGGAAAATGTTAATAACCTCTCAGTATGAAAAATATTTCTGATTTTGGAAGGTATGTAGATTTGTATATTAGAAGAATCTCAGGGGTTCAAGTTTCTGTCATTTCTAATCATTCACTTAGGGGCACAGGTGAGATAAGCTTGGGATGTCGGGATTTGGTTTTCAATTAGATTTCAATCTTTCATTCCACCTGGAAGTACAGAGGAATAATGAAAACAACCAGAAGCTGTTAAGGTTTTCACCCAACATTTGCAAGAAAGAAATAGTACGAATTGAATAGTTTAAGTTGAGCTTTTTATAGAATGATATCCTAAAATATTCTAAGTATTTGGAGAACTATTTTGCAACTTGTTGGTTTCTACAAGGTTATGATAATCGTTTTATTAGAGTTCCCATTTATCTTTATTTGATGTAAAGATATACTTCCATTTTCTTATACAATGTAAGCATCTCATTCTATCTCATGATTTAAAAACATTAAACTACTAGATAACATAATTATCTCTGCAGTATTATAGTAATTGAAGGAAAAATTTATTTCTTTAATAAGTTTACTGCAAACTCTGTGAAATAATGAAACAGAATTTAAATGTATTGATACATATAAGTCTATTCTATTTTGGAGAAGATAATCTACATGGAAATGATTAATATAAATTCGTGGAATCTTCTCTTTTTTGCGATAGTTATTAATAAAATGTATACAGAAAAGTTTTCTAGAGCAAATGCAAATCTCTTTTTAGGTATAGAAATGTGGTTTATTCATTTGCTTATTTTAGAGACAGAGTCTCACTCTGTCATCCAGGCTGGAGTACAGAGGTGTGATGATAAATCATTGTTGCCTGGAACTCGGGCTCAAGCAACCTTCTGCCTCAGCCTCTCGAGTAGCTGGGACTACAGGCGTGCACCACCACGCCTGGCTAATTTTTTAATTTTTTGTAGAGACTGAGTTTTGTTATGTTGCCCAGGTCTCGAACTCCTAGTATCAAGCAATCCTTCTGCCTCTGCCTCCCAAAGTGCTGGGATTACAGGCAAGAGGCACCAGCCCAATCAAAAATGTGGTTTAATACCACCTCTAGGAAATAGAAAAGCATGTGGCAAAATTGGCTCGATTCAATATTTTTTTAAAATAAATTATAACGTTACCTAGTGTTAGATACCAATGCATTTACATCTATTAGAAGACAGAGTCTATGACTCTTCTCACAGCTGTAGATAAGCAAAACAAAAATGTTCTCTCAATGCTCTGATGCAGTTTCATTAAATTACTAATGGATAATTCCTTACCTTGTTATTGTATTTCTGATGATTCTAAACGATCAGGAAAATCAGATATCTTACTTAGGACTGCTTTAACATATATTAGAAAAGTTTCCTTTGGACAAAGGCCAGGTTGAATTGATCTTTATTCTCACTCTAATGCTGTTCTGAATCAGTCAACTGTCCATTCCTTTCTAGTTATCTTCAAAGAAATATGTGTTCTTTCCTGGGCAAGATGTTCTCTAATACTCAGGGAAATTGTTCTGTGTGTGCTTTTTCCTTTTCTTGGAATTAATTGTCCCTTGCTTATTTTCTGCTACTATTTAAGCCTTTTCCTTATTTCAAAACAGTTAATAACTATGTCAACAAGCAGTTAGAAGAAGGGTTGTATAGCATTGACAATACATGTAAGGAAGCTCAACCTTTTCCACTATTATATAGTCCTAAAGGGGTTCTTTAAAATTTAGGCATAAATATTAATATTGTTTCCTGTTTACAAGGACACAAAATAATTGAATGCCAGAGGCAGGAAAAGGGTATTTAAGAGTTGCAGGAAAACAAAAATCATATTGAGGAAAGAAAGTTTTTTTAGAAAATCATTTTACTGTGGAGCTTAAATGAAAAGTTGAAGCCACTGCATATAGCCTAAATAGAAGTCTACACATATTAAAATAATATAATTGTAACTCAGTGAGTGTGCAATGGGTAGCAGGAGATGAAAAGGCTTATTTAAGAAAGAACAGAAAGTTAATGAAGAAAGATTTTTATTGAGAAGGGAATTGAAAGGGATATGGAATCCAGAAGAGGCACAGTTGGTACTACCCCAAAGGGTTCTTTTGTGGAACTAGCTGATGTCGGAGATTAACCCTAGGCCACAGCTCAGAGCTGAATTTCACACTTTATTCATTCATTCATTCAGTTTAGTGTCCTTTTTCAAGGCACAGTCTGTACATCTACATGTGGCTGTCTGCGGTAGGGCTCTGGAACAGGATGATCTGTTTCTGACAAGAGGAGTGACTAGAGAACACAGGAACATGATACCTAGCAGCCAATCTTCAGTCACTCTTTGGTCTGTGTTAGGAAAAACTTCATTCTTTCTTATACTCTATTTGGTGAGAAGACAAGTGAAATAATGTAATATTTTACAATAAATTTTGTGTGAACTGTGAACATGAGAAGGTTAAGTCCCCCAGGAAACCTTAGAAATTAATGTGGAGGTATCTGACGTATTTACTTAAAGACAATTTCCAAGTTTTCAGAAGATTTGAGAACATCTAGTAGATACACAGAAGGGTGGGTGGCTCTTCCATTGTTACATTTTAAGTAGCTTTAGTTATCACACACATTTTGATGGTGAAAGAAACTGAAGAGATTTTTAGGAAAATAACAAGGCAGATGTTATTTCCTCTTATTAGATCATTTGTTTTGACTCTTTTGGCACTCCATCAAATTATCTACCAATATATCTTTACATTTATTAGTGAATTATTTAAGAGCATAAGTAACACTTGAGGAAAAACACTGGCAATTTCCCGCAAGTAATGGGAATATTGCAATTTCCCATTGTCTCCACACCCTCAATCTTACTGTGGGTAACTAAATTCTGAAACAATCCTATTTCAGTGAAAAGAATGAAAAACAATGTATGCCCTTGTTAAATTACTAATAAGTTTGTTCATTTTCTACTTTGTTCCTCTAGATTTACTAAGAAGCTGACCATTTTCCCTTTGGCATTTAGCCTTGTATTTCCCTGTGTTTTGTACTTGCCTTATTTTTTCTGTCTTTTACATCTTTTATTTATTGGAAGGTGGGGGTGGCACCAAATTTTCTCTTAAACTATTTGTTCTTGTTGGCCTAAACATTTTCAATTCCCCCTGCTGGTTAAAATGTCAATAAACAGAGAAGAAAACCAACAACTATTCTGAACTCAAACAAACAAAAACTTTCTAGGCCTTGCTATCTTATATCTTCTATTTCAATTATATAAAAGTGAAGAAGTTCCAAACATCAGTTTACCCTTCGTTCATTTTTAAAATACAGTCATACTCCCCATAACAATGTTTTAGTCAACAATGGATGCATTTACAACAATGGTAAATAATGGAGCTAAAAAAATTCATAAGATAATAATGGAGCTAAAAAATTCCCATCACCTGTTGACATCAGTCATCATGATGTCATAGGTCAGTGCATTACTCATGTGTTTGTAGTGATGCTGCTATAAACAAACCTACTGTGCTGCCGGTCATGCACAAAATTATAGCATATACAATTATGTACAGTATGAAATAATTGATAATGATCATAAATGACTGCTACTAATTTATGTATTTACTCTACTATGCTGTTTATTGTTATTTTAGACTGTACTCCTTCTATGTATACAGATAAATTAACTATAAAACAATATCAGGCAGGTCCTTCAGGAGGTATTCTAGAAGAAAGAATTATTTTAGGAGGTGACAGCTCCATGTTTTTTGTTGCCCCCTGAAGACATTCCAGTCTTTCAGACCTTCCAGAGGAAGAAGATATGGAGGTGAAGGAAGACAGTGATATCAATGACCCTGAACCTTGTAGTTCTAGACTAATGTGTGTGTTTGTGTCTGATATGGTTTGGCTCTGTAACCCACCCAAATCTCATCTCGATTTGTAATCATGTGTCAAGGGAGGGACCCATAATCCCCACATGTTGAGGGAGAGAGGTGCTTGGATCATGGGAAAGATTTCTCCCATTCTGTTCACATGATAGTGAGTTCTCATGAGATCTGATGGTTATATAACTGTTACATAACTGTTTGACAGTTCCTCCTTCACACTTGCTCTCTCTTGCCTGCCACCATGTAAGACGTACCTGCTTCCTCTTCTACAGCGTTTCTAAGTTTCCTGAGGCCTCCTCAACCATGTGGAACCATAAGTCAATTATACCTCTTTTTTTTTAGATTTGTCAACCTTAAGGTATGATGTAGAATTTTTTTTTCCCCTTTTCTTTTACCCAGTGTATTAGTTACCCAGTGTATTACCCAGTGTATTAGTGGTCTCATGCTGGTAATAAATTTACCCAGTGTATTAGTCTGGTCTCATGCTGGTAATAAAGTGTATTACCCAGTGTATTAGTCTGGTCTCATGCTGGTAATAAAGACATACCCAAGACTGGGTAATTTATAAAGGAGAGAGGTTTAATTGACTCACAGCTCTGCATAGTTGGGGAGGCCTCAGAAAACTTAACAATCATGGTAGAAGGCGAGAGAGAAACAAGACATCTTCTTCACAAGGTGGCAGGAAGGAAAAGTGCTGAGTGAAAGGGGAAGAGGCCCTTATAAAAACATCAGATCTTGTGAGAACTCACTGATAATCATGAGAACAGCATGAAGAAAACCACCCCATGATTCAGTTATATCCACCTGGTCCTGCCCTTGTCATGTGGGGATAATGGGGATTACAATTCAAGGTGAGACTTGGGTGAGAACAGTGCCAAACCATATAATTCTGCCCCTAGCCCCTCCCAAATCTCATGTCTTTTCACACTTCAAGAACAATTGTACCTTCCCAACAGTCCCCCAAAGTCTTAACTCATTTTAGCATTAACTCAAAAGTCCACAGTCCAAAGTCTTATCCGGGACAAGGCAAGTCCCTTCTGCCTATGAGCCTGTAAAATCAAAAGAAAGTTAGTTACTTCCTAGATACAAGGGGGGGTACAGGCATTGGATAAATTCTCCCACTCAAAATGGGAGAAATTGGCCAAAACAAAAGGGGCTACAGGCCCCATGCAAGTCCAAAATGCAATAGGGCAGTCTTTAAACTTAAAGTTCCAAAATTATCTCTTTTGACTTCATGTCTCATATCTGGGTCACACTGATGCAAGAGGTGGGCTCCACAGCCTTGGGAAGCTCTGCCCCTGTGGCTTTGCAGGGTACAACCCCACTCCTGGCTGCATTAATGGGTTGGCATTAAGTGTCTGTGGCTTTTCCAGGCACATGGTGCAAGCTGTCAGTGGATCTACCATTCTGAAATCTGGAGGATGGAGCCCTCTTCTCACAGCTCCACTAGGAAGTGCCCCAGTGATGACTCTTTGTGGGAATTCTGACCCCACATTTCCCTTCCACACTGCCCTAGCAGAGGTTCTACATGAGGGCTCTGCTCCTGTAGCAAACTTCTCCCTGGACATCCAGGCATTTCCAGACATCCTCTGGAATCTAGATGGGGGTTCCCAAACTTCAATTCTTGACTTCTGTGCACCTGCAGGCCAAACACCACATGTAAGCTACCTAGGCTTGGGGCTTGCACTCTCTGAAGCAACAGCCTGAACTGTACCTTGACCCCTTTTAGCCACAGTTAGGGACGCATGGCACCAAGTCCCAAGACTGCACAAAACAGCAGTGGGGCCCTGGGTCTGTCCCAGGAAACCATGTTTTTTCCTAGACCTCTGGGCCTGTGATGGGAGGGGCTGCTCTAAAAACCTCTGCCATGCCCTGGAGACATTTTTTCCATTGTCTTGGTGATTAACATTTGGATCCTCATTAGTTATGCAAATTTCTGCAGCCTGCTTGAATTTTTCCCCAGAAAATGGGTTTTTCTTTTCTACTGCATCATCAGGCTGGAAATTTTCCAAATTTTTACGATCTGTTTCCCTTTTAAATATAAGTTCCAATTTCAGATCATCTCTCTTGAGTTCAAAGTTCCACAGATCTCTAGGGAAGGGGCAAAATGTTGCCAGACTCCTTGCTAAAGCATAGCAAGAGTCACCTTTGTTCCAGTTCCTAACATGTTTCTCATCTCCATCTGACACAACCTCAGCCTGGACTTCATTGTCCACATCACTATCAGCATTTTGGTCAAAAACATTCAAAAAGTCTCTAGGAAGTTCCAAACTTTCCCACATCTTCCTATATTCTTCTGAGCCCTCCAAACTGTTCCAACCTACGCCTGTTACTCAGTTCCAAAGTTGTTTCCACATTTTCCGGTACCTTTATAGCATTACCCCACTACCCCATACCAATGTACTGTATTAGTCCGTTCTCACACTGCTAATAAAGAAATACCCAAGACTGGGTAATTTATTAAAGGAAAAAGGTTTAATTGACTCATAGTTCTGCATGGCTTGGGAGGCCTCAGGAAACTTACAATCATGGCAGAAGGCAAGAGAGAAGCAAGGCACCTTCTTCACAAGGTGGCAAGAAGGAGAAGTGCTGAGTGAAGAGGGAAAAGCCCCTTACAAAACCATCAGACCTCATGAGAACTCACTCCCTATCATGAGAACAGCACGAGGGAACAGGCCCCATGATTCAATTATTTCCACCTGGTCCCACCCTTGACATGTGGTGATATGGGGATTACAATTCAAGGTGAGATTTGGGTGGAGACACAGAGCCAAACCATATCACCCAGTCTCAGGCATTTCTTTATAGCAGTGTGAAAATGGACTAATACAGTGTCTTAGTTTTTAACAAAAAACGTTAAAAAGTTTAAAAAATAAAAGAATAAATAAACTCTAAAATTTAAAAAAGCTTATAGAATAAGGATATAAACAAAGAAGATATTTGCATACATCTGTACAATGTATGATTTAAGCTAAATGTTTTTATTAGTATAAAACGTTTAAATACTTAAAAAATCAAATTTATACAGTAAAAAAGTTATAATGAGTTAATGTTACTTTATTATTGAAGAAAAAATATTGTTAATAAATTTATTGAAGCCTACATGTACGGTGTTTATAAAGTCTGCAGTAGTTTACAATAATGTCCTAGAACCTCACATTCACTCTCTAGCCACTCATTGACTCACGCAGAACAACTTCCGAATATGCAAGCTCCATTTATGGTAAGTTCCCTATACAGGTGTTTTTTTATCTTTTATACTGTATTTTTACTGTACCTTTTCTACACTGAGATATGTTTAGGTGCACAAATACCATTATGTTACCATTGCCTAAATTTGAGTACAGTAACATGCTATACAGGTTTATAACCTAGGAACAGTAGGCTAGGCCATATAGCCTAGGTATACAGTAGGCTATTACCATCTAGGTTTGTGAAGATTCACTCCATGATGTTCTCACAATGACAAAATCACCTAACCATTTCTCAGAACATATTCTCATTGTTAAATGATGCATGACTGTACTTGCATTCTGAATTAAATCTGCCCATATATTGCTACTAAAAGCTCTACGCTTTCTCAATTTATTTTATTTTATTTTTTTCAAGACAAGATCTCATGCTGTTACACAGGCTGGAGTGCAATGGCACGATTATAGCTCACTACAACCTCAAACTCCTGAGCTCAAGTGATCCTCCTGCCTCACCCTCTGGAGTAGCTGGGACTACAAGCACACACCACCATGCCTGACAATTTTTTTTTTTTGGTAAAGACAGGGTGTGGCTGTGTTGCCCACACTTGTCTGGAATGCCCAGAATCAAGCAATCTGCCTCACCTTCCAAAAGTGCTGGGATTGCAGGCATGAGCCACTGCACTCAGCTGATTGATTTTCACTTTCATTCATTAAATAGATACCATTTTTTCGTCCTTTTCTTTGTTCAATCTCTGCTCTTTAATTCCTTGTTCCACTTTGATCTACAAATCACCCAATCTCTCTCACTGACATCTTCTTTACACTGTTTTGGTTACACAGTTTGTCAACTACTTTGCTTTATCACTCATTTTATTTCTGGACTTTTCTTATAGATTTTATTCTGAAAAAAAAAAAAGTGATTTTTTGCCTATCTAGACAGTCTTGAAATTTCTTAATGCCTGCTGAAACTTTTTCATGAAAATGTCATTGATCACTTGACTCATATTCCTAAAATATATTCTTTTCTCGGCACATCCTCATTCTCCACTATGCTGTATCTCAAATTCAAGTTAGAAACCTCTGTGTGAATTGTACTCATGCTGGAAACTTCTATGTGAAATCAGGAATGTTTCTTTCATCTGACAACTTGTTATTTGATTTTGCTAGTTTTCCTTGTTATCAATTCAAGATTTTCCAAGAAAACTGAGTAAGTAAACTTGTGCTACCTGTAATAGGAATCCAACAATATGTATTGATAATAGTCATGACCTTGGTCTCATGCCAAGCATATGACAAGTTCACATTATTTAACTCTTGTTCTGACTTTTCCATAATAGCACTGTTTTAATTTTATGTTTCCTATGTAAGCAAAATACATCACTAAAAGAAAATTTATCACTAGACATAAATATTCCTTTCTTTTCCCTAATACGTTTCTTAATCAAATAATAATTTTCACAAGAAGTTTCCTTAGAATTAAAAATTTCCATACCCAGGTTCAGCTCCTAAGATACATAAAAAGTGTTTAAATATTTTATTCAAGATAAAAGAATATGTTTTTCCCCCCACAGGCAATTTTAGTCATGTTTATTGAATTCAAGAGTACTTGAATTTTAAAAATTAAGCTTTCCCATTAATTTTTTATGACATATATTGTGAATAATTTTAATAAATAATATTTGAATGCATTGAAATCCTACTCACAATTTGCATATTAGCATATAAAATTGCCCTTTTAAAGATTGTGACATTTCATGTAAGTTGACTATGTTTAGTATTATTACAGAAGCTATAACTGATTTATGTGCAGCATGACTCTCCAAAGGAATTTTACATTATTTAGTACTTTTTTAACATATTAGCACATTAACCTTATTTTCAAAGGAACATTTAGTAGAATACAAGGGGTGATATAAAGTGGGAAATAGTGATCCAAAGCAGAGAGTCATGGATTTTTATGTTAATTAAGTTTTTTCCACTTTAGAAGAACATATATCATTACACTAAAATAAGAGTACAAAATACTAAATTAAAATGAGTAACAAAAATATGCTTTTAATATAATTAATATTATAAATTACTGTATTATTAAATTCTTTTTATAAAGGATGATGATGCTCATGATTAACAAAGGCATTTTACCTTTGTGACACCAACTATTTTGGTTGTATCGAGATTAGTCTACAAAAGTGTCCTGTCATTTCTACTTTGTATTATTATTATTATAAAAATGCCTGTTGACACAGTCCTACCAAATTGTATGTTGGAAAATGTTATCTGTATTGGAAAAATGATAATAAGACCAACTACCATGGGTACAAAAGCAAGTTAATGTTTATAAAATAGAATTAAGCATGTATATATAGTATGGCTGTATACATGTGTTTGTGTGTAGGGGGTAGACATACAATTATATTGGCAAAAATCAATATATGTATGTGTAAACAGATTTATATTTGCCTGTATGTATAAAATACAATTAAAGCAAGTTAAATTCATGTTTTCATAAAAATAGGGCATTTTCAAAAATAAACAATTTTTAATGTGGTTATGCTAAAATAAAACCACTTTGATGACTTTAATAATAATTTTAAAAATTCTTTTTCAGCCAAAAATAATATTTTCAGAGTTTCACAGAGTAACAATAACAGAAACATGACAAATACGGGAAAAATTAATATACATTTTTATATACATGTCTACAAAAACGTATATGCATGTTATGCTTTCAATGTGTAAAAGAAGCTGCGCTCTTTAATGCATCCTCCTCCCCTATCTTATTTCTCAGACAGGAAACTATATAATTAAAAAGCCTTTTCAGTGGACCAATATAGACATGGGTATTTTTACCTATTACAAATAAAAATATGTAATGAGATTATATTTCCATGTTCTTAACCATATATGCTTTAGTCAGAACAGGCTTATGAGCCTTTCATCCGCACATGCATGTGCACATACATACACAAAGACTTTAATAGAAGGGAAGATATACAACATAGAGGGATGATTGATTATAGAATGGGAGTTATGTTAAAATATATAGGTTGAGGTGAAATTATCTGGATTGCATATTTACTGGTGGTGTCCCTAGTGGAGAAGCACCACTTTTCAATCATAATACTTGGAGCTATGAATCTACATGAACATCTTTAGACAACATAGGCCTCATATATCTTAGGTCTTTTGGTTCCCAGAGGTAGACACTGAAGTGGTCTGCCTTCCACCTAGAGTGAGCTATTTGTAAAACCTAATAATAGCTATTCCTGTCTTAGTTTAAGTGCCCACAGAAAGTGTATTCTGTCATGGACTCACTCCATTTATCTTATATCCAATTATCTTACTCTACTGTGATGAAAGCCTTCTTCAGGTAAGTGTATCAATTTTAATTTCTATTCTTTTACTACTGTCAGTACTATACTATATTATACTGTAAAATTTAAATATATAGTATATTACTGGTCACAAGTACCTTAGAATTTAGCGTATGTATAGTAAGATAACATGAGAGTAAGAAGGATATTTTCTATGGAGCAATGTAACCTAGTATGACCTGAGTTAATTACTTCCATCAGTTTGTCTTTAGATCATACATTATGGAAATATATAAAATATTCCTAATGATATATTAAGAGTGTTGCTGGACCCAGAAATATTAGCTTCCACTTTGTGACACAATTCTGAGCAAGTGAGAATCAGTATAAAAGGTCCACTTATCAAAAGGGGCTTTTAAGGTTGCTTAAGACAATGGTAGGTGTATAATTCACCTCCTCAAAATTCCTTCTCAAATAGTATGAAATAACCTCACAAGTAAGAAAATTCTACAAAAAATTATACCCTAGGCATTACTAGATGACAGAGAATGCCAAAACTGGAAGGTGTAAGTGAAATAAAAAAGTCGAAACCCCAGCATTTTGGTCTAACGTGTCATCTCCAACTTTGCACCTCCGCAAGGCTTTGAGGAAAGGCCAATTGAGCAAAACTGCAAGGAAGACAAAGGAGGTTCCTTGGGAAGAGTTCGAGCAACCACCAGAAAAATTAAAACTATTATATCTGAAAATTTAAAATACTAAAATAGTATTTTCGCAAGTCAGAGTGCAGACCACAGAGAAGGGATTTCAGAGAAGGTGCCATTTAAAAACATAGATGCTATGGAAAGGACCAAGTGTACAGCTTATGGCACAACTTTAGTTTAAAGGTTATGAGCAAGACATAAGGGACAGGATTCTAAATACATAATTTATTTGAAATGAAAAGACAAATAGGAAGGAGAAGGTGTCTTTTGGCAATTGGGTGGTAAAGACAGAAACAAGAAAAAAGGAAAGTTTTAGAGTCTTCTGTGGCTAAAGGGTAAGAAAAACCGTACATCAGATTGAAAGACCTACCACCTATCCAGACCAGCCAAACCAACAGATGATCAAATAAATGGGCAAACTAACTCTGATTTTGTACTTGAATTATCCTAGTCTGGCAGTAAAAGATACTACTAATATAAGAATTTAGTAAAATTACTTAACATCTTAAATGAATAAAAGAAATGTAGAGTTAAGAGAAAAATATTTTTAAAAATCAAAACACAAAATTTTACACAAATAAACTAAGTAAACCTATCCTGAAAAAAAAAAAAGAAAGCAGAAAAAGAAAAATATAACCAAAATAATGAAAATGGCATAACAATGCAAAATTGTTAAAAAGAAAGTAGTGGAATTTGAAGACCAACAAACCAACAAAGAATGAATAATATTTATACGATTGGAGTCATAAAAAAGTGAAAACATTAAATATATTTAAAACTATAAACAAAAATTTTCAGATAGAAAAGAACTACACATTGAAAAGACTTACCAAACACTTGAGGAAGTTATCCTGAAATAATAACTACCTAGACATTTCCCAGTAAAACAATTACATTTCAAAGATAAAGATAAAATCTTCAAGGTCTTTAGATAAAAAGACCAAATCATTCACAAAAGCAAAAGAATTAAACAAGCAGCAGACTTTTTATAACCAACATACAAAGCAAGGTACCAATGGAGCAGCAATTTTTAAAAATTCAGTAAAAGACAGTTTGAACCCAGGGATTTATATCTAGGCAAGATGCCTTAGAATATCAACTCTTAGAAAAAGAGTGTTTAATATACAAGACTTAGAGGAATCTGTGCCTATTAGTCTTTCTCAGAGGATCTACTACAAGATAATGGCATCCAGTTGATAATGGAGAAAACTTTTGCTGAAGACTGATGGTGAGCATTATAAAACATGTAAATATACATATACAATTAAAACAAAGGTAAAGATGAAGGTGGATGATTAATGTCATATATTCTGACAAAGTAGTAATAATGCAGATAAAACACTAGATGAGAGGAAAGCATAAACAGACAAAGATAATTGTTACCAAGGCAGTAAGTTATTCAGAAGATATGAAATAGCCAAATAATAAAACTTAGCATTAATGGTGTTAGTGAAGATATAAGTCCAAAAGCAACCACTAGAGCAAAACTAAAAGTAATTGCAAAAACGACAATTACTTTTGCTCCAACCTAATGTATAGCTTCCTAGGAGTTAAAAAAGAAAGAGAGCAAAGAATGTTTACCTAGTTGCAGATAATGGATTATAAAACTAGTGTGTGAAAGTATGAGGAGAATCAGGATTTACATATCCTCAAAGTATTTCTCCCAATATATTTATTAACTCCACAGGAAAAGATAATAACTGATATAGTTTGAATGTTTTTACCTCCAAATTTCATGTTAAAATGTGATCCCCAATATTGGAGTTAGGGCCTGGTGGGAGATGTTTGGGTCATGGGGGCAGATCCCTCATAAATGTCCTGGTGCCCTCCTCACAGTAATGAATGAGTTCTCATTCTGAATTCATGTGAGATCTGGTGTCTAAGAGTGGGACCCCTCTGCCTTTCTCTTGTCAGGTAACACAATGGCTCTCCTTTCACCTTCCACCATGAATGAAAGCTTCCTGAGGACTTCACCAGGAGCAGATATCGGTTTGTGCTTCCTGTACAACCTGCAGAACTGTGAGCCAAAGTAACCCTCTTGTCTTTATAAATTACCCAGTCTTAGGTATTCCTTTATAGCAATGCAAGTAGACTAAAAAGTAACTTTATATTGGAAAAACCTATCAAAAATCGCCTTAAGCAAGTGATCAAGGTAAACATCCCTGTTTATGAGACATAGTGATATCATAAAGTCCTTGATATTATGCATTGAGAACATAACATTATTTCTGTGCTATTCTTGCAAAAATGCATAAATTCATTCCAATTATAAGGAACATCAGACAAACTCAAGCTGATGGGCATTATGGCAACAAGTATAGTAATCATTAGTCTAAGTGTGTCAAAATTGTCAAGGTGAAGAAAAGCAAGGAAAGACCAAGAAATGGATACAGATTGAAAGAGACTTGAAAGACACAAAAACAAAATGCAACATCGAACCACTGACAGAATCCTGGAACAGAAAAAGGACATTAATAAAAAAACTAGTAAAATTTTAGTAAGTCTGTAGTTCAATTAATAAATTACATTAATATTCATATCCTTTGCCCATTTTTTGATGGGGTTGTTTGTTTTTTTCTTGTAAATTTGTTAAAGTTCTTTGTGGGTTCTGGATATTCGACCTTTGTAAGATGGGTAGATTGCAAAAATTTTCTCCCATTCTGTAGGCTTCCTGTTCACTCTGATGATAGTTTATTTTGCTGAATAGAAGCTCCTTAGTTTAATTAGATTCCATTTGTCAATTTTGGCCTTTGTTCCCATTGTTTTTGGTGTTTTAGATATGAAGTCTTTGCCCATGCCTATGTCCTGAATAGTACTGCCCAGGTTTTCTTCTAGGATTTTTATGGTCCTAGGTCTTACGTTTAAGTCTTTGATCCATCTTGAGTTGATTTAAGGATATGAACAGACACTTCTCAAAAGAAGACATTTATGCAGCCAACAGACATATGAAAAAATGCTCATCATCACTCGTCATTAGAGAAATGCAAATCAAAACCACAATGAGATACCGTCTCACGCCAGTTAGACTGGCAATCATTAAAAAGTCAGGAAACAACAGATGCTGGAGAGAATGTGGGAAAATACGAATGCTTTTACACTGTTGGTGGGAATGTAAATTAGTTCAACCATGGTGGAAGACAGTGTTTCGATTCCTCAAGGATCTAGACCTAGAAATACCATTTGACCCTGCAATCCCATTACTGGGTATATACCCAAAGGATTATAACTCATTCTACGATAAAGACAAATGCACACGTACGTCTACTGTGGCAACTGTTCACAATAACAAAGACTTGGAGCCAACTCAAATGTCCATCAATGATACACTGCATTAAGAAAATGTGGCACATATACACCATGGAATACTATGCAGCCATAAAACAGGATGAGTTCATGTCTTTCGCAGGGACATGGATGAAGCTGGAAACCATAATTCTTAGCAAACTATCACAAAATCAGAAAACCAAACACCGCATATTCTCACTCATAAGTGGGCGCTGAACAATGAGAACACATGGACACAGGGAGGGGAACATCACACACCAGGGCCTGTCAGGGGGTGGGGCGCTAGGGGAGAGATAACATTAGGAGAAATACCTAATGTAGATGACGGGCTGATGGATGCAGCAAACCACTATGGCACGTGTATACCTACGTAACAAAATTGCACATTCTGCACATGTAACCCAGAACTTGAAGTATAATTTAAAAAAACTAATTAAAAAATTTTAAAAATACATTGATGTTAATATTCTGATATTGATACAATTGTTAGGCTTTGTAAAGTGTTAACCTTAGCAGAAATGGGTTGAGTACAATATTTTTGTTGGTCTAAAATTTGTACAGTTAATTTTTTCTTAAAAAATGCTCATTGAAAATAATTAATAAAAATAGGTAATAAGTTCTTCAAGAATGAAGAGAAATTGAGTGATCTGAATAAGATATCATCCTTATAACAAAGGGGACTATTCAAATATATTCCATTTCTAACTTTAATTTAACAGTTAACAAGACACTTGCCTAATTAGACATCAAGTAAATATTAAATTATGAGCTAGCCAAGTTCGTGATTAGGAACAAAAATCCAATATCCTATTTAAATTAACCACAGTTAAATCCACTTTATTTGTTATTATTCAAAAACTAGAGCTTGCAGTGCCATGTAGGCAGGGCACCTCAAACCTGGATAGATACCTGTAAGGAGCTGATTTTGATCTCCTCTGCAGGAGGTTCTCTAATACTGTACCAACCCTGCCCACAGACCCCACATGCAACATTACCATCACCACCACTGGCTGACATGATTCCCTTCATGATTTCACCCAGAACTGCAAGACTGGGGCACCAGAATGGTGTTGACACCCCAAATAAGAGTGATTCTCACTCAAGTTGGACATGGGCTGAATTCAGGAATTTGGATTACCACTGTCTACCCTTAAACTAGAGCTACTTCTGTGGGCATATGAAAAAGGCTCTATCAGGTTCCACCTCTGGTCTAGAAAAACCTAGAGAAGCAGGAGGCAGCCCTTAATAAATACTGGGTTTGCCATATCTGGCTGAATGGCACAGAGATATTGAGTATTGTTTATGGTACTATTTCCCATCCAAAGCCAAAACAAATGTGCCCAAGCTACCACTAAAGAATGTATTTGTCATGAATATGACAGGTTATCAAATGTTACCGAGGGATAACCTAAAAATTTTCAGTTGCATACTTTCTTGTTTTAGCATTCTATAGCAAAGAAACTTCTTGTTCAGTAAATTGAAAGATACAAAGAAGAACATTTTCTCCTTTGATATTCTTGATAATGACTTTCAAATGTTGGCATTTATGCATGAGCGGAAGCCACTTTTCAAAGAATAATGTAACTGAATTTATCTTCTTCTTTTGACCTTTAAATGACTTTTTGGTCTTGCCTCACTTATCTATCTTACTTTTTGGTTTGCCATTCTCTCTCATCTTCTGAGATCATTGGGCCAAGGCTTCAGGGTGAACTTCTTCAAAGAAAAATGCTTTCATATTAAAGCCTTGTCTGTTTTGGATCAAGACTTCAGAGCTTGTTCCTGCAAGAAAAATTAGAAATAATACATCAGTTGTGTAATTACTTTTTAAAATCCTTCACAAATGTAGACTTTTCTGTTTCTCAAGTAATGACCTGTATAGATTTTATTTGATATTTTAATAATAATATTTCCAATAGAGTAGTATCTTCTAAAAAATCTTCTAAAAATATTTCAAAATTCTATTACCTTAATTAAGCAAAGTAGTTCTTAGAAAAAGTCTTAAAAAATAATAGCAATACTCCTTTCACATATGTTTTATATTTTTTAAAAAGTGACCCAATGAGAAATACAAATTATAAAATATAAAACTGAGTTTTTAAAGTAAATTTTATATCTTCTTATGTACACCATTAGATTGAACCACTATTGATCTATAAAAGTTTAAAAAAACAAAAATCCTCAGTCTTTGTGGTGATTTCTTTTTAAGGTTTATTATATCTATATCCATATCTATAGATAGATACATTCATACTGCCCAAAGGAAGATAATGTTTGACAATTATTAAATTGTTGCTACTCCAATAAAAATTATTGTTATTATTATAATTTTTATTAAAAAGAGGCCCTTGTATTTACTAATCTATATGTACTTACATAGTGGGAAATATTGACATAAAATAAGGTAGTACCTTGCCAGTAAAATTTTTTTATATTTTTACTTCAAAATAAAGCTTTTATAAGTTAAATTTAGGCATGTGGATCTAATTTATGAAGTTGTTTTGTAGCATCTTACCGTGTTATCCTAAAATATACCTTTATTGTCTATTTTACATTTTGTCAGCACAAACTTTAACCAAAACATAAATACTGTCAAATCATACATATTCTTAGGAAATGAGCTCTATTTTGCTTTACAATATATATTAAACTAAAATGTTCTAAAGTAAATAAAATGTGCAAGTTATTAGAGGAATTAGATGAGTTTTTATTTTAATAAATCGGAGTATAAAAATATAATTTAGCTCAATAATAGTTTTAAAGTTTTTCTAGATTTACATAGATTTAGAAAATTTTACATATATGTAAAACAAAATGAGTTATGCAATATATATACATATCATATTAGAATATCTGCAGTGACAGTCATTGTACAAAATACTTGCTTCACTAAATTTTAAAAAGCAGCTCATTAATTATCTAAATATTGTCATGTTAGGCTTTTCCTAATTTTTTCCGTGTAGCTTTATATATGGGGACAGTGGGTCTGAGAAAGACTTTTTAAAAGTTTTCCATTGTACACTAGGTTCATTTAAATTTAAATTCTCAATAGAATTGAAAACACTACTGCTGGCTTATAGGGTGTTAGACATTTTGCTAGATGCTGTGAAAATACAGACTAGTGGTTTCTTATTTAGAGGAGTATGCAGTCTAATGGAGGAGACTTTCATGCAGGGGACTGAGTAAAGTGCAGTATACTAAATTTCAGGGTATACCAGAGGAGGGCTGATTTATGTTGTCTGAGGATAGTGAATATTCATTTTCAGAGCAACCGGCATTGAATTGGGCTATGTGTGATATGTTTTTGCTTTTTACCTCTTTCTGTATTATCTCAATGAGAGCTACTCCAAACCTGTGACTTTATAATCCTATCATCCCATTTTCTTCCCACATTTTCACATATTTGGAGCTAGAATATATATGAAGCAGTAATGCATGATAGGAAATCTCCTTGATGATTAATCTCCTAAACATTATAAGACTTAGCCAGGTAGACTTCTAACAGCAGAAGACTTGTAAACTCCTCTGAGGAAATTATTTTATTTAGTCTCCTCATTTAATATATAAGGAAAGTAGGTACCAAAAGGATTATGCTATTTTTTCTTTATTCTATTTTATTATTATTATACTTTAAGTTTTATGGTACATGTGCACAACGTGCAGGTTTGTTACATATGTATACATGTGCCATGTTGGTGTGCTGTACCCATTAACTCATCATTTAGCATTAGGTATATCCCCTAATGCTATCCCTCCCCCCTCCCCCAACCCCACAACAGTCCCCAGTGTGTGATGTCCCCCTTCCTGTGTCCATGTGTTCTCATTGTTCAATTCCCACCTATGAGTGAGAACATGCAGTGTTTGGTTTTTTGTCCTTGCAATAGTTTGCTGAGAATGATGGTTTCCAGCTTCATCCATGTCCCTACAAAGAACATGAACTCATCCTCTTTTTGGCTGCATAGTATTCCATGGTGTATATGTGCCACATTTTCTTAATCCAGTCTATCATTGTTGGACATTTGGGTTGGTTCCAAGTCTTTGCTATTGTGAATAGTGCCGCAATAAACATATGTGTGCATGTGTCTTTATAGCAGCATGATTTATAATCCTTTGGGTATATACCCAGTAATGGGATGGCTGGGTCAAATGGTATTTCTAGTTCTAGATCCCTGAGGAATCGTCACACTGACTTCCACAGTGGTTGAACTAGTTTACAGTCCCACCAACAGTGTAAAAGTGTTCCTATTTCTCCACATCCTCTCCAGCACCTGTTGTTTCCTGACTTTTTAATGATCACCATTCTAACTGGTGTGAGATGGTATCTCACTGTGGTTATGATTTGCATTTCCCTGATGGCCAGTGATGATGAGCATTTTTTCACGTGTCTGTTGGCTGCATAAATGTCTTCTTCTGAGAAGTGTCTGTTCATATCCTTCGCCCAATTTTGGTGGGGTTGTTTGTTTTTTTCTTGTAAATTTGTTTGAGTTCATTGAAGATTCTGGATATTAGCCCTTTGTCAGATGAGTAAGTTATGAAAATTTTCTCCCATTTTGTAGGTTGCCTGTTCACTCTGATGGTAGTTTCTTTTCCTGTGCAGTAGCTCTTTAGTTTAATTAGATCCCATTTGTCAGTTTTGGCTTTTGTTGCCATTGCTTTTGGTGTTTTAGTCGTGAAGTCCTTGCCCATGCCTATGTCCTCAATGATATTGCCCAGGTTTTCTTCTAGGGTTTTTGTGGTTTTAGGTCTAACATGTAAGTCTTTAATCCATCTTGAATTAATTTTTGTATAAGGTGTAAAGAAGGGATCCAGTTTCAGCTTTCTAAATATGGCTAGCCGGTTTTCCCAGCACTATTTATTAAATAGGGAATCCTTTCCCCATTGCTTGTTTTTGTCAGGTTTGTCGAAGATCAGATGGTTGTAGATATGCAGCATTATTTCTGAGGGCTCTGTTCTGTTCCATTGATCTATATCTCTGTTTTGGTTCCAGTACCATGCTATTTTGGTTACTGTAGCCTTGTAGTATAGTTTGAAGTCAGGTAGTGTGATGCCTCCAGCTTTGTTCTTTTGGCTTAGGATTGACTTGGCGATGCAGGCTCTTTTCTGGTTCCATATGAACTTTAAAATAGTTTTTTCCAATTTTGTGAAGAAAGTCATTGGTAGCTTGATGGGGATGGCATTGAATCTATAAATTACCTTGGGCTGTATGGCCATTTTCACGATATTGATTCTTCCTACCCATGAGCATGGAATGTTCTTCCATTTGTTTGTATCCTCTTTAATTTCATTGAGCAGTGGTTTGTAGTTCTCCTAGAAGAGGTCCTTCCTGTCCCTTGTAATTTGGATTCCTAGGTATTTTATTCTCTTTGAAGCAATTGTGAATGGGAGTTCACTCATGATTTGGCTCTCTGTTTGTCTGTTATTGGTGTATAAGAATGCTTGTGATTTTTGCACATTGATTTTGTATCCTGAGACTTTGTTGAAGTTGCTTATCAGCTTAAGGAGATTTTGGGCTGAGACGATGGGGTTTTCTAGATATACAATCATGTCATCTGCAAATAGGGACAATTTGACTTCCTCTTTTCCTAATCGAATGCCCTTTATTTCCTTCTCCTGTCTGATTGCCCTCGCCAGAACTTCCAACACTATGTTGAATAGGAGTGGTGAGAGAGGGCATCCCTGTCTTGTGCCAGTTTTCAAAGGGAATGCTTCCAGTTTTTGCCCATTCAGTATGATATTGGCTGTGGGTTTGTCATAGATAGCTCTTATTATTTTGAGATACGTCCCATCAATACCTAATTCATTAAGAGTTTTTAGCATGAAGGTTGTTGAATTCTGTCAAAGGCCTTTTCTGCATCTATTGAGATAATCATGTGGTTTTTGTCTTTGGTTCTGTTTATATGCTGGATTACATTTATTGATTTTCGTATGTTGAACCAGCCTTGCATCCCAGGGATGAAGCCCACTTTACCATAGTGGATAAGCTGTTTGATGTGCTGCTGGATTCAAGGCTCATAGATTTAAAAGCTGCCAAACTAGTACAAAAATTCAGACATTTAGATTTAGAGTTTGAGTGCTCATCTTAAGTCTAATTTGATATTCCAAGCTACATCAATATTCCCCAAAGTTGCATCTAGATTAGAAAATAAGAATATCCTCTTAATTGTGTATATTTGTTTGCCCACTGTTTTCATGAATATTTGAGTCATTTCAGAGAAAAAAAAGATCCATATATAAATTGTATAGATTGGAAATGTGAGTTATCAATCATTTACTTTTTTTTAGAGAGATCTTCTTCTGCAACTTGTTCATAAAAAATATTATTTAATATTTGCTGTCCTAACTCTTTGATTTGTGAAGCAATAACAAGTATTAAGGTGATTAAAATATTTTACATACATTTTTCAGGTTCTTTAAATTTAGCTGTGAAAATTCTAGTATTCTTGTTCTTATATGGATTTTCAAGAAAACATTACTTAGCCTCTATGTACCTTGAATACTCTTTTATTATTTTTATTTTGAAAAAAAAATTTCTTAGTATGACCATATCTCAGGTTGTCTATAGATTTACACTATTTATTGCATTATTTTCCCTCTAGATTTCTTGCCCTGACATTTCAGTATAAGATATGTATCTACACAAACAGCACATTTTCTCACATAGCACCTTTAAAAATTAACAAATATTCTTTTTTCCCTAAGATTTCTTCTGCTCATGATTAAAATATATAAAAGACATTCTACCAATGGAACAGAACAGAGCCCTCAGAAATAATACCACACATCTACAACAATCTGATATCTGAGGAACCTGACAAAAACAAGAAATGGGGAAAAGATTCCCTATTTAATAAATAGTGCTGGGAAAACTGGCTAGCCATATGTAGAAAGCTGAAACTGGATCCCTTCTTTACACCTTATACAAAAATTAATTCAAGATCGATTAAAGACTTAAATGTTAGACCTAAAACCATAAAAACCCTAGAAGAAAACCTAGGCAATACCATTCAGGACATAGGCATGGGCAAGGACTTCACGTCTAAAACACCAAAAGCAATGGCAACAAAAGCCAAAATTGACAAATGGGATCTAATTAAACTAAAGAGCTTCTGCACAGCAAAAGAAACTACCATCAGAGTGAACAGGCAACCTACAAAATGGGAGAAAATTTTTGCAACCTACTCATCTTACACAGGTCTAATATCCAGAATCTACAATGAACTCCAACAAATTTACAAGAAAAAAAACAAACAACCCCATCAAAAAGTGGGTGAAGGATATGAACAGACACTTCTCAAAAGAAGACATTTATGCAGCCAACAGACACATGAAAAAATGCTCATCATCACTGGCCATCAGAGAAATGCAAATCATAACCACAATGAGATACCATCTCACACCATTTAGAATGGTGATCATTAAAAAGTCAGGAAACAACAGGTGCTGGAGAGGATGTGGAGAAATAGGAACACTTTTACACTGTTGGTGGGACTGTAAACTAGTTCAACCATTGTGGAAGACAGTGTGGCAATTCCTCAAGTATCTGGAACTAGAAATACCATTTGACCCAGCCATCCCATTACTGGGTATATACCCAAAGGATTATAAACCATGCTGCTATAAAGACACATGCACACATATGTTTATTGCGGCACTATTCACAATAGCAAAGACTTGGAACCAACCCAAATGTCCAACGATGATAGACTGGATTAAGAAAATGTGGCATGTATACACCATGGAATACTATGCAGCCATAAAAAAGGATGAGTTCATGTTCTTTACAGGGACATGGATGAAGCTGGAAACCATCACTCTTAGCAAACTATTGCAAGGACAAAAAACCAAACACTGCATGTTCTCACTCATAGGTGGGAATTGAACAATGAGAACACATGGACACAGGAAGGGGAACATCACACACTGGGGCCTGTCGTGGGGTTGGGGGAGGGGGGAGGGATAGCGTTAGGAGATATACCTAATGTATATGAGGAGTTAATGGGTGCAGCACACCAAAATGGCACATGTATACATATGTAACAAACCTGCACATTGTGCAGATGTACTCTACAGCTTAAAGTAAAATAAAAAAAAGAACAAGCTAAATCCAAGATTAGTAGGAAAAGATAAATAAGAAAAATCAAATCATAAATAAATAAAATCAAGACTAAAAAGCACAAAAGATTGATGAAATGAAGACTTGTTTTTCTGAAAAAAAAATAAATAAAGTTGACAAAACTTTAGCCAGGCTAACTATAGAGAGAGAGAAGATGCAAATTAATAAAATCCGAGATGAAAAAGAAGACATTACAACTGAAACTACAGAAACACAAAGAACCATTAGATAATATTATGAACAACGATGTGCCAAGAAATTACAAAACTTAAGAAAAAATGAATCAATTCCTGGACACATGCAACCTACAACAATTGAATTATGAAGAAATAGAAAACCTGAATAGATAAATAATGAGTCCTGGGGCCCTCATCGTGCTCTGTGCTGTTGCCCAGTCTCACAAAGTGAAATGTCAAGAATTTGAATCTTTCTTTCTGACCCAGCCTGTGTTCTCTTCATTTTTGAATATTTACTTTCTCTTTGGTATCAATGGATTTGAACAGATTTTTCTGGTCAGGAAAATGAATTTTCTGACTCGGCAGATATTTTGTGCACACAGCAGTCTAACTTCCACACAGAGTACAACAGACACCGCTTCTTGTAACATAGAAAAGAGCTACATTGTAAAATGCAGTTTCCTGAATCTCTAATACTATTTCAAATCCTTACCAACTATCCTTTCAAATTTCCTTTTCCTATTTAAATTTTTATCTTTTAAAATCCAAAACATCATTAAATCTAACAGGTAAACAATATTTGGGAATGAAAATACAATTCTGAAAGACTGTGAATAGGTGGCAAGTCTAAATTTACACAAAAGTCAGTTAAATGTTTTTGACAACATCCTGAAAACTGATGAAATCATGCTCCATTAGTTCATAAATGAACGAGAAATTCCAGATCTATGGCCTTTCCTGGAAACACCTTGCCCTTGTCCTAGAGAATAATTCTCTGTCTTTTTACTCTCAGCAGAAGGTATTTTGTTAACCTTAGCTGCCTGAGGGGAATTTCAGGTGGAGAAGCATTCACAAGCTGGTTCTCATTAGTTAGTTTTCCGGTGTCTGTTATGATACATGCCACTATTCTTTTCATTTGCCTCATCAGGTTGTAAAGGCAGAGAGGCAGAAAGGTACTAAGGCAAGATCACTGAGCAAAGTGCTAAGGTGTAAGTTCTGATTCTGGGTTCTGCCACTGACGATAACAAATTGGAAGAACCACCAAAACTTCTCTGTGCCTCTGTTTATTTGTGACCTAAAATTGTTAGATCATTCCTAATCACTCTAATGTTCCTAATCAGTCTAAAATATCTATGCTTAGGTATTTAAATAATTATATGAGTTTGAATCAACATGTAAGACAGAAAATCTAAAATATTGAAAAATGTTCCTAATAAGTTGTAGAATGTCTGAGTTCAAGCTTTATCTAGAAATGATAAATGTAGTAATGAATGATGTTAATAATCATGCTAATGATAAATAATTGTGTCAGCCTATATTCTCATTACTTTCTCTTGACTCTTGAGAGAAGTCTAAGTGGCATTAACATGATAAAATTGTGTAATAATAATCTATCTGTACAACACAATGCATCTATGTAATTGCTACTTTTAGTCTTTTCAAATGTCAGTAAAATACTTTTTTCTTTTAATTCAATGATGTTGATAAAATACTTAATTACATTTTATGACCCTGAAATATTGGGTATACATTTCCTCAATCATAATTTATTGACAAAAGCTTTGAATTCTACACTACTTTACTAAAATTACAATTATTGTACATATCATTTAGGATAGTAAATCATTGTTTGGAAAAACTATTAATATGAGATTGTTTATTATATTATCTATTTACTGATTCATTCTTGATAAATATTAAATAGAAAAACACCTTATTTTTTTTTTTAAAAACTATGTTATGTTTCAGCCAGCATTTATAAACCTAACTTGGAGAAGAGCTAGCCGTTTCAGTTAAAAGAATGAGACCAATCATGGTTCAGAAAATAATTTTAAGTAGAATTCCTGGAAAAGGTCTTTACCTGGTTGGTATCCTATAATCTTTCATGTTTAGCTAACCAGTCTTTCAAAATTAGCAGTTACTTACACAGAAATGCTTTTTGCATGCATTATTTTTTGCTTGTTGGAGATGAAACATTTTCATTCTGAGCGTGCTCTGAGGACCAGCAGAATTGGTACCACCTGGGAACTTTTTATGAACGCAATCATTGTGCCTCATCCAAACCAAATGGGAGAGACTAGGGATAGGCCCAACAGCCTATTTTAAGCAGCCTCCAGGTGATTCTGGTGCACATAAAGATTGAGAGCTACTATTCCTATGTATATATGGGGGTTTATTGTTTTGTTTTTGTTATTAAATTCTATTAAAAATTAATTTTCTTAGAGAAATGTTAGGTTTATAGCAAAATTACACAGAAAGTACAGAGAATTCTAGACCACCACCTGCCCCAATACATGCTTAGGCTCTTTTATCAACAACATCCTACACCTGAGTGGTACATTTGTTAAAACTGATCGATCCTCTGTGTAGTTTTAAGAATGAGGCCAGGCGTGGTGGCTCACGCTTGTAATCCTAGCACTTTGGGAGGCTGAGACTGGTGGATCACGAGGTCAAGAGATCAAGACCATCCTGGCTAACATGGTGAAACCCCATCGCTACTAAAAATACAAAAGTTAGCTGGGCGTGGTGGCAGGCGCCTGTAGTCCCAGCTACTCAGGGGGCTGAGGCAGGAGAGTTGCTTGAACCCGAGAAGAGGAGGTTGCAGTGAGCCAAGATTGCACCACTGCACTCCAACCTGGATAACAGGGTGAGACCCTGTCTCGAAAAAATGATAAATTAAAAAAAAGAATGATAAAATTTGTTTTCCTCTTTAAATCATATTTTGAACTTTTAATTTTTTTAACTGGTTAAAAAATAATCTAATGTATTAACTGCCATTTCATTACTATACCTATTACTTGTTCATCTTTTTTGCAAGTTAGAATTTATGTAATGGTAACATTGAAGTTTGAATGAGCACTTATTGGCATATAGAGCATTAGTGATATTGTGGAGGGTTTGCTGAGGACCCCAAAGATTCTTTGCATCCCCTAAGAAACTTTACTCCCAATGTCAGCCCATAACAATCAAATATGGCAATCAAAAGCAATTGTTGAATATTTTTAATGAACTAAGGTGTTCTTGTAAAATTTAGAGTTATCATTTTGGTGAAAATCTTGCTAAAGTATGATATAGTTTCTCGGTGTATCTCTCTTTAGTACTAATGGGTTAGCTGTGATATATCAGTTCTTGTGGATTTTTTAAATTAAGTTTCCGTGTTTAAATATTATAATTTCTAGTAGATGTCAGACATTATGCCAGCCTTAATAAGAAACACAGTTTCAGAGAAACCATTAAGAATTTGTCTAACTCATACAGCAGGGAATAGCATTTTATTTAATGTTTTACTGGCTCAGTATATTACATTCCAGTTTTTCAAAGGCAGAAAGATGAACCAGTATATTACATTCCAATTTTTCAAAGGCAGAAAGATGAACCTTCAAGAAGATACTTTTGAGAGTGAAAGAAGTGCTATCTATGATTACTCAGAGACAACAGGTTTAATTGGCAAGCTGGGATATAAACATACCTGACTTTTTTTTAAATTTTACTTTTTAATTAACAAATAAAAATTGTATATATATTTTGTGTACAAATGATATTTTGAAATATGTATACATTATAGAATTATTCAAGGTAATCAACATATGCATTATCCCACATACATAAAATTTTGTGGTGAGAATACTTAAAATACACTCTCAGCTATTTTCAAAGTACAATACATAAATATTTACTATAGTCTCCATGTTGTATCATAGATTTCTTGAACTCATTTCTCTTAAGTAACTGAAATTTTATATTCTTAGACCAATTTCTCCCCAACTCCTCATCCCCAGCCTCTGGTTAATCATGATACTATCTCTATCTCTATGAGCTCAATTTTTTTAGATGTCGCATGAGTGAAATCAACTTCTTTAGACGTCACATGAATGAAATCAGGCAGTACTTTTCTTTCCGTTCCTTAGCCACTCTACTTTAAATTTTTTTCTGACAGTCAAGGCTTGATTTTTAAATTTTCTTTTATATTTGTTTTTTAGTGATTCCTAGCTGTTGGGATAATGGTTGTGTTACAATAGTGGCCAGACAATATTAATCTATTTTATGTAACCTGTCAGTGTTTTCATCTTCTTGAATGGCAACTTTCATGAATACATGCTGCTAAGTTTAGATGAATCATAGAAGTGTAAAAGTAAAAGTATTTTAGTTTTTCTAAAACATGTACATTAATTATATTTAGAATCTTATGCTCTATAAGAATATATCATGTTTTACCCATAGCATATAAATACTATATTAACAAAATATTACTAGTTGAACTTCCAAAATATGAAAAAGAGATTATAAGGATAGTGATTAAGTTAAAAATAACCCCTATTAATAAGAAGGGCATATCTCATATAATCTGCAAAATAATGAACACAGTGTTGCATTCATATAGAGGAATTTTTAATTAGTTCTCATGACTGAAATCTTTTTAGTGTATTACTTTATGTTATTGATATAAATCTGTAGTGAAAAGAATATGAGATGAAGAAAGGGGAAAAAAGGCAGAAACGATGTTTTTGTTTTCACATAAAATGACTATTACTGAAGGTCAGCTTATGTAATTTATATTTTACCACTTGTAATTTATATTTTACCACTTGACATACAGAGAGTGTTTTGGGGAAATGTGGCAGAAGAGGATACTGGGCACAGAATTATAGGTACCGACTTAACAAAAACACTTTGCACTACCAATATTGTTATGTGTCCTTTATTGGAAAGGGGAAAACATTTTCATTTTATAATTCCAATTAATGGCTTATATGTTTGTTTCTGACTTAGAAGCAGATAACACACGTTTTAGGAGTTAACTGCTAGGTGTACGGTAATACAGCCGAAAGGTATCATTAAAAGTACAGAGCCAACAGAAATTGCAGTGGGCCTTATTCAGAATTTAGAATGCCTAGCGTAGTTTTTGTTCTTTTTCTTGATAGAACATGCAAATATTTATTTTTTCAGACACAGTCTCAATGCATTCTGCTATTCCTTTTAAAATGGTAAAAGGCATAACATAAAACCTACCATCTTAACAAATGTTTAAGGGCATAGCAGAACATAACAGAATATGCACATTGTTGTACCACAGATATCTAGAACATTTATCTTGCATTGCTAAAATTCTATATCTATTGAAAAGCAACTTCCCATTTCCCTCTTCCTGCAGACCCTGGCAACCACACCCCTACTTTAGGTTTGGATGATTTTGACTACTCCGGAAACCTGATATAGGTGGAATTATGCATTATTTGTCATTTTGTCACTGGCTTCTTTCACTTAGCATAATATCCTCAAATTTATCATGTTCTGCATATAGCAGAAGTCCTTTCTTTTAAAGGCTTTATAATATTCCATTGTAATATTCCATATAATCCATTCCATATATTATATATATTATATATAATATATATAACATATAAAATATATATACATATATATTACATTTTGTTTATCCATTTGTCTGTCAGTGAACATTTAGGTTGTCTCTAGCTCTTTGCTATAGTATGGAGTGCTGCAATAAACATTAGTGTAAATATGTCTTTAAAATCCTGTTTTCAATCTTTTATAATTAATACCCCAATGTGGGATTGCTGGATCATATGGTAGTTCTCTTTTTATTTTTTTCAGAATCCCTACAATACTTGAGCTATTATTACTCTTTGATTTAATTAACAATTTGCCCATCTCATATAAACTCTTGGGAAGCAGGAATTTCACCCTTCATCTGTATTTCTTTTTGGCTATTTTGCAATGAAAAAATAAAGAACGAACCTGTGAGGAAAAAGATATTCACAATGTTGTGAACAGATAACCTAAGTCAGTGGGTGACTTCAGAGCTACAAAGTATGTTTGCACTATTACAGTTTAGGATGTTGCTATGCCAGAATAGTTTCAACTACTTCTTTGTAGACACTATAATTGAAGACATGTTCATTCTTTGTGTTTTTATGCAAGTTCAATTTTATTAATAAAACAGCATTATCCCAGTGGAAAATGCTGGAAAAAAATGTGCCAAGGAACAAAGAAGAGTTGATTTCAAATCAAATTAGTCTAAGGATTTGAAGTGATGCTCTGTATTGATTTGTCTCTTAAATTTTTAGAACCTATCAATTTAATTCTTTCAACCTAGCAAATTGCTCTTTTGCATTATTTTTCAGTCTTACCAAAGGGAAAAACATAAGAAGTGAGAGGGAGATACCAAGAGAGAGAGATTAGACTGTAATAGCCTACATGCCTCTTTAATTATTTTATTTTTCTACGATAAAGGAGAATAGCATATTTCTAATGCTTTATATCTGTTAATTAATGCTATTATATTCTTAGTTTCTGACTGTCTCAAACTATTTCTGTTGATATTTTCATTTCTCTTAATGGAATAAATGTTAAAGATTTTTTTCAATACATATTAAAAATATGCTGAGAGAGAGACAAACATTAACCCTTGTAGGAATATCTTATCCTTGGATATACTCACTATGTTATAATAACAATTTATAACAATGATTGAGATTTTCAAGAATGCACTTCTTGTGCCTGCAATTATAGTAGAATGCTATTGTGTTCAAAATATCTGTGAGCATTTCTTTGCCACATAACTTTGGATAAGTAGAAAACACAATAAACATCAATTTTTAAAATACCTAGAATAGAAAATATTCCTGTGCCCTCCAATCATATATCTTATATGCAGGTTGAAACTGTTCTCAAAATCTCATTCTAAATGTCTTTGCCAACATGGTTGCATCTAAGAGACAAACATTTTAGTCAAATCTTTTCAAAAGCTAGGCAACAAATTATACCTTTCTCCCATAATGCCTCTATAATCATATACATCTAAGTAATATATTTATATCTCTCTCTGTGTAATGACTTGTTAAAGATGTTAAAAAATACTGTGCTTGATGCATGCCTAAAATAAAGATGATGCCAAAATATGAATGTTTGGAATGATTTCTAGTCTTGAGAAACCCCATCACTTCATAGAACTCCCTAGGAAAAGAGGGAAAAGAAGAGAGTTCATAATCATCCTCTCCTCTGTACATGTAACCCCCAAAATATCAGCATCCCAAATCTTTTAAAGGAATGCCTCATCTCATGACCAGCTAAGAGAGAGAATAGTGATGTATCGATTTTATTCATATTTCCTGAGTACTTTCAGCTCACTATTTATCTCATTGTTATACTTTTCTATATCTACTATAGAAGTTTTTTATGGGTACATAGTAGGTATATTTATTTATGGGGCATATTAGACATTTTGATACAGACATACAATGAGTAATAATATCAGTGTAAATGGCTTATCCATCATTTCAAGGATTTATCCTTTCTTTGTGTTACATACAATCCAATTATAATCTTTTAGTTATTTAAAAATGTACAATGAATTATTGTTGATCAGAGTCACCTTGTTGTATTATCAAATAAAACACCTTATTCATTCTATATGACTATGACTATATGACTATTTTGTACCCATTAACCATCTCTGTTTCCCTCCCTGTCCCACTATCTTTTTCAGCCTTGGTAACCATCATTCTACTCTCTATCTTTATTAGTTCAATGGTTTTAAGTTTTAGCTCCCACAAATAAGTGAGAACATGCTAAGTTTGTGTGTGTGTTCTTGGCTTATTTCACTTAACACAATGACTTCCATTTCCACTCATGTTGTTTCATATGACAGGATCTTATTCTTTTTTATGGCTGAATATTACTCCATTGCATATATGTACTACATTTTCTTTATTCATTTGACTGTTGATGGACATTTAGGTTGCTTCCAAATCTTGGCTATTGTGAATAGTGCGACAGTAAACATGAGACTGCAAATATATCTTCTGTATACTGATTTTCTCTCTTTTGGTTATATACCCAGCAGTGGGATTGCTGGATCATATGGTAGGTCAATTATTACCATAGAGGAATCTCCAAACTCTTCTCCATAGTGGTTGTACTAATTTATATTTCCAACAACAGTGTACAAGAGTTCCCCTTTCTCTGCACCCTCACCAGCATTTGTTATTGCCTGCCATTTGGATAACAGCCATTTTAACTTGGGTGAGATGATATCTCATTGTACTTTTGGATTTGCATTTCTCTGATCATTCATGTTGAGCACATTTTCATATACTTGTTAGCCATTTTATGTCTTCTTTTGAGAAATATCTATTCAGAATCTTTGCCTATTTTTAAATCAGGGTATTATTTTCTATGGAGTTGTTTGAGCTCTTTATATATTCTGGTTCTTATTTCCTTGTCAAATGGATAGTCGCAAATATTTTCTCCCATTCTGTGAGATGTCTCTTCACTTTGTTGATTGCTTTCCTTTGCTGTGCAGAAGGTTTTTAATTTGATGTGATTTCATTTATTAATTCTCTCTTCGGTTGCCTGTGTTCGTGGGGTATTATTCAAGAAATCTTTGCCCAGTTCTACATGCTAGAGAGTTTCCTCATTTTTTTCTTTTAGTAGTTTTATAGTTTGAGGTCTTAGATTTAAGTTTACAACTCATTTTTATTGGATTTTTGCATATGACAAGAGATAGGGCTCTAGTTTCATTCTGCATACGGATATCCAACTTTCCTAGCACCATTTATTAAAAAGAGTTTTCTTTTCCCAATGTATGTTTTTGGCACCTTTATCTAAAATGAGTTCACTATAGATAACTAGATTTATTTCTGGGTTCTCTATTATGTTCCACTGGTATAGCGCTCTACTTTTAGGCCAGTACCATGCTTTTTTGGTTACTGTAGCTTTGTAGTATAATTTGAAATGAGGTAATCTGATTACCCCAGTATTTGGGTTTTTTTTTTTTTATCCCCTTTTGCTCAGGAGAGCCTTAGCTATTCTAGGTTCTTTGTGATTCCATATACATTTTAGAATTTTTGGATTATTTTTTCTATTTCTCCAAAGAATGTCATTGATATTTGGATATGAACTATGTTGAATCTCTAGATTGCTTTGAGTAGTATGGACATTTTAACAATATTGATTCTTCATAAACATGAAATATCTATTTTTTGTATCCTCTTAAATTTTTAGCATCAATGTTTTATAGTTTTCTTTGTAGATATCTTTGATTTCTTTGGTTAACTTGATTTCTAGGTATTGTATTTCATTTGTAGCTATTTTAAATGGGCCTTCTCTGAGTTCTCGTAACTCTGCTTTTAATTTTGCTTCAATTACTTTATTAAATGTGTTTAAAAATAATTGAGTTTTTATTTTTATTTATTTATTTTTTTAGAGTCTTGCTCTGTCTCCCAGGCTGGAGTGCAATGGCACAATCTTGGCTCACTGCAACCTCCACCTCTCAGGTTCAAGTGAGTCTCCTGTCTCAGTCTCCTGAGTAGCTGGGATTACAGGTGCCCGCCACCACACCTGGCTAATTTTTGTATTTTTAGTAGAAATGGGGTTTTGTCATTTTGGCCAGGCTGGTCTCCAACTCCTGGCCTCAAGCAATCTGTCCACCTTGACCTCCCAAAGTGATGGAATTACAGGCGTGAGCCACCGTGCCTGGCCAATTGAGCATAATTTTTATCTTCTTCTTGACAATATGCATTTCTTCTATTTGATATTATTCATCTACTATCCATTTATTTTTTAACTCTTCTCCTCCTTTTTTGTAACATTATACAGATCCTGTATTGCTTTGTTTGTGATTGCTCATTGAAGAAAGAGTGGTAAATTTGTAGTTTATGTGGAGAACTGTGTTCCAAACTAAAAGGTTTCTCCTATGACGGTAAGGTTTTCATCTGTTGGCTCATGAGTGCTTAGTTTCACTGAATAATGGAAATGAGCAGCAGCAGCATTGTTCGCAATGCAAAGTCTCTCTTATCCCCAGAGCCACAGGGACATATTCATATGACTCCATGTTTTGTACCTTCTACAATGTTTCTCTTAGCCTGTCACTTTTGAAAAGTTGCATCATTAGGTGTTTTTTATATGAAAAGTTTTGGGAAATTATTTTGGCTTCCTCTTGCAGAAACCTCTAGATGAATATCCTTATTTTTCCAAACCGTCCTAATTTATAGTTTAGTACCTCCTATGCACTGAATGTTTGTGACCCCCAAAATTCATATGTTGAAATTGAATCCCAATGTGATGGTCTTGTTTGTGGCTCCTTTGGGAAGTAATTAGATTGTGAGGAGCAGTCCCTCATTAATGGGTTTAATGTCCTTACAAGAAGAGGCCAGATAGATAGCTGGCTCTGTTTCCATCATGTGAGGATACAAGAAGAAAACAGCACTTTGCAACCTGGAAAAAGGCCCACACAGGGGCTCAACCATGTTGGCATGTGGATCTTATAAATTCCAACCTCCAACCTCAGAACTGTGAGAAATACATTTTTATTGTTTATAAGGACCCCAGTCTGTGATACTTTGTGATAGCAGCCCATACTTACTAAGACAAAATCTTAGATGTCTAATTTATATTTTGCTTCTTTTTGTCATTTTTTGCCTTGAAATAATTTCTTCCAACAGTAGACAAATCAAGTTAATGCCTTCATTCAACTGGAAGTCCCCCATTCAGTTATTATGATACCATTCTTGCTGGGGTTTTTTTTTTTTTTTTTTGGTCAAAATGTACAGTAGCTTATTTTAGATATTATTCATCTCCCTATCTTTCAAACAAATGAAACATTGCTTCTTTTTGGGAACTTCAGGATCTGCCATTGATTTTATAGGACAAAAATGCATATTAAAATGTATCTGAACCCTGTATATGACCATTATCTTTTTTTCTGAAGAAATTTTTAAACATTTTCCCCCATAAATTTAATTATGTTATTGTTATCTAGTTTTTCTTTAATCAGGTGCAATACATATAATAACATTAACCTTTTTAAAGTAAATAATTCAGTTCCATTTAGTACATTCAGAAGGTTATTCAACCTATAGCACTATCTAATTCCAAAATATCTTATCACCCTCCCCCCACCAAAATCTTGTACCCATTAAACAGTCATTCTCCATTTCTTATTTCCCCTGGATCTTGGCAACCATCAAACTATTTTTGTGTCTATGGGTTTACCTACCTTGGATATTTTACATAAATGAGAAGATAATTACCTAGTTTTGAAACCACTGTTATTCAAAAAATATTTTGAAAATTATTTTTTAGATGCCATTGGCCTGGGTGCCAGGACCTCTGCATTTAACTCTTGATTCTTGCAGGGACTGGTGCATAAATTAACACAAATGGCAAATTCTTTAATTTCATTTCAACTGCAACCCAGTATATTTCTGTTAATTAATAAGAATCGCCTATAGACAACAAGTGCAACTGAGTTTTCTATTCATAACAGGATAACATTATTAAGCATGTACTTATTCTCTCCATAAAATATTATGTCTTTACACCTTTATAAGATTAAAAGAATGAATAGATGATGATCATAATTATTACCTTTATAGAATTATCTTTATAGTATTTACAAAAATTCTGCCAGTAACTTTTTTAACATTACCAAAATAGAGTTGGTAATTCTGGTTTGAGGAATTTTCCCAAGCCCTTATGATTCAGGGGTGGCAGAGCTTAAATTCAAACCCATGTCTTCCTGGGAACAATGAAATAACTTTGCAATATTCAACATTTTTCTTTTATTGGCATCTACTGTCAACAATTAGACACCTGTAAATAATAAGTGCAAATACAGCTCTGATAACATGCAAAGCCCATCTCTTTCTAGAGCATTCTGCCTTTTGCCTATAAGCTTCCAAATAATGCATTATACCGAACTCCAAACAGAGTAATGTAATGAATTTGATGGTAATCACAGTGATACTAATAACCATTAGCATTCAATTGATATTACACAATATTACATACATATATACACATACTCATATATAGAAATTTATGGCTTACAAAAATCACTTAATATTAATACTTTGTTTTATTTAATATTTAAACATTTAGTTTGATATTTGATAAATAAAATATTAAATAAAAGCAGGAGATAATTATGTTTCTATGCAAAAAAAAAGTCAAAATGTTGTCCATATAAACCAATAAACAAAATAATATAAAATTGCAAGGAGTTTTAAAATATTATTGCTAAATTATTTCTACATATGGCATATTTAATTTGAGATGTAACATCACATTTATTAAAACCCCCAAAATCCATTGTATTTCTAGCAAATCTCTGCAAAAGGTATAGTACATGGAATTATAGTTTGATATTTTTGGGTAAAATTTTGGTTTTTGAAACTTGATCCAGATTGTTTTGATTTTTGCTGTTGTTATTACTGCATTTAAAAATTTAGTTTCCTTAGAAACTTGCAAACACATACCTCTGTTTCAAAAATATACTTTGCCCCCAATTTCTTCACAGCAGCTTATAAAACTGTTGATCTTATCAAAATGGTAATATATAATTATTTTCTTAGAGGGGTAAATTGAAGTACAGAATGCAAAGGATGATTAAAACTATAATTTGACCACAGATTTACATAATTTAATTGCTAAAGGTGTAATTGCATTAGAGTATTCTCTAAAATTAAGAGGTTTATCTGCTCATGTCTTTTAAAGCGTATAGGTACTACATAATAATATAAATGATTGAAAATAAAAAGTCATTGTGAAAAGCTGCAATTTGAAAGAAAAAATAAAGTTTAAATTGCATATAACGTATACATAAATAAATCTCCTTTAAATATTCTAAATATCTTCTTTTGAGAATTGTCTATTCATGTATTTTGCCCACTTTTTGATGGGATTGTTTGATGTTTTCTTGCTGATTTGTTTGAGTTACTTGTAGTTTCTGGACATTAGTCCTTTCCTGGATGCATAGTTTGTTAATGTTTTCTCCCACTCTGTAGGTTATCTCTCTATTCTGCTGATTATTTATTTTGCTATGCAGAAGCTTTTTAGTTTAATTAGGTCCTATCTATTTATCTTTGTGTTTGTTGCATTTGCTTTTGGGTTCTTGGTCATGAACTCTTTGACTTAGCCAATGTCAAGATGAGTTTTTTTGACGTTATCGTTGAGAACTGTTATGGTTTTAGGTCTTACAGTTACGTCTTTGATCCATCTTTGATGGATTTTTTGAGTTGATTTTTTTATAAAGTGAGAGATGAAGATCCAGGTCCATTCTCTACCTGTGGCTTGCCAATTATCCCAGCACAATTTGTTGAATAGGGTGTCCTTTCCTCACTTCATGTTTTTGTTTGCTTTGTCAAAGATCAATTGGCTGTAAATATTTGGCTTTATTTCTGGGTTCTCTATTCTCTTCCATTGGTCTATCTGCTTGTTTTATACTAGTACCTTACTGTTTTGGTAACTATAGCCTTGTAGTGTAGTTTGAAGTTCGGTAATGTGATGCCTCCAGATTTCTTCTTTTTGTATAGTCTTGCTTTGGCTATGTGGCTCTTTCTTGGTTCTATATGAATTTTAGGATTTTTTTTCTAGTTCTGTGAAGAATGATGATGGTATTTTGATGAGGATTGCATTGAATTTGTAGATTTCTTTTGGCAGTATGGTCATTTTCACTATATTGATTCTACCAATCCATGAGCATGGTATATGTTTCCATTTGTTTGTATCATCATTGATTTCTTTCAACAGTGTTTTGTAGTTTTTCTTGTAGAGATCTTTCACTTCCTTAGGTATATTCATAAGTATTTTTTTTTTGCAGCTGTTGTAAAAGGGATTGAGTCTTGATTGAGTACTTGATATTGGCCGCGGGTTTGTCATAGATGGCTTTTATTACTCTGAGGTATGTCCCTTCTATGCAAATTTTGCTGAGGGTTTTAATCATAAAAGGATGCTGGGTTTTTTTCAATGCTTTTTCTGTGTCTATTGAGAGGATCATATAATTATTGTTTTTAATTCTGTTTATGTGCTATATTGCATTTATTGACAGGTATTTTGAACCATCCCTGCATCCCGAGTATGAGACCCACATGATCACGGTGTATTCTTTTTGATATGACGTTGGATTCAGTTCACTGGTATTTGGTTGAAGGTTTTTGCATCTATCTTCTTCAGGGATATTGGTTTGCAGTTTTCTATTTTTGTTACCTCCTTTCCTGGTTTTGGTATTAAGGTGATACTGGCTTCATAGAATCATTTAGAAGAACTTCCTCTTTCTCCATCTTATGGAATAGAGTCAATAGGATTGGTACCAATTCTTCTTTGAATGGCTGATAGAATTCAGCTGTGAATCCGTCTGGTCCTGGACTTTTTTGTGGGCATTTTTTAATTACTATTTCAATTTTGCTACTTGTTATTGGTCTGTTCGGAGTTTCTATTTCTTCCTGATTGAAAATGTTTACCTTATGCACACAAACCAGAAAATCCAGAGGAGATAAATTCATGAAAATATTCAATCAGGAGATCTGTGCATATTCAGTCATGAGATTGTGCATAGTAGCCTTGAGTGTGTGCATAGTAGCCTTGAATGATCTTTTGTATATAAATGGCAAACAAACATACGAAAAAATGCTCAACATTACTGATTATTAGGGAAATGCAAATTAAAAACACAATGAGATACCATCTTACTCCTGCAATAATGGCCATAATTTAAAAAATAAAAAAAAATAGATACTGGTGTCTATGTGTTGAAAAAGGAATACTTTTACACTGCTAGTGGAAATATAAACCAGTACAACCACTATGAAGAACAGTATGGAGATACCTTAAAGAACTAAAAGTAGAAATACCATTTGATCCAGCAATCCCACTACTGGATATATATCCAGAGGAAGAGAAGTCATTACATGAATAAGACACTTACACACACATGTTTATAGCAGCACTGTTTGTAATTGCAGAAATATGAAACCAGCTTAAATATTCATCAACCAATGAGTAAAAATATAGTATATGTAAATATAATATATATATAGTATGTGTGTGTGTATATATACACAGCGCATGTGTGTATATATACAGTACATGTATAAACACAGTGTGTATATATATATATACATATATATATACACACACACATACCTACACACACACACACACACACACACACACACACACACACAGGAATACTACTCAGCCATAAAAACAAATAAAATAATGGCATTCACAAAGACCTGGGTGGCGTTAGAGACCATTATTCTAAGTGAAGTAACTCAGGAATGGAAATGGAAAACCAAATATCATATATTCTTACTTATAAGTGGGGGCTAAGCTATGAGGATACAAAGGCATAAGAATGACATAATGGACTTTGGGCACCTGGGGGGAAAGGTGGGAGGGAGTGAGGGATAAAAGACTATACATTGGGTACAATGTATACTGCTCTGGTGAGAGGTGCACAAACATCTTAGAAATCACTGCTAAAGAAATTATCCATGTAACCAAACACCACCTGTTACCCAAAAACTACTGAAATAACATATAATAAAATAAAATAGTCTGAATATATAGAATTTTATTAAAATATAAATGTTCATTAAAATATTTATAATAACCACATTAGAGATAAAAGTTATTGTCCTATTATTAATTGGATAGTCCATATAATGCTCTTGACTACTTTTGATGACCAAAAAATTATAATTAAATTTGTCTAGGTCATTTGGCCAAAAGATATTATTAATAAGTTAATATCTAAATTTACTTAGTTACAAAAACTAGTATTTATTTTCCCATACTATACTCTCCTTTAAGATGCCACTTTTAAATTCTGCCAGTCAGAAGCAGTCTACTTTTAATAAATGTGTGTATATTTTTTCATTTGATAACAATGCCCACAAATTGACATTTGAGTTTAAATAAATTCAACCTCTAACAACGCTTCTTCTCTTGTCCAACCTTAGAAAGAATCTGGTGATTGATCTTTAAAGTCATATAATAGCTTGAATGTAAGATTCTAATAGTCTTGCGACATTTCACAGTCTATTTTATAGCACAATTGTTGCTACTCATGCCTTATTTCCTCTACTAAGCTAAATTCTCTGAGGCTGGGGTCATGCCTAATTCATTTTTATATCACTTGTGGTGCTTCCTATGAAGCTTGGCACATAATAGTCACTTCGAATATGCTAATTGATTTTCATGTTTGTGCCCTACTGAGTTCAAACTGTTCAACAACCAGTTAACAAATTTTATTTAAAACATGCCTAGGAAAAGCACCATTTTAAAATTATAGTACAGATAAACAGATTTATAGTGGTATGACAGGAGCTAAAAAATGCTTAAATGCTATTAAATTTTTTCATCTCTAATATTTAACATTTTAAGTTCTCCAAAACATCCCAATTATTGGCATTAAGGAATTTGATCCTCATGCTTCTTGATTTTAAGGCTGAGCTCAATGCCAGTGAGCAAGTCACACTGGCATTGACTGGCAGGAACTCAGGAGAAAAGGAAAGCCTGCTTACTTTTTCTAAATCTGCAGGACTTCTCTGCTATAAATGGCTCACTGTGAAGTCTGTGTCCTTGGTCTTTGTCCTTTGTGGATAAGGTTTCAATGACTTCCAGGAATCAGAGACATATGAACATGTATTGAAATAAATTTCTTAAAAACGTTGTCAAATCTAAACCAGAAACTTTTAATCTATTCCTTTCTAGTTTTAGTTGTTGCTATTCCAAAAAAAAAAACAGGAATTGCTGATGAAATGGTCATAAGTCAACACTTAAAAGAGATGGGGTGTAAAAAATTCAATATATAAAAACAATTGATAATTTCTCTCTTCAGCACTCAGAAAGAAGGCGGTAATTTCTAAGGCTGTAATGACACTGTAGATGTAAGGCTCTAATTATGTGTGCCATAGCACACTATTTTATATTACAATTGTTGCAACACATGCCTTATTATTAATAATACTTAATACTTGTATTAAGCTAAATTCTCTAAGCCTAGGGCCATATCTTTTAGGAGTCCATATATTTTGATTTGTGTACTAGTTCAATTTAGCTAAACTGAGCTATTCCCCAAATCCCTTTCCCTGTGTGATGACAGGTTAGGTTTGAGTTGGAAGTCAGAGTGTGGCAGGAACCATCTGGCTCTGAAGATCAATGATGAGCACCAGGACCTATTGAATTTCTCCCTGTTGACCCTGATGTGCTGTGTCACATTGGAGCATTAGGAAGCAGCCACGTATAATTGCTTAATGTCCCAATGGACACCCTCCTTCAACAATGTCTTGGGACAGGTTTGCATGTAGCACCATGGCAAAGAGTGCCTGCAGTGAGTGAAGGATACAAATTTCATTTTATCTTCTTGAATTCTATTTTATCTTCACTCACCTCTGCTTCACTTGGGACATTTCTTCTTGGCACTAGCCCACAGTTCTAGAGCAAATTCAGGTCCTCCACCAATTACAGAAACCATAGGTTCTCACAGAATCATTTTTAAAAAAATAACTCAAAAATTATACACTCTTTAATGAGTACCTTATGCCATATCTTTCACAGTGTTTCTACCTCCTTGATCACACCCAAATTGACATGAGTAAATACTGATATCCCAAGCATGTTGTCTGTTTAATAAACATGCTAGTTTTGTGCTGATATAGCCACAAGCATCTGAAAATGTCTCTTACTTCACTGAAAGCAAATTCTGTGCAAAAACATATTTTCCTTAAAAGACTATTCGTTAACAGCCTAGTTCATGCAGTAAAGGGAATCTAAGATGATACGGAAATTTTTAAAATTTATGTCATGCCTATGTCATTCTCGATTTTCAAGCTAATTTTATGTGCATCCTTAAGCAACATTATCAGAAATATTCTGGGAAAATAAAGATTCTATTTGGGCTGCCTTAAAATGTCTTTGATTTCATAATTGTAAAACAGTCAAGTAAGCAAAATAAATGGCTGTTATTAGGCAACTCTGTTTCTAAGGAATCAGACATTAATGGTAATGAACCATCAGCAATTGCAGAAAAAAATAACACTTAAAATATATCCCGAATAAATTGAATACATACTAATGCATACTTGTAAACCAATATTTTTCTAGAAATTACATCTATCATATCTCACATTTTTCTTACAACTCTGACAAATAGGTCATCATTATGACATTTGCTGCATTTGGCTGTCAGTCTGATTCTTAACCCTGAGTTCTTTATGATCTAGTGAATTTTCATTCTACTATCAACAATGTTAAACTTTTTAATATTAGAAAAAAAGTGGAAAATATTTAATTATCTCAATTGATTCTACATTGTAGTTAACCAAAGGTATACTAGGATACGATATCAATGCCTCAAACCATATTTCCATCACCTACTTCTCTCTTAGACATATTTACATATTTTAACTCACGAACAGATAGGAATGTGAAATGACATTGCATATGTATAAATCAGATAAATCTTTGATTTCAATTATATTTGCAAACATCAATTAGCTTGATGATATATTAATGCATACCTGATGAAATTTGCCATGTGTTAAAAATTCAAAAGTGTATGATTTCTGGAAAGATACATAAATGCTATATTTTGTTTTAAAGCTATGAAAATGAGAATTATTTTGAAATTGATGTATGCATTTTAATATATCCATTTAATTTCCAAAGTCTTAAAAATTGAATGGCAACTAAATTCAAATGTTTTGAAGTTATCCATAAATTCAGAAAACAAAGATATTGGATGGTAATTTGAAAAACACCTACCTTTAAATGTCTTTTAAGACTTTTTTATAATCATTAAAACATTAAATAAGCCATAAAAAAAGAACTCTCTGGTGTATTTATTTGTAGTTTTTACCATTCACATTGCTTTGCCATAAGCGCAATTTAACTTATAAAGTGAGCTTTAGCATGACTAAAATAAAATTAAACTGAAAAAAAGTAGCAAAACTTTAAATGTAAGAAATTAGAGTTCAAATAATTGAGTATGTGTAGCTGAGAACAGAGCATTAAAGTGCTATTTTCAAGTATTTAAAAAGAATATTTAGATAAAATATCAAAGGAAGAAATAAAAGCTTTATATGAATGAAAGTAAATTTAAACAAATCTTACATATCCCATTATTGTTAATGGCATTGCCATCTTAGTCAAATTTTTAAAAATATTATACTAATGCAACACATGTAATTTTGAAACATACTCATTGATTTGACTTAGGCATGCCACTGAAATAAGACATATCTCAAGGACTTTAAATATTAAAAATAAAATAATCTGTAGCTTGGGCTTTCACTATCAAATAATTAAAATTTCTTCCTTTTTTAGCCAACTTTCTTACCGAACTTTAGAAGAGTCTATATGCTTGGAAATATGAGTGCAGTATTAATCTTCCTTTACTAAGTAAAAGGAAAGATAGACTGTTGATCACAAACATCACATACAGAGTGTAAATTCCATAGGTCTAACTTTAAAAAATATATATGTAAATGAGTTTTAAAACTAAAAAACTATTTTTTAGATTTTTACAGATTGCTATTTACAGATTTACAGATCGCTATTTACAGATTGCTTTTCTTTTATATCAATTCTGAGACACAACCCAGTATATAATCATTCACCATGCTATGGGTTTTCAAATCTAAACAAAATTTTGTTTTCAATGAATTTACTGAAATTAAACAAAAGCCACTGATTTTTAGCATTAATTTTTCTTAGTTAACAATATATTTAATTTTCTTAGTTAACAATTTATTTAATTTTAAATGTATTTAACATTTATTATTATATTGTTTTCTTTGCTTACTTTGGGAATGCTATATATTATTATTGATCATAAATACTATTCTAAAAAAATTTCAATCCTAATATCATACTATTAAAATGGTTGGCTGTTATATATCTTACAAGAAACTGCTTTTTGTTTTTGTTTTTAAACAGTGTGGCACTTTAAAATAGATGTAATAAATTTTAAAATAAAATTATTTTCACATTATTTCAAGCCTCAAGGAAAAGTTCTCAAGGTAATAAAGCATCTTCCCTCTAAGCACTCAAAATATTTTACAAGTACACTCATTAAACTTTATGTTATCATGTCATATTGGTACATGATGGGTATAATGATGACATTTATTTTCAGGTGAAAAGTCCCATCAAGAGGGCTCCAAATGATATGCTCCTCTCCAGACTGCAAATCAGGGTCAGAATTAAGATAAATTGCACTTACTTTTTTCAGATTTTTTTTCAGTCCATTTAATCTTGATACTTTTCTGCCAGTATGTAGTTTTCATTATTGTTATGTAATTTTCTGGCACATAGTTCTAATGATTCTTTACATCTCCAAAAATTGTAATTAAAAATAAAATAAAATTTATTTTATAAATCTTTAATTTTGTGTATTATGAACTAAATTTCTACTATTTCTGAATACAGATTAAATAATGAATTATATACACAACAAAAACTTCGATTATAGTTCATTTAAATTTAATTTTATTAAGAAAACATATCCAAGTCACCACACTATGATGAAGTAATATTTGAAATCAGTAGGATTGGTCAAGGAAACTATTTTTTAGTTACTCTAATTGCAATGAATATGGAAGAAGATTTTTTTTTATTTGTGTATTACAGGAAAAGAAAGCATAACCAATTAACAACTGCCTTGCTTTCAGGCTTTCTTGGGACACAGTTATGTAACATTTCATAACTCTGTAGGGTTTTAATGAAGGGAATAATAGTATTATTCCCTATGGGCAGGGTATACTTAACAGAGCATTTAATCTTACAGTGTTTTAGGATGATATAACAGCAACTGTAGTGTAACTACATTTTTTGAGTCATTTATCAGACCAAAGCTGCACAACACTATAAAGCTCTTGACATAATACTGTCAAGGAACTTGTATAGATTTACCCATGTGACAGGTGAACGAAATTCATTAGGTTATATATATACATTTCTTGATCTGCTTTCTGAAGGTTCAGATTAATGCACTTTTATATTGATGTTTCATGAACAAAAGAATAAAAATACTACACTACTCTTAAAATACAATACAAAACAAACAAAATGCTATCTTTTCTTTTTAAATATTTCTTCAAAATATTGATACTAGTACTTATTTTTTTATGGGAGTTCAGACTACTTAAATTCTGTTATATTGGGTTGATTTACGTGGCCCTCTTCCTCTGCACTGTGGTCTCATTAAAATGTAGGATCATAGAGGTCTCCACTAGAATAAGTTTTGATGTTACTTTATCAATTACCATCAAAAAGTCCCTGTTTAATTTGATAAGCAAAATTATATACTAATAGGGTAGCATCCTAGTTTCCAGCAAGAGTATGTTTCCTGGTGAACCAATAATATTACACATTCAGAACCTTTTTGGAATGTTTATTTTAGCAAGTTTTTGTCTTTATTCTCTAATTCACCCTTACTATGTGTCTTCCTCAGACTTATTCCAGAGAATACGGATTATGGTTTCTAATATTTTCTCTTAAATTTCAGAACTGTGACAATTTTGTAACACAGATCTAAGATATCACCAATCATGGTTTTATACATTCTTACTAATTTTTATTTTGTAGTAAGAGTTGACCATTGCCATCTACTTTAAAAATAATAATATTCTAGCATTCAATTGAGTTTTAGAATTTGCATTTTCTTGGCTACTTATTAATTAGAGCACCATTTACTATGCATTTGCTAGCAAAAATATACTTACTATATATTGTCCATATATTTAATAGGTTGTTTTTTGCTTTTTTTTCTTGTCAACATGTAAGGTTCCTCATATATTAATCAGGTTCCCCAGATATTTGCCCAATGCCTTATGACTGTCCCATGTCTATCTTTAGCAGGTGCCTATGTTTATGGTGACTTTTGCCAGACACAAAATTCATTCCTTTCCAATTTCAATGTCCAGTGTTAAGGACCACTGATTGTGATTCCTTACTATGGATTTCAGTGCCAGAATCAGCTTTCTGAAGGAATTGCCATTAAAGCAGTATTTCTCAAAATAGCTTATTAACTAATTTCCTGCAGGCTGATATATTTCCCCTGCTAAAAATACAGTAATATTTTTAATTCAAGTCTGAGCATGATGATCTGTCTTAAAATCCCTCAATGGCTTTTTATTTTTGTTAGGATAAAGGCCCAAGTCCATGATCTTGTTCAAAAGGCCTGACAGAGTCTAGTTCCCAGCTGATGTTACTGCCTCTCTTCAGGACAGGTTTTTCCTGCACTCTGGTCTGTTAAATGTTATCTTCCCCTAGATCCTCACTTCCTCCAATCCCTTTCTAGCTCCCAACTTAAATACCATTTTCCCAAAAGAGTCTTCTCTTCCCTCTCAGACTTGGCTATGTACCTCACTAAACTTTCTCAGAGCCTACTTAGCCTTTTTATCTCTGGCTCCAATTGGGATGGTCGAATTATTCACATAATTATCTCCTCATGAATTTTGATTCTTCTAGACTATTGGTATCATAAGAGCAAAAAGATCATCTGCCTTTTTCCTCCTTGAGTCACTTCTTGCTGGTACCTGGTCAATATTTAGTGGAATAAATAAGGGGACATTCGATGTGTATTTATGTAAAATGTTGTATCTGTGCCCCTTTCCCCAGTAACACTCTTTCTTAGTTTTCCCATAATCTCCTTAATACCAACTTTCCATCTTGTTACATTTAGTCCTTTGTATACTGGAGAAAAGAAACTATGTCTTGTAATTTAACATTGTTACTCAGCACTTAGATAAATAAATTAATTAATGGTACAGAGTAGACATTTAATTCTAAGGATGAAAACAGAATTCTGACCAAAAAATCCACCCTCAAAAATGATGTATATTTGTCTATCAAACTACTCTGCTCTCTATGTAATATTCTATACAGTCTAAAATAGTGAAATTAATTCCAAAGCCTGATTTGTTCTATACTTTTGAAAAATCACTCTTTATTTATTCAATGCATAGTATTTAACATTTCAACAATTTAACATAAATGTCATATCAATCACAATATGGAATATTTGAGAACAATCTTACAGGTAATTTTGAATTCAGTCTTTGGTAAGTGGAGTCTCCTACTGTAGATGAATTTATAAAGTTTTATTTGTAATAATCTAAAGATTAATTTGATGACAACCTATGTGTTGAGAAATGTACTATGTGGCAGGCCTCAGTGTTCCAATTTTTTCTTCTCTTAAAAAAAAGAAGCATATATTGTATTAATAGGCAAGATCCAATTATTAAAAATGATTAGTTAGAAATTATGCAATAAATACAAGAGATTTGTACTACTAACTTTTGGTTTATTGGTTATCTCTATTATTTTTCTATTATCTATTTTATTTATCTCACTATACTCTTTGTAATTTTTTTTTCTGCTAGCTTTGGGTTTAGTTTTTTTCTAGTTCCTTAAGAAGTAAAGTTCCAATCAATGACAGACTGGATGAAGAAAATATGGCATATACACCATGGAACACTATGCAGCCATAAAAATGAATAAGTTCACGTCCTTTGTAGGAACATGGATGAAGCTGGAAACCATCATTCTTAACAAACTAACACAGGAACAGAAAAACAAACACCGCATGTTCTCACTAATAAGTGGGAGTTGAACAATGAGAACATATGGACACAAGGAGGGGAACATCACACATGAGGGCCTGTTGTGGGGTGGGGGACAAAGGGAGGGAGAGCATTAGGACAAATACCAAATGCATGCAGGACTTAAAACCTACATGACGGGTTGATGGGTGCAGCAAATCACCATGGCACATGTATACCTGTGTAACAAACCTGCACGTTCTGCACATGTATCCCAGAACTTAAAGTAAAACTAAAAAAAAAAAGAAAGAAAGAAAATTGGAAGAGTTCCAATAAAAAAAGCCAGGAAGTTACATTATTCATTTGAAATCTTTTTTTAAAATGTACACTTATAAATTTCTAAGGACTGTATTTGCTGCATCCCATAAATTTGGGTATATTTTCATTTGTATTTATTTCTATATAATTTCCAGTTTATCTTGTGATTTCTTCTTTGATCCATTGATTATGTTGTTTAATTTCCAGGTATTTGAGAATTTTCCAGTTTTTCTTCTGTGACTTATTTCTAAATTCATCCTATTTGGGTCAGAGAAGATATTTTGCATTATATCTATCTTTTAAAATCTATTAAGACATGTTTTGTGAAGTAAAATGTGGTCCATTATAGAGAATGTCCCATGTGCACTTGAGAGGAATGTGCATTCAGCTGTTGTTACATGAAGTGCTCTAAATATGACTGTTATTGCTTTACAGCGCTGCTTTATGGTGCCACTCAAGTCCTCTATTTTCTACCAATGCTCTCTCTAAAAGTTCTATTATTCAAGTGGTTTATTAATGTCTCAAACTCTTATTATAGAACTGTCCATTTCTCCCTTTGACTCTGTAAATGTTTGCTTCATATATTTTAACGTTCTATTGTTTTTGTGTATATATTTATAATTATTATACTGTTTAATGAATTGATGACCATGTTATCTATAGAATTTTTTTGTCTCTTGTAATGGTTTTTGATATAAAGTCTATTTTTTTCTGCCACCCCACTCTTTTTTCATTGTTATTTGCATTAAATGTCTTTTTTCATCCTTTCACTTCCAATCTATTTGTGTCTTTGATAAAAAGCATCTTGTAGACAGCATAGTGTTGAATTATTATTTTTTCTATTGTGCAAATCTCTGTCTTTTGTTTGGAAAGTTTAATATACTTACATTTAAAGTAATTACTGATAATAAAAGACCTAATTCTAGCATTTTTAATTTTTGTATGTCATATACCATTTTTATTCCTCATTTCCTCCTTTACTGTCTTTTGTGTTTTTATGATTTATTGTAATAAACCATTTTATTCATTTATTATTTCCTTTATGTATATTTTTAGATTTTTGTTGACATTGTATTTAAAATCATACATTTATAAAAATCTAATTCAAATTGATGACAACCAAAATTCAGTATCATACAAAAACTTTCTTCTCATACTGCTCAACCCCCCCCTTTATGTTTTTGTTGTTACAAATACATCTTTATATATTTTATAGCTCTTATAGATTTATAATTATTTTTACACCTTTGTCTTTTAAATCCTGTATGAAATAAAAAAATAAAGTTACAAACCAAAATATGTATAATACTGGTGTTTGTATTTGTCCATGTATTTACGTTTACCAGTGACATTCATATGGCTTTGAGTTACTGTCTCATATCCTATCATTTCGACCTGAAGAACTGCTCATGGCATATTATGTAGGGCAGATATAGTGGTAATGAATTCCCTCAAGCTTTTATCTATCTGGAAATGTCTTGATTTCTAATTCATATTTGAAGGACAGTTTTGCCAGATAGAGGATTATTGATTAACTGTTTGTTTTTCTGGTAATTTACATATATTACGCCAGTGTCATTCAGCCACCATAATCTGATGAGAAACTGGCTGTGAATCTTATTGAAGATCCCTTGTATATGACAAGATGTTTCTCTTTTGTTTTTATAATTCTTCCTTTATCTTTCTAGTTTGATTATAGATTAATTATAATGTGTATTGGTGCAGATCTCTGAGTTTATTTAACTTGGAGTTTGTTGAGATTCTTGGATTCATAAATCCATATATCTTACTAAATTTGGGAGGCTTTTGGCCATTATTTTTTCAAATATCATGTCTGTCCATTTTTTCTTCTCATTCTGGAACACCCATACTGTGTATATTGTTCTTTTTATTGTGTGCCTCAGATCTCTTAAGCTCTGTTCACTTTTTTCATTATTTCATTTTTTTCTGTTCCTCAGAATTAATCATTTCAATTCTCCTCTTTTAATGTTTGCTATGTTTTTTTCTGCCTGCTTAAATTCACTGTACAAGCTTTCTAGTAAATTTTTCTTTTCATTTCTTTTATTGCAGCTCCAGTACTACTGCTTCATTTCTTTTTGTAATCTATTTCTTATCAACTCTCTCATTTTGCTCATGCACCATTTTTTTCTGATTTGTTTCTATGTTTTGTCTATGGTTTCTTTGAGCTCTTTGAGAATATATAAGACAACTGCTTTAAAATATTTGTCTAGTAAGTCCCATGTCAGTATTTTCTTAGGAATGCTTTCTATCAATTTATTATTTTTTCTTTTAATGGGCCATGCTTTCCTCTTTCTTTTCATCCCTTGTGATTTTTATTTTTGTTTACATCTGAGTATTTGAAGATTATAATGCCCAAATATTGGAAATAAGGTTTTTCCACTTCTCTGGGATTTCTGGCTTAGGGATTTTTGATTTATATCTCTTGTGTTGCTTTTGATTATTGAAAGCTGTATTCATCCGTTTATTTTGGGAGTTTCCAAAATTATTTTTTTCTGAAGACTGTATTTCTTATTATGTGTGGACATTAAAGTCTCTGTTACTTAACTTCTGGTCATGTGTGGACATTTCTTATCATGTGTGGACAGTAAAGTCTCTGTTACTTAACTTCCAGTGCTTTGACAGAGATTTCTTCAAACACTGGGTACTAAAAATAATAAAACAAACAAACAAAAACCTTTATTCAGTCTTTGCAGATTCTCTGTCTTGGGCACTCATTCAACACTGAGGTTAGGGATCGGCCTGATGTGAAAGCTTAGGATCCTCCAAGGTCTTTACTGAGAATGCCTCTTGCTGTGAGCATGCTTGTGGGCTTCCAAATTTCCCCATTTAGAGAGATGGTTTTGAATGTTTTAATTTCCCACAGAAATTTTTTCCAGCTCTTGCTCATGGGCTTTAAGCAGTCAAAACATACAATAATCTTTTGTCTCATGTATCTGTGGGTTTTCATTTGACTTACAAAATTTTCAAATGATTCTCACCTCTCTTCTGGCCTGAGTTCTTTTGGGACACTGCTTATGAATTTCATAGGAGAGTAAATTAATATTACTTCAATTTTGTTCTGTTTATCCACTGCTGTATACCAACTGGTATGTAATTAGGCTGGTGTCCTACTAACATAATCTTTAATTTCCTTGAAATATGCTGATGGACTATAGAACATCTGTGAATTGTGTATTTGACCCAAGAGTTTGACTGTTTTCTGACATTTATCATGTCTGATATCTTCTATTGGCCTCTCGAGAGCCATCCTTCACTTGGATCTCTGAGCTTAGATTGTATAAACCACATTAAAGGACACCCAGGTACTCAGGGTCCTGGCTGGATTTAGTTAACAGGGAGATGCTTGAAAAGATCTGTGAAAGAAGAAATTTGAATATTTATCCCCTTGCTTCCTTACTTTGAAGTTTTCTATGTCCCTCAACCAAATGAACCTGCTCTTTTTAAGGAAACTCTTTCAACAGGAAATTTACTTTTGAGGTTCCAAAAATGTTCTCTTCCTAAATTCATAACAAAGGGACTAGGGCTGAAAATGACATGATTCCTACCAGTCTGAGAATCCCAGGACGTCTCATGTAGTTCCTCTATATCTTATTTACTTTATATTTAGTTCTTTTATTAAGCCTTCCATCAATTATCCTAATTTTAACGGCAGTCTGTTTCCAGCTGGGACTCTGACTAATAAAAACACTAAATAGAAGTCTTTGAAATTTACTATTTTAATTATCCATAAAAAGAGCTCCAGGAATAAATACATCAAAAAGATAAATACCCAGCCTTCCTTTTAGGAGAACTCTACAAATTTGTATAAAAACAAAATAATGAAATGCATTTCAAACCTCACAATGACTATACATTTTCTCTCTTTAAATGCAGATGTATCTAATTAAACATTTACATTTATAGCTACAATGTCTTTATATTATATAGAACTGTATTCGCTGAGTTAAAAAGATATACTATAACCTGATAGCATATTAACTAATAAAATCATTGCATATTTCCAGTTGAATTGCATATAGAAACAATGATAATCTATTAGACAAGTAGAGATTCGAACATGCTAAATATTGATTCTAACATGAAATAAAAAGAAGGAAATGTTGTTTCCTTTTGTATTGTAGTTTTTAAGGTCACATAAGTTTACCTCGGTTTAATTAGAATTTGAAATCCAATTTCAGGGTAAAAATTGCAGGCTTAAAGTCATATTTGAAGAAATGATAAAATGAATGTTTGAGAAATCTCCTGAGAGAATTATTTTAAGACTATATAAAGTAGGATACAAAACTGTGTTATTGACAATTGCATAAGTAATGATATTCTATTTTAAAGGAACTAAGGATAAGTTGGCTGAGATCTAATAAATAATAGAAGTATCAGATACAGAGAAAGAATTAAAAAATCATAATGTGGAGTTAGTGTTTGAAAAATGAATTAAAAACATCATAGTTATCAAGCTTCTTGCTTATATAGGAGAATTGACTATTATATAACTTGAGAAAGATAGATGTTTAGTAAAGTTAAAAAAAAACAAACCAGCCTGGCCAACATGTTGAAACCCCGTGTCTACTAAAAATACAAAAATCAGCTGGGCATGATGATGTGCGCCTGTAGTCTCAGCTACTAGTGGGTCCTGAGGCAGGAGAATTGCTTGAACCGGGAAGGCGGAGGTTGCAGTGACCTGAGATTGTACCACTGCACTCCAGCCTGGGTGACAGAGCAAGACTCCGTCTCACAAAAAAAAAAAAAAAAAAAAAAGCACCTCTTCATATTTTCAAAATCCTTGTTACTGTGTATATTTTACATCACACATTGTAGACTTCTGGACTGGAAAACAAATGCTTAAATTTTCCTGAAAAAAAATAAGCATTGGTGGAAAAGTACTGAGATATTAAAGTTACAATTCACATCCTAAGTTATTCATCATGGTTCATGGTGTACTTGTAGCTACAGCTATTCAAAAGCAGCACATGTACCTCTCTTCTACAGTGGAAGGTTCCTTATGGAGAATACCTGACTTAATTATCTTTGCTTGGCTCAGTACTGAACACATGTGTTGCACAGTAGGCACTTAATAAATTGTAAAATTAAAACAACATGTGGCTGAAAAAGTATAAATCATCATGGAATAAGGATATCAAACCTATTATTTTTGGAATATTTACCTGCTCAATATTTCCCATTACTTGCTAGAAATAGAATTGGCCTACAGGTATGACAGGGAGAATAGTGAGTTTGAAATAATGAGGCATGCATGCCATGCTCCTCTAGGAGACTTTGGCCATAGGGTGACTGTTGGATCTGTACAGAGCAGGGCTGTCTTGCCTGTGAGATGAAGCCAGTCCAATCTGAGTGCCACCCTGTCTCCCGGGGCCCCAGCTGCTGGACCTGGTGCTTGCCTAAACAGGGTGCTTCCTCGGGCCCTCATCATAGCTCCTTCGCTGGCAGACTGCTCCTGCCTGAGAGCTCCAGCAGAGGGGCCCCTGCCCATGAGCATTAGTCCACTTGCACCTTCTTCCCACCATAGTCTTCCCTGCGCTACTTCGTTGGCACATACCCATGGCTACCCTCCCACCTCTTTGCTGCTGCCTATACGAGAAGACCCCAGCTCCCCTCCTCTGCTGGCACTCATGTGCAGGAGCAACCCACTGCTGTTCTCAGCGTGAGCGCAACCCACTGTCCTCTCCTCCCTTGCTAATGTGCAGGCACTCAGCCGTGTCGCCCATTGCCAGTGCAAATGTGCACACAACTGTCTGCGACCCAGTACACTCCTGTGCTGCCACCGCTGATGGTTCAAAATCACACCCTGACGCAGGCAGCACTACCCCCACCAGTGCCCTGTGCCCAGTGCTGATGGCACAGGTGTAAGCATGGACATCAGCAACCCCACCTTAGCCTGCACCCTGTTGCCAGAGCAAATTCACGCAGGAACACCTCAGTCCCATTTCCGCCAGTAACCTGCCCCAGTCAATACCATGCACCCCACCATGCCGTCAGGGCTCCTAGCACATACAATCAAGCACGGATCCCACTGGCACTGCCCCAACAAAGTCCTTGGGTGGCACAATCTATAATATCAGAGTGTTGGGGCCAGCAGAACTGGAACACCTCAGCCCCTCCAGTGCAGCAGATTTCTAACTTTGAAATACCAGAGAACAAAGTCATGGTCCTGGTAACAGCCCGGAGTTAGAGCATGCAAACCGAGAGTGCTGAGCTGAGCCTTGGCCCCCTAATATCTTACAGAAATACCAAAATTAAACCCCCAAGGGCATTATAGAAGATAAAAGAAAAAAGAAAAAAAGCCACCAAAAGGACAATAACTTCAGAGTGAAGGAACATCAGCCCACACAGATGAGAAAGAACCAGAGCAAAAGCTCTGGCAACTCAAAAAGCCTGAGTGTCTTCTTACCTAAAAACAATCACACTAGTTCCCCAGCAATCATTCTTAACCAGGCTGAAATGTCTGAAATGACAGAAATATAATTCAGAATATATATAGGAACAAAGATAACTGACATCCAGGAGAAAGTTAAAACCCAATCCAAGGAATCTCAGGAATACAATAAAATGATACAAGAGATAAAAGAAAGCTGGCCATTTAAAGAAAGAACCAAACTAATCTGATATAGCGGAAAAACTCACTTGAAGAATTTCATAATATAATCTCAAGTAGTAACAGCAGAATCAACCAAGCTAAGGAGAGAAAATCAGTTTGAATATAGGTTCTCTGAAGTAACTCAGTCAGACAAAAATAAAGAAAAAAACAATAAAGAAGAATGACTAAAACCTCCAAAAATATAGAATTATGTAAAAAGACCAAATCTATGACTTATTGTCATCCCTGAAAGAGAGGGAGAGAAAGCAAGCAATTTGGAAAACATATTTAAGGATATCTCATTGATAAATATGTCCCCAGCCTTACTAGAGAGACTAACATTCAAATTCAGAAAATGCAACAAACCCCTGAAAAATACTACACAAGACAACCATCCCCAAAGACATATCATCATCAGGTTCTCTGAAGTTGAAAAGGAATAAAATATGTTAAAGACAGCTAGAGTAAAGGGGCAGGTCACCTAAAAAGAGAACGGTACCAAGCTAACAGTGGATCTTTCAGCAGAAGCCCTACAAGCCAGAAGAGATTGGGAGCCTTTATTCACCATTCTTAAACAAAAGAAATTCCAATAAAGCATTTAATATCAAGCCAAACTAACCTTCATAAACTAATAAATAAGACCCTTCTCAGATAAGCAAATGCTATGGGATTTATTAGCAACAGACCTGCCTTACAAGAGGTCCTTAAAGGAGTGCTAGATATGAAAAGACAAGACCATTACCAGCCACCACAAAACATTCTTAAGTACATAGAAAATTGACAATATTAAGCAACCACACAATCAAGTCTGCAAAATAACCAGCTAACAAAATGATGACAGGATCAAATCCATACATATCGATATTAACATTGAATATAAACTAGCTAAATGCCCCATTTAAAAGACACAGAGTGGCAAAATGGATAAAGAAGCAAGACCCAACTGTATGCTATCTTTAAGAGACCCATCTCACATGCAATGACACTCATAGGCTCAAAGTAAAGGGATAAAGAAAAATCTACCAAGCAAACAGAAAATACAAGAAATCAGGAATTGCTATTCTAAATTAGGACAAAACAGACTTTAAACCAACAACAATCAGAAAAGACAAAGAAAGGCATTACATATTGGCAAAGGGTATAATTCAACAAGAAGATCTAACTATCCTTATTATATATGCTTCCAACAAAGGAGCATCCAGATTTATAAAACAAGTTCTTAGAGATCTTATGTGGAGACTTAGACACCCATGCAATAATAATGGGAGACTTCAACACCTCAGTAACTGTATTAGACAGATCAACAAGGCTGAAAATGGATAAATATATTCGAGTCCTGAACTCAGCACTTCACAAAATGGGCCAAATACACATTTACAGAATTCCTCAACCAAAACAACAGAATATACATTCTTCTCATTGTCACATGGCATATACTCTAAAATTGACTATATAATCAACCATACAACAACCCTCAGCAAATTCAAAGACCTAAATCATAACACTTTCAAACCGTATCACAATAAAAACAGGAATCAGTACTAAGAAAATTGCTCAAAACCATACAATTACATGGAAATTAATTAACCTGCTCCAGAATGACTTTTGAGTAAACAATGAAATTAAGACAGAAATCAAGGAATCATTTGAAACTAATGAGAACAAAGATAAAACATACCAGAATCTCTGGGACACAGCAAAAACGGTGTTAAGAGGGAAGTTTACAATACTAAACACCCATATTAAAAAGTTAGAAATATCTCAAATTAACAACGTGACATCACCCCTAGAGGAACTAGAGAAACAAGAGAAAAACAAGCCCAAAGCTAGCAGAAGACAAGAAATAACTAAAATCAGAACTGACTTGAAGGAAATTGAGATGCAAAAAAAAATTCAAAAGATTAATAAATCCAGGAGATGGTTATTTAAAATAATATATATGATTGATAGATTGTTAGCTAGACTAATAAAGAAATAAAGAGAGAAAAGATCCAAATAAACACAACCAGTAATGACAAAATGAGTATTACCACCAACCCTTTAGAAATAACAATTTTAAAAGCCCTCAGAGACTGCTATTAACACATCTATGCACACGAACAAGAAAATCTAGAAGAAATGGATAAATTCCTGGATGTATACAACCTCCCAAGATTGAACTAGGAAGAAATTGAATCCCTGAACAGACCAATAATGAGTTATGAAATCAAATCAGTAATAAAAAGCCTACCGACCATAATAAGCCCAGGACTACAGGGATTCACAGTGGAATTCTACCAAATATATAAAGAAGAGCTGGTACTATTCCTACTGAAATAATTCCAAAGAAAATGAGGAGGAAGGACTTCTTCCTAACTCGTTTTATGAGGCCAGCATCATCCTTATAACAAAACCTGGTAGAAAAACAGCAACAAAAAAGAAAAGTTCAGGACAATCTGCTTGATGAACTTAAGTACAAAAATCATCAAAAAATACTAGCAAACTGAATTCAGCAGCACATCAAAAAACTTATCCACTACGATCAAGTAAGTGTTAGCCCTAGGATGCAAGTTTGCTTCAATATACACAAATCAGTAACTTTGATTCATCACATAAATTCATCACAAAAACAGAAACCACATGATTATGTCAATAGATGCAGAAAAAATTTAAATAAAATTCAACATCCCTTCATGATAAAAAAAACCCTTAAAAATTAGGCATTGATGAAACATACCTTAAAATAATAAGGGATATCTATGAAAAACCCACAGCCAACATCATACCGAATGGGCAAAAGCTGGAAGCCTTCCCCTTGACAACTGGAACAAGAAAAGGATGTCTACTCTCACCACTCCTATTCAACATACTACTGGAAGTCCTAGCCAGAACAATCAGACAAGAGAAAGAAATAAAGGGCATCCAAATAGGAACAGAGGAAGTAAAGCTACCCCTGTTTGTAGACGACATACATGATTGTCTGCCTAGAAATCCCATAGTATCTGCCCAAATACTCCTAGTTCTGATAAACAACTTCAGCAAAATTTCAGGATACAAAATCAATGTGCAAAAATCAGTAGTATTCCTATACACCAACAACATTCAAGTTGATAGCCAAATCAGGCATGCAATCACAATCACAATTGCCCCAAAATAAATAAAATACCTAGAAAACAGCTAACCAGGAAGGTGAAAGATCTCTGCAAAGAGAATTACAAAATATTGCTCAAAGAAATCATAGATGACACAAACAAATGGATAAACATTCCATGCTCATGGATAGCAAGAATTAATATTGTTAAAATGGCCATACTGCCCAAAGCAATATGCAGATTCAATGCTATTCCTATCAAACTAACAATGACATTCTTCACAGAACTAGAAAAACTGTTTTTAAAATTCACATGGAACTGAAAAAGAGCTCAAATAGCCAGGGCAAACCTAAGCAAGAAAGAACAAAGCTGGAGGCTTCACATTACCTCCCCCTCAACCCTTTTTTTTTTTTCCTGTGCCCCAGGCTGGAGTGCAGTAGTGAGATCTAGGCTCACTGCAACCTCGGCCTCCCGGGTGCAAGCAATTCTCATGCTTCAGCCTCCAGAGTAGCTAGGATTACAGGCATACACCATCACACTCAACTAATTTTTGTATTTTTAGTAGAGAAGGGGTTCCATCATGTTGTCCAGGCTGGTCTCCAGTGATCCATGTGCCCTGGCCTCTCGAAGTGCTGGGATTACAGGCTTGAGTCAAGGCACCCAGTCCCCATCTTCAAATTATACTGCAAGGCTACAGTAGCCAAACAGCATGGTATTGATACAAAAACAGACACATTTACCATTGGAACAGAATAGAGAGCCCAGAACTAATGCCACACACCTGCAATAATCTGATCTTCAACAAAATCAACAGCAACAAAAAGCAATGGGAAAATGACTCCATATTCAATAAATTGTTCTGGGACAACTGGCTAGCCATATGCAGAAGACTGATACTGGACCAACCCCTTCCTTACAATATACATATATATATATATATATATATATATATATATATATATATATATATAAACTCAACATGGATTAATGACTTAAATGTAAAACCAAAAATTATAAAAACCCTGGAAGATAACCTAGGAAATGCCTAGGTTATTCTGGACAGAGGGCCTGGCAAAATACTTCATGAGGAAGATGCCAAAAGCAATTGCAACAAAAACAAAAATTGACAAGTGGGGCCTAATTAAACTAAGGAGCTTCTGCACAACAAAAGAAAGTATTAACAGAGTAAACAGACAATCCACAGAATGGGATAAAATATTTGCAAACTATGAATGCAACGAAGTCTAATATCTAATTTGTATAATGAGTTCAAGCAAATTAACAAGCAATAAACAAACAACCCAATTAAAAAGTAGGCAAAGGACATGCATAGACACTTTTCAAAAGAAGACATACACGTAGCCAACAAGCATATGAAAAAATGCTCAACATCACAAATCACTAGAGAAATGCATATCAAAACCACAGTGAGATGCCATCTCACACCAGTCAGAATGGATATTATTAAAATACCAAAATATAAGAAATGCTGGTGAGATTGCAGAGAAAAGGGAACACTTATATATACACTGCTGGTGGTAATGTAAATTAGTTTAGCCATCGTGAAAAGTAGTGTGGTGATTTCTCAGAAAACTCAAAATATAATTACAATTTGACCCAGCAACTGTCTTGGGGTATATCCCCAAAGGAATATAAATCATTCTTCCATTAATAATATGTACATGTATGTTCATCATAGCACTATTCACAATAGCAATGACTTGGAATCAACCAAATGCTCATCAATGATGGACTGGATAAAGGAAATATGGTGCATATACACCATGGAATACTACACAGCCATAAAAAGGAATGCGATCCTGTCCTTTGCAGCAACATGGATGGAGCTGGAGGCCATTATCCTACATGAACTAACACAGGAACAAAAAATCAAATACCAAATGTTCTCACAAGTGGGAGCTAAGCATTGAATACACATAGACACAAAGAAGAAAACACCAAGGCCTACTTGAGGCCTACTTGAGGGTGGTAGATGGGAGGAAAGAGAGGATCAAAAAACCTATTGGGTACTATGGTTATTACCTGTGTGACAAATAATCTGTACACCAAACCCCCATGACACACAATTTACCAGTATGACAAATCTGCTCATGTACCCCTGAACCTAAAATAAAAGTTAAAAAATAAAATAAAACTTAAAAAATACATATATTTTTAAACGTAAAACTTACATCCTCTAAACCTATTTTTATTTTATTCACCACTACTTTAAATAAGTACCCCTTATTTCAAAGCTACCACTTAATATTCAAAGTTAAAAGGAGAGAAAAGCAATTATTACATATTCTATACATTAAGCTACTATGTATTCTTCATCTTTGCCTTCTACAGCAGATGAGAACAATGGCTGTATTTCAGAACTTAGAGTCTAACCACAGCTGGAACTCCCATTGTCCTTACCACTAGAAAGCAGGTTTCTCTCTCTGAGGAAACTTGCCATCTCTGAGAAAAATAACAGAATGGGTTTTGGGGGATGCTCAAGGGTCAATATTTATTTGAAACTTTTTGAATAATTATGCATTATTTATTTTACATAAATAAATAAATATATATGTGTTTGGAGAAACAGATAATAAACCATTGTTTTATCCTCTTCATACCTCTTTGCATTATATTAGAAAACTAAGAATCTCAGACTATTGTGGAAAAGCCTTAAACCATTACTTTCTTCGTATTCTTGAGTAAAAATAGTCTTTAAATTCCTAAGCCTGTTATTAACATATTTTGATTAATATATTAAATGTAACATTTTTGGAGGAGATTTTTCTCTGACTAAGCAATATAAATGACTTTTCTTCAAACACAAAGAATGGCTTCAAAAAGTGATGAAGTACTTCTACAGTGAACATGGACTTCCTGCTGAAGAACCCTTTGCCTTTCTCCCTCTGTGTGTGTCACTGAGCAATTTTAAACCAGATACAATCTAGTTCATATAACAACACCACACTGAGTTCAAAGACCTATCTAGGGTAGGTGAAATTCAAGTCCCAACACCTAATAAGAGGATAGGATATCAAGTTAGCAGGTGAACTGTAGCCAAAGAGTTAATTGTCTGGGCAGTGGCAGAATTGATCTTGTATTATTGAAACAGTCTACAGAATACAGGAAGGGCACAAGGAACAGCACACAAGTTCACTTGTTAGAAAAATAATTCTTTTATAGTTTGGGCAATTTAAACTATTTCGTAATGGGAAATCTTTTTTTAAGTATAGGTATCATAGAATACTTTCAGATGTTCACTGGCATCTTCAGAACTCTTTAAAACTGCTTTAGGTTCACTAGATGCAAAGTGGATAAATCAGTACACGGAGCGCATGGGTCAAAATACATTTCTTGAACCATAAAAAATGGGATTTTAACCAAAAGCATTAAACATCACAGGCCTTTTTTATTCTAGCACCACAGAGTGATTCAACAGCTATATAACCATATTATACAATATCTTAGGAGAACTAGTTTGATGATGTTTTATTCTCATGTTTCCAAAATAGAGCCATGCTAGTTTACAGTGCTATAAGCTTTCTTATAAATATAGACAAAAATTACCAGGCCATGAATTTGTTTTGTTAATCAAGTTCAGCCTAAAGCTGCTTCCTTACATGTTTAAATTCAGCCTAAAGGTTTTTCTGTACATTGTGAACTATAACAAGGGGAAGTATAAACCGACTGTGGCCCACGCTTGTATCAATCACTGAGTTTTAGCCAATTAAATGTAGCCAACCAAACAGTGTTCTAATAAGGTAAATGTCAAACTGTAACCAATCCAGGTGTTTCTGTACTTCACTTCCAATTCCTGCACGTCATTTCCCTTTTTTTGTCTATAAATCTTCTTCCACCATGCTGGAATCTCTTTGAATCTGCTGTGATTCAGAAAGCTGCCCGAATCGTGAATCGTTCATTGCTCAACTAAACTCCTTTAAATTTAGTTCGGCTGAAGTTTTTCTTTTAACAGCTTAATCACAGTGCTGTAGTCTCAGAATGTGAAAATGTGTAAAAGTAGATAATGGGTTTATTCACTATTAATATATACTATCATGAACATGAATTCCACTGGGATATTATCAAGTGGTTATTTTAAAGGGATTTTCTTCTATTTGCAAAAAAAAATTATGCTTTAAAATAACCAAACAAATGAGCCTGAATTTAACTTGCATATCAAAAGTTTCAGGCTTAATTCTCTTTAACCTGTGGAGGTTGTAAATTTAACTAAGCAATTTCTCTGCATGATTTTATTCTACTAAACTGACAGGTACCTTTTGTCGAACTGGTCAATACTCATATAACTTATCCAAAATTATGGCCTATAAATTTATCTATCTGCTGTTTACAGCTTTTTCAGGGAAAAAACAATTACAGCAGCAAATGTATTAGGAGCAGGTAGGATTGCTCCCTATAAGTTAATAGGGTTTTCTGGTGATTATGAACGCAGAGTGGAGCAGAGTACATGTAAATAAATATATTCGATATATTGAGATGCCATCTAGTTAGGTTTACTACGTATTTACTGAATATTATAATTAGTTTTACCCTTCTTAAATGTCACCAGTGCCTTGCGCACTCCACAAGTAGCCACAAGAGGGCTCCCCTGGGTGCTCAGGGCTTCTCAGACTCAGTGACTCATTCCACTCCCCCAAGTATCATGCTCTTCCAGTGGCTATAGATCATTTTCAGATGCTTAAGCTTAAAAAATACCCTTAACTTTAATTATTTATAAAATGCTAAAGTACTTAAAAAGAAGCTTCTAGTATTTGTTTTTCGTGGGGGGACTTACAGCTTCTTAATTTCCGTATCTACTAAACTGGTCTCCAGGCCACTTTTTTGTTTGTTTTTTGAGACAGAGTCTCGCTCTGTCGCCAAGTTGGAGTGCAGTGGCACGAACCCGGCTCAATGCAACCTCTGTCTCCCGGGTTCAAGCGATTCTCCTGCCTCAGCCTCCCGAGTAGCCTGGGGCTACAGGCACACGCCACCACGCCCAGCTAATTTTTGTATTTTTAGTACAGACGGGGTTTCACCATGTTGGCCAGGATGCTCTCGATCTCTGGACCTCGTGATCCGCCCGCCTCGGCCTCCCTAAGCGCTGGGATTATAGGCGTAAGCCACCGTGGCGGGCCCATTTTTGAATCTAGTACTTTGCCTCTTGGGATGGGTTCTGCTTAATGTTACTGTGGACACTCCAGGAAGACTGCTTGTTGCTAAAGCTTTTTCTGCAAGCCTCAAGATCTTCTTGGGGGAAAGACTCCAAAAAGCTTTGTTGACAACTTCATGGTGTAAAGTAAATCATCCTTAATTATCTAAACGGCTTCCCAGGTCTATGACGTCACTCATATTCATGACTGGGCAGCAACTTACCTAACGTTTCAGCGCCCTCCAGCCCGGTATCATAGCCTCTGTTGTTGCTGAGGTGCAGCCCCGAGCAGGGAGTGCTCAGTGGCCATGTGTCCAGAATTGGTGGGTTCTTGGTCTCACTGACTTCAAGAATGAAACCGCGCACCCTCGCCGTGAGTGTTATAGTTCTTAAAGGCGGCGTGTCCGGAGTTTGTTCCTTCTGCTGTTCAGATGTGTTCCGAGTTTCTTCCCTCTGGTGGGTTCATGGTCTCACTGGCTCAGGAGTGAAGCTGTGGACCTTCACGGTGAGTGTTACAGCTCTTCAGGCAGTGCGTCTAGAGTTGTTCGTTCCTCCCAGTGGGTTCGTGGTCCCGCTGGCTTCAGAAGTGAAGCTGCAGACCTTCGTGGTGAGTGTTACAGCTCATAAAGGCAGTGTGGACCCAAAGAGTGAGCAGCAGCAAGATTTATTGCAAAGAGCTAAAGAACAAAGCCGCCAAAGTGCAGGAAGCGACGCAAGCAGGTTGCTGCTGGGGGTTCCGGCAGCCTGCTTTTATTCTCTTATCTGGCACCACCCACATCCTGCTGATTGGTCCATTTTACAGAGATCCGATTAGTCTGTTTTACAGAGAGCTGATTGGTCCGTTTTGACAGGGTGCTGATTGGTGCCTTTCCAGTCCTTGACCTAGCCACAAAAGTTCTCCACATCCCCACTAGATTAGCTAGATACAGAGTGTGGACACAAAGGTTTTCCAAGTCCCCACCAGAGGAGCTAGATACAGAGTGTCGATTGGTGCATTCACAAACCCTGAGCTAGACACAGGATGCTGATTGGTGTGTTTACAAACCTTGAGCTAGATACAGAGTGCCGATTGGTGTATTTACAATCCCTTAGCTAGACATAAAGGTTCTCCAAGTCCCCACCAGAGTACAGTAGCTAGATACAGAGTGTGGATTGGTGCATTCACAAACCCTGAGCTAGACAACAGGGTGCTGATTGGTGTGTTTACAAACCTTGAGCTAAATAAAGAGTGCCCGACTGGTGTATTTACAATCCCTTAGCTAGACATAAAGGTTCTCCAAGTCCCCACCAGACTCAGGAGCCCAGTTGGCTTCACCCAGTGGATCCCTTACCGGGGCTGCAGGTGGAGCTGCCTGCCAGTCCAGCGCCGGTGCGCCCGCACTCCTCAGCCCTTGGGTGGTCGATGGGACTGGGCGCCACGGAGCAGGGGGCGGCGTTGGTGGGGGAGGCTCGGACCGTGCAGGAGCCCACGGCTCGGAGGGGGAGGCTCAGGCATGGCGGGATGCAGGTCCCGAACCCTGCCCAGCGGGGAGGTAGCTAAGGCCGGGCGAGAAGTGGAGCACAGCAGCTGCTGGCCCAGGTGCTTAGCCCCTCACTACCCGGGGCGGCTGGCCGGCCTGCGGCTCTGAGTGCGGACCCGCTAAGCCCACGCCCACCCGGAACTGGAGCTGGCCCGCAAGGACCGCGCGCAGCCCCGATTCCCGCCCGCGCCTCTCCCTCCACACCTCCCTGCAAGCTGAGGGAGCCGGCTCCGGCCTTGGCCTGCCCGGAAAGGGGCTCCCACAGTGCAGCGGCGGACTGAAGGGCTCCTCAAGCGCGGCCAGAGTGGGCGCCAAGGCGGAGGAGGCGCCAAGAGCGAGCTAGGGCTGTGAGGCCTGCCAGCACGCTGTCACCTCTCAGCCACACACACACAAACAGACTGTCTCAGCTCCTTCCCTCTCCCTTTGTGCTGTTTCTTTTGGTGGGAGCCAACCTGTCTCGAAGGGGCCAGGTAGCACCATCTGGAATTAGAGCACACGTGATGTTCCGTAGAACAATTTTGTTTAAAGGAATATGATAACTGGTAAATAAATGATATCTGTTTCTCACCTTTAGCCAACTGTCTGGAGATGCAGTTTTCCTTTGTCTCTCTGAAGACTTCCCGTGAGATCAAGCACCAGATAAGCTTGTTCCCTAGCTGTGACCAGTTCAATAATGCATGCCTTTAAGTATTTGCTCTGTTTCTTTCCTGATTTACTCAATAATTATCTTATCTCCAGCTTCGCTGGTCTTGTGCAAGCTAATAAATATTAACATCTAAGTTTTGGCATGGTCTGAAAAGTTTACCAAACAAGTTAGATGTCTTTTACTTTATCTGTGACTTAAGTATAGTTTATGTAATACATACTAATATATTATGTGAATAGTATAAAGTATACACAAAAACTGAAATTAAAGAGGACAAAACAAATATTATTATTATTTTTTTTTTTTTTAAGACAGAGTTTTGCTCTTGTCGCCCAGGCTGGAGTGCAGTGGTGTGATCTCGGCTCACTGCAATCTCTGCCTGCCCGGGTTCAAGTGATTCTCCTGCCTCAGACTCCCGAATAGCTGGGATCAAAGGCTTGAGCCACCACACCCAGCTAATTTTTGTGTTTTTAGCAGAGACAGGGTTTCGCCATGTTGCCTAGGCTGGTCTCGAACTCCTGACCTCAGGTGATCCACCTGCCTCTGCCTCCCAAAGTGCTGGGATTACAGGTGTGACCCACTGTACCTGGCCATAAATATTCTAATTTTAAAATAACATGTATTAATAGCATAAAACATTTTAATCTCACTGTGTTATTACTTATGGATCAATATTATTGGTAATATGTTTAGGAGAGCAATGTGATTGAATATACCTTATAATTAAACAAATGAACAAAAACCTTGGCTTAATTCTTGTGATTCTGTGATGTACAGAACTATATTTGTAAATGTTTAATGTATATTTAGTCAGTTTTAATATTGTAGCAAATGATAACATTCAATAGATACAAATTAAAATTGGTTAGCATACAGATTCAGTTGTTTTAAGAGAAATAGATGTTTAAGTAAAATAGATACTCTTCCCCTCTTAAGTAACTACCTGGCATAAACTGTCAATGACAGGAATGGCAGCTGTGTGGTATTGAAAACCAGGTCCTTTTCCCAAGTTATGCTCAAGGTTTGGCTTTCATATATCATGGTCTCAGATGTGTACTATAGTTCACAATATCACTTGTATATTTTGGCTAATGGAAAGGTGATAAGAGTGGAAGATATGGACAATTTTTCTTATAGGCATAATTGAGAGTCATACATGTACCTTTCTCTCATATCTTATTACCCGGAACTTAAGTCATAATACTTTACCTAGATACAAGGGAGATTTGAAATTGCAGACTTAGCAAAGATGGAGATAACATATGCCTAGCTAAAATGTGTGGATCCTTTTAATAATGGCAGAAATAGAGAATGATGTAAAGAAACAACTAACTACCTCTGCCATAGTCTATACTAAATACCGATATATGTATATATGCACACCCCCACAAGAAAGTCCAGCCCAGGTCCTATCCAATTACTGTATCCAGCTCAGAGTTCAGGATCTCTGGGTCTTCTCCATCAGCTCTGAGTGTGGTTCTTGTGGTCTGATTACTTATAAAACAAAAAGAAAATAAGATGACTACAATGATTTGCTGTGCAGAAGCTTTTTGGTGTAAGACAGTCCCATTTGTCTATTGAAACGAATGGATAAAGAAAATGTGGTTATATACACAATGGAACAGTATTCAGTCATAAAAGAATGAAGTTGTGTCACATGCAGCAACATGAATGGAACTGGAGGTCATTATGTGAGGTGAAACAACCCAGGCACAGGAAGAAAAAAATCCCACCTTTTTACTCTTATGTGAGAACTACAATAGTTGCTCTCATAAACGTAGAATGTAGAATGATAATTACCAGAGGTGGGAAAGGGTGTGTGTGGCAGGGGTTGAGAGAGGTTGGTTAATGGGTACAAACATATAGTTAGAAGGAATAAGGTCTAATGTTCAATGGTAGAATAGGGTGACCATATTTAACAACAATGTATTTTATATTTTAAAATATATGGAGAGGACTTGAATATTCCTAACACATAGAAATAAAAAATACACGACGTGATAGCTATCCCAAATATCCTGACAATAATTACATTGCACATTCTATGCAGGTAAACAAATGTTACATGTACCCCATAAATATGTATCAATATTATGTATCAATATTTAAAACCAACAAAAATAATAATAAATCAACTATAAAACTTTACTGAAATATATGTAAAACCACAGATAAATTAGCAAATATTTTCAGTATGGGGAGACTTAACAATATACAGATATCCAATCTCTTCAAATTAATCCATGTTCACACAATCAAAAGCACAAAAGGGGCCAGGTGTGGTGGGTCACATCTGTAATCCTAGCACTTTGGGAGGCCGAGGCAGGAGGATTGCTTGAGATGAGGAGATGGAGACCAGTCTGGGAAACACAGTGAGACCTAATTTCCACAAAAATAAAAATGAAATAAAAATTTTAAGAAAAGCACAAAGGATTTCCATGGGCTTGTCCAATGACTTTAAAATTAATCTAGGCTGGGCGCAGTGGCTCATGCCTGTAATCCCAGCACTTTGGGAGGCCAAGGCAGGCAGATTACCTGAGGTCAGAAGTTCAAGACCAACCTGGCCACCATGGTGAAACCGTATCTCTACTAAAAATACAAAAATTAGCCAGGCATGTTGGCACACACCTATAATCCCAGGTACTTGGGAGGCTGAGGTAGGAGAATTGCTTGAGCCTGAGAGACAGAGGTTGCGGTGAGCCGAGATTGTGCCACTGTACTCTAGCCTGGCCAACAGAGCAAGACTCTGTCAAATTAATCTAGAAACAAAAATGTACAAGGATATCTGAAGAAATTTTTTAAATATAGAAATAAATACATTTATACCTATGTAACAAATCTGCACGTTCTACACATGAATCCCAGAACTTAAAGTAAAATTTAAAAAAAAAAAATTAGGCCAGGCACGGTGGCTCACGCCTGTAATCCCAGCACTTTGGGAGGCCAAGGCGGGCAGATCACGATGTCAGGAATTCAAGAACAGCCTGGTCAACATGGTGAAACCCTGTCTCTACTAAAAGTACAAAAATTAGCTGGGCATGGTGGCGGGTGCCTGTAATTCCAGCTACCAGGGAGCCTGAGGCGGGAGAATCATTTGAACCCTGGAGGCAGAGGTTGCAGTGAGCCAAGATCGCACCATTGCACTCCAGCTTGGCAACAGGGCGAGGCTCCTTCTCAAAAAACAAAACAAAACAAAACAAAACAAAACAAAAAAAGAAATAAACACATTTGCAGTTAAGGCTGGTCACAGATTGTACAGAGAAGGCTAAAGACTTAACAGAATAGATGTAAGTTGCAGAACATTAGGCTAACAAGAATGGGTGATTAATCAATTTTTTCCCTGACACATGGAAAATAATTAGTCATCTGTGATTTAGCAGAAAATGCATAAACACCAGATGTTTCTATCTTGTTGTATGCCATGCAAATAACATTCTTTGTTTATCTAAAATTGGAATTAAATTTAAAGAATTTACTAGAGTAATTCTCTATTTACATTAAAAATAATGAAAATTTTTGCCATAATGGTAGCATTTTTTAATTAATATGAACAGATTTATTCACTGTTTTGCACCATTAATTCTTGAAAAGACTATTAATGGTTGATTCTTAGTTATCTCTTCTTATTATGTCTTTCATATATCTTATATTCAAGATGCTTCAGTGAGATAGCATGAAAAGCCTGAGAATAAAAATATACAGGCTATACAGTTGTCTGTAAGCAAATTCAATTACTGTAAATCAAAAACAATATTGATACTTCACAGTGTCATATATTTAATATTGGGAAATCTTAGTATAGACTAGCCATTAAGATGGCATAAATATATATTGAAATATTATTTAAATAATACGTCCCTTTAGAAGTTTTGTCTCGATATGATGTTATATCACTATCATCATTAATGCTTTGAGGCTCTTCTTACTATACTAATATCCAAAATCAACTAATTGCTGAATAATAATTATTACAACCTGTGCTATATTATTGATTTCACTTGGTTATTTTATTCTCCTTTACTCTCATGTGAATATTTGACATGAGAATGTATGCAAAATGTCAAAAATGTATGCAACATACCTGTGTTAAAGTAAAAAATAAATAAACACCGGTAGACACACTACTTAAATCAAGAACAAAACATTGTCAATAACTTACTATACTTAGATGTGCTTGTTTTTGAGCTTTACCAATATTGTTTATGAAGTATTTGGTGTTTTGGGACTACATTTTTCAGACTTCATTATGTTTCCATATATTGCAGTAGTTCACTAATTTTTTCTTTACAAATGCTTAGTTTTTTCTGTATTGATATCTAATGAACATACAATGCACTGCACATATTTAAATTATATAATTTGATAAGCTTTGATATATGGACACACCCATGAAACAATCATAATCGAGGTGATGAACATTTACGTCACTCACAAGTTTCCTCGTGTCCCTTTGTAATCCCTAGCTCCTGCTCCTTCTCAAAACACTTACCTAATTTGCATTTTCAGTATTTTGTATAAAAGAGTCATACATAGATATTATTTTTTGTTTGTTTTTGTTTCTGTTTCTTTTTTCTTTTTCTTTTTTTTTTTTGTTGTTGTTGGGTTTTGTTTTTTTTTTTTTTGTTTTTTTGGAGAGAATTTCACTCTTGTTGACCAGGCTGGAGTGCTATAGTGTGATCTCAGCTCACGGCAACCTCCACCTCCTCTCCACCTCCTGGGTTCAAATGATTCTCCTTCCTCAGCCTCCCAGGTAGCAGGGATTACAGGGATGTGCCACCATGCTGGCCAATTTTTTGTATTTTTAGTAGAGACACGGATTCTCCATGTTGATCAGGCTGGTCTTGAACTCCTGACCTCAGGTGGTCTGCCTGCCTTGACCTCCTGAAGTGCTGGGATTACAGGCATGAGCCAACACACCCCGCCATAGGTACTATTTTTTGTTTGGCTTCCTTGACTTGCATAGTTTGATATGTATCTATTTTTTACTATGTATCTTTTTCTATTTTATATTGCTAAGTAATATTCTACTGCATGAATATATGACAATTTATCATTAGCCTTTTGATGACATTTGGGTTGTGTCCAGTTTTTAAGTATTACAAATAAAGCTTCTGTGAATGTATTTGCACAGGTGTTTGTAAAGACATATGCTTTCATTTTGGTTAGTGTTACGAGTGCAGTGGTTAGATCATATAGTAGGGGCATATACAACACTTAGTATTGGGTGTGGGTATAGCTAAAATGGAAGGTTGTACAGCACGTTAGTATGTTTTGTGTTGCTATAAAGGAATACCTGAGGCTGAATAATTTATAAAGAAAAGAGATTGAGTTGATGGTTCTGCAGGCTGTACAAGCATGGCACCATCATCTGCTTGGCTTCTAGTGAGGCTTCAAGAAGCTTTTACTTATCGAAGAAGGCAGAGAGGGAGCTGGCATGTCACATGGAGGGAGAGAGAACAATATAATTTAAACTTAATTAATTTTTAAATTTTAAACAGCCAGCTCTCACATGAACTTAACAGAGCAAGAACTCACTCTTTACCATAGGGAGGACACCAAGCCATTCATGAAGGATCCAACGCATGACCCAAACGCCTCCCACTAGGTCCACCTCCAAAATTGGAGGTCACATTTCAATATGACATTTGGAGGGGACGAATATCCAAACTACTTCATAGAGAATGACCCAGAAGCTCTTCAAAATTTCAAAGATCCAGCAGTGGAAGTGCTGCAGACATAATGGCAGTGCTATGGGAAAAAAATAGGACAGTGTTAGAGTTTTATCATATTTATGCTGTGGCATATATGTTAGAGAATTTGACTTTGGTTTATAGATTTTAAAAGTGAACAATGAGCTATTAAAATGTTAAATGTCATATAATGCAAATGATTTTTTATTTACCATTTGCTTTTTAACGTTGCCAATGCCTGTTTTGGCATAATGTTATTTTAGATATGTATATAGTTATTTATACCAATATTTTCCTAGAAATTTGTCTCTGCTGCTTCCTTTGGAAGGCCTTCTCCAATCCAATATTAAAGAGATTGCCATTACATATTTTAAGTTTATTTTGGGTCATATATTTCTATAGATTAATCAATCTGTAATTTCTTAAACAGTAGGGTGTGAATTAAGATTACAATTTAGGCAGGGCACAGTGGCTCATGCCTGTAATCCCAGTACTTCGGGAGGCCAAGGCCTGCAGATCACTTGAGCTCAGGAGCTCGAGACCAGCCTGGCCAATATGGTGAAACCCCGTCTCTACTAAAAATACAAAAATTAGCCGGGCATGGTGGCGCACGCCTGTAGTCCCAGCTACTTGGAAGGCCAAGGCAGGAGAATTGCTTGAACTGGGAGGCAGAAGTTGCAGTGAGCCGAGATCACGCTACTGCACTCCAGCCTCAGCAACAGAGTGAGACTCCATCTCAAAAAAAGAGAAAGATTGAAGTTTAATTTTTTAAACATTTATCTCGTTGCAGTAGCACAAACTTCAGTGAATAGTCTGCATTTTAAAATACCAATCTTATCTCATATGAGGTTAATTAAAATAATACATTAATTAATAATTCTTATATTTTAGTATATTTTAATGTGTCTCATAGTTTAGAATATTGACTAATTGTCCCTCTCTCACTTTTTCTGTTAATATGAACATTAAGAAATGCAAGTATTTTCTAATTATTAGTATCAAGATTTAAAAATACCATGTTTAATACCCGCAATCTAAGATAAAAAACTAGTACATAAGCCACACTTATTTAAATTAACTAACTCCTTGTGTCACAAATACCCTTTCATAAATAAAGAATATTGGGCCAGCAATCTCAACTTTTTCTTTCAAATTTATAATTTCTAGGCCAAGTGATCATTTAACAATTCAATACATAATATAAATAATAAATATTATATTCAAGGAATACATATTTAATCATTGCCTCATATTTTCAAGGTACTATGTTAGGCAGTGGAGATATAATAGTTATAAGGCACTGAAGATATAACAGCTTTTCCAAATTATGTTTAAATTACATGGTGTCGACATAATCAGTGGCAGAATTATTTAGAAATATTCCTAGAAGTTCTACAGGAAGAGTAAGTCCATATTCTTAATAAACACCACACAAATGGACTGTCTGACAAACCCATGTGAATACTTTCTGATACACTCTTGTAATTACATTCTGGCAAAACAGTTTGTCCAAAAGTTGTGGTTGGAATGGCTTGGACCTTCATTAATTGAAAGGCCTGACAGTACCTGAGAATGTATTAAGATAGTTGGAATCTCAACTGCTACTCTTCAGCATGGCAAACCTTGAGCAATAAATATCTTTTCACTATGCCTGATTTTTTTCATCTGAAAAGTGAGACTAACAACATGTAGCTATTGTGAACATTTAAATAGTACATTTAGAACAGCACTCAGAATGTGGCCCATGTTCATTCCAGCTTAGCTCTTGTTATTTTTAATAAAGACACTCATTTTCTTATAAACCAAGAAAACAATAAGCATCTAGACATGTTTGCCATTCTCATTTTTTAAATCTTAATTATACATTTTCAAACAGAATTTTCAGATTAACAGGTTTTTGAGATACATTTTTTTGTAAAACTTCCGTGAATCAAGTGCAAAACACTTGATTTATTGCAGACTGCGGAAATGCAAGTGTAGGCTTAAATTTTCATGAAAGGTTTTAATGTGCGTTTTTTTCCCTCTTATTTATATAACAAGTAAATTGTTTTGCAACTATGAATTTTATTATATTTCACAGTGAGAATAACATTCCCAATACCACCTAAAAAGGCACAATAGAAATTTCTACTTTTGACCTTGATGCATTGCCTTAATTCAAAACCCTCCCCACCAAGGAAAACTAAATGAACAAAATGTGGTGGCTAAGCAGGTAGAAATCTCAATCAAATTTTCAGCAGTTTCATGAAGCTAGAAGGAACATAAAAATGTAGAGTTCAGGGCTACCAAAGCAGGCAGTTGTTAAAAGGCCATGATTCGAGAGAGAAATGGTATTCATTAAAGTTAGCTGAATATATTTGTCACTTTTCCCTGGAGGCATTTGTGGATGTCTAGGTATGAAGCCAAGAGGCTGACAGGAGGATTAGCTTTTGGCAGTCTCCTGGTGTAAGGAAATTAAAAATTGTAGTTTATCCCCAGTATATTGAGAGGCCATGAAAAATATCTCACACTTTCAAATAGGATCATGGAAGAACTGTAGTTTATTAGTAATGGTGAAACAGAGGTAGATCAGCCCTCCCAAAGACTGGTCTTTGGTCCTTCAAAGATATCAGCTTCAGATCAACTCAATCTCATATTAAAGAATTCTGTGTCCTATTCAAACTGCCAGCCAAAAGGAAAATGTAATCCTTTCAGGAATTTCTTCAAAAAGGACAAGAAGTGTGATAGAACAGAAATGAGTATCAGCGAGCCGACCCAAGAACCATGGAGAACAATGAACCTGGAGTCACAAGAAGCAGAACTGTGGCTGAAATCAAAGACAATTCCCCAACCCCAAAGTCGTGGGGATGTGGCAGCTTCCATTCAGCTGCATTTTAGAGTCACTACAGCCTAGTGCTGCATGCTTCCAATTCTTCCTGTTTATGGATGGTTATACCATAAAACCACTGCACATTAGTTACGTGGAAAACAGATAACTTATCTTTTTAAGTTTGAGTGTTCTCCTGATCAAGAAAGGTAGCTTCCCAGGAGACTCATTTCAACCTGATATGATAGTCAAGTCTTTCAGCTTGATGCCATGATTAGATAATTCATTTGGGTAACTTTAAAGACAATAAATCTTTTAATTTTTTGATACTGCATTTGGAGAAAAGTTAACAATTAGAGTCAAAACATAGACTATGGTAAACCAAGTGCATTAATGGCTGAATATTAGAGTTCGGTAGAAAACCATTTCTCTGGTTTTCTGTGTTTGTTGTGAGTACACAGTCAGGCAACCTTCTAGAGGAAACCAACCTCCTGAAAGAAAAGAGTCTCTTTGTTTCCATGTTCTGGTTGAGACTATTGTAACCATCCACCTGTAAAGTCAACATACAAGCTAACCTAAATGCACATGATACATACCATACAAAAGGAAAACCTTAAAGCGTTTAGAAGAAATGCAGTAAAAGGTTTTCATAAATTTATGATAAGCAAAGAGTGAAGTGGTTGCAAATTGTACCAATGATAAGTGAAGCAACTGATAAGTTGGACATTATAAGAATTAGAAACATTTCTTAATCATAGGACAAAAGGCAGTGAGAAAGCAAATCACAGATGTCATATGTATAATTCATAATTTATAAATACAATATGTATTTTATTATAAATTATTAAATTTATTAAAACAGGTTTAATGTGTTTTTCTATGAAACATAGTATAATATATATAATGTGTAATATATTATACAGACGCATTATACATCTACTATATATGTTTATATAATGCATGTTATATAACATATATAATACCATGTACATTTAATTCCTTCTATATGTATTTAAACTCTAATATTCAAAATATATAAAAAACTACAAATTAAACAGAAAGTCTAAAAATCTCATTTAAAAAGAGAACAGGCCACGCGCGGTGGCTCATGCCTATAATCCCAGCACTATGGGAGGGTGAAGCGGGCGGATCACGAGGTCAGGGGTTTGAGAGGAGCCTGGCCAATATGGTGAAATCCCATCTCTATTAAAAATATAAAAATTAGCCAGGTGTGGTGGCACACAACTGTAATCCCAACTACTCAGGACGCTGAAGCAGGAGAATCGCTTGAACCCAGGAGGTGGAGTTTGCAGTGAGCCTAGACTGTGAAATTGCACTCCAGCCTGGGCAACAGAGCAAGACTCCATCTCAAAAAAAAAAAAAAAAAAAAAAAAAAGAGAGAGAGAGAACAAAAACAAAACTTGAACTGGCATATCAGAAAAATAAAAATACTCTGATGGCCAAAAAAATGAAACATTTGAGAAGGTACTCAATCTCTTTAGTTATCAATGAAATGCAAATTAAAAACATAAAGAAATATCACTATTCATGGAGCAGAAACACTAAGAAAAGACTCAATACTAAGGTTTGACAAGGATCGGGAGTAACCTACATAATGGCTAGGAGGATAGTCATTTTGGAAAACAATTTTTTGGTTATTTACCTAAACTGATCAAACTGATCACAGCATACCGCATGACACAGTTACATCCCTCCTAGTTATATGCCTGCATTAAATTCTTACTTATGTATGACAAAATCCATGCACAAAATGTCATGTCAGAAACTATGAATAAATTCTATCTTATCTACAGAATAAAACGTTGTACATCGATGATTAATAAGCTGCTGATACATATAACGTGAATGAATCACAGACACTGTATCGAATAAAAGGAAACAGATGCAAAATAAGGTGATTGCAAGATTCTATTTATATAAATAGCAATAACAGAAGAAAAAAAACTAATCCCTAATAAGGGAAATAAAGAGAATGAACCTCTAGCAGTGGGGGCAGGTAATAACTTTGAGGGGTTATAAAGAGACTGACATTTTTGACAAATTCTATTTCTTGATGTAGAAGGTAGTTGTAATGTTTCAGTTAAATTTGGGAAAATCTATTGAAATTCACACTCATGATTTATATACTGTCCTGTATGTTATATTTGAATAAGTCAAAAAATAAATGGCTCTTGCTGTATACTTACTATCTATGTGAACTCAGGCAAAGTTTTATATAAAATATAAATTTGCTATTTTCAAATCAGTTTCTTCATCTATAAAATGTAAATAAGAACATATATTGCATAAGATTACTGAAAAGATTAATTATGATAACCCACAAAAATCACTTATCTGATTCTCTACCAAAATATAGATGTTTGTATTAGTAAAATAAGATATACATTTTTATAGAATGGAATGTATTTACTTTCTTAATTGCTTCCATCATTAAAATGTAAAATATTTGAAATTCAGTTTGATAGGGACATTAATGTTTACCAAAATAAATTATTCAGGGTGATATAATCCAACATTCTTGAGTACACATATTATCTTTTATTGATATAAGCAAGGCTGAAGCTCTCATACATCATTCCACAGTATGTATGAGAACACATTAATAACTACTAGCAAAAGGGTTACATAGTTTATTTTGGTTAAATTTGTTGACCCTAAAGCCATCTGTCCTGAACTGAAATGCTCAGAATTGTCAGTAGTTAGTTATCTATGTTATAATGAGTGATGTACCATATAAACTAAACCAAATATACAGCATGAGTGGCCCCAAATTAGTCAAATAGGAGCCTTCTCTCTCCCAGTTCTGGGGCATAATAAAATGTGCTTGGCTACTGAAAAGATTGATTGACCAGATGTGCTCTGCATTTCAGACAGAAAATAAAATCTGACTGTAGAAAATGAGACCAAATTATTTCAAAACTTAATATGCTCTTATGACACATTTATTTTGATGCCCTTAAATGACTATTAAATATTTAAGATAGTAAAAATACATAACGCAATAAAAACATCACCTGCAAAGACACCATGTAGCTTAAGCCAAAAAACATTATCAATAGAGTTGAAGAGGTACCATCATCTAGTGTATCCCCCTTTCTTCTGCACAGATGATCTCTAAAGTGCTTTTGTTGGCTAGCATTCTCATGCTATATTTTTATGCATAAGAATGCATAAAATAACTTTCAATAATTATGTATGTATACCTAAAATATGTATCGTGTGCAATTCATACATACATATTTGTATATGTCTGAATGTGTATGAAAACTATTTAAATTTGAAAAGCATTATATATTTATGACACATTTATTCAGCTGAATGCGTAAGTTGTTTTTTTCTAGTTTTAAAATATACCTCAATAAAGCTATCATATTGTCTGAGTGTTGTTTTTAGTCACATATCATTCATTATGACTTTTTATTTTTACATTTTTATGATGTTCTAAGTAGTCTAAAATATGTTTGTATTTTTTTACCCAAGACGGTCAAACTATTTAGATGGTTGAAGTGCTTTGTTTTTTGTAGCTTTTATTATTTTTTCATTTCATAATATTAGTATCTAGGTATTCAATGTATGTACCATTTCTGTGAAAAATATATAATTGTAATATATTCAGATTATTTTAAATATAAATCTTCATAAGCATTTGAAATCATGTAATTTATATTTTCAGGGTTCAAAATTAAAAATCTATCAATTAGATCCATCTGTGCTATTTCAATATACCAACTGGAGAGAATGGTCATGCTCAAAGCAAGAGAATGAGAAAAAAGAGTCAATACCAAAATCCAATTTTTTTCTTCAAACTGTTACCTCACTAAGACTCTATCAATATTGACATACTTCAATTCAAAACAGCCTCAGATCTCCTAAGGGTTTCCCACAATAGTTATGAGAGTTTCTCAGAGCCATACTTCACTCTTATTCTATATATATTTCAGAGTTGATTTTTAGGGTAGAAATCAGCAACCTGAGCTAAGTCACAATGTCACCATTTACTTTCTTACTATGAGAATTTTAAATGTTGGGCCATCTTTCTATTTATTTAATAAAACAAACTTTGTCAAGATTGAGTTTTAATTCACTCACAAATTTGATTTTGTAATAATTAACTTCCCCTATTTTAGTATTTTCAAGAATAGTTCTACAAAGTAGATGTTTTTCTCTGCTTTTAACCTGTTTTATTTCTGTTTCCATTACTATTATTAGAAATTTTTATAACTATTGGTTCCATTCCATAGTTATTGGTGTGTTCTAGTAATAAACAAGCTTCTATTGTATTTTTCTAGATTATTTCATTTAAGTTTTTACATTACCATCAATTGTTCATAATACTTTATGATATTTAAATTCCTTTTTTCATAAACAGATATATCTTTTAACATATTTCTAATACATATCATCTGCAGTCTTCATTTTTCTTCCTGATCATTCTGACTTGAAGTTGTCTATTCCCACACGCTTATTGGCTTTGCTTTTTTGTTTTTTTTTTCTTTTTTTTCTTTTTTAATAATCTCCATTAGTTTCTTTGTGTCTTTTGGTCTTGGTTTTCTATTAAATGCTCTTTTACTTGAATTTCCATATTTCTACATCTCTTGGACATTTTTTTCTTTTTTCCTATATTCTAAAGACTGAATAACTTTCTAACTTATTTTTAAACTTTATATCCAAGTAAATCTAATGATGATTTAAATATTTATCTGATTGGTAGTCTAGCAGCATTTCACATGCTGTGTAGCTCTAAATATTTCATAATTTGTGACTTTTAAAAGTCTGTTAATAATTCAAAGTGTGATTTTATTAAGCAAATTTTTAAAATACTGGGGCTATATATATTCTTTCATACCTAATATTCGATATCATAGTCAGAAAATAGGGTCTGCATAATCAAGTTTCTATGACATAATCAGTTTTTTCAATATTCCAAATAAGTTAAAAAGCATGGTTCTTTATAATTGACTATGTTCAAGTTTATGGATATTACTATTAGAACAGTCTTATTAAGTAAGTTGTTTCTAGTCTTATGTCTTTAATACTGTAGCCTTTTTGAGCTGATTTCAGAATTCTTTTTTTGCAAAACATCTCACTAAATTCCTCCTGTGATTATTTCACTGTATTTTATTTTTTGCTTTTATATAGTCTATTATATGTTATGTTGCATGAACTCACTTAGAATAATAGCTAGGGTCACTGGAGTTATATTACTTGGGTTCACATCATGGTTCTTCCACTTGCCAGTTGCATGATCTTGGGTGGGTTACTTAACCTCCCTATCCCTCAGTTTCCTCATCCATAAAAGGATGACAATAAGAATACCTGGAGAAAAGGTTTGTTATATGGATTATACAAATAGTGCCTGGAACACAATTAATGCTATATAAAGCTTTATATATATATAAAATATGCATATATAATATGCATGTGTATATATATAATGTTACATCTACATATATATTGTATATAACATTTGTTCAATGTAAGCAACTTCACGATTGTTATATTTTGACATTCATTTGTCATTATATAAATACTTTTTTATCTACTAATGATATTTGATGTAAATATTTATGCAATTGCTCCCATTACAGTTACGTGCCTGATGTTTTCCTTTGCAGCCTTTACTTTCAAGATGTCTCTTTGACTTTGTTTTGGGCATGTCATTTGTAAAAACAATAGCACTGAATTTACTTAATTAATATTCTGTGAATTTTTGTAAAATTCTAAAAAGATACACTTAGAATTCTAAATTCCAACAACCCATTTTAAAAAGTGGGCCAACAATAAAAAAAAAAAGAAAATTATGCCCTTTGCATTAATATGGATTCTGCTGGAGGCCATCATCCTAAGCAAATTGAGGAAGAAACGGAAAATCAAATACTGCATATTATCACTTATGGGTGGCAGCTAAACATTGGATACATATGGACATAAAGATGGGAACAAATAGACACTGCAGACTTCTAGAAGGCTGGGAGCAGCAAGAGCTGATAAACTGTATTGGATATTATACTCAGTACCTGGGTCATATAATCATTCATACCCCAAACCTCAGCATTATACAATATACCCATGTGACAAACCTGCACATACACCCCCTAATATATAATAAAAGTTGAAATTATTAAAAATATAGGCTAAGGATCTTAACAGAGACATTACCAAAGAAGACATACTAATGGCAAAGAAGGATATGAAAGATGGCCAACATCTTAAATCATTAAAGAATTACAAACTGAAACAATAATGGAATACAATTACACCTATTGGAATGACCAAAATTCAGAATAAAGACAACACCACATGCTGACAAGAAGTGGAGCAGCAAGAACTCTCATTCATTGTTGGTAGGCATGTAAACTGGTACAACCACTTTGTAAGACTGTTTGACAGTTTCTTATAAAACTAAGAGACCCTTACCATAAGATCAGTCACAGTCCTTGGTATATACCCAAAGGAGTTGAAAACTTAGGCCTAAACAAAATCTTGCACAGGGATATTTATAATGGCTTTATTCATAATTGCCACAACTTAGAAGCAACTAAGATGTTTTTTCAGTAGGTAAAGGGATAAATAAAATGTAATACATCCAGAGAATGAAATATTTTTTAGCGCTAAAATTGAGTGAGCTGTCAAGCCATGAAATAATTGGGAGAAATCTTCAGTGCATATAATTAAGTGAAAAAAGCCACTCTGAAAAGCCTCCATAGGGTAATCCAACTATATGACTTTCTGGAAAAGACAAAAATATGAAGACAATAAGAGCAGTGGTTGTCAGGGGTTGGGGGAAGGAAGGATGAATAGGAGAAGCACAGAGGATTTTTAGGGCCACAAAAGTACTTTCTATGGTAATATAATATTGGATACATGTCATTATACATTTGACCAAACCTATGGAATGAACAACACCAAAAGTGAACCTTGATGTAAACAATGGACTCTAGATGATAAAGATGTGTCAACGTAGGTTCATTAATTATAATGAATGTACTACTATGATGGTAGATTTTGATAATGAGGATAATTACAGATGTGTGTGGCTGTAGGTATATGGGAAATGTCTGTACCTTCGGCTCAGTTTTCCTGTGAACATGAAACTGCTCTAAAAAATAGTCTATTATATGTGTATATATATATATATATGTATATGTATATATATGTATATGTATGTATATATATAACAGTACTAAATGACAAAACACGCAAACAAACATACAAACACCTTATACCAGTAAATTTGAAAATATGTATGTAATTTTAAATTCTTAGAAAAAATAAGGAAAGCTAACTCAGGAAAAAACAGAAAATATCAATAGCCCAACATGTACTAAAGCAACTTAAAAAATAATTAAGAAGTCCAACCATATAGAAAAATATTAGGCCAGATGACAAAATTATTTTATTTATTTATTTATTATTTGTTTATTTTTGAGACAGCATCTCACTCTGTCACCCAGGCTCTGGAGTGTAATGGCACAATCTCGGCTCACTGCAACATCCACCTACTGGGTTCAAGTGATTCTCCTGCCTCAACCTCCCAAGTAGCTGGGATAACAGCGGCCCACCACCACCTTCAGCTAATTTTGTATTTTTCGTAGAGAAGTTTCACCATGTTTGCCCAGACTGGTCTCAAACATCTGAGCTCAAACAATCTGCCCACCTCAGCCTCTCAAAGTGCTGGGATTACAGGCATGAGCCACCACATCTGGCCTGGACAAAATTCTTATAAACACTCAAGGAAGAAATAGTGCAAACCTTTATAAAAATGTTTCAGAAAATAGAAAATCCATATCAACTCATTGTTTAAGTTAGCATAAGGCTGATATCAAAATCTCACAAGGACATTTCATGAAATAAAAATTGCAGGTCAATCTTCCGTAAGTTTATGAAAGAAATGATGGTCCTAAAATAATAGCCATTTAAATGCATTAATCATAAAAAGATAATGTGTAAAAAATATGAGTTAATTTAAAGAATTCATTATTGGATAAATATTCAACTATCAATCATAATTCTATCAATAATTGAAGAAATACTTTTAATAAGTCTAAAACCAATATATGACTTAGCAATTAGAAATAGAAATAACTATATTTAATCTACGACAGTTATCTACACAAAATTTAAAAGAAAATCATATACACAATGAAACTACATATCAAATTTCAGAACTACCTGTCTCCTACCCCAGCTCACTTATATTCAGAACAAGCGAAGCAGGCCCTAATTGAACACATGGATTCAACCTGTTATTATGGGTTTTGGCCACTGAAATCTGGCCAAACAAAAAGGATATAGTAATTGATAAAGAATAAATTAGTCTATTAATTTAACAAAAATCTTAATATAAAAATTTGACCTTGCGTATTTCAAAAGATAATACTTTAACAGTGAAATATTACAAACCAAAAAACATTTTTATTACATACATATATATTTGACATACAAAAACCTATAACACAGCAAGTCTACCGTAGGATAGATACCTGAAAGAAATGCATAACAATAATATTCAGAAGATCATTATTTATAATAAGCCCAAAGTAGACAGATTAAATATCAAACAACAGTGAAATTAATAATTACATTGGATCATATTTATACAATGAATTATTCTATAGCAATGAAAATGTACAATTTGGCCGGGTGTGGTGGCTCACACCTGTAATCCCAGCACTTTGGGAGGCCAAGGGGGTGGATCACATGAGGTCAGGAGTTCGAGACCAGCCTGGTTAACATGATAAAACCCCACCTCTGCTAAAAATACAAAAAATTAGCTGGGCATGGTGGTGGGCATCTGTAATCCCAGCTACTCAGGAGGCTGAAGCAGGAGAATCACTTGAACCCAAAAGGCAGAGGTTGCAGTGAGCCGAAATCATGCCATTGCACTCCAGCCTGGGCAATGAGAACGAAAATCTGTGTTAAAAAAGAAAAGAAAAGAAAAGTGTACAATGTATTGCTACATACAAAATAATGGTATCACAAACACAACACTGACCAAAAGCCATTGGTATGAGAGGTAAGAATGTTGTTACCTCTAAGGAGACAGATGGGGGTAGTGACCAGAAATGGGCCTGACAGGTGCTTTTTGTTTGATGATAATATATATCTTGGCCTGCAGAATGGTCAAATAGGCATTCTTTTGTGCTTGCTTGTTAGTTTCTTTGTTTGTGCAATTGGTATTAGGTTGTTATGAGTTTAAAATAATGGGTTATATGATAGTATTTGCAAGCCTCATGGTAATCTCAAATCAAAAAATACACAGCAGATACACAAAAAATTAAAAAGAAAGAAATTAAAATATTGTCCCAGAGAAAAACACCTTCACTAAAAGGAACACAGGAAGAGAAGACCACAAAACAATCAGAACACTAATAATAAAATGGCAAAAGTAAGTCCTTATTTAACAATAATAACATTGAACGTAAATGGACTAAACTCTCCAATCAAAATAGATACAGTGGCTGAATTGATAAAAAAAAAAAAAGACCCAATGATTTGTTGCCTATAAAAAAAAGCACATTTCACCTATAAAGCCACACATAAACTGAAGATAAAGGAGTGGAACAAGATATTCCATGCAAATGGAAACCAAAAGACAGCAGGAGTACCTATAGCTATAAAGAAAAAATAGATTTCAAGATAAAAACTATAAAAAGAGACAAAAGAGGTCATTATATAATTATAAAGGGATCAATTCAGCAAGATGATATAACAATTGTAAATATTCATGCATCCAACACTGGAACACCCAGATATAGGTATGAAACATGATTGGAGCTAAAGAGATAGATAGACCCCAATACAATAATAGTTGGGGATGTCAACAACCCACTTTTAGCACTGGACAAATCATTCAGACAGAAAAATCAGCAAACTTAAAGCTTAATCTACAGTATAGATCAAATGGTTCTAAAAGATAATTTAAAGAACATCTCATCCAATGGCTGCAGAATACAGACTTTTTTCTTTAGCACATGGATCATTCTCAAAGATAGACCATATTGTAGGCCACAAAAAAGTCTTACAATATTAAAAAACATTCAAATTATAACACGTATCTTCTTCGATCACAATGGGATAATACTAGAAATCAATAACAAGATGAATTTTGGAAACTATACAAACATATGGGAATTAAACAATATGCTCCTGAATGACAAATAGGTCATTAAGAAGGAAGGAAAATAAGAAGAAAGTTTAAAAATTTCTTGAAACAAATGATAATGGAAACACAACATACCAAAGCCTATGGAACACAGCAAAATCAGTTCCAAGAGGGAAGTTTATAGCTCTAAGCACCTAAATCAAAGAAGTAGAAAGACTTGAAATAAACTATGTAATGATTCACCTCAAAGAACTAGAAAAGCAGGAGCAAACCAAAGCCAAAATTAATAGAAGAAAATAAAAATAAAGATCAGAGAAGAAATACATGAAATTGAAATGAAGAAAGCAGTACAAAATATTAATAAAATGAAAGGATGGTTTTTTGGAAATATAAACAAAATTAACAAACCTTTAGCCAGAGTAACTAAGAAAAAAGACGACACAAGTAGTATCAGAGATGGAAAATAGACACATTACACCAATACTGCAGAAATTCAAAGGATCGTTAGAGGTTACTGTGAGCTACCATATGCCACTAAATTGGAAAACCTAGAAGAAATGGATAAATCCCTAGACACATATAATCTATCAAGATTAAAACATAAGGAAATCCAAAACCTGAACAGATCAGTAACAAGGGGAGTTTACTTCGTAAACATGCACCAAGCTAAACATTTATGATTCGTGCACTCTTCTGTATGTTATACCTCGTTAATTTTTTTAATCATTAAAAAAAGAAAAAATTCTACCATCCAGTTATATCCTATGACTAGAAACTCAGCCTAGAATAGCAAAAATATTTCATATGTCATTTAAGTCTCATTGAATTTGTTGTAGCATCTGTAATGTTATGTTCACAAAATAATAGGGATAAAATCTAGACTTAAATAATAGTGTCCAGATTACTTAGTGTTTTGCAATGGTAAAAGTATTTGGAGATTCAGTGTGCTTGCAGTGAACAATATCTCAAATTTTAACCAGTACTTAATAATTTCATACTCTTGAGAAATTGCCTTTTGATAAACAAATCTTTATACAACGTAGACACTATTCAAAACAGCCTTGCAGCATTTTAGAAGGTTATGTAAATACTTTTTGATTCCTTGTCTATCTTTTGTATTTGATAGGGAAGAAGAAAATATGTCTTACTTGTTCTATTTCAAAGGTTTGGCAAAATGCCAGATACAGTGCATGGGTTTAATTAATGCTCTTGTAAAAAAAGAAAATGTAATGACATGGCATTCACCTTGGTGAGTTTTTTACTAAGTTCACAATTGTTGCTGAAATCAAATGTTGATCATTCAAGGAACCATATCAGGTAAGACAAATTAAACATGGTTGATTTAATTCTAGTCAGATTAGACTATAGAAATACTCTTCCTAACTAGTACTAGATTTTATCATGCTTTTTACATATAGTATCATTTACAAGAACTAATGTAAAATATACTCATGTCAATCACATTTTTTTTACATCTTGCATAGGCCACTCTTGACAAGTAAAACCAGACAATCTGAGCAAATTCACTAAAATCTTCTGAATGTTCTGTAGACAAGTCACTGAAGAATTCTTAGAAAAGCATCTCATTAATAATCATATCACTCACGCCTGTAATCCCAGCACTTTGGGAGGCCGAGGCGGGTGGATCATGAGGTCAGGAGATCGAGACCATCCTGGCTAACAAGGTGAAACCCCGTCTCTACTAAAAATACAAAAAATTAGCCGGGCTCGGTGGCGGGCGCCTGTAGTCCCAGCTACTCGGGAGGCTGAGGCAGGAGAATGGCGTGAACCCGGGAAGAGGAGCTTGCAGTGAGCCGAGATTGCGCCACTGCAGTCCGCAGTCCGGCCTGGGCGACAGAGCGAGACTCCGTCTCAAAAAAAAAAAAAATAATAATCCTATCAGTGTGTTTGTTCGTTAGTTCATTAAGTTTATGCATGAGAAATCCTGCTGTTCTTGCAAATAATTTACCAAAGTTCTTCTAATGAAGCACTTCAAATTAGTATGCACTCATCAAATAAATAAAGCTCCGCTATTTTTCATAGGTTGACATTAACTCTGAATGCCTCAACTAGCTACAACATTGTATAAATACTTGTCCAAGTAAAGTAAATAAAATTGTTCTTCTCATCAGTATTAGTTATTATCAATTGTCCTAAAATGGTTAATAATGAGATGTATGGCTTCTCAGTAATATCTAATAATATTCATTGTACTTCAATTAGTTAATATATATACTGCTATTCGTGATTGTGATTGCATAAAAATAACATTAATAATAACTAAATATTAGTGTGTGCTTAGTATGCCTAAGGCTTTGAGTTTTGTTACTCATTAATTTTTTACATCTTCATTTTGTAGATGAGACAACTAAAACTCAGCTAAGTAGTAACTTTCTCAAGCTTATGCAATTAGACACTGGCAGAGCTGATATCTGATTGTAGATCCATTTATCTCATAATATTCATTTACAGGTAAAAACTATCTAATGAAAGTATCCCCAGTATTGACATTATTGTCCTACCAAGTTAACTGAATAATAACATTCAACAATTATAAATGCATAGGTACGGCATCTTCATTGTCTTGATATTATTCTTAATTATGATCAATTGTTGAGTGCTTAAGTTTAAACTTAAACAGTGAGTGTAAACATTTAAGCTATTTCTATAGTGCATATGAAGATTACCCTTGAAAAAGATAAGTAGTTACTTTATAGAGATTCTGAATCTCAAAATCTCTTCTATGGACACAAGATCAAAATGAATGTCTTTGTTCAAAAATAATTATTATACCCTTCTTTTTTTCTTCCCACTTAAATGCCCACACTGTTATTAAAAAAATGTTTTTGACAATCCAATTTACATGCCTTTTATACACTATTTAGTCTATAAATCTTGAGAAAATTCTGAAAGAGAAGATTTCTCTCATGAATGTGCATCTTTGGATAAAAACTTTACTGAAAATAATGAAAAGAAACCTCTTAACACCACACTATAATATTTATTTATTATTTATGTATTTTTATTTCCATAGTTTTTGGGGATACAGGTGGTGTTTGGTTACATGGGTAAGTTCTTTAGTGGTGATTTCTCAGATTTTGGTGCACTCGTCACCTAAGCAGGGTACACTGTACCCAATATGTAGTCCTTCATCTCTCACCCCTTCCCACTCTTCCCCCCGAGTCCCCAAAGTCCATTATATTATTCTTATGCCTTTGCATTCTGACAACTTAGCTCCCACTTATAAGTGAGAACACTATAATATTTAATGACACACAATAATGAGTGGAATTATCTTGAGCTATATATCGCTCATCAGCTTTGGAAATGTGCTTTATTATGTAATTGCAGATTTACTAAAAGGTAAATTTTCACTAAATTCAGAAGATTTATAGACATACGAATTTTGTGCTGAAATATTAGTTTCTTCTGAGGAGAGCGGAGAACGAGGGGGGTTAGAAACTGTAATAAAACCTAACATTGAAAGGATTCCATTGTGTTTTTCTGTTAAATGGTTTCATAAAGGCTTATTAAGGCTTTGAAGGTATATCTGTCTTCAAACTTAGGAAGTATATCTGTGTCAAATTTTAATTACTTGATTTGCTAAACGTTATCAATTCTAAATTCTAGCTCTTCAGATCATTGAAAAGAATTGAGTTGAATGTTTGTTAAATACAGATTAAATATATTAGGTAATATAGTCTTTCTGACTCAACTCCTAGCCAAAATGAATATGTGCATTCCAGCAGAATTAAAATCCATAAAAGTTCTACCAATGCACAGTAAAACGTTTGATTTTTTTCTCATCTGATGGAGCAAAGCTGAGCTTGATCAAACAACTACCCAGCAGGTTCCCCCGCCCTCCTCCCCTAACCAATCCTCTTTGATTTTTCTAGATCTATTTCTACAGCTCAGCCACAAATTGGAAGTTGGATTGATTCATTTCACCCTGGGATTGTTCAAAAGGTCACACAGGTGGCTTTGCTTTGATTCTTCCTTTTATTTTTGGCACTGGGATTAGTTCTTTTCTGTTCCTATCACCACTCGTTATCTCTCCCACTGTGTTTCTCTTTCTTCTGAAGCTCAGATACTTAAAGTGGGATAAGACTTTTTTACTTCACTGTTTTTATCATCCCAACAATATATCTATCTATAATGGGAGCCAACCTGTGATTTACACCACCAGAACTAAAACTTAACTGTCCATAGAATTTATTGTATATTGTTTGACTCATTTATACCATACTAATCAGACCCTGAGCTAAACTATAAATTTATTTTCACATTGTTTTCAGACTGAATCATTGGTCATAGTTCATATGCAAATATGAAGTTAGCCAGCTCTCCTCTGAGTTTTTATTGCTCCATAAAATTTAGAGTTTGAAATGTTCTGAAACTCCTTTCACTCTCTCTAATGGTCACGTTTTATTTTTCACTTGGGAATCTGTTTAGATTTTCTAGACAAATTCTTGTAAGGCAATTATGTTCAGACTCACTTTTCATTTTTTTAATGGAAAAGTTTTCTGCCATATGTCATGCTGATTACAAGTTGATTGAACAACCTGAAATCTCCTATTAGGCAGAAAATCAGGTGTGACTTATTTCAGAGTCAAATCCTCTTTTACTGCTTCTTAGATTGATGCTTGGAACAACCAGTGTAGCTCTATGTGGCTACTTTAAGAACTTGCTAATTGGCATATATCACCCTAGTCTGGTCTAGCTTCCTTTCTATCCTGTTGTTCAATAGCCCATTAGCAACTATTGTATTCCATTAATATCTATTTTAGAAAAAAAGTAGGAAAGACTGTGTTGCAGATAGCTTGTAGTTTCTGAGAGCACTATTACACCTGCTGTGGAAAATATTTAGCTGTATTTTCAAGTAATATATAGTCTGCAGATTTAATTTGAGGGAAGATTATTTTAGCAGTCTTATTTACGCTGTATTTGCCTTTACCCAATATTGTCATCACAGAAAAAAATCACATTTTTGTAAATGTACTTATTAAGCACAATTCAATTCAATTTCAAAAGTGTGGGTTTAGGTTCCATTATATAAGTGTTTCTTTGATGGAGAGGTTGCATAGTTAAGTATTTCAATGTATCAAGCTTTTGCTAAAGACGATGACAAAAACCAGGCATATACTTACCAGCTAAAAAGAAAACACTGTCAGAGAGTAAGAGCACATTTGTTACAAATTTTAATGTTGGAGTAGAGAGTATTCACATAATATATAGGTCTTTCATTTCAATTACAAATAATATCTATTTTACTGTTGCTATTTGTTAGCCACACCATGTGTACAGTATTTACCTTAACATATAGATCATATTCCATTATTAAATTAATTAGAATCTTATCATGTTTCCCGTTTAGAGTAGGTTCTTCCTAAGTATACTTCTTTCTTGTCCTTTAAAAATTATTCAGTATGAATTTTATTTGAATAATTTTAAGTATCATGTCAAATATTTGAGTTCAAAGAGTTTGAAGATGGATTATTGTATGCTGTCAGTTCTGAGTACACAAAAGGTCTTCTCAATACTAGTATTGCCTTCACTTCTAGCCACCTTTCAGCCTCATTCCCAACACTTCTGAGCAACTTGAGTATTAGAGGGGTTCAGAGAAGTGTATAATGATCATGATTATGCTGATTTATGCATTTCTATTATAAGTCTTTGATAGAGGCTCTTTGCTACATTTCATGTACAAAAATATTTCTAGAATTCTCTAATTGTATTCATTGCCACATTCTTAAGGGCCAAGAAGTTTCTTTAAACATAGGTAATGAAGTTTTAAACTACCAACTGCTTGATATTCTTTCCTATCATACCTAATTTGCCCTGAGCTTGGAGTGGTGGTCACTGACATGAAATTATTTAAGAAAAAAATTGTGAAATTGTTTAAAAAAGCTCCACAGATGTATATATTGTTAAATAGGCATTTTTAGAATCTGATATGTTATTTCAGGTTTTCAAGCTAATTCCTAACACTGAAGCCACTGTAAAAGATTCTGACTTTGAAGAAAAAAAAAAGAAATTATTGTCAGTGATAATTTCATTCTTAATTTTATTTAGAAATCATCAACTGGCCATCAAAATTAGTAAAGTAATGACATATGAGGTTTGCAGAGTGTTTGAATGGAAGAGCTTTAAGCTAATGGTGAACTTTGCAAAACAAAATAACGTTATCTAGTTTATAAGCCATTGACTTTTATGAATAATGAGAGGATCTCAATCTATTTTAACCATTTCTTTCTGATTAAAAGAAAGAGAATTTTCACTCACTTAACCTCCACAACTCAGAATGACTTAAAATGTAGAATTTTGAGTCATATATCTGTTTGTTTTGTTTTGTTTTGTTTTTTGACAGAGTCTTGCTTTGTCACCCAGGCTGGAGTGCTGTGGTGCAATCTAAGCTCACTGCAACATCTGCCTCCTAGGTCCAAGTGATTCTCCTGCCTCAACTTGCTGTGTAGCTGAGATTAAAGGCATATGCCACCAAGCCCGGCTAAGTCATATTTCTGGATTAAGTTGTCATTTGAAATAATACATCATAAGTCATATTTCTGGATTAAGTTGTCATTTGAAATAATACATCAGTCCTCAAAGGTGCAATCTGCCAATGGTGATGAACAGTGATTTGTTCTTCTTTCAACACAACTTTTCAAAATTTTAACTTCTCTAAGGTTAACTTTATTTTACAGCGATAACAGAATTTATTTGTCTTAATTGTTAATATTAAGCAATAATAGTGAAGTGACAATAGTAATAATAGTTCATATTTATTGTATTAGTGTGAATCACAGTCTTGAAAACTTACTATGTATCATTTATATACTCATCACTGCTTTCTTAGTAAAAGAAGGTACTATTAATATTTCTGGATTATAGGTAAGAAAACTGAGGCACAGAGATGTAAAGTAACTTGACTAAACCTGATATCTCTTTCTTTCCCTATACAGTACTGCCTTAAGATCATATAGAAGTATTAAAAAACAGCCATTATAAAAATAACAAGATTTATCTACTTCAGCATTCAACAATACAAAAATATAATAATGTCAAAATAACAATAAGGCAAAATTTGTTATAACCACAAAATCCATTAAAAACCTAGGAGTTAGCAAACCTACATGGAGAAAATTAATTTTAATAAAAACAGAAAATAGTGGGAGCAAATGGGGACGTATTTCATGATTTGGGATAGGACACTATTGCCTGAAATTTCTATATTAGCAGACAAGTTTTCAGTGAGGGGAGGGAAGAAAGTAATTTTTGAGTGCTTATAGTCTATGTTTCTAATTTCTTATAATAGATCTTTTTAGAAACTGTTAAAGTCAATATTTTATAGATGAGAAGCTGGGGGTATAAAGACATTCCATGAAGAAGAGAAGGACAAACAACATGCAGGTAATAGAACTGACATGTGACTTCTCTATGCCTTAGCTGCATTGGTATGCAGGACACCCAGTGGCACCCATTCCTACCATAAGGTTCTTGATAATGTGAGTAGAGGGAGGGAGGAGGTCCCAACAGCACCCTAGCACTTCCTAACAGCACCCCAATTCGTTTGCCAACAAGACTTACCAGATCTCCAGTGAACAGCCTCTCAGCAAGTCTTGGTGGTACACCAGCAGAAGGCATCCCAAGTTGGCTGGTATATCAGTGGGGGACTTCTAAGCACATCATTCTCCAGCAGGCAGTTTCCACTTCTGAGTCATTTATACCCTTTCCTAAATCTCAGCCTTTGAAAAAGAGGAGTCTTTTCAACCTTTTTTCTTCCTTTGTTATATTTTGTCAGCCATAGAAATAATGGCCACTCCCTATACATGCAATTCTTGTATTCTTTAGGATTCTCATTACCTCTACTAGTTGGTCATCTGTTGCAATTTAATTCTTTCAGTTGAATGTTTTATGTTCATTTCTGTCTTCTGACTGGAACCAAATACATACATAAAATATAAGCTCCATAAAAACAAGGACATAGTTTTGTTTCTGCTGTATCCTACGAGTCTAGAATAGTGTCTACAGTAGAGTAGCACACAAATAAATGTTTGTTGACATAATCAAAGTATTGGCTCTGATATGGTTTGGTTGTGTCCCCATCCAAATCTCACCTTGAATTGTAATAATCCCCACATATCAATGGCAGGGCCAGGTGGAGATAACTGAATCATGGGGGTGGATTCCCCCATACTGTTCTTGTGGTAGTGAATAAGTCTCATGAGATCTGATGGCTTTATAAAGGGAAGTTCCCCTGCTCATGCTTTCTTGCCTGGTGTCATGTAAGAAGTGACTTTGCTCCTCATTCACCTTCTGCCATGATTGTGAGGCCTCCCCAGCCATGTGGAACTGTGAGTCCGTTAAACCTCTTTCCTTTGTGAATTACTCAATCTCAGATATGTCTTTATTAGCAGCATGAGAACAGACTAATACAGGTTCATTAGATGTTGTAAAGATAAATAAGTCTAAGATGGCATCTGTGTTGTTGATATAAAAACCTAAGTGGATGATAAGGTCATTCTTTGGGAGAAATCGGAAGAAACTATTTGGTGTCAGATGGTTGATGGTTATAAGAAATTGCAGAGTTGAAATATTAATCAGCACATGGATGTAGAATGTTGTCTAACCAGTGTGTAAAATGAGGATTCTCTCCAGGGGAATACTACTACTTAAGGGATCAGCAGAGGAAGTGAACATTTTATGAGAAGCAGCAGTTAGAATAAAAAGCATAAGGGAATGGTGATGTGAAAACCAAAAATTTCCCATGCTTTGTATCTTAACAACCACCCAGTGCTGAACTCATCACAGATAATCTGTTTTCTCATGTCTCTGAAATCAGGACCATTCACAATAATCTCTTTTGCAATAGAAAAATAACTAGATATTTACAAACATATTTTTCATGTAATTTTAAAGATGAATACCTGTGAGGACATGCATACGCAAGTCAAACATAGAAACATGAAAAGACAAAGGCTTAGCACAGCGGCTCACACCTATACTCCCAGCACTTCGGGAGGCCAAGGTGGGAGGATTACCTGAGCCCAGGAATTTGAAACCAGCCTGAGTAACAGCAAGACTGTCTATACAGGCTGCAGCCTGGACTTGGAGGCTACAGTGAACCATGATTTCAGGCTTGAGTTCAGGCCACTATACTCAGCCTGGGAAATGCAAGGAGACCCGGTCTCTAATAATAAATTAAATTAATAAATAAGTCACTAATAAGTTTAGTTTACTCCAAATCAAAAAATTGAAATTGAATAAAAACTATACTATATATAGTTGTTGACTACCAGTTTTATAGAGATTTTTACAAAATAAAATTCCTTTGCTGTGGTGATGTTGTAAAATGATCATCCTCTGACACAACTTAGAGAAGTATAAATTGGACTGACTGTTACCACTGTGGGTCAAAGGCATTTAGAAATGTGCTTGCTTTACATTTAGAAATATTTCTGAGATTTTTTTATGAAAACAATTATTACAATTTAAATATATTTAATTGAAATATCCAATAATAAGAAAGTAAAAATAAATTATACACAGATAATATGCTGTGATGATTAAAATGTCATCATGGAAAAACATTTGCTTATGTGTATATTAGTCAACTTGGGCTTCCATAACAAAATACCACAATCTGGGTGGCTTAACCAATGGAAATTTATTTTCTCACAGTCTGGAGGCCGGATTTTTAAGATCAAGGTGTCTGCAGGGTTGGTTACTGATGAGGCCTCTCACTTCAGCTTGCAGGTACCTTCTTGTTGTGTTCTCAAATGGCCTTTCTCTGTGTATGCACATAGACAGGCCTCTTTCTCTTTTGTTAAGGACATTATTCCTATTGGATCAGGGCCCCTTCTTTATGACCTCATTTACTGTTTATTACCTTTTTAAAGACCCTATCTCCAAATATAGTCAAATTGCATGTTTAGGCTTTAATGTATGAATTTGGTGGGTGGTGGGGGGACATAATTCAGTTAATAACAATAGGGAAAGATGATTATGAGAAATTAGTAAATATAAAGGGAGGTTGAAAATTATGTAAAAATTATGAAAAATGAAATCCTTTTTGAAATTCTCAATTATGTAAAAATTTCAAAAATTTTATTTTTTAACAATAAAATAAAAGCAAAAAACTTATACACCTGGATGTCAATAATTGATGTCCAATGGTATTAAATTAGGCATTATTTTAATAGTCTTACTTTGCTCATCATATTTTCTGTTTTTGGTATAAAGAACTTCTACTAATTGTTTATTAATTGTTTAATAAACACAAAGAAGCACTTATACCTTAAGGTAAGTCTGGAAATCCCAATGTCAATTCTACTAATTGTTTATTAATTTATCATGGTCATGATCAGTATGCCATATCATGGTACTCACCACTTCTCCTGGTTTAGGATAGTTGAGCAATATGCTGATCTATAAATGAACATAACATCATCTGTGTAAAAATAATCTGAGTGAAAAAAATCTCAGTGGAAGGTTGCTCCAGAAAATGCTGTATTAAAGAGATGAGTATTAAGGCAAAAACACCATTTATTAAGCGATATAAAGGTCAGTGGGAGACACCTGGTTATTTGTCCTAACCTATTATGGACTGGACATATACAGCTGTGGCTAAGCAGAAGAAATATGTTTTGAGTTTTTTTTTCTTCCTATATAAAATATATATTTTAATTGGGGTCTGCTAAAATATCAGTTATTTTTCTCTAAAATTACATGCATATTTCATAATATTGATTCTTCTTTTTTTTTTCTTTTTTTTGAGACAGAGTCTCGCTCTGTCGCCCAGGCTGGAGTGCACTGGCATGATCTGGGCTCACTGCAACCTCCCCCTCCCTGGCTCAAGCAATCCCCTGCCTCAGCCTCCCGGGTAGCTGGGATTACAGGCACATACTACCACGCCTGGCTAATTTATTTTGTACTGTTAGTAGAGACGGGGTTTCACCATGTTGGCCAGACTGGTCTCGAACTCCTGACCTCAGGCAATCCGCCCACCTTGGCTTCCCAAGGTGCTGGGATTATGGGCGTGAGCCACCGCGCCTGGCCTTGAGTTTCTGTTTGTTTTTTGTTTTTGTTTTTGTTTTTTTTGAGACGGAGTCTCGCTCTGTCGCCCAGGCTGGAGTGCAGTGGCGGGATCTCGGCTCACTGCAAGCTCCGCCTCCCGGGTTCACGCCATTCTCCTGCCTCAGCCTCCCAAGTAGCTGGGACTACAGGCGCCCGCCACTACGCCAGGCTAATTTTTTGTATTTTTAGTAGAGACGGGGTTTCACCGTTTTAGCCGGGATGGTCTCGATCTCCTGACCTCGTGATCCGCCCGCCTCGGCCTCCCAAAGTGCTGGGATTACAGGCGTGAGCCACCGCGCCCGGCCGAGTTTCTTATTTAATGTTCTGTCCAACTCATTTAACTGGTCAATAGATAGCTTGCTTTTATGAGAAAGTCCATAACTGTTTTACTTGTTTGCCATTATTTGATGACATGCTTTCTGTTTAACCTTACATTCCCCAGTAACCTTACATTCTCTAAAAGGCAAAACTCTGGGAAAACAACTTTTACCTATGTTTGTATTAAGAGAAAAAGTTGTTTATAAGTTACCAAGAGAAAATTCTAAAGAGAAATCTGCTAATATTAGTAGAATAGTGCTCAGCTATTGTCTCCACTTTCTGAAATAATTTTCAGTATAGAGGACACATTTCACTCCATCCTTGGTAATTTTATCTGTGCAGAAGTTCACAAAGAAGCACTTATACCTTTAGGTAAGTCTGGAAATCCCAATGTCAAATAATGAGGCAGACTTTGTTTTGGTTTCAGAGACACATTATAGAGAAAGTTATTTTCTCCCAGTTTCCACTTATGACAATAAAAATTCTTATTTCCATAGCTTTCCAGTGTATTTCTCTGCACACAGTGGGTGTTCAGCAAATGTTGCTGACTAAATTGCATTAAGGATTGAAGTAGAGTGTTATGATTATTTTCATGTTGTTGCCATAGAAACAGTAGGAAAATCTATTGTTGAAGTCAGCCTTTTGTGATTATCTCCCCTACACAGATGTGAGAAACTGAGGTGTAAGGACAGGCTTGCTGTACCCACAATGAGAAACCCTTCACTGACCCCTGACTATGTTATAAGAAACTATTTCATGTTTCTGTGTGTGTCTCCCTAACTAGGTTAGAGATTTCTGTAGAAGAGATGACAATTTCATCATATACTCTGAGCCAGTTATTTATACATATTCTCTCTCAAACCCTGCAAATAGGGGGCATTATTTCCCATGGTACTCAAAACTTCCTAGAGTGTCATGCCAGGAAATAGTCCCTGATCTGTTTATTCCAGCAATATAGTTAGAACTTGAAGCTTCCATTTTGTACACTTATTATACATCCTCCTTATTATTCAATACCATCAACATTCAAGAATCAGCAACAACAACATAACACTCAACCTTTGAATTGAACAATGTTAAATTTGCACACAATCTTTGGGAGTGCCTAGTTATAAGCCAAATCTTCTCACTTTGCTTTTATATGTATACCTTTAAAACTTAAGCAAATAAAAGAGACTATAGTCACCATCTCCATAGCCCAACATCATTTTAACTGAGTAGGTAACTAAGATTTCTTGGTCAGATTGTAAGCAGCTTTCAGCACCTAGGCTTTTAAGGACTCATAACAGAGCACAGATTCCCAAACCAGGCTGTACACATACACTAAAGGACCTTTTAAAAATTACAGATATTAGATCCCGTTTTATATCTATTTAATCCAAATTTCTGGCAACAGTGACATGAAATCACAATTAAAAACAGACAAACACAGCTAGATTCATCTACTGGAGATGTACATAAAGTTTTTGCTTGTAATACTTTATTTGTTTTATATATGGCTGTGGATTGATCCTTTTCTGTTCATAATTCTGTATGTTTTTATTTGATATATTTCAAAACTATATTGCTAGATAGATGTAGGTAAATGAATAGCTGTGGATTCTTGGTGGATCTTATTCTTGGTGGACCTTATTGGATTCCTCTTATTTACTTTCTTTATTAATGCATTTGAGGTTAAAACTTTGAAAACAAAAGTTTCAAAATAGAAATTCAAAACCACTAGCAAATGCAACAAACTCTCCCCATTTGATTTTGATATGCAGTCAAAAGTAAGAACAGTTGCTCTAGGATGATAAATATCTGTAAAGATAAGAAATGTTAAGTGTTAGGCAAAAAAAAAAAAATGCTCTTCAATTCCTTTGAACTAATGTAAACATTTTTATAATATCTTCATTTTCTCTTTTTCCGTGTTTCTTTTCTGTTTATACATGGCATAGTAATATGATATTGAAGATTTCATTATTGATAGCTTTTGCAGAGAACTTAAATGGATGTCAGATATGTCATGTTAAATGTAAACTCCTACAAGATTTTAGAGTTCTCTGGTTCACCGTGTAACAAATATTACTGATATTCCAAATGTGCCTATTTGTTCAAGTTGCATGTCTGGCCCTTTCTATATGGTTAGGTATTTAGATTAATGTATTTGGATTCCTTGTTTAATTCTAAGTGTAGGCAAAATTTATAGTGAGGCTTTATAGTTAAATTGTGTCAGAAATTGAATTAAAAACCAAAAGAAAGATAATTTGACAATTGTAGACAAACATACAAACCTATTTTTTAATTGTTGGTAGCCTTCAACAACACAATGATTCTATAATGGAGCTACAGACAAATATTACTAATGCTTTCCTACTGAAGACACCCTAATATCCAAAGCACCCCATAGGGAACAGTCTGCCCTAGGATATATTCAGAATGTACTAGGATATATTTTTATCCATTAAGGATTTAACAACCCACCATATATGTGGACAACTCCATGCCTCAATAAGTGCAAAATAAAGGGCCAGTGTGGATTAGGGATTTTAATGGTACTACTGTCACTCCATACCCAATTCAAAACAGAATGTTGAGAGTGGAGAACTTTAAAATTTTGTAAAAGTTTAGGTCTACACATCTTAATGTGCATTATGGAATAAAGAATAATTTTCCAGCAGGTATAAATCACTCTAAATGGGCATCTTTTGGTAAAATGCTCCTTTCTCAGGTTGGCAAAAATTTAAATAAACTTATGATTAGAAGTCTGTCTCAAACATAAGCTACTATAGCTAACACTACTGCAAAGACTCTAGTTTCCCAACAAACTTCCTAAAATTCTCTTGCTAAAGTTGTTTTAGATGAAAAGATTTCTTTGGATTTTCTGTTGGCTGAACAAAGGTGAGTGTGTGCAAGAACTAACACCTCCTGCTTCACTTGGATAAATACATCCTGCATAGTAGAAAATCATTTTCAAGAAATCAACAAACCCGCTACTTACATAAAACAAGTACCTTCCTTGTCCAGCTCGTATTTGATATACTTTATTTTGATCATTTCGATTTGTGGGAGCTCCTGTTAAGGACTATACTTTAGTCACTTAGTGTTATCCCCCTGATAACCATCATAATAATATCTCTGGTATGCTATATCCTCTTAAGAGTCTTAAGTGTTTGTATGCAGCCATCCATTATATGTCAAATGGTCTCACTAAGAGTACAATAAAGAAAACACCAAAAGTATAAAAAAATTGCCCAACTGACTTGATGTTGTGAATTCTGAATTCCATACTGAGGCCAAACAAGTCCATTATGACTCATAGCAGACAGTGGTATCATATTCAAGGTTTTGGTTAATTTCTCAAAATTGAGAGGCTGACCAAAAGTAGGAAATTGTTAAGTTAAAATGACTTTGACCTAAACTTGCCTCTGTATGCAGTTAAGTAAAACCCAATTTAGTATATAAACAAAATGAAGCCTAACTTAAAATATATTCTCGTAACAAGTAGCTGGGTCTCAATCAATCACAGCACCAAAGCTTCAGCCAATCACAGGCTACCAGCTGATTAGACTGTGCCCATATAAGGCGAATCCCTCATCACACCATGCCCAAATAAGAAAAATGCTGAGCTGTATCCAATCAAGCTGTTTCTTTACATTACTTACTTTTTTTTTTTCTATAAATACTGCCTGCCCACATTGCTGGGTGGAGCTCTCTGAACCTCTCCTAATTCTCAGTACTGCTTGATTAATGAGTCATGTTTTTCATTCTTTGCTCAAACTGTATTTAATTTAATTTATATTTAATATATGTAGAGTTTTGGGGGTTTTCTGTTTTTTTTTTGTTTTGTTTTTCACATATCAATCTCCCAAGATGGAGAGAAGGGTGGAGAAACACCCTTCTGGAGAAGGGTTGAGTAAAACGTCCAGCAGAGTTCAGATGAGTTGACCAATCTGATTTTAGATCATAAGTTTAAAAGTTTTAAAAGACAGATGCTGAACAATAATGAAAGCCTGATTCTCATATATGAATTCAGAGTGTGAAACCATTTAGTAGCCATCTAAGTAAAAGGCTAGACAAAACCCAAAAAAGGTATGACATTTTCCAGTGCAGAATACAGTATAAGAATTGAAGTTTTTTTAATTATTTTTAATTTTTTTTTATTTTAACCTTGGCTTATATTTCCAAATAAGTTTTTGAAAAAGGGGACTAAGGGAAGATAAATAATATATATTAAGGGGTTAAAAAGTATAAGACACAAAGCCATGTCGGTGACATATACACGATTTATACATGATTTATTTACCTAGTTTTAACTCATTTTCATTTTTTTCACGAGCTAAACATTGTACAAAACAATAACAAAATCATATCAGTAAATTATGCATTTTATGAGAATGGTAAAAATAAAATACTACAGACCTTTAGAAGAAAAAGATTACAAATTTCAGAAGCTAATCAGGAAAATCTTCACATAAGAGGTAAGAGACATGGATATTAATTGTAGTATTTACTATCGACATCTCAAATAGTACAATCTCGGTACATGTGGCCCAAATTTCAGCTCTCACACTGAGGGCTTTCTCTGGCTATGTGAGCCTGCTTTACCTGCTCATGACAAGCTAGAACAGCAGGGGAAGTGATGCTTCCTGGAAATATGCCCAACCAGTGCCTAATGAAAGTTGATGAGTGCCTAATGCAGCTCTCTTACCCCACATGCAGGATATTTCTTACACTAACTCCCTGAGTTCTCCAGTGGGATTAAACTCCAGTAGTCCATAGGGGTAACTTGCTTTTTAACACGCCCTTTACTGGCTTCTGTACCTTCCTATATTATTTTCCCATATTCTTTCCTGGGATCACCATACAGGTAAACCATGTGAACTTGAGTCCTTGTCTGTTTCTCAGATAATCCAAACTAAGATATGAACTTGTCCAATATTTATAATTTATGCAATGTAGAATCATTGAACAAGATTCCCAATACTTACTGTGGTTTGATCTTTTCACCAAAATACCTCTAATCATAGAGAAGAGGTGACTTAGTATAATGATTGACATTTTAAAAATCATTAGTCTTGGCCAGGCACGGTGGCTTACACCTGTAATCACAGTACTTTGAGAGGCCAAGCTGGGCAGATCACAAGGTCAGGAGTTTGAGACCAGTCTGGCCAACATGGTGAAACCCCGTCTCTACTAAAAATACAAAAAATTAACTGGGCATGGTGGTGCACACCTGTAGTCCCAGCTACTCAGGAGGCTGAGGCAGAAGAATCACTTGAACCCGGGAGGTGGCGATTGCAGTTAGCTGAGATCGCTCCACTGCACTCCAGCCTGGGTGACAGAGAGAGACTTCATCTCAAAAAAACAAAAACACATTAGTCTTGAGTTCATCTCTTCTTTGCTACTTCTGTGTGTCTGTATGTAGTGAATTAATGTCTCCAAACCTCAATCAGATCTCTAAATTAGAAAATAGAAAAAAATATTATTGACCTCCTAGAGACAAAGTGAGTAAGTATTAAATGAGATAAAATCCATAAAGTACTTAACATAGTCCTTGGGGCATGGAAAATACTATAAATTGGTATTGGCTAATATTTTTAATAAACAATTATTACAATTTAGGGATAGTAAATTCCTACTCTTATGGCATGCAGGGGTGGAGATTAAAGGAACATAGCACAATAAATCTTGGCTCAGCTTTAATATTCATCTACTTTTTAATGTCTCATTTAAGAGAAGCAACTTGCAGACTCAGCCCCACCTTGTCTCTGAGTAAGTAAGGACCTAGTCATGCTATATTAGTTAGCCTCAGGATACACGTTTGCCATCATTTCTGCTGGGATTGGTGACACATGCTGCTCTAAACCTCTTAGCAATTTTGGTTGCCAGTCCTCAAAGTAGCTCCTGCTTCTCTCTTGCTCCTTAAAGTTTAATCTTATCTCAATTTAGGAATATCAAGCTGCTGACTAGAATAACTTTAAGATATACAAAGCTTCAAGGAACTAATTCTAAACCCAACTCATTTCAAGTGTTTCTACCTTACAAACTGCCACTATCTCTCTGCTTCAGTTTACATCAGACTAAAAATGCCTTAAGTTTCACTGTGCCTTTTGGACACAGTGATTGGGAACACTCAGGTGTGGGGACATTGCCATTAAAATGCCACCTTTGTGATATTTAGAAAAAGGCATCTCTTTTAAGCAGACCTACAAGAAAAAGACATCTCTGTGTCTTCGTAGTGGGAGGGGGGTGGGGGGGAAGTGAAGGGAGGGGGTGAGACTATACTTTTGTGTGCAAATCGACAAGCAAAGCACAAACGGGTTTTACCCTACTTTCAACTCTAAGCTGTGTGCAGAGCACAGCTTGAACAATCATGTGTAGCAACTGAGGTTGACCATTCTACCTGGCCAGCAGTATCATTTGCTTTTGCTAGAGTACACTTTCCTCCTCCAGCCAGCCGATCGCATGGCGAAAACTCTTAGGTTTTGATGAGTAAATATTCCAAATGAATTAAATATTCCAAATGAATTTACTGTAAGAATCTTTCAAGCAGATGTCATATCTGTTTTCTCTTAACTATACCTAGACCATGAAATCTTAAACTTTCCATCTGCAATTGGTGTGTGTCTTTAGAGACTAATTTCATTTGATTAATTTCCAAGATAAAACTGAAACAGTGGCAGGGATGATGTACGAGCATCTTTCATTTAGTGGATGAGTAAAGGTGACCTTTTCAGGCATAATTGCAAATAGTCTGAATAAGCCATCTTGAAATTGAAAGGTTATCTGTTTAATTGTAACTATGTTCACTTGAAGTAATAAAAAATAGCCACCTAGGCAGAGCGCGATGGCTCATGCCTGTAAACCTAGCACTTTAGAAGGCCGAGGTAGGTGGATCACTTGAGCCCAGGAGTTCAAGACCGGCCTGGCCAACATCATGAAACCCTGCCTCTACTAAAAATACAAAAATTAGCCAGACATGGTGACTCACGCCTGTAATCCCAACTACTTGGGAGGCTGAGGCAGGAGAATCACTTGAACCCAGGAGACAGAGGTTGCAGTGAGCTGAGATCGTGCCACTGCACTCCAGCCTGGGCGACAGACCAAGACTCCATCTCAAAATAAATAAATAAATAAATAAATAAAATAAAAATAAAAGTCACCTAATGAATATCTTATATGAGGACTCAGTCAATTAAAATCTTTGAGGTTACATCAAAAGTTTCACTGCCTATTTCATGTTTTGATCTTTATCAATTTCTGAATGTACTTTTAATATCTTTGTGTTTTCTGAGAGAGCCATCTGAACTTTTAAAAACTTCTAGACTTTAAAAATTATATGCAACAATTAGCTGTAACAATTATACTGATTGAGGGCTACTGTTTTTGATAGGAGAGATGTCAAAGAATTTGTAGCCCTGTTTAATCTGACACAACATCTCAATATTCTGGTGACATTTGAACATTTTGCATTGTTTGGTGACTTTTCCTCTAAGTTTCTATTTTCTTTGTACTGTGCATCTAAACATGCATGGGTCACAAGAAATGGCTCCTGATAGACTGATTTCATAGCAATGAAGTAACTTCTCAGGAGGACATATAACATGATAAACTTTTGCCTTAACCTCTAGGAAAGCTCTTTACCTAAAATCAAATTCATGAACCGTGTCTCATTTCTGTAATGATTCCTGAGAGTCATTTCTGACATATTAATGGCAAGTTGGTCCTCTGCCTTTCAATGGGTTGCAGTCTCTACTGTTTTATCAATGGAATCAGTCAGGCCTCCAGAACTGGTGAAAGTAACCACTTCTTCCCTGCCCCACCCGCCTACCTCTTTATCAGTTACTCCAATCAATGAATGACCCTACTTAGCTCACTAACCCAGGGTTTAAGAATTGGCTTGATTTGCATGCCTTTATCAAACCAGTATAGCTACCACCAATTGGAGTTAATGACTGGTTTTCTTATTTTCTATCTGTGTAAGTTACCATGAGCCATTTGTTCACGACATGATAGAAAAAAAAATTTTTTTCAAAGATTTTGCCCAACTGCTGCCTTCTATCTTCAATAAAAGCAAAGGTAAGGTATTTAATAAAATAAAAAGCTAATACTGATGGAAAAAATCTAGACTTCTTTGATTTAAAATCAATTTGTTAAAATCAGTTCTCAATTATGTTATGTGTGGAAATTAGTGGAGTGTACATGAATGCAACAGAGGAATAAATATATAAAAGTAGATTATCATTCTGTAAATAGCATATTTAATTCCTTGACTCTGGGAACATTTGCTTTACCTCCTGTCTTGTTTGTCTGGCTCATTTGCCTTCCTCAAAGAATTCAAAGAGATCGCATATGAAACTACATTAAAGTTATAGGTTGAGCAGCTTTATAAAACTTGGATATGTGTGCTAAAAGGTATTAGGTATGGTCATACATACAGTAAAATTTTATATTTATACTCTAATACCTTAATATGGGTAACAACTTCTGAAAATAGTTTATTCTTCATTTTTACTGTGATGCATTTTTAAGCACTTTTTCTATAGTTATGACCTCTTGCCCATCATTGAGCAGCTGCGTTTTCCAGAATAAATGACAATGTTCCCCTATTCCTTGTAATTTAAATGAGAGTCTGGAAAACGATGAATATTAGTGGACCTTAGCTTTTAATTAATTGAATGAGATAATCAGATATAGGTTACATAGTTAGGAGATATTTGCACTGAAAATAAACAAACACTTTCTGGGTAGTAATTTTTAGTCCTTTATTTCTATTATATGTAATACGATACCCAAAGTAGAATTGTAAAATGTTAAGACACACACAGTAATAACTTCATCTAGATATTCGTACTGCAAATTATGTGTACTGAAGTTTTTTTTTTAATTTGAAACAATGCTATTAAATCAATTTTAAAACCAGTATAACACATTAGCACAGATTTAATTCATTTATTAAACTTTCTTATTTGGTCTATATTATTTTCCCACATTTGGAATATGCATATTATTTACCAAATAAGGTCTCACAGTTTTTAGTTGTTCACATTTTCATGTATTCTTAGAATTTCCAATATTTATGTAAACAACTAAATTTTAAATTTATGTAAACAACTAAATTTATGTAGACAACTAAATTTATGTAAACAACTACATTTTAAAAATCAGAAGTTTAATTTTGTAGTGTATTTTCTATAAACATTAATAAAATATCTGACCACTTAACAGTCCTTAAAAAACTCAGCCACTGAATCATTGGAAATAACATTGGTCATTTACAAAATTAAAGATGCAAATGAAAAACAAGCCAGTTAGTCTAAACTTTACAACATGCACTGACATGATTTTGATATTTTGAACGTTTGATAAGACCTAAGGAGGAGTCATTTGCAATTAAAAAAAATCTTCTTATATAAAATAAACACTTTTTTTTTTTTTTTTTTTTGAGATGGAGTGTCACTCTTGTTGCCCAGGCTGGAGTGCAGTGGTATGATCTCAGCTCACTGAAACCTCCGCTTTCTGGTTTCAAGCGATTTCCTGCCTCAGCTACCTAAGTAGCTGGGATTACAGGCATGCGCCACCATGCCTGGCTAATTTTTGCATTTTCAGTAGAGACAGGGTTTCACCATGTTGGCCAGGCTGGTCTCAAACTCCTGACCTCATGGTCCGCCCGTCTTGGCCTCCCAAAGTGCTGGGATTACAGGCATGAACAACCGCGCCTGGCCAACACATTATTTTTTTTAATTGCAAAGAGAAAAATAAAGCTGCATATATACCTAGGTTTTTATCTTGGCTCTGCCACTACCTTTCTGGATGATTTGAGACAAAACTCATGCCCTCAGTTGTCTCACCCTTTAAGATTAGAGGCAAAGAATCTAAGGTCTCCTTCAGTTTCAACTTTCTCGTTCTAGCAGTTTTTCCTGATTTCATTATTCTAATTATACTCTCTGGCTTGAAGGTGACTACAGTGAAAGCATACAGAAACAAATTGTATAGTAAAAAAAGTGTGTTTTTTGTTTTCCCCATATATCTGCCTCTAACATTTTAGGATGCAAGGTAAGAGATTAAGAAAAAAAAAAAAAGCCCATGCTCAATATATCTAAACATTGAAGTTACGCATCCAGCTACCAATCTGTTACATCAAATATGTTCTCTAAATTTACTTTGTTAAAATAACTTCAAAATAACCTGAAGGGGACGAATGTGGTGGCTTACACCTGTAATCTCAGCACTTTGAGAGCCCAAGGCGGATGGATCATTTGAAGTCAGAAGTTCAAGACCAGCCTGGCCAACATGGTGAAACCCTGTCTCTACTAAAAATACAAAAAAAAAAAAAAAAAAAAAAAAAAAATAGCTGGGCGGTAGTGGTGCATGCCTGGCCGAGGCAGAAGAATCGCTTGAGCCTGGCAGACGGTTGCAGTGAGTCAAGATCGCGCCACTGCACTCCAGTCTGGGCGACAGAGTGACAGAGTGAGACACTGTCTCAAAAATAAATAAATGAATAAATAAATTATATAAATAAATAAATTGTATAAATAAATAAATAAAATAAAAATAACCTGAAGGGTCAGACTCTATGCCAGATGGTGGAGCCAACTGCCTCCTATTGTCTTCTCATTCGGATCTATCTATTCCATACCATGAGGTACCTTATGGACAGGTTTGCAAAACTTCCTATATGCACTTCCTATATGCACTTCATATATGCTCTATTCACACCTTTCACGAAGATCAACTCCTTGGCCACTCATATTGGGCCTAAGGAAGTCCTCTCAGGAAGACAGACATAAAGAAAGCTACGCAGAGTTAGAGAGTAATCATTTTCTTGACCTGTGGATGCCTTGTCCCAAGGGACAGTTTGGCCGCAGTAGGACCAAAGCAGGTAACCCTGTAATGCATGGAACCCAGGGCAGGAGCCTTTCTCTTTTGGGTCTGAAAATGATACTTTACCACAGTTTCACTTTCTTCTCCTACTTAGCACTCAAGCTAAGCTAATATCTCCCTTGGTTTCACCTCAGCTATATCAACACTTCACCCAAAGCTATCCTTTCCAAAATATCCATTATTATAGTCCTCTCCTTGTTCTCATTATCAATGACAAATTCCTGTCTTTGGGCATTTATAAAGAAGCAAATAATTTCTGAAAAATACTTTTAGATCCAAGGTTTAAATTTTTCAGCATTAAATACAGCTTTTTAAAGATATTAATTATGGTAAATAGGACTGTTGGGGATATAATGTCTTCACACAAAGAAAAAAATATATATCCAATTTGGGGGCCCATGGTAGAATATCAGAAAGAGAAATAAAGTTCCCAACACATTTAGAGATTTATATAGGCTTATAAGAAATGTGTGCATTTAACATAGAAATACTTTCTATAGAGCTTGGAGGCTTCCTTTTGTGGGAGAGGGACAGAGCTAAAGATTAATTTTATTAAATATTTTTAAGCATATGAATGATAACACCAATGATTAAAATGATTCAAAATTTAAGTAGCAATATCCCCATGTGACTCTTGCTCTAGGTACAAGAACTTCACAGAGCACATATTTTCAAAATTTTAAGAACTCCAGACCTTTTTTAAATTATAAAGACTACTTTAAATTCTTTCCGAATTCAATCTCATCACTGTTTATCCATCTTTCATGTCTTTTGAAAATGCAAATATGGTTTTGTATTTCCCTGCTTGAGTCCAGATAATTTCTCCTAGTTGCTTAAAAGGTAAAGTTCAGTGTCTTACAGATGCATTTAAGATTTTGATCTTACCTAACATCTTTCATTTCCTGACATTCTCCTCTTCCACTGCTATGATACCAAGAGGTATCATTTTGACTTGTTCAAGATTCAGCTAACTTATCTCTGTGGGATTTTTTTTTGCCTTTGTAGTTGCAGTTAGGGACTTCTTCCTCTGTATTCTCATACTTTATAAACATTTTTAAATTAGCCTCTAGTTATTGCTCTAAATATTAATTTATCTTTGTACTAAGGAGTATCTATTTCTTTCTTCTTTGCATATACAGCGCCTAGCATTAGAGCTAAAATAATTGCTCAATAAATTTTTGTTGAAGTAGTGACACTGTTTGGCTCCTGAAACGAAGCAGTCAGAACAGAGAAGAAGTGAAATAATCAAGCAATTATTAATTGTGCACTTTAAAAATGGTTAGCATGATACAAGGTCACAATATTTTCTGAAGAAAATACAGATAGGGATGTTTAAACTGAAAACAAGATAAAATATTTGAAATTCAGAAAATTTCTAAAATGTTAGTTATGTAGTCATAATGGGCCAAACTTTGAAATGTGAACCCTGTCCTCTATTTACTGTTGAATTATAGCAGCAAATCTATCATGTTGACAGATCTTTGCTGAAAGAACAAATGAATGGATTGTTACATTCAATCTAACTGGCAAAATTGATCCCTTGTAATATTCATGTTCAAAAACATTAAGAATGACATACAAAAGTCCGTTTGAATATAGAAATAAGCCTGCAAAAAGTAAAGGAAGGTCCCAGGGGCTAGAAGCTGGAGTAATAAAGAGAGGGTAAAGCTGGATTTTCACTTGAGGCACAGGGTCACAGGGCTGGTTAGTTGGGTGTTTCTACCAAAAAATCCATTTTGAAATTGATGCTCCTGAAGGGCTACAAATTCAGTGAAGAGGAGGTGACAGTAGGCAAATCCAGCCACCAAAAAAAGGGAAAAATAACTCCTTAGGGTTTTTGCATTTGTATTAAAGATTGCCAGCATAATATCAAAGATCCAGTACAGGAATATTGAATTGTAAGAAGGATCCTGAACATGTTGAAGAGGCAAAAGCAGAGGCCTTGTGGAAGATTACTCCCTTAACACAGACCTTATAAGATTTCTACATCTAGAGTACTCACACATAAGAGGAGGTAATACAAAACAACGAAGCATGCAAAGGAACAGCTAAATGATCACGCAAAGGAACACCATGAAAAAGAAGCATTTCCACATGAAAACTTATCTCTAATAATCCTCAAAAAGGAACTTCTGAGGAAGATTCCAAAATGAAGTCTGAACTAACAGAAGGTATAGTTTTAATGTAAATCTATAGTAATATTCACTATATAAAAAAGTAATGAGGTGTTTAATTTGGAGCGAGTAAATACAAGGTATACATAAAATATGGTATTCAAATATCCTGGAAGATAGCAGGGGATGATCAAATGTAAAGTGTTTCAAGAATTTTACTTTGTATTGGAGTGGACAGGTGCCGATATAGATACAGATACAGATAAATACAGATACAGATATAGATACAGATGTAGATCTAGATAGAGATATAATATAGATATAGTTAATGCATGTTGCGTTGTTCTGGGGTAAAGAGGAATATAGAAAATATATACTACATTTTAAGGTTAGCCATGAAAGAGGAGAAAGAAGATAATTTCGAACCCAATACAAGAAAAGAATAGAATAGTAAAAATCTTAATAAGCCCATAAGAACACAGTAGGGTAACAGCAAAGGTTTTAAAAAATGTAAGCACATTTTTTAAAATAGAAATTGTCAGAATAGTATAGAATAACTAAAGCTACCTCTGTAGTGATGTTTAGGTCTTTCTCTTTGGAAAGAATTAAATTTTTAAATTTTTATTCACCTAATAATAAAGCTGCAAAGCCTACCAAGCAAACATTTCCAAATTCAAAGAGAAATTCACAAATCTGCAATCTTCCTGGGAGATTTTAGCATACCTTTTATAATACTTGATCACTTAAAAATAAAATATGTGAAGATACAAAATATTCTAACAAAATGTTATATTGCTTTTTCCAATGGATGTATATATAATTTTCCCTTAAAATTACACAATAAACAATGACAAAATAAACATCTCAGGAGCACTCAGAACATTTATAAAAGATGGGTACATATTTTACCATAAACTATGTTTGCACAAATATCACAGAATTAATATTACATAAGTGCAAACATTCTGATCCTGTCAAATAAATTAATATTCTATTACAAAAATATAAATTTTAAAATCCTTATATCTAAAAACTTTAAAACCTCAAATATACAAAATAAAATATATTTTAAAAATAAAGAATTTAAAATTTATATATGTGTCAAATTCCACCTCCCACACTGACTAGCTATTTAAATTAAGTAATTTTACCAGTTCATGTTTCATATTCTTTACCTTCCCCATGTAAAATGGAGATAATAATAGTATCTATTTCATCAATTTCTTAAAAGGATGGAATTATTACATAAAAGTCCTTACAACCTAACATATAGCAAATTCTTTCTCAACAATATATTATTATAATCATAATTTTATGTTCCATTCTCCATAGATTTAACGTAAAATAAATGTTCTTACTGGATTTCTGTAACACATGATTTATATACCTTTGCCACCTTCTTCATCCAGCCACAATTTTGTTTCATACATTTACAACCTAAAGATTTACAAAGAAAAATTAATCCTTTGAAATATGATGAAATTGCAAGAAAAAATAACTTTAATAAAATTAAACACCAACCCAGGAATTTGTCATTTTTTAATTTATTAATTATTCATACTAAGTAATTTATTACTTAGTAATAACATGTGTTTGCACATGTGAGTGTACATGCATGTGTACGCTATGCACATACACATGTGTGCACATCTATGTGGGTATTATATATGCATGTTTCCTTTAGAAAGTACATTTTTCCGTGTAAGAGGAGAAGCAAACTAACATTTAAATTATTGTCTTTTAAATTAGAGATCCCAAAAGCCATTTAAAAGTTTTGTATGTAACAGAGGTCCCTGAATTTGATGGTGTTTTGTTTAATTTTGTTCCTCCTCTTTCCAGGTTTGCTCTCTTAGGCTTTCTCTGTGAAAACTCTTCATTTCAGGTGAATGAACTAGTTTTGTTTATTCTATTTTCATGGATAAAGCTGTTACAATTCCAGGTCTTTGCTGTGTGCAAAGGCAAGGCCAATATTCTGTAAAAGTCCCTCATTTCTGTTATCCCGAATATGTAACTGGATGTAATACCCTGTGAACCACCACAGTGACATCCTGAATATGCAAACCTTGTTTTAAGTTTCCTATTCCTTTCTATCTCAAAATTGCATTCTTGTTCTTTTTATTTAAAATCTCAACTATGAACTTTTAGTATTGGCTGTATTTTAGTTAGCAATTTGACATGTTTGTACACAGAAGAGGAATTTAGTCAACTATGTTTCTAAAAGTTCATGTCTAAAATTTTTATATTTATAAAAAAACTAAATGTAATATCCATATTGGTCCACAATCATCACAGATACCCTATCACATATAGGATACATTCCTCTCATTCATTCACCCCCTCAAAATTCATAAAGGACTAACTTGTGAATCAGACTCATAAAATACAAGGCTCATTACATGAGTAAATTTCACTAGTGATTGTTGAACGAGGCATAATACACATCTGTTACACAACCAATTAATTGTTTAAAATGCCTGCAGACATATCTTTAGAAAATTCAAGTTTTATTGAGGTATAATTTACATAAAATAACAAACAACCCTTATAAGTATAAATGATTTTTGACAAATATATATATAGTCATGAAGCCACCATCCCATTCAAGATATATTACATTTCCATCACCATCAAAAGATCCTTCATTCTCTTTTAGCGTTTATCTCATCACCAACAAGACATCCAGGTCCCAGGAGACCATTGTTCTACTATCTTTCACTGTAGACTAATTTTGCCTTTGTCAGAATTTTGTATGCGATTTCACTCAGCATGTATGTTTTGAAAGATACATGTTGCATGTAACAGTAGTTCTCTCTATTATTGCTGAGTAGATTTTCGTGGTAGACATATGCCAAAATTTTATTCATTAAACTGTTAATGAATCTTGGATACTTTTCCAGTGTTTTTACTGTTACGAATTAAATTGCTAAGAACATTTTAAGCAAATTTTTGTTCATATGTATATTTTAATTTACCTTTGATAAATACTGGTCATATATACTATATTTAAATTATACAAGCAAACATGAAAAAAAGCTCAATATCAATGATTGTTAGAGAAATGCAAATCAAAACCACAATGAGATACCATCTCACACCAGTCAAAATGGCTAAAAAGTCAGAAAATAACAGATGCTGGTGAGGTTGTGGAGAAAAAGCAACATTTATATACTGCTGGTGGGAGTGTAAATTAGCTCAACCGTTGTGGAAGACAGTGTGGCAATTCCTCAAATACCAAAAGACAAAAATACCATTTGATCCAGCAATCCCATTGCTGGGTATATAGCCAAAGGAATATAAATCATTCTATCATAAAGACACATGCACACATATGTTCATTGCAGCATTATTCACAATAGCAAAGACATAGAATCAACCTAAATGCCATTAATGACAGACTGGATAAAGAAAATGTGGTACATACACATCATGCAATACTATGCAGCCATTAAGAAGAACAAGATCATATCCTTTGCAGGGACATGCATGGAGCTGGAAGCCATTCTTCTCAGCAAACTAACACAGGAACAGAAAACCAAAGACTCCATGTGCTCACTTGTAAGTGGGAGTCAAACACTGAGTACACATGGACACAAATAAGAGATAAATAAACACCAAGGCCTGCTTGACGGTGGAGGGTGGGTGGAGGGAGAGGAACAGGAAATATAACAAATGGGTACTAGGTTTAACACCTGGGTAATGAAATAAAATATACAACAAATCCACATGACACAAGTTTACCTATGCAACAAGCCTGCACATATACCTCTGAACTTAAAAGTTAAAAAAAAAGATAAATTGATTCAGGAAAGGTAGTAAGTACATACAATAGCTTACTACTCAGCCTTCAAAAAGAAGGAAATCTTGCCACGTGCTACAATATGAATGAAACTTGCATTATTCTGAATGAAATTAGCCAAACACAAAAGGACAAATATTATATGATTCCACATATATGTGATATTTAGTTTAGCCTAAATACTGAAAATACAAAGTAGAATGATGGTTGTTATGTTCTAGGGAGGTGGGAAATGGGGGTTCGTTTGATGGATATAGAGTTTCCTTTTTGCAAGATGAAAAATTTCTATAGGTCAATCAGAATATAGTTATCATTACTCAACCATGCACTTAAAAAAAATGAAGAGGATTTGCTTTATATTATGTGTCTTTTTTATCATAATGGGGAGGATGGATAAAGAACATATACTTAAAGGGTATAAAAATGCAATTATAACAAATAAGATCTGTTATTTGATCACACAATAGTTGATAATTAAAAATAATTTATTGCATATTTCAAAATAACTAAGAGTGGAACTGAAATGTTCTGAACACAAATAAATGATTAATGCTTGAGGTGATAGCCATCCTAATTACACAACTTGATCATTACACATAGTATGTGATTCAAAATATGATTCAAAGTATGCATATCAAAATTTCACATGTACATAAATGCATAGAATTATTGTGTATCCATAATAATTAAAAATTTTTCTTACAAAATAAAAAAATTGATAATGTTAAAGATAGCATCAAAATATGTGAAATACATTTAAAACTAATAAAATTTGTGTGAGATTTATATACTGAAAAAACAGAAATCAAAGAAGATGGACACATTTAGAAATACTGTGTACATTCATTGAAACACAGTATTGCTATGATACCGGCTTTGTTAAAAAGGATATGTAGACTTAATATGTAACAATGAAATTATCTGCCAACAAATTTGTAAAAATTGACAAGTTTAATTCCAAATCTTATATGGAGGAGCTAGGATTGCTAAAACAATTTTGAAAAGTTGAACAAATTTGATGATGCCCATGATCTGATTTCAAGAGTTCCTATAAAGCCACAGTAATCAAGAATTATGGCATATAAATTAATGGAAGATAGAGAATTGTGTGTGTCTGTGTGTGTGTTTAATAAAGTTGATAAAGTAATTCAATGAAGAGAAAAGATTTTTTTTAACAAACTTTACTGGGAAAATTAGACATATGTATGCAAAAATATCCTTGATTCAAACTTTGCACCATAAACTAAATGAACTTTAAATAAATCAGACACTTGGCTGGGCGCGGTGGCTCATGCCTGTAATCCCAGCACTTTGGGAGGTCAAGGCGGGCGAATCAAGAGGTCAGGAGATAGAGACCACCATGGCTAACATGGTGAAAACCCGTCTCTACTAATAATACAAAAAAAAAAAAAAATTATCCGGGCGTGGTGGCGGGCGCCTGCAGTCCCAGTTACTCAGGAGGCTGAGGCAGGAGAATCGCTTGAACCGGGGAGGCGGAGCTGGCAGTGAGCAGAGATGGCGCCACTGCGCTCCAGCCTGGGCGACAGAGTGAGACTCCGTCTCGAAAAAAATAAATAAATGAAAATAAATCAGACACTTATATGTGAAATTTAAACTGTATTTTTTTAAAAAATGGGGGAAAATAACTTCTGCTTCTCACAGAGAATTTTAGGAAAATGAAAAGGCAACCACAGACTAGAATAAAAAATTTGAAAAAAGTCTGATAAATAAATTCTATAGAGAAACCCCCCAACAACAACAATAAAAAGAAGCAGTTAAATAAGTTAAATAATCAAATAGGCCAGAGATTTGAACACACACTTCAATGGGAAGAAATATGAAAGCCATATAAGTGTATAAAAAGAAGTTCAACATCATTGGACTTTAGGAAAATTTAATGAAAACCACAATAAAATCCCATAGCACACCCATTGGAATGGCCAAAAAAAAAAAAAAAAAAACTTCCAGCAAGGATGTGGAACATCTGCCATTCTTTACACTGGCTGTTAAGAATACAATTAATACAATCTCTTTGGGAAACAATTTGTTAGTTTCTTTAAGAGTTAGACATACGCCAACCATAAGATCTAGCTGTCTCACTCCTAGGTATTTATCTAGAACCGGAAGTGCATGTCGACTCCAGGAAGAGTAGCTAGATCTTTTTTTTTTTTTTAATAGCAGTTTTGCTCATAATCTTCAAGAAATAGAAATAATCTCAATGCTCATCAATCAGTGAAGGGATAAACAAGTTGTAGTACATCCGCACAGTGAAACACTACTCAGCCATAAAAGGAAACATACTCCAAACAAAGAAGACATTTATGCAGCCAAAAAACACATGAAAAAATGCTCACCATCACTGCCCATCAGAGAAATGCAAATCAAAACCACAATGAGATACCATCTCACACCAGTTAGAATGGCAATCATTAAAAAGTCAGGAAACAACAGGTGCTGGAGAGGATGTGGAGAAATAGGAACACTTTTACACTGTTGGTGGGACTGTAAACTAGTTCAACCATTGTGGAAGTCAGTGTGGCGATTCCTCAGGGATCTAGAACTAGAAATACCATTTGACCCAGCCATCCTATTACTGGGTATATACCCAAAGGACTATAAATCATGCTACTATAAAGACACATGCACACGTATGTTTATTGCGGCACTATTCACAATAGCAAAGACTTGGAACCAACCCAAATGTCCAACAATGATAGACTGGATTGAGAAAATGTGGCACATATACACCATGGAATACTATGCAGCCATAAAAAGGGATGAGTTCATGTCCTTTGTAGGGACATGGATGAAGCTGGAAACCATCATTCTCAGCAAACTATCGCAAGGACAAAAAACCAAACACCACTTGTTCTCACTCATAGGTGGGAATTGAACAATGAGAACACATGGACACAGGAAGGGGAACATCACACTCTGGGGACTGTTGTGGGGTGGGGGGAGTGGGGAGGGATAGCATTAGGAGATATACCTAATGCTAAACGACGAGTTAATGGGTGTAGCACACCAGCATGGCACATGTATACATATGTAACTAACCTGCACATTGTGTACTTGTACCCTAAAACTTGAAGTATAATAATAACAAAATAAAATAAAATAAAATAAAGAAAAAGAAGGTGGAGGAAGAGGAGGAGAGTGAGGAGGGAAAAGAGAAAGAGAGCTTGAAGAAGGATGAGGCAGGTACTTGTAGTATTTCAAAGAGTAACTAAATCAACTCTCAGAGACTTGCTTTGTCTGAGACTGGAAAGGAATAATTGGCCTTAGTTAACATTAGTATTAACGTTTTCCCCGAATCGAACCCATCCTCTTTAACCTGGAGAACTAACATTTAATTATGTAGAAACCTGAAATGTTGACCAGCCTTCTTCTTCTTCCACAAAAGATAACTTTCTGAAAATATTAAAGTTATAAAACAAGATTTCCTAGCCTTACATTATACAACTAAGAATCTAAAATAATGATAGGATGACAATGACAAAAATGATTCAGTAGTGATTAGATGAGAATTTAAAATACAATATTGTGTTTTCTGTTTTTCCCTCTTGATTAGCAAAGTAAATGGGTGAGAACAAGAAAGCTTCTCAAATGCTATCTCTCAAAATTTTGTTGCACTTTATTATTTTCAAGAAGATAAAGATCTAAAGCTTTTAATCAAATACACAGGCAGGATTAAATAGTGCTATGCTATTTTCTATGGAGTAGTTTCCAGAGATCACATTCCACAGTAACTTACAGAGTCTAATTAAAATTTCCTAACTAAAACGAGAGAAAACAAATTTACAGTGTATAAGTTAGGTGAAAAAAACATTTTCAGAATGTACCTGAAAGCTGTAAAGATCAATAAGGTGGGGCAAAAAAAAAAAAAAGAGGATGTGATTACTGTCAAGAACCACAGAGGGGAATGTTCTTACAGTGACTTGGGATATTTAAACATTGCTTTCAGAATATATAATTGTCTAAATCTATTTTTTTCTATATAAGTTGTAACAAGGAAGCCACAGTGACTTCTCCTCAGCTACCGCTACAGGAGAGCAGTGATAGCATCTAATGCTGTGAGACAGTGCTGCTTTTAGGACATCTAACCTTAGTGAAACAGTACCTTTGAAGAAACGGAAACTTTTGAGTAATCTTTCCAGAATATTCTGACTTATGATCATATTTATAAGCTTTCATTCTCTGAAATGGTGGGACCCAAATATGCCAATATATTATAATCACCTGGGGGAGTTTAAAACAGTAGCAGATTTGGGCCCTATCCTCAGAGACTCTGCTGTAATTCCTTATGGGTGATGCCCAAGTACCACTCTATTTTTAACCTATTCAAGGTGAATCTAACGTGCAGCCAAGATTGAGATCGACTACTCCATAGTCTTTTATTCTCCTCAGAGTTTTCTCTATACTTTCTTAAATTTAAAGAGGAAAGTTGTCTATTCCAATTTTGCCCCCATAAAATATAAAGTGTACTCCAGTCTTCACTTTATGAAATTATTCATTGTTTAGTTACTAAATACTGAATGTCATTCATATTGTATAGTTTCTGATGTGAGTCCAACATGATGGCAAAAGCATCTAGCATTCATATTTCAAAGTTGTGAACCTGAACACTGCTCCATACCACTAAAATATTTTTCTTTACTTAAAAGTAGTATCCATTTTTTTCTTCATTTTCATTTTGTCATACTAAATATGGCATTTAAAATATATTTGTGGGTATATTTAAATATTTCTTTTGTTATTGTACCTTTGATTTTGAACTTTACCCCTGTTTTGAATAATTAAATCTGATTTTTTCAGCAAAAAAAATACATAAGCATCAAACACACAGGCACACACACACGCGCGCACACACACACACACACACACACACACACAGCCAAACACACTCTCCCTCTTCCTCTCTTTCTTCTCATTTTCCCTTGAAGACTATGATTTAAAAAGACAAAATACTTTTAGCTTCCTGAACCTGAGATAACAATTAGAAAAAAATGAAAGAATTTCACAAGCAAAGAAAACTTAAATAGTGCTCTAGTGAGGATTTGAAAAGTAAATTATAATAATTCTAACCACCAATATACATCTATTAAACACTTAAGATAACATTAACAGCAAAGCCAAATTACAATCAGCCATTGATACTCTATTCAGAATTTCCAAATTCTTTAAAAAGATGTTGTTTGTTCATCTTCTTTTAGACTTGCACATTTTTAACTTTCAACACATACCCCTATATTGACAGGTTAACATGAGGAACATAAAGAAAGAAAAATGAACAACCAACAATACAAGGCATTGAATGATATGTTAAATTTATGTCTTCGAAAAAGGCTTTTAGAACAGCAAGAAGACAGGTCTTTACAATTAAATTAATATGGAAAATATCTCAGAGATGGTGGGGATTAAGTGGAGGGAAGATTTTATCGATAGATGTTATGGAGAATTTTCTTGCAAAGGTGATGGCCTAAGCAAAGGCAATGGCCTAAGCAAAGGCAAGGGTAGAGAATGTACAAAATATGCTGGAGGAACAATGAACAATCCAGTTTTCTCAGAGAATAGTGTTCCCGAAGTGGGAAAGAAGGCACTACATATAGTACTTTGGGACATTAGTTTAATAGATATAAAATATAAGACAGAGGGCTTCCCATCTAATCCTCACACAATAAGATGCCATTGAAGAGATGCTAGTAGTTATATGAGCAGATAATTGATCAGTGAGTATATTTGACAGAAGTTGAATATTAGGGTTATTAATCTGTCATTAAAATGAATGATAGATTATAAAGTAAATAATTATCAATTTAAATAACAGCATGCTAGGTGATAAAAAGGTGAAAATAGAATATCTTACCCTCAAGTTCATGATTGCATCTAGAAATCAAACAAGTTAACTATCCTCTTCCTACAAAAAAAAAAAAGACATAAAAGGAAATGCTTTGAAACATCTATTAAAATATGGCTGGGACTCAAATGTCCTAGTGACCAAACCTATGGATGGTTGTACCATGTTAGAAAAAAATGATACCAAGACAGGGCATGAGGAGAGTCTTAAAAGGTGATTACTATTTCCTCAGATTAGCCAGTAAACCAGTCAAAAAAAAAAAAACTGGCTTACTGTACTAGCACCTTAAACTGACAGTTACTATTCTGCACCTGCTCATTAATTTCAAGGCAGACACTCCAAACTGGCACATCCCTGCCATTTTTACCCACTTGCCAAAGAAGTTCCTAGCTTCAGGCATCTCTGTTAAAATTTCTGGCACAACGAAAAGCATTCACACCAAAAGAAGAATGACCGGAGACTCAAAGTCATTAAAATATCCAGGCATCTCTTAGGGAAATTAAAAATAAATCCCAAAGAAGAAGAGCATATTTGGAAATGAGGCTGATACATGGGGATGAGACTAATAAACAATGATTTAGTTTCATATGATAAGGAGTTTGTGTTTTGTTTTGTTGTTTTAGAGACATGGCCTTGCTATGTTGCTTAAGCGGGATCTGAACTCCTGAGCTCAAGGAATCCTCCCTAGCAGCTGGGAAAACAGGCATATGCCACTGCTCCTGGCTATGCTGTTTATACTTTATCCTATAAATTTGTTTAACTCTTAAGCATTTTATAATGAGAGAATAACCCTTGTTCAGGACGGCGTTTGAAAAACTACCATGATAAGAGTTTACTGAACATATTGGAAGAGTACAAATTTCCAACAGCAACACCATTAGTTGTCTATTTCAAAAGTGGGGACAAAGAGGAGATGAAAAAATATTCTGAGGTCATAAGGATATTTAACAGAGGAAAACTAAGTATGATAGTCTCTTTGTAATGCCTGACTTTGAGATTAATGGCTGGATTACAATTAAGCCACAGTCATATGGGAGAATTTAGAAAATATAGGATATCAATTATGACACTGTTTTAAGAAACCAGTCATGAGGCATGCTTAAAAATGGTTTATGAGCTACTCTGAGGGACTTTTTAAAATCTTATTTCAATTCCATCTATCTCCTTTATCTATAATAAAAGCACGCATGATGTTCAAGTTCTCAAAAAGGAAGAGGATAACATTTGTATGAATATACACCAATACTACTAATAAAAAGAACATCAGTAAAGTAATGGTGCTAAAGACATGTCTCCTGAGATTTCCACCTCTGGTCCTAAGGTACATTTTCACTCTGTAGATTTTCCTCTTCATTATTTTCATTATGAATGTAGCTGGTGATGGAGATCACATTAATGACTCTATGTAGATCAGAACTTAGCCATTGTGTGACTCTGTATTCAATTGATGAGCTTGTGCTTTTATGGGAAAACCAAGAGTGTCAAGTTTGGGATTGGAGTACCAATTGAATAAACCCAGTGAACAGTGCACAAGCCCCAATTCTTGGATGCGACTCAATCTTCTTTAATTTATTTCCATCTCTTACATACAATCTTTGTCCATTTGAACTGAGAGATTTTCCATAGACTTATTCCTTTGTAAGGTATAGTTGGAAAACTACCAGCCTGTTACTACTGTTTCAACTTGATTTGACTTTCAGAAACTCATTTAATAATAGCTAAACTTTTATTATTGAGTGCTTACACATGCTAAATATTCTTATAAGTATCTAAATGATATTTTAGAATTCAGTAGAATTATCTCTATATTACAGAGGAGGAAATGAAGGCTTTGAGAAATTAATTAATGCCTCAAACCACAGAGTTAGGAAATGTGTGGCTGGAATTCGAATTCAGGTACTCAAATCATAGAGTTTTATCCCTTTAGTGCTAAGCTGTGCCAAACCATTTATCTGGCTAAACTCTATCAGCCAACATAAAATATGTTTTATCTATGGAATATTTTGAACCAAAGGAGGACGTCCCAACCAAAAAACATATAGAAAGTATTCCCATATTTTTTTAAAAATGAGGGCACAAAATAAGCATTAATTAGAAGAATATTTCCAATATGCAGGCTGATAGTTTTTAAAATTTTCACCTCAATTCAACTTCAATAAATAGAAAAAGAACTTTCAATGACAATTGAAATTGAAATTAGAAGACTTTGTAAGGCAAGATATAAAATAATTTAATTATAAGTAGTGTAGATTAGCAAGACTTGACTATATCAAAGACAAAGAAAGTTTTAAACCCCAGACTATAAGAGAAAATACATACTTGTGCCACAGTTTAAAATGTAGCTAACAAGATAAAGCACATCTAAAATTAATGGCAAAATGTCACTTAAAATCATATTTTAAATATGGCAGTTCTATGATCATTCTTATTGTAGCTTTGGAGTCCCCAATTTTGCATTTTCCCAAGCAATTTTAATGTGAACATTTGAGTTGGCATTGGATGGAATAAAATATATGATCCATTTCTACTCACTTCCCACATTACTTCAAGTCTGGCCAAAGCATCTATATAAAATCGTTCTAATATGTTATTATAAATCATTCCCCCTGGTCCTTTTCTTTTTTTCCATCTCTCTACATTTATTGGGCCTCAGGGAATAGTGCAACACTGGAAGTCAGAGGCTTCCACTTACACTTGCATGATAAAATATTCTATCTTTATAGTCATACTTTATTCATTCATGCATTTCTGACTTAACAAATCTGTCTTTAGCTGACAGAGCATGTTATTATAATCTAGAAGAGAAGAAGCCCAGTGCTAGTCAATGATTTCATGCAAGAATTGAAAAACACAACACTTCCATACCTTTAACTTTCAGAATCATTCTTAAGATTTTTAGTTTTCCCTGGCACATGTGTGGAAAGACAGAACATTCCCTCACACAAAAAAATAGATGTTTATTTGGGATTTACTATGAGTAAGGATCGAAGCTACACTACAAGGAAAATAATGCTAAAGAGGATGAAACTTCATCCACCACACATAGAACATGGCAATTCCAAAAACTTACTTACCATAGAGCAACTAATATTTTTTTAAAAAGCTATGAATAAAGACTAGCATCTCTTTGACATGCCTTAAGTCTGTAACACACATTACAGACTGTTGGTTATTATTTGAATAGAATATCTTTTTCCTCCCCTCTTTAGGCTACTATTTGCTACCCCTGCCTTGTCTGTTACTATTGGCATAGAATACATTTTTCCATAATTTCACCTTCAACCTATTCTTCTTTGGATCTAAAGTCATTCTCTGGTAGACAGCATATGGTTGGCTCATGCTTTTTAAAAATCCATTCTATCAACCTCTCTCTTTTGATTGGAGCGTTTAATCTAATCATATTTAAAGTAATTACTAGTGACTTCTGTCATTTTGCTATTTGTTTCCTATATAGCTTCTTATTGCTTTTTTTGACTCTTATTTCTTACATTACTGGTTTTCATGAGGGTATAGTTGGCTTTATTTGAAATTTATAGTAATGTAAGTTTAATAACATACAAAATTGCTCATCTACAGCTCTGTACCAATCCCTTTCAGTTACATCTTTGTACAATGTGTGTCCAAAAACAAAAACTAATAATTATTTTAATGCATTAACAAAAATATGTTTTATAATGTATTTTAAATTATGAAACAGTGTCAAGAATGGAATATACCTTGCCTTTTTGTAGATGTTAAACTTCTAATAGCATTTGTTAGTTAGTACTACAAGCATGGTAGAATAAACATACATAATCACTTACTAGCCTTTACCAGTGCACTAGTGCAGGTTTGCTTAGGGTATCATTTCATATTTATGTGAATTATTTTATACTTGATATTTGCTGAACACTATATAATTTTTAATACATTTTTTACTTTGAATCCTACATATATTGGCTACCTACAAAATTAAAAAATAAAGTTTTCTAATATCATAGTTAGAAATATACATACACACACACACATCTAAATATATATTATTCACTTCCTCCATAAGCAGTTGATTGTCTATAGTCTCTGAACATTGTTTTAGGGGCCAAGGTTCTTAGATTCATTGTGATACATAAAAATCTCTGCTCTTGAGAATTTATGTTTCAGGCACAAAGACAAAAAATGAACAGGCATAAACAAATAAGATAAACTTTAAGAAGATAAATAGTATTCCATATATTTAGCCTTTAAAAAAGGAAATATTTTCATTTCTGACAATATGGATGAACCTGGGAGACATTATGCTAAGTTCAATAAGTTAGACACAGAAAGACAAATACTGCATGATCTAACTCATGTATGAAATCTGCAAACATTGAACTCGTAGATGCACAGAGTGAATAGTAGTTGCCAGGGGCTATGGAGTGGGGAGTAAATGTAAAGATGTTGGTTGAAGGGTATAAAGTTTTAGTTAGGCAGGTTGAATCATTTTTGTAGGTCTATTATACAGTATTGTGACTATGTGTACTTGAAAATTGCCGAGTGAGTAAATCTTAAATGTTTTTACCACAAAAGAGTATGTGAGGTGATAGATATGCTAATTAGCTTGATTTAATTCTTTCACAATGTATACATGTAATCAAAACATCACATTATACCCTATAAATCCACATAATTTTTGTTTGCCAACTATACTTCAATACGTCTTGGAGAAAAAAGAAAAAAATGAGTGTTTTTTTTTTTAACGACCCTCATTTTCTAACTCCACAGTTCTTCTTCAGTATGCCTAGTCATGCTTTTCTCTTTTATTCATTACAACTCTTACATTAAAATATTTGCACTGTGTGCTTTGATCAACTTCAAAGGAGTTGTGTGGTAGCAGTTACTCTTTGTTTTATTTTTTATTTTTAATTTAAGGAATGATGACTAATATGTAAGCTTCAATGAATAACAAATGAAATAGTGTGTGTTGAAATGTTAGATAAACTCGCTCAGGCACGGTAGCTCATGCCTGTAATCCCAGCATTTTGGGAGGCCTAGGTGGGCAGATCACTTAAAGTCAGGAGTTGGAGACCAGCCTGGCCAACATGGTGAAACTTTGTCTCTACTAAAAATACAAAAATTAGCCAGGCACAGCAGCATGCACCTGTAATCCCAGCTACTCAGGAGGCTGAGGCAGGAGAATCGCTTGAACCTGGGAGGTGGAAGTTGCAGTGAGTTGAGATCGCGCCACTGCACACAGGCCTATGTGACAAAGCCTTACTCCATCTCAAAAAAAAAAAGTTATATGAACTCCAAAATATATGTTCTACAGTTATTACGAACCACTATGTACTATGCATTGGTCACCATGTTAGGATGAGAATACAAATAAACATGTAAATAATTTTTCTCTATAAATAATAATAACTAATTTCCATTTGAGTCCTTATTCATAATCCAAGAACAATACCTAAATAAATAGTTAAATTTTGCAAATGAATAAAAGGTCTCAGAGCAATAGCTACCCTAAAGACAGCTTGATGGACATGTCTTGTAGCATTTATATGTTGAATTTATTCAGGTTTTCAATGTTCTGAAGGAGGCTGCTGCTGGATGTTAACAGGATACTTTCAGTCTTTTAAGACACATTAATTCAGAACATTTTGAAGGAGAATACAAGTTCCAGATTAATCATTTTTCTTTCTTACTGTAAAAATCTCATGTTGGAATGGTTCTACAAATATTCTCAGCTTATTTACTTCTTCCATAAATAATTTAGTGTCTATGGTCTCTGAACATTGTTTTAGGAGCCAAGGTTCTTAGATTTACTGTGATATGTAAAATCTCTGTTCCTGAGAATGCATGTTGTATACACAGAGACGAAAAATAAGCTGGCATTAACAAATAGGATAAACAATATATTGCAATGAATACTTTGCAATGTGCAATCCATTTAGATAACTAAAAGCTCGCTAAATGAAACTAAAAGAGATGAAAGTTTATTGAAATTGTGATATATTGACAAATGTTTGGGTGGTTAACCAGAATTATTTCTTGCCTTGTTTTATCAATTCATATTACAGCAGGTTGATGTAAAAGGCATAATATGCTTTGTAACACTTTATTCCTTAAGTATCAATCAGCCTGTCTCCCTCTGCTCTATGTAGTCCATCATTGTCCCCAAGAAGTTGAAAAATGCCACTTCAGCAAGTAGAAGTGTGTAAAAACAGACAGAAAGAGATGAAAAAGGCCCTGACTTGACAAATTTATGGAGAGAAGAAAGGGAATGAGAAAGTATATCTTAACCTCCCTGGCCTTGCCAAAGTTCCCACTGGAAGAGATTCAGTGGATACCTAAAGGGGAGAACTAAAAGCTTAGGGAGTTTTGCTACAGTTCCCACTGAGAGCCACAGAAAACATTGCCTGGCAAAGGGTCCACCTCTCAAGAGTCAGAAGGAGGTATATGCTGGTGATGGAGTTGTCTGGTTGATTCATCCAGAACACAGATCAGGGGTAAAGGTTGAAAGTGAACTAGGCAGGCTGGAAACTAAATGAGAGCCAGGCTTTGGTAAAATGTGCAACACCAGGAAAAAAGTAGTGAGGTTGAGTCAGTTGGGAGGACCCCCAAGTCCTGACTGAGGAAAGAGAGAGAGAGAGAGAGCAAGAAAAGGGAGAGGCAGGCTGCCAACATTGACAAGGAAAGATTTGGCTAGACAGACAAGTAATAGTAATGCTCGTACCTTCAAGGCCAGACAGAGAAGACCCACAGTGTTTCCCAATGACCTCCAATCACATCTGAGGCTCCTTCAACTCTGCTGCAAGGACTTCATAAGCTCCTTATGTTTCCAGATGCTATATGGAAAAGAAATAAGGATAATCAAAGATTGAGCATTTACCTGAAAAATCCACTATAAAGAGAAAGTAAGTCATTTCAACTGAAAAGAGCTAGAAAACAAATAGCAAGTTTGTTTTTCCCTGGTCTTATTTGAGATGCATAGTTATAAGGAAATGTTATCAGTTATAATAAATCGTTTTGCATTCTGAATAGCACATTGAGGGACTTTTGACTCAGTAATATTCAGCTAGATTTTTTATTTTTCAATTTTCTTTAAAAACTTCTATCTGTTATCTGTTATGCAATGGAGAACTCAAAATTATTTATTTTCTGCATACAAAACAGTGTCTCTATTTTAGTAACTTACGTGTTGTAAATAGTGTTAAGTAGGGATTTTTTCAATTGCATTATTATAGGATAAAATGTTGGTTCAAAATGTTGTTGTTGGGTATTTATTATAGGAAATATAAACAAATTCCTTTTTGAAAATATAATACATTAAAAGTGATCATTTTAATAAACTGGATACATTTACTTCCTGACTTTATTTAGGCAGCATTAAAATACACATAGTTTAAAAATTTTTAAGTATTTTTACTAGAGAGGCATAATAATAAACTCTGAAGACTCTTAGAGGTTATGGAGAAATTAACTGAATTTTTAGTGCATGGTAAATTATACATTATCAATCCATAAACCTGTGTTGTACTTGTAGCACAAAATATATCATAAATATTTCTACATGCAAATTGAATATTTAATAAAGAAAATACTAACAGTGGCTATTACTTGACAAAGGCTTATTTGTAATTTTTGTCTTCCTTTGTGAGCTTTTCTGTGTCTCTAAATTTCCTACACTTAACCTGTCATTATTTTTGCAACATAAAATAAACAAGCATACATATATGTTATGTTTAATCATTAATATGAAAGAAATAATATGAATTTTTGAAAAAATGTTAGAATATAAACAGTGAGGAGATACTAAACTAATTTGATTAGGTGTGTAAACTTGTTCATTGAAATAAACACTGCTTCACATTTCTACCAACTTTATAGATGTTATCTCTTAATCCTAATTTTAAATTATGTTAATTTCTACAGAGTCTCTAGCAGTTACTTATTACTTTTCAGCAGTGTCAGTCCTGTCCATGCATCTGTGTATTTTACACTTCTCTGGTTATCCTTGGAATAATACATAAACATTATTAGGAAATGCTCGTTAATTCATTGCTTTGAAGTTGATATTGAGGTGATTTGGTTTCAGACATATTTGAGTTTGAGCAGACACAAACAAACTCAAGTGACAGATCTATGCATAAGGTAAGGGCCAAGCAGAACGAGTGGCAAGGACTGAGATTCCCAACCCTGGAAGGATTGAAACTAATTTTGATTGACCCCTTGTAGTATACATTGCAGTGGGTATTCAAACATGAACAAAGACTAGAATATAGATTGCTTAAAGTCTCTTTGAGATGATAGGAAAAGAGTGAAATCTGTGTCACTGTAAGTAGCAGACACATTTGGTTGGCTGGTTCTATGATTTAAGGAAATGAAGCCCCAAACCTCTGGGCTGGTATGAGCACTTCAGCTCACATAGGCCCCACTGTTCCCTGATATTTTAACCCTGTCTTATTTACATATATATGTATATTATCTTCTATGCGACGATAAGTATTTATATTTCTGTTCCTTCTTGGAGAAGTTTTCATAGGTCTATAAACAATAAAACATAAAATTGAGAGCAAGATATTTCGTCTATTTTGTTTACTGCTTTATCTTCGGCATGGAAAACAATGTCTTGAATATAGTGACACCTCAAATCTTGTTAACTTGTCAAATAATAAATATAATACCCGTTTTCTATTCTAAATCCTTGCAGAAAGACTATATTAACTATTATTTTTTCACAATAATCTTGATATATTTTCTTACAGAACTTACTCCACTTAGCAGTCAGGAAAAATTAAAAATAAGCTACGTGTATTTCTCTTATGGAATTTACTGTCATGATTGCTAATGAAACCTCTTATCTACGCTAAATTTTCTCTAACGTTTAAACTTAGAAATTTTAATTAAATTCCTAAGTAAATTGACACCGAATATGGTTTGGCTGTGTCTCCACCCAAATCTCATTTTGAATTTTAACTCCCACAATTCCCATATGTCATGGGAAGAACCGAGTGCGAGTTGACTGAATTATGGGGGTGGGCCTTTCCTTCACTGTTCTCGTGATAGTTAATGAGTCTCATGAGATCTGATGGTTTAAAAAAAAAACCTCTCCCCGCCCCCTGAAAATTATAAACAATATAACAGAGGAGTATACACTTGCTGCGATATTGTCGGTACTATCATCTTCTCCCACTCCCTGAATATTATGAACAATGTAACAGGGGGTTATATCCCCTGCCATATTCAGAGTAATATCATCCTCTCCTCCCCTAGATATTACCAACAATATCAAAGGAGGGTGTACACACCCTGCGATATTGGGAGTAATATCCTCTGCCACCCTGGATATTATGAACAATATCACAGAAAATGTACACTAAGGATGTTTACGATATTGGGAGTAATATCATTTTCCTCCCCAGATATTATGAACAATATCACGGTAGGTTGTACACCCCCTGCAGTATGGGGAGTAATATCATCCTCTCTCTCACTGGATATTACGAACAATATTGCAGGGTGTGTACATCCCCTCGGATATGTGGAGTAATATCATTTTCTCTCCCCCTGAATATTACGAACAATATCACAGGGAGGTGTACATACCCTGCGATATGGGGAGTAACATCATCCTCTCCCTCCCTGGATATTACGGATAATATCGCAGGGGGTGTGTACACCCTTTGCGTTATGGGGATATGCATCATCCTCTCCCTCCCTGGATATTACAAACAATATTGCATACACCCCCCGCGATATGGGGAGTAACATAATCCTCTCCTCTTATGGATATCACAAACAATATCGTAGCGGGGTGTACACCCACTGGGATATAGTGAGAAACATCATCCTCTCCCTTTTGGATATTGCAGACAATACTGCCAGAGAGTTTACACCTTCTGCGATATGGAGAGTAACATCATCCTCCCCCCAACCCTGGATATTACGGATATGTACACCCCGCTGCGGTATGAGGAGTAACTTCATCCTCTCCCTTTCTTGATATTTAGGACAATATCGCAGGGGACTGTACACCCGCTGGAATATGAGGAGTAACATCATCCTCTCTCCTCTTGGATGTTAAGGACAATATTACAGGAAGGTGTACACCTCCTGCGATATAGGGAGTAATGTCATCCTCTTCCCCCCGGATGTTATGGACAATATCACACGGGGTTTTACACTTCCTGCGATATGGGGAGTAATATCATCCCCTCACCCTCTGGATGTTACGGATAATTTCACAGGGGCGGGAACACCCCCTGCAATATGGGAAGTAATATCATCCCCTCCCCCCGGATGTTACGGACAATATTACACGGGGGTGTACACCCCCTGTGATTGGAGGAGTAATATCATCCTCTTCCCCCATAGGAGATATGGACAGTATCGCAGCGGGATGTACACACTGTGATATGGAGAATAGTATCATCCTCTCCACCCCTTGATGTTACGGACAATATTACAGGGTATATATACACCCTGCGATATGGGAAGAAATATCATCCTCTCCACCCTGGGTATTACAGACAGTATCACAGGGGGGTGCACAGCCTTTGCGATATTGGAAGTAATATCATCCTCCCCCACTCTGGATATTTGGAACAATATCACGGGGGTGTGTGTACACCTCCTGTGATATTGGGAGTAATATTATCTTCTTCCCCCTGGATAGTAGAAACAGTATCACAAGTAGGGTGTACACCCCCTGAGCTATTGGGAGTAATATCATTCTATTTCCCCCTGTATATTAGAAACAATATCACAGGAAGGGTGTACACTCCCTGCGCTATTGGGAGTAATGTTATCCTTTTTCCCCCTGGATATTAGGGACAATATTTCATGGGGGTGTACACTCTCTGCGATATTGGGAGTAAGAACATCTTCTCTCCGCTGGATATTAGGAGCTATATCACAAAGGGAGTGTGCCCCCTCTGTGATATTGGGCATCATATCACCCTCTACCAACCTGGATATTAGGAACAATATTACAGAGGGGGTGTACACCCTCTGCAGTATTGACAGTAATATCATCGTCTTCCCTTTTGGATATTAGGAACAATATCACAAGGGGCGGTGTACACCGCCTGCTATATTGGGAGAAATATTATCCTTCCCCCCGCCCCGAATATTAGGAACAATACAACAGGGGGAGTGTACACCCCCTGCGACATTGGGAGTAATATTATCCTCTCACTCTATGGTTTTTAGGAACTATATCACGAAGAAATGTACACTCCCTGCCATATTGGGAGTAATATCATCTTCTGCCACCTGGATATTAGGAACAATATCACAGGAGGGGTGTGCGCCCCCTGCGATATTGGGAGTAATATCATCCTCTCCCCCTCTGGATGTTAGGAACAATATGACGGGGGAAGTAAACGCCACCTGCGATATTGACAGTAATATCATCGTCTCCCCCATTTGGATATTAGAAACAGTATCACAAGGGACGTGTACACCCCCTGTGATATTGGGGGTAATATCATCCTTCCCTCCCCTGAATATTACGAACTCTATTACAGAATGGTGTACACCCTCTGCAATATTGAGAGTAATATTATCTTCTCACCTCCCTGGATATTATGAACAATATCACGAGGGGTATACAACCCCCTGCGATATTGGAAGTAATATCATTGTCTCCCCCCGTGGATATTATACACAATATCACGGAGAGTGTACACCCCTGCGATATTGGGAATAATATCATCCTCCCCCCTGAAAATTATAAACAATATCACGGGGGTGGGGGGGCTGTGCTCCTGCAATATTGGGAGTAACATCACCCTCTGCCACCTCGGATATTATGAACAGTATCACAGAGGATGTACACACAAGATGTTTTACGACATTGGGAGTAATATCATCTCCCCCACGGATATTACAAACAATATCGCAGTAGGGTGTACACGCTCTGCGATATGGGGAGTAATATCATCCTCTCCTCCTGGATATTACGAACAATATGGCAGTGGTGTGTGCACCCCTGCAATATCGGGAGTAATATTATTTTCTCTCCCCCTAAATATTATGAACAATATCGCGAGGGGTGTACATGCCCAGCAATATGGGTGGTAACATTATCTCCTTTCCCCGTGGATATTACAAATAATATCACAAGGATGTGTATACCCCTTTGATATGGGGAGTAATATCATCCTTTCCCTTTCTGGATATTAGGAACAATATCGCAGTGGAATGTATATTGCCTGCGATATGGAAAGTAACATCATTCTCTTGCCCCCTGGTTATTACTGAAAATATCCCGGGGGTGTGTACACCCACAGCAATATGGGGAGTAACATCACCTTCTCTTTCCCTGTATATTACGGGCAATATCGCAGGGGGGGTATACTTTTCCTGTGATATAAAGAGTAACATTATCCTCCCCCTCCCCAGATATTACGAACAATATCACAAGGAGGTTTACAACCTTTTTGATATGAGGATTAACATTATCCTATCCCCGCCTAAACATTATGCACAATATCGCTTGGGGGTGTACACCCCCAGCGATATGGAAAGTAATATCATCCTCTCCCCTCCTGGAAATTACAAACAATATCTTAGGTGGGTGTACACCCCCTGGGGTATAGGGCACAAAATCATCCTCTCCCCTCCTGAATATTATGAACAATATCACAGGTGGGTGTACACTCCCTGGAATATTGGTGGTGATATCATCTTCTTTCCCTCTGGATATTATGAACAATATCACAGGGTGGTGTACACCTTCTGCGATACTGGGAGTAATATCATCCTCTCCCCTTGTGGAAATTGGAAACAATATCCCGGGGGGTGTACACCCCCTGCGATATTAGGAGTAATATCATACTCACTCCCCCTGGATATTACAAACAATATCACAGGGGGGTTTACACCCCCTGCGATATTGGGAGTAATATCCTCTACCATTGTGAATATTATGAACAATATCACAGGAGGGTGTACACTCCCTGATACATTAAGAGTAATATAATCCTGTTTTTCCCTGGATATTACGAACAACATCACAGGGGGGACTACACCTTGTGCGATATAGAGTCATCCCAATATCACAGGGGGGTGTACACCCCCTGCCATATTGGCAGTATAATTATCTTCTTACCCCCTGGATATTATGAACAATATCAAAGGAGGGTGTACAATCCCTGCAATATTGGTAGTAATGTCATCCTCTTTCCTTCTGGATAGTAAGACCAATATTACGGGGGGGGGGGGTGTACACCCCTTGCAATATTGGGAGTAATATCATCCTCTCCTTCCCCGAAAATTATGAACAATATCACAGGGGTGTGTATACCTTCAGCGAAATTGGGAGTAGTACCTTCCTCCCTCCACACCTGCTTATTATGAAAAATATTAACGGGGGGTGTACACCCCCTGTGATATTGGGAGTAATATCATTCTCTCCCTTCCTGGATATTACGAACAACATCACAGGGGGATGTACACCCTCTGCAATATTGGGAGTAATATCATCCTCTCCTCCTCAGAAATTCTGAACAATATCAGAAGGGGGTGTACAACACCTTGATATTGGGAGTACTATCTTTTATTACTACAAACAACCCTGCAGTATTGGAAGTAGTATCATTCTCTCTCTCGTGATATTACCAACAATATCACAGGGGAGTGAACCACTCCTGTGATATTGACAGAAATATCAACCTCCCCCTTTCTGGATATTATGAACAATATCACTGGGGGGTGGGGGTGTTCACACAGCGTGTTTACAATATTAGGATTACTATCATCCTTTCCGCCCCTGGATATTACGAAAAATATCTCAGGGGCATGTACACCCCATGGGATATTGCGAGTATTATCATCATCTCTCCACCTGGATATTACGAACAATATTACAAGGGGGTGTACACCCCCTGCAATATTCAGAGTAATATTATTCTCTCTCTCTCTGGTTATTAAGAACAATATCACAGGGGGGTGTATACCCCTTGGAATTTGGGATTAGTATCATTTTCTTCCTTTCTGGATATTAGGAATGATATTACAAGAAGGCGTACACACCCTGCGATATTGTTGACTAACAGCATCCTCTCCCCACCTGGATATTGTGAACAATATGACAAAGTGGTGTACACTCCTTGGGATATTGGGAGTAATATCATTCTCTTTCCCCCTGGATATTACGAACAATATTACAGGGGAGTGTACAACCATAGCGATATTGGGAGTAATATTATCCTCTCCCCCTTTGGATATTGTGAACAATATCACAGGGGAGTGTACACCCATACAGTGTTGGGAGTAATATCATCCTCTCTCTTCCTGGAAAGTACGAACAATACCACAGGGGGATGTACACCCCCTGAGATATGTGGAGTAATAGCATCCTCTCCCGTCAAGAATATTATGAACAATATCACAGCGGGGTGTACACCCACTTGATATAGGGAATAATATTACTCTCTTTTTTCTGGATATTACGAACAATATCACAGGGGGGTGTACACCACCTTCGATATTAAGTGTAATATTATACTCTTCCCCCCTGGATATTACGAACAATATCACAGAAGGGTGTATACCCTCTATGGTATTGGGAGTAATATCTTCCTCTCCACACCTGAATCAAACATGTGTAATATCATCCTCTCCACACCTGTAATCAAACAATATCACAGTTGGGAGTACACCCTTTGCAATATTGGAAGTAATATTATCCTCTCTTCCCTTTAATATTACAAACAATATCACGGGGGGTGTAAAACCCCTGCGATATTGGGAGTAATATAATCTTTTTTCCCCTTGGATATTTCAAAGAATATCTTAGGGGGATGTACACTCCCTCTGCTATTGGGGGTAATATCATCCTCTTTCCCCTGGAAATTACGAACAATATCACAGGGGGGTGTACACCCTTAGCAATATTGGAAGTGGTAACATCCTCTCTCCTCCTGGAGATTATGAACAATATCACAGAGGAGTGTAAGCCTCATGCGAAATGGGGAGTAATGTCATCCTCTCCCTTCCCCTGGTCATTACGAACTTTATTACAGGGCGGTGTACACACACGGTGTTTAAGACATTGGGAGTAATATTGTCCTTTCGCCCCCCGGGTATTAAGAACAATATTACAGGGAAGTGTACATCCCCTGCGATATTGGGACTAATATGATCTTTCCTGTTGAAAATTACGAACAATATAACAGGGGGTGTACACCCTCTGCAATATTCTGAGTAATATCATTTTCACCCCCCTGGATATTACCAACAATAATATCAGAGGGTGTACACCCACTGCGACATTGAGTAACATCGATATTGGGAGTAATCTCTTCCTCTCCCCTTCTGGATATTACGAACTCTATCACAGGGAGGTGTACACTCCCTGTGATGTTGAAAAGTAATATCATCCACTCCCCCACCCCAGACATTGATAGGGGATACGCCCATTGCAAGGGAGATACACCACCCCGCCAGCGATATTGTCCATAATATCTGGTGGGGGAGACTTTAATGTTACTCACCATATCCCAGTGGGTTTACACGTCCCTATGATATTGTTTGTAATGTCCAGATCAGGAGAGGATGATGTTACTCCCCATATCTCAAAGGGTGTACACCCTCACGCATTATTGCTTGTAATATCCAGGGAAGAAGAGGGTGATGTTAAATATCACATAGGGTGTACCCCTACCCTGAGATATTGTCCGTAATATCCAGGGGAATAGAGAATGATGTTACTTCCCATAAACAACCTGCGATACTGTTTGTAATATCCAGAAAGGGAAAGGATGATGTTACCCCCCTGCGATATTGTTCCTAAAAACCAGGTAGGGAGAGGATGATGTTACTCTTTATATCGCAAGGAATTTACACCGCCCCTGCGATATTGTTCATAATATCACGGCGGGAACAGAGGATGATGTTACTCCCCATATTGCAGGGGGTGTAGACACCCCTGCGATATTGTTTGTAATATCCATGGGGGGAGGGGATGATGTCACTCCCCATATTGCCAGGCGTGTACAGCCCCCTGCAACATTGTTCGTAATATTCAAGTGAAGAGAAAATTATATTACTGCACACATCACAGGGGATGTACTCACCCCTGCAATATTGGTCATAATATCCGGGGGGGAGAGGATATTACTCCCCATAATGCAGGGGGTGTGTACCCCACTGCGATAATGTTCGTAATATCCAGGGGGGAGAGGATATTCTCCCAATATCGAAAACACCCTTTTTATACATTTTCTATGATATTTTTCGTTATATCTAGGATGGCAGAGGATGATATGACTCCCAATATCGCAGGGTGTGTTCACCCTCCTTTGATATTGTTTGTAATATCCAGGATAGGAGAGGATTATATTACTCCGAACATGGCAGGGGGTGTACACCGCCCTGTGATATTGTCCGTAATATCCAGAGGTGGACAAAACGTCATTACTCTCAATATCACAAGGTATGTACACCACCCTGTGATATTGTTTGTAAAACTCAGAGGAGGAGAGGATGATGTGACTCCCAATATCGCAGGGATTGTACACCCTTCTGTGATACTGTTCATAATATTTAGGGGTGGAGAGTATGATCTTACTCCCAATATCGCAGGCAGTTTTCACTCCCCTCGTGATATTGTTTGTAATATCCGGGGGTGGGAGACAATGTTATTACTTCCAATATCGCAGGGGGAGTACACGCACCTGTTATATTGTTGCTAATATCCAGGAGGGGAGAGGAGGACATTACTCCTGATATCACAGGGGGTATACACCCTTCTGTCATATTATTCATAATATCCAGGTGGTGAGAGGATGATATTAACCCCAATATCGAGGTGGTATACACCCCTCTGTGACATTGTTCATAATATCCAAGGGGGCAGAGGACGACATTACTCCCTATATCACAGGCGGTGTGAACCTTTCTGTGATATTGTTCGTAGTTTCTGGGGGAGGGGGAGAGGATGGTATTACTCCCTATATCGCAGGTTGTGTACATCCCCTTGTGATATTATTCGTAATATCCAAGTGGGAGAAGGATGATATTACTCCCAATATCGCAGAAGGTGTACATCCCCCTGTGATATTTTTCATAATATCCCAGTAGGGTGAGGATGATATTACTCTCAATATCGCAGGGGGTGTATACCCCCCTGTGATATTGTTTGTAATATCCAGGAAGAAAGAGGATGATATTACTCCCAATATCACAGGGGGTGTACATCCTTTATGATATTGTTTTTAATATCCAGTGGGGAAGAGGATGATATTACTCCCAATATCACAGGGGGTGTACATTCCCCTGTGATATTGTTTTTAATATTCAGGAAAGAAGAAAATGATATTACTCAATATCAGAGGGGGTGCATGCCCCTGTGATAATGTTCATAATATTGGGGGGGGGGAGATTATATTTTTTTCGATATCATAGACACCGTCTGTTTACAACGTCTGTGATATTGTTCATAATATCCAGGGGAAGAGAAGATGATATTACTCCCCACATCGCAGAAGGTATACACACCTCTGCGATATTGTTCGTAATATTCCGGTATGGAGAAGATGATATTACACCTCATATCAGAGAGGGTGTACACCTTCCTGTGATATTGTTTGTAATATTGGCGTTGGAGGAAATGACACTACTCTTCATATTGCAGAAGGTGCAGACTTCCCTGTGATATTCAGAAGGGAAGAGGATATTACACACAGGTGCATGCTTCCCTGTGATAATGTTCATAATATCCAGGCGGAGAGAGGATAATAGTACTCCACCTATCGCAGGGTGTGTACACCCCCCTGTGATACTGTTCATAATATTCAGGGGAGAAGAGAATGATATTACTTCTGTATGATATTGTTCGTAATATGCAGAAAGGTAGAGGATATTACTCCCAATATCGCAGGGGGTGTACACCCTTCTGTGATATTGTTTGTAATATCCAGGGGCAAGAGGATGATATTACTCCCAATTTGGCAGGGGGGTACACCTCCCTGTGATATTGTTCATAATATGCAGGGGAGAAGAGAATGATATTACTTCTGTATGATATTGTTCATAATATGCAGAAAGGTAGAGGATATTACTCCCAATATCGCAGGGGGTGTACACCCTTCTGTGATATTGTTTGTAATATCCAGGGGCAAGAGGATGATATTACTCCCAATTTGGCAGGGGGGTACACCTCCCTGTGATATTGTTCCTAATATCCAGCGGGGAGAGAAGGATATTACTGCCAATATCGCAGGGGGTGTACACCTCCCTGTGATATTTTTCATAATATCCAGGCGGTGAGATGATATTATTCCCAATACCGTAAATATTCTGTGTGTACATTATCTGTTATATTGTTCATAATATTCAGGGTGGTAGAAAATGATATTACTCCCAAAATGTCAGGCGGTGTCCACCCCCCTGTGATCTTGTTCGTGATACTCAGGGTGGTAGAGGATGATATTACTCCCAATATCGCAGGGGGTGTACAGCCCCCTGTGATATTGTTCCTAATATCCAGTCAGGGGGAGAATGATATTACTTCCTATCGCAGGGGCTGTACAGCCCCTGTAATACTGTTCGCAATATGCACGGGGAAAGTGGATGATAACATTCCCAATATCGCAGTGAGTGTACACCCCCGTGATATTGTTCGTAATATCCAGGGAGAAAGAGGACTATATTACTTCCAATATCCCAGGGAGGGCACACCCTCCTGTGATATTGTTCGTAATATCCAGGGGGAGAGAGGATGATATTACTGCAAGCATCGCACGGGTGTACACTCCCCTTTGATGTAGTTCGTAACATCCAGAATGGGAGAAAATGATATTACTCCCAATAACGCAGGGGGTGTACACCCTTCTGTGATATTGTGTAATATCTGGGGCGGGGGGAAGGATGATATTACTCTGAATATTGCAGATAGTGTACATCCCCTTGTGATATTATTTGCAATAGCCAGGCAGAAAGAGGATGATATCAATCCCAATATCGTAAACACCACGTGTGTACACCCCCCTGTGATATTGTTTGTACTATCCACAGGGTGAGAGGATGACATAACTCCCAATATCGCAGGGAATGCACACCCCCCGTGTGATATTGTTTCTAATATCCAGGAAGGGAGAGAATGATATTACTCCCATTATTGCAGGAGGTGCACGCCCCGACTGTTACATTGTTTTATTATCCAGGGAGTGAGATGATGATATTACTCCCAATATAGCAGAGGGTGTGCATCCCCCCTGTGATATTGTTCCTAAAATTCACAAAAGGAGAGGATGATATTACTCCCAATATCGCAGGGGGTGTATGCCCTTCTTGTGATATGTTCCTAATATTTATGGAGGGAAACGACAATAACTCCCAATATGGCAGGAAATGCACACTCCTCCGAGATATTTTTCCTAATATCCTGGTGCGGAGAGGATAACAGAACTTTCAATGTCACGGAGTGTACACCCCCCTGTGATATTGTTCCTAATATTCAGGGAAGAAGAGGATGATATTACTCCCAATATCGCAGGGGGTGTACAACCCCTCTGTGGTATTTTTGCTAATATTCAAAGTGGGAGAGGACGATATTACTCCCAAAATCGCAGGCGGTGTACACCCTTTTTGTGATATTGTTCCTAGTATCCAGTGGGTGATATTACTCCCAATATTGCAGAAAGTGTACACCCCCCTTGTGACATTTCTCCTAATATTCAAAGAGAGAGAGGATGATATTACTTTCAATACAACAGAAGGTGTATACCCCTTTTGTAACATTTTTCCTTATATCTTGTGTGGGGGAAAGAGGATATTACTCCCAATATCGCAGAGGGGTGTACACCCTTTTTGTGCTTTTGTTATATTTTTTTCTAATACTCCGGGGGGGGGGGGCAGAAAACAATATTACTCCCAATATTGCAGGAGGTGTACACCCCATTTGATATTGTTCCTAATATCCAGGTGGGGAGAGAATATTACTCCCAATATCGCAGGGGTGTACACCCCCTCTGTGATATTTTTCCTTATATTCAAAGGAGAACAGGATGTTATTACTCCCAATATCGCGGAAAGTGTACACCCCTTTTGGATGTTTTTCCCAATATCCAGGGGGGAAAAGGACAATGTTACTCCCAATATCGCAAGACGTGTACATCTCCCCTTTGATATTGTTCCTAATATCCAGGTGGGGAGAGGATGAGGATGACATTACTCCCAATATCTCAGGGGTGTACACCCCCTGTGATATTGTTCCTAATATCCGGGGTGGGGGGGAAGAGGATGATATTACTCCCAATATCGCAGGAGGTGTATATCCCTTTTGTGATATTTTTCCTAATATCCCTGGGGAGGAGAGGATGATATTACTCCCAATATCGCAGGTGCTGTACAATTTCCTGTGATATTGTTCGAAATTTCCAAAGAGGGAGATACTGTTACTCTTAATATTGTAAACACGCTGTGTAGACACCCTCCTGTCATATGGCTCGTAATATCCAGGGGGGTTTAAGAGGGTGATATTACTCCTCATATGGCGGGGGGTGGACACCCCCTTGTCATATGGCTCATAATATCCAGGAGGGGAGAGGGGGGTGACATTACTCCCTATATGGTGGGGGGTGGAGGACCCTGTCATATGACTCATAATGTCCAGGGTGGGGTAGAAGGGGGTGATATTACTCCCCACATGTCTGTGGTGGACACCCCCCTGTGATATTGGGAGTAATATCACCATCTTCTCTCCCCGCCCCCCCAGATATTACGAGCCATATGACAGGAGGGTGTCTACACAGCGTGTTTACAATATTAAGAGTAACAACATCTCCCTCTTTGGAAATTTAGATATCACAGGGTGATATCACAGGAATGATGTCACAGGGTGAGTGTACAACCCCTGCAATATTGGGCATAATATCATCCTCTTCCTCCCTGAATATTAGAAACTATATCACGGGGGGGGGGGTGTACACTGCCTGCGATATTGGTAGTAATATCATTTTCTCCCTCTCCGGGTATTAAAAACAAGATCACAGAGATGTGTACAACTCCTGCGATATTGAAAGTAATATCATCCTCTCCTTTCCTGGGTATTAGGAAGAATATCACAGACGGGTGTGTACACCACCCTGTGATATTGTAATATAATGCTCTCCCATCTGAATATTAAAAACAATATCACAGAGGGGGTGTACACTCCCTGCGACATTGGAAGTAATGTCATCCTCTCCCCCCCACCCCGGATATTAGCAAAAATATCATGGGGGTGGTTGTACAACCCCTTTGATATTGGGAGTAATATCACCCTTTCCCCCTCTGGATATTAGGAACAGTATCACAGGGAGTGTGTATACCCCCTGAGATATTAAGAGTAATTTCATCCTCTCCCCCACTGGATACTAGAAACAATATTACAGGAGATGTGTACAGCAACTGCGATATTGAGAGTAATATCATCCTCTACCCCTGGATATTAGGAACAATATCACCAGGGGTTGTACACCTCCTGCGATATTGCGAGTAATATCCTCTCCCCTCCTGGAGAGTAGGAAAAATAACACACGGGGGTGTACATTCCCTGCACTATTGGGAGTAATATCATTTTCTTCCCCTGGATATTAGGAACAATATCATAGGGGTTTTTACACTGTCTGCGATATTGGCAGTAATATCATGATACACCCCAGTGGATATTAGGAACAATACCACAGGCAAGGTGTTCACCCCTGCGATATTGGGAGTATTATCAACCTCTCCAAAACTGTATATTGGGAACAATATCACAGGGGGTCCTACATCCCCTACGATATTGGGAGTATTATTATCCTCTCCCCCACTGAATATTAGGAAGAATATCACAAACAGGAGGTACACCCGCTGAGTTATTGGGAATGATATCACACTCTCGTCTCCTGGGTATTAGTAACAACATCTACTAAGGGGGTGGACAACCCCTGCTATATTGGGATTAATATCATCCTCTCTTCCCCCGGATATTAGGAGCAATATCACAGGGCCGTTGTACACCCTTTGCGATATTTACAGTGATATTATCGTCTCCCACCCTTGAAATTATTAACAGTATCACAAGTGGGGAGTACACCCCAGCGATATAGAAAGTAATATCATCCTCTCTCCCATTGATATTAGGAACAATACCATGGGGGGTGGGGTTGCACACTTGCTGCAATATTGGGAATAATATCATTGTCTTCCTCACTGGATACTATGAACAATATCACAGAGGGGTGTACATCCCCTAAGATATTCGGAGTAATATCATCCTTTCCCCCCGCCCCAGATATTGAGAACAATATCACGCGGCGGGATATACACTCCCTGCGATATTGGGAGTAATATTGTCCTCTCCTGACCTGGATATTAGGAACAATATCACAGCGGGGGTGTACAGTCTTTGCGATATTGGAAGTAATATCATTCCTCTCCTACCCTGGATATTAGGAACAATATCACAGGGGGTGTGTACACCCCCTGAGCTATTGGAAGTAATATCATCCTATTTCTTTCTGCATATTAGAAACAATATCACAGGAAGGGTGTACACTCCCTGCACTATTGGGAGTAATATCATCCTCTTTCCCACCGGATATTAGGAACAATATCTCAGGGGGGTGTACACCCCCTGCGATATTGGGAGTAATAACATTCTCTCCCCCCCCCCGGGTATTAGAAACAATATCACAAACGGGGTGTACCCCCTCTGTGATATTGGGCGTAATATCACCCTCTCCCAACCTGGGTATTAAGAACAATATCACAGGGTCACAGAGGGTGCGTACACCCCCTGCGGTATTGACAGTAATATCATTGTCTCCCCTTTTGGATATTAGAAACAGTATCACAAGGGGAGTGTACACCACCTGCTATATTGGGAGTAATATCATCCTATCCCCCTCTGGATATTAGGAAAAATATCATGGGGGGTGTACACCCCTTGTGACATTGGGAGCAATATCATCTTCTCACCCCATGGTAATTAGCAACAATATCACGAAGAAATGCACACCTCCTGCGATATTGGGGGTAATATCATCTTCTCTCCCCCTGAGTATTAGGGACAACATCATAAGAGGGGTGTACACCCCCTGTAGTATTGGAAGTAATATCATTCTCTCCTTTCCAGAATATTAGGAACAATATCACAGTGGTGTGCACACCTCCTGCAATATTGGGAGTAATATCATCCTCTCCCCACTCCCGGAATATTAGGAACAATATCATAGGAGGGGTGTACACCCCCTGTAATATTGGAAGCAATATCATCCTCTCCACTTTGGATGTTAGGAACAATATCACAGGAGAGGTGTTCACCACCTGCAATACTGACAGTAATATCATCGCCTCCCCCATTGGATATTAGGAACAGTATCTCGAGGGGGTTGTACACCCCCTGTGATATTGGGAGTAATATCATGTTGTCATCCCCTACAGATTACAAACCATATTATATAATGGTGTACCCCCCGCCCCGTAATATTGAGAGTAATATCCTCTCCCCCACTGGATATTATGAACAATATCACAGGGGCTGTACAACACCTGTGATATGGGGAGTACTATTACCCTCTTCCCCCTAGATATTATGAACAACATGGCAGGGCTGTGTATACACAGCAACTTCGGGAGTAAGATCATTTTCTCTCCCCCTGAATATTATGAACAATATCGCAGAAGGGTGTACACACCGGGTGATATGGGTAGTAACATCTCCTTTCCCCGTGAATATTACAAACAGTATCACAGGGGTGGGTATATCCCCTTTTATATGGCAACTGACATCATCCTCTCCCTCCCTGAATATTATAAACAATATCGCAGTAGCATGAGTATTCCCTGTGATATGAAGAGTAGCATCATCCTCTCACTCCCTGGTTATTACAGATAATATCGCATGAGGGTGTACACCCCCTGCAATACAGGGAGTAACATCATCCTCTCTTTCCCTGTATATTATGAACAATATCGCAAGAAGGTGTACAAATGGAGGGGGGTGTACACCCTTTGGGATATGGAGATTAACACTATCCTATCCCCACCTAAATATTATGGACAATATCGCATTTGGGTGTACACCCCCTGCGATATGGGGAGTAACATCATTCTTCCACTCCTGGAAATTACAAACAATACCATAGGGGGTTGTACACCCTCTGGTGTATGGGGAGTAACATCATCCTCTACAAGGAATCTACAAGGAACTTAAACAAATTTAAAAGAAAAAAACAAACAACCCCATCAAAAAGTGGGCAAAAGATATGAACAAACACTTCTGAAAAGAAGACACTTATGTGGCCAACAAATATATGAAGAAAAGCGCACCATCACTGGTCATTAGAGAAATGCAAATCAAAACCACATTGAGATACCATCTCACACCAGTTAGAGTGGCAATCATTAAAAAGTCAGGAAACAACAGATGCTGGAGAAGATGTGGAGAAATAGGAACATTTTTACACTGTTGGTGGGACTGTAAACTAGTTCAACCATTGTGGAAGTCAGTGTGGCGATTCCTCAGGGATCTAGAACTAGAAATACCATTTGACCCAGCCATCCCATTACTGGGTATATACTCAAAGGATTATAAATCATGCTGCTATAAAGACACATGCACAGGTATGTTTATTGCAGCACTATTCACAATAGCAAAGACTTGGAACCAACCCAAATGCCCATCAATGATAGACTGGATAAAGAAAATGTGGCACGTATACACCATGGAGTATGATGCAGCCATAAAAAAGGATGAGTTCATGTCTTTTGCAGGGACATGGATGAAGCTGGAAACCGTCATTATCAGCAAACTAACACAAGAACAGGAAAACAAACACTTACAAACACTGCATGCTCTCACTTGTAAGTAGGAGTTGAACAATGAGAACACATATGCATGGGGTGGGGGGGCATCACACACCAGGGCCTGTTGGGGAGTGGGGGGCTGGGGGAGGGATAGCATTGAGAGAAATACCTAATGTAGATGATGAGTTGATGGGTGCAGCAAACCACCATGGCACGTGTATACCTCTGACAAACCTGCACGTTGTGCACATGTACCCCAGAACTTACAGTATAACAAAAAACAAAAACAAACAAACAAAAAGAACAGGAGTTTCCCTGTAAAAGATCTCTTTTCCTGCCGCCATCCACATAAGACATGACTTGCTCCTCCTTGCCCTCTGCCAAGATTGTGAGGCTTCCCCAGCCACGTGGAACTGTGAGTTCCCCATTAAACCCCCTTTTTGTAAATTACCCAGTCTCAGGGAATGTCTTCATCAGCAGCATGAAAACAGACTAATACAACACCTAGTAGTGAGATTGAAGTTTAATGAAATAATAATAATGTAATCAAATTTAAAAATCATTGGATTTAATTGAGTGACTGAAATTACTGGATTATGACATATTGTATTGTATTGTATTTCATTTATTTAATTTTGGGATGGAGTCTTGCTCTGTCACCCAGGCTGGGGTGTAGTGGCATGATCTTGGCTCACTGTAACCTCTGCCTCCTGGGTTCAAGCAATTCTCCTGTCACAGCCTCCCGAGTAGCTGGGATTACAGGTGTGCGCCCCCATGCCTGGCTAATTTTAGTATTTTTACTAGAGGCAGGGTTTTGCCATGTTGGCCAGGCTGGTGTAGAACTCACGACCTCAGGTGATCCGCCTGCCTCAGCCTTCCAAAGTGCTGGGATTACAGGCATGAGCCACTGCACCCGGCCTACAACTGTATTTTAAATAAGAACGTACTCTCTGAAAATTGTCATAAATAAATAATGTCAGTGTTGACCCCAGTAAGTCATCTTTTTATGTGTTTTCCTGAATGTTTTTGTATATACATTTTGCAAAACTCTAATGCTACTACTGGCAGATTATATTCATAAATATGTAAAAACAATAATTATATTATTTTATTTTTTTCTAACCTGAGCTCTGGGACAAGATTGTTATTCTTGAACCTCAACTTCACAATTAAATTAGATGTGCGGCTTTGACAATTACCTAACCATTGTGTACCTCACTTTCCTCATTTATAAAATAAGGATGACAGGCTTCTTCTCATGGGGTTATTTTGAGAATTAAATGACCTAATCCATCAAAAGAACATAGAATAGGGCCTAACACATAGTAACTACCCAGTAAATGTGCTCTATTATTATATAATAGACTTCAGATTTGGAAACATATGGTTTACTGGCAACATCAGTTTACAGAAATGCTTGAAACACAGTTTAACATGCATTTACACATATTGATACCAATATCAACTATTCCTAAAATATACCTCTGGGAACCTCAATTCAGCATGCCAAATTGGCATTGGTTCCTATTCATATGGTGAGTGCTGATGGAACACAAGAGACAGAGCATTAAGAGCAACTCAAATTTGCTCTTCCAAATAATTGAAAGCTGTTTTATCACCCATCAGAGTATCAATCTGTCACTCACTTAAGTCAAAATGTTAATCTTTGTTCAAAAATGATGTACAGAATATTGTACAATTTGGTTAGTTTGAAAGAATATAAAATGTATTTATAATAATTTCTCAAATAATTTACTATCCAATTTTAATTGATTTAAGACTGAGTCAAGAAATGATTCAATTACTCTCACGGGAAATATCGAGAATGTAAATGATTAATGTCTAATGAAGTATATACCAAAAGAACAAGAGAGAAATATTTTGAACAATTAACTGTCACTGTAGAGGACTTTTATGTCATATTCAGTCATTCATCATAGAAAATACACCTTTCATATGAAACAATTTCAAATAGCAAGTTTCTTTGTACTGAAAGACCAATCTTAAGAGGTAAGACCAATTTAAATAATTTTACTTTCTTGTTTAAATTAATATATTCCAGATCTCTCTTGAGCAGGTGTGGTAAGCACTCCTCTCCCCACCACCACTATTATCTGCCAAGTATTTTATAACCTAAATTGATGCATAATATAAATGGAACCTTTAACGAATTGAGCACTTTGTCAACACTCAGATTTAATGAACACACATCACTTGAATATTTTTTTAAAGATTTTTTTCCCAGATAATAACCTAGAATTTTGAGATTGTCGAATGCAATCTGTTACAGAAAAGACCCACTCGTGCTGTCTCTTTCTTCCCCAAATTGCATCTAGCTCATAAACTATAGTATTCAGTTATTCTTAATTCCCCACAGAGGAGCTCCATAAACAATGACCTGTTATATCAATGACTTTGCCAATTAGAGTCACAGTAGGCACTACAATTGGACACATCATTTTCTGTTCTTCTGACATTTACAACTTCAAATCCTACTTAAAATTGCAGTTATTAGATTCAGTCCTTATAGTCATTAATACTGAATACCTTTACGACTCTCTTCAGTGATAGATCAGATGTTAGACCTCAACAGTAGGGCTCCTTGTGTGCGCTCTAAGTTTTGGCAAGGCCACGTTCCTCAGAGTCCACAGAAGGACACCCTCCATTTAATATGAACATTGATTCAGGAAGGTGAGGGTGAATGGCTTTGTGGTAATTAGACTGAGAGCTAATGAACAAATGTGTTGTAGTCGTAACTTCCCAGGATTTCTAAAAGTCTTTTCAAATTGCCTGTTACATAAATTGGTGTTAACGATTGTGCAAGTCTCTATTTAAGAGCCACTATGCTTAGACTAAAAGGGAATTTTCAATGCTTTGGGGAAATATTTTTCATCTATATTAAGAATAATTCTTTGCATACCTATGTTCTAGCTCTGCCTCTCAGCAAAGGAAAATGAGCTGTTCTGCATTTGTTTTTCAGTGCAAAGAAAGACATTTAATTTCTCAGGCAATGCGTGGTAACTTAAGAGCAATGTGTAGAACGTGAAATGGAAAATGCATACAACTACAAGATGAGTGGACTGTCTCACCCACAGACAATAACTCATCCCTAATGACTCACTTTCCTCTATATAAATTGAGAAATGTGACAAGGATGGGGAATGTTTTTCCCTTATGAGGAAAAAAAAAATTACCTGCAAAGAAATGCTAATCATATTAGGCTTATGCATCCATTGGTACTACATCATTCTCTGTCCTCTGTGTTAGGAAATGCCTTGTTATAGCTACTGCGCAATAAAAAGAAAGAAATAAAATTTTTTTAATAAACATGTTTTGCCTTAACTTTCCTGGAATGGGGCTGTGTTATGAACTCTGTAACTACAAATTTAAAATCTAATGACAAGAATGTAAATAAAAATTAATAATTTGTTATGTTAACTTTCTATTAATGCTTTTATTAGACTGTTAGATTATTCCTAACTAGGAATTAAGTTAAAAATGAAAGGCTTTTTTTTTCCAGGCCACAACTTTATGTAATTTTCTCATTATATATGCACTTTAACTTTTTATCTGTTTCCTTAAAACACTTGCCCTGATAATCAGGGATTAAATACAAGATAGTCTTCTCTGCTTCTCTCCATTGTCATCTGCTCCAAGAGTATTCTTTGTTGTGTACTGTAATGTTGATTCACTTGATTATTTTTCAAATTCTTAGTCTTTACTCTAATCAGGTTTTAAAACTGTACTCCTGCATTAACATTATGTATGTGTGCACCAGTGCCGAGCTAATGGGCTAGGATGAGTCAGATCCCCATATATTTTGTTTTTTTTTCCCTTAGTTTGTCTTCATTTCAGATTGAAAACTCCCTTTACTTAGCCAATTTTTTAAATGAACTTCATAAATCTCCTCACATAAAGCACAAGCAGCAGAATTTATTTAAAGTGGAAAACTTTTCTCCCAATACTCTTTTGTACATTTTGCTGTAAAGGGAAATCAGTCTTAAGCAGTCAGGGCTGCTTTGCACTGAAAGAAAATTAAATTCCTGCATCCCTGTGCATCCTGCACGCATGGCATGCTTTCCATATGATTTCTACCTACATGATCATCACTCAGCACTGAAAAAGCTCAGGGGCAAACGAAGGTCAGGAAGGTATGAGGAGAGCAACAAAAATCAAGATGAACTGAAAATGACTTAATTTCCATACATATTTCATCCTAAGTCCAGGCTCAAAAGAGAAAAGTGCTCACTCATCTCTCTCTTCTCCAAAGCCTTCCCTGCAGCCACATTTCAGTTAAGTGAGGGTAAAATAGGCTTTTGCATGAAGTTCAGTTAACTTTTTCAGATCAGTTATCAGAAAGAATCCTGTCTGCCTGTGGCTCACTTGTCAATTGAACATACCAAACAGTAACAGTAATGGATGAGTAAAAGAACATTTTACAACTATCAGAGCGCATTACCAGATTTGTGTCATTTAATCCTTGCAAAAGCCATGACCAAAGATAATTTTAAATAATTGATGAGTAAATGGTGCTCCAGAGGTTAACTAATTTGAAAAAGTTCAACTGACAACCAATAAGTAATAGATTACATGTGTTACTTTCAGTATAACAAACAGCTTTAAAACATATCCTTGTATATCTTGGTATGAATACATATTCCTCTATCAACTGAAAGGTGGAAGTGTCTTTCATGAAGCCGTGCACTTTGTGGGGATTATCTGTTAATGAGCTACCTCCCCTAGAAATCTTGTATATTTATGTATTTGTGTCAGGAATATTATGTATCCCTGCTTGAGCCAGGCTTCCTTTTTGGCCTTTTAAACACTTTATTTAAGTAAAAAGTAATACATACATACTCATGATAGAAAAATACAGATAAACAAAAATAAGAAAACTTAAATTATCCATAACCGTGCACAGATTTTTATTGTTGTTAACTTTTTTTTCCAAATAATTTTAGACAGGAAAGAGTAGCAAAATTAGTACATAGAGAAATCTCAGATCACCTTTACCTATTTTCCCTACTCTTATAAAATCCTAAAAATGGTTCAATTTTCAAAACAAGAAAACTAATATTGGCCCAATACTGTTAACTAAACAGCAGATGTTATTACCCCAATTTTTTCACTAATGCTTTCTTATTGTTTCAGGTTCTAATAAGGGATCCTATAATGTATTGTTTCATGCCTCACTAGTCTCTTCAAATCTGTGACAGATCTTTAGTCTTTCCTTGTCTTTCATGGACTCGACACTTTTGAAGCATACTGGTCAAGTGCCTCAGTTTTGGTGTGTCTGATGTCTTCTGCTGATCAGGATGAGGTAATGCATTTTTGTCAGGAACATGACAGAAATGATGTGCCCTTCTCAGTTCATCACATCATGGTGTAAATATATCTTACTGCTGGAAAGTTAATCTTGATTCATTGGTTAAGGTGATGTTTGCAAGGTTTCTTCACTATAAAGTTAGCATTTTCTGTTTGCAATCGACACAAATGCTGGGGAAGATTATTTTGAAATTATTCAAATAATATCATTTAATATCAAATCATATCTTTTTCTTAAATTTTGGCTCTTAAATTTAGCATTCATTAGTTGATTTTGCTTGCAACGATGACTACTGTGGTATTTCTGTTTCCCCCATTACTTTTTTTTTCTTTTTTTAAAGACAGAATCTTTTTCTGCCACCCAGGCTGGAGGGCAGTGGTACGATCTCTGCTCACTGCAACTTCCACCTTTAGGGCTCCAGGAATTCTCATGCCTCAGCCTCCCGAGTAGCTGGGATTATAGGCGTGTGCAACAACACCTGGATAATTTTTGTATTTGTAATAGAGACGGGGTTTCACCTGTGATCTATGAACCGGTTGTCTTATATGTTTTTTTTTAAAAGAGGTACTTTGCAAATGGAACTTAAGGAAGGACAGATCTTGAGATAGGGAGATTGTTTAGGGCTGTCTAATAGACATGGTCTAATCACAGGAGTCCCTACAAGTGGAAAATAAAAGATGAAGGATGGGTCACAGGGATACAACCTGAGGACTTGACCTGTTATTGCTGCTTTTGAAGATAAAGGAAAGGAGCTGAAGCCAAGTAATGGCCTGGCCTCTAGAGGCTCAGATCAGCCACTGACTGATAACCAGCAAGAAAATAGGGTCCCTGGCCTTTCAATGTCAAAGAACCAAATTCTTTCATCAACATCATCAACAACAACAACATAAAAGAGCAAAGAAATGAATTTTTCCTTAGAGCCCTTAGAAAGGCATGCGTGATGTAGCTGTGTCAGACTTCTGACTTACATTATTATAAGATACTAAATTTGCTTTAAGTCAGTAGGTTCATACTCTTCTGTTACGGCCACAATAAAAATATAATAAAACTATCTTTTCTTTTCTTCCCTTAAATTGTTCCAGATTTGGCCACTGGGAGCTCCTTCATTTGAGCTAGGTCTTTTGCTCATCTTGATGGCTGTTGGTAGCACTTTCTTCGTTTGAATCAACTATGCAGTCAACCTTATCAGTGGAAGAATCAAATTAAAAGTCGGGTAATTTCATACAAATAGAATTCATCTTAGATTTTCTTTCCATGATCACAGGAAAACCATGAAAGAATACAGTTTACCCAGCCACTATAATTTTTAAGAGTTAATTTAAAATATTGAAGTATGGAGGCATTGGGCATTTGACTCTTTGCCCCAATTTGTAAGAAACTCCTGTGTTTGTGTGTGTGTGTGTGTGTGTGTGTGTGTGTGTGTGTGTTGCTGTCTTTTCTAAATCTGATACTAATTGGGAAACTGGAGGTAGGCCAGGACTCAGGATATAAAATAATTTAAGGAAGGGGTAAGAGGCAGGAAATAAATACATGCCCACTCCTACTTTGCTGTGTTTACAAAGGCTAGAGGTGATAAAATTTTAGGCCAGCCCTAAAGCTTACGACATCATTACAATGCCCATTTTTCTAATAGTAATTAATGCCTAGATTGACATCAGTATATTACTTTTTTAGGATACCACCTTTCAAGTTAAAGAAGTAATATAATGATATCAATCCATTCTAAGGAATTTATTATTAATATCTAGTCTTTCCAAAAAATTACGCTTTGCATGAAACAATGTGGTAAGGAGGGTTCAGTGGACATTTAAATAGGAAGGGATGCCTTGGAGTGGGAAAAATGGGACCTGGAAAAGTATCTCAATTTATCTGGTCCTGGGCTGATCAGGATCTCACATGCCTCCAAACTCCTCGCAAACTCCTCCTTGGTTATTTTGACAAAAACAAATTTCTTAAGTTTCTTGAGTACAGAAATAGCATCTTATTTCACTTTGGTTTCTTAGCTCAGTTCTAGCACATAGTATATTATTTCTAGTATATGTTTATGGAATTAAAAAATGGATTCAAAATCAATAATAATTTTTTATTTTTTATTTTTTTAAAAGGAGTCTCGCTCTGTCACCCAGGCTGGAGTGCAGTGGCGCGGTCTCGGCTCACTGCAAGCTCCGCCTCCTGGGATCACGCCATTCTGCTGCCTCAGCCTTCCGAGTAGCTGGAACTACAGGCGCCCACCACCACGCCCGGCTAATTTTTTGTATTTTTAGTAGAGACGGGGTTTCACCGTGTTAGCCAGGATGGTCTCGATCTCCTGACCTCGTGATCCGCCCGCCTCGGCCTCCCAAAGTGCTGGGAATAATAATTTTAAATAATCTGTAATGTATGTAAAAATTCTGCCATGGAAAATATTCTTCACTGAAACTCAAGCTTCCAAAGGTAAAGAATTCATGTTTGTTTTACAAATGTCAGTTATTAATATAGTACAATGCCTCATACGCAAAACTTTTAGTTTTATTTTTTAATTTCTCCTCAAAATGTGCTAGTAGGCAAATTTAAAGAAAATTATATATAAAATATATATACACATACATTCATTAGCTAGAGAATATATATAGTGTGTGTATATATATGTGTGTGTAAATATATACATATATATACTACAGAATGAATCATCTCATTGATATTAAGAATAGGAAAATAAAAAGAGTCAGTATAAAATTCAACAGCGCAAGACAAATACCTAAGACCTTTTATACTGAGAAAATAAAGTATTTGTGAGATGATAATTAATAAAAACTAATAGCATAAACACTACATAAAAAACACTTTATGCCCATCTGATATTAAAGCAATATACTATATATGGTCATTTTTGTTTGACAGTGGCTTAAAGGAAGTCTAATTTAAAGGCTTCAGTTAAATTTCTAGATCCAACCATTGATTAATCTTTTAGGATTCATTTTCACTTAATATCTTTCTCCCTCAGTCTTTTCCTTCCTCCCTTTATTTTATTAAGCTATTTTTCTTGTCAACAGATTCCATGGAAGATGTCTGAGTAAAATCACCCATAAATATATTAGCTTTGTTCAGTCTCACACATTTTTAGGAATTTGAATGGGGAAAATCATCACCTTAAGGAAAATGTCAGTGCTGAACAATATTTTATCACTGTCAGGATTGTTTTTAGGTGATTATTGAGCCTATATTTTGCCTCCAACACAATACCAATATTATTTCAATAGTGTGGTCCCAAAGCAAAGCATCAATAATTAACGTTTAATCTGAAACTTTGAGTTTGCTTAGACAATAAATACATACATCTCAGATTAGGATAGTGGAGTCACATGAGTTGCTAATATCTATGACCTAAAATTGCTTTCCCTTCTTCAGTATTCATCTCCTTTTTTCTTTAATTTTTCCCATTTGTGAATCTTATTGTCTTTTTTATTCATAATAGCAACTAATAGATGAATACCAACTTATGTTTCTGTAAGCTATACCAAATTTGTATAGTGATTTACAAATCCTTCCCCACATGTTAATACTTGGGTCTGTTTGTAGCCTACACAACTGTTACTAACTTTAAGATCCCACCTCCATTTCCTAAAACATAACTTACCAGTAATTTGACCTAAATTTCCAAAGATATGTATTTTCCTACAGCAATTACTTGTTGCATGAAACAAAATACAGCTTTAAATAAGTATACAATACCTGCAGAGGGCAGGAGAAGGGGACATAATTTATTAGATATTAAAATGAAGTGTTTATAGTCCACATTTCTTTTCCTATTAATTACATACTTCGAGTCTAACTTCTGTAAAAGTCCTAACAATTAGCCGGGCGCGGTGGCTCATGCCTGTAATCACAGCACTTTGGGAGGCCGAGGCAGATCACGAGGTCAAAAGATGGAGACCATCTTGGCCAACATGGTGAAACCCCGTCTCTACTGAAAATAAAAAAATTAGCTGGGCTTGGTGGCGCATGCCTGTAATCCCAGCTACTCGAGAGGCTGAGGCAGGAGAATCGCTTGAACCAGGGAGTTGGAGGTTGCAGTGAGCCAAGATCGCGCCACTGCACTACAGCCTGGCAACAGAGCAACAGAGCGAGACTCTGTTTCAAAAAAAAAAAAAAAAAAAAAATTTGTGGTAGCCAATCTAAAGGGTCTGTAGTGTACTTCTCTTTTCCCCATTCCCAATTAAAAAAGTGTTCAATGCATAACTTTAAAAAGATTTTAAAATAGTAAGATACACTACAGTTGTAAAAGTATTATTAAAGATGTAACAATGCACATTGCTCAAGGCACTATAAGTGATGTAATCTATTTGCAAAGCATTTTAGTGATATAAATCATGAACCTCTAATGGAGTTAAATATTTCTCGAAATAAGACTGAATCAGGATTTTTTCCTGAAGGAATAATCTTCAATAGACAAAACCAGCATATACCAAAACAAGTATTGAAACAGCAATTGTAACCAAAATTGAAAGCCCATCAATTGTTTATTTTCAGGAGTCTTCAAGTATGATTTATTCATTCAATGCAATATTATGCCACTATTATGTATGTATTTAGGAAATTTATTTGTTTATATAAACTACATATTATACAATATTTAGGGAAAATTAGAACACTAAAATTATATGTTAAATATGATTACAATTACTTTTTGAAAAGTCATTCAGAGGGAAAAAAAATGAAGGCATCAACCTAAAAAGTCTCTAAGTGATAAGTAGTTTTGCTTTATTTTTCCATCAATTAACTTTTAAAAGGGTTACTGTGAGGGCTTTTTCTCAATCTCTCTTTCTTGACCTTTCCATAGCATTACTCAATGTGATTTATCTCTTAGTTTCTGAGTAAATATCTTGTTCATTTTCTCCTATTATTTTTCTGTTTTCCTATAATCTGCTTGCCAATTGCAGACGTGTACCCTGAAAATGGAGGTTCCCAAATCTGCTGTTTTCAACTCTATTTTAAGCCTCATTTGTGTATTTTTTAACACTTGATGAATAATTTTCCATCTGAATGTCCCACTCAACCCCACAAACTCAGCATATATAAAGGTAGCACAATTATTCTTCTGGCTCTATACACTCTAGATCACTCTTTCTCCTCTGCTCTTCTATTTTTGGTCCCATCTAGCTGACTCTGTAGTCCATTTACTTATCATACAGATTGCATTTATATAAATTGAAAAATAGTTGGGCCGGGCACGGTGGCTCACGCCTGTAATCCCAGCACTTTGTGAGGCCAAGGCGGGCGGATCACGAGGTCAAGAGATGGAGACCTTCCTGGCCAACATGGTGAAACCTCGTCTCTACTAAAACTACGAAAATTAGCGGGGCATGGTGGTGTGTGCCTGCAGTCCCAGCTACTTGGGAGGCTGAGGCAGCAGAATCTCTTGAACTCAGGAGTAGGAGGTTGCAGTGAGCCCGAGATCATGCCACTGCACTTCCAGTCTGGTGAGAGGGCGAAACTCCGCCTCAAAAACAAACAAACAAAGAAACAAACAGTTGGATATATTTTGAAAGGAAATGTAAGATAGAGATAGTTCTAGAGCTGTGTTGTTTTGGTTTGTTTTTTGTTTTGTTTTGTTTTGCTTTTAAGAATCTCTATCAGTATAGGGAGGTGGGGAATTTATCGTGAGGTAAGACAGTGTTGTCTAGTGGGAAAAGCATGCACTTGGAAGCCAGAAAAACCTGCTCAAATCTTTTCTTTTTCATGTACTAACTGTGTGAATGTGGACTACACACTAAATTTTATTAAACTGAGTTTCGTACTCTATAAAAAGGAGATAGTGAAATGTAACATATAAGCTTATTGAACATAGAAACTACTCAAACTTTTTTTTGTTTTGTTTTTTTGGACATATTGAAACAGAGGAAAAAGGGTAATACCTGACTAAAGTATGATATCTCCATATTGAGTATCTTTGGAAAGTTTATATTACAAGCAGCAACTAAACCTAGAATTAACTCCAAATCTATGACATCCTTAACTTGGAGTTCAACCTATATTTTAGAACATTAGTGATTAAAAAAAAAAAAACTCTACTTGCCAAGATCTCCATTTATGTATTTAAAACAATTGACTGGGCTGGGTGTGGTGGCTCACACCTGTAATCCCAGCACTTTGGGAGGCCGAGGCAGGTAGATCACAAGGTCAGGAGTTCGAGACCAGCCTGGCTAACGTGGTGAAACCCCATTTCTACCAAAAAAATAAAAAAATTAGCTAGGCATGGTGGCGTGCACCTGTAATCCCAGCTACTTGGGAGGTTGAGGCAAGAGAATTGCTTGAACCTGGGAGGCGGAGGTTGCAGTGACCCGAGATCGTGCCATTGCACTTCAGCCTGGGCGACAGAGCAAGGCTCCGTCTCTGCAAAAACAAAAAATAATAATAATTAATTATTAATTAATTTTAAATAATTGACTGTTAGAAAAATTCTTCCTTGCATGGACCCAAATTCTCTCTCCTGTTAAGCAGGTCTTCCCTTAATTTAAAGTCATTGACTACAGTGATGCTGAAAGGAGTTATATACATAAAAATTGTTCAAGAAAACATTTTTAGACTTCTACCATGCTCTCTACTAAACCAAATGTTGCTTATACTAAACAGCCCAGATTTCTAATCATTCCTGGAAATGATGCAAAGCAATTTAGTTATATAACTCATGAACCTCTAAAGGAGTCAAATGTTTCTCAAAATGATTCTGAATCTGAATTTTTCTACTTCTATCAACAACTTATTTACTCTTTTCAGAAATGAATGTAAATATGAAGAGTTCCTCTTAATCCAGAAGAGAACACATTACATAAAGCCTGACATGGAAAGAATACTTCAAGTTTGCCTTCTACCCTTGTTCCATGTTCCATATTTCTATACTTAATGGTGGAACCCCACATATAATTGTCATATGTGCCCTACTACTGAAGCTTATGAGGTAAAATGCTGAAATTGGGCATTTAATTATCTTCCCACGTACGCTTCTGTTAAACTCATTGCAATTCTTTACATCTACATTGCTTTTTAAAAAACTGTATTATTAGACCCAAGAGAATAACCTAACATTATCATATTAAATTTGTGCTTTTAAGATTTAGTATATCGCTAATTTTTTATCATTTTTCTACAACTAAAATATCTATTATCTTCACTGAACCTTGACATTTAGAATATAAAAACTATTAATTTTATATTTTTTCTGAGGTCACTGATAAAGATTTTGTTAAATATAACTAAGCACCTTTATCTCTTTTGATATCAGTTCATTAGTCAACAGTATTAAAGTGTGAATTAACTGGTTATAAATGTACATAAGTGCTAAAATCTGTCAACTGACTTGATGAAATCAGGGAATGTAATTTTCATATACACATACACAATCAAAGAAAATGAATCTAAGTTTTAGTGAAACTTTCTGGTTCTTATTGACTACTTCTTTCTTTTCTATATCTATATAAATTTTACTTGAATAATTTATAATAAAACCCGGCAAACAACAATATCCAGTACATTCGTCTACGCTTCATTCCCCTTGGAATTTTCTAAAGTCCTGTTCTACTTTTTCACAGCTTCTCAAAGATCATCAGCAAATGTAATACCAATCCCATTTTGTCACATCCTAAAATATGTTTTATCCAAGCCTTGAAATTTAACCTTATCCAAAACATCTATGGACTTTCAACCTGGGAATTTTCAAGAACCACTTCTTCCTTGAAACCTATGTCCAAGATTAGAAACTCTAAAGGTGTTCTAATGAGCAGCTGGCTTATGAATCACTTCTCTTATATCTCTGGCTTCAATTTTTTTCTATCAATGCTAACCTTATGAATACATCTATCTCTAACATGACTTAAATCCTCTGTCTCTAAGAGTTTCTTTATAAAAGTGGAACTCACATATAGATGGGTCAAATACAACAACATTTAATAAACTAAAGTAATAAAAGGAGATATTTTCCTTTAATAATTGTTATCAGGCCTACTTCTGGTCTTCAATCCTTTCAAAAATTATCATTTTGAATTACTTCCCTATTGTTGTTATCTGTAAATCTCATGCAAAAATATGATCTGTGGAGGCTTCCACTCAGGAAAAGCCCTTTAGAAGGTTGTCAGGATTTGTTTAGTATAGGCCTAATATAGGCCTAATATGCAAAATTGATACTTGATATACTCTGAGGTGGCACACTACAGATCACTAGGACTGATGCATTCTCATCAAGGTTGTAAAGATAAATTTGAGGTACTTATAAAATCTTTTGTTGGCCTTATCTTATAAGCATATATATTTCCAAGGAATATTTATATTTGTGGTATTTAACAACTAAGGATTTAGGGAATCTGAATAACAGCTATATAAATTTGAATCTGAATAATGAAATACATTCCAAGAGTATTCCAAGCCCCATTCTGACTGACACTTCTTACATTACCTTGACCTGGCCTAGATTGGTTCAGGAATTACCTCTACTTATAGAATAGTATAGGTAATAGAGACTGACATATTAATAATTTTCAGGTGTAGTATATCTCAATGCTTCAAACACTATGTGAATTTAAGATTACAATTCTTAAAAATATAATAGAGTTTAAAAGGAATAATAGATTTTTAACAAAAATAATAAAAGACATATTACTACTTCTTCATAAAGTGAGATTTAAAAGATTAGAATCACCTATTTACTCTAAAATAAAAGTTGGAGAACTATTGAAACGATGAAAAAAACTAAACTATATAAATGTGAATTTATTTACCACAAAATAAATAGTGTCATGTTAATTTCACTTCCAAAATACTGTTGAGTTCATCTGCATTTTCCTAACTTCACAGCAGCCAGTCTAATTCAAGATACTATCATTTCGCCTAAATGAGGTGTGTAACTAGTTTCGACTCTCTATCCTTCCTATACCCTAATATATGTTCCATGTTCCCCTGAGCATTTTAAAACTAAATTTGGGCCTGGGTCAAGATGGCAGAATGAAGACATATCTTCACACTATATTTCTCGTGAGGTAATAAAGTTATTATAAAGAAATATACAAACAACAATATGACCCTATAATAAAGAAAATAGAATGAAAGTCATTAATAGAAAAGAGATTTCACAAATTCTGGTGAAGAACGCTTGAGAAAACACCTAGAATTCTGGTGGGCAGTCAGTTCACCCAGCACATATTCACGAAAACTACAAATGCAAAAACAGAAAGTTAAGAGTGAAGAACAGAGATGAAAAGAGAGGTATTATCTGAAGGTTTAATTTGAAGGGTGTCCATTCTTTTTGCTTCTCTGGGCCACACTGGAAGAAGAATTGTCTTGTGCCACACATAAAATACACTAACACTAATGATAGCTGATTAGAAAAAAAAAAAAAAAAAAGGTCCATACATTAATCTTGTAATGTTTTCAGAAACTTCGCTAGTTTATGTTGGGCCACATTCAAAGCCATCCTGGGCCGCACGCAGGCCACAGGCCACGGCTTAGACAAGCTTGAAACTTTAAACAGAAAAGAGACAATGATGCCACCACTCTCCTAGGCTCTGGAGAAAAATGAAAGCCATAGAAATTTAAGTCCCTGCTGAAACAATGATTATCATATTTTTTTAAGTCAAAACTAGAACAAACTATATGGAGAAAGCTAGGGCAATTTTAAAATCCCAGAATAAAGTGTTCTAAATTTTTGCACTTAATCGCCTCAGTAAAATATCCTGCTTTATCCAAAGTGAAGGCAGTCTGTTGAAAATTCTGTCCACACAAACGTGAACTACAATCATCCTTTGCTTTTCCTTATATTATATATGGAGGCATGACCAGGAATTGCTAGATATTTCAGGAAAGCTTGCATCATGGAAAAGGATGATCTAAACAAACAAACAAAAAACCATTGACTGGAGGAGATACACATAATGCAACAAATAGAACTTTGAGGAAAATTAATTTGTAAACGTGATGCTTACAAGAAGTACATTTGGGGACCAAGAAAAATCCCTACAAAAATAAAAGATAAAATTGCTAAAATAAAAAAAGAAACTACTCACAAGCATGTTAGAGGATAGAGCTGAAGAAATCCCCTTAATTTAAGCATTATGCTATATGCAACAATTGCTTAATATAAACAATATATCTTTCTAATATAAACAATATATTTCTTATATATATTTTCACATATAAAATATTTTAATTGAGATATCAGCTGACTAACAGGAGTTCAAGGAAAAAAAATAACAGAAAATGAAGGTGGGGTATAATAGAAGATAATTTACTAAAATTTAAGAGAGGTGAAAAAAAGGATTCAACAAATTGTTGAGTAGGATGAATAAAAAATTAGTTACCCACACCCAGAAATTTTATATTACCAGTGATAAAAAGAAGATTTATAAAAGATTCTAGAGAGAAAAGAAAAAAATAAATAGATTGCAAACAGACCACTCATCTCTGTCAGAAGAAAGTTATACCTTTAAAAATCAGAGGGCGCCTGTAATCCCAGCACTTTGGGAGGCCGAGGCAGGCGGATCTTGAGGTCAGGAGATCGAGACCATCCTGGCTAACACAGTGAAACCCCGTCTCTACTAAAAATACAAAAAATTAGCCGGGCGTGGTGGTGGGTGCCTGTAGTCCCAGCTACTCGGGAGGCTGAGGCAGGAGAATGGCGTGAACCCGAGAGGCGGAGCTTGCAGTGAGCCGAGATTGCACCACTGCACTCCAGCCTGGGCGACAGAGCAAGACTCTGTCTCAAAAAAAAAAAAAAAAAAAAAGAATCAGAGAGAAAATAATAGAAAATCTACAGTATATGAGAAATATAAACTGAGAAGAAAATAAGGACTTTTTCTACCTGAAAGTCTCCAAAAATTTATCTTACACACCTACCTTCTGGTATCATTAAATGTGTACTTTAATACAACGAAGGTTATAAAGAAAAAGACCATGGAGGGCCCAATGTACAAATCCCAACAGGGTAAACCCAGAATGGCTACCGGTCTGCAGGCATTTAAAACAATCTGTCCAGTTTTGGGCAGAAGGATAAAAGATTTCATAAGAAATCTTTGGGAAAAACTTTTATTTACATTTATATTACTTAGATAATATTATTTGAGAAACTTGAAGGACATAAAACACTGTAATAAAGAAAAAAATATAGGCCGGGCGCAGTGGCTCAAGCATGTAATCCCAGCACTTTGGGAGGCTGAGGCGGGCAGATCACCTGAGGTGGGGAGTTCAAGACCAGCCTGACCAACATGGAGAAACCCTGTCTCTATTAAAAATACAAAATTATCTGGGCGTGGTGGAGCATGCCTGTAATCCCAGCTACTCGGGAGGCTGAGGCAGGAGAATTGCTTGAACCAGGGAGGTGGAGGTTGTGGTGAGCCGAGATCGTGCCATTGCACTCCAGCCTGGGCAACAAGAGCTAAACTCCATCTCAAGATTAAAAAAAAAAAGAAAGAAAAGAAAAAATATGGCAAATACTTTCATAGAAAATACTTTACTATATGTTAGGCACAGTTGTAGTCATTTTGTGTGCATTAACTTATTTACTCAGAACAATAATTCTATGAAGAATGTACTATTAGTATCACTATTTTTTTCAGATCAGGAAAGTGAATTCATACAACTGGGAAGCAGAGAAGCTTGGATTTGAAATCAGTCAGTTTGAATCTGAGAACGCTAAAAAAAATGAATAAGAAGAAATAGAAACAAAAATAAAATGATAAAGGCAGAAAGAAAAGAAATACATTCACACTACTTCACCCTGCAATAAACAATATTTAAATGGCTGCAGTATATAAACACCATTGATCTTTATAATTATTTAGAAGGACATTTATTCTTACTCCTAACATTGCCATAGGGTGATGGGAATTCTCATTTGACTTTTTAAGAGGAAAAATAACAAAGAAACACTCCAAGATTTACTCTAAGATTCTTCACTGCTCTGTAACTTATCTGTTAGGTGAGCCTAAGAGAAAAGAAATTGCTAATGCTTATCCCAGTATTTTTTTCTTTCTCCTATACCCCCACCTTTCCACTTTCTAAGAAGGTACATCTTGGTCTGCTATTTCTTTCTCTCTGTGTAATTTTCTCATTTTGAAGCAGTCTCTGTCCTTTCAGGGAAGGTCTGCCATGTTCTGGTCAGTCTGTGCTAATTTAATTAGTATTGGCCTCCTATTTTCCAGTTCAGCTTTTATTAGCAGTAAAGCAGAAATATAATCCTCCTCTCTTTCTCTCTCTCTCTCCCTCTTTCTTTCATTTGGTTCCAAGCTCAGAAGAGTTATAAAATCATTCAGAATCACTATTCTATATGTCAAAATGTAACATAAAAGTACTGTCAAAACGAACTAAATATGATCTGAGAAAGACTCCGTACTTCTATATTTGAGTCCTTGTGGGCCAAACGTAGGCTAGCTTAATAGACAGACAAAATTGAAAACCTAACTTAGGAGTATGCGCCTGTAATGATAGCTGGGTATTAGTCAATCCCAGCGGCCATACTGCAACCACTCATAGACTTCTGAGTGTTCAAACTGTGTTCAAATAAGACAAACACTAACTTGTAACCAATCCAGGTGTTTCTGTACCTCACTTCTGATTCCTGTACATCCATTTACTTCTTTTGTCTATAAATTTATTCTGACCACGAGGAACCCCTGGAGTATCTCTGAATCTGCTGTGATTCTGGAGGCTGCCCGATTTGTGAATCGTTTCTTTGTTGTTTTTTGGGGTTTTTTTGTTTCTTTGTTTGTTTTTTGCTCAATTTAAGTCTGTAAAATTTAATTTGAAGTTTTCTTTTAACAGATCAAATGTGTGGAATTTTAATATAAAAATAAAGGTAAGGCCGAGTGCAGTGGCTCACGCCTGTAATCCCAGCACTTTGAGAGGCTGAGGCGGGTGATCACCTGAGGTCAGGAGTCGAGACCAGCCTGGCCAACATGGCAAAACCCTGTCTCTACTAAAAATACAAAAAATTAGCCAGGCGTGGTGGCGGGCACCTGTGATCCGAGCTACTCCGGAGGCTGAGGCAGGAGAATCGCTTGAACCAGGGAGGTGGAGGTTGGAGTGAGCTGAGATCGCACCACTGCACTCTAGACTGGGCAACAGAGTAAGACTCCATCTCAAAAAAATAAATAAATAAAAACTAAATAAATAAAGGTAACATATAAATATGCAAGTGTGAAATGTGGAAAAGTAAAAGTGAGGAAGTACAGGTATCAGAAAGGATAGAGTGACAATGTTCTTATCACAGAAAGTAGGAAGTCTAGAGATACAGTCTATAAACAGTATCCATATAGATAATGACATAAGCACATAGACAAATTTTAACCAATATTCCTCTTTTCTGATCTATTTAAAGTCCTACTTATAGAAGTACTTTGTACATCCAAATTCTGAGTCTTGCAGAGTTCCTGAATCAGCCTGATTTTGCACTGTCCCTGGGGCTGACATAATTGCAATTTCCTCAGTCTGCCAAGTTACTACTCAATCTTACACTTTCCAGCTTTCCAAAATATATTGCTCACTTCTTCTCTGAGGTTCTCTTTGCCTTTCTAGTCTTATGCCTTTACGAAAATTCTTGCTGCTGTCATTTTCATGGTATCTCAAAGAGAACAGAGGTAAACAAGTATATTTGGTCTGCCATGTTCAATTTGAAGTGCTACCATTAGTTTCAACAGTCTATACTTGCAGTTTGGAAGCTGTCTCTGCTACAGAATATAATTATACCATTTCTTAAATTCCTTCTCTATACAGCTTTGATTATCTTATCCATCATTCCAACCACTGTCTTATCAAAACGCCTTAGTTTTTATACTCTGTTAGCATCTATCCAGCTAAACACCAGTATTTTCTTTTTGCTTACACCTAAGCTGAGAAGTGATGTAGGTACTACAAAGAAAATGATAGTCTGGTAAAGGTTGCAGGGGGCAAGGGAGAGTAGAGATGGTTAATGGGTACAAAAATATAGTTAAGGTAGAATGAGTAAGATCTAGTATTTGATAGCACAATAGGGTGACTACAGTCAATAATGATTTATTCTACATTTCAAAATAACCAAAAGAGTGAAATTGGAATGTTCCGAACACAAAGAAATGATAAATACTTGAGGTGATGAATACCCCAATTACCTTGATGTGATTATTACACATTGCATCCCTGTATCAAAACATCACATATACCCCATAAATATATACACCTACTGTGTACTCATAAAATTGAAAAATAAGAAAATAAATTTAAAAAATAAAAACAAAAGAATAAATACACTAATTTTCCCAGGTTCCAAAAATATTGGATGGTAGACATAGGATTTAAAACTAGGTCTTTCTGTGCAGTCCCAGCTACTCAAGTGGCTGAGGCAGGAGAATGGGGTGAACCTGGAAGATGGAGTTTGCAGTGAGCCGAGGTCATGCCACTGCACTCCAGCCTGGGCAACAGAGCAAGACTCTGTCTCAAGAAAAAAATTAATTAAATAATTAAAAAAAAAAAACTAGGTCTTTCTGGCCAGAAAACAAATGAGAAATGGAAGAATGGGTGACATTCTTTGTTCTGTTATGATCTAGACTTGTGACCATTGGCAATACTCCTAACATAACTAGCTCAATAATCCTATAATTTTATCATCAGAAACTTCACCTAGTTTTACAACACTGACCAATGTGTGTAACTCATCTTTTCAATATTTTTCATTTTCATCTCTCCCAAAAATATTTCAAATCTTTACTAGAAGTATTTCTTACCTCTCCCCTCAGGTTCTCTTTGTCTTTCTAGAGGTACGCATTTATGAAAATTCTTGCTACTGTCATTTTCACGGTATCTCAAAGCTAACAGACATAAACAAGTATATACGGTCTGCCATGTTCAATTTGGAGTGCTGCCATTATAATCTCTTGGCTAAACTCCCATAGCTTCAAATCTAACATTTCCCTCTACTTTCCTAATAGACAATCTGTGCTAACTTTACAGAGAAAATAAAAGTCAAGAAAAATTCCAAGTTCTCAAAACTAAACAGTTAAAGCTACCATTCCCTGATTTACCTCTTAATCATTGCCCTTGTGATATTGCCAAATATAATCGATGTGTATCAGTCCTGATTGTATTTGATCATTCAGCAGCACATAGCAATGGTACCCTTTCTTGAGCTCTTGGAAGGCTCATAGCCCTTAATTTCAGTGAAACACTGTGTTAGATTTCTTCCATCCAGCTTCTTCAATTTCTCTCTAATTTGTCAGCCTCTCTTTCCCTTGCTGGCTAATAAAGGTTGTAATACTTTAAGGTTTCTTTTCTAGGATCTTTACATTGCTGACGCTCTACTCACTCCCACCATCATCTCATCCATTTCCTTGACTTCACACTCACATCTTAACCTCTATAAAAGTGCTCATCAATTCCAGACCCATGTATGGAGCTGTACCATTCCCTCACGCACATGTTACTTCGAGGGCACCATGTGTTTGCCCAGACTCCTTCTTCTATTTGGTTGCTCTGAACTGCTACTGGCTTTCTCCACTCTATTCTCCACAAAGCTGCTAAACGGATCTTTCAATTCAAGTCTATTCATCTTGCCTTGTGCTGAAAAGCCCAAGTGATTTCTCTTTGTCCCTAATTTGAAGTCCAGAGTCCTGAAATGTTTTTTCCGATCCTTTTTGATCTAGCCTTAGGTGTTGTTTCTACACACATTGGTCAGTATTGTAAAACTAGCTGAAGTTTCTAATGATAAAATTATAGGATTATTGAGCTAGTTATGTTAGGAGTATTGCCAATGGTCACAAATCTAGATCATAACAGAACAAAGAATGTCACCCATTCTTCCATTTCTCATTTGTTTTCTGGCCAGAAACACCACCTTATGTTTTACCACCATCCTTTAGGTTCTCTTTTTGTCATCCTGGATTTCTTTCGTCTCAGATTCACTTCCAATATTTTAAACTTGGTGTGGTGTATGCTAAGTGTTGCCCAGATCCCAATCCAAGAATGAAGGACTTATTATTCCAGCTTCTGTAATTGCCATCAAGAGATATATCTCAACTGTCAGCTCCCTTCAGGGATTGTATAAGGAAGGGGAATTGCCTCACCCAAAGCTATTCAAGCTTTCAGGTGGGATGCAGAAAACAATCTGTGCCCAATTACTTATTGACAAGACATACACAAGCTTGGCTTTCTAGCCTCAACTTAGGGCAAATCTGAAGAGTCATTGTACCTTCAGAGTCCCCAATACAGCTGGATGAGACTTCTGTTGCAACGGCATCACAGCTTGACTTCTCTTCTGCTCATTCCTGTTTCTGTCTCTTTCTTTCAACAGATGTTAATGCCAAAACACTTCCTAATAGACTGCTTCAGGCATATTCCATTTCTCATGGATGCAATATGTGACACATAATGTCATCTCTACTTGGAACATTCTATTATATTCCCTTATTGTCTTTACCAGCTTCTCATTGTATGTGTCACTTTTTCCATGAAGGTATTCCTTGCTTTCCCTGATTAGGATATAGAGTTTGTTTATTTTGCAGTGTATAGCACTTGATGTTATCTTAGAACAAAAATAACATAAACAGAGCATGTTACATTTGTTAAGTATTTTATTGTCAGAGACCTTAAGCTTGTGTTCTTCTATTTAAGAGAGTATTCCCATTCATTGACTTGGAAAAGTTCAGCAACTTGACAGGCTCTTACAGAGTAGAACAGGGCCATTCTATTTGGGATAATGTGTTCTTCTGTGAGTGACATCCCTGAGTTAAGTTGCTCAACTATTATACCAATGGTTCACAGTGGAGAGCTTTCTGTAACCCCTTTACCAGTCCCTTTTCAGTCACCTGGTTGGCCACTATGGCCTTTATCCAGATAATGATTTTGAAAATACAGACCTACAGACTGTAAGCTTTGAAATAATTATGGCTAGACATCATTCTTTCAGTTTGCTAAAAATATTCTAATTGCATCAATATATTAATTTTTTTGTTAGTATAACTCTATGTAGCTTAAGTCTTGATAACAAGTTTTGGTTAAATAAAGAACCAGCCAAAGTGGTGAAACCCCGCCTCTACTAAAAATACAAAAATTAGCCAGGTGTGTGCCAGGTGCCTATAATCCCTGTTACTCTGGAGGCTAAGGCAGGAGAATCGCTTGAAGCTGGGAGACAGAGGCTGCAGTGGGCCAAGATCATGCCACTGCACTCCAGCATGGGCAATAGAGTGAGACTCCATCTAAAAAAAAAAGAACCAAATTAACTTCAGTGTTTACTTATGGCAGTATTGAACATACCTCATTAGAGTAAATTTAGTATTAGATAGATGTGTTCCGAAAATCATTAAGCCTTTCCGACATCAGAAGTTCCTTGCTGGTTGCATTTTCCCTCGTTGACTATGTTTCATTCACCTAAGTCAATGCTCTGTGCCTTTTAACCTGAATACCTTAAACTCCAAAATCCTCTGTCCTTCTCTCTTGAAGAGAGTGCTCTTTATAGGCTTTGCCTTTTTACTGGAAGTTTAATTCTAGTCTCAAATCTGCACACCTGCTGCTCATTAAGCTTTTCTGCTAAAGAAAAATGATACTTCTGCACATTTTCTACCCTTGAGTAATATTAAAGACTGAAGCAGTATTGAATTAGACTTTTTCTTTTAAGTCACCTAATACTTAGACAGGACTTCCTAGAACTCTAGTTGCTATACACACAAAGGGCATTGTATAAAAATGTATTCCCTTCAGAGAAACCCCGAGGAGTTCATGCTTCTTGCTTTATTTGCTAATCATAAATATAAAAACTAGGGCTTAGGATAGTTAACTCCACCTAACCAAAGTCATAAAAATAACATTCAATAGTAATATCTACTAATTTTGATTATATACAATATGACCATGAATTTGAAAACATCTATTAACTCTTCTACTATTTTTTCATCCTTTAAAGTAAGGAAACCTTGGTCCTATATGGCTTAGGTAAATTGTCCAAGGTCCCAAAAATATTGGATGGTAGACATAGGGATTAAAACTAGGTCTTTCTGGCCAGAAAACAAATGAGAAATTGAAGAATGGGTGAGGGTGACATTCTTTGTTCTGTTGTGATCTAGATTTGTGACCATTGGCAACAGTCCTAACAACTGTGAACGTCAGTTTAGTCATTAAGAAAACGTAGGAGAGTAAAATAATCTCTAAAATCTACTTAAGCTTCAAAATGTGTGATTTTTTTCAGTAAGACTTGTTGCATGTATGACTATTATAATATATGCATAAATATATCTATTGCTTTATATTTTGGAGTTATGCTTGCTTATCAATATTTACCAGGTTGCACAAATATGCTCATTTAATCATCTCATTTTATATATATGTTTGTTTGTTTGTTTGAGACAGAGTCTTGCTCTGTCGCCCAGGCTGGAGTGCAGTGGCGCCATCTGGGCTCACTGTAAGCTCCGCCTCCTGGGTTCAGGCCATTCTCCTGCCTCAGCCTCCCGAGTGGCTGGGACTACAGGCGCCCGCCAGAACGCCGGCTAATTTTTTTGTATTTTTAGTAGAGACGGGGTTTCACCGTGTTATCCAGGATGGTCTCGATCTCCTGACCTCATGATCCGCCCGTCTCGGCCTCCCAAAGTGCTGGTATTACAGCCGTGAGCCACCGCGCCCGGCCAATCATCTCATAATATTGATGGGAGCCACTAACATGTATCTGACAGGACATCACTCTTTTTCAGCCCACATTATTATTACATTATTATTGTATTTAGACTTTAATCCTCTTTAAGCTTAGGTTGCTGCTAGGTGAAATTATCTTTCCACTTAGGAATTACTTCTTGAAAACTGTCATTTTTTAATATTTAAAATATTTTCAAAGCTATAAACCTAAAATATGAATTAAATATTTGAGTAATTGTTCCAAGATGCTACAAAGGATTATGATGACGAAACATTTACACTCTAGTTCTGCTTACACTAGGTAAAAAAAAAAAGTGGGCAAGTGTGCTGGGTTAAAAGTCATATTTAGTAAATTAGATCATACACAAACTTTAATATGATTAATCCATAAAAGTGTCATTTTTGCATGAAGGAAGATGATCTCCAAGTTGAGTGTAAAGTTGTATAAATGTACATAATTATTCATAGTTTTTTTAAATAGATGGAATATACTTTTTTCCCATCTACTTTTTAAGTCATTGCTTAACCAAATCAAATAATTTGCTACTATCCTGCTACTGATTGCCAGTAGATCCAAAAGATTGGTACACACACTCTCATATTGCAGGAGGTGATGGAATGGGAAGTTCTTCTTTATTTCTAAGTAAGTCATTGCAGTGATAGCCTCTGAAAGATTTCAGAATTGAAATACTGGCTGTATATTGCTGCAAGCAGGCATGCTTTGAAATGGAAGAAATAAAAATCCTTTTAAGACAGAAAAGTGTATTTTCTGATCTCTTCTCTTGCAGACATCTCACATCATTATGATTATTATAATTTAGCAATTACAGAACTTTTAAAATGGATTGTGCTTAAGCCAAGAACTATTATTACCACCATATTCAGAACGAAGAATCAAGCACGAAAATTTCATCAGTGAGATTCTCAGCCACTCTACCTTCTGTTAATCTGCACTAGACGACGAAAAGGTCAAGCCCAACAACTACACATACTGAATAGCTTCTTAACACAGCAAGAGACACTATTATAGTCTGGATACCAAGATTGCAACCTGAAAATTCTGAGCCACGGGCAGCTGTGGAAGGGAACCTTTCCAGAATTAATTAAATCTATACATGATGATACTATGGATAATGAATCACACACTATGACAATTACCGCTGGCTTTTTGTACTTGGGTGACAGTGGAAAGCTATCATTCAGAAAAAGATACTGAATTCAGAAGGTAACACTGTAGAGCAAGTTTTCACTGAATAAAAATTGAAGAGCATTTTGCCATTTGCTGAATGCCTTTTACCAGGATGGGAATAGATGGTGCTTAAAGTGGCTTTTTTTTTTAGAGCAAGTACATGTTTTTTCAATGCTTTTTATGCAGTTCAGCATTGGACATATATATTCCAGGGCTTTTGATAATAATAAAATTTTAATGCATATTTAACAACTTATTTCTTTAGGCCCTTGCAATAGTGAAGGTTACTGGCTTACTATTTATAACTTGTATGGAAGTGCTTTTAAAAGGAGCAATTCTAAATAACCAACAATAGCTGTCTGGTTACAATTAGTTTTCAGTCTGAAAGTGCAGTAAAGTGTAATTCCCTATAATAATATACAGTAAGTCCTCACTTAACGTCATCTATAGGTTCTTGGAAATTGCGAATTTAAGAGAAATGGTGTATGACAAAACTTTTTTTATCAATGTTATAATGAAACGATATTGAACAAAATGACGTTGAACAACACGATGTTGTTCAAGAACCTGCTGTACATTGTTTCACTTAAAGTACCGTTTTCAAGACTATATTCACATTAAATATATACAGACCACTGCAATGAAGTCTTGCAGTAGGGGAGAGAAATTGGTTTCAACTCTGAATACCATGTGGTCAAGTGAGAATTTACAGCCAAGGAGCAGTGTGGGGGTCAGTGGAAAATTGCTAAGAGGAAACGTCAAGGGTAAGGAGGATTTTGGCTAAACCAAACCTTAGAGTGTTCTTGCTGAAGATAGCCCAGTGTTCTCATACATCACCTGGGGGATAATGGAGGATGAGGAAACTGATCAGACTAATCAAAGATGATCAGATATCAAGGATGGGGGTTCTAGCTAAACTGACTTAAAAGGTTCTTTACTAAAACTGGATTTTACAAGCAGGTACACAGATGAGCCTTGGAGTAGGGTCAGATTCCTAACTAAAGTTTAGCCAAACAAAAATCTTCGTTACTTTTTTCAGAACTTTGATAAAATGGCTGAGTAGAACAGAATGGTACAAGTTTACTTATATGCTGTTAAAATTCCTTTGAATTTTAAACACTTTAAAAGTACATTTTATTTATAAAAATAAATTTGTATTTTTGATTTTTTAAATCTTTCATTTATCTAGCTTTTGTCCTAGAAAGTGAGTATTTAAAGCAATACTTGAAAACAGTGTAGTATAGTCCTTGAGGTTTCTAGGTCTGTGAGTAGATAGCTATTCAATTCTTGACTGTCACCTAAGTGCGGGATGACCTGGGGCAAGTCACTTCTCTTCTATAAGCTTTTGTTTCATCTGTGTCGATTTGAATAGCAATGTCTGTAAAATATTTAGAGGAGTTTTCGGTCCATAATAAGAGCTCAATGTGTTTTAGTTGTTTTACTCTTGAAATAAAACAAATTTTATATTTCTTTAGTCTATAATTTTGTTTCTCTTTTCAGTTGTACAGAGAACACACAAAATTATACCATGGCTGTATAAAGTTAAAGGCTTTCTACATGAATTTAACTTTGGATACAGCTTTGAAAATATGTTTGCTGAAAATAACAAAAAATAGCACAAAAAGATTAAGAATTAGGTGCCCTTACAAAGGACATGAACAGACACATCTCAAAAAAGGACATCTATGCAGCCAACAAATATATGAAAAAAAGCTCAACATCAGTGATCATTAGGGAAATGCAAATCAAAACTACAATGAGATACCATCTCACGCCAGTCAGAATAGTGATTATTAAAAAGTCAATAACCAACAGATGCTGGCAAGGTTGCAGAGAAATAGGAGCGCTTTTACACTGTAGGTGGGAATGTAAATTAGTTCAACCATTGTGGAACACAGTTTGGCGATTCCTCAAATATCTAGAACCAGAAATACCATTTGACCCAGGAATCTCATTACTGGGTATATACCCAAAGGAATTAAATCATTCTGTTATAAAAATGCATGCTTGCATATGCTCATTGCAGCACCATTCACAATAGCGAAGACTTGGAATCAACCCAAATGCTTATCAATGATAGACTGGATAAAGAAAACGTGGTACGTATACACTATGGAATGCTATGCAGCCAAAAAAAAAAAAAAAAAGAATAGAATCATGTCCTTTGCAGGGACATGGTTGTAGCTGGAAGCCATCATCCTCAGCAAACTAACACAGGAACAGGAAACCAAACTCCGCATGCTCTCACTTGTAAGAGGGAGCAGAACAATGAGAACACGTGGACACAGGGAGGGGAGCAACGCACACTGGCACTTGTTGAGGGGACAGCAGGAGGGAGAGCATCAGGAAAAATAGCTAATGCATGCTGGGCTTAATATCTGTGTGACGGGTTGATAGATGCAGCAAACCACCATGGCACAGATTTACCTATGTAACAAACATGCACATCCTGCACAAGTACCCCAGAACTTAAAATAAAAATAAAGAATTAGATGCCCTTAGTGAGAAGATTTCTTACACAAGATTTAATTCTTTAAAGAAAGAGATTATGAAAAAGAAAAGAAACCCTTTTGTTACAACTTAAGTGTCAACAATGTATGGTATGTAACAAGGTCGAGTTTTCTCTTAAAGAAAAAAAACACAGGCAATAAATTCTATAGTTTATTGAAAAGATAAGGGACTTGACAGAGGTGTTATACCTTTCATATAAGTAACACTTGTTTTGTTATAAGCTTATTGTGTTATACTTGATATGAGTATCAAAGACATGACCTGATTGCAAAGACCGGAAAAGCTTTAGAAACATGGAATCAGGGCTAGATAGGAGTAGAGAGCTGGATCAAGCTTTTGCTGCTCAATTTTTATGCTAGAAATGCTATTCATATATAGACTCAGAGCCTTTATCTTGAAATAGAGATTTAAAATAAAGCTAGTCCACAAATTAAAATTAAATTTAGTAATCAATAATTCTAGAAGGATGGCAAATGAATTGTTTTATCTCTAACTGAGAGATAGGTCAAGTAAAAGAAAGTAAAATTAAAGACAAAATCAACTCAGTTCCCATAGACAAAGCAGCTAAATTTTTGGCTTCTTCTTTGGTTTTGCTTCCTTCTCACTTTTCAAATCATGACACTAGGATTCTCTTTGAACACTAAAAATGCAGTGTCACCATTGTTGTCAAAGTTGCTGTGTTCATTTCTTTACCATTTGTCAGTTTATTGATGAAGGCCTTTAGATTTTGTGTTCCTGCTGGATCATAAATATAAATGATGGACTTATACTTTTCACAGGTAGACTCACTGAATAAACTATTTTTTTACCTACTATGAAAAGAAGGCCTTAGCCCTTGCTTATTTATATTTAATCCAATAAAACATCTTGATTGTATGCTGTCTGCCTAAGCAAAACCAGCCCATAGTCAAAATGAAAGGTAAACTGGTTGCATAAAAGTTAACACTCAGAAGTTCAGCAAATGATTTTTCAATCTATAAATTACTGAGTATATATGGTGAAATTCTGTTGTAACATCTGTCATTCTATTGATCACCATGTTAATTTGAATGAAAATATTATCTTAGATGATTTGCATTGATAAATAATGTGTCACAAACAAGGATAAGATTTAATTTATTTCACCACTTAATATGTTGTTATTTTACCACTTCAATCTGAGAACAAGGTGGTTTCATTATATGTGGAAGCTGGTTTTGATTGCTGACATTTTTAAATTTTCATTTTATACTTTGGTGAATATTGGATTGAAATTGACCAACTACCATCCCATTTACAAAATGTGAATTTTTGTAGGCACTGAAATCTGTCTTAATAACCTATAAAAATATGTTATTTCATACCTGAGGATGGTTATCCCAATGCCACTGAACATGCAGTGCCCTCTAGCTTTCTAAAGGCACAAGTTATCCAGTCAAGTTCACTTGACTACCATTCTTGATATGGTCTAGACTCCAATCCTTCTGCTCTCACAATTAGCAGCTAAGCCCTTTGGTGGTCAGTATACATCACCATTTACCCAGATTATAAACAGGAAGGATTGAACCCTTTATTTAAAGAAGATGATATTAGCAAGAGGCTGAGGTCAGGTTCTACACAGAAGGAAGAATAAATGGCTGTGGAAGTCACAGTAAATTTTGGCTATTAACATTTTTTAAAGAAAAAAATAGTCACTAACACGAATCTGTAAAGAAATCAAATTCATATAGTCTTTAAGAAAAAGTTTCTAGCAAATCTCATTCCACCTATTTATCACTTGAATTTGATCCTAAGGATTGTTCCCTCGCTTTTTCTTTCTGACAGAAGCCTTCTTAGAAGGGAATTCAATTAGACACCCCTTATGTATAATTATCACTTATTTCTCTAATGGGATATTCTCATCTCGCATGGGCTTTAGAAACTCTGGTAGGTGTCTCTGTCTTCAGACTCCTCCTAAGTAACCATGTGGTAATGAATCCCATAAATTTCTCTTTGCTTCCATGAGAATTGGTCCCAAATCTAATACCCATATTATTGTAATAGTATTTTAAGATATTCTTAAAGTATGTTTGAAGTAGTTATGCCTCTTTTCCTCCCATTGTTCTCCTTATCGATTGCAAAGGTAAAGAATATAGGACTTTGCAATTATTACTCACTCTTCACTCATTATAAATAATATTATTATCCTCTCTGATACACAGAAAAAAATCAGCAAGTGAAAACTTCGATTTAGTTATTTTACTATTAATATCCTTTCATGAAGAAGATCAATTTTTTGACATATAGTCAATTTTTTATTTATTTATAAGCTCATTATATTTCTATTCACCCTGAAAATTATTAGATCATAGTTTTGTTAAACAGAACTAAATAAATGCGTCATTTTGCTTACCTGAATCAGAGTTGCTTGTTGAGATATTTGCCCTCAGCAACAACAGCAAACAAATAAAAACAACAAGAAAAGTTTTAAGCTTCCACTAAGAAAAATCAGGTTGCATACAAAGAGATAAAAACCAACCTAGGATGCAGCTTTTCATCTGCACCATGAGATTCTGTAAAATAATGTAAAATTCACAACTTGCAATGAAAATGGAATTTTGAACCTAGAGTATTGTACCTATTCAAGCAGAGGATCTAATAAAGATATTTTAATCATACAAAGACACAGACTCTTAACATGCCTCTGTTTCTCAGTCCATATCGGTTTCATTTTCCTCCCTGGGGAATTGCTTTCTCTGTATGGCTTATATTTTATGCTTCCACATAATTTTCATTTGCAACATGCCATGGCTTTTCCAGTGATTTTGGCCTCACCTTTTCATCATTTATAGCTCCAAAGATCAATATCAGCTCAATTGGTCTCTGTGTATCTTGGTTCAAATTTCTATAGTAAGAGAAACTATTTGATTCAGCCTGGATCTGGACCCTATCTTTGATTCCATCAACTGGCAGTTAAGGCATAAGGACACCTAGTACCAATATGCCGGTTTGAGCTATGGGAAATAAGAGAGTAGGGCAAAGTTGAATATACGTAACAGATCCAACAACTGACAACTTTACATGGCAGCTTGATTATAAAAAAAAATTAAAAACCATAGACTTTGGCATTAAAGGCGACTGGATTTGCTTGATCACTTATTTCTAAAATGTTCATAATTCCTAATGTTAAATTATAAAAATGCCTAATGGCTAAGCATTGCCATGAAGATTTATATTATAAAACATGTGATGTGCCCGGTCTCATATGTAAAATATAATATTTAAATAATGGTAGCTTTCTTTCCATGCTATCAATCAACCAGTTAATTTAAGCCCAAAGACAAATCATTCATTCCTGAATACATTATTTAAGTGATTAAGAAAAACTGGTTTAGGATGGAAAGGGCTACGTCTTTGGAGGAAAAATAAATCAAAGTCAACATTCACAAAGGATTTTCCACCATTAACCCAGGAGTTCAGAATCTTATGAAATGAGTAAGAAAAAGAGAAAGGGATACATACATATATACATATGGATTTTTATATATTTGTTCCATACTTTTTAAAGTCTTCTCTAATCTTGCCTGCTTTAGTCTACTTTTTTCTCACTGAAAAACATGTTTCATCCATCCTTTGATTCTATTAACAGACAAAGCTACAATCGACTAAAATGCACATGTTCTTTATCTTTTACAAGTGAGCATGGACCATTTTCTTTAATAATCCAAACAATAATTGTGCTGTGTTGTCACCCCAAATTAAGTTAAAACTGATTAATAAAATATTCTGAATAATAAAGACTGTACTTACCTTACCTTTCTATGAACTTCCACTGTATTCAGTCACTATGTGATTTATTACTTTGTCTTCTTAAGCTAGTTACTTTTCATGCATTACCTTGGTCTTTCCAACTATAAGGAACAATGCATAGTACCTAAATTTTATACTGCATATTTCCTAGTTTAATGTAAGTTATACCACAGGCATTCACTTCAATTCTACTGATTATTTATTCTATACTTTCCTTACTTTTTAAACGAATTTTTTGTTAGGTAACACAGGGTCTGTTTCTGATAGTAATAATGTATAATACATTATGCAAACTTCATTTTACAATATAAAAAATCAGGACATTATTCTTGTAATAGCTATATGATGCAGAAATTTTATATAATGTTGATTCCCATTCTGTAACAACTATAGAAATCTTATTCAGATGAAAACTTCTGCAAGACTTAATAGCCCAAAATAGTTCATGGCTTTTTACATATTATATCCAGCTAATCACTTTGCTTAGTTATTTTTACAACAGATGTACAAATTATTCAGATATTAATTCATAGAGTTTACTTAATTTAAAACTATTTTTCTTGTTGACTATAAATAAGGGTAATGTGTTAACAAAAATAAATGAATATATTGATGTTAAAACCAGAAGAAGTGAGTCTTGAATAATATCTTGTTACCCTGTTAAGTCAGAATAGTAATTTCAAGAATTTGAATACACAGCACACCCAATAGTAGAGCATTATTTCAAATAAATTACACTACTCTCCTTAAGAATTTGTAATCATGCTCAATAATAAATAATAACCTGTAGGGCAATTATAAATGGAGGTGAAATGTAGAGCAGTATTTTAACAGAAACTCAACTCCATAGGCTAAATTAATCTATGCTGATTGCTTCTGCCTATAGAGTTTGTTTCTGCAGATAATGGCATAAACTTCAACCCTATTCCCCAATCTGTGAACCTCAGTGGACTTCTCTGTTTACACTGCTTATTAGTAGACACTAAAAAGGGAAACTCTTCATTCAACCACCATTTCAATCGATAGTATGAGCACCTTCTAAAAATAAAACAATCTATTGACACCCATTACCATTTCGTTTAATTAAGGACACTGTGATAATAGAGTTTAGTCCTGAACACTTAATTTTTCATAACTATATTTATTAGGTGATAGAACCAACAAAACAAAACACTAAGAAACCCAAAGAAAAGTAAGAATTTGGGTTTTCAAATTATGGTTTCAGGTACATCTTTTAAAATTTGAAACTAGGCATTTAGATTATTGATTATTAATAAGTGAAGCACTATTTGTATAATATCATAGCAATGTTATATTAAAAGTGGGTCTTTTATTGTTTTACGGTTTATTTCAATTCTTGTAAGAGCTTTAGAGATAAACAGAAGAAAATTAGAGAGAAGAGGAAAAACAGTCAAAAATATCTTTGTTCTTAAAGTACTGCAATTCTACTAAACTATATCAACATTCTCAGTAACTATTACTCCTGAGCAGTGCAGGTAACTTTAATTTAAAAACAGCCATTTTTGTATATAAGCATACAATTTTATAACACACTTAATTTTTGTTCTTTGGTAGGCAGAGTTGAAATATTTCTTCACTATATATTATATTGTATATTGTATATGTTATATATATTTTATATATAATATATTTGATCATTTTGAAAGCAAACTTTCACTCATTTCACTATTTCACCACACTCATTTTACTACTTAACCATTAAAGTGATTTTATTCATGTTTGAAACTAGGTACTGAACATAAGGGAAGATTATCCAAAAAGAGAGAAAACTCCCAAACTTCAGTTCCAGATACCAATTTTTTAAATAAAGTTATTTTACAGTTTAACTTTCTTTTCCTTTTTAACATTTCCTCCACCCATCACTGTAAAATCCCCTCAAATCTGTTTATATATCTAGAATTCAGATACTATCTTATTTATTGCAATCACAGTAAGGCTTACCACTTAGATTTTTATTTAAAAATCAGTCATTCTATTTTGAAAAATGAATGAATGATTTGCAGTTTAACAATGGAAATACTCTTTATTCACTATGTGTGGCTAGCAAACTGCTTGCTTTCTAGTAATTACCCTCATGTTTTAGTAGCTGAACAGAAATAGCGTTTGTATTTCACTCACAGCGCAATCCAATATGGGTGTCACAAGTCACAGGTGGGGTGTGATTCTCTAGTCCAGCTTCACTCCTCAGAAACTTAGGCTGATGAACAATCTCAGATGCTTCATCCCTACAACATTCTTTAATGTTTTTTTGCCATTGGTAAATGAATCATATCTCCTTAAGGCTCTCAAGAAATTCTCCACAATCTGCCTTTTGATTACCATTCTTGGCTTTTATTCTGTGACTTTCTTCATATTCTTTGCATCACCCAGACTGACCTATTTCAGTCTCCTGAAATGGGCCACGCTCTCATACACCTTCAGACTTCTTTTATGAGCAACTACAGGCATTCCTGTGTACTTTGCTCCTCTCATAGAATTTCCTTCCTGTCATTTTTTGGTAAACAAGCTCCATAAATATTATTTGTTTCAGCCTAGACAACACCTCTTGGGATTCTAGAAGAAACCCCCTTTACTTCCCATAGGCGTGTACTCCCCACAGCACAGTATCTTCAGTACCATCATAGCATTTATATTACCATAGTATAATTTCTTCTTCATTTCTTGGGAACATGCTTAAAGGAATAAAATGTTTGAGAGCATAGTCTCTTATACCATTTTAGACCCAGAAAACAGCACATGACTAGCTGATAATAGATGTCAGCATAGAAATATTGAATAAATAAATAGGGAAAATTATTTTAGACTGTAACCTATCAATGTAAGTTCCATATCAATTAGAATTGATAGTAAAATCAGAGGACATAAAAGATATAGAATAAAATATATGCAACTTTTTAAACAAATTAAAATGGAATTAAATCATATTAATTTAAAAAATGCAAAGGAAATTAAAAATAGCATGGGTTACATCAAAATGTAAAATTAATGTTCATTTTAAAAATTACAATAAAACTAAAAGTAGAAGGCTAATGCAGAATATTTTTGGAACAAATGTGATAGACAAAGTGATATTTTAATGTATGTAAAGTTCTTACAAAATATTAAAAGCATTTAAACACATAAAAAATGAACACTTCTTTCCAAATAAAAATCAATGCAAATAGAAAAGCATGTTTTTAAAAGATGCATCACTTCTGGTAGTAAAAATACAAACTATAATGAGAATATAAGCTTTTTCCCATTAAATTGGAAGAAAATGGAGAAAAAAGATAATGGTGACAGGGGTATCATGAGGTAGCCATCTCACATATTTTGTGTCAGCTTCAAAACTGGCAAAACTTGTCCATAAAGCAATATGCCCATATATATCAAGAGACTTAAAAATATGTATATCTTTTGACTCTGGATTGGCAAAAGTAGGAATTCATTTTAAGCAAATAATTGAGACTATGTTTGAAAATAAGTAATCATTTCTTAAAGTAGCATTTATTATAATACAAATTGAAGACAACTAAATTTTCAAAAATAGGTAAATGATTAAATAAAATGTAGTATATGATTAAATAAAATGTAGTATATAATATAAAATAGTATTCAGTAATTAAGAAAATATTTAGTGACCTAGAGAATGTTTTCCCCATATTTAGACAGGGAAATACTGCATTTTTTTTCCTTTGTGCTGCCTTTCTTTCAGTTGCTTAACTGGCCTGAAAACTCTACTTGTAGAGCTTTGCCTGCTCTCCAGAGTTGTGCCACAGTTCCCAGGCTGTATTCAGAGGGAAAGAAGCAAATGAAAGTAGCAGAGTGAAAGTTCCCTCCTCCTTAAACTATCTATCAATATGTTCCCAGCTGGGCATTGGCCACAGAGAAAGAAAAACTCCACAATAGATGTGAATGATTTTAATGTTTTGCTGTGCCACAGTCCTTCCCAGAATACTAGAGAGCCAGCTATCTGTTTAGTATGTTTGATAGAAAAGAATTAAATGTGGAAAAGGAAAAAAAATTCTAAAACTATTATCCATCATTTGAAAGAATTTTGCATAACAAAAATCAAACAAATATTCACTTTTTTTCTATTGTTATGGCACCATTAAAAATTAACTGTAACCTATGTGGAATTTATTTTGATACATCATGAGAAAATTTTCCATTTATTTCTAAGCAAATACAATTTTCAATACCCTTTCCAATCCATTAATCACATTTTTTCATTAATTTGAAATGCCAGATCTAGCATATACTAAATAATGCCTGGTATGAAGCATACATAGTACTTATATTTATGCCTCAAATTTCAATTTTGCTCCATTGGTCTCTCCATTTCTTTATTATTTTCATATGGTGCTCATTAGTAATTATGATATACTTTAGCTTAATTATTTTAAATGAACATATTTAATGCAGTTTGGTATATTGCAAATGCTTTTTTAATGTTGATAACAAATAAGGTTTTATGTCTTGCTCATCAGATTATTAAAGCAAGGGGATTTTCTGAGAAAGGATTTTAGATATGCCGTTTCATCGCTGTAGTGACTATTCCTGATATCCACTCTTTGGTTTATAGCATTTATTTTTAATATGCACTATGATTGATATAATATTATTGAGGCCAAAAGAAATGTTTTCTTATCCTTTTCTGGCTACAGTTTTTATGCTGCTCTTCCTGGTAAATTATACTCTCATTTTAAACATATAAAGTTTGTTCATTTCAATGTAAGGACTCTGTGACAGCTGCTCTGAAACCCTAACAAGGGCATTCACTCATTTAGATGCAGTCCGTCTGAATAGCTTCAGTTGCCTGAGGTTGCCAATGCTCTAAAGTGTAACTCCTACTCACTCAGGCTGACCTGAAACTTATACCATTAAACCAAGCTTGAGGGCCTCAGGAAGTCATAGCTAGATGGTAAAGTATTGTACAAATAATCTACTCAGAAAGACTGCTTCCAAGGTCCACTGGGGTTGAGGGTAATTTTGTAAAAATTCTCAATGTAGAAGGCAGTACTCCTATGCCTGTGTCACACTGGACATCATTTGCCTGTTGTCAGTATATCCTTTTGTAGAGATGTAAGAACTGCTTTAATATGAACCATACACACTTTACAGTGACACCATGACTATATTTAAATTTTAATATACTGAACTGCAAACAGCAGACATGCTTCTTTCTTCCAGACTCTAGTTCATGATAACTGTCAACCAAATAAAATGTACCTGCTAAACTAGTGTAGTTGAGTCCATCAGTAACAATAACAGAAGAATAAACGTGGCAGTATTTAGCCTTTTAATTGCATTTATCACTTAAAAGAACCTGAGCAAGTAGACTCTCTTATCACCCTCCCTTTCCATCTTACAGGTGAGAAAATAGGAGTTTAGAAGTCAAGTATTTTTTCAATATCACCTTGCTACTATGTAGTAGAGCTAGCATTGGAAGGCTAGTCTGTCTGACTCCAAATATCAAACATTGTATTAATAGTTAGCCAAATACTTTAAGAGGGGAGGAGTTAAACACCCCATTTCTAAACTAAATTTGACTTAAACCAACTCAGAAAAATAAGTTTTATAACCTTTTCTTAAATGCTTCTTCCTTAGTAGCATCAACCAATGCCTTGCAAATGTAATATTCCTTCTACCATCCAATCCCAATTCCTTTTGCTAAATTTTAGGCCTATTTCATTTTTAAAGGGTGTGAAATAGATGACTACCACCAAACATATAATGTCTGTCACATTTTCCCAGATGTTTTGCTAAATTATTGATAGTTTGAGGGACAAAACCTTGAAGTCACATACAAGAGGTGATGCTCCAGAAATCTGATTGCCTTGATTTGTCAAAATGAGAGTAAAGAAACTTGACTCAATTCTTAGAAGATCTGTTTTTGTTTGTTTGTTTGTTTTTTTGTTTGTTTGTTTTGAGATGGAGTTTCACTCTTGTCACCCAGGCAGGAGTGCAATGGTATGATCTCCACTCACTGCAACTTCTGCCTCCTGGGTTCGAGCAATTCTCCTGCCTCAGTTTCTCAAGTAGCTGAGACTACAGGTGCCCGCCACTACACCCGGGTAATTTTTGTATTTTTGGTAGACATGGGGTGTCACCATGTTGGCCAGGCTGGTCTCCAACTCCTGACCTCAAGTGATCCTCCTGCCTCGACCTCCCAAAGTGCTGGGATTATAGGCGTGAGCCACCGCACCAGGCCATAAGATCTACTTTTTTAAAAGCAGACCGTCTCTGAATCAAGGCCATATACTAGCATGCTTACTCTTAATTAGTGTAGTACTGGGAAATAGAGCGCTGGTAAATTTTTTTAAAGGGAGAGAAAATAAAATAAAGAAAAATTAGATTTAAATAAAGCAGTCTAAACTCACTGTCCAATAGTTAAAATGTTTACAATTTTACTGAAATCAGAAAATATTAGAATATTTGAGTCATAGCTGATCGTTGCTCTGTTAAGATTTATAAAATGGCATATATCTGTATACATTTGGTCTCGTGTGTTAAATATTTTGTGATTTCAGGGGCATATTACTTCCATTTCCTTGTATTCACATTAACTCTCCTGCAAATGTAAATATGTTTTCCTTTTTAATGTTACCTTCCTCTATGTCATTATTTTCCATTCTGCTCCATGCTGGCTTGATTAAGCCATCTGTTATTTTATTTACGATATATTGCTATGGCATCCAAAGCTGCCTTAGTACTTTTTATGGTATCTCATCTTTGGCTCTTGAAGCCAATCCGAATCTTCCTGGAACCACACCAACTGCGGCTTTTTTCACCTCTGATCTATTCTAGCTCTGACTTTATCTCCAGCTTGCTCTAAAATACCTGCCACCAAGACTTTTACGTTACGGTGATATTTTGCTTCTTTTTATCTTTATTATTGTTTTAAAATTATATTTTATATTGACAAATGATAGTTGTATTTATTATGAAGTACAAAATCATGTTATGATTTTTAATACAACATGGAATGATTAAACTAATTAACATATCTAGCACCTCAAATACTTAACATTATTCATGATGAGAACATGAGAAGTTTACTCTCAGTGATACTAAGATGTGCAGCACTCAATTACCAGCAATATTCACCATGCTATGCTATCAATATTAAAAAATCAAACTTATTTCTCCTATATAACTGAGGCTTTATACACTTTGACTATTGTTTCCTCATTCCCCTTGACCCCAAGGATTTAGTAAGCACAATTCTACTCTTCATTGAGTTCAAGTGTTTTAGATTCCACATAGAAGTTAAAACATGCAGTATTCATCTTTTTATGTTTGGCTTATTTCACTTAGCATAATATTCTCCAGTTCTATTCATGTTATTGCAAATGACAGAATATATTTATTGTTTAGGGCTGAATAGTATACCTCTGTGTATATAAATCACATTTTTAATCCATTAATTCCTTGTTGAACATTTAAGTTAATTCCATAACTTGACTATTGTCATATGGAACCACAAAAAATAAACAAAGAGCCAATACAATCGTGAACAGAAAGAACAAAACTGGAGCCATCACACTATCTGATTTTAAACTATACTACAAAGCAATAGAAATTACAACAGCATGGTACTGGCATAAAAAAGGACACATTAACCAATGGAACAAAATGGAGAGTCCAGAGACAAACTCACACATCTATAGCCAGTTAACTTCTAACAAATGTGCCAAGAATGTATAATGAGAAAAAGATAGTCTTTTCAATAAATGGTATTGGGACAACTGTCAATATGCAAAAAAAAAATGAATTTGGACTCTTATGTCACACCATATAGAAAAAAACCCTCAAAATGCATTAAACACTTCAACATAAGGCCTGAAACTATAAAACTACTAGAAGAAAATATAGAGGAGAAACTATATGACATTGGCCTGGGTAATGATTTTTTTTTTTTAGATTTGACTTCAAAAGTGCAGGCAACAAAAGCAAAGAAACATAAATGAGATTACATCAAAATTAAAAACTTCTGCACATCAAAGGAAACAGTTAACAGAGTGCAGAAACTTATGGGGTGGGGGAAAATATTTGTGGCCATACATTTGATAAGAAATTAGTATTCAAATATATAAAGAACTCAAATAACTCTATAGAAAGAAAACAAATGATTTGACTAAGAAATGGGAAAGGGGCCTGAATAGACATTTCTCAAAAGACATATGAATGATGTACGGACACATGAAAAAATGCTCAACATCTCTAATCATTATGGAGATGCAAACCCCCCTACTTTGAATGCACTCAGACTTGGTATCCTGAGTATATTATCAATCATTAGTTTTTTTTCTAACAGATGTTAACTACAATTTTGACTCCGATTTCTCAGGCCCCTTACTTCTTTCAGTGGGAATCTCATACTCTATCCTCTATCTCAAATTATATAAAACTAAATCCTAAATCTCTCATTTGAATAAACACCAATCAACATCTCAGGCATATTTGCTGTCAACAGAGGGAATTTAATACATTCTGCCTGCCATCTACCCCATGCACTCTCAGTAGATCTAGTCTTTAAAAACAAACAAACAAACAAAACTTTAATTTTCTTTTTTTTTTTAATTATACTTTAAGTTTTAGGGTACATGTGCACAACATGCAGGTTTGTTACACAAGTATACATGTGCCATGTTGACGTGCTGCACCCATTAACTCATCATTTAACATTAGGCAATTTCCTAATGCTGTCCCTGCCCCCTCCCCCCACCCCACAACAGGCCCTGGTGTGTGATGTTCCCCTTCCTGTGTCCATGTGTTCTCATTGTTCAATTCCCACCTATGAGTGAGAACATGTGGTGTTCGGTTTTTTTGTCCTTGCAATAGTTTGCTGAGAATGATGGTTTCCAGCTTCATCCATGTCCCTACAAAGGACATGAACTCATCCCTTTTTTATGGCTGCATAGTATTCCATGGTGTATATGTGTCACATTTTCTCAATCCAGTCTATCATTGTTGGACATTTGGGTTGGTTCCAAGTCTTTGCTATTGTGAATAGTGCCACAATAAACATACGTGTGCATGTGTCTTTATAGTAGCATGATTTATAATCCTTTGGGTATATACCCAGTAATGGGATGGCTGGGTCAAATGGTATTTCTAGTTCTAGATCCCTGAGGAATCACCACACTGACTTCCACAATGGTTGAACTAGTTTACAGTCCCACCAACAGTGTAAAGTGTTCCTATTTCTCCACATCCTCTCCAGCACCTGTTGTTTCCTGACTTTTTAATGATTGTCATTCTAACTGGTGTGAGATGGTATCTCATTGTGGTTTTGATTTGCATTTCTCTGATGGCCAGTGATGATGAGCATTTTTTCATGTGTCTTTTGGCTGCATAAATGTCTTCTTTTGAGAAGTGTCTGTTCATATCCTTCGCCCACTTTTTGATGGGGTTGTTTGTTTTTTTCTTGTAAATTTGTTTGTGTTCTTTGTAGATTCTAGATATTAGCCCTTTGTCAGATGAGTAGAGTGCAAAAATTTTCTCCCGTTCTGTAGGTTGCCTGTTCACTCTGATGGTAGTTTCTTTTGCTGTGCAGAAGCTCTTTAGTTTAATGAGATCCCATTTGTCAATTTTGGCTTTTGTTGCCATTGCTTTTGGTGTTTTAGACATGAAGTCCTTGCCCATGCCTATGTCCTGAATGGTAATGCCTAGGTTTTCTTCTAGGGTTTTTATGGTTTTAGGTCTGACATTTAAGTCTTTAATCCATCTTGAATTAATTTTGTATAAGGTGTAAGGAAGGGATCCAGTTTCAGCTTTCTACATACGGCTAGCCAGTTTTCCCAGCACCATTTATTAAATAGGGAATCCTTTCCCCATTTCTTGTTTTTGTCAGGTTTGTCAAAGATCTGATAGTTGTAGATATGTGGCATTATTTCTGAGGGCTCTGTTCTGTTCCATTGGTCTGTATCTCTGTTTTGGTACCAGTGCTATGCTGTTTTGGTTACTGTAGCCTTGTAGTATAGTTTGAAGTCAGGTAGCATGATGCCTCCAGCTTTGTTCTTTTGGCTTAGGATTGACTTGGCAATGCGGGCTCTTTTTTGGTTAATTTTCACATAGTATCTTCCAACTAAAAAATTTAAGCGTTTTAAAACACCCCAAAAATCTACTTGTTAAGGCATTCTGTGTCAGTCAGGGTTCCACCAGAAAAACAGAACCAATGGGATACATATATCCATACATATGTAAAGATTTATTGCAAGAAATTGGTTAACGTGATTTATGAGCAGATTAGGTAAATCTAAAGCCTGAAATCAGCCATCAGGAAAGGTAGGCTGGAACCTTCAGGCATAAACTGAGGCTGCTATCCAGAGACAGAATTTCTTCTGGGAAGCTAGTTATGCTCTTAAGGCCTTTCAGTGGCTTGATTAAGTCTTCCCAGATTATCTGGACAATCTTACTTACAATAAACTAATTATATACTCTTATCACATCAGCAAAATACTTTCACAGTAACACCAAGATTAGTGTTTGAATAAACAACTAGTGATTAAACCGTAGTCAAACTGAAGCATAAAACTGACCCTCACACATTCCAAGTTGAATAAATTAACGATTAATGAATAAATAATTAATTAACTAAAATTTATTTACTTGCAAGTCTACTTTTCAGATTGCAGAGGATAAGCCATTGTAACTGGAAGGAGAAATTTGAGAAAACTAAAAATTACCAAAATATAGCCAAAAAAGGAATACTAGTTTCTTGTCCAGAGGAATTCTGGTATATCAAAATGATGGCCTTATTATCTCCCAAATTCAATCTACATATTACACCTCAGAACTTTACTCAGTGTCATATCTTTAGAATAGCCTATTGTCCTCTGCAGCCTAAATAATATCCTTCCTTGAAGCCTCAATTTAAGCACTGCTTGCAAGTTAATCTTGCTTAGATGGCAGTTTGCTCTGGGCTTCCGTAGCAGGTAAAGTTTATAGCACTAATTTAGCAATTCTCATACATTCATCTTTAGAAGTATCCCTCCAGCCTAATGAATGCATGTGCAATTTTGAATCCCCTAGATATACCTGAGGTCAAAAGTGATTGTGACCACACTGGTCCCTATCAAACAAAAAGAATGGTTTCATACAGTTTTACTCTTAAGACCACCTGATGGCAAAATGAATAGAAACAGGTTAAGAGATCAATACATTCTTTGTAGCCCTGCGCAACTGCCTCTTGATGTGCAGCCAACTCTGTTTTACCACATCTGCTCTTGTTTCGTCTCCTTTTTCAGTTCCTATTTCCCTTCCTCCCCATCTCACTGCATATGACCACCTCTCCAAGGAGCCATGCTAATACCTCCAGATAGATGCATTGTCTGCAGTTTTTACCCAGCATTCTCAGCTCTGATGCACTTCCTAGCTATGATTCAGCATAATACATAATAGCAGATCCAGCTATGGTGCTGTCACCTCAGATTGCTTAAGTCCTTCTCCAGAGACACGCTTAATTCTTAATGATGTTGCCAGGAGTTATTTACAAGCATGGGATTAAGGAGTAATTCCTTAAAGGCATTACAAATGACACTTGCATTTCAAATTCTTTTTTTTTTTTTTTTTTGGTTCAGTGATTTTCATCAAACACTACTCTTAATGTGGGTTAGGGATTTCAAGAGAGTAAAGCAAGAAAATATAACTTACATTATTCTTATTACTCCTGTCATAATATGATGATCTCTGTAGTCTGTTTCTTAGAAGAGCCAGACCCTAAATTACAGCTAAGTTGCATTACAAAGTTTAACTCTGAGTCCTTTGTCTGGAATCTGGAACATCTTTTCTGATTGAAAGATGTTTAAATGTCAGTTCGTTTCCTGGAGTAGGCTTAAAAATATTCTAGGTAAAATTAATTCAGCAAATTAGGTTCAGGATAATTTTTGTTTAGTGAACTCGACTGAAAACAGGATCAACAGTTATAACACAAGATTCAGTTTGGAATACTGGGAACTTATCTTCCTACCAGGGAAGGCATTGATGATAGCCCTGTGGAGATTTCATAATTGTAGATTTCATCCACTGGATAAACATAAAGCATGACCACAACCCATATAATTGCTAAATGAATAAATTAGTAAATGAGTGAGCAGATATCATTTCCCTTATGTGCCATGGCAGAGAAAAAAAGTTAATAATTGTCTCTTCCAGTATCAAGCAGCAAGAACCATAGGGAATGCTGGATCATAAACTCTTATTAACTATTTCCCTTTTGCCAAAATAAATTTTAAAAAATTCTAACCTTTTTTGACATCATGCAGATAAACTCATCCAGAAATCAGGCAATTACAGAGTGGATGCTAGCATGATATAAATTGCCTATATTTAAATGGCTTGCTCAAATGAGGACTAGCATTAAAGATTCTACCAGGAGAGTTGACCCTGTCTGTCCTTCCAAAAGCCTCAGATCTCTTCCTGTTCCCTTTTTAGAAGACTTGAATAAAAACATGCAGAACACTCAAAAATATACACTCAGCTGGAAAAAGAAGATAGGGAAAACAAGAGAAAGCTTCCTTGCTTGCTACAAGAGGAGGGAAATGACTGCCTTTTACATATAAAACTCTGAAACTAATTGCATTAAAGGCATATTCAGTAATATTTAATATATTTCCAGGACACTTATGAGTAATTTTAATATATACCTTTTAACCTATACCTGATGTTCCATTATACTTGCAATATAGCTATTCTTCCAATATAGTTATTGGAATATATAACTATAACAATAGTTATTCTACTTGCTTACTATACCCTTTAAATTATAATGATTAGTCATGTATATTGCATAATTAAATTACAAAAATGATTAATAATCATTATATTATTGTTTAATCTTACTACATACCACATATTTCATTTTAACTAGAAAACGCAAAGTGCTTTTTAACTCATGGGCCAAACATATTGTTATATGGATAATTAGCCTGGGTTTTATTACAGGTAAGGAAACTAAGGTCCAAGTTAAGCCACTTATCCAAGGTGAAACAAGAATATTCCTTGTTCTTGGTCTGAGTCAATAATAGCTTAGAGCTTAGAATACAGGACTTTCAGTCATTTTTTTTTACAAAACTGAACCAAAGAAAAACCACAAGTTTTCTCTGTAATTAATAATATAAATACTCTTAAAGAAGATTTTTTTTTTAGAATCGTGGTTCTTACAGAAGATTCAGAGAATGGTGTCTAATAGAATATTTCAGGCAACAACCTATTGACATAAGCCTGGTTAGGCTCAGCTATCACAGCCCCAGCCTCTGACCCCATACAGTTTCAAAGCATCCTGGAATAACTCCTGGGTATCTCATTTCATAAATGGTCTCCAGACAGATATTGTCTTCAGATGGCAGTAACAGAGACCTGTGATCCACGACAGAAATTCTCCATCTTTTCTTTTCTATTATAACACCCATGAATAATACAAAAGAGAGCAAAAAAAAAAAAAAAGAAGAAGAAGAACTGATGGGCATTACTTTAAATCACAAGGCAGCTTTTAAAATTATTATTACATTTTTGCTCCCCAAGGAAGTAGTTAAAATTCCCTCCTGAATAGATTGCATCTGGTTTAGTTAAGTTCATTGAAGGGGTCTTTTAATTATTGTAAAAATTAAGTCTCAAGCTTTAAGCCAGGAAAACTGGGAAAGGATACAAATGAATGAACAAACAAAATTTGGTCTATGTTTCAATCTCTTGTAAGAGATAATATTCATAACCTGAGAGTTAGTCTTATTGCTTAAGATTAGATCATCTTACTGTTCGCCCTAGTTGAATTTCGGAGAAAACAAGGCAATTGATATGGGATATTTGGCTGAAGGAGTTTGTAATGACCCCTCTGGTTTCTGTTAATTGTAGGTAGAGCACCTAGATTAATTACCCTACCAAACCTCTACAAAATGAGTGGAAACCATTCCTAAAGGTAGACTGGAAAGCTGTTACAAAGGCGAAATATGTGCTAAGCAGCAAAAAATAAAAATAAATATCCAACAGAGTCTAATTAACATACTGGAATTTTTTTTCAAATGCTTTGAAATCTGAAAAAGGTTAATATTATTTCAAAAAATACATTTATATGTTTGCATTTACGTGTATGTGTGCATAAGCATATCATAATTTACAAATTGATAAAATACAATTCAGTTACTCCTTGGGGCACCTCTTTTTCTGAATATAGAGACATAAGGAAATTCAGCTAATATATTTTTATTTGAAGAGAAACTGTAACAACTAATGATCACATATAGGGTATACTATCTTGCTAATAACTATTTTTCTCATAAGAGCTTCAAATACATTCTCTAAACAATATTTTTAAATAACGTACATGTTTTTATTACACACAGTCTTCTTACTTGCTCTGAAAATTTGTCCTCTTTAGAGTTCTTGACTGTGTACAACATACCCAAGAAATAATCCTTCTGTTTGATGCTTCTGGATCCAGCATCTCACTGCAGATACCATGGTTACAAGGCCAAGTGTTAGGCATGAAATTGCAGGCTTTAAAATGCGGTAAGATTGCTATATTGGCTTCTTAGGACACTCAGCTGCATCTGCACCAGACCACATATTTGTTTATGAAGAAATGGTTGTGTGTAAGATAAGGTGATGGAGATCATTAATTATAGGTGGAAGCCAAGAGATAAAGAAAAAGATGATTATTTATATAACCAGTTCCTTACCAGAATGCTGCGTAGTTCAAAAGCTAATAAAACTCCTTTAATAACTCTGAACCCAAGAGGTGGTAATCTACATTTTATTAGGTGGAAGAGATTTAAAATTGTTTGTTGCAGAAGATTAAAAAGAAGGGAAATAAAGAGAGGGAAAGAGACTAAAGCTTGAATCAGAAATGAGATTCATGATTTTCCTTTTGATCTACACAATATCAACTGTCTGTACTGCATTATAACTTCATATGATTTCCCATCAGGTTGTCTGAAAATTGACTCTTTAAATGTGATGATGCTGAAAAATGGTGTCTAAGAAAAGAAAGCTTTCCTTTAAAAAAAATTAGTTTCCTGTAGCATTTTACTAATGAGATACACAATAAGATTATATCACTCATGCATTATTTAACATCATACCCCCTGAATTTCCATCTCCTGATTTTAGATGACTCACATGCCGGAAAACAGAACAGCCTCAGGCATTTTAAGTTTTGAATATAAATCACCTATATAGTTTTAAAATGCTATTTTAAATAAAATATCCAATTCTCTGGCCTTGATTATGTGTGAGCAATAATATATATTTTTGCATAATTCTAACTTCATTTATATTTTGTAATATATCATTTTTCTCATTGAACTAATTTTTATTGAGTGTCCACTGGTACAAGATGTCATGTAGAAATATATGGCATTGTTTAATTTAATTAAGAAATCATTACTCAACATATTCTACTCCTCCCACACAGGCACTTGATAGAAACACTTCGTTAACTTGCTAATATAAATTAAAATATTTACAGGAGATATTTATTCCACATTCAGAATGACCCAGGACTTTAATATTTGAGTTACAGAGGGAAATATACATTTCTATGTCCAAACCATGTAATTAAATAAGCAGATTGATACAGTGCTGTGCTGAAGCCAGCTTGTACTGGCTCAGGGGAACTGTTGTTAGCCTCTCTTTTCAAATCGATGTTTAGTGATGCCAAATTGATAGTGATGGGAGTATTTACACACAGAAATTGGTAACTGTCACAAACAAATGGGTTTTGTTTTGTTTTTGTTTTGTTTCAGAGTCAGCTGGTAAACATTTACCAGCCCATCACTGCTTTTAATCAATGTTGTTTACAGAATTATTCACACAAATGAAATGCAGTCTTGAATGAGCAGTCTTTGAAAAAAGGTTATAATGTAGTAATACATGAATTAAAATAATATTCATAAATTATATGTCAACTGGCATTTATTTAAAGTGATCTAACCCTTCTAAAAATTAGCTAGCAGTGTAAACAAGGAGTAAACAAAGCAAAATTAATAAATTTGTGAATATTTAGTTAGGCGATTGTTATATAGGTTCATTTTGCATGTTTATGTTTGCAAACTTTTCATAAGAAGACATTTAAAAGTAAAAAAGCAAAATACTTATACATATATCAAATATATATAGTTTGTGTATATATGTAGTTTTAAATTATATATATGTATTCACACATAAGTAACACATTCTTAAAAATAAAGACCATCTCATTGTGGTTTTGATTTGCATTTCTGTAATGATCAGTGATGATGAGCTTTTTTTCATGTTTGTTGGCTGCATGTCTCCTTTTGAGAAGTGTCTGTTCATACCCTTCACTCAATTTTGATGGGGTAGTTTTTTTTTTCTTGTGAATTTCATTATGTTCTTTGTAGATTCTGGATATTAGCCCTTTGTCAGATGGATAGATTGCAAAAATTTTCTCCCATTCTGTAGGTTGCCTGTTCACTCTGATGATAGTTTCTTTTGCCAGTTAGAATGGTGATCATTAAAAAGTCAGGAAACAACAGATGCTGGAGAGGATGTGGTGAAAAAGGAACACTTTTACACAGTTGGTGGGAGTGTAAATTAGTTCAACCATTGTGGACGACAGTGTGGCAATTCTTCAAGGATCTAGACCCAGAAATACCATTTGACCCAGCAATTACCTTACTGGGTATATACCCAAAAGATTAAAAATCATTCTTCTATAAAGATACATGCACACATATGTTTATTGTGGCACTGTTCACAACAGCAAAGACTTGGAACCAACCCAAATGCCCATCAATGATAGACTGGATAAAGAAAATGTGTCACATACACGTCATGAAATACTATGCAGCCACAAAAAAAATGAGTTCATGTCCTTTGCAGGGACATGGATGAAGCTGGAAACCATCATTCTCAGCAAACTAACACAAGAACAGAAAAACAAACACCACATGTTCTCATGCATAAGTGGGAGTTGAACAATGAGAACACATGAACACCAGGAGGGGACTATCACACACTGGCGCCTGTCTGGGGGTTGGGGGCTAGGGGAGGGATAGCATTAGGAGAAATACCTAATGTAGATGATGGGTTGATGGGTGCAGCAAACCACCATGGCACATGTATACCTATGTAACAAACCTGCACATTCTGCACATGTACCCCAGAACTTTAAGTATAATTTAAAAAGAAAAAATAATAAAAAAACAAAGACCATATATATTTACAAAGCATTTGCTGTACAGTTATTCAATTATTATCTTAGTATGTTTCTTTAATAGGAAGTTATGGTTTGTAGTTTCATTATGAAAAGAAAACATATCATAAATTCCAAATATTTCCTTAACTGTGATTCAAATTTTATCTGGGGCATCAAAAGGCATGGGACCAACTTATCTTTTTAAGTACATTTAAACAAACAAAATCACCAAATGATATATATAGTTTGATATACCTTTAGTAGAGGTATTGAGGGGTTACACAATTCAAAACATTTTAAGATTGAAGAAGTTCTCTGTACACCATTGAGTCCAACCACTTTATTTTGTGGGAAAAAAAAAAAAAACTCAAAAAGACAATAAACTTCAAAGTTAGAGTTAACCAAGTTCTTGCTACTCAAAAGTGTGAGCCAATGTCAATATCACCTAGGAACTTCTAGGAAATTCTGACTCTCAGCCCTTGCCCCAGAAGTAGTGAAATGGAATCTGTAGTTTAACAAGATCCCCAGGTGATTTACACACTTATAAAAAAGTGAAAAGCACTGAAACAGGCAGCACCAAATTTGGTGCCATTGTGTCTGATTCCCCTACCTCATTACCCCACACTCTCTGGCAAGAAGATGGACTTTGTTTTGCTAATCCTAACAACTATTTGGACTTTTACTGGTCCAGGTTCTGTTTGTGCATGCACATGCACATACTGCTGAGACACTGAGAAACTTCTGTCAGGTTTTACCTCTTTCCTTCAATCCTGAATTGGTCACTTCATAAAAGGACAGTGTTGATGTTCTGCAATTCTGAAAAGTTGTAAGATGCAAAAAGATCAATAATAAGTACAGCCATGATCTTGTGATGTTGATGATGGTTATGATGGTAAGAAAATCTTCATATTCTGCCTTACAGACAGGGAGTCTCATAAATTCATGACGATTATAGTAAATATAACTTTTCATTGTGTGGTTTTATTAAATGTTCAGAATATGGTCTCCTCCTCTACTTTATTTATCAGTAAGGTTGAGATCGGTTTAGCGATTGTTCTTACTTTGGATGTGATGACCTGATTTCTCATGGAAAATTGCTTTGAATTTTCTTAAGGTAATAGCCATTCTAGCATAAACATACACTGTAATTTGTTTTTTGTTCTTGCTTTGCTAGGAGAGTTTGCACATGCTTTCAGAAAGCATCTTTTACCTTCCACTGCTTATTTTTCCTAAGAGATCAGATTGGCAGCGTTATTTTATGGGTTACTTTACGCTTTGTGATTTTTCTATGATTGACTTCTTGCACTTAAGCTAAGAGGATTTACTGATGTTAACTGAGTTTGTTTCATTCCTTTGAGAGCTAAGACTTTAACCAAGCAAATCTCACATTGATAAAGATGCTTTATATTCTGTACTTCATCTGGATATGCATAGGATTTTACAGCCAGGTGCTTGGAAAACTGTTGGAAAAAGTTAAATATTTGTTAATATCATTCTTCAGCTCAGCGTGTATTTCCACAGATTGTTAAGAATGTACTTCTTGACCCCTAAGAATGATAATAAACTGACTACCTTTCTTTGGGCTACAGTTGCCTCATATATAATATAGATGATTTAAGTTAGATGAGAAAATGACTTAATAAACATGAAAATATTTGTAACACATAAAGTGTCTATAAATATTTATAAGCCAGCCTCCAAGATGGCCCTCATAATCCTTTTATCCTGATATTTATGTCCTTGTGTGGTGCCCTTCGATATTAAAGAGGATTGACCTATTTAACCTATGCTATACTGTGAAATTCTGGTATGTGACTTTCAAGGTTAGATTATAAAAGATATCACAAATTATGCCTAGATCTCTCTGGGATCATTTACTCTAGGAGAAGCCAGCTTCTGTGACATGAGCACACATAAATAGTCCTACGGAGAGATCCAGGCATCTTGATTGTAACCTCATCAAAGAATCTGAGCCAGAACAACCAAGTTAAGCCAAGTCCAAATTTATGACCCACAAAAACTATCTAAGATAATAAATCTTGATTGTTGGCTTAAACCATAAGTTTTGGGATACTTTTTTATGTTATAATAATAAGTAGAAAATGGTGACAAATTCATTCATTTGTCCAGTGTTATGGAGTATCTTGTACCAGGCACTGGACTGAAAAGTTGAAGACAAAGATAAAGAAACACACAATTCACTGAGAAAGATAAAAGCATAAAATGAAAACTAAAAGATGCTTTTTTGTCATACTATACTATAATGAGCTTGAATGTAAAAGCCCCATTGCTGTAGTTCTTTATTTTCAACTAAGCAGCATTTGTGAAATCCTTAGGAAAACACAAAGAAAAGAAATTTCCCTCAGTAACCTGGATAAATGCATTGTGATTATTATAATTTTATCTTCTTTGAAGATATGTTGAAGCTAATTAATTAATTTGCTGAAAAACATATCTATGAACCAGCATCAACTGTCCAATCTTGGCCCAGAGGATTTTCTATTCCACAGACAAAACAAAAGCTCCTTACATTGGTTTTCCTCTTTCCAGAGAGGCAGCCAAGTGGAGTCACAATTAGTTAGTAGGAATTGGAAAACTAAATGCAAATGAAACAAAACAGAGTGTGCAAGAAAACCCAATATTAAATATATGATGCATGTCTTGAATTTCAAAACTAACTACAGTGAGTTAAAATAGGTACATAAACATCTCTGAATTTCAAGAGTAATAAAAGGTTGTGCTCAAAGAAACCACGTTGATTCTTGGTCTAACTGATGCATATTATAGATAAAGAAAGCAAATGTTATCAATAAGTAGCTTACCCTCAGCCGTGGAGTTAGTTAATTCAAGAAGTAGGACTATACCATAGAATTTCAAAGCAGATTATTTTTCAAACTCCATTAAGTGGCATCTTTAGTCGTTTAAGAATCACGGCCAACAGAAAAATGGCTGAACTCACTGTTCTGTAAAATTCCTAATTTACGCTGATGCCACAGACCTCTTGTTCTGTGAGTAGGAGTGTCAAGTGTCTATTTGACACACAATATACTAAATAGTAAAATAATTTCTTTCTTATCCCAGGAAAAAAGATAACCTTGTAAGATTGACAATGTCACTTCAGAAAGCTGTATAATATTCCTTCAAAACCATACTTCAGAGAACATAAAGAATAGAGATCTTGCTACAGGGCAATAAACCCTAACGTACAACTTTTCAAACCACAATAGTTCCCACATTTAGAGTCAAAAAAACAAGTTCTGTAACAGTTCCTAAAAATAAGGTGCTGGAACTGAGTGTGCTTTGATATTCAAAAGTTTTTCCCCAGAAGAAACTGACAGAGCCTGACAACAGCATCTGTCATGGTTTTTCATTATTTGATATTACTATGAAGGTAAGAACTAAAAGCCTGGAGTATTAGGTTTCAAATACTTGTTTCATAATAAAACTTTGGCTATAGCATAGTGTCAGAATGGATTTCATAACGTTCATGGTGGTTTTATTCTTAGTTATATTTACCGTTTCTTAGGTTTAAAATTAATATTCAAAATGTTAAAGAAAAAACTTGGAAACATCACTTTTCCTATAATTACAATGTCCAAATAATGTTATTTAATTTATTAATCTCAAACACCGCATGTTCTCACTTATAGGTGGGAACTGAACAATGAGAACACTTGGACACAGAGTGGGGAACATCACACACCGGGGCCTGTCCTGGGGAGGGGGAAGGGATAGCATTAGGAGATATACCTAATGTAAATGACGAGTTAATGGGTGCAGCACACCAACGTGGCCCATGTATACATATGTAACAAACCTGCAGGTTGTGCACATGTACCCTAGAACTTAAAGTATAATTTAAAAAATTTATTAATCTAATAAAATAATCTTGTTTGATTAATTCAAAATAAACAGACTAAACCACCTTCAGAAAAGTTTCATTTATAACCCAATTATAATTTACATTTAAATCTGTGTCAAATTTTAATAATTCTACTTTTTTTAATGTTCTTCAAATGCATGACTTAAGCAAAACCTTCCTCAGTGCTTACAAATAACTTTTGAGAATTTAGTAGATTGAACTTACAACAATAGTTACTTAAATTCTTTTGATTATCACAGTATAGTTTAGTGTTGGTCAAATTACATTTTCATGTGGAAATTACAAGACTAAAATGAACTGTGCACTTTAAATTTTAAATTTTAATTTAATATAATCTCAGATAATCCAATACGCAAAATTATTTTAAATATTACCAACATTTAAAATGCCAATTACTTGTATTACTCCTAACCCTAACACCGAAGTGTGATGAGGTTTGATTCATGTCATTTCTATTTTAAATTCTAACCTTTTTATATTGGAAAGAGAGTTATGCAGTAAGTAAACATTTCAATCATCTCAGATTGGCTGACTGCCATCTCAGTAAATTGGGGTTATGTAGCCAAAAGAAGTTGTTGGGACCACAGGGGGACATGCTTAATGTACCTAGAGTGATTCCTCCTCCACCCAAGAGAGATGCACTAAGCCCTTTCTCATATTCACTTTGTTGATAGAGTATTCATAGTCCATACTTTTCAGACGGGATGTTAAATTTCACAAATTAAGAGTTACACTTTCACAGTTCAATATATGAATTCACCATATAAACACCTATATATTCCTAAAACTGGAGATAACTGTCTTTACTGACTTTTTGAATTTATTTTCTTGCATATTTTTATTTTTTGCAATTACAATTCTTAAAGATATCTTAAAGATATTCAACTGTTTTTCACGTGTCTCATAACTGTGGTGATGAGCAAATCAGAAGTCATCAAATGAAATATGGAAGAAAGGTTTGTAAAGTAATCAATATGTAAGTGCAGAAAACAATTACACAAACTTTCAGTCAATTTGACAGTATCATTGGGCCAAGCCTCCCAGAATAGTTGAGTGAAGTTGGCTGCCCATGAATGCTTATAAGACACGGTGCCATAATTATATCAGTAGAGTGATGACACGTTGCTTCATTCAGTCTTCACATCATACCTTTTGATCTATATATTTTTTAAGTTGTTTATAATTATTATAAATTATATATTATTAAAACGTGAACTTAATCTTAAATGGAACATTGATAGGGCTGAATACTATCTCAGTGATCAGAAGACAAAAATGGTAATTAAATTATACGTAATGGAAAAGTTATATTTTTGGTGCTATTTCAATGATCAAGGAACAATTTCTTAAAATGGGATAGTCCTGCGGAAAATGTTGTCATGAGAATTAAACCACATTAACAGCCAATAGAGCGTTCATTGGCGATATGGTCTTCCCTTTTGAATCCGTTTTCTAGGGCTGCTGTAGCAAAGTCGCAGAACCTGAGCAGCTTAAATAACACAAATATATTCTCACACTCCTAGAGGCCTGAAGTCTGACAGCAAATGGCCATTCTTTCTTTGATGGTGCTGGGGAAGGTCTATTCAGGTCTCCCTCTAGCTTCTGGTAGTTCCTTGGCTTATGACAGCATAACTCCAAATTTCATACGACATTCTGCCTGTGTGGGTGTCTGTCTCTGTATTCAAGTATCCCCATTTTAAAAGAACACCAGTCATATTGGATTAGGGCTCATTCTAATGCTCTCATCCTAATTAATTATCTCTGAAACAACCCCATACCTAATAAGGCTACATTCTGAAGTGCTGGGAGTTAGGACTTCAACATAGGAAATTTGAGGGAACACAATTCAACCCACAAGACCAAGAGCAGAAGCACCTTAGAAGTGGTTGCAATATGATGGGAACAAGTTACAAGTCATCATCACTTTAGGAGTAGAATGGCTTGAGACCTACGATGAACACTTTTCCTGGAGATAAAAATCTGAGGTAAGAGTTACTCTCAAGTAACAAGTCACTGCGTTTGACCTGAGAGGGTGTTTCAGAACGTAGTCATTCAAAATATTTTTCTATTTTTTTCTAGAAAAATATTTTTTCTAAATTGTTTTTCTATTAAGGAAAATAAATTCAGTATCTCATATACTGGAAAGAATTTAAGGTAATAGAAAACTTTGGTAATAGAAATAGTACCAAAACTGTTGATACCTCCTTTTCTCAGCTCTGTTTGAACACAGCATATAACCCTCAGGAGAAAAGTTTGTCTACCTTTTTTGCTTATATATTTCTGGAGGTAGTTAAATGTGGTCACACTAAAAAAAAAGAACTAAAATTACCCATCCTTTGATCTCATAGAGTCAAATTAGCAAATAATAGAATTGAAGCTAAGATTCTTCAATTTCCAGAGGAGGATGTTGCTCTAGAGTGTAAGCGCCGTGGTGTGGCAGGGGCTGAGTTCTGGCATTCTATTTTTACCTAATTTTTATTCTATGACCTGTTTGGTCTTGCTAAATCAAGAGAGCTGAAAGACATAAAGCACTTTGATTTAATGGAGTCAGGGAAACTGATTCCACTCTAAACCTAACTCCTAGAGCCCCCTACTTTCCCCATTGTCTCTCAAATACCTTTCAGGCTTCCTTATCATTGCTTGAGTCAAAACCCTTAGTGTTGCCCCATTCCGACCCATCATATGTATTACTCTAGACTCTAGAGGTCTCCATCATGTCAATCAACGGCAATTTACTTTGAGAAAACAAGAAGGAAGCAATGTAAATTAAAATAGTTATAACATTAGAGTCCCCTCCTCAGGAGTAAAATCTCTAGCACTTAATGTATTGGGAGGGTAATGTCTTAAAAACTGACCTGGGAATCCGTGCTTCCCCAAAATGTGTCTCAACTTCTCACATAACTTTATTGATAATGCTTTAGTAAGTGCAATGTCCACTCCAAACCTGAAGCACTGCACAAGGGAGGTTGGCATGAGAGACTTGGACACATTGAACAACACAATAGCCTGTCCTCAGTAGGGAGGGTGGAGCCCTGTTTAAGGAGCAAGTGTAGGGTCTTCCAATACCACAAGAATCTTGTGGCCAAGAACTGAGAACCTGATCCTACCCATTTCAGGTTTATTCCTGCCCCTTATCAACTATTTTTTATGACCTTAATTTGCAGCAGGACATGGCTTAACCACCTTATTTTTAGTTGGCTCTGCAGTCTTCAGTTTAGATGTCTACTTTCTCATATCTTAACGTGTAGTTGAGTAAGCATCTTTACGACCGTTTTAGCTCTTCTATCCTTTTCCCAACCAGTCTGGACCTCGGGCAAAAAGGCTAGGCGTTTGTCTCACCTGCACTGTAAATCCTTCAGGAGGTAGCTCCCAGGTTTCTGGATTGGGGACTGGTACTCTGCTGCCCCCTTCTGGCCCTAGGCCATATTTTTATATTGAAATACAAACCTATCAAAAGCCAAGCACTTCTGGCATCTGTCAAGAAGCCAACGAGCTATACGTTGATTAATAAATAGAAAAGGCCAAATATGTATTAAGAACTTAATTTTCTAGGCCGTATACTTAGCCTTTTGTGTATATTCATTATTTAATCTTCTTAACTTTCAGATAATTGTTACTGTAACTCATTGGATAGATTGCTTTAAGGGACAATTGAAGAGATTAAACAGTGTACCCAAGAAATTAAGCATATGTCATGCCAGGGCATTGTGTTTTTTGAAGTTTTTTCTGCCTGCTTTGCTCTGACTCAGGGCATGGGTCGACAAACTCTCTTGACTCACAGTAAATTATCAAATTGCCCAAAGTACCACTTTTTATCATTCTCAGTAATAGTGTTTAAATTCAATTATGTATGAGTCTGAGCTACAGTTCAAATTATGTTTCCTATGCTGTTCTCAGGATATACAGAAATACAACAAATAAAATAAACATTATATGCAAAGTCAAAAGCCTGGAAAAATTTCAGGCATGCTTCAATGTCTCACCGCCTTGGGCAAGTCATTTAACTAGCCCATGTCACAGTTTCCTCAAATACGAAAACATTGCTCTTTCTACCTCAGAAAGATATTTCTACCTATCTCCACATTACAGTAGAAGATGTTTGTAAAAGAGCTGTGAACTTAGTGCAGGCCTTATGGAAGTACCTGGACTTGTTGTATATCTCATTCTAACTCTCCCAGTTTACATATGCATTATGACTTTAACAAGGATCATTGATTATACAGGAAAGAAAGCACACCAATATTTCCTATTGAATAACAGTATCTTTACATTTCAAAGGTAAAAACAATAATGATATTACATCGATCAATGTGCATAAGAAGATGTAGAGAGTAGAAAGGAAAATAATTATTGATGAAAGAGCTTACTCAAATGGACAGACATGAACCTAGATGTTTTTAAATTTTATTATTTTAATTCAAAAATTTAACCCAATTTTTCTAACCAAATAAGTTGTAAAATAAGACCTCTACTACTACTACTACAACTACTGTTACTACTACTGTTATTACAGGTAGAAAATGGGGAAAATCATGTTATTAAATTTACCTCTATGTGTATAATTATCACATAGAATGTTTATAAACTTCTTACAAAAATATACAGCAATCATTGTAATGATTTGTGTAATATGCAAGCAACCATTTTCTTCTGAGAAATATTATCAGCTAACAATGTCAGTTTCCCTCTCTCATTTATAGTATTTTCATGAGAATTAGTACCCCTGTGGTTACTTTTTTCTCACTGAAATTTTAAACCATAAAATAAGTAAGAAAAATGAGTATTATTATTTCAAAAATAGTAGCTCTTTAAATTAACACTTTTGACTATAGGACAACTTATTCTATATTATCAAGTGCTATTTTCAATGGCCTCCTAATCTGTTATTTGCCTCTCATTTTATCTTTCTCAAACTCTTGCCCTGAAAAGATCAATGCAGAATTAAACCTCACCAATTCACCTTCTTTTTAAAAAAAATGTTAATTTAAATTCATCACTTACAAGATAAAGCCAAACTTTCTTTAAGAAACAATACTAGTTTTTTTCATGATCAACTTCTTGCTTCTCTCTTCAGTGCCCGCTTTCCACTCCCAACCTTACACTTCACAGTTCAGTCATAGAAAACTGAAGACATTTCCAGATTATAACATCACATCCATTTGTCTTCATCAACTGCTGGTCCCTTTCCATTCCTGGACTTCTCTACAACCCCTTTCTTTCAGAGAATTATTATTCAGCTTCTGAGAGCCAGAATCATCTCTGAAAGCAGCTTTTCAGGAAATCATCCTCAACCCTCCTCACCAATCCAGGCTCTCAGTCACAGTCATAAATTATATTTAGTTAACAATATAATTCTATCTCTAGGTTAAGCAAGTTATATGCATTAATCATGTAATCCAGACAGCTACCATATAAAATTGTTCGTATCTTTATGCCTTTGTGCTTAATGAAATGGAAATACTGAAAGGTTAATTCACTTGCCAAAGACTGCACAACTAGTCAGTTCCAAAGCTGAGAATTCAAATTCAGTTGGTCTGACTCCAGAGTTCCATTAGCTTTTACATCTCTGTGGATACTACTTGATACATACAACACTGTACTGAAATGATTCCTTCAAATACTTATCTCCCCACTGTGATTCACCAGGGGAAAAATCCAGTCACTAATATTTTTATCTACATCACATTATACGTTATAATGTTCAATAAATATATTTCGTTAGCTAAACCATGCTCCACTTTTTAAATTATATTATTTTTAAATTAAGTTGAACATTTCAAAGGGAAAGTATATATTATTGAAGAAAGAATACACAACATAAATTGATCTTCTGAAAATAAGATAAATCAGTACAAGTCATATACGTAACAAGGCTGTTAAATGTTTAGATAACAAAACAGAAAAAAAAGTTTCTCAAGCTTTTTACTGATGCAATAATTTGATGACAAATTTCATGAACACAGAGACTCTAAGACCTTCCAAGGGTGGCTTGCCTTTCCTTGACTGTTTAGAATCAGTGATGCAAAACAAGCAAATATATCAACTCCTAAGAGTAATGATTAAACATTAAATTGAACTAATTGAATTTCTGAACAACCAAAGCAAAAGTAGGAAATAAAATATGCATGTTTCCTTCTATAAGTAGGCAAACTTTTAATTAAAATCTCATTTTCATAGTAGATACCTACATTGATTATATAATATTTGCAAGTTACTTACAAAAGGCAAACAAAATGTTAATATTTGGAAATTATATGTTTATACATTCCTCCTTAAGTAATGTAACTATTTAAAAGAAAATATATGTTATATATAATTATACATATTTATAATGAATAGCACGTAATTATATAGATAGGTAGATATTTATACATATACAATTGCATAGAAAGATATAATTCATTTTCTTACTTGGCCATGTACTATATTGTACTATTATATCACATATTTGCTTGTTTTTGTCCAGTTGAACCACATATGGCAAGTTATTTCTAAAATCCAACTCTGAATACCAGGTAAGCAAATTCTTTGGATATAGTCCTTACGTTGGCTATTTTAACATTTCCAAATTATTTTGAGATAGCAAAAAGAATGTTGATGTCTAACAAATTATACATATAGGTAATTATATATACTTAACACATATATAATTGTGCATATATATACATACACATTTTAATCATGTGTGTATATATAATTATGTGTGTGTATATATATATATACACACACACATATATACACACACACATACATATATGTACTTTAAATTTCCACCATAAATAATGGAGTTTCCTATGTTGGTAATATGTGGCATTATGGAACCCTTTAAGATTTTTGTTTTTGAGGATTCTAACCAGGCATGTCCATGTGCTGTATCTCTCATGTGTAACACTGAACACTATGAAAAAATTAAAACTGCCTTGAATATAACTCCTGCACTGAGGTTACATATTCACGTTTTCAGCTGTTGAACGGGCCACAGCAAAGGAATGGTTTTCTCTGAATTGCAAATATTTGCTACTATAAGAAAAAAGAGAAAAGGAGAGACAGACAGACATAATTGTGGTGACAAGTACCTGGGATCCTAGCCACAGTATCATACAACTGACCAGGACAGACTAAATGCTCCCCTCAGCTTGACTAAGTTTCAGAAAATTTTCACAAATATATGTCCCTTGCCACCCTTTTCTTAGAGCATTTGCTTTAGAAAAGTTTCTATTGTAATTTCTTTCTCTGCCCCTCTAAAATATAAATCTCCTTCTAGTTGCTTGACAATTTTACAGTCCAGTAATGTCTTTCTCAAGGAACTGGGAGACAACACTTTGAAATATATAATCATCAAGGACAATAACATCCTCATCTCCCAGTCTCTGTGGGAGTTTAAGAGTCTAAGTTTGATAGATAAATGCAGATTAGCAAATACAGATGGCATAGTCACATTGACTAATCTCCTCTCCAATATCATCTAGTACTTTTCCACTGGCTCATTCCAGTACTTAAAAGCTCTCCTGCCCTCTGATTCAGTGGAGTTGAGTTCAATTTCTCTTCTGTATTGCAGCAATCTTGAGCAATCTTCCTTGACTGTTTAACTTGTCCAGTGCAAATTTTCTTTTTCATATCAAACACTTTATATAAAGTACCTATTTATTTTTATCTCATTTTTATATGATTACTTTTAAATTTAGAGAATATGTTATTATAAAGAGTGATTTCTTGAAAAGGAAGGCTCTTTAAGCCCCATTTAAAAATTTTTATAATGAAGTTAGTACATATAAATGTTGGATATAGTGAGAATATGAATATTATGGTATAGTCATGTTGAATACGCCTAATACATTATACCCATCGAACTCATTCTTTTTTCTTAAACACATATTATAAGACAAGATAATCTTGATTTCTCTGCTTTCCATTAATCAAGTTTTTCCAATTTGATTAATCTATGTAATTTCCCTAGTCTAATTTGTTTTGCTGATTTTGAATGGTCTTTTTATCAATTCACACAGTTTTCTCTCCTATCTGCTCTCTCATTCTTAGTTGTTCTAATGTTACAAAATTCTTAATATTTCTGTCATTGTTTGATAACCAAATGAATATAAATTGAGTTGAAAGGGAATTTTAACTGTTTAAATAATTTCCTTAATTTTGCCTTGAATCCCAAAAACTGCAAAACTAAATCCAGAAGCCATTAGAGTGGTGTGTATATATAGAAAGACATACAAAAATTTATATATGTAAAGATCCCTGCTCACATAGAGACATTTTCATAGCAGGAAAAGCAGTAAATAAAAAAAATATATATAAGTAAAGTACATAATATGTTAGAAAGTTATAAGTGTTATGTAAAAAAAAAAAAGTAAAACAGGGTAAAATATCTGGAGAAAGAGAGAGATAGAGATACAGGTACAGATGTAGATACAGATACATATTCACCTATTGCATGCAAAAAAAAAATTCTTTACAATGGAACTACTACTGACATGTATTTTACCTCATGTTCTCTGTTGATGAAAGTACAATAGTTTACAGTTTAGGTGAAGAAAATTACTATATTATAATCTTGAACTTCATAAAATTAAAAAATTATGGGTAAAAAAAGACTGCATTAAAAATACAAAAATAGATTAAATATTTAGTCGAAATGTAGCTAGTATGGTCTCTAATAGAGAAAAAAATCAAAATGTATAACTAATGAGATATGACATTAAGTCAATACAATGAATTCTATACTTTTTGATAAAAGATATATTAGAAATAAACGAAATGAATATAGAGATGAAGTATCCTGAATCACTGAAAAAAAAGTTCTAGAGAAAAAATAAGAAATAAATTAAACATTATTCTATAAACTTTTCTGATATAAAGTGAATGTTATTAAATTTACAGGTTTTAAAATTTTTAACATATAGTATTTAATTTAGATGACAGAAATAGCTTTCTTGAGCATGGTTTCTTCCTTTTTTACAGACAAACTGCAGATTATTTTATTTTTCAATATTATTTCCAAGTATTAGGCATAGCCATCAATTTTTCTCTTGAAATCTAATATATTCAGTTTTGTGTGTGATGGGAATAGTTCATATTTCTTCCATTTCTAATACTCTTAGAACTAGCTTAGTTAAAAATATCAAAAGAATTTAAATTATGTACAAAATAATTCTGAAAAGGATTGTTGGGCTCTATCTTTTCAAGAAAAAGAAAAGGAGGCATTTTCATAAACAATTTCAGCAAAGTTTCAAGATATAAAATCAATGTACAAAAATTAGTAGCATTTCTATACAGCAATAACATTCAAGCTGAGAGTCAAATCAAAATCACAATACCGTTTACAATAGCACACAAAAAAATGAAATACCTAGGAAAACAGCTAACCAAAGAGATGAAAGATCTCTACAAGGAGAACTACAAACCACTGCTGAAAGAAATCAGAGATGACACTAAGAGTTGGAAAAACATTCCCTGCTCATGGATTAAAAGAATCAATATTATTAAAATGACCATACTGCCCAGAGCAATTTACAGATTCAACACTATTCCTATCAAACTACCAACATCATTTTTCACAGAATTAGAAAAAAAATTTCTAAACTTCATAGGGAATGAAAAAGAGCCCAAATAGTCAAAGCAATCCTAAGCAAAAAGAACCAATCCGGAAGCATCACACTACCCAACCTCAAGCTGTACTATAAAACTACAGCAACCAAAAAAGCATGTACTGGTACAAAAACAGACACACAGACCAATGGAACAGAGGAGAGGACTCAAAAATAAAACCACACACCTAAAACCACTAAATTAAAGATTTAAATGTAAGACCTCAAACTGTAAAAATTCTAAAAGAAAATCTAGGACATTCCCTTCTCGACATTGGCCTCGGCAAACAATTTATGGCTAAGTCCCCAAAAGCAATTGCAACAAAAACAAAAATTGTCAAGTGGGACTTCATTAAACTAAAGAATTTCTGCATAGCAAAAGAAATTTTCAATAGAATAAGTAGACAACCTACAGAACAGGAGAAAATGTTTGCAAACTATGCATCTAACAAACGTCTAATACCTAGAATCTATAAGGAGCATAAACACATCAACAAGCAAAAAAATTTAAAAAAAAATAAAAATAAAAAATAAGCAAAGGACATGAACAGACATTTCTCATACATGCAGAAGTCATACATGCAGCCAACAAACATATGAAAAAATGTTTACCATCACTAATCATCAGAGAAATGCAAAACAAAACCACAATGAGATACCATTTCACACTAGTCAGAATGGCTAGTATTAAAAAATCAAAAAATAACAGATGCTGTCAAGTCAACAGAGAAAACTGAATGCTTATACACTGTTGCTGGGAATGTAAATTAGTTCAGCCACTGTGGAAAGAAGTTTGGAGATTTCTCAAAGAACTTTAAACAGTTACCATTTGACTCAACAATCACATTACTGGGTATATACCAAAAGGAAAATAAATCATTATGCCAAAAGACACATGCACTCATATGTTCATTGCAGCACTATTCACACAATAGCAGACATGGAATCAGCCTAGGTGCTCATCAGAGGTGGACTGGATAAAGAAAATGTGGTACATATACACCAAAGAATACTATGTACCATAAAAGGAGTGAAATAATGTCCTTTACAGAACCATATATGCAGCTAGCACCATATTCCTAAACAAATTAACACAGGAATGGAAAACCAAATACCACATGTCCTCACTTGTAAGTGGAAGCTAAACACTGACTACACATGGACACAAAGAAGGGAACAATAAACACTGAAGACTACTACAGGGAGGAGGATTAGAGGAAAACAGTCACCAATAAGCTAGAGTCTAGAAAGGCAACTGAGTCATTGGCAAATGCAAAGGTCTGGCTAGCAGCAACACAGACTCCGAGAACTAGCTGGAGAAGACAACCCACATGCTACGAAGGATTTTCTAAAGCCGGGGTAAAATGGATTCAAGAACCAGAATTAGGAGGAGTGCAAAAGAGTGTCAGATAGGGGAGAAGTAGCAACCTGGAAAGAAAGCCAGACAGACTGAACTTCACTGAACCTGGCATGGGAGTGGTTTTCTACTGTGCTCTCCCCTTGAACTGTTACTCCCCAAGCTTCTTTCACTCTGAATACTCTCTTAATTTTGGCAATTGATCAATAAAAAGAGAACATCAGAACTAAGTATCAAATAGGTGATTCGTTATTTTTAAGTAATACTTAATTGTCCTAGTGTATTTTGCAGTAAGCAGTTACTAGATAAGTACTGTTAAGACTATAGCGCTAACAATTTCATAGGTAGAAAACAGAACTAAAATGTATGCTATTTAACACAAAAACTTCATTTAATTGAGTCCATTAGTGTTATAAAGCAGTAGCTCCTTTTTTATCAGATTTATTTATTCATATTTCCCAGATAAAATATCCTGGAAAGTCATATATACACATCTCTGCAGATGCAATAACCATGATGAGCATAATGAGAAAGTACAATTCATGTATTTAAGCACAGAACCCTTTAGAAAAAGGAAAATCCTGAAAGTATGTTGAGCGATTTTTCTCTAGTTTTGTATTTTGCCCACACAGACACTAGTTCAAACTTTTATCAAGAAGGTCATAATCTTTTCTTTTGTCACAGAGAAAGCAATGAAAAGAATAAGACTAAAGCAGTGTATCACCACTGCCTTAGTGGTCAGTGTCAAAAGTGACAAGAGAAGACACTGAGGCAATATAGCTTTTCAGAGCTAATCTTTGGGGCCCACAAATGAGAAAGTCTTGTGAGAGCAATGAAAAAGAGAGTGGGAGGCAGAGTAACAGCAAGGTGGGGAAAATCCTGGTATCAATTTGAATTTTCTTAAGTAAGTAATTTGTTTGTGATATGAGGCTTAGTGGAAACACAGAGCTAATTAGTCTAACTTTTCAAGCTTATTCTCTGATAATTTTAAATATCTGAATGTTTAATTTTCTTTACTCCAATGTAAGCACTCATTGACAAAGCTGTGCCCTTTCCCAGTAGTCAAATAAGGTTAAAAGACTCTTTCTTATTAGTATTTACCTGTTTAAATATAAAAGAAACTACAATGCTAAGAAAGGGGATAGAGAAAGGACTGTGTGACCTGGTATATCCATCTATGGAGCAAAACTAAAACTTCAAAAATAGACCTTGGAATATTTACAATTTTGGACAAATCCCACATTTTCTATTACAAATAGGTGGATTATTCAATAAAAATACAGATTTCAATCTCCACATAATACTAACACAAAAATAAATTGCAGCTCAATTAGCAATGTTGATGTGAACTTGAAAATATTTTTAAAAACATAAAAGGAAATTGCATAATTAGATGAGAATCTTTTTAGCAAGAAGTTAGCAAAAGGGAGAGAAAAAAATAATTTTGTGTGTATATGTATATATTTTTTCTTAGATTATGAAATAGTTTACATGATATGAAAAGTAAATAGCCAAATTATTGGCTAGAGAAAGCAGCACAAAGTATAATGGATGAAAAACCAATATACTTATAATTAAAGACTTTACATAAAGCTATAAGGACTAGATTAACACCCGTAGAAACTGGATCATGATGTGTAAAGGACCTATTAGAAAATTTGAAATATTAAATATAATGAATAAACATGTAAATGCTTAACCTCTTGTTTACTTAAATCAATGCTACTAAAATATCTTTAAAAATAATTTTAATACTAATATAAAACTTTGGGAAGTGTTTGTGAAAAAGGAGAGTCTTTTTTATTTTTGCTGACAATGTAGTTTGCTGAGAAAGCAATTTTGAAATATATATTAATGGATGTAATTGGCAATATGTATCAAAATATATCAACAACTTTTTTAAATGCTTTGCTTTGTGGTCTATACGGAAATCATCACAAATATAGTCAAAGTGTTAGCAACAGGAATATTCATTGGAGCACTGCTGATAATAGTAAAACATTAAAAACAACTATTCAATAATAAATGTATTTTCCAGATAAATTATAGCCACACAGTAGCATATGTGCCTATAAAAAAGGAAAATTGTAGATAAACAATGTGTTCTTCTCTTTCTTGCTCTTTTTATAGAATGAGATTATATATTTCTGATTCTAAGAGGGTCTCTTTTCAGGTAATGGACTTATAGAAGACTTTAGTTCATTTTCTTATGCATATTTTCAAGTATTCTGCAGCAAATATGCATTTCTTTTGTAAAATGTAAATTATAAAAGTTATAAAAGCAAATCTAACAGAGCTTTCTTTTATATGTAGAGGAAAAGAATTAAACTAATTAAATAATCTAAGCTCTTTAAAAACTAATTTTAAAAAGCTACTTCATTATAATGGCTTTCTAAGGATACTGTCTCACAATCTGAAACTCTGCTTTAGCATTTTATTTGACAGATCTATATGTTTGACTATTGATTGTTGAAGAACTGCAACAGTCATTTCTTGGAATGTTTCTGATTTATGAATCATTCATTTACTGCTATTTGTATACTGCGAGAGTAAAATGACACTTTCTTATAACAAATAATAAAGACAACGTATGTTTTTTAAAATGTAAAATGCAGGATTTTACTTCTTGGTGAAATGCCTGATTTATTGTTGCTAATATGTACATGTACATGTATTTATGTGCTTTCATTATCAACAAAACATTGGCTATATAAAGAAAAATAAGCCCTTGGTGCTATAGACTGAATGTTTGTATCCTCCCAAAATTCATTCGTTGAAACCTAATTACCAATGTGATGGTATTAAGAAGTGGCATCTTTGGCAGGTAAATAGGCCCTGAGGGAGTCCTCATGAATGAGAGTGACGCCCTTATAGAAGAGACTCTGAGAGCTACCTTGCTCCTTCCACCATGGGAGGACATAGCTGAAAGGTGCCATCTGTGAACCAGGAAGCAGGACCTCACCAAACACTGAATCTGCCAGCATCTTGATCTAGAACTTCTCAGCCTCCATAACTGTAAAAAATACATTTCTGTTGTTTATAAGCCATGCAGTTTATGGTATTTTGGTATTGCAGCCTGAGAAAACTAAGACAATTGGGATTACCAAGAGTATATTTGCATATCAAGAGATTAAAAAAATATGGTCAGGCATGGTGGCTCATGCCTGTAATCCCAGCACCTTGGGAGGCCGAGGCTGGTGGATCCCCTGAGGTCAGGAGTTTAAGACCAGTCTGGCCAGCATGGCAAAGCCCTATCTCTATTAAAAATACAAAAATTAGCTGAGCTTGGTGGTCTGTGCCTGTAATCCCAGGTACTAGGGAGGCTGAGGCACAAGAATCGCTTGAACCCTGGAGGTGGAGGTTGAAGTGAGCCAAGATGGCACCACTTCACTCTAGCCTGGGTGACAGAACAAGATTCCATCTCAGAAAAAAAAAAAAAATGCTAGTTACAAATTCCTCAAAAGAGCTTGAGTAATATTATATAATATTCAAGGATGCGTAGTTCACGCTTGGTGATATACTAATGCTCATGCTAAAAGCTGCTTTTAAGAGGACATAGTCATTCCTCTCCAATCTGCATTTTAACACCCTCTCTGCTTGCTTTACTTCTCAGCCTCCATAACTGTAAAAAATACATTTCTGTTGTTTATAAGACACCCAGTTTAATTTTCTTGCATGTACAAATAAATGAAGATAAATGTTGACAGATTAATGAATATCTGCTAAGACTAGAATTTGCCTATACATTGTAAATTTAAGATCATTCAATTTCCTTAAAAGGAAAGAATATATATTGAGCCAGTGCTGCCCATTGTAACGCTTCCAGGGACCAAGTCCAAAAGTAAAGTAGAGTGTTCCAGTGGTATCAAATGATTTTTTAAACATATGTTATAAGAAAAAGTAATTATTCACGGCATTAATATTTTCTTTGAACTGTAGTTATTTTTCCATTAAACATATATAACTGGGAATATAACATTTATTGATATTTAAACATTGGTAAAAACATTCTATTTTATTTTAAGAAAACTAGAAAGTTTCAATTATTTACCTATGAGTGATTTGAAGGGAGGTTTTCTAGTCAAATCATTTTGAACAGCAATTTGGGAATTACAAATGATCAAATGATACTCCCAAAACAATCCTCCTCTGAAAAAAAAAAAATATATATATATATTCGAGATTACCCAAGAATTTAATGCAAATTCAAATTAACCATTTTATATATTACAAGCTGACTTTATCATCTTTCTCATTTTATTAGTGTAACCTTGTCTTCCAGGTTATACCTTATTTTTCCAAAAATCTTTATTGAAAATAAAGTATATACATATGTGTGTATATATGTGTGGATGAATATATATATATATTAAATATATATATATATTCTTTTTATAAGGACTTTTAGAATTTCCCTAAAAGAAAATGTGCTTCAAGATATAAATATTCATTGTGCTTTATATGGAAACCTAGTTCTTTTCTTTTTTATTATTTTTCTTTGCTGCATTGAAAGATAGAAAATAAGTAATGCCATTACCCTGCTGTGAGAGTTGAAGGATTAAAGTGTCCTTTTCTTCTGAAAAAGAATACTAATTTTTATTTTCCTAATGATTTATGAGTAATGGACATCAAAATCCATTGTGAAAGAACAAAACAAGAATGTATTTTTTATTTCTGTGTTTAGGAATAAAAAGGATTAAAGTAGAGGTTGTCTAGAAACCCTGAAGAGGAAAGCAAACTGTGAGAATTACTGAAAGGCACAGAGAATCCTATAAGCTAAACCAAGAAAAGCCATCCAAGCAAAAAACGTCTTCTGTCCAGGAAGAGCCCTGTCAATGTATCTGGTGACAGAATAGGCAGTTTCAGAATTCATGGGGAACCTGAATTCTACAACTGCAAGTCTCAACCATAAAGTTTCATATGCCTCAGTTCAATGATACTTCCAATATTCATGCAGCAGACCTACATTATTTGCAGATTGAATATTTGCAAATTTTTCTACTTACTAAAATTTATTTGTAACCCTAACATTAATACGAGTTGCTCTTTCTCAGTGATTATAGGGATGTGCAGAGCAGTAAAAATTTTGAGTCACCTCTTCCTTCTTTCCGTTTTCATACTATAAACAAGTATTCTTTTCACAGTCTACTTAGTACCACAGTTGTAGCATTTTTGTGCCTTTTCTTGGTGATTTTGCCATTTAAAATGCTCCAAATGTAGTGTTGAAGTGCTTTTTAGTGTTCCTAAGCACAAGAGGGCCATGGTGTGCTTTATGGAGACAATATGTGTGTTAGGTAAGCTGTAGGCATGAGTTAGAGCACTGTTGGCAATAAGTTCAAAGTAAATGGATCACCAATATATACTAAATAGGTGACTTTAAATAGAACCACAAGAAAAATAATGTTATATATTGATTCTTTAGCAAAGATATGACCAGAGACTCACAGGAACTTAACTGTGTTTCCTCTAGGAGCAGTAGTTAAGTATTCACCTATTCAGGGCTTAAGGCAACTTTATAGAACATAACTGTTCTAAATAATGAGAATCATTTGTATGTATTTATCTATCATATATCTATTTATCTATCTATTATCCATCTCTCTATATGTTGAATGCATATATATAAGCAAAACAAGTCTACAGTATTCTTCAGAAAGCAGAATGTCTGAATACTTCCATTATTTGGAAACAAAATAATGGACTTTTGAATAATCAATAGGTAAAAAAATTAAATTAAGAGTAATAATGTATTTTGAACTAAATGAAAACACAATATATTAAAATCTCTGGGATACAACTAAAACAAGTTAGAAATTTATAGCACTATATGGTTATATTAGAATTAAAATGGTCTCATGTCAATAACCTGCAAGCTCACCTTAACAAACTAGAAAAAGAAGAAATTAAACTCATAAAAATTAGAAAGAAAATGATAAAGATCACAGCATAAATAAATAAAACAATTCACAAGGTCTTTCATCATTTTATTTTATTCTTCTCCTGTCTTATATTATTATTGTTATGTATTTTAACTCCACAGATGATATGATTATGGTTTATGTGTTCCATATTTATTTATATTTACCCATCTATTTCTCATTCTCTGTAGTCCTTTTTTCTTCCATTCATTTATATTTACCCATCTATTTATCTTTTCCTGTATTCCTTGTTTTCTTCAATTCTTGTGTTTTTATCTGAGATAATTTTCCTTCTTTTAATAAAGCTCATTTATTATTTTATGTGGTGCATGTCCACTGGCTAGGAAATCTAATTTTTGTTTGTCTGAAATATTCTTATTTCACCTTAATTTTTGAAAAATAATGCTGCTGGCTATAGAATTCAATGCTGGCAGTTGTTTTCTTTCTGCACAATAAAGTTGTCATAGTCTTGTTTTCTGTCTTATAACCTTACTGTTAAACAGACAGCTATGGTTGAATGTTAACCTTTTGAAGATTATAAGTCTTTTTTGTCTTTGCACTTTTAGTATAATTTCTCTTTTATTTTTAGCTGTGTCATTAAGATATGCCTATGTGTTTGGGGTTCCTAGGCTTTACTGAACTGGTGCTTTTTATGTCTCTCATCAGTTTTGGAGAATTGTTAACTAGAATCACTTCAAAAATTGCCTTTGTCTATTCTGTCATGCTTTTTTACTGGGATTCAAATCACATATATGTTAATGCTTTTCACCATGACACACATATTTCTTACACTCACATCCATATCTTATCTTTTTATTTCTCTTCATGCTTTCCTAAAGACATCTTCTACTTTCTTTAAGTTTATTTATCTTTGCTTTTGCTGGGTATAATTTATATTTAAACTTATATATTGAGTTCTTAGTATCAGTTAGTGTATCTTCCATTTGATTATTTTCAGAGATTTTATTTTTCTGATAAAATTTACTATCATTTCAATATTTTTATGAACATATTAGTCACAAATATTTTAGTCTTAGGACAATTAAAAAAAGGATTAGAAGCCTCCTAGAAAGATATTATAGGATGAGAAGAAGGCTTTACATAATGCAATTCCTATTTTCCACACAGAAACACCATCATCTAAGGGATATACAGGTGATGGGGGGTTTGAATAAGAACTGAATATAAACAACACAAAGTGAGTATTAAATTAACTGCAGATGAACAACCCAAAGATAATATTAAATCATTTAATCAGGAACAATAGTGACACAACCTATCAAAACCTGTGGGATACAGCAAAGGCAGTGGTAAGAGGAAAGTTCATAGCCCTAAACACCTACAGCAAAAAGACTGAAAGAGCTCAAACTGACATTCTAAGGTCACACCTCAAGGAACTAGAGAAACAAGAACAAACCAAACCCAAATCCAGCAGAAGAAAGGAAATAACCAAGATCAGAGCAGAACTAAATAAAACTGGGACAAACAAACAAAAATACAAAAGGTAAATGTAACAAAAACCAGTTCTTTGAAAAGATAAAGTTGACAGACCATTAGCAAGATTAACCAAGAAAAGAAGAGAGAAAATCCAAATTACCTCAATAAAAAGCAAAATGAGATATTGCAACTGACAGCACAGAAATACAAAAGATCATTCAAGGTCATTATGAACATTTACATGCATAAACTAGAAAACCTAGAAGAGACGGATAAATTCCTGGAAAAATACAACTTTCCTAGCTTAAATCAGGAAGAATCAGATACCCTAAACAGACCAATAACAAGTACTGAGATTGAAATGGTAATTTAAAAATTCCCAACAAAAAAAAGTCCAGGACCAGATGGATTCGCAGCAGAATTCTACCAGACATTCAAAGAAGAATTGGATGCAGCTATGAATGCAAGGCCACACAAGGTGGATGGAAGAGTTGTGGAACCAAAGAGAGCCGTCTCAAGAGAAGATTCTCAAAGACCAGGTGCCCACTTAACTGTGAAAAAGATATTTGTTGGTGGCATTAAAGAAGACACTGAAGAACATCACCTAAGAGATTATTTTGAACAGTATGGAAAAATTGAAGTGATTGAAATCATGAGTGACCGAGGCAGTGGCAAGAAAAGGGGCTTTGCCTTTGTAACCTTTGACGACCATGACTCCGTGGATAAGATTGTCATTCAGAAATACCATACTGTGAATGGCCACAACTGTGAAGTTACAAAAGCCCTGTCAAAGCAAGAGATGGCTAGTGCTTCATCCAGCCAAAGAGGTCGAAGTGGTTCTGGAAACTTTGGTGGTGGTCGTGGAGGTGGTTTCAGTGGGAACGACAACTTTGGTCATGGAGGAAACTTCAGTGGTCATGGTGGCTTTGGTGGCAGCCATGGTGGTGGTGGATATGGTGGCAATGGGGATGGCTATAATGGATTTGGTAATGATGGAAGCAATTTTGGAGGTGGTGGAAGCTACAAGGATTTTGGCAATTACAACAATCAGTCTTCAAATTTTGGACCCATGAAGGGAGGAAATTTTGGAGGCAGAAGCTCTGGCCCCCATGGTGGTGGAGGCCAGTACTTTGCAAAACCACGAAACCAAGGTGGCTATGGCGGTTCCAGCAGCAGCAGTAGCTATGGCAGTGGCAGAAGATTTTAATTAGGAAACAAAGCTCAGCAGGAGAGGAGAGCCAGAGAAGTAACAGGGAAGCTACAGGTTACAACAGATTTGTGAACTCAGCCAAGCACAGTGGTGGCAGGGCCTAGCTGCTACAAAGAAGACATGTTTTAGACAAATACTCATGTGTATGGGCAAAAAACTCGAGGACTGTATTTGTGACTAATTGTATAACAGGTTATTTTAGTTTCTGTTCTGTGGAAAGTGTAAAGCATTCCAACAAAGGGTTTTAATGTAGATTTTTTTTTGCACCCATGCTGTTGATTGCTAAATGTAATAGTCTGATCGTGACACTGAATAAATGTCTTTTTTTTTAATGTGCTGTGTAAAGTTAGTCTACTCTGAAGCCATCTTGGTAAATTTCCCCAACAGTGTGAAGTTAGAATTCCTTCAGGGTGATGCCAGGTTCTATTTGGAATTTATATACAACCTGCTTGGGTGAAGAAGCCATTGTCTTCGGAAACCTTGGTGTAGTTGAACTGATAGTTACTGTTGTGACCTGAAGTTCACCATTAAAAGGGATTATCCAAGCAAAATCATGGAATTATTGGTTATAAAAGTGATTGTTGGTACATCCTATGCAATATATCTAAATTGAATAATGGTACCAGATAAAATTATAGATGGGAATGAAGCTTGTGTATCATCCATTATCGTATGTAATCAATAAACGATTTAATTCTCTTGAAAAAAAAAAAGAATTAGTGCCAATCCTACTGACACTATTCCACAAGATAGAGAAAGAGGGGAGCCTCCCTAATTCATTCTATGAAGCCAGCATCACCCCAATGCCAAAACCAGGAAAGGACATAACCAAAAAAGAAGACTACAGACTGATATTCCTGATGAACATAGATGCTGAAATCCTTAACAAAATACTAGCTAACCGAATCCAACAACATATCAAAAAGATAATCCACAAGTGGGTTTCATACCAGTGATTCAAGGATGGTTTAACATATGCAAGTCAATAAATGTGACATATCACATAAACAAAATTAATAACAAAAATCACATGATCATTTCCATAGATGCAGAAAAAAGCATTCAACAAAATCCAGGATCCCTTTATGATTAAAACTGTTGGCAAAATCAGCATACAAGTGATATACCACAATGTAATAAAAGCCATCTATGACAAACCCCCAGCCAACATGATACTGAGTGCGGAAAAGTTGAAAGCATTCCCTCTGAGAACTGCAACAAGACAAGGATGCCCACTCTCACCAGTCATCTTCAACACAGCACTGGAAGTCCTAGTCAGAGCAATCAGACAAGAGAAATAAATAAACGGCATCCAAATCGGTAAACAGGAAGTCAACCGGTCACTGTTTGCTGATGATATAATCATTTACCTCAAAATCCCTAAAGATTCCTCCAGAAAGCTCCTAAAACTGATAAAAGAATTCTGCAAAGTTTCTGGATACAAAATTAATGTACAAAAATTAGTAGCTTTTCTATACACCCATAGCAACCAAGCAGAGAATCAAATCAAAAAATCATCCCCTTTTACAATAGCTGCAAAAATATAAAATTCTTAGGAATACACCTAACCAAGGAGTTGAAAGACATCTACGAGGAAAACTACAAAACACTGCTGAAAGAAATCAAAGATGACAGAAACAAATGGAAACACTTCCCATGCTCATGGATGGGTAGAATCAATATTGGGAGAATGACCATACTACCAAAAGCAATCTACAAATTCAACACAATCCCCATCAAAATAACACCATCAGTCTTCACAGAATTAGAAAAACAACTCCAAAATTCATAAGGAACCAAAAAAGAGCCCACATAGCCAAAGCAAGACTAAGCAAAACAACAAATCTGGTGGCATCACACTACCGGATTTCAAACTATACCATAAGGCCATTGTCACCAAAACAGCACGGTACTGGTATAAAAATATGCACATAGACCAATGGAACAGAATAGAGAACCCAGAAATAAACCTAAATACTTAACAGCCAACTGATCTTCAACAAAGCAAACAAAAACATAAAGTGGGGGAAAGAACACATTTCAACAAATGGTACTGGGATAATTGGCTAGCCACACGTAGGAGAATGAAACTGTATCCTCATCTCTCACCTTATACAAAAATCAACTCAAGATAGATTAAGGAATTAAATCTAAGACCTGAAACTATAAAAATTCTAGAAGACAACATTGGAAAAACCCTTCTAGACATTGACTTAGGCAAAGATTTCATGACCAAGAACCCAAAAGCGAATGCAATAAAAACAGAGATAAATATCTAGGACTCAAACTAAAGAGCTTTTACACGGCAAAAGGAACAGTCAGCAGAGTAAATAGACAAACCACAGAGTTGGAGAAAATCTTCACAATCTGTACACTGACAAAGGACTAATATTCACAATCTACAATGAATTCAAACAAATCAGTAAGAAAAATACAAACTATCCCACCAAAAAGTGGGCTAAGGATGTGAATAGACAATTCTTAAAATAAGATATACAAATGGCCAACAAACATGTGAAAAAATGTTCAACATTGCTAATGATCAGGGAAATGCAAGTCAAAACCACAATGTGATACCACCTTACTCCTGCAAGAATGGCCATAGTAAAAAAAATCAAAAAACAGATGTTGGCATGGATGCAGTGATCAAGGAACACTTCTATGCTGCTGGTGGGAATGTAAGCTAGTACAACCACTATGGAAAACAGTGTGGAGATTCCTTAAAGAACTAAAAATAGAACTACCATTTGATCCAGCAATCCCACTCCTGGCTATCTACCCAGAGGAAAAGAAGTCATTATATGAAAAAGATACTCTCACATGCATGCTTATAGCAGCAAAATTCGCAGCTGCAAAATCGTGGAACCAACACAAATGCCCATCAATCAACAAGTGGATAAAGAAACTGTGATATATAGATGATGGAATACTACTCAGCCATAAAAAGGAATAAATTAACAGCATTTGCTGTGACCTGGATGAGATTGGATGAAATTGGAGACTATTCTAAGTGAAGTAACTCAGGAACAGAAAACCAAACATCGTATGTTCTCACTGATATATGGGAGCTAAGCTATGAGGACGCAAAGGCATAAGAATGATACAATGGACTTTGAGGACTTGGGGGAGAGTGGCCTAGGGGCGAGAGATAAAAGACTACAAATAGCGTGCAGTTTATACTGCTCAGGTGATGGGTGCACCAAAATCTCACAAATCACCACTAAAGAACTTACTCATGTAACCAAACACCACCTGTACCCCAATAACCTATGGAAAAAAATAATTTAATCATGAATCACAAAATCAATTAACTATGGTTGCCAGGTATTTAACATAAAGGAGGAAAGGGGGCCTCCTGTAAGAATTCTGCTGCTAGTATAATCATATTTTGTTCTTTGTTCTGCAGCTGACACTTTGTCTCATTGTCAGGAAAACTCAAAGGATTAGGTTACTGAAACAGAATATCCTACATCAAGGAGGTAGCAACTCTTTAGCTCCATCTGATAATGTCTACACAGAGATGGAGTCTTTGTTGCTGAGCTATCCCAATTCTTACCAGAAGCTGGAAATCCAGATTTTTTTTTTGAATTCCCAGTTTAAAATTTTTAACAATGCAGAATACAAACAAAAGATATATCCAGGCAAAATATAGCCTTCTGACCGTGGTATCTCTATACTACACAGATAAAGTCTGTGTTAAAAATGGTATGGAAATACCTGATTTAAGTTAGTAAAATTTCAAATATAAGCTGGTTTTCTTAATATACATGTGAAACACTGAAATTTGTATATGGTAATATAGTGGAAAGATTATCAGTCTGGGTTTGAAAAGACCTATACTTTCATCCTTATATTACTTAATAAATTTATGAACAGTATTTACTCATCATCTATAAGAATAAAACAAGAAACACAAGATACTTGGGAAGTTATAGTATACTAAAATCCATGAAATTATAACTAAATTGTATTGGTAATAATGTTAATTTGAAATCAGTAACTTCAATGTAGTTCTTTATAATTCATATCATTGTGTATATGGTCTATAAAGAAGTATACAGTAAAAATTCATCTTCTCTCCTGACCCTTCGATTTAATGAGCAGCCTCCCATTCCGCCTCAGCACTTCATGAAGATAGACAAAAATTGGGGGAAAGGGTAGTTATGACCTCATAGACAAAAATTGGTGGAAAGGGTAATTATTACCTTGCTGGTAACTTGTTTTAAACGCTTTCTAAGATACAGTAATTTATATTTATATGCTTAATTCTAGTTAAGTCACATATACTATTAATCAGAGAAATCAAGATGACTCACGCTTGACAATTTCTAGTAGATATTTTAGTAGTATGATACACTCTTTCGTAGTTAGTCATCTACCAACCTTAGTCCTCAAATCATAGAAGGATGATTTCTTTATGACTTCAATGACATGTTTAGTAAGCTAGAACTAGAGGGGAAATATTCTCAAGCTTCAGAAGAATTTAAAAAAAAAAACTTCAAAGAGAAAATGTAATCATCTGAAAAAGTGTGATAAAGTTTGCTCATTGGAATTGAAATGGTCCTTGGTTAAAAGTTTTGAAAAGTAAATTAAAATGCCAAGCACAACGGATAACTTTAGCAATAAAGAATACACTTCGTTCTCACTCACACTGTAAAAGGAAAAGAATTCAGTCCAATTAAATATTCATGAAACAAAAGATCAAGGCTTCACGTCTTAGATCAAGTTCAAGACTGGGCATGAACTAATGATCCAATAGTTTATATGAATATTAAACATTTAGTAGAGGAATAACTCAGAATTATACTTTAAAATGGATTCCATTGTAATTGACAGAGCTAATTTTACCAATTCTGGATAAAAAACTGATTGACACTGAACATAACTATATCAAAGACCACATATTGAGAATCAATCAATTGATGAGTTTCCCTAAGTTCTAGAAATTAATGTTACCTCTTAGTAGATGCACTGATTGTTCTCATTATATTGTAGTAATACTTGTTCTTTCCCCCAAACCTTTTATCTTCTTGCACATATTAAATATGAACTGATATGCAAAGATAAATATGCAAATTCAGTGATATTCTTTGCCCAAAACTTGCTGCAAATTTAGATTAAAAGTGAGTCATCTATGTATTGTTTTTAGCCTTCGATGTTAATAAAGACACTGAATATATTAATCATTTGAAATAAAAACTCTCTCCTGAAACCTCCATGGAAACAGGTGTAAGTAATTTCACTTCAAAAGATTAATGGTATAGAAATATATCCAAAGAAACTTTGACCAATTTGACATCCTCTTTTTAAATATTCAGGAAAAAGTGAGGTTAACCCAGCCTCAGGCAGAGTGCCTTCTCTGAGCATATATAAACCGGTGAAATGTGCAAGAGGCCTGAGAAGCAGCTAAGAGGTCCAGCAAAAATAATCATCTGCTCTTCATGCCGAGAGGCAACAAGCACTGTAGGTAAGATAAAGTTCCAGACTCTCAATCCATCTTTAGTGTAGCAGGCCTGTGGCCATACTTCCCTCCAGAAGGTGCCTTGTCCATCACTACAATCAGTTCAACCAAAGCATTTTATCCATTTATTTATTTTCAAGTTGTCAACGACATTTTGGAAAGCAAAGGGAGACAAAGCTTCTTTTAAAAAGCCTAAGGGATTTGTTATTTATTTTGAGAAAAATGACCTGGAGACATGTTTTGCAAAACTGCTAATAAAAAAGCTCTGAGTGCCATTATGCCAGCTGAACCAAAATAAAGATTTTCAAGTTATATACCAGAGTAATATGATAAAATATGGTGAAATTCAGAAAAAAATCTAATGAAATAGAGAGGTTAGATACAAAGTAATTTATTAGTAAATGAAGTCATTCTCATTTGGTCAGCCTTGTGTTTATTCATGTTATCTGAAACTTTTACAAAATTTTTTAAATGGTGTTTAAAATTAGACCATAGCTTTTACTAAAATGTTCATTGTAAAAAGTCACTGAGATAAGAATTCATATATCCTTTTAAAGATTGCATGAATCATATTTTAACATTTGTTTAGTTTATGTTTTATACTAACAGCATCTAGAGTGTGAGGTTTCAACATGACCTTTACTATACAGATCATGAATTTTACAGTTATCCCCATGTAATGGGTGTTTAATAAGTGTTTCTTGGATGTTTTAACAATTTTTTAAAATCAAGATGTCTTAACATTGAGTCAATAGAGGACACTTAATAGATCTATGAGTCCCTATATCATACACAAAATGTTTGTGTTGATGTACGAAATCTGTATTTCATCAGATTTCCAAAGGGCACCATGACCTCACTCTCAAAAATGTTTGCCTGTTTTCTTTAAAATAAATATAAATGCGTGAATTTTTAAAGCAGTATGATATAATAGAAAACCTAAGATTTGCCAAACACCCTCAAGAACCTAATACTTTGCAGTGATTTGTTAGGGGCATTTCTGTTAAATTTAAAAAGAAAGCAAGAATGTTGATTATGACCACCTGTTTTCAAATTGTACTGAGGTCTTATCCAATACAGTTACATAAGAAAAATTAAACAATAATAAGAGACATAAAGGTTGGAAAGAAATGTAAACAAGGGTATTATGTTTAGATCATATGATCATCTATATAACAAACATGAAATAATGTATAGACAATTATTAGAAATGAGTTCAGGAAGACTGATAACAAGATCAATATCCTAAAATATATACAGATCATGAATTTTACAGTTATCCCCATGTAATGGGTGTTTAATAAGTGTTTCTTGGATGTTTTAACAATTTTTTAAAATCAAGATGTCTTAACATTGAGTCAATAGAGGACACTTAATAGATCTATGAGTCCCTATATCATACACAAAATGTTTGTGTTGATGTACGAAATCTGTATTTCATCAGATTTCCAAAGGGCACCATGACCTCACTCTCAAAAATGTTTGCCTGTTTTCTTTAAAATAAATATAAATGCGTGAATTTTTAAAGCAGTATGATATAATAGAAAACCTAAGATTTGCCAAACACCCTCAAGAACCTAATACTTTGCAGTGATTTGTTAGGGGCATTTCTGTTAAATTTAAAAAGAAAGCAAGAATGTTGATTATGACCACCTGTTTTCAAATTGTACTGAGGTCTTATCCAATACAGTTACATAAGAAAAATTAAACAATAATAAGAGACATAAAGGTTGGAAAGAAATGTAAACAAGGGTATTATGTTTAGATCATATGATCATCTATATAACAAACATGAAATAATGTATAGACAATTATTAGAAATGAGTTCAGGAAGACTGATAACAAGATCAATATCCTAAAATAATGAGAGTATCAATAAATTGGGGGAAAGAGGGAGGAAAGAACACAAAATTTAAAAGATTATATTCCCTAAATATAAATTATAAGAACCCTGGAATAATTCTAGCACTAAAGATATATTTCATAGAAAAAAATGAAAAACTTGAAGAGAAAAATATTAAACAAATGGAAATTTCATAAAATAAATGGGAATACAGAAAGTTCATGTAGTTTCTTTTAACAAGGTACAAAACACAAACTCTAGAAGAAAATGATAACACAACTAATTTTCTTTTTTTTTGATATGGAGTCTTGCTCTGTTGCCCAGGCTGGAGTGCAACGGCACCATCTCTGCTCACTGAAACCTCTGCCTTTCGGGTTCAAGTGATTCTCCTGCCTCAGTCTCCCAAGTAGCTAAGATTACAGGCACATGTCACCAGGCCCAGCTAATTTTTGTATTTTTAGTAGAGACGGGGTTTCGCCATGTTGGCCAGGCGGTCTCACACTCATGACCTCAGGTGATCTGCTCGCCTTGGCCTCCCAAATTGCTGGGATTACCGGCTTGAGCCACCACGCCCAGCCAATACAACTAATTATATTTAAAATTAACGATTCATTTGGTAAATGACCCCATAAAAGACAGTTTACAAACATCAAGCAGACATTTTTGAGATTTATAAATGATAAAGATATGGTATCTACAATATGTTAAAATGTTTACGAATCAATAATAATTTTTAAAAACCTTGCAGAAACTCAGTATACGGTGGTAGTGGAAATAGACCTAGGAGTGAGGGTAGAGGTACTTATCATTGGCGGCGGCAGCAATCATTTTTATGTTTATTTTGCATCTCAAGTGATAGTAGTCCAGAGAGGTCTCGCTCAAAATCAAACAGCTTGCCAAATCTAAAGTACCTGTTTTTGTTAAATCCCAAATCCAGTTTTTGCTGTTGTTGTTGTCGTTTTACTTTAAGTTCTGGGATACATGTGCAGAATGTGCAAGTTTGTTACATAGGTATACGTGTGCCATGTTGGTTTGCTGTACCTATCAACCCATCACCTAGGTTTTAAGCCCTGCATCCATTACTTGTTTGTCCTGATGCTTCCCCTCTCCTTCCCCCTCGACTGACAGGCCCCAGTGTGTGTTGTTCTCCTCCTTGTGTCCAGTTTTAATCTATTGTTACAATGCTATTCCACTGACTTCAATTATTGGATAAATAAATGCCTTTATTTGAAACAAAATAATTAATATGTGACCACATTGTGAATAAGAGGAAACAAATACTCATAGCAAATTGGAAGGGAAATCAGTATAAAAGAGCTAACTCAGCATAATTACAGCAGAGCAAGATGTGGCCAGTCATTACAGCAATGGTAAAACAAAACACAAACTAAAAAAACTCTAACAATTTATTATCGTTTTAAGCAAAATTTATCAGCTAATTTTGTGATTGATATGCATAAATAACAAAGATTAATGAATTAAGTGGAAGGCATTTTCATTATATTTCCTAGCAATAAGATTAATGATATATGTAATATCATAAACCTCTGAAGTTATGAAAAAATTTTCAAAGTATAAATATGTCATATAAAGAATTCATTTTCATTTAGATGTCATGACTTGAGAAAATGTTTTACAAGTTATTGGCTCTGTCAATTAAGAATTTATTGAGACTATGTTATAATGTCCATAAAATAACAATTTTTATGTAATTCTAATAATGTGACTCCTGTAGCTTTATTATATGACCTCCTTTATGTCTAGCAATAATTTTTGCTTAAGTCTATTTTTTATCATCTTAACATAGTTATACTAGATGGCATTGTACTATATTTTATCTTTTAAGTTTTAATTTTTTTCATTACTGATATTTTAGATACCACCATTTAAATAGTATATAATTGGAATTTATACTTTTATGCAGGACTCTTTTTAACTTTCACATGAAATATTTATTCCTTTTACATTTAGTTTAATTACTAATATATTTGTGTCTACATATACCATCTTACTTCACACTTCCAATGCATTTTTCCTGTTTGTTTTTCTTTTCTTCTTTCTTTCCTTTTGGTTGTTGTTTTTTGTTTAAATAGACATCTTTCTCATGGTTTATTTTTTTCTCTTCAACACTGATTCTATAATTGCTATGTTTTGAATGTGTCCCCCAAAGTTCTTGTGCTGAAAACTTAATCCCCAATGTGACAGGGTTGAGAAGTGCAACCTTTAAAAGGTGATTACATAATTAAGGTTCTGCCTTCATGAATAAATTAATATCATTATCACAAAAGTGGGTTTGTTATAAAAGGGAGTTCAGCACCTCTTGTTTGCCCAGCTCTCTTGCACTTTGTGCTTCTGCTTTCCACCATGGAATGATTCAGCAAGAAGGTCCTTGCTTGACAACAGCCCTTGCTTCATCTTGGACTTCCCAGCCTCCAGAACTGTAAGAAATAAATCTCTGTTTTGTACAAATTACCTAGTCTGTAGAATTCTTTTATAGCAGCACAAACCAAGCTAAGAAAATTATTTTTGCTTAGACTTAGTGTACAAATTATGACACACATGCATAATTTGTCAATGTCAAAAATTAATCAGTTAATATATTCTTTTTTTGACAATTCAAGGATTTCAGTTACTACTACTACTCACTTATATGTTGTTGTTTGTATTAGTTATATCTTGTACCTTTTAATATCAAAACATTATTAGATGTGTGTATAAAGATAATTTAGACTTACTACATATTTACCATTTTTATTATTCATTCTTTCTCACAATATCTACTGTTTCCCTCAGAATCACTTTGCTTCCCCTTGAAGTACATCTTTTAGATTTTCCTTTAATAAGAATCTGGTAATGGGAATTTTTTTTTATTTTGTTTGTTTTAAGATGTTTTTGCTTTACCTTAATTTTTGACATTTACTTTTACATAGTATAAAATTCTAGGTTGACACATTTTCATTCAGCACATTGAGGATATCATTTCACTATTCACTGATGCTATTGTTGGTACTCAGAAGCAAGTTATAAGTGTATTTTTTTTCTAGCATCTGAGGACTGATGTATTCTCTATATCCAGAAAATCCTCAAGCATTATTTATTACAATATAATTTATGTTCCTTTTTCTCTTTTGTCACCTGTTGGAACTCCAATTAGACATATGTTGGACTTTCTTATGATAGTACTCTGTGGATTTTTATCTCCTTTAGAGTTCCCTTCTCTTCATACCTCCATTTTATACTCTGGACAATTTATTTTATTCAATTTTGTAGTTCACTAATGTTCTCATTACTTCATCTAAGTAGATGGTAAATGTATTCATTAACTCTTTAAGTTTTATTTTTAATTATTTTATCTTTTATTTATTAGAGATTCAATTTTATTAATTTTTAAATCTCTTTGGTCCTTTTGTAGTTTTCTGCACCATGAAGATCTTTTCAAGTACATTTTCTTTCAAACATAGTAAGTACTATATTTAATAATATGTTCCTGATAGCTCCCAAATTTGATATCTTTGCAGGTCATTTCCTCTTTCTAGTATTTTTGTTTTGTCTTATTTTGTTTCCTTGCTCGTAGCCAGCTTCCCTTTTTCCTTGGCCATTTATTTTTAGGAATTCTTTGAGGTCATATTAGCAGGCCTTCCTTCATGGCACATTGGCATTTGCTTCTGCAAGGCACCTGGGGATACTCCCACCTTGAATGAAACTCACATTGCAAGGTATCTTGGGCAGCCCAGGTGATGTGGTTTGTCCTACAAGTCACCAATAACAAGTTTGTAGTTATAATGTCTTATAGAATTGCCCCCACTTTTCTGCCCAAACTTTGCCCCACAGGGTTATTATGTTTATAATCCTGCTCCAAAAAAATTATCTGTCTCTGCCATTCAAAGATGTCTGTAATTCAAACATAACCAAAACAAACAAATAAACAAAAATCTGTGAGTGTCTTTTGACCAGAAAACATGCCAGAATTATCTCACAAAATAAGTTAATTACCAATATCTAGCTCAATATATTAATTATGCCAGAGGTTACAATTTTTTGAATTTTTGCATGAGTGAAAAATCAGAATTTGGTGATGACCTTGAGCAGTAAGATACAAATAAATCCCACATGCTTACCTTCCCCAACTCCTGGTAACCATCCTTCTAGACTCTATATCCATGAGTTCAATTGTTTTGATTTTTAGATCCCACAAATAAGTGAAAACATGTAATGTGTGTCTTTCTCTCCCTGGTTTATTTCACTTAACATAAGGATCTCTACTTCCATCCATGTTACTGTATTTCATACATATACCACATTTGCTTTATACATTCATCTGTTGATGAATACTGAGGTTGCTTTTAAATCTTAGCTTTTGTGCACAGTGCTACAACAAACATGGAAGTGCAGATATTTCATTGATATACTGATACATATTGATATAGTGATGTCCTTTCTATACCCAGCAGTGGGATTGCTGAATCGTATATTATTAAATTTTTAGTTTTTTGAGAAACCTGCAAACTGTTCTCCACAGTGGTTGTGCTAATTTATATTCCCACCAACAGTGTACAAGTGTTCCGTTTTCTCCACATCCATGCCAGCATTTGTTATTGCTTCTTTTGGATATAAACCATTTTAACTGAGGTGAGGTTAAACCATTTTAACTATAAACCATTGTAGTTTTGATTTGATTTGCATTTTTCTGATGATCAGTTATGTTGAGCAGCTTTTCATATGCCTGTTTGCCATTCATATGTCCTCTTTAGAGAAATGTCTATTCAAATATTTTGCCCATCTATTTAAAAATTTTTTTTCATGTAGAGTTGTTTGAGCTTTTTATATACTGTGGTTATTAATCCCTCAGATGGGTAGTTTGCAAATGTTTTCTCCCATTCCATAGGTTGTCTCCTCACTTTATTGATTGTATCCTTTGCTGTGCAGAAGCATTTTAACTTGATGTAATCCTATTTGTCCATTTTGGCTTTGGTTTCCTGTGCTTATCCAGTATTTCTTAAAAAAATTTTTGCTCACACCATTGTCCTGGAGATTTTCCCCAGTGCTTTCTTATAGTAGTTTCATAGTCTGAGGTCTTAGATTTAAGTCTTTAATCCATTTTGATTTTGTTTTTGTAAATGGTGAGCGATTGGGGTCTAGTTTCATTATTCTGCAGGTGGATATCCATTTTTCCCAGCACAATTTATTGAACAGACTTTCTTTACCCCAGTGTATGTTCTTGGCATCTTTGTCAAAAAGGAGTGTGTGGATTTGCTTCCTCATTCTCTATTCTGTTCTATTGGTCTATGTATCTGATTTTATGCCATGCTGTTTTGGTTACTATAGCTCTACAGTATAACTTGAAGTAAGGTAATGTGATTCCCACAGTTTTGTTCTTTTTGCTTAGGCTAGCTTTGGCTATTCTGGGTCTTTTGTGGTTCTAAACGAATTTTATTTTTTTTTTCTATTTCTATGAAGAATTCCATTGGTACTTTGATAGACATTTCATTGAATCTGTTGATTGCTTTGGGTGTGGACATTTTAACAATATTGATTCTTCCAATCTATTAACATAGAATGTTGTTCCATTTTTGTTGTCCTCTTCAATTTCTTTCATCAGTGTTTTATAGTTTTTGTTATAGAGATCTTTCACTTCTTTGGATCAGTTAATTTCTAAGTAAATTAATTTTAAAAATAATCCCATTTATAATTGCCATATCCCTCTATGTGTGGCTACTATAAATGGGATTACTTTTTATATTTCTTTTTCACATTCTTCACCATTGGCATATAGAAATACTACTGGTTTTGTATGTGTATTTTGTATCCTGAAACTATGAATTTGTTTATCAATTCTAATAGTTTTCTTGTGGAGTCTTCAGGTTTTTCAAATAAAACATCATATCAAGCATATCAAAATTAAACCATATGCTCCTGAATGACCAGTGGGTCAATGAAGAAATTAATAAGGAAATTGAAATTTTTTTAAACAAATGATAATGAAAACACAACATACCAAAACCTATGGGATACAGCAAAAGCAGTACTAAGAGGGAAGTTTATGGCCATAAGTGCATACATCAAAGAAAAAAAAAGGCAAAACTTCAAATAAAAACATCTAATGATGCATCTTAAATAACTAGAAAAGCAAGAGCCAACCAAATCCCAAATTAGTAGAAGAAAAGAAATAAAGATCAGAGCAGATCACCTGCAAACAAAGATAATTTGACTCTTCCTTTCCAATTCGGATGCCCTTTATATCTTTCTCTAGTCTGACTGCTCCAGCTAGGACTTTCAGTACTATGTTGAATAACAGGGTAAGAGTGAGCATCCTTGTCATGTTCCAGATATTAGATCTTCAGTTTTTTCCCATTCAGTATGATACTATCTGTGGATCTGTTGCATACGGTTTTTATTATGTTGAGGTATGTTCGTTCTATCCTCAGTTTTTTTGATGGTTTTTATCATCAAGGGATGTGGAATTTTGTCATATGCTTTTTTAGCATCAATTGAAATAATCATATGGTTTTTGTCCTTCATTCTGTTGATATGATGTATCACATTGATTACTTTGCATATGTCGAACCATCCTTGCATCCCAGGGATAAATCCCAGTTCATCATGATGAATGATCTTTCTAATGTGTTGTTGAATTCCGTTTACTAGTATTTTGTTGAGTACTTTTGCATCAATATCTATCAGAGATATTGGCCTGTGGTTTTCTTTTTGTCTAGTTTTGGTATCGGGGTAATACTGGCTTTGCATAATGAGTTTGGAAGTATTCCCTCCTTGTCTATTTTTTAAAATAGTTTGAGAAATATTGGTATTAGTTCTTCAAATGTTTGGTAGAATGCAGCAGTGAAGCCACCAGGTCTTAGGCTTTTGTTTACTGGGAGATGATGTATGATGTCTTTGATCTCATTACCTGTTATTGGTCTGTTCAGGTTTTGAATTTCTTTCTGGTTTAATTTTGGTAGGTTGTATGTATCTAGAAATTTGTTCTAGATTTTCAAATGTATTGGCAAATAGTTGTTCATAATGGCTACTAATGATCCTTTGCATTTCTGAAGTATCAGTTGTAATGTCTTCTTTTTCATTTCTGGTTTTATTTATTTGGATCTTCTCTTTTCTTAGCCTAGCTAAAAGTTTGTCAATTTTGTTTAACTTTTCAAAAAAACATCTTTTGGTTTCATTGATCTTTTTTTCATTTTCATTTATTTCTGCTCTGATCTTTATTTCTTTTCTTCTACTAATTTGGGGTTTGGTTGGCTCTTGCTTTTCTAGTTATTTAAGATGCATCATTAGATTTTTTTATTTGAAGATTTTCCTTTTTTTTCTTTGATGTAGGCACTTATAGCCATAAAATTCCCTCTTGGTACTGCTTTTGCTGTATCCCATAGGTTTTGGTATGTTGTGTTTTCCTTATCATTTGTTTAAAAAAATTTCAATTTCCTTCTTAATTTCTTCATTGACCCACTGGCCATTCAGGAGCATATGGTTTAATTTTCATATATTTGCATAGTTTCCAAAATTCCTCTTAATACTAATTTCTAGGTTTATTACATTGTGGTCAGATGAGATGTTTGATATTATTTCCATTTTTGAATGTTTTAAGACTTGTTTTGTGACTTAACATATGCTCTATTCTTGAGAATGACCCACAGACTGAGGAAAAGAATGTGTATTCTGCAGCTCTTGGATAAAACGTTCTGTAAATATCTATTAGATCCATTTGATCTATAGTGCAGATTAAGTCTGATATTTCTTTGTTGTTTTTCTGTCTGGTAGATCTGTTCAGTGCTGAAAGTGGAGAATTAAAGTCTCCAGCTCTTACTGTAGGGGGGCCTATCTCTTTCTAGCTGTAATAATATTTTCTTTAAATATCCTGGTGCTCCAGTGCTGGGTGTGTGTGTATGTGTGTGTGCATATATATATATATATATATATATATATATATATATATATATATATATATGCGCCACCGTGCCCAGCCAACAATTTAATATATATATATAATATATATTGGGACTCACTATTCAGTGTCATTATAGATAAGTAAAAACTTACTCCTGTCATTTTGTTATTTGCTTTCTGGTTGTTTTGTGGTTTTCTCTTCCTTCTTTCACTCCTGTCTTCCTCGAGTGAAGATTTTCTCCGGTGATATGATTCAGCATCTTGCTCTTTATTCTTTGTGTATCCATTGTATGTTTTTGGGTTTGAGATTACCAAGAAGTTTGCAAATACTATCTCATAACCCATTTTTTTTAACCTGATAACAACCTAACACTATTTGCATAAACAAAAAACAAACAAACAAAAGAAAACTAATAAAAACTTGCCTTAACTTCTTCCTTCTACCTTTTAAGTTTTTGTTATTTATATTTATGTCTTACTGTACTGACCATATCTTGAGAAGTTGTTGTGGTTATTTTTTATTGGTTCATTGCTTAGTCTCTCTACTTAGGAGTAGTTTACACACCACAGTTACAGTGTTATAACATCCTGTGGGTTTTTTTGTGTACTTACTATTTCTAGTGAGATTTGTACTTTTGGATGATTATCTTTTGCTTCTGATTGTCCTTTTCTTTCTGATTGAAGCACTGCATTTAGTATTTCTTGTAGAATAGGTCTGGTGTTGATGAAATCCCTCAGCTTTTGTTTGTCTCTGGAAGTCTTTATTTCTCTTTCATGTTTGAAAGATATTTTTACAGATATACTATTCTAGGGTAAAAGTTTTTTTTTTCTTCCAACACTTTAAATTGTCATGCCACTCTCACCTTGTCTGTAAGGTTTCCACTGAAAAGTCTACTACCAGACATATGGGAGTTCTGTTGTAGGGTATTTGTTTCTTTTCTCTTGCTGCTTTTAGGATCCTTTATTTATCCTTGAATTTTGCAAGATTGATTAGTAAATGTTTTGAGATAGTTTCCTTTGAGTTAATTCTGCTTGGTGTTCTGTAACCTTCTTGTACTTGGATATTAATATATTTCTCTAGGCTTGGGAAGTTCTCTGTGTATTATCCCTTTGAATAAGTTTTCTACCCTTATCTCTTTCTCTAGCTCCACTTTAAGGTCATTAACTCTTAAATTTGCCCTTTTGAGGCTATTTTCTAGATCCTGAAGGCATGCTTCATTGTTTTTTATTCTTTTTTTTTTTTTTTTTGTCTCCTCTGGCTGTTTGTTTTCATATATCCTGTCTTCAAGCTCACTAATCCTTTCTTCTGCTTGATCAATTCTGTTATCAAAGGACTCTGATGCATTCTTCAGTATATCAATTGCACTTTTCAGGTCCACAATTTCTTCTTGATTCTTTTTAAATTATTTTAATCTCTTTGTTAAATTTATTTGATAGAATTCTGAATTTCTTCTCTGTGTTATCTTGAATTTCTTTGCATTTCCTCAACACACCTATTTTGAGTTGTCTGTCTGAAAGGTTATATATCCCTGTTTCTCCAGGTTTGATCCCTGATGCCTTATTTAACTCATTTGGTGAAGTCTTGTTTTCCTGGATGGTGCTGATGCTAGTAGATGCTCTTCTGAGTCTGGGCATTGAAAGAGTTAGTTATTTATTGCAGTGTTCACTGTCTGGGCTTATTTGCAGCTGTACTTCTCAGGAAGAATTTCCAGATATTACAAAAGACTTGGGTGTTGTGATCTAAGCTGTTTCTGCTTTAGGGAGCGCCCTAGCCCAGTAACACTATGGTTCTTGAAGACTTATGGAGGTACCACCTTGAAGGTCTTAGACAAGATCTGGGAGAATTCTCTGGATTACCAGAGACTCTTGTTCTCTTCCCTTACTTTTTCCCAAACATAGTTTCTCTCTCTCTCTCTCTCTCTCTCTCTTTCTGTTTAGAGCCACTAAACTAAAGATGGGGATGGAGTGACACAAGCTCCACTTTTGGCCTCTACCACTATGACTGCACTGGGTGAGACCTGAAGCCAGCATAGCACTGGGTCTCACCCAAGGCCTGCTATAACCACTCCCTGGCTACTGCATAGGTGCTTTCAAGACCCTGGGACTTTACAGTCAGCAGGTGAGCAAAGCCAGCCAGACCTGTGTCCTTCCCTTCAGGGCAGCGAGGTCCTCTGGGCCTCGAGTGGGTCCAGAAGTGTCATCCTGGAGTCAGTGACTAGAGTCAAAAACCTTAGAATTCTGCCTGATATTCTATTGTATTGTGGCTGACTTGGCACTCAAATCATAAGATGCAGTTCTTCTCACTCTTCCCTCCCCTTTCCAAAGGCACAGGAGCCTCATGCTGTAGCCACCACCACCCCAGGCCATGAGGAGTACTGCCATATTACCACTGATGTTCCCTTCAGGCCCAAGGTCTCTTAAGTCAACTTGTGGTGAATGCTGCCTGGCCTGGGACTCACCCTTCAAAGCAGTGGGCTCCCCTCTGGCCCAGGGCAGGTCCAGAAATGCCATTTAAGAATAAAATCCTGGAATCAGGGACCCAAAAGCCCGCTTGGTGCTCTACGCCCCTGTGACAGTGCTGGTACCCGAAGCCAGCAAGTCTCGGAGGCTCACCAAGGTCTTCAATGTAGTGTCTGGTTATCTGTAGTATCTCTGGTTATTTAGGGCCAAATGGCTCTTCAGTTGATGAATGCTGGCAGGACTGGGTCCTTTACTTCAAGGCAGAGGGCTCCCTTCTGGCCCAGGGTATGTCTAGAAATGTCATCTAAGAGCTAGGGCCTGGGGCAGGGACCTCATGGCTCTGACCAGTACCCTATCCTGCTGTGGCTGAGCTGGTATACAAGATGCAAGACAAAATTCTCCCCACTCTTCCCTCTTCTCTCCTCAAGTGGAAGGAAGGGATCTCTGGAGCTGCAAGCTGTGCAGCCTAGGGTTAGAAGAGGGGTAATGCCAGTACTCCCTTGGCTGCCCCAGCTGATGTCTCAGTATGTTCCATTCCCAACCAGTTCACTGTCTCTGGGCCTAGTTCAGCCCTAGGACTCATCTAAGAGGTGCAGCCTTTATGGCCTAGACTGCCTTTCAGGTTTACTTAGAGACCAAGAGAACTTGGGCACTGAGTGGTGAGGTTTGTGAGCACTCAAGTTTGGACCACTTACATAGGCAATTCCCCTCTGGCTACAGCTAGTTTAAATGCACCTTCTTTGGGCAGGCATCAGCTGAGTTTGGTCTGGTTTTCCTTTCTGCTCTAACAGGACAGCACTGAGTTCAATGACTCATAATTGCTGTGTTCTCTCTTCATTGCCTCTTTCAGCGATATGAAGTTAAAACCAGGTACTATGAGTGCTCATCTGATTTTTGGTTCTTATGAAGGCGTTTTATTTCTTAGTTGTTGATTTGGTGTCCTTGTAGGGGCAGGGATTGGTGGATCTTTCTATTTCACCATCTTGCTCCACCTCTCTCTGACTGTCTTACATTGAGTTGTATCCTTTGATAAAAATACAACGTCCATATCTATAATTAATACAAATAAATGTTATTAACAAATAAGGTAAGAATTAACTATAAGGATTAATGTTTTCTGGATGGTAATTTGGTTGGGTAGATTTTTCAATATAGATATTACAGATGGAGACCTTAAATGACTTAGGTTGTATTTTTACCATTAAAAATTAAACATTAATAAAGAATGAATCTATAATGCACTAAATTAGGGAAATATTCACTGTCAGAGCAATTCTAGGCCTAAGAAGATATCCTTCAATAAACATACATGTTGTAAAAAATGCCATGAAAATACTCTAAAAAAAATTCCAAAATTCAGCTACTTGAAACAACAATTTATTTATTCCCATCTAAATGTGTATTGGCTGAGGGAAGACTGGTCTAGACTGAGCTTACCTGGGCAGCTCTGCTGACCCCAACTAGCCCCACAGTTGCATCTGAGAGTCTATTTGTCTAATCTAGTCTGGGATTCACTGGACAGCTGTGGCTCTGCTCCACATATCTCATCCTTCTCCTGGATCCAGAGTACTAACTGTGGATGAGTACTAACTGTGGATCCAGAGTACTAACTGTGGATCCAGAGAACTAACTGTGTGGCTCTGCTCCACATATCTCATCCTTCTCCTGGATCCAGAGTACTAACTGTGCCTCCCATATTGATAGCAGATGCTTCAAAGCACAAAGAGAGAAACATGCAAAACTTCTTAAGGCCTAGGCTTGGAATTGATTCACAGTCACTCTGGCCCATTCTATTCACCAAAGTCATGTGGCCGAACGCAAAATGAAAAAGAAGAAAATATGCTGTATCCACGAATATGGGATAAAAAGAGTAAATACATTTTAATAATAAGTAGATAGACTACTGTACAGTAAATATACAAAACACATTGCAGCAGTTTCTATTAATATATAGCAAAGTATAATAGCAAATACTTGAGATGTTCAATTTAGAATATATTAAAGAGTAATATTTTCATATATAATTGGCAAACTAGCCATTTTAAAAAGTGTTACTTATGTATGTTCTGATGATAAACATATCCCAAACATATCTTAATTGAATAAAAGTATGAACAGTGTCATGAAATAAAGGGTTAAAGTAACGAGTCTTTATTTATACCTATTACCTGGAGAAGGATTGTAGTGGGGACTACTCCTAGAAACAAAAGAAGGAAAGTGATCCAGTCTAACCTCCTTTTAAATATGCTTATTTTATTTTATTTATAGCAGATTTATTTTTTTTTTCAGTAGTGTTTTAGCAGAATGTACCTGGCTTTCAGAAATTGTTTAAGGGAGAAAAAAGTCTGGAATATATAAATGTATTGATAATGACTTCTTGAAAAATGTTACAAAAGCTGCGCAACTATATGAGTATGAAATTTTGAGTTGTAAAATACTCCTCCTTTCTAGCTGAGATATCTTTATAACTCATCTGTTGACTTGAACTAGAGTGTATCCAGTGAGAGAAGAAAGGTGTGGGGAATCACCTTGGGGGGCCTGAAAACCTTGCTTCACCTGTGCCTCTTAACTATTGAATAATTATTAGGAAAGTTTGACCTTCAGTAAGATTTCTGATTTGTGTAGCTTTGACTTAACAATGAGATTCTTTGTGTTATTCCCAGTGTGTGTAGCATTTTAGCAATTATAGGGGATTTTCAAACAAAAGGGTACATCAAATGATGAATGGGAATATAAAATATTTATCATAGGTAGTCAAATGTTTAAAGATACACATATTTGTCAGTGAGTAAATTCTCATATTAAAATTAAACTTTTACTGAATGATTGTGTATAAAGGACCTATAAGACTTAATGTTATTAATCTTGAAAAAGTAAATTGATGGCTTAAAAACATATAGTCTAGCACACTAAAATTTAAAAAAAAAATAGAAAATAAAACAGACATAATGGGGAAGGAACAAAAGAAAGTAGAATAAATGAGAAAGAATAAATAATGATTATATTGATCTTTGTTTCTACATTGTACAATGAACAGCATGATATAAGCCAAAAGAAGAAAAAAAGGGATTGAATTGTGTTTGTTATATTTATTCTCACCTACTGTGATATATTGGCAAGTGCTAGTATCATAACCATGTGTTAATTAATAAATCATAATTCTCACTGTGGGATGCATTTCTAAGCACATATACTAATTCTGAAGAAAAACGTAGAAAATATAAAGTCTTTCCAAATCCGTAAGTTGGAACTTCTAATAAAAGGCTTCCTATATGCACCACAACTTGGAGGTCTCCACAAATTTCTGTATATAGGTTAGAAGAATGCAAAGTTCATCTTGGTGAAAAATTCTGGTCTTTGCCACAGGTAGTGTTGATACAGGTTAACGGATCAAACTGAGAATAGAGCTTTGTCTTTCAAACTGGCAAAATGGGATGACAAGTTGTCTTCCCTCCTTAATTTTGACAATTTGAGCATATAACCTCTATTCAGTTCAATAACAAAGACCTTTTATCTACATTTTAAGTTCTGTATTCACATGAATGTTTGTAATCCAGCCCCTGTTGGGTCAGATTAATTTATATTAATTATTATTTCTTCATTATACTCCAACTTCTGTAATAAATACAAAAACAAACAAGCTTTCTCCAGCACCGCATAGAATCTCATTGTCATTTCAAAATATTTTCTCAAATTATTTAATGTACCTAATAAAATACCCATTTGATCAGTTGCTTGAGTTGACAGCTCTCTTTACACATTCTTTTTCTCATACGTGTTCTTCATTAGATTCTAAGTTATTTGAATCACTGGATAAATCAACCAAAAATGTGTAACTCTTTTGCCTAGATTCCCAATACTAATCAATTGTGTAATTTCAATTAGTGTCCCTTGCAAGCCTAGTAAATAACCCAGAGATCACTTCAATTTATATTTCCCAAAGTTAGGTTACATAATTAGTACTTCAAATGTCTTTTAAAGTGAGTAGAAAATCAAATTCATACATAATTTTGCTTTGTTTTCTAATTGAGTAAAAATATATTTGCTCTGTTATCCAAGGAAACTATTTGACTTGATGGACATGGGTCTGAAACGCAATTCTGCTCTGTGATTACCAGTGAAATCAGAAAGGGGGCTGTGAAGGAACGCTTTTAAGTTCTTACCCAGGTTTCCATTATTTGCTAACAACACAAAATAAACCGAAAAATTATTTATAAAAATGAATTAATTGATGTGCAAAGACTTGTTTAAAACAGACTAAATAATTATCCAACCAAATTTAGAGTATTTTCTATTTCTGGTTAATGTAAAGAAGAAGTTCTAGTCCTAGGCCCTAGGTCCCTCCTATATGCACATTTTGAAGACAGCACTGAATAATGGCTCCATAGAAGCTCCTCTCTGTAACCTTGGTGAAATAATTTGATCTCAGCCCCCTCTGCTGCTAGCTTCAGAGCAATAATACCCAATTTTATGACATAGCTATTATTGTCCATGATCTCCTACTTTATGGATCTAAAAATACCAGCTAGCACCTTTTCAGCCAATAACTTTCAATTTAAGAGGGCAATAAAGTGAGTTTTTCTAAGTAAAAAAAAAAATACATTACTAGTTTATTGAAATTACAGTCTTCTATCTGTTTAAGAATATAAGTCAGATTCTTGTATAAGAGCTTTTCAATGAAGTAGCACTATATTTTGATGCCAATCTGTGGAATCTGGTCATCAAGGCAGCTGAAGCACTTAGGATCAAATTTATTCTGAGCTAGGGAAAGTTCTAGAAGTAAAACAATACAAAACAGAAGAGAAAGCTATTATTACTTTTTTATTGCTTCATGGGCTTTCTAAAAATATGTTTCTATCTTTCTTTATATTTTGTTTGAAGATGATTAGTTGTGAATTCTCAGTGCAAAACAAAATCTGAACAAATTGTTTAAGAATCCTCTCTCCCTTGATTTTGATGCTCCTATATCATCCAAGCTGCATAATGAAGAGTTTTTTAGCAGACAGGAAGAAAAGGCAGCAGGAATGAGGAAGATAGAGCTGTATGAATGGAAAAAAATTGCTCAATGAATTGGAAAGACATTTTGGATTTAAGAATGGGAAATATTAATCTACATGGTGGATTCTAATTCATTCCTTATATAAGTTAAGCAGTTTTTTAAAAAATCCAAACTATTGGTTTGGATAATTTTATTTAGTGTTACCTATTTTCTGCAATTCTAGTAATACATCAAAACAAAAGAAAACAGCATCATGTGTTGGCATTATCTAGACTTAAGACAACGATTTCTTATTAGTATGTTTATAATCAACAAAAATTGTTTCTAACTGATGATGTTTCAGCAACATTATGTATATCTCAAAGGAGAAAATTGCAAAGCAATTATTACAACTAAGAAAAACAGGAAGAGTAAAGGAGATCTTTACAGGACCATTTCCATGCTTCTGACTGGACCAAACCAAAACACACCTATGACTCTAACAAAGAAATATGTAAATTCCAGTTGAAATAAATCACTTAAAATAATAAACCCATTTTAATGCCCACATAAAGAATAAAAATCCAGCAGAATCATCAGATGTTTGTACATTTTTTGCATGTGACATTTTAAAAAGCTCCGTCAAAATCACTTTTATTATTTCAACAAGAAGGAATGCTTCCACAAGGCTTTTGTTATTAAAGAATGTGCTTACAGTATGATAATTGATGTCTAGTTCATTAAGCAGGTGTTCTGGGCAAGATAATATAGGGGAAATGGCAAATATGAAACACTGTTTTCCATTAACCCCTCTGGCACTGACAGTCGGAAGCTCCCCTTCTGAAGGCTAATCCATTTTGCTTAATGCTTAGCATTTTCAGATCCTAGCTTTGGGTGCCAGAAAGGTTTTATATTTGAAGTACAAGAAAAGCAGGTGGAGATTCTGAGCACCTAGTCAGTTATCCCTTGTGAAAATCAATTGATAAATGCCTAAAAGCACCAAAAGTAGAAAGCCTTTATAGAATTAGTATACACTAAACCAGGATACTTTATTCTTTATTATTAGAGCTGATGTTATAAGTTTCCTTTCATTACATTAATGAGAAGATTGCCTCTGTGTCTGTGTATCTGTGTGTTCATGTGTGTGTGTGTGTATACATGCATCTGCTATTTTCACCCATTAGAAGGTTCCCTGAACACACACTTATATTGTATCTAAGACTGTTAGTTAAGAAAGGTAAGGTTTTTGCTTTTGTTTTTGTTTTTAAAAAAAGGTAATGAATATTATTATTCACAATATTTAAATCAAAGATTACAGGATCATAAAATGCTTTCTACCCCTGGTCAAATTTAGCTGATAAACTTGCTACATCAGTTTGGGTTTAAATGGCTTTGAACATTACATGAGCATTTCAGTTTGCCACAGTCCCCACCAATTTTGCTATAATGACTTTTAATTGCCTTCCTCATTTATTTGATCTCCCTGATCCCCCACCCCATCATTTGAATTTGTAAATCCTATCTAAACACTTATTTCCCCAAAACAGGATCAATTAACTTTCTCCTTTGGTTGAATATTTTCCAGGATTTAATGTTGCAAAACTTAGTATTGTTCATGTTTTAAAACACTCTGGTCTCAGATGACCTAGATTAAAATCTAAATCAATTTCTTTCTTTGAAGGCTAGCAATTTAACCTCTAAAACCTCACACTTTTCATCTGTAAAATGGCAATCATAGTATAGCTACAGTAATAGCTACCTCATATGTCCCAGCTCTGTCTGACCATCAGCATCTGCTTCATGGGCATGCAACGTGAGCAGTTACACAGGGTCCCACATTCAGAAGGGCCACGTGCTTGTGAAGTGCTCTATTGTTTCTGTCTTTAAATTTTAACCATTTTTGAACAAGGAGCTAAGCATTTTCATGTTGGTCTAAGCCCTTCAAATTATATAGCCAGTCCTGATATCCCCAGGGATGGATTTTTTAACCATTTAGTCAAGGATTTTCCTCATGTTGCATTTAAAAATACATTTATATAATATTAAAATAAAAAACTCACAATGCTATATAAATACACAGATCTCATTTGACTTCTTTTTTATTTTTATTGGTTCCATATTGTCAGTTGTATTTTTTCGGAAATGAATACTGATTCGAAATTATTTATATTTTTTCTATTATAGTTGGAAAGACTTTTTAAAAACTACCTTGGGTTACCAGATTTAATAAATAAAAATACAGATTCCAGGTTTCTGGCCCAACATGCAATGAGCTTGGAAGTCATCATGCCATCCTAACAGCAAGTAAAAATCTCAACTGGAAAAATCAGCTGTTCTGAGATCTGTCAGAGAGGTGAGGTCAAAGGACAAACCGCTACCTCCCAAATTGGAGAGAGAGAGATGAACACAGAAACCTCTTCAGGAAACATTACCAGGGTAGGAAAATCTGGGTGGCTCAGAGTGGACAAATCTGATCATTAAGACTCCATGGGGCACAGTCATAGGGGCCTCCAACATTATTATGAGTTTTACCTCAGAGCTCCACCAGATTTTCATAGAGAACATTAGAGAGAAGTCTTCTTGTGCTTTCAGCAGCATGAAGAGGAAAAAGAACCCAAGGGTTTCTGTTCTTTTTAACAAGACTTGCCCTCCAAACAATTTTACCAGAGCCTCAAACTGTTGGCTTTTTTTCAGAAGCTAACTGACTGGAAAGAAGGGAAATATCCAACTTTAGCCCACTCCAGCAATTGTCTTCCACCAGAGAGGGAAGAAAACTAAGAACTTGTAAAGTTTAAAGTTAGGAGGCACAATACCACTGAAAAGACTGAGACCTAATGACAGAACGATATAATGCTTCCCTTTTTTCACACTTTGCCACCACATTACTAAAACTCTATCTAAGTAGTTCTTTTTACACAGTACATCATGGTCAACTATCAGGAAAAAAAATTACAAGACATAGTAGAAGGCAAAAAAAAAAACAAAAAAACAAAAAAACAATTTTAAGAGACAGAGCAAATATAAGAACAAGACTCAGAAATGGCAAGGATGTTGGAATTATCTGACTGGAAATTTAAAACAATTATAGTTAACATGTTAAGGGCTGTAATAAATAAAGCAGACAGTATGCAAGAACAGATAGGCAATGTAACCAGAGAGATTAAAACTACAAGAAAAAAGTCAAAAAGAAATGCTAGAGACCGAAAACATTAATAAAAATGAAGACTGCCTTTAATAAGCTCATTAGTAGATTAGGCCACAGCTGAGAACTATTCTGCTTAGCTTGAGGATATTTTCATAGAAACTTCTAAAAATAAAAAGCAAAGATAACAGGAAAAACAAAACAGAATATCTGAGAATTCTCAAGAATTACAGGGTAACAACAAATGTGTAACACATAGGTGAAGGTAATACTAGGAGAAAAAAATGAGAAAGGAACAGAGAATATATTTGAAGCAATGATGACAAAGAATTTCTACCAAATTAATTTCAGATGCCAAACCACAGATTCAGGAAACTCATATAATCCCAAGCAGAATAAATGCCAAAAACACTACCTCTAAGGATATTATATTCCAAGTACAGAAAATCAAATATAAAGAAAAAAATCTTGAAAGAAGCCACAGGAAAAAAAAAAAACCTTACCTATAAAGAAGCAAAGATTAAAATCACAACCAACTTCCCCTCAGAAATGGAAGCAAAAAGAGAATACAGTGAAATATTTAAAGTGTTAGAAAAAAATCAACTTAGAATGATATGCCCAGTGAAATTAGTTTCCAAAGATGAAGAAGAAATACTGTCTCAAACAAACAAAAATTGGGTAGTTTATTGCCAGCAGAGTTGTCCTTCAGAAAATTTTAAAAGAAATTCTTCAGAGAGAAGAAAAATGATATAAGTCAAAAACTCAGATCCACATAAAGAAACTAAGAACATGAGAGAAGGAATAAGTAAAGATAAAATAAAAACTTTGTATTCTTAATTGATCTAATAGATAATAGTTCAAAACAATAAAAGTAATTTTATTTACTTTTATTTTATTATTTTATTAATAAATAAAATATTTAATTAATTTTATTTAATATGTGTGTATGTTTATTTAATGTTTATGTAATTTATTTAATGTGTGTGTATGTTTATGCATAAATAAAATAAGTGATGGAAACTCAGCAAGTATATACGATACAGGAAAGATAAATTAAAATTATTTTGTTATTATATAATATTCACACTACCCATGAAGTGGTTTACTGTTATTTGAAAGTGTACTTGGATTAGGTGTAAAAGCATATTGCAAACTCTAGAGTAACCACTAGAAAAAGTAAAAAAAGGAAATATAACTGGTATGCTAAGAATGGATCAAAAATGGAATCATATGAAATGACTGATAAATTCACAAAAGGCAAAAAATGAATAGAAGGCAAAAATAGGAACAAAGAACAAAAGGAATGAAAACAATTGATAGATACTAATCCTAACTATATCTGTAATTACTTATAACATCAGTGGCCTAAGTATAAAAATTAAAAGTTGGAGATTGTTGGAGTGGATCAGAAAACAACACTCAAATAAATGTTGTGTAAAAAAATACCACTTAAAGATACATATAAATTATGATTAAATGGTTGGAGAAAGATGTACAGTTATAAAATTAATCAAAAGAAAGAAGTAGCTATATTAATTTCAGAGAAGACTTAAGGGAAAGGAAAGTTATCAAGGATAAAGAGGGGCATTACATAATAGAAAAGGAGTCAATATTACAAGAAGATGTAACCATCCTTAATGTGTAAGCACGTAAAAACAGAGTGTCAAAATACAAGAGGTAAAAACTGCAGGGAGAAATATATGAATTCACTATTATTTCTAGTGATTTCAACATCTCTTAATCAGAAATAGAGAAGCAGTTAGAAAATCTGTAAGGACATAGTTGAACTTAACAGCACCATCAATCACTAGATGTAATTGACATCTATTGAATACTTGAACCAAAAACAGCAGAATACACATTCTTCTTAATCTTACATGGAACATTCTCCAAGATAGACCACATTCTGAGCCATAAAATACACCTTAACAATTTTTAAGTAGAAATCATACATTGTGTGCTCTCAGACCACAATGGAAATATACTAGAAATCAATAACAAAAAAAGATAACTGGAAACCAATAAAATACTTGAAAAATAAACAATACACTTCTAACTAACATACAGATCCCCCAAAACACAGGAAAATTTTTAAAATATTTTAAGCTAATTGAAAATGAAAACACAAATTATCAAAATTTGTAGGGTACATCAAAACCAGCACTTAGAAGAAAATGTATAGCATTTCATGCATGTATTCAAAAAGAAGAAAGATATAATATCAATAATCTAACTTTTCCACCTCGGGAAACTGGAAAAAGATGAGCAAATTACATCCAAATTAAGCAGAAGAAAATAATTATTAAAAATTACAGCAAATATTTAAAATTAATATTTTAAAATAAATATTAAAAATAAAATAAAATTTATTTTATTAAAAATAAATAATAAAAATTACATATGTTTACAGAATTAAAATTTTGCTGTAATTTTGGGGGTATATTTGGCTATAAATCAATGGGGGGAAAATAAAACCAAAAGTTGGTTTTTTGAAAAAAAAAATAATATTGATAAAGATCTAGCCAGGCGAACTAAGACAAAAAGATATATGGCACAAGTTTCATCAAAAATTAAAGAAGGGACATCACTACAGATTCCATATTTATTAAAAGGAAAATAAAGAAACACTATGAACAATGCTATACCTACAAATTTGATAACCTGAATGAAATGAAACAATTCCTTGAAAGATACAATCTGAAAAATGTCACAAATAGAAAATAAACAATGAATAGGTCTATGCCTATTTAAGAAATAAATGTAATAGTAAATAACCTTCCAGAAGAGAAAGCATCAGCCCTATATGGGTAGTGAATTCTACCAAACATGAGAATTTTTAAAGTCAAAGATTTATATAAATTTTCTACAAGCTATTCCACAAGGAAGAAGCAGAGAAAATTGTTCCTAACTCATTACATGAAACCAGCATTACCTTAATACCAAAACTATGCAAAGTTATTACAAGAAAAGATTACTACAACCAATATCTCTCAAGAGCATATATGTAAAAAAAAATCTCAACAAAATATTAACAAATCAAATCCATCAATGCATAAAAAGAATTATATACCAAGTGGGACTTATTCCAGTTATGCAAGAATGGTTCAACATTCTGAAATCAATTAATGCAGTTCATTATATCAACAGTCTAAAGAAGAAAAGGCACATGATAATATCAATAGACACAGAAAAAGCATTTGATAAAATCCAACAGTCATTTGTGACAAAAAAAAAAAAAAAAAAAACCATCAGCAAACTAGAAAGAGGGAAAAATTTCCCCAACTTGATAAAGGATCTACAGAAAACCTACAGCTAAATTATACTTAATGTTGAGAAATTAGAAGCATTCTTGCTAAGATCAGGAATGAGGCAAAGATGTTCTCTCTTATCACTGCTTTTAACATCACATTGGATGTCCTAGATAATCTATTAAAAGAAGAAAAAGAAATAAAAGTAATACAGACTGGGTTGGAAGAAATAAAACTATCTTTGTTCAGAAGTGACATGATTGTTTGTAGAGAAAACCTGAAGTACTCAGCCAAAAACTCCTGGAACTAATAACTGATTATAGCAAGGTTGCATGATACAAGGTGAATATAAAAAAATCCTTTATTTTCTTACATACTAGCAACGAATAAATGGAATTTTAGTTTAAAACACAATACTATTTACATTGTCACCCACAAGAATAAAATATTTTGGTATAAATCTAACAAAATATATATATAACATCTACTTGAGGAAGACTACAAAAGTCTGATAAAAAAAATCAAAAAATAAATAAATAAATGGATATATATTCCATGTTCATGGACAATAAGACCCAATATTGTTAAGACGTCTCAGTTTTTCGCAATTTGATCTGTAGATCTGACATAATCCCAATGAAAACAATATTACTTTTGTAGATATCAAAAAACTGATCCAAAATTTTATACAGAGAAGCAAAAGATTCAGAAGCTCCAACACAATAGTGATGGAGATGATGGAAAACTGATACTACCTAACTTCATGACTTAATGTAAAGTGACAGTTCTTAAGACATTCTAGTATTGACAATAATAGACAAACATATCAAAGGAACAAAATAGTCCAGAAATAAACCCACATCAATACAATCAACTGTCTTTGACAAAGAAGCAAAGGCAATACAATAAGATAGTCAATAGTACATAAATGGCATTTAGAGCCATAGCACTGGATGAAATGACAAAGGGGATGAATGTGCATGGATAGGAACCAGGCCCAAGGAGTGCAGCGAGCTCCAGGGTATCATGTTGGAGAAATGAGAAGGAACTAGCAAAGAACAACAACAACAACAACAACAAAAAGCCACTTCATAAATGAAAACTAGTGTTCTTGATGCAATATAAATAATAAAAAAGAGAGTTATCATATGTGTCAAATGCTACTGATCTGTCAAATAAAATGAAGCGTGATAACTGACTTGTAGAGGACCTTGGTAATCTATGTCATTAAATTAAATATATGAAAGTACTTACGCCTACCCCGTACATAGTAAGTATTCAATAAAGCTAAAAATTTTTATACACAAACCTTCATATTTATGCTTGAATCCTAGATGGACTTTACATGTTGAAATAGAAACTGCTTGAACATGCAAGAAAATGTTTTATAAGTTTCTTACCATATAGCCCCAGATTCCAAGATGTATCTACACATAAGAAAACAGCAGCTAACTTTCTAAACCCCTCAAAAGATGTTTATTGTTATGACAGAACATTATTTCTCTGACCTTTATTCTACCAAGTCAACCTAGCATTCTGCCTCCTTAATAATTTTCACCAGCAACTTTCTCTATGTAAAACCATAAAATCCAGAAAACACCTGACAAGATATTAGGAGAACATTCTTGGTAGCCTAATACATTATTGAAAGGAACTTTCTAGGAGTCAGATCTAATAGTGGTTAAAAATTTGACACTCCAGAATCAACCTGCCCAAATGTGAACCCCAGCTCCCTTACTTATCAGCTGGGTGAAATTTATACTTTCATTTCCTTTCTTGCAAAATACAAAGCAATAGTAATAATAGCAACACTAATAAGGTTGTGAGGATTAAATGAGTTAAAATGTTTAAAGTGCTTAAAATGATGCCTGATACATAAATTAATCTGCTGATTTGTATAAGGGAATGAGCTCGAAAATCATTTGCAAAGACTGTTAAAAATATTTAGCTCCAGGTCCATCCAGACCTACTAAGTTAGAAACAGCAAGGTAGAGTCAAAAAATATATGTTATTAAAACAAATGCGCTGGTGTTGGTGGCTAGTCCTCTTTGGGAATGGCTTCTTTATTTCCCACTCAGGAAACTTACTGCAGGTACTTAGTAAGATAGATAACATTTGTAAAAGTGTTTGCTGTAATTATAGGTTTTCATTTAGTACTAAACATTGGTTGGAAGAAAGACGCAAACACTTAACTGCAGTAGAATAGAGAAGTACATCTGAGAAGAGTATTCGAGCACTGTATCATTGGGCAGAGAGCAGAATTTGTCACAGAAAAACAAATGAAAAGGAGATAAATATTTGAAATATAAATAAATATAGCTGTATTCAAATTGAGCAAAAGGAAAAAGGGTATCTTGGGAAAGAACACAGGAAAAGAGAAATTCAGAGCACCATTTGGAGTATTAAGAGAAAATTTTTCTTTTTCACGTGGCATAGTGGCTCACGCCTGTAATCCCAGAACTTTGGGAGGCCAAGGCAGGGATCACCTGAGGTCAGGAGTTTGAGACCAGCCTGGCCAACATGGTGAAACCCCATCTCTACTAAAAACACACACAAAAAATTAGCTGGGCGTGGTGGCAGGTGCCTGTAATCCCAGCTACTCGGGAGGTTGAGGCAGGAGAATTGCTTGAACCCGGGAGGCAGAGGTTTCAGTGACCCGAGATCGTGCCATTGCACTCCAGCCTGGGCAACAAGAGCAAAACTCCGCCTCAAAAAATAAATAAATAAATAATAATAATAAAAGGAAATATTAAGAGAAGAGCAAACTTAAAAATGAGCAGAAATCCTCAAAAAAAACCTACATGGAAAAGGTTAAATAAAATATTGTATATCTAACTAAAATAGTTATATATAATTGTCAAAAACAATATTAGATCAGTATATTTATTAGTAAAATAAAGCTGTACAAGGTGGTCTTCTATATAAAGTTATAAGATTTTATCACAAAAATATAACTATTATGACTATGATAACTAATTATTATGGGAAAACCAGAAAAGAAAGTTAAAGAAAAGAGTGTAAATAGACTGTTGTTTTAGCACCACTCAGAGAGAAGTACTTGAAGTTAAGATACTTTATGCTTATATTTATATATGTGTGAACATATATGTATGTATGTATTTATATATGTATACACACTTGCAGTGTCTCCTGCACTAGTACTATGTCAGTTTCACTGATCTCCTTATTGTCACGCTTATTTAACACCCATTTTTCCTTCACTTTGTAACTAAATGAGTTATCTAAAATATATATATCTGATTATGTTATCCTGAAATTTAAAACACTTCAGTATCCTCCCTTATCCCTGACGATCAAATGGGAAACCTTAATATGTCTGCAAAGGCCATCTGTGCTGGAGTTCTGGCTACTTTCCTACTTCTTCCTTCTCTCTAACTACTTTAGTTACTCTTACTCTACCTGATTAAGTTTCTCACAAGTGGCATGATTTCTCTTCCCTTCAGGACGGGAGACCTATGCTCCCGGAACCTTCCTATTCCCCCTCCTCTTCCTGAATAACTCTTACTCATTCAATTCTGTAATATTTTGAATCTAATGTTTCTCAGATTAGGAGCACAAAAAAAGTTATTACTTTTTTCTAAATATTAAAAACAATGCTTCCAATATTAGAAAAAAGAAGCAAAATTTATTTTTTTCCAGAAACCAAAAATAATAGACACTTTTGTGAGATTATATGATGAAAAAAATAATAATCCTAACTCCAGATAGGGAGGAAAAGGTAAACAGATGAACCATTTGTAGAGTACTCAATATATCCTATATTTATTATAGGTAAAAGTCTCACATAATTACCAAATAAATGACAAAACATGTATTTTAACCTATTTTACAACTGAAGAAACTATGAATTGGAGAAGTTGCTGAAGATTCCCAAAGTCGGCCAGGCGCGGTGGCTTATGCCAGTAATCCCAGCACTTTGGGAGGCCGAGGCGGGTGGATCATGAGGTCAGGAGATCGAGACCATCCTGGCCAACACGGTGAAACCCCGTCTCTACTAAAAAAAAAATACAAAAAATTAGCTGGGCGTGGTGGCGGGTGCCTGTAGTCCCAGCTACTCAGGAGACTGAGGCAGGAGAATGGAATGAACCTGGGAGGCAGAGCTTGCAGTGAGCCGAGATCGCACCACTGCACTCCAGCCTGGGCGACAGAGCGAGATTCTGTCTCAAAAAATAATAATAATAATAATAAGATTCCTAAAGTCAAACTGTATTTCATCCTAGAGCTGTCTGAATACAAAACGTGTACATTATTTTCACTATCTCCTACACCTCAGCAGCTCAGCAGTCCACGAATAACTGTAACACAAAGCAGAATGTGATTGGCGTAACAATAAAAGGAAACATATGGCGTGGCAGGAGTCCTTTGAAACCAGCATCTTTCAGTAGAATTCTATCTGATTTTAAAACAATGTTAGAGAATCACAAAAGAGGATTCAGAAAGCTTTCCCAGGGGAGGTGGTATTTGAGTTGGACTGAGATCTTGAAATGACTCAAAGACTCAGAAATGAATCATAAGGAGCAAAACCACAAAGGATCATATTAGAAACAAAAGCCATGAAAGTACTATATTCACAATCAGAGAGGGTTCACACATCCTGCCCAGTCCTCCTATACAACATTTCTAACTGTCACAGATAACTTGGCAGAGGCAGTAACTCTGGTGACATTTCAAGGAAGGCAGTTGATCAAATTCGTACTAGCTAAGACTTAATGCATTCCTCAAGAACTTGTCGGTCTGCAGGAATCTAGAGAAGTGCCTTTGGGTAGATGAAGAGTGGACTATCTGTCCTTCATATATGCTGAGGACAGAAAGAAGCACTTAAATAAAATGGTGTCAGTAAATGATAATGTTAAGATATATAACAGGTTAAGGCCTTCTCTAATAGAATAAACTGCCACATTTTGAAGCAAATTGCAAAGGCAAGTTAAGGAATATCTTCATTTGTTATTTTGAATTAAAATTTCACAAATTCTCATACTAAGAGTATTCCAAATACACACATGCTTTATAGATTTTTTTAAAGGCATCACCAATAAGCATTCTTATTGCAAGACTCTAAAGTTAGTGTGTGGAACAAGAAGTAAATTCGAGTAGATCATAAATACAAAATACATTATATTTCCAAAATATTTTTTCAGGCACGTTCAGGCATAGAAAACTATTTATAAATTCTGATTTATAAAATACATATAAAAGTCACATTTTTCCAACCACTTATTTGAATGACAAATGCAAATATTACTTGATAATTTATTAAGATAAATAACTATAATTATATCAGAGACCTACTTGAAATAAACAGATTTAAATCTTCCACATATGGTTAATTTTAGCCAATTTTACTTTTACCACAAGCATAATGCTTAAGTAAAAAAAAAAAGCATATACTTTATTTGTTTAATTACTACATCTCTTTATTAACTATTTTATTCAGTTGGCTTGGACAACAATGACAACTTGTTTAGCTACTTTAAATATTTCATGCATTTTAAATGTTCAAAGTTAGTAGAAAAAGAGGCATGGTCCACCCTTTAGCCTCCACAAGCAGGAACAGAATGGCTATTATATATATAAAGTAGCACTATCGTAAGATTAATACATCTTCCTAAAATAAAGTCCCATTTCTCATTCTGTAAAATATTTTAAGTCAAAACTGAAGTCATTTCAAGAGTGACTAAAATGTACACATACATCTTTCTTTTTCTTTCATTTTAATTTTGAGACAGAGTCTTGCTCTGTTGCCCAAGCTAGAGGGCAATGGCATGATCATTGTTCACTGTAACTTTGACCTCCTGGGCTTAAGGGATCCTTCCACTTCAGCCTCCTGAGAAGCTGGGACCACAGACACATGCCATCAAAACTGGCTTTTTTGTTTATTGTAGACACAGGGCTTTGCTATGTTGCCCTGGTCAGTCTCAAACTCCTAGCCTTAAGCAATCCTCCTGCCTTGGCCTCCCAAAGTGCTGGGAATAAACATGTATCTTTCAATGAAGAGATTATCTAATTATCTGAGTAATTCAATAATGTAAACTCCTCAGCCCCTCTCTGCTCAGAGCATCTGCTCCTTTTGCAGAAAATGTTCTCCATGGTGGCCATGTGGCTGGCTCTTCTTTATCATTACCCCTTGGTCCAAAATTTACTTCCTCAGAGAAGCTTCTTCTGACTACTCTACATAAACAACACACACACACACACACACACACACACACACCTATTACACTCCACTATATTAGCATATTTTATTAAGTGAGGGTTTTCAAAGAGTGATCCAAAGACTTCTGGCGAACTACCAGATTCTCTCAGGGGTACTGCAATTCAAAACTATATTCATAATAATACTAAGACACAATATTATTTGTAAATTCTCATTGTCTCATGAGTGCACAAAGTATAAAAGTTTATTGATATGGTTTTGGATTCCATATTGTAACTAACCTTTAAGTTATAAGCATCATATGAAAAACACCTCAACATCACTGATTATTAGAGAAATGCAAATCAAAATGACAATGAGATACCATCTCATACAAGTCAGAATAGCTATTATTAAAAAGTCAAAAAATAACAGATGCTGGTGAGGTCTCAGAGGAAAAGGAATGCTTATACACTGTTGGTGGGAATGTAAATCAGTTCAACCATTGTGGAAAACAATGTGGTGATTTCTCAAAGAGATAAAAACAGAAATATCACTCAACCCAGCAATCCCATTACTGAGTATATACCCAGTGGAATATAAATCATTCTATCATAAAGATACATGACATGTATGTTCACTGCAGCACTATTTACATTAACAAGGACATGGAATCAACCTTAATGTCCATCAATGCTAGATTGGATAAAGAAAATGTGGTACATATACACCAGGGAATATGATGCAGCCATTAAAAAGAACAAGATCGGCCGGGCACAGTGGCTCATGCCTTTAATCCCGGCACTTTGGGAGGCTGAGGCAGGCGAATCACGAGGTCAGGAGATCGAGCCCATCCTGGCCAACATGGTGAAACCCTGTCTCTACTAAAATACAAAAAATTAGCTGGGCATGGTGGCAGTCTCTAGTCCCAGCTACTTGAGAGGCTGAGGCAGGGGAATCGCTTGAACATGGGAGGCGGAGGTTGCAGTGAGCCGAGATTGTGTCACTGCACTCCACTCCACCCTGGCGAAAGAGTGAGGCTCCATCTCAAAAAACAAACAAACAAACAAAAAACAAGATCATGTTCTTTGCAGGGACATAGATGGAGCTGGAGGCCATTATCCTTAGCAAACTAACACAGGAACAGAAAACCAAACCAACGTTTTCACTTACATGTGGGTGCTCAATGATGAAAACACATGGATACATAGATGGGAATAATAGACACTAGGGCCTTTGAAGAGTGGAGGCTGGGAGGAGAGAGAGGATCAGCAAAACTAACTAATGGGTACTAGACTTCATACCTGGGTGGTGAAATCTTCTGTAAAGCAAAACCCCAGGATGCAAGTTTACGTGTATAACGAATCTTCACCTGAACCTCTGAACTTAAAATAATAGTTAAAAAAAAAGTTACAAGCTTCTTTTTAAAGTATAAGAAACCCTTGTTTTATATATTCACAATAGGCTATGCACATGCTCTAAAAACTCTGAATGTTATGTGTACACATATTTATGTAATATATACTGTATATACCTTAAATATTACATACATATATGTAATTACAAATATCTATTTATCTACACAAACATTCAAGATTTTTTAGAGCATGTACATAGCGCTTGTGAATTCTGAATGAATTCAGATAGTAACATGTGAAATTGCTGTTACTGGATTATATTTGACTTACAATTATGAGACAACAATAAGATAAAAGCTCATATGAAGTAAAAGTTAATGGGAAAATGTCGGCTTTTTATATAAAAGCATATCCATCATAAAAAATTTTCCTGTTAGGTCTTTTTTTTTTTCCTGAGAATTTAACCTTAGACAGGTAGAATAAACAAACATCTGCCATAAGACCCTACAAAGAATGCTGATGGCAAATCAGCAATCTTTTTAGTCAATGGGGACAGGTGTACTAAGAAGATCAGGCTAGTTAGTTCCATCAGCTCAGGAAGTGGATTGATCCCAAAGGCAATGAAAGGGAGACTTGACCATCTGCAGTTCTCAAGAAGATAAATAAAACAGATTCAGATGTCTGCTGCAACTCTGGATATGATCAGAATGTCCCCTAATTCTTTATATCATAAAATAATGACATATAAGATATTGTTGCCAACTGGCACAAACCGCTTTACCTGGAAGTCAGTCAAAGGAAAGAAATTGTTTTATTGTTGTTTTTATCCCAAAATATCTTTAACCATGCTTCTGCTATAGCAAAAATAAAAATAAAAATAAAAAACAAATGAAGGGTATGTACTAGTTGTATATAAAAGGGCACAATATAAATATTGTTGGATAGAATAGTGAAGTATTGCTTTTAGAATAGCATATCCTAGTTTTGGATCATTTCTACAAAGTGGTAGTGTGGAAAATCCCCCATTTCTATTATTTCTTTCCATGGGAAAGAAGTTCACTGGCTATAACTATCATAGTTTATCTCATCCCTCTCTCATTTTTTTATCTAATTATGAATTTGAAAAGGAGAATTACATGTGAATAGAACAGATCTTTCACCTGGCCTTCTTGGAAGTGATCTGCCTTCAGGAAACCTACATTTCAGTCTGCTTCTCCATGTCGCAAATTGTAAGGAAGCCTCCCAGAGCGGATGGGGAAAGGTCTGCCCCAGCAAGCCCTGTTGTAACTCTCAGGTTCAATACTCTCCATAAATACAAACCGCATACCCCTATCTAACCTTCAGCAGTTATAAAGGTGATGTTTTGCCTTCTATATGCTGACCTTCTCATTTTATTTCTCAATTGGTTCAAGATATCAGTAGAGAAAGATACTATTTATTAGGGACCCTCTAATGCCTCAACATTTGGCATTTCCAACTTCACTGATAATAAATACAAATTTACAAATACAATTTTTGAGTATTTTCTCTCTCACATTTCTATAGTCTGGAAATAAATGAGATTGCTGGCTGTCACCTCACAGTGCAGCTCAATAAGCCTGAGAAAAAGAGAGAATGAGGAAGCCATCGGCTTGGAGATTTAACACAGTGACTACAGTTGCCCCTTGGACGACACAGGTTTGAACTACACAGATCCACTTGTACATGGATTTTTTTTTCAATAAGTTTTCATTGAGTTTTCAGGGAGTCAAGTTACATGGAATATTCGACTGTGCAGGAGATTGGTTCCTCTAACTCCCATGTTACCTAAGAGTCAACTGTAGTTTTCTTTTCTCCTTTCTAATGGGTAAACGCAGGAAAATACCTTCTGCCACTTGAGGGGGAAAAAAACTATAGATCTCTCCTGTCTTTTAATGCCAGGTCAAATCTGATGGATTAATACAAATGAAGGTTGGCAAGACCTGTGTCTGCACTTGCTGGAACCATCAAACTACAGTGAGATAATGAAGTGCAACTAGTAAAAGCTACAGGCAAAACTATAGTTACAAGAAAACAAAATTTGCCTTTACTTCATTTTGCTATTGTGTGAAGACCATTATGAAGAGTAACTTTGTTCAAATTAAATAGCACTCTATTTTACATAAGATAGATGATCATAATAGTTGATGACACTTTTTACAGAAACTGCTACTGGAGAAATTACAAGGCAAAGCAGGCCTAAACAGCTGCATCTGTTGGAATAGGTCTGCAGCTGCACAGAGCCCAGGATAAATGACAAGCAATTCTTCTCACTCATTCTTCTATTACTTCTAAATCTTCAGACTCATATTTTATACTTCAATGTCATATTTTTTTCTTATTGAGCTGCCAAGGAAAACATAATTTTACTAAAGATGATAAAATGAAGTGGATAGACCTTTTGTCATAGGTAAGAATGAAGAGAAAAGTCATCAGATTTTAGGCTCTGACTAAAAAAAGTGTTTTCAAGTGTTTTACCCATGTCAGCATGTGACCTCCAGAAGGGTTAATAACAGAACCATGAGTTCATAATCAAGAAATTAATTTTGAGGCCACATTAACACTGTCAAAGCAATAACGCCATATTACAAAAAGAGTACTGTGCTATCTAAAGTGCCTGATTTCTAAATCTCCTGTAATCAATGTAATTGATTACAGTGCAATCTCTTGCAGTCAAATGAGCCTGCCTACAAATCAGGAGACAACTCCACACTGTAACATAAACTCTTGGAGATCAAGTATCATCATCTGTAAAATAAATATATGAGAACTGCTGAAATTTAAGGTTTCTTTTAACTGTAAGATTGTATCTATTATCTATGTTTATTGTAAGAGAAACAGACGGATAACAGGCACTTGTGCTGGGGGAAATGTGAAAGAAAACAAAAAGTCAGTAGTAATGGTATCTAAACAATTTATAGAAGAAGGAAATCTAGTTATTTTGCTTTTCTTTCTGTGCTACTTCTTTTAAGTAATTATACTATTAGTTCCTGATTCTAAAGTTTTCATTTGCATTGTCCTCATTTGAATATGTCAATTAAAGAAGATGCATTTTTTAAAAATCATATTACTGTTTTCCCCCTTATTTGAAAAGCACTACATGTTCGTTGTTTTAAATTCAAAGACTCACATAAGGAAAATAAGTTATCTATAATCCTATCACCCAGACCTAACCATTGTTAACATTTTTGTAAAGGAGTATGTATATGAAATTTGAAATAAGCTCCCACATATTGGCTTATCAAGTGGTACTGAAGGGCTTTGAAAATGGATCACTGTTAAGGATTGTTTAGCTACATATTCTTAGTGGTCAAATTGAAATCAGAACCATAAAAATAAAGAAAACATTTCCAAATAAATAATTGTCAAGGTCCCAGAATCCATACTGGGAAAACTGGTAGAGTGAGAGAAGAAGAAAATAAACTTTTACACTACAATTCGCTGAGCAGAATGGACTAAGAAATTGAATGCCCCAATTAAGAGAGTTCCACTTACTCATTACCCTGTTAAATGGCATGCCTGCCTAATTGCAATAATCAGCAAGGCAGAGACTTAGTTCAGTGCATTTAAATGACTCCTAATAATAGTTAACTGGCATGCCCATCTCATTTAAATGGCACACCTGGTGTTATCTCTCAGCCTTGTTTCCAGGAATTAGCTGTATGATATTTACTCCCATTAATGTCTACGGGCAAAGCTTTTATTGTTGCCTCACTGCTACACCATGGGGATTGTTAAGAAAGTTTTATCAGGGTTTTAGTTTCCTTCATGGCACCTTTATCAAGTAATTGCACATTTGACACTGAAAATCCAGAGTGGTAGACTGAGGTTAATGATACACTTAGAGCTCTACTGAAGAGTATATGCTTAAAGAGAGTACCTTCAATTTTATGAAGTACTTATTTTGCAGCCTTACAATTATACATTTGATGTCACATTGAGCTATTATGGCAAAATTTCATTGATAAGAATGACAACAAAACACAAAATGTCAACCTCAAGTGAGTTTAGTTCAAATTATCCAATTAAATTTTAACTGCTAGAAAACAGATTATCTACTAAACCTGCGTCTTTAGGCAAATAACCATTAAGACTACTGTTCTCATGGGAATAAACGGTGTAGAGCATTTATTCAATGCAAATCTTACAAGCTAAAATTTAAAGAACACTTTTGGATCTCAATACTGTTACTCAAAAAGCCCTTAGTATTTTAATAATTGAAATGCAAAATATACAAAGGCCTCCTGCTGTCTAATGGCCATTGAAAGATATGTAGCACTCTATCAGTTTTTAATATCCCACTAGTAGTTCTTAGCAAGAAGGTGAAATAACGTAGATTACTGGTACTCTTTCCTAAACCTAACCCTAGGCAAGTGACAGAATCAACAAAGAAATGTTTGGATCTAAGAAACTGATAGGAAATTTTTGAGAATTTTCATATTTGTGTCCCTTTGATAAAGGGAAATGGCAGTCCAGTCATAGAAAAACCAAAAAAGAGCTTCTAATTATGTTATTTTCTGCCTCTACATTGTACTGGACTGCTAATTGATGTGTGAGTTAACACTATGAGCCATGAAGAGACATGTACAACAGGTTAATATCAAGGTAATTGTCACAGGTTGGGTTCTTCTGAGGCAAGTGCCAAGATAGAAGTTTGGGGTTTGATGGGTTTATTAGAGACCAATGCCTGTGAAAGGAGGGAAGCTAAGCCAGCTTTGGGCAGAGGAAAAAGTCAAACAATGACACAGGCCTACCATACCTTTGACCTAAACAGTAGAGAGTTTGGGAGTAAGTATTACCAACACAGTTGCTGGTATTAAGCTGAAATGGCCAAGTATTTACACCCTTCCCTCACTCGATCACCATATACGGATTTCCCTGGAAAGAGAACGACCTTGTTGAAGCAGCTCTCTGCTTCTGATGGAGACCATAGAGGAAGTGACAGTTGGAGGTCGCCCTCTGGTTGCAATCTTAATCAAGTTCTTTCCTGAAGTGGGGTCTGGTGATACATCTTGTGTCTACTACAGTAGCCTAGTGACTAGCGAAAGTAATGAGTGGACAACAATATCTGCAGATGGACCCACTAGCAAACATATAAATACCTTGAAACCAAGGGTCTATGTTCGCTTTCTTCACTATATGCCTCTTATTCTCTCTTAAAACCTCTTCAGTTAGTCTTCATTACACTAAGTGGTGTCACAGAGTAATCAGAATGGTGTTTATCAAAGTCACAAATGACTTTCTTGTTGCCAAAACCAATGGTCAATGTTTAGTCTTTTTCTCACTCAACCTATTAGTGGTGTTGTCTCAGTTGGCTGCTTTCTCCTTCTTGAAACATTTTATTCACTTGATCTTTAAGACATCACTCACTATTAGTTCTCCTCCTACCTCAGTTTATTCTCAGTCTCCTTTGTAATTTCTTCTAATCTTTGACATGTCCCAGCTCTCAGCACTCAGTCTTCTTTTATGTTTCTATCTATAATTCCTCTGACAATTATTTGCAGTCTTATGCCTTTAAATACTGTCTCTATAGTCTTTACTCAAGTCTCACATATTTAACTGTCTGATAAGCATATGTCTTTGCCTATTTAACATCCATCTTAATCTTGAAACATCCAAAATGAGTTTTTGATTTTTCTTCCTAAACTCCAATTAACTCTGTTTCTCCTCCTCTTCCCCATCTCAATTCTTAATCACACCATTCACTCTATAATTCAGGGAACTTTTGTGTAATTTTTTACTCCTTTCTTTCTAATCCAACATCAAATCTGTTTAGCTAACACAGACTAATCCATCAATAAATTTTTTCACAACCGTATTCAAAATATATTTAAAATCTACCTATTTCTCACTGATTCTACTGCTATCACCTTTTTTCAATCCAGCAACAATTCTCACCTAGGCTGTTGCAACAACTGCATGATTATTGTTTCTGCTTCTCCCTTTCTTTAACTTCCACATTTTATTATGAACACAAAGGTAGAACTTAACTATTTTTAAATGTTTAAAATAAAATACAATGTATTAGTCTGTTTTCACACAACTAGAAAGAACTGCCTGAGACTGGAAAATTTATAAAAGAAGGAGGTTTAATTGACTCACAGTTCAGAATGGCTGGGGAGGCATCAGGACACTTACAATCATAGCAGAAGGCAAAGGGGAAGCCAGGCACCTGCTTCACAAGGTGGCAGGAAGGAGAATGACTGTCAGAGGAACTACCAAACACTTATAAAACCATCAGATCTCCTGAGAACTCACTCACTATCATGAGAACAGCATCAGGGAGCTGCCCCCATGATCCAATTACCTCCACCTCATCATTCCCATGACATTTGGGGATTATGGGGATTATAATTCAAACTGAGATTTAGGTGGGGACACAAAGCCTAATCATATCATATAGCAACCTCATATCTCATAAATATACATACACACACACACATCTCACACATACATATGTGTATATATGCATGGAAAAGTATGTGACACACACACACATCTCATACATACATATGTGTGTATATGCATGGAAAAGTATATTTGGTGGGAGGTAATTGGGTTTGTATTTTTCAAAAGTAAAGACAAAAATAAACTGACATACAGTATAAGTGCATATATATGTATACATACATATGTACATATATGTATGTGTGTATACTTATTTTTTCAAAGAATTAACAGCAAGGCTTAAAAACAAGCAAATAAAAACCCAAATGAATAACTCTAATAGAGGCTTGGCTGCAGTAGATATGTTGCTTAGAGATTCTACCTGAGAGGCTTTGAATGTCTGCGACATGTCTTGACATTTGGAAAAACTTGTGGCTTTTCTGTACATGAAATCTGAAAAACATTCCTGGCAGGCAGGTAAATGAGAAAAACTGCTTGCCCCAAACCACCACTTAATGCAGGTGTAATAGTAATTAAAATATTTGAGATTATATTTACTTATTCACATAGTAAACTCTTGCAAACCTAATTTGTTTATGCAAAATGTAAAGTGGTTTAGCAATGAAAACTAACTGTGAGAGTTGTTATAGAAGTAAAAATATTTGATAAAGCCAAAGAGAGTAATGATTATAAGCCATATAATAGTAGTCCCTTGGTCAAATTACATGTTGCATTAGTGTTCACACATTTGAGTTTTTGAGAAGCCCTCAATATATGTTCCTTAATGTCAAAATATATTCCATTACCGACCTGCCTGAAAAAGAAGGCCACAGGTTTTGAGGCACAAGTTTTTGAGAATTTTACTTCTTCCACCATTCACCAGACATATGACCTTTATTAAATTACTTAACTTTCTTCATTTTCAACTTTCACATTTGTAAAAGAGTTAAGTCATGTATTTTTAGAATTGTATTATTATTAAATGAGGTAATATCTACAAAGGACGCAGCAATCCATACTGTTATTCCACCATCCCTATTCACACCACTTCCTACTGGGTACCCCAGTCTCTTGCAAAATTGCCTTCTTTTCTTGATTGTACTGCAATCAGAAATTTGGGTTTGGTGTATACTGCTCAGGTGATGGGTGCACCAAAATCTCACAAATCATCACTAAAGAACTTACTCATGTAACCAAATACCACCTGCTCCCCCAAAAACCTATGTAAATAAAAATTTTTTAAAAAGAAATTTATTTCTTCTAATGAAATTTCAAAATGTGTCCAGAACTATATTAGAGCTCTTACTCTATTTGCTTATGTGTATTGTTTCACATCATTCTAGATATGAATTAACCAAATCTAAATAAGCTTTTTCAAGCAATTAGATTACCATGTAATGGAAAAAGAAAAATAAGTCTCAGGTAAAAGTATTAGTATATTACATAAGAAAAAGTATTCAAAATTTGCTTCTAAGTACAGTAGAGCTAAAATTATAGTCTGATAGTCTCAGAAATGAGATCTTTTTGGTGAAGGATTATTGAGAAAATTAATATTTTGGATAACTATATTAGGGTCACAAAAGATGCATGATGTTTACACTCTGTTATAGTTTTAGATTAGAAAGGTAGAATCAAATAATTTATCATAATAATTTGAAATTCACTTCCCTGTGTAAAAGAGGCACAAAGACAGAACACTGAATAGTTTTACTTACCCTGAATGCCCAAGAAAATTTATCAGATGTGCCCAAGTTTAAGCAATGAGTGTAAAACTAGAATAGTATTTATGTCTTTGTAAAATAAGTAGAAATCTAATTTTGTTTTTTCACAGAATTTTTTTTGGAAAACTAATGCGAAGAATAAATAAAAATTGTCTTTGCATGTGAATGTCCGTTTATTTCTTCTTTACTTTTGAATAAGCTGTCAGCTGGAATTCTTTCAAAATAAATAGCAAATGGACCCCCAATACTAAGATAATAAGATAACTATCAAGCTTTCTAGGCAAATATATAATGCCATTTTTCTATAATAGAAGAGAGCTAAATAGCAACAGAATTAGATTTCTCTAGCAATATATGTCACTCAAATCCATTACTAATTTTGTACCTTACCCAGCACATAGGGGTGTAGTTAAGATTAGAGCCCACTGGATAATTTAAAATTCATAAAGTTTCTTGAGCTTCTCGGAGTAAAGGTGCTATATAAATATTAAGTAGCAATAATATGATAATGATGAAATTATTATTCTAATCTTCACCTTGCACATGGTGTAAGTAATTCTCAGCCACTTTATCACTTGCTATATGCACACACACACACACACAGCCAGGGAGGTATTTGGGGTTTGGAATTCCCTTTGAAATCTATGGGAGCTCCACAATCAATTCAGCTCGGCAGGGGAATGAAGGGTGTAAGGAAGAAGGAGAAATTGCACCATAACATTGAATAGAATAAAAGATGTATAAAGGAAAAACACAGTTCAATGATTTCAAAGTTAAGAAAAATGAGGCAAGATGGCTATTTTCGACTAAAAGTGATGTAATTCTAAATATTATTTTAAAGGAAAAAATAAGCTTAAAAAGAAGATATTAAAATTTAAAAACAAAAGCAATCGTGTACTGTCTTACATGAATTATTTTAAATAAGATCCAAATGTGTTCATTTGTTTCTTGCAAGATTCCAAATCTTATTTTGAACTTCAGAATATCTCTTCTGTATCACATTTTAAAATCCTCTTTGTGTCTGCTAAAATTGGTTGCTGTAATAGTCTTGAAAAGAAGGTAATTGATTGTATTTAAAGCAACAGTCTTCTGCATTACTGAGAAGTACATGAGCACCTGTGGCCAGGAAAATCATAAAAATGGATGCCTTCAGAAAAGATGTAAAAACGTGTTCTTCTTTATAATTAGAATAGTGAACAACACAATATGATCATGTTTAATATTGAAAACATGGGGCAAGATGCAGGGAAAGGTATATTTAAGAACTGCTATTGATACAGTTTAAAAGCTGTCTCTTCCCTAAATTTGTCCTCAGACCAGTACTTAGCCCAGAGATGGAAACCATATTTATAGAAACAATCTTCTTCAGATTCTTTAAGATAAGAGGGCACAAACCAATACCTACAATTTATAGTTTACTCAGCCAGCCTGTAACCATGGAAACAGATTGACCATTTACACAGAGCTAACCCTTGCGAATTTAACCCTGTCTCTTTGCCTTCAAAACTGCTAACAATGTAATCTGATTACTTTGTCTACGAATGCATTATCATTCAAACAACACCCAGCCAATCAAAAATGTATATTAAAAAGTTCTTGCTATATTAGAGTATAAAAAGGCTTAAGACATGTCTAACACAAAAGTTTAACAAAATCCTCCCATAATCTTTTTTGTTATTGGAATAAGAAAAAGATGCTGCATCAATAAGGCTCTTATGTGCCACCTGCCCATATTGTTTGTCACTTATATTCCACACTTTATTGTCCTATGTATCCTCAAACTTACAAACTCTGAATGTCATGCATATGTCCACTATGATATTGATATTTTAGTCTGTTTTGTGCCACTATAACAGAATACCCGAGACAGGGTAATTTATAAACACCACAAACTGATTTCTCATTTAATTTACTTCTCATTCTGGATGCTGAGAAGTTTAAGACTGAGGGACCAGGATCTTGTCAGGGCCTTCTTGCTGCATCATCTCATGGCAGAAGGCAGAAGGGCAAGAGAGGGTGAGAGAGGGAGCAAGGAGCCAAACTCATCTTTCAATAAAAAATCCACTCCTGCATTAATAAACTCATTCTCACAATAACAGCATTCATTCATTCATGGGAACACAGCCCTCTTCACCTTAACATTTCTGAAATGTCCAGTCTCCTAACACGTCAATATTGGGGATAAAGTTTCCAACACATGAACTTTGGTGGACACATCCAAATCATAACATTCTTCCCCTAGCTCCCCAAAGGTATGTCCTTCTCATATGCAAAATACATGCATTTCGTCCCAATAACCCTAAAGGCTTCATTCATTCCACCTTCAGTTCGAAAGTCCAAAGTCCAAAGTCTCATTTAAATCTGGGTCTCATTTAAATATGGGTGAAATTCAAGTCATGATTCATCCTGGGGCAAATTTCCCTCCAGCTGCATGCTTATAAAATTAGACAAGTTATCTGCTTTCAAATACAATGGTAGAACAGACATAGAATAAACACTCACATCCCAAAAGGGTGCAATTTAAAAAGAGAAAAAAGCAATTGGTCTCAAGTAAATCCAAAACCCAACAGGGAAAACAACATCAAATATTAAAAGCTGGAGAACAATCTTCCTTGACTTCATGTCCTATCTCCTGGACATACTAGGGTGTAAGTTCGGTCCCCAAGGCCCCAGAGAACCCTGCTCCTATGGCTTGCTGGGCTGAGCCCATGCCACAGCTCTCATGGGGTGGAGTATTGTGCCTGCAGCTCTCCCAGCCTGGTGTTGCACACTGGTATCTCTACAACTCTAGGGCTTACGTGGCAGCACCAACCCCACAGTTATCCTGGGCATTGCCATAGTGGGGACTCTCTACAGTAGCTCTGTTCTTAGGACAAGGATTCATGGGAATCCTGTCAGGGATGACTGCTTTTGCCCTCTGATGCAGCAGCATAGGCTATATCTCTGCCTGCTTGAGGCATGCCTGCGGTGGCCAAAGATCGCTGCACTGGAATGCAGGAAGCAGAATCCCAAGGCAGCCTTGACAGCAATCTCATAGAGGGTACCCTGAGCCCCTGAGCCTGTTCCCTAAAGCCATTCTTCTCTCCTAAATCTCTGGGCCTGTGATGGGAGGAGTACCCTCGAAGATTTCCCAGAGGTCTTCAGGATCATTCTCCCATTATCTTGACAAATAGTACCTGGTTTCCTTCTATCCATGCTAATCCATTTATTAAAGTATTACTTGGCAACACCCTTACACACTTTTTCATTCCTTACATTGTCAGGCTGCACATTTTTCAAATTTTTACACTGTTTCCCTTTTAATTACAAACTCTATGTCCAAATCATTTATCTCATCTCTCATTTGATTGCATGAAGTTAAAAGAAGCCATGCACCACCTCCTTCAACAATTTGCTTAAAATGTTTTATGCTAGATGTCCTAGTTTACCACTCCTAAATTCTGCCTTCCATGAAGCTCCTGAGCCTGGATATGATTCAGTCAAATTATTGGCTACTTTGTAACAAGGATGGCCTTTACTCCTGTGTTCAATAAAACATTCTCATTTCAATCTGAAACTTCATCAGAATAGTCTTTACTGTCCATACTTCTACAGACATTCTGATAGTGACCACTTCAGTAATCTCTAAGAACACCCATACATTCCCTATAGTTCTCCTCTTCTGAGCTTTCACCAGAATTGCTCTTAATGCTCTTTTAAAGCAATACAAGCTTTTTCTATTCTGCTCCTCCAAATAATTCCAGCCTCTGCCTATTACCCAGTTCTGAAGCTGCTCCCACATTTTCAGGTACTTGTTATAGTAACACCCCATGCTCCAGGACCCTTTTTCTGTCTTAGTCCATTTTGTGCTGCTCTAACAGTACACCTGACGCAAGGTGATTTATAATGAACAGAAATTTATTGGTCATGGTTCTAAAGATTGTAAAGTCTAAGATCGTTGAGGGGCCAGTATGTGGTGATGGCCTTCTTCCTGCTTCATCCAATGGCAAAAGGTGGGCAGGCACAAAAGCACAAGGAACAGCAAGAGGGGCACAAACTCATCTTTTTCTAAGGAACTCACTTCTGTGATAATGAACTCACTCACTCCTGTGACAGTGGCATTGATTCATTAATCAGATATTTAATGATTTAATGATTAACAGCATTAATCCAGGTGTTTAGGTTGACACCTCAACATCTCTTAAAGATCTCACCTCCCAGTACCTCCACACCGGGGATCAACTTTCCAACACATGAACTTGGAGGGGCGATGACTTCACATCATTTTCAATCTCCAGGTAAATAAATAAAGAACAATGACTATGGCCAATTCTTTGAGAAATGAAATACATCATAAGTATTTGGTCTTAAACAGTAACAATTATCTATTTTTATTTAATATTATCATTATAAATAACTGTAAGAATTACTGTTATTACTTTGGTATATCTTATAGGTTAAAATTAAATCACACATATATTATTGTTATTGAAAATTCTAACAGCCTCAGCAGAAAGACATCATCATTGTCATCTGAACAGAAGGAGCTGAGGCCAAGAGAGTTTAAATATCATGTTCAAAGTAAAAGTAAATAATGAAATAAGAAAAATATAAATAAAGTTATTTTTGACAGAGTTAGGATTCAAAGTGTGATCTTTTGACTCTAACTAAACCTGGTCCTTCACTCTGTACCTACAATTACTCCATTTTCAGCTAACATCCTAAGACTGACTAAACTTTACTAATCAACCATATTTATCAAAAATCACAATTGCTCTGTATATCTAATTTTCATCATAAACCATTTATTCTTTTTCTATGGCTTCTTGGTGATTATGACTTTTTAAATTATGACATAAGCTATGTAATCAAGTATCAAATATTGTAAAATAATAGTAATAAATGTTATCAAACTAACAACTTTGTCCCTTTTTGTTACAAATATTCTACTGAGAGAAAAAATATATATTTAAGAAAAATCCTTGAATCTTTCTGCCCATGCAGGCATAATTGACACAATGGAAAAATTAATTTTGTAATACTTCCATGAACTGTAAGAGGCGTGATTTTATTTTCACTACTTTAAAAGTTATAAAACATAGAAAGATAAATGAAGAATAATATTGTTTCAGTTTTTATTGGAAGAGATTAAAAATTAAATTGTACTCCATTTCTATTTTTCTGTTTGTAATGAAGATGGAATTCAGGACAGTATTGCCTGGGGCATTTAACAAATACAGCAAAAATAAAACCTCTTTAGTATTCCCTTTTCTATAAATTTCTATAGGCAATGAATCAAAATTCTGAATTATCTTGGCATATTTCCCATAAAATTGGTCACCTTTTATGTTTCTCATCTGTTTGTATGCTATTATTGAATGGCAGAGACCATAAATTATTCAATATATATACAATCTTAGCACAGGGCATGGCACTTATTTGACATTCAATGAATAAATGTATGAACATTATAACTTGGTAATACATTATAGGTGTTAGCCAAGGCCAAAGATGCTCTTGAGGTAGGAGTTACCTTGACGTTTATAATCGATGATATATTTACATCATATATATGCATATGTTTAATGTGAAAAAAAATCCTTTGAAATAATTCATATAAATAAAATTGTATTGGAATACTGTTTTTCAGGCACTTTTTTTTATAAAGAAGTAAAGTAGAGAAATGTAAAGAATTTCGAAACCTTAAGGCATAACACTGCAAGTTACTTACAACTCTGATTTATATGAAGCCAGTGGTAAACTGATCCCACATGTGAAATGAGTCAAACTCTTTCTAAACATTAGAGTGTGTTAAAGGAAAGGGAAGCTTTACTAAATAGTTTATCCTGCTCTACAAGATTTAATTTTTCACACTGAGAAAAACTGATTCCCTCCAAGAAAGTGACTGACTTGTCCAGGCTCAGTATATTATCAGATGTGTTTGGGTTGGACTTAAGCCTATAAACATGGCTTAAGAATTTAACTCTACAGAAATTGCATCATATGTCTACTTGTATTTCCAGGCCCTCCTTATAGAAACCCTTTTAAAAAAAATCAACTTCTATTGCCTTATGTGTAAAGCTAAAACATATCTTTTTAAAAATCTTAAATAATTTGAATCATTTTAATTAGTTAAGAATAGACTTTATGAATTTTTATGTTTTAATATTGTATTTGTTTTCTATGGCTTCATAACAGATTACCATACACTTGGCACTTTAAACCCAATTTATTATTTCACTGCTGTGTAATTCAGAAGTTTGGATAGTCTTCTTAACTAGGTTCCCCACTTAGAGCCTCACGAGGCCAAAATCAAGGTGTAGGCTATGCTGGGAAAGAATCCACTTTCAGGCTCAGTCTAGTGTTAGCAGAATCCAATCCCATGTGGTTGAAGGACCAAGGTTCCAGTTTCTTTGCTGACTGTCAACCAATGCACCCTCTCAGTTTTTAGAGGGTGCCCTTCGACCCTTGGACTTGCCCCCTCCATCTCCAAAGCCAGTAAAGGAGCATTGATCCCTTCTCCAGGCATTGATCCCTTCTCCAGGCATTGATTCACTCAGGTGGAAAAACTTCTCTGCCTTTAAAGGTTTCATGTGATTAAATTAGGCCCAATAGGAAATATTCCCTTTTGCCACATAAAATTACATAATCATGGAAGTAACACCAGAGAATAAGGTCATGGGAGACATTTTAAAGTTCTTCTCACCACCAATATGCATTAAAATGCTAGTATTTAAAAGTGTAAGCAATAAAAAACCACTGTATTCATGTTAGTTTCAAATAACAATAAATTTAGTTTAAAAATAAAGCCCCAATGAATACAAGAAGCTATTAATAACAATTTTGGTTACTTGTAAAAGTTCAACATACAGCATATGACATACAGATGGTAATGGTTTCATATTAGAAGTATTTGAGGCATTAATCAAGATAGCTAATAACCTAAATAAATGACCTAAATTTTAAGTAGTAACATAAGGGAAAAAATATCGTAGGTAAAAACAGAAAAAGAAAATGGTTTTACCATATACGTTTTAAAACTTCTTTAAAAATATCAACTATGTTTAACAGTAATCATACTAAGGCAAATTAGTATTGAGATATAATTTATATGTAAGAAAATCTCAATAGATTATGTTTGAACTTTCTATAAAAGATGTCAGCATCAAAGTCTTTTCACCCATTTCTCTTATTATTCTCAAAAAATATCAATAAAATTTTAAAACAAATGCAGGCTGGTGCGGTGGCTTACGCCTGTAATCCCAGCACTTTGGGAGGCCGAGGCGGGTGGATCCCTTGAGGTCAAGAGTTCGAGACCAGCCTGGACAACAAGGTGAAACAAATTCCAGCTACTCAGGAGACTGGGACAGCAGAATCACTTGAACTTGGGAGGCAGAGGTTGCAGTGAGCCAAGATTGCGCCACTGCACTCTAGCCTGGGCAAGACAGCAAGACTCCATCTCAAAATAAATAAATAAATAAAATGCAAATAAAATAATTTAATTATGCAACAGATATTACCTGCAAATAAAATGTGTAATTTTCTACCACATGGAATGAAGTATGATATAAATCAAGTAGAACACCAATTCTCACATATATCAGCCAAGATGTTTGCCAAGATGTGTTATTCTCATGCATTATGACTAAACATAATTTACATAAATCTTAAGAAAACTCTAACAACGCCTCTTTTCTCCAAACAATGTGGCAAAAACTGTTGACAGGCCAGTGACTAAATCAGGGAAAATTCCAATCAGTCCTTGGGGAAAGTGGAGCAAGGGAAGATAAAACTCCAACATGCTGTTTTTCATTTTCTGTGACTCAACCTTCAATCATCAGAAATAGCAAGGACTTAAGGAGTAAAAGGGAGAGGAAAAGCCACAGTCACCACATAGTTGTTGACCAGAGTCAGTTCAGCAGAGATAAACAAGCAGAAAATCAATAGCCCAAAATGCTGGCAGCTGTGCTATAAAGTCAAGAGGCATCTCTGCTTGGATGCTAGTCCTTTACATTTTCTTTATTTTCTTGATGATTTGTGTTATTTCAGTCTCTGCTATAATATAACCAACTCATAGCTACCCTCCCTGACCAACTTATCACAATCAATACTCCTCATACACATGTACAAACATCTCATCACCTTTCATCCCTCTAATTGCTGTTTTTCATATAGCGCTAATTATATCCAAAATCATGTTTACCACCTTTTCTACTAGAAAGTTCCAATGTGAAAGGAGGAAATTTTCCTATATTTTTTAGTACTATATACTTAACATTTGGAATAATGCTCAGAATTTATTGGCATTCAATATATACTTAACCAGTGAATAAATGGATGAATGACAGAATCAGGAAGAGAAAAGAACAGAGACAGGAAGAGCCAGAGACAGAGAGACAGAGAAACAGAGTGAGACAGAGTGAGACAGAAGTAATACATATATTCTCACAGGCTGTGCTGAACATTTGACTTTCTTATGGGGAGGGATCCAAAAGGACTATAACTTTGGGGCAAATTTACATTTCTGTTATCAAAAATTTGAGGCTAAAAATAAAAAAAATTTAAAGATTTTTTGTATGCAAGGTATACAGTCATTTGTAATATTAGTCAATATGCTGTTTGGGAGTTATACAAAATCAAACTGTAAAGAAAGCACATGAAATTTAAGTCAAGAAAAGTGAAAAGTGGGTATTTTACAGATTACCTTAGAGATTAAATTTAAAAAGATGCATATATAGAATAACAGCAATAATAGTAAACAGGCAAGACAGAAGAAAGTGATGGGATCTTTAAAATAAAAATACAACATAAAAATAAGTTATATTAATAATGATATATTTAATAGTTGATACATATTAAATAATTAGGAAATATACATTATTATATAAAATTATAATAGATAATATCTATATTATGAATTGGAAGAACACAGTTGGAACACTCAAACCCAATTTCAAAACTTACTACAAAGCTACAGTAATCAAGGCAGTGTGGTACTGACATAAGACTAAAGGTTTAGACTAAATGTTCAGATCACTGGAATATAAATCGAAGCCTGGAAATAAATTCTTATATTTAGGGTCAACTGATTTTTTTTCTTTTTTTGAGACGGAGTCTCACTCTGATGCTCAAGCTGGAGTGCAGTGGCACAATCTCGACTCACTGCAACCTCCACCTCCCGAGGTTCAAGCAATTCTCTTGCCTCAGCCTCTTGAGTAGCTGGGATTACAGGCATGCACCACCACACTTGGCTCATTTTCAGTATTTTTAGTAGAAACAGGGTTTCACCATGTTGGCCACACTGGTCTCGAACTCCTGAGCTCAAGTGATCTGCTCACCTTGGCCTCCCAAAGTGCTGGGATTACAGGCATGAGCCACCACGCCCAGCCATCAATTGATTTTTGACAAGGATTTTTGTCAATTGATTTTTGAAAACCTGAATGTCTATCACCTTATGGATCGATGAATAAAATGAGGTTTATTCATACAATAGACTATTATTTGGCAATAAAAAGGAATTAAGTGGTGATATATACTATAAGGTAGATGAGCCACAAAACCATTACACTAAGTGAGAGAAGCCAGACATAGAAGACCAGATATTGTATGCTTTTATATACATAAAATGTCCTGAATAGGAAAAACTAGAGAAACATATTTATTCCATCTATTTATTGGAAGGAAAAAGGTCAGCCAGATGGGATTAAGAAACAAAATCGATTTTTTAAGCAGTATTTTAAAACTGCATCTGAAAGAAAATAGCTCAGAAACATTGTAACAGATTACTTACAATGGTACATTACAGAGAAACAAAAAGCAGAGCTCATGATATCAATGCCATACAGTGATGAACTCATGGAAGGAAGCATTAAGAAAACAAGACTCTCTTTCTTATATGTGAAATGTTTCAAATATATTAAGAAATCATATAGTGTAGTGTGAACAGCTGTGTGCCCTCTACTCAACTTCTGAAAAATCTTAATTTTATGCCACATTGCTTCAACTTTTCCTTCATTTCTTCTCTGCTTCCTTCTTTTCTTCCTTTTTTCCTTTCTTCTTTCTTTTTATATTGTTTGGTATTAAACTCTGTGTTCTCTCTGATTCTTGTTCTCTGTCTCTCTTGTTTACCTTTCTAGTTACCTTCACTCTAGAGAAAACTTTGTGCACAAGATCATATTGCAACAGTGTTCATAGCCATGTTATTTATAAAAGGAAAAAAATTATAAACAATCTACGTTTCTATCAATACAAAAATAAGTTGAGGAATAGTCTTCCAACTCAATATGTTATAGAAGTTATTAATAAAAATGAATGAACTAAGGCTACTTACATCTATCATCTTAAGTACATATGTATATGATATAAAGTGAAAAGAAAAACAGATTAAATATTCAAAAAACTGCAAAATATTATATAATGTTCATAAATTCATAAACATATAATATAGAAACAAATAAAATATGAAGTCATGTGATATTTGTTGATATGCAGAATATTTAAATTTTAATGTAGTCAATTCATCCGTTGGTTGTTTTATGGGTTTTTTTAATTATCCTCGTCACATACTAAATCATGAATATGACAGCTAATATTTCCTTCTAAAACTTTTGAAAATTTTGCTTTTTACATTAAGATCTTTTAATCATCTAGAATTTATCTTTGTGTATGCTGTAATTGGAATCTAAATTTTTTATAGTCAATTGTCCTAAAACCACTTATTGCCTCCTTTCTTTACTGTTGTACAATATTAAATTTGTCATATATCAAGTTTCCATATATTCACAGCCTATTTTTTCACACTGATTTATTTTTATTTCTCTCCACTCTAATGCTACCCAGTTTTAAATTCATAGATCTACGATAGACTTATATGTGATAAGGTAAGTCCTCCAATTCTGCAAAAATGTCTTAGCTCACCTTGGCTCTTAGATCTTACGATTTCTAAAGATGGCATATTCTTAATTTTTTTCGTATTTTATTTTCTATTCTTAAATATTATTCTACAATGTTCTCCAGGTGCATATTGCCATCTTTTATGTTTATTCTTAGATACCTATTCATACTTTACTTGGGAGTATGTAAAGCCATTGTAAAAGTGCCAGGCAAACACTAAGCACTCAGAAGCTGTTAACTACTATTATTCAGGTGTTTTGTTAAAATAATATTCTCTATTAGTTTTTAAAATAATATTCTCTATTAGTTTTTAATGTTTTGTAGAGATGCTCTTGAGCCTTTGCATGTTTTTATATCAAAGACAACTTGCTTAATTTTCTTATTTGTTCCAGTGACGTTTTGTGGATTTTCTTGGATTTGCTTCTAGTTTTAATACATATTTTATCACTTGATGAATCTGCCCTTCAATTTCTAGTTTCCTAAGAGATATATCTTAATAACTGTTAAATTTTTCAAATATTTTATCTGCATATTTGTTTTTAATATATTGATATTATTCCACCCCTAGTTGGGTTTCCCAGGATTTAGATTCTGAGATAGAAATTAACACATAGGAAGTTGACCAAGGGTCAATTCTTGGAATAATTACCCACAGAAGGAAAGAAAAAGAAGTAAGATGAGCACAAGGAGAAACTGGATTACAATCTCAAGGGAAGCCTCAGCCAATACCACAAGGAGTTCAAAAGCTGAAATGATATGGTCTATTAAACATTTTCTGAGTTGGTGGGAGGCAGTCAGGCCCTTAAACTTCCATATGAAAATCACTGGATGCAAGTTATGTAAAACAGGGGGCTTGAACTTGGACAAGGGGTCTCTCTTCATTCAGTCATTTCTCGAAAATGACAGATAGCTGAGGGCTATTGCTAGCAGTATTCCCAGGCACTAGGAAACTAGTTCTTGAATCTAGAAAGAGTATCCATTGGCATAAGACAGTATCAATGAAATATACACCACAACAATAGATTTTGTAATGTTCCACTTCCTCACATTATTGCAGTAAACCAACTTTTATCACAAAACAACATAATTTTTATATACATTGATTAATTCAGTTTGCTAACATTTAATAATTTTTATCAACTGCTGAGTTCTGCTTGCTAATATTTTCTTTCGTATCTTTACACTTAAGTCCATAAAGCACATTGGTTTATACTTTTTATTCATTTACTCACAGAAGATTGATTGAGTGGTTACTATGCAGGATACACTCTTGGAGTGTTTAGGATATACGGCTTACGAATATAATTCCTTTGTTTTGTTTCATAGAAGCTAGGTATGAATTTTCCTCTTCAAACATCCACCACATACTTACTTTAAAGTTTTTATCAGATTATAGTAGAAAATGGTCTTAATCTAGGAAAATTGTTGCTTTTGTCTCTTTTAACATGTAATTAAGTAGGCTTTAAATTTTTAACCTAAGGTTCACATTGAATAAATAATTTTGTTGGTCTTAATAATATTGCATATGCTCTGTCTATATTTCTCTCCCACTCTGTCTCTCTATGTGTCACTCTCCTATGTCTAGCTCTTTTCTGGATGCCTCTAGCTAACCCTAACTCTCAAGAATATATCTTTACTCCCAATATATCAGAAGATATGGCAGATTCAGACCCAGAACCCACAGCAGATACCTTGACTGGGCTCTTGGAGATCAACATAACTCTAAAATGAACTGGGAGGAGGTTTTATTCAGCCATGTCTTGTGAGCAGGGTACCACACCTAAATCTCTGTTTTCAACCAATGAAATATTTTATTTGAAAACCCAATATTTATAAACCACTTCTAATGCTCTTTACTTACAGGAGTTAAACTCCTGGCTTCCACCATGCATTTATTAACTCAGAGCTCAGCTCTGCTCACACCATTCAAATTCTGATCTGTGAATACATGTACCTTATATTTAAATATTCCTATACAACTGCATTTGTTTTTATTTGTTCTTATTTTTCTGCTATTGGCATTTAGATTTAAATTTATCTAAACATTTGTTTCACCATTTTGTCCTAAAATATCTGTGAGGTGCATTAAATGATAAATAGTATAATACTGTCTTGACCATCACTACAACAAATAATAGCATCTGTAAACAAAATTACTTAGACAGAGAATATTTATCATTTTTATGTGTTGGGAACATTTCAAATACTCTTTTCTATCTACCTTGAAATACATAATACATTCCTGCTAATCATAATCACTGTACACTGCTGTTGAACATTAGAAAATTATTTTCTATTTAACTGTATGTTTCTAAGCACTAATCAACCTCTCATCGCTCCTTCCACCTACATACCTTCTCAGCGTTTGGTATCTATCAGTCTATTATCTACCTCCACGAGATCAAGTATTTTAGCTCCCACATAGGGGTGAGAGCATGCAGTCTTTGTCCTTTTGTGCCTGGCTTATTTCACTAACATAGTGACCTCCAGTTATACCCACATTGCCACAAATGATATGACTTCATTCCTTTTATGGCTGAGTGTATTCCATTGTGTATACATACAACATTTTATTTACTCATTCCTCCACTGATGGACACATAGGTTGACACCATACCTTTGCTACTGTGAATATTGCTGTGATAAACATGTAACTATAGGTATCTGTAAACTGAAAGTATCTGAGATAGGTCTCAAACAACTTAGAAAGTTTATTTTACCAAGGTTAAGAACATGCCTGTGGGTTGGCATGGTGGCTCATCCCTGTGATCCCAGCAGTTTTGGAGGCTGAGCACTTCGGGTGGATCACTTGAGGTCAGGAGTTCAAGACCAGCCTGGCCAACATGGTGAAACCTTGTCTCTACTAAAAATACAAAAAAATTAGCTAGTGGTGGTGGCACTTGCCTATAATCCCAGCTAATTGAGAGGCTGAGGCAGGAAAATTGCTTAAACCCAGGGGGTGGAAGTTGCAGTGAGCTGAGATCACGCTACTGCACTTCAGCCTGGGCGACAGAGTGCCCATACTCCATCAAAAAAAAAAAAAAAAAAAAAAAACCAGAAACATGCCTGTGACACAGCCTCAAGAAGTCCTGATGACATGTGCCCAAGGTGGTCAGGGTACAGCTGGGTTTTATACATTTTAGGGAGACATGAGACATCAGTCAACACATGTAAGATGTATATTTGTTTGGTCCAGAAAGGTGAGACAACTTGAAGCAGGGGCTTCCAGGTCATATGTAGATTTAAAGATTTTCTAGTTGGCAATTGGTTGAGAGAGGTATTATCAATAGAAAGAATGTCTGGGTTAAGATAAGGGGATGTGGAGATCAAGGTTTTATCATGCAAAGGAAGCCTCCAGGTAGCAGGCTTCAGAGAGAATAGATTATAAATGTCTCTTATCAGATTTTAAACATCTGTTCTATCAGTAATTCCAAAAGGGAGGAGAATATAATGAGACATCTCTGGGTCTCCCTTCCCATCATGGCCTGAACTAGTTTTTCAGGTTAATGTTGGAATGCCCTTGCTGAGAAGAGGGGTCCACTCAGATGGTTGGGGGAGGCTTAGAATTTTATTTTTGGTTTACAGTATCCCATTGATATGCCAACTTCTTCTTTCTCTTATAAATACACAGTAGTGGGATTGCTGAATCATACTGTAGTTCTATTTTTAGTTTTTGGACAAATCTCTCCACTGTTTTTCATAGTAGTTGTACTAATTTATATTCCCACCAACAGTGTATTAAAGTTCCCTTTCTCTGCATCCTTGTCAGCATCTATTTTTTAACTTTCTAATTATAATCAATCTAGCCACAACATCTGATTGTGGTTTGGATTTGCATTTCCCTGATGATTAGTGGTGTTGAGCATTTTTTATATACATGTTGGCTATGTGTATATCTTCTTTTGAGAAATGTCTATACATGTTCTTTGACCACTTCTTAATGGGATCATTTAATTTTTTATTGTTGAGTAGTTTTATTTATTTGTATATTCTGGATATTAGTCCTTTATAGGATAATTACTTTGCAAGCATTTTCTCTAATTCTACAGGTTGTCTCTTCATTCTGTTGATTGTTTCATTTTCTGTATAGAAGCTTTTTAGTTTAATTAGTTCCATTTGACTATTTTCACTTTTTGTGCCTGTGCTTTTGAGGTATTAGCAATAAAATCTATGTCTAGATGTCCTGTAATGTTTTCCCTAAGTGTCCTTTGAATAGCTTTATAGTTTTAGGTCTTACTTTTAAATCTTCAATCCATCTTGGTTGATTTTTGTACATGTTAAGAGACAGAGATCCAATTTCATTTTCTGCATATAAATATCAAAGTTTTTCAGCACCATTTATTGAAGAGGGTATCCTTTCCCAATGTATGTTCTTGGTGCCTTTATTGAAAACCAGTTGGCTGTTAAGTATGTGGATTTATTTCTGGGTTTTCTGTTCTCTTCCATTGGTCTATGTGTCTGTTTTTACACCAATTATATGCTGTTTGGGTTAGTATTGTATTGTAATATATTTTGAAGTCAGGTAGTGTGATAGTTTTATTCTTCTTGCTAAGATTTGCTTTGGCTATGTGAATTCCTTTTTTGGTTCCATACAAATTTTAGAATTTTTTTCTAATTCTGTAGGGAAAAATGATGTTGATATTTTGATAGGGATTGCATTAATTCCATAGATTGCTTTAGACAATGGATGTCTTTCCATTTGTTTGTGCCCTCAATTTTTTAAATAAGTGATTTGTAGTTTTCCTTGTAGAGGTCTTTTACATCCTTGGCTAAATTTATTCCTAGGTGTTCTTATTTTCAATGTAGCTATTCAAAATGAAATTGTCTTTTTCCTTCTCCTTCTTCTCCTTCTCCTTCTTCTTCTTCTTCTCCTTCTTCTTTTTTTAGATATAGGGTCTTGCTCTGCCACTCAGGCTAGAATGCAGTAGTGCAATCTGCAGCCTCAAACTTCTAGGCTCAAGCAATCCTCCCTCCTCAGCCTACTTAGTAGCTGGGACTACAGGTGCATACCACAACACCTGAGTCCTTTTTGATTTCTTACTAGATAGTTCATTCTAGATGTATAGAAGTGCTACTAATTTATGTATGTTTATTATTTATATGACAACTTTACTGAATCTACTTCTTATCTAAGAGTTTTTCATGGAATCTTTAGATTTTTCTAGATACAAGTTTGTATCATCTGAAATTTGACTTCCTCTTCTCCAATTTGAATACCTTTTATTTATTTCTCTTTCTTGATTGCTGTATTAGTCTGTTTCCACACTGCTGATAAAGAGATACCCAAGACTGGTCAATTTACAAAAGAAACAGGTTTAATGGACTTACAGTACCACGTGGCTGGGGAGGCCTCACAATCATGGCAGAAGGCAAAGAGAAGCAAGTCATGTCTTACATGGATGGCAGCAGGCAAAGAGAGAGTTTGTGCAGGGAAACTCCCCCTTATAGAACCATCAGATCTCATGAGACTTATTCACTATCATGAGAACGGCATGGGAAAGACCTGTCCCCATGATTCAATTACCTCACACTGGGTCCCTCCAACAACATGTGGGAATTCAAAATAAGATTTGGATGGAGACACAGCCAAACAATATCATTCCACCCCTGGCCCCTCCCACATCTCATGTCCTCACATTTCAAAACGAATCATGCCTTCCCAACAGTGCCCCCAAACTTTAACTCATTTCAGCATTAACTCAAAAGTCCACAGTCGAAAGTCTTATCTGAGACAAGGCAAGTCCCTTCTGCCTATGAGCCAGTAAAATCCAAAGCAAGTTAGTTACTTCCTAGATACAATGGGAGTATGGGTATTGGGTAATGCAGCTATTTCAAATGGGAGAAATTGGCCAAAACAAAGGGTCTACAGGCTCCATGCAAGTCGAAAACCCAGCAGGGCAGCCAAATATTAAAGCTTCAAAATGATCTCCTTTAACTCCATGTCTCACATCCAGGTCACACTGATGCCAGAGGTGGGTTCCCATGGTCTTGAGCAGCCCCATCCCTGTGGCTTTGCAGGGTAAAGCCTCCCTCCTGGCTGGCATTGAGTGTCTGCAGCTTTTCAAGGCAAACAGTGCAAGCTGTTGGTGGATCTATCATTCTGGGGTCTGGAGGACAGTGGCCTGCTTATCACAGAACCACTAGGGACTCTATGTGGGGGTTCCAACCCCACATTTCCCTTCTGCACCACCTTAGCAAAGGTTCTCCATGAGGGCCCCACCCCTGCAGCAAACTTTTGCCTGGACATGCAAGTGTTTCCATACATCTTCTGAAATCTAGGTGGAGGTTCCCAAACCCCAATTCTTGACTTCTCTGCACTCGCATGCTCAACACCACATGGAAGCTGCCAAGGCATGGGGCTTGTAAACTCTAAAGCCACAGGTGAGCTATACCTTGGCCCCTTTTAGCCATGTCTGGAGCGGCTGGTATGCAGGGCACCAAGTCCCTAGGCTACACACAGCTTGGAGACCCCAGGCTTGGCCCACAAAACCACTTTTCCCTCCTAAGCCTCTGGGCCTGTGATGGGAGGGGATGCCATGAAGACCTCTAACAGGTGCTGGAGACATTTTCCCCATTGTCTTGGGGATTAACATTCAGCTCCTTGTTACTTATGCAAATTTCTGCAGCTAGCTTGAATGTCTCCTCAGAAAATGGGATTTTATTTTCTATCACATTGTCAGGCTGCAAATTTTCCAAACTTTTATGCTCTGCTTCCCTTTTAAAACTGAATGCCTTTAACAGCACCCAAGTCACCTCTTGAATGCTTTGCTGCTTAAAAATTTCTTCCACCAGATACCCTAAATCATCACTCTCAAGTTCACAGTTCCACAAATCTCTAGGGCAGGTGCAAAATGCCACCAGTCTCTTTGGTAAAACATAACAAGAATCAACTCTGCTCCAGTTCCCACCAAGTTCCTCATCTCCATCTGAGAACACTTTAGCCTGAATTTAATTGTCTATATAATTATCTGCATTTTTGTCAAAGCCATTCAACAAGTCTCTAGGGAGTTCCAAACTTTCCCATGTTTTTCTGTCTTGTAAGACTTCCAAACTGTTCCAGCCTCTGCCTTTGACCCAGTTCATTTACAGGTGACTAGACATTTTTCTCTTGCTATTTTTAGAATTATATATTTGTCTTTCACTTTTGACATTTTGATTACAAGGTACTGTGGAGAAGATCTTTTTGCATTATATCTGGGGATTTTGAGCCTCATATATTGATGTCTAAATCTTTTGTTAGACTTTGAAAGTTTCATTTACTATTTTGTTAAATAGGTTATCTAACCCTTTTGTTTTATCTTTGCCTTCTGAGACTTCAAAATTTTAAATATTTGGTAATTTTATGGTGTCCCCATATGTCATGTAGGTTTTGAACACTGTTATTTATTCTGATTTTTTAAGTTTTGTCTGATTGGGTTATTTCTAAAGACCTGTCTTCAAGTTTTGAGATTTATTCTGCTTGATCTAGTTTATTGATGAAGCTTTCAAATGTATTTTGCATTTCATTCAATAAATTTTTCAGTTCCAGAATTTGTTTGGTTGTTTGTTTGTTTTAATGATCTTTATATTTTTGGTAAATTTCTCACTCATATCCTATATTGTTTTTTCTAAATTGTTCATACTGCTTACCAGTAGTCTCTTGTATCTCACTTGAGATTCTTTCAAATCAACATTTTGAATTCTTTTTCTGGGCTTTCATAAATCTGTCTTTTACTGGAATTGTTGTTAGAGAATTATTGTTGTCCTTCGGAAATGTCATGTTTCCTTGCTTTTTCATATTTCCTGCATCCTTACATTGTTTTTTGCATATCTTGTATAACATGTGCTTCTTCCTGTTCTTTTAATTTGTTTTTGTAAGGGAGGACGTTTCCCTGAAGATGTATCTATGGTGTTGGTTGGGTAGGGCACTTTGGCTTTGATTCCGGGTGTGTGCAATAGTGTAGTCATTATATGATTTATTGAGCTATAAATAGCATCAGTGGTATCTGTGCTTTCCTAAGTGGGTTAGGATGTGGTTTTTAGTGGAGGATGTGGTGACATTTTCCTGAGAACTAAGGTACCAGCTGGACTAGTCTTCAGGCCCTAGTGGTAGCAGTGATGGTCTGAGGTGCCTGTTCTTAGGCCCCAGGGTGATGTATGCTGAGCCCAGTGACAGCTGATCTAAGTGGACCAATTCTTGGTGCTTTCTTATTTGCCAGTAGCAGTGATGGTACACTGGGTGGGTGGGTGGGTTCTTGGGCCCCTGGGTAAGCAGTGTGGCAGAGGTGATGGCAGTTGCAGTGGCAGGATGAGTCTCTGGATCTCAAGCAGTATGTGCTGGTGTTTACAGTGGCTGCAATGGACTGGACAGGCCAGTCTCCAGGCCAATAGGTGGCATGTGCACATAGGTGCCAGCTGTGGTAGTAGCAGCAGAGTGGTTAGGCTCAACCTCAGGATCCCAGGAGTGCTCACATGCCAGTTGTAGTGGGCTACCTGGGCAATCTCCAGGTTCTAGACTATGTGCTTTGGCATGGTGAAGACAAAGCCAGGCTGGGGAGGCTTGCCTTTAAAGCACCCTGATGGTGTATGCAGGTTCCAGTTTTGTTAGGCAAGGGAGGTGTGATTTCCAGACACCTGGCAGAAAGCTCAGGCTCAGGTGGAGGATGGCAGTGGCCCTGCCACTGGGTAGGGCAGGGCTGATTTCAGTGGCACCAGCTTATTCTCCCCAAACCTGAAGTAGCCAGCACCTTGCTTGTGCCTTAGCCCCAGCACTGCTGTGTTCTTAAGCACTTTTTGTATAGTACCTCATTTAAGCCTCAAAACAACTCTATGCCATATATATTATTATTCTATCATTTTTAAGATAAAAAAGAAGCAAGAAACAGTGCAGTTAAGTAATATCTTTAAAGGACACGTAACTAGTAATTCCTGAAGCAAGGCATTACACCTTATTCAGAGCTTAGGCTCTTCATCATTAGATGCCCAGGAGACATTTGGCTAAAGATATCTAATCAGCAAATTTCCATGTTCTGGAAATGAAGACAGAGTTATATTACTGGTGATAATTACCCCACAGAAATGAATGATGTTACATAAGGTGTACAGCACAGTAAGCTGAGGTTAAACTCTCAAGGATACCAGATTTAAGTAGAGGTTAGCAAAAGAGAAAACCAGCAAAGGAGATGAGTAATCAGCCCAGAGATAGGACACCAAGCTTTTACGACTTCCAATAATCCAAAGTATCCAGAATTTAATACAAAATATTTTGTTTTGGGTTAGGGAGTACCATGATCTGAATGTCCTCCAAAATTCATGTGCTGAAACTTAATCACCAATGTGATCATATTAAGAGTGGGGCCTTAAAGAGGTTATTAAGTGATCTTTAAAAAGAGCTTGAGGAAACTAGCTAGCCTTCTTTTGCCCTTCAACCTCTTCCTCCATGTGTGAGGGTTCTTTCCCTTCCGAGAAGCAGTGTTCAAGACACTATCTTGGAAGTGGAGATTGGGCCTTTTTCAGACACTGAACCTGCTGGCATCTTGATATTGAACATCCTAGTTTCTAGAACTGTAAGAAATAAATTTCTATTGCTTATAAATGACCTAGTCTTTTATATTTTGTTGTAGCAGCATGAACACACCAAGACAAAAATATTATATGTTATTTTTAAAATTTTCTATTAGAATAAACAGATATTCTTTCTATGTTACTAAAATTCTATGACAATAAAATAGTATTGATTAAAGAAACCAAATATATCTAGTAAAGTTTAGAAAGTGGTGTTTTTCAAGTATCATTAGAATTAATTAAATTGGCCAAGATTTTTACTTCACATACAAAACAAATGTAAATGAATTAAATATCTTGAGATTCAAAAGTTCATCCAAAGCAAAAAAAAAAAAATCTTATACTAATTTTCCTAGTATGCTATGACCCATATATTTAGCTTCTAGCTAATTATATTAGAACAATATTTAATGACAAACTTAACTGATCTGAATCAACACTTAGTTTTGATTCTTAATGTGACACTATTTACATTCTTTCAAAAAATATATTTAAGTTAGAGTCTCAAACACTGGTCACATTATTTTTTTTTTTTTTTTTTTTTTTTTTTTTTTGAGACGGAGTCTCGCTCTGTTGCCCAGGCTGGAGTGCAGTGGCGGGATCTCGGCTCACTGCAAGCTCCGCCTCCCGGGTTCACGCCATTCTCCTGCCTCAGCCTCCCAAGTAGCTGGGACTACAGGCGCCCGCCACTACGCCCGGCTAATTTTTTGTATTTTTAGTAGAGACGGGGTTTCACCGTTTTAGCCGGGATGGTCTCGATCTCCTGACCTCGTGATCCGCCCGCCTCGGCCTCCCAAACATTATTTTTTATATATTGATTATAGATGGAAGACAGTATAACTTCCTTCAGAGCACTTACCAGCATTTGTGATTAAACAATTATACTTGGTTTTGAATTGATTGATACCTATCCTCTCTACTAATCAGTTAGGTCTATGAGTGCAAAGTATGAATCTGTTTTTACTCATCTTTGTATGCTCAGGCATACATAGCCCAGTGCCTGGCTCATATTAAGAACTCAATTACTATTTTCAAATAAATGAATCATTATAGACAGAGAATTTCGGTTTTTTATTTTGCGTTTTTGACACAGGGTCTCATTCTCTTGCCCAGGCTAAAGAGCAGTGGCATGATCTCAGCTCACTGCAACCTCGACCTCCTGGGTTCAAGTGACCTCAGCCTCTCAAGTAGTTGGGAGTACAGCCAAACACCACCACGACAGGAGAGTTTATTTTATTTTATTTTTTGTAGAGAAAAGGTCTCTCCATGTTGCTCAGGCTGGTGTTGAACTCCTGGGCTCAAGCAATCTGCCTGCCTTGGCCTTCAGAAGTGCTGGGATTACAGGTATGAGCCACTGTGCCCAGCCTAAATAGATAATTCTTAATGGTGATTTTTTTCAAACTATTTTACTGGGAAAAATTTAGCTGCAGCTGAACAAGGCACCTGTTTTCCCCCTCCCAGCACAGTTAGTTCAGATAAACTCCAAAATAAAGTGTAAAGAAACAAACATCAGAAGCACATTGATGGGGGGAAATTCCTGATTTGTCTCTAAAATGTTAAAATAATCAAGTAAAAATTTAAAAATGCATGTATTTGTCTGGTTGTTCAAACAATGCAATTCCTAGCAATTGGCTTGAGCAAATCACTAAAATGGCTGAACCAGTCAGTCATTTTGACATCGCAGCCATATACAGGAGTCTTGAGCTTCTGAACTTATTGCTGGCTTCTGACTAAAACTGGTGATTTATATTCAGAAATAAATTAAACCTCTTCCCTTCTTCCCACCCAGACCTGCTCATTCTCCTCTTCGCTCAGTAAAAACTTTTTCTTCCAGTCACTCAAGTCAGAATCCAAAAATATTCTCTTTTTTGTTCCACATTTAATTAGTTACTAAATCCTGTCAGTCACAACTTTTCAATGTCCCTATCAAATGTCAACTTGCTCATATTCCCTCTACCCTAGTTTATGCCATCATCTCTTCTCACCTAGACTAGTCAACAGATAACCTGTTCTGGCTACCTGTTCTCTTTAATTCTTGTTTCAGAGAATAATCTTTAGCTAAAAATTTAGAAACCTGGTTTCTGTAATTTGCTGTGCTATCAACTGGTATGAGTCTCTTTAATCACGCATTACATAGTAGGACTGGGTGCTCTCAAACGTGCTTTAAACTAATATTATTTTCTCCAGTTTAATCCTCCCTTCACATTTCCTCCAATTACATTCTCAAAACATAGATCAAATGTCAATTTCCCCCACAAATCCTTTCACAGGCCTTGATGTTGACAGAAAAAGGGTCCAAATTACTTGGAATGGTATTTAACACTAAACCATAACTCCTGAACCCAACCTACCTTTCCATCATTTTCTACCATTTTTTCCTTCTAAGCACTTTCAGTCCAGTAATCTCTGATTTGTTACTTACCCATATTTGCCCTACACTTTCCTACTTCCATAGGTAGAAACTCTCCCATATAATACCACCTTTCTGTATCTTACTGGTTCTCAAGAGCTATGGCATATGCCATTTCCTCCAGAATTCTTGATTCCTAGCTGCAGTTAGAATCTTCCTCCCTTTCATATCCATCAAGATTTGCTTAAATTTTTAATTATCTTTTACTTTAGTCTAGTCTTACTTTTACACATCATATCAGCTAAATCTTTATCTTAGAGCAGGGAAAATATCTAATTTATTTTCTATTTCTCACAACACATTACAATGAAAATAATCATCATGAGAAACACAGAAATAAATATTGCAACTTCTAATTTATTTACTTCCTCCTCCTTTCTCTTTTCTTTTTCCCCAAATTCCCTATTATCATTAATTTTAATTTTTTTTTTCTTTTTGAGACGGAGTCTAGCTCTTTCGCCCAGGCTGGACTGCAGTGGCGCTATCTCGGCTCACTGCAAGCTCCGCCTCCCGGGTTCACGCCATTCTCCCGCCTCAGCCTCCGGAATAGGTGGGACTACAGGCGCCCGCCACCGCGCCCAGCTATTTTTTTTTTTTTTGTATTTTTAGTAGAGACGGGGTTCCACCATGTTAGCCAGGATGGTCTCGATCTCCTGACCTCGTGATCCGCTCACCTCGGCCTCCCAAAGTGCTGGGATTACAGGCGTGAGCCACCGCGCCGGGCCTAATTTTTTAAATTATATTTTTAAAAATGAAAATTACTTGTGTAGTGCTTAAACTTCTCAGCATACTGTCATGCACAAAGTGCTGAAATTGTAAGTAATGAAGTCATTGATGTATTTTTACATAGTGAATTCATACATGCAACCATCAACCATAGCAAGAAATCAAATATTTTTGCATCCCAGAATTGTACTTTACATAACTTCCTAGGTATGATTCCCTGTTCCAAGTATCCCCTCCAACATAATTTAGACAACTACAGGTTACTTTTCTGTTAAATTTTATATAAATGAACTTACCTTCTGTGTAAACTCTTGTTTCTGTCTTCTTTTATTTAAAATCATATTAGTGAGATTCCTTCATGTTATTATGAATAGTAGTCATTCAATAATTTTCATATATATACATATGAAATATATACATACACAAATGCATGTATATTTGTGTGTGGGTGTGCACATAAGCACATATATATGTGTATATTTTGGTGCATTCATTTCTCTTTGGAAAATACCTAAGAGTGTAATTGTTAGGTGATAAGGCAAGTTGTTCAACTTTAGTAAACACTGTCAGATAGTTTTCAAAAGTGGTTGTACCAATTTACCAGCAGTAAACTAGGCTTCCACTTGATTTACAGTCTTGCCCAAAGTCTGTAGTGTCAGTCTTTTAAGTTTTAGATATTTTGCTTGATGGCAAAGGTTTTATATGTTTATTGGAAGTGTGCTGGTCTCCCTTGTGAAGCTCCTGTTGCTGTTTTATTGATTTTTAGATATTTTTTTAGATATTTCTGACACAAGTTCTTTGTCACTTATATGTAGTAAAAGTACTTTATTTTACTCTATGACTTGGTAAACAGAAATTATCAATTTCAATATAGTCTAGTTTATTAAACTTTTATTCTATGGATAATGCTTTTAATAGCCTGTTTGAGAAATCTTTGCAAACTTCCAGTATCATGAATATATTCACCTATCATCTAGACTTGTTGTTTTACATTTCATGTCTAGATATACAATTCACCTTTAATGATATTTTGAGTGAGATAAAAGTCAAGATTTGTTTCTTATCTAAATAGATAGTCGACCAACCCAACATTATGTCTTGAAAAGAACAAATTAAATTTTTTCTACTGATATTCTGCTGCATTGTCTTTGTCAGTATGCTTCCGTATTCTCTAGTTTATTCCACTAGTTAGTAATGGGAATGCTACAATATTGTGTATATTTTACCGTGGTGTTACAAAATATTTTGATACCTTGTTTTTGCTCTTTAAGAGTTTTTATTATACTTAGTCTAAAAGTCTTTGGTCCATACAAAATTTAAAAATCAGCTTTCAGTTTTCATGCATGCACATAAAAATGGTCCAGTATTAATTGAGATTGCATTGCATCTATAGATCTATCAGAGAATAATGGGCACTTTATAATATTAACTCTTTACAAAATAGGTAAAACTTTTAAATATATGAATTAAAGATAATAACATAAATGAACACAGCAGAAAGAAACAATAAAGAAGAATGAATTTGAGACCAAAATAAAGAGAAATGGTGTTGAGAAAAAATCAAAACATTATTATCAAAAGAACAAGAAGTTGTATCATGTGTATTTTCCATATGTCATCAGATACAATTCAGCATTCAGTTGGTTCTTTATTATGATAAACAGATAACTAGAAGAAATCTGAAGATTAAAAACTGCTATAGGGCAACAAAATTATTCATAACAATAAAGTATAATAATGTATACTAATTATAATTTAAAATGCTGTCTGTTTAAAGACAAGGCACCTAAAATGCTTACATATTAAAATGTGTTAGAAATTTTTTTAAGGAAGATTTGTTTCAGGATTGTTGACTGGCCAAGAAGATAATTTGAAATTATATAACATGTGGACCATATTTTTTATATTTGCTGATAATATAAAAAAAGTATTTTGCTTTAAGTTATCGTCCCAAGCAAAATGGCAGAAGTCCAACACCTAAATCAGTTAAAATTAAAAAGGTTTAATGCAACAAAGATTTTATGGGTACATTCTTATTATCACTATTTATGTTTTTTCTGCATCCTTTTCTCATGTAAAGCCTTCCAACTGGAACAATTGTGATAAAAGTTAGAAATTAATAATATCTGTAATAACTCCGTTCATCCTGAAGCATAAGGCATAATTAAAATACATCTCAACCCCAAGCTCTATGAAGTGAATTATCACATTAATGAAATGCCTAAGTAGTCCAAAAAGAGAACAAAGCATTCCAACAGAGCATTAATATGTATAGAATAAATATTAGTGAGGATATATTTTCTTCTAATGAAGTAGCTTTTTGGTATCATTAATATGTCAAGGAAGAAGACATTTTCGTTTCAATAATCAGTCATAGTATTTTGCAGATATTCCTTATATTGGAAGAGTAATGCTTATAAAATGATAAAACTAAAAATACTCCAAAACTGGAAGGAGAGTTATATTTTCTACTTACACACATATATATCTTTAAAAAATATATATGGCAAGAATAAATACGAATAAATACAGCAATAGAACACAGAAATCTACATTATTTTTTAGTGGAAGAGAGCTCTTAAAAATCTCTTATGGAACTTACCATATGGGAACCTGAGGAAAGAAAAAAACTCCATCTGAATATTCACTCATTATTAAGCAATCCATTGTTTATTCTCTGACTTCTTATTGTTTAGTTCACTGCTTTTTCAGAAAGTAGCCTGATATTGAAGCTTTGTGAAATACTATAAGATATACAATATATATGTCATGCATATATTTAGGAGTACCTAGAAGTAAAACTTAGACAAAAGCAGTTACATATATACATATACACGTTTCTTGTTAAAAATGCAAAATATAAATCAATTCAAAAACAAATAAAGATATACACGCAAACTTATGACAAACATATTAAGAAAGAAGGAACTGAACAAGAGACCAGTAATTCATTCTCTTTCATTACTGGATGAATGTCTCCAGGATGGAAAGGAGGTGACTTGATCAATTTCTAGGATGTAGAACAGCTGTAAAGAGTAGCAAGATTATAGCTCCCACCCTTACAATAAAAAATAGCCAAACAATCTGAAAATTAATTATTTTTCAAGCCCAGTGAAGAACTGAAGGCACAGACCAATAAACGTGCAAAAATTAGTGGAATGACTTGTACCTTCAGGGAGACAGAAGACATGAGCATTTGCTTTTCTGAAATAGATGCAGCTAGACACGAGTAAAGAGTTTAGCTTCAAGGGTTGACAAATTGGTGAAGGTCAAGTGTGGGCTGACAGAATATTATGAATAAACAGAGGAAGCCCACACACTCTTGCATTTTTTTTCCCTCAGAACCCACCTTGGTCAGTCATACAAAAGGAGAGAGGGAGCACTAAGAAAGTGAACGTTCTGGAGGAGACCTGAGGAGAGAAATAGCAGCTGCTATGGATGAAGCACACAACTTGCATGGATCCTGATATGGTTAGACTTTGTGTCCGCACCCAAATATCATCTTGAATTGTAATCCCCAGGTGTTTACAAAGAGACCTGGCAGGAGGTGATTGGATTATGGCAGTGGTTTCTCCCATGCTGTTCTCATGATAGTGAATTGTCACAAGATCTGATGGTTTTATAAATGGTAGTTTTTCCTGTGCTGACACACACTCTCTACATGCCTTTGCTTCTCCTTCACCTTCTGCTATGATTGTAAGTTTCCTGAGGCTTCCCCAGGAATGCAGAACTGAGTCCATTAAATCTCTTTTCTTTATAAATTACACAGTCTCAAGCAGTTCTTTATAACAGCTTGAGAAGGAATGAATACAGACCTTTTTCCCCTAATTCTACCATGGTAAAAACATCTTAATTTTGGGGGAAGGGGAGAGAGGCATAAACACTGTCATCTTAAGACACTAATTAAGATTCACTGCAGCTGAGAAAAATGAAAGAGGAAAAATAAATTTTAAAGCAGAAAGGAGGAGCAGAAAGACAGACAACATCCAGATCTACAGTCAGGGAATGATAGGAGAATGGAATGGAATGCCTAAGACTAAGGCTTAATGTGAACAACAGAGAAACCTCCCACCTGCTGCCCACCACTGCCAAGCTGGCAATTCTTGAGTAAAACCTAACAATGGATTCTTCTGGTAGAGGACTAGCCGAGGAACAACTCATGCAAAGAATTTTTTCTCTGAAGTACAGAGGAAAGGAGCAACCTAATGTTGTAGGTGGAACAGACATTGTTCCAACTTAATTACAAGGTATTCCTACACCAGCCCCACCTAAAATACATTTTATTACTACGGAGATGTGAAGGTCATGGTACACTGATGGTAACTATAGCAACAGCAAACTTCAACCCAAACCCACATCCCAACTAGATTAGCTCAAAGTCTCGAACTAAAGGCCTATATGATCTACAAGGTGTATTTACTTCCAGGCATAAAAATCACTTACTGCAGTCTCTGTTGTCCTACACAAAGAGTACAGCAGACTTTAACAAAATTGAGTCATACCAAAAAAGCAAGAAGAAACATATGCTCAAGAGACAAAGAAATAATCACAACCATAATCAGATATGACATAGAACTCACAACTGAAAGATAATTTAAAGTAACAATGATTATTATGTTAAAGGAGATATACATGTATGCGTAAATATATAAATAATTGTGTTTATAGTATATGCTTATATATACTATATAAATAAATATAATGAAATAATTATGATTACTATGTGAAGGAAATATATATGTAGAAAGATATAGATATACATTCATATATTTATATATATTTATACTATATATATTTATACTCTCTATATACCCTTATATACAGGTATGGATATGATCCCTATCTTTTATACATATATATAGTATAAAGATATATATCCTTATAATATAGGGATATATATGATTCCTATCATATATATCCCTACATATATGAATGTGTATCTATATCTTTATACATATACATCTCCTTTACATAATAATCATTATTTTATTATGATTATTAAAAGATAGTGATGTTACAATGCAAAATTACACAGGTAATTTAAATAAGGAAAAGTTACAATGCAAATTTACACAGGTAACTTCAACACAGATATGTAAACTATAAAAAAAGACCAAATCAAAATTTTAGAAATAAAAAAACACAAAACAGATTAAAAATGCCCTTTTCAGTACAGTACACACAACACAATTGAGGGAAAAAAATCATTAAAATTGAACTCAGGCCAACAGGTTACTCCAACTAAAACACAAAGGGAAAAAAAAAAGAGTGAAAAAAGTTAGAACAAAGCACCCAAGAGCTGAATAATGATCTATTATATATGTAATTGAAATCCCAGATGAAATGAAGTAGAATAAGGAGAAATACTGGAAAAAATAATGGCCTGTAGCTTCCATAAGTTAATGATAGACACTAACCCACAGAAATTCAGAGATCACCAAAGATAATATCCAAAATAAATAAGTAACCACACATGCAGGCATGTCATATTCAAACTTCTTAAAATGAAAAACAAAAAAAGAAATCTTGAAGGAAGCAAGAGAAAAAAAGATGTATTATATACAGAGGAAAAACATAATAATTACGACAATTTTTCATCAGAAATGATGTAGGCCCTGAAGAAATTGCAGTAACATCTTTAAAGTGCTGAAAGAAGACCTGCTAACCCAGAAGACATATCCAGTAAAAATATCGTTCACAATAAAGAAAAAACAAAACTTTCTCAGAATACAACAAAAACTAGGTAAATTTATTTCTAGCAAACCTCCTCTAAGAAATGTTTAGTTCATAGAACCACTTTTATTTCACCTCAACTCTACCTCCCATTTTAAAATTTACACTTTCTCATAGCTGCCTATTTATTATTTTCTTCATGTTGAAAATCTTGGCCGGGCACAGAGGCTCACACCTGTAATCCCAGCATTTTGGGAGGCTGAGGCGGGTGGATCACCTGAGGTCAGGAGTTCAAGACCAGCCTGCCCAACATGGCGAAACCCCGTCTCTACTAAAATACAAAAAATATTAGCCGGGCATGATGGTGGGCACCTATAATCCCAGCTACTCAGGAGGCTGAGGCAGAAGAATCGCTTGAATATGGGAGGCAAAGGTTGCAGTGAGCCAAGATCGCGCCATTGCACTCCAGTCTGGGCGACAAGAGTGAAACTCTGTCCCAAAAAAAAACAAACAAAAAAAAAAAAACAAAAGAAAAGAAAACAAAATCGCTTGACTTCACTTCTTAGGTACAGGAGATTTTTAAAAATCTCCTTCTTTCCTGAAAAGTTCATTACTTGTGCTCTATGTGTCATGACATACATCTTGATAATGTTTTCAGTGATACTTACCAAACGCTATATTGGTGTAATAATTGACTGACAAAGAAATATTCATGTATGAATTCCTCTTACTTAGTATTTATTGAGGAAAGGGCAACACCTTACGACACTGCCACTTCCTTTAATTAGCTGGAAAGTGGTTAAGAAAGCATTTGGATAGATTTTTGAGAAAAGGGCATCTAAAGGAAGATCTTATAGTTCATTAAATAGACCTTATGTTTGCCTGAAAATTATTTTTAAGAATTTTAATAAGGACTCTGAAAAAGTAAATATTTTTGATGAAAACTATGTACTTCAACCACTTTTAAAATTCAATTTCTAATGATTGCAGATAATATATATGTTCAGGGGGTTAACTGTCTTCTGAAAATATGCATATTTTTATTCTTTCACTTCACTATTTCATCTTGACAATGCATATATAATTCTAGCACATATCCTACAGTACATTATTGATTATTCTACATTCACTCTGGATCCTGCTTCTAGGATGCTTTCTTACATCTCGTATCCTGGAGGCCCTTCATAAGAAACATTTTTGTTGTCTAACCAACATATCTACAAAAGCCAATCTTCTTTCCTCAATATTTCACTTCTCAGGCCAATCTGCAGCTTGTCACCATCCTCCAGTGAAACTAATTTTGCTGAAGGCATTAAGCACTTTAATGATGCAAAATCTTGTATGGCATCTTAAAATCTTCATTGTATTAAATTGTATTTAAAGTAATGTAAGTTGTATTAAAGTACATTTTTAGCAGCATTCAAAATAATTTACTATTATTATTTTTACCTTTCATATTATCTCAAGTTCCTGCCACATTTAGTTCCCTGGCCACATTTTCTGCCTTTTTAAAATTGTCAACTCCATTTATCCCTGACTGCTACATATTAGAGTCCTCAGGTTTAGATTCTGGATTCTGTTACGGTTTCTATCTACACTGACTCCTAAAATGATGATTTCATCCAATCTATTACTCAAATGTTAAATATTATCTTTATACCAATGGCTGATAACTTACAACTTCAGTGAGGTATCTTTTTTGCATCCATTCTCAAACTGTCCATTTGATATTTTTCACTCAGCATTAAACAGTCACATAGGTAAATCAAACTTAATAATGACTTAATAATAGATTAATCATCTCTCCTTACCTAGACATCTGCAGTTCACTCAGTTTCTCTTATTTCAACAAAAAAGCATCAAGCCAGAAACTTGGAATCATTCATGAATTAGCTCCTATCTTCACGTGTCCTGGAGACTTTTCCTCCAAAATATGGCTTCACCCCCTTCCTTATCAATACCCAAGTTTAAACCACTCATACTTCTAATTGACCTTTGAGTAAGGACCAAAATATTTGTCAGCTTCCAATAACTACCAACGTCATCTTCCAATAACTACCAATGTCATCTCATGTCCCGCTCACAGTTTTCTCACTGCATTCTAAAAATGCTGGCACCATTTCAATCTCTTAATTCATCAAGTATGTTCTGAGCTCAGGATTTTGGCATATGCATTTTCTTTACCTAAAAAATGATTCCTCTATACTCTACATCCATCTAATTTCTACCTATTTTCTTGGTCTCGGAGAAATTGCACTTAAATATCATTTAATCGAAGTGATGTTCCTTATCCCCAAATGTATATTAGGTCCCCTAACTGACCTCTTTTAAAATTCCATTTTTAAAAATTTTAACTAATACTATAATATATAATGATGTATTTATTATTTGCGTTATTTATTCTAGTAGTCAAGCAAAGCAATATTCAGGAAAAGGCAACAGAATTTTAAGATGGAGAAAACAGAAAAAAAAAGTAAGAGTTTTCACTTTGAATGATAACAGGAAGCTATAAAACTGAGATTGGTAGGAAAAGATTAACCAAAGTTTTCATGAAGAATTCTGTAAATGCAGATAAAGTGAGTTTGTTTGTTTCTACAATACCATATACCCAAATACTTCACCTGCAGAATCAAAAGAAATACATAACTGGGAAATGGTTTAGAGTGTTTAAATAGTAACTTAATGAGTAACTTCAGAAATATTGTAACTTTGACATTAGCATCAAAATGCCCTCTTCTTTTCAAAAGATCCCACATACTTCCTTTAGAGACAAGACACAGGCTTGAATGAATCATTAATCTCACACAATATAGAAATAGTGATCTTGATCTCTTTTTTTAAAGTAGTAAATTTCTAGCAGATCTTTGCCTTGCTTTGCTTTCCTTTACTGTATTTACTACATATTTTAATTATCTGATAATTATAGCATATGTAGTGAAAGAGAGTAAAATGCTTGTGGTTTGCAAAACAAAAAAGACTAAACCAAAACTTGGAAAAATATAAAATCTTAAAAATTTCTACTTGTGTTATGATAATTATCTCCATGAAGTACAAAGAAACAAAAGAAAGACAACTAATATTCTATTGAAACACAAGTAACTCATACATTTTAAATACAAAGGCATGAGATAGAGTAGCCAAAAAACATCCAAAATAACGAGTCAAGATATTTTAACATGCATATATGTTAGAAAAAATATTCCCAGTGTTTTCAAAATTATTGGATGAAAACAATTGTATTGTCTTTCAGATAACTAAGAAATTGTTATAAGAAAGGCATGTTTTGGAGAAGTCTACTCTATTGTCCTAAAATATACATGTAGCCTTTCCTATATATCTAAACTTTCTTGAACCAGTTTAATTGTTATGGATTTAACATCTTGGTTTTCAGAAACACAAAGTCACAATTAGAACAAGAATTATTCAGGAAATTAAGACAGAAATATGCAAGAATAAACAAGTTCCCACCTTCTGTCATAGTTCAATAGATTATTAAATTATGTTTTAAAACATTGTTCTAACAGCTTTATAGCTTTATAGACCAAATATTGCTAAATGCAGTATTGTAAGAATTTGTAAGTAAGGATAGGTAGAGAACAGAAAAATGTCATGTTTATATTCAGACACTAGGAACCAACCAGGGACATTCAGGAGGAAGGTGGCAGTTCTCACAGTGCAACTGAGTTAACATTTTGCCTAAACAGCATTTCAGAGGCCTTTCTCACTTAATAAACTACCAAATTAGTGAAATAAGACACTATAACTGACTTGAGTATATACCTAAATATCCTAATAGTTTTTGTTTTTGTTGTATTTCCAGAGTTACCTGTGTTTGGGATAATATTGCATATTGAGGACTCCAAATTTCCTTGTCCTCCATTGACAGAAACAACTTCTGTCCTCTGATTTTTACCTGGGTGCTCACTAAGTCATCATCAACAGATCATACATGTGCATGAGTTTTTTCATGCCACTGCCTTGGCTGATATTTTACTATCTACCTTTTTGAAAATAAATGGGTGTGACTTAAGAACCACAGAGAACAAGCTGGATATTCCAAATTAATTCTTTAGCATTCTTGATTTTATATCTGAAATTTAACTGTTAAAACTTCGTCTATCGTAACTACTGTGTAACTTCTTCAATGGAGAAGTATTGCTTTAATTGATCATTACGTATATATACCTTCATGTGAATAGAAATTCAACTAAATATCTTGTTAACAAGTAGAGGAAATACAATAAAGATTATGGGTCCCAAGGGTTGGATAAAGGAGGGATCATTGAAGGATGAGAAGGTATCTAAGTTAAATTTTAGCTACTTCACCACTGATAAGGTTTGAATGTGTTTCCCTGCCCAAATATTGTTCGCTTTTTGTTTGTTTCGGCTTTTGTTGGGGCGGAGGGGGGAGGCACAGTGTTTGTTTGTTTGAGACAGAGTCACTCTGTCATCCCGGCTGGAGTGCAGTGGCTCTATCTCAGCTCACTGCAATCTCCACCTCCAGGGTTGAAGCAATTCTCGTGCTTCAGCTTCCCAAGTAGCTGGGACTACAGGCACCTGCCACCATACTCAGCTAATTCTTTTGTATTTTTTAGTAGAGACGTGGTTTTGCCATGTTGGCCAGGCTGTTCTTGAATTCCTGGCCCCAAGTGATCCACCCACCTCAGCCTTCGAAACTGCTGAGATTACAGGCATGAACCTGTTCCTGCCCAAATCTTATGTTGAAGTGTAATCCGCAATGTTGGCGATAAGTCCTGTGGGGAGGTAATTAGTTGATGGGGGCAGTTTCTCATGAATATTTTAGCACCATCTCCCTGGTGCTGTCCTCTCAACAGAGTGAACTCTCATGAAATCTTGTTTAAAAGTGTGTGCACCCTCTCTCACTCTCCTGCTCTTGCTTTCACCATGGTAATGTGCCATCTCTCTTGCATTCGCCATAATTGTATGTTTCCTGAGGGCTCCCCAGAAGACAATGACACTATGCTTCTTGTATAGTCTGACGAATGGTGAGACAATTAAACCTCTTGTCTTTATAAATTACCCAGTCTCTTACAGCAATGCAAGAACAGCCTAACACAACAACTTTGTGACTGAACTCATTCTCAAATACTCAGCAAAGACAACCAGAGAGAGAGAGAAAGAAAAGATTCTATATTTGATTTTTTAATTTTGTTTTTATTTGCAGTAGGAGTAACTGAGAGATATTTTCTTGATAGGCTAGAAATTTTTCCCATTCTCTTCAAGTAGCCAAAAGATCAAAGAAACTTCAAAGCAAAGAGGAAAAAATAAAAGGGTTGTTGAAAATCACAGCAACATTAGAACAGGAAGTACTGCTTCCAGGGACTTGTGGATACCTAAGGCTATCTTTTGCTGAGCCAAAATTAAGAATTAGTCGCAATTCAAAATTCAATTTTCAGGTAACTGAGATTGAAAAAGACCTGTGACTTCACATTCTGCAATGTGATCAGTCATTTCTAGCAACATGACCAGTGTTCACAAATTGAATCAACTCCAACTAGGTATGAAAACTGAGTTCAATAATTTAACACAAAAAGCCTCACACTTTCTTTTATTCCACGGATTGTTGAAACATTTTGGGGGGAATTTTAAAGGTCAAATTCATCTCTTTTCCTCCTAAATTGATACTAGAGCCTTGCTATGCAAAGTGCATTGCATAGAACAGTAGCTTCAGCATCACCTGGCACTTGTCATAAATGCAGAACACCAGGTTCTACTCCAGGCCTGCTAAATCAGAATGTGCATTTTAACACTAATGTGCATAAGATTTGTATGAATTAAAGTTTGAGACACAATGATCTAAAATTTGCTACTTTTGCAAATAAAACAAGTCTATGAGTACTTGTCTTAGTGAACACAGCTCCCCTGAGTATTTGAACATGGCATGCTAGAATAATTGAATATGATCTTAATGATATGTTTAGATAAGCAGTAAAAATTGTGCTCCTGTTGATTCACAATTTGAGTGAAATTACCAAAAGTAATCCAACTTTCTCTTTGGAAAAGATTGAATATTAATTGCCCGCCTTTCCCCATCTTTTCTCTCTATCTTAACTCCCTTCTAACAATTACTGAAATGTTAACACTCAATTCCAATCCAGCCAACGCTGAGGGAAGTAGTTACATGTTAAATTCTTACCAACACATAAAATATTTTGTGATTATAAATAGCATTACAAAAGGCTTAGCTAATATCACTGATATTCAAAAGATTAAGTCTATATAAGGTAGAATTTTGAATATGAGATCTGTCTACATTTGAATATACTATTGGCAGCTTACATTTCCACATTAAACTCCTCCCACAACACAAATTAAACATAACCAAAGCTAAAAGCAACACAGTTTTCTTGACACTAATAATTCCTTTTTCACCTGTGTTCTCTTTCTTGATTAATGGTATCCCCACCCTCACAATTTATTCTGGGTAATAATGAAGTCATTTCCAATTCTTTCTATTATCCACATCTAATCTGTAAGTTCTACTTCAAAAATGGACACACAACTCCTTCTTTTCCATTCCTTCTTCCAATACCCTAGTTCAGGTCCAATCACATTTCAAATGAACCATGGTAATTGCCTACTGACTGGGTCTTATACCTGTGATCTCTACCTTTTCCCAAATTAACTCCATGATATCAACCATTAGTAAACAAAAACAGGTTAGGTCTTGCTATTCATGCCTTCAAAAAATTTTTACCATATTCTATTACTGAAAGGATAAAGTTTACAATGCTTACTTTACCCACTGTTTAAGGCCTTTCATCATTAATGCAGCCAGATTCATCTATTGCAATGGTTTCCATTTACTCTGCTTTTCAGCCACTTCGAAATTCTCCACACTTTTCAATTTTCAAATATATATTTCAATCAGGTACCTCTGTGACTTAAGTTATCCGGTTCCCTCATACTGGACTTGTCTTTCTTCCTTTCTTCTCTATCTGCTTATTCATTTAATTTGCCTTTTTTTTTTTAAGGAAGAAGTTCATGACTATATTCTTAGCCCTTATTTGTTTTGCTTTTTTTTCTTTGTTTTTTCTTCACCTATGTTCCTTCGTTTAAATTAAAGTTAATTAGTTTTGGATAATTTCACCCAGGAAACTGTAAGGTCTCTGAGAAAAGAGTTTCTAGATAAATATCTCTCAAAGCCAAATAAGACCTAACACAATCGTACCTGTTCAAAAGTATTCATTGAATTGAATTGAATATTCACTTTGCTATAATGAAGAGAAAATTTAAATGCTGTCATGAGTCAAAGCATATTATTATACGGTATGGTAGGATAATCACAACTATTGTTATGATTTTTGAAAATGATCTAGGAGATGAATATCTATGGTTAATCTTCTAAATTGAATCTGACACAGGTTATGCACATTTTTTTATTATTATCGTCTGTTGCACAGGGACAGTTTAGTGTGATAAGAAATACGGGAAAGATATTAAAAATATTCAAATGTGACCTCTACTGGCAAAGTAATAATGACTTCTTTTAATGAGAGATTGTCAGATATACCATAATTTATTTTTCTAATCCACAAAAGCCCCAGGAATTACATATCAGCAATAGAAGAAAATTGCTATTAGAATATAAGCCACATAAAGTCATTTTTGATCACTAATGTATTCTAAGCATCTAGTACAGTGCCAGACATAGAGTAGGCACTCAGTAAAGATGCGTTATCTAAATGAAGTACTGAATAGATAAGTGAATTAGAAGTCATTTTTATTCATATTGAGACAATTGAATCAGAAAGATAGAATCAATTTCAAAATCTTAATGAAGATATCTATGAAGTAATAATATATGCATGAAATTAAAGAAAAATGACAGAATAAATAGCAGGAAGATTTGTATTGGACTGCCTTCTAATATGTTTATATATTGTTCACTTGTATGAAATCACAAAACAAAATTGATTTGTATTAGAGAGATGTACAGGACATCCTAGCCTCGGAGGATCAACTGAATGAACTCAGAGGTCCCAGAGATTATATGTGACTCCTTAATTTTTCAACAATGATGCTAGTTATGGTGCCAATACAGATTTACTTAGAATAATCATCTGAAGTCAAATAGTCACCACCTACTCTTCCACAAAATTGCCAATGTTAAGTAAAAACTTGTGGGCAAAAAAAAAAAAAGTTGTTTTAGTCAATTAAGTCTTTCAACTTCAAGCCAATCAAACTGTAAATCAAGGTATCAAGGTTCGAGACCAGCCTGGCCAATATGGTGGAACCCCATCTATACTAAAAATATAAAAATTAGCCAGGTGTGGTGGCATGCACCTGTAGTCCCAGCTACTTGGGGGGTGAGGCAGAAGAATCACTTGAACCCGTGGGGCGGAGGTTGCAGTGAGCCCAGATTGCGCCACTGCACTCCAGCCTGGGTGACAGAGCAAGACTCCGTCTCAAAAACAAAACAAACAAACAAACAAAAAAATCAAGATGTATTTTTGTTCTTATTTTATGTTTTATTTTAGTTTGTTTCTTATATGTGTTAATATAGAATTTATGGGTTTCTTTTCTGATGATTGAAGTAATGATTATATTTTTATGTGTTTATGAATAAAACAAGAAAGTTGAATTTGATTTTTTAAAATTCAGACTGTATGTTATTGGTATATAAGGAATCTACTGATTTTTATACCTACTTTAACTATTATGCAATGTGCCCTAAAAATAATAGAAATAATAAAGAACAGCAGCACCAGCACTCACACTGTGTTAGCTTCATGCTTAGTACTCGACGTGTGTAATCTGTTTTGATCCTATCAACATGAAGGATAGACACAAGTAGCATCCCACTTTAATCTATACAAAGTGAGACTTGGTGAAGTTAAGCTATTGTCCAAGAGTAAACAATTGTGCAAGGCACTAAATGGCTCCATTACATGTCAGAGCCCAAAGACATACTCATCTCTCTGTATGCTGCATGTCTTTTAGTTTTTCTGGCAATTCTATTGCCCAGAGAGACATAAGTAACTGTCTATAATAATGAAAATGTTGCCTCTGTTTTAGAATATATGTAGCTATTAATTTGTTCTTAATGAACTAGCTAACCAATCAAATTAAGATTAAACACAAAATGCGATGCAGATTGTGAGTCTGAGATATATGCTATAGATAGTTTCATTGTGTCAAAGCAAAAATTCTAGTTTCTTACTTTGAGCCAGAAATGATTATTACATTCAATGAAATTTCACATAGGGATAGTTAAATATATTTCCATTTAGAGTTGTTAATGTGAAGGACTTGATTAATAGATTTCTTAGTATTGATCCATTCTTGCATTCATGAAGTAAATCCCCCTGGCCATGATGGATTAAGTACTTTACAGCTGGATATCATTTGCTGATAATTTACTTGCTATTTTGGCATTTGTATTCACAATTAAGATTGATATTTTCTTTATATGCTCTCTCTGTTAAGTTTGTTATTAGCATTACTGGGTAGCTTTTCTTTTTCCTCTGTGTTCTGGAAACAGTTACATAGGCTGAAAATTGCTCCTTAGCTATTTAAAAGAAAATCTATAAAATAACCTGCATTTACTCTCTTTGGGAAGAAGGCAGCATTCACGTTTAACTTTCTCAGGTTTTTCATAATGACTCTAGTCTACTTTAATAAGTTCTTGATGATTCATTAATTTTCCCCAAATTCTTAAATTAATAAGATTTTAATAAAATGCACTTATTTTCATATTTCTTTTACACACTTTTTTCTTTTGTGACTGCCTAAAATATATCAAATCTTTCCCACAGTGCGATAATCTCCACAAATGATCTCACTTTCTAAAACCAAACAAATAAATATGATCACTAAGTTTATTCACATCTGTATCACTGTGGTGCAGATAATATATTTCACCTTTCGTAATCAAACTAAACACACTATTTTTGTGTTCAGAAGTTGTAACCCAGCTAGGGTTTAGAAGCATGATAACCCAGGCAAGGCATGGAGACCCCATCTTACTAGAAGAAAGAAAAGCAGGGTCGAATGGTCTAGAGGCAGCATAACTGCAGGCAGCTTCTACGTCACTGAGATGAAGCAGCTTCTCTGGGACAATTCTGTTTGGCTGTATGACTATAACCCTCCCAAAGATTCTGTAAGATCTATCCCTTACTAAATCCTTTTCTACCTATACAGGCTAGAGTATCTTCTGCTTTATGTAACCAAGAACCTTACTCATATAACACTTTCTTATTCATTTAGAAATTTTAATTTACTAATTTAGAAATTTTCATTTCTAATTTCTATATTTTTTCACATCACAATTAATTGCATATTTCACATTTGAAGGGTCAATATGTGGAAAAGCAATATAGCATGCTTGTTGTGGTAGGCCCTTCTAAGATATCTACATCCTAATCTTTAGAACCTGTGAATATGTTAACACGGCAAGAGGAAATCCGATAGAATTGCAGATAGAATTTACGTTGCTTATCAATTGACTTTAAAGTAGGGAAATGATATCAGATTATCTATGTGTACCCAATGTAATTAGAAGAGTCCTTATAAGGAGATGAGACAGGCAGAACACTATCAAAACAATGTTATGTGAAGAAGACTGGTCATTGCTGGCTTTAAAGACAGAAACGGGACCAGATGCCAAGGAATGCATAGGCCACTAGAAACCAGAAAAGGAAAGGAAATGAATTGTCCCAGAGAGCCTCTGAGAGAAAGACAGCATTGCCAACACCTTGATTTTAGCTCAATGAGGCACATTTTAGACTTCTGACCTCCTGAACAATAAAAGTAAACAACATCTGTGTTGAAATCAAGTTTGTGGTTTGAGGAATGAACTTTGTAGTCAGAGAGAACAATGATCAAATTACAACTTCACTCTCTGTAAACTGTGTAGCCTTACAAAAGTATAATTTCTCCAAGGTTTTGATTCCTCATCTACAAAGTAGCATAATAGTAACTGCCCCATGGCGGCTGTTGGGGACCAGCCTCAACACCACCCGTAGGGTACCCGAAGTCCAGTGGCGACAAAGGAATGAGAAGAGACAGGTTTAGAGTTCATAAAGGTGGGGCCAGGGGGCCAGAACAAATCAGAGGCTGCAAATGCCCAGCGTTCTGGTCTCTACACTATTTATTGAGTACAATCACTTAGATCTAAGAAGCAGACGTTCAGGGCGAAAGAGTGAAAGGGAGGCAGTGCATCATAGGCGTACTCTATAGCAATAGCGGTTTAAATGAATCTCCTTTGTGCTCAAACAGCTTATCTTTAACTTATCGGAGAGTAGCTAGTGGGAGCGGGCTTAACTAGGAGCCTGCATGTCTGGCCACATTTCAGTGCTTCAAAAGAGTGTCTTTCTCCTTGAACACAGTGTTTATGGATAAGAGAACAAGTCTCACTGAGAGCATGGGAACATAATGGCAGTAAGAAGGCCTTCCTCCTCAGGCCTCTTGTGGCTTTCCACAACTTATTGTCCCATATTTTTATGGCCAGTTTATACAGGAACCCCACAAGCCCTTTTCCCAACAAGGGTGGATGTGAGGACTAATTTGCATGATCCATGGTATGTAGTTGGCAAATATTTGACGTAATATTCATGGAAAAATATTTACAAAAAATTAATCCCCCATTTATCTATTTTACAATCATAATTTTCCTTGTGTATCGTTTTCATTCTCTTTCTCTGGCTTGGTTTAATTTTATTTTTAATTTGCCTGATACTGAATTCTCAAACTACTGATTAGTTAATTTGCCTTTAATTTTATGTGCTAATTAATGAAAACTTAATGGTGTTCTCATTGTTTTTAATGATGTTTTTAAATGTTGTAATTTCTATTTTGACTCAAAAGTTATTTGGGAACAGTTTATATAGTTCTTAACTTAATAAAATAATGGTTGTAATTTGTTGTTGTTGTATTACATCTGCACTGCAATCAAATAATACGATATTTCCCATATAATTTTGCTTTCTCTATTTATAGAATTTGCTTGAGATACTGGTGAATGAGCATGCAATCATGTTTCCCCAATAACTAAAACTTATAGTAGATTATTTATAATTCTGAAAATCTACATGTAATTTTTTCTGATTATTCTAATAAAGGCTGAATTGTTGATATATTAAAATTGTCTTTTTGCTTATATATTCTCATGTTCCCAAAACTTTCGTTTATAAATTTTCATTCTGCACTATTTACTATATAAGGAATACAATTTTATTATTCAAGGACTGTTTCTTTTTTCTATTAAAATTTACTTGTTTGCCCTTCCAGGACTTTTACTTTGTCTTAAATAAGTATTGATTTTTTTTTCAAATTTGTGTTTGCCATTTCAACATTTGTCCATTAAAGTATATTTACTGTTGTTGTTATTTTATGTATGTTTCCTGTAAACATCACATATTAGGATGTAGCTACTTTTACTCAAGCTGAGAGTCCTTTTTTATCAACATAGTTCATACTTTAAGCATTTACTCTTTTTGCAAAATTTTTTAATATTTTGAAAGGTATATAATCTCATTAAACAAACATAAATATATTTATCCTGCTGTAATTATACATTCAAAGATCACAATGGTGTTATTTTTATTATTGGTTACTTTTAAGAAGTTTTAAAAATATTATTTTATTACTCTGGTTAATTTGAATTGAGGCCAGTGTATCAATGTGACCTAGATAATTCTGAAGACCATCAATGTTAACACAATTTCATCATTTGTAAAAAAAAAAAAAAAAAAAAAAAAAACTCGGTCCATGAAATACAAGACTGTTAAACCACTAAATCACTTCACTACATTGTTGAGAAAATTCAAAGTAATCTCTTTATCAGATACAATTGGCCCAACTGGACAAACATCTTGTTTCAAGTTTTCAAAGTAATCTGTACATTACTTGATATGGTTTGGGTGTGTCCCCACCCAAATCTCAACTTGAATTGTATCTCCCAAATTCCCATGTGTTCTGGGAGGGACCCAGTGGGAGGTAATTGAATCATGGGGGCCAGTCTTTTTCGTGCTATTCTTGTGACAGTGAATAAGTTTCACGAGATCTGATGGGTTTATCAGGGGTTTCCACTTTTGCTTCTTCCTCATTTTCTCTTGCCACTGCCATGTAAGAAGTGCCTTTCACCTCCTGCCATGATTCTGAGACCTCCTCAGCCATGTAGAACTGTAAGTCCAATTAAACCTCTTTTTCTTCCCAGTCTCGGATATGTCTTTATCAGCAGCAAGAAAACAGACTAATACAGTGTAATTTTTGTATTTTCGAGCACTTGTTCTATTTCTAAGAAAATTTATTTGGACAAAAAATTATCTCAAGTTTCATAAACATCCCCTCTGACTTCTGGCAGTTAATGTTACAGAGAATTTTGAGGCTAGAGTACTTCTTTTATAGATAATGTGTTGTTTTTTCTTCTTCCTTTTGTCTGTATCATTGAAGATCTTCTTTTTCCTTATGTGCCTAGCTGACTTTTTTTTTTTAATAGAAGTTGTGTTACTAAACATTTTACCTGGAGGTAAAATTATTTTGTTTTGTTTACCTTAGGTCAAAATATTTACTACACCCTAGTAAACTCAAATTTTTTTTCAACACACACACACAAACAGATCAATTATAATTTCGTTCTTAAACTATTTCATATTTTTGGAAAAATTCAGCTTTCTGGATGAATATATTCTTTTAGTCACATAAAGAAAATAAAGATAGGTAGATATAGAAATAATCAGTATAGTTATACTTTCCATTTTTTTCTTCTTCTTTGTTTCTATGGCAATATTAAACAAGCAGTTAGTCTTATGGGAAAACTATCCTATGTTATTAATTTTTTTTACAATTGTAAATTTAATTTTGTGTGTATTTTAAACTGTTGCACAGCCATCAAGTAAAGCATTCTTTTCAGTTTCTGCTTCATTATAATGACACTCTAGGCTCGTTGATCTCTGGTCCAGCCCAGCACAGACCCACAAATAGCTTAGGACTAGTAACAAGTAACCATGGAAACAAAACTCCACACATGCTTGCACAGAATGGAAGAGGTTATATCACTATGGAACATAATTTAAAGGAAATTTTCTGATTGTTTCATGAGTTTAGATTATCTGGAAAAGCAATGCATTTCTCAAGTCAATAGGTTATTCGTCAAGTTCGGGAACTGTGCTATCAGGGAAAATGATGAACTTCCTTAATATAATATTCCCAAGATTTTACAAAGATGAAATAGGGCACACTAACCCAATTGAAAGTACTGTTTTGCAAGGAGCAAATAAAGGCCTTTTTACTTGCCATTGAGCTGGAGAAGATAATCTTGAGAAAAGGACAGCCATCATAAAATGAAGAAGTCTTTAAACTCCATTATCAGATTGAGTCATTAAGATGTATTTGCTGCTCCTTTTCAAAAGGAACTGGTGACTAATGGAAACCCATAGAGTATACTTCTAGGTGTAGAATTTAGAAATACTATATTGCTTAGCTTTTTGTGTACATGATAAATATATCAAAATTGTATCTGTAAAATTAAGTCAACTGAATATAACAAGAAGTAAGATGTTCCCTGCAAACTGTTTCCTTTTTTTAAATACTTTTTTAAATTTAATTTAATTTTAAGTTCTGGGATACATCTGCAGGACATGCAGGTTTGTTACACAGATAAATGCATGCCATGGTGGTTTGCTGCACCTATCAATGCATCACCTAGGCATTAAGCCCCACATGCATTAGCTATTGATCCTGATGATCTCTCCCTCCAAACCACCGACAGGCCTGTCCCTGTGTCCATGTGTTCTCATTGTTCACCTCCCACTTATAAGACAGAACATGCAGTGTTTGGTTTTCTGTTCCTGTGTTAGTTTGCTGAGGATAATGGCTTCCATCTCCATCCATGTCCCTGCAAAGGACATGGTCTTTTCTTTTTATGGCTGCATAGTATTCTATGGTATATACATACCACATTTTCTTTATTCAGTCTATCATTGATGGCTATTTGGGTTGATTTCATGTCTTTGCTATTGTGAATAGTGCTTCAATGAACATACACACGCATGTATCTTCATAATAGAATGATTTATATTCCTTTGGGTATATACCCAATAATGGGATTGCTGAGTCAAATGGTATTTCTGGTTCTAGGTCTTTGAGGAATCGCCACACTGTCTTCCACAATGGTTGAACTAATTTACACTCCCACCAACAGTGTAAAAGTGTTTCTCTTTCTCACAGCCTCGCCAGCATCTGTTGTTTCTTGACTTTTTAATAATCAGCATTCTAACTGGCATGAAATGGTATCTCATTGTGGTTTTGATTTGCATTTCTCTAATGATCAGTGATGTTGAGCTTTTTTCATATGTTTGTTAGCCACATAAATGTTTTCTTTTGAAGTGTCTGTTCCTGTCCTTTGCCCAATTTTTAATGGGGTTTTATTTTCTTGTAAATTTGTTTAAGTTCCTTGTAGATTGTGGATATCACTCCTTTGTCCTAAATAGCAAAAATTTTCTCCCATTCTGTAGGTTTTCTGTTCACTCAGATGGTAGTTTCTTTTGCTGTGCAGAAGCTCTTTCGTTTAATTAGATCTATTTTGTCAATGTTTGCTTTTGTTGCAATGCTTTTGACATTTTCATCATGAAATAATTGCCCATGCCTATGTCCTGAATGGTACTGTCTAGATTTTCTTCTAGGATTTTTATAGTTTTGGGTTTTACATTTAAGTCTTTAATCCATCTTGAGTTAATATTTATATGGGGTATAAGGAAGGGGTCCAGTTTCAATTTTCTGCATATGGCTAGCCAGTTTTCCCAGCACCATTTATTAAATAGAGAATCCTTTCCCCATTGTTTGTTTTCATCAGGTTTGTTGAAGATCAAATGGTTGTAGATGTGCAGTCTTATTTCTGAGATCTTGATTCTGTTCCATTGGTCTGTGTGTCTGTTCTTATGCCAACACCATGCTGTTTTGCTTACTGTAGCCGTGTAGAATAGTTTGAAGTCAGGTAGCATGATGCCTCCAGCTTTGTTCTTTTCTCTTAGCATTGTCTTGTTTATGTGAACTCTTTTTTGGTTTCTTAAAAGGGTTATGAAAATCAAAGCTAAGGAAGGCAGTGCTTAAGGAATAGTATTGGTATTGTATAGATTTATAGATATCTCTTTATCTAGACCTTCTTTTCATTCAATTTTTTTAAAGTTTAAGAAAGAATGTGCTCTATCTCTTTTCTCCTCAAAATTTTCCTCTAAATTCCTCTCCTTTTGGTTCTTTTGGTCATATTTGGCCTATCATATTCCTCAAACATTGACATGTTTTAGATGTTATGATCACCTTTAACAACAGAAGCTGCTATAAAAAAAACTGCTTCTCAGTCACTACACTGTAAAATATCTTAGATCACAAGTTTTAGATATGTATCTGACAATAATGCAACAGTCAAGTGCAGAAATAAAGGGGTCCTGGCAGGGCCTCCATGAGAACAAGATACTTCACCTATGACAACCAAGGATAATCCCAGAGCTCCTCAACTTCCCTTTTACCATGTAGATTCTCTTAGCAATTGCTTAGACAGGGTTGGCTGTGAGATATGACTACAGGGGCATCTAATTCCTTGTTAGATATTCTGAACACCACATATCAATAACTGAGGTACCAGGAGAAACTTCTGTTACTGAAAGCCAAAGGTGAATAAACAAATATTTTTGGAACACTTGCTATATATCTAACACTGTACTGAGGGATATAAAAGAATACAATTATTATCCTCAAGGATGTTAAAGTGTAGTTGGTATACCCCCATACAAAAGTGAAGAGTAAATGAGACTATGCAAAGAGGAAAAATGATATAAGAATTCAGAACAGAGGAAGATTAGCGTGGATAGAAAAAAACAGAGAACATTTAGGAAGGAGGTAGGGTTTGAAATATGGACTAATAAGATTTCAAGACCTAAAGCAGACTTCTCCTCTTAGTATTCAAAATAAGACATGATTTTAAAAGAATGATTATTAAACAGTAACATCATTAAAAGATAATATAAATTCAATATGAGCAGCTTATGATATTTTACAGATTAAGAAATTTGGGACTTCACTGAAAAAGAAACAGATGTTAAAACAATTATTTTTGTTATGTTGGATGTTTTCTAAATGCTTGCCTAACAATTAAATACTTTAATATGTGGTGCCCAGATTTGTTTTCAAAAGCAGGACAATGAGAACAAGAATGTAAACATGCTGGGAAGAGTATAATTATACATTGCACTTTTTTGCTGATGCTATTTTTATGACTCTTAAAATAGAAGGCCAGTTACATTTTTAATGCATCTTTTGGTTTTAACCCAAAATGCAGAGCTGTTAATTTAAACATTTTTGGTTACCTTACAGCTCTTGCAATAAATCAAAGAAACCTAAATTCAATACAATTGTCTTGGCACAACATAGTAGCAGTAGATTTCATAACAGTTTTAATGGAGTTCTTATTGAATTTCAGAATACTTTACACCATTTTAGCTAATTCTTAAGAAGACTTTAGGAAATAAATCATTTCCTTTAGTATAAATATAATTTCTGAAATTTTCTTTATTAAAAAATAAATTTAAAATTGGCAATAAGTCAGTCATAATTGCCTCTTAAATTTAGTCATCATTTTTCTTCATTCTTACCAAGTTATAACTTCCATTTATCTGAATTACTAGTTCCCATCATCACATCTATCAGAGACAGAAATTAACAGAATATTGGCATTGGGGAAGAAGAATTGGTATAATTATTTGTTAGTTCAGCATGTTTCCATTCCAGATGTGAATAAAATATAATTTTAGATTTAGATACGGATACAGATACATACCAATGCCTGTGTCTTTTACAGATTGTATTTTTGAGTTTGGTTTTAGAAGGATGTGTTTGATATAACATATTTCGGGCCAAACATTGGTATCTCTTAGAGCCTCTTTTTCTTCTTTGTCTTCTATGCTATACTTCTTAGAATAGGTAGAGGAACAAACCAGATAATACAAGTGGAGGAGCTCTGAGGTGGTGCTCTATTAAGGAAATAGTAAATCTTTCCCTTCTTATTTCTCTCATTGTACTGTCTTACATCCAGGAAATTCCTCTACTTTTATTTAAAAGGATGGCGAACTTTAAATTTCCAGTTTCAGAAACTCTAAATCTTGATTCTCATCCGTTAGACACATTATTCCTGTGCTTTGACTACTTTGCTACTAGGTGATGGAAGAGTGGTATAAACACCATCAAGCAACACATACATGTTGCTTTTTGAATACATATATACGTGTACACGATATATGTACATATTTATATTAATGTATGAGAATACAGTAATAATTAAATAATTAATAAATAAATATTCAAATTAAAACATGACAAATAAGATTGCAACTGATCCAGAAGCTTAAAAAAATATTTTGGGGTCTAAAATAAAACTAGTATCAGATATGCTGACCTATTCTTCCTCCTGATAAGAAAGCTTCAAATGCTTGTTGCCTTCTTGAAAATAACTTCCTTTTGAAAGGCTTCTATTCACAACTATGTTTGATATTCATTGATAAACTCCCTTGAATGCTTAAACTACTCTGAATTTACCTGTGTATATCTATGTTGATTTATGAATCATCTCAAGTTTGGGAGCTTAAATTTTAATAACTATACAGAACCTAAGATTATGGTAATTTCTAACTAAAATCTGAAAAAACAAAAATATTTTCAAAGATGCTCTATTAACTATCATGGAAAAATTACTTTAATTATGGAAACTTTTAAATAAAAAATTATTTCTACTTCCAGCCATGACAGAACCTGTCTTGGTACTCTACCTGTCTTCTGCTATGGTTTTAATATGTCCCCCAAAAGTTCATGTGTTAGAAATTTAATTCCCAATGCAACAGTGTTGGGAGGTACAGCCCAGTTGAAGGTGAATGGGTCATAAGGCAGAGCACTTATAAATGGATTAATGTCATCATCTTCAGAATGGGTTATTTCAAGAGTGAGCTGTTATAAAGTGAGTCCAACCCTGGTGCCTTTCTCTCTGTCTAATGTGCTCCCTTGCCCTTTTTCCACGTCATGACCTAGTAAGAAGGCCCTCACCAGATGCTGGCCCCTTAACTTTGGCCTTCCCAGCCTCTAGAGCTATAAGAAATATTTTTTAAATTACCTAGCCTGCATTATTCTGTTATAGCAACATACAATGAACTGAAGCAGAAAATTGGTACTGGGAGTAGAGTTGTTGCTACAATAAATACCTAAAAATGAGGAAGCAGCTTTGGAAGTGGGTTGGAAGCTGGAAGAATTGGGAGAAGCAAATTAGAAAACACCTGTATTGCTATGAATGGAGCATTCTGATGAGGGCTCAGAACAAAGGAAACCCTGAATCTTTTTAGGTATTACTTAAGTGGCTATAACCAGAATATCTGTAGAAACATGGACAGTAAAGGACATTCTGAAGAGGTTTCAGAGGGAAATAAACAATAAGATATTAGAAAGTGGAGTAAAGGCCATTCTTATTATTAAAAAAAAGACCTTAGCTAAACTGTGTCTGGGCCCAATGGTTTGTGGAATGCAGAATTTAAGAGCAATAAACTAGAATATCTGGTGAAAGAAATATCTAAGTAGCAAAGCAATCAGGCTGCTGCATTGTTATGTTTGACCACATACAATGAGATGTGAGAGGCAAGAAATGACTTAAAGACAAAAATTATAATTAAAAGAGAAACAGAATGGAAAGATTTAGAAAATTCACAGCCCAGTGCATAAAGACCAAAAAAAAATATTTGGGACAGAATACTAATGATGTGGCCAAGTAATTAGTGGAATAGAATAAACTGTAGAGCTACCAGTATTCCAGGCCAACATGAGAGCTGAAACATGGGCTGAAGTGCTCAAGGCCTTAGTGGTCAAACCCCCACACCAGTGCTCAAGATGTATGACATGGAGTCAAATAAGATTCTTTTCCAGATTTAAGACTTAATGTTGTTTTCCTTGCTGAATTTTGGGCTTCCCTAGGATATGTAATTCCTTTCTTCTTGCCTATTTCTCCTTTGTGGAAGGAGTATGCCTGTCCTGTGCCTGTCCTACCATTGAATTTATTTATTTGTTTATTTATTTATTTATTTTTTTTGAGACGGAGTCTCGCTCTGTCGCCCAGGCTGGAGTGCAGTGGCCTGATCTTGGCTCACCGCAAGCTCCGCCTCCCGGGTTCATGCCATTCTCCTGCCTCAGCCTCCCGAGTAGCTGGGACTGCAGGTGCCCGCCACCATGCCTGGCTAATTTTTTTGTATTTTTAGTAGAGACAGGGTTTCACCATGTTAGCCAGGACCTACCATTGAATTTTTGAAGTAAATAATTTGTTCAACTTCACAGGCTCACAGCTGAAAGAAATTTGCCTCAAGGTGAAATCAGTCATGCTCTCACCCATGTTAGATGAGACTTTGGTCTTTGGACTTTTGAGTTAATGCTGGAATGCATCAAGGCTTTGGTGGCCATTAGGATACAACAAATGTATTTTGCATTGTGAGAAGGACATGAATTTGGGTGCTCGAGTGGAAAGCCATGGTTTGAACTGTTCCCCAAAAATTCATGTGTAAAAACTTAATCCCCAATACAACATTGTGGGGATGTCTGGCCTAATAGGAGATGATTGGGTTATGAGGGCAGAACCTTCATAAATGGATTAATGTTGTTACTGTGAAGCAGGTTATTTATAGTGGCAGTGGGTCATTAGAAAGCAAATCTGGACCCTGGTGCCCTTTCTGTCTCACGTGCTCACTTGCACTTCAACCACGTTATGATGCAGCAAGGAAGCCCTCATCACATGTGGCTCTACAACCTTGGACTTCCTAGCATCTAGTATTGTAAGAAAGACATTTCTTTTTATTATAAATTACTCATTCTGTATCATTCTGTTATAGCAACACAAAATAGACCAAGACATCTTTTTACAAAGAAACTGAAAAATAATGCAAAAAAAAAAAAAAACCACAACGCTTTTCAGGTATTAGAAAGCGCTGTGATCCTTGGTTAAAAAAAAATAAAGGAATAAAATTTTAATATCACTTAAGCTGTTTATAGGAAAGCATTTACCAGACCCAGTTCAGGAACGGGGACCTAAGCAAAATATAGCAGGCTTGCTGACTTTGGATACAAAGATGGGAATTTGGGGAGATTGAGGCATCTTAATTTTAGCTGCTTGTCCTGACGAGCTTAGCTATCAGAAAATGTCTCAAGAGAAAACGTGTAATGTTTGGATTACTGCTCTGTGCTTCCCTTTTGTGTCAGTCTGCCCTCTTCCACCAAAAATAAGCAGATGTCCCTTGGGGAATAAAGGTGAAGCGAAAAGCAATGTGCAATATGTTGAGGCCAAACTCTGTTTCTGTACTCTTTGGAAACTTGGCCTCTCACATTTGCCATAATTTTTATTTTTCTAGTAACATATAATTTAAAAAAATATATAGTTATTCTCCTAAATGTACAAGTAAAATTTGACAACAAAAATTCTGAGTCATCAGCTTATCCTCAAATATATTATATTTCCAAATGTTTGCTTTCCTAAACATAAAGGAATGCATGCAAATGTATTCTGTCTCTATATATTTGTAGAGACAAAGATATCTGTATTATTTTTCTTTGATTATTAGCTACCAAAAGTAAGCTATAATCATGCAAACTCCAAGTTTGCTTTGTCCATAGAAATATAATACAAACTATATGCATAATTTTAAATATTTTTGTAACGAAGTTTTAAAGAGCAAAAAAGAAACAGGTGAAATTAATTTTAATAATATATTTTGTAAAATATTTTTATTTTGGTATGCAATCAACATAAAAAATTACTGATGAAATACTGTGAATAATATACCTGTCATACTCAGTGTAATACATAATAATATTTCACATAGTTTTATGGTTAAAGAGAAATGTCACCACACCAAAACAGTAAAGATTTATTAATAGAAATAGGTTTACAACAGTTTGGTTTTTAAACTTAAATTAAAAGTAAGTAAAATTAAAATTAATTTATCCACTGGTCTAGCCATATCTTAAATGCTCAATAGCTTCATGTAGTTAGTAGCTAACATCCTGGACAACACAGTTCTAACCCTCCTTGATGATGAAACTTAGTGGTTTTCAATGGAGGTTGCATATTACTGCTGGAAATGTGTTGGTCCAAGATATATTTTTGATCAGGAAAATATCTCCCTCAACATGGAGACACTGTTGAGAACCAATGAATTATGCAGTTATATCTCAAACTTTAAAAAAATCAAGAGAATATATAAACTAACTTGAGTAATTATGAACCATGTTGTTGGTCTTAAAATCAATTCTCTTGTCACCCTGCCAACTAACAGTACTTTCAGAGCATTTCAATCTAAAATCTCATTTTCTTATTTAAAACACTTACAATGTAAACACTTTTGCTTTCTTACTCTCACAATACAAGTTAGTAAATTTTATCAAGACCCCAGAACATTGGTCGTTTTATTTACTTTGGTCATCAGCCTCCTAACATCTACATTTCTATCCCTGTTTGAACCAGACACTGTACTCCATCACTTTCAAGTACTCTTCAGCCATTACTCACAATCACTTTTATTTTGTCCTTCTACTACACTGGATCCATAAATCACCATTAAGAAATCACTCCTTTGCTTTCCCTGCTTTTACATACAGGATGTTAAGCACTGAAAAACAAACAAACAACAACAACAAAAATACCTCTGTCCCAAACCAAATCTTCTCTGTCCAACGTCAGTCAACAATCTTTCTATTTGTTCCCAACTGCAAACGCCATCAGCCTCTCCACTCTAAGGTCTCCTATAGTTCAATATTTTCTTCTAATTCTCCAGTCCATCCTCATGCTTATGTACACCTCTATGCTCTTCCTTGATAGACAAAAATGTATCTTCATAAACTACAGCAAATGGAGTGACCAAGCAGAAATTTCTTCAACTTTGTACCTCCACTCACAAATGAATTTGTCCATACACATCACCTTACCTCCTACTTTTGTATCTCAGTAAAAGAAGTGCCTAGGTGTCTGTCCAAAGTAAACTTTGAACAACAGTAAAGCTCTGAACCTCTTCAGAGACCTTTATCTTTTCTTTAATTTTCTTATATATGTTTTATAATCTTTTACCCCGTGTTAAAAAATAAAAGAAATAAGAACCTCCCAACATATATTACCCTGTGTATATTATCCTATCTTTCTCCTTTTCTTCACTATTGCCCCCCTGCAAAATAGCCTACCCATACTGTGTGCCTTTCTTTGTCTCTCCTTGATTCCTGGCTTCTATCCCCATAATTCCACTGAATCTGCTCTCAATGGAGTCAAAGGATACTGATTTTGATCAGTATCAGAATATTCCCAAATATTCTGGCCATTCATTTGTATTCTTTATTACTAGAACTTTTTCTCTGATTTCATTTTAAGAAGTTAAGAATTTTAGTAAAATATGTATTTCTAACTTACATTCTCTTAATTTATAATATGAAAAGTGAACATGGTGGTTTTCTTCTGAAAATCATTCAGCCTGTTGAATTGGAAAAAAACAATTTATCAAGCCAGGTGAACTGATTTGCTTTACACAGGAGCTTACACTCTGGGAAATAAAGCCTCTATTCTTCAAATGTGTCCTGAGAGAAAGTTATGTAAAAATCTTAATAGCAACATAATCAGATTATTACCACACAATTGCACCATAAAGAATACCAGTCATGGATATAATCATAGAAAAATGCCAGACAATTGCAACATTAAAGCGCATAAATCACAGATACAATCACACAAATGACTACAATCAGTAGTAAAACTTAAGCAATTACAACTTTTTAAGGAATTATTATATGGAAAAATTATTTAAATAGCAATACTGTGTTTTTAACTTTTAAATAAATTCAAAAGAATGTCTCTGGTATCTGAGTGCTTCACCAGTAGAAAGGCACTTCTATGATAACCTCCAATTTCTTTCAAATGTCCCGGCCACTTAACTTTAATGTGTCTGAATGTCAAATCGCAAATGTAAAGAAAAGTCAGTTCAAAAATATAAGAAATAATGTACATTGGTGTGAGAAAATCGTAACATCATCCTATAAAAAAAAAAGTTTCTGAATACTACAAAAAGATGGCTTCAAAATTGCAAGCCATCTGAATAATCAGTTTTATAAAAAGTGACTGTTACAAATAGATATGACAGATTAATAACTTCATAGAAAGCAAAAATATGAGTTAAGAGAAAAATTAAATGATCAGAAACTTGGAGAAAAAATATGCAAATAACCCTATCTACTCACATGTGCAATAATGTCTCACTTGTACTTTTTTCTGTTTTTTTATTTTTTGTTTGTTTTATGCCTTTTATTTTCATTCCTTTGACAGAAGTCAATAACAAACCTAAATGTGTTTAATTCAAGTCTCCCTACATTTGAATAAATAGAAAATTCTGTTTCAATTAAATTACCCAATGCAAAATTGCCACAAGCACTTTCTGAGCTAGATAGTCTCTTGGTGTTAGAGCCCTTTGTCTTCCTAAAATTCCCAAAACCCACTTCCATGCTTTCGCCAGGCAGGCAATGAATTGATTAATGCTTCCATTATTTCTGCTTCTGGCCTCTACATCAGCGTTGTGGCTAAATACACCAACAATACTTAGATCTTCACAGTTAGAGAAAGTTTAGAAGATATGAGAAGCAGTATCGGCTTAGAGATAGTGGGACGCTGGAGAACACTACCTCAGAATACAAGTTGGCCCAAACTTGCCAAAAACTTATCTACCACACAGAAAGCCTGGAAAATAGCCTATTTGGTTTTTAAATAGCAAATATATGATTTTAAAAATTTTAAAAAAATCATTTTAATTCATTAAGATATCTAACAAAGTATTCAAAATACCCTACTGGCAGAGTAACTTACCCTAAAAATACCAGGAAAGTAGAGCTGTATGTGAATATTACAGGGCAGTGAAACTGAGAGGTGACAACATGCTAGCAGCCCTCGCTGGCTCTCGGCACCTCCTCAGGCCAAGGCGTCCACTCTTGCCGTGCTTGAGGAGCCCTTCAGCCCGCCGCTGCACTGTGGGAGCGCCTCTCTGTGCTAGCCGAGGCGGGAGTCTGCCCCCTCTGCTTGCTGGGAGGTGTGGAGGGAGAGGCGCCGGCGGGAACCGGGGCTGCACGGGGCGCTCGCAGGCCAGCGCAAGTTCTGGGTGGGCGCGGGCTGGGCGGCCCCACACTCGGAGCGGCCGGCGGGTGCCGCCAGCCCCAGGGAGTTAGAGGCTTAGCACCCGGGCCAGCAGCTGCGGAGTGTGCGCTGGGTGCCCCAGCACTGCCTGCCCGCCCGCGCTGTGCTCAAATTCTCGTGGGGCCTCAGCCACCCTGTGGGGCAAGGCTCATGACCTGCAGCCCGCCATGCCCGAGCCCCTCCACATCCTGGGCTGCCGAGTGGCCCGAGCCTCCCCGACTGGTGCCACCCCCTTCTCCGCAGTGTCCAGCCTCATCCACTGCCCAAGGGCTGAGGAGTGTGAGCACACGGCGCAAGACTGGCAGGCAGCTCTGCCTGCCTCCCCGGTGCAGGATCCACTAGGGTAAGCCAGTTGGGCTCCTGAGTTGGCTGGGGACTTGGAGAACTTTTATGTCTAGCTAGAGGATTGTAAATGCACCAATCAGCACTCTGTGTCTAGCTCAAGGTTTGTAAATGCACCAATCAGTGTTCTGTGTCTAGCTAATCTAGTGGAGACTTGGAGAACTTTTATGTCTAGCTAGAGGATTGTAAATGCACCAATCAGCACTCTGTGTCTAGCTCGGGGTTTGTGGATGCACCAATCAGCACTCTGTATCTAGCTAATCTGGTGGGGACTTGGAGAACTTTAATGTCTAGCTAGAGGATTGTAAATGCACCAATCAGCACTCTGTGTCTGGCTCAAGGTTTGTAAACACACCAATCAGCACCCTGTCAAAATGGACCAATCAGCAGGATGTGGGTGGGGTTAGATAAGGGAATAAAGGCAGGCTGCCCCAGCCAGCAGCAGCAACAACCCACTTGGGTCCCCTTGCACATTGTGGAAGCTTTATTGTTTCACTCTTTGCAATAAATCTTGCTGCTGCTCACTCTTTGGGTCCGCAATACCTTTATCAGCTGTAACACTCACTGCGAAGTTCTGCAGCTTCAGTTCTGAGGCCAGTGAAACCACAAACCCACAGGGAGGAATGAACAGCTCCTGATGGGAGGAACAAACAACTCCAAATGTGCCGCCTTAAGAGCTGTAACACTCACCACGAAGGTCTGCAGCTTCACTCCTGAAGCCAGCGAGACCACAAACCCACCAGAAGGAAGAAACTCCGAACACGTCTGAACGTCAGAAGGAACAAACTCCGGACACACCACCTTTAAGAACTGTAACACCGCGAGTGTCCACGGCTTCATTCTTGAAATCAGTAAGACCAAGAACCCACAAATTTGGGACACAAAAGCATAAAAATAACTGTTATATGTCACAAGTGGAAGACCACTGAGACAGAGGATCACCAGGAAACAGAGTAAGCGACCAGAAAGAACCATGGAAGTTTGTCAAATACAGACACGGCTGAAGTCAAGACATACCATGCTGTCAATCCTGCATCAAGCTGTAAGCTAAAAATGTGTATTCTCTCCTCTTTCTCGTATTTCCTGCTCCTACTTATAAAGCATGAAGAAATTCTGTGGAACAATTCCACCTTTAATTAAACAAAAGAAAGATGACAAGTAAATATAAGGAGTGATCCTGAAGTGGAGCCTGGACTGGGGGAAAAAGGTAGCTAGAAGAGATATTATTACTACAATTGAAGAAATTTAAATGTGGACTATATGTTAGATCACATAGGAGTTGCCCCTTATCCATGGGGATTGAGTTCCAACACCCCCAGTAGATGCCTGAAACTTCAGATAGTACTGAACCCTATCTGAACTCTTAGGTGTTTTCAATCAGATAACTGAGATGGCTACTAGATGCCTAACAGGCAGGTAGTGTGTACAGTAAGGATACTCTGGACAAAGGAATTATCCACACCCCAGAGTGAGATGGCTTAAGATTTTATCACACTACTCAAAACAGCATGCAATTTAAATCTTATAAATTGTTTCCGTCTGGAAGTGTTCATTTAATATTTCTGGATCACAGTTGACTATGAGTAACCGAAACCACAGAAAATGAAACCATGCATAACGGAAGGCTATTGTAGTATTGTATCAATGTTGTTTCCCGATTTCTATAATTATACTGTAATATAAAGTATATAGTGTATACACCATTGTACTACATAAGTTTTTGGCATTAATCTCCCTACTTTAAGTTTGAAATTATATCAAAATAAAAGATGGCTGAATAAAACAATCTTAACAAATTTTTAAAACTTAGAATTATATCAAGTATCTTATCAGACTAACAGAATAAAAATAGAAATCAATTTCAAAAGGAACATTGAAAACTGTAAAAATAAGTGAAAAATTAAATAACATGCTTCAGAATGACCATTGAGTCAATGAATAGTTTTAAAAAGTCTCAGGTTTCTTTCTCCAATGCTCACTCCCCCACTTCTGCTTTCCTGCGTCTATAACCTATACTTGCTGAACTTCCTTTCTACTCTTCTGAACTCAAAATTTGCCTTGATTCCCCTGTTTCCTCTAAACCTGTTCACCCTTTTAAGCTCCATCTAAATAATGAGGGCACTCTCTTAAACACTCCCCATGGACCCTGGACAAAAATCAAACGTAAGAAGCATAGCTAAAGAGTTGTCCAAGTTAACAGTGTTCACCACTGATTTAATTAATCTGGCTAACAAATTATCCCAAACATTTTCTAAGACCGATAATGGAAAGGCAAAGAAAATAATGAATCTACAACTGCAACAACGTTCTACCCCTCATAATGAAATATGGCCATCTAATGCCATAGAATCAAATATTAGAGTAGGACACTCCTGCAAAATTTTAACAATTTTAACAATTTATTAATAATTAATCTTTATTAACAGACTACAGAGAATAACTGCTAAATATATTATTAATGTATTCTTGATTTTTAAATATCTATTAAGGATTCTATTGGGACAATCGAGGAACTTGAATATAAACTATATGATAAAAATTATATTTTCAATGTTGCATTTCCTGAGTGTGATAATTTTATTATACTAATATAGGATAGTACCCTAGTTTTTTGAAGGTACATGCTAAAGTATTTGAGAAAGTCAAAGCAAATGTGAAAAATTTGTTACCCTTTGGTGAACACACTATTCTTAACAACTCACATAGATTTAAATTTTTTTGAATAAAATTTTAAAAAATCAGAAAACTAGGTAGTAATATAAATAGAATTGTACTTTAACAGTTTAGTTTTTAAAGTTCTTTAGAAATGATACTATTTCTAACATTTAGGTTTTTTCTGGTTTTATTCTTTGGCTTTTAAATTTTATTTCTGTATTAATTGGTAAATTTAAGTATATTTCCTGTTTTGCAAAAGTGATTTTAAAGTTTTGGCATCTCAACTCAAAAGTGATTTTTAAGTAAGCCTTGGAAAAACCCCATAGCTATTTTTGAGTTCTTTAAAAACATTCATGTTAAAAATATTGAGATTTTGTTACCTCACTAACAATTGAACCAAAATGCTTTCAGCTTAGCATATGTTAAAACATTTATGAGAAATAGTCTTTGACAAAAATGTAAAAATATCACTTTTAAGCATCAGCAAACCTCTCTGTCTTTCGCTTACCTTACATGACTCACTTAATGGATAATTTTTTCATGCCCCCTGTTTCCTGCTGATTAGAAGTTGCTATTAGCACGATGCACATGAAAAAAATCACAAGTATTTCACAGAAACCTACAGAGAAATGTTTTTCCCACTTTGCAGAACATTGCCAAAAATATCTATCTGAACCACAGGCACCTGGAATGGATATCGGAGCACATCGTAAAGTTTTAAATGAAAGTTTTTTTTTTAGTTTATCATGAGAAACTGCACACTTGTGAGGTGGCGGATTGAGGCATCCAGCTACCAAGACCATCTAAGCAAAAAGAATACCCAGTTTGATTTGTGAACCTTTGTCCTAGGAAAGTTTATATAAAAATATAGAACTTGGTTTCTGTTATACAAAGACTGTAATTGAGGTGATATGAGGACAAAAAGTTTTGGAGCTTTTGTATAATCAAGAAAAGGATTCTTAGCCATTGCTTGGCACGATGAAATCTGACCTAAGATATTATAAAAACCCAGCTGAAAAGAGAGACAACCAATAGAAATAACCAGAGTCAACATTAAAAAGTGCAATGTAAGAGGCATAAGAAGTTCAAAGGAATTAACAAGCCAACTTGAATAAATGAGTCTATTTCTTCTGAGTAGTTCAGAATTAACACCTTTTAATGACCTATTTAGATAAACCTAAATAATTTAGTAGATGATTGCATATAGTTTGCCAAAGTGTCACGCGAATTGAGTTTTGTCTCATGTCTGTGTGCTTCCTTATTCCTATTCTCCCTGCCATGAAACATTGCTCTTCTAACTGGCTTCTGCTCCTTCTTTAATGCTCAGATCATTACTCTGATATGAGAAGCCTCTGAATAGTCTCTTGTGCCCACACAAATGATCTTAAATGAGAATGCATTCCTTTTTCACAGTGTTGAGGAATTATCTATCTAGTTGCCTGTTTGGCACAACACTTCCTTGAGTAAAAGGGTCTGTTCCTAGCATAACACTATACTTTTTTTGCCCATGTTTCTCTTATACGGATCCCAGGATAGTGCTGACTTATGTAACCAATGCCTAACAGATGTTTTAATTAAGTAGCTATTAAAAATTTTTTTTCTATATTTTCACTCCTCTACTCTGGCACAAATTAAGAAGAAACAGGGGAAAGGGAAGCAATTAGGACTAAAAGTTAATACAATCAACAAAGGCCCAAATTGCAACATAGTCTTTAACCCCAACCTATTACTTACAGATTACTTTTCTGACTGTCTCTTAGAATGAGCTTCTCCTTGGAAGTCTCCTTGATACTCATGTGAATAGGCTCTACAGGTTCTCCAATCATAATCACACACAGGTGACTTTGTGTGACTATCATTTAGATTCAAATTCTACTACTACCAGATGACATTATTAAATATTTATTATTATTACCTTCACAGTTCATAAAGTACTATTATTATAAGATTGGTATTTATATTTCTCCTTTCATGATAAAAAATCTGGAAAATAGATTTGAAAAATTTTAGCAATAGAGAAAATGGTATTTAAAAACCTCTAAATGGGCATTCATTCATTCATTTATTCATTCAACAAAAAGAATGTTGATGACAACTTTTTGTGTGGTATTGTGTTAGACCTTGGGAGGTTTCTAGAAGGGAATCATGTTTTGATCAATGAAGTGGCTTAGAATGGTGAAGCCATGTATTGACTAGCTAATACTGCATCCTAGAGAAAGGCATAATATATAGAAAACATGTACTGAAATATGAAGTAGCTAAGGTTCCCTTGCCAAGGGCCCTCTTTGGCCTCATTGAGTTAGCTTTTGGAAATCAATTAATTGTTCCTTTGTAATTGTGATTTCCACTCTGTCCACATGGATGTTGCCTCCAATCCAGGGTTGGGTTAAACCTTTTTTTTTTTTTTTTTTTTTGTCTTTCTTGTAGTAGATTCAACTTCATAGAAATGTTCATGGTGTATGGGAAGTGATACAGCCATTTGTGCACTCAAAACAAGATATAAATTTAAAATACAGTCACCTACAGGAATGCTTTTCAAACTAAGTACAAATCCTTTCTGTAAGTGAAATAATATCCATGCATTCCAGATTCCAGTTGGGCATTCTAAACCTGTTGGTTCAGCACTTTCAACCCCCAAAATTCTAGATCTCATGAAAGCTGGGCCTTATGCCTTGGATTTATAGAAATTTCTGTGATGATATTTTTATGGAATTTTCTATCTCCTCAATGCCCCTTTCCAAGGAAACTGCTTCTAATCATGGTTTCAAACATTTTTTTCAGCCCTCTTAGCAATATAAAGAGCATTCACGACTTAACAAATTCTATTTACTACATGGGGGAGAGCTAAAGGAGAGTCTTATGTTACAGAAACAACACAATCTCCAGTGGAAGCAAAGGCATGACCGTTGGGTCTTTCCATGACAGAAATGCTGTACTGACCCTCTTTCACACAATCTTAGCTTCTCTTCTGCTCCTCTGTCCTTCCTTTTCATCTTTCATCCATCCTTAGCAGACTGTTCTATAGCACAAAAGTATCTTGCTCATTATACAGAATAATTAAGCATTCTTTTCTCTTAGCTGCTGAATGTTCCTAAACACATTGTACTGTAAAAAGCAGCTAGCAACATCCCCCCATCTCCTATTACTTAAGAAAGTTCAATGTATAAACAGTATTGGTCATTTTAGTTGCACTGGGAGTGAGCACTGAGACTCTGCCCATGCTTCTCCAACCCCTCCCCACTCAGTGTTTAAATGAATTTCACAGAACTTCTTGGAGCACTAGTTAATAGCTTCCTCAAAAGTTGTCCTTCTACCACCAAGGCATTACATTAGCAAATCTGAAAGCCATCATTACATGACAATGATTCCATTTGATGGTAAAAAGTTTAGGCAGTAACATAGTTTATTAAAAATTAATTAAAGTTTATGACCCACTCAATCACACTAACAGCAAAAACAAAAAACCTGTAGCTCTTTACTGAAACATACTGTGATTTAGATTAAATCTCTGATTTGAAACAAGAAGAAAAATCAAAATTTAGAGAAATATCCATTTAAAGATGTCTTTATGCGTATATTGAATGTTTATAAATTATTATTAAATATAACTTAAAGCTGAATGTATTGTATATCTTTTATGATTTCTGGGAATCTGATCTCAATACTGCAATGTATTTCCGGTTTTTTGTTTGTTTCCTTGCTTATTCATTGATTATGACACTTATTTTTTCTTCTTATAATAAACCTGGAAATTTAAAACTTTATGATAGTCATCTGTACCCCAAAAATGTAAAAATTAATATTGGCTGAATACTTGTAATGTATATCCAAATTATCTCTATTATAGAGACAAGAAGAAAAAAGAGGCCCAGAAAGATTAAGTAACTTGGTGTAAACCATAACCCTAGAAAGTTTCAGAGCTGGGATTTGAATCCAGTTTAAGTTCTAGGCACATAATCACGACACTGGGAAATAATAGTTCAGAGACTTGCGCTGCTAGTAACTTTCACTCCATTCTTTACAGATGGGAAACTTTGTTTTGTCTCTTCTATGGTTTAATAGAAGAAAAAAAATTCTTTAAGTATTTAGAAATTATTTGATTCAATCAACCTTCAAGCACCCAGAGTCTGCAAAATCTGTAATTACACTGGTGGATAGTAAAGCAAACTAATACTGTGGGCTTTTCTATTTTATACATATAATCACTTTTAATTTTATATTTACATTAACCTAATGAAGTATTATCCTATCCTCATTTTAGCAATAAGAAAACTAAGTATTATTCAAAATCACAAAGCTGTAAAATTGGAAGATAGGATTGTGACACTTACTGCACAGTGCATACAAATATCAAAACATTAAATAGTATATCTTAAATACATACAATTTTATTTACCCATTATATATCAATAAAAGTAAAAAAAAAATGAAAGCAGCAAGTATGGACCTCCCTTGAACCTGTACTTTGCTCCAGTAGTCTACACCCAAGTCTATACACAAGAAATAGATTCTATTGTTTTTGGAGAAGAGAAATTAATAATACAAATAAAGTTGCAGAAGGCCACAGATAGGTATAACACATATCTAAGTGATGAAAAACAGTATAGCTTAATCAGAAAAGGTATGCCATAAAAATTTTGAAAAAAATTACAGGTCTTTCATAGTTTAAAAGAAAAACAAAATAAAAACAAAATCATCTGTGTAGATTTACTGATAAGAAAACAAATTTTCCTATACCAGGAAAGATGCCAACAAGCAAGATGCAGTGTGTAGAAAGCAGGCATATGTGATTCTAATAAAAGAAAGAATTAAGTTTTAATGATTAGTTTGAGGAAGGAGACAAAAGGACAGATAGAGCTGAAAATGAAATACAATTAATACTCAAAAGACCACTGGCTGAACTTGTTCTATATTAAAATTTCAATGTTCTAAAATAAATATATTCTGTATTTTTATGAAATGCACAGTAGTTAAGTATGTAAGCCCAGTTACCAGGTTTTTGTTTGTTTGCTTGCTTGCTTGTTTTGGCAAATATTATTGAAGTTTATATAAGTGTACAGATTGATAAAGTGAACATACCTATGTAACCAGCATCCAAATCAAAAACTAAAACACATGAACAATTTTAGAAGCTTTCTCGTGTATCTTCTGATCCCTTCAATTCCCCAATGGTAAGCACTGTTTTAATTGCTTCTAGCTCACTGGCTTAGTATTTGAATTAGACATAAGTGGAATCATGCAGTATTTATTATTTCGTGTCTGTTTTTAATTTTTCAATATTATTTTATTGTGTTTAAGGTACATATTCTTGGTTTTGAGAGTAGCTTTTGCTCTTTTATTCTCTTTGCTGTATGGTATTTTATAAGTATTCCACAATTTATCTGTTCTCTTGTAAACAAAAATTTAGGTTGATCCTCTTTTTCATCGTTGTTTCTTGCTGTTAGCAACAGGGCCACTGGAAATAATTTTGTGCATTTACCGTAGGGACTATATGTAATCATTTCTATTGGGTATAATATTGGACAGTGTAATTACTGGTGCCTAAGTTATACATATATTCAGCTTGTTTATATTTATATGTTTATAGCTACCATCAAACAATTTTCCAAAGTAGTTACAATAATTTATTTTGCCACCAGCACTGTACGAGTCCTAGTTGCTTCACGTTATTTCCAATACTTGCTATATCTGTCTTATTCATTTTATTCTGGGGATTTATGTAATGGTATCTCATTGCAGCTTTAATTTTGAGTGAACTTATGATTACTGAAGATGAGCACATTTAATATGCTTTTTTGATCATTTGGAGATCCTCTATGGAAGTGCTCCTTTGCCATTTTTTCTATTGGGTTTTCTGTCTTTTGTGATTGACTTATAAAGATTCTTTATAGATTCTGAATATGAGATTTTTTTCCAGATATATGTATTGCTAATTACTTCCTCTACTATGTAGCTAGTCTGTTTAGTCTCTTAACGTTAAGAGAGTAAAATCCTGTTGAATAGGAATGTTTAATTTTAAGGAAGTCTAGTTTATTCTTTTTCACTTTATGTTCTGTTTAATAAATCTGCCAACTCCAAGGTCATAAAGATATCCTCCTATTTTTTTCCAAAAACTTTATTATTATACCTTTTACATGAGCAATTAATCTGGAATTGAATTTTGTGCATGGTGTTCAGTAGGTATCAAGTACAATTTTTCCGTGTGGATATTGATTCAGCACTTTTTCTATTGTACTGCAATGTCACCTTAATCATAAATCAGGTTAGTATATTCCTGCAATATGTTTTTTTAAAATTCTCTATTCTATTGGTCTTATTGTTCTATTTGTCAAACATTATGCCAACATCACCATTTTATTTTGCATCTCACACCATACTTCTGGGTCATTTTCACTTCTTTCTGAAGAATATTCTTTTTAAAAAGTTCTTTCAGCAAGGTTTTGATCATGGAAGATTCTTTGTTCTTGTCCGAAAATGTTAATTTTGTCTTCATTCTAAAAGATAGCTTAGATACCTAAATTTGCAGTTATCGTTTCTGTTTAGTTATAGTGATAGTACCGTCACTTTGAATATCCCATCATAGTCTGGCTTCTTTCAATGCTATCAGTTTAATTGCTGTTTTTTTTTTCAGTAAACAATGTATTTTTCTTCTAGCCAGCTTTCTGACCTTCTCTTTCTCTTATATTCTGTTTTACTTCTATTTGAATCCGTAGATGTTAATTTTTATTTTACTTATTGTATTAGTCTGTTTTCACACTACCATAAAGACATACCTGAGACTGAGTAATTTAGGAGGGAAAGAGGTTTAATTGACTCACAGTTTTATATGGCTGGGGATGCCTCAGGAAACTTACAGTCATGGAGGAAGGTGAAGAAGAAGCAAGTACCTTTCTCACAATACAGTAGGAAAGAGAGCGCCTGCAAAAGAGGAACTGTCCAACACATAAAACCGTCAGATTTCATGAGAACTCACTGACTACTACGAGAACAGGATGGGGGAAACTGCCCCCATGATCCAATCACCTCCCACCAGGTCCCTCCCTCAACAACTGGGTATTACAATTTAAGATAATATTTAGGTGGGGACACAAAGTCAAACCATATCACTTATCCTGCTTCTGTTTCCTAAATCAGAAGACTCAAATGATATTTCGACTTTCTCAGATATTATCTTTTGAATAGCCACTTTTATTTTCTGTCTTCATAAAATTTTTGTGAACTGAATGTTGGATTTCTTAGTTTATCTTATATATGCCTTAGGTTTTCAGTGTGTTTACCTCAATATTTCTCTTTCTGAGTAATATCTTCAAACATACAATTCTAATTAGCTAATCATCTTATCAATGTGTAATATTAAGGAAAATATATTTTTTAAAATTTCAGATCTATTTGATTTTTTTCCAAACTATCTGATTTTTAGTCATAGTATCTTGCTCACTTCTCATTTTTTATCCATCATTTTCTTATACTTTTTATCATTTAAAAAATATTTATTTAGTCCCTTTTCTCCAATATTTCTATTATGTAACAAGATCAGAAGACTTGTGCTACTTTGTTTGTATCTACTGACTCTTGCTTATATGGGATTGTTTCTTTGTGTTGTGTCTTGTATTTTGGATTCAATCAGTCTTGAGTGGGGCTTTATCTTTTGTGCTTTCAATAGCATGGGTTGAAAATGAATCTTCAGTAAGTTTTTTTTTATTTCCTTTGAAAGTCTCCCTATGGGTATTATGAAATGTGAACATTTTTATGTTAATTCCTTATCTGGATGTTGCTAGAGCACATAGGTAGAGTAAATTCAAATTCCAAACCTATATTTATCACAGGAAAAAAATCTATTTGTAGAACTGGCCCAAAAGTCAATCTTTTAGTCATCTCTCTCTCCAGAGGTTGGGCCTTTTTTAGTACACCACTTTACTAACAGGTAGCTAGTTGAGAGTTCTGGCTTTCTTAAGTAAACTAAACTGGGCCTCGGTTATAATTCTCTTTTCTGTTTCTTTATGGGTCTTAGACCCAACCTCCTAGTTACCTAGGCTGGCTAGCACAAGCCAGCCTCAGCATCAACTTACATATTTTCTTCTCAAGTTATTTTCTTTTTTTTTTTCTTTTGGTACTTAGGCTGTCCCTTCTGTCCTAGTAAATTCAGTCCCAGTTTTATTTAAATGTTTGGGCACTTCATTTCATATATATTACACATTATATTTTGTCTATCATTCTGTTTTTTTGGTTAGATTTTCAGGTAATTGGCTGGGTATGGTGGCTCATGCCTGTAATCTCAGTACTTTGGGAGGCTGAGGCAGGCGAATCACTTGAGCCCAGGAGTTCAAGACCAGCCTGGGCAACACAGGGAGACCTGGTCTCAACAAAAAATACAAAAATTAGCCGGCTGTGGTGGCACACGCCTATTGTCTTGGCTACTTGGGAGGCTGAGGCAGGAGGATCACTTGAGCCCAAGAGGTCAAGGCTGCAGTGAGCTGAGATTGTGCCACTACACTCCAGCCTGTGCAACAAAGTAAGACCCTGTCTCAAAAAAAAAAAAAAAAAAGTCTTCAGGTAGTCTAGTTTGCAATATTGCTGGAAACATATCTTTTCTACATCCAAACTTTACATATTATTAACATTACTGTATGTTTTATTTTTATAAAAATCTTTGTCATTAAAAAAATAAGATATTGTATAGCTAGCATTTATAGCTTAATCCTTCTTATAAGGGTTAATATGTAAGTCTTATAACAAAGTTCAGAAAAAGTGTTGAGCCTGATTTTTATACATAATCTTCTTTGAATTTCTAAAGGCAAGAAAACTCTATCTATATATTTTCAGGTATTCCACAGTGACCAGGTAGCACATTTTAAATATCCATAGAGAATTGCCTAGCTCATGTTACTATCTCACCAAGAATATGTCAATCATAAAAGGGAGTCAAATGATGAGCACTATTTTACCCACCATCATGGTACTGCTTTGTGCTTCCAAACAGATTTATACAGCTAAGGGCAAACTATGCATGAAATAGTACAATGAGTGTGTATAAATGTGATTCAGTGAAGGAGACCAGCTGTACACATGAGGAGACAAAATCCCCAGTAGATTTCATTTTGCAAAGTTTCTTTGACCACTTACTGTAACCAAATCCTGCCTGTAAAAATCATTTTATGTGGGTTCCAATGATTTCTTCAGTATTTATTGTATATCTACTGTTCTCTGGTCACTAATGATATAAAGATGAATTAACACTACAGTGTCTGGCTTTAATGTTTCTAGTCTCAGAGGAAGAGAAGATCCACATTCAGAAAAATGCATTTCATTACAGAATATACAATATTAGGGGATAAACCTTGACAAGCATTGGACATTAATCAGAGGGAGGATATAAAACATGGGTTGGTTGCTGGGAGAGAGGTGAACAAGAGAAGGTTTTGTGAAGGAAATGGCACTGTCCTGAGTCTTCAGGGATAATTGTATATATTTGCATGGCTGGAAAGGGACTTCAGATAGAAGCAACAATGTGGGAAGAGCTCTTTGAAACTAGGAACTGTGAATCTGAATGATCTTTGTATTTTGTTCTTGATAATGGTGATGAATTTTTCTTTTCTTTTCTTTTTTTTTTTTTTTTTTTTTTTTGAGACGGAGTCTCATGATCTTGGCTCACTGCAAGCTCCAACTCCCAGGTTCACGCCAGTCTCCCGCCTCAGCCTCCCGAGTAGCTGGGAGTACAGGCACGTGCCACCACACCCGGCTAATTTTGTTTTTGTATTTTTAGTAGAGACGGGGTTTCACCGTGCTAGCCAGGATGGTCTCAATCTCCTGACCTCGTGATCCGCCCTCCTTGGCCTCCCAAAGTGCTGGGATTACAGACATGAGCCACCGTGCCCGGCCTGATGATGAATTTTTAACTCCCCAGAGTGCCTGCTTTGTTGATAGCAGCAAATATTTCCAGGCAGTCTGAAAAGCAATTTGAGATATCCATGAATGTTTGTGAATGTGTAAAATAAATAGATGATATTAATGCCTTAATAAGGTTTCTACTCAAATCAGCAATAACAATATCACAATTATAAAGAAATACCAATTATATATCAAAATTTTGAATGTCAAATAGAATCCTATTATTAGTATAGGGATGGTAAAAATAAATTTGACTGAGATTATAATAAACTATCTAATAAATTATAAAAACCTTAGGAAGATTTATAAACAAGAGATGAATAAGAAACCAAACAACACAGATTGAATGAAAAATGAAAAGAATGAAACAAACTGAATAATGGGAGTTGGGATGATAGAGAAAACAGCATGAGCATTGCAGGGCAGAATCACAAAAGAGAGGCTCAAATGGAAAACACATTCATTTGTTTTATCAAAAAGAATTTTTGCTATCACAAAAAGTTCTTAGAACTGTTGAGAACCAATAAGATGAAGTGAGGGGTGCTAAGTAAAGAATGAAGTAAATAAAAATATACAAAGATCAAACCAAAGCAAGTTGCAAGTAGATATTTTAAAAATAGGAATGTATTTAATAGAAATACACCCAATATGCAAATAGTATGTCTTTCTGTAAATTATGGAAATAGATCTTAATTTGACTAATCAAAAATACTTCATCAACATTATTAAAAGATAAATTGGATCTTATCTTTTGAAACAAATAATGAATCAGATAGCTAATATAGGTAAATAGAATAAAAGTAAGATTATAATGGACTAGTGTTAATTGGTGAACTCTTCTTGGAGAAAGTGAGATTAGAAATAAATTTGGTATAGTTTGTATCATAGATGGATGAATAAAGTTAGGGAGAATGCAAGAATGTAAAAAACAAAACCTGAAACTACGACATTGTATACAGAAAAGGACGCTGTAAGTAATAAATGTCAATATATTCACCAGACTAAATTATAAAGGTATTGCTACAAAGGAGTATACATAGAGGAGGAAAAAATGTCACTGGGCTTTTAACGCTATCCTAAGTGATGGATGGTATGTAAAGCAGAGAGAACAATGCAGACTTTAGACCCCCAAGCAAAAGGGTAAAACCATAAGGAGAAAAGTAGGAGAGGAAGAAGAATGTGTTCAAAAAGAAAACATAAATATCAATTTGAATTACATAATAAAGAATATGGTTTTCAGAGACATGCGTTGTACCGAGAAATGAGTACATACACGTTAACTGTTGCAGCCTCAATTAAATGTCTATGTTATAACATTTTCAATATAGTATACCTCACGACAATTAAACCAAGTTTTAAAAACAACAACAACAAAGAATTGTGTGACACAGAGTTGGCTAGAAAAAAATTTAAAATATCAAAAATATTAATATGCTTTCTCTTTTACTTTTCTGTGTACTTGACTTTCACTTTGTTGGCCTGAGGCATCCTCTATCTACAGGGAAAACAAGATTTCTTACAGAAGAAATGAAAAGAGAAAGAATATATTAGTATTCAATTTCTGCAAGGCAGAATTATTTAGCAAGATTATGATAGTCTTGCAGATCAGCTTATTGTGTTAAGATGTTTTTCCCCAAGTATCTTTGTGGTCACTTTGCCTTTTTTAACATATGAAAGCCCAAAGCTGGAGTTTCCAGATCTTAGTGTTCTCCAAAAGGGTTGCTAACTCTTTCACCTAGAGCTTGAAAGCATAGGGCTTGCTGCATAGTGGAAGGAAGATACCATAAAGAAACCAAACAAAAGGGCTATCCATTTTCTAGCCTGAGGATTGGCAAGAAAAAGAGAGTAAGAGAGTGATATGTATGTCCCTAATTTTCCCTCTCCATGCTTTGCCCTTAAGAGGTCCCTAGCAACCAGGCAGACAAGGGAGATGATCACCTACCAAAGGACACCACAAAGACACAATAGGGTTCCCAGTGTTGATGTATTCCCTCTGTATTCCCAGTATTCCCTCTGATGTCAAAAACCATGTAAGCCGCTTCCATTGACTGGTACATCTGCAGGTTATCTTAAAAGGGGAGGGGGAGGCAAGCAGAAGACTAGATCACTACATGAAGGAACTGATTCTAACACTGCATTTAAAACAAAATTAAAATAGGTTTAGCACTTGGTTATACTTCCTCCCATCAGAAAATCCAAATTAGCTTAAACACAAAATAAATATATTATATTTCTCTTTATACATCTGAGTACAGTGTGAGCTAAATTTTAGGACCCAGTTTCAATTGTAATTAAAACTACAAATGATCACCAAATCCGAAATGTTTGATTAAAAAAAAAAAAAAAACATGAGAGTATCATTTGTCAAATCAATAACTTTCTAAGGATTAGCTTAATGCAAGACACTTTATTACATTAAAATGTTAATGATTTTTAAATTGTGATTATATGTACGTTGTATTTTCCTCTGAGAACTCTAAGGTATTTGCATACTTTAACTCATCATTGCTTCAATTTAAAATAGAAAAAGAAGCTGGCACTCAATTAGTCAGAGAAATAATTTAATTGTACTGCCAGGTGGTAGTTAAAATATGAAAAACAATTCTTTGAATGGCTAGGCAGTGTTTGATACTTTCAGCAGCTCATGTTTTTCTTGATATTCTTGAACATAATTTTTTGAAATAATTTGAAAATGGGAATAGTCAATTAAATAATACGTAAAATATTTCATTTGTGTAGCATTTTCACTGCTGCCCTTTAAAGGCAACTATCACAACTGATTTTTTTTTTTTTTTATTTTTTTTTTTGAGACGGAGTTTTGCTCTTGTCACCCAGGCTGGAGTGCAATGGTACAATATTGGCTCACTGCAACCTCCACTTCCCAGGTTTAATCGATTCTCCTGCTCCGGCCTCCCAAGTAGCTGGGATTACTTGTTCGTGCCACCAGGCCAGGCTAATTTTTGTACTTTTAGTAGAGACAGAGTTTCACCATTTTGGCCAGGCTGGTCTCAAACTCCTCACCTCAGGTGATCCGCCCGCCTTGGCCTCCCAAAGTGCTGAGATTACAGGCATGAGCCATGGCACCTGGCCACAACTGATTAATTTTTTAAATTTTTATGTTGGTGGTTTATTTTTCCTTTCTAAGTCTTCTAGGAATGTCAAATTGAAAATAGGAGTTAAGTTCATTTACACACCTTAGTGTATATAAGAATTTTTGTCAAAGTGCAGTCCAGAGCTCATCTCATCTGCAAGGTTCTCCTGGCCATTCTGAAGTTGGTACTTTATTATAAATAATCTATGTATAATGGTAAATATTATACTGCTGTTTAAAGTTCATTTACATTTAATAGTTCTAAAATCAACATTACATATTCAGTTTTTCAGCTAAATTGGGACTATTTTATCATTCATTTTTTTGAAATGTCTGTGTTTACAGGAAAATGTGATGCCTGAGGCATGAGTGGGGGCTATGTTAGAAAGTCTGTGGTCCCCGTGGTATGGTTTATGAATTGAAATAATGAAGGATTCACTTATCCAGGACAGTTCTTAATGTATTTGTTATTTCAAGGTTTGATTTGAATGGTGGTAGAAGGTAATTACTATATTTTACTCTGTCTTTTGGCACATGTAGGTAATTTGAAGCTATGTGCTGAAAGAGCAAATATACATCGGCACAGGAAAATGTTCAAGAATTGCATACACAGGTCTCTTTACAGTATTTGGCACATCTATTTGAATGTTCTCATAACTTTGGTAAACACATAATGTTTTGTAAAGCACCAAAACAATCCTGTGCATTTGCCCTAGTCCCAGCACAGTCACTCTGCTGGGCACATGCGGAGAGGGAAAGTATAGTCTGTGCCAGCTCAGGCCCTTGCTGAACTTGACCTCCTGACCCAAGCTGTGAGGTGTATGCAAGTCTATGAACAGCTTTGCAGTCTATCAGATTCCATGCCCACTAATGAAAATCTTATTTTATTTTCCCCTTGAATTCCTGGCTACCCAGCATGGACATGGCTTTTCAGCCTTTCTTGGGAATAAAAACCAGATTAAGAAAAAGAGATGCCCCCCTTCAAATAATTTGAGCAAAGAATAAAACATACTTAGATCCTTGAATCTAACATATTTTCAACAATATTTCAGAAAGGGCAGAGGCTTTAACTATTTTGTGAGCTAATAGGAAACTTTATGTATAAGGCCGCACTACATGCTATTCAATTTCAGAGACAGAAAAAAGATTTTTATCTATAGTTTCCCCTAGTTCCCCTGTGACCTTTCGATCTGAATCTTGTGATCTCTACTAAACTGTGAGCTATCTTGGGCAAATATTTCCTTATTCATCTTTAAATTCTCAGCCTCAGGCTTAGTGCTGGCACCTGTCACTCAATAAATAGTTTATGAATTAATGTAATAATTTCATATTTTTATAGCCGTATCTTTATTCCTGGGAGTCTGTGATAAAACAAAAGATTGTTACCATAGCACTTCCAAAAGTCATTGATCTGTACTCTTTCTTCTATTTTACTACTTTTGTCTATCATAACTTATAATAAATAAGATGAACTGATGAGCACATGGACTGATGTCATGATTATTCTCTATCTAGTCTCTCATTGGAGATGAAACAAAATAGCCTTCTGAAAATCACCAAAGACAGAAAACCCTTGAGTGGTCAATGTAGCCAAAGATCATTACAACATCTATTTAAAATTTAAAAATAAACAACTGCCTGTAATGATAAAGACTTAACAGTAACAATTGTACTTATAAAGATAAAAACTAATTTAGAAAAAAAAAGACATCAGTAAGGCTAATAATATACTATTAGTCGGGATCATAATGTGAGTAATTTGAAAATGAATGTGAGAGGGTTTTTAAAATACATTTGTCTTTCAGGCTTATAATTAAACAACAATAACAACAACAAAAACTATGTAACACCTACCTTCAAAATAGAAAATGTAATGGCTTTCTTAAAATTTTGCAGGGGTAGGAGGGATAGGAAGAAATTACTTTATGGGGGAAAAACCACATTATCCAGTAGGTTACATTAATAATTTAATAGCTTGCCACAGGTCAGAGTTTTAAATATTGGCCTCCCTTCTTACTCCAGAAATGCTGTGACATAAGCAGAACTAAAGAAATGGAACAATTTTGCTGCAGAAATTTGAAAATGATAACGCAGAGCTTTCTGGTCTAACTGATGGTTTGCTTATCTATCTGACTATAGTAGATGTGAAGGGAGGAAACAAACCATTAGCTATATTTTTGTTTAATTACTAATATTAAATTATTTGAAAATTTAATAAATTATTAATTTATTAATATTTAATTACTTGTAAATATGTGTATCCTATCTAAACACACATGTTTAAAATTATATATATCTTTAAAACTATGCCGTATATCTCAGGTTTTTTTGAACACAGAGAGCAATATTCGTAAAAAGTTATTTATAAGATTAGAAAATAAATAATGAAAATAAAGTGATCCAGTTTAACCAAATAACTAAAATCTATTATATTTTACAAAGAGTTTACTGCACTTATTTATTTTATGGAACATGTAGAAATGAATACTAGAACATGTAATAAAAATTATAAAAGAAATAGAAAATGAGTTTTATTGGTTATGATATTTAGAAAAATACAGTGAACATACTATTTTAGTTGAGAATATTGACTTTGGTATAGATAGGTCATATTCAAATTTTTCATCCCAATGCTTTTGTACAGATTATCACAAATCTTCATATGTTTCCAATCATAGTGTAATGTTCCTAGTAGCATATTAATTGCTCAAGGACAGAAGCATTCTGTATCTTGTTCAGTGTTGTATTTTCAGCTGTTAAAGCAGGGTTGTGCCTGTATATAGTAGATGCTTAAAACACATTTGTTGAACAAAAGACTATTTGAGACCATTAGCTTTGGTGGAAAGGAGTGTAAAATGATTCCTTTTCTAAAGACACCAATGCCAATAAAGTTAAGATAAAGTGTTAGAGTCATTTGACCTAATAGAGCTTTTTGTTTGTTGTTGTTGTTGTTGTTGTTGTTGTTGTTGTTTGTTTTTGAGATGATGTCTCGCTCTGTCGCCCAGGCTGGAGTGCGGTGGTGCGATCTCGGCTCACTGCAAGCTCTGCCTCCCAGTTCAGGCCATTCCCCTGCCTCAGCCTCCTGAGTAGCTGGGACTACAGGCGCCTGCCACTAAGCCTGGCTAATTTTTTTGTATTTTTTTAGTAAAGACGGGGTTTCACCATGTTAGCCAGGATAGTCTCAATCTCCTGACCTCGTGATCCACCCACCTTGCCTCCCAAAGTGCTGGGATTACAGGCGTGAGCCACCGCGCCTGGCCCCGAATAGAGTTTTAAACCAAGACCAATAAGAATTCTGAAATGAGAATAATAACAAGAGCAACATCATCATCACAAAAACAATTATTATGGGAAACATTTATAGGGTTTAATATATATGCCACACATTTTCTTGGCCATTTTTAATGCCTATTCTATTTTAGCCTTATAGAAAAATGTATTTGCTTCATATAGGGGGCAATTATAACTCTAAGAGGTTAATAAACTTACCCAAGGTCACTAGGTAGGCAAATAATCACATCCAGATATGTCTCAAAAGTTTTGCTCTTTCTTCTCTGTCATATTTTCTCAATTTTGTTACATTAATCACCAACATCACTTATATGATTGCATAGTAGGCATATTGATGGAAGATTATGCAACTCTAACCATTGTTAAGCTTTTTAAAATTTACAATTTTCAATATAAAAATTTCTGAACATATAAAAATGTAACAAAACCAACATCAAACTTCAACACCAATCAACATTTTTTGTATCATTATTTCACCTATTCTTCACAGTTTTTATATTTGTTGATCTGTTTTAAAACAAATCCCAAACATTATGTCATTTCTTCTCTGAAAGTTGCAGTAAATAAAAATAAATAAATGAGTACCCTTTGTTATGTAACCACAATGGCGCTTTCACACAGAACAAAATTGAAAATAGCCCCTTACTATCATTTAATGCTAGTCCATTTTCAAAATCCCATTTTGTCATGAAAAGGTCATTATATAGTTGAGTTATTTGAATCAGGAACTAAACAAAATCCACTCACTGTATATGACTGTTATATCTCTCAAGTCCTTTTTATTAAACAGACCCACTCTCCTGTTTTAAATTTTTTTTCTGCAAGAAACCTATTGGAACTGAACCAATTGCACTAGAAAATGTCCTGTATTCTGCACATGTTAATTACCTTTAGCCCTCACATATTGTACTGATGAGAAGTTGGATGTAAAAGCTTATATACATTCATGTTTAATTTATTTGTGGGGGAAAGAATACTTTATGGCTGGTGTTGTACACTTCATATCACATCATACTATAGGAACATCAAGTCTGGCTGTTTCACTCTTAGGGATCTAAAAGTGACCAGTGGGCTGATCAGACAGAGAAATAGAGAAATAAAATATTTTGGACACAATGTTTGGTTACAAAGGCAGTATTAATAATTCATTACTCTGAAAATGGAAAATCGGTTATCAAAGAGAAAAATATATTAAACATTTACATTGTCTCTCTAATATGAAACATATTTAAGGATACTCAGATAGGCCAAATGAATGATGAAGAGTTACTTTACAAAACCACTAGGAACAGTTAACTGGTGAGAAGTAGTAGGATAGCAGTAGGGATGTTTAGAAGTCCAAATCCTCTCATAAATGTTTTTAATATTTTATATTCAACAAGCTCATGAATTATCACACATTCATTCTCTCACATTTTATAGGCCTTTGAAAACAATAATTTACTTGGAATTCGGAAAAATTTTAGCACAAAATGTCTAATATGAAATATGTAATTATACTGCTTTGTATATCACTTCTGAAGTTGCATCCTAGATATATATTTCTACATATTCAACTATATATACATGTATCCATATTCGAATGATTGTACATAAATTTTCAATCTTATTTTAAGCATGTGTCAACAAACATCACTGTAGTAAAGCTACATATGCAAAAAGATTAGCTTCCAAAATTAGATTCAAGAGATGGTAGGATGTGACCTCTTTGTATCACAATTACTCCTTTATTCTTCCATCTCCAATCTTCTGTCTTTTGTCAAAAATTAGATGTGGCATGTTTTTCTCCCTACATATAAATATGTCATTCTGTTGCATGCTATTCCTATAGAGTAATAATGATATCCAGAGGCAAGATAAGATTCTCCTCAAATAAAAATAATTACTAATGAATATATTTCTAACCTAAATATCTATGACAAGATACTCATGCCTCAGGATAATTTAATTTTGTATAAAAATTACTCCTCTAAGTCGAATCCCTGAATAGATTGGTAACTAGTTCTGAAATTGAGGCAGTAATAATAGCCTACCAACCAAAGAAACCCCAGGACCAGATGGATTCACAGCCGAATTCTACCAAAGATACAAAGAGAAGCTGGTACCATTCCTTCTGAAGCTATTCCAAACAATAGAAAAAGAGGGAATTCTCCATAACTCATTTTATGAGGCCAGCATCATCCTGCTACCAAAACCTGGCAGAGACACAACAAAGAAAATTTCAGGCCCATATCCCTAATGAATACTGATGCGAAAATCCTCAATAAAATACTGGCAAACCGAATCTAGCAGCACATCAAAAAGCTTATCACCACGATCAAGTTGGCTTCATCCCTGGGATGCAAGGCTGGTTCAACATATGCAAATCAATAAACATTATCCATCACATAAACAGAACCAGTGACAAAAACCACATGATTATCTCAATAGATGCAGAAAAGGCCTTTGATAAAATTCAACATCCCTTCATGCTAAAAACACTCAATAAACTATGTATTGATGGAACATATCTCAAAATAATAAGAGCTATGACAAACTCTAGCCAATATCATACTGAATGGGCAAAAGCTACAAGGATTCCATTCGAAAACTGGCTCAAGAAAAGGATGCCCTCTGTCACCACTCCTATTCAACATAGTATTGGAAGTTCTGGCCAGGGCAATCAGGCAGGAGAAAGAAACACAGGGTATTCAAATAAGAGGAGAGGAAGTCAAATTGTCTCTGTTTGCAGATGACATGATTGTATATTTAGAAAACCCCATCGTCTCAGCCCAAAAACTCCTTAAGCTGATAAGCAACTTCAGCAAAGTCTCAGGATATAAAATCAACGTGTGAAAATCACAAGCATTCCTATACACCAATAACAAACAGAAGCCAAACCATGAGTGAACTCTCATCCACAATTGCTACAAAGAGAATAAAATACATAGGAATACAATTTACAAGAGACGTGAAGGACCTCTTCAAGGAGAGCTACAAACCACTGCTCAAGGAAATAAGAAAGAACACAAACAAATGGAAAAATATTCCATGCTCATTGATAGGAAGAATCAATATTGTGAAAATGGCCATACTGCCCAAAGTAATTTATAGATTAAATGCTATCCTCATCAAGCCACCACTGAGTTTCATCACAGAATTAGAAAAAACTACTTTAAATTTCACATGGAACCAAAAAAGAGCCTATATAGTGAAGACAATCCTAAGCAAAAAAGAACAAAGCTGGAGGCATCATGCTACCTGACTTCAAACTATACTACAAAGCTACAGTAACAAAAAGGGCATGGTACTGGTACCAAAACAGATAGACAGACCAAGGGAACAGAACAGAACCCTACGAAATAACACCATACATCTACAACCCTCTGATCTTTGACAAACCTGACAAAAACAAGCAATGGGGAAAAGATTTCCTATTTAATAAATGGTATTGGGAAAACTGGCTAGCCATATGCAGAAAACTGAAACTGGGCCCCTTCCTTACACTTTATACAAAAATTAACTCAAGATGGATTAAAGACTTAAACATAAGACCTAAAACCATTAAAAAACCCTAGAAAAAAACCTAGGCAATATCATTCAGGACATAGGCATGGGTAAAGCCTTCATGATTAAACCACCAAAAGCAATGGCAACAAAAGCCAAAATTGACAAATGGGATCTAATTAAACTAAAGAGCTTCTGCACAGCAAAAGAAACTATCATCAGAGTGAACAAGCAACCTACAGAATGGGAGAAAAGTTTTGCAATCTATCCATCTGACTAAAGTCTAGTATACAGAATCTACAAGAAACTTAAACAAATGTACAAGAAAAAAGTAATAAACATGAAAAAAGTGGGCAAAGGATATGAACAGACACTTCTCAAAAGAAGACATATATGCAGCCAACAAACATGAAAAAAAGCTCATCATCACTGGTCATTAGAGAAATGCAAATCAGAAACACAATGAGATACCATATCATGCCAGTTAGAATGGCAATCATTAAAAAGTCAGGAAACAACAGATGCTGGAAAGGATGTGGAGAAATAGGAACACTTTTGTACTGTTGGTGGGAGTGTAAATTAGTTCAACCATTGTGGAAGACAGTGTGGCGATTCCTCAGGGATCTAGAACCAGAAATACCATTTGACTGAGCAATTCCATTACTGAGTATATACCCAAAAGATTAGAAATTATTCTACTATAAAGACACATGCACAAGTATGTTTATTGCAGCAGTATTTACAATAGCATAGACTTGGAACCAACCCAAATGCCCATCAATGATAGACTGGATAAAGAAAATGTGGCACATATATACCATGGAATACTATGCAGCCATAAAAAAGAATGAGCTAATGTCCTTTGCAGGGGCATGGATGAAGCTGGAAACCCATCATTCTCACAAAACTAACACAGGTACAGAAAACCAAACACCACATGTTCTCACTCATAAATGGGAGCTGAACAATCAGAATACATGGACACAGGGAGGGGAACATCACACACTGGGTCTGTCAGGGATTATAGAGCAAGGGGAGGGATAGCATTAGGAGAAATAACTAATGCATGTGGGGCTTACAACCTAGATGATGGGTTGATGGGTGCAGCAAACCACCATGGCACATGTATACCTATGTAACAAACCTGCACATTCTGCACATGTATCCCAGAACTTAAAGTATAATTTAAAAAATTACTCTTCTAGGAAATATATATTAGCAACTTCTGCTTTGTACAATCCCTTATAGAACAGGCTTATTATTATTTTATTCCCCTATGAAATTTAGCAGCTACAGAATATATCTAAATCCCACCAGAAAAAGTGACATCTATACTTTAACAAGACTTTGTTTATATTCATAATCAATTCCTGAGGTCTCCAATTTCTTACTTAGTTTATTAGCTTTGTTTTTATGCAGAAATATTGTGGGCTTTTTAAGGCAGAAACTGTTTCTAACTCATCACAGATCTCTAGAGATTGGCACTGAGGAAGAACACAACAAAGATTTATTTGTTGAATGCATTTTTAAAATAGAAGAAGTTCTTACCTGCTTGCAAAGATTGAAATTAAGTATTAACATGCTTGACTTTTAGAATAAAATATTTAAGCCAATGATCATTTGATTCAGTCATTGTACAAGGCCAGTCTATTCAGCAAAAACAGAGCTTCTCATTCAACAGAGTTATCTGTTCTTATAAAAACAGTTTTCAAAGGAATTAAATATGTTATGTTTATAGTATCTGGATGAAATATTTGGGCACTGAAACTTTTACAAAGATGAGATGTTCACAAGTATCCTTGCTTTACTTTGCCAACACAGAATCCAGTAGCTGTTGCTATAGTTTTAAAAATTTATATTTTTATTTTATTGTTCATTCTTACCTATCAAGTAAGAAATAGATTGATCGTTATTCAATGGCAAAGGTCTAAAAATTATCTTCCTTTACTTTTCTTACGTAAATCATTGTGATTCTCTTGATTGATATATATTTGTTCTTAATCAAATGATACTGGAATCATGAAAAATTTTTAATTATTGGAATTCACTTATATGTTATTAATAGTAGATAAACCCTCCAAAGCTAGAAGTAAAAACACAAGTGTCAAAAGTAAATAGAAAATACAAAGAAAGAATTGTAACAGTGTATCCAAGCTTTCTTTTCATGTTTTTCTCCGATGAACCTCATGCTAATAGAATAATTAAGGATTACTCAGTTCAAATCTCTCCCTAAACTAAAAAATGTGCATTTACAGAAAGGAGCATAAAAGAAATTTCCCTTTCCATTTGCTACTTTCTCCTTCTGTGTCACTCTCTAGATTCTCTCCTACAAATAATTCATCTATACCTCTAGCTTTTATAATTCCTTGCACTGAAAGTCAAATAAGGCATAGAGGGACTCTACATTTTCAGACAATACAAGACCCATATGCTCAGAAAACTGGATAACATTTTGCAAAGACTGTATATTTAGTATTTTTGTGATTACATTTTCTGATATATTCACTGCGTATTATTACTATATATTAGGTTTTCTATTTTAATCTTATATCAAACCCTTTACCTAAATAGATTTATGACATTAAAAGCAGAAACTAGAAATTTTGCCAAACATATTTTATCATGTGTTATTTAACTCTATCTGATAAATTCAGTCACATACATAGATGTCAGAGTAAATAAATATTTCAAGAGAGATAGTTTAAGAATTATATTTTAATTATTCTTACATACATACACACATAAATTTTATGTGCTGTATTTACTTATCATTTATAAAAATGGTTAAAACTGCATGTCATTCTATTCTCTTTTGCATGTAAGCTTATATTTAACCACATTTTAGAGTTTGTTTGAGATTATTTAGAACCATTGTTTCTGACTCAGTAGAATAAGTAAAACTTAGCCAAAATTAAAACATGTTTACTAACTTTTCTGTGTTCTGCAATCACAAAAGTAAGGTTCCCCCAGCTTGGCTACTTTATCTTTCTATTAATATTTTTTGTGACTATATTTATCCTTTTAAACTCGACTGTATTAACTTTACATTCATTTCTCTCTCATATCCTGATCACCATGGGATTGACTGTCAAGAAGGTAATGAAACAAATTTACTGTTCTTGAATAACATTATTTAGGCAGTCAATCTACATATAATGTCTTATTCACCATTATAAAATCTGGACCAGGTGATATACAGAGCAAGGAAATGAGGCTATGAAGGAGAAAAAGAAAGTGTACCCAAATGCCCCCAAGAACTTTAAAGAACCTCAATCTCTTTCTGACATAATCTTATCCCCCCCTTCACAATTTATTTTATTTTATAGTCCAGTGGAAATATTCTCTGCTTTAAAATTTTTCCTCTTCCCTTCCATCTCTTGTGCATGTAGTGAAGACATCTTTAATCTCCAGATTTGACTCTGTCCCTGCTTTCTGAAAATATTTTAGTGGTTCTTTTTCACCACATGGACAAGATGAGCTACGTTCACATGACCCTCTATTTTACATGACACTGACTAATATGCCACTTTTTCTTCATTTATTAATTCATTCAATAAATATTTTAAATGCCTACAGAGGGAGAAAATATAGCAGAGTGATTTAGAACATAGGCTCAGGAGACATACAGTCTACATTTTGTAAAGAGTTAATCTGATTAATAGCTGAGTAAGCTTGAATATGCTCCCTAAGCCTTCTAAGCCTAAGTTTCTATTGATGAAATGAAATGGGAATGGGACCAATGTTATAGGCACCTATGGGGACTGAATGAGACAATCAATGTACTATATGTAGAGTAATGCTGACTACTGTGATTATACAATAAATGCAGATGATCGTGGAGGTAACAGGTTTGATTTCAAGTGGATCACTGTGAATAAGAGCCTAAAAGGGGGCAAAAATAAATAGCAAGGATGGAATTAACTTAGGCACATGTTGTGATAGATCTGGCAAGAGATGCTGTTAGTTTGGAGTAGAGTGGTAATGGAGAGAAATGAACATATTCAAGAAACGATTTGGACTTAGCATATGTAGAACTTGGTGATAGATTCGTTTTATAGGATGAGGGAGAGGAGATGTCAAGAATCATTTACAAATTTTTTATTTGTGTGATGAGATGAAGGTAGATTAAGTTTAAAGAGGATCTAGGGCAAGGGCCAGGAAGCAGAGTAGAAGATCCTGCAATTGATTTTCCACGGGTTGAATGTGATGTGTCTTTCAGTCACCCTAAGAAATGTCAAATAAGCAACTGGATATACTGGAAAGTGTAGCTGAGGAAAAATCATCAGAAGTGAAACTTCAAATCTCATGAATCCTGACATGCAATTTATTCCCCGACAACACTGGTCTTTAAAATGTCTCATAAGTTTTTTGTTGTTGTTGTTTGTTTTGTTTTGTTTTTGAGACAGAGTTTCACTCTTGTCACCCAGGCTGGAATGCAATAGCATGATATCAGCTCACTGCAACCTCCACCTCCCGAGTTCAAGTGATTCTCCTGCCTCAGCCTCACAAGGAGCTGGGTTACAGGTGCCTGCCACCACGCCCAGCTATTTTTTGTATTTTTAGTAGAGATGAGGTTTCACCATATTGGCCAGGCTGGTCTCGAACTCCTGACCTCAAGTGATCCACCCGCCTCAGCCTCACAAAGTGCTAGGACTACAGGCTTGAGCCACCACACCTGGCCTCATAAGTTTTTGTTTATACTTATATATTTTATCTTGATATTCCTTCATTTTGGAATGTCCTTCTCCCATCTTCTTTACCTGGCTACCAGGCTTACATCTTTCAGGCACAGCTGAGATTATGTTTTCTGCAGAGAGCTATGTCATAACCAGGCTAGTGAATCAACAAACTTGTTTTTCATTCCTCCTAGTTAGTTCATTGTTTTTCTTGAGGTTAAATGTGGCCCTGTAACTTAAGTTGTGGCCAGTAAACTGTGTACCACTTTCAGACCTGGCCCATAAAGAAGACTTCTACTCCCTTTTGCTCCCAGCCTGTTTGATGCAGAATCCAGCAGGCCCTAGGAGATTCTAGAGCCATAGGATGTAAGTCTCTGAAACAGCAAGTGAAAGGGGCCCTGCCAAACACATCAAATATATAGAAATGCATGAGCAAGAAAAAGTTCTACCATTTTAAACCACTGATGTTTTAGAATTCTTACAGCAATTATCTTGCCCTGAAATCTTCCTACTTTTTCATGATTATGTTAAGTGCCCCTCTGTGTTCACAAAGCCCTCTGGCATATCTGTATCATTATACTTTCCCACATGTGGTTCCATATTGGTTTATTTGCCTGTGTCTCACAAACTATAGATTTTATGTGGGCAAAGTCCATGTCTCTCTCTTCTTTGTATCCCTAGTTCCTAACATGGCCCCAGAAACCATGAGTTGGCCCTTGGTGAACATTTTTAGAATGATAAAGCGAATGAATGATTCCATTCATTCATCCAAAATTTTCGTGATGTTTCCCCTGAGACCACGTGGATGTCATAATACAAATTAAAACCTATGCAGTATGAGGGTTTCAATTCCTTACTCATTTATTGATTCCTTATTTGTATCTGTCTTCCTTACTCTGTCTCCTAATTTTCACAAATACTCTTGAGTTGTAGAAAAATTGAATTCTCTTCCAATAAATAGTTATTAAATAAATTTTTATATGTTAAAATTTTCTTTTATAACTCTTTCTTATTAAATACCTTCATTTCAGTGCTGCCTTTTTTCCACATTAATATGTATTCTTTCTTCCTTTCTATTTCAGCTAAATAAATGAGGCTTTATGTCTTTATTTTAGGTAAAACTTATCTGCTTTTAGAGCTTCAAAACTATTCCAATTAATTTTTTCAAAAAATGAACAACAAATACTTGGGTCCTACATATTGGAAACAAAAAGTACATTCTATTTTTCCTTAGCCCTGATGCCTTGCTGTTTTTTAAATTCAGCTTGGCATCTTAAAGTGCTGGGAAATAATTACAGAGATCAGAGACAGCTACCCCTCTCCTTGGCTAGGGAACAAAACATGTCAAATCACCATATGCTACCCCTACACTTCAATGCAACCTTCTGAAAACTCATAAATTTCCAACTTCAGCGTTTCTTAGCAACCACTCTAATATTTTCAGCCACAAATTGGAAGCGGGCCCCAGTGAAAGAACACAAGAAGAATTCATGGAAAGAATCTTAAAAACTACTGTGTTGTGCTCAGACAAAAAGGAAGAGTAGGCAAGCTTCCTCAAGGGATATCTGCATGTGGCAGGTGGATTCTGGTCTTCGTAATTAATGAGAGTTGTACTGTATAGCAGATGCTTGAAATATCAACAATTTCAAAGTGAAGCTTAATGCTAAACTGTCCTCATTCATATTTTTTGACATATTTATTGTTTTAGCACATTTTAAGATTATAAATGACTTAAACATTTAGATAAAAAAGAAAAACCTGGCCCCTAGATCTAACTAATATTTTTTCAGAGATGAAACGATATAATCATTTAATAGTTGTTTATCCATTTACTCATATCGGCAATAGGGTGTAAAGATGTCCAAATTTTATGAATCAGAAATTTAGACTGGCACAAGGAAGAACAGATATGCATGTTCCAGCTCTTAATTTTGCCATGCAGATTTTTCCAGCATATAGTCATGAATTCTTCCTAAAGATACTCAGTAAACCAGTGAAAATTTTGACATGAAGAAACATGGGTCTAACAATTAGCATTTGGAAATCAAAGAAGTAGGCAAAGAACATAACAACCAAAAATTAGAATTGCATGTCGAATCACCATATGCTGCCCCTACACTTCAATGGAACCTTTTAGGTCTGAATCCTAACCCACTACCTATTACTGTACTCAAGGTACTTAAACTCTTTCAGCTCTAAGATGGAGACGAATACCTTGCTGGACTGTCATAACAATTAAGTGAAACTACATGTGAAGTTCTAAACTACTATTACTTAATGACTATTATAATTACTATATTAACAACTTGTATCAGTCCTCCTAGTTATCTAACTCTTCTTTGAAAAAAAAAATGGTGCAAAAATCTATTACTCCTGGAAGTCAATGACTCTGCATTTCTGATAATGCCAGCATGGAATTCTTCCAGCAGCAGCAGAACTTGTCAGGGCATGTGTTAACCATTTATTCTTCCACATCCCCTAACAGCAGACTACTTTCTGCTGCTATTAATTGTATTCTAATATATCAAATATCTTTGGCTCATCTATTTTCCCTTTTTTTTCTCCAGAGATTCTCAGGCCACTGTAGTAATCAAACTAACCAAGTGGGTGAATAATGAACCAAAATGTCACATATCCAGCAGGAAAATGTATACAAAGTAATCTCTTCTCCTTATCCTCTGCCAAAATCCTGCTCCACTATGGACTGAATGTGCTCCCAAAGCAACACGGTAATGCCTCTATCTCTAAGTGCTTTGCCTCTGGCTCCTTTTTTCATGCCTGCAATTTTTCTATGAGAACCATCTTCCAATAGATGTTAACTTTTCTACTTATTATTACCCAGAAACCAAGAGTTTATCCTTTCAGGAACAAGGGAATACTTTTCTAGACTTCTAATACAGTTTATATTTAGTTTGAAGCTTTTCTCTGAGAACTTTATAACTCAACTGAATATATTCTGTTAGTGACTAACACCAAAGATTTAGGATATAATATTTTTTAACTTTAATATCTTTTCACACGAATTTCATTTGATCCTTCAAAGCGCCCTGCAAATTAGACTAAACAGGTACTATTTGCACTCAGAGAAAGTGAGGCTAAAATGACTTACCCAAGGCTATGAAGAATGTTAAAGGTCTGACTTGGAGCTGTCTATCAGTCCAGTGTCCTTTCTAAAATATAATCATAAATTTTCTTAGCAAAATAGTATCTCATCTATAAAGGACAGAGAAGTTTCACAGCATGCCTGTAATGTTTCACATATTGAGAGTTTTGTTTTGTATATAGGTTCTAATAGTTTGACTTTCTTTGTAATCTCAAGTTGTGTGTAAAAATAGTGAACTGAGTGCACCAGACAAATGCTGATTTTAGTTGTTGTCATAAGAACTATATACTGTTTAAAATAATTGTGATGAATAACATGACCTTATATTTATACATTTTAATAATTTTTTTAGAATACTTTTACAATCATTATTATATCATTTGAAAAATCACTACAATATTGTGAGGAAGGTGAAACAATGATCACTCCCATGGGAAACGTTTCTTCCATAAATCTATGTTAAAGGAATAATCGGAAACGAGTGAACTCTTCATTTTTTATCAGGAGGTTGACTATTATACTGGACCTATTTCTTCTTGAGGTCGAGTCTTGTGACTTGGTGTTAAAGATTCTTGTAAAGATTCTACTACCTCATGCTCCATTTTAGCTTAAACATTGTCATCACCTAAATCAGGCATTTAGCACTGATTTTACTTCATGACGGTGTGCAAGCCATTGAACCAAGAGAAATGTGTAGGTCTGGCTTCTGTAACCTAGGAACTTACATTTTAACTAGAATACATTGAGGCAGGCATATGAGTGAAACACACACACACACACACACACACACACGAATAAAATGTATTTAAAACAATGAAAATTTGAGATTACAGATAACAAATGATTCTATTTAGGGCTAAAGATAAATACAGCAGTCCTCCGCACTCACATTTTCTGAGGTTTCACTTACCCATGGTCAACCATAATTGAAAATATTAAATGAAAAGTTGCATAAATAAACAATTCATAACTTTTAAATTGTGTGCTGTTCTGTGTAATGCAATGAAATCTCACACTATCCCATTGTTAAGGCTTTTTCACTCCCGTAGTTCGGTGAGCAGGAGGAAGTAGCACCCAACGGCTTCTTCTCTACCGTTGTTTGGGGAGTTGGAGGGAGTGTTACAGCTCTTTTAACTCCCACCACCCGCTGCTCAGCAAGCAGGAGCACTACACCTCTTTTGCTCCCGCAATTTCGGGGAGTTCCAGGTTCCTGTCCTGTAACCAGAAGGAATAAGGTATGTGGATACCAGAGAATGAGTAAGGCAGAGTAGAATTTTACTGAGCAACACAAAGAAAGTTCTCAGCACTGTGAGGGGATGTGAAAATGAATAGCCATCTATGAGGTTGAGTCTAGGGTTCTTACACACTTAGAATGGGGAAGTGCATGCTGATTGGTCCATGGGTGGTCTTGGAACAAGCACCATTTGATTGGTTGAAAAGCATCATTCAGAAGGAACCAATAAAGAGAGAGGGGGTAAGAAGGGGATACAAGTTCTTACTCTGGTCATGAATTTTATTCGGAACTGTCAGCTCGGGTTTGGTTGGTTGAAAAGCATCATTCAGAAGGAACCAATAAAGAGAGAGGGGGTAAGAAGGGGATATAAGTTCTTACTGTGGTCATGAATTTTATTCGGAACTGTCAGCTCGGGTTTTCAGGCTATAAGCTCTTCTTGGCTTGAAGGTCAGATTTCATCTGAGACCTGTCTCTGTCTGCCTAGGAATTTTCTGTCTGCCTAGGAATTTTTCTGTCTCCTGTCGCTATCACCACTCTGTCCTGCCTGGGACATGAGTCTTCCCTTTACCCAGCATATCCTCACTGTCTACACTACCCACCTATTAGTCACTTAGTAGCAGTTTAGGTTATCAGATCAACTGTAGTGGTATTGCAGAGCTTGTGTTCAAATAACCCTTATTTTACTTTATAGTAGCCTCAAAGCACAAGAGTAGTGATGCTGCATATTGTTATAATTATTCTATTTTATTATTTGTTATTGTTGCTAATCTCTTACTGTGTCTAATTTATAAAGTAAACTCTATCACAAGTATATAATGCATAGAAAAAAACATAATATATATAAGATTCAGTACTAGTTGTGGTTTCAAGCATCCAACAGGGGTCTAGGAACATATTCCCTGCAGATAAGGGTACTGTATTTTCATGTGGAATCCTGAAAAGTTAGAAGCCCAATGGCCTATAAATCACCAACAATAGTTAACATACAAAAGTTGAGGGTAAGCTGTGTTCAGACCTTGCAAAGTGCAGTTGTCAGACCTCTAAATAATTTGGGAAGAGTTTGAAAGGGGAAAAAGTAGGGACTATTTAAATAAATACTTAAATAAAAATAGAGAAGCTAAAGGAAGGAAAAAGTAGAGGAAACTAGAGTAAGAATAAGCTGCTGGGATAATTCTAAAAAAATGAAAAAGGATCTTGGCAGATTCTCTCTCTCCAGAAAAAATAGCAATTCGAGATGAAAATTATTAAAAAATAATGTAACATCTGGAAATTGTCCTAGAAACACCAGAAAAAAATGCATAAAAATTCATTCAAGAAAAACTATTTAATTTTTTTAAGAACAAGTAGAGTCTGTGGAATTCTAGCCAAGATTCTTTAATTACCAACCTCCGTTTCCCAACTTCACATTACAAGAGCTCTACCCCAGGCACGTGCAGTCAAGAAGACAGGGATCTCTCTGTCTCAGGAAGAGCAGGCTGCTAGCATTTCTCCTCCTACCTCCACAAGCTCTATTCTAGGAAGGTATGTGGTGAAGAAGACCTGGGACTTTCTTCCCCTATTTCACCCCCGCTCATAGTGTGGAAGTCCTATTTCAAGTAAAGAAGGCGGATGATACTGGGGCCCAGCACACTGGTAGCATGGAGGTTCTGTACCAAGCAGGGCAAGCTAAGACAATCAAGAGCTGCCCCTTACACACTCTAGTGCCAACTAGTAAGTAGACTAGGGATGTCACTCTGGGAGAAACAGATTTCTGCCCCCAACTGTGGTGCAGTCGCACAATGGTTCTGCCCAGGTAGAAAGGCAGGTAATAAGGATGAGGAGTTCTTCAGCTCTGCCTGAGGGGACTGGCTTTATTTGTAACAGTGGATGGAGATCTCTATGCATGGGAGTGTTGCCAGAAACAATAGCTATCTTTGTGGAAAGCAATTACAAGGAGGCAGTAACTCTGAAACAAGTAAAGTTGCAGAGAAACCAGAAGTTCAATAAAAAGAACCAAGAAAAGAGATAGCCAAGAAGGGTTGCTCTGTGATTATCATCAGCTCTAAGGGTGGAAAGGCTTTCTCCTTGCACTATGCTGCATCCACTCAGGAAGCAAGCAGAACAGAATGTGAGTCAGGCTTAAAAACATTTCCCAAACCACAGATAGACCCATCAGCATAGGATGGAAGTCTAAATGGCACCAGGAACTAACAAGGTTAAATTATACCAGGCTCTTCTGATCCTAGAAAACAGCAATAAATACCAAAAGGAGGGTAGTTAAAGAAATTCATCACACTTTATGTTCTGGAAATGGCTTGCTGCAAAGAAGTACCCTTTCTCATGTGACTTAGATAGGACTCACGGATGGCCCTCTTGTGTACCTACAAGACCAGATACAAACATTCTAAATTCTTATTCTTTGCCTCATATATATTTGCTGAACTGTTTGTCCCCATAATCAATCAGAACCAAATACTTGTAAGCAAACTTTAGATTTCTCTCCTTCCTACAGATCTCTGAATTTTACTCTCAGCCTCAGCCGGCATGCAACCTTTCCTAAATTTCTCCTCTTGAAAATAAACTGACATCAGGATAAAACATTCTCTGATCTGTTATCCCATCATGCCTCCCTTTCTTCTTACATCTGAACATCCTGTTCTTTCTAGCCTTGTTTACTCCTCTCTACAAAAGAATAACTCTTTTCACATAATCCTTAAGATGTTTGCTATGGTTGTTTTATTCTCTGTATTGCAATAGTCCCTTCTTCCCCTTTGCAATAATCCGTCAAAAAAGTCTCTCCTTACCTAAATTTGGATTTTTAAAAATTAAAAAAAAAATGACAGTGCTTAAACATAACTTCTGACCAGATACCGAGTGAACAAAGATCTTCTCTGATCTAGGAAATATACCTGGGAAGTCAAGATTTAAAATAATATCACAGTCATCTGAGAGTCTGGAAGACTATGCTTCCCAGAAGAAATCAGGGAGAAAAACCTCCAAGCTGAAGACAGGACAAAATAAAATGAAATAAAATAAAATATCTGAACTGATATAATAGACTTTATGCTACACATGTATTTAAAAGAGTAATAGGTAAAATTCTAACCAACTGGGGGTCGTAAACACAATTTTAATCAATAAACAGGCTGTCAAACCAGAGGCTTCTCCCAGAGAGCCAGGATAAAAGATAAGCAAAAAGGAAAAAATTAACAATTCTAGCAGATACATCAGAGGCTGTACATGGCAGAGGAAAAAGGCTTTACAGAATTTATTAAAATAAGTCCCTAGATAAATGACTATGCAAAAAACAAAAACAACACTCCTAAGAAAGTCAGTATACAATGTTATACCAATATATTATCTAAAATGTATAGTTATCAACAAAACATTAGGAAATATGCAAGGAAATAGGAAAATATGACCCATCCCACTTGGGGGAAAAGCAGCAGGCATTAAAAATTGCCTTTACAGAAAATTAGGTGGTAGGCTTAGGAGACAAAAATTTCAAATTGTCTATCATAAATATGTCCAAAGAACTAAAGGAAACCATGTTTAAAGAATTTAAAAGATATTTAAAGACAACACGTTATCAAATACAGAATGCTAATGAAGAGATATAAATTATTGAAAATAAAAGAAAATTCTGGAGTTGAAAAGTACAAGTGAAATGAAAACTTCACTAGCGGGGCTGAAAAGCAGATGTGAACTGGTGGAAGGAAGCATAAATAAATTTGAAGAGAGATACATGGAGATGATGAAATCTGAAGGAAAGAGAAGAAAATAAAGAAAAATGAACACACTCTGAGAGAAATAAGGAACACTATTAAATACACCAATGTAGTAATGGGAATACAAAACAACAGGAAAAAAAATTTGAAGAAATAATGGCTGAAAACTTTCCAAATTATTGGAAATATTATAGTACACATTAAAGAAACTCAATGAACTTCAAGTAGGATAAATTCAAAGAAATCTAGAGAGAGACACCTTATAATTGAAATGTTGAAAGACAAAGAGAAAGAGAAAATCTTGGAAGCCGCAAGAGAAAAATTACTTATGTACAAGGGAACTGTAGTAAGATTAACTTTGGACTTCTTATCAAAAACAATAGATACCAAAGGCAGTTGGATGACATATTCAAAGTGCAGAAAAAAAATGGCTGTCAAGAATCTTACATTCAGCAAAATATCTTTCAAAAATGAAGGTGAGAAAAAGATATTCCCAAATAATCAACAACTGAGAGAATTGGTTGCTAACAGACCTTCCTTACAGGAAATACTAAATGTAGTTCCTCAGGCTGAAAGCACTCAGCAACAGATAGTAATTCAGATCTAGATGTATTAAGAAAAAGAGTATCAGTAAAGGTAATTATGTAAGTAATTATAAAGGACACTATAACTGCATATTTCTTCACCTTTGTCCCCTTGACTAATTTAAGAATTAATTGCAAAAATCAATGTGTATAAAATTGAAAAGGTTTTTAAAAATATAACTAGCAGAATAATACTCCTTCCAAAATGTCCACATCTTGATCCCTAGAACCTGAGAATACCTTACTTTACATGGATAAAGAGATTTTGCAAGTGTGATTAAAATAAAAAATCTTCAGACAAGATTATCCTGGATTACTCAGATCTAAGATGAATCTTGAAATGTAGAGACCATTTCTTGAGTTGAAATCATTTAGACATCAGTGTGATGATGGAAGAAAAGTCATAGGGATGCAATGTAAAAAGAACTTGATCTGCCAAGACTGGCTTCAAAGATGGAGTAAGAGAACCATCAGCAGGTGTGGACATCCCCTAGAAGCTGGAAAATGGAAAGGAACTTCTTCTCCCCTAAAGCCTACAGAAAGGAACACAGCCCTTGATCTTTCCCAATGAGACTCCATCTCAGATGTGTTACCTAAAGAACTGTAAGATAAAAATTGTTTTAAGCTACTAAATTTGTGATAAAGTTATGGCAACAATGTACAACTATTAAAAGCAAAGAGATCCAGTCAGAATATGCAAATATATAGAAGTAAAAGATTAATAGTTGCATAGGGCTTGAGTAAGTGTGGAATAATGAGTGCTAATGGAGTTTCTTTTAGGGGACACAAAAATATTTTAAAATCAGATTGGGGTAATTTTTACACAGCCCTGTGACAAACTCAAAATCACTGAATTGTACAATTTAAATGGGTGAATTGGATAGTATGTGAATAATACATCAACAAAGCTATTTCTGAAAGAATATGATACTGCTTTGAGAATTGGGCATGTTTCTTTTGACTAAAAGAGAGAGATCACCTGTTTCTAAATGAAATAAAAAAATGTTATTTATCGGAAAAAATGGGGCATTTTACTGAAATAAGTAATGGGATGTATAACTATGACTTAGTGAAGGAAAGAAGGACAAAACCTCTGGAATTTTGATGAGGAAGATTAGAGATATTTTCCAGGTGCTACTCCAGCCTTTTCAGGCTCTGTGCCCTTGCATTTTCATAAGATAATATGCATTGGGCCAAGTGGTCAAGGAGATTTTCCTCTGGAAGTAGAATCATTTGACTTTGATTTTTTTTAAAACCACTTCCCCACTAAACTAGGAATACAGGGAGGCTTCTTCCCTTAAAGAGTATCTACAACAAACCTACACTAACATCATATTTAATGGTGAGAAACTCAAAGATTCCCTACTAAAATAAAGGCAAGAAAGTCCCCTGTCACCACTGCTCTTCAGCATCACTGACAATTCTAGCTAATAAAATAAGACAAAAAAATAAACAAAAGGTATACAGATGGGTAAGTATAAAATGAAACCGTCTTTATTCACAGGTGACATGATTATCTATGTAGAAAAGCCAAAAGAATCGACAAAAAAAAATCTCCAGGAACTAATTGCTTAATTATAGCAAGTTGTTTAGAATACAAGGTTAATATACAAAAGTCAAATGCTTTCTTATATACCAGCAATGAACAAGTAAAATTTGAAATTACAAACACAATATTATTTGCATTAGCACCCCAAAAATAAATACTTAGGTGTAAATCTAACAAAATATGTACAAGATCTGTGTAAGGAAAACTACAAAATTCTCATAAAAGAAACCAAAGAAGAATTCAATAAATGGAGAGATGTCCCATATTAATGAACAGGAAAGATCAATATTGTCAAGATGCTTGTTTTTCCCAACTTGATCTATAGATCTGATGTAGTTCCAGTCCAAACCTCAGCAAGTTACTTTGTGGATATTGACCAGTTAATTCTGAAGTTTACATAGAGAAGTAAAAGAGGCAGGATATCCAACACTGTATTGAAGAACAAAGTTGGAAGACTTACATTACCTTTCTTCAAAACTTACTATGAAGCAACAATAATAAAGACAGTGTGGGCCGGGCGCAGTGGCTCACGCCTGTAATCCCAGCACTTTGGGAGGCCGAGGTGGGCAGATCATGAGGTCAGGAGATCGAGACCATCTTGGCTAACATGGTGAAACCCCGTCTCTACTAAATATACAAAAACTTAGCCGGGCATGGTGGTGGGCGCCTGTAGTCCCAGCTACTTGGGAGGCTGAGGCAGGACAATGGTGTGAACCCGGGAGGTGGAGCTTGCAGTGAGCCAAGATCATGCCACTGCACTCCAGCCTGGGCGATGAGCGAGACTCCATCTCAAAAAATAAATAAATAAATAAATTAAATTAAAAAGACAATGTGGCATTAGTGAAAAAATAAACAGATCAATGGAACAGAATAGAGAGAGCCCGGTGACAGATCCACATAAATAAAGTCAACCAATCTTAGAGACAGAGAAGGAAAGGCAATACAATAGAAAAAAAGATAGTTTTTCAACAAATAGTGCTGAAATAACTGGACATCATATTCAAAAAATAAATCTAGGCCCAGATTTTAAACACTTCCTTAAAATTAATTCAATATAGATCCCAGACCTAAATGTGAAACACAAAACCATAAAACTCCTAGAAAAATAGCACAGGAAAACTATAGATGACATTGTACTTAGCAATGACTTTTAGAAATAATAACATCGAAGGCACAATCCATGAAAGAAAGAATTAATAAACTCTATGAAAGACACTGTCAAGAGAATGAAAAGACAAATCACAGATTGGAAGAAAATATTTGCAAAAGACGTCATATAAAGAATTGCTATTAAAATACAAAACAAATTCTTATAATTCAGCAATAAGATAACAAACAAGCAGTTTTAAAATTGAGCCAAAGACCTTAACAGACACTTCATCAAAGAAGATATATAGATGGCAAATAAATATGAAAAGATGTTCTACTTCATATGTCACGAGAGAAATACAAATACAAATTACAGCAACAATGAGATAACACTACACATCTCTTAGAATGGCCAAAATTCAGCATACTGACAATATCAAATGCTGAGAAGGATGGGGAGCAATAGGAACTACCATTCATTGCTGGTGGGAATGCAAAATGGTAAAGCCACTTCAGAAAACAGTTTGGCAATTTCTCAAAAAATAAATAAATAAATAAAATAAACAAACACACTGTTATTATACAATTCAGAAATCACGTTCCTTGTTTTTTTCTCCCAAAATGAATATATATGTACACACAAAAGCCTGCATATGGATTTGTATAACAGCTTTATTCATAATTGCTAAGATTTGATAGGAACCAAGATGTTCTTCAGTAAGTGAATGGATAAACTAAGGTATATTCAGATAATGGACTATTATTCAGCACTAGAAAAAAAAATTAACTATCAAGCCATGAAAAGGTATGGAGGAAACCTAAATTCATGTTACTAATTGAAAGAAACTAGTCTGTAAAGGCTACTTACTATATGGTTTCAAGTATATCACATTTTGGAAAAGGCAAAAATGTCTAAAAATATATCAGTAGCTGTTAGGACTTAGAGGGGAAGACAGATGAATAGGCAGAACACAGAGGATTTTTAGGGCAATGGAAATACCCTGTATAATACTATACTGGTAGATACTTGTCTTATACTTTGGTCCAGATCCATAGAATGTACAATACCAAGAGTGACCCCCTAATGCAAACTATGGTCTTGGAATCTGGGTGGTAATTATGTGTCAATGTAGGTTCATAAATTGTAACAAATGTACCACTCTGGTGGAGATATTGATAATGAGGGAGGCTATGCCTCTGTGAAGGCAAAGAGTATATGAGAAATTCTGTACTGTGCACTATTCTGCTATAAACATAAAACTAATCTGAAAAATTAAGTCTGTTAAAGAATTTCACCATAAAACCACTTTTCTTAATGTTAAATTTTTCTAACAATCATTTACCAAATCTTATTTAGAAAATAGCTTTAGCTGGACACGGTGGCTGATGCCTGTAATCCCGGCACTTTGGGAGACTGAGGAGGGCAGATCACAAGGTCAAGAGATCAAGACCATCCTGGTCAACATGGTGAAACCCAGTCTCTACTAAAAATACAAAAATTAGCTGGGCTTGATGGCACGCACCTGTAGTCCCAGCTACCCAGGAAGCTGAGGCAGGAAAATCACTTGAACCCAGGAAGTGAAGGTTACAGTGAGAAGAGATGGCACCACTGCACTCTAGCCCAGTGACAGACCCAGAATCTATCTCAAAAAAAAAAAAAAAAAAAATTGCTTTAACTTGTTCACCAATAAGCATGTAATCAATTTGTTTGCCTGTGGCCAGCCAAATTTATTCTATAATAGTTTTTCTTTGCTCTGGATCCGTGGCTTTTGGGGAATAAAATCTTCTTTAGTTTTTGAAAGTTCAGGTATTTTACTTCTCTCAAGTGTAAAAGATTTTATTAACAACAGGACAGGTTTCTCTCAGCATGAGTGCCTATTATTTGTTTTCTTTTAACAGGAATTCCTGCAAAAAGTAATAAACTAAAAGAAAACCTAAAGGGTATAAATGTAAAATTAAGTCCTTTTACTCTCTCCAGTTGAACTACCTAGAGAAAACCATTTTAAATCACAATTTCAGAAGATTTTAAAAATTCAACTCTACCTAAAGACATCATAAAATGGCTCATTATTCCATCATCCAGGTAACTACCATTATTATTTTAAATGAATTCAAAAATATATGTACCTGACCATAAAATTACACTAAAAGCAATTTTAGTATTATTTTATCTATTTCATGATTTTCCTCCCAGAGAGCTCCAGTTCTGTATTCCAATAGTACCAAAAATCTGCATCCCAAGGTTTTGTGTCACATTCCCTAAAACAATTTATATGAACATGACAAATATGTCATTTGTATATTCCATATTTTCTCAGTTGGTTATTTGCTTTTGAAACTAAATCCTTACATATCAGTATTTGCAGATTTACTGCGTTCATTTTTCTTATTCTTTTGTTATTATTTTATTCATATTAAATAATAATAAAAAGTGAATATTAATGTACTCCCTTCTCAGCTTTAAAATATTCATGAGTACTCAAACCTTGAAGTTCTCTATGCACTTATCCTGGACGGCATAGCCTACATTCAACCCAGAAGTAAATGTTATCTTGAATTTTTTATTTTATCATTCCTTTACACATAATTATGTTTTGCAAGATAATATTTATGATTAGTATTATTTTAATTGTATTGAAACTGAATACTATTAAATGGTTTTTCTTGCAACTTACTGTTTTCATTGTGTTTGTGAAATTCACCCTTGTGATTGTGTGAAATACTAACTTATTCATTCTCACAACTGTTTTGTATTCTATCTTACAAATATAACACAATTTATCCAGCTGACTTTGGACTTTTTGGTTGTGTCTAGTTTTATCCTGTCCTGGAAAATGTTGCTATTAATATTTTTATACATATATTTTCATTCACATGTTACAATGACTTTCTCTAGGACATATCAAAGGAGTAGAAGTGTTATTTTAGAAGGAAATTGCTTAGCTATACAAGGTAATGCCACGGCAAGTACAGATAGGAGCATTAGCTTACATCCTGACCAATACTTGGAATTAGCCGACTTAAAATTTTGCTAAGCTGATAGGTTTAAAATGATAATCTTATTGATTTTAATTAGTAGTTTCCTGTTTACAAATTAGGTGGGGTGTCTTATGTTTATTAGCCATTCATTTCCTCTTTCAAATGTGTTTCTTGCCAATTTTTCCAAGTGATTATTTGTCTTTTGTTAATAGTTTTCAGAAATATTTTTGTTTAAAATAGAAATGTCTTATTTATTTTATGTGTTTAAGTGATCTACTTGAGGCTTAGCTTTTCACTTTACTATAACTGTTTATGATGAAGCTGTAACCTCAATTTTAAAGTAAAGATGTTTATAAAGCCTTTTATTTCTCGTTCATACTTTTCGTTCTTTAAAAAAAAAAAAAAAATGTACTTTTGGCCGGGCACAGTGCACTGCTCACGCATGTAATCACAGCACTTTGAAAGGCCGAGGCGGGTGGATCACAAGGTCAGGAGATCGAGACCATCCTGGCTAACAAGGTGAAATGCCGTCTCTACTAAAAATACAAAAAATTAGCCAGGCGTGGTGGCGGGCGCCTGTAGTCCCAGCTACTCCGGAGGCTCAGGCTAGAGAATGGCACAAACCTGGGAGGCACAGCTTGCAGTGAGCTGAGCTCGCCACTGCACTCCAGTCTGGGCGACAGAGCGAGACTCCGTTTCAAAAAAAAGAAAATGTACTTTTAATTGCAAGATTTACCTACATTTACTTCACAAATATTACAAGTTTTGCTCTTCACATTTAATTTTTAATCTATCTTAAATTTTGATATAGTATTAAATAATACCTTTATTGGACAATCTATGTTTCCTTTACATTTATTATTAAAATTTTTATTTAAATTGCCGTGAATTAATGGATTATTCCGGATTGAATTATCATGAACTGGCTATCTTTCTTGAATTGTTTAGCTATTCTGTTGCATTTTTTATCAACTTCTATAAATTTTTCCATTAAGATCTTGTACTTCCTTTTGTATTTATTTCTTGGAAACCCTTTTTAGTGTCAGTTTTTAAATTTTGTTTCTAATTGCTATTTTCTATGTAGAGAAATACATTTTATTTTTGCATATTCTTATATTTAGAAACTTTGCCTGTCTCTTTAATTATAATAATCATTTCAAGAACTCATTGGGGCTCTCTGTGTATACAGAGAGTCTTATTAATACATTTGTAGTTTTGATGCTTTCATTCATAATTTATAATTTATATGGTTTGTTATACAGTTCAGATTTCTGTTACAACACTGAACAGGGGTGATACAATGGCCTTCCTTATCCAGTTTCTATTTAAAGTGTATTCTTTAACGTTTCTCTATTTTCCATTAGGTGAGCTAAAATGCTGTTTTATAAAAATGTCTGTATTATTTGATAATAATAGAAGGCCCGCATTTAATTTATTTTAGTTTAACAAATAGCTCCTGCTATGGACTAAATGGGTCTCCCCAAAATTCATATGTTGAAGTCTTAATTCCCAGTGTAATGGTGTATTAGTTCTCATACTGCTCTAAAGAACTGCCTGAGACTAGGTAATTTATACAGGAAAGAGGTTTAATTGACTCACAGTTCTGCATGTCTGGGGAGGCCCCCGGAAACTTACAATCATGGCAGAAGGTGAAGGGAAAGCAAGGCATATCTTACATTCCAGCCAGAGAGAGAGAGAGAGAGCAAAGAGGAAAGTGCCACTTTTAAACCGTCAGTTCTCGTGAGAACTCACTCACTAGGAGGAGGACAGCATGGGGGAAAACCACCCCCTCCACCTGGTCTTTGACATGTGGGGATTATGAGAATTATAATTAAAGATGAGCTTTGGGTGGGGACACAAAGCCTAACCATATCAGATAGTATTTGGAAATGGGGCCTTTGGAAGATAATTAGATTTGAAGGAGGTTATGCAGGTGTAGACCCAGTAGTGGGATTGATATTCTTATAATAAGATGAAGACAGCCAAGCTCTCTCTCTCTCTCACTGCTATGTGAGGATACAGAGAGAAGGCACCTTTCTGAACAACTGATGATTACTGAGCATCTAGAGCATCTGTGAACTTCCTATTTATGGACTTCGTTTATGAAAGAAACATAAATATTATCATATTTAAGACAATAATCTTGAGTTTGCCGTCATGTAGAGCTAAATGTAAATCTAAGTAAATATGCATGTTATTAGATTTTTTTAAAAAGCTGACTTCTATTTTTAGCTTGCCAGAATTTTATCATTCTTGTTAAATTGTACAAAATATTTTTACAGATGTTTTTCTCTTTTATTTCTTTAATTTAGTGAGTCATTTTATAACTATACTATTTACTAATCTCAATCTGTTGCTTTTTATTTCTGCTTACTCTTCATAGCAAAATTTTCTCCTGTTTCTGTGATATTCTTTTGTGAATTAATTTTTTCTGGAACTTATCCATGGGAATTATTTTAGTCCTGCACTAAGTTGCAATATTCCAGAAATGATCTTCATTTGCCTCTCCCAAGAGCGTAAGTGAACTAAAAAAATCAGAGCTACTTTAGAATAAAGTCCTAAGTTTGGAGTTTTCAGCATATATGTTATTGAAATTCAGTTTCATTGCCACATTAGAAACAGTTTACATTTCAATCTAAACAGATTGAAGGAGGAAATGTTTCCCCACTCTGCCTACAGCCAAAGGCCATAAACAGCACATTTTATTGGCAGGGTAGAATTTTTTTATTTGCTTATTTATATATGTATGTTTGTTTAGTTTACCCATTTTACTAAGTTGACTAATCTTCAGAGATTTTCAATCTTATGATTTTCTGTGTTTGAGCCCTAGGTTTTGTCTCCTGTTCCTTGCAGAGTAAAGACCCACTTGAAGTGAGCCTCTGAGCTGACCAGAAACCCAGAGGCTTCTGTGCTCACTGATTTTTCAGGATTTGTTGTGTTCTCTTTTTGGTCTTACAGAATTTTCCACATTTGTTTGCCTTCTCCTCTGATACACTTGTAAAACATGCTTTCAATATTTATTCAATACTTGTGCTTACCCACTATGTATTAATTTCCTTGTTGGTTTAAAGTCTGTTTTACCAGAGACTAGGATTGCAACCCCTACTTTTTTTTTGTTTTCCATTTGCTTGGTAGATCTTCCTCCATCCCTTTATTTTTAGCCTATGTGTGTCTCTGCACGTGGGATGGGTCTCCTGAATACAGCACACTGATGAGTCTTAATTCTTTATCCAATTTGCCAGTCTGTGTCTTTTAATTGGGACATTTAGTCCATTTACATTTAAGATTAACATTGTTATGTGTGAAATTTGATCCTGTCATTATGATGTTAGCTGGTTATTTTGCTCATTAATTCATTAATTGATGCAGTTTCTTTCTAGGATCGATTGTCTTTACAATTTGCTATGTTTTTGCAGTGGCTGGTACCAGTTGTTCCTTTCCATGTTTAGTGCTTCCTTCAGGAGCTCTTATAAGGCAGGCCTGGTGGTGACAAAATCTCTTAGCATTTGCTTGTATGTAAAGGATTTTATTTCTCCTTTACTTATGAAGCTTAGTTTGGCTGGATAAGAAATTCTGGGTTGAAAATTCTTTTCCTTAAGAATGTTGAATATCGACCCCCACTCTCTTCTGGCTTGTAGGGTTTCTGCCGAGAGATCCGCTGTTAGTCTGATGGGCTTCCGTTTGTGGATAAACTGACCTTTCTCTCTGTCTGCCCTTAACACTTTTTCCTTCATTTCAACTTTGGCGAATCTGACAATTATGTGTCTTGGAGTTGCTCTGCTTGAGGAGTATCTTTGTGGTATTCACAGTATTTCCCGAATTTGAATGTTGGCCTGCCTTGCTAGATTGGGGACTTAGACTCCCACACAATAATAATGGGAGACGTTAACACCCCACTGTCAACATTAGACAGATCAACAAGAGAGAAAGTTAACAAGGATATCCAGGAATTGAACTCAGCTCTGCACCAAGCAGACCTGATAGACATCTACAGAACTCTCCACCACAAATCAACAGAATCTACGTTCTTCTCAGCATCACATTGCACATATTCCAAAATTGACCACATAGTTGCAAGTAAAGCACTCCTCACCAAATGTAAAAGAAGAGAAATTATAACAAACTGTCTCTCAGACCACAGTGCAATCAAACCAGAACTCAGGACTAAGAAACTCACTCAAAACCACACTACTGCATGGAAACTGAACAACCTGCTCTTGAATGACTACTGGGTACATAACAAAATGAAGGCAGAAATAAAGATGTTCTTTGAAACCAGTGAGAACAAAGACACAATGTACCAGAATCTCTGGGACACATTTAAAGCAGTGTGTAGAGGGAAATTTATAGCACTAAATGCCCACAAGAGAAAGCAGGAAGATCTAAAATTGACACCCTAACATTACAATTAAAAGAACTGGAGAAGCAAGAGCAAACACATTCAAAAGCTAGCAGAAGGCAATAAATAACTAAGATCAGAGCAGAACTGAAGGAGATAGAGACAAAAAAACTCCTCAAAAAAATCAATGAATCCAGGAGCTGGTTTTTTGAAAAGATCAACAAAATTGATAGACCACTAGCAAGACAAATAAAGAAGAAAAGAGAGAAGAATCAAATAGATGCAATAAAAAATGATAAATGGGATGTCACCACCAATCCCACAGAAATACAAACTACTATCAGAGAATACTATAAACGCCTCTATGCAAATAAACTAGAAAATCTAGAAGAAATGGATAAATTTCTCGATACTTACACCCTCCCAAGACTAAAGCAAGAAGAAGTTGAATCCCTGAATAGACCAATAACAGGATCTGAAATTGAGGCAATAATTAATAGCCTAACAACCAAAAAAAAGTCCAGGACCAGACAGATTCACAGCCGAATTCTACCAAAGGTACAAAGAGGAGTTGGAACCATTCCTTCTGAAACTATTCCAATCAATAGAAAAAGAGGGAATCCTCCCTAACTCATTTTATGAGGCCAGCATCATCCTGATACCAAAGCCAAGCAGAGACATACAAAAAAGGAGAATTTTAGACCAATATCCCTGATTAACATTGATGCAAAACTCCTCAATAAAATACTGGCAAACTGAATCCAGCAGCACATCCAAAAGCTTATCCACCATGATCAAGTGGGCTTCATCGCTGGGATGCAAGGCTGGTTCAACATACTCGAATCAATAAATGTAATCCATCATATAAACAGAACCAAAGACAAAAACCACATGATTATCTCAATAGATGCAGAAAAGGCCTTTGACAAAATTCAACAGCGCTTAATGTTAAAAATTCTCAATAAACTAGGTATGGATGGGACATATCTCAAAATAATAAGAGCTGTTTATGACAAACCCACAGCCAATATCATACTGAATGGGCAAAAACTGGAAGCATTCCTTTTGAAAACTGGCACAAGACAAGAATGCCCTCTCTAACCACTCCTATTCAACATAGTGTTGGAAGTTCTGGCCAGGGCAAATCAGGCAGGAGAAAGAAATAAAGGTATTCAATTAGGAAAAGAGGAAGTCAAATTTTCCCTGTTTGCAGATGACATGATTGTATATTTAGAAAACCTCATCGTCTCAGCCCAAAATCTCCTTAAGCTGATAAGCAACTTCAGCAGTCTCAAGATACAAAATCAAGTGTAAAAATCACAAGCATTCCTATACACCAATAACAGATAAACAGAGAGCCAAATCATGAGTGAACTCCCATTCACAATTGCTACAAAGAGAATAAAATACCTAGGAATCCAACTTACAAGGGATGTGAAGGACTTCTTCAAGGAGAACTACAAACCACTGCTCAACAAAATAAAAGAGGACACAAGCAAATGGAAGGGCATTCCATGCTCATGGATAGGAAGAATCAATATCATGAAAGTGACCATACTGCCAAAGGTAATTTATAGATTCAGTGCCATCCCCATCAAGCTACCAATGGCTTTCTTCATAGAATTGGAAAAAACTACTTTAAAGTTCATATGGAACCAAAAAAGAGCCTGCATTGCCAACAGAATCCTGGCAGTAACCAAAATAGCATGGTACTGCTACCAAAACAGAGATATAGACTAATGGAACAGAACAGAGCCCTCAGAAATAATACCACACATCTACAACCATCTGATCTTTGACAAACCTGATGGAAACAAGAAATGAGGAAAGCATTCCCTATTTGATAAATGGTGCTGGGAAAACTGGCTAGCCATATGTAGAAAGCTGAAACTGGATCCCTTCCTTACACCTTATACAAAAATTAATTCAAGATGGATTAAAGACTTACATGTCAGACCTAAAACCATAAAAACCCTAGAAGAAAACCTAGGCATTACCATTCAGGACATAGGCATGGGAAAGGACTTTGTGACTAAGACACCAAAAGCAATGACAACAAAAGTCAAAATTGACAAATGGGATCTAATTAAAATAAGAGCTTCTGCACAGCAAAAGAAACTACCACCAGAGTGAACAGGCATCCCACAGAATGGGAGAAAATTTTTGCAATCTACCCATCTGACAAAGGGCTAATATCCAAAATCTACAAAGCACTTAAACAAATTTACAAGAAAAAAATCAAACAACCCCATCAAAAAGTGTGCAAAGTATATGAACAGACACTTTTCAAAAGAAGACATTTATGCAGCCAACAGACACATGAAAAAATGCTCATCAGCACTGGCCATTGGAGAAATGTAAATCAAAACCGCAATGGGATACCGTCTCACACCACTTAGAATGGCGATCATTAAAAAGTCAGGAAACAACAGGTGCTGGAAAGGATTTGGAGAAATAGGAACACTTTTACACTGTTGGTGGGACTGTAAACTAGTTCAACCATTGTGGAAGACAGTGTGGCGATTCCTCAAGGATCTAGAACTAGAAATACCATTTGACCCAGCCATCCCATTACTGGGTATATACCCAAAGTATTATAAATCATTCTACTATAAAGACACATGCACACATATGTTTATTGTGACACTACTCACAATAGCAAATACTTGGAACCAACCCAAATGTCCATCAATGATAGACTGGATTAAGAAAATGTAGCACATATACACCATGGAATACTATGCAGCCATAAAAATATGAGTTCATGTCCTTTGTAGGGACATGGATGAACCTGGAAACCATCATTCTGAGCAAACTATCGCAAAGACAGAAAACCAAACACTGCATGTTCTGACTCAGAGGTGGGAATTGAACAATGAGAATACTTGGACACAGGGTGGGGAACATTACACAATGGGGCCTGCCGTAGGGTGGGGGGAAGGGGGAGGGATAGCATTAGGAGATATACCTAATGTAAATGACGAGTTAACGGGTGCAGCACACCAACATGGCACATGTATACATATGTAACAAACCTGCACATTGTGCACATGTACCCTAGAACTTAAAGTATAATAATAAAAATAAATAAATACAATAAATAAATAAATAAATAAAATGAAAAAATTGTCAGGCATGGTGGTGCATGCCTGTAATCCCAGCTACTAGAAGGCTGAACTGGAGAATGGCTTGAACCCGGGAGGTGGAGGTTGCAGTGAGCTGAGATCACACCACTGCACTCCAGCCTGGGAGACAGAGCAGGACTCCATCTCAAAAAAAAAAAAAAAAAAAAAAAAGAAACGTGTCCTGCCAAAACTTGCATGTTGTGAGAGGCAGCACAGATTTCTATTCTGTACAGACAATGCCCACAGCCATCAGCAGCAGCACTACCCCAATTGCTGTAATGCTTATTTTACCCCAGCATTGGCCTCAAACAATAGGACCAGTTATTTCTCCTAACCAAGGCTTCTTAGCACAGACTTTTTCATGTCTATTGTTATGTAATAGTAATCATTTCACAGTTGGAAAATGAAGATTTTCTGTTGAGTGTCCATGCTAGTTTTTCTATGGTGATACTAATACAGAAGTTGGTAGTGCAGCTCCCACTAAACCAAAAATATAAACCTATTCTGTTGTTGCTGCTTTTAAATTAATTTGGTTATATTGTCACTTGTTCATTCTGTATACTTTAATGTTGAAATTAGATGTTTTTCCTCATTCATCCAATGTAGCCACTTTCTAATTTTTATTCTAGTACAAGTTTTTGATTCATCCATCAATCATCAACTGAAGGAGGTAGAAAAAGAAGCAAGAGACATTTAACTTGTGATTTACTAATTTTATCTATAATTTGCTTCCAACATTTTTTCATGGTTAAAGTGATCAGAAGATGTGGATATTATTAGATTCCACATTTAAAAATAAATTGGTACACTGTATAAATGCTTTTTTACAGACTGCTACATAGTTGAACCAGGAGCATCTCTGTACTTCAGAAGAGTTCCTTATTTTAGCTTTATTAATTCAAGAGTTCCATGTTGGATACCAGCATTCACACATTTAAAAAATAGAAATTTATACATGTGATGCTATAACACCTCCCAGATTTCCACCTATAAGCATACAGAGGCAGTATCCTCAAAAACACCAAAATTATGTCTTTTGTGGAACACGTTGTACTATATCACTAGTTAAGCATCACATTTATTTTGCAATAGATTTAAAGTACAAACCTAGTTCATTCCAGGCATTTCCCTCTATCATCACTAGGTAGACATACAAGATTTGTGTCTGATCTCCAGTTTTCTAAGAACGTGCACTAACTTCTTTTCTTTTCCTAAAATCATTCTGGGGAAAGACAAAATCTTTTATAAAAAAGAAATTATTTCCTTCTCAATCTAAACCTCAATAGAAACTTCACATGTATTGCCTTAGAAACGATGAGGAGATTCCTTTCGATCTGTTCCAATAGAAGAACCATATTTTCTGTCCTGCCTCCTCAGTGTTTGGGTTTCCATTTTATCACTTCCCACTTCTAGGAATCCACAAATCACAATGAGTCTGTTGGTTGCCTGGTTTACTCTTTAGCACCACATCAGTTAGTTATTAATTCAGTCTCAGTGATGTTCATCGAGCGTCAGTGGTGGTAGAGTGTGTTCAGTGTATATCTATGGATTACTCTGTATTGGGTACAGAAGTACCTCTCAAACAATTCAGTTTCGTTTTTTATTAGAGTGCCATAGTTTCTCTCTCTACTCGGCATTTTATGCCCAAACCCTTGTGTATATATATGTGTGTGTGTGTGTTATGTGTATATATATATATATACACACACACACACAATTTAGATAAATATGTGTATATATACACATAGGTACATGACTACAAATATGTTTACATATAGCCAGAAATACATCCTAAATTACTTAATTACTTAATTCAATTACTTAAATTCCTTAATTCAACTCTGCTTAAATTACATGTATATAAACCTCCCTCTATCACATCTTAGGCAAGAGATTATTCAATATCTTCTTAAACATCCCTAAGGTTGTAAAATTGATTATCATTTAAAATTCTGTCTGCTGTAATTGTATAGAGTTATTCCCACAAAAAATCTACTCTTTCTACATATAGTATTCACCCAATGGACTTTTGTTTTCCCTTCCAGAACCATACACAATATATTTAATCCAAAGACAATTAATGACATAAGGTTTTCATGGCAACTTTATTATGTGCATTTTTTATTTCCAAAGAAATTAAGGACAAATTGAAAGACAAATATTTGAACAAAAATTGCCCAGTCACTAAGCCAAGGTTCCCAGATTTATAATTGTCACATCAATCATGATATGGGAATAAATTTGTGAAAAACGTATGATAGTAACAATGGAGTTATTTCTAGTACCAAAAATTGACAGCAGGAATCCATTACATAAAAAGTAGGAAAAGCACTCCAGCAGCTTCCTGAAAAATGCCTAAAAAAATCAAGTAAGGCAAATCCTTAAAAAGAAGAAAAATGTGAAAATAAAAGACACTAATGGTAAGAAGTAACATATAAAGACAGGTGTGACTTTCCAGTTTTGCTTTGAAAAAGCATTTAAAAGTTACATAACTCTTTAGATAACAAGAATTCTAAAGAAGAGCTGAATTGGAAGCTGTGACAGATGTTACTACAAAATCAATTCAAAAATTATTCTTTTTCCAAAAATAGTAAGTAGTAGGAAAGAGATTATCATGTTTTCTTATACCACCTGGGGATACATATCTCAGTGACATTCAAAAACAGGGAGGAAGAGTAGGCATAATAATTAAAACATGAACATTACATCCATGATAGCAATAGGAAATAGGGAGAGAAATTGTAAATAAGAGTCTGTGACTTTTCCTATTGTTTTTTTTAACTCTTAACTCTTGATTATTCAAAACACTTAATTATGCCTCCAAATTTGAATTTTAGTATACTAAAAATAATCAACAAACAAAAGATGATCAGTGGTGGTTTTCTGTAAAGAATAAAATTTAGAGGCTCAGAATTAATATATATTTGGCTGGGCAACAGTATAGTTGATTTAAAAAAACTCACATTTATATAATTATTCTTCTAACAACTCAGTGCTTGGTTAGGTGGTCAGATTATATTGCTTTCTTTTTCTTCATTTCTGAGCTGTCCCCTAAACCACCATCCTGGACCAGGAAAGCTGGCTTTGTCCCAAATAACAATCTAAATGTAGGCTGTCTACCAAGAGTCCCAGACATATACACAACAAGTCCAAGAACAATACTGTTTCTAACTATTCAGATCATTTAATTTGAATAAGATTGTTTGGGCATCTATGTGTTAGGCAATTAATTTTTCTAGGGATAAGAAAATCAATAAATATACATATATGACCATAAACACATGTGCACATGCACACATATACACACCCCAGCTCTATCACTTATTGTTTGAAATATCTTGCTAGAAATCCCTAAAACTAATTTTCTTTTCGGTAAAGTGGAGATAGTCAAAATTCCTAATGAGTTGTTGAAAAAGCGTATGAAACAATACATGAACACATTGCCTAGCCCATAAGATATACAGTCAGCCCTTCATATCTATGAATTCTGTATCTGCAGATTCTACCCACTGCTGATCAAAAATATTTGAAAGTATTTGAAAAAGAAAAAAATACAATACAACAATAAAAATAATACAAATAGAAAAACAATATACTATAAAAACTATTTATATAATATTTACATTGTATTAGATATTTTAAGTAATCTAGAAATTATTTAAATTATGCAGAATGATGTGCATTGGTTATAAATAAATACTATGTAACATCATTTTGTATAAGAGAATTGAGCATCTGCAAATTTTGATATCCATAGGTGTCTTGGAACAAATGCCCCATGGATACTGAGGGATGACTGTATTCAATAAACATGTTAATATGTATAGACTATTATTAAGTAGAGTTGTTTAAATAAATAAAAATTTTCTAGAACTTTATTTTAGAGCTCATGTATTTCAACAGCTTCTTCAGAGTGTTCAGATAAACTGGGTACCTGAGGCAATGAATCATTGACAATACAAAAAATATAACTCAGAATTCTTTATTCCAAGATCTTTTTATTTAAGTTTTCATTTAGTTCCTTGTAACCTTTTAGCCTGAACTTTACCTCCTACCTCTTCTTCATATATATATGCACCCTGGAGAAAGAAGAGGTAGGAGGTAAGGTTTAGGCTAAAAAGTTACATATATATATAAATAGATTATCTACAACTTCAGCTACAATGATAACTTGGGCAAGCTTTATAAGAATTCCTAGCAGAAGCTGAACAGAATTCAGGTCCTGACTCCTAATTAACTGTTTTTTTGGAGATAGTATAGATGCTAAAAAATGAACAAACTAACAAATGAACTAATGAACTAATATATGTATATTCCTGTGTTAATCCTTTTTGCATTGCTATAAAGGAATACACAAGGCTGGGCAATTTATAAAGAAAATAGGTTTATTTGGCTCACAGTTCTGAAGGCTGTACAAGCATGGCTTCAGCATCTGCTTGGCTTCTGGTAAGGGAATTCCATATGAATATAGAATAGCTCATCCTGCCCAACTGAAACTACCATAACAGTGAGAACTATGTTGTAATGTGAATAGAATTTATTTGATGATTTCTAAAAACAAATTGACTTTTGTTTTCCAGTTATTATCAGAAAAAGAAGGACATGAAATATCACTGACTACTAGTAACTTTTACTTAATACATGAGATTCATGAAGGAAATGTATCTTTTCCAGGCTGAAAATTTCACTATCACTACCAATATGGGTAAAATTATCACACCTTCCCTTAGGTGTGAATATGCCTAGATAATATTCTAGAGTTACCATATATTATTGTAAGATATACACTGTAAAGGAAAAAGCATCATGCCAAAAAGATCATGGCATTCAGGCAGCCCAGAAGTCAGGACTGGTGGAGCCACCCTGAAATCCTCAGTCGCCTTTAACACACACACAAGATGGTTTCATCTCAGAAACAAATTCCACACTTCCCTTTCCTCTCCATTTCATGGCCAGTGCTGTTCCTCAAATGTTTATCATGCCCTGGATCGAGTATTAACTGTGTCACTCTTTTTCAGTCTTCCCTTACTGTAGGTAATCCTTTATCACATCACGTTATCATTGTTATTCATGTTGTCACTGTCATCTTTGGTGAAACTCCAAATGAAACCACTCTGCTCCCACATGGCCCACTCCTTTACTTTCCAGCCACTCAGTCTTTCTTATTGCTTCTCAAACAAATCATATATTCTTTTTTTTTTCTTTTTTTAAAAGACAGGGTCTCAATCTGTTGCCCAGGCTGGAGTGCACTGACATGATCTTAGTTCATTGCAACTCTGCTTCCTGGGCTCAAGGGATCCTCCCACCTCAGCTTCCCAAGTAGCTGGGACCACAGGCATGTGCCACCAAGTCCAGCTATTTTTTGTATTTTTTGTACAGATGAGGTTTCACCATGTTGCCTGGGATGGTCTCAAACTCCTGAGCTCAAGCATCCACCCACTTCAGCCTCCCAAAGTGCTGGGATTACAGGTGTGAGCTACCATACCCGGCAAATCATATATTCTTTAACTTTATTTGTGTTTTGTTTCCTCCGAATGAAATAATTTTACTTCTGTTCATGATGAACATTTTTCTGTCTGTGGTCTTCTTAATAAGAAAAAAAAACCATCCTACTTCCCTGCTCGTTTAATAGCAGTTGAATTGTATCTGTCTTCTTCACCAGACGAAAGATTCTCAAAGAACTCTTGTTCAACTTTACATCCTCCTCTATATCCAACACCATGATATAGTATCCTAACATAATATGCATTCAAGGAATACTTGTTGAATAAATCATTAGGCTGAATAATGTCCTATAATTTTTGTACTAGAAAATAATGTCGTTTGTATGTGAACTAAATACTTGAGTATTAGGTATGTTTTTTTCTAGACGAGTTCAAGTATTTTCTCTCCTCTTCAGAATGTGATCTAACTGAGAAACTGTGTGAAGAGTGACTTTACAATAGCGAAAAGTAGGAAAAGAGGAAGACAATCACTCATACTTGAGTTAGACATAAACACAGATTCTTAGATCTAAAGACTATTTGAAATAAAACCAATGTGTAATTTTTAAATTAATTCCATACTTTTTTGAGTATCCAGAGTAGAAATTAGCTTCTTAAAAAGAAAAAGAAATTCATTATCTATCACAAACCAAACAACTAGCTAGAAATATACAACTTCAGGAAAGTATGACTTTCACTCCTGAGTGCTACTTGATAAATTCTGTCTAAGATCTTATGCATCATTTATCTTTATTTTGGTCTCCACTGATTCATTCATTCACCCAGTAAACATACTGTGTTTCTATCTGTTTATAAAAGCTTAGGCTCAAACCTGAGGTTTGCATCCCTCTTCCCACACTCTCACTGGGAATCAAGGAGCCATAATTCCAATATATGAGAATTATGAAATCAAGGAGCCATAATTCTAAAACGTGAAGTGTTTATCAGAGAGAGTAGGTCAGGTGTGGGAGGAAGAGAGGGTACTAGTCACTTCACTGAGATTTTAGAATAAGGATGTGAGTAGTGAGATACAAAGCCCAGGAGTTGAGAGAATGCTAAAAATAATCCACTTCATAACACTTGTAGGCTTATTCTCAATCTATAAAATATGAATTAATTAACTCTGAATTGAAGCCTCCACTAACACCACCTTAGAGGAAAAAACAGCCAGAGTCATAAAAGTGGCACCAAGGAAAGTGGGGCATTTTCTATACTATAGGCAAGAACTGACTTTTTAGCCACCAGAACTGTTCAAAGAATAGAGGACATCCCTGAAGAAAAATATCACATGAAGAGGACTCCACAAAGAATTTAGAAAACCCAACCCAAAATTTCTGCATTCCAATTTATTCATTCATTTATTCAACATTTATTCATAATTACTGTATTCACCACAAGGGACATAGAAATACACAATAGACATAACCTTTGCCCTCATAAAGCTTATAATACAGTAATAGAAATATTAATTGATCAGTTAACCAAAAACAGACATAATTCTATTTTTGTTCATTGAACACATAATCATATTTAGTGGAATGCAATCAATCATCTGGTGGGCCAAAACATAGAAAGTAAACTGACTTAAATAAGGAGAACTTTTTATTTATTTAATGAAGTTAATGCCTACTATATGTCAGACATAACAATGGATTCAGTGGGGAGAGTAAAAAGCATGTACAAGACAGAGTCCCCTATCCTGCACATAGTATATGGCTTAATAGGAAAAACTGGCATAGATATCAACACACACACCTATAGTATGATGTGATAGCAAGGACATATAATAGAGCCCTTTGCACATTATCTCTACTGTATGTACACATAGAAAAAGCAATCAGAATACAGAGAAAAAAATTTTTTTTTAATTTCAATAGTTTTGGGAAAACAGATGGTTTTTTGTTACATAGATAAGTTCTATAGTGGTAATTTCTGAGATTTTGGTGCCCTCATCACCCAAGCAGTGTACACTGCCCAATGTGTAAACTTTTATCTCTCATCCTCCCCCACTACTTCCCCCCAAATCCCCAAAGTCCATTATATCATTCTTATGTCTTTGCATCCTCATAGTTTAGCTCCCACTTATAAGTGAGAACAAGGAATATTTGGTTTGCCAGTCCTGAGTTACTTCACCTAGAATAATGGTCTCCAATCCCATCCAACTTGCTGCAAATGCCATTATTTCGTTCCTTTTTATGACTGAATAGTATTCCATGGTGTATATATATCACATTTGTTATATGCACTCATTGATTGATGGGCACTTGGGCTGGTTTCATGTTTTTGCAATTGCAAATGTTGTAACTATAAACATGTGCGTGCAAGTGTCTTTTTCATATAATTAATTCCTTTTCTCTGGGTAGATACCCAGTAGTGGGATTGCTGGATCAAATGGTAGTTCTACTTTTAGTTCTTTAAGGAATTTCCACACTGTTTTCCATAGTGGTTGTATCAGTTTCATTCCTACAAGCAGAGTAAAAGTGTTTGGTTTTTACCACATCCACACCAACATCTATTTTTTTTTTATTTTTAAATTATGGCCATTCTTGCAGGAGTGAGATAGTATCACATTACAGCTTTAATTTTCATTTCCCTAATAATTAGTGATGTTGAGTATTTTTTCATATGTCTGCTGACCATTTGTATATCTTCTTTTGAGAATTATCTATTCATGTCCTTTGCCCGCTTTTTGATGGGGTTATTTGTTTTTTTCTTGCTGATTTGTTTGAGTTCCTTGCAGTTTCTGAATATTAGTTCTTTGTGGGATGCATACTTTGCAAATATTTTCTCACATTCTGTGGGTTGTCTGTTTACTCTGCTGATTATTTCTTTTGCTGTGCAGAAGTTTTTTAGTTTAGTTACATCCCATCTATTTATTTTTGTTTTTGTTGCATTTGCTTTTGGGTTCTTGGTCATGAAGTCTTTGCCTATGCCAACAACTAGAAGAGTTCTACTGATGTTATCTTCTAGAATTTTTATGCTTTCAGGTCTTATATTTAAGTCTTTGATCCATCTTGAGTTGAATTTTGTATAAGGTGAGAAATGAGGATCCAGTTTCATTCTTCTACATGTGGCTTTTCAATTATCCCAGCATCATTTGTTGAATAGGGTGTCCTTTCCCCCCCTTTATATTTTTGTCTGCTTTGTCAAAGATCAGTTGGCTGTAAGTATTTGGCTTTATTTCTGAGTTCTCAATTCTGTTCCATTGGTCTATGTGCCTATTTTTATACCAGTATTATGCTGTTTTGGTAACCATGGCCCATAGCCTTGTAGTATAGTTTGAAGTTGGGTAATGTGATGCCTCCAGATTTGTTCTATTTGCTTAGTCTTGCTTTGGCTATGCAGGGTCTATTTTGATTCCATATGTACTTTAGGATTGTTTTTTTCTAGTTTTGTGAAGAGGGATGATGGTACTTTGATGGGAATTGCATTGAATCTGTAGATTACTTTTGACAATATGGGCATTATTACAATATTGATTCTACCCATCCATAAGCATGGGATGGGTAGAATCAATATTGATTTCATATTTCCATTTGTGTTTCCGTTTGTTTGTGTCATCAATAATTTCTTTCAGCAGTATTTTGTAGTTTTCTTTGTAGAGATCTTTTACCTCCTCGGTTTGGTATATATCCAAGTTTTTTTGTTCGTTTGTTTGTTTTCAGCTGTTGTAAAAGGGATAGAGTTCTTGATTTTATTCTCAGCTTGGTTGTTTTTGGTGTTGAAGTTTCAAGATTTAGAACTTCTTTTAGCATTTCTTGCAGTTTTGCCTTGGTATAGCAGTGCTACTGATTTGTGTACACAGAATTTGTATCCCAAAACATTACTGAATTCATTTATCACATCTGGGAGCTTTTTGCATGAGTCTTTAGGGTTTTCTAGGGATATGATCATATCATTGGTGAACAGTGACAGTTTGACTTCCTCCTTACTGATTGGATGCCCTTGATTTCTTTCTCTTGTCTGATTACTCTGGCTAGGACTTCCAGTATTATGTTGAATAGAAGTGGTGAAAGTGGGCATCTTTGTCTTATTCCAATTCTCACAGGGAATGCTTTCAACTTTTCCCTGTTCAGTATAAGTTTGGCTGTGGGTTTGTCATAGATGGCTTTTATTGCTTTGAGGTTATGTTCTTTCTATTTCAATTTTCCTGAGAGTTTTAATCATAAGGGGTTGCTGGATTTTTGTCAAATGCTTTTTCTGCATCTATTGAGACAATCTGATAATTCTGGTTTTTAATTCTGTTTATGTGATGTATCACATTTATTGACTTGTATATGTTAAACCATCTCTGCATCACGGTTATGAATCCCACTTACTCACGGTTTATTATCTTTTTGATATGTTGGATTTGATTAGCTAGTATTTTGCTGAGGATTTCTGCATTTATGTTCATCAGGGATATTGGTCTATAGTTTTCTTTTTTTTGTTACATCCTTTCCTGGTTTTGGTATTAGGGTAATACTGTCTTCATAGTATGATTTAGGGAGAACTCCCTCTTTTTCTATCTTTTGGAATAGTTTCACTAAGTTTGGTATGAATTCTTCTTTGAATTTCTGATAAAATTCAGCTGTGAACTTGTCTGGTCCTGGACTTTTTTTTCTTGGCAATTTTATTACTATTTCAATCTTGCTACTTGTTATTGGTCTGTTCAGAGTTTCCATTTCTTCCTGATTTAATCTGGAAGGGTTGTATTTTTTCCAGTAATTTATCCATCTCCTCTAGATTTTCTAGTTTGTGTATGTAAAGGTGTTTGTAGTAGCCTTCAATGATCTTTTCTGTTTTCGTAGTATTGGTTGTAATAACTCCCATTTCATTTCTAATTGAGCTTATTTGGACCTTCTCTCTTCTTTTCTTGGTTAATCTCACTAATGGTCTATCAATTCCATTCATTTTTTCAAAGAACCAGCTTTTCATTTCATTTATCTTTTTGTATTTTGTATTCAATTTCATGTAGTTCTGCTCTGATCTTTGTTATTTGTTTTCTTCTGCTGGGTTTGGGTTTGATTTCTTCTTGTTTCTCTAGTTCCTTGGGGTGTGACCTTAGATCGTCTATTTGCACTCTTTCAGACTTTTTGATGTAGGCATTTAATGCTATGAGCTTTCCTCTTAACACCACTTTTGTTGTATCCCAGAGGTTTTGGTAAGTTGTGTCACTGTTATCATTCACCTCAAATATTTTTTTAATTTCCATGTTGATCTTGTTGACCCAAAAATCAAGAGCAGATTATATAATTTCCATGTATTTGTATAGTTTTAAGGATTCCTTTTAAAGTTATTATTCAATTTTATTCCACTGTGGTCTGAGAGGATATATAATATAATTTTGATTTTCTTAAACTTATTGAGACTTGTTTTGTAACCTATCATATGGTCTATCTTGGAGAATGTTCCATGTGCTGAATAAAAATATGTATACACTGAAGTTGTTGGGTAAAATATTCTGTAAATATCTGTTGAGTCCTGACCTTGTGATCGGCCTGCCTCAGCCTCCCAAAGTGCTGGGATTATAGGTGTGAGCCACTGCGCCTGGCCTCTCTGTCTTTTTTTTTTTTTTTAACTGTTGTTGCTTTAAAGTCTGTTTTGTCTGATGTGAGAATAGTTATTCCTGCTTGCATTTGGTTTTCATTTGCATGGAATATCTTTTTTCACCCCTTTACCTTAAGTTTATGTAAGTCCTTATGTGTTAGGTGAGTCCCTTGAAAACAGCAGATACTTGGTTAGTGAGTTTTTATTCATTCTGCTATTCTGTATCTTTTAACTGGAGCATTTAGGCCATTTACATTTAACGTTAGTATTGAGATGTGAAATATTGTTCTATTCATCATGTTAGTTGTTGCCTCAATACCTTGTTTTTTTCCTCCATTGTGTAACTGTTTCATAGGCCCTGTGAGATTTATGCCTTAAGGAGGTTCTATTTTGGTATATTTCAAAGTTTCATTTCAAGATTTACAACTTCTTTTAGCATTTCTTGGAGTGTTGGCTTGGTAGTGGCAAATTTTCTCAGCATTTGTTTGTCTGAAAAAGATTTTTTCTCTCCTTCATTTATGAAGCTTAGTTTTGCTGGATACAAAATTCTTGACTGACAATTATTTTACTTCAGGAAGCCAAAGATGGGACCCCAATCCCTTCAGGCTTATAAGGTTTCTGGTGAAAATCTTCTGTTAATCTGATAGGTTTCCCTTTATCAGTTATCTGATGCTTTTGTCTCACAGCTCAAGATATTTTCCTTTGTCTTGACTTAAGACAACATGATGACTATGTGCCTAGGTTATAATCTTTTTGCAATGAATTTCCAACATCTTCTTTGAGCTTCTTGTGTTGGGATTTTTAGATCTCTAACAAGGCCAGGGAAGTTTTCCTCAATTACTCTCTCAAATAAGTTTGCTAAACTTTTAGATTTCTCTTTTTCCTCAGGAACATCAAATATGCTTAGGTTTGGCCATTGAATATAATCGCAAATTTTTTGGAAGCTTTGTTCATTTTTTTAAATTCCCTTTTCTTTGTCTTGGCCTGATTGGGTTTATTTGAAAACCTTGTTTTGAAGCTTGGAATTTCTTTCTTCTACTTGTTGTAGTCTATTGCTGAAACTTTCCACTGCATTTTGTATTTATCTAAGTGTATCTTTCATTTCCAGAAGTTGTTTTTTCTTTATGATATCGATTTCTTTGGATAATGTTTCATCCATATCCTGTAATTTTTAAAAATTTCTTTAACTTGTTTTTCACTTTACTCTGGTATCTCCTTGAGTACCTTAATAATTGACCCTTTGGATTCATTTTCTGGCAGTTCAGAGATTTCTTCTTATTTAGATTCATTGCTGGGGAGCTGGTGTAATCTTTTGGGGGTGTTATAGAACCTATTTGGTCATAGTACCAGAATTACTATTCTGGTTTCTTCTTATTTGGGCACACCATTTCATTGGAGAAGTCTGAAACTCAAGGACTGCTGTTCAGATTCTCTTGTCCCACAGGGTGATCCTTTGATGTGGTGCTGTCCCCCTTCCCCTACAATGGGGATTCTTGAGAGCTGGACTGCAGTGATTGTTATTGCTCTTCTGGGTCTAGCCACCCAGCAGGGTTACCAGGCTCTGGGCTGGTGTTGAGGAATGTCTGCAAGGATTCCCATAATGTGATCCATCTTCAGGTCTCCCAGCCACTGATACCAGCACCTTCTCTGATGGAGGTGGCAGGGAAGTGAAGTAGACTCTGTGAGAATCCTTGGTTGTAGGTATGTTTAGTGGTCTGGCTTTCTTGAATGCTGGTTATGATAGCAGTGAAGTTGTCATGTGGACATGCTCAGGACCTCTGGTTAGCCAGGATGTTGCAGACAGTAGAATTAGGTGTTGTCTTCTCCTTCTTGAGATCAGGGTCATTCTGTCATGAAGTGTCACAATGGCCTGAGTTGCTTGGCCTCCAACCAGGAGGTGGCACTTTCAAGAGAGCACCAGCTGTGGTAGTAGTCAGGAGCTCTAGGCTTGCCCTAAGACGGCCAAGGTAAGTATTTTGGTTTCTCAGGCAATGGGCAGGGCCTTAAAGCTCCCAAGGGTGCCTATGCTTTGTGTTTGGCTACCAGGGCGTCAGGGAAATACCATCAGATGGGGGCAGGATTAGGCAAGGCTTGGCACAGACTCTCCTTGGGTGGGGCACTTTCTGTGGCTACTATGGGGTGGGGGGTTGCTTCTCAGGCCAATGGGGTTATGTTCCAGAGGAGATCTTGGCTGTCTCTGCTCTGATCATATAGTTTGCCAGGGAAGTCAGGGATAACCATTTTTGAGAGGCCTCACCCAGTTCCCATGCAGGTAGTGAGGCCAGTCTTGTTCTGGCAGTGCTCCACTCAGACCTTGCCCCAGGCTGTGAGATACCCTGCTGAGAAAGCAAGCACAGCTTTTGGACCTTGCCTCTCCCTGTTTGGCCACTACTGTACTCCTGCGCTCATTCATATCCACAGCAGCTCTGGCTAGTCCCCCAGACTCCACTCAAGGAAATTTGTGCCAAGTGGGAGCCACTACCAATTCCAGTTGGGAGCTTCCTTCACCTGGCAACCCCTCCCCAGTTCTGCTGGCTGCCTTCCCTGAGGGCCCCTGTGAGATATAGTCAGGGACAGCTTCCCTGGGTTTGAGCTGGAGACTGAGAGTGTGTCCAAAGCACTTCCTACTGGTGCTTATACTTTTATATTTAGTGTGACTCCCTAAATCTGTTTAGTCTCTAGGTAAGGTTAAATCCGTCTCCCATAATCCGGACTTTTAGATTCCCCGGTAGGGCTGTGTGTTCAGAGGTAGATTCTCCCCCCTCACACTGTGGGGACTTGCCTGTTTCATGGAATTTGCAGTGATGTGTCATTTCTTTCAAAATATCTTGCATTTTTTGGTGTTCCTGGTACATTCCTGCAGTTGTTCTTGGAGCAAAGATCATGGTGTGAGTCTCCACATGCTGTTCTGTCTGTCCATGTGAGGACTGCACATTACTCCTGTCTCCTATCTACCATCTTCCCCCAATCTCTCCAAGAATTTGTTATTCTTTTATGCTATTATTTTGAAATGTTTAAATTTACTATAAGAAGGATCTAATACTAGCTCAGACACCGGCCAAAATTTCTGGACTGCATGTTCGTCTTATTCTTCCCTTTGCTCATCACTGTAACCTCAGTAAGTTCTTCCCATTAATCCAGTTATAATACAAGTATAAAACCATATCTCAAACCAGATAATATTCCTCCTGAGACCAAACCCTAATTCTTAGCCTTGCCAGTAAATTAACCTCCACTAATTTGGTCATCCCTTTTATATAAGTTGTGTCAGTACCAAGTACTAGCACCTTTACATACTAAACCATGGTCCCATAAACCTGCCCTCTCCTGCTATAGTTAGCTTATTGAAAATGCATGTTGAGTTCATTCATTAAACAAATTATTGTACAGTGTTACAATGAGTTAAACTTGGGAAGTGATACAAAGAGGATCAAAATAAAGCCCTCATCTTCAACAATTTTATATTCTATTGCAATGAATATCCAAAAGGCATTAATTTTAGTAGGCCACTTAAATCACATATCATTTATAAAAATACAGCAACAGAAAAGAGTACCTTACTCAAATTGGAAGATGGGAAACCTTCATCAGTGTAATGTCCATAAGCCCTAGTTGCCCTGAATAGTCCTTGTTTACACTTGTTGTCCTGATATATTTTTTAATAGTCTTAATTCACTTTAAACATGTCCTCACTCAGATGATAAATGATGTTCATCAGAAGGTTATATCTTAGTTAATGCTGTTAAGAAAAATGGAGTAAAACCAAATGAAAAAGTAAGAAAAGGGCATTCTAAACAGAGAGTATATCATCATGTGCAAATCATGAAGGTAAAAGTATGAAATGAGTAATTGCAAAAAAAAATCAATATAACTGAAATATGGCATTCAAAGATTGGCAATAATGTGAAGCTGGCAAGTAAAAAAGGAACTACATAAGCCTAATCCTTTAAGTAATAGGGAATGACTGAAGGCTTTCAAGTAGTCAGATGGAGAGAAGAAACATGACACTACATGCACTTGGAAAAAATCTACTGTTGGACAAAAGGTGGAGGAGTGAAATAAGGAATTTGAAGCAACATGATGCTGAATAACCATTAAAACATAGGCTTTTGAATCAGACCTATCCAGGCTCAAGTCACACTCTAATTTAAATCCTGACATTACCTCTTGCAATGCTATTGCAAAACTTGCAAAGCTTCCATTGCAGCTTTGTTGCAAGCACAGACACTAGATTTGGACTGCTGAATCTGATACCTAGTTCACATACTTACTCTCTATGACTTTGGGAAGCTATTTATCCTCACTATGCCTCAGCTTCATTATGCACATAATAAAGAAAATAATTCTCCTTACTTCATAGAGTTTTAATTAAGGTTAAATATGTTAATATAGATATTTTCCTTAGAATGGTACTTGAACCATGGTAAGCACCTTCTGCTCACTTATGTCTTGCTTGAGATTTATTCAAGATGAAATAGATATTTCTTGAAATTTTTCATAATTATTATGAGTTAAATGTTGGCTGACATAACATTTGTAGAAAATTTAAGACATTGCTTAGTACTGAAAAGGAAAGGAAAGAAAAAGAAAAATTAGTGACTTCCAATTCCCAAAACAAGCTCTGCTCTATCCATAACAAAAGAATGGAGCAGCAAAGATACTTCTTTACATGTCACAAGCTTTTTTCCATTTTATTAGCTCAAAATAAACAGTCTTAAAAAATGACAAGAGGAGATCTTTATTGGAATGATATCTTCACAATTATATTAAAGACAAATATCTCCAGCTGTTAACGATAATAGTAACAGCAACAATAGTAGATGATAGAACATCCTTACTATATGTATTTATTTCATTACTAGTGCATTATGACTGTAAGAATTAAAGAAAGAGGAGAGAAACACGAAGGATGGCTTTTCAGTCAACAGGGACAAGTTTATTTTAAACAAACCTGAGAGGGGTGGCTGGACGAGTTAGGTCAGAGCCACACTCTCATACAGACTGAGTTCCTAAGGATTCAGGGTGGGAATGTTTATCAGAGGCTTGGACTGCTTCTGTGTCTCTTTGTTGTGCTTATCTGGAAGGGAGAGTTGTGTGTCTGTTCCCATACATCTTTCTGCAGCCTGCTTTTAGCTTTCCTATGTTAGTGCACCTGAAGGGAAAGGAATGTGCTTATTAAGGCCCACTGTTTTAGTGGGGCCCATTATATGAGGGTGAAGTTTGGCAGTTACCCAAGAGACTTTCCCCCAACCTCCTTCTGTGCCCAAGCTGTCTTATCTGTGTTCTACTGTCTGCTCTTTCTGGCTGCTTGAGTTAGAAGAGAAGAAATTTCCTTGAAATGCATGAGGCTAGAAAGGGAGCTGTACTGTAACTTAAAATGGCGGTGTTTGTCTGAGATGATGGTGCTCCTTTTCTATCAATCACCTTTTCAGATTTGCTTTAAATTTTACAAATTCTTTAATACTGGGTTACTTTCTTCAGTTCATCCCTATCCCTTGGAGCAATTTAAGTTATAAAAATATACATTTTAATATTTAAAGTAGTAGCTGGAAAAAAATATATATTAAATGCACATATACATGTATATTAGACATTATTGGTACTCCACACCTAGCAGGTATCCAAGGGGTTCCCTAGAGCAGCTCTACTTTAATCTATAGCTGTGGCAGACAGTTCTTGGACATACTGTAGACTTCCCTGCCCTAGCTCCTAGGGCATCTTACTCCAAAGGCACAGTCCATAAGTATAGTAGATAAACATTAGAAGCAACTTCAGTCAGTCAGAGATGGGTCTCAGTGAATGGATGTATGCCCCAGACTCACATTCTTTAGTGGGACAATTCTGAGATTCCTTCTACATAGTTTCCCAATAGATCCACAGCAGGACTGTTACCACCTAGAGTAACAATCTGCTCAATAACCCATTTTGCTCAATAACCCATTTTAATTAGCTTTTCATCCATCCTGTCTCATTCTCCCTACTCCTTCACTCCAGCATTCTGGGATCAACCCCCAAGTAATCTGTTCCTAATATGAATCTAAGGATTTGCTTTTGGGATAATCCAAACTATGACAAGAATCCCATTACATTAAAATTTTTAATCTGATCACCTTCAAAATTCAAAAGCATTTTAAATAAATTGGGTGGATAATCACATCAGTTGGCCTCCCTACCTGTCCTCATCTGTTTTCAGATTCATGACTTCCTTTACTTAGAACCACAATCATGTTGTTAATATAAAGAAAATTACATGCATCTTACTATTTCCAGCACCATATCTTTTTTCATCATTACAAAAAAAGAATCTTTTAATTTTGAATAGAAAACATCTATTCAAATATTCTATTGTAGAAAAGAACTTAATATTAACTATTTTGTAATAATTTTCAAGTTTCAGAGGAAATGCATCTCAACAAAAAAATTTTTTAATGTTGGACATATGGTCTCTTATTTTCATGGCCCTTAATCCCAGTCAATACAGCTCACACAATATATTGCTCAAGATTTATTCAACAAAACAGATATTTCTTGAAAAATATGAAAAATATTGTTCACTTTCTTTTTCTGTCAGACTGTTGACACAGTAGTGAATTGTTTATAAAATGAATGCTGTATCTTCCTTTCAGCTGACAGGTCTCTGTAGTTTTCTGTTTATTAGTTTTGTTTGTTGTGATTTAAAATGCAGGATCTATTTTTCCCCAGTGTTGTTGTCTTTATTTTTTTTCCTTAGTGAGCTAGAAGAAGATACACAGAACGTTTGCATTTACAAGTAACTATAGAGATGTCCTTCAAACCCACTTTGAATTTCCATTAAGCTCTCCTTGCACTCCTCAAATCTTAGAAATGTAAAATAATGTAATGCACAACTTAAGCCTTTTTTAGCTCTTTGTGTTAAAGTTATACAATATAGAAATTTATTTCCAGGGTCAGCGAAGTCATGTTATTGAAATCTCTTTAAACTGTTGGCATTACAATGAGAACAAGACTAATAGTATATTCAAAGCCATTATCTTTAAAAAGGGACATATTTTGTCATTCATCTTTCCACCCATTCATCCATCCATTCGTCAAACTTGTATTAAGTATCTATTAAGCCAGGCACTGAGCTAGGTGCCAGAAATAAATATCTCAGCCCCAACCTTGAATAACCTCAATCTAGTTGGATAAAGAAACATGTAAAAAATAGTTGACTTCTAATGTGACGGGTGTTTTAATAGAGGTGTTTTCTAGAGATGAAGGGGATATGGGAGCATGGAGACCCTAATTCTCTCCAGAAAATTTCACTGAGGAAGTCATATTTGAGGTGAGCCTTGAAGGACAGGTTATGCAGACAGGAAGGGAAGGTGAACATTTCAGGCACTTGCAAAGGCAACAATAAATAATATGCTTTAAAAAATTTTCATAAACAAGCTTGGTTTGTGACATGGTAAATCTTAATACCCCCAGGATATTGAGGCAAACTTATCCAGTAAAATAGCTGAGCAAAGTAGAAGTCCAGCCCCTCATAGCTGGTTGGTTTGGGGGCCAGGAATGGAGGAATCCTTGCCCATGTGCCTCCAGGAAAACGAATCCCCCACCACCCCATTCTCACCTGTGGGCTTTACTCTGTGCTTGTGCCAATCAGGGTAATTGTACTGAGGGCTTGAAGTGCATGTGCTCTGACGTAGTAGGGGGTTCATATTTAAAAATCTAGTTTAGAAAATAGATTTGGGCAGGATAGACAGAGGTGGAAGGTATTCATGCTTTTTAGTGGTAGCTGAATGTTGTGGATAAGGTTTCCCAAAAATGGGATATAGAATGAGAATAAACTTACTGAGCTTAAGAAGATCTAGCAATAGAAATGATTTAGACAAAGTAAAGAAAGAACCAAAATTGGTTCAAAAACAGATATTTCTAAAAAAAAGTCAAATGTGACAAATACCAAAGTGATAAAGTAAGAAGAAAACTGTAAGATTTCCAACTTGTAAATTAATATAATATTTTATTTATGGCCATTGATAAGTTGTGTAAAAATATTCATACTTCCCAGATGAAAATGGAAAATTCTAAAAGTCAGTAACATTAACCATGAAGTATTTCCAATGCCAGTATGGACATGATATGTCATAATAAAGTTAGAGTTCCTGTATATTGAGATGATAACCTAGCATGTTTTGAATAGCACAATTGAAATTCAAAAGATGAATTGGCTGCTGTTCTATACCTACACATTCTGCTTTTTCTAAACAGAACACATTTACTCTGTATTTCTATTTTTTCTAATTTGATATATGTAGTCTGAGAGCTGTCTGCAAGCACTTAGTGATACATGACTTAAGACTTCAAAGTAGCAAGGTTGTCCTACTCTCAAAGCTAATAATCATCTAGCATCCCATTAACTAGAATTAATTTTGTCTGAACAGGGAAGCAGATATATGGTGAATAACAAGCCCCTTTGCCTAGGTTGTGTGTGTGTGCACATATACATAGACATATATGTATATTAAAATAATATATTTTAGAATATATTACAGATTATAGATATATGCTAAAAGATAATTATGTAAACTTCAAGCTACCTTTATGTTTCAGGTGTATTATATTAAGCAGTATTCCCTTTAAAAAGACCATATAAATAAGAATAATATTTGTTTACCCACAGGAAAAGAACAAAGAACCTCAGAATATCTGACTGAAATAATGATTTCTGTTAATAAAACATCTTACTATACATGGGATTATAAAAATCAGGAATGTGTCCTCAAAGAAAAGTCTTATCCCTAGTAGAATAAAAAATAATCCGAGGCAGGCAGATCTATTGAGGTCAGGAGTTTGAAACCAACATGGTGAAACCCTTTCTCTACTAAAAATACAAAAATTAGAGAGGCGTGGTGGTGCATGCCTGTAATCCCAGCTATTCGGGAGGCTACACGTTACATGCAACAACTATTTTCAATTATGTTTATTTAAAAACATTTACAATCAGTATAGCTTTCTATTTTATTGCCCGTGGTTTAGGAGGCTTCAATCAACATTTGATATTGATAATGATAATGACCATACTAACAATATAAACCAAATACTCCATGTTACTTTGATCACACAATTATTTCTCTATCAATGTTTTGTTATTATCTAAGAAAAATAGTAATTAGATTTCCTTAAGCCCTTGGCATGAGATATACTCTATGCTTAATTTCAGTCCTGTGTTAACTGAATTAGTAGTTTCAGCAGTTGTACTCTCAAGGTAACCTTGGTAAAGTATTCAGTTAAAGGGAGTACAGCTATTAAACCGTATAGCTGGTTCTAAACTAGGCCTCTTTAAGGCCAAAGTTTGTGCTCTTAATCACTATGCTGAAATCAGCAAACTCAAAAGATTGTTAACCAACACATCTATGTGTTAACAAAAAATGCATACTCTCACTTTGAATATTTGATGGCAAGAGGGAAACGTATTTGCCCTTTATTGTCCCTACCTGCCTCAACCACTCTTGATGGATTTTGAAATACAAAATAAACAATTTCAGTCCAAGCGCAGTGGCTTATGCCTGTAATCCCAACATTTTGGGAGGCTGAGGTGTGTGGATCACCTGAGGTCAGGAGTTCTAGACCAGCCTGGCCAACATGATGAAACTCCGTCTCCACTAAAAATACAAAAAATTACCCTGGAGTGATGGTAGGAACCTGTAATCCCAGATACTCAGGAGCCTGAGGCAGGAGAATCTCTTGAAACCGGGAGGCAGAGTTTGCAGTGAGCCGAGATCGCACCACTGCACTCCAGCCTGGGGGACAGAGTGAGACTTTGTCTCAATAAATAAAGTAATTAATTAATTCATACCAGAGAAAAGAATGAGAGGTGTATCAGAGAATGGAATAAATTTCAGAAAATGTTTCAAAGATGAAGGTATATGCAGGTAGATTTTCAGATGAAAGAGCAGGAATACAACAAAACCAAAGGCCAGAATATGTCATAAAAATATTGCTGAGTAGGCTGAACATATTCTCTTGAAAATTGCCCAAGGAGGATTTGGGCTCAAAGTCAACTGGTAGAACAAAGGGCCAAAGTGAAAAATAAGACTGAAAACAAGAAGATTCATTAAAAATATTTACATACAATAAATTTACCAGTTAGTAACTTAATTTCTTCTCCAGAACCAAAGCAAAAACAGGCAGACATTTCCCCAGCTATGACACTTGATAGCATGCACTAAGATTATGAAATAATATGTTTGGAGAGAGCCAAAGTATGACACTAAAGTAAGCACTCTCCACATAGTCTTATTATTTTATTTGTGTGGCCCACAGTTTACCAGACAACTATCTATCTATTCCTCCAGATCTATCAGTCAATATGCCCCATTCCATCCCATACCTTGCTTCAAGTTAAATTTCTCAATTGCCCAAGGAAACAGATCTACATAAAAAGAGTCAAAGGAAATCACACTTTCATAATAGCTGTCTTAAATATGTACAGATAATTAAGAATCACTATATATAATATTAGAAGCATCAAAGTTAAAATTTAAAATAAACATAGTAAAAGTGATCATTGGAAAAAAATACGACTCCAAGAACAGAAAACAGCCTTTAAAAATCTTTAGACAGGGAGAGGGATAGCATTAGGAGAAATACATAGTGTAAATGATGAGTTAATGGGTACAGCAAACCAACACAGCACATGTAAACCTATGTAACAAATCTGCACATTGTGCACGTGTACCCTAGAATTTAAAGTACAATAAAAAAAAGAAAAAAGAAGCTTTAGTTATATAATCAATGATTTTAAGAATATATCATAAAATAGTAAAATAATAACAGAATGATATTTATTTAAACATAAACAAGAAAAAGCTCTTAGAAAAAAATTCTCCAAAAAGGAATAAAATTAAACTACAAAATAGAGTAGAAGAAAGTTCCTAAAATATTTTAAAAATGCAGAAAGAGAAAATATGAAAGAAAGAATAAACAAAACAGAAGAATCTTCTAAGAAATCCAACATGTGAGAGTAGAAGGGAACAAAGAAAAATGAAAGGGGAGTGGATGCATCAGGCAGAATTCCTGATTTTACCCCAAGACTGTGAATATGATGAGATATGATGAGATTTCACTCCCGTGACTATATTACATTCCTCGGCAAAAGGGATTTTGCAGATGTGATCAGTTAACTTCAAGTTAATCAAAAAGGATATTGTCTAGATGAGCTCAATCTAACGGTACAAGGCTTTTAAAAGCAAAGGATCTCCTCTGGCTAATAACTGAAAAGGAAGTGAGAGATTTTAAGCATTAAGGGGATTCAACCTGTCATCTCTGGCTTTTAAGATGGAATGCGGCAGTGTGCCAAGGAACACAGGTAGCTTTTAGAAGCTGAGAGTGGTACCTGGATGATAGCCATCGAAGAAATGAGGACCTCAGTTCTGCAGTCACAAGGAACTGAATTCTGCCAACAACCTGAAAGAGCAAGGAAACAGATTCTCCCCTACAGCCCCCAGAAAGGCATAGCCCTACTAACTAAATTGTGATTTCAGCTTTGTGAGGCCCTAATTGTAGAACCCACTGGAACCCACCTGAACTTCTGACCTAAGGAACTGTAAAGTAATAAATGGGCATTGCTTCAAGTCATCAGATATTTGGTAATTTGTTACATAGCAATAGAAAGCTAACAGAAGGGAAATGATGATGGATGATGATAATGATTATAGTAATAGAGAATTCCACAGATCTGAGCAGGCCATGAGTTTTCAAATCAAAATGACCCAAGCGGGGAATAGAAGCTACTTACAGAAAAATTAAGACTGAATGGATATCAGAGGCTGTAGACCACCAGTGACTAAGTGTCCAGTTTTTTAATACAGACATTCTAATTTGAATCCTGACATGGCCACTTAGTAGCTTTGTGATCTTGGGTATGTTACTTAACCTGTCAGTGCCCAAGTTTCTTTTTTGTAGAATAGGTATAACAATATTACTGCATAGTGCTGTTGTAAGAATTCAATGATTACATACATATAGATATGATGTAGGTACAAATATAAATACAAATATAGCTTTGGTGCTAATAATTTCTGGCACAAATTAACCACTTGATATGTTTAAGCTCTTATTTTCAGATATTTCATCAACAACACTAGATACTCAAAGGTAATGAAATAATGTCTTCAAGTTTCTCAAGGGAAAACATATTTCAAAATTAGAATTTCAAGTACTGTAAAACTATTAAGCAGATTTAAAACCAAGATATTTTTAGACATGTTTATATAATATACCTGCTATAGGAAATTTTTTTGAATCTATAATACTACAAGAATATGAGGAAAGGAAAGATGACTTGAGATCCAGGCAATGAACCAAACTTGGGTGGTAATAAAGGAAAATATCTGAATGATTGTTCTTCTCTAAAAATAATTACCTGTCTATATTGTAGCAAGGAGGCAATATTAGTTAAAATAATGTATACTATGTATATTGTTTAGAACTTTTCATTTCTATCTATATCCAACCCATGGTAAACTTAGTAATGGTTTCAGGATAAAATATCAAAATTACCAGCTTGATAACATGAAGGTAAAGTGGAAAGTAGAGGGAAAAAAGTGGAGACTGCAGCTGGAATAATAAATGTATTATTTAAAGTTTAAAATGCAACCAACAGAAGAAAATAATTACAATAAAAATAAAATAAGGGCCCAGCGCAGTGCCTCACGCCTGTAATCCCAGCACTTTGGGAGGCCGAGGCAGGTGGATCACCCGAGGTCGGGAGTTCAATATCAGCCTGGCCAACATGGTGAAACCCTGTCTGTACTAAAAATACAAAAAAAAAAAAAATTGGCCAGGCCTGGTGGCGTGGGCCTGTAATCCCAGCTACTTGGGAGGCTGAGGCAGAAGAATCACTTAAGCCCAGGAGGTGGAGGTGGCAGTAAGCTGAGATCACGCCATTGCACTCTATCCTGGGCAAAAAAAGCCAAACTCTGTCTCAAAAATAATAATAATAATAAATAAAATAATAAATAAAAAATAAAATAAGAAGAGTAGGAGGAGAACAAGAGATGTAAGTGAACTACTCCCAAACACTCCTATTTTTCTCCTGATGCTTTGGGTAGCTGCTGCACTGCCTGAGCCAGCCTCTCCATTACTTCACTAGAGCCCACTCAGCCTCTTTTCAAGAAGGACATTACTCTCAATTCCCCCTTCTCCCTTCTGCATAATCATTTTTCTTCCTTTCCTGGATCCTTCCCATTGATGTACACACATAAGTTCTTACACCCTAACAAAACAAATGAAAACAAAAACTTTTCTTGACTATATATCCTACTTCAGTCAACTACACCCCATTTTTCCAATCCCCTTAGAGCAAAACTCCTCAAAACTGACTGGATTCATTGTCTTGGACTCCTTTCCCTGTACTCTCTCTTGACCATACTCCAATCTAGCTTTTCCCCCAACCTCTACATTTAGACTCTCAGAATAATGCCTGAAAATAACAGCTACAATAAAAGTGACATTTTATGATAAGCAATCAAAAGATAATTTTTTAAATTGGTAAAGCAAAAAATAGAGATGTAACCATATTAGTTACTTAAGAATATCAGAAGGAGAGCAATAATTCAAAAAGATTTTCCCTGAACAATGGGTCAAGGGTTAGGAGAGAAGAGCCTAGTAATTTTACGTTTCACCACAAGTTCTTCTGATCTCATTGACTGATTAATATGTGTACATATGATCTGAGAAAATAATTTTAATTTATAACAGCGTTCACTTTCTGCTGTTAGCTACAGAAGTTTCAGATTGCCACACAGGAAACTAAGAGTTATCTTTTTAAAAAGTCATCTGTCTTTATGATACCTAAAAGTAGAAACTTCTATTATAGTTGGATACTTTTACTCAGGAAAATGCTATTACTAATTATCTGAGGACCTAAAATGACAGACCAACATAAAATGACAATAGAGGGCTGATACAAAATGACAGCCTCAGGATTTTAATCTCATGCTGTTCCAAGTGACATTTATAATCAGTACATTTTTAAAATCATTATCTGTTATAATGCAAAAATGTAACTATGTAATAACAATAATTACAACAACATTAGCCACTGGATAACATGTGGATAGGACCTGGATCAGAAAATGTTCTGAACTGGCCGGGTGCAGTGGCTCATGCCTATAATCCCAGCACTTTGGGAGGCCAAGGTGGGCAGATCACCTGAGATCAGGAGTTCGAGACAAGCCTGACCAACATAGTGAAACCCCCTCTCTACTAAAAATACAAAAATTAACCGGGCATGGTGGTATGCACCTGTTATCCCAGCTACTTCAGAGGATGGGGCAGGAGAATCACTTGAACCTGGGAGGCAGAGGTTGCAGTGAGCCGAGATCACACCATTGCACTCCAGCCTGGGCAACAAAGTGAGACTGTCTCAAAAAAAAAAAAAAAAAAAAAAAAAGAAGAAGAAGAAGGAAAGAAAAGAAAAGAAAGAAAGAAATGTCTAAACAAGATATTGCACAGGCTATGAGGAGGAGAGCAAGTGAGGACCCCATAGTGTCCTTCTTGGTCAGCTAAAGCACAGAAAAAGATGGCATAAATCAAATGCATGACCCAGGAATAGGGAGATTCCCATTTCACCTGAATCAAACACACACATGCATACACAAATACACACCACACACACACACCACACACACACACACCACACACACATCACACACACCACATACACATACACCACACACACACACAGCACACACCACACACACCACACACACACACCACACACACACACACCACATACACCACACACACACACGCACCACACACACCACACACACACCACACACACACCACACACACCACACACACACACCACACACACCACACACACACACAACATGCCTCCTGTAAATTTTTCACATGGGAAGATCTCATGTCTTTTCAAGATGAGTAATAATCAAAAAAGATTCAGCACAGGATCTATGCAAAGAATTACTAGTACATAGAAGAAAAGAAACAGACTTTTTTAATTAAGAAAGTTTTCCTGTGGATCAGTTAAAAATTTAGGCAAAGGATTTTCCCAATCACTCAAAAAGACAAACTTATAAGTTCCGATATTTAAAACAGCTCATATTGTAGTTCTATTTTTAATGTTTTTAAGAATCTTCATACTGTTGTTCATAATAGCTATACTAATTTATATTTCCACCAACAGTGTGCAATAGTTTCTTTTTCTCTATGCCCTCACCAACATTTGTTATCTCTTGTGTTTTTGATAATAGCCATCCTAACAGACATAGGGTAATATCTCATTGTAATTTTGATTTGTATTTCCCTGATAATTAGTGAAGCTGAGAACCTTTTCATAACCTGTTGGCCGTTTTTATGTTTTCTTTTTAAAAAAATAGAGTCTATTCAGGTCCTTCACCCATTTTTCAATAAGATTATTTGTTGGGGGTTTTTGGTCATGTTTCTTATATATTTGGAATATTAAACACATTATCAGATACATGGTTTGCGAGTATTTTCTCCCAATGTGTAGGCTATCTTTTTATTTTGTTGATTATTTCCTTTAGTATGCCGAAGCGTTTTAGTTTGATGCAGTCCTGCTTGTTTATTTTTGCTTTTGTAGCCTGAGCTTTTGGTGTGATATCAAATGATTATTGCCAACTGCTTTGGTTTTAATGTTTCCCTCCAAAATAGATACACTGTAACTTAAACTACCAGCATTTCGATCATAACAATTTAACAAGTCTCCAGGAAGTTCCAGATTTTCCCTTACATTCTTGTCTTCTGGGCTCTCCAGACTGTTCCAACCTCTGCTGGTTATCCAGTTCCAAAGCTGCTTCCACATTTTCAGCTGTTTTTATAGCAATGCCCCACTCTTGGTACTAATTTTCTATATTAGTTCATTCTCACATTACTATAAAGAAATGCCTGAGACTGGATAACTTAGAAAGACAAGAGGTTTAATTGGCTCACGGTTCCACAGGCTGTACAGGAAGCATGGCTTGGGAGGCCTCAGGAAACTCCTACTCATAGCAGAAGGAAAAAGCTTGAGTAGGCATCTTCACAAGCCTGGTGAAGGAGGAAGAGAGAGAAAGGGAAAATGCTACACACTTTTAACCAACCAGATTTTCTGAGAACTCTGTCACAAGAACAGCACCAAAGGGATGGTTCTAAACCATTCATGAAGGATTCGCTCCTATGATCCAGTCACCTCCCACCAGGCCCCACCTCCAACATTGGGGATTACAATTCGACATGAGATTTGTAATCAGACACAGATCCAAACCATATCACCCTCATAAATAGAATTATAGTCCCTTATAATACTATAATCTCAATAGTCTTACAGTCCTTTATAAAAAAGCTTGAGGGAGTAAGTTCATCCCATTTGCCATTCTATCCTTTGCCATGTGAGGACGCAGCATGTGGGCTTTTACTAGAGACCAAATCTGCCAGACCCTGATCTTAGACTTCCCAGCCTTTAGAACTGTGAGACTTACATTTATATTATTTGTAAATTAATTACTCTGTGGTATTTCATTATAGGAGCAGGAATGGACTAAATACCTAAATTAGTACCAAGAAGTGGGATACTTCTGTAACAAATACCTAAAAATGTCTAAGTGGCTTTAGAACTGAGTAATGGGGTGGATAGTAAAGGGTTATTCTGGTGAGGGCTCAGAAGAAGAGATTCAGGCTGTAGAAAGGGCCCCAATCTTCTTAGAGATTACTTAAATAGCCATGATTATAATGTTAGTAGAAATATAAACAGTAAAGGGCATTCTGATGAGGTCTTAAGTGAAAATGAGGAATATCGTATTGGAAACTGGAGGAAAAGCCAACTTTATGATAAAGTGGCAGAGGACTTAGCTGAATATTGCCCATGTCCTAGGGCTTTGTGGAAGGCAGAGCTTGTGAGCAGCTACCTAGGATATTTGGCAGAAGAAATCTCTAAGCAAAATTTTGAGGGTGTGCCATTGCTTCTCTTGGCTTCTTATAATAAAATGCAAAAAGAGAGAAATGAATTCACAACAAAATTTATAGTCAAAAGGCAAACAGAACTTAGAGACTGGAAATTTTTTAGCCTAGTCAGTCCGTGATGAATGAAAAGGCATGTTCAGGAGAGAAAACCAAGGGTATGCCGAGTGAACGTTTCATAAGGAGATTAGTATGGACAGAAGGAAGGCAGATGCTCTTCAGCAAGACAATAGAAGAATGACCCCAAAAGCATTTTGGAGATTATTGAGGCTTCTATAACCATCACTGACTGAGAGTGTCAAGACCTAAGAGGCAGAACTATATCAAAAGAGGGGCCTTGGACACCAGCAAGACCTCAGCACTTGCTGTCCTACACTGCCTCAAGTATCTGCTCTCTGAATTCTGGCACAGACTCCTCAGCTGTCCTACCTGTGGCTCCAGCAGGCCCAGATACAGCTCCAGCCACTCTTCCAGAGGTCGCAAGCAGTAAACCTTCGCAGTGTCCATGTGATGCTAACTCTGCAGACACACAATGTGGACAAGCTGTGAAGGCATGGCTACTTGTACCTAAATTTCTAAGGATACGCCAGAGAGCCTCAAGATCCACAGAGAGAACTGCCACAAAGGTGAAGCCACCACAGAGAGCCCTCACTAAAACAATATCTATTATAGCCATGGAGCAGGACTACCCCTGCAACCTCAGAACTATAGAGCTACCAGCATGCCACCCTTGGAGAGCTGCAGGCACAAGACTCCAATCCCTCAGAACTGCCATATGGGCTGCGCCCAGCAAAGCCAAGGAAGTGGGGCTGCCTGAAGCCTTGGTGGCCCAAGCCCCACTAGAGTGTGTCTGGAAAGCAGGACATGGACTCAAAAATTATTTCTCAAGCCTCAAGATTAATATTGTTTGCCCTGTTGGGTTTTAGACTTACTTAGGACCTATTACCTCTTTTTTCTTTTGTGCTGTTCTCTTTGAAATAGAAATGTCTGTCCTGTGCCTGTCCAACCATTGCATTTTGGATGTACATAACTTATTTGATTTCACAGATTTACAGTAGAAGAGCAATTTCCTCAAGATGAAACACATCTTTGGGACTTATGTATATCTGATTTAGATGATATTTAGAAGAGATTCTGGATACTAGACTTTTGAATTGGTACTAAAAAAAGTTAAAACTTTTGGAGCTATGGGGATAGAATGAATGTATTTTGTATGTAAGAAGGACATAACTTTTGGGAGGCCAAGGGTGGAATGCTGTGGTTTGAATCTATGTGTCCTTCCAAAACTCATATGTTGAAACTTAGACCCCAAGGTGATGGTGTTAAGAGGGAGGGCCTTTAGGAAGTGATTAGGGCATCAGTACTCTCTCAGGAATGAGATTAGTGCCTTTATATAAGAGGTTTCAGAAATCTACCCAGCCTTTCCATCTCCTCCACCATGTGAAGACACAGTGTTCATTGCCTTTTGCCCTTTGCCCTTTTCCACCATGCAAGGATTCCCCAAGTAGATTACATCAATGGGACAAGCCCTCAGTAGACACCAAATCAGCTGGCACATCATCCTGGACTTCCCAGCCTCCAGAGCTTTGAGAAATCTGGATATTTTGTTATGGCAGCCCAAACTGACAAAGACACTGAGACTGATATTAAGGAGCTTTTCTCCTGTGTTTTCTTCTAGAAGTTTTACAGTTTCAGGTCTTATTTTTAGGTCTTTAATCCATTTTCAGTTAATTTTTGTGTATGGTGTAAGATAAGGGCCCCATTGTATTCTTTTGCATGTGGATATCTAGTTTTCCCAACACCATTTAGTGAGGAAACTATTCCTTTTCCCATGTGTCTTCTTGGTGGCCTTGTTGAAAATTAGTTACCCTTGCTTAGATTTATTTATTTCTTGGCTCTTTATTCTGTTCTATTGGTCTGTGTGTCTGTTTTCATGTCAGTACTGTATTCTGATTACTATAGCTTTGCCCTATTGAAACCAACCCAATAGTCTCATAGATAGTTTTTTTTTGCATAAACATAGAAATTGACTCTTCTAGTCTTAAAGCTTGAAACTTACATTCATTTTATCTGACTTCCTTTCTCAGGAAAGGACCCCCAGGCCTCTCAAAATACCAAATAACTGAAACTCACCAGATCATCACATCCAGACAATGAGAAGCCCTGCCCCTCATTCATCATGATTGATTCCTTGCCCTTTCCCAGTTCCTGTTTCCCTATACATAGTTAAATTTCTTCCCTGCCATAGAAACCCCATCTCTACTAAGAATACAAAAATTAGTCAGGCGTGGTGGCGCGTGCCTGTAATCCCAGCTACTTGGGAGGCTGAGGCAGGAGAATTGCTTGAATCCAGGAGGGGGAGGTTGCAGTGAGCCAAGATCGCACCACTGCACTCCAGCCTGGGCAACAGAGCAAGACTCCATCTCAGAAACAACAACAACAACAACAACAACAACAAAGAAAGAAATCCCTAATTTTAGTCAGTCAGGGAGATGGATTTGAGGCTGATCTCCTATCTCCTTAGCTGCAGCACCCAATTACAGTTTTCTTCCTTGGCAATAATCATTGTCTCAGGGATTGGCTTTTTGTGGGGTGAGCAGCAGGAGCTAGGCCAAACCTCTGGTGTTTCAGTAACAATATAATTTGAAATCAAGATGTATGATGCCTCCAACTTCATTTTTCTCTCTCAAGATTGTTTTGGCTATTCAAGGGCTTTTTTGGTTTAGTGCAAATTTTAGGATTTTTTTTTCTATTTCTGTGAAAAATATGATTGGAATTTTGATAGGAATTGTGTTGAATGTGTGTGTTGCTTTGGTTGTATGGACATTTTAACAACATTCATTCTATCAATCTATAAACATACCTTTTTATTTATTTGTGCCCACCAATCTCACTACTGGGTATATTCCCAAAAGAAATTAAAACAGCACCTTCTAGAAATATCTGCATTTCCATGTTTATCGCAGCACTAGTCACAATAGCCAAGGTATGGAATCAAACTAAGAGTTCCTCAGTGGATGAATAGACAAATAAATGGGTATAATGGAATATTGTTCAGTCTTATAAAAGTAAAGCCTGTCCTTTAAAACAACATATGTAAATCTGGCTAGGGACAGGGAGGGAAGGAGGTCAAAGAGTATACATTTGCAGCTATGTAGGATACATAAATCTAAAGAGCTAATGTACAGCATGAGGACAATCGTTGATAACAATTTATCGTATATAGAAAAATTGCTAAGAGTTTATTTTAGGAGCTGTTACCACACATATATACACAAAGGTAACTATGGAAGGTGATGAGTAGAATAATATGCTTGACTACAGTGTTCATTTCACTAGTGTATGTACAGCAAAATTTCATGTTGTACACCTTAATGTATACAATTTAAAAGGAGAGAGAAGACAAAAGAGTTCAAAGCAAAAGAGGTTCAGCAAAAAATGGTAAGATAACAACAACGACAAAAAAAGATAAAAGATGGCAGGAACTAAGAGTTAGCCTTGACACTAAAGTTAAAATTGAGCATGTGTAGGGTTTTTTCCTTATTCTTATCCTAGAAATAGAGAACTCAGGGCAAGGCTCCTGATCCCTGAGACAGATTCTGTAAGATGTTTTTCACTCCCTCATTCACTTGGTATAAAAGACATAAGAAATAAAATCAGAGTCCTTATTTTGTAATCCTGTCACAAAAGGGCTGAGCTAGCAATTTACACAAGCCAGTATTTTTCTTGTCTGCAAAACTGCTTATGAGAACATTTCCACCTTGTACAGACAGCTTTGGATGATATGTTGTTCACCACTGGGTTATTTTAACCTTGACTTCAATTTGGGAGACAGGAATCATGAGGGGTGAGCTAAGCTTCCAATGCCCTTTCCAGCCAATTTTGTTGGTTCTTAGTTTTGTAAAAATACTACTGTGTGTACTAGATCAAGTGGGACAATAAGCAGAAGCTGAAGAGACACAGCTCACTGTATGACATTCCCCTCACAGGTTTTCTCCTACCTGTCTGCTGGAGTGCTCACTTTGAGAGGCCTGGGCCCCCAAGTTGTCCCAGGCAACAAGAGAAAAAGCAGAATGTCCTGCTTCTACACCTTGTGGTCTAGGAAAAAAAAAAGAAATAATAATTCACCCATGTACTTCACCCAACTGCCTCACAGCCTTCCTTACTCAGACAGTGCTGAACTTGATCAGTAATATTTGGGGATTTCAGTTTGTGGTGTAGAATATTTCTAAATCCCAAAGGAAACCAAACATAAAATGCAGCAATCCTTTTCTATTTTTTTCTAGGGAAAAGGTATTAAAACTGAAACATTAATATCAAAAGCAAAGAACTTCCAAATGTAAACACATTATCCTAAATATGTAAAGATTCCTATTTAAATAAAACACCAGTTTTAAGGACCTTTGTGGAAATTACCTTCTTTTCATAGCAGTACTTCTGTGTCTCCCCCAAATCCTTGAAAACACTCACATGGAAGTGTAATTCCTCAAATATTTTTGATATAATACTGACGGTCTTAATCCAGAATGTTAGTACTCCCAGAATGCCCCCATTCTTATCTGCCCCTATACTGCTATGGTCAGCAAAAATGGGAAAAATAATTATAAAATTAAGTGCAAAGTATATAAATTTGTTTGGATTGTTTAGTAATAGTAAAAAAAGGCAGGTAAAATAAGATATAAAAAAGATACAAATCAATGAAATGAATTCCACTAGACATAGTATGAACCCATACAGATATTATTAAGAACACTAGGCTTTTTTTCAATTACATTCTTTTTTGGTTGATACCAAGCAATAACATAATAATCTCAGCAAATTTTAACAAAAAGTGAGAAATAAAAATTATTTTCAAGATTCCAAAAGCAATATATCAATGAAGTTCAAAATTTAAAGGTTAAGAATGGATATCATAGATATTAGTCTAACATAATATATTGGAATATGCACATCAGGGATGCATGTTCTAGATCTTACTCTGAATTTATTCCACGAACTTTCTCTATAGACTAGTTTTGAATGCATGTGTAATTTAGGTAACAGAAAAATAAAAATTAGAAATAATATTTGATGATATAATTTATATATACAGGTTTTATATTTTTATAAGGTATATTTCTGATATTTATATAAACTAAGAAAAAATCTTAGTTCTGTCTACACAAGAATAGGCAACTAATAGCTTCCTGAGGGGCAGAGGAGTATTACACAGATTAGCCAATCCTCAAGCCCAACAACTGCTTATTTAGTTGCGGTTTTGAAAAGTGGGAGAAGAATTTATTAATTCATGTACCCTCTAGGGAAAAAAATATCTGATAACCACAGACAAGACAAGAAATGTTAATTTTTCTGCCCTGAGCATATAACCAGTACAAAAATATGTTGCCTGTTTGATATTTAAATACCATTTAAATGTTTCTGTGCATCTGAAATTTATGTTCAAAACTAATACAACAATGTTAAATGATGAAGTAGTAAGATATAACTTATATTTTATGATTCAAAAAATAGTGTCCCCAGAATAAAATTCTGACATATTTTAGTACATGGAAACTTTGGGCATAGGATTATCTTAAAGGAAAAAAATAAAAACAAAACTGATCGGGAGTTAAAAATTTAAAAGGCTCTTCATTGGGTCAACTATTTATTTGATACTAGATAAATTGCCTAATACAATATAACATAGCACATCAATAATAGGATAGAAGCTAGATAAATTATTTCCTTTTCTTTCCCTAAGAAGAAATATTAAGGTTTCTATATATCTGGCAGATAGATCTGTGTTCCATATGTTTAAATATTAAGCACATATACCAGTGTAATTTCTAGGCCATAATATGAAGTGGACCTAATTTGCATTTATTTCTAGGTTTTCTATATACCCTCCCTTTTCCTTTGGCAAATTCATTCCAGGAATACCTTTAAGTACCAGTGTGAAATCAATAAATTCTTCAAAAGAAATGCCCATGTTTTGTCGTCTCTATTCAGGGAATAAAAATATGCTGAACTGAGCAATCATGGTAGAATGCAAAGAGCATGGGCTTCAACTTCGATGTTTTTTTAAGTCTTACTAGCTATGCAGACTTAAGCAAGGTGTGTGAATTCTCTGAACCATAATTTCCTAGTATGTTCCAGGGATCATAATACCATGCTTTTAGAATTACAGGAAAGATTAGGGAAAAAAGTACTTAACACTGAGGCCAGCACATAGTAGGTGACAGCTGCCAATGAAATGTAGTGACAGAGCCTTTTGAGATTTATATATATATATATATATTATACTTTAAGTTCTAGGGTACATGTGCACAACGTGCAGATTTGTTACATATGTATACGTGTGCCATGTTGGTGTGCTGCACCCATTAACTCGTCATAGGTGGGAATTGAACTATGAGAACACTTGGACACAGGAAGAGTCTTTTGAGATTAATCATTGTGATGGTTAATTTTAATTATCTGTCAATTTGACTGGGCCATGTAATACCCAGATAAACATTATTTCAGGGTGTGTCTATGAGGGTGTCTCTAGAAGGTATTTGTTGAATTGGTGGCCTGAGTAAAACCAATAGCCCTCCCCATTGTTGGTAGGTATCATCTATTAAGGACCTGAATAAAACAAAGGACAGCTGAAGGAGATATTTGCTTCTTATTTTCTGCTTTATTGCATGAGCTGAACATCTCATCCCATTCTCTTCTGCCCTCACCCTGTCCTATTTTTACCACAGGCTCCCCTGTTTCTCAGGCCTCCAGACTGAAGCTGAATTATACCACCAGCTCTCCTCAGTCTCCAGTTTGCAGACAACAGATCATGGGACTTCTCAGCCTCCATAATCACAGGAGTCAATTCCTCATAATAAATCTGTCTGCCCCCTGCTGTGTGTGTGTGTGTGTGTGTGTGTGTGTGGTGTGTGTGTGCTCTGTGTGTGTGTGTGTGTTTCAGGTGCGTCTGATCCCAATACCTATGCTTTTAACCACTATAAATGGAGAAACATTACAACAGGAAACCAAGAGTTGAGAAAGAATTGTAGTGAGGAGGTGGATAAATGGGGATGTTTCCCTACCTTGAACTCAAACCAGTTAGATAGTTGCTACTTGGGAAGCTAATCCACTTATATTAAATATATATAATATAGATGACTATAACAGTTTTGTCAAAAGAGCAAAACTGGGTTATATACACCTTTGACAAAAATTAGCATGAGTGTAGTTACTTCCTGAATACATCTTTCTTTTCATTTAGTTGCTTGGTAAGCAGATACTGCCCCAGCTTATGTGTTCTCCAAACCACAGATACACATATCTGGATTTCCAGGAGGTTTCATGAAGTGCCTCTTAATAGATATGAGATGAGAAAAACACCCACCCCAATACACACACACACACACACACACACACACAGCCCACTAGCACCTTGGGGAAGAGGAAGAACATAAAGCCTACCATGTATGAAGAAATCTATCTCCCACTGCCTAGCCTCTCCAACTTTAATCCCTTTATTGCTTTTGGATGGGTGAGGATGTGTGAGGAAACAAGTGGACAACACTAGTTTGGGGCTATTTCATTTGTAAGTCATGTCTCAGTATTCTGTCTCACTTTCTCATGTGTAGGAGTAAATAGAATCTGTCTTCTTGGGAATTTGCCTAAACTCAAGATTACAAGAGGTCTGTGTTAACATTTCTTGAACCCAAATGTGGCACATATATACCATGGAATACTATGCAGCCATAAAAAAGGGTGAGTTCATGTCCTTTGCAGGGACATGGATGAAGCTGGAAACCATCATTCTCAGCAAACTAACACAGGAACAGAAAACCAAACACCGCATGTTCTCACTCATAAGTGGGAGCTTAACAAAGAGAACACATGGACACAGGGAGGGGAATATCACACATCAGGGCCTGTCAGGCGGTGAGGGGTTAGGGGAAGGATAGCATTAGGTTAAATACCTAATACAGATGACAGGTTGATAGGTGCAGCAAACCACCATGGCGTGTGTATACCTATGTAACAAACCTGCACATTCTACACATGTATCCCAGAACTTAAAGTATATTTAAAACAAAACAAAACAAAACAAAAAAATAACATGAAATTGGATCTCACCAAAGAAAAAAAAAAGAAATGCAAAGTCAAGGGCCCCATTCAAGACCTACTGAATCAAAAATTAAAAGTGGAGCCCATTAATCTCTGTTTTAAGAAGCCCTCCAGGAGATTCTGAAACAAGCTAAAGTTTGTCACTATTTTACAGCATATAATAGATTTTTAATTGCATTATTCAAAATCCTTTACTCTTTCTCTATCCATATAAAATAAATTAACATTCTGTAAAAAAAAAAAAAAACTTCCTTGATCCCTTTAAAAAAATAGAAACTTTGAACTCTTTCATTCAAGAATAAATCCATCTTCTTGTCTCTATCTTCTTCATAAACTTCAATTTTTTATTGCTGATTATACAACAGTGGATCTGTGATGAGGGTAATGACTTCCATTGTAAAGCTATGCAAATGAATTCTAAGCATGTTGTCAGATGATGAAAGGAAAAATGATGACAATTTTATTCTACTTGTTCTAGAGTAAACACTGGTAAACTAATTACATGATACACCTTCAATGAATATCTGTGAATGGAGGAAGAGTCTCTGATTACTGGTTTTGTCTTTATTTCTATTTGATAAATTACATTTAATTGTACTGTAATTAGGAAACACCTTTAGCATTAGAGAAAAATAAGCCATGTAATAAGGTACAATTTCTGAAAACAGCATAAATTCTAATGACTGTAAATAAAGAGACACCCACCACATGATAACTTTGAATTAATCATAACAGTTTGGTTTATATATTTTTTAAAAGATTGCTTTGCATAATATGGAACTTTATTCATAGCATCGTCTGGAATTATTTTTGAAAAAGAAATTAATCAGTCTTAAATGTAGATGCATTTTATAATAGATTAAATCTACCACTCAATGAAACCTTGGAAATATCAAAAATTATCTACCAGATTCTTTTCTGTAATTGAAAGAACTACAAATTAAATCAAGTGTTTAGTTAATTACAATAAAGCAGTAAATTTCAAAGTATCTCTCAGTTGACATATAGCCAGGAATTGCTTATGTCTGAATCTTCAACCCCCTCACAATGCCCCACTGCCTTCCTGCATTTTATACCCAAGACAGCAGGGTGAGATACTTGAAAACCACCTTCAGCAAGGTCCATTTGCCCAAGGATATTTCAGTATCTCTTTTTGGTCAAAATTCAAAAAATATCACAGTGATTGCTACTCATAGCTTGTTTCCATATCCTGTTGTTTAAAATGCCAATAAAGAGCAGACATGACTTTTGGCAGTAATCTTGGTGACTCCAGATCTTGCAAAGCTGTTAGATTAGGAGCAAAGAAACATAGGAGGGAAGAGCATCTTGATGCCTTCCTCCAAACTACTCATCATATACTTTTTCCACCCCTTATCTATTGAAAAGTGAAGAAAAAATTTTTCTCTATGCCACTGTAACCTTTGGAGACCAATGACAAACTTCCAGAGTATGTCAGAGATCATATCTTCTTTGGAAAATCTTAGCATAAAAATTCCAAGATTATTATCTTTTATCAGCTTCTAGCTATAAATTTCCCTTGCATCCCACCTCTGAAAAGTATCTATATTATATTCATTCCACTCAATTTTATTACTTTATGATTAAAGTGTCTCTACTGAAATGGTATTTAAAATCTCTTTGCCACCACTCTGGAACACTTGCCTCATCTACTGAAGGCTTTTTGCCTCATGGTCTCAATCTCCACTCCAATTTATGCTTGCTTTGGACGATTTCAAGTTGGCATTGATAACTCAAACCCCAGACCAGTCTTGTTATTGCCAAGATTTCCATTTTGCCTCATTATTCCTGGAGAAAGAAGATGATCTGATATGGTAGTCATTCCTATTCAGACAAGACACTGACATAAACATTTCCAGCTACTGAAAAAAGCCAAAGAGGAGAATAAGAAGAGTAAAGACAAAAGGCAGATTTAAGTGTCCTTGTCTCCCACTCATTTGGTGTTGAGCTCCTCTACCAAAAGACCTTTTGGAAAAAAAAAAAAAGAAATAAAAACGAGATCCCTTGAGTTGAGGAGAAACATTTATAAAAGGAATTTTTTAACTAATTAATGGAAAATTTGCTCCAAATGAGACGTTAAAACAGAAGATTGAGTTAGCCTCTATTGGTAAATTTGTTTTCCTGCCCTGAAGAAATGAGAAGTCTAGCTCAAGATGAATTCAGAAATTAAAAAATTCAGAAACATTTTTGCATTTGAATTCATCATAATTCCAGTCTACCAATTAGAGTTCATGGTTCATTAGTTTAGTCATCCTTTTGCTAATATGCTGAACCAAATTTCCCCTATTGTCCTTTAGTTACACCTCTGCCAACATCCTAAGCCAGGATGCATCCATCCTTCTGCCTCCCCTGTGCAAGCTGCGGAGCTGATGGGAAATTTTACACAACTGAGAAGATTAAAACCATTATAAGCTAAACTGGGTCCTCAGCCCTTCCCTGGGATTCTGTTATGTTTCGCTTGTTCACTCATCTTCTGCCATTTCTCTCTCTCCCAAGAAATTATCTCACTACCTATTTTCTCTACATATTTCACAGAGAATATAAAATTCAGAAGACAACCCTCTCAACTTTGCACCACCACAGCTGTGGGCCTACCTGAAATAGCTCCCTATTTTCCATCTTTCTTTCCATTACAATGAATGAGGCAGCCTTATTCCTTAAGGAAAAAATATTTCTTCAACCTTAAAGAACCCCCCCCCCCAAATATTGATCTAGCTTCTCCTTTTCCTCACAGGCAAACCTCTTTAAGGAGTTTTCTGTGCATAATAGTCATCGTGTCTTTATTCACATTTCTCTCTTAAATCTGCTCTAACCTGAAAATCTGTCCCATAGCACAGGTGACAATGTCCCTGTGTTCCTGAACATTAGGGGCCAGGTCTAAGGCAACTGAGAAAAGTATCAACTTCTATTTTATTCTGATGTAGTTGCCACATCATCCAAGAGAAACCCTACAGTCTAAAGAGCATAGCAAGGAGGCCAAATGTACATCCACGCCTTACAAGGAGAGCTTCTCCTCCCCGCACTGCTCCACTCCTCATGTCTCCAACTCTTTCTCTTCTCCCAACTCCTGAAACACTTTGATCATGCTGTCAGAAGACCTTCCTTACTTCACTGCTATCTTCATTGTGCTGTGGCTTCTCTTACATGCATTCCCTTATTATGATGACAGGGTGGGTCTTCACAGTTTGACAGACTTCCACCCTTAGACTTAGTGGGCCTTGCTTTAATTTTGGCTAGGCTTTTAACTATCTGAAAATGGGAATGTTTCCATAAAAACATATTAGCTTGTGAATTTCACCTTACAACAGAATAAATACAGTTTGTTTACATCACATATTTACCACCCATGCACATTCCACCACAGTTCTCACCTCTCATGACAAGTGCACTGACACTCAATATCTAAGTTCAGAAGAGATTTTTATTATTACTTTATTTAACTTTACAGTGGTATTTGAAATGCTTTATTACCAATACTGATATACTCATCTTTTGTCTCAGGCCACTCCTTTCAGACTCCTTTTCCAGCTCTTCCTCCTCAATTTGACTATTAAGTATTGGAATTGCCCAAGGCTCCAAACTAAGCCTCTGCATTAGTCAGGGTTCTCTAAAGGGACATTACTAATAGGATAGATGTATATATGAAGCAGAGTGTATTAGGGAGAATTGACTCACATGATCACAAGGTGAAGTCCCATGATAGGTCACCTGCAAGCTGAGGAGTAAGAAAGCCAGTCCTAGTCTCAAAACCTCAAAAGTAGGGAAGCTGACAGTGCAGCCTTCAGTCTGTGGCCGAAGGCCTGAGAGCCCCTGACAAAGCACTGATAGAAGTCCGAGAGTTCAAAGCTGAAGAACTTGGAGTCTGATATTCCAGGGCAGGAAGCATCCAGCACGGGAGGAAGATGAAGGCTGGACGACTCAGCAAGTCAGCTCCTTCCACTTTCTTCTGCCCACTTTATTCTAGCCACACTGGCAGCTGATTAGATGGTGCCCACCCAGATTGCAGTAGGTCTGCCTCTCCCAGTCCACTGACTCAAAGGTTTATCTCCTTTGGCAACACCCTCAGAAACACACCCAGGAACAGTACTTTGCATCCTTCCACCCAATCAAGTTGACACTCAATATTAACTATCAGAGCCTCATTTCCTTTTCATTCTGTCTTCTCTGTCCAGGTGATATCATTCAGTCCATAAGCTTTCATTTTTATCTATGCAATGAACACCCCCAAATATTTTATCTATAACCTAGATAATTCTTCTGAGCTCATATCCACACTGAAACATCTAAAGTTTATTACATTCATAAACAAACTCATCATCCCCCATTTTCCTTCCAAAAACAGAATTTTCCATTATATTTTATTTCAGTTTCTAGCAGTAAACCTTACTCAATTGTTAAATCAGAAATCTGAGAGGTGCTGTTTTATAAAGGGATGCATGTATAAGTTTGTATAAAATGTGTTTCTTAATGTGAGTTACATTCAGAAAATATATACATATATATATATATATATATATATTTGAAAGCCCAATTTAAAACACAGGTGGCATTGGAAAGAGTCTGACAAACAGTAACTATTCTTAGCAATTATTATAACTTTTGTCCTTAACCCATCATTCTCTTTCACTGTGTCTCCTCAACCAACTTTTCTTATTTCCTAAATATATTTTAATCCATTTACTTTCCTCCAACCCTCCTATTCTAAATGACCGTATCTCTCGCCAAGCTGAATGCAACAGCCTCATAACTGTTCTTACAATATGTACTCTTGACCCTTCTAAGATCTTTCTCCACTTTGCCTTCAGGATCACTTCTTCATAAAGCAAATCTAATCATGTTAGTACTCTTTCCTCCAATATAAACCATGAAAAAAGTTATTATTAATATGGTCTACATTGCTTTGAGCTATATGCATATAGATTCACTCATATACCTCTCTAACTCTGTCAGTATACTCTAGTTGCACTGATCCTTCTCTTAGTTTTCTGAACTCAGCAAGCTCCTTTCCAGTTTTGGAGCTCCATGCCTTTTGTTTTCTCTGCCTGGAGCACAATTGCACACCACCAGCATCCCTTACTTTTTGCCTAGCTACCTTCCACTTATTTTCTTATTCTAGGTTTATGGATTTAAGTTTATATTCTCTGGGAAGCTTTACATGATAGATTTTAATAAGTAATATTCAAACTAGAAGTCATGACCCATCATGTGTTATGAAACTAATTGCCTATAACAGTACTTTAAAAGAATGTGGGAGAATATTACGGCATGGCATGAATCGGAATGGAATGGAATAGGATAGGATAGGATAGGATAGGATAGGATAGGATAGGATAGGATAGGATAGGATAGGATAGAATAGAATATGCAATACATGTAGTTAATGTTTAGTACTTTTTTATTTGTGTGTGTGTGTGTGTGTGTGTGTGTTGGTAATGAAAGAAAGTGAATTTTTCTTACTGTGAGTCATATTTTAAAATAAATTTAAAAACACAAGTTTGAAAATCACTCTTAAAGTGATGTTCACCACTTGTATGCTTTCTTAACACCAGCATGTGTCTCTTAGTAAAATTAACATCCTCAGATGGTTTCTGAATAACTGTTTCAGAAGCATTTGTGTTACACAAGGTTTAGGAAATAAAGTCAGCTGAGGCTTAACTTCCATTAAATAATATGTCAAAACATAATCTTCAATAAATAATATTTTCTAAATTTGGGCCTGCATTACCAAGGGTTCCTTTCTCTAGCACTTATCATGAAGCCATAAAGTGACAAACATAATAATGGGTCCTCTGCTACATGTGCTGCTTTCTTTGCCAACATCAGGTTCAGCAACCACTACAAACTCAGGCCTGGCAGACAGACATGGCTGAGTTCCAATCCTTTCTCTGTCGGCTACAAGCTTAAGACTTTTTGCAACTTATATTACTCTTCAAAGTTTTCTTTTTTCCTTTCCTCATCTATCTGTTGGAGATGACACTCCCTACTTTAACGGGTTATACATATCAAATGGGAGAACACATGTTCTGTATAGAATCTATCAAGTGACAGGCACTTAATAAATGTTGGTTCCTTCTTCTTCTCTATTCTATTTCCTTCTCCAATCCCTAGATGAAGATGCTTTTCCAAGTATAGTAAGGCTCCTGAGACTCCTGGCTCAGTCTCCTGACAAAAGCTTTTCTAACATAAAGCACATGATCATATTTCATGCTTACCTCCTGTAATTATGCAATCAAACCAACCTCAACTATAATATAAGACAAATTAGTGACATGATAATGTTTTCTTAATTTTTTTCTTCTCAATCATTTTTTTCTGTTCTTCTATTTATAGTTGGGCAGGCATCTGTTTAAACCAATCTTTCTTTGTAATGCCAGGATTCACACACAAATTTGGAAATCTGGGATCTCTTTGGTATAAGTTGAATTGTTTGCTCTCCAATATAGATATGCTGTCAGCTTATAGCAGATTGTGTCCCTAGTAGATTGAAAGTAAAGTATGGCTTTAAAGGAAGATCCTATTATGGTTCCATCAAAATATGTTATGAAACAATTGCAATGAATATCATGATTTGATTGACTTAACAAAAATCTACTATTTTACTCTACCTCAGTTCAGGACTAAAGAGTCTATCATTATTTCCTATATTATCTGTACAAAATTTCATGGATGTTCTATTAAAGAAATGAGATGGGAAAAAGAAAGCAATTAGAGATTTAACAACACAATGGATGCTGTAAGACAAAAAAACATTTCTAATACTAATAAAAGTCCCATTATTAAAATACAGATAACTATAGTTAGCACTAAATTAATGGGGAAGGGGTGGGGTTTATACAATTTGATTATCTTCTATATATCTTATTCCACTGATTTCTTATGACCTTAAATATGGAAGACCTCAAGAAGAAATGAACAAAGGTATATTAACCACAGTTAATTCCAAAATAGCCTCAGATATTTATATTACAGCATCAAGCATCTATATTCATTCTTTAAAGTTTCTTTTCTTATATTTTAAATAAAACTGTTTTCATCCAAACATGCCTCTGCCACTGCATGTCAAAGAGAAAAAGAAAATTGAGCATAATAGTTTTAAAAGATATAATTTTGAAAGCAGCATTACCTTTTCAGCAATCTAGTCTTCAATTTGTAATAGCCCTGATTTTCTAAATGTGCTTATTTTATAACATGTTGAAACATTTCTAGGTTTGGTAACAATATCTATTTGAGTATTTTTTTTATTTTATTTTAGAAAGTGTTAGGCAGAAAGTTTGCTCTTGAAGAATGTCACATATTTTAAAAGCTGCTGTATTTGTATAGAGGAGACATAATAAGCATAAGCAAAATTGCTCTTCATATTAGATATAACCAGTTATGTTAGTAATATGTTATCACCGATAAATTCATGTGGGGTCTGGCATGCTTACTGAATACATGAAGAATATAAGTAACATTGCTTGGATGATTTTTCCAAAAGATAAAATAAATCCTAGTGTCAATATTTTAAGTCTATACTAACAGCAAATACCTGCTCTGTGAAGTGAATCAGGAATTCAGGCTGTGTGACAGAAAGTTTGGTTTGAATTAGAAAAAAGAAAACGTGGTATTATTTTTTGGTTGTCTTGATAAATCATTGTCACTCTATACCCCTATCTAACCCATCTTCCTTGCATATTTTATTTCAGTTGAGTTATCTTAGATTTGCTAAATAAAAACTATAGGAGCCATTGTTTTGGACTAAGCTCCTGCACTAGGCCCCAACAGAGAAGACTAAAACCAAAATGGAGTCACTCATACTGAAGTTCCAAGTCACCAAAAAGAAACGAAATGATCTGACACAAGAAATCAAGAGAGAGAGATGACATCTAATTTGCCAAACAGGCCAATTTCAGTTAGCATGATAGTGAAGTTTCCTTTGCTTTAATCTTTACCAAGAAAGGTAACCTGATATTAATCAATCAGTCATTTCCCTATTTTCTTGATTTCCTGTTCCCACCTAAAAAGGGAACTTTGAAACAATCAATCTGTCTTTTTTGTTTTTGTTTTTGCTTTCTTCAGCCCTTCTCTTTACAAAACAAGCTCCTCTGCATGGCTCATTGGAACATTTATTCTATTTTATAGAATGAAATGCTGCCCAATTTTAGAATCGCAAATAAAACCAATTAAGATCTTTAAAATAAATTGTTGTAATTTTGTCTCTTTACAGGTCATATCGTCTAATAACAGAAATCAGAGAGAAGTACCAGGATCATAATTACAGAGAGAAGTTTGACCAAATCCCTTTCTGTAAAAATGTTAAATATAAATATATGTCTTCTATGTTTTTGTCCTAACCCTAAATACTAAATATTTACTGGGAAGTCTCTTAATCTGTGAAAGACTGCATTCATTTACATTAAATAAAATATGGGAATTGCTAAATTTTAAATTCAGTATTCCCTATGAAAAACTAAACTTAGGAAAAGTAAATTTTTTATGAATTTTGCCACAACTGCTCATTTGGGGAATAAAAATCAGAACTCTGAAATTTTAGCTTTAAAAACCAATATTGTCTTTGAAAGCTAATGATCAAGTGATGATTTTGTTTTCTAGCCATTTAATAATAACCTTGGCGTTCTTTTTCGGGTTCATATGCCTTGCACAATCTTTGACCAAAACCAAAATTCTCACCTACTTTCTATGTAATAAATCATTAGGAATTATGAAAAAGAGAGAAAAGAATTAACGTTATCCAAGTTTATAACTATTGGATGGGCATTCTGCTAGAATGCTTCTTATGCTTTATGCTTCTTATCATATTAATGCTCCAGTATTATATACGATAGAAAATAAAAGTTAATCTAGTAATATATAATGTTAAATTCAACTAAATTTGGCCTGAGGATGTCTCCAAACGTGTGTTCTTCCTTAAACAACTGGGCTGGAACTTAGTACATAAGCTAACTAAAAGCCTAACCTAGGAGTGCAATTTTGTAACAAATAGCTGAATCTCAGCCAATCATAGCAGCCGAGCTTTAGTCAATTGCAAGCTGCCAATTGTTCAAACCTGCTCAAATAAGACAAAGGCTGCTGTAACCAACTGAGCTGTCTTGGTATGTCACTTCTGTTTTCTGTGTTCTGTCCATAAATGCTGTCTGATCACATGGCAGACTGGAGTTCTTTGAACCTGTTCTGGTTCTGAGGGCTGCCAGATTCTAGAGGCATGAATAAAAATAAATTAAGACTGTTAAACTGAATTTGTGGTAATTTTGTCTTGTAAAGTAATAATGGTATTTTTTAAATGGTTTGAAAAAAATTAAAGAGTTTCACCCTAGATTTCTAAAATGCGGTCTCTCAGCATCATTTCTATCACTGATTACATTTTTTCATGTTGTGCCAGTCATTGTAATGTGCAATTTTCATTTCTAATCCTCAGTAACACTGAAGTGTGTATATTTTAAATTAATTATATTTCAGTTAATTTTGATCTGTGGCTTCTTTTCAGTCACAACGATTTAGAAAATTAATTAACTTGGTGACAAGATACAAAAACAGGATTATATGGAAGGCCCATATCTAGGACCACATAAGAAATAAAATGTCATCTGTCATTTTAATTTATTGTTCGTTATCACTTAACTACCAAATGATATAGTCCTGACATTTAGAAGGCAGACAATATGCATAATAAATGTCAAGGCTTTTGTTTTAATCCAAATACAACTTTATTTTCAAAAACCATAACAAAAATGCAGGTATCATGTAATTTGTTCTTTCCTTCACACTATAAGCTTTGCCTAGAAACACACATCAGCCAAACCTGATATCTGTTGCCTAGCAACCATCTGACAATTGTTAGCCTTAGATGACCTGGATATATATCTGACTGTTAACCCTTATACAACTAAGTTAACTAAACACTTAGAAATGCTTAGGAATTCTAGGTTAAAAAATATTGAAGTGGAATTTTATTTTAACCTTCAATTATTTAAATAGGTCAATTTTCTTATTAAACGAATTGAAGAAACAGGAATAAACATGTTAAAGGGTTTTTACAATAGCAATAAACTGTGAAAAACATGAAATAATGGCTTGAATTTTCTCATGTAGTATGCTTAACCATAGAAAGTACACTGAGTGATTCTTGTAACTGAAGCTTCAATTTCTACCTCGTTATCTAATTTATATGCATGCATATTTTATCAACATATCAGTCACAAAAAATACTGAAATATAAGATTATTGACATTAGCTTAGTTTTGTCAATGACAGACTTCTCCGGCGCTTAAAATGAAAATCATAAAACTAAACAAAGAGATGTTAATCTGCAAAGCATTCAGGCAAACATGTTAAGGTTTAATGTAAATGTAAAGCAATAAAATTAAGGACAGCATCTGTTGAAAATAGTTATACTTCCAAAAAATATACTTACTGGATATATTATGCAAGCACTCATAAATGAGGGATAAAGAGACAAAGAAGAGAGAGACCAAAAGAATCTGCAAAACATTAGCATTTAAATAAATAATAAGTTTTTGTTTCTTGAGGCTAAAAAATAACCAAACACTTTGCTTCACTCTCTGAAAACATTGTGTTTAGAATGTTAATTTCCACTTGTCGGAACCAAGTGTTTAAAAATTTTTCCAAAGCACTAAATTAATTAAAATAGAATAATTTTCCACATCTCAGTAGTCACACTGTTAGTAAATTTGATATGGGTTAAAGTAGGCAAAAATATCTATGTGTGTGTATGTGTACGTGTGTGTCTACATATGTTTGCACATTAAGAACAGGTAATCAGAACAAACTAACTGGATACTCACAGATTTAATTTTTTAATTATTGACATTTTTATTAAGGATACCTTCCCACTATAATTGAATAAATTTCTTATAAGGGCTAATTTATTAATCCCTGAGTGGAAAATCAGACTTATTTGTAAATTGGCTACATATTTGCAATATGGAAAGATGGCCCCTAGTAATTACATAGAAAAACTTTAATTCTTCACAGGTAAAATACAACAACATAGTTGATAAAATATGCATTTTTGAATATGAAGTTATCAGATGAAAACAATGAAATCACTTTTTACCATTCAGTTAATTTATAAGATTGTAAATGTAATTCAATTGATTTTTATTTAACTCACTCAAACACATTTTTAGTGTTCTTTTAACAAAATTTAAATTGTAGAACTTGGAAGATAATAGGAAAAAAATTAAGATAGCTATATGTTCTAAGAGTTTTGCAGCAAATAGAAAAAAAGGGTGATAACTGAAAGAAAATTATAATCAAAATATTTCATGTCATTTTTATTAAAGGAAGAAAAAAAGATTCTTGAAGGTAGAGAAGTAGAAAAGATCAATAATAACAAAAAAAAGGTACTTTTGATATAATGGAAGAATGGCGACTGTGGAAATAAATATGAGAAGAGGAAACATGGAAAGGAGTGAAAGTTAATATAGAGACTCAATTTATATATTGAGATGAACATGGGCCCTGGATGGGTGTAGACATACTGTATAAAGTAAGTTTCAGCTTTGCATTTTTCCCTTTAACTGGATGTAGCCAGCTGTGTCTTTGCTTATCTTCTTTTCAAAGTGGAAGGAAAGACAAATAATCTTCCCACTGCCAGTTCTCAGTGAAGCCCAGGGAAACTCGAAGTCTGTCCAGAGAAGACTTCCTCTATGGCAGCCACACTGTTCTAGCTCAGCTCTGGTCATGAAGGACCAACTGTGGGTGGGAGAGGCAGTCAATATAGCTGAGAAAGATCCAAGAGCAGTTGGAGCAAGCACCTTCTCATACTCTTGTGGAAATGCTCTAAAGTTGTCCTTGCCATGCTCCCCTAATCATCATACACTCTGTGCTTGTGCACATCCAAAGGTCATAGAACAATAGAATGCTGATCAAATTTTTGTGTGAGATAAACCCAGATGCCAGTTTAGAGTGTGCAATTCCATAGCTGTGTGAGCTTGAGCAAGTTATTAAATCTTTATGAGGCAATATTTTATTTATCAACCGAAGATAACAATACCTTATTAAAATAAAATAATATTATGTACTTAAGACACTTAGCACGATGCCTGGCCCATAAAAACTATTTAAAAATAAAGGAGGGAAAGTGCAAGATTGGGGACAGCAGGATGAAACAAATACTTTATGCTTATAAACATATTCACAGGTCTTCTGATGCTATGAAAATAAGAAATATGAGACTTCCATTTTTCACCTACTGTACTCAATTTGAGCATGTTTAACTTAGATGTAATTCTCAGAAATCTTTGTAAAATAGATAATTATCATCACTTACTAAATGAGAACACTGTGACTAAAATAACTTTTGTAACTTATCAAAAGTAAGCTCACTTACCTACCAATTTTAAGAATCTCTTTTGTGCCAGGTAGTTTTCTAAATGCTCAATATGCAGAAGTCAATAATTAAGACAAAATGAAGGCAAACAGCACTAGTCTTCTAGCCTAGGAAACTTTTTATTCCAAAGCTTCTTTTCCTTTCGTATGCTACTTTCTAATTTGAAACAGCTAAATTGAATGCCCTTTTCCCTGGTGGTGAGCAACAAAGAGAATTCTAACAAGGTAGCTGCAGCTTTAATCAGCATAAAATATCTAAACCACAGATTGAGCAACTTTAGTGTACAAATCCCAGAGGAAAGTTAATGAAACCAGAATGTTGAATATTGTTACATATATATTCAACCATAATTGGCCAGGAGTAAATGCTGATTTTATATAAGCAATTAAGCTAAAATAATTATATTATTTTAATGTTAGTGAGGATTCAAGATAAAGGTTAATAGAATATCTCATGCATTCAACAAACATTTATTGAACACCTCCTGAGTGTCAAAGAGTAATTTCTAAGTTAGGAAGTACAGAGGTAAGAATAAGCAAGACAAATGCAGGACTAGGGTATAAAGTCCTGTGTGAAAGGTAAGCAGGCAATGACAAGATAGTGCGGTAGGTGCTATGCTGGGGTAACAACATATTGTTGGAAAAGACGAGATCAGAAGAGTGCAGTCTCACCCAGACTTGGGGATCATGGAAATTTTCCTGGAAAAATGAATGTCTGCACTGAGACTAGAAGGATATGACAGTTAGATTTTGTGTTAACTTGACTGAACCATGGTGTGCCCAGATATTTGGTTAAACATTATTCTGGATGTGGCTGTGGGAGTGTATTTGGATGAGATGAACATCTGAGTCAGTAGACTGAGTAAAGTAGACTGGCCTCCCCATTGTGGTGGGCCTTATCCAATCCTTTGGAGAGGGGAGAACTGCAGCATAAGTGGCTGGCAGAGGCAAGGAAAGACCAGCAGAAAGAAAAGAGAGAAAGAGACAGAAAGTGAGAGAGAGAGAAAGAGGAAGTGACAGAGACAAAGAGGGAGTCAGAGAGAGAGAGAGAAAGAGAGAGACAGAAAGTCAAAGAGAGACAGGAAGAGACAAAGAGAGAGAAGGAAAGAGAGGAAGAGACAGACAAAGAAGGAGTCACAGAGAGAGAAAGCGATAGAAGTAGTAAAGAAAAAAAAGTGTACCCTATCATTCAAAAGCCAGAGTAAATTTAAAACCTATAATTGATCATTGGAGGTCTTCTCTGTGACCCTATAACACTCCAATACCACCTTGTTGTCAGTGTAAACAAGGGCATAGCCCAAAAGCACTGAGGCCACTGACAACCCATAGCCTGCCTATCAAAAATCCTTAACCCAGCAGGTTTCCTAACAGGGGATCTAAATCTTAAGGTCCAACCAAACCTAGGAGGAACTCCCTTTAGGACAGGAGGATAGATGGTTCCTCCCAGGCGAGTAACGGAAAAAGACACAATGGGTATTCAGTAAGTGATAAGGGAACTGTTGTAGAAGCAGTTCGAAAAATTGCCTAACTTACACCGTCAGCTGTCTTGCTTCAGGCCTTTGGGATCAGACTGAAACTGTGCCATCAAATCTCTGGATTACTAGCTTGCCTGCTACAGATTTTTCAGCCTCCTTAATTATGTAAGCAAATTCTGTATAATAAATCTCTTTTTTATGCATATATGTATGTGTATATATATGTATATATACATGCATATCACATATGTTTATGTGATGTGTGCCTGTGGGAGAGTATTTAGATGAAATGAACATTTGAATCAGTAGATTGAGTAAAGGAAATTGCACTCCCTATTGTGGTGGGCCTCATCCAATCCTTTGAATACCTGAGTAAAGCAAAAAGGTACAGTAGAGAGAGAAATGTCTCAGGGAAAGAAAATGGTAAGACGAAGTCTCTGAAGCAGGATAGTGAATGAGCTACTGCAGGAGCTGGAAAAGGTCCAGTGAGGCTGTCCAGTGAGGTCTGCTCAAACGTGCAAGCTGTTTTCACTCAGTCAAACCTTAAAGTACTTACAGAATCAGGAAGGTGCCATCTATACCAATTCTAAGTTAATATGGACTGAATGAGGTCTTATTTTTTATTTATTTATTTATTTATTTTGAGACAGAGTCTCACTCTATCGCCCAGGCTGGAGTGCAGCAGCGCAATCTCGGATCACTGCAACCTCCGCCTCTGGAGTTCACGCCATACTCCTGCCTCAGCCTCCTGAGTAGCTGGGACTACAGGTGCCTGCCACCATGCCCGGCTAATTTTTTGTATTTTTAGTAGAGACAGGGTTTCACTGTGTTAGCCAGGATGGTCTCGATCCCCTGACCTTGCAATCCACCCACCTTGGTCTCCGAAAGTTCTGGGATTACAGGCATGAGCCACCATGCCTGGCCTGAATGGGGTCTTATTAATAGCAAAGAATAATTGAAATCCCAAACTTACAAAGTTTTCAACAAAAGTAAAGTTTGCTAAAAGTTAACAGTGTAACATGTATTATCCTAACTTCTAACCTGGTGGAAAGCAGAGCATATCTGTGCCCCTCAAAGCTCAAGTCCATCAGTGCAGGGCCATAAAACTAATAACCCTACTTATAGGATTACGAGTGGCTACTGCTACAGAAACTGGAATAGCAGGTTTATCTACTTCATTATCCTACTACCACAAACTCTCAAAGGGTTTCTCAATTTGCAAGAAATAACAGAATCTATCCTTACTCTACAATCTCAAATAGACTCTTTGACAGCAGTGACTTTCCAAAATTGCTGAGGCCTAGACCTCCTCACAGCTGAGAAAGGAGGACTCTGCACCTTCTTAGGGGAAGAGTGTTGTTTTTACACTAACCAGTCAGGGATAGTAGGAGATGTTGCCCAGCATTTACAGGAAAAGTTTTCTGAAATCAGACAATGCCTTTCAAACTCTTATACCAACCTCTGGAGTTGGGCGACATGGCTTCTCCCCTTTCTAGGTCCCGTGACAGCCATATTGCTATTACTTGCCTTCGGGCCCTGTATTTTTAACCTCCTTGTCAAATTTGTTTCCTCCAGGATCGAGGCCATCAAGCTACAGATGGTCTTACAAACAGAACCCCAAATGAGCTCAACTAACAACTTCTACTGAGGACCCCTGGACTGACCCGCTGACGCTTTGGCTGGCCTAGAGAGTTCCCCTCTGAAGGACACTACAACTGCAGGGCCCCTTCTTCACCCTTATCCAGCAGGAAGTAGCTAGAGTGGTCATCACCCAATTCCCAACAGCAGTTGGGGTGTCCTGTTTAGAGGGGGGATTGAGAGGTGAAGCCAGCTGGACTTCCTGTGTCAAGTGGCGACTTGGAGAACTTTTCTGTCTAGCTAGAGGATTGTAAACACACCAGTCAGCACTCTGTAAAAATGCACCAATAAGTGCCCTGTGTCTAGCTAAAGGATTGTAAATGCACCAATCAGCATTCTGTAAAAATGCACCAATCAGTGCTCTGGGTCTAGCTAAAGGATTGTAAATGCACCAATCAGGACTCTGTAAAAATGCACCAATCAGCGCTCTGTGTCTAGCTAAAGGATTGTAAATGCACCAATCAGTACTCTGTAAAAACGCACCAATCAGCGCTCTGTGTCTAGCTAAAGGATTGTAAATACACCAATCAGCATTCTGTAAAAACGCACCAATCAGCGCTCTGTGTCTAGCTAAAGGATTGTAAATACACCAATCAGCATTCTGTAAAAACGCACCAATCAGCGCTCTGTGTCTAGCTAAAGGATTGTAAATGCACCAATCAGCACTCTGTGTCTAGCTAAAGGATTGTAAATGCACCAATCAGCACCTGTAAAATGAACCAATCAGCAGGACATGGGTGGGGACAGATAAGGGAATAAAAGCTGGCCACCCCAGCCAGCAGTGGCAACCCACTCAGGTCCCCTTCCACACTGTGGAAGCTTTGTTCTTTCACACTTCACAATAAATCTTGCTGCTGCTTACTCTTTGGGTCCCACACCACCTTTAAGAGCTGTAACACTTGCCGTGAAGGTCTGCAGCTTCATTCTTGAAGTCAGCGAGACCACAAATCCACTGGAAGGAAGAAACTCCGGACACATCTGAAGGAACAAACTCCAGACACACCATCTTTAAGAGCTGTAACATTCACCACGAAGGTCCGCGACTTCATTCTTGAAGTCAGCGAGACCAAGAACCCACCGGAAGGAACCAACTCTGGACACACTTTGAAGGCCTCAATAGAGAAAAAAGGTAGAGTAAGGAAGAATTCACTCTCTGTAGCTGACTGTCTCTAGTTGGGACATCAGATTTCTTCTTCCTTCATACTTGGATTGGAACTTACACCGTCAGCTGTCTTGCTTCAGGCCTTTGGGATCAGACTGAAACTATGCCATCAAATCTCTGGATTACTAGCTTGCCTGCTACAGATTTTTCAGCCTCCTTAATTATGTAAGCAAATTCTGTATAATAAATCTCTTTTTTATGCATATATGTATGTGTATATATATGTATATATACATGCATATCACATATGTTTATGTGATGTGTGCCTGTGGGAGAGTATTTAGATGAAATGAACATTTGAATCAGTAGATTGAGTAAAGGAAATTGCACTCCCTATTGTGGTGGGCCTCATCCAATCCTTTGAATACCTGAGTAAAGCAAAAAGGTACAGTAGAGAGAGAAATGTCTCAGGGAAAGAAAATGGTAAGACGAAGTCTCTGAAGCAGGATAGTGAATGAGCTACTGCAGGAGCTGGAAAAGGTCCAGTGAGGCTGTCGCAGAAAATGCTGGGCAAGAAGAACAAAGAGATGAGGCTAGAGGAGGCAACTGGAACCAGGCCATGAGCATAAATTGTTTTAATTGTAAGGAAGAGGAGAGCCATTCCTCCTGTTTTAATCAGCAGAGTGACATGACACAAATAACCCCACCTTTATTTGTATCTGTGTAAAGTCAGGCAAACCAAATAGGATGATGTTGCAGTAAACTGGGTAAATGATGATGGCCTAAGGATGGTTGGACTGTAGGGATGAAGACCAAGGAATGGATTCAGTTAAGAAGGTAGAATTCAGAAGATGCAGTCATTGGGTATGGGAGCTGCTTATGAAGAGGGAGGCATTTGGATGATTCCCAGTAAGAAAAGAAGCAACTACATGAGTGGTGGTGCCTCCTTTCATTAATAAAATATTTGTTTGAAGGAAAAATAACAAGCTCTGCTCTTCATAGCTATAATTTAAATGTCTGTAATGATGAGCAATAAGCAGTTTCGAATGCACCATAGAATTCAGGTGAAACATCTCAATCGGTTGTATAGATCAGGAACTCTGGAAGATTGCAATTGTAGCCCTTGGTGAGAAAGAGAACTCTCCAGAGAGGACTCTTTTAGCATTCTTATATGGAAAATTGACTGAATACTGAAAAATGTAGAAGACTCAATAACACACTTCATATATTGGTTTTCCATTATTAATACTACATTGCTGGTAAGGAGAGGATTTTATAATAGGCTGGAATCAAATGCTAAAAGTAATTCTGTGACAACAGATCTTATAGAAAAGAACAATTAGAAAAGGTAACAGCCAGCACTGATATAAAAAGATATAAGTAATGATTATAATATTACTTAAAGCAGGTGTTCAAGAATGATGATATCAAACAAGATTTATTTTTGAAGAAAGTCCTAACCTGTTAACTTCATATAGTTTAATGAAAGCACAAGTGGTCATGGTTTATTCCATTTTCTCCAAAATGTATTTTGAACAACAAATCTACCTATCTCTACTAAAACATCACCACAATTTTTTTCTCCCCATAAAATCTGAAGTTCCAATTTCAAAACATTTCATATCATTCATAAAATAAAAACATATTTTGATGGTAATCACACAGTAGATTTATTGTATCATGTTACTTACAAATATGATTAAATTGGTCAAATACAAATATGCACTATTAATATAATAGATTACTCAAAAGGTGAAATAATGAATCTAAAAATATCAATATCATAACAATTCATTAGAGCATGTACATTGCTCTTCAAAAACTGTCTTTCTTAAATACTATTCAAATAAGACAAATGTAGCTTCATTTTTTGCCCTTCCAATTTTTCCTTGCTATTTAATTCGGTATTGTTTCTTCCACTTTACCTGCCTTTTACTTTTTACTTTCAGGAACTCAGCCTACTGAAAGGGACATCAAGAAAAGCTACTTCCTAGACAAGAATACTCCCAGTATTATACTTGGAAGAGAACAATAAATATAGTTTCTACTGAAAGCATAAAAAACTTCATGCGAAATGGAGTAAGAAAAACTTGGGTGGAAAAGTTAAGGTCATAATTTTAATAATGACTAATAGTTGTTGAATGATGCTATATTAATGACACTCTGTCAAATACTTTGCTTGCTAGTTCAAACCAAAAATTTGAATAATAATCCATATGTTACAGAAGAAATGGTGTTCAGAAATAAAGAGAAAGGAAATAACATTCGTTGTACAAAAGTGTGCCAGAATCTTTGCCTATATGATTGGTGCAAAAGTCATTGCGATTTGTGCCATTAAAAGTAATTGCAGAAACCGCAATTACTTTTGCACCAACCTGTATTACTGAATTTATTCTTAACATTTTCAGGTGAAACTGGGATTCAAAGATGGATCTGTTTGGCCACCAAATTCTCATGCTTTTTCCAAAGTATGATACTTTTACCTGAGTTCTGTAGCCTCATGAGGGAAGGGGAGACCCTGGTCCTACCTAAGGTGAATGAAAATCATGCTCCTGGGAAAACAACCAAGAAACAAAAAAAGGTTTTGAAATTAAAAAGGGGACTGGGATTTTTTAAAATAAAGCAAATATATTAGAAGTAATGGTTTACTTACTAAAGGAAAACAAAAATATGGCATGATCAATGATATAATCACTAGTTATCCAAACTAAGAACCAATGAGAAATAATTTTCAATAGTAAAAAATGAGATGCTGTTTTGAACAGACAGAAAATGTATTCATGTAAGTTGGACATGGAAAGTCATCTTTTTTGAGAAAATCAGGGTTTATAAAAGGAAAATACCTAGGATGCACATTCCTAGCTAGCCACTTCCTTAAAAAGTAAAATATTGTTGATATTATGAAATATTGAACTTTTCAACAAAATCTTCCATAGAGATTTTTAATGATCTGGTTTTAGTGTGAAACATGATAAACATGCTTATGTCTAGTTGCATTTCAAGACTAAATTATTAGAGAGCTTGGCCTAAAATTTTTAAATGTCAGGGAAAGGCCACATCTTGTCTTACACTCATTCGGAAATAAACCACATAGCTATAATTCCAGGATTCTGGGGAAACAAGCCAAATCATAGGATCACTTCTGTTCCATAGACAAAGAAAAACTCAACCCTGAGATCTACTATGTTGTGGTATGACCTCTTAAGAGAATAAATTATACCAATTCTATTAAATGTCATTGGATTTTTAAACAATATTTCATGGCATAAAAGTAGAGGCCAAGACTTCTTCCACAACAAACGTACACCGAAAGTGGTATTGAACATCAGGGCTAGGAAAAGAGAAAATCAGCTTTTCTCATTAATGTTGGATACACAAGTCTGAAATTTTTTTAGGGTATGTCATTGAAACACAGGCACATTAATGGCATTATTTTTTTCATTTGGCAGGAAACTAAATTGTAAGACTAAACTGCATGTCTCTTATTCTACCCAAAATAGGATTGTCATTGGGATTTAATTTTAAAGGAATAGATATTGACAGATGAAAGGATGAGAAGAGAAATCCTGCTTGCTGTAGCATTGAGCTGTAGCACCATGTTAAAGAAGAATCGAAACACAAGACCAGTATGAACTGTTTCTCTCCATTGACTTGTTGGCAAATATAAAAATCATAGTCGCACAGCAATCTGCTACCCCAGGTATGTTTGGTTGAAGAAAAGGACGAATGGTGATACCATTAAATTGCAATATACTCTTTTATTATTCCATTAATTTCCCTTAAATTTGTAGGAGTTTAATGTTGCTATCCTTAAATTTATAATCTTATTGAATACTAAAGTCATTTAAAATGCAAAAATAAAACTCATCTATTTTTTCCAAGGTTACTATCACTTTTTTCTTTAAAGAAACACCAAGGAGAAAGTTACTGAAAATAGAGAACAGAATTTGAATAGCCATACCTATCCACATTTGCACATATCCAGAGTTGCATATATTTTATATAACAAATTGATATTCACTCTAGCTCTCCCTTGTCTTATTGCTTTCCATGTCTCTTCTGCATCAGCTAATTTGAATGCCCAGACTTCTACTGTTTTTGCAGAAGATCTCTTGATATTGTGCCTTTGGCTGAATGACATATAAAGCACACACTCATAAAAAAAAAGATGTCAGAGAACATGATATGACAAAATCAAAAGTTAACATCCTTCTGATAATTTCAAAATTTTAAGCCCCCGGAATTTCCATGCCTCTGACAGTTTGACCATGTTAACCAGAGCCTGGTTTCTTTTTTTTTTATGGAAATTTTCAAACATATACAAATGTAGGAAAAAATAGCATAATGAATACCCATTTTATTTACTACTTTTCTTACAACTGTTAAAATTTGCATTCTGAGAATGTCTTTTAAAGTTGTCTGCTTTTATAAAGGAAAATAAAACCTGAGCCACAATATAATAAAACCACTACTACATATTACATTATAATTTAGTTTAACCTGAATTCCATAAACCCAAGTGTTTCATGAAAGGAAAATCACATATACATATAAAATTATATATATAATGTATATATATGTGTATAAGTGTGAATATGTGTGTGCATATTATGTATACTATATGTACACAACATATATTATGTTGTATTATTATGTATGTGTGTATTTTGTATGTATACATTATATATACATATATATGTATACATTATATATACATATATATGTATACATTATATATGTATTATATATTATATATAGTTATATATATACACACACACATATACACATAATATACACACACATATTCCTTATCCTCTTTCTTAAATGAATAAACTACTTAGCAAATGCTGACTTTCAATGGAAGACATAATACTGAACTTGTAGTTATAAGCCCGCCATGTTGATGTGTACCAAAATTATCATTATCATTTGAGATCTTGCTCTAGAAATATTGACTTTTTTGTTAAAAGATGTAAACTTAAATTGTTCATATGTCTATAATATATGTTAAACTAAAAGCAAAACTTGGTGATAACCAGAAAATATATTGTATACTGCATCAGACATTAAATCTTTTTAAAAAAATTTCAGGGTGTTGTAAGGAGATTTCTTCAGGAATGTGGTAAAAATTTCTGATAAGTCTTTTATTAGTAGTATGGGACTGGAAAGCATATATGAATAAGTAAGCTTGAGATTCAGGACATGAAAGAAAACATGGAATGAATGTTCCCAAATGTAAGGACAGTAAAGAGCATTCTCCCCAGATTAAAAGAAAAGACTTCAACTTTGAAGTTCCCATTGCAGTATGTTGCAGTAACCATAAATTTAGTGGTTTAAAACAATATAAACTTATAATCTTACAGTTCTGTAGGTAGAAGACTGACATGGATTTCACAGGGCTAATATCACGGTGTCCACAGGGCTTCCAACTCTCTCTTACAAGTCAGAAAGTTTCTCTGATTCTCTGACTCATGTGATAAGATTTGATCCTCCCTGGATAATCCAGGATAATTTTCCCTATCTCAAGGTCCATAACCTTAATCATGTGTGCAAAATCTCTTTTGCTATGGAAGGTAACATATTGACAGTTTTCGGGTATTAGGGTGTGGACAACTTTGGGTGGAGGGCATTGTTCAGCCAACTACAGAATTGCATCTTCAAAAACAGTAAAATTGCTTGCTCCCCAAATTTTGAACATTGTGGGAGGCTATTTTTAATTTGTGTGACACCTTGCATTGCAGACAAATTAAAAATAACACCTCCAGTGCTTGAGCCTCCAAAGCTTAGAAAAAACAAATTGAGAAAAATTCTGATTTCATGGAGAGACTTCCACATATTCACATGTCTATTTATTTGTCCATTTATTTATCTATTAAATGTTTATTATGTGCCAGCCACTGTACCAGATGATAGAGAAGGAACTAGAAATAAAACAGGCATCATCCCGACTGCCATGAAACTTAAGTATACTGTTTGGTACATGTGTTAGACAAATAACTATATAAAGTTAAGTGCTAGGAGAATGTGCAATAAAGGAATATACACTGGGGTTTTCTTAAGGCCTGTACAGAAGAAACTAACATAGAATGTGCCTCAAGAAAAGCCTCCTTGCTTAAACAACTCTGTAGGAAAAAAGCTAATAATCCAATCAAAAGATGGGCAAATGATTTGAATAGACATTTTTCTAAAGAGAACATACAAATGGCAAACAGGCATATGAAAAGGTGTTCAACATCATTGATCATCAGAGAAATGAAAATCAAAACTACCAGGAGACATCATCTCACCCCAGTTAAAATGGCTTTTATCCAAATGACAGGCAATAACAAATGCTGGTGAGGATGTGGAGAAAAGGGAACCCTTTACGCTGTTGGTGGAAATGTAAATTAGTACAACCACTATAGAGAAGAGTTTAGAGGTTCCTCCAAAAAACAAAAAATTGAGTTACCATACGATACAGCAATCCCAGTGCTGGGTATATACCCAAAAGAAAGAAAATTAGTATATTGAAGAGATATCTACACTCCTGTGTATGTTGCAGCACTGTTTATGACAGCTAAGATTTGGAAGCAATCCAAGTGTCCATCAACAGATGAATGGATAAAGAAAACATAGTACATATGCACAATGGAGTACTATTCAGCCATGAGAAAAATGAGATCCAGTCATCTGCAGCAACATAGATGGAATTGGTAATCATTATGTTAAGCGAAATAAGCCAGGCACAGAAAGACAAGCATCACATGTTCTCACTTACTTGTGGGATCTAAAAATCAAATCAATTGAACTCATGGACATAGAGAGTAGAAGGATGGTTCCAGAGGCTGGGAAGGGTAGTGAAATTTTAGGGGCAATGTGGGGATGGTTAATGGTCAATCACAAAAAAAAATAGAATGAATAAGACCTACTATTTGATAGCACAATAGGGCAACTATAGTCGATAATAAATTAATTGTGTATTCTAAGATAACAGAGTATAATCGGATTGTTTGCAACACAAAGGATAAATGCTTGAGGGGATGGATAACTCATTCTCTATAATGTGCTTATTCCACATTGCATACCTGCCTCAAAACAACTTGGGTAACTTATAAATATATATATCTACTATGTACCCACAAATTTTTTTGGCGGGGGGATGGAGTCTTGCTCTGTCACCCAAGCTGGAGTGAAATGGTGCAATCTCAGCTCACTGCAACCTCCACCCACCAGGTTCAAGTGATTCTCCTGCCTCAGCCTACTGAGTAGCTGGGATTACAGGCACCCACCACCACGTCCAACTAATTTGTGTATTTTTAGTAGAGAGGGGGTTTCACCAGATTGGCCAGGATGGTCTCTAACTTCTGACCTCGTGATCTGCCCACCTTGGCCTCCCTAAATGCTGGGATTACAAGCGTGAGCCACCGTGCCCAGCCAAAAAATTTTTTAGTTAAAAAATTTTAAAAAAGGAAAGCCTCTCTGAGGAGGCAGCATTAAGTTAGGAAACGAAAGATGAGAATTCACCCAAAAGATTGGTGAAAGGGGAATTAAGAAATTGATGATAAAAAGCAGCCAAAGAGAACAGCATGTGAACAGGCTCTATGATGTGAAGAAACATTGCCTATTACAAGAATAAATAAAGGATAAGAGAAAGAATATAAAGACAAAGCCTCACCTACTATTTGAAGAGTCCAGGGAGAAGTACCAATGCACACCCCCAATCACCTCTCCCTGACTCTGAACCCATCATCTCCTTTGCAGACCTCATACACATGTGTTGTGGAGACCACAGTCTACCTGTCAAGTTCCATCAACATTCCCCAAATAGCCACTCTTGGCCAACTAGGGCAGAGAGCTGCACCACTGGGTACTTGACCAGTCACCAAAGACAGACTTGGGAATGAGTTCCCAAAAGGAACTTAGAAGTGGGCCTCAGAGAATTTTGGAATCCTAGAAGGAGCACAGTTTCCATATGGGTGCATCCTCTTGTCCCTGAAGATTCTTCACTGCATGAGGAGGGGTAAGGCTAAAGCAAAGTCATCATTTATAATGCACATCACAACACTTGCAAATGAGGAGAATAAATTTTGAAGAACACATTTAGCATTTTGCTGTTTTCATAAAATGTGATTTCAATAAGCAAAACTTCTATTCTCAATATTGAACATGAAAGACTAAGTTGCTAAATCAAAATTTTACTTCAAATTAATAATAATTTTCTGTGCCAGAGTATATGCTTACTAAATAGCTAGTGATGGATAGTTGATTAATGAAAATAAAATAGACATACATGAGACTGCATGAAGATAGTATGTTATTATAGTTACTAAGGGGTATGTATCATGTCCTGTCAACCTTTGTATTACCATAGTACCTAGAAGTGTCTCCAGCAGGTAATATACAAATAATAAATATATGTCAAATACAATTGACTTAAACGATTCAACCAAAGGCAATATTTTCTATTTTTTTGTTAGTTATTTAATGAAAACTGCTAGATTTAAGTATAGAATCATGACATTTCGAATTTGCAGTGTCTTCTTCCAGTACAAGAATCTCTTCTGCAGCATCACCTGGTTCTAAGTTTTCACTTGTATCATACCTTCATTTTGTCCCTAAAAGCCTCACTGTCAGCTGATTTTACCCGGACCCAACGGCCATACCTTCCTCTTGGTGCTTGAATTCACACAAATTTCCTACTGATAATTCTAAGAAGTATTTAATCTTATAGAAAACAGAAAGATGTATGTGAATACTGTCATTATATAGCCTGAATTTACTATTAATTCACATTATTATCTATTATCATCTACCTCAAATGCTCTTTTCCATAGTTTAAACATGTTTATCCCGAGTCATCTTCACTAGCCATTGTCATGAGGACATTTAGAAATGTTAAAATTCTTAATGTGGTAACAAGGATTCTATATTTCTTCAACCATGTTAAGTGTTATTTTTCTTATTTCAATCACTTTTCATGAAAATCATCTATGATACATGTTTGTATTTCTCATCATAAAGAATACCACTTGCTCTTTAAAAAAACACATAAAATAGATAAATATGAATAGTGACTATGACCTATAATAAAATGACATTGTCAAAAAAGCTTTTGTTAAACTTATTTTAATATCCTTTCAGAACTTTTCCTTTGCAATTTAAGATAATGGTTTTATTTTGTTTTAATCAAAATAAGATTATATTAAACATATTTTCCAGTAAGTTGTTTTGTTCCCCTCATCGCCTATGTTAACATATACGCGACGAATTTTTTTAGATGCATGTGTATTTATATGTACCTAGAGGGAATATATTTCCACATCAATATGCATAACTTTATCAACACTAATATATATGATTCATTATTACAAACAATGCTGTTATAAATAATTTTATACAATACAGTAAATAGTTGGGAGCATGAACTCTAAGGTCAGACTCCTTGGATTTAAACATGGTCCTGGTAAATAATAGCTTTGTGATCTTACGCATGTTACTCCACATTTGTCTGCATCAATTTCCTTATATGTAAAATTTGGGTAATTATAGTACCTACCTCAAAGTTATTATTATGAGAAAGTTATTAACATAAAAGGCATTTTAAAAGTGTGCGGCACACGGTAACACTTTTGCTATCATTTTTTCATCTGCTGGTGTATCCAAGAGTGGAATTGCTGGATCATATGTTATGGACACCTTCACTTTTATTAGACACTGTAAACTTGCTCCCCAAAGCATCTTATAACAATCACGCACCCACCAGTAGTACATAAGCATTTCTATTGTTCCTCATCTTTGCATATACTTGGTATTATCAGGCTTTTTGAACTTCTGCCAGTGTAATTATTTTAATATGTTTGGTATTATTTGCATATACCAGACTATTTGTGAGATTTAGTTGCCTTTTGGATATTTAGACATTTTATTGCCCTTTTTACAAATTATTTTTCTATTATTTGCCCTTTTGTAGGTTGAAGAGAATGAGAACCTCTGGGAAATGACCAATATGTCTCTCAAATTAATACACTGAAAAGGTGGAAAGCCAGGACATTCATCCACTGGTACCTGCTGTCCACTAGTTGAGAGTTGTCAGGACATTACTTCCATGACCTAATTCCCCTGCGTCCCTGCACTTCTAAACTGCCTTTTAGAAGCACAGATGCACTTGGATATGTAATGCAGTCTGCATGAGCTTGAGCTCACAGTGAACATCCACTATAATTGTGGCTAAAATCAGAGATACCTGAGGCGCATAATGTAAACTATTAAAAATATTTAATAAAAGAAGGTCCTAGATTTCTAGAATGGCAGCATAAGGAGCTCTATGGAGCCAAGTGAAACAGCTGTAACTGGTGAAAATTACTTTTAAAAATAAAAACATCACGTAAAATATCTGGAAATAATTCTAAGGGCATATAACAAATGAAGAAACATTTATTCAAGAAAATCTGCTCTTTCTTGGTAAGGAAAGCAAGAGTCTATGTCATTTGAGTCTCAATCCACTCCTTTCCTCCCACTCTCAGCCTTCAGTACAGGTGAGTGCAGTCCAACAAAGTTTTCCCTATCCCCTTTGCTCCCAGTCAAGGGCTATAGTCCCTCCCCGGGAGGGGTAAGACGCCAGCATTTCTCATCTCTCTCCTGGCTCCATATTGCAGAGGTTCTATTCCAGGCAAGAATGGCTCAGAGCTCTAGGGCACTCCTCCTCCACCCAGCCCCATCTTGTGGAGCAGAAGTTCTACACATGGATCAGCAGGCTGTGACTACTACGGTGCAGATCACCCTCACCCCGACTTTATTATGTAAAAATAATAAAGAATATCAATGAAACCAAAAGCTGGCTCTTTAAAAAGATCAACAAAAATGACAAAACTTGAAGTAAACTGATCAAGAAAAAAAGACAGCTGAAATCACTAAAATCAGTAACACAACAGGGGACAACTTTATGACTTTACAACACTGACCAAAGCAATCCAGAGTCAACACTACTCCTATCAAGCTACCAACATCATTATTCACAGAACTAAAAAATAAGTGTTCTAAAATTAGTATGAAACCAAAAAGGAGCCAAATAGACAAAACAATCTTAAGCACAAAGCTGCAGGCTTCACATTACGTAACTTCAAACTATACTATAAGGCTATAGTAACCAAAACAGTATGGTACTGATACAAAAATAGACATATAGGCCAACGGAAAAGAATAGAGAATCTAGAAATAAAGCAGCACACCTGCAGCAATCTTACCTCTGACAAAGTCAACAAAAATAAACAAGAGAGAAAAATCCTCTACTAAGTAAATGATGCAGAGATAGATTGCTAGCCACATGCGAAAGAATGAAACTTGGACCCCTACCTTTCACCATACACAGAAGTTAACTCAAGATGGATTAAAGATTTAAATGTAAGACCTCAACCTAAAAGAATTGTAGGAGATAACCTAGGAGACACCACTCTGGACATTGACATTGGCAAAGAATTTATGACTAACTCTTCAAAGGGAACTGCAACAAAAATTGACAAATGGGACCTAATTAAACTAAGGAGCTCCTGAACAGCAAAAGAAATTATCAACAGAGTAAATAGACAACATACAGAATGGGAGAAAATATTTGCAAACTGCATCTGACAAAGGTTGAATATCCAGAACCTATAAAATAAAAATATTTGCAAACCACATCTGACAAAGGTCGAATATCCAGAACCTATAAATTCAACAAGCAAAAAACAAATAATGGTGTATAATTCTTTTCATATCCAGTTTCTGAAAGCTGGATTCAGTTTGCTAACAATTTTTTGAGGACATTTATATATTTGTTTAAGAGAAATATTGATGTGTAATTTTCTTTTCCTGAGATATCTGTTTTTTGTATCAGGATAATTCTGACTTCAGGCAATGAAGTGATCCCCCCTCTTCTATTTTTTTTAAATAATTCATTAAAATATTGCTATTCTTTCTTGAATAGAAACAGAAAAAGCATTTCACAAACTTTAACACAAAAACTTTCTCAACCTGAAATGTACCCAAAATAATTTAAACAACCACACCCAAATAGCATCCTTTTTTTTCCCTTAAGAGACAGGGTCTCTCTCTGTTGCCCAAGCTGGAGTGCAGTAGTGCAATCAAAGCTCAGTGCAGCCTAGAACTCTTGCGATCAAGGGATCCTCCTGCCTCAGCCTCTCTGAATAGCTGAGACTACAACTGTACATCAGCACATCCAACTTATTATATTTATTTTTTATTTTTTAGAGATGGGACCTCACTATGTTGCCGGCTGGTCTCAAACTCCTGGCCACAAGCAATCCTCATGGTTGAGCCTCCCAAGTAGCTAGGATTATAGGCAAGAACCACTGCAACCTGCTATAATTAACATCACATTTAATAGTGAAAGACTGAATGCCTTCTCCCTGTGATTGGAAGCAAAAAAATAAATAAATAAGAAAAAAAAAATCTGCTCTCACTACAGAACAGAACAGCGGAGCTTCCACATTGTACCAGAGATTCTAACTAGAATAATTGAGTAAAAAAGAGAAATTTAAAATACCCAGATTGGAAAGGAAAAAAGCAAAAAAGTCACTATGTTCTTAGATATAGAAATCTTGAGGAATCCAATACAAATTATTAGAAATAATAAATGAGGTTGGGAGTGGTGGCTCACACCTGTAATCCCAGCACTTTGGGAGGCCAAGGCGGGTGGATCACAAGGTCAGGAGTTCGAGACCAGCCTGGCCAATATAGTGAAACCCTGTCTCTACTAAAAATACAAAAATTAGCTGGCCGTGGTGGCATGCCTGTAGTCCCAGTTACTCCGGAGGCTGAGGCAGAAGAATCGCTTGAACCTGGGAGGCAAAGGTTGCAGTGAGCCGAGATCATGCCACTGAACTCCAGCCTGGATGACAGAGTGAGACTCCATCTTAAAAAAAAAAAAAAAAAGAAAAGAAATAATAAATGAAGCCAGGCGCAGTGGCTCATGCCTGTAATCCCAGCACTTTGGGAGGTCGAGGCAGGCGGATCATGAGGTCAGGAGATCGAGATCACCCTGGCCAACATGGTGAAACCCCGCCTCTATTTCAAAATACAAAAAATTAGCCAGGTGTCGTGGCACCTGCCTGTAGTCCAAGCTGCTAGGGAGGCTGAGGCAGAAGAATCGCTTGAACCTGGGAGGCAGAGGTTGCAGTGAGATCATGCCACTGACTGCGTTCCAGCCTGGTGACAGGGCAAGACTCCATCTCAAAAAAAAAAAAAAAAAAAAGAAGAGGAAAAAATGAATTAATTGGGTTTACAGGACAGAAGATCAAATTAAAAATCAATTGTATTTATATACACAAGCAATAGAGAATTCAAGAGTGAAATTAAGAAAACATTTCTATTAACAACAGCATCAAAAAATAAAATACTTAGGAATAAATTTAATAAAAAAATGCAAACTGATACTCTGAAAGCTATAAGACATAGAAGAAATAAAAGACAATATAAATAAATTAAAAGATATCCATGTCTAATGATCACAAAGAAAACTTAATATTATTAAATGACAGTGCTCCCCACATTGATCTTTAAGTTTAATATAATCCGTATCAAAATGCCAACTGGCAGTTTTTACAGGAATTAACAAGTTGATCCTAAAATTTATATGGAAATTCAAGGATGCAGAATAGCCAAATCAAAAAGGAAAAGTTAGAGGACTCGCACATCCAAATTTCACAATTTTCAACAAAACTTCAGTTATCAAGATACTGTGGTATTGCCATAAGGTAGACATTTAGATCAATGAAAAAATTGTAAGTCCAGAAATAAAGCCACACATTTATGGTCAACTGATTTTTGAAAATGATGCCAGAACAATTTGATGTTTTTTAAATAAATGGTCCTGGGACAACTGGATATCCATATGCAAAATAATGACTTTGGACACCTCCCTCACACCATATACAAAAATTAACTCAAAATGAATCATAGAACTAACTGTGAGAGCTAAAACATTTAAAATTCTTAGAAGAAAACATTGAAGTAAATATTCATGACTTTGAATTAGGCAATAGGTTTTCAGAATGACCCAGAAACCCAGCCACAAAAAAGTAGATAAATTGGATTTTCTGGCTGGGCATGATGGCTCACACCTGTAATCCTGGCACTTTGGGAGGCCAACGTGGGCAGATCATCTGAGGTCAGGAGTTCGAGACCGGCCTGGCCAATATAGTGAAACCCGTCTCTACTAAAGATACAAAAATTAGCCAGGCATGGTAGGTGTGGGTGTGTGCCTATACTCCCAGATACTGAGAAGGCTGAGGCAGGAGAATTGCTTGAACCCAGGAGACAGAGGCTGCAGTGAGCCAAGATGGCGCCACTGTACTCCAGCTTGGATGACAGACCAAGATTTCATCTCAAAAAAAAAAAAAGGACTTTCAACATTTTTAAATTTTTTTACATTTAAGGAACACCATCAAGAGAGTGAAAATACGACACCAACACACAGGATGAGAGAAAATATTTGCAAATCATACATCAGATAAAGGACTTGTATCCAGAATACATAAAGAACTCACAACTCAATAACATTTAAAAACCCATTTATAATAAATAAAAATTATCCATTTACCAGGTACAATTGACCATATACAAAATGGCCAATAGGTACGTGAAAAGATGTGCCACCATTATTAGTCATCAGAGAAATACAAATCAAAACCAAAACAAGGCTCCACTTCACATCTACTAGATAAACTGCGATTAAAAAGACAGATAATTACAAGTGCTGGTGAGAATGTATAGAAATTGGAAACCTCATATATTGATGGTGGGTATGTAAAACATTTCAGCCACTTTGGTAAACAGTCTGGCAGTTCCTCAAATGGTTAAACCATTTGCATTAAAGTAATCACAGAATTACCAAACAGAGTAACCTTATGACCCAGTAGTTGCACTGCTAGCCAAAAGAAATAAATGCATGCATCTATAAAAATACTTGTACACGAATGTTCATAGCAACATTATTCATAATGGCCAACATGTTGAAACAATTCAGATGTCCATCAACTAATGAATAGGCTGAAAAATATGGCTTATCTATGTAATAAAATACTATTTTCCAATAAAAAGTTATGAAGTATTGATATACACTATTAAATAGATGAAGCTCAAAAACATTACCCTTAGTGGAAGAAGTGATTGTGACTTCTTCTATTGTGACTACAATAGACAACATATTGTACAATTCCATTTACATGAAATGCCCATAATAGGTAAATTTTAAAAACAAAAATATGTGAATGGTTGCCTAAGGCTAAGGGTATATCAGATGATGGTGTCTATTAATGGTGTAAGGTTTCTTTTTGGACAAAAGAAAATGTTCTAAAATTAAATTATGATAGTTGCACAACTGTGGATATACTAAAATTAATGGAATTGTACATTTTAACAGTGAATTGTATGACATGTAAATTGTCTTATTAAAGCTATTTCAAAAAATGTCTACTACACATTAATGTCCAGCAACATGGCTTTTTTGTATATTGCTTTCTAATTCTAATTCCTTTTATTACTTTTATGTTACTATGTTTGCTAGGATCACTAGCCCGATGTTAAATAGTGGCATGATGGGCATACCAGTTTCATTCCATACTTTAAAGGAAAGTTTCTAACACTTCATCATTAAGTATTACATCTGCCATAGATTTGGGGACATGTCTAACTCAGGTATTACCAACTCCATAAAGAATTTTTATACCACCCAGCCTTGAATCATGTTTTTCTCTTGGAGTGCCTTTAGTATTTACTGTCCGCCTCAGCAATGCAAAAAGAATAATTTTTGTTGTTGTTGTTCTAGCATTGCTTAATACTAAACAACTTTCAAAGAGTAAACTGAATGCCCAGAAAAATTATCAGGGCACAAGAACATAGAAATACCCACACCAGTCATTTAGCTATCATTTTTGTATGGCTATCAATAGCTATAAAGCAACTTTTGCATGATTATTAGTGTATATTTTATGTACCTTTTGTGACCAGATCTTATTTCTCTGACTAATCTCTCAATGGACATGAAACATTTTTATTTGTATTTCCATGAAGTTTTACAAGTAATTCCTCAATAGATATAGGTCAGATTGAGCCCTTTCAAGGCTTGTACTGTCATTACCACCCATGTTTTACATTGTATCTAGCACTTCTTTTGGATCTCTACAGAACATAAATCGTTTGCAAAGGTGAAGGAATATGAATTGAGAGCACTGGATTAGTTAGCATGAGCTTGAGATGGGAGATTCTACTGTACTTACAAATTAGCACAACTGCAAAGTTAGCAGCAAAGTAGTCTAGGGAGTGAGGGCATGCAGAACACCAGGCCAACTGAGAATGAGGCATGTCCTTACATCCTTTGTTTTCTTTCCATTTTTTCTTAATTTGACCATTCTGTTTTAATGGCTGACTGCTTCAGCTCCAATTTTGTGCAACTACAGAATCAAAGCAATTTTTAGAAGCTATTCTTGAGGTAATTCAGGACTACACTTCTCATTTTGAAAGCGAACAAAGAAAAGAGTAAATCATCCACCAAGTTCTTGTAGTGGACTGGTATTAGTACAGTAGTTAAACCTTCCCAATTGTGTTCTATTGATTTGGCAAAGGAACTATGAGCTACTTGCTTTCCTTTTCCTTTCACACCCAAAACTTTCACTTAATGAACTGGTCCGTGAGACTTGAATTGTTAGCATTCCTTGGGCTGCTGAGTTAAAAATATCCAGGCTTTATCAATAGGAATTATAGGGCTAGATTTTTTCAAATCTGCCAGTGTCATCATAAAAATGTGAACATCTTTAGATCAAATAGTACATAAAAGAAACTTTGGCAATAAAAAATTAATAGTATATCCATTTACTGCCTTACGGTCTGCTGCTTATTGAATTAGTCCAGTTGCCGAGGATAAAATCATAAAGCTTACTAAAGAAAAATAACATGAAAATGTATTTGTTTATGATCTTTCAATACCAAGAGAGGAATCAAAGCCTTGATTTAAAAACCATTTTTCAAAAATATAACAAAATACACAATAAAAAACAACTTACCTTTACTCAGTAGGACATGTTAAGACTGCAGGAATAAGGCAAAGAAACTCTTCACTATGTGCAGTTTTTCAAGGTAGAAGAAAATCCTTGACAATCCCAGCAGTGAAAGAAAATGAGGAAGGATGATTAATAACTCTGTTGGCAGGGCAAAATAAATCTTGATACCTAAACAATCTTCCATCACACAGGAAAAATATGAATCTATTATCTCTCTGCATTTTAATTGTTGGTTTGTTATTTTTTAAGTGCTGCGGAACTCTGCTTTAATGTGTGAATACTTTTTAGTATTAAAGGAGAATTATGGAAATCCTTAGTGAGTCATATAAATACCTAATATCTCCTATTGCTCATAAGTACATACAAATCTTTAAGCTTCCACAGTAGTCATTTAGCAATTCCACATTGCTCACATACTGTGTTGCATAGTTATAGGTGTAAGTAAAGTTCCTTGCTCTTAATATATGAATTAAATATCATTGCTGTTTGGAATGCCTATCTTGGGATTATTATGCCTATCCTTAAACCAACAACAACCAAAGAAAATCACATATATCCTCCCCTGGGATTTTTCACCTGATTAACAAACTCTTAAGTATTATTTTTCTTTTTTATCTTTGATTTGTAGCTTTGGGGGATGATAAATTATGTTCCCTCTGCAATAGGATACTTGTATTCTGTTGGGATTGCTCAAATTTGAACATTCATTTTTCTTAATAAGAAAATATTTCTAATAAGAAATATTAGCATTAAGAGAGAACTTTTACCCTGTTTGATTGTACAAATGAAAGTGACACCAGTTATTGTTAACAAATGATCCAATCACATTAGATTATTTGGTTTTCAAACAGTATTATTGGACAGGTGAATGTGTTGGCAGAGTAACTCTCATTCATGCAAGGAACCCAGGCTCATAGCAGCTCTGCAATCTCAAAGGTTGCCATTGATTGTCTCAACCTCAGCCAGCCTGAAGGGGAATAAAACCTTGAAGACTGCATACAACAGGTTGTTAGAAACTTGGACTAGAAGTGGCATTCAATGCTTCCTCTCATGTTACACTGGATGTGATTTAGTCACTGACTACAAGTACTCCTAAGGGAGGTTGGGAAATAAAGTCTTGCTATATACTCAGAAGGCAAAGGGAATACGTATTTTAATGAACAATTAGTTAATTCTCCCACAATTATACTTAAAATTTGATTATTTTCTAGTTTGATGAAAAATTAGTGTTTATATTCTATTAAAGTCTAATTTAGTCATTTATGAATTAGGCATAAATTCAGAATATTTTATCTGTTGTAATGTATTTTTATGATGCATTATACTCATATTTTAGATAAGAGAATTTGAGCACAAAGAAGTCATGACTTCATCTAAAGTCACAAGTTTACCTCATCTTTAACTATAAGTCTAGCTCTTCCATGAAAAGATTTTAACTTCCTCAGTGAAATAGAAAACTAACACAGTAGTGTCTATTTTACATCAAACCTACTAATTGATCTTTCCTCCCATCAATATCTCATGCTAACCTAAGTCAAAATTTTCTGTAGAAATAGTAAATATATTATGAAAATAATTGAGAAAATGTGTGAGAAAGTGGCCTATATCTCAGATACATAATAGTTACTCAATTACATTCTTTAAACATTACTTTGACATTTAACACACAAAAGTACAAGCTCAAATGGTATCAATGGTGAACTTTTTCAAACATTTAAGGAAAAATGATACCAATTATACACAATATCTTTCCAAAAAAACCATAAGAGAGGACACTTTCCATCTCATATTTTGAAGTCAGCAATGACAAAAGCAGACATTACAAGAAAAGTAAACTACAAACCAATATCCCTCACGAACACAGACACAAAAGTTATCAACAAAATATAACAAATAATATACACCAATATATTAAAAAGATAACACCTTACAACCAAGTGGGTTTATCTTAGAAATGTAAGTCTGGCTTAACATTTGAAAATCAATACAATTCATCAAATAAACACACTAAACAAGAAAAAAACCCAGGATCTTTCAAAAGATGCAGAAAGAAAGCATTTAAAAAGATTCCACATCCATTCACATTTTTTAAAATTCAGCAAACTAGGAACAGAAAAGAAACTTTCACTAACCAGATAAGTAGCATTTTTTGAACGCTGCAGCAAGTATCACAGTTAATGGTGAAAGATCAGATGTTCCCCCTGTAACTGGGGAAAAGCAAGGATGTTCACTTGCACCATTCCTATTCAGCGTGATACAGATAAGGCAAGGAAAAGAAATAGGCATACAGATTGGAAAGAAAGAAATAAAATGATCACTTTTCATAAACTACATAATTGTCTACTTAGAGAATCCTATGGAATTGAAAATAAAATGGGGAAAGGGGTTCTAGAACCATAAGTGAGTTTACAAAGTCACAGGTTATAGGGTCAATGTATAATATTCAAGTATTTTCCTATGTGCTAGCAATAAACAATTGGACATTGATACTTAAAAAGCAATACTGTTTACAACAGAAACAAACAATGAAATACATAGACATGTACTTAACAAAATATATGTAGAATCTATATGATGAAAACACAAAAAATGAATGAAAGAAATGAAAGGGAACATAAATAAAGTGATAAAATATGTTCATGAATTAGAAAACTTTATATTATAAAAATGTCAATTATCCAAAATAGATTCACAGATTCAATACCATCCCAATCAAAATTCCAGAATTTTTGTCAACATGCTAATTCATAAATTTACATCAAAAAAAAAACAAAGTATTTCAAATCGCCAAAACAATTTTGAAAAGATCATAGTTGGAGTACTCATACTACCTCATTGCAAGGCTTACTATAAAGCTACGCTATTCAGGAAATGTGGTACTGAAGAAAAGAAAGACATACAGAACAATGGAACAGAATACAGTCCAGAAATGGGCCCACACAAAGGTGGTTAATTTATATTTTATAAAGATGCAAGGACAATTCAATAGAGAAATAATAGTCTTTTCAACAAATGGTTGAGAAACAATGAGACATTTATTTATCTGTCTATCTATCTAGCTATCTATCTATCTACACTTCAACCTATACCTCACATCCTTCATAAAGATTAACTCAAAATGTTTCACAGACTTAAATGTAAAATTATAGAATTTCTAAAATGAACCATAAAAGAAAACCTGCATGGCTTTAGGCTAGCCAAAGAGATTTAAGTACAACACCACAAAAAAGTGACCCATAAAAATGAATAATTAGATTTCATCAAAATTTCAAACGTTTGCTCTGTCAAAGATACCCTTAAGAGAATGAAAATCCAAGGCACACCCTAGGAGAAAACATCTGGAAATCACATATCTGACAAAGGATATATATCCAGAATATAGAAAGAACTCTCAAAACTCAACAAGAAGAAATCAAACAACCCAGTGTTTAATAAATGAGTAAAATGTTTGAACATAAATACCTTCCCCAATGAAGATATAAGGGTGGCAAATAAGTAGGTGGAAAAATATGTTCTGCATCATTACTCATTATAGAAACATAAATTACACCATAATGAGATACCACTATATACCTATTAGAATAGCTCAAGTCAGAGAAGCTGACAGCACTAATTGCTGTTGAGGGAGTGGGCCACCGGAACTCTCTGAGGTTGCTAGTGAGAATGCAAAATGGTACAGCTACTTTAGAAAACAGTTTGGCATTTTCTCATGAAGTTAAATATATGCTTACCATATTATCCAATAATACAATCAATCTTTATTTTTCACAAATTCCATATTAGTGAATTTGCCCACTTGCTAAAATTTATTTGTGACCCCCAAAATCAATAGTCACCAGCAGTTTTGCAGTGGCTCACTAACATGTGCAGAGCAGCCAAAAATTTTAGTCATGCAACATGCTCTTTCCCAGCTGAGATTGAACAAGTTGATGCTCTGACTTTGAGTTTTAGTTCTTATACCGTAAATAAGTGTGCTTTTTGTAGTCTAGTTAGTTTTTGGCATTTTTGTGCTTTCGGTGAGTGATTTTGAAGTTTAAAACGGCCCCCACGTGTGTAGCGCTGGAGTGCTGTCTAGTGTTTCTAAGCACAAGAAGGCTATGCTGTGCCTTACAGAGAAAATTTGTGTGTTGGATAAGTTTTGTTCAGATGTGAGTTATAGTGCAGTTGGCTGTGAGTTCAATGTTAATTAACCAATAATATATATTAAATAAGGTGTCGTTAAACAGAAACACAGAAAACAGTTATGTATTTGTCAGTTGACAAAAACATTGTCACCAAAGGCTCACAGGAACTTGACCCCATATTTCCCCCAGGAGCAATGTCTCATTACTCACCAATTTAGTCTTCAAGAAGACCTCACAGTACATAACTACCACAAATAATGAAAATTGACTGTGACACTCCTAGGTATTTACTCAAGATTAATGAAAACTTATATTTAAACAAAAGCATTTATATTTGGCTTCATAGCAGGTTTTTTCATAATTGTCCAAAACTGAAACCTATCTATCTAGTTTTCTATTAGTGTCACAACAAATTACCATAAAGGTAGCCACTTGAAACAACACAAAACTATTATCTCACAATTTCCTTAGGCCAGAAGTTTGACAAGCTCAGCTTAGTTTCTACTTAAATTCTCACAAGGCTGAAATCAAAGGGTTGATATGGCTGTGTTCCTTTCTGGAGGCCCTAGGGAAGAATCCATGTTTCTGCTCATTCAGGTTGTTGGCAGAATTCAGTTCATTGCAACTGTAGGACTGAGAGTTTTGTCTTATTTTTGGCTGTCAGCTGAGAGCTCTTATCAGCATCTAGAGGCTACCACATTCCCTGGCTTGCAACCCCTGTCCTCCATCTTCAAAGCCAACACAGCCAGTTGCTTCCTTCTCACATTGCCTCTCTTCCACAGACTCTTCTGTCCTCCTCATCTCCCGCCCTTCAGTCCCATGCTATGCCTTCCCAACAAACTGTTCACATTTTTTTGAGATAGAGTCTCACACTGTCACCTGGGCTGGAGTACAATGGTGTGATCTCGGCTCACTGCAACCTCCGCCTTCTGGGTTCAAGTGATACCCCTGCCTCAGCCTCTGGAGTAGCTGGGATTACAGGTGCCCGCCACCATGCCTGGCTAATTTTTTGTATTTTTAGTAGAGACGGGGTTTCACTATGTTGGCCAGGCTGGTCTCAAACTCTTGACTTCATGATCTGCCCACCGTGGCCTCCCAAAGTGCTGGGATTACAGGCGTGAGCCACCGTGCCCGGCCCAAACTGTTCACATTTTAATGTCAAGGTCCTGCCAACCATCTGCATAAATTTTTAATTCTAATCAACTTTGGTCTTCTCTACTTTTCCTTCTTTTTGTCCCAAACAACACTTACCTATGCATGACCAGGAATGATACTTTGCAAGTACTTTCTGAAACTCAGAAGAAGTATGTGGTAGCCTAGCTGACAGTGGGTTGAAGTCCACAGCCACCAAGAACCTTTCTGAAAAGTTTCTTCTAAAAGTAAATAAGTCCTTGAGATAATTTTTAAAATCAGTTCTGAAAATTCCCATGCTGGGTTATTCTCCAGGTGTGTAACGGATAGGGTGACTACTGAGAAGCAGACGTTGTCAAATTTTGGTCAAGAATTAAAAGACATTTCTATGATGTGATCCAACAGTTAACTCAGATTCTCACTGGGTAAGGAGGGCACAGCTACCCTGACAGCACAAACTTCTATGTGGATGGTTTATGCTATTTGCTAGAGACAGGATTTCTAGTCTCGATGTCAGTTGAGAAATCATGTTTGACTTAATGAGGAAAATAAACATATAAATAAAATACTCAGTTACAAATCGCCATGATTGAAATGTCATTGTGATTAAAAATTCTCACAAGGAGAGGGAGCTGAAATAGAGTTCTGGGGTTACAGTGTTTATATATTTTTGGCTGCCAGAGGAAGTTTATCTGAAACCTCCTAAATCTTGGGTGTAATATTCCTCCTTTCAAAGTTGATTAACTCGTTTTAAAATTTTTTATATTTTCCATAGCACTTTCTGCACTAATATAAGAGACAGAGATATTGGGTCTTTAATTAGCTGCTGCTTCAAAATTTGTATTGGGAATTTGAAAGATCCAGACTGGTTTCTAGCTTCCACATCCCTCCTCATTCCCAAATGAGAGGCCAAAGCTTCTGCAGAGGAACAGTCTTTAATTAGCTCCACCTTCATTACTTAGGTGTTAGCATCATCATTGTTGCTCTTGAAATAACCTAAATGCTACAGCTCAGTTCTGATCACTATGTGTCTCTTTTGTTCCTACACATCATTTTAATTAGTTTGTCTGCACTTTGTATCTATGTCTTTTTATCTTGATTGCTGTTCTGAATTCTTCTTCTGGTTATCTGCCCCATATCCTAATAACCAACTAAGATAAGGGTATTTTCATCAGAGTCAGTCTGGTGTTAGAGAACTGTTTAGCCAGTGACATATTTTTGGATGGTGTTGCAAGGACTTCTGGATATTGCTCTTGCCAGGTTTTCATCTCTAAAACTTACCATCCCTCCTAATGGACTATCCCTGTTCTTCATTGTGCTCCCTTTTCTATTTCCTTTTCCAACTGCTTATCTGAAATTTACTATTATCATTACACTTTTTCCAAGGGAAAATTAGGGCAGCTTAATATTGGCATTGGTTGAGAATCCATGGAATATTATGAACCCAATAAGGTCACTAAGAGAGTGAGGGTGAGCCTATATGTGTCGAGTCTGGATGAGATGGTGGCCAAAGTGAAGAAAGTTGACATGGCACTGAGCTAAGAATCCAATCAGAAGACATGGATAAGGCAGCTTTTCCTCTGGCCCCAGGAAATTTCACAGTTGCAGCTCCCAGTTCGGTAGAAAACAACTAAGAACAGTGAGATCTCGCCTCTCTCTTCTTCAGTTCCTTTCCATCTCTTAAAAACATTAACATAAGAACACCCCTTTTCCTATCCCTTTTTCTCCAAATCCTCTAAACTTCTGTACGAACTTAGTATCTACTTAGACAATTCCATTTTCCCCACTCTAAAGAAAAAGAAAAGAAACATTGTAGAGTTGCAGTTTTCCTTCTCTTATAGATCTGTTTTACTAAACAAACTCCAGGAGCTCAGAAAGGGCAAGTGCTCAATCTAAACTCTGGGAGGGGCAGAAACTACCTCTTAGGTAAGATAAACCTTTGTCTCATACCTGCAGGCATAGCAAATTTGACCTCCAAGTATGGAACTAAAATAAATCATAGAAAACTAAAGTGAAAGGTTCATGTGATGGTATATATCCATTTATGTGTATGTAAAGTACTAAACCCTGGTCGCCTCACTAAATTTCCAGATAATTACCACAATATGATAATAGTTGTGATACAGTAGTTCTTGAATATAGGATACTTCATTAAAAATTCATGCTTATCAACTAGAACTAGGTAGAAAATCTTCAATTTTCCTGCCCTCTTTCTTCCTCCATACAACCGGACAATCCCCTGGCTATTGTATCAATCTGCCTGTTCCTCTGCATAGCCCCAAATGCCAACCAACACGTTCAACTGAAAGTCTACTCCATAAGCTCCATATTTTTAGAAATCAAAATTTTGGCCTTTCCCACAGACTATTTGCCCCTTTGGAATATATTATTTCTAGCAATGTTACAATTATTCATTTAATGAGACAACTTAAAATTCTTTGTAGGGGGATTATTCGTTTCAACTATTATTTCAATAGTTTTTCAGGAACAGGTGGCGTTTCGTTACATTTTTAAGTTCTTTAGGTGTGATTTCTGATATTTTGGTGCACCCATCACCCAAGCAGTGTACACTGACCCCAATGTGTATTCTTTTATCCCTCACTCCGGTCCTACCTGTCCCCTCAAGTCTACAGAGTCCATTATGTCGTTCTTATGCTTTTGCATCCTCATAGCTTAGCTTCCACTTATAAATGAGAACATGCGATGTTTTCCATTGCTGAGTTACTTCACTTAGAATAATGGTCTCCAACTCCATCCAGGTTGCTGGAATGCCATTATTTCATTTCTTTTTATGGCTGAGTAATATTCCATGGCGCATATATATATATATATACACACATATATGTACGTGTATATATATATATATATATATATATATATATATATATATATCAAATTTTCTTCATTCGTTGGTTGATGGCCATTTAGACTGGTTCCATATTATTGCAATTCTGAATTGTGCTGCTATAAACATGCGTGTGCAAGTGTCTTTTTCATATAATGACTTCTTCTCCTCTAGGTAGATACCCAGTGGTGGGATTGCAGGATCAAATGGTAGATCTACTTTCAGTTCTAAAGGAATCTCCACACTGTTTTGCATAGTGGTTGTACCAGTTTACATTCCCACCAGCGGAGTAAAAAAATGTTCCCTTTTCACCACATCCACATCAGCACCTATTAGTCTCGGGTGTTTTTTTTTTTTTTTTTTAAGACAGAGTCTCGCTCTTCGCTCTGTTGCCAGGGTGGAGTGCAGTGGCGCAATCTATGTTTACTGCAATCTCCACCTCCCTGGCTCAAGTGATTCTCCTGCCTCAGCCTCCCTAGTACCTGGTATTACAGGCACACACCACAATGCCCAGGTAATTTTTGTATTTTTAGTAGAGACATGGTTTCACCATGTTGGCCAGGATGGTCTCGATCTCCTGACCTCGTGATCCTCCCGCCTCGACCTCCCAAAGTGTTGGGATTACAGGCATGAGCCACTGCACCCAGTCTGGGTTTTTAAATTATTGCTATTCTTGCAGGCATAAGGTGGTATTGCATTGCGGTTTTGATTTGCATTTCCCTGATAATTAGTGATGTTGAGTATTTTTTCATATGTTTGTTGGCCATTTGTATATCCACTTTTGAGAATTGTTTATTCATGTTCTTAGTCAACTTTTTTATGGGATTATTTGTTTTTTTCTTGCTAATTTGTTTGAGTTTGTTGTAGATTCTGGATATTGGTCCTTTGTCAGATGTATAGATTATGAACATTTTCTCCCATTCTGTGGGCTGTCTGTTTACTCTGCTGACTGTTCCTTTTGCCATATGACAGCTCCCTAGTTTAATTAAGTCCCACCTATTTATCTTTGTTTTTGGGTTTTGTTTTCCTTTGTTTTGTTTTTTTGTTTGTTTTTGAGACAGAGTCTCACTCTGTAGCCCAGGCTGGAGTGCAGTGGTGTGATCTCAGCTCACTGCAACCTCCACCTCCTGGGTAAAAGCGATTCTCCTGCCTCAGCCTCCCAAGCAGTTGGGATTACAGTTGCGCACCACCATGCCCGGCTAATTTTTGTAGCTTTTAGTAGAGACGTGGTTTCGCCATGTTGCCCAGCTAGTCTCAACTCATGGGCCCAAGTGATCTGCCTGCCTCGGCCTCCCAAAGTGCTGGGATTACAGGCATGAGCCACCACACTCAGCTTATCTTTGTTTTTATTTCATTTGTTTTGGGGTTCTTGGTCATGAAATCTTTGCCTAAGCCAATGTCTAGAATGGTTTTCCCAATGTTATCTTCTAGGATTTTAGTTTCAGGTCTTAGATTTAAGTCCTTGATCCATCTTGAGTTGATTTTTACATAAGGTGAGAGATGAGGATCCAGTTTCATTCTTCTACATGCAGCTTGCCAATTTTCCCAGCATCATTTGTTGAATAGGCTGTCCTTTCCCCACTTTATGTTTTTGTTTGCTTTGTCAAAGATCGGTTGGCTGTAATTATTCGGCTTTATTACTGGGTTCTCTGTTCTGCTCCATTGGTCTATATGCCTGTTTTTATACCAGTACCATGCTGTTCTGGTGACTATAGCCTTGTAGTATAGTTTGAAGCTGCATAATGTGATGTCTCCAGATTTGTTTTATTTGCTTAGTCTTTCTTTGGCTATATGGGCTCTTTTTTCGTTCCATATGAATTTTAGGATTGTTTTTTCTAGTTCTGTGAAGAATGATGGTGGTATTTTGATAGGAATTGCATTGAATTTATAGATTACTTTTGACAGTATGGTCATGTTCACAATATTGATTTTGCCCATCCATGAGCATAGGACATGCTTCCATTTGTTTGTGTTGTCTATGATTTCTTTCAGCAGTGTTTTGTAGTTTTCCTTATAGAGGGCTTTCACGTCCTAGGTTAGGTATATTCCTAAATATTTTATTTTATTTTATTTTGTAGCTATCATAAAAGGGGTTGAGTTCTTGATTTGATTCTCCACTTGGTTGCTACTGGTGTATAGCAGTGCTACAGATTTGTGTATATTAGTTTTGTATCCTGAAACTTTACTGAATTCATTTATCAGATCTAGGAGCTTTTTTCTTTTGCCTATCCCACCTAAAAACTCTCAGTCAACTTTTAAAAAATGTTTCTCCATCCATCATGTTATTTTTATTCCTATTGTCACTGCCCTGATCTAGGTGCTTTCCATTACATTCTTTGGCTACTGAACTACCTCCAAATAAATCTCCCTGGCTGCAGTTTTATTTTACTCCCCCATCAATCATCCTAATTTATCACAGTCAGAATGGCCTTCCTAAAAATGAAAGAGTTTTAGACTTTACCACAAAGCTTTTCCGGTGCTTCACACACTGCATTTTCACAATAGAAACTGTTCAACATATACTTGTAAAACAAAAAAATGCATGTTATTCAGAATATCTCCCATGGCACTTTTCACATGAGAGGCACTCAATAATTAGAATAAATTTTCTAGTTGATGTTAGTTTTTAATAGATCTTGAAGTAGAAGGCCTGAAAACTGAGAAATATGAATATATTGCTCATAAAGAGGGTAATCAGATTTAGCTTCCAAAATGTACCTGAACAATGTTCCAGCAACGCTCCTGGGATGCTAAAAGGGTCCTTTTAGCAGCTTAAGTTCTAACTTCATCATTTTCAATTAGTTAATTATTTGTTTAGTTTCATCTAAGTGAAGTTTCCCATAGATCCAAATGTCTCCTCCAAATTCCTGATATTTTTCTGTAATATTTTAGGTATGTCACTGTCATTGTCTTTGTTAAATAGAAATACACACATGTATGCACATACACATACGGGTACACATACACACATACATTTAACAAATGAATTAATTTCAAAAACACAAAATCAAGCTTTATGCTCATTATAACATTTTATTTCTTAAGATGCATATTTCTTAAAATTCAAGGACTAGAACGTCCGTGAGTAGCTTTACTTGTTTTCAGGGTAAATTAGAACAACTGAAATCCCCTCTTAGAATTCTAAATACCCTAAAGTCAAACCATAGAAAAATGACTCTAAACAATTTCGTCTAGTAGGCAATTTGATACCCAAAGGAAATTAGAAAGCCAATTACTCGAGTAATATAAACCCCTGCTGCAAAGAAGAAAAAATCCAAAAAAGCTAGTCTCAAATAAAATAGAGGAAACAATAATATTACATAACAAGGATGAAGCTGATGTTTTTTAATTCCTTTTCTTTCTTTGTGGTTCAAGCTATACATGTATGTATGACAGTTACATAATTTTATCTCTCTAATCAGCAATGACCACTTTTGCAAAGGAGAATGACTTCTATACCAGGTCAAAAACAGTGTGAATGGCTCTATAAGAAAAAATTCTTTGAAAAAAAGTTCATTTAAGACTGTTTACTATCACAGAGGCAGAAAACTGTTTCTATTATCCACATGAACCAGCATTACTGCTTTAAGTCCAAAGCACAGTTGCCAAGAGTGATGTGAGTCATTAAGCTGCAAGCAGATACTAAGACTTGGAAGGTCCAAGGCGTTGCACACCATTCCAGTATACTGCAGCCCATAATGTCCAGGCAATCAAAGGTCAAATGAAGAGAACACAAGTCTACTATTATGGAAGATTATTTTGCACACACTCTCAATTTCACTGTCTTCCCTGGTAGTAAATAGTATTAACCTGAATTGCTATACATTTTATACAAAACTTGCCACAGGAAGCATGATCCCTTTAGATAAAACTTGAAAGTGAATTGCCTGTAACATGAGCAACTTATTATTGCATGCCAATTCACTCCTTTTGGACGCCCTATTTTGAGTGAAAAGAGACCTAACAATTTCACTACTTCCAATTTTTACATCACCACACTCTGATCTCTGGACAGTCAAACCAAAGAGTGAGAAAGTCCAGTCAGGAAGAAGCACAGCACCTAGCATCGTCTCCTCATGCACACAGCCAGAAAGAATGGGATACAAAAGAGAGAACCACATCTTATTTTACATGAGCCAGAAGAATGCATAGTTATTGCTCTAACTTTCAAAAGGAAATATTTTAAAATTAAGAAGAAATAGACCTGTGAATATACCAAAATTCCTCACATAATTTAATGGTTTTCCAATATCCTCAGTCTCTCCCTTTATAACTTCCTCTCCCATTAGGCCTTCAAACTTGTTAGTTACTACACTATTTTTTAATCAACTCATGCTACAAGTTCTCTGTTCTCTCTGTTTCCAACACTCAAATTTCAGCTTCTTTTATACCTTCATCCCTTACTGTTCACTCTTGGAACTCTATGCTCCAGTTGTCCCTGATTTGGGCCAGTTTCTCAATGGAAACTATTCATTCATTCATTCATTCATTTCATTCATTCTTGGACTTTGCAAATGCTGCTTTTCACTTGAAAAGTCTTCATGTTTGCTCTTATTACTTAACTAACCCTTAATCTAATTACTTCCTCTTCCAGATCTATTGATATCCAGTTAGGTGCAACTTCTGTATGCTCTTGTTGTACCTTATTCTTATTTCTATATTATCACATTTTATGTTCTATTTTGTCACATTATTTGACTGAAGTCTACACTCTCCTTAAAGAAAGGGACTGTTTTTTACTTCTCTATCCCTGGCCTAGGCAGTCCCCAGCACACAACAGCTACTGAATAAAAAATTTTTGAATAAATAAGTCCAAATAAATAAGATGTATTTTTAAAAATTATTTAACTGTGCTTTTGATCCAGAAATTCATTCTCCAGGAATGAGGTAGTACATTAGACAACCAGGTGTGTGTTTTTGTTTCTTTTCCAAAATGGCAAAATAGAGGATTTTCAGCATGCCTCTGCCACTTGGGAATAGCAAGACAGTGCATAAAGATCAACTCTGCGAGCTTTAAATCAAGAAGGAAAATGTGAATCCACTGGAATCATGATGGACACCCCAGTTTCCAGGGAGAACACTGACAAACAGCTCCTGTGACACCAACCAACTCATAAAAGTGAGTGAAGCCCCGGGAAAAGCTGCAGGCATTTTCCCAGACCTGGGACCTAGGCATTGAAGGAACATATCTCAAAATAATAAAAGCCATCTATGACAAACACACAGCCAATATCCTACTAAATAGGTAAAAGCTGGAAGCATTGCCCTTGACAATGCCAAGACAAGGATGCCTATTCTCATCTCTCCTATTCAGCATAGTACTGGAAGTCCTAGCCAGAGCAGTTGGGCAAGAGAAAAAACTAAAAAAGGCATCCAAATAGGAAAAGAAGAAGTCAAACTATCTCTCTTCACTGACAATAGGAGTCTATACTTAGAAAAGCCCATAGTTTCCATCCAAAGACTGATAGATCTAGTAAACAACTTCAGCAAAGTTTCAGGATACAAAATCAATGTACAAAAATCAGTAGCATTTCTATACACCAATAATTTTCAAGCTGAGAGCCAAATCAAGAACATAATCCCAGTTACAATAGTCACACACAAAAATAAAATACATCAAAATACATCCGACCCAAGGAGGTGAAAGATCTCTACAAGGAGAACTTCAAAATACTGCTCAAAGAAATCATCATAGACGGGCTGGGTGCGGTGGCTCACACCTGTAATCCTAGCACTTTGGGATGATGAGGCAGGTGGAGTGCTTGAGGCCAGAAGTTCAAAAACCAGCCTGGCCAACATGGTGACACCCCGTCTCTGCAAATATTAGCTGGACGTGGTGGCAGGCACCTGTAATCCCAGCTACTTGGGAGGCTGAGACAGGAGAATCACTTGAACCCGGGAGGTGGAGGTTGCAGTGAGTAGAGATCGCGCCACAGCACTCCAGCCTGGGCAACAAGAGTGAAACTCTGTCTCAAAAAAAAAAAAAAAAATGAAAAAGGAATTATCATAGACAACAAAAATAAATGAAAAACATTCCATGCTCATGTATTGAAAGAATCAATATCATTAAAATGGCCATATTGCCCAAAACAGTCTACAGATTCAATGCTATTCTCATCAAACTACCAACGTCAATTTTCACAAAATTAGAAAAAATCTGTTCTATTAATAAATTTCACGTGGAACCACAAATAGCCCGAATAGCAAAAACAATACTAAGCAAAAAGAACAAAGTTGGAGGTATCATATTACCTGACTTCAAACTATACTGTAAGGCTACATTGACCAAAATAGCATGAAACTGGTACAAAAACAGGCCCATAGACCAATGAAACAGGATAGAGAACCCAAATATAAAGCCACACATCTACAACCATCTGATATTTGACAAAGTCAACAATGGGGAAAGATATCTGCTAAATAAATGATGCTGAGAGAGCTGGCTAGATTCATTCAAAAGAATGAAACTAGACCTCCACCTTTCATCATATACAAAAATTAACTCAAGATGGATTAAAGATTTAAATTCAAACTATAAGAATCCTAGAAAAAAAAAAAACCTAGGAAACATTATTCTGGATCTGGGCCTTGGCAAATAATTTGTGACTCAGCCCCCAAAAGCAGTTGCAACAAAAACAAAAATTGACAAATGGGACCTAATTAAACTAAAGAGCTTCTGCACAGCAAAAGAAACCATCAACAGCATAAACAGACAACCTACAGAATGGAAGAAAATATTTGCAAACTACGCATTTTCTCTTCCATGGAAAATTAAGGTACACATTTTATTATGACCTTAATTATGTGAAATTATGTGTTTATATGAAAGATTTACCTTAAAAAGGTTTTCTAAAATGTTCATTGTGATTAATTCTGTGAGATAAGATTTTAGGATTTATATTTATTCTACTTTTCATGTGATTTAAATGTTTTATTAATTTATTATTTTAATTTTGTAATGTTTGTATTGAAAAGCTATTTCCTCAAAATATTAATTCTTCTTATATTTCTTTTCAAAATCAAAAGAAATACAGAGGGTATTATGTTGCTGTTTTTATTTATTGTGATTTTTTTCTTTGCTTTAAAATAGTTAATGACATATAGGTAAATAATAAACCAAGGAATACATAACACAAAAACTTTATAATTTAAAGTAAAACATAAATTTCTCATTCTTTTCTTTTAATGATATGATCAGAAAGCAAAGATTTTCTATGCTTTTACAGATTTGCTTCCTAACCATATTAGGAAGGAGAAAAAAAAAAGTGAAGAGAAAAACAACAACAAAAAAAATGAAGAATTGATGAGACAAAAATAAGGCTGACATATAAAGATGGAACAAGTGCTTTCAAATTTATTCAATCTCATTCCTCTTTGAAAACTTATCGAAAAATATGGATCGTTACCAGAAAAGAAAAATGTTTATTCATACAGCATCTGCAAACTTTAGTAAGTTTATAGATTCCATGAAACACATGCATACTATTAAAGAAAAAATTATTCAATGACACTTGACAAAGTATAGTAAGGCAGACTTTATTCAAGGCCATTGGAATAGGTATAGGAACCTCTGCAATGAGATTTTTCATCAGAGAGAGATACTGGGTTTGACCTCAAATACAGCACGAGCAAGTGAAAATGTATAAACAAGAAGTAGGGCAGGCATAAGTTAATGGAAAATTACTAAAAGGAAACATCAGGGAGAAGGGAGATTCTGGCTAAGCTGACCTAACAGAATTCTTGCTGAAAACAGGCCAGGGTGATAAGATATCACCTGAGGGATGGTAGAGGAGGGAACCTGACCAGATATTTGGGGTGCTCAGATATTGAGGGTGGGAGGTTCTTGCTAAAATGACTTGGCAAGTTTTTTGCAAAAACTAGATTTTACAAGTAAGTGCACAGATGGGTTTATAAGGTTCAGGAGCCTGACTAAAATGTGGTCAAGCACAGAATCTGTGTCAATACATCAGAACAACAACCAAAGATCTAAAGGACAAAAGAACTGATAACTACACAGAGTTCGACACAAAAATAAGAAGAAACAGAACCCAGTTGCAGATTGCCTGTAACAAGTCTTTCTTGTATCCTTTAATTATAGTTACTACCAACAGATTTTTAAACCAAGAAAGTCTTTACAACTTCAGACAGGAGTAGGAAGTAACACTTCTTTCCACTTGCCTATAAAGAATATTTAAAAAAAAAAAAGTGAACTCTAGATCCAGATGTAAAAATGCAGATGTGAATACCTGTGCCTGTGCCTTAATATTTACAAAAGATAAGAACTCAGTTATTTCACAACAGGTGAAGTACTTTGAATGGAATGTCACAAAGTCAAGCATTGTGATTTTGGAAGCATGGTTCCCTTAGTTCAGTGCTAAAAACTTTGGAAGGGTGGGAGGTAAACAAAATAATAGAGAAACAAAGGAAAAAGCTTTCATCAAAATTTAATTTTTTTAAGTTAAAAGAGAAACTAGAAAATTTTGCAGAATGATATCTGAGGACTAACTTAAATCATTTATATCTGAAGAGCAGTTTGCCAATTTTTACTTATGCTGTAACCCAAAAAACTAAGTTTGTTATATAACCAACTTTTATAGAGAGAGTTTGTTATTTTGTCTGTAACTAATCTGTTCTTCCTACTGTGTCCCCCACTATTTGTATAAGTAAATACCCAATCTAATCTAAAGTTTAGTCTCCAAAAAAGAGACCTTCAGGATATGTTTGGTTTCCGAGATAAAAATTCTGTCACAGATAACTTTTCTCCAGCGGCTTCTCTCCTTAGAGTGGAAGCAGTAGTGCTGCTCACATGCTCTAGACTAGAAACAGAGGCAAACAACTTAGGGTTTTTGAATGCTAATTCCTTGACAATCCCAGTCTCCAGTACATAAGTCTCCCCTTGGTAAGCTTTTGGTCCATTCTTCTTGAGTTGAAGCCATGTTTCTGCTCAGAGTCCAGGCCTAGAAGGTCTTGCTGTATTTCCCACTGATACTACAGATTACTTGTAAGTTCTGACTTTGATTCTACTCCTTCCTGGAACAGATAATCCATCTGTGGCCGCTAAACAGCCAGACTGCTAATAGTGCTTTCTGTCAGGTTCTTTCTGTCAAATGCTTTCTCTCAGGCATATTATCAGGGATGTGGTAATGTTCCCAGCTGGTATGAGTCATTCTGCAGGGTCGAAATCTAGCTTCCTCCTGGCGTCTCAAACAGAGGTATGAGGAGGACTCCTCTCTGCACTTCATGATACTCTCGTTTATTGGACACACTATCTCTCCAAGTTGAAGTGTGAGGAACAGAAGTTGAGACCCCTGCATTTGATCACTTCACACATCACTTTCTGTTTCTCCTTCCTACAATCCCTCAAGAGTGGAAAGGGGAGTTTTCCCTTTTTCTTCTCCCCTTTTATCTCCCTAGAGTTCCCCTACTTAGAAATTCAGTTATCTAGGCTGGTGAGCAAGATTTCTCCAAAGAGGCATAAAGTAAACCTTCAGCAAACAATAACCTGGCTTGCAAAGGTAAAGTATAGATGCAAAAGCTCTCCTTCTAAATTTCAGAATCTGAAGCCTCTTTGTGTATTCATGGATTCCTAGGAGGACAAGAATGAATAAAGGCTCAGAAGGTCAAAAAGACAATCACATTTTTAAAATAAAACTCTTAACATTGTTCTATTTGTTCTCTATCCTATGTCAACTCTTCTTGTCCCCGTGCATAAAGCAATTAGGCACCCCTTAACAGCAAACATTATAGGAAACATTGACAAAAGGCTATAGATAGAAATGATATCAATGCCTGCCTCCTTCTCTACTTTCCTACTCCTAACTTCAGTGCATGCTAGGATGGCTGCAATGCACAGCTAAAGCAAAGTTCATTGATTTTCCTCAACCAGAGTGCAGCTTCTAACACCTCTATTCGGATGCTGGAGGTGGGATTCAGCGGAATTGTGTTGAGTCTCAGGGCATCACCTTGACTGGTAGGAGAGCGACTAACACTATTTGAATTAGCTCAGCCGATGTACAAAATTATATAGGTCCTCTCCCAATGTTTGCCAATCAGACAGCAGAACCAGTTTTTATACTTCTCTTTCTCTCAAGGCTCCTAGATTTCCTTCTGAGATTCAAGAAGAGGAGACACAGGTTGTCTATTAGCTCAACTACACTATTTTACTTTAAATGGCAAGTTTAACAAATCAGAATATTCTATTTGAATCCTGTCTACCAATACTAGGTTGTCTTTAATTCATGAGTATATGTGCTATCTAAATTTTGAACAGTAGCATGGCCTTGCCTCTGTTTTTTAAAGCTCTAGGGCAGGGGTGTCCAGTCTTGGTTTTTTTTTTTTTTTTTTTTGAGATGGAGTCTCGCTCTGTTGCCAGGCTGGAGTGCAGTGGCGCGATCTCGGCTCACTGCAACCTCTGCCTCCCATGTTCAAGCAATCCTCCTGCCTCAGCCTCCCAAGTAGCTGGGACTACAGGTTTGTGCCACCATGCCCAGCTAATTTTTGTATTTTAGTAGAGACGAGGTTTCACCATGTTGGCCAGGATGGTCTCGATCTCTTGACCTTGTGATCCAACTGCCTCGGTCTCCCAAAGTGCTGGGATTACAGGCATGAGCCATCGCGCCCGGCCAGGGGTGTCCAATCTTTTGGCCTCCTTGGGCCATATTGGAAGAAGAAGAATTTTCTTGGGCTACACATACAATACACTAACACTAACAATAGCTGATAAGCGAAAAAGAAAGAGAATATCGTAATGTTTTAAGGAAGATTATGAATTTGAGTTGGGCTGTATTCAAAGCTGCCCTGGGCTGCATGCGACCCATGCAGGTTGGACAAGGTTGCCCTAGGGGAAAATTCCCATATACAAATGAAACTCTTATTTTTCCTTTTTCATTCCAACTCCCAAGTTGGGAGTCTTTAGAAATTAAAGATGGTAAAGAGATTAATGGTGGGAAGCAGCAGAAAAGAGGGCAAAGTCCAAGTCTAATTTTCTAACCACCTTGGAAAAACAAGATGTTCTATGAGGGATGACATTCGAGAGCATAGTGAGAATTAAATAACAGTTTGCAGCTGTGGAGGATTGGGATTCCTAGATGTTCCTATATATAGTGAATAGTGAATTGAAAGAAGTTTATCCCTGGTCAGAGTATACTGGAAAGAACTTCCAGCAGATATTTGGAGAAAAGAGATCCAATCTGAGGACAGGGTTTGCAAAGTCATCGTCATGCCAAGAGGTTTGCTCCACAGTAATCACAGTAATAGGGCTGTCACATGGTAAGGCAAGTTGCCAATGCTTCTTTAGAAGTTGTCAAAACATTTCAGCTTCTCAACAACTTTCTCACTAAATCCTTGTGAGAATTAGTGTAAAGTATTATTTTATAAAAGTTCTGAAAACACAAAATACTTCAATGGCAAATTTTACTTTACATTCTAAGCATTCCCCACTGAGGCTCATTTAAGGTGCATACAGGGGTTTGTTCATCTCTGGCCAACCCCAAATGTTACACCGGATGGAAGGAAGGAAGGAAGGAAGGAAGGAAGGAAGGGAGGGAGGGAGGGAGGATCAGCATGCAATGTTAGACATAGCACTGCCCTTTTCTTGACTGGTATAAAATATAATAATAAATCATATCAATCGCTAACAGAGAATTCCTAAAGGAGTAAATGATGGAAAGATGAAACAAAATAAGTATCTTGGAAGCCAGAAGTATTCTGAATATTTGAGAAGGGTTGGGTCTGGGCATGAAGAAAATCCTTAGATAGCTGTAGATTTGACCATGGCAGGACAATCTCTCTTCACCAAGGAGTCACAAGGGTCTTTGGTGCCTCGTGGGGAATACGGGCGGAGAATAGTCCAAATATTCAACATGAACCACGGACACTATGGCTCTGGGAGCCTCACTAATTCACAATTAATATTGCAAAAGCCAAAAGCCGATGCTACAAAGCAAAGAGCTCTATACTCTGCAGGGTGTGGGTGTGCACAGGCACCATGAGTTCACATAAGTGTACATAAGCAGAAGGATCCATCTTGTTTTGTCACATTTTGTGTATGATACTTAGTAACTTTGGATAGCTCTCTCCTTATTACAAAAATAGAAAAATGCTTGAGCAATTTTGGAAAAGTACACAAAAATCACACTAAAAAAAGAAACGAAATTCACTTATAATGCCACAAACAAGAAATATTTAGTATTACTATTGTGGTATATATCTTTGAAGATTTGTTGCATTGGGATTATACTATGCGTAATATTTTATACACTACTTATTCACATATTAATGTGCCCTGAGTATTATTATATGTTACGAAGCACATATTTCCTTTTGCCATGAGTCATTAATGCCTAAAAGTATTTCCATCATATAGATATAAGGTTTTTAATAATATCTTGTGGCTGTAACTATGGGTTACTTTTATTTTGTTTTATGTTTGCTATAAAGTATTAATTCTCTAATTCACACTCATGGTTATTTCCTTAGGGCAAATTCTGGAAGAAAAATTACTAGGTCAAAAAAATGATCATATAAAATATTTTTATATATTCACAGATTGTTCTACACATATGTTGCCTCACTTTTACTTCCCATTTAATTAATTAATTAATTATTCTCAGAGAAAGAGTCTCATTCTGTCATCCTGGCTGGAGTGCAGGGGTAGCCTCAAGCAATTCTCCCACATCAACCTCTTAGTAGCTGGGATTACAGTGTGAGCCACCGTTCCCTCTTTAATTTTTAAGTCTTATTTACCTAACTGTTTCCAACACTGGCTATCATTTTTTCCTCAAGATTTCACATTTCAAAATGTAAAATATATGTATTTGTATTTTTATTTTCTTTACTCAATTGTGAGAATAATCAACTCACATTCTTTTTTTTATTTTGTATTATTTTATTGGTTTATTTCCTAACTACTTTTGCTATTTATGTTTTTATATTAATTTTTTAAAATTATTTCCTGTATGGCCTCTTTATTTAAAAAGAATATTCACTCTTTTATGTTTGGGGAAAAAACTGTATTAAGAACATTTAATATGAGATATACCCTTTCAACTATTTTTAAGTGTACAATACAATATTGTTAACTATAGGTATAATGTTGTATAACAGATCTCTCAATCTTATTAATCTTGTATAACTGAAACTTAAGCTTTTAAACTTTCATTTATGATATGTTGAGATGCAAAAGTTTTGCATTTTTATGTAGGCAAATGTACCAGTTACCATTGTTTTGGCTTATTGTAAGTTATGATTTAACATAAAGATCTAGTTTATTATCAGGTAATAATGTTTGCAGCGTTTCTATTTAAACCGTGATTTTACTACTGGTTTGAAACTTTATCATATACCAAATTCTGATGGCAATGAAGCCTGTTTCTGACATTTTTATATAGTCCCATTAATTTGACTGTTGGGATTTGGTGATAGTGGCATTCTGCTTTGATTATCATGGTACTATTTTATTTCTATTTATTTTTGAAACAGAGTCTCATTCTGTCACTTAGGCTGGAGTGCAGTGGCACAATCTTAAATCACTGCAATCTCCACCTCCTGGGTTCAAGTGATTCTTCTGCCTCAGCCTTCAGAGTAGCTGGAACTACAGGCACCCGCTACCACACTGGCTACTTTTTGTATTTTCAGTAGAGACGGGAATTCAGCATGTTGGCTAAGTGAGTCACAAACTCATAACCTCAAGTGATCCACCCGCCTTGGCCTCCCTAAGTGCTGGGATTACAAGCAGGAGCCACTGCATCCAGTCTTGGCACTATTTTAATATTAAGTGCTGGTGGTGCCCCCATGCCTTTCTCTTCTTTTATAAAAAAGAAATGTATATCATTCACCTTTTTTTTTGTTCTTCCATTAAACTTCTGTATGACTTGAAGTTCCAAAAAGTTCTTGGGAGGTATGTAATAAAATTGAAGCATATTTTTTAATTAATAGAATAAAACTGAAATATTTACAATATTCATACCCATCCTGGAATCCTATGTGTTATTTAATCAAGCCTTTTGTTATGTCTCAAATTATCTGTGTTAGCTTTATTTATATACCTCCTAAACACTTCTTGCTCATTTTTTTAGTCCTTGATTAATATGGTTTGGCTGTGTCCTCACCCAAATCTCATGTCAAATTGCAATCCCCACGTGTCCAGAGAGCGACCTGGTGGGCAGTGATTCAGTCATGTGGGCGGTTCCCCCATGTTGTTCTCATGATAGTGAGTGAGTTCCCATGAGATCTGATGGTATAAAAGTGGTACTTCCCCCTTCGCTCTCCCTCTCTCTCTGTCTCTCTCTCTCTCCTGCTGCCATGAAAGATGTGCCTTGCTTCTCCTTCAGCTTCCGCCATGATTGTAAGTTTCCTGAGGCCTCCCCAGCCATGTGAATCTGTGAGTCAATTCAACCTCTTTTCTTCATAAATTATCCATTCTCAGGTAGTATCTTTATAGCAGTGTGAGAACAGACTAATACACTGATCATCAAGAAAATGTTTTTGACAGCTTTCCATTAACTGGCAATGTGTTACTTTATTCCTGGATAGTTTAAAATTTTGCTGCTAATGTGAATGAAAACTGTTGTATAAAGAATGATTGCTGATAAATAATATAGCTCTTTATTTTTTTCATATATATTTTATAAATATTCAATGTCTTGTTAATTCTAATCACTTTGAGTTATTTATACTTACCTGGACAAAGAATCACATTATCTACAAATAATGAAAATTTTGCACCATCCGTTTCAGTGTTTTTACTTCAAATTAGTTTATTTATAATATTTGGTTACAAATCCCATAATAGAATTAAGAAGTACATATTAGTAAGCCTAGAATTAACCATAATTATTTCTAGCCCTAAGACCCACTTTTGTTCCTTATTTTGTGTACATGTTTTCTCTATTTTAATTGATTTTTAATTATGAAGCTTTGTCTATTTTGATAGATTTTTTATAAAAGCAATTTTTCATATTAATCTATCACTTATATGTACGTTTCTCAAGTAACTCAATTCTGCCTTTACCTTAGTATTTATGCCTATGTTCTTCTTAATTTTGATTTTCTGGACATTTCAGAAGATATTTTGAATAGAACCATAAAATACCAGCCTGCTTGGTGCAAACAACTTTATCAAGTTCCTTTCTGTGCTGGACATTACACTGGTAGCTCCTACTGAATCATGTCTCCCCACATTCATGCCTTGGGTAGTTCTCTCCCATATAAATTCTAGGCTTGGACAGAGGGCTTGCCTTGGCCATGGATGACCAGATATGAAGTCAGCAGAGGATTGGTAAGCATTTGGAGGTTATTCCCTTGGAAGCCAGGCTCCGTATTGTAAAGAATTGTAGGCTCTTTTCCTGCAGATAAAGTGTATGTGGAAAGACCCAGAAGGACAAGATGCCACATGGAGAACCAAGGTGCCCTGGCCAAGCTCCTGGCCTTACACAGGCACCTGAGTGACCCCCAGATGGCAAGACATGAAGAAAGAAAACATGCAATAACCTACAGCATCATGAGAAATAATAAATATCATTTTTATGGCACTGAGTCTTGGAAATGTTTGCTACGCAACTGAAGAAAACGGAGAAGTTTTCTGTTTAAACTTGGTTTGATTCAATGACTTTTCTATTTAGCCAAGCTTCAGAGAAAGCTATCGAGCAGAAAGATATTTAATTCCCCATGTATCAAATATGCTAACTCACAAATAAGGCAGGAATGGCTCTAACCAAATGTGGATTCAAATAACATTCTTTTCTCTTTTTTCCCCCAACAATAATGAGTTATTGCCTCATTTCAGTATCCTTTTTTCAGTGCTTCAATAGAAACTTAGGGGATGATTTATCAGCTATAAACAGTCTCAAAGTTCTTGTATGTCATTTCTAAATCAGATCTGTTTTTGAAAATTCAAGCTGTCACATGTAACCATTGACTGACGGTGATTAATTCATTATGACTTACAAACTTTTTAAATAAATAAAAAATGTGTGTGTGTATCTTCTCCTCAGAAAAATATAACTACATGAAGAAACAAATTATCACACAAAATTTCAGCAGTTTCATGAATCATCTGAAGCAAATTCATGGACTTATTAAAGATAATATGTAGTAAATTTGGAACACATTTTAGCCAACTAATCTGTTCTAAGATAAAAGCTTCTTGGGAAAAATACAAATAAATAAAATAAATAAAACAGAGCTGCCGTAGTTGAAGCAAAGGCAGAGCTTGAAAACCCACGCTTTGCCTCCAGTCCTTCTTTTACCAGCCCTCACATCACACCTCTCCACAGAACAGCTTGTTAATCACTTCTTTAAAATGACATGATAAATTTATACACATAGAGAAAAAGAAAGACAAAGTGAGGGAACTGGAGTCAGAAAAGTGCTAACCTAAGCTAAGAGTAGATATATAATAGAACAAAGGAAGATGGGATTCAGGCAAGTAAGGTACAAGAAAATAACAGATCAATCAATGTGGACGGAGGTTCAACATGAGACACCGAATGATCTGCTGCTTTGAAATAAGTTGGATGACCATATATCCCAGTGTGTCAAGAACAGACCAGGTTTATGCCTGTGGCCCAGTTGTAATTATTAAAAGCTCCCCCTTTTACTCTCAAAAAGATTCCAGTGCAGGAGATAAAGTATATGTTCCTCCAAAGAGGGCCCCAGTTCTCACCACGTTTGTTTGTGGGCACAGCAGTATTGAGATGTACTTGTTTATCCTAAAGTAGGGACTTTCCATCTTAATCAGTCCCTGCAGTACCAGCAACCCAAGAAAAGAGCCACCAGTGTGATGAATACATGTACTTAAATAAGCAAAAAAGGCCGGGCGCGGTGGCTCACGCCTGTAATCCCAGCACTTTGGGAGGCCAAGGCGGGCGGATCACTAAGTCAGGAGATGGAGACCATCCTGGCTAACACGATGAAACCCCGTCTCTACTAAAAATACAAAAAATTAGCCAGGCATGGGGGCGGGCGCCTGTAGTCTCAGCTTCTCGGGAGGCTGAGGCAGGAGAATGGCGTGAACCCGGGAGGCAGAGCTTGCGGTGAACCGAGATCGCGCCACTGCACTCCAGCCTGGGCGACAGAGTGAGACTCCGTCTCAAAAAAAAAAAAAAAAAAGCAAAAAAGAAGTATTAAATCAAGAGAAGAATTCTTGCTAAATTGACAAAGTTTTCAAAAATTATTGCTTTCTCAATGTTAAGTTACCACAGCAGTTTAATGGAAATGCTTTACCTTAGATAGAGGAAAAAACAAATTATGTTTCACATTCACCTTTTCTTCCACACAAGTGAATTGAAAGTTCTAAAGCCTTAAAATATATCACCATTTTAAGTTCCACCCTATAGGATTATATCTTCACACTTTGGTTCTTTTTTCAATTAATGGTCCATTTGTGGAATGCATATGTAGTTATTTCAGTTCTATATGGCTCATTAGAGGGCCTTCTCAGTGACGTGTTTCATTCCTCTTGGTCTAATATGAACGTATTCACTAGGAATATACTATAGAATAACTAATAAAGCAATTTTTGAACATTTAAGAAGAAGTAATAAAGCACAACTTATCTTCCTTAAAAATAATTTAATCTGTTGTGGCTGTTTTAAAGATTTGAAATCAGGAGAAAATCCTTTACAAGTAGCTTTTATTATAACCTGGAACCTGACACCTCATTCAAATGTGCATATTAATGTATAATATATATCAGAGTGACTCCAGTGGGAAGAATAAATGTGTTAGATCGTGCAAGTATAAAGAATGTAAGAATAAACATGAAAACTGTCAGTGGGTCAGATAAGAGGAACCTCCATTCTATTTATCCTTTCCTGAGTAATTTCCAAGTTTGCATAAAACCATGGTCCCATTTAAACAGTGGAGCTGATTATGATTTAATCTGACTTGTGGATAAAATCCTTTGTAAATGTGTTGCTCTTGCTATTCTATTCAATTATGTTTTACTTGTCCTTTTCTATTGCTTCAAGGAGGGTCCAGATTGCACCTTCTTGATTAAGAAGCAATTTCTTCAGCAAAACTCTACTACTTCAGAAATAGTGACAGTTTTACATTGAGAAACAAAACCCTGAATTTTTCATTGACAAGAAAAACCAAATTTTTTTTCTGTAGGAATGTGAGTTATTGCTAATATTATCAACTATTCCTATAGAATATATCAGAAATAATTCATGTAAATAAAGTATTAGATGAACAAGTTTACAAGTCAAAAAATAGATTTTTTTATCTTCTGCTGACTTAAAAGGAAATCAACAGTAATTAACAAGAAAATATTGAATAGAAAAATAAATATTCTAGATGCAACCTATAAATGTGAATTATGACATACATGAAAAGCAAGACTAAGTACTTTGTTCATTGATAAATTGTGAGACTTCATTTGATCACCCGCACGATCACTTACAAGGACATACTTCAACTGTTTACTAAGATCTAGAGCTCCCCTTCACTGCTTTAGACCAAAAACATGTCATTTGTGGGGTAAGTTCCCTCAAATTCACATACATGCTATTGGATCCAGCTCTATTTTAATCTAGTTACATACCATATTTAACATTCAAGTTCAAAAACCATATAGGCAACAGTAAATAAAGCCTTCACTTGCAATGCTAACAATCTTTTGAGGAAACACCATTTTCAATTTATCTCTTACTGGTGTATTTCCACTGAGCTAAGATACACATATTTAAATGAATATTTGGGTATTGATGGCTCTCTTGTTTTCAATATTGCTCAACTCATACGTAATTGAAAGACAGACATCAGACATGCATAAAAAATACTCTTAGCCATATATTATGATTATATATAACTGTAATAACAAAATCTCAAAATATATTGAGTTCCATGCTTTTTATAAACTATACATCCAAACTTGACTTCAAAAGGACTGAAATAGAGTCTAAATAAATGACATAAAACATTTTAATAAGGAACATTTAAATTTGGTTAAATTAGATTAGGTCTCTAATTGTCAGGATGGAGAGTTATAAAGTCCATATAAGACGGAGGCAAATCGGCCATTTAAGACCTTTCTCATTCTTTTGAATCTGTAAGCCTGTGAGTTCTTTCTGTCTCACCTCCCCCATCTCTTCCTTCAGCAGCTGTTTACAGTAGGCACCCAGTCTTAAACAGGCTGGCCTGTTATGAATAAATCATACTCCCAGAAATGCATTACATGACTCTTGTATGGAATCATACGTATTAAATATTTAAGATGTTTATATTCTTTTCTAGAAAGAAGGCCAATTCACGGATATAAGGGTTGAATTACTTCTTGAAATGGGGTCATTCCTATCATTAGCCACCTGAGACAACTCAGACAACTCAGACAACAATGCAATGGAAAGGGCCTTTGTTAAAATGTTAAGATACTACATACTAAGTTACTTCGCTTGTAGAAGCAGGAAGAGAGTGGCAAAAAATAAAAAGGAAAAGAGGCAAAGAAAAGGATAGGAAATGAAAGAAAAAAAGTAAGGAAAGAAAAGAAAAAGGAAAGGAAAGAAAGAAAGAAAAAAGGGAAAGTAAAGAGAAAAGGGAAAGAAAAAAGAAGAAAGAAATGGGAGAGAAGAAAGGAAGGAAAATAGAAAAGGAAAGGAAAGAAAACTGAAGGGGAGATGGGGGAGGGGCGATTAAAAAAGAAAACAGAAAAGTGAAGGGAGGTGAGGGGAGGGAAGGGAAGGGACGGGAGAGAAAGGAAGGGGTTGGAAGAGATGGGATGAAGAATTTGGCTTTGGAGTGGAACAAACAGGATACCTCCTGTGGCTTCATTGTCTGCAAGCTGTGCGACGTCTGAAAGCTTCCTTTTTATATAAAATGTGCCTACCAAATGGGTATATAGCTACTAACAACCAAACTTACCCTTGTTAAGTTATTAATATTAAATGAGGTAATACAATTGTGATATTTAACATTGATCCCACCAGAGAAAGTCTCAAGGTGATTCTATTTAAGTGTCCCAAGTAGAGAGATATAGCTAGGGAGCACAGGTTTGAATCCTAACATTTTTTACTTACAAATGTCATGGGGATTTGCACCAGGCAGAGTCAGGGAGGGCAAGAATAAATACTCAAACAGGAGCAAAGCAAGTCTTTGGGCAAGGTCAGGTATGTTTCCTACTGGGCAAAAACCCCATAGGACCCTGAAGGATGAAGAAGTGAGGTCCTTAAAGACACTGACAGGAGGAACTGCTAGGACAGATTCTAGGTGGATGCAGTCCATGCAAAGTGTGTGCTCAACTGAAGGTGGGGCAGTTTGCAATGTCTCAGTTCCTGTGTGGAGCCAGGAAACCCAACAATGACTCTACATTGATCATTTGCAAGTCCTCACGTTTGGCTCTTCCCAGACACCAGCCTTTCCTTCCTGGGAAACTTTCCTGAGATCAGCTATTAGAGAATATGCTCTTTCTGAAAATCATCTTTTTTATCTGTCCTTTTTATTTCTTCTTATCCTCAAGTCTTCTTTTTTTATTTCTTTTTAATTTCAGGGTTTATTTCAGATACAGGTGGTACATGTGCAAGTTTATTACATGGGAATACTGTGTGATGCTGAGGTTTGGGGTATAGGTCCCATCACCCAAGTAGTGAGCATAGTACCCAGTAGGTAGTTTTACAAGCCATGCCCCCCTCCCTCCTTCTCCCTTTTAGCAGTCCACAGTGTCCATGTGTACTGTTGTTCCCATGTTCATGTCCATGTGAGTTCATTGTTTAGTTCCCACTTATAAGTGAGAACAAAAGTTATTTGGTTTTCTGTTCCTCCTGCATTAATTCACTTAGGATTATGGCCTTCAACTGCATCCATGTTGCAGCCAAGAACATGATTTCATTCTCTTTTATGGCTGTATAGTATTCAATGGCATATACATATCACATTTTCTTTAGTCAATCTATCATTGATGGGCACCTGAGTTAATTCTATGTCTTTGCTATTGGGCATAGCAAATAGTGCTGTGATGAACAGATGAGTGCATGTGTCTTTTTAGTAAAATAATTTATTTTCCTTTGGCTACATATCCAGGGATGAGGATTGCTGGGTCAAATGGTAGCTCTGTTTCCTTCTCTAGGTATATGTGAGAAAATATTTTCTTCTGCCAAAGAAATGTACTATCTTCTGTCTCTTCAGAAAACCTCTTCTCTTTTCTAATATCTAAGCAAACCCTTTTCTCTTCTTATATCCTTTAATGATAGTGATTAGTGGCTTTTAAAAATTGAGGATGTAAATGAAGGAAAATAAATTTCCTTTGGCTTAATCTTCAAATCCAACTAGATAGTGAGGTGAAGAAGTCATATTATTTTAATGCAATCAAAAAAAAGATGGGGAGAAAAAAATTAAACACCTATATCCTGCTACTTATTTAGAGAATTCCCCATGGTACCTGTAAATTTATTAAGCATTCAAAAAATATTAAAATATTAGGTAATAATTCCATGTTTGTGAACTCAAGCCTCGTTTCACTGGGCTGTCATGTAGAATAGAGTAGTGCTTAAAGATTTGAAGAGTAAGTCTTGGGTAAGTGAACAATGTTAATTTCAAATTACTATTGTTCATAAGTAAATACATGTTTCTCTGTATGTTTGCATATCTTTTATCTCTCCATCTGCTCCATATCCACTGTAACAAAGTGAACCACACTTCAAACATTACAGTGTAATTGTAAGAACTAAAAGTGTCCTTGAGTCCTTCACATAGAGTGGTAGAGACAATGATAATTCAGGATTTTAAAACCTGCACAGGGCAAATGAAACATAGCAACCTCAAGTAGGGACTGCTAGAGTCCCTGTAACCTGTGCTTTGACTCTATGCATTTGTTTCTTAGCCAAAATCAAAGAGATGCCACTAAGACAACTTACCAAAGCCTTTGATATTGTTTGGCTGTGTCCCCACCCAAATCTCATCTTGAATTGTAGCTCCCATAATTCCTATGCGTTGTGGGAGATACCGGTGGGAGATGATTTAATCATGGGGTCGGTTTCCCCTATACTGTTCTCCTGGTAGTGAGTAAGTCTCATAAGATCTGATAGTTTTATAAGGAGAAACCCTTTTCACTTGGCTCTCATTCTCTCTTGTCTGCCACCATGTAAGAAGTGCCTTTCGCCTTCTGCCATGATTGTGAGGCCTCCCCAGACACGTGGAACTGCGAATCCATTAAACCTCTTTTTCTTTATAAATTACCCAGTCTCAGGTATGTCTTTATCAGCAGTGTGAAAACGTACTAATACAGCCTTGCATCAACAAATGGCAAGTTTGGGGAAAATCTTTGTGTCTCCAAGATACTATTCCTCTAAATATCTAAACCCATTTGTATGGGGAAGGCATCAATTACATGATTCCTACTTTCTTCCTACTTTCTGTGCTTCCTAGATTTTCAAGGCTTCTTTTTTTTTTTTTTTTTTTTTTTGACCCTCAGAGGCTTGAACCGCTAATGCTCTGTGTCTCTACTAGTGGCTGAAGCCAATTTGCTGTAAATTTCATTTCTCCTACCATATCATCTTAGATGAATTTTCCTAGATTTGAAAAGCTTCATCATCTTACAAAGCTGTATTATTTTCTGTCCCACCTATTGCATCCTTCTGGAATGTCAATATCCAGAAGAAAAGAACTAGTTTTGAGAAACCACTGACAACTTGGTCTGTGAAAATTTTGGCTGATTAAGAATTCTGCTTCTCCCTATCTCTCATATAATTTCTGTTGCTTTCCATTAACTCTCATTCCTTACTTAGTCCACATTTGTTTCCGCAACAGGAGTTAGTCCTGACATAAATGTCTCACTAATAAAAGAGATGTGACAGAGCTGACAGCTCTTTGGTTTATATTTATGCTTTCTTCTCTCAAGTGGTTTAGTTGTGTCTGAAAATACTTCTCCAAAACCTAAAACTCACACCTATAGTCTGAATGCCTGGGAACACTTGAAAAATATATGAAAATTAAAATCTAAAATATATGATCCATAGATTAATGCTTAACCAGTTTTCTATATAAACTTATTACAAATATTTTTATTGACTTATTTTTTTAACAATTTATTGATAAAAGTATTCCCTTTTTATTCACCATGAATCCTACCTTTGTATAAGTGCTCTCCTACATTTTAACAGAGTTACCTTGGCTTCAGGAACCTGTGGCTTTATGTCCCTTTCACAGATATTTTTCTGTCAATAAATATACCTTGTGGGTGTTCTTTAAGCTCTATGATGTTGCTATTCTAAGAGAGATTAAGAATATGAATATGCAATTATAAAGATGGTTATAGGTAAAGGCAAGTATCATAAAGAAAACCAAAAAGACTAAGAATATATTAGAAGGCAACAGTGGCTCAAGAGAAGCAAGGTGCAAAAACATGGTGGGGGAAGGTCTCCCTTAGGTGCTGAAATTAAAGCTGCAGCATTAATTTGGAGGACATAGCCATGCAAATATGCAGAAGAATAGATTTCAAGGCAGAAAGAAGGCTTTGAGGAGGAAAGGAGTTTGTCCTATTCCAGGGCAACTGAGTCACAGTGCGTGAAAAGGAAAGTAGTAAAACATTACATGGATGAAGGCAAGGAGCCTAGTTAGGAGACTAAATAAATATTCCATGAGAAAGGATGGTGATGGGCTCAGATCACAGCTGTGGAGATGTCAGGAAGTATCTATAATAGAGTCAGGGTCTCTTCTAGAGGTAGAGCTGATAGCACTCCCTAGTGGATTAAATTTGGAATGCAAGAGAATGAGAGGTGTCAAAAATGACGACTAGATTTTGCACCAAATAGGTGGATGGATTATAGCACCATTTACTGACATGAGAAAAGCATATTTGGGGGTGAAAAACAAAAATCTCTTTGGTTTTGCAACATTTTGATATTTGAGACACCTGGTAGACATCTAAGTGAAGGCTGCCAGGAAAACAAATCTGAGCTATGAAGGCAGTAAAGAATAAGATGAGCTGGCTGTTGTCTCTCTGCTGCAAGCACCCCTTTCTGTACCTGGCTCTGTGAGGCCAGGACTAGTTTTCTATACATTACATTTTCCATATGCCCTTGCATTCTGGCTTTCATTTAGGTTTTATTTTTTATTTGAAGGAGATTGGAAAGAAAAATAAAGGTATGAGGGACTATTTTCATGTTTTCTAGTTGCTGCTAGCATTATTCTAGCAGCAGCATAATAGTGGCCTCCAGCTTCAAGCTTCTTCTGCAATAGAAACATCGCTCTGCTTCCTCACATCCCTCGGGGGTACCCAAGACCCCAGGCCTCACTCTTTTGGAGCCAGAGCACCAGCCACTTGCCTGCGTCCCTGGGAGCTGCAAGCATGCACGAGGCCACACTTCCACCTCAGAGGCCCGAGCATCAGCCCTGCAGGGACCATTCTTTCAATCTCCCAGTTTCTCGTAGCATACCCTCTTTTCTAAGGGTAGTTGTTCCTTCCTACAGTTACAAATTTATGGGATACCACAGCTTTCTCTCTATACTCTTTGAGCCCTATAATATATTTGTACACAATTCCATAAATTAGGTCATCTGTATTTGAAATTCTAAATGTAGTTTTTGTTTTCTCGACAAGACCCTGGCAGATCCATGAGATAGATGTTAGATTATATTGATGATAGATACGGTAGATGAGAGAGATGAGAGAGAGTGAGAGAGATTAGATAGATAGATAGATAGATAGATAGATAGATAGACAGACTTTTTTTTTCCTTTCTCTCAACACTGATTGTCTATCATCCCTGAATTGGCTGCTTAAACTAATCAGAAAGAGAGTCTTAGATTACCACTCTTGGATCACAGCTAGGAAACATACTAACAACAAATTATCTCTATTACCTATTCACATCTCCTTCTTTTAATACTTTTTTCTTGTTCATCAATGAGTATATATCAAAACAGCTTACTGTTAAGCTGGAAAATTATTCTTCCCTTGCAAGAAAGTTTCTCTGACATTTTATATCTGCAATTTTGGATGCAGAGGAGAAGACACAGAACTCACTTAAATAATTAATTAAAGATGTCTTAAGTGATGCAACTTACCCATAAGAAAAATATAATATTTAAATAACTATACCCATAGCAGTGCCTCATTTGTCTTCATTTGTCACTGAAAATGCAAGATCTGGGAGGAAATAATATTTGGCATATTTAAATAATTTTCAAGTTCCACTTAAGAAACCATTACAATCATCATTAGTGTAATATAAAATTTAAAGCTACATAAACATACAACACATGCCACAGTAGAAAATATAAAGAATGCACAATCAAATTATAAATGATAAATTTAAAATAATTTTTTCAGGATCTAATCATTAAAATAATCCTGAAGCATGATTTTTTACTTTTGTCTTCCAGCTGATTTATGTACATATACACAAACACACACATACATATACACATAAAAAGGGAAGTTAAAGTTCTTTTACAACACATTTTTGTTTTTATTGTTAACATTCTCTACCCTATAGGATTATGCTCAGCAAACCATAAAGTACAATCAGGATATACTTAAGTTTTTAAAAATTATCACCATACTTCTCCCCTTTTGATGAGGGATTGAGTAAAGAGTTTGGCAATTTGACAGTCACAAACAATTGTCATAAAAACACAGATGTTACCAAACATTAGTGCTGCAAAATCATTTTTTATTAGTATCACTTGCAGCCCTATGAGTGATATCACTTCCTAGTAAGCAAATATTTTTCAGTTAATCCCGTATTGGATCATACCTCTGTCAATGTTTGTAGTGAAGGTAAGCAGTTAGTTTTTGGCCCCAGGACATGCTGTTAGAAATAAAATGTGCATCTTCCACTGTGCCTTGGGGAAGGGTTTAGATATTGGTACATTTTTACATAGTCTTCCCCACGTTGGCACAGAAAGCATCATCTTTTCTTCTTTGGCAGCTCTGGGGTAACATATAAAGCTGGTTGGTACCGAGCTATGGAATGCCAACTGAAGACACCTCAAAAAATTGTTCTGAAGCATAATTCATTTCCTTTGGAAATAAGGATTATCAGTTCTTCCAAAACGTGATTTAATTATGCGCTTACATAAAATGTCATCATCCTAGTACACTTGACATTTTGATACATATTCTGTTCCTGTCATCTATATCAATGACAAATGACAGAATAAAGGCCTAGTCAAAAATTATATCATCCAAGAAATTTTATATAATCGTGGGCAATTAGAATTTGTAAAACATTTAAATGAATTTAGTTTTTCTTTTAAAAATCAGTCAGCTCATAAGAAAGCTTAAACAAGCACTCAATACTAAACCTATCAATCAAGAGACATGGTTGAGAACCAGGCACTAGGCTGAGTCATGGCACCAGCACTACCTTGCCTTTGACCTTGGATGAGCACCTCATCCTCCCACAGATTTCTTCATCACTAGAGGACAAAAAGTAGAAGCTTTCTAAAATTATTCCAAGCAACAAATTCATAGTCTCTTAATATTTTGAAAGTATCCATACTTCTAGATGCTGTAAGAGATCTAGACATAGGTTTTTAACCTGAGACACATATAGTCTATTTTTGTAAGACAGGGAAAACATTTAGGGCAAAATAAAAGGCAATTAAGAAACACTTACTAGGTTATTTACCAGAGACCCTGTGGCAGCTAACTAGCATTATAGGAACAGGAGAAAAGGAGAGGTAATTAATGGAAATCTCTGTTTAAGTTTAATAAGAATATCCATATTATCTTCAGGTTGACTACAACCTACTTTCCTTAGAAAACCTACCATCCAATGGAATTATATACAAAGGAATATATATTTATTGTATACTTTCTATATACCTAATTAACAATGTATTTTACCACATGATTTTCCATTACTATTTCATTCCATCACTGTTGGCTCTTCTTCCAAGCTTTGAATCTCTAAACTCTTTGGAATTCTTTTTAATCATTGGTCCAGGAAGTCACTCAATGTTACCCAGCAACAGAGTGGGATAGGGAAAGCTAGAATGCAGGTTTGCTGACTATTAGTTCAATTCTTCGCTATGCCAATTGCTTCAATTACAGCACTCTCCTGGGTGAGCTCCCTCTCAGCAGTGCATCCTGCACACACTGCCAGAAAAAGTTTTATATCACGCTCTTCTAAAGACCCCATTAGACTATACTAAGCAACACAGGCAGTAGGAAACCTTAGAAATCATCTAGTCCTATTTCTCTATACCACCCACAGACATACCCTTTAGCAACTTCAGAATGATCTGGTCCAGTGCTGCAAGGTGATTACTTAGTGCAGTAATAATGCATATCTTACCTTACCTGATTAAAGCAAACCCTGGGTACCCTTAAAACACATACATATTGGTTTTCTGTTTCATGAGCCTCTCCAAAGGATGGATATCATATCTTTAAACTTCAGCATTCCCAACCATGACTCCTAGAATTCTCTCCAGCCTAGTGAACTGACAACCAAGATATATTATGTTTTATTTACCTATTGCCTGGCTTTCTGCCCTGTCCCTTTTGCAATATATACATTCAGTCTTGAATAGAGTTCCACATTTGCAAATGCTTTTGCTATATCTCAAGTCCTTTCTCTCCTTGGCCTGATGTTCTAGCCTACCTTCTGGCTTTTTTCATGTGTGTGTATGTGTGTTTTCTAGAATAAGTAAAACTTGGCTTTGGTCTCAAGTCTAGAAATTTTAACTACATAGCTACTCCAGAACCTTTATCTTTCCATATCTAACCTGTCAACACACCCAAATATGATGAGAAACAATTGCATTGAGTGAGAACGATGGATTAAGAAATAATTGATTTTAAAAATAACTCTGACACTATCTGCAGGTTTTGAACAAATTGCTTAACTTCTCTGAGCCTCAATTTTTATCTGTAAAGTGGAAATCATAATTATGCCTATATTATAGCTGTAAAGATTAAGTGAGATTATACATATAAAGTATCTGATATGTAATATGCACTAAAAGTGGTAGCTATTTTTGCTGTGATTTTAAATGTGGTTGTAAGGATGGTGATGTTGGTAGAAATGGTTAGTTTTTTTTAATGAAAGATGATCACCAAAAATAAACTTTTGAGCACCTTTAAAATGTTTATATATGTCACCTGGGTTAGAGTTAGGATTACGTTAAGTTTAGGTCACCTTGGAAAATTATATTTCAATATCTGTTTTTAAAACAATGTGTATTTTTTGCATATCTCCATATATATTTAAAGACAAGTCCAACTATTTAAATATCTATGATTTCAGAGACAATTTTTATTTATGAAACTTGTTTTTAAAGGAATGAACATCCATTCATCAGAGACATATGCTGAATGTGAATTTTCTTAAAACATGCTTACCTGCAATTATATAAAAAATATACATATATATTAAGCATACATTTATGTCACTCTGCATAGTTTCATTTTTCTCATGGATTGCCATTTATTCCTTTTAAAAATCTAGTGATATGAGCACAAAAAGTGTGACACAGGCGTAAAAGCATTAGTATCACCATTTTACACATGAAGAAACTGAGGAAGGGAAAAGTAATTAAAATTAGAATGCCTAACTTCATATATTAATAAGTTTCACAATAACCCTGGCAACCTCCCTAAAACAACTCCCATCAAGGCCACTTAATAATTCCAAATTACCAAACTCAGCACTCAGTTTTTTGTCTTTATTTTACTAAGACATTTGACAAAGTTGGTCATTTGCTCCTTCTTAAAATATTTCTTGCACTTAGCTTCTTTGACACTGAATTACCTGATTTTTTGCTTGGTTCAATCTAACTACTCCTTCTGGATCTCCCTTTGCTAGATGCATCTCCTACTCCTAATGTTAAAATTATGGAGTGGCTCACAATTTTCTCTGCTCTTTCAGTGTTTTCCCCTCAGATGATGTCTTGCAGTCCCACTGCCTTACATATCATCTGAATGCTGGTGACATCCGATTACACAACAGCCTCAGCCCTTAACCCCATGAGCTCCAGAACTGAATATTTACTACTTACAGTACATCTCCACAGATCTCTACAGACACCTCAAAATTTAACTTTTGCAAAACAAATATAATTATTTCTGACCCCAGCTCTAAAACAGTCTTCTCTCTCAATCTCCCTTATCTCTAAAATGGCTCCTGTCATCTGGCCAAAATCAGAAACAGAGTCCTCATCTTTCCTAACTTCACAAAGCCAATTCAGAAAATCTTGCCTGCTCAAACTGCTAAATATGCCTTCAATCTACAACCTCTTCTTTTTCCACAGCTGCCTATCAAGTTTTATTATTTCCTACCTGGACAGCAGAAATGGGCTTTTAACTGGTATCCCAGCTTCTATTGTTGCTCTTCAACATTTCATTCTCTACGAAAAAGCTAGAGTAATCTTTATAAACATATATGAATTGTATCCCTTATCTGCTTAAACTCTCTAAGGCTTCCCATTACATGCAGAATAAAACTGAACTCGTTATTGTGCCCCAAAAGCCCCTGCATAGTCAGCTTCTTGCCTGCCTCTCTGATCACTTCGGGATGATGCACCTTCACATTTACAATGTTCCAACCACGTTGCACAACTTCTTCAGTTCCTTGATCTTCTCTAGATATTTTTTTACCTCAGGGATCTTTTTAATAGAGTGTACATTTTTCCTGAAATGGTATTGCTCCATATTTTCAAATAGTTGGGTCTCTCTCATCATTCAGGTTTTTGCTCAAATGTATCCCTAGGACCTAGTAAGAGCTCAATAAATATGGGCTGAATCAATAGAAAGAAATAATGAAATTCCACGTTCTCACAGAGACCTTCCCTGAGTATCTGAAGCACAGTCATCTAAGTCCCCGGCTCAGTCATTATCCTCATTACTCTGTTTCATTTTTTCATAGAACTTATCACTGCCTTGCAGAATTATTTTTTGATTGCCTGTTGATTATCTGTGTAAAGAATGAAGGGTCAGAAAAGCAAGGACCTTACTTGTCTTGTACTCCACTGCATTCCCAGTACCTGGAACAGTGCCCAGTCTTGAGTAAGGTCTCAATGACAGATATTTTACTGAATCATAAAGAGTGAATGAATAAATAAGTTAACTCTATTTTACAGATGAGGAAAAGGAGGCTCAAAGAAGTTACATAAATTTATTATAAGTCATACAGATTGTGGATGAACCAGCATTCCAAGCTGGTTTGACCTCAAATTCCCTTCTTTTTTCGATATGACATGGCAGATGACAAACTGAGGTCTAGACAAGATGCCAGAGACTCATTTCTCCCACTCCTCCCCACTTAGTATAACTATAAACCCTGGAAATAGCATAAAAGGCAACATAGAAAAACTCTGAAAGATGATAAGAGGGAGGAAAAATTATTTGAGACACTAAGACTAGAAAAATAACATAATAGGGTATTGTACACGTCCTCCCTTCCCAATGGACAGAAAAAGGCAATCCTGGTTCCCTGACCCTCAACCTAGAAACAGAAGGCAGCTGAGAGAGATAAGTTATTACTTCCCCTAGAAAGAATCGTAGTTCCCCTGACAATGCCAGGTGAGCCCAGCACCACCAGCAAAGGGAAAAGATAGGAAACCAACTCCACTAATGACAACCTGTCATAGAAAGTTCTCTCCTTTTACTCAGGGCCTGAAATGCCCCTCCTCCATCAAAAGGTACCGGGCAGCTGGGTGACACTGCAAGTGGGATCTTGCCACAAACCCACCTGGCCTGGAAAGCCTCAAAGTCCCAGTGAGCTGAGACTTCTCCCCTCCACCTGGAGATACGGGTTCCCTAGCTTCAGGAAACCCCTTATCTCCCCTAGGTCAGCATTAACAGGGACCAGTAACAGCCACATTAGCACTTGACAAAAGTGCAGGAAGACCAAAATAACTTTGCAAATGCTCTGAAAATTAAGCTGTTTTTGGAACCACAGCTCAAAACAATAGGTCAGAACCTGTGTACTAAACCTAAGCAGAAAAACTACCTGCTAAATATATGATTTAAATAGATTCCAGAGTCCCCTATGATAATAAATATTTAGGATAAAATAGAAAAAAACACCCATCATGCCAAGAATCAAGAAATTACAACTTGAATGAGAAAAAACAATGGATGCTAACAATAAGATCAAACAGATATTGAAATTATCTGAAGAGGATTTTAAAGCAGCCATCATAAAAATGGTTAAAAATCAGTTACAAATTCTCTTGAAACAAACGAAAAAATAGAAAATCTCAGCCAAGAAATGGGAATAATAACAGTAAACTGAATAAAAATCACAGAAGTTAAAAATATAATAATAGAAATAATAAACTTGCTGAATGGTCTCAATCGTGGTGAAGATAACAGAGAAATGAATCAGTAAGCTTGAGGAAAGGTCTATAGAATTTACTCGGTCTGAAAAATAGAGGGAAATCGATGGGGAAAAAGTGAACAGAGACTCAGAGACCTATGGGATGAAAACAAAAAGATTAAACATTCATATCATAGGAGTTCCAGAAAGCAAGGAAAAAGAGTGGGACTGAAAGGGTCTTCCAAGACATAATGGCTGAAAACATCCAAATTTAGCAAAAGACACAAACCTACAGATTCAAGAAACTAAGTGCACCTTAAACAGGATGAACCCAAATGAATCCTTCCAAAATTCATCATAATTAAATTTCTGAAAATCAAGAAAAAGAAAAAATCTTGAAAGCCATCAGAAAAAAAGTGATGTATCACTTATTGAACACCCAATCTCATAACAGCGGATTGCTCATATGAAACTGTGGAGGCTGCAAGAAAGTAGTTAAATAAATCAATATTGTAATTTTTTTCCCAATAAACAGGAAGAATCATTAACTGTCACTAAATAAATAGTAAATCCCTAATGCTACTTACCTAGAAGCAAACTGGATGCAGTTGCAGTGTGAGAGCAGCTCTGTGCAGATCAATGCTTTAAGTTCCACTGAAGACATCTCTTTAAGAGGTTTACTGGGTCTTCTCTAAGTGAATTTCGTACTTGAGAAATAGCCTAGATTTTAAATCAAATTATCCTAAGGAGGCTTCCTAAATTTAAGAACATCTATACAGTCATTTTTACTAGCTGCAGCAACTATCAGAGAGAAACTTTATTTATGTAGATTAGTCAGAAAAGCAAATTAAGCTTGATGTTCAATGCATTTTATAGATGCATGTTCAGTTTTCATTGTTGCACTAAAATCTTAAGCTTAGGTTTACCAGGCATTGCTTCTAAAAAAGGACAGTCACGCTGAAACATGCTCAGTATTTTATTTTTGTGGATATACATCAAATATAGGTTTCAGACTTCCTTATAAGTTTAAAATCCCCACTGAAAGACAGCAAATGTTCAGCATTTAAATGGTAGGGAACTATGCGGAGAGACTGGGGAGAAAGTAAGATTGCTGATTATAGTGACTTTAAAAGTTACTGCCATTATTTGACCTTGGCATTTCATTTTATTTAAAATATGCTTATTTCATACATACAAAAATGTTTAAATGATTATTAAGCAGTTGATAAGTCTTTTGAGGACCAAAGGCAGTCTTTTAAGTATGTAAGGTATTCCAGCTTTGCCTCTGATAGCATACTCTCAAATAAATGTATAACTCGAAAATGGATTTTCTTATCATCATGAAAAAGTATAAACTTAATCTAGTTTCTATTTCTTTATCTCAATACCCTTTTAATTGACACTTTGCCTCACCTAATGAAAAACCACCCTCTCCACAATCACAACTATTAGAATCTTATTCTGGCCTTGTCAGACTAACTGACAGCAAGTTAAAGCTTTAACACTGATAGTTGAAAATCTTCTAATCCAAAAGCCAGTAAAAATCTTCAGTATCCTGACTGAATACATATCTATTATTCTTTATAGCTAACTTCAAGAGGATTTAGAATGACAGATAACAAGATTTAAGAAAGCCTTAATGCATTTTAATTCTAGCTTTAAAAGTATTAGGTACTATGATTTTTTCTCTAAAATATATTTAAATATAGAAAAAGAGCTAAAGGTAAGTTATACAGACTTCTTAAAGTATACCATTTCCTTCCTTTTCTAAAATAATTCTATTTATCCGCCATCCATGAAAAAAATTATGAGCCCAAAGCTATGCTTTACTATATCAAAATCCCATATCAAAGAGAATCTGTACTCAAAATATAAAGTATATTAAGTGGGATATAGCTGATCATAACTCTACATTAGCAGCCAAAAGCAAAGTGAATCCACAAATGAGTGAGTCCACACATTTCTGAAATTCTCAACCCTACTTTAACTAGCAAAAAACTGATACTGGTAGTGATATCAGGGTTCTATTAGAGATTAGAGAATTTATTAAATAACTCATGACTCATTCATATAAAGTAATACCACACAAATATTGGAAATCAGGTCCTCACAGTACATACAAAGGTAGGAAAATGTTTACTCTATATTTTTAAGAAAAAAACATTATGTAATTGTAATCACAAAAATATACAGTTAACTAATTTTTGACAAGGGCACCAAAAAGACATAATGGAGAAAAGCTAGTCTCTTCAATAAATGATGCTGAGAAGTCTATACATAGATATGCAAAAAAATGAAATTGGACCCTTGACCTTACAAAAATCAACTCAAAATGTATAAAACATCTAAATGTAAGACCCAAAACCGTAAAAGTCTTAGGAAAAAACACAGAAAAAAAAGTGCCTTGACATAGGCCTTGGCAATGATTTTTTTGGATGTCACACCAAAAGTTCAGGCTACAAAAGAAAAATAAATAAATGGGAACATATCACACACACCAAAATGCTTCTGCACAGAAAGGAAACAACCAAAAAGATAAAAAGACAGCCTATAGATTAGTAGAAAATTTGCAAGCCATTTATGTGATAAGGGTTAATATTCAAAATTTATAGCGACCTCACAAAATTCAATGGCAGAAAAACAAATAACCCAATGAAAAAATGGGTGAAGGACCTGAAGAGACATTTCTTCAAAGAACACATAAAAATGGCCAACAGGTGTATGAAAAGGTGCCCAACATCACTAATCACCAAGGAATTACAAATCGAAACCACAATAATGCTTCACACCTGTTAGGATGCTATTCCCTAACAAGAGATCAGTGTTGGCAAGGGTGTGGAGGAAAGGGAAACCTTTTATGCTATTGGTGGAAATGTAGATAGGTGCAGCCACTGAGGAAAACAGTATGGAGGTTCCTAAAGCAATTAAAAATAAAACTATCATACAATCCAGCTGGGCGTGGTGGCTCACGCCTGTAATCCCAGCACTTTGGGAGGCAGAGGTGGGTGGATCGTGAGGTCAGGAGTTCGAGACCAGCCTGGCCAACATGGTGAAACCCCATCTCTACTAAAAATACAAAAATTAGCTGGGCATGGTAGTGGGCACCTGTAATCCCAGCTACTCAGGAGGCTGAGACAGGAGAATCGCTTGAACCTGGGAGGCGAAGGTTGCAGTGAGCCAGGATCACCCCACTGCACTCCAGCCTGGGCAACAGAGAGAGACTCCATCTCAAAAAAAAAAAAAAAAAAAAAAAAACAGAAAAAGAAAAAAAGAAATTAAAAATAGAACTATCATACGATCCAACAATAACTCTTCTGTGTATACCCAAAGGAAATGAAATTACCACCTTGTAAAGATATCTGCACTCACAGCAGCATTATTCACGACAGCCAAGATAAAGGAACAACCAAAGAGTTCCTCAACAAGAAAGTGGATTTTAAAAATGTGTTTAAAAAACAAAACTAAAACATAAATTAGCCAGATGAGGTGGCATGTGCATGTAGTCCCAGCTACTCAGGAGGTTGAGGTGGGAGAATCACTTTGGCCCAGAAAGTTGAGGCTGCAGTAAGCTTGATCCCACCACTGCACTCTGCCCTGGGCAACATAGAAAGACCTTGTCTCAAGAAGAAAAAACAAAGCATAAAAATGTGATGTGTATGTGTATATACATATATATATACATTTTTTTTCTTTTTACACCCATACACATAGATATAAATATAGATATAATGGAATATTATTTAACCTTAAAAAAGGAGATCCTGCCATTTGCTACAACATGAGTAAACCTGGAGGACATTATGCTAAGTGAAATAAGCCAGACATGAAAAGAAAAATTCTGCATGATCTCAATATATGTGGAATCAAAAACATTTAAAACAGAAATAGAGAATGAAACAGTGGTTACTGGGGTGGGTGTGGAGGAATGGGTGAAAATGGGCAAAAATTACATAGTAGCAGATATGTAGAAAGAACGTCTAGAGATCTAAGGTACAACATAAGGACTACAGTTAATACTGTATTCAGAATTCTTGCTAAAAGAGTAGATTTTAGATGCTCTTGACACACACACAAAAGATACGGGCAACTGTAATATAATGGAGATGTTACTTTGTTTGACTATAGTAACCGTTTCACTATTTACATGTATATCAAAACATCATGTCATATACCTTAAAAAACAGAATAGGCCAGGCACAGTGGCTCATCCCTGTAATCCCAGCACTTTGGGAGGCCAAGGTGGGTGGATCACGAGGTCAGGAGTTTGAAACCAGCCTGACCAACATGGTGAAACCCCCATCTCTACTAAAAATACAAAAAAATTAGCCAGGCGTGGTAGCACACGCTTGTAATCCCAGCTACTCAGGAGGCTGAGGCAGGAGAATCGCTTGAACCTAGGAGAGAGAGGTTGCAGTGAGCCAAGATTGCACCACTGCACTCCAGTCTAGGCGACAGAGCGAGACTCCATCTCAAAAAAATAAAAATAAAAATAAAAAAATAAAAAATTTTAATGAGTTATAGAGATGGTTATATAGTGGTGTTGGTTGTACAACATTATAAATGTATTTAATACCACAGAACTATATATGTAAAAATGGTTAAGATAGTAAATTTTACATTATGTGTATTTTAGCACAATTTTAAAAATTGGGAAAAGAAACTATTTCTAGTAGCATCTAGACTTGTATATATCTCTCTCATTCTGGTTTATTACTTTATATTTACATATGATTCAAACATACATATGTAAACATACATGTAAACTCTGATAGTGAGTCATAGCTGAGTTTTCGTCAGTTTACCCAATTGACCAGCTGTCTCATTTTCATGGAGCTTATCTGACGCTACTTTGGCCTCTAGGTGTGATAATTTGCCTTTAGGCAATTAAGAAGACACATAGTCTTTCAAGGTCAGAAGAATAATATAGTTTGTCCAGTATGATCATGATGCTGTGAGTTAATAAACTAGAGAAATGATTGGTCCTACGAAGTAAATTCAAATGGTAATTATAGTTCAGGATAGGTCTATCTTCAGATAGATGGAAAGAACTTCAGAGTCCTCCAACATTTCAGATAAAATTCACTAAAATGACCGTAAGTGATAACCATGATTAGTGGTACCTAATCATAAGAATTGTATTCTGTGGTGAGAGAATAGAATATAGTTGGGAAATGTTTGGATTTTTATGTAAAGACTTAGACTCTTTTTCTGTACAGCCCCCTCCAATGCACATTCATGATCTCATCCAGTGCTGAGATTATAAATTAGAAATTTGACATTATAAAATCTTGCAAATTTCCCAACAGCCCAAAGCTGGTGGGGGGCAGAGCTTAGATGTTTTTAAAACTTTTTTCACTATACAAGACTGATTGTGGGGTCTCACATAAAAACACCTGAGAGAATTATAAAGGACAAGTAGGGAGGTGACAGGTTGTTGCCCAGTCATGCACCTCCAAGTAACTAGCACTACTGTTCCCTCAGTTGCTCAGGACATACTTTTGTGGGCTTCTCTTTCTCTCAATATCCTTACCAATCTATAAGTAAGTCTTGTGCACCCTACCTTGAAATCACATTTCAAAATCCTTCCACTTCTTTCTGTCTCTACTAACATCCCTCAAATCCAAGGCACAACCATGCCTTGCTTTGCCAATGCAATAGGCTCCCATCTGAGTTTTCTAATTTCACTTTGGCCCCTTTTAGTAAGTTCCTCACATGGCAGTCAAAAATGCAAACTAAATAAAATAATGTCACTATCTTCTTTTGGCTTATACATAACGCTTTCAGCACCTTACAAGATTTAGCTGCTGTTCTATCACTTCCCAATACTCTCTCCTATAATCCACTACTCTCCTAACACATTGGCCTTGTTCTGGCTCCTCAAAGGAACCAAGCTTGTCCTCAGATTTAAGATCTTTACACTAAGCTTCTCCTTTTTCTTGGAATATTTCCCCCTGATCTTTGCATAGTTGCCTCTGATCACTCAATTTCATGCTTAAATGTTATCTTTTCAGAGAGCACCTCTTCCTGGCCTCATAATACAAAGTAACCACATAGTTACTTTCCATCACACCACTCCATTAAAATTTTCTTTGTACCACTTATCATTATTTAAATATTAGCACTTACTTAATGAATTATCAATTGATTATTGGTTGTCTCTCTGTCTCCCCACCAATACAATTCTAATATAGATGAGCAAGGATGTTGTCTCTGTTATTCACCCCTGCATCACCAGGACAGTCTGATATAGAATAAGTACACCATAAAAAAACTGATGAGTTATTCAATGGCCCCCATTACCTATCAACAACAATGCCTTCTTTTCTTCTCATTCTGTAGTCCTCTTAAAACATGCAAAATTCAGAGGCAATTCTTTCTGACTTCAAATATTTTATTTGTCATGGTGTTTCCTATTGTTAGAGTGAGCCAATCTACAATAGTTTTATTCCTTTTTAGCATTTGTAAACCAAAAGTATCTGAGACAGGTTTCAATCAATTTAGAGGCTTAATTTGCAAAGGTTAAGGATCATGGCCCGTGACACAGTCTCAGGAGTTCTTGAGAACATGTGCCCAAAGTGGTTGGGTTACAGCTTGATTTTATACATTTTAGAAAGACAAAAGTTACAGGCAAAGACATAAATCAATACATGCAAGGTATACATTGGTTGAGTCAGGTTAGAGTTTTATCTCATTGCTACAAAGAGTCTGTTCTGTCAGTTTTAGGATCTCTATTTTAATGTTAATGTTGGTCAGTTGTGTCTAGTCTCCAAAAGAAAGGGGGTACAATAAGGCCTATCGGACCTGCCTTTCCTGTCATGGCATGCACTAGTTTTTCAGGTTTCTTTGGAATGCCCTTGGCCAAGAAGGGAATCCAGTCAGCTGGGGGGCTTAGAATTTTAATTTTAGTTTATACATTTTAGTAATTTCTCTTCTATATTTGTTCAGGAAATTCATTCAATTTGTGTTAAGAAAAAAAGTCGAGATCAAAGTAGATATAACTAATAATTCAAGCACAGAAATTAAATAAAGAGTTACAATAGGCCAGGCGAGGCGGCTCATGCCTGTAATCCCAGCACTTTGGGAGGACAAGCGGGTGGATCACGAGGTCAAGAGATGGAGACCATCCTGGCCAACATGGTGAAACCCCATCTCTGCTAAAAATACAAAAATTAGCCAGGCTTGGTGGTGGGCGCTACTCAGGTGGCTGAGGCAGGAGAATACTCGAACCTGGGAGGCGGAAGTTGCAGTGAGCTGAGATTGCACCACTGCACTCCAGCCTGGCGACAGTGAGATTACGTCTCAAAAAAAAAAAAAAAAAAAAAAAAAAAAAAAAAAAAAAAAAAAAGAGTTACAATAGAGTTGCAAAAGTGGGAAGCAGACATATGGTAAAATAACTCAAGGCATAACACATGCTATCAATATACTAACACTGCATTCCTGACTTAAAATAAGTTAGCAAGCAGAACAAATAGCAAGCCAAATGCAAACTAATGAGGTGCGGGGAGCGAGGGTGGCGGGGGGTAGAGCAGAGAAAAAGGAAGCAAGGTATCCCAAAAAACTCAACTATAGGTGGAAAAATTTCATCATGGGCAGTTGTACATGTAAAAGTATCATAATTCCTGTTCCAATGGTTCCCAAGTCCCAGTCACCTGGGAAGCATGTCAGGAATACATTGTCTTGGGTCTGAGCCCCTGAAATTTCAAAATCCTGGAGTGCAGACTTTGAATCTATATTTTTAACAATGTCTTGTACTATAGTGAGTTTAAAAACCTCCAGTATATTATCACAACCTTCACTTTACAGATAAGGAAGCAAAGGTCCACAAAAATTCTTTAATACCCAACCCAATAACCAGAGAAGATTAAGTTTCCATGGATTTTTTTTTCAGATACTGAAAGATCTCTTTAGAAGAGTTTTAACTACCTTAGAAAAACAGATGAGAAAAAATGGGCTGGCAGTGAAATTAATAAGGAAGCCTGAGTGTGTCTGATGGATCTATTCCCCCAGGGGTATTTCAGTGTTTGAAAGGACCTCATATCAATCAACTGCCATTACATAACTTAAATTTTTGTTTACCTTCTTGAATTCGAAGTAGAAAACCAAGTAGAGGGCATTAATAGAGACCAGTTAGGGAACTGTTGTAGAAATTAAGAAGTGGCCAAATATGGGATTCATGGGACTGCTGGGGAGGGGGCAGTCCACAATGGTTGAGCACAGCATAAATCCAGGGGGACACAGTCACATAAACCACAGTAGAAATCACCTGAATAGTGCAATAAGATGAATCTATGAGCTAAGGTGGTAGAGAGAAGGAGGAAAGAAAGGAGGGAAGGAGAGACAGAAAGAGAGAAACAGAGAGGAAAACAGCTGAAATTAAGATATATTTAGGACATAAAATGTGTATAATTCAGATACACAAGTGAACAATGAGTTTATGTGAATTTGTAGTTACATAGCTATTCTAATATTGTGTTTTCTTAGAATTACATTCTTTATATTTTCATTGAAATTTATATGTTAACCTTTATACAGGTCATATCCTATACACCTAATCCAGATGATGAAAATAAAGAAGGAAGAAATCTTCTACTTATTTAAAAAAAAAAAAACTGTGCTCCTTTTTAATGTGTTGCCCTATACATTTTCCAGGGATTCCTATAGAAATAAAGATAACCAAAAGAACCCATAGTTTATCTCCTTAAATTCTAAAATAGCTCAAAAAATATATATAAAGCTCTTGGTAATTAACTAATAAATTAATGAATAGATAATATGATCAAATATTTTAGGGAAAAATATTTTAAAGACTCTTTCTCAAAAAGGAAGTATTTGCCATTTAGTCTCTTTGCTTAATTCCAAATCACTATAGGTATTTTCCTACTTAGCTTAATTTGACAAAGGAAAAAAACACTAATAATGTGAAACTAATAATGTGAATAACAGTTTCCCTTTTAAAGAAATATTTCAGAATATGTTTTCAGTGTGCAAAATGTCAGAAAAGCAAGAGAAAAGTTGTTATATTGAAGCTGTCACCATTAAATTGGTTTATGATCCATCTATTCATGTAGACTAGCTCCAAATTTAGTATACACAATGCAGTCTTGCAGTCCCTAATTTAGTATTTCTAGGATAAACAACCATCAGGTTTGCATGCATTGATTTTTTTTTCCACTAGAATCTCTTAGTTTATTGTTCATGACTTAATTATCCATAGTTCTATAACTTCAATAAAACCTAATTCAATTAAGGAAGTTTACATTTATTCCAAAGCAGCCTGCAACAATTGCAAAAAGAAAAAAAAAAGTTTAGTAGAAAAAAATGCTTAACAGGGCAAAAGTTATGCTGTAAGAAGACCTTCTGGTAGTTCACTTAAAATTTTTAAAGAGGTACATTAAAGGTCATTTGGAAAATAAATGACCAAGTAAAACTTTTTAATGCTTGTGAGAATTAGCATGTCATATAAGAAGACACACAAGCAGCCAACAAATGTATGAAATGCTCATCATCACTTATCAGAGAAATGCAAATCAAAACCACAATGAGATACCATCTCATATCAGTGAAAATGGCTTTTGTTAAAAATTCAAAAACTAACAGATGTTGGTGAGGCTGCAGAGAAAAGGGGACGCTAATACACTGTTGGTAGGAATGTAAATTAATCCACTGTTGGTAGGAATGTAAATTAATCCAGCCACTGTGGAGAGCAGTTTAGAGATTTCTCAGGGGACAGTTGAACTACTATTAGACTCAGCAATCCCATGACTTGGTATATATCCAAAGGAAAATAAATCATCTTACCAAAAGGACACATGCACTTGTGTGTTCATCACAGTGTTATTCACAATAGCAAAAATATGAAATCAACCCAGGGGCCCATCAGTGGTGGATTGGATAAAGAAAAATGTTTACATATATACCATGTAAACATACAACCACAAAAAAAGAATGAAATCATGTCCTTTGCAGAAACACGGATGTAGCTGGAGGCCATTATCCTTGGTGAATTAATGCAGCAACAGAAAACCAAATACTTCATGTTCTCACTTATAAGTGGGAGCTAACCCTTGTGTACACATGGACATAATGATGGAAACAACGAACACTGGGGACCTCTAGAAGGAGAAGAAAGGGCAACGGGCAAGTGTTGAATACCTGTTTGGCATGATGCTTACTCCTGGGTGACAGCTTCAGTTATACCACAAGCCTCAGCATTGCTGAATATATCTTTGTAACAAAAATGCACAAGTATCTCCTGATTCTAAAATAAAAGTTGAAAAAGATAAAAAGGGACTCTGGTCTGGTGCAGAGGCTCACGCCTGTAGTCCCAACACTTTGGGAGGGCAAGGTGGGCAGATCACCTGAGGCCAGAATGTTCGAGACCAGCCTGGCCAACATGATGAAACCCTGTCTCTACTAAAAATACAAAAATTAGTCAGTCGGTGTGGTGGTGCCCTCCTGCAGTCCCAGCTACTCGAGAGGCTGAGGCATGAGAATCGCTTGAACCCAGGAGGCAGAGGTTGCAGTGAGCCGAGATTAAAGCCACTGCACTCCAGCCTGGGAGACAGAGCGAGACTCTGTCTCAAATAAAAAGAAAGAAAGAAAGAAAAAGAAAGAAAGAAAGAAAGAAAGAAAGAAAGAAAGAAAGAAAGAAAGAAAGAAAGAAAGAAAGAAAGAAAGAGAAAGAAAGAAAGAAAGAAAGAAAGAGAAAGAAAGAAACTCATGGAACATGAATTGACTTACCCTTTCCTCCAGATCCCATCGGTATTAGGGTGCTAGGGCTGCTAACTAAGTACCACAGAGTGGGTGTCTTAAACATCAGGAATTTATTTCCTCATAGTTCTGGTGGCTGGAATCCAAGATTAAGGAGTCAATGGTTTGGTGTCATTCTGAGGCCACCTTCCTTGGCCTCTAGATGGCTGTCTTCTGGTGTCCTTACATGGTCTCCCTTCTGTGCGTGTCTGTGTCCTAATTTGCTTTTCTTATGTGGACATCAGTCATATTGGATTAGGGGCCACCCCAATGACCTCATTTAACGTTAATTATCTTGTTAAAGATCCTATCTCTGAATATAGTCACACTCTGAGATACTGGGGGTTAGGATTTCAACATATGAATTTTGGAAGAAACACAGTTCAGCCATAACACCATCTGATCCTCTCTTCCACATTCTTACTTCCTCAGTCCTAGTTGAGAATCTGTCTCATCATGTCTGTCTTGAATTTCAATCCCAGTCTAACTACTTCCACTCTCTCCTCTATACTGCCCTCATACCTGCCTCATATCTACCAGGATTGTAAAACAGGAGAAAACTTAGAGCCCTTAGAATATTCTGCCCAAGTGTAAGCTCCTGCCACGAAAATAAATAGGTTGATAAACCATGCTATGAATGCTTATAAACCAGCCAAAACCAAACAAAATCTTTAGTACTAGGGGTTCAGGAAAACATAATAAATTTACTTTTATTAAATGCTAGTTGAATCACTGGAAAGTTTTCATATATACCAAAGACCGCACGAATTTTCCCAAGTGCTTATGTTGGTACTTTGTGCTCAGAAGACATTTCATTTCTTACTTATCCAATTTGTAAAAATTTAAACAAATTATATTTCCTGATACAGTTAAAACTGCAGCTCTTCTGTTTTCCTTACTCCTGTATCCCAGGGCTCAGAATCTATATAAGCTTATCAAATGCTCTTATACATTCCTGATAGAAGTGGTAATGATATAGCCCTTTAAAAAGTAATTTCCTAACATAAATTCAAAGCTTTAAAAATGTCCATTGAGCCAGTAATTCCAGTAGGATTCTAACCTAAGGACATTATTCTAAATATGGAAAGCTTTTGTATAAAGATACTTTTTGCTGCAGAAAAGTGTAACTCTGAAGAAAGCGTTTACATGTGTTTATAAGCAGGTCAAATACCGTATAAAATAACAATTAAAACAACAATTTAATAATGGACTACTTACTATATGTCAGACATTAAGCTAAGCATATTACATATGTTACCTGATTTAATCATCACAACACCACCATGAATTAAATATTATTATTCCTCTCTTATAGATGAGGAATCTGAGAGTTAGAAAGATTAAGAAACTGATCCAAATTTAAGACACTATTAATTAATGGAGCCAGTTTGTATACTGCAAATGAAATTAATACTGATTCATTGCCCCCATGCTCCACACTCTCCAAGGCCACATTCCCTTCAAGTCTACATTGCTCTTATCCTTTCCATCTCTCCCACTCAGAAGGACTCAGGAATTTAATAAATTCACCCCAAGTTGTTGAGTAAATATAGCTTGCTTACCAAGGGTCTTTGAATTTAAATAAGACAGCTGAAAGCAACAATGATTAACCTATATCAGTGCTTCTCAAAATGTGGGCCAGGAACCCACAAGAGACCCTGAGATATTTTCAGGAAGCTCATGAGGTCAAGATTTATTTCATAACAAATCTAAGACGTCAATTTCCTTTTTCACTGTCGTGCTTTTATAAGTATACAGTAGAGTTTTCCAGGACTACATGACAGGTGATATCTCAACAGATTGAATGCAGAGGCAAATATGAAAATCTAGCTGTCTTAAGTCAAACTTTAGTCAGATTTGTAAAAATGGGGCATTGGGGGAAAATACCACTCTTCTTATTTTGTTTTTAGTTTTGAAAAATATAGCTCTCTTTTGTGAAAATATTATTTATCTTAACAGGTAATGGTCTAATTATAATACTTTTTGTTTCTCAGTTCTAATCTTAATACAGCAATTTCAATAGATATAATCAAATAAGAGCTCTGGGGTCATCAGTTATTATTAAGACAAAAAAACTTTAGGAAATACTAACAAAAGTAAATTATTAAGTAATAATGAAGTTTCTATTAGTGGCTGCAGATCAGCTTAACAAAATTTTTTGGAGAATGTGATCATATATTTGAGGCAGGGCCTTGCTCTCTTGCCCAGGCTAAAGTGCAGTGGCATGATCATGGCTCACTGCAGCCTCAACCTCCTGGGCTCCAGTGATCCTCACCTCAGCCTCCTGAGTAGCTGGGACTACAAGGGAAAGTCACCATCCCTGGTTAATATTTTCTTTTAATTTCTTGTAGAGATGGGGTCTTGCTATGTTGTCCAGGCTGGTCTCAAACTTCTGGGCTCAACCAATCCTCCCACCTCAACCTCCAAAAGTGCTGGGATTACAGACAAGAGCCACTGCACCTGACCTGGAGGATGTGACACTTTTATCAGCCTCCATCAGTTTCACAGACATGGACACCCACTTGACCTAAGCTTGTTTTCAGGTTCTCATCACTCTGTCATGATCTTCAAAAGAAGCAAATATTGTAGCCTACTGAAGTTACATCCAACCCCAATATTCAGGGACTAACAACTCATTTGTCTTTAAATCTAAAAAACATTTGTTAGGCACCTATGCAAATCAAGTATTTAATATAATCAAAGTTGACAGTGCTGAGATAGAAACCTAAGTTTTCTTGTTCCAAGTTCATTGCTCTTTGCATTACACTGCCACTAAATAATGTTTAAATAGTCCATTTAAGAATACCCGAGATGGAATACATCACTACCCACTCTGCCAGTTCTTTCTCTCTCTCCTTAACACACACACACACACACACACACACACACACACACCCCTCTCTAATAATACAAACTGATAGAGCTCCACATTTTCTGAAATACAAAAAGAAATCACTATTTTGAACTTTGCTCCGTTATGTCAAAATAGTCCCTTTATTATAACAATGACAGAAAAAATGTTCTTGTTTGATTTCCATTGACAATAGCATTACTGAGTTATTGAGCTATCATCCTGTGCCATTTATTATTTCTGATGTTCTACATTCAGTGTCTCAGTTGTAAATAACTTGTTCCAAGTCACATAGTCATTAGATTACAGAGCTGGGATTCATACCCAAATTTCTCTATGTGCAAATCCTCATGCTCTTAAACATTTCACTATCCTCTTTTGTAATGTTTAACTCTAATTAATTCTCTATGTGGTATGTGGAATGGAATTACTTGCTTGGTTATTACATGATTTGATGACTTACTTGAAAGACAGTGCCTAGCTGTGGTGCACGAAGGCATGGAAAAAAATCAAGTTTTATTCCTATTATCTACTAGCTGACTTTTCTTTCAAGACAGTTTTAGTTTCTACTGTGTTATGGTTCCTCAAAAGTTTAAACAACAGGTCACGAAGCAAATGAAATGATTAGTAGTGGTATTTATTCACTAGCTGTTCTAAGTTCAGTAAAAAATAATAAATTGGGTCTCTTTTTTTAATGTTAACTGAGCCACTGGAGAGACCTCATGCAATCTAAAGTATATGAAAAGAAATATGGACAGTGGCAAGTACAATTAATTGAACATTTTATAGAACATTGAGAGAGTTCAGGGAAAGTGCATTTCCCATTTTTTACTTCCCGTGTTTAATGAAAATCCACCTATTATGACTGCATAGAAAAAGAAGAAATAAAAGAGAATTATCATTTTTATTTCTACTTAGCAGCTCATCCAAGCATTTGAGTTTGCTGGGTCTAGAGGCAAAACATGTGGAGAATTGATTGAAAGAGATAAGACAGAGCAGAGATATTTGTCTTCAACCTCTCTCTCCAAAATTAAAACCTTAATTAAAACCTTCACACTGCTATAAAGACATACCTGAGACTGGGTAATTTATAAAGAAAATAGGTTTAATTGACTCACAGTTCTGCATGGCTGGGGAAGCCTCAGGAAACTTATAATCATGACAGAAGGGGAAGAGGCACGTCTTACATGTCAACAGGTGAGAAAGAGTGTCTGAAAGAAGCTAAGGGGGAGCAGCCCCTTATAAAGCCATCAAAACTCATGAGTACACTCACTCACTATCATGAGAACAGCACAGGGGAAACCGACCCCATGATCCAATCACCTCCCACCAGGTATCTCCCTCAACACTTGGGGATTACAATTCAAGATGACATTTGGGTGGGGACACAAAGCCTAATCACATCATCCAGTCATAGTTACTATCTTTTTAACTTAACCATTACTTTTTAAAGCCAAATTATCAGTATGGAAGTGTGTATAAGTCCTATTACTGATTTCATTTTCAACATATTCACTTTCTCATAATAGATACCTCTTTCATGAAACCTTTTAGAGGATATTTTATTTAAATTATTTTCATAACACATACATATTAGACTCTAAAAACATATTAGCAAGGAAAAAGAGAGGAAGGGAGGAACAAGAGGAGTTGTGATGGAAGAAGAAAGAAAATACGAGCTTTTGAAAATAAATGATGCTTCCAAGGGATTTCACTGTTAAAAATACTCAAAGCCACCACCCTCTTCCCAGGAGTTCCAAGTCTTATAAGAATAACAAGGGCAAATTCCCAACAGGCAGAGCTCCTTTTGGCTATAATCAATTTCTGGAAGTCAGACCATAAAGCAGAGGCATATGGATAAAACCGTGGAAAAGACATATTTTCCGGAAAACTTAGGTTATGTTGCCTTTAAAGTAAATTTTGAAATAGACAAATGCACTTTGGAGTATTTGTCTCATGGGTCTTCCTCTAAAATAATGAGTATTCATGCCATGAGATGTAAAGAAGGTGTTCTGGAACAATTGAAATGCCCTGAAGTCCAGAAAGCAAAGATAAGACCTGCAGACCAGATTCCCAACACCCCATTAGAAAGGTGCTTCCTCCTCACACAGGAGGCAGTCAGAAGATAGAATTCATCTTCCCACTACAATAAATATCTGGAAACCCTCACGAAACTTTTGTCAAGTCTGATGAATGTGCATTAATTTACTGAGAGTATTAGAAATAAATAAAGGGAGGAGGCAGTATATGGAAGTGTGGATCACTCACTTTTACCTCTCTCTTGGCTCTGCTGAGAAGTGAGCAGCATTGCATCCTGTTGAGTGACTTTATCCAGGAATACTCAGCAAGGAACAGCACCGAGGTAAACAGGCTCAAAGTAGGGCTGGGAAAGACTCCAGGGAGTAGCTTCAGTGGGAATGACTCCAAACAGGACAAGACCTTTTCTCCCAATAAATCCTAAAGCATAGTAAGCTGCAGAAGTCTGAGGGGAGAGGAAACAGAAGAGAGAATAGGGTAGGAAGGCTGGCAATTGAATGACATTAGGTTTTATCATATTTGTGCATAAACATATTCTATCTACAGTATTCTATTTTTCCATACTGAGCAATCCATGATTTTCCATGAAAACAGTTTGTAGTAGAATATTTTCAAGTGTAATAAATGACTGTAAATTGCTGTCCATTTCCTTTATGAGAAAAATTAAAGGTATGTCTGTTTGAGGTATGTTCAAAACAGAAAGAGCCATGGCTGGCAGAACACATTATTCTAACGTCATTGGGCCAGTAGAGGAGATGAGCTTATTGTATGACGACTCACAAGTCTGTGGAGACATGCAGAGTTGTATGTTCTTTTCTCCTCTTCTTTTTTTTAATGATTTTGTAACATTATGGACTACACAGTGTTTGAAATTCACACACACACACACACAAATTGACTTCTATAAATCAATTTTCATCAGTTCAACTCTCTGATCAAATTGGCCTAGATAAAATTTGATTTATAAAATACAAGAACATATAATTTTATCTCTTATTGCTTTTACTTCCCTGCCAATATTTAAGTACTAAAAACTCTGATTTGGGTTATTTCTGTGTCATTTTTTATTTACTTTACAAAGGTTAATAACTTTATTAAAGTACCTTCAAACAGACAGATGCAGTGCTAAAAATAGCCAAGTTAGAGAGCCATCTTGGAACATAAAGATATTCATGATGATGACAGAAATTCATTCATTATTTGGTTTTATCCCTGTAGCTCCATCAAATAAACTTAACAGCAAAAGTGATAATAATCCTAACCCAACCACAATTTGTAAATTAGTAGTAAGTAAATTTAAGCCCAGTAGAATATCCATACATGCTTATTTATGGAACTGGTTTTATTGCCAGGGCAAGTCAAATGATCCTAAACCTTGTTGTATCTTTTATGTAAACGTCCTGCACCATAACTTCAGGTGGCCACCTTACATCATTTAAATTCTAATATTAAGGAAATTTTTAAATCAAATCACCAGAGTACTGATTTGACAAGCTATGAACTAAGAAGGGGAGGAGATGTGGAATAATATAATGAAAATTACAATCAAGTAAATACAGTTGCTTAAAGTTTCCTTCAAAGTCAACTTCGAAATTATCTTGGAAAGTAAAACTCATGTGGAAGGAGACGATAGAGTGAAAATCTCAGATGAGGAATAGCCAATTGTGTACATCGTGGTACACTATTTCTCTTGTTGATGCCTATGATCTATGAAAATGTGTAGAATTTTAAAGTGACTAATGATAACATAACTGTTGAACAAGTTTTTAACAATCTACCTGAGGGTTTTTATAAGAAGAAATTCTATTGACTGGAATAAAATGAGTGAATGGGTGAATATGAATGGAGCCAAATGTTGACAGTAACAAGCACAGGGAAGTTAGCTTGCACCAAATTAGACCTTCAGCAGCTATGAGAACTACAAAGAATTTAACTCAAATGATATGCTTCTAGATCATCTCAGTGTGTTCAATAGGTATTAGAGATGTTAAATATGAGAATACAGAATTGGTTTATCCATCTGAAAAGAAGCCTAGGAAAAAAAATACAATAAAAAATTTTTTTAAAAATAGTTTAAATACTGTATGAAGGCTCATCTATATATAAAACACAACCACATGAAAGATAAATATGAAGGATTATTCTACTACACAGATTTTTTTCTGTGAATGTGAGTTTTACTGTCCTTTGACAAGTTTTCCAAATTAGTAAAAGACCCAGAGCTCAGATAATCTTTCAGTATACTTTATGAAAAGTGGCTTGCTATCTCAATAAGATGATAAGTATACAGAAATTTTCACTTAGGTAAGCTTAAAAATTTTGCACCATACGACCTTCACAGTAGCATTTGGGTACCTCTGTTCAGTGACTGAAGAAGTCACCCCTGCTGTTATTTATATTTATACCCCTACGGGAGCCTGAATTAATATAAAAAAGAAATTATCTCAATGCTGAATTTAAAATATGGCTTCATTTCTTTGCAATTTAGTCTAACAATGGTAATGTGATAGACTCATCATAGAATAACATTTACAGTTAACTATTAAGGCCAGGTAAAAGATTACTATTTTTCATAGTGGAGAATAAAAAATATTGCTCTATATTAAAATACATATGACTACATATTTGAGTAGAACTAAACTAATGACACTAAACTAATTCCATATGGAATATGGAGGAAAGTACTTTAAATGAGTATTGTGCTGGTATTGGACTATTTCAGGCTAAACCTGCAGACACTGCTCTTCATCTATTTTCTTTGGCCATAAGGAAATACTTTTGTCAAAGCTTGTGAACATAAGTGAAGTAGATATAAATTTGAGTTATTCTATCTATGTTATTGACTAGTCTGTGACTTTGAAAATATTAATTTCTCTGAATCACAATTTCTTCATTTTCATAAATTAACAACATCTAGTTTATCAATTATTTTGATGATTAATTGTAATGGTGATATGAAAGTCAAGACTTGTTCCCTGTTCTTATCAACAGCCAACTGTGGGAGACAAGAATGGAGGCACATATGCCCATAGAGCATGGTGAGTGCTGTATCAGCATAGCTCCAAAACTCTAGACAGTACCCAGGAGGGATGGATGGATTGTTGATGGGGATAAAGGAGAAGTTACACAAAAGGTACTACACATAATAAAGCATGTGGCCAGAGAAGCAGAGTAAGAGTATTACAGCAACCAAATAAAGGCAGCCACATAATGGGAATGAGAAGTAGATTTTCTGGAGGTGATGGGGACAAAAGGGCAGATGAGGATTACACATGAAGGTTAGGGCTAAATTACAGAGGGCCCAATGTGTCTTCTAAGGTCTTTGACTTTACATCATATAAAATGGAGAGTCAGTGGATACACTTAATTAGAAAAAATAGAGTGTATTGCTTTTTAAAAGGTCCTCCTAGCAGCAGTTCAGAGCACAGTGTGACAGGGAGACTCACAGATAAAGAAAACTTCCACAGTAACCAAAAGCCAAGACAAGAAATAATGAGAAAATTGTAAACAGCAGTATAAAACATTAGGACATAAAAAACACTTTTTAAAAATTTATGAGCATATGAGAAAATGAGAGAAAGAAATTAATTTATAGCAAGATGTACTAAATGCAAGCAAAGCAATATTCAGAGGTAAATTTATGATGAAAACATTGTCTTATGATACTCATAATAATTACTTGAGCTAATCAATTATCTGGAGAAACTTAAAAATTAATTAAGTTTTAAAAATAAGAGTAAAAATAAAATTGAAACAGAGAAAACAATAAAATAAATCCAGGAACTTATATTTTTTAAAATAATAATGTTAATAAATCTCTAGAAAACCTAGCCAAGAATAAAAGATTAAATAATGGGCAAATAAAATTAAATATAAAAAGTGGCTCTAGCTGGGCGCAGTGGCGCATGCTTGTAATCCCAGCACTTTGGGAGGCCAAGGCAGGTGGATCACCTGAGGTTGGGAGTTCGAGACCAGCCTGACCAACATGGAGAAACCCCATCTCTACTAAAAATACAAACTTAGCTGGCTGTGCTGGCGCATGCCTGTAATCCCAGCTACTCGGGAGGCTGAGGCAGGAGAATTGCTTGAACCTGGCAGGCAGAGGTTGCGGTGAGCCAAGATGGTGCCATTGCACTCCAGCCTGGACAACAAGAATGAAACTCCGTCTCAAAAAAAAAAAAAAAAAAAAGTAGCTCTGATAACAAATAACTTTTCACTACCTGTGCATTAAATGCAAAATTGTACATTAAAATATTTGAAAAAATTGATGAAATAGATAATTTTCTGGAAAAACACACGTGAAATCTGAAAATTGACTCAAAGGAAAACAGAAATCTAAAAAGAACAATAATCAGGCTTAAAAAAGGCTAAAACCTATAAAAATATTAATTTTTGAAAGGACTAGAAACAGACTATTTTACCAAGAGGCTCCTTATATCATTAAAGAAATATTTAATTTCAGGTATTACTAAAAGTTTAGCAAATTGCTGGACAGGATCAATTTCTAGAAATCAATAACTGGCTTACAAACAACAAGCAATTGGAAAATGCAATAAAGAGGTAATATTTCATTCAGAATAGCCACCAAATATAATATAAAACATTTAACAATAAACTTAACAATAAATATGTGGCCCCATAGAAAATAAACTTCCAAACTTTTCTAACATAGAATTAAAGATGTGAATAAATTTTTCTAGAGGCATCTTGTATGATGAAGGACTATAGGAAATAAGTTAATTCTGCTAATTTAAGTAGAAATATGCAAAATGTATAAATTACTGAAAATAGAAAATAATTGGAAATATCATAGTTAATTTGTATGCAGTGCTAACTATGTGTTATGACACCTTTACATACATTAACAATTTAAGCCTCATATCTGTTCCATGAGGTGCAAACTGTGCTTTTCTGCATCTTATGTAGGGGGAAACAAAAGCTCAGAAAAAGAAATTGTCCAAGATCATGTGGCTAGTAGATTTTGGAACAAAGACTTAAAATCCAGATAGCATGATTTCAAAACCTGAGCTGTTTGCTCCTATGGTATTTAGCTTCTCAATCCCAAGTGTCCAAAAATTAGAAACCAGTCAAATAAATTAGGATACATATGTATGTCTTTGAAAAGAGGAAATGCTTAAATATAATGTTAAGTTAAAAAGGAATAAATAAAACATTATAAATAATACAATCCTAATTTTATTATTTTTGCCTGTGGGTGTATGTGTGTCTGTGTGTATAAAGAGTGCTTTAAAAAAATGGACAGAAATATAAAAAAAATGTTAACTGTGGTTTGAGGTAATATTACATAAATTTTGATTTTTTATACATTCCAAATTTTCTGTATGCAACAGATATTATAACAAACAAATAATAAAAGCTAATTTTTAAAATAAGTATGAGTTAAGTTAGTGATCATAAGATAAAAAGTTATTTAAAATAATATTTTATTAAAGTGAAATACAGTAAAATATTCAGACACAGAAAATGCTCTTCCTTTAATCTTCCCAAAATATATGAAATCAATGAAGGGTTAATTATGGAGCAAAGCTAAAATACCCTCCTATGAATCCAACTTCCTGATGTATCTTTCCCATTTCCCGAAACATGTAATACTACAAGCTAATAGGAATTAAAAATTGGATATCTAGGCCAGACATGGTGGCTCATGCCTATAATCCCAGAACTTTGGGAGGCCAAGGTGAGTGGATCACCTGAGGTCAGGAGTTCCAGGCCGGCCTGACCAACATGGTGAAACCCTGTCTCTACTAAAAATATAAAAATCAGCCTGGTGAGGTGGCATGTGCCTATAATCCCAGCTACTTGGGAGGTTGAGGCAGGAGAGTCGGCTTGAACCCAGGGGGCAGAGGTTGTAGTGAACCGAGATCATGTCATTGCACTCCAGCCTGGGTGACAGAGCGAGACTCCGTCTCAAAAAAAAAAAAAAAAAAAAAAACAGTGGATATCTACCATTTATTTTTAAAGGAAAATCCCAGAAAGTCACATATTTACACATTTCATATAGTATGAAATGTTTATTTTAGTCTTTTATTATTCAGTTAGTATACAAGAATCAGCAAACTGCACACTACTCTGTCCAATTACAGACTGTATAATCCTAGGCTCCATGGCAGGCTTTTTCTAGCACATTTCTCTAATGCAAGAAATAAAGGAAAATAAAGGCAAAAACTTTTAAATTATTTTATACCAAAATGAAAATAACAAGCTAGAATATTTTATCAATTTGTTTAAATACTTGAATCTTTTATTTGTATTGTTAAAAATGCAATATTACTGAAATTTTTTATCTAGTGAACCTACCACTACAAAAAGAATTGATCTAAGATCTCCTTCAGTATCTCTCTTGCCTCAAACACAAAGACCCCCAAAAAACATGGATGTTTAACTGCATGATTATCTTCTTGGGTAGCTTTGCCAAGATCCGCTTCTCTCAACTCACAGGTCTCAAGTTGAACCCGTCAACCACAAATTCTCCTGTAGTAATGGTATCCTCCATAGTGAACATGTCAGTGCCAGCCTCTATCTGCAACCGCAACCACTTTCAGCTTTCAGTTTTTATTTAAAAGACTTAATTGGAAGTTTTTATTACTCCCAATTAGGCTTTTTAATTAAAAGGAAAAGTTGAAAGAGGCTGCAGGCAAATACTGCTGAAACCCATATCAGCATAAAATCAAAGGAAATAAAAACAAAATTACACTACTGTAAAACAGCAGTAACAGGCGCAGCTTTCAATAATGTTTACCTCTGGTCATATTTAATGTTATGGTAGCACATTGACAGTGATGAAGTGGACATGACTGATTGGAAAAACCAGACTGCCTCTAATGTAACAATAAAATTCATCAAAATGATACTTAAAAGACCACATTAGCATTCAAGGCAAAAATCTACCAAAATGCACAGTTGACAATTCAAGCAGTTAGCAACTCTAATTCACCAACATGGCACTAACTCTACACACTAATGCAGACTCTTAAAGCCTCTTTGACAAGCAGAACACTAAATATAAAAAATGTGGGTAAGTGCTTATTGTTGTAAGATGATTGGCTTTTTAATTCCTTGAAGAATTTTTTTCTGTATAAAGCCTTAACTTGTCATCATTGTCAAGTTTTGCACTACTGATGGTTTTTTAATTCAAAATGAAATTAGAAGAAATTTAAATTCCATGTAATGTCTTCAGAGCAAAATAGAGCTTCTTATATAAAGGTGAGATCATCATCAAAGGTAATAGGAATATGTAGAGATATTAGATCTATACCGGAGACAATTTCATACCCAATAAGCTTGGCTATTTATCCTGAATTTTATAAATTATACTGTGAGTCAGAAGATGTTTAAAATGGTTCACATATAAATTGTGATGCTGAAGAAGTTATTCCTTTGTATCTTCACTTTCCATCTCACATACTTAATTGATATTTGCCCCAAAATCATACTACCAAATTTGGGGTAAAAACGCACAGAGATCTATGTAGAGATGATAAATTTCAGTAGGACCAGGCTGCAAAAATCTTTGTTGTTTATGTCCAGTCATGTGAGGAGTTCATATTTTGCAATTTGCATTCTTGATAAAAGATAATACAAATATATGCAGCCCCTCTGTCGTTTTCTAAAGACAATAATCTTGCATTTTGTCTTTCACAAGGAGACACTCACTACAGTGCAGACTAGGGGGACAGGGGCAGGTTGGAAATCCTTTTGTGTCATGGATTACAGTCTTTTTAGTCTCCTTGCCTTGACTGCTGACTCTACAATTCATTCGCTGCATAACAAGCTTTCATAAGGCATAAATCAATTCGCATCATTCCCTTGCTTTACAAACACTATTACGGCTTCTTACTGTGACTAGAATAAAACCTGAACTCTTATGCATGGCCTATCAAAGCACTGCCTGGTCTAGCTTGTGACTCCAACCTCATCTTGAGTCCTCTCCCTAGCTCACTCTCTCCAGCAACTAGGATATGTGGACATATTAATAAGCCCTTGCCTGCATTGGGGCATTTGCAAATGCCCTATTCTGTGTCTAACACTCTTCCTACTTTCCCAGAGGCCCACTTTTTCTATGCTTCTCAATTTAAACTAGTATCAATGTAAACATTACCTCTTCAGAGATGCCTTCCCTAACCATTTAAAGTATGTCCATCACAGTTACCATCATAAGTCTACCACAATTCATAAATTTATATGCCCCATAACCCTTAACACAATTATAATTACAATACTTAGGTGACCATTTATATGTTTTCATTTTTTAGAATGTCTTCAACAAGAGTACATCCCGCTTCCAAAAAAAATCAAGAACCACGACTGTTTGTTTCAACATATTCCACCATGTACCCAACACCTAGCTGCATACTGGGCAGACAGTAGGCAATCAATAAATTTTTTATGAATAAATGAATAAATAAAGAATATATGAATGCAAGTGTTAAAGAATTCCTTTCAAGTTGCTAGTAACAAAGGCACCTCGTGTGTTATAAAATTATTATAATAAGGTAGTAGGGAATAAAAACACCATTCAGTTGTGTTAAGATCAGCTAAGAATGTATTCATGACCCCTCTAGCCAGACATATCTCAATCTAAACAAGAAGTGAGCTCTTGTATCTTCTGTGCGGTTTGAGATTGCGGGGGGCGGGGGGTTGTTTTTGTTGTTTGTTTATTTCCTAATCATACAGTTTTTTTTCCCCCTTCTCCCAAATCCCACTTAAAAGGTCAGCCCATAGGTTTACTCTGAGGTGTAAGTATAAGAAGTGTCACTTATTTCTATAGAGTATATGTCCCACAGTTAAAGGTATGGTAGTATTCCACTTATCAAAGCTAGTCTCCCACCAACTCACATTATGAAATGTGAAACAAAGTAGAAGACAGTAGGAATTTTACAATAATATCAAGAGAAAAATGTAGAAGGAAAAGGAGTTGGAGGAGAGGAAGGAACCAAGTCACTATTGTAGCCCTTGAGATAAACAACTGGGGGTGAAGGTGTTAGGGAGCATATTCACTATGCTCATATTCAACTATCTTCACTTAAAGTTCACTTAGGGAGAAGAAAGAAAAAAGACAAGTCTCATGGCACCACCAGCCTATGCTTTCATACCTCCAGATGGTGGGTGTATAGAAACTACCTGGAGATGCATCCAAGCACCTGCAGCCTCTAGGAAGATTGCTTTCCAAAATGGAAAGGTGAGCTGGGATTAGAACTAGGAGACTGAGAGAAGCACGGAACTAAATATTAAAGCTTGAACAATCATACAAATATTTTCCTACCTTAGGAGAGAAAGCTGAAAGAAAGAAAAATATAGCCAGGCATGTGCAGCATCTCTGACATCTTAGTCATTACATAAAACTACATGGTAACATCTGTATCATTTACTTTATTTTGAACAGAATAGACGGATCAGATAGGATAAATGATTTGCCATGAGCAAGACAGTTAATAAGGGTCATAGCCTCGATGAACACAGACTTCTCTGTCTCCAAAGCCTAATGAGTTATCTTCAATTCAGGCAGAAAGACCCTTCAGACCATTTGCTTTTTACCTGTTCCTTTGGTTTGCAATGTTGCATTTTCTGTTTTGTTTTACTTTGTTTCATGTTTCAACTGACATGCCTGTGCCACCTACTTTAGAATACTTGCAGATTTTCCAGAGCCAAACTTTAACATCATTGCTTATGTTTAAAGGGACCTGGAACTTTTGTTGCAATTCTAGGTTCTGCACACTGTGTTTGAAGAAGAGAGAAATCATGGGTAGTTTCACAAGAAGAAAATTTCACAGAGGTAAAGGGCTCTAGCTTCTGAGCCAGTTAAACCTGAGCTTTTTTCATAGCTGTACCACCAGGTATCTGTACTCTTAAATAAAGACCATTGCTGTATTCTTTTTATTGTTGTCATAAGAAATTATTATAAATGTAGTGGTTGAAAACAACACATATTTATTATCTTACAGTTCTGGAGGTCAGAAGTCAGACATGGGTCTCAATGAACACAAATCAAGGTGTTTACAGAGCTGTATTCCTTTCTGAAGGCTTTAAAATAGAATCCATTTTCTTGTCTTTTTCAGCTTCTAGAGGCTTCCTACATTCCTCAGCCCTGGCCCCATTTCTCCATCTTCATAACCAGCAACATTGCATCTTTCTCACTTTCTTCCATCATCACATCTGTATCATTGATCATAGACAGAAATGGTTCTCCTCCTTTTAATGACCCATGTGATTCAATGAAACCCACCCAGATAAGCCAAGATAATCCCCTCATCCCAAAGTCCTTAACCTTAATCACATCTGCCAATTCCCCATTGCTAGGTAAGATAACATGTTCATAGATTCCAGGGATTAGAATATGAATATCTTTGGAGAGGTTACTATTTTGCCTACCACAGTTATCTGAGTCTCAATTCTCCCACCAGTATAACAGGAAAAATAGCTCCTACTTTATAGAATGTTGAGGTTGATAGGTGAGTATACACACAAAATGGTTAGCTTAGTATCTAACATATAATTATGGGCCTGAAAATGTTAGCTATTGTCATAAGTAATAACCTGTTCTTGCTGTTCTCACTTGCTTCTAGCAAAACCCTCTTCCTGCTACCACAAAACCGTCAGGGTCATTGATTTCAAAGCATCTTCTATCCCAGATTCTTCTCTATATTTATCGGAGGACAATGTTTTCTTAAACCTTTCATAAGCATTTATCTCCCCTTCGAATAAGCTGGAGAGGTGACAAGGGGGGTTATACCTGTACACATGAAATTTTCAAAACTGCCACTCAATAATGGTCCCTAAACCCCTGCAAAACTTCTCTTATGACCATGCACGTTACTTTTCAATCTAAATAAACCCCTCACTGAAATTCATTATAAACACTCCCATGTCTCTCTCTCTGAGGCCCAGGGCTGCAAGTGGTGAGGAAGCCAGCCAATCACCTGCTACTTTCAGAGGTCCTGGCATCACAGTATAACCAGATTGTCAAGGTTCACCTGGAGGATTACCTGCTAAATCACAAGTTTAAAGAAAACAATTTGGAATTACCCAAGAGGAAACAACACACTTACTTATCTCCAGACTCTCCACACAGACTGTATTAAATTTTCCATAACCAAATTTACTGCAGGGCTGAGAACAAGCATGAGATATTTCTGCTGAAAGTTTTTGATATTTCAAACTGCCTTTTAAAAAGAAGCTTAAAACGTAAGTGCAATTCCTCTCTTCAGCAAAATTCATATTTTTTTTCATTTGGGAAAATGCTTGGCCGTCTAATTGTTCCATAGTACAAAGTAAAATAAGTTCAAAACACAGGACCTAAATTAAACCAGATAATAATGCCCTTCACTGTCAACATTTTGTAAACACCACATTTGACATCATCAAACTGTCCAGGAGTTCTTTCAGCACCCATTTCTGTGACGTTTATAAATCAATAAAACACAAGTATTCACACTAGTGGAGGGAAAAAGAAATGAAAGATGGCAGGAAGATTACTTTTTAAATTTCTAAACTAAATATATATTCAAGTATAGCAATTCTTGAGCCAAACAGGCAATGAACTCTTGCAGAACTATTTAGCATTTTTCCCAATGCTTGGTAGTCACTGCATTAAGTGTACAATGTAGGAATATAGAAAACAAGTAGAATTCAGCCAAATAGATTTGTTGTAGTCAATATTCAGCAATACTAAAAGGAAAGGCATGTTTTGTTTGAAAAGGGCACCTCAATTCCCATCCCTGCCCATCAAGTGAAAAGGAAAATATATGAGGATATCAACTGTGAAATGTCAGCATACTAAGTAGGGTATATAGCTTGTGTTTCCTGATATAAAAGAGAAAGATCTCGGTGAATGCTATTTGAAAGTCCATCTGCCACAGAGCTATACGATGCTTTCCCGTGTTCTATAAAGCTGCTCAGAAGGGATGCTCAGAGTGCTGAAGCACTATCTCAGTACATCGCCCCATCACCACCCACAGCTGTTCATGGGAGTGCCGGAGAGAATTGGATGTACTAAAGAAAATGAATTTGGAAATAAAATAGAAGAGCCTCCGAATTTAAACAAGAAAAGGAAAAGAACTGAAGCAAATGATACGGTTACCTTATCCCATGACACAAGCATGTGTGAATGAATGTTATAAGATTTTTTACTAAGCCTAAACATAACTATGAAATATAAAAAGGACCTAGGTCTTTTGTTGTTGCTACCAAAGCGGGGGAAATGAGCTAGTCCAGAGTGACAGTGCTGGAGGCAGATAATGAAAGCTTGAAATGGAAATGGCGATAAACTCTGTGTACAAGTCCTGCAGATTAGATGAATATTTATTAGAGTTACATTTCACATTCTCCTAAAGAGTATGTAGCATCTTAAAGAATAATTTTAAAAGCTCTCATCTCTATTTCAAAAAAAAGGGTGTGGGGAAGAAAAAAAGGTGCAATCTACATGGAGTAATGTGAATTCATGAATGGCAATGCTCACAATATCTTAACATGTTTCTCAAACCAAAGAACCCCATAATCACTTCTCAGATTTAACAAGCTGACATCAAACTATAAACAGGATCATTTCACACCAACGATATCACAGTCACCTCTCAGGAGAAAGGGAAGCCACATTTCACAGTTTAAAAGTTCACATGAAAAGCAAAAGTGCAACGAAACTACCCGGAGTCTATGAGGGAACATCGCCAGATTAATAATGTGTGAAATGTAGTCAAAACCCTGCTGCCCATAGCAGGTATTTCAGCTTTTCTTAGACTGTTAAGATAATTGGAAACTTTTAAAGACAGGATACTGTCATTTAATATGGATTCTGCTTTAAAAGAGATAGTTTTGATCTATCACTACACAGCTTCAAAAGTAAATGGGCACCCAAGTGCAACAAGGGCTCTCGGGAAGACACATTTCAGTACTCACCTGGCCAAGTGCAAGACGGTGGAAGATACATTGGGGTTTGATTTGATGGTTGTCTCAAAAAAAAAAAAAAGAAACAAACAAACAAACAAAATCCTCTCCCACTGCATCAATAACAAGATAGGGACATTTGTTTTCACATACCCAAGGAAGTAATTACTTGTACTGTAGCATATATATCATTAATCTGCTTTTTTTTTTGGACAGAATCTCACTCTGTGCCCAGGCTGGAGTGCAGTGGCATGATCTCAGCTCACTAGAACCTCCACCGCTGAAGGTGAAGCAATTCTCCTGCCTCAGCCTCCCAAGTAGCTAGGATTACAGGCATGCACTACACGCCTGGCTAATTCTTGTATTTTTAGTAGAGACAGGGTTTTGCCATTTTGACCAGGCTGGTCTCGAACTCCTGACCTTAAGTGATCCACCAGATTCAGCCACCCGAAGTGTCCTTAATCTCTTTTATTAGACCAATTATAATTTGGATTAAAATTTACAGACCACAAGGTATGGTGATTTAAAACAGTATAAAAAATCCACCTAGTTAATGAAATCCAAAACTTTTATTTGTTTTCCCTTAATCATCTGAATAATTTGTCAAAAATATTGCCCCCATCTACTACATCTTTTTAAATAAATTCAAATGAATAAAGTTGATTCATTTTAAAATTGTGCCTCCTCCACCATGACACATTAATATATCATCCTATTTATCAGAACAAAGACATTAAAATGACATACCACATTTTAATAACATAAAATGATAGTAGAAAATATCAGAAGACAAAATATACTTTTCTTTTCTTTTCTTTTAGCTAGTTTAGGGAAAAAAAACAAAATATATCTGTCTTGCTTGAGCTTTTAATTAGTTAATCCTCCAAACAGGTAAGTCAGTGCTGTGAAGTGCTCCTCTGGTTTCAAATAATTACCTGAAAATGAATGCCTGGGGTTGGATTAACTATTGCCTCATCAGCATTCATCACTATTGCTATAGCATGAAGAGAATAAAAAATAAAATAAATGAAGAGAGGAAATAAAACTATGACAAAAAAGGACAAATTTTTTTTTAGTCTTGCCATGGATCATATCTCCCTAAGCATTATTTCACCGTACATGTTGTGATGGTTGCATAACAGCCACATTCTTGAAGCACATACTTACCTGGAACAAATTTTGTAGTTTCTTCTGCTTTCCAGGCAGAGACTCTCACACTTAGTTGGCACCAGAACCACTTGGGAGCTTATTAAAAGTTGAGATTCCCAGGACTCTAAAGATTCTGAGGCAGTCGGTATAGTTTGGCGCCTGGGCATTTTCAAGCACTCCAGGGTGATTGTCATGCAGTAGGTTTATGGATGATACCTGGAGAAACATTGCCCTGCACATTGTGTTCTACCTCCATTTCCACATCCCCAAAGAAAACAAGATTTCCTGCATATGCTCTGCACCCTAAGGAGGCAGAAAATCACCACATTTCTGTCTCATTGCCCATTGTATGAATGAGGCTGTTGCCACTTATTAGTCACCTGTTCCAAACTGAACCTCTGGCGACAGATCCTCTTATCTTCGCAAGTACATCATTCCATCTTTGAACAACTCTGACTTTTCTCTTCTTCTTGTATTTGCATACAAGTTTTTGTTCTAACCTTTGGAACCATATTCTGTAACCGCTGTTTTGCTCCCTCATACCGACAGTGTAGACACAGGTAGATGGTTCCACCCAAAGATTGGCAGGGGGAACAAATTCAGTGAAAATGCCCTGGAGCTCATATGACATGACACATTCTTAGAAAGGGCTGGGGGGATTAAGGCGATTTGAGATTTTGGTAAAGCTGTATATGATTACAAAGGTATAGATGATGAGAACAGAGAATGGAATTGCCAAAAGAGAGATTATTTTCCTTCCAGCAATATAGGATACACACGAAAAATATAAATTTAAACAATATGGAAGTTTAGAGTAAAAAGGTAAAATCTCTTTTCTCAAAGCTGACCCTCCTAGTCTCCTAAAACAAGTATCTCAACATCTTTTATTTCCAGTTATTTTACTGGCTTTCATTACCACAATATATTTATATCTCTCTTTACCTGACAGTGCCCATTGCCTTCTCACCTAGAGAGATGAGGAGTTTGTGAACATGCTCTACCCTCTTCCTCTTCTCTGTCCTCTACCTTGTATTATTAATTTAAGCTATTCTAGTGGTTGCCTTTATGACTTTAACTTTTGTGGTTAAGTTTCTAGCTCTGAATTAGTCACCTTGGGCAGCATATAAAGATGCTATAAAAAATAGGATATTTGCACATTTATGCTTTCTAAAGGTAAGATGTTAAAAATGCTTTCTTAATCATTAACCTATGTGTTAGACGACTGACCTAAGGCAAAGCTACTGAAATCATTCTCTCTTCTATCCATAGTCAGTAGTATTGTTGACATGTATACTGTAGAGAATTGTTTGAAACTTTCTAAAGCCTTGTGTTTGACATAAATAAAAATTTGTGTAACATATACACTAGATTGACTGTCCCCATGCACCTTCTTATAACTTTGATACATGATTTTAACTCATGTTAAAAAAAAAAAAAACATTGGCCGGGAGCAATGGCTCATGCCTTTAATCACAGCACTTTGGGAGGCCGAGGAGGGTGGATCACTGGAGGTTAGGAGTTGGACACCAGCCTGGCCAACATAGCAAAACACTGTCTCTCCTAAAAATACAAAAATTAGCCTGGCAGGGTGGCACATGCCTGTAATCCAGGCTATTCGGGAGGCTGAGGTATGAGAATCACTTGAACCTGAGAGACAAAGGTTGCAGTGAGCCGAAATTGTGCCACCGAACTCCAGCCTCCAGCCTGGGAGACAGAGCAAGACTCCATCTCAAAGAAAAACAAAAAACAACAACAACAAAAGAAACACATATTTTTAACTAGTACAACATAATTTGTCCCAGAAGAGTTGATCCTCTATCTTGAGGATTCTTTAGTTCCACACTCTATTTCAGCCCCATAAAAAAACCCTTCTTTATTTGACAGGCCCCTGGATTTCTAATCAAGCTACATTTGCATTATCCAAGAGTAATAAAACATCTACTGACAAAAATAAAAGTCACTAACTAATATCCTAGAACAAAGCTAAGCTATCAGTTCTGAAAGAATGTTGCTTCCAAACAACCTCACTGTGTTAGTCTTGGCTGGAGAACAAATGACAGAAAGTTATTTAAAAGCTGACATATAAAGAAAGAAATGGCAGTGCCATAAACAGGTAGTTAATGAATCACAAAGGTAAAAGATAATGGCGTTGTTGTGACATGGTAACAAACCACAATGGCCAACTCACTTGTCCATCAGAGTATAATTATGCTCAGTGGGAGTATGGTTGTTTTTGTTGTTGTTTTGAACAATGATATAGACAGTGAATCAAAGATGCAGAGAAATAATGCTGCAACTGCAAACCAAAAAACAACTTTTATAAGAATTCTATGTCCTATATAACCAGAGATGTAAATGTTGATTTTTCTATGATATCACTACTACACAGGAAATTAGCACTTCCAATATGCTTGTTAAGGCTAACTTATGTAGGCCAATCCTTAATTTTCCTGGGATTGATTCTTTACTTTTTCTACTAGGAAGTTACTGTCTCTTGGAAAACATACAGCACTAACTCATTGCACAGTGCCCTTAAAGATCTAAAGGTAAGGTTTTTTGGAAAAGTGCAAACCTTTATACATATTTACAAAAATATGCATTGTTACAATGATATCCATAAATAAATACATCCTAAAGGAATACACTATTCAATGTCAAAGTGATTGTTAAAAAATCAATATGATATAATGTAGCATGCTATTATAATATAAAACTTTAATAGATGTGCTTATGAACCAAGGAAAATTTGCCTACAGAATGCCCAGTGTGAGATTAAAAATAAAATCCAACAACAAAATTTAAAATTTCATAAGAGCCCATCCAATGGGTATAGAAGAGAGAGGAAAAGACATTAACAAACAGCAACCAAGACATGTAGGGTAGGAAGGACGAAAGTAAAACTATTGTTTAATTTTAAAATCATAACAAAAAAGATAAATGCTTTTTAATAGACCAGTTAGATGGAGTATATTATCCATACTATTTAATGGGAAACAAAGCAGAAATTAAGAAGCAGATTTAAAGTTTTCATAAATTGTTTGCTGTGTAGGCATATCATGGGATTACAATAATCGAATTTTTGAAGTTAAATAATAGTGACTTTAAATGTGAAAATCCATTTTTAAAACCATACTCTACATCCTGATGGTTTGGAATCAGCTACTATGCACAGAAGAATGTCTTGATTATGAATAAAAGTTCTTAAATTCTAGCCTTTTCTTGGATTATAGGTATTTCCAAAAGGGAGGAAAAATCATGGCCAACAAAATTCAAAATCCTAATCCGAATTAATTTTTTCACTTCCTAATCTATTCACAACTCAGAAATATATTTGAAGAATTTATTCCAGTAAAAAATGCTCCCTAGTTCCAAAGACTATTTAATACAGTGGTTTTTCATTATTCATAGCACCAACCGATACCAAGTGGTAAAGAATTCCACAGTGGCATATGTCGTTATCAAATGTACCAAGAAATCACAGTTCATAAATATTAATGTTTGTGGCTGAGTCAATACTTTATCAGACCAATTATTATAAATGTGAAAGTGCTAACAATCCTCCCTTGTTTACCACAGCAGAATTTATACTAGTCCCTGGTGAACAACATTTAATTTTTTAAATGCTAATATTCTTGGCTTCAGCTATTTTCACTGCATATTCCATATACTTTTAATGTGTACAAAGTATGGTAACTGTAGCTACTGTTTACTGTGTAATATAACCCTGAAGATTAGGTTACAGTTACCACTTAGCAGTTACTACAAATATGTTCAAGTTAATGGTAATAGGATTATCTATAATTGCTTTATGAGAATTGAAGTTCACACAGAGGTAACTATTCCAATTGCTACAACTACTCAGATTCAATTTTCCAATTCTTACCATTTTTACTATAGACAGGAAAACATACAAGAGCTAAAGAACAGAAGGAGAAAATCAGAATTATTAGAATGATGAAGGTGCCGAACTAGATTTGCTCACTCTAGCTCTGGAGATGCAAGATATGCAGCCCAAAGTTATCTTAAGAAAAAAACCCAAGAATCAGACTAGTGTTCTAATCTGAGATGTGCCGCTGTCTCTGAGAATGTACATAATTAAGTTCTCTGAGCCTCAGATACTGCTATATCTTTTTTATGCTATTTCCCTTTTGATCCACAGCCTGTCAAATTGTATCCATCTTTCATTGGTCAAAGAATATATGGATTTCCCCATTAAGTCCTTTTTTATTACTTAAGCCAATTAATATATCCTTATTTTGAATATTTAGAGCTTAGATAACCCAATTTAGTGCAGAATTATGTATATTCCTCTTATTTTTTTTTTAATTATCTCCTCTGGGCCGGGCACAGTGGCTCACACCTGTAATCCCAGCACTTTGGGAGGCTGAGGAGGGTGGATCACCTGAGGTCAGGAGTTCGAGACTAGCCTGGCCGACATGATGAAATCCCATTTCTACTAAAATACAAAAATTAGCCAGGCATGGTGGTGCATGCCTGTAATTCCAGCTACTTGGGAGGCTGAGGCAGGAGAATCACTTGAACCCAGGAGGCGGAGGTTGCAGTGAGCGGAGATCGCGCCATTACACTCCAGCCTAGGCAACAAGAGCAAAACTCCATCTTAAAAAAAAAAAAAGAGAAAAAATTATCTCCTTTGTACACAATAATAATAATAATAGCTTCCTGTTTTGATTACCTACTATATGCCAAAAATCAGAATTGAACAATTGGATACACTATGACTTCTTTGCTCAACTAGGGAACTCCATTCAGTCATTTATTAACACAGTGTAAACATGTAGCTCAGTCACATGGCAGTGAGTTCACTAAACAAATGTATAGTTCATGGCAGAAAAAGAAAAAAAGGCATTTATCAGCAAGAATGAAATAAAAGTATGATAGCAAGATTTCCACTTATTTTTACGAATTCTCTAAATCTCCAATTGCCAAAAGGCAAAGCTTAGTTTTAATTAGAAGGGCTGCTCTATGAGTTAACCAGTTGGTAAATGTGGAAAGAATGACAGGACATGCTCTGCTTAACTCCACTCACTTCCTCTAGAGAGGGAGCTTTCCTGCAGAGAACACAAATTTCCTTCTCTTTCATGCTGTACATCTTACCCAGGCAGGCTTCTGGCATAGGCAAGCCCTGGTTTAGAGCCACCTGGAAGTAGATGGGGCAATTTCTGTGATTCTGGAGTTTTTTATTTGCAATCCTATAAGGCAAACAGATAAAAATCTACTCTCTACCTAACCTCTGTTAGTGATAAAGGTGGTATTTTGGCCCCTACCTTTTTTTGGCTTTTGTTTTTTTCTAATTTTTCAGATGTGGAAAGAGGGTGCTGTTTATTGGTATTTCCTTGAAAAACTCATAAACTCAATTTTGTAAAATTCTGCATGTATGCTTACTTAAAAATCTGAAAAATAATTAAACCAAAGTGATACAATGGAAGACAATTTTTTAATTTTTTTTATCTTTGCATATTCTACATTTTTACTTTATGAAGATATACCATAGTTCGGAAAAAGGGTTAAATATACATATTTTATATATATATATATATACACACACATATATATATACATACAAACAGGCATATATATGTTTTTAAATAGAATGCTGACTTCTCAGAAAAAAAGAATATTGGTTATGTGTAGTCCTCACAATAGATGTTGCCTTAAAATGCTCAATATTCATATCATAAGTATTTAACAGTATTTTAATGATAAGCCCCCAAATGGATTGCACAGTTGGGATAAACTTGCAGGAAGTCTTGAGCCTCCTATATTATTAAGAACCCTTTCTAATCAGTTAACAGACCCTTGGAGCAATCAAAGAAAATTACCTTCTTTTAGCCGTTACAGATCCACACGGCTTTTCAAAAACATATCACTGCATTACACGCCCATGGTAGACACAGAATCCCTTTGGTCCAGTAGAAGCTATAGTATGCTTTTATGGTGACATTTTCCTCCAAATATCACTAACTTTCATAGAAGTCAGCAGCTTCAAAGTGCTGGAGGCAGCAGGCTTGTAATCAGGAGACATTTATTCCCTCCTCTGTCACTGTATTTCTGCTCACTTAGCCTCGCTTCATTTTGCCCATGCACAAAATAAGAAAAACAACTTTTTTCTTATTTTTTCTTAATAGTGCTTTTTTCTGCTTTTTTCTTAATAGTGCTAGTTAAGAAAATAAATGGACATATCTACATGAATGCTATAACTCTATATTCTTACAAATGTATATATACATATATACATTCTTTAATTAACTTTATTACAGTAATTGCTATTACCATAATTAACTTTAGCTGTCCATCAACGATTAGGCTATGTAATTTTTCTTTTGTTCCTTAACTCAAGATGCACTTAAGTATGTGACATTTTTTCTCCCAATATCACTATTTTCACAAAAGTCCATCACTTCAAGGTGCTAGAGGCTGGGAAGGTATCAAAACAGCAGAGGAGCAAGCTTTGTCTGTAGGAGGAAAGCTGGTATTCTCCGAATCGACAAGAAAAACATCACCCTTGAGAGTTGCTTTCCCCAATCAAGAGATGAAAAATCACTTGTATGTGGCAAGTTAACCAAATAATAGTGGAAGAATGCCAGTTTCAGGAAAAGTCATTTTGATGGATGTGAAAGGAATGAAATGAGATGCCTGCTTTATTAAACAGCAGCTGATCTGTTTTCTGCCCACGAGAGGAAGTTTACAAAAGAGTTGGACAGTTGTGTCAGGGAACTGAAGCCCACAATCACCCGCAGTAGTTTGAAAAGGACAAAAACACAAAGTACATCCAGAGAATAAAGACAAGTGACATCTGATACAACACAAGAGACCCAGTGGAACGGCATTACAGCTTGAAGATAGAAAGCAGCAAATTAGGGTCAAAGAAAAAGCTTGTTTTTATGAATCTGAAAACACTGAAAAGACTAAGGAGACAGAGAAAATCCCTTACAACCTAGCAAGGCTATAGATGTCAAATAGCCAGGAAAGTTCATCTTAAGTAGTTTCACTGCCAGAGTTTTGTTTTGTTTTGTTTTTTAATGAACTGAATTAATGAGCTGGATTTCACTGCCCTTTTAAAAAGAAGGCAAAGGAAATAAGCCAGTGTTGACAAACAGCATTAAAAGATGGCTAAAATATTCTGCAATAGTTACGCTTGCAGCCTGCAGCTAAACCCAGCTGTTGACTAAGGGTGACAGCTGCAGAAAACACTGAGGATTAAAAGTATCACTTGAAATTGGGGTGATAGGTTTTGAGGTTTGCTGTTCTCTTTTTGAAGTGATGATTTTGCCTGATTACATCAGAGGCTTAAAAGAGATCAAAAGCTCCAGATGTTGTAACCTGCTTTGTTGGAAAGACTCCTAATTTAATCAAACATAAACAGAATATAATTACATAAAAAGTAATAAAGTCTCTGATCAAGATTTGAAGTTGCAATGTTTGGACTGCTCAAGTACCCTTATTATCTCTTTTTAAGACACGTTGGTAATTAGAGATATGCATTATTTCCAAAAATCCAATAACTCCTGTTTGGTATGGGAGAAAAGATCAGAAAAAAATCTTAGGGACTACTAATGTTTTTGATATGAAAATTATATGCACATTTGTAAAAAGTGGGTAGAGCATGGATATATGGTTATAACCAACAGGGATAAACACAGCTTCATATCTGAAATTATAACAGAGCACTTGGGCAGAGCTGGCAAAGTCTAATCCCCAACAAAACCAGATGGATCAACATATCACAGAGAGAAACTCAGAATTCAAAAACAAATACCTATTCCTGAATAGTTTTAGACAGCATGTCTACATATTTGTTCTTCATATCTTGGCCAACACTCTCCAGGTAACTTCTGTGCTCCAATTTTGAAAAACATAAAATGATAAAGCAGGTGGGATGTTTACTTCCAACTCAGTATTGACAGTCAGTCAAAAATATTCCTTAATACCCACAAGGCTTTTAACATTACAGTGAGTACATGGAGGTACATATTAAAGAAGTTAGATAACATTTTTGAACCAAAGAAAATGTACAATAATGATTTCAATGATACAGGGCATGTATGTTCTGGGATTCAAACTAGAAACTGACATTAGAGAAAGAAATCAAATGCAGAAGATGCAAGAAGACATTTCTGACAGGAAACTGATTTTTTTTTCCTTTTTACTTTTTGTTGTTAAGAGATCCTATGCAGTTAACTATCACAGCCAGCCTCTCCTTACTTCATACTGCCACCTAAAGGATAGCAGGCAATTGCTACATAGTAATGTGTTTTCTTTCTCATGGCTGCAAATAAATGTCCTAATTAATTTCATGATGCCCCTATTTTGCATGCAGTATTAAAGTTAAGCACGCAAGTGCACATTGGATCTTATGTCTATAATCATAAAATAAAAATGCTGCCTGGAGTTTGAGATTAGTTTAGGGAAGCTGAAAAAGTCCCTCCCTGCCCATGACATTTAATAGCAAAGCACATTTTCATTCCTGTTCCATTTCATTTCAGAAAGGAAGCAGATTATCAGGATAGGTGGTCAAAAGATTCTAAATAAGGATCCCAGTTCTGCTAATGGAGATAAATGTAATGTTCAAATGCAGTGTTTAATGAACGCTTTTGGTGGCAGTTGTGGTTGGCTACATGTTTCATTAACTGTGATACAATTAGCCACTCTTTCTCAAAGAATACACTTCCAAAATTTATATTTTAAAACGATTTGGATTTTTTAAAATACCTTTTTGAAAAGCATAAAACAATTGAAATTAAAAGTAAAATGAAATTTAGTGACATGAATAATGTCAAGTGACAGGAATAAATAAATTCAAGTATTACTGTCCAGTGAATGTAAATAAAAGGACCAAAATATCATGGTTATTAGAAAGAGACCATTATGAATTAAAAGAAACGATTTGGTTCTTTCAATTTTGTAACAAGAACATTATGACATTTTCTGTCTGAAAAGAATTATCAAATTACTTGCTTGAAAAAAATTGATCAAACCAGGCCAGAAGAGCAGCTTCCATGGCAACCAATGCATTAGAAGATCATAGATGTTCTATATCCTCATTTAGCATCTTGACTGATAAAATTCAGAGAAATTCAGTAGGCCCTAGATGAACTGAAAGATAAATTTGACTATGCTGATTGGTGAAAGCTACAATAAGATTACCGGTGAAAGTAATCAACAGATTCCCAAGATGGATCCAGATATTTGTTAAATAATTTAAATTCCTCCTGCACACAAATGAATCAGAAACAGCCTTACATTGAAAAAAATCTCTCTCTCTTTTTGTTCTACAATAGATGTGTAACTGGAAAGTTCTGCACATGTCATGTTTCTGTTATTCAATTCAGTCTCTTAAATGAACTGAAGAAGCTCCCTGATTGAAGGAATCATATGTTGCATCATTTTGTAAAATAGAATCTTTTTATAGTACAAATAGCAACAATTTTCTCTCCTCAATGCATTTGGTAAATAACAATCCTCAGATATTGAATTTTCTTAAAATAATACAGTCATAATTTGCAAATAACAAAATGCCAGGAGATACAGAAATTACTCCTGGAGAGTTCAGAATTCAAAAGCACAGCATTACCAGAAGAAGTTTTAAAAGATGATTATCATTTATTTTTATGTACTACAGGTAGTAAACATTTGTGAATTAATCAAGACTATTGTCAAACAAGTTTCCTGCAATTCAGGGTCTCAGGTTGAGTTTAACTTGGTTGCCCCAAAAGAGAGAAAATAATATATCAATGTTTTTCTTAGTTAATAAACTTCATGATAGCTAAATTAATTTAGTTTTCTCTTTAATACTAATTCAAACCTACAATGTGATGTATCATTTGAATTGGTATATATATTTTTGTGTGACGCTTTTTGCACTTAACTATAGACCATCTGAAAATCTTTCAGAAGAAACAAAGACCTCATTTTAAAAACTGCAGATTGAGAGTTCATTATGGGATAAAGATGTTTCTGTGTACATTTTCAAAATTTGTTTTTGAACAAATTTTGGGAGGCCAAGGAGGGCGGATCACTTGAGGTCAGGAGTACCAGACCAGCCTGGCCAAAATGATGAAACTCCATCTCTACTATATATATATATATATATATATATATATATATATAGTGTGTGTGTGTGTATACATATATGCTATATATATATAATGTGTGTGTGTGTGTGTGTGTGTGTGTGTGTGTGTATACACATTCCCAAAAAATTAGCCGGGCATGGTGGCAGGTGCCTGTAATCCCAGTTACTTGGGAGGCTGAGGCAGGAGAATCACTTGAATCCAGGAGGTGGAGGCTGCAGTGAGCCAACAGGGTGCCACTGCATCCCAGCCTGGGTGACAGAGCAAGATTCAAAAAAATAAAAAATAAAAAATAAAGCTAACCTGGATTGTTTATTCCTTCAGTACTACTGTGTGAACTTAAGAAGGGCTAAACACCTCTCTATTCTATTTCTTAAGAGGGTAATGCTGTTTTACCCAAAATTATATTAAATATTTAAAAATATTATATGTAAGACTTTGCAAGCCAAAAACCATTTTTGCCTGAAATACAGCCATAAAGGGAGAAAAGGGTTTGACCCCTTTTTGCGTTAATTAGCAAATTATTTCCATTTTTCCACTTAGGTTCATATTTGTAAGAAAAGCCTCATAATCATTGTGATTGCATTAGAAACTTTTATACTTATGTTACAAGGGGAAAATATACACAGTTTGTGTGATAACATCGGATAATTACCATGCCTATGACAGGCTTTTCATAGTGTAATAAGAGATTTATATATCACGTTACTTTTGGATAGGTCACAGGGCTACAAAAATCATCTCCCTAATTTTCACTTCATCCATAATTGGCAGATAGGATCTCCATCAGAAGCTAGTAGGTAAGAGGTAAGGGAAAATGGAATGATGGCTGGAGGTCAGGTCTGTTCTAAGATGAATAATTACAGATATTATGCTCCTTGAGGGTGAGCATAATATCTGATGGTCTCATTTCCCCTACTGAGGACATTGCTTTGTACAAGTTTTAAGAACTAAAATGAATTTGTGCCCTTTGTGCTACCATAACCCCTTTATCTTTGTACAGCACCACCTAATTCCACTATAATACAACACATTTTCACATATTTGCTTACAGAAAATTTCTGAAATAGAATGAAATGTGGTGAAGATCATATACAAGAGTTTATCTTCCAGGTGGCAATTCTCATGTTAACATGAGGAATAATTCTCCTTAATCTTTGAAAAGTATGAGATGAGATAATTTGGAAACTAAGGAACAGTTTAGATCATCATCTGAAAGTTATTATAAGGCTAATTAGAGTATGCTAAATTAATGATAATTTATCTGAAATTAGCCAGAGGACTTATAAAGGCTCATATTCCCAGTCCACTACCACTACTTAATTAATTTATGTGGAAATTACTAATTCCCTGGGAAGAATCCTAAAATGCTTCCATATGATGACTAGGATGGGAAACGGAAAGCATTGGACAATGGTAGCTAGTCTTCAAGATGGCCTCAATGATCTGCACCTCTTTTGTCTCACTTTCTTGTATAGTCTCCTCCCACTTTGTACCAGGGATAATCTGGTACAAAGTGATCAATACCATGTGGCAGAAATAATGGTGTCACTTCTGAGATTAGGTTATTGATAACTGCTGCTTCCATCGTCGGTACTCACTCCTTCGTGAGCTCCCTCTTCCTCTCTCAATCTCTCTTTCTTTCCTTTTTTTTTTTTCTCTCTTTCTCTCTTTCCTTAAAGTCTCCAACTAAAAGCTAGTAAGGAACCAAAGCCTCTCAAGTGGGTTAGCTTCAAAGTGATTCTGTAGCCCTAATAGAGCCTTGAGATGACTTCAGCCAAGCCTACACATTGGCTGCAACTTGAGAGACCCTCATCCAGAATCACTCAGCTAGGCTCCTAAGTTCCTGACCCTCAAAACTGTGTGAGATAATAAATACTTGTTTTAGACTGCTATGTTTGGAGGCAATTTGTTGCACAGAATAGATAACTAGTATAGGCCTGGAGACATATACAGAGATTTCATATTTTCTCAAGATGAAAAGTATGACTATAGAAGTAAAATCTTAAAAATACAGAAAGTGAACATCTACCTACCTAAAAGATGATTACTATGATTTGGTTTTCCAGATGGAGGTTTATTGACTCCTAAATCATGGGCTATTCGGAAAAGAGATAAATAGTTAAAAGCCTGTGAATAATATATTTTGCTATGATGAAGGTTTGTAAGACATGAGGAAGGAAAGATAGTGACCAGTTTAAAAGGTTAAACAGTATAAAAATAAATTCAACCTAAAAAGAGTAATGATGAACGTGATGTTTATTGATTCACAGGGGACAAGTTTGGTAATAAAACCAAGGCCTTATGTGTTTGGTTATGGTCTGTATCTAGGATAGTTAAGAATATGGGTACTTTACAAAACAAAATTTAAAATGCCACCTAAAGAAGTAAGTTGATGTTGCAGATATCAGGGACAACTAGTGGGAGATGGAACACACGCCCGAAAAAGCAACAGATCTATACCACAGATACTGTTGAGGAGGAAAGTAGGGTCATATTTAAAGACTATATACCTTCCTGTGATACAGGATGGGGGCAAGGAAGTGCTGAGTAGAGAAGGGTGGGTCCCTGGCGAGGGTTCCACCCCCGGCTCTGTGCCCATGGACCAAGGTGAGGACAGGCATTTCTGCTTTTGTGCCCAAATGTTGAATTTCCCAGGACCAACCTGGCCCGCCAAACCCCCATCCTGTGCGTATCAAAACCTGAGATCCTAGCAGGCAGGGACACAAGCAGCTGGACATTGAGAGGAACACATTGGTGGAAGAGCACACTGACAGGCCCCAGCAGACACTGACAGGCCAGTAGGCCATTGAACAGCAGAACAATGGGAGTTTGGCCCGGGCAGTGGGAGGAGAGCCTGGCCGCTGAGCAGCCCGACTCCGGGAGAAAACCACCTTCCCACTCCATCTCCCTTCTGGCTTCCCCATCTGCTGAGAGCTACTTCCACTCAATAAAACCTTGCACTCATTCTCCAGGCCCCATGTGATCCAATTCTTCAAGTACACCAAGGCAAGAAGCCCCAGGATACAGAAAGCCCTCTGTCTTTGTGATAAGGCAGGGGATCTACTTGAGCTGAATAACACGAGCCGCCTATGGACAGCTACACTGAAAGAGCACATAGCAACAAACACCCACTGGGGCCTCGGGAGCTCTAAACATTCACCCCTAGATGCTGCCATGGGGTTGCAGCCCCACAACCTGCTCATTCCCATGCTCCCCATAGAGGCTTACACAGCGGGGCACTGAAGAAGCAAGCCACACCCCCATCGCACACCCTGCAAGGGGGACAAGGGAAATTTTCCCGTTTCACCTGTAGAGAAATCCACAGACCTAAAAGCAGAAACACAATTGGGTAACAAGAGGCAAGATTAGGAAGAAAGTGTAAAAGAAACAACATTGTGGAGTCCGTTCCAAGATGGCCGAATAGGAACAGCTCCAGTCTGCAGCTCCCAGCATGATCAACGCAGAAGACGGGTGATTTCTGCATTTCCAACTGAGGTACCTAGTTCATCCCATTGGGACTGATCAGAAAATGGGTGCAGCCCACAGAGGATGAGCTGAAGCAGGGCGGGGCATCGCCTCACCCAGGAAGCACAAGGGGTTGGGGGATTTCCCTTTCCTAGGCAAGGGAAGTCGTGACAGACTGTACCGGGAAAATTGGGACACTGCCACCTAAACACTGCACTTTTCCAACGGTCTTAGCAAACAGCACACCAGGAAATAATATCCCATGCCTGGCTCAGTGGGGCGCATGCCCGTGGGTCGCACGCCCAGTGAGCCTTGCTCACTGCTAGTCTGAGATCCAACGGTGAGGCTGCAAGCCTGGCTGAGGGAGGAGCGTCTGCCATTGCTGAGGCTTGAATACGTAAAGCGGCTAGGAAGCTGGAACTGGGTGTAGCCCACCGCAGCTCAACGAGGCCAGCCTGTCTCTGTAGACTCCACCTCTGGGGCAGGGCATAGCAGAACAAAAGGCAGCAGAAACTTCAGCAGGCTTAAATGTCCCTGTCTGACAGCTCTGAAGGAGCAGTGGTTCTCCCAGCATGGTGTTTAAGCTCTGAAAATGGACAGACTGCCTCCTTAAGTGGGTCCCTGACCCCCGTGTAGCCTAACTTGGAGACACCTCCCAGTAAGGGCCCACTGACACCTCATACAGCCAGATACCCCTCCGACACGAAGCTTCCAGAGGAAGGATCAGGCAGCAATATTTGCTATTCTGCAATATTTGCTGTTCTGGCAGCCTCCACTGGTGATACCCAGGCAAACAGGTTCTGGAGTGGACCTCCAGCAAACTCCAACAGACCTGCAGCTAAGGGACCTGACTGTTAGAAGGAAAACTAACAAACAGAAAGGAATAGCATCAACATCAATAAAAAGGACATCCACACCAAAACCCTATCTGTAGGTCACCGTCATCAAAGACCAAAGGTAGATAAAACCACAAAGATGGGGAGAAACCAAAGCTGATAATTCTAAAAACCAGAGCACCCCTTCTCCTCCAAAGGATCACAGCTCCTCGCAAGCAATGGAACAAAACATGATGGAGAATGACATTGATGAGTTGACAGAAGTAGGCTTCAGAGAGTCGGTAATAACAAACTTCTCCGAGCTAAAGGAGGATGTTTGAACCCTTCGCAAGGAAGCTAAAAACTTCGAAAAAAGACTAGACAAATGGCTAACTAGAATAAACAGTGTAGAGAAGTCCTTAAATGACCTGATGCAGCTGCAAATCATGGCACAAGAACTACGTGATGCATGCACAAGTTTCAGTAGCTGATTGGATCCAGTGGAAGAAAGGGTATCAGTGATTGAAAATCAAATTAATGAAATGAAGCAAGAAGAGAAGTTTAGAGAAAAAAGAGTAAAAAGAAGCAAACAAAGCCTCCAAGAAATATGGGACTATGTGAAAAGACCAAATCTATGTCTGATTGGTGTAACTGAAAGTGACAAGGAGAATGGAACAAAGTTGGAAAACACTCTTCAGGATATTATCCAGGAGAACTTCTCCAACCTAGCAAGGCAGGCCAACATTCAAATTCAGAAAATACAGAGAATGCCACAAAGATACTCCTCGAGAAGAGCAATCCCAAGACACATAATTGTCACATTCACCAATGTTGAAGTGAAGGAAAAAATGGTAAGGGCAGCCAGAGAGAAAGGTTGGGTTACCCACAAAGGGAAGCCCATCAGACTAACAGCAGATCTCTCAGCAGAAACTCTACAAGCCAGAAGAGAGTGGGGGCCAATATTCAACATTCTTAAAGAAAAGAATTTTCAACCCAGAATTTCATATCCAGCCAAACTAAGCTTCATAAGTGAAGGAGAAAAAAAATCCTTTACAGACAAGCAAATGCTGAGAGATTTTGTCACCATCAGGCCTGCCCTAAAAGAGCTCCTGAAGGAAGCACTAAACAGGGAAAGGAACAACTGGTACCAGCCACTGCAAAAACATGCCAAATTGTAAAGACCATCAATGCTAGGAAGAAACTGCATCAAATAATGGACAAAATAACCAGCTAACATCATAATGACAGGATCAAATTCATACATAACAATATTAACCCCTTAAATGTAAATGAGCTAAATGCCCCAATTAAAAGACACAGACTGGCAAACTGGATAAAGAGTCAAGACCCATCAGTGTGCTGTACTCAGGAGACCCATCTCATGTGCAGAGAAACACATAGGCTTAAAATAAAGGGATGGAGGAAGATCTACCAAGCAAATGGAAAGCGAAAAAAAAGCAGGCGTTGCAATCCTAGTCTCTGATAAAACAGACTTTAAACCAACAAAGATCAAAAGAGACAAAGAAGGCCATTACATAATGGTAAAGGGATCAATTCAACAAGAAGAGCTAACTATTCTAAATATATATGCACCCAATACAGGAGCACCCAGATTCATAAAGCAAGTCCTGAGAGACCTACAAAGAAACGTAGACTGCCACACATTAATAATGGGAGACTTTAACACCCCACTGTCAATATTAGACAGATCAACGAGACAGAAATTTAACAAGGATATCCAGGAATTGAACTCAGCTCTGCACCAAGCAGACCTAATAGATACCTACAGAAATCTCCACCCCAAATCAACAGAATATACATTCTTCTCAGCACCACATCGCACTTATTCCAAAATTGACCACATAGTTGCAAGTAAAGCACTCCTCAGCAAATGTAAATGAACAGAAATCACAACAAACTGTCTCTCAGACCACAGTGCAATCAAACTAGAACTCAGGATTAAGAAACTCACTGAAAACTGCACAACTACATGGAAACTGAACAACCTGCTTTTGAATGACTACTGGGTAAATAACAAAATGAAGGCAGAAATGAAGATGTTCTTTGAAACCAATGAGAACAAAGACACAATGTACCAGAATCTCTGGGACACCATTAAAGCAGTGTGTAGAGGGAAATGTATAGCACTAAATGCCCACAAGAGAAAGCAGGAAAGATCTAAAATCGACACCCTAACATCACAATTAAAAGAACTAGAGAAGCAAGAGCAAACACATTCAAAAGCTAACAGAAGGCAAGAAATAACTAAGATCAGAGCAGAACTGAAGGAAATAGAGACACAAAAACCCTTTCAAAAAATCAATGAATCCAGAGCTGGTTTTTTGAAAAGATCAACAAAATTGATAGACCACTAGCAAGACTAATAAAGAAGAAAAGAGAGAAGAATCAAATAGACACAATAAAAAATGATAAAGGGGATATCACCACTGATCCCACAGAAATACAAACTACCATCAGAGAATACTATAAACACCTCTACACAAATAAACTAGAAAATCTAGAAGAAATGGATAAATTCCTGGATGCATACACCCTCCCAAGACGAAACCAGGAAGAAGGTGAATCCCTGAAGAGACCAATAACAGGCTCTGAAATTGAGGCAATAATTAATAGCCTGCCAACCAAAAAAAGTCCAGGACCAGACATATTCACAGCCAAATTCTACCAGAGGTACAAGAAGGAGCTGGTACCATTCCTTCTGAAACTATTCCAATCAATAGAAAAAGAGGGAATCCCCCTAACTCATTTTATGAGGCCAGCATCATCCTGATAGCAAAGCCTGGCAGAGACACAACAAAAAAAAGAGAATTTTAGACCAATATCCCTGATGAACATCAGTGTGAAAATCCTCAATAAAATACTGGCAAATTGAATCCAGCAGCACATCAAAAAGCTTATCCACCAAGATCAAGTTGGCTTCATCCCTGGGATGCAAGACTGGTTCAACACATGCAAATCAATAAACATAATCCATCACATAAACAGAACCAAAGACAAAAACCACATGATTATCTCAATAGATGCAGAAAAGGCCTTCGACAAAATTCAACAGCCCTTCATGCTAAAAACTTTCAATAAGCTAGGTATTGATGGAATGTATCTTAAAATAATGAGAGCTATTTATGACAAACCCACAGCCAATATCATACTGAATGGGCAAAAACTGGAAGCATTCCCTTTGAAAACTGGCACAAGACAGGGATGCCCTCTCTCACCACTCCTATTCAACATAGTTTTGGAAGTTCTGGCCAGGACAATCAGGCAAGAGAAAGAAAGAAAGTGTATTCAATTAGGAAAAGAGGAAGTCAAATTGTTCCTGTTTGCAGATGACATGATTGTATATTTAGAAAACCCCATTGTCTCAGCTCAAAATCTCCTGAAGCTGATAAGCAACTTCAACAAAGTCTCAGGATACAAAATCAATGTGCAAAAATCACAAGCATTCTTATACACCAATAACAGACAAACAGAGAGCCAAATCATGAGTGAACTCCCATTCACAATTGCTACAAAGAGAATAAAATACCTAGGAATCCAACTTACAAGGGATGTGAAGGACCTCTTTAAGGAGAACTACAAACCACTGCTCAACAAAATAAAAGAGAACACAAACAAATGGAAGAACATTCTATGCTCATGGATAGGAAGAATCAATATCATGAAAATGGCCATACTGCCCAAGGTAATTTATAGATTCAGTGCCATCCTCATCAAGCTACCAATGACTTTCTTCACAGAATTGGAAAAAACTACTTTAAAGTTCATATGGAACCAAAAAGGAGCCCGCATTGCCAAGTCAATCCTAAGCCAAAAGAACAAAGCTGGAGGCATCATGCTACCTGACTTGAAACTATACTACAAGGCTGCAGTAACCAAAACAGCATGATACTAGTACCAAAACAGAGATATAGACCAATGGAACAGAACATAGCCCTCAGAAATAACACCACACGACTACAACCATCTGATCTTTGACAAACCTGACAAAAACAAGAAATAGGGAAAGGATTCCCTATTTAATAAATGGTGCTGGGAAAACTGGCTAGCCATATGTAGAAAGCTGAAACTGAATCCCTTCCTTACACCTTATACAAAAATTAATTCAAGATGGATTAAAGACTTCAATGTTAGACCTAAAACCATAAAAACCCTAGAAGAAAACCTAGGCAATACCATTCAGGACATAGGCATGGGCAAGGACTTCATGTCTAAAATACCAAAAGCAATGGCAACAAAAGCCAAAATTGACAAATGGTATCTAATTAAACTAAAGTGCTCCTGCACAGCAAAAGAAACTACCATCAGAGTGAACAGGCAACCTACAGAATGGGAGAAAATTTTTGCAATCCACCCATCTGACAAAGGGCTAATACCCAGAATCTACAAATAACTTAAACAAATTTACAAGAAAAAATCAAACAACCCCATCAAAAAGTGGGCAAAGGATATGAACAGACACTTTTCAAAAGAAGACATTTATGTAGCAAACAGACACATGAAAAAATGCTTATCATCACTGGTCATCAGAGAAATGCAAATCAAAACCACAATGAGATAGGATCTCACACCAGTTAGAATGGTGATCATTAAAATGTCAGGAAACAACAGATGCTTGAGAGGATGTGGAGAAATAGGAACGTTTTTACACCATTGGTGGGAGTATAAACTAGTTCAACCATTGTAGAAGACAGCATGGCGATTCCTCAAGGAACTAGAATTAGAAATTCCATTTGACCCAGCCATCCCATTACTGGGTATATACCCAAAGGATTATAATCATTCTACTATAAAGACACATGCACATGTATATTTATTGTGGCACTATTCACAATAGCAAAGACCAACCCAAATGTCCATCAGTGATAGACTGGATTAAGAAAATGTGGCACATATACACCATGGAATACTATGCAGCCATAAAAAAAGGATGAGTTCATGTCCTTTGTAGCAACATGGATGAAGCTGGAAACCATCATTCTGAGCAAACTATCACAAGGACAGAAAACCAAACACCACATGTTCTCACTCATAGGTGGGAATTGAACAATAAGAACACTTGGACACAGGGCAGGGAACATCACACACTGGGGCCTGTCATGGGGTGGGGAGATGGGGGAGGGATAGCATTAGGAGAAATACTTAATGTTAATGATGAGTTAATGGGTGCAGCAAACCAACATGGCACATGTATACATATGTAACAAACCTGCACGTTATGCACATGTACCCTAGAACTTAAAGTATAATAATAAAAAAAAAAACTGTTAGGAATGTGACTTACAGAGCACCTAGCCACATCAAAGTTAGGGATTCAAAACTGCATAGGTAACAAAAGAGAAAAGGTAAAAGTACTTCCGGTATAACAATATCTTGTAAAGTTTTTTTTTTTAAACCTAAGTGCAGAATATTTGATGATAAATTCTAGGCATTCTTTGTTGAAAATTTCATGTTTCATGTTTCACAATACCCAGAGCACTGAAAAGATTAAGAAACGTCCCCATTCTAGAATCTTGGAGAAATGGATGGAGGGGAAGAAATTCTAGCATATGTGCGAGTTTCCAAACTACTAAAGATAGATATCGCCAGTTATTTTCCAAACAGAGGGGAAGTATTATTCAATGAATAAACTAATGGCACAAATCCCTGTAAGAATTTTAGAGTCATGTATAAATACTTTAAAAAGCAAAGAAGTTATCTCCAGAAACCAGCCCAGTCACCAAGAACAGATTCTAACACCCTAATCTCCTTATCTGATAGACTTATAAGACAAATAATTTTGATGTTACTTTTTAAAGAGTATATTTTGATTTAACATATGTTTTGATAAAGCCTCAACTGAAATACTTGTGAAAAAGCTAAAGAACAGAGATAGCATAGTTAGGTGAGATGTTAATTATAACTAAAATATGTTGACTGTTAGATTGATGAAAAATTACAATAAGTTTCTAGTGATCTATTGTCCTCTCATTTGGAGGGATAGATTAAAGATGGGTTTACACTATTTATTGATAACAAATAGCCAGGAAAAATACATTTGATGGCAGAACTATAATTTTGTATAAAAAGTGTAAATTTAACAGAAAGCATTTAAGGTCTTAGATTTAATCAATTGCATACATAGAAATGGGAAGACAAAGGCTAATGGCTAATATGGCTAATTTGGAAAACATTCTGGTGTAGTTAATGGACTATAATCTCAAAGCTAGCCCATAGAGTAAAATACAAAAAAAAAAAAAGCTTATAATCCAATATTAAGTCTAAAATGTGTATTGTCCAGATTCTAAAATGTAATAATAACTCTGTATTCTGCATTGACCAGATAATTTTAGGGCTATGATACATAGTTTTCGGCAATACTCTTAATAGAAATATTGAAAAACTATAGAAAGTTCAATGCTGACTGGTTATTCATTCTTCTAACAGACAAATCTTATACTATTTGGAAATTAATTTTTAAGTTTCTATTCTGTTTCAGGCATTATCTGAAACTGGTAAAAGAAAAAAAAATTTAAATACCCTGTTCCTGTCCACAAAGAGCAGATGACACAGTAAAGGAATAAAACAAATACACAAGATGGTGTGTATCTGCAAACTCTGTGATGTAAGGGATATTTGAGATAATTGGAATGCTCTGCCTGGAGGACAGACTTGGGGAAATATGATGGATGTCTGCAAACAGCTGAAGGGAAGCATTAGATGTGTGTCTAGATATATCGTATCATACAAGAAAGTAAGGAGGAAAATTACGGGAAGGCAAGTCTTGACCTAAGAACTTTACAACATTTAGAAATGCAGAGCAAGAGACTTAATCATGAAGTAGTGAGCCCTATTTTAGAAATGTCTGATCATAGGGTAGATGAAACCTGGAAGAGGTACTGTAAGAAGGATTTTCACTTTGAGGTATGGCTGCTGCTGCCCCTACTGTTCCTGCTGTGAAGAGGATGGGGTGTCCAAATGTGTTTAACAAGAACAGAGAAGTGGGGTAAAAATGTTTGCTCTGTCTCTAATATTTTTGATTCTGTGTTTCACGTGCATCCATGTGAAGAGACCACCAAACAGGCTTTGTGTGAGCAATAAAGCTTTTTAATCACGTTGGTGCAGGCAGACTTAGTCCGAAAAGAGAGTCAATGAAGGGAGATAGGGGTGGGGCTGTTTTATAGGATTTGGGTAGGTAGTGGAAAATTACAGTCAAAGGGGGTTGTTCTCTGGCTGGCAGGGGTGGGGGTCACAAGGTGCTCAGAGGGGGAGCTTTTGAGCCAGGATGAGACAGGAGAAGGAATTTCACAAGGTAACATCATCAGTTGAGGCAAGAACCGGACATTTTCACTTCTTTTGTGATGCTTCACTTGCTTCGGGCCATCTAGATGAATACTTGCAGGCTTGGGGTCAGAGGCCTGACACCGTGCACAATAACTATCATTCTCTATCTTCATGAACACGATTTTTTTTTTTTTTGAGACAGGGTTTCGCTTTGCCGCCCAGGCTGGAGTACAGTGGTGTGAACAGAGCTCACTTGCAGCCTTGAGCTCCCAGGCTCATGTGATCCTCCCACATCAGCCTCTGGAGTAGACAAGACTACAGGCGCATACCACCAGATCCGACTAATTTTTTTAAATTAGGGTCTTGCCATGTTGCCCAGTCTAGTCTGGAATTCCTAGGCTCAGGCAATCTTCCTGCCTCAGCCTCCCAAAGTGCTAGAATTACAGGCATGATCCAGTGCACCTGGCCAAAACACTATTTTTATTTTAGATCCCATGTCAAAATTTGTCATGCTTCAAGAACCAACACAATTAGGCAGCACATTTATCTTAAGAAAAAGATTGTCCCCTGATCAAGAGATTAATTCTAGTGTGCCATGCCTAATGTGTTTGAGAACATAGAGCAACTTTTAGAAAACACGTAGTTAATAGATCCACATGCAGGAGGCTTAAAAACTTAACTTAGATTTAGGATTATTTGGCTTCATATTTATATAAAAATTGAAAGAAGTTATGCTATCTAGGAAACATTCATTCTTTTGTATAACTCTTTTCAGAATTTCTTTCAAAAGAGTTCCTTTAGCACAAAGCACACTCTTTTCATCTTATTCTCTGATTCTTAATACTGCCTGAGTTGTAAGAAGGTGACTGATATTTTCTTTTGAGGATGGTTCGAACATCCTCTCAGGGGATCAGTAACACAAATTCTAAGAAATTTAGTACCCATCCCCTACCTAGTATTGCTAGATATGTTAAAGGACCTAAAATCTTCAAAACACATGACTCCTTTTTCTACTATCAAACACATTACTTTGAACCACAGTTTTAAAAAGACACTAGCTCATTTACATCTTGGACAATATAACCAGGTTACAGAATAAATAAAAGAACACTAAATATTCCAAGTCAACCAAAATAAAGCTTAAAACTAATTAGTATATTAATTTTAAAATGGCTAAGTAGGAGGTGTTTGTTAACTTGACTTTTAAAATAATATTTTAAATAATTTTTTCTATTCTCTGTGGAACTCCACAGGCAATTCATATCAGTGCTTTCTGTGGGAATTTTTCCGTGTGGCCTCTTTCAGTTTCATAAGAACAAATCATATCCTATATTCAGCATATTTATTGATAGCAAAGAGCCAGGATAATAAATATATTGAATGACAAAACCAAATTTTCTTTTTTGAAAAGTACATTTAACAGGAAGCATTTAAGGTCAAATTATATGGTTGCCACTTGAATTAGCAAAGTTTAATTTCTGCAATCCAGATTTTTGGCAAATAGCAGAATCATAAATACTAGCTATTCTTACATAAGCCTCAATTGTGATGAGTCACATATATGGAAAACTGCCAATTACTCCTCTAAATCAATATTTCTCAAATTTTAATCTATGGTCCATGAGCATCCGAATGAACTAGGGGCTTTTGAATGACACAGGTTCCTGAACCACACCCTTTATCTGCGGAGTCAGGCTCTCCCTAAGTAATCCTTGTGCCACCTAAAAATTGAGAACTTATTTTAGATTGCTTCATTTTTTTTTTTTTTTTTTTTTTTTTAGTGACAGAGTCTCGCTTTGTCACCCAAGCTGGAGTCCAGTGGGGCAATCTCAGCTCACTGCACCCTCCGCCTGCCGGGTTCAAGCGATTCTCCTGCTCCAGCCTCCTGAGTAGCTGGGACTATAGGCACATATCACCCAGCTAATTTTTATGTTTTTAGTAGAGACAGGGTTTTGCCATGTTGGCCAGGCTGGTCTCAAACTCCTAACCTCAAGTGATCTACCCACCTCAGCCTTCAAAAGTGCTGGGATTACAGGTGTGAGCACCGTGCCCAGCCAGATGTGCTTCACTATATCACCAGAAAGCTACAGTAAGAAAAAAAAAAAAAAAAAATATATATATATATATATATATATATATATATATATATATGTATACACTCAACATTGTATTGATTTTACATGTTTATTAGTGGACAGTGATGACATCACACAATTCCTTCTCTATGAGAACATAGCAAGTATGACTTTCAGGAAAAAGTTTCGCTTTTCCTGGAAAACAGCTTTACTTTTATTTTATCCATGATTCTTATTTCTGTCTTTGTTCTTACCACTGGATGGTTCAAAAACAAATTTTAGACCTGTCTTTTTTAATACTAAAGTATATAATAAAATTCATTGAACATGTTTCAACAGTTTAATGTTATTTCTTAAAATATTTAGGTAGTAAAAAAAAAAATCCAGAAGAGTGAAATATAGATTGATTGATAGGTAGGTCAATAAATCTCCTAATAATCCAGTCTAACATTACTTTCATTGATAGCCATATTACACATTTAACTCTGGCAATTGAAATATAAATGTCTTATTGCATGTTTTACATGCATGTCTTCCCATTTTTTTCTGTAAATTATTTAAAAATAGTTTTATTTAATTATTTCTGTTCTCTACATCTCAGAACTCGTGCAAAGGTGCCACCAGAAAAGTGAGAATGGCAAATGTAGGAAGGAGCTAGGACTTAGCCACCAAAGGTGAGATAGAGTGTACAGGAAATAATGGAGTAGTAACTGGAGTGGTATTCACTGACTCATAAACCAGATCTTTGGACATAATTATTTAATCAATAATCCACTTAATAAGGCCAGCACTTAGCCCATAGTTTAACACCTTTTCCAAAAAACATATTGTGAGAAAACTTGTCATGTGCCAAAATCCATATAGAGATGCTCCTTGACCTCTGATGGAATGGCATCTCAATAAACTCATAATAAACCGAAGATACCATTAAGTCAAAAGTGCATTTAATACACCTAATCTACCGAACATTGTTTTGCCTAACCTATCTTTAACATGCTCAGAAAACTTTCATTAGCCTACAGTTGGGCAAAAGTTATCTAACACAAAGACCGTTTATAATAAAGTGTTGACTATCTCATGCAATTTGACTACTGTACTAAAAGAGAAAAAACAGAATGGTTGTATGAGCACTTGAAGTATGGTTTCTACTGAATATGCATCACTTTCACACCATCGTAGAGTGGAAAAATTGTCTGTACGCTAGATACACTATGTTTTCCTGGTATTTCTAGATTAGTCAGTTGTTAAAAAGAAAAATAAATTTAGTCTGATATTAGTTGTTCTCTTAATATCAACCCATGCTAATTCCCAGTGATCACTTTTTTTTTTTTCATTTTCTTCAGTAAATGCTCAAATCAGTGCTTCACAATCTGGTAATGAATAAGTCTTGTTCTTTGTAATTTTCAAGCTATCAAGAATTAAATTTTCATAAAATAAAATGATTGTTATAAAAATAAAAGAACAAAAAACCCAAAGACATACAGAATACAGTGCATTTTTAATTATTTTAAGTTTTAAAACATTATTTCAAATTATTATTAAATTCAATAGTCATAAAATTCTCTAACAAATGTCTACCAAATTTCTAAATGCTTACTCTGTCTTTCTTATTTTATCACGTGGAGCAGTAATAAACAGTCTACAGATAAGCATCTGTCTGTGGACTACACTTTCCACAACCTTCCATGAACAATCCATCCAATACTCCACTGATTTTTTCATCTGCAGAAATCCACTTTCCATAAATGTTTAGAAAATGGATTATACCTTCTCCTCTCAATTTTTCTTAACCTTCTTCTACTCTGCACAATTATTCAATAATCACTGAAAATGGATTAGCAATCCCAATGGCAAATCTTTTTAGCAGTTGTGTGGTATAATTAGACCAAAGCTAATTGGAATAGCTAAAAGTGCTTTTTCAATTTTGACAATAATTTGGGGCTTTATTTCCCTCTTACCATTGTTTCTTCTAATGTTTTCAATTCAAAGGTGATTACCTTTTTTCACCAATGGCAAGTTCTCTTCCCTTCGGGGCACATGGAAAACTGTATTTCTCAATCCCATTCCAATTAAGCAGGACTATGTGGCTAGTTCTAGCCAAGGAACAGTGGAAGCCCTCAGGTGATTTTCCAGCCTCTCTGCTCCTGACCAAGAAAAGAAAGAGAAAAAAAAACCCACACACAAAGGAAAGAAAAAAAGAAAACACCTGTTCTTTATAATGGAGCCTGTCTGAATTATCCTAAGTCCCTGAATAATCATATAATGCTGAATCTGCGGCTGACCTGCACTAAAAACAAAGCATGAACAATAAACAAACCTTTGTTGTTTTAATTACTTGAAATTTCAGAATTAATAAACTGCCTATCCTGACCAATAGTGTCTTTTCAGAAAGGAGGAAAAATAGTCATCAAACAAGTATTTAGAAATGAGATAATTTTAGTAAAATTGAAATGACAAAGGAAACAAAGGGTGCCATTCTCATATATCAGAAGGACCTAATTCAGTGTAGGTAAGGCTAGAGGTTCAAGGAAGGCTTCCCAGAAGGTGTGAAACTTAAATTGAGACCTTGATCATAATAGGGAATTTGGAAAAAGAGGGAAAATGAGAACTCCAGGCAAAAGAAATTGTGTGTGAAGACCTCACAGCTAGGTGTGATGACAAAAATGTAGAAAGGGACCAAGCTTCCAGAAGTCAACTTCAGGCCCATCAGCTCCTACCTTGACAATTTTGTTTACCTCTTGCTCCTAGGTCACACTGGAGACTCCTGCCTATAGTTCTGATTCTCTCAAAACACCTGATCCATGTTCTGGAGGGCACAAATTTTTCTGTAGTAGTTTTGCACTCACCTATTACTTGAAGAACTTCGTGTTTATTGCACGCCTGGCACATAGAAATGCCTACTAAATAACTGATAACTGACTAAATAAATCGATAATTAAAGTATGATTAAAAGGAATAGTTTGCATGGATCCACAAGGTCTGTGTAGTCTATTCTCAAGCAGAAACAAGAAGCAAAAATCATATTAGAGCTATCTTAAATATTATGATTTTCTAAATTGTGTTCATATTGCTTCTCTCCCAAGCATAGAGGAAAACTGTATTGATTCTAATCAAATGTGGAGAAAGCCCATATGAATTAATGAGAAAAAATATTAATTTTAAAGCATAAAAGACATGCCATTTTATTACTTCCAAATACAATAACTCAAGTTAATGGAATAATAACAATGCTAAAAAGGCATTCTATAATTTCTTGTTTAATGAATCAGCCTGCCAACAAGTATTTATTGGACACCACCTCTATACCTAGTAAACAGTCTTCAGAGTTTGTGCTACAAATTTCAAAGACACACATTTATAAGAAATCACTGTTTTTAATATGCTTAGCTGCTAGGCAAGAAATTATTAAAGATTGCCACTGAGTCAAAAAAATGTATACTGTTAAAAGTTATCGTAGTTGTTGCTAGTCCATTTGGGCTGCTATAAAAAATACGCCACAAAATGGGTAGCTTATCAACAATGGAAATTTATGTCTCCCAGTTCTGGAGCCTGAGAAGTCCAAAACCAAGGCTCTCGCAGACTCAGTGTCTGGTGAGGGTTTATTCTCTAGTTCATAGATGGCATTTTTTCACTGTGTCCTCACATGGCAGAGGGAGTAAACGAGCTCTCTGGGGTCTCTTTTATAAGGGTACTAATTTCATTTGTGAGGGCTCTGTTCTCATGAACTAATCACTTTCCAAAGGCCCCACCTCCTAACACTATCACCTTGAAGGTGAGTATTTCAACATATGAAATTTTAGGGCATATAAACATTCAGTCCATTGCATTTTCATTAGCATACTCATTTGTTTCTTTCAAATACATATAAAATATTGAAAATACTTTATTGTCTGAAATTCATATATTCCCAAATGTTTTTAAAAGTCCCAAAACAAGCAAAGAAGATAGGACCTTTCTTCTAGAAGTACTTTAAAATTTCTGCTTTTCACAAACTAGTCTTGGTGACCTTTCAGATTCCCTTTATTCATTAAACAGTCATCATTTATGAAATAACTGCCTTAACATTCCATCCACCTCTGATTTAAGAACTATCTCCAGTTTAAGGAAGGTCCTAGTACAGTGGTTGATATTGTTAGGCTTTTTGTCCCCACCCAAATCTCATTTTGAATTGTAATCCAAATTGCAATCCCCATGTATAGAGGGACAGACCTTGTGGGAGGTGATTAGATCACAGGAGTGGTTCCCACATGCTATTCTCATGATAGCAAGTGAGTTCTCATGAGATCTGTTGGTTTTATAAGGGGCTCTTCCCCTTCACTTTGCACTTCTCTCTCCTGCCACCTTGTAAAGAAGGATGTGTTTACTTCTCCTTCTGCCATGATTGTAAGTTTCCTAAGGCCTCTCCAGCCATGCAGAACTGTGAGTTAATTAAACCACTTTCCTTTATAAATTACCCAGTCTCCGGTATTTCTTTATAACAGTGTGGAAATGAACTAATACAGTGGTTACAGAATAGATCCCAACTGCTTCTTTCTATAGCATTGTCACACTTGTCATTCCCAATGAACTATCGTTTTTTGCTCTCCATGTTATTTTATACATAGATAACTAACAATGCAATCTGTTTTCAATCTTTAACATTAGTCATTTAATTTGATATTTATCCTAGATATTACATTCTGATCATTTTTGCTGATAATTGGCAAGATTATTTCCACAATTATATTTTGCTTTGACCTACTTCATATTTCAATACAATGAAAAGTCATCCTCACTATATTATATTGGTCCTTTATAAATCAGTATCAATTAATCAGGTATGTGATCTTCAAGATCAAGCCAATGCTGCTTGTTACAACATCTAATCCATCACAAACATGATCCTCTGAAACAAAAATCACATGGAATAATTATAATGTCTATTTTCACCAAAATCAATAAGTTTGCACTTCTACTTGATAGTTTTAGTAATACTGAGTCATATTCTGATCAATTATTTTTAACCTGCATACTTTGCTCTTCATGGCTAGATTCTAGTTGCATGAAGACAAGAACGGATTTATGTATTATCCAGCATGAAATATGTCAGGAGCCCTAGTAGGAAAACACTATGTCCATTATCACTTAAAGCTCAGTCACTGCTTGCCTGTACAGGCTTGTAGGGGGTGGGGGTCGGGGGGGTAAAATACATTATTACCCTTCAGGCTTTCGGCTATTCTGTTGCCTCTTATTCTATCTCTGAATTACCCATGTCAGTGAATCATCTCATAAAACATTGCTGAAAACTTACCAGAATTCCATCTCTAAAAATCTGTCATATTTAATAGCATGCCATTCATTTATTTCAGTAATGGAGATTTATATCCTGTCTGTATTCAAGGTACAATATTAGAAATCAGTTGATACAAACAGATTCTCACAGTAATATTCAATGTTTCAAAATTCTACTCTTTCTAAAAGAAACATCCTAAATGTTAGGGGACAGAGTTAATGAAAAAAATAATAAGAAATCACATTATGCAAAGATGGCTTTTACTCAAAGTCCTCAAGAGTCTTTCCATATTTCATATGAATTGCAGTTTAAACAGATAAATAGACAGGTTCTGCCTTAACTTGAAAACCTATAATTTTCTCTTGTTTAGAGAAGTTAACTTAAGCAAAAACATTTTCCATCACCATTTTATTCTCACCGTATTCACTCATCAATAATGTGAGAGATTGAGGAGAGTAGAAAGGTAAATGCATATTTGACAATGGAGTGGATATTATACCTTTTAAGAATAGGTCATTTGTGTCTTTCCAAAGTCTATTGAATGGTCAATGGTGAACTTAAATGAGTATTGTTGCCTTATATAATAGAGGTCAATAATTTAAGGTCATATTTATCCAGAACTAAGTGTGACTTTAAAGTCTAAAGATCCAGGCATTCCTGTAAGTGCAAAGAAAGAGAACATCTTACTTCATTTTTCATCCTGAGTTACACATGAAACTTAGGGCAGAAAGAATTTTAAGGATGCTTCTTATTTTGCACCAGGACTATAGAGAGAACTGTCTTATCACAAGTAAATTTTGGCCCCTACCCTTCTTATTTCTAGCTCTATAGATGAGGGAGGTAGATAGAGAAATTTAGATTTTCAATTCAATATTTATTTAAAATTAGACATCATAATGTCTAAAATTATATGGTGACTTTCATTTGCAAAATGATTTAACACATATCTCACAGAAGATAGATTTAAAATACTAGCAAACACACTTAACACTTGCATAAGTTGTTAGCAATTTGAAAGAACTTGTTGTAACTGTAAGAAGTTTTGTATAAGCCTCATGGTAACCACAAAGCAAACATCTATACTAGATGCACAAAAAATGAAAATTAGGGACTCAAAGCCTACCTATAGAGAAAAATTACCTAATCACAAAGGAAAACAGCAACAGAGGAAGAAAGGAACAAATCTTCTATAAAACAAACAGAAAACAATGAAAAAAATGGCAGTAGTAAGTCCTTAAAGATCAATAATTACAGGCCAGGTGCAGTGGTTCACGCCTGTAATCCCTGTACTCTGGGAGGCCGAGGCAGGTGGGTCACCTGAGGTTGGGCGTTCAAGACGAGCCTGACCAACATGGAGAAACCCCGTCTCTACTAAAAATACAAAATTAGCCGGGCAAGGTGGTGCATGCCTGTAATCCCAGCTACTCAGGAGGCTGAGGCAGGAGAATCGCTTGAACCCAGGAGGCGGAGGTTGCAGTGAGCCAAGATCGTGCCATTGCACTCCAGCCTGGGCAATAAGAGCAAGACTCTGTCTCAAAAAAAATAAAATAAAATAAAAGATCAGTAATTACAGATATCTTGGAGATATTGCAGGTTCAGTTCCAGATCACCACAATAAAGTGAATATTTCAATAAAGCAAGTCACATACAGTTTTTTTTGGTTTCTCAATGCATATAAAAGTCATGTTTGCACTGTATTTTACTATATTAAGTAGGCAATAACATTATGTCAAATAAAAAAACAATTTATACACCTTAAAGATACTTTATTTTAAAAAAAAAAAAAAGTTCTAACAATCATCTGAGCCCTCAGCAAGTTGTAATCTTGCTAATGGGAAGGGGGTCTCTCCTCCATGTTGACGGCATCTGATTGATCAGGGTGGTGGTTGCTGAAGGTTAGGGTGGCTGTGGCAACTTCCTAAGGTAACAATAAAGTTTGTCACAACAGTTGACTTTTCCTTTCACAAAAGGTTTCTCTGTAGCATGTGATGCTGTTTGATAGCACTTTACCTTCAGTAAAACTTCTTTCAAAATTGGAGTCCATCCTCTCCAACCCTGCCAATGCTATATCAATTAAGTTTACAGAATATTCTAAATCCCTTGTTGTGGTTTTAACAATGTTCACAGCATCTTCACCAGGAGCAGATTCCATTTCAACAAGCCACTTTCTTTGTTCACCCATAATAAACAACTCCTTATTTGTTAAAGTTTATTATAAGACTTCAACAATTAAGTAAAGGACCAGAGTCTTTTCTGCCTCACCAGCCATACTGTCACTGTCACAACTACTCAACTCCTCTGCTGTGTTGTAGCATGAAAGCAGCCATAGACATTGTGGTGAATAAATGGGCACGGCTGTATTGTTACAGCAAAACAGACAAGAGTCAGATGTGCCCTGCAGGCTGGAGTTACCAAAGCCTCATCTGAAATTCAGTTTGGAAATTATCTTTTCTGACTCCTTTCATGAAACTTTTTTCGCTTTTACCCCCATTGAGCAAAAATAGAATTTCTCCTTTCGTGCTCACCTAGAATTTGTACATATTTTTATTATAGCACTTCTCTCATTGTACTATGTAAATTATTTATATATTTTGTTGCCCCTTTAAGCAGTGAATCCATCAAAAATAAAAACCATGTTTTATTAATCTGTATATAAGAAAATGGCTAGTATCCTGTAGGTGTTCAATAAATGTTGACTGTTGAATGAATAAATAAATGAATGAACGGATGATGAATATACATGTTAATTTGAAGTGGATCTTGAAAAATGGATAAGATTTAGCAGATGACCCTTTAAATAAAAGTGTAAAATACTTTTAAATCTAAAGGAAAATGGTTTATTTTTCTCCCTGAACAATCTTCTTTATTCATTCTACAAATATTGATTGAAGAGCACCTGCTAAGGGCAAGGCCCTTGAGAATTAACATTCTATAAAGCAGTGCTTCCCAGAGTTGAAGACTATAAAGTACACTAAGTCATTGTGCCCAATAAATGTGCCTATTATCGTCTGTGCATGAAAGTCCTTTTAAAAGTTAATGGGATCCAAATGCATATAGCAGAATAAAAGAGAGGAATACCCAGACCAAATTACACAAGAATTTATGACACTCTGTCCCTGTACGTTGAGTCAAGGGATTTGGGTTATTGAAGATAGCATTCTAATGAAGTATTTTCATCTGTTCTGCACATCACTGTCCTTTCATTAGCTGCACAAGAAGAGGAGAGCATGGCATAGCACCAACATGTTAATTCTTTGTTTGAGAAGGTCCCTAGGTCTTTATGTCCTTTTTAAGTACTCCTTATCTTCTTTAATTAACTATGAATTTCTTAATTTGTATTGTTTATTATTCTGTCCAACTGGCTCTCCTCATGGCCATCTGCTCTAATGTATATTTTACAAGTGATCTTCAGATATTTTAGATGCCATATCACTCTAGGCAATGGTTTATGCAATTACCGCAAAAATGACACAACATCAATTTCTGCGGCCCAAAAATTTAGTATTTAAATGATGTAAATCTAAATTTTTTTCTTCAAACATCTGAGTATCTATTGCTAAGCTTTGAAGAAACATATCTCATTGCATTAAATTCGCTGCTCCAGGTTTTTGGCAAGTGGGATTCATGTATATATTAGTTGCCTGAGCTTTCACAACGTTCTAATCGGGTCTGATGAATTGTAAAAAACAACAACAAAAACTGCAATTTTACTGGCTCAGAAACACTCACAAGGCTGAACTTCAGCCCTGTGAAAAGTTTCCCTCAGTCACCCTCAAGTGTTTGAGGAATTCCCAGAAGATATTTTACATATTCTCAAGAAGAAATTAACTCCCACTGGTTGTTAATGGTGCTCTACCATTGCATGCTAGAAAGCAGGACCAATATATGGTGTCCTCAAAGTCTATTACTATGGTAATAGATCAAATAATATCAGCCTTTTTGTTATATTTTACTGGTGGGGGTCAAGGTGGGATGCTTTATGTCCCAACAGTTTATAGATTTTAGTCAGGTAAATCTATTATCACTTTAAGAGCTGTGTCTTACTCTGTTGCCCAGGTTGGAGTGCAGCGATGCAATCATAGCTCACTGCAGCCTTGAACTCCTGGGCCCCAGCAATCTTCCCACCTCAGACTCCTGAGTAGCTGAATAAGTCTATTTTTCATTACTGTATGTTTTATTCTTAACACACAGGGATATGTCCATGGATCAGAAATGGGAACAAATGAAAATTGATACACTGTCTGAAGAATAAGCTATTTCCTCTAATGCCAAAGGTTTTGTTCTTGGAAAAATTTATTTCCCTGACACCTTCCTTCAGGGCCAGTTCTTTCCCAGGGATGACCTCACCTCCTCAATTAATAGAATCTGATGCCTCCTTCACTGGCCCCCACCCCCACTGCTGTTTGCCATATTGAAATGCCGACTGTGTGGAAGAAAGAATCCTTGCTGCGTTTATAATGTTTTCATCCTGAATGCCTTCTTTCATTTAGTAAAGATTGCTTACAAAAATTAACAAAACACAGTTAATCTACTTCTTTCTGACTGAAAAATGACAAAAATATAGGTTACGTAAATTAATATTACTCAAATCCTATCGGAAAACAGCTGCACCTTAAGGAGAATGGCATTAATTACTTTGCCATTTCATTTTAGAGCTGGGAAAGATCTTGGATAATGTCTTTACTAGCAATGTCCTGCAAAGGAGAGCATTTGGGTCCAGAAAAACCAAGAGAGCTTTTAAAAATCACACAGCTGGACATTTATTGTTGTAGTCATTTAGAAAGACTAGAAAAAGTAAAACATTGAAGAACAATCTAGGGAAAGTCCATCGTGAACTTCAAGGTCCTGGAAGACACTAGCACCCAGCCAGGTATGATAGCATGTTAGGCAAGCTGAAGACAAACCTACCACAGTTTATATATATATATATTTTTTTTCCCCAAGGAAGGTTTGTAGTGAGAATACATTGCCCACCAAAAATTATGCTGAATCTTCCATGGTCTTATTTAAAGTTCTGCACCAAATTTTAAAAGCTCTATGACAATACGGTTATTGTCATTCAGTATAATTTCTATGTGCCCACTCCCTTTCCTCCAAAATGTGATTGTAAGGAGGTAGGTTGTTTTTTCTGTATTTATCATATGGTGCCAAAAGACAGGTCAAAGGACATCTTAGACATTCTCATGAGCTAAGAAAAGAGAACATATTTCAGTGTCTTCTAAAAACAAAAGGACTTCGGGAATGGAAGCAATAAATTTGGTCTCTGACAGCTCCTCCGTTTGTGATGGTTATTGGTTACAAGGCTTTACTGCTACCTGGAAGTGTAAATTGCACCCCTGAGATTGTTTCGCATGTAACCTTTCACTCATACTTGATAGCAAACAAATGAAAGAGAGGCAATACCATCAGATGTGATGATTTATTTTTAAAGCATGAGTTTCTTTGTTTAATATAAATGTAAAAACATAACTTTCTCTTCAAGCCAGCCGGGTAGTTTAGGCAATTTATCAAACCAAAAGCACTGGAGCTCTGCAGTAAGAAAGGAACAAAATGCATTTGTGCCCAAGTAATTGCCTTTCTCTTCCTGAAATCGAGTAAGATAGATTCAGGGCATAGGTGATTCCAAATAATAATTATAGTCAAACAAAGAAACTTCTGTATGCAATTAGTCTAATTTTACTTCATCTCTAATTTTCAGAGGTATTACCACACAATTTACATTAAATTTCCTTTTTGCCCCTTGAACCGTTTTGTGAATTTTTATTTCATCAAGAAGACTGTTGTCAGCTCCTTAGTCACATAATAAATACAGTCCTTTCAAAAGCCATTTTTCTCATTTTGTCTCCTTTGGTTAAAGCTATTTTATAACCTTTGCACAAATCATGCCCAAACGCAAAGCTGATTCAAGTACCGCTACGTAAAGCATAAGTTATGTTGTGACTACTTTAGCCATTCATCCACTCAAGTATTTATTCAACACTTACTATATGCTAGGAAGAATTCTCAAAGTTGGAAATACAAAGATTAATATAAATTACAAGATCCTTGATATCATGGAACTTAAAATACAGTGTAGAGAGAAGAGCGCAGAGAGGGGAATAAATAAAAAATATAATTTTAAATGGGTAAGGTGACCTAGGGTGGAGATGGCAATTATTTTAAGGTGAGTGGATAATTAAAGCTTCTCTGAGAAAGTAATATTTGAGCTAAAACATGAATGGTGAGAAAATCTGAGAGAAGATATTTTGGCTCGAGGGAATAACAAATACCAAGACCCCGAGTCAGAAAAGAGCTCAGCATGTTTAAGGAATGGAAGAGGAATCAGTGTAGTGGAGCACAGTGAGTGATGGGGGAATCGCAGAGATGAGGTCTAAGGGGCCAGATCACATGGAACCTTGGAGGTCATCTCAAAGGATTAGATTAATTCAAGGTGCAGTGGGCAGAGATTGGAAGATTTTAAACAAAAAAAGTGACATGAAAGTCTTCAAGAGGAAAGAAAAGAGACAGAATGCAATCATTTTACTACTAAGTTTTGTTTATGTATTTCCTTGTGTGGGCTAACATTTGAAAGCTTTAGAATTTAACAGAATAATAGTATAGCACATTTTACAGTAATAATGCTTTCTTACAATTTTCAGCTAATTCCTTGTTCTGTGATCTTGGTACAGAAAAGTGGAGAGAGTATGGCTACCTGGTAATATAGACACTCCCAAATGTGCTTATATGGAATTGATACTGAATAAAAGAGATAAGCTGAAACAAGAACCAGAACCCCAGGAACAGGGAAAAAGAAAGATAAGTGTTACAAAACCTGAAGGATAGCTTGAATCATCAGAGAAATTTACTTGGTAAGTAAACCTTTCATTCTGTGACCAATACAGAAGCCTACATAGATCTTTATTCTCAATATAACAAACAAATTTCAGAGCAATATATACTTTAAGCTGTCTGGCCTTTACAATCTTCAAGCACACACTCACATAACAAGTCAACAGAGAGAATTACATTTGAATTAAAATTTTATACATCCCATTTCAAAATCAGAAATAGCTGTAATGCTAAGAGATTTCCAAGCACAAAAATATCAAGGAAATAGACTATACACTAAATCCTTTCATCCATTAAATTCTGCATCATTTTCCACATATTCTCAGAACAATAGGAAAAATACACAGGAACTTATTTCCAGAATTAGATCAGAAAAATTTAAGATCATTTTTGTGCAATTTACTGTATGTTTTCAAAACAAAATTCTTAATATCAACGAAAGCCTCTCATAAACTTTGAGTTACATGTCATGAAGGTAAAAGCAAATTTCTACTGAAAGATGCAGCTGATCTGATACAAGTTTTGAATAATTGACTGTATCAAAAGAATTAGAATATGTAGAAGGACTAATTCAAAGTAAGCAGAACTAGTCTTTTGAATAAATGTTATGTTACACATCTCTGTAAACATGGTACCAGAAAATGTCTATTAAAAAAGTAATTCATCTTGCTTAATTTTCTTAGTGAAGCCCCCATATCCTATTTACACTCAGAATATACTACCATCTTCTTTCTCTTTGGGTCTCTTCTTTTTCTCTTTTTTTAATTTGTATATATTTAAGGGGTACAAGTACAGTTTTGTTACATGAATATATTGCATAGTAGTGAAGTGTGGGCTTTTATTGTGGCCATCGCCTGAATAGTGTACATTATACCCATTAACTAATTTTTCATCCTTCTCCCCACTCCCACCTTCCCACTTTTCCTTGTCTTCAATGACTATTATTCCACACTCCATGTCCATTGCCCGTTTCTACTCATTATTTAGCTCCCAACTGTAAGTGGGAACATGAAAAATTTGATTTTATGTTTCTGAGTTGTTTCACTTAAGATAATGGGTCTTTTCAACTTTAAGACCCAAAGATCTTAATGGTTTAGATGTGTCTCTTGTCATACCACTGTCACTGGCGAGTTCAAGATTGGCAAGGACTTGACCCATTGATTCTGTCTTTCCAATACTACATTCTGTCTTCCTTTTGATCTGAAAGATCAGAGACCTAGAAAAAGATGCAAATGCCAACTAGTAGCAATGCCCCAAAATTCCTCCATTGTTTTACTATTAGTTTTAGTGAAGACTAAGTAAATTTGAATTGAATATGAATTCCTATTGAATTCTTATAATAAAAGTTGTACCGTATATAATTTACAAACTATAGATGCAGAAGACTCAAGGCACTAAGGATAATTTAAAGATTTGTCAGTGTTTCCAAACTTCACTACTTAAATTCAGTTCATCTTCCACAGTGTTTCTCTGATAGGTCCTATTATTCTTCCTGGGAAATGGAGGCTGGCATTAAATTTATATATCTCTGAAGAGAGAACAATAAGGACTTGGCAACCCATTAATTAAGAAGAGGAAGAATAATATAGGAGTTTAAATATGTGGACTTTGGAGGCAGGTCACCTGACTTGATACAGGCCCTTCACTTGGTCATCATAAATTTCTATTGCTGCAGTTTTCTTATTTGTAAAATGGTGTAATAGTACCTACATCATGGGATTTGGTAAATAATTAAATGAGAAGTTATATGTTAAATGTTGAAAGCTGTTCTTGGAATGTAGTAAAACCTATATATACTTATTAGCCATTATTTTTGAAGAAGTAACAGTTTACTTATGACCAGAAGTTGTTCAACGTGATTAAAAGTCAATATGTGGAGTACACATTTTAGAAAGTATGAGTAAGTTATAAGAAAGATTGCTTAAAAAGTCAATGTGATGCTGTATAAGGTAAAAAAAATAAGATTTTTTTTCATTCCAACTATAATTGGGGAAGAAATAAAAATAGTACATAAACCAAAAAAGGAATATTAGTAAATGTATTGATGTTTAGTAATTAATGAAACAGGAAATGCATTCCTAGGAAAACAAAACATGAAAAATCATGCATAGACTCAGAGGGAGCTGATTTTAAATCTAGTCTTCATTGTGTCTACATTTTAGCCTTTTTTTGCTGTAAAATTTAAATTTAAAAAAAAAATTCTTATGCGTTTGGAGTAAGAATTAATTGAGAGTACATCTGTAACAGCCTTTAGTGTCTAGTGCATAGCAGGTATTCAACAAGAAAATTCTTTTCTCCTCCTTTAAGACTGATATTACCAAGATCAGGCCAACCTTCTCATGGGCACCTGTATGTACTGCCACAGTCAGAGGAGGCTGAGTAGATGAGTGGCTGATCCTAGGAAAAGTTTTGACTCTTCCAAACATTTATCTCATTAGATGAAGGCAATAGAGAAACATTTTGTGTCAAAAAAAAAAAAAAGAAGAAGAAGAAGAAGACGAAAGGAAGAAAAAGAGTCTCTTCTCTAAGGCCTAAGGTTTTTTATTGCCAAGATAATATAGATTGGTGTAACTTGCTCAAGATTCACAGAGTTCATTGAAATGTGATGGCCCCTAGCAGACTGAACCATCCTCAAGGATTATCACAGACCTCAAATGCATAAAGCTGAGACAGATCTGGCAAGACAGAGCAATCACAAGCCAATTAAAAATAAATCAGTAAGTCTTTTTAAAATTTAGGAACAGCTGCCTCTCCTTCCTGTGGTGTTTCTCTGTTTGGTGTTCATAGAAGTACACATTTATATTTACTTCAAGCAGATGCTTTTGCTCTCTTATTTCATGATACGGGGGATCGCAAGGGTAGGAGTGTGAGAGGACAGATGTGGCCCCAACAAATATGGCATTTTACTGAGAACAGAGCCAAAGGAATTCAGCAAATAGAATTTTCATAAGCCTACTCATCTGTGTAACTATTTGGAAGAAGGTTTAATCTAGAACAGTACTGTCTTATAAAAATAAGTGAGCTGCTTGCAGTGAGCCGAGATCGCGCCACTGAACTCCAGCCTGGGCGACAGAGCAAGACTCCGTCTCAAAAAAATAAAAAATAAATAAATAAATAAATAAAAAAGTGAGCCGCATGTTTAATTTTAGATTTTTTTTCTAGTAACTACATTAAAAATAAATAAAATAACTGTAATAATATATTTTGTTTAACTCAATATTTCGAAAATTGATTTCAAGATATTAATCAATACAAAAATTGTTGAGATAATTTATAGGGCTTTTATGTACTAATTTTCAAAATCCAGTGCATATTTTACACAACAACACACTTCAGGTCAGAATAGCAAATTTTGTTAGTGAATAACATATTGGCTCAGAGCCAGAGAGTTGATATGAAATCATAATAGTAGCCTGGGCTTTATCATTTCTCTTTAATGAATGTATGTCTGAGCTTAACAAGAAATACAGAAAAATACCACCATGTGCCATAACACTCTCCTTCTTATTTTTTAGTCAGTTTTTTCATCTATGTCAATTCCTAGGTACAAATTAGGTGGTTTATGTGGCTATCATTGTCTTATCTAATATTACCAGTGAGAACCTTGAAGTAATGGGCTCTACAGGGAACTCAGAAGTGCAAGATCAAAATTCACAGTGATCTGTCCCTCAAAGTATCCTGAAATGCTTTATAAATGTTACTTACAAGTTTGTAAGAGGATATATATTTGCTGAATTCATGAGAAAATGGATGATGATGAAAAATTTATAATTGGATAAAATTTACATTTTGTAATTTTATAATTTGTATTTTTGTTAATAAAGATTACATTATATTAAGCAATTTTATATCAATAGAAAAATGATGGATAGGTAGATATTACTATGAGTTACCTAAAACTCCTCTTTCTAGTAAAAATGTTTAATTACAAAAATCTGCAATTACTTCTACATCATTCAGTTAAGGGTAAGGACTGCAGTGTCAAGACAGAAGCATGGTATAAAGAAATCTAGGATGAACAATGAGGGTTGAAAATTAGAACCTTAAACTCATTCCTTAAGTTTTTTTCAAGACTGTCTATATCTTTATGCTTTCCAATTATTCAAAACCTGAGGGGAAAAATTGTCATTTTTTACTTCTGATTGTATTCTGCTTAAGCAGGAAATCTTAAAACAATCATTAAAACCTCATTATCACATGTCAATCCTATGATTACTTGTTATTGCCTCCTATTTCTTCCCCATGTTAGCTTAACCAAGACACCACTTCAAGTTCTCCTGATAAGATATAGTTTTCATTACACTATTCCCATATTCAAGGACACTCTCTCTCCACTATTAGATTACCTCCAAACTCTTTGGCATCCTAAATCTTCCATCAGTTGTGCACACACCTAATAATGGCTCCTGACTCACTTTCTCATCATCCACTCCTCTTTATACTTCTGCACATTCTGTACCTAACAAATTATTTATGCCTTGAGTCTATGAGAAATGGTGGAGAGAGACATGCCAAAGTGCTCTATGAAACTTCATTCTGTCCATTCTGAGGCCAGCCAGGGTGCCCATGAATCAGCAGCAACAGACATTTACCCAAACCTGGCCAGGGAACAGCTATGAATGTGAATGGAGAAATTATGGGATCAAAAACACAGGTATGGGCAATTTGATTTTATGGGATCAAAAACACAGAGAATGAAAAATCTGTTCAGCTGACATGTTAGAAACTCTTGCCAAAAATTGAATAAGCAGCTAAATCCTGAATCATGACTGGGCTGCCCGGTGCTAAGAATTTTTAGTGATATTTGAAGTTCTGTTATGTCAAGGTCAGAGAAATACATCAAATTAAATAACCTATCCTGACACATGAATTAGCCTTGGGAATTTTAAGAAAAGAGGTTTTTTGGCATACAAGTAGACTTAACTAAACTCACAGCTAGATGCTAATTCCTGTTGTTTTAATATGAAGACCTTAGCATTATTAAGATGAAATCAAAAATATAGACAATTGGCATTACAACTCATGGAGCTACCTTTATTCAGACAGAAGGTCTAATGTCAGTTCTATAATTGAATAAAGGAGAAAACCTGTAAAAATAGTCTGGCTATACTACATGCTCTATCCCTGTTTTATCCCTGCTGGATTCCCAGTGCCTAAACTAAGAGACATCTTATAGATTTTTTTATTTCTTTGTTTTTTCCATTCTTTAAGTCATTCATGACTGATTAGTGAACGATCTAGATGACAAAAAGTGTGATTTTGAGTCATAAGCCATCTATAGAATTTATATTGCCCAATGCACTACTCTACTTTCTAAAAGTCAAATGAACAGTAGAAAGAAGGGACTGGAAACTTTTATTCACATAGCTACAGTTTTTGAAACTACAAGGGAGTACTGTTTATAGGGAATGCCAATATAATGTGTGCCTTCCAAAATTAAAAATCTTATTTTGTAGTTTTCAGAATTTTAGGCTAGCTCTGGGTAACTATAGGCATTTGGACAATATGTAGTTTTCTAATTTAAATAAAAATTGAGGCTGGGCACAGTGGGCCATGTCTGTAATCCCAGTACTTTGGGAGGCCGAGGCAGGCAGATAACCTTGAGGTCAGGAGTTTGAGACCTACCTGGCCAACGTGGCAAAACCCCATCTCTACTAAAAACACAAAAATTAGCTGGGCATGGTGGCATGTGCCTGTAATCCCAGTTACTAAGGAGGCTGAGGTAGTAGAATCGTCTGAACCCAGGAGGCAGAAGTTGCAGTAAGCCAACATCTCACCACTACACTCCAGCCTCGGCAACAGTGAGACTTCGTCTCAAAAATAAATAAATAAATAAGAATTGAATTTGTCTGTCTTTTGAAAATACCAAAAAAAGTCATGTTCTTTAGCAGGGTTAAATATATGAAAAATGCTATATAATTGTTCTGTTTTTTGAGACAGAGTCTTGCTCTGTGGCCCAGGCTGGAGTACAGTGGCCTGATCTCAGCTCACTGCAGCCTCTGCCTCCCAGGTTCAAGCAATTCTCCTGCCTCAGCCTCCTGAGTAGCTGGGACTACAGGCCTGTGCCACCACACCCAGCTAATTTTCCTGTATTTTTATTAAAGATGAGGTTTCACCATGTTGGCTAGGCTGGTCTTGAACTCCAGACCTCAGGTGATCCACCCACCTCGGCCTCCCAAAGTGCTGGGATTACAGGCGTGAGCCACCACACCCAGCCAAAAGGCTATACAACTTTTATTTAGTATAATTATTGTTCTTTCCTAGTATAAAATTCTATATAAAAGAGTTGTTCTTCTACCAAGGGCTGGGGGGAGCAATTTATAACAATGATGTCTTTAAGTCTACTATAAAAAGGTAATCATATTAGAATTTTCAGTGCCTATGTATGTTCATTGCAGCACTATTCACAATAGCAAAGACATGGAATCAACCCAAATGCCCATCAATGGATAAAGAAAATGTGGTACATATATACCATGGAATACTATGCAGCCATAAAAAGGAATGAGATTATGTCCTTTGCAGGGACATGGATGAAGCTGGAAGCTATTATCCTTAGCAAACTAATGCAGGAACAGAAAAACAAACACTGCATGTTGTCACTTATAAGTGGAAGTTGAACAATAAGAACACATGGGCACATGGAGGGGAACAACACACTGGGGCTTGTCAGGAAAGCGTGAGGGGGTGGGGAGGGCATCAGAAATAATAGCTAATGCATGCTGGGCTTAATACCTAAGTAATGGGTTGGTAGTACAGCAAACCACCATGGCACACGTTTATCTATGTAACAAATCTCTGCATCCTGCACATGTACCCCAGAACTTAAAATAAGAATTCTCAGTGCCAAGAGTATAAGCATTAGTGTGTATGTTATATAATTGTATCTCAAACATTATATCAAGCATTGGTGTAAACATTTTTCTCCACTGGTTTTCTATTCTTAATATGGATTACTGATCAACTCCACCAGGATTACATTTTATGAAATACTTATGAAAGTCAAATTGACATACTTGTCAAAACAATGTGATAAACATCCCCTGCCCCCCTTCTCCTATGTACACACATGCATACATGTGCACACAAAAACACATAGGAATTACAGGAAACCAAAGCCACCTATTATTGGCTGAGTCCTACTATTATTAGACACAGATTGTAGGACGTATTATCTCATTGACCCCTCCCATAAGTATCTGCATTTTACAAATGAGAAAAGTGGGTCTCAGAAATGTAAGGTGATTTTTCAAAGTTCACACATGTAGGAAGAAAAAATTAGAGTCTAATTCAAGTGCTTGGCTTCTATAAACTATATCTTCTACTCTACAATCCTGCTTTTTCTAGGCTTTTGTCCTTGAAACAACATTTTGGGGAATCATAACATTTTCCCTCAAATTGGTTTTGATACAGAAACATACATACACACATATAACCGTATGTAAAAGATTTTTAAATTAAATCATCTACTTAAAGCTTCTCCTGGGCCACTGCCCAGGTGTGATGCAATCGCAATGAGAAGATACAATGAGAGAGGTGTTAGATACTGGTGGTGGTTACAAACATGTTTTAGCATCGGAGAGACTTGATTCTTCCACTTCATGGTTGTGTGACCATGACCCAACTGTATTTTCTCTATGCTGCAGATTCCTCGCCCATGAAATGGGTCTAAGAATACCACCTACTTCATAAGGCTGTTCCATAGAGCCCCTAGCCTAGAGCCTGGCATTCGGAGCATAGTTAGACGGGCTGACAGCAGGTATAAAGAGAATGAGCAGAACTGCTTCCTGGCCCCTAGAACTGCTGTTGAATATTTGAAGGTATGTTCCACACCACTAACTGTGGAGTGTTTTGAAAAGTGAACTTTACAGGTTTTTACAATAAGATGCAATTAACTTGCATGCTGGGCTGTCGCATATTGGCTATTACAAGAACTCCGTGACTGAAGAAGCTAAGTTGGCAAAGTTCAAAAAGCAAGTTCCTCAGTTGAGCTACATAATAGACGAAAAGGTCACCTTTGACTCACTTTTGCTATTGGCTGTCAAAGGTGACCAGTTTTTCACAGCATATACCCCATGTGCGTTAACAGACCCCTGATGGATGCTTTTGATAGAAGATGGGAAGGAAATGTTAAAGAAGCAAAATGTCAAAACCAAGCTTTCTCTCTGCAAGAAGCTGTCTTCTATTGTGGCTACTTCCGGCTCCACCATGGGGCACTCTTGAAAACAACCCCTTGAAAAGCTAAAAATAAAAATAAAGAACAAGAATCTATGCTACAACTCCCCATTAAAATGCTTTTATATTAATTTTGAAGATTCTACAGACATTTAGAGACTCAGTTGGAACATTATGCAGGAAAGGAACCCCAGAGTCCAGATGAATGTTGATGAATGCACCTCGACCTGGCAGGGTACAAATAAACAATAATTCACAGTTATTAGCATTTACTTTCTATAAAATTTCAAAAGAATAGATGCAAGCAGGACTGAGTGTGCAGAATCTCCGTAAACTAAAACATTGTCTGCATGAAGCCGTAATAACCAATGCATAATCAATAAAAGTGTTTTTTGATTATGTATGAGGCCAAACAATTTCTTGGATCATATTGTTTTTCTGATTTTAATGAAATCAACCAGTTGCTTTCCTGTCATATAGAAAAAGCTATAAAGATAAACTTCGGTATTATAGAAACATCCAGATGTAAAAAGAATTAGCAATTATGGTTGGGATGGAAGTCTAGAAAGCATGAAAAGATCCAACTTGAACACAGACAGTAATGTTTAAATTTATGTTATTCCAAGAGAAAGGCATATAAGTAATAGAAGTAGAAAATGTGCATTTGCACTTTCCAGTTAACTAAAAAACTTGGTGTCATCAGTAGCCTTTTCAAGCACCTATAAAGATCTGATATTTTGTGTTATGTAGTTCTTCATTTAGAAAGATGGCACTTCTGAACCACCATCAAGGGATAATACAGTTAGAATGCCTCCTTTGAAGCAGTGATAAATTGTTTCTCAACAGGAAAGCAGTTTTATACACTATTGTGGTAAATTAGATTCTTGTTCTTCATTCTTCATTCCTTTCCTATTATAAAATTATGAATCTTTTCCCTAAGCCATGTAATTTTGCAGTTCTTCCCACTATCAGGATGCTTCCTCACCCCATTAGTATTGAGCTTAGACTTGTAGCTTTCTTTGTAATGTGTGTGGATATGACATGAGCAGAAGCATTTAAAAAAAGGTGTGTGATCTGATGGGGTTATCGCTGGTGGCCATGACAAAACTACACTCCTAACGCACCCAAAATGGGATACATGAACAGACATGAACCCAATCCAAAGCTGGAGTCTAGCCCTGCTGACCAACAGCCTGAAACAGCGCTCTCTTAGCAGATCCATGGACTACAGAATGAGAGAAAAAATATAAATATATATACACACATATATATATATTTGTTATCAAAAACCTCTGAATCCTTGGATAGTCAGCTATATAACATTACTAAATCAATAGCTTCTTAGCAAGTGTGAAGAAAGTAGACTGTAAAGTCATGGAGGTCTAGATTTGAATAGTCACACTGCAGCTAGCTATGTAATTGTGGGCATGTTTCTCAACCTACCTGAGTTTAAGCTTCCTCATTTGTAAATGAGGAACTGTAAAATATCAAATTGTACAGTGATGCCAATCTCTATAGTACTGCTGTAAAAATTAAAGAGCACAATGTATATAAAACAAATTGAATAGGCTTGAGACATTAGTTCATAAAAGTTGCTGTCATCATCATCATCATTATAATCTTTATCATAAAGACCTTCTTTCTATATCCAGTCCTCCATGAGGAAATGGTAGCTTGTATCATGAAATAGTTTGTGTACAAATCTATTAATAGTATCTCATCCAGAGTAGACCCAATAATTTCTTTCCTAATCACATGTTCCCTATGGGCCCATTAAGACACGGGACTCATAATTTTTGTTTCAGTAGCATCCTATGCTAAATAACCAAAGTGATCAAAAATGCAGTCTTTTTTTTTAAAAAAAAGCAATGCATTTGAACCCACTCTTTTAGTCTACCCCAGACTGAGGCCAAAATCAAATCACTTTGATAATAAAAGTTTATGCTTCTCTAATTCTCAAATTCATCTAATATTATGGACTCAGTAGTATGCATTGTATACATACACACACACATCCACACACACGTGCACACACACACACACAAACACACCCAAAGTACTGCTCTGAGTCCCCAGTGGGAATTTCATACTGAACTAGGGATCTCCTCTTAGTCTGTCCTGGTTGCTATAACAGAATGCCATAAACTTGGTGACTTAACAAAAAATATTTATTTCCCACGATTCTGAAGGCTGGAAATCTGAGATCAGGGTGCCAGCATGGTCAGCTTCTTGGTGAAGGCCCTCTTCGTGGTTTATAGATGGCTGTCTTCTCTGTTTGTTCTTTCATGGAAGAGAAAGAACATCTCTCTTATGTGTCTTCTTATAAGGGCACTAATCCCATTCATGAGGGCTCCACCTTAATACCATGACCTAATTACCTCCCAAACACTCTGCCTCCTAATATCATATTAAGAGTTAGGATTTTAATATATTAATTTTGGGGAGACACAAACATGCAGTCACTAACACTCATCTTGTAACTAGGCACCACCATCTTTCCTAAGCCTTGCTGTCACTTCCACTGGGTACCACCATACTATAATTCCCAGGTACCCCACACTTAACAATGCTGGGTTTTCCTGCATCACAGCCTTTTCTGGTGCTGCTAATATACTGAATACCAAGGTATTCAAATCTACTCACTGTTCTATATCAATGTAGGGAGAGATGAATCCCTTCTTTCATCTGTAACAATCTGCCAGGAATTAACCAATGCAATAATCTCTTTTGTCCTGATGTAGTATAGAAATTTTAATGGAAGTAATTCTTTCACTTTGTACGCATAGCTTCTCTCTCATAATATCCAAAACTGAGCCTATCATGGAAACAAGTAGGAAGAGAAGGAGCTGGGCCTTGGACAAATCTGAGAGATGGTCACCATGCTGTGGCCAAAATTAGCCCTGTGATTTGACAACTAAAGCTGCTGCACTATTAGACCAAGCTTATTTTCTTCGCCTTTCCCTTAAAATGAATTTATTTTTCATGCGGTCCTTCAATCTCTCTTTTGTAAATTATCTTTCAGCACACCTAGTCTTGCCAATGCACAAGACATACCCACACAAGTTCAGGCTTATAATGATAATGCCCTGATCCCCCTGCTATAAATAGACAGTCATTAACAAAAGGGAATAAGTGACAAAAATGTGAGTTTGGATAAATTATCCATACTCAGATCCTCAGCATTATTTTATTTTTTAACCACCTCACTATCTAATAAGTAGCTCAAATTTGATATGTCAAAAATTGAACTCTTAACTCTCAGCCCACTCTCCAGACCTGTGGTTCTATAGTATTTTCTCTTTAGTAAAAAGCAACTCCATCTTATTACTTGCTCAGGCCGAGAACCTCATTCACCTTTGACTCTTCTGATTCTCACATTTCACAACCAAGCCACCAGCAAATGCTTTTGGCTCTACTTCAAAACATATTAAAAGTCCAACTATTTCTCACCTCTCCAGCTAGTGCTATACTGATCTAAGCCCCCTTTATCTCTCACTTGGACAGTTTTAAAAGCCTCTTAAATGTTCTCTCTGCATCCACACTTCATTCTAGTCTATTCTCAGTACAGACGCCTGAATGATCCTTTAAAAATATGTCAGAAAAATTTTCTGCTCTGCCCTTAGCCTTTTACTGCTTCCTATCTCACTCACAGTAAGAGCTAAAGTTCCTGCAATACCTTCTAAGACCCTACATGGCTGAAGCCCTTTTGCCCCTCTTGCTTACTCTGTTCCAGCCCACTGGTCTGTCTCCTTGCTATATTTGCACTACCTCAGGTCTGCTCTCATTTTAGGGCCCTTGTTCTAGCTGACCCCTCTGCCTAGAACATTTTTCTTACAAATATCTTGGCTACTCCCTCACTTCCTACAAATATTTGCTCAGAGGTCTGCCTCTGAGCACTTTCGCAGAGGTCTGCCTTAATGCTACACCCCTCTCCTCCTCTCCTTCCCCTTCCTGAGCTAGTTCCGCATTTTTTAGAGAATTTGTCAGCACCTATCATAGTAAATAATGTATTCATTTATTGTTTTGATTGTCCTTTGTCTCTCTCTCTTCTTTCTCTATTTTCACTAGAATATAAGTTCCATGAGGGAAAGGGACTTTATCTGCTTTGTTCATTAAACAGCACTAGGTGTATTAATGAACATATATTGAAAGGATAAACAAAATTATTTCATAAAGTAATTAATCTTTATTCATATTAAACAGGGCTTTCCACATTATTCGAGCTTTGCAGAGGGCCAAGGCATTTGTAGTTTAGGCACTTGTAGTTTGTACAAATCTTACAAACTATGTTTTATTCTTTAAGTCTAGAGTTATTTTTTAAAATATTCTGAATAAGCGTAATCCTTTTACACTCACACACAATGTAATTATGTTATCAATTTCAAATGTCTTACAGGTACAAAAGTTATATTTTGTGATGCCCAGCATTGTCTATTGATATGTAAATGGTTTATTCTAAATGGTTACAACATTATATAATTTTTAGTAACAGAAAAATTCAAAGACAACTAATATGAAAATGACACAGATGACAGATGCTATGCAGAGAAAGTGGAAGACACTTTTGTACAAGTGAAATGAATGCTATAGATCAGCTTCATAAACATGTTTTATTTGCATTTTCTCTAAAACAGCATGTACTTCATCAGGTTCACACAAACATCTCAAACATAAAACAACACGTGAAAAGGAAAAAGCTTCTCTTCCCATCCCCTAAACTTTCTTCTCCTTTAAGAATGAAAATGGCACTGACATCTATCCAGTTAATCCCTCATCTTCCATATCCAATTAATACCAGTAGCCAAGGTCTGCCAATTCTACTGTGTAAATGTCTCTCAAAACGACACCTTTTTTCCCCATGAGGTTGTTCTTTGCTGCTGTCATTACCGTTGGCCATGATTTTTTTGCCTGGGGGAACAAACTCCTAAGTGGACATCCCCTTTAAGTCTTGCCTTTCTCAAATTCATCCTTCACAAAGCACATCCGATCTGGCCATTCCATTGCTAAACTTCTCAGTGATTTCCCCTTGCCCTTAGAGTTAAGTTAAAAACAAAATCTTAACATGGCTTACCAAAATATCTTTGATAGTTTCATATTGCCTGTCTCTTAAAATTCAAGGAATGGTTTTATGCTTGTGTGCAAAGTATACAGCAGGATATTTTAAAAGGGGTGATTAAGGTTAGGTTTCCCCAGAAGCAAGCCTTGAGACTAAGATTTGAGTCAAAGTAGATGATATGGAGGTGACTCAGGTAATACCAGAAACAGGAAGCCCTTTAGCTGGGAATTGCAGGTGCTTGCCATGGGACAGGAGATGTGAGTGGGAACTACAAGTGCCTAAGGCAGATGGTGGAGCACCAACAGCCTCTGCTGCAAGGGTTATAAACAAAATGAGCCTTTCTCAGGGGAAAATAATCAGAGCAATGAAGGCTCTTGAAACTATATAGCATGAATAATGGTTGAAGAAATAAAGAATGTTCTGCCTAGAAAAAAAGAAATAGGTAATCAGAAATTTCACTCTCCATTTAAGAACACAGTTAACCTTTATTGAAGAAACATTGAAAAGCAAATCACTTGGACATAAAAGTTCTTCTATTTAGTCAATTTTTATATTGTAATGATTTTCCCTTTTTCTGATAGAAGGAAATCTGAAATCCAGAATATTTATGACCTAGGGAGCTACCCCAAAAAAGCTACACATATTTGCTAACTAATCAGGTTAAACTAAAGTCTAAAATAAAATTAAATTTGGATATAAACTGTTCTCTGTATTAAATGACAAATTTTTCTGCTGTATTTTTCTGCCATTCTGTGTAAAATATAAAGACTGCCTTGTGATGAAGATAGATGGATGAATAGATAGATAGATAAATAGATAGATAGATAGATAGATAGATAGATAGATCTGATATGTTCTATGGAGGATGAATTTGAGAAAGGCCATCTAACCAAATTATATATATATGTGAACTTATTTTTTTTGGAATTGTGGAACATACTTTAATTAATTATGAAATAAAGCATTACTAGATTACTAGTAAAAAGATACATATTTTTCAAATTGTAATTTTGAATCCCTTCAGATGTGTATGAGTTCATAATGCATGTTTTGGAAGTTCCTGGTCTTAAAGTTCTGCCTTTTCCTCCCTTACCCACAACCCACAGCCCACCAAAAAAAAAAAAAAAATTAAATATCTAGGACAGCTTTGATTTCAGAGATGGCTGCCAAAATGCACCATCTTCTTTCAACAAAAGTTTGCAACCAGCATGATTAAAATTAACAGTACTTCTGACAGTTTCTAAAGCCTCTCCCAGGGGAGAGCATTTATACTTCGACACAGAATAACTGTCTTGAAATCCTGACCTATGGAAGAGGGATTTGATTTCTGTATGGCCCCAAGAGATAGACTTAAGATAAAAGCAGGAGAAGGATTTTAGCTCAAAGAAGATAGAGGAGGAGGAAGAGGATAAATAAGTAGAAGAAAAAATACTTTAAAATATGTTTTGTTTTGTTTTGTTTTGTTGAGATGGTATCTTGCTCTGTAGCCCAGGCTGGAGTGCAGTGGCACAATCTCGGCTCACTGCAACCTCCGCCTCCGGGGGTCAAGGAATTCTTCTGCCTCAGCCTCCCGAGTAGCTGGGACTACAGGCGCCAGCCACCATGCCCAGCTAATTTTCTTGTATTTTTAGTAGAGATGGGGTTTCACCATGTTTGCCAGACTGGTCTTGAACTCCTGACCTCAGGTGATCCAACCTCCTCAGCCTCCCAAAGTGCTGAGATTACAGACATGAGCCACTGTCCCTGGCCTAAAATACATTATTTTTAAAGATTAAGGCTAGCAATACCGTTCTTTAAGTATAGCTTTGGCTTGGGATATAGAAAGATTAAGGAACATCCAATAACTAAACTAGGTCACTTTAAATTCTGTTTGTAATGCCAACATCTATGATTCCATGATTCTAAGTTTCTAGGGTTCATCTGACAACAGTGTTAGAAGATTAATTAGAGACGAGTGTGTAGATAGAGAAACCAGCTAAGAAATTTCCCAAGAGTATAGGTAAGAGGTAAAGTCTAATTAAATAATAATTCTAGAAATGGAGAAGAGCAAATAAATATTAAAATGTTGAGGACATATTTAATTGGATGAAGAGAACATGAGAGAGGAAGGACTCAAAGATGACATGAATGTTTGGAGTCTCTGTGTAGGGAAGTTAGTAACCCCTAACAGAAATCGGAACCAGAAAAAGAAGAGCAGGTCTAGAAGTAAATAATACAAGGACTTCGAGTTTAAGTTAGTACTCAGCATAGTTAGATATAACCAAGTCATTGCAAATATAGTACTGGAACTTGGAAGAGAGATCAGGACTGGGCATATAGAAGTGGAAACTATCTGCACATCATTGACTGTCAAAGTCATGACTATATATATATATATATATATATATATATATATATATATATATACACACACACACACACACATACACACACACACACATATATATATAGTCACAACTGACCATTGGTGACTCACAGATATATTGAAGCAATGGTTGACAAGTGCTTGACTTGAGGACGTCTTCAGATCCTTTCTGGTGCATTTTTCCATAAAAATAATATGCCAAGTGCCTCTGGCATACACACACACACACACACCCACACACACACACACACATATATATGTGTGTATGTATATATACATAATTTTTTGAGAGAGTCTCGCTCTGTCATCCAGGCAGGAGTGCAATGGTACAATCTTGGCTCACTGCAGCCTCCACCTCCCAGGTCCCACTGATCCTCCTGCCTCAGCCTCCCGAGTAGCTGGGATTATAGGCACATGCCACCGTGCCCATCTAATTTTTGTATTTTTAGTAGAGACAGGGTTTCACCATGTTGACAAGGCTGGTTTCGAACTCCTGAACTCCACCTCCCAAAATGCTGGGATTACAGGTGTGAGCCACTGCACCTGGCTCAAAGTCATGACTTTATATGAGATAGTCTACCAAGAGAGTAGCTCTGGAGGGAAAATAAAATGGACAATAAAAGATCTTTCTGTGATGTAAGTTTAAGAAACACAGGAGCATGGGTAAGGAGACAGAGAGAGGGAGAATGAGGAGAAAGAGGAGAGGGAGGGAGAGGAGGGAGGGAGGGAAGGAAGGAAGGGAGGGAGTAAGGGAGGGAGGGAGGGAGGGTGAGGGAAGAAGGGAGGATGATGGAGAGAAGAAGGCAAGAAGGCAGGCAGGCAGGCTTTGTCAGCACAATCTTCAGATGATGAGTTAGTAAGTAGTATGTTTTGTATGAAAGGGTAATATAACACTTGAAAATTATATTTATGCAATAACTGAATATTGTAATTGGAAAAATTCTTACTGCAGGATTTTTTTCTATTATCCATATTAAATGCTTGTAGCAACCTCTTAGTTGCATAAGGAAACAATAAGCTTAAAAATAATATCTCTTAATAATGAAGAAGTGTCTATTGCTCATTTCAAGTTAAAACTAGATGACAGAAATACTGTTGTTGCTATCCTTGTTTATTTGATTAATTCTTGGGATTCATAATTGTTGGATTGCTCTATTTCATCTAATAATGTTAAATTACAATTATACAGTTTTATGATTTGAAAAGCATTTTCACATGCTTCATCTCTTTCAGCTCTCATGAATACCCTGAGAACTAGACAAGGAAAGTCTAATTACTGAGAGTTTAAGTAACTTGTCCCAGTGAGTAGATGACAAAGCCATTCTACTGCTCCTTTACTCTATCCCCGGACTTTCTGTCTCTGTAGGAAACTGTGGGCACTTATTTGTAAATTAGATGGTTGTGCAGCTGTCAGACTCCCTTCTGAACATTTATACTCATAGAAACATGGAACGTTACAGCAAGCTACCTTATACCAACTGATTTGTCTCTTCACTAGTAAAGGAGAAAATAAGACAATGAGATTCAGGGACTTGTCACAGGTACAATCTATTAATTCATTATGATAGCAATAATTAGGCTATAAATAAACTGTCAGTAAAAGATAGATCAAGATGAGACTCATTTTTAATAAAATAACTTCAGTTTTTGTTTCTTTTTTACATATAAATAAAAACATCTACTGGGAAAGGTGAATAAAATTAATAAGTTTTCAGAATCTTTATACTTACAAATTAAAAAAAAACAGATATAGTGAAATGAAGTCTTCTGCTTCCTCTTTATATCACTCTCATTCTTTCCACTCTCCCTTTCTCTATCTTACGAATAAACTTGGGATAGAGAGCTGGAATGATTGGCATTTTAATGTATGTTCCAAATCTTTTAATTTTATTATTCCTATTAATTATCTTACCTGCTGTGAGCTATGGAAGCTCACTCCCTGCCTTTAGTTATTCTTCAATAAATCTACATCTCAAAACTTTTGCTGTTTTCCTCTTCAACCAGAGACACTTGGCATATTACTTTTTATGGAAAAATGCACCAGCAAGCATCTGAAGACATCCTCAAGTCAAGCACTTCTCAATCGTTGTTTCTTTCAATAGATCTGTGAGTCACCAATGGTCAGTTGTGTAATATGTTATAAGTAATTTTAATAATAATACACAAAAATTTACTTATCCTCCTAAAAATAAATTGGATTACATTCAAGATTATTTCTAGAACATCACAATGGTACTTTTCTTGCATTCTGATATGCTTTCTTAAATGGGAGATAACAGGATGGTAGACAAAGGTAGAAATTGCAGAAATTATATTTACACCTTAAAAGTGAGTTTCTGTGACTGTTATCTGAGCCATAAACCATGGTGGCAAGAAAGGTTGATAAGCACTGTAACCTATGCAGCAAATCATCTCTCATAAAATCCAAGAGGTTTTTTGTTTGTCCGGATGGAGGGGTACAATAATTGACAACAAATATTGAACATTTACTATATGTCCAAAGCTGTACCGCAGCCTTGCAAACTTGGTCATATGGAACCCAATTTATAATTAAGAAAACTGAGGTTCAGTGAAGTTCAGTGACTTATACAATATCACACAACTAATAAGCTGTATAACTGGGAATCAACTAGGACTATCTCACTCTAAAACTTATGCTCACTTCACAAGAATAATGATGTCTTGGCATCAAGACATCTTTCATACATCCATGGAAATACCCATAACTATTCTCAGCTCTCAAGCTGTGCAAAGACTAACTCAGAGTCAGGTCAGCTAAGCCAAGAATCAAAATCGAAATGTTGAGATGTTGAAAGAAAGTAAGAAGGAAGGAAAAGAAGGAAGGAGGGAGAAAAGGAGGAAGAGAAGAAAGGAAACAAAGAGAGGGAGGGAATGAAGGGGACCCAGAAAACCATCAATTTCTCCCCGTCTCACTTATCCCACTCTGTTCTGGGTGCATTTTGAGTTCAAAATAACTTCATGGTGGCAGCGATTAAATTCTAACAAATAAGGCACGTGTATTCATTTCTGGTAAGTGCATAGGTGGGAGCCAATCTAATGCTTCAATTTCTCTCTTCCACTTTATTGGATGTAACATGCTGTGCACATCACAGTTCTTTACGACAAATGCATTTCAAAAGTAAAATTAGCCTTGAACATTGAAACTTGCAACTGTGTATATTTTACCAAATGTCAATTGCCATTTGAGGGTAATTTGAGTTAGTCTGATTCCTTATGTAATTCTAAGCCCAAGAAAGTTATTTCAAATAGAAAAAAAAAAAAGACTTGACCAAATTTTGGACTACATGCAGTTTCCAAAAGTGCAATTTAAGCCATTATCTATAATTCAGTTATAATTTTGCTTTCTACTCCCCTGCTTCCAGCTAGGTTACAACCTCCTGACCATAAGAAAAATTGCCTCAAGTCTTACCTTAATTCTGCCATTTTAAGATAATTTCAGATAACAGCACATATTTGTCCAAGTGTCTACTGTACCATTCTCCTTTCTCTGGTTAAACACTATACTGGGTTTCTTATTATTTCAAGTTTCTCTTTAAACTTTTATCACTCTTCTTAATGATCAAGTAGAACATTATTTATATTATAGAATTCTTCTAGACACAAAATGCCTCAAGATGTGGGTTTTTATGTCATGATTGTCAAATTATTTCCTGAGAGAAGTTTTAAAATAACATAACAAACCAAATTGAACTTATTATTCTCTGTAACACAGTAATCTACATAATCACTACTAGCAGTGATTCTGAATATGTTTTATGGCTCAGATTTGTTTCATAATAATAATAACATTCATTTTGTGTTTACATGCACCAGGAAATATAGTATATATATAGTACATATGGTAAATATTGAATGAATTATCTCATTTAAACACCAAAATAGTCCAAGGAGTAGTATCTTATTATATGCTTCAGATTATTTCCTTAGCTAAAACTTCAAGATGAAAGGTTTCTAGGTCACTGAATATGGGCAATTTGCAAACTCAATACATAGTTGTGTCCACAAAGATTTTATTAATTTATGTTCCCTTCAGCAATGCATGTAAATCTTCTTTTATTCTATACTTTTGTCACCATCAGGTCTGGCTGTAATTCTTTTTCAAAAATCTCCTAATCTGACAAGCAAAAAATGAAACCTCCCCATTATTTAAATTTGCATACTGATAAGTTTCTTAACCTAATTTATTTCCTAATTATCTATTAGTATCTCACTCCGTTATCTATGAGGATCTCCTTAGTGCTGTTGTTCTCAATTTGAATTGAATTGAATCTTTAAATACTAAAACTATTAACCTTTGTCACATTTATTATAAATAGTTGTTCCAGTTTAGCTTGCTTCTTAATTTTAGTCTTTTTTATTTTAGACCTGAAGCCTTTTAATGTTCAAATAATTAAAGCTATTGATTTGTCTCTATAAATTCTTCCATTATAAAGCGATCTTAAGAAAACATAAATTGTTCATGTCACTCCCCTATTTCTTCGACCTTAAGTGTCACATTCCTCAGCATAATAATCAAGACCTTTCATGATTTAGGTCTCCTTCTCTCTTATGAATCATCTTTCCACACTTTCCCCCTCAACCCTGTGCTCTTACCTTGCCAAATTCTTTTCGGAAAACCAATCTGATTTTTCTTCCACCTCTGGAGCTTAGCTCTAGACTCTTCCTTGCCTACCAACACTCACTATCCCCAGATCCATCCCATTTACCTGATTACCTGATTAACTCCTCCCTGTAATGACAAGATTCAAATCACATGGTCTCCTTCAGGATTCCCTTCCTAAGCCACTCACCCTCATAGAAATTGGATGATTTTCCCAGGTGTTCCCATAGCATTCCAGGCTCACCTCCCTCAGAATACCTATCACACTATGTCGTACTGTCCCCTTCCCAACTAGATGCTGGATACTCTATGCAGGTGTCTACCTATTTGCATATCTACATTATTTGACACACACTATATGCCAAAACGTGTTTGATGAATGAATGAATGAATGACAAAAGTTGATGGTAAAGGGTACTGGCATATATTTAGAAATATTTTATTTGTAAGTATTTAAAATTTTTATTCCTAATCCATGATGTTAAGAGAAATAATTTGGGACAAACTAAACAGATTTCAAATTCTTGTGTTTCTTAAAAACATTTCCTGGGAAGTAAGTAAAAAAGGAAAAGAGAATGCTATGTGAACAAGTATAAACATGTTTCTAAAATCGTGGAATATCTAATTTATGCTATATCTTCTAGTTGATGTATCAGTAAAGAATAATTTATTATAGCTTTTTAGAACTTTTTTCTATTTTTCATACTATATCTCTTTTATTTAACATCAAAAAAGCATATTAAGTGGACTAAAATGCTGTATCAAGGCAGAACCAAAAGATCACACTCTAACAAAGACTTTTAAGGAAAAAAAAAAGAAAAATTACCAAGAGAAATCTTAGGGTGTTGCAAAGAAATATCAGGTATAAAGTAATTTTAAAGTGAATTCAAATGGGTAGAAAACAAGGTTCCATTTCATTAGATACATAAACCATTTCAGAGTGAAGACCACAGATTAGAATTATGAACCTTCCCTCTGGCTGCCAGGTAAAATAGTCACCAATATTTATTTTTTCGGTCTGCTTCATGGATTCCAGCCTGATGAAAACTTTAATTGACTCTCTGAGTCTATTCACAAATCACTAAACTGAAAAATACAGTAGGTGGGTTTGCAGGGGACGCAGGAACCTGGGTTCTTAACCAAGTTTCAAGTTTCAATAAAGGGCTTTGTCAAAAATGAATACTTTGCCCTAAACAATAAAAGTGCCCTCAATAAAACAAAATATTGATACCACCTCAGTGGGAAAAGCTATAAAATCAAATAAGTATTTCATATTGTAACTGTAAAGACAAAAGTCTGGATTTCTTTAGTGTTTCTGTGAGACACATTTCTGAAAAATAGTAAAGCAAATATGAAAGCCATAAACCTTTTCAGGGAATCCAGTTTAAAAGAGCACAATATCCAACATAATTCACTAAATATTTGTTTATCTCCAACGACTTTTATACTGGTTTAACCTCAGATCTTTGCTTATTTTTTAAATTTAACATAAATGTTGAGTCTTCGAACTGATTAACACACTATTAAGGACTTCACTAAAGCAATTATGTATTATTATTATATAAAGCTATTACATATCATTATATAAGGTTATATAACTTAATGAGATATCTAACCTTTCTAAGGAGTTAATAATTTAATAAAAATATAATAAAGCAACAGATAACTTTAAAATCAACAATTAGAAAGGATGGTGAACAAACTCAATAATTTTACTTTGTTTAAACTAGTATTACAAAAATAAGTACTTGACTCACATATTAAGAATTTAAATATCTATAGCCATTTAAAAGGGCATGGAATCTCACTAACCAAATTAATGAAATTTAGAACATCAGGCCAGTATGTTTCATCTACCATATTGGAAAATAATAAAAAATATTTAAAATGCCCATGGTGAGTGAGAATGTGGGGAAATAGACACTCTACTTTTCTGATGAGCAAAGAAATTAGTATAATTTTTATCAAAGGCCATCTGACCATATTAACTGTCTATATATACATATATATACATACATACATATCCTGTAACTTCAACATTTTTCTTAATATTTTTTCAGCTTTTTGGCCAAGGAGAAACCTATCTCCTAATGACACTGTTTCTTAACTGCACTGGAAGTAAAGCAGGATTTTTTTTTTCCTTCTCATAGCTCCACTGACCTCAGGAGCTAGAAGGAGATTAGGCATCATCATTTTCCCTTGCCATTTCCAGCTATTACTCTAGCTCCTCATTAAAATGCACACACACACACAGAGATACACACACCTCTGTTCTTTGAAGACTATACTTTATTACCACCCAGTTTTGTTATGATCATCTATTTTTGAAAATGTCAAGATCATATGCATGCTGTATAAATTTAAAAAGGAAAGTAGCCAGAAAAAGAAAAGGAAAAACTTAAACATAAAGATCACATAGCACCTTTGGTATTCCAACTACTATTTATTTTTGTTGTTTCCATTTCTCTACTGTCAATGTTGGCATCTTATGCACACTCTCATCTAACATGGCATTTCTGACTCCTGACAGCAGAGTTACTGTTTAGAGCAGGAGACAAGTTCACCAAAAGATTATCACTACTGGTGCTACAAGTTCATCTCTGATACTCACAGCAATTTTTGTAAAAAAGGCCAAAAAGACCAAAGAGGTCTTTTTTATAAAAAGTCCTCAGTAGGTGTTCATTATTACCATGGATATTTTTTCCATCACCATTAACCTGACCTTCAATTTTAGTTAGTAGGCTGCTATAGGATTTTATTAGGATGTGTTCATTCTTATAGAAATACATATGATGAAGTATGCTTTAAAAGAAAATATGTAGAAACTGCATATTCAAATATTATATTTTTCTACATCACCAAAGAAACAAATAAATCAGTTAACCTCCCACATTCCTGACCAAGGCAATGATGTCAATGGAATAACATAACATCAGACTTCCCTATGCCTGATCTAGTCTAACCAACCTAACATTTCAAAATCTGATTTATTACCACTTACCATATTTTTTCCTGAAGTCAAATTGTGTACTTTGAGTAACTGATTTCTAGAATTACAGTCTCATTACTGCAATGATTCAGCCTTCATATATATATATCATTTATAATACTATTGTGTCCTTTTCGTGAAACAGCTGCAATATTTTCTTCATCAATTTCTGCTGCAAATTGCAAATGAGACAAAAGCCTTCCACTTGCATATATATCATAATGTCATCTATTGATTCTACTAATGTTTTTCAAATTTCATAGCCAGAGCCACCAATTAAAAAAAGATCACTCCTTTTACTAAACTACAAAGCTTAAAAACACTTAAAATTTGGGGAAAAAAAGCAGTTATTAAAGATATGTAGCAAAAAGTTTCTCTTAACAAAAATTGTATTACCCCTAATTTATATGAAATTTTATACCAGCATATACTTGCTTCTTGGCTCTATTCTCCCTACTCACCCACCCACACTCCCACCCCTTGAAGCAGAGAAAAGACCCAGTGAATCATTCTTTTGTTGCATTTTTACCTTTGTTCCAGAAAACTATCTACTGGTCTCATAAAGAATTCTACTTCATCTTTGGTTGTGGTTGCTACAACATGAGCTTTATCCAAAAGGGTCTGTCTTGAGAACTACGTAAGCTATTACTTGACTATTGATTCTGAATGGGATTCAATGATCATGTGACTGAAAAAAATCTTAGCACATCTTATTTATAATTCAAGGTAGTAGAGAACGTGAGTTCAAATCCTGACCTTGCTAACAAAGCATTTCCTAAAGTGTCTAAGTTACATTTATCCTCCCTAAACTTAAATTTTCTCATTGATACAATGAGGATAATAACATCTATTTCAATAAGATAATGCATAGATCATGCTTAGCACAATGTCTGGCAAATAAAAAGTCCTCAGTAGTTGTTAATTATTACCATGGATATTTTTCCCATCACCATGAACCTGACCTTCAATTTCAGTTACTAGGCTGCTACAGTATTTTATTAGGATGTGTTCAATAATGCATATTCTTATAGAAATAAATATAATGAAACATGGTTTGAAAGACAATATGTAGAAACTGCATATTCAGATATTTTATTTTCCTACATCACCAAGGAAATAAATAAATAATAGACAAATTCACACACTTTGTGAAGGTTTCCAAACATTCAGTTAGTCTACCTGCAAAGGCAATATGGATAGGCAAATGCAAACTTAATGGGCTGATTTTCCATTTATAGGCAAGGCTAATTTATTCATTTGTTTTTCAGGATAATAGGATCTTAAGGCTAAAGATACTTTCCAAAGAACTTTGAACTTGCAACAGAAATATTTAAATATAAGTTAAATTTACCTATATAGTCTTAGTACATATATCTTAGTACATCTACATCATAGAGTTAGGTCTCATACATGGTAACTTAATATTAGAAGTATAAAAATAATGTAACTGACTAGTGTTTTACAGTTTAAAAAGCACTTTTCTAGTACAGGCATACCTCAGAGATATTGTGGGTTCAGTTTCTAACCACCACAATAAAGCAAATATTGCAATAAAGTGGATCACACAGATTTTTTGGTTTCCCAGTGCATACTAAAGTTAAGTTTACACTATACTGTACTTCATTAAAAAGGAAATAACATTATATCAAAAAAACTATTTATGTACCTTAATTTAAAAATAATTTATTGCTAATAAAAATGATAGCAATCATCTGAGCCTTCAGCAAATTAAAATCTTCTTGCTGGTGGAAGGTCCTGCCTCCATGTTGATGGCTACTGATTGATCAGGGCTTGCTTGAAGTTAGGGTGGCTATGGCAATTTCTTAAAATCAGACAAGAATGAAGTTTGCCACATCAGTTGACTCTTTCTTTCACAAAAGGTTTCTCTGCAGCATGCGATGCTGTTTGACAGCATTTTACTCACAGTGAAACTTCTTTCAAAATTGCAGTCAATCCTCTCAAATTCTGCCACTGCTTTATCAGCTAAGTTTATGGAAAATTCTAAATCTTTTGCTGTAACTTCAATAATTTTCACAGTATCTTCATCAGGAGAAGTTTCCCTCTCAAGAAACCACTTTCTTTGTTCAACCATAAGAAGTAATTCCTCATTCATTAAAGTTTTATTATAACATTGCAGCAATTCAGTCATATCTTCAGTTTCCACTTCTGTTTCTCTTGCTATTTCCACCACATCTGCAGTTGCTTCCTCCACTGAAGTCTTTCACCCCTCAGAATGATCCATGAGGGTTGGAATCAACTGCTCCCAAACTCCTGCTAACGTTGATATTTTGACCTCCTCTCAGGAATCATGAATATTCTTAATGGCATCTAATGGTACCATCTAATGGTGACTTCTTTCCAGAAGATTTTCAATGTAATTTGCCAAAATCCATCAGAGAAATCACATCTATGGCAACTATGGCCTGAGGAAATGTATTTCCTAAATAAAAATACTTGAAATTTGAAATTACTCTTCAATCCATGGGCTGCAGAAAGGATGATGTGTTTGTGGGCATAAAAACTACATTAGTCTCCTTGTACATCTCCATCAGAGTTCTTGGGTGACCAGGTACATTGTCAGTGAGCAGTAATATTTTCAAAAGAATGTTTTCTTCTGAGCAGGAGGTCTCAACAGCAGACTTAAAATATTCAGTAAACCAGCCGGGTGCGGTAGCTCACACTTGTAATCCCAGCACTTTGGGAGGCCGAGGCAGGCGAATTACAAGGTCAGGAGGTTGAGACCATCCTGGCTAACATGGTGAAACCCCGTCTCTACTAAAAATACAAAAAATTAGCCAGGCGTGGTGGCAGGCGCCTGTAGTCCCAGCTACTCGGGAGGCTGAGGCAGGAGAATGCTGTGAACCTGGGAGGTGGAGCTTGCAGTGAGCAGAGATCGCGCCACTGCACTACAGCCTGGGCAACAGAGCAAGACTCCATCTCAAAAAAAAAAAAAAAAAATTCAGTAAACCATGCTGTGAACACATGTGCTGTCAGTCAGGCTTTATTATCTCGTTTCCAGAGCACAGGCAGAGTAGAGTTAGCATAATTCTTAAGGGGCCTAGGATTTTCAGAATTGTCAATGAGCATTGGCTCCAACATAAAGTCACCAGCTGCATTGGCCCCTAAGAAGAGAGTCAGTCTGTCCTTTGAAGATTTGAAGCCAGATATTGACTCTAGCTTCTAATGTCCTAGATGACATCTTCCAACAGAAGGTTTTCTCATCTACAATGAAAATCTGTTGTTCAGTGTAGCCACCTTACTCAATTATCTAGCCAGGTCTTCTGGATAATTTGCTGCAGCTTCTACATCAGCACTTGCTGCTTCACCTTGCACATATATGTTATGAAAATGGCTTATTTCCTTAAACCTTATGACCCAACTTCTGCTAGCTTCCAACTTTTCTTCTAAACCTTCCTCACCTCTCTCAGCCTCAGAATTGAAGAGAGTTAGGGCCTTGCTCTGTATTAGGCTTTGGCTTCTGGGAATGCTGTGACTGGTGTGATCTTCTATCCAGACCACTCAAACTTTCTCCATATTAGCAGTAAGGCTATTTCTGTTTCTTGTCATTCATATTTTCACTGGAGTACCACTTTTAATTTTCTTCAAGAACTTTTCCTTTGTATTCACAATGTGGCTAACCATTTGGCACAAGAGGCCTAGCTTTCACCCCATGGTCTTCAACATGCTTTCTTCAGTAAACGTAATTGTTTCTAGCTTTTGCTTTAAAGCCAGAGATGGGCAACCATTCCTTTCATTTGAACAGTTAGAAGCCATTGCAGCATTATTAATTGATCTCATTTTAATATTGTTGTGTCTCAGGGAATAGGGAGGCCCAAGAAAGGGGAGACTGGTAATGGCCAATTGCTGGAGTAGTCAAAACACACATTTATTAAGTTTGTTATCTTATCTGTGCATGGTTCATGGTGCCCTAAAACTATTAAAATAGTAACAGCAAAGATCACTGATCACAGATAACCGTAAGAGATACACTAACAATGAAAAAGTTTTTAAATACTATGAGAATTACCAAAATATGGCACACAGTCACAAAATGAGCACATGCTGTGGAAAATGTGATGCTGATAGACTTGCGCAATGCAGAGTTGCCACAAACTTTCAATTTGTAAAACATGCAAAGATAGAGAGGCAGAATAAAGCAAAAAACAATAAAATAAGATATGCCTGTATGTGTCTTCTCATATATTCCTCAGAGTTACCTTCTTAGGATTTTAGGTTAAACTGAAACTGATATGTTTTCTTACTAGTGGTAGAGACTGAGCTTCCCCAAATGTTTCTTCATCCTCTTTAGTTTTAATATAAACTGTCAAGGTTTAGCAGTGCACATGGCACTCAGGCTAGAGACTCTATTTCCATTTCAGTAAGCCCTGGCCACTGGCTTGTAAGTAAAATTAAACTCTGCAACTTCTGGATCATGTCATTGAAGCCTATTTCCCCCCTACTTACTCCTGTACCCTAGGCTGCAAGGTGAATGTGGTGGTGGTGGTGCCAGATTCAATCTTTGAGTGAGGACACTACACTAGGAGATGATGGAGCAATGAGATAGAAAGAGATTGGTTCTTGAGGGCCTCCAGAAGCAGAGCTGCCTCCTTACATAGACCACAACCATCATCTTGACTGTTACACGAGAACATAAATCCCAGTCCTATGTTATCTGAGACCCTGTACTTCAGGTCTTTCTTTTGCTTTTTTTTTTTTTTTTTTAACATTATCTTAATGTTTTCCCTTGCCAATTTATCATTTAATGAGTTAGCGATCACATGGCTAGAGGTGGAGCCTTGACTTCAGAGCCCATAATCTTCCATGTACAGTAGGGAAATAAGCAAGTATTGTTGCAAAACCAAAAACTGCTATAGTGATTTTCTGGATCTTCTTAACATTCTCATACCCTGTGAGACAGAGCACCTTGAAAGTAATAACATATGCTTCCCTTTATTTTACCAGACTAAATCTAAAAATTTTAAAAATAGAGTAGGCAGAATGATAAGACTCTCCTACTCCCACAGAAACCATTATATACCCACTGCCAATTCTAGCAGAGGGAGCATGGCCATCTCCACAGCAGACCTGACCTGTGTTACGGACAGGAAGCTGAGCTGCACTGCAGAACTAGAAGGCTCTCATTGTGGGCATCTTCCTGCTATACCACCCAACCTCAGTCATGAGCTGCTCCCAAGGCCATTTCCCATTCTTCATTGTTCCACCACTGCATCCATCCCTGCACAAATCTTAATTTAGCCACACTATGTGTTTTTATGCCTCCATTTTCTTCCCTTATTCTTTCTCTAACCACAGATTTTTTTTACAATGATGTTGTTGCCTTTTGCTGATTTGTCAACCTCAGTAAAAGAAACACAGTTTACTTTAAAATATGCACAGAAGCCTGCATATGAAACAAAAGTTAACAACAAAAAACTTGTCCCAATTATCTGTGATAAAGAACATAATAAAGATAACATCTAAACCAAGTTTATTAATATTTACTTTATTAATATTTAAATATAATGCAGCTAATAATTGCCAGTATAAACAAAAGTTTGGAGTGATTTTACTCAATAGCATGAGTACACTTTCTTGTTCATTAGTTTGTTCCAAGGTGGAATGCACATAAACATAGATACATACTGATCTGATTCATCATGTCTGAGCCTATTTCTTTTGTTTTCAATCAGGTCTTGCTTGAAAATCCTAATTTACACAAACAGGTCATTTTGAATAGTATTAAAGCAATACACTCTATATAATAAGAAAATTGTTTAAACTTAATCAAAATTCATGATGTCATTCAAAAGACCACCAGGATGGCTAAATAGGAGAAAGGAGAGATTAACTGGTGATGGGGTTTGCAATCAGGAAGAGAACAAACATCTCCAGCATGGACTGAAGGTACTCTCTCTTCAAAGAGGGAAAGGACAGGTTGGGTTTTATTCCTCTCAGGAACAGTATCATACATATTCATCAGGTTTGCCTCTATATTTTTCACTTCATCCTTCCCATTCTTTTATTAATAAAATTATTTATTTAAAGGCAATTGTGCTACTTCAACTGAAATGTTACGTTTGTCTTAAATTCTAAAAAAGTCATATTTCATAAGCTCACTTTATTTTTTATTGATTGATTGTTTTTTGAGACAGAGTCTCTATCTGTTGCCCAGGCTAGAGTGCAGTGGCGTGATCTTGGCTCACACAACCTCCGCCTGCCAGGTTCAAGCAATTTTCCTGCCTCAACCTTCCAAATAGCTGGGATTACAGGCGTGTGCCACCACGCCCCGCTAATTTTTGTATTTTTAATAGAGACGGGGTTTCGCCATGTTGGCCAGGCTGGTCTAGAACTGACCTTGTGATCCACCCGCCTCAGCCTCCCAAAGTGTTGGGATTACAGGCGTGAGCCACTGCACCCAGCAAGGTTCCTTTTTTTTGAGACAGAGTCTAGCACTGTCGCCCAGGCTGGAGGGCAGTGGCGAGATGTCCGCTCACTGCAAGCTTCACCTCCCGGGTTCACGCCATTCTCCTGCCTCAGCCTCCCGAGCAACTGGGACTACAGGCGCCCGCCACCATGCCCGTCTAATTTTTTTGTATTTTTAGTAGAGGTGGGGTTTCACTGTGTTAACCAGGATGGTCTGGATCTCCTGACCTCGTGATCCGCCTGCCTCAGCCTCCCAAAGTGCTGGGATTACAAGCGTGAGCCACCGCGCCTGGCCCCGGCAAGGTTCTTTTTTAAAAAATGCCCATACACACTTAAACCAAGTTGAAAGCCTCAACACTTTGCCAGTTGTGAGTCAGTTTCTTTGCACCTTGCTTCACAATGAAATGCCAATTGTGTTAATATAAAATTAAATCATACAGTATTGGCCCAAATGTAAAATGGTCAATATAGCACTGTGTTCATGAGCACAGATTATAGAGGCAAACAGCCTGGTGCTGAACCTTGCTCCTCTTCATGCTTGCTGTGGACTCTGGACACATGACTGCACTCTGCCCATTTCTTCATCTGTAAAATGGGACTAAGAAGGGTCCTTAAATCATAGACTTGCAGTGATTATTAAATAATTAATGTACATAAAGTTCTTAGAACAGTCCCTGACACAGAATCAGGGCCTTTTTTGCATTAATTAATACTGTTATTATATGCCTCAAATTCAGAAAGCTATCTGAGAGCAAAAGATTAAATCTCTTTCCAGCCAAGATATTACATTTCTAACATCTCTTCCACTAATTGTATCACACACAGATTACAAGTGGCCACAGCATTAGTTCTGATGTGCTACAGATCTGTTCTCGCTACAGATCTCTATGATGCACTCAACTATTTTCTATTCTTTTTTATTTAATTTTATTTACATGCTGGCCACATAAATCTTCCCTCGAGAATCTTACAGGCTGCTTGACTGAGACCTGGAAGCTTAAAATAATAATCATGGAAATTTGGGGGAGAATTATAAAAACTGCTTAATCATTTTCTTCCCCTGGAGCTATGATAAATCCCCCAAACTGCACACTTCATAATGGGACAGGAGCAGGGTGGATGTTGAGAAGACCACCCCAATATTCACTATTGTGCATGTGTTATTGCGTACCTGTGAGTAAATACCTTGGGAAATTCTCATTTTCTGATCATTGGTTCTTAATATTGTTTAACTCCCACAATATGGGTTAAGACATATTTTAATAAAATCTCCTAGTGTTGTGTCAGTTCCTCTGAAATGCTGCTCATAATCCACTAAATTGACTGCATGTCCCATGAATAAGTTGTAATTTACAGTTTAAATACTCTGTGCTACCCCTGTAATCCCAGCTACTCGGGAGGCTGAGATAGGAGAATTGCTTGAATCTGGGAGGCAGAGATTGCAGTGAGCCGAGATGGGGCCACTGCACTCTGGCCTGACGACTCTGTGCTACCTATAATAACTGAGGAATCATTCTATGCCTACTCCTGGTTCAGCCTTAACAAAAATAAGGAAAAAAAAAAACGCAAACAACACGCAGCCAGGACCTTCTTCCAGTGTCCTCATCTGTCCCTTCCTGACCTTCACCGCATTTTATACCTTCATCACTGCCTAATGCTTTTTCTCTCCTTTCCTAACATCATAGTGTAGTATTGAAGAACACAAACACTGGAATTAGAGATCTGAATTGGAGCTTCAGCTTTGCCCCTTATTAGTTCTGTGACATTAGACAACACTGCTTACCACTCTGAGCCTCAGTTTTTTTACCTATATAAATGGGAATAAAATAATTAGCATATTAATAATATTAAAGTGAGGATGAAATGAAATAAGACATAAAGTATCTAGAACATGTAAAAGAACTCAATATATATTAACCATGACTGTTGCTATAGAAACCAACTCACATAATAAGGTAAACTGATTACTCATTGGTATAAATGATGGTTTAATGTTTCCATTCCGGGGCACTAGAAGTCTAAAACTAAAGCAAGAAATTTCTGAGTAAAGGATGTCAAGGATCGGTGAGTCGATGAAGAAGGAATTTTTATTGCCAAAGAGTGCTTTTCACATGTCCTAAAGTCACATAACAGACATACTTGACTGTTACTGGTAAAAAGGAAGAAGAAAAGAAAGGAAAAAGTAAATTTTTCCTAAAGAACACTGTCAAAATGTCTTTGTCTTCAGAGTTAGCCTGAAGGTGTTTCAGAGTTAAATGCAGTGAGGTAAATTATCTATCTTCTTTTAAGTCTAATATTTTAGGGAAAAAAAAGAGAGAACTTTGAGAAATGATTAGACACTGAGCTCTTTTGGAAAACAAGTCAAAAAATGAATTAGCTGACTTAAAATTGTTTTTAGAACCATTAACAATCTGCGTGACCCTCCAACCCTTCCCCGATGAATCTTCCAATTTGCCACATGCTATTTTATACTTTTGTTAAAATCTATTTATGCATTCACATTACTTATTCACAGCCAGGAGATCAGAGCCCTAAAACAGAAATCACATTAAATGCTACAGACAGAATGTGGAAAGGCTGTAAAATTACCCATCCATAGTTATGGACCTGTTATTAACCCTATGGCAACAAGCCAATTTAGAGAAGTTATTTAAAGTTGTCATTCAGGGAGTGTTAGCACTCCACTGTGGTTCTGTGCTTTTTATACCAATTACATTTGATTTATAAGTTTTCACTTTTGTGACGCCTAACATTTGGTCCTTGGTAGTATTGCCTTTTGCAGTTAGTTATAAGTAAGTAGAAATTATGTTTTATACTTGACAATAAATGCATTGAGTAGTTTTATGGTCTTGTTTTCAGTTTTACATTGTTCCTGAATTTTCAATTTCCCTCCAAAAAACAACTTCCATGGCCTCAGCTGCTACCCATGAGCTTGATTAGGTACTAAACTAAGGCACTCTCAGCTTGGGAGTTGGAGACGAGGAGTAAAGGAGGAAAAGCTGAATAATGTCTAGAGACAAAAAATAGTGAGCCGATATTCCATCCTTTAGATTCTACCTTTTTTAAACTGATTTGACATAGGAGTATCTTATGAGTAAATTGAATTTCAGTAAGCTTATCAGCTCTGGAATTGATCTTAATTCTTTCAAGTTATTGTAGGAATATATCACTCTTTAAATTGATGCTTCATCATACTAATCATTACACAGAAATGAAATGGTTAAAGAAGACCTAACTTATGACTGGGATAAAATGGGAGCATAAAAATAATCAAAACTTTGCATGTCTACCTAATTATTGATGAACTTTTCTGTACAATTGATTCTATTTTGAGATGAGCTTGGTCTATCCTTTAAAAATCATCTCATTATACTGTAATTATTATTCCTTCTAAATATACTTATTAAAAATGTATTCCATCTTTCTTAATGGATTAAAACTAAGCTGAAATAAATAATAGATGGAAACCAATTGCAAAGATATAGGTAGGCTATTACAGATGCCCCTTGATTTACAATGGGATTATGTCCCTGTAAACCCATGGTAAGTTGAAAATATTGTGAGTCAAAAATGCATTTAATACTGCCAACAACCCTATCATAAAGTGAAAAAATCATAAGTCAAACTATTGTAAGTCCAGATGCTCCTCTACTTACAATGGGGTTATGTCTCAATAAACCTATCATAAGGTCAAAAAATTATAAGTAGAACCATCATAAGTTGGGAACCATCTGTACTACTAATTGATTTATATCATCAACAACTCTTGAAAATGCTTTCATAATTTATAATGTTTTTATAGTAACCCTTACAAGAGTACAATACAATTTCATAAAGCTCAAAACCAAGGAAAATTAAACATATTATTTACCATATATATTATCACAAACTATGTTTATAAAAAGCAAATGAGTGATACACATTTATAACTAAATGAAAATTAGAAATAGAAATTTGAAGAGTGATCACTGTTGGAAGAAAGGCAAGGATATCGGATAAAGGAAGAACACAAAGATAAAAGCTATTCCTGGTGTCTAGGTAAAGCCTTCAAACTGTGGCCCAGAGGTCAAATCCAGTTGCAACTTCTTTGGTAAAGTTTCACTGGTACACAACCATGTGCATTTGTGCATATATTTTCAGTGGATGCTTTTGTGCTCCAACAGCAGAGTTGAATACTTGTGAAAAAGATATGACTTGCAAATCCTAAAATATTTGTTATCTCTTTAAAGAAAAATGTTGCTGACTCCTGATTTAGCCAACTAAAATTTAAAAGCCCTCCATTAATTGTTAGTTTATGTAGAATGATATACTGACCACTTCATTCACTTCAGCTTTACTTATCCTCATCCCTAAGCAGAAATTGTGAAGGCAGAAATGCTGAAGGCAGCATAAAATTACATACAAGCAGTGGAAGGAGCAATCAATACTGAAAAGATCAAGTTTTTTTGTTGTAGGTTTTCCAATCTGAAAAAAGTAAGAATCCAATATAGTCCTTCTATCATGGAACTAGGGAAGGGTTCTTAGCTTTGACCATAACAGAATGATAGAATAATTTTCCAGCCACCCACAGAGGCTAACCCTGTATGAACTGAAAGAGAACTTAATGTAAATATAAGGGAATGATTTTATATTATCCTCTAGATTTTAATTTTTTTTAACTTTTATATGTACTATTATTTTTTATTTTGTAGGTACACAGTATGTGTATATATTTATGGGATACATGAGTTATTTTGGTACAGACATGCAATATGTAATCACATCATGGAAAATCGGACATCCATCCCCTCAAGCATTTATCCTTTGTGTTACAAACAATCCAATTATACACTGTAAGTTATTTTTAAATGTATAATTAAATTATTATTGACTGTAGTCCTCCTGCTTTCAAATACTAGGTTTTAGATATTCTTTCTAATTTTTTGTTTTGTACCCATTAACCATCCCCACCTCCCTCTTCCCCACTATCCGTCCCAGTCTCTGGTAACCATACTTCTATTCTCTATTCTCTATCTCCATGAGTTCAATTGTTTGAATTTTCAGATCCCACAAAAAAGTGACAATACGTAGTGTTTGTGTTTCTGTGCCTGGCTAATTTCACTTAACATAAGGACCTCCAGTTCCATCCATGTTGTTGCAAATAACAGAATCTCATTCTTTTATGGCTGAATAGTACTCCATTATGTGTAAGTACCACATTTATGTATCCATTCATCTGTTGATGGACACTTAAGTTGCTTCCAAATCTTAGTTATTGTAAACAGTGTTGCAACAAACATGGGAGGGCAGGTATTTCTTCCATATACTGATTTCCTTTCTTTGGGATATATACTCAGCAGTGGAATTGATCGGTTGCCTCTGCTTGTAGGGTATTACTCAAGAAATTTTTGCCTATAACAATGTCCTGTATAGTTTCCAAAGTTTTATTGTATTAGTTTTATAGTTGGAGGTCTTGTATTTAAGTCTTTAATTCATTTTGTTTGATTTTTATATAAGGGGAGAGATAGGCATCAAATTTCATTCTTCTGCAGATGAATATCCAGTTTTCCCTGCACCATTTATTGAAGAGAGTGTTTTTTCCTCAGTGTATGTTCTTTGCACCTTTGTTGAAAATTAGTTCAATATAGATGTATAGATTTGTTTCTGGGTTCTCTCTTCTGTTTCCTTGGTATATGTTTTTGTTTTGTTGCCGGTATCATGTTGTTTTGGTTCCCATTGCTCTGTAGTATAATTTAAAATAAGGTAATGTGATTCCTCCAGTTTTGTTCTTTTTGCTTACGATAGCTTTGGCTATTCTGGGTCTTTGTAGTTTCATATAAATTTTAGGATATTTCTTCTATTTCCATGAAGAATGTCATTGGTATTTTGATAGGGATTGCATTAAATCTGTAGATTGTTTTGGGTACTATGGACATTTCCCATCCGTGAACATGGAATATCTTTCCTTTTTGTACCATAATTAATTTTAAAAATCAATGTTTTATTGTTTCCATTGTAGAAATCTTTCATTTGTTTGGCTAATTCCTAGGTATTTTATTTTATTTGTAGTTATTGTAAAAATGTGATTACTTTCTTATTTCTTTTTTCAGATTGTGTGCTAGTGGCATATAGAAATGCTACTAATTTTTGTATGCTGGTTTGGTATCCTGCAACTTTACTGAATTTGTTTGTCAATTCTAATAGTTTTTTGGTTGGCGTCTTTAGGTTTTTTTTAAATATAAGATCATATCATCTACAAACAAAGATAATTTGACTTCTTCCTTTCCAATTTGGATGGCTTTTACTTCTTTCTTTTGTCTGACTGCTCTAGCTAGGACTTCCAGTACTATGTTGAATAACAGTAGTGAAAGTGGGCATCCTTGTCATATTCCAAATCTGAGAGTAAAGGCTTTCAGTTTTTCCCCATTCAGTAAAACACTAGTTGTGGGTTTGTCATATATGACCTTTATTGAATTGAGGTATAGTCCTTCTATACCCTGCTTTTTTGAAGGTTTTTATAGTGAAGTAATGTTGAACTTTATCAAATGCTTTTTAAGCATCAATTGAAACAATCATATGGTGTTTGTCCTTCATTCTGTTGATATATCATATTGAACAATTTTGTTGAATCATCCTTGCATCCCTGGAATAAATCCCACTTGGTTATAATGAATGATCTTTTTAATGTATTGCTGAATTTTGTTTGCTAATATTTTGAGGATTTTTGCATCAATATTCAACAGAGATATTCTTATAGTTTATTTTTGTGATGCAACCTTGTCTGATTTTGGTATCAGGGTAATGCTAGCCTCATAGAATGAGTTTGTATTTTCTCTTCCTCTATTTTACGTAACAGTTTGCATACGGTTAGTATTAGTTCTTCTTTAAATGTTTGGTAGAATTCAGCAGTACCCCATCAGGTACTAGGCTTTTCTTTACTGGGAGACTTTTTATTATGACTCTGATCATATTACTTTTATTGGTCTGTTCAAGTTTTTGATTTCTTCATGATTCAAGCTTGGTAGGTTGTATGTGTCTAGGAATTTGTCCATATTGTCTAGATTTTCCAATATATTGACATATGCTTGCTCGTAATAGCCCCTAATGTTCCTTTGAAATTTCTGTGTTATCAGTTGTAATGCCTCCTTTTTCATCTCTGATGTTATTTGGATCTTTTCTTCCTAGTCTGGCTAAAGGTTTGTCAATTTTATTTTTTTTAAAAAAGCCAACTTCTGTTTCATTGATTTTTGTATTGTTTTCTTCATTAAAAATTTATTTATTTCTGCTCTGATCTTTATTATCTCTTTTCTTCTACTAATTTTGGGTTTGGTTTGCTCTTACTTTTCTAGTTCTTTGAGGTGCATCATTAGATTATTTATTTGAAGTTTTTTATGTAGGAACTTATAGCCATAAATGTCCCTCTTAGTACTGATTTTGTTGTATCCCATAGGTCTTAGTATGTTGTGTTTCCATGATCATTTGTTTCAAGAAATTTTTCAATTTCCTTCTTAAATTCTTCATTGATCCACTGTTCATTCAAGAGCATACTGTTTAATTTCCATGTGTTTGTATAGTTTCCAAAATTTCTCATTATTGATTTGTATTGTTATTCCATTGTGGTCAGAGAAGATGTTTGGTATTATTCCAATTTGTTTGATGTTTTAAGACTTGTTTTGTGACCTAAAATATGGTCTATCCTTGGGAATGATCTATGTGCTGAGGAGAAAAATGTATATTCTGCAGTTGTTGGATGAAATATTCTGTAAATAGCTATAGATCCATTTGTTCTATAATACGGAGTAAGTCCGATGTTTCTTTGTTGATTTTCTGTATGGGAGATCTGTCCAATGCTGAAAGTTCAGTGTTGAAGTATCCAGCTATTACTGTATTGGGGTTTATCTCTCTCTTTAGCTCTAATCATATTTGCTGTATATATCTGGGTGCTCCAGTGTTAGGTGCATATATATTTACAATCATTATATTTTCCTGCTGAATTGATCCCTCTATTATTATATAATTACCTTCTTCTTCTCTTCTTACATTTTTTGTCTTGAAATCTATTTTGTCTGATATAAGTATAAGTACTCCTGCTCTTTCTTGGTTTCCATTTTCATGGAGTATCTTTTTCAATTTCTTTAGTTTCAGTCTATGTGTATCTTTATAGATGAAGTGTGTTTCTTGTAGGCAACAGATTGTTGGGTCTTGCTTTTTTCATCTATTAAACCACTCTATGTCTTTTGATTGGGCAGTTTAATCCATTTCCATTTAATGTTATTATTGACAAGTAAGGACTTACTCCTGACATTTTGTTAGTGTTTTCTGGTGGTTCTAGTCTTTTCTTTTTTTCTTTTTTCCTGTCTTCTTTTAGTGAAGGTGATTTTCTCTAGTGGTATGCTTTAATTTATTGCTTTTTATTTTCGGTGCATCCATTGCATGTTTTTTGATTTGAGGTTACCATGATGCTTGCAAATTCTATTTTATTTTAAACTAATAACAATTTAACAGTTATTGCATAAACAAAGAAACATACAAAAATACAATTAATAAAAACTCTACCCTTTAACTTCATTCCTCCTAACTTTTTGTTGTTTCTCTTTATGTCTTACTGTATTGTCTATGTCTTCAAAAGTTGTTGTAGCTCTTATTTTTAATTAATTCATCATTAAGTCTTTCTACTTAAGCCAAGAAAACTTTATGCATCGCCATTACAGTGTTATACTATTCTGTGTTTTTCCATAGGCTTACTATTACCACTGACTTTTGTTCCCTCAGATGATTTCTTCTTGCTCATTAACACCCTTTCCTTTCAGATTGAAGAATTGTCTTTAGCATTTCTGGTAGGACAGGTTTGGTGTTGATGAAATCCCTCATTTTGTTTGTATGGGAAGGTCTTTATCTTTTTTGTGCTTGAAGGATATTTTTGCCGTATATACCATTCTAGGGTAAAAGTTTTTTCTTTTTCTTTTTCTTTTTTTCTATTTTTAGTAGAGATGGGGCTTCACCATGTTGGCCAGGCTGGTTGCGAACTCCTGACCTCAGGTGATCCACCTGCCTCAACCTCCCAAAGTGCTAGGATTACAGGCATGAGCCACCATGCCCAGCCAAGTTTTTTCTTTCAGCAATTTAAATGTGTCATACCATTCTCTCCCAACCTGTAAGGTTTCCACTAAAAAGTCTGCTGCCAGACATATTGGAGCTCCATTGTATGTTGTTTGTTTCCTCTTTCTTGCTGCTTTTAGGGATCTTTTCTTTAGCCTTGACCTTTGGGAGTTTGACTATTAAATGCCTTGAGGTAGTCTTCTTTGGGTTAAATTGGCTTGGTGTTCTAGAGCCTTCTCGTATTTGAGTGTTGACATCTTTCTCTAGGTTTGGGAAGTTCTGTGATAGTATACCTTTGAGTAAAATTTCTACCCCTAGCTCTTTCTTTACCACCTCTGTAAGGCCAATAACTCTTGGATTTGCCTTTTAGAGGCTATTTTCTAGATCTTGTATGCATGCTTCTTTGTTTTTATTCTTTTTTGTCTCTTTGACTGTATTTTCAAATAGCTTGTCTTCAAGTTCATTGATTCTTCTGTTTGATTAATTCTATTAAGAGACTCTTACCTCCCCTTTCCACAGGCAGAGTAGCCTTTCCATTTGGCCATCATCATTCCATGGGGGGTTCTGCCAGGCCACCACTGATGTTTGCTTGAAGTCCGAGGGCTCTTCCATCACATTATCGTGAATGCCGCCAGGCCTAGGACTCATCTTTGAGGGCAGTGGGCTTTCCTCTTTCCCAGGGAAGGTCCAGAAATGCTGTCCAAAATCCTAGGCTTGCACTCAAGGACTTCCAAAAGCCTGCTTGTTTCTCTAACCCAATGTGGATGAGCTGGTACCTAGGGTGCAATACAAAGTCCCCTTTAATTCTCCCTGTACTTTTCTCAAACAGAAGGAGTCTTTCACCATAGCCACTGTAGCTGAGCATGTGCTGGGTCTCCCCTGAAGCCAGCATGTCTCAGAGCACAAGGCCCATGAAATACTCCCTGGGAAAGGCTGGTGGTTATTCAGAGCCCAAGGGATTTTTCGTCAGCAGTTGCTAAATCCTGTCAGGATGGATTCTTCCCTTTAAAGTAGTGGGCTCCCTTTTGGCCCACAGTGTGTCTAGAAATGTCATCCAGGAGCTAGCATCTTGAATGTGGGCCTCACAAGTCTGCCTGGTGCTCTATCCTACTGTGGCTGAGCTGGTATCCAAGATGCACGATAAAGTCCTCATTACTCTTCACTCTCTTCTCCTTAAGCAGAAGGGAGGAGTCACTTTCGTTGCTATGAACTGCACTGCCTGGGGTTGTGAGAAAAATGGCATAAGCCCTCCCTTGGCCTTCCCAGCTGGTGTCTCCCTAGGTCACATGCCACACTCTTTCACTGGCTGTAAGCCTAGCTAGCACTAGGAGTTGCCTAGGAATTGCAGTGCTTGTGACCTAGACTGCCTTTCAAGTTAACCTAGTATCCTAGAGCACTTCAGCTCGTGCTGGTGAGGCCTGCCAAGAAACTCAAGTTCCAATGATGGACAATTCCCCTCTAGCTAGGGTTGGTCCAAATGCTCCCTCCATGCTGGTGCTGGCTGGGCTCAGCACAGCTTTATTCTCCGCTGCGATGGGGTAGCACTGAGTTCAATGTAAAGTTCCCCAGTTGCTGCACTCTCCCTCCCCAGAGTACACAGATTCTCTCCCCAGGAGGCACAGCTGCTGCCAGAGGTTGGGGGTGAGAGGATGGGGGAAATTCAACACTGCCTCTTTTTCCCTCTTCAATGTTTCTTTCCACAGTATGAAATTAAAACCAGGTACTATGATTACTCACCTGATTTTTCGTTCTTGCGATGGTGTTTTCTGTGTGCAGATAGCTGTCAAAGTTTGGTGTTGTTCTAGTGAGGTGGGTGGTAATAAATGGTATTGGCTTCTATTTTGCCATCTTGTTTGGACAGTCCACAGTCCCAATTAACTTCTTGATAAGATACAGTGAAAGTAAGTGGCTCTTTTTGGTACTTAGCCATCCTTCTAAAGTCTTTTAGAAAGTGAAGATTATAACAGCCAGGTTATATACAGACCAATGGTTCTCAACCAGGTACAATTTTGAAACTCCCCCAAATGAGGCATTTAACAATATCTGGGGACATTTTTGGTTGTCACTGCAAATGGGAGGTTTCTATTGGCATCTAGTGGGTATAGGTAAGAGATGGTGCTAAGCATCAAATAATGCAAAGGGCAGCCCAACAAAACAAAGCCTAAAATGTCAAAACTGCTGAGGTTGAGACACCCTGAAATTGATTCTTGGATTGGATATGTTGACAATTAGGGTCAAGATTCTGACAATAAGTCTAAATCCCAGGTAAGTAACGCCCTTTAGAACATTCCTTCTGAATTTGGTACACATGCTACATACACTGACATATGTGCAAACCCATCCTACACACTCTAATACATACATTCTACCTAACAGGAAAACTTGAAGCAACTCTCCATAATGGAAATTACTTGGATATATATTTTTTAATTCAAAAATATTGTTTAGCTTAAATTATACCTAAAAATTGCCTCAGTTCTTTTATTTATTCTGTACACACAGAGATAGCATACAGAAATAATTTTTTAAATTATACTATTGCTTACAGATTATCATTTCATATAGAAAATTGGCCATCTTTCAAAAATATGAAATGCAAAAGGACACTTTCATGAGGTTTCTTATTTGTTATGCAGCTTTGAGTAGGGCCTTAGCATCTGCACATGCCTTAATCCACATCCAAATGATATTATTGAGCATTCTAAAAAGAGTGTCTGGAAAATTATATGTCATACGCTTAAACAGTCTGGCTGTCACCATCAGGAGAAAAAATGGTTTTAGCAAATGTTTCAGATGTATCCCAAAAAGGCTGTGAGCATTTTCATTAAAATCAAGAATTTATTTTATAATTAGCATTCCATATGTAACTATTCCCTTCTTAATTTTAGTGGATTAATGGATATTTCTAATCTTCCCAAGAAGATTTATGACAGCTTTGTTGTTCATTAAGTGTCTCATTAGTAGGCTCTGGAAAAATAGGATTCTAAACACTGAAATTAGTAAATGTTAATAGTCAGTTCTGAAACTTTTAAAATGCATGCTCTGATGTTGATAATTACAGCTGGTATGTCCATCATTATTTATTTATAGATGCTGTTAGTAAAGATCTAGTAAAAATACCTATTAAATAAATTGGAATATTGTCTCCTCAAATGAATTAATCAATGTCTTATTCCGTGTGGTCCTATTTAAATTGCAAAACTACTAGGGTTTAAAATGTGCCTTAAATTATAGAGTTCATCAAGGGAAATATAAGACATTCCCAGAATGAATATTAATTATACCTACCATAGCCCTATCCAGAACTAACCTAGACAAAATTATGAAACAAAGAGCTTGTATCTCAGCCTGCTTTTTACCCAATATATTTAGATATCCAATGCCCTCTTTTCATTTTATTTTATCTTGTTTTAAATTAACTCCATCCCTGTTATTCCAAGCTGTTGAGGTTTTCAACAGTGTAGTTCCCTGATAAATGCTGTGTGGTTCACCCTATTACACAAAAGTCACATCAACAAATCTAATCAGGTTAACCCCTTCTCTACCTTGAGTTTCTCTAGGACTACTATAGGTACACAACCTTAAAAGATCAGCTATTTAAAAGTAAAGATTTACCTGACATTCTCTCAACATTCTTAAAGGCATGTTTTTCTTTCTGGGGAACTATTTAAATATTATATTTTATGCAAACTAGTAAAATATTAATTTTAGGCACAGCATGAAAAGCAAAGAAGAAATTATAATTCCTAAAGCAAGCACTTAAGAAGTAATGCAAGACAATATGGCTAAAATGCCAGTAACTAAATTTAAAATAGAATTTACAAAATTCAGTTAGTCAAAAGATGGCAAAAAGAAAAAAAAGGAGGAACAGAAGAATCAAAAGCAGAAGTGGCAAATAGTAAATAATAAATTGATAAAATAAATCCAACAATATTATCAATAATTAAATTAAACGTTCATGGACAACGTATGCCAATTAACAGAATGAAACTGTCAAATTGGATTTTTTAAAATGCAAATCCCAACTACAGTGCATATGCTGGCTTTTGTAGACATGTACTTTAAAAATAAAGAACGGATAGATCAAAAATAAATAGATGAAAAAACATAACACCATGTTAGCAGCATAAAGAGTCTGGAGTAATGTTATGTTAATGTCAGATAAAATACACTTCAAGACTAAATGTAACTTATGTCTTGAGTGATAATAAAAACATAACACGTAAAATATGTGGGATGGGCCAGGTGTGGTGGCTCACGCCCGTAATCTCAGCACTTTGGGAGGCCAAGGCAAATAGATTGCTTGAGCCTAGGAGTTTGAGACCAGCCTGGGCAAGATGATAAAGCCCTGTCTCTACAGAAAAATAAAAAAAAAAAAAAAAATAGCTGGTGGAGCGGTGCACCTGTAGTCCCAGCTACTTTGGAGGCTGAGGTGGGAGGACTGCTTTGAGCCTGGGAGGCAGAGGCTATAGTGAACCAAGATCACCCCACCGCACTCCAGCGTGGGTGACAGAGACCTTGTCTAATAAAACAAAGCACTCAAACAAAAGTAAAATTAAATATATATATATGTAGGATAAACTGAAACAGTACATATAAGGCAAATGTATAGCTTTAAATATTTATATTAGAAAATCAAAAAGATTTAACCTAATGACCCACATTTCCACCTGAAGGAGCTAGAAAAAGAAAAGTAAACCAAGAGTAAATCAAAGGAAGGTAGGAATAAAGAGCAGAAATGGAAGAAACAGAAAACTGACAATTGAGAAAAGTAAAAAGCCAGTTTAAAAAAAAATCCACAAAATTGATAAATTCATGGCTAATCCAGAAATAACGAGAGAAAGAGAGAAAATGCTTATTACCAATATCAACATTGAAAGAAAATTGTCACTACAGATCCTTAAAGACAGTAAAAGGACGATGAAGAAATATTTTGAATAAAAATATGCCAACAATTGGGGCTACTTGCTAATCATCTATTGTGAAGAGCTGTTTAAAAATATAATACATATAGGCAAGGTGCTGTGGCTCATGCCTGTAATCCCAGTATTTTGGGAGGCTAAGGCAGGTGGATCACCTGAAGTCAGGAATTCATGACTAGCTTGGCCAACATGGTGAAACCCCATCTCTACTAAAAATGCAAAAATTAGCCAGGCGTGGTGGTGGGCGCCTATAATCCCAGCTACTTAGGAGGCTGAGGCAGGAGGATTGCTTGAATCTGGGAGGCAGAAGTTGCAGTGAATTGAGATAGCGCCATTGCACTCCAGCCTGAGCCACAGAGTGAGACTCCATCTCAAAAAAGTAATAATACATATAAAGAGAGTGTATACAAAAATGCTTATATTACACTGATGCCAACTATAAGCCAGGCTTTTTGTATACCATATTTCACACATCCTTATAATTTCATGGGTAGAAATGATTTGCTCTGCTTTATAGGGGAGGAAACTGGAGATGAGAAATAGTAACTTTCCAAAATCTTCATAAACAATAAAGAAAAGAGTTGTTATTTGAATCCATTATCTACTTAGCTCCACAGTATATGCTTTTAAATGATATAACATGTTGCTATAGTGATACATATATATTTTGCCCTAATTGATACTAATTATATCTTCTAAGTCTCTCTTTTCTCATCCTCTCTCACGTTCCAAATGCTAAAATTGTGTATTTTGATACAAAAAATAAAGCAGCTGAACTTTTTTTCTTAAAAGCAAAACATATATTACAAAGTAATGGGACAATAATCTGTGATCTAAAAGTCCTAAGAAATTATAATAACTAAGAAAGAACAAATGAGTTTTAAGTAGTATGAGCATAATATAAAATAATCATAATCACAACAACCTCCAAGTTCTCTGGGTCAGGAAGCAGATTTTATGCAGCTTCATATTTGCCATAGGAACTTTGTCAAATTCTATATCTGAAAGTATTATACAACTTAAATAGACATGACAGAATAAAAATAAAATAAAATTATTACCAAATGAATCATATTGAAATATAATTATTTAGTAAGTTAATCAAAATTTCTATATTATCAGACCAAAAATCATCTGACATAAGGTTTTTTATCAGCAAGATGTGACAAGGGAACAATGTTTCAAATTTCTATAGGAAATTATACCTTTACTTCTATATCGAGACAAATTATAAATAAAACGTGAGTCCCAACTACAGATACTTTCAGATATTCAGATGAAATGGGAGAAGTTCCCTTATCCCCCTCACACGGCATGCAACGGGTGTGGCTCGCTTCTTCGGTGACCTGCTGCTCAAACTCCTGAGGGGAGCATGCAGATGAGCAGGTCGTGGGGAGTGTTTTGGGGCTCTGACCCCACGACAGTGTCTAGGGTTGAGTGTTTGCAGCTCCCGAAGCCCCAGTGGGCATGTGTTGTGGTGTGCTCTTTCAGCTTTGCCTTCTGCAGGTGGCTTGTGTTAATCAGCTCCACTAGACCCTGTGCCTTATCACACGGACAGAGGGCTTTCTGTATCCCGGGTTCTTGCCCTAGTGTACCCAAGAAGTCGGATCACACGTGGGCTTGGAGGATGCGTGCAAGGTTTTATTGAGTGGTGGAGGTAGCTCTCGTGAGATGCATGAGGAGCCCCAAGGGGGATGGAGTGGGAAGGTAGTCTTCCCCTGGAGTCAGGTCGCCCAATAGCCAGACTCTCCTCCAACTGCCCCCAGCCAAATTCCACATCATGCAGCCATCGATGGCCTGATGTTGTCTGCTGGTGTCTGTTGCTGTGTTCTTCAGCTCTCTTGACGTCCCGCCACTTGTGTCTGTGCCTTCTCAAGTCTTGGGTTTTTATGGGTACAGGATGGGGCGCATGGTGGGCCAAAAGGCAACATTTGGGGCATGAAAACAGAAATGCCTGTCCTCATTTAGGTCCATGAGCACAGGCCTGAGAGTGGAGCCCTCACCAGGGACCCCACCCTTCTCTACCCAGCACTTCCCTGCCCCCCTCCCATATCACAAGGACTCAAAATATTAACTCACTAGTTTTTCTAGGAAATTCATTTGACTTTGTACACTTCAGGGTGAAAAACACAAAGAAGAAGAGAGGATATGAAAAGTTGTAAGCTCTCCCAGATTCCAACAGAAGGATGTCCCAGGATGACAGTCATGTAGCAATTCTAGAAAATAACTGGACCAAATTAGAACAGGAAGTCAGTGAGCTCCAAAAAGAAGTTCCTCATAAAGAATGCCAGGAGGAGAAACACAAAAGTATGTTTGATGAAAAATTCATGGTTCAGTTATGAAGCAAATTTCAATGAGGTGTGATTTTCAGCAATTAAGAATAAGATAATCCATTTGACCTTAATTCTGGTGTGATTCTTCTTCTAACAGTGAAGTCTTGACAGTGGACTGCTAGGAAGAGAATGCTAGCATACCATTTGGATCTGAAGCTAAAAACATTAAAATAATAAAATTTATTTAGAATCAACCTATAAACAAATACTGAGATATTTATTTAAATGTAGATAATTCATGGAATATTTCTGTAGATATGGATATAAATAAAGCATGGAATATTTACATTGAGCCAAGTAATAAATTAACAACAGAAGACCCAATTATACCTGCAGAGTCAAATATAAATATTATCAACATTAATAATGTGAAAGTAAAATTATAAGTGGCAAAATTTGAAAATGAATAATAAAGTTGCAAAAAACCATGTTTTAACATTAGTTCAAAATCAAGAGTTACTGTCTGAATATGATGAAATAATACATATAAATTTACATACAATGTTTAAAATTACAAGGGGAGCTAATGGAATAATTAATAATACTAATCTCAATAATTGGGAGGACAGAAAGGGATTAAATAGTATGAGTTAAATATGTATCTTTCATAATAGAGGCAACAGAGTCCATATTTCAAGAAATAGCTTATTGTATAAAGGTATGGAATCAACCAACAAATGATAATAACAGTTGAAAATGATTGCTTCTGCCAAGTGAGTAGGCAGAGTAGAACTTTTTATTATAACCTTTTCTGTACTAGTTGAGTTTTTAGCATGCCCATTCTGCTCTGATAAATTAATTTTAAATAAAATATGAGTATTTCATATACAGTGCCATGTAAACTTCACCAACAAATTAATGCCTTGAATATATTGCCATTGATGTGAGCTAAAGAAAGCATATAAAACCACAAATAGAGCAATTTTTAAGAGGCAGACCATGGTTATATGTCATATAAAATTTCATTCTATATATAATTTCATTAGCAATAAAATAAAGATTAATTCAACAGGAATCATTTTACTTCTAAGTATTCTGCAGGCAATGCTCTTTTAAGCTAAAAGAAATGCAAACAATCAAAATACTGCTAAGCAGTCATGATGTTAAGTCACAGCTGAAAAGATACAAGCTATCACTAAATTAAGAACTTCAATAAAATTCTTAAAAGCATAAGAATGTTTAATTATATTCCAATAATGAGAAATATCAATAATGTAAAATGTTGACCACAATCTCCAACAGAATTTCTGAGCCATCCACAATCTTCCCATTAAAATTTAGCTGTCACCAGTTAAAATAATAGAGAATATTTCTCCTTCAAAGATACAATTTTAGTGTTCATAAGCCCTTCTCTCCACTGGCAGTCTTTCTTATTGTATGTGGTTCAAAAGTCCAGGTTATTTTAACACAGCTTTAGAAATCTTAGACCTCAAACTTTATAAGAAAGATGTAATTGAAAAGTTTACATTTCGATTTTGCATTACTCGATGAGCTTAGATCCTGAAAACCCCAACTGTCTTGCAATCTTCTCAGCTTCAACCTTCCTCCAGGCAGACTGGATTCACCTGGGAACAAATCCTTTGACTCACTAGGTCTTTGTCATTACACATTTACTTTCACCTGTGTCTTATGAATACTCTATTTCTGACCAAAGCCTTGAAGAAATAAGCATATTTTTGGCTTATACTCCATATCTACAACTTCACTTCAAGTAAAATCTACTCTTCTCACATAGCCACCTAGCAGCTAATAATACCTTAGAGTAGTGTGTTCTAAACAACCTTTCTGCTCTGAAATGCATGTATTGACAATTACTATATGTAAAGGTAAATTCTGTTATGTAAGTGATTGAAGGATTATAGAACCCAGTATTTTTTATACAACTTGTACTATAACTGAGAAATGGACCAGGCAGTCTCTGTAGGCATGTTTCCAGTCTTCAGGAGCCAGCCATTCTTAAAATTCCTAGAAACTGGCAGTGGGAGGAGACTTATATAGTCAGTTGAAACATGATATTAAGAGAGTGGTAGTACATGGTGATCCAAACAGTTTTGTTACTTCTTCTAAATCACTCTCAGTATGGCAGAGTTGCAGAGATCCAACAAAAAGTAAAAAGCAGAAATCCCAGAAACGTTGGAAAGCACAGGAGCTAATGTTAGCAGGAGAGAATATATCCAAGTCATACAGCACCGAAGTGGCCACAAATCTGTATGGGCCTGCAGCAACCTCAATTCTTCCCTCCTCAGAAGAAAGAATTCAACTGAGGGGCATAAGGCAGAAGGTGAGACCAAGGCAACTTTTAGAGCAAGAGTGAAAGTTTATTAAAAATCTTTAGGTCGGGCACAGTGGCTCACGCCTGTAATCCCAGCACTTTGGGAGGCTGAGGCAGGCGGATCACCTGAGGCTGGGTGTTCGAGGCCAGCATGACCAACATGGTGAAACCCTGTCTCTACTAAAGATACAAAATTAGCCAGGCATGGTGCTGCGTGCCTGTAATCCCAGCTACTTGGGAGAATAAGGTGCAAGAGTCGCTTGAACCTGGGAGGCAGAGTTTGTAGTGAGCCACGATTGCGCCATTGCACTCCAGCCTGGGCAACAAAAGCAAAACTCTGTCTGAAAAAAAAAAAAAAAGCTTTAGAGAGCCGGGCGCAGTGGCTCACACCTGTAATCCCAGCACTTTGGGAGCAAGAATGACAGGAAGGAAAGTACATTTGGAAGAGGGCCAAGAAGACTACTCGAGAGATCGAGTGTACTGTTTGACCTTTGACTTAGGGTTTTATATGTTAGCAGGCTTCCAGGGTCTTGTGTCCCTTGTCCCCTGATTCTTCCTTTGGGGTGGGCTGCCTACATGTGCAAAGACTTATCGGCATTTGGAAGGGGCAGCATGCACAGTGTGTTTAATGGAGTTGTATGCATGCTTACTAGAGGCGCTCTTCCCTTAAACAGTCCAAATGTTCCTAGATGGTCATATGCCAGTTAAACTCCACCTTTTTGCCTCTCAGTGTACATGCAGGAGCACACTTGCCCAGCTCCTGAGATCTTATGGGGAAACTGCTTGTCATGCCTGTCTGTGTGAAGAGACCACCAAACAGGCTTTGTGTGAGCAACAAGGCTGTTTATTTCACCTGGATGCAGGTGGGCTGAGTCTGAAAAGACAGTCAGTGAAGGGAGATAGGGGTGGGGCCGTTTTATAGGATTTGAGTAGGTAGTGGAAAATTATAATCAAAGGGGGTTGTTCTCTGGTGGGCAGGGGCTAGGGTCACAAGGTGCTCAGTTGGGGAGCTTCTGAGCCAGGAGAAAGAATTTCACAAGGTAATGTCATCACTTAAGGCAGGAACTGGCCATTTTCACTTCTTTTGTGATTCTTCACTTGCTTCAGGCCATCTGGATGTATACGTGCAGGCTTGGGCTCAGAGGCCTGACATTCGTGTCTTCTTATATTAATAAGAAAAGTAAAACAAAATAGTGTTGAAGTGTTGGGGTGGTGAAAATTTTTGCGGGTGATATAGAGAGAAAATGGGTGATGTTTCTAAGGGCTGCTTCGAGTGGGATTAGGGGTGGCGTGGGAACCTAGAGTGGGAGAGATTAAGCTGAAGGAAGATTTTGTGGTAAGGGGTGATATTGTGGGGTTGTTAGAAAAAACATTTGTTATATAGAGTGATTGGTGATGGCCTGGATATGGTTTTGGATGAATTGAGAAAATAAACGGAAGACACAAGGTCCGAATAAGAGAAGGAGAAAAACAGGTATTTAAAGGACTAAGAATTGGGAGGGCACAGGACATCCAATTAGAGAGTGCCCAAGGGGTTTCAGCTTGGTTGGTGAGTTTTTGGGCTCTATCCTTGACAGAGTCCTCCTTTTTAAGTTGGAGGCTGAGCTTGGTGAGGTTGTTTTTTTTTTTTTTTTTGAGATGGAGTCTCACTCTGTCGCCCAGGCTGGAGTGCAGTGGCGGGATCTCGGCTCACTGCAAGCTCCGCCTCCCGGGTTCACGCCATTCTCCTGCCTCAGCCTCCCAAGTAGCTGGGACTATAGGCGCCCACCACTACGCCCGGCTAATTTTTTGTATTTTTAGTAGAGATGGGGTTTCACCGTTTTAGCCGGGATGGTCTCGATCTCCTGACCTCGTGATCCGCCCGCCTCGGCCTCCCAAAGTGCTGGGATTACAGGCGTGAGCCACCGTGCCCGGCCGGTGAGGTTGTTTTTAAAAGACCATTAGTCCATTCTACCTTTCCTGAAGACTGAGGACAGTAAGGGGTATGAAGGTTCCACTGAATACCAAGAGCCTGAGACACTGCTTGGGTGATTTGACTAGTAAAGGCCGGTCTGTTATTGGACTGTATAGAGGTGGGAAGGGCAAATTGAGGAATTATGTCTGACAGAAGGGAAGAAATGACGGTGGTGGCCTTTTCAGACCCTGTGGGAAAAGCCTCTACCCATCCAGTGAAAGTGCCTACCCAGTCCAAGAGGTTTTTTAGTTTCCTGACTTGGGGCATGTGAGTAAAGTCAATTTGCCAGTCCTGGGCAGGGGCAAATCCCTGAGCTTGATGTGTAGGGAAGGGAGGGGGCCTGAGAAATTCCTGAGTAGTAGTAGAATAGCAGATGGAACACTGAGAAGTGATTTTTTTGAGGATAGATTTCCACGATGGAAAGGAAATGAGAGGTTCTAAGAGGCGGGCTAGCGGCTTGTAACCTACAAGGAAGAGGTTATGAAATGACGACAAAATAGAATGGGCCTGTGAGGCTAGAAGGAGATATTTTCCGTCATCCAAGAACCATTTGCCTTGTGTGGGAAGAGATTGACAGGTGGAAGTTTCAGTGGGGGAGTAGGTGGGAGTGACCAGAGGAGAAAGAGAAAAACTGGCCATGAGGGACAGAAGTTGGAACACTAAGCTGCTTCTTTAGCTACCTTATCAGCATAAGCACTGCCCTGAGTGATGGGATCTGATGCCTTTTGATGGCCCTCGCCGTGAATGACTCCAGCTTCCTTTGGAAGTAAAGTGGCCTTGAGAAAAGTTTTTATTAAAGAGGCATTAACGACGGAGGACCCTTGCGTAGTGAGGAAACCTCTTTTTGCCCATACAACAGCATGGTGGTGCAGGATATGGAAGGAATATTTAGAGTCAGTATAAATATTGATGCGTAATTCTTTTGCAAGAGTGAGGGCTCCAGTTAAGGCAATGAGTTTGGCTTGCTGAGAGGTAGTGGAGGGGGGCAGAGTGGTAGCCTCAATGGTAGATGTGGAAGATACTATAGCATAGCCTGCCTTTGCTAGTGTGTGGCAATTAGGCCTGGTGGAACTGCCGTCAGTAAACCAGGTGTGATCAGGGTGAGGAACAGGAAAGGAGGAAATATGGAGAAATGGAGTAAATGCCAGGTGTATCAGAGAGATACAGCCATGGGGGTCAGGTGTGGTAGCAGGAATAATGTGGGAGGCCAGATTGAAGTCTGGGCCAGGAACAATGGCAATTGTAGGAGACTCAACAAAGAGTGAGTATAACTGAAGGAACCAGGGAGCAGAAAGTATATGCGTCAGGTATGAGGAAGAAAATAGATTTTGGAAGTTATGAGAGCTGTAGAGAGTGAGTTGAGCATAGTTTGTGATTTTTAGGGCCTCTAAAAGTATTAGAGTGGTGGCAGCCACCACATGCAGACATGAGGGCTAGGCTAAAACAGTAAGGTCAAGTTGTTTGGATAAAAAGGCCACAGGGCATGGTCCCGGTCCTTGTGTAAGAATTTTGACCACACAACCCTGCACTTCAGGTGTGTGTAATGAAAAAAAAAGGTAAGGATGAATCAGGGAGAGCTAGTGTGGGAGCGGTCTCTAAAGCTGTCTTCAAGGAATAGAAAGAGGAGTGGGGAAAGGATTTAGGATCTATGGGGTCAGCTAGGTTTCCTTTTGTGAGTTTATTTAATGGTTTTGTTAGGATGGCAAAACCAGATATCCAAAGGCGAAAGTATCCAAGCATGCCCAGGAAGGAAAGGAGTTGTTATTTTGTAGAAGGGGTTGGGGGTTGAGAGATCAGTTGGACATGATCGGCAGGGAGAGCACGTGTGTTTTTATGAAGAATTATGCCAAAATAGGTAATGGATGAGGAAGAAATTTGGGCTTGACTGAAGTAATGGGGGCTGTCGGTGAAGCCTTGCAGCAGTACAGCCCAGGTAAGTTGCTGAGGCTGATGGGTGTCAGGGTCAGTCCAAGTGAAAGCGGAGAGATGCTGGGATGAAGGGTGCAAAGGAACAGTAAAGAAAGCATGTTTGAGACCCAGAGCAGAATAATGGGTTTTGGAGGGGTTGTGGAGGGAGGTATTGAGGATAGGAGAGTATATGGGTTTGGCACCACGGGGTGGATAGGCAAGACAATTTGGTTGATAAGGCACAGATCCTGAACTAACCTGTAAGGCTTGTCCAGTTTTTGGACAGGTAAAATGGGGGAATTGTAAGGAGAGTTAATAGGCTTTAAAAGGCCATGCTGTAACAGGCGAGTGATAACAGGCTTTAATCCTTTTAAAGCGTGCTGCGGGATGGGATATTGGTGTTGAGTGTGGTAAGGGTGATTAGGTTTTAATGGGATAGTAATGGATGTGTGATCGGTTACCAGGGAGGGAGTAGAGGTGTCCTATACTTGTGGGTTAAGCTGGGGGGATATGAGAGGAAGATGTGAAGGAGGCTTTGGGTTGGGAAGAAGGGTGGCAATGAGATGTGGCTGTAGTCCAGGAATACTCATGGAAGCAGATAATTTGGTTAAAATATCTCGGCCTAATAAGGGAACTGGGCAGGTGGGAATAACTAAAAAAGAGTGCATAAAAGAATATTGTCCAAGTTGGCACAAGAGTGGGGGAGTTTTAAGGGGTTTTGAAGCTTGACTGTCAATACCTACAACAGTTATGGGGGCAAGGGAAACATGCCTTTGAAAAGAAGGTAATGTGGAGTGGGTAGCCTCCGTATTGATTAAACAGGGGATGGACTTACCCTCCACTGTAAGAGTTACCTAAAGTGTCTGTGATGTTCCAGGAGGCTTTCTAGGCAATTGGGCAGCATCAGTCTTCAGCCGCTAAGCTGAGAAGATCTGGGAAGGAGTCAGTCAGAGAGCCTTGGGCCAGAGTTCCAGAGGCTGCTAGGCGAGTTGGACAGTCCGATTTCCAGTGGGATCCCACACAGATGGGACATGGCTTAGGAGGAATCCTGGGCTGGGGGCATTCCTTGGCCCAGTGGCCAGATTTCTGGCACTTGAATTAAGATCCAGGGGGAGGAGGTCCTGAAGGAAGCCCTGACCACTGTGGCTTAGGCGTTTTGAAGTTCTTGTGTGCTGGAGATGTGGCTGGAGTTTCTCTCACAGTGGAAGCAAGGAATTGCAACTCAGAAATACATTGCTACTTGGCTGTCTCTATTATTGTACACCTTGAAGGCAAGGTTAATTAAGTCCTGTGGTGGGGTTTGAGGGCTGGAATCTAATTTTTGGAGCTTTTTTTTTTTTATGTCAGGAGCTGACTGGGTAACAAAATGCATATTGAGAATAAGATGGACTTCTGGCCCTTCTGGGTCTAGGGCTGTAAAGCATCTCAGGATTGCTGCCAAACGGGCCATGAACCAGGCTGGGTTTTTCATATTTGATGAAAAAGAGCCTAAACACTAACTGATTTGGGAGAGGTCAAATAAAGAAAATGGAGCATTAACCTTGGCTATGCCTTCAGCTCTAGCCACCTCTTTAAGAGGAAATTGTTGGGCAGGTGGGGGAGGGCTAGTTGTGGAACAAAACTGTAAGCCAGACTGGGTGTGGGGAGAGGAGGTGATAGAAGGATTACAGGGTGGAGGAGCAGAATCTGAGGAAGAATTGGAGTCTGATTCAGCCTGGTGGGGAGTGACCTGAGGAGCAGTCTGGGGATGAGGGGAGAGGTCAGATGGATCGGTAGAAAAGGAAGATTGAAAAGACTCAGCAATGCTTGGGGTTGGGACTGAGGGCACAGGCAGGAGGGAAAGAAGGAGGATTTGGGACGAAACGCATTGGGAACAGAGACTAGGGAGGGACCGATGTGTAAAAGAATGCCTGGACGTCAGACACCTCAGACCATTTGCCCATTTTACAACAAGAATTATCTAGATCTTGTAGGATGGAAAAATCAAAAGTGCCATTTTCTGGCTATTTGGAACTATTGTTGGGTTTGTATTGGGGTCAAGAGGCATTTCAGAAGAAAATAAGGCATTTAGGTTTAGGTCAGGTGTGAGTTGAAGAGGTTTTAAGTTTTGAGAACACAGGCTAAGGGAGAAGAGGGAGGAATGGAGGGTGGAAGTTTGCCCATAGTGAAGGAGGCAAGCCCAGAGAAAAGAAAGGGTAGAGACATGGAGAGAAGTGGTGGGGGGTGCTTGCCCCCCAGGAAAGTGGAGAGAAAAGAGAGGGTAGAGACAAGGAGAGAAGGAATTTCACAAGGTAATGTCATCAGTTAAGGCAGGAACCAGCCATTTTCATGTCTTTTGTGATTCTTCACTTTCTTCAGGCCATCTGGATGTATACGTGGAGGCTTGGGCTCAGAGGCCTGGCACTGCTGATCATCAGTTTCAGGTTTTTCTGTTTATTGGGAGACTGCCTTTCCCTGGCACTGGCTGTGACCAATTATTATTTTAGAGAGGCAGTTTAACAACTACCTGACCATCACCTGATGGTTGCCTGACATTTCTGGTGGGATGGGGAGCCTCTCTTGCCCTGCTTATTTATGACTAGTTACCTACCATAATAATAGCAATGATATCAACTATGAATTACATGTATTGAATATTTATTATGTGCCAGGTATTTTGCCTCTACTATCTCAATTAAACCTCAAAGAATCCTCATTTTATAGATTTTTAAACCAATACTTAGAAAGGATATCTAAATTGTTCATACCTAGCAAGTGATAGGATAGGGATTTAAACCAAGGCAGTCTGATTCCAAAGCCACCATGTTTAAGCAAGCTGCTACACAGCTCAAAACAAAGATTTATGCATAAAAGAGTAAGAGTGGCAGGTAGATTTTACTAGAGCTGAGCTCAAATATATAAACCAGGCATCAAAAGAAAAGGATGATTATTGGTCCTACAAAGAAAAATAAGGAAAGGGTAATTAACGATCTGTTGGACCAGTACTAAATAGAATTCAAAGGTGCCTTAATCCCTTCTGGAAACATTCTCTAAAACTCAAGATTGATACAGGAGGTAGTTAGGCATAAACCACAATTAACCAGTGCATGGGAAAGGCAAAACTAAGGGTTTTAGGGAAGTTGAAACTTTGCCTCTGAAAATTTGAGTCTAAGTCTGCTGAAATTATTTGACAATTTTGAAAATAAACACAATTTAAAAGCTGTTGGAACCCCCAAAACACTTTAAGCCTTAAGAAAGATGTGACTGTGATCTGAGTCACATATGGTTACAACTTCTATTTCTCAGATTATAAATTAACTCACTTTCTTATTTATCTTTTTCTTCACAGTGACTAGACAGAATTAAATGATATCAGGGACACAAACCTCTGCCTTTTAGTGACCCTTGTTACAGATTAATTTCTCATTTGTTGTCCTGCTTTGCTTAGACCAGATGACAGAAAACCCATGACTATTATGCCTTCCGTAAAAAGTGTTAAATATACCCTTCCCCAAAAGAAAAACCATCTGTAACCAATCACATTGCTGTAATTATGCTCTAGCCTTGTATGTAAAATGTTGTAATCCTGCTAAAACTCATCTCCCTCTGCCTATCTAAATGAAACCTAAACTTTCCTACTTCTGAATTCTAATTCCATCCCTTAGAAGTTGGTATTTCCAAGAAGGCTATCCTTAAATTCTGCACTTGAATAAACTCTCTTTAAATTAGATTCTGACTCTTTTGATTATTTTAGGTTGGCACAATAGATTATCAGGAGAAAAACAAAACTCATTGTATGCATAGGCATGGGGACCACACACAAAAGTATGAGACTCAAAGAAATCTCACATTTCTTTGAGAGTACTGAAGTTTTAATACCATATGGAAAGGAATAGAGGCTTGGAACATGGAGATCAGTTATGGGAGGGAGAGGGGAGGAATTGCATATCAAGCAAAAAGTATCTTGTTATGCAAATGAAATCTCTCAGGTAGCAGCTCTCAGATTAGATAATAGCCTATAGTGAAAGTTTCTCTGTTAGAACTTCAAAAGTGTCTCTTTTTCCTAAGTTAATCTTTCCTAGATCAAGATAATGTAGATAAGGTCTCAGAGAAATCCTGTTCGCATCTACTGTTTACTTCGCTAATGTAGATTTCCTCTACAGATGTAAATCTCCTCCACAAAAGGACAACTCTTCAGAACTATTCCTTTGTCTGTAGCCCCTCTGAATATCCATCTCAAAATATGCCAAAAAAGTATATTTTGGGGTGAGATACTCTACTTTCCTTCAGGGTGAACATATTTTAAGAGTTTACTTGTAAGTCATGGACATAAACGTGGAAATAATAGACACCGGGGACTCCAAAAGGAAGGAGGGTGGGAGTAAGGGTGAGGATTGAAAACTTACCTGCGGGTTACAATGCCCACTATTTGAGTAATGGGTACACTAGAAGGCCAGTCCCCACTAGTAGGCAATGTACCCATGTAACAATCATAAATATGTACTCCTTGAATCTAAAACTAAAAATTAAAAGTTTAAAAAAGAGTTTACTTATAAGTGATTTAAATTTTTATTAAGCATATTTTAATAAAAATAAATTTAAATCAATTCCCATAATGAATAAAGTATTAAAAAAAGAAAAGGAATATGAAAACCTACATGAATCAAAAAAGATTGACATAGAGATTTGCATGGAAAATGGGGGTGATGGAATCATGTGGTTCAATATTATATTGGTTTCAATGGGCCATTAATATTCATTTTTATGTTCAAATTGACATTTGTTTTCCTCTTTTCTATAATTTTTATGGTGGCAATTACATATTCCATATCTGCTGACCCATGAATCAGATATCCAATGAGACCCTCAGTAGTCTGATCCAAGAAAGGAATTATCTGGCCTTTTGAGGAATAGAGAGTAGAATCGACCTGACTGAAAATGACTCAAGATTCTACCACACCTGGTCTATATTGAGATATGGGTTTTAGGACCCTTTAGAATTGAAATACCATCTTCTTGGAGAATTTCATTTCCAAGTTTTGTGAATGTTAAATATAATGAACCCCAAGTTACTCTTCATATGTTCAGCTCTGTTATTCTTTTATTCTCCATTTTAAAGTTTAACTTCCTGGTTCTGTTCGCTCCCTTGCTTCTAATTTCAGTAAACAACTTTCCCACCAGTCCTAATTAGTAGTTCACATCTGTTCCCTGGTCACCTGCTCCATCCTGACTCATCCTGATCAGCTGCTTTGACCTAAGTCACTCCTGGTCACCTGCTCTGACCTAAGTCACCTCTAGTTACCTGTTCCTAAACGTCCTTCCCACCAAACTACTCACCCCACCACTCTGGCTCATACCCCTGACCTCTTTAAAATAGCCAATCAGAATTAGCTTAGACTGTGCCATCCAACCGTAGCCAATAGGGGAACAACACAGCAGTAGGGGCTACCTGCATCAGGAATAAGAACTCTTTCCCCTCCCCTGTCCAGGTATGCTCTTGCCATTACTCCATTCACAAGTCGCACCCTTCTATAGAAGTAAAAATTGCCTTGCTGAGAGAATTAAATTTATGTTCGAGTGCTATTTCTTTGCAGCACCAAGAAACAAGCATTTTGCATTTCTAACATGAATACATTTAAATATTAAATTTATAAATAGATGGATTGGTGGAAAAGTAGATAAGTGGCTTTCTCAGAGAACTCGTGAATATGCAATGTAAACTATGATGTGAGAAACTTAGTATAATCAAAAAGAATGAATTAAATTCAAATTTTTATCCAAAATAATACACTTTTGAGATTCCATCAGTAAATTGTTTGCCAAAATTACATAGGCCAAATGTAATATTCTATAAGACATTTCATGGCTTGTAACTTTGTGTGTAAAAACAACTCTTTAACTCTCTTATTCTCTAATTTGGCTCAATTTTTCTAAAGTTTCTCTTTTATATGGCCATTCAACGCAGCATGATTGCTGCATATAATATAATATGACAAGATTGCCCATTAACTTGTTTTCTAAAATACCCTTAAGTAACTGAGTTAATACAATATTTAGAATGGAGCAATCAGGTGGGAAATCTTGCTCTTAACTGTAGCGACTGCTGAGCACATAGATTACAGCAGTCTCCCTTCAGCCTTTTATTCATGAGCCTTCAATGACAATTTGTTCCTCCAGGAATCTAGTGCTCCAAATCAAACAAAAATTTTAAAGACAATGTTTTCTTCTTTAGAAAACAAATTTTAAAATATAATAAAGAGAATTATTCTGCTTGCTTTTTCTTCCTGTGTCTATGAAAACGTTCATACCAGTCTCCATTAACTGCTGAAGTGTGAAATGTATTCAGAACTTTAAAATTAATGTAGTTAACGTATGTTATTTCAGAAGAGAGTTTTTGTAAATGTTGGTCTTTTAAACCTCAATTTTTTCTTATCTAGTAAAGTGAAAATGTAGGATATACTGTTAAATGACATTTCTCTAACTACAACTTAAAGAATCAATTTTTTATCAATAGATCATAAATATTTGTATCTACCAGACATTATATATCGTTTACAACAGAATCTCCTGAGTAGTTACTATTTAATGCAAATTTCTAAGCTGTTGTCTAGATTTACTGAATCAGAATTTCTGGATATCAGGCAAGGTAAACTACATTTTAATTAGTCTCCCAAAGGTTCTTTGGACATATTAAAATTTGAAAGTGTTTGAATTATAGATTCCATAATTCCTCATCTGGATTCCTGGACTTATTTACTGAAGCTTTGTGCAGTGAAAAATACATGTATTTCTACCATATACATACATATGACAAATAAGTTACCAAAATATAATATTCAGATTTTAAATGTAGACTCATTATTTATAATATATTTTTATTTTCAAATATATAAGCCATAATGAATGAGATTTAAGGGAAATTTGATTTTTATTATTGTTAATGGTATTTTATTATTGTTAATGGTATGTGTATCAACCTTAGACCCAGAGCCAGATCAATGAAGTCATTACTTATTTATTCTTTAAATAATCTTATGCCAATCCTTCTACTAAGTGCTGGAGATACAAACATGTATTACACATAGTCCTTCTAGCATTAAACAAAAAAGACTGAAAAACAGATCTCAGCAATATAATGGCTTAATGCAGCACTAGAGATATGCAAAAGTATTTCTGGAAGCACCAAAGAGTACAACTATCTCTTGTTGGGTGGAAAATGAATGGAAAGTATAAAGAAAGGTTCCTTGGAGATGACACATGGGTTGGAACTTAAAAGTAGGAATTAGGTTGCATAGGATGAGAGTTAGAAGCATTCTAGGCACAGACTGTAGAATGAACAGAGATATAGAGATAAGAAATAGCATGGTATGTGCGATAAACTGAGTCATGTAGTGAACTGAAGAGAAAACGGAATGTCAGGAAATGGTTTAGATTTGAAACTTGAAAGACAGGCAAAAGCTAGATCATTAAATGCATAGTGAGAGATGTAAATTGTCTTGGACTTTAAATAATTTTTATTCTGCTTTTCCCTTCTCTGGGACTGAAAATACACATTTGATAGACTACTTGATATTGTCCCAAAAGTTCACTGAGACTGTGAAAGGAAAATAAAATTTTGGGACACCAAACTCACTATATCAAAGGGAAGTTCAGCTTGGGAACAGAGTCACACAAAATCTACCTTCCTTTTTGTTTCTAAACAGATAACTACAAAGATAGGAAGCCACATATCTCTCTAGATGGCTTCCTTCATAAATTCCTTCCAAGAGAATGGCTTATGGACAACAAAATCTTTACCCTAAAACATAATTTTGTTGAATTTCATCCATGTCCCTGCAAAGGACATGATCTCATTCCTTTTTGTGGCTGCACAGTATTCCATGGTATATTTGTGCCACATTTTGTTTATTCAGTCTATCATTGATGGGCATTTGGGTTGGATCCATGTCTTTGCTATTGTAAATAGTGCTGCAATAAACATACGTATGCATGTGTCTTTATAGTAGAATGATTTATATTCCTTTGGGTATATACCCAATAATGGGATTGCTGGGTCAAATGGTATTTCTGGTTCTAGATCCTTGACGAATCACTATACTATCTTCTACGATGGTTGAACTAATTTACATTCCCACCAACAGTTTAAAAGCATTACTATTTATCCACAGCCTTGCCAGCATCTATTGTTTCCTGACTTTTTAATAATCACCATTCTAACTGGCATGGTTTTGATTTGCATTTCTCTGATGATCAGTGATGTTGGGCTTTTTTTCATATGTTTTTTGGCCATATAAATGTCTTCCTTTGAGAAGTGTCTGTTCATATCCTCTGCCCACTTTTTGATGGGTTTTTTTTTATTGTAAATATATTTAAGTTCTTTGTAAATTCTGAATATTAGGGTCTAGTAATTTTTGATTAGGTGATGGATAGTGTGTATTTTACATTGCTGGGGTCTAGATTTTGGTCTGATAGGCAGTATATTTAGTTGATCCTTTTGAAGCTTGTTTTTAAGCTTTGAAGAGAGGGTATTAAAATACTCCCTCTCAATGGGTGTTCCACAAGATAATTAAACCCTAATGTCTAAGGCAATGCTGTAGATAATGAATTAATTTCTCTCTAATGTATTTAGAATGGTATTATACCAAGCTTGAAAGAATTAAGAAAATACTTATTCATATTATGTTTCATAAAACCTCAGTTGAAAAAGACAATTTAGGCACATGACTAAGGTATAACCCCTTTGACATCTCCCCTAAAGGCCAGGTGTTCAAAAAGACTCTTGATTCTAGCTGACCAAAACTCAAATGTCTCCCGGCCCTGTACGAATTCTAGAAACTTTTCAACTTACAGCTTTCCAGCAGTTTTTTTGCCTGGCCTCAGGGAGTTTCTTTTACATAGGCACAGCTTAGTATTTAGCAACAAACTCTACGGGATTCCTATACAGATTTTTTGACATTCTTTCTGCATGCAACTTTAACCTCTTTGTTATTCTGTTCACAAATTCCAGATGCATCAGTCTTCCTGTACACTAGACTCTGTCTGCTTAATTCAATGATACCACTGTGCTCTGATGGAGATAACCAACCCTGCACTGTAGTCCAGAAAGTGCCTGAAAGCAGAAAGCTGGGACTTATCTGACTGTAGGCTTATCTTATTTGTTTTCCTTCTTTCAGAACTGTGCCAACTGCTTGATCAATATCTGAAAATTGCTGCTTCATATGTAGTCCAGTTTTCTAGTTGTTTGTGGAAGGATGGTAAGTCTAGTTCCAGAGTGAAAGTTTCATCTTTGACTTTAAATTATACTTGATGGGGAGCCAATAAGGGATTTTAGTCAAAAGACTGCCATTGTTATATTTTTATTTCAGATCACTGTAGCAGTTCTATGGAAGAAAAATGTGAGAAAGATTAGACTGGTGAAAGAGAGAAGTTCCACAATTATTTAGAAGGTAAAATTATGAGGACTAGATGACTAATTCATATATATATATATATATTTAAAATTATTATACTTTAAGTTCTAGGGTACATGTGCACAACGTGCAGGTTTGATATAAGGTATACATGTGCCATGTTGGTTTGCTGCACCCATCAACTCGTCATTTACATTAGATATTTCTCCTAATGCTATCCCTCCCCCAGCCCCCTACCCCCGACAGGCCCCGCTGTGTGAAGTTCCCTGCCCTGTGTCCAAGTGATCTCATTGTTCAATTCTCACCTATGAGTGAGAACATGCGGTGTTTGGTTGTGTGTCCTTATCATAGTTTGCTGAGAATGATGGTTTCCAGCTTCATCCATGTCCCTGCAAAGGACATGAACTCTAGATGACTTATTGAATATAAAAAATGAAGAGAAAAAAGGAGCCAGAGATAGCTCTAAGAATTCAAGTTTGGGTGTCTGAGTGTTAAAAATTTATATACAGAAGAAGATCTAGTATTGTGGCCATTTCAGTTTTGTCCATATTGCCCTCAAGGCATCTTTGGAACACCCAAACAGAAATAACTTATGAAGAGTTGAATATACAAACTTGAGTTTCAAGTCTGTATATTTTGGGAAAGATCTTGGGTGGAGAGATAAAATCAAGAGTAAGCAGCATATAAATATTAGTTGAAACTATATAGGAAATAGTATTATTCAGGAAGAATATATAGAATCATAAGAGAGCTGAGATAAAACAACACTAACATTTAAGGCACAAAAGCATAAGATGAAGTGAGAGGAGTAAGTCCTGAGAAATGAAGGGAGCCAGGAGATTGTAGAATTGTAGAATCAAGGTAGTAAAGACTCTCAAAAGGAGGGGTTAAACTATGACTTCAAATACAATAAGAAATTCCAGGAAAATAAAGGCTGAAAGAATGGTCACTGGCTTAGGCAATTAAGAGGAAACTAGTAGCCTTTTACCCCTTTAGTACATGAGGATTGCTGTAAGCCAAATGGCAGCAGGTAGAGAAAATGAAAGAGAATAAATAGCAAGCACAGATTACTTTTAAAGGACTAAAGATGCAAGAGGATTGACTAAATTGAAGCTAAAAAAAGATATAGGTCAAGAGTATGTGCCTTTTAGTATAGGTGACTTGAATTCTAGTAAGCCGAAGAGAACTTGAAAGTGCAGGAAAGAGGGAAAAGTAAATGGATTAAGGTCCCAGAAGAGAGAAGCCAAAATAAAATCAAGAACATAGAGGGATTGTTCAGCCTTAATCCAAAGTCTTGACCCCCATTAGTATCAGAAGAAAGAACATATAGGAAAAAGTATCCAAGGCTGCAAAGAAGGCTGGTTCTGAGCAAGAGTTCCTGCGTGGTCTCCAGAGCAATGGCAGGACACTGATCTGAGGATGGTATGCCATAGAGTTTAGGGAGGGAGAGCAAGGGTCTTAGAAACTAGCATCAAGGCCTTATTCGGGGAGATGACCTTCATCCACAACCTTTAGCAGTGAGAAAGACCCTGGTTGGGAACTGTTACCAAAGTGGTTTTTCACATAACATTAAGAGCATTTACATGAGAAGAGATAAATAATGAGGATGTTGATGATAATGATGATGATTAAAATAGACACTCTGATGTACCCCGCCAGGTACTCCCTTCAGGACTGTATTCCCCTGGCTTCTGGGAGTGCTGTTGACCGACAGCCCTCAGCTGCCAGCTTTCTCAGCAAATTAATCTCAGCTGAAAAGAGCTGCCTTCCCCAAGGTAATGATTCTCTCTTGGCTACAGTCTGCACCCAATGACTGGTCAATTCTAGGATATAGAATTCAGCCTCCTTGCCCCAGTTAGTAACAAAATTGAAGATGCAGCCTAACTTCAGAGTTCCTTAAAGGGCCAGCTGAGGCTAAAGACACTGTCAACTTCCTTCCCTTCCTCCACAGATATAGTAGTCACATAAAATACAGGACACTCAGTTAAATTTGAATTTCAGATAATTGGGTCCCAAATGGTGTATTTTATATTAAAAATTACTCATTGTTTACCAAAAATTTAAATTTAACTGGCAGTCCTGTATTATTATTTGCTAATATGACAAGCCTAGCCACAGGTTTAATTCTGAGCATACTCTTTTATTAGTCTGTTCTTACACTACTATAAAGAAATACCTGAGACTGGGTAATTTATAAATAAAAGAGGTTTAATGGGCTCATGGTTCTGTGTCTGGAATTGGTGGGTTCTTGGTCTCGCTGACTTCAAGAATGAAGCCGCGGACGCTTGCAGTGAGTGTTACAGTTCTTAAAGATGGTGTGTCCAGAACTTGTTCCTTCAGATGTTCAGATATGTCTGGAGTTTCTTCCTTCTGGTGGGTTCGTGGTCTTGCTGACTTCAGGAGTGAAGCTGCAGACCTTCACAGTGAGCGTTACAGCTCTTAAAGGTGGCCTGTCCAGAGTTGTTCATTCTTCCTGGTGGGTTTGCAGTCTCACTGGCTTCAGGAGTGAAGCTGCAGACCTTTGCGGTGAGTGTTACAGCTCATAAACACAGTGCAGACCCAAAGGGTGAGCAGCAGCAAGATTTATTGTGAAGAGCAAAAGAATAGAGCCTCCACACTGTGGAAGGGGACCCGAGCAGGTTGCTGCTGCTGGCTTGGATGGCCTACTTTTATTCCCTTATTTGGCCCACCCACATCCAGCTGATTGGTCCATTTTACAGAGAGCTGATTAGTCCATTTTACAGAGTGTTGGTTGGTCCATTTTGACAGAGTGCTGATTGGTGCATTTACAAATCTTTAGCTAGAAAAAAGAGCGCTGGTTGGTGCATTTACAATCCTTCAGCTAGACAGAAAAGTTCTCCAAGTCCCCACCCGACCCAGAAACCCAGCCAGCTTCACCTCTCAGTTCCAAGGCTGTACAAGAAGCAGAGCTGAAGGGGCCTCAGGAAACTTACAATCATGATGTAAAGCAAAAGGAAGCAGGCATGTCTTCACATGGCCAGAGCAGGAGGAAGAGAAAGTGGGGGAAGGTGCTATACACTTTAAAACAACCAGATCTCATGAGAATCTATCAAGAGAACAGCAACGAAAGGATGGTGCTAAACTATTCATGAAGGATCTACCCTTATGATTCAATCACCTCCCACAAGGCCCCACCTCCAACATTGAGGATTATAATTCAACATGAGATTTGGGTAGGGACATAGATCCAAACCGTATCAGCTCCCTAGGTAAACTTCCTTCATGTTAATCTCAGTCTCAGAATTGGCCTCCCAGGGTATCCAAGCTACAACAATCACTAAATTCTGGAACTTAATCAGCTGCAGGTTGGCTGGCAATGAGGAACGATTTTCTAAGAATGTTGGGAATATGTACAGTGCCCAACACAAAGTAACAGCATAGCAGCATAAATATTAACCTCTGACTGGTGGTAAATTGGGATAACATACAAATGGAAGGAATTACACAAGCATATGGAATTTGTCAGGCCTCTGAGCCCAAGCCTGCACCTATACATCCAGATGGCCTGAAGTAACTGAAGAAACACAAAAGAAGTGAAAATGGATGGTTCCTGCCTTAACTGATAACACTACCTTGTGAAATTCCTTTTCATGGCTTATCCTGGTTCGAAAGCTCTCCCACTGAGCACCTTGTGACCCCCGCCCCTGCCCGCCAGAGAACAACCCTCTTTGACTGTAATTTTCTACTACCTACCCAAATCCTATAAAATGGCCCCACCCCTATCTCCCTTCACTGACTCTCTTTTCTGACTCAGCCCACCTGCACCCAGATGAAATAAACAGCCTTGTTGCTCACACAAAGCCTGTTTGGTGATCTCTTCACACGGACGTGCGTGATATTTGGTGCCAAAGACCCGGAACAGGAGGACTCCTTTGGGAGACCAGCCCCTGTCCTCACCCTCACTCCATGAGGAGATCCGCCTACGACCTCAGGTCCTCAGACCAAACAGCCCAAGGAACATCTCACCAATTTCAAATCAGGTAAGCAGTCTTTTCACTCTCTTCTCCAGCCTCTCTTGCTACCCTTCAATCTCCTTCTCTCGCTACCCTTCAATCTCCCTGTCCTTCCAATTCAGTTCTTTTTCCTCCCTAGTAGAGACAAAGGAGACACATTTTATCCGTGGACCCAAAACTCCGGCACTGGTCACGGACTTGGGAAGACAGTCTTCCCTTAGTGTTTAATCACTGCATGGATGCCTGCCTGATTATTCAGCCACACTCCATTGGTGTCTGATCACTGTGGGGATGCCTGCCTTGGTCATTCACCCACATTCCCTTGGTGGCAAGTCAATTGCGGGGACGCCTGCTTTGGCTACTCACCACCCCCCTTCTCTGTGTTTCTACCCTCTCTTTTCTCTGGGCTTGCCTCCTTCACTATGGGCAACCTTCTACCCTCCATTCCCCCTTCTTCTCCCTTAGCCTTTGTTCTCAAAAACTTAAAACCTCTTCAACTCTTGCTTGACCTAAAACCTAAGTGTCTTATTTTCTTCTGCAACACCACTTGGCCCCAATACAAACCATTTAGAAAGAAATGGTTCTAAATAGCCAGAAAATGGCACTTTTGATTTCTCCATTTTACAAGACCTGGATGATTTTTGTCAAAAAATGGGCACATGGGTCTGAAGTGCCTGATGTCCAGTCATTCTTTTACACATTGGTCCCTCCCTAGTCTCTGCTCCCCATGCAACTCATCCCAAATCTTTCTTCTTTCTCTCCTGTCTGTTCCTTCAGTTTCCACCCCAAGCTCTGAGTCCTTTGAATCCTTCTTTTCTACAAACCCATCTGACCTCTCCTCTCCTCCCCAGGCTGCTCCTCATCAGGTCCAGCCAGGTCCGAATTCTTCCTCAGCCTCCACTCCCCCACCGTATTATCCTTTTATCACCTCCCCTTCTCATACCCAATTTGGCTTACAGTTTCCTTCAGCAACTAGCCCTCCCCAACCTGCCCAACAATCTCCTCTTAAAGAGGTGGCTGGAGCTGAAGGCATAGCCAAGGTTAATGCTCCTTTTTCTTTATCCGACCTCTCCCAAATCAGTTAGGGTTTAGGCTCTTTTTCATCAAATATGAAAACCCAGCCCAGTTCATGGCTCATTTGGTGGCAACCCTGAAACGCTTTACAGCCCTAGACCTTGAAGGGTCAGAAGGCTTATTCTCATTATGCATTTTATTACCCAATCTGCTCCCAACATTAAATAAAGCTCAAAAATTAGATTCTGGCCCTCAAACCCCACAACAGGACTTAATTAACCTTGCCTTCAAGGTGTACAATAACAGAGAAGAGTTGCAATTACTTGCCTCTGCTGTGAGAGAAACCCCAGCCACATCTCCAGCACATAAGAACTTCAAAACGCCTAAGCCACAGTGGTCAGGCCTTCCTTCAGGACCTCCTCCCCCAGGATCTTGCTTCAAGTGCCAGAAATCTGGCCACTGGGCCAAGGAATGCCTGCAGCCCAGGATTCCTCCTAAGCCATGTCCCATCTGTGTGGGACCCCACTGGAAATGGGACTGTCCAACTCACCTGGCAGCCACTCCCAGAGTCCCTGGAACTCTGGCCCAAGGCTCTCTGACTGACTCCTTCCCAAATCTTCTCAGCTTAGCAGCTGAAGATTGACGCTGCCCAATTGCCTCGGAAGCCTCCTGGACCATCACAGATGCCTTGGGTAACTCTTACAGTGGAAAGTAAGTCCATTGTCTTCTTAATCTATACAGAGGCTACCCACTCCACATAACCTTCTTTTCAAGGGTGTGTTTCCCTTGCCTCCATAACTGTTGTGGGTATTGATGGCCAGGGTTCTAAACCTCTTAAAACTCCCCAACTGTGGTGCCAACTTGGACAATACTTTTATTCACTTCTTTTTAGTTATCCCCACGTGCCCAGTTCCCTTATTAGGCTGAGACATTTTAACTAAATTATCTGCTTCCCTGACTATTCCTGGGCTATAGCCACACCTCATTGTCACCCATTCCCCCAGTTCAAAGTCTCCTTTGCATCCTCCCCTTGTATCTACCCGCCTTAATCCACAGGTATGGGACATCTCTACTCCCTCCCTGGCAACCGATCACATGCCCATTACTATCCCACTAAAACCTAATCACCCTTACCCCACTCAACGCCAATATCCCATCCCACAGCACGCTTTAAAAGGATTAAAGCCTGTTATCACTTGCCTGTTACAGCATAGCCTTTTAAATCCCATAAACTCTCCTTACAAGTCCCCCATTTTACCTGTCCAAAAACCGAAGAAGTCTTACAAGTTAGTTCAGGATCTGTGCCTTATCAACCAAATTATTTTGCTTATCCACCCCATGGTGCCGAACCCATATACTCTCCTATCCTCAATACCTCCCTCCACAACCCCTCCACAACCCATTATTCTGTTCTGGATCTCAAACATGCTTTCTTTACTATTCCTTTGCACCCTTCATCACAGCCTCTCTTCGCTTTCACTTAGACTGATCCTGACACCCATCAGCCTCAGCAACTTACCTATGCTGTACTGCCGCAAGGCTTCACTGACAGCCCCCATTACTTCAGTCAAGCCCAAATTTCTTCCTCATCCATTACCTATCTCAGCATAAATCTTCATGAAAACACATGTGCTCTCCCTGCTGATCATGTCCAGCTAATCTCCCAAACCCCAACCCCTTCTACAAAACAACAACTCCTTTCCTTCCTAGTCATGGTTAGGTACTTCCACCTTTGGATACCTAGTTTTACCATCCTGACTAAACCATTAAATAAACTCACAAAAGCAAACCTAACTGACCCCATAGATCCTAAATCCTTTCACCACTCCTCTTTCCATTCGTTAAAAACAGCCCTAGAAGCTGTTCCCACACTAGCTCTCCCTAACTCATCCCAACACTTTTCATTACACACAGCCAAAGTACAGGGCTGTGCAGTCAAAATTCTTACACAAGAGCCAGTACCACACCCTATAGTCTTTCTGTCCAAACAACTTGACCTTACTGTTTTAGGCTGGCCCCCACATTATTCCTGATACCACACCTGACCCCCATGACTGTATCTCTCTAATCCACCTGGCATTCACTCAATTTCCCCATATATCCTTCTTTCCTGTTCCTTACCCTGATCACACTTGGTTTATTGATGGCATTTCCACCAGGCCTAACTGCCATTCACCAGCAAAGGCAGGCTATGCTATAGTATCTTCAACATCTATCCTTGAGGCTACTGCTCTGCCCCACTCCACTACCTCTCAGCAAGCCGAACTCATTGCCTTAACTCAGGCCCTTACTCTTGCAAAAGAGACTACACATCAATATTTATACTGACTCTAAATATGCCTTTCATATCCTGTACCACCATGCTGTTATTTGGGCAGAAAAAAGGTTTCCTCACTATGCCTCTTTAATAAAAACTCTTCTCAAGGCCACTTTACTTCCAAAGGAAGCTGCAGTCATTCACTGCAAGGGCCATTAAAAGGCATCAGATCTCATCACTCAGGGCAGCGCTTATGCTGATAAGGCAGCTAAAAGAAGCAGCTAGCATCCCAACCTCTGTCCCTCACGGCCAGTTTTTCTCCTTCTCATCAGTCACTCCCACCTACTCTCTCAGATGAAACTTCCACCTATCAATCTCTTCCCACACAAGGCAAATGGCTCTTGGACCAAGGAAAATATCTCCTTCCAGCCTCACAGGCCCATTCTATTCTGTCATTTCATAACCTCTTCCTTGTACGTTACAAGCCTCTAGCCCGCCTCTTAGAACCTCTCATTTCCTTTCCATTGTGGAAATCTATCCTCAAGAAAATCACTTCTCAGTGTTCCATCTGCTATTCTACTATTCCTCAGGAATTTCTCAGGCCCCCTCCCTTCGCTACACATCAAGCTTGGGGATTTGCCCCTGCCAAGGACTGGCAAATTGACTTTACTCACATGCCCTGAGTCAGAAAACTAAAATACCTCTTGGTCTGGGTAGACACTTTCACTGGATGGGTAGAGGTCTTTCCCACAGGGTCTGAGAAGGCCACCATGGTCATTTCTTCCCTTCTGTCAAACATAATTCCTCAGTTTGGCCTTCCCACCTCTATACAGTCTAATAACGGACTGGCCTTCATCCCTACTATCTTCTGTCTAGTCATACTCCTATTCACTATTCTCAACTACTCATAAATGCCCTGCCCTTGTTTACACTGCTGGTTTACACTTTTCCTCCAAACCATCATAACTGATATCTCCTGGTTTTACCTCAAACTGCCACCCTTAAGTCTCTCAAAGTGGATAGAAGATCTTCAGTGGCAAGGTACACTCCAATACTTTCACCCTGATGAGGTCCTATTCTTTACTTTTACATTCACTCTTACTCTCATTCCTGTTCTTATGCCACCTTCTACCTCTCCCCAGCTATCTCCACCACACTATCAATTTCACTCACTCCCTCCTAGCCGTTTCTAATCCTTCTTTAACAAACAATTGCTGGCTTTGCATTTCTCTTTCCTCCAAAATTGCCGAGGCCTTGACTTACTGCTGAAAAAAGAGAACTCTGTATATTTTAAAATGAAGAGTGTTTTTACAAAACTAAATCAATCTGGCCTGGTATATGACAACATAAAAAAACTCAAGGATAGAGCCCAAAAAACTCGCCAACCAAGTAATTATGCTGAACCCCCTTGGGCACTCTCTAATTGGATGTCCTGGGTCCTCCCAATTCTTAGTCCTTTAATACCTGTTTTTCTACGTCTCTTATTTGGACCTGTGTCTTCCGTTTAGTTTCTCAATTCTTACAAAACCATATCCAGGCCATCACCAATCATTCTATACGACAAATGTTTTTTCTAACATCCCCACAATATCACCCCCTACCACAAAATCTTCCTTCAGCTTAATCTCTCCCACTCTAGGTTCCCACGCCACCCCAATCCCACTCAAAGCAGCCTTGAGAAACATCACCCATTATCTCTCTATACCACCCCCCAAAATTTTCACTGCCCTAACACTTCAACACTATTTTATTTTATTTTTCTTATTAATATAAGAAGACAGGAATGTCAGGCCTCTGAGCCCAAGCCGGCACGTATACATCCAGATGGCCTGAAGTAACCAAAGAATCACAAAAGGAAGTGAAAATGGCAGGTTCCTGCCTTAACTGATAACATTACCTTGTGAAATTCCTTCTCCTAGCTTATCCTGGCTCAAAAGCTCCCCCACTGAGCACCTTGTGACCCCCCGCCCCTGCCCGCCAGAGAACAACCCTCTTTGACTGTAATTTTCCGCTACCTAACCCAAATCCTATAAAACGGCCCCACCCCATCTCCCTTTGCTGACTCTCTTTTCAGACTCAACCCACCTGCACCCAGATGAAATAAACAGCCTTGTTGCTCACACAAAGCCTGTTTGGTGGTCTCTTCACAAGGACGTGCATGACAGAATTCATCTACAGTTTGAGAAATGTTGGGAAAATAGTAAAATTATAATGACAATGGAATCAGATGGCTGCTGCTGGAGACCATGCTTTAGAAAATATGATTTTAAAGTAGCTGAAGATGATTAAATAGCATAAAGACTAAGGGTAAAAGAAGGAGGATTTCAAGGACATCAAGGAGATACTTGGTGGCAAGTTGACACCTTCTACCCTGGAAGAGTAATGATTTATTTTGCCTGCTATAAACATATTAAGATATAAGTTGCAATTTCTTTTTCTTTTCTTTTCTTTTTTTTTTTTTTTTTTTTTTTGAGACAGAGTCTCACTCTGTTGCCCAGGCTGGAGTGTAGTGGCACAATCTTGGCTCACTGCAACCTCCACCTCCTGGGTTCAAGCAATTCTCTTACCTCAGCCTCCTGAGTAGCTGAGATTACAGGCACATGCCACCATGCCTGGCTAATTTTGGCATTTTTAGTAGAGACAGGGTTTTGGCATGTTGGTCAGACTGGTCTTAAACTCCTGGCTTCAGGTGATCCGCCTGCCTTGGCCTCCCAAAGTGCTGGGATTACAGGCATAAGCCACTGTGCCCAGCTGCCATTCCTTTCTATAGAGCCTTAGACTATATTATTATCCAAATGTTTAAAGAGTATTTGCTCTGTCAACATGGAATCCCACACAAAGTCACATCAGACCAATGGAAGCACAGCAGTAGACACATGAGCTTGAGATTCCATGGTCCTCTCACATACAGAATTACCCAGAATCTGCCAGCCTGCTAAAGCAAAGAAAAGCCTACTCAAGAAGGTATGGCTAAGGCACCAGCTCAGAGACAATACCCTATAAGAATGGGCCACTGTCCTCCAGAATGCAAATGCACATACACACACATATACACATACACACATATACATAGATAATGGCTGTGTCCTCAAGACATAAATGCATGGGTCTGAAAACCAAGAGATGGAAGAAAAGATCATCTCACTTATATCACTCCCTGTGAAACACCACATGGGGAATTTTTGTTTCCTGCCTCACAGTGCTGGGCTCTGCAGGTTGAGAAGTCCTGACTACCAAAGAAAGAATGCTTCTACTAGGGGAAACAGCAAGAGTCCCCGTGAACCTTAATCTATGGCTGTCAGTCTAGCACTTTGGACTTCACATAACAAGGGAGCAGCAGAAAAGAAAAATCACCTGGTTGGTAGAGGTAATTGAATTTGATCATCAGGAGGAGATAAAGCTACCAATATACAACAGAGGCAGGGAGAAACATATTTGACACATAAGTGAGCCACTTAATGTCACTTGTTATTCCCTTGCCCAATTTTGATGGTAAATGGATAAATACAGAAGCCATGCCTGAAAATGGCATAGAGACCAGGAACAGTACACTCCCTAAGAAGTACTATGACAGGATAACATAGAAGGAGCATAAAAAATAAGAAGATAAGAATATTAGATGAAAGTCATGCAGAAGTCGAAACAGGCTTTCTCTAAACTCAGAGTATATCTATTTCTCCTATAACTGTTAACAAAAAGAGTCAAACTGTGTAAAATATTTGAAAAGATTTATTCTGAGCCAAATATGAGTGACCATGGCCCATGACACAGCCCTCACGAGGTCCTGAGAACATAAGCCCAAGGTGGTCGGGCACAGCTTGATTTCACACATTTTAGAGAGGCATGAGACATCAATCAAAATACATTTAAGAAATACATTGTTTTGGTCCAGAAAGGTGGGTCAACTGAAAACGGGGTTGGGGGTAGGGGGAGGCTTCCAGGCTATAGGTAAATTTAAACATTTTCTAGTTGATAATTAGCTGAGTTAGTCTAAAGACCTGGGATCAGTAGAAAGGAAATGTTGAGGTTAAGATGAAAGATTGTGGCGATCAAGGTTCTTTTGAAGTCTTACAATGGCTGCCCTTAGAGACAATAGATGACAGGTGTTTCCTATTCAGATCTTTAAGAGGTGCTAGACTTTTAGTTAATCTCTTTAGGATTGGGAGGGCCTGGAAGAAAAAGATCTAGCTATGTTAACAGATTCTTTACAGATGCAAATTTTCCCCCACAAAGGACAGCTTTGCAGGGCCATTTCGAGATACCGCAAAGAAATATGTTTTGGGATAAAAATTTTTAATTTTCTTTCTTGTCTCATTATATTATGCCAAAGTCAGGTTGGAAAGTAAGTCATGATATATAGAGTTAAATATAACCCATCTGATAAGAATTTATGTTTTGTAGGGCATGACTCCCCAGACCCCTTAGATAGGAATTTGGGTAAAACAAAAAAAAATCAGCTCTTAGTCCTCATAACCTTCACCAGATTCCCCAAGGAGTATGATCTATTATCATTGAAAAAAAGATTACATTATAAAGAATGCAAATTAGTATTCATTGCAAATTTACTATGTGTCAGTTTTCTTATATTATTTCACTTTAATGCTCATTAAAAACCCTGTAAATTAAGTCTTAATAGCCACAGATTAGGAGATTGAGTTTTAAGAAATGAATAATGGAAAGACATTTTCACTACAATATATCCACATGGAAAATTAATATGAGCTTCAGACAGATAGAATAAAACCATGGAAACTGAAAACAGAACTGAGGTCAGGCATGATGGTTCACACATGTAATACCAGAAATTTGGGAGGCTGAAGTGGAAGGATCACTTGAGACCAGGTGTTTAAGACCAGCCTGGACAATATTGCAAGACCCTATCTCTAAAAAATAAATAAAAATAAAAATAAGAAAACAGAACTGAGATGACCAAATATAAGTACTCAGAAGTAGCACTGTGCAATGTAACTTTCTAAGATGATGGGGGAATGTTTAGTATCTGTGCTGTCCAATATTCTATATATTTGTTCTGTTCAATACTGTAGCAACTAGCTACAAGAAGCTACTGAGCAATTAAAATGTGGCCAATGCAACTGAGGAATTAAATTTCTACTTTTATTTAACTTTAATTATTTAAATTTGAATTTAAATTGCCGCTTGTATTACATGGTACAACTCTACAGGATCCCTGGAATTTTTCTTGTCTCTCTAATAAAATATACCCAGAGGTTAAGATGCTAATTACAAGAAAAGCAATGCAACTCTGAATTTCCAGAACAAGATTTCTAGTATACTGATCACACTTTTTCTTCTCCCTCAAGTAATGACAAAATTGGACACATTGCATGCCAAGCTGTAATTCTTAAATGGAGCAAATGTATTATATACTTCGATGAAAGACTTTTAGCAGTCGCTGCTAAGTACAGAGACACACTATTGCACAGAAGCATTCAGAGCTACTTTTCATTTTTCAGTCTGAGTAAATTCTTTCCTTCTCAAAAAATGTAGTGATACGTTAATGTAAACAGCTGGTTTCTATTTTTTGTTTGTATGCCTGTTTTTGTTTAGAGGGACTAGTGTTTAGTTTTTCACAAACTCATTTTTAGATGTCTCCAGTTTATGGTCTACTGTGTGTGCAATCTCCTTCTTCAGGAATTTAGACCAAAAACATTTTTTCTGATTAGGTTGCTCATCATTATTTTCTGAGCTTCCAATTAAGTATCATCTGGCAATCTGGCAATTTCATGAAACATTACAGCAAGCTGTATTTCGATTTTTGCCGTTTATCTTTTAACTCTCATTAAGGAGAATCTATTTTGAGTCCACTGCTGAATTAAGACCTCCAAATATTTCATAAGATTTGATACCTTGCCAAATCCACAAAACCTAAATTCTGCTTAAAAGGATTTTTTAAATTGAGTCCTATGACAGATCATTTACCAAATTGAGTACATTTAACTAATTTTCTGGCTGCTCTCATTCAATCTAATAGATCACATTGAAATCCTTAAATTCTGCCCATTTTACAACCCCCACAAATATTTCAGAGTTAACACTATTTTTCTTCAAGGGAAGCATGAGGTAAGAAAAATATACCACATAGAATGTTAACAATGTACCTATCTCTATCTCCACATACATATTCACTTGTCTCACCTCCTTTACTGAGATGTAGGACATATGGATTTTCAAAGACTAGGTATAATAAAACTCTGTCGTATAAATGGGCCAAACTTTCATTGTACAGTTACTGTGACTTTCAAGAAACTGGCTAGAATCCAGAAGCCACGCAAAAAGAATCTAAAAATTATTAAACTCTCTAAAGCCAACAATTCTGGGTTTTTATCTTGATTCTGTTGTTGAACATTAGAAAATTATTTAATGTATCTGTACCTCTGTTTCTTCATCTATAGAGTGGAAATAATAATTATAATACCTTCTTCATAATGTTGCTTTAATAGTTAAATGAGTTAATACTTTCAAAGCACTTCAAATAGTGTCTGGCATACAAGCAAACCAGCATAAGTTAACATAAATATGATAGAATCATGGTATACTGCTACTAAATGTAACTTTAGATGTTGTTCATTTTATGTGTAAATTTAACACTTGTATGATGTTAAAAATACTTTTTATACCTGCTTTTGGGATTTTAGTATTTAAATTCTGAAAACAGCAAGAAACTTCTAAATATTTATTTATGATTTGATAATAAGCAGAATTTACTTAAAAGAGAGCTGCCATCCAATATAGAAATTGGTATTGTGACATTTCTGACACTGATATAAATATGAACTTTATGTTTCTAATGGAAACTATGCCTGCAATTCTCATATGATAACAGGTATGGGCAGTGATGTACCTACAGTTACCATCTTCTTGATTTTGAGCAAATTTTCTTATTCAAGCAATATTACTTTATCACTTCTATTTCAGACATTCTGCTAAGTATGGGCAAAAAATATTAATGAAACTGCTTTTATAGTATTTACTGTAGCAGAGGATAAGACATTAAAGAAGTCACACAAATGTGAAATTTCAATTGATATATATGAATTTGAACATATTAATTTAGGAATTTGACCTAGTCAGGAATTTTCTGTAAAGAAGAGATAAATAATAAGACTGAGTCCTAAAAGGTGAGAGAAAATTAACTAAATAGATGAAAGAAAACCATTCCTAAGAAAATAGCATGAGCAAAATCTCATGGAATGAAGTGAAGAGAGTAAGGTAAATGAGATCTTTAACAAAGCTGTCTAGTAGGTAGAGAACAGATCATGCAGAGATTACAAGGCCATGTTAAGGAGTTTTGCCCACATTCTATGACCAATGGAAAGCCATTGAAGGATTCAAACCAAGATGTGGAGAAGAGAAAAACATGACCCAGTTGACTTTTAAACAAGATCAGCCAGGCTGCAATGAGAAGATAAACTGATAGAGGAGTCAAGAGTTAACTATTAAATAAATCAGTTGGGAAGCTATTTCAACATGATGCTTCATCTAACAGGTGAGTGGTGGAGATGGAGAGAAGTATAAATTCAAGAGATACTTAGGTATCTTGATGATTCACCAGATGTGGAAGATGAGAAAGAAGGAGACATCAAAGATGATTTCTAAGTTTCCAACTTGTATAACTGAACCAGATTTGGGAAAAGAGGACCATTAATTTTTTTTTCTTGGTCATGTTGCATTTGAAATGCCTTTAAAATATTCAAGTGAATATATTAAATTGGCAGCAGGAAAATGTCTGATTATAAACATAATAAAGTAACTGGTACCAGACTATTCCTCCCATGGTAAATGACTGTAAAATTGGACAACACACATAGCGATATTGTCAGACATTAGTCAAAAGGCAGCACAAAACTCTGATCCCTGAGAAAGAGGAAACACACAAAGTAAGCCCCATAATTGGCCTGAATTTCTACAGGGGAAATCTTTCCAGACTATAATGCAGGGAGGCAAGTTAAGCAGAGCACAGCAGTATCATTGAGCTGAGGAAGCAAAAATCAATGTTTAAAGTTGCTAAGAAGGCTGAAGTATGTGGAACTGGCTACTGCAGACAAGGAAGCCATGAAGACAAAGACCTCACAAATCTATATAGGGGTCCTCTTACTACATTGGCTAAATTCTAAAGCTGTGCATGCACATGGTGAGACTCAGGAAGATGGTAGAGAACAACTGCTAGGTATTTGTGAAATAAAATGTATATCTTTGTGGTTTCAAATTGGTTGAAGAAATAGAAATTCTGACCAGCAACCATGGAAAGATCTTGCTAAAAACCCCAGGCGCTCAGTTGAGACTTCTTACAAAGGCCATAGCTTAGAAGCAGAACTACTCTAGCTATAGAAGAAGATCTACCCTAGACCTTTAATAAAGTTGATATAGCTTAAAAACAGGTTTCAAAGAATTATGATGATCCACCAGTAAATTTCCTGCCTGCCAGCTCAAAATCCAAACTTTTAAAGAAAAAAAATCATACTTTTATAAATATGTTTTACAATATCTAGTACACTATCAAAAATTACTAGATGTGAAGAAATAAGACCATAGCAGCAGAGGCTACTTTAAGATATCCCAGCAGCTAAACCTAAGCCCCAATGGTAAAGAAAAAGAATAAAAGCACAATGCACCCAAGACAGAGAAAAAAAAAAAAAAAAAAAGTAACAATAAGCATAAAAAGAAGAAGAGAAAGAACAAATAGAACATCAAAACTACTAGATCAGACAGCATCCAAAAATAAAGAACCTATGATTTAAATACCGTGAGATTTCTGTGAGTCAAAAATTACTAGATATTTTTCTTTAAAAAATTAAATAGTTTAATTGAAAGAATGGCCACTATTGATAACCCAATTAGTGTCTTTAAAGATCCAGAGGAAAACATATCTCAAAAGAAAAAAAAATTTATGGAGAAGTTAATCATAAGGAAAAAGGAAAAAATAGATCTAAAATATCTAATAAATAAATCATGAAATTTCAGGGAAAAAGTAACAAAGAAAAAATTAAAGACATTATAATGAAAAAAATTTGTGATTTTAAAAAATGTTTTGAATCTGTACGTTTAAGGTTCTTACTGAGGTTCAGGAAGATTTTACAAGACATACAGTAGGGCATACATGGCAATAATGGAATTTGAAGGTGTAGTATGCTGAATAATGACCCACAAAGATGGCAATTCCTAATCCCTGGCACCTGTGAATGTTACTTTGAATAGTAAAGTCTGCAGGTGTGATTAAATTGAGAATCTTGATGTGAGATTTATCCTGAATTATCTGGATAGGGCCTAAATGCCATCATATGTGTGTATAAGAGAGCATCAGATAGATACTACACACAGAAGAAAAGGCCAAGTGACCACAGAGACAGAGATTGGAGTGATGTCCAGTCTCAAGGAATGCCAGCAGCCATCAGAGCCTGGAAAACAAGATTTATTCTGAAGGCTATTCATTGCTCGTCTATTTTAATAATCCCCTAAACATTTAAAGCAAATGTCTGTAGCACATTCAGGAGCTGGCAGAGGCAAAGGGTGGAATCCCCCCTAGAGCCTCTAGAGGGAGTGCACCTCTGCCAACACCTTGATTTCGGCCAGGTGATACAGATTTCAGCCTTCTATTCTCCAGAACTGTAAGAGAATAATTTTTTTGTTGTTTAAGCCACCCTATTTATGATAATTTATTACAGCAACCACAGAACACTAACACAGAAGGTAAAGAGAAAATTTTACAAGTTTTCAAGGAGCAAAAACAAGTTACTCAAGATTGAAAATAAATGAAAAAATATAATTCCATAAGAATGAAGAAAACAGGAGAGTAGAGAACAACAAACAAGAGCTGTCAAAATTATCATGAAAGATATGAAACATAATCATGGTACAATCTACATGTAGTTCAGTGGTCAAAATATTCTAAAGATTGATAGTGAAAACCAAAAATAGTGATAAAACTACATTGAGAGGCAGTAGGAAGGGGAAGTCATGTAAATAAGATCCATCCTTAACTACAATAACAGAAGCCAATAGATACCTAAAATTAATAAAACAAAAGCTAGCAGCAGAAGCAGATTCTTTAGAAATAGTGGAAATTATACAGATGCAAAGAAGCGCGTGCAGCTCTCCTCTAAAGGGCAGGATCTGGGGTGGAGAAGAGCGGGGTAGAAAGCTACTGTGTTTGCTATAAGTTTTTAAACTGATTTTTCCTTACGTACATGTACTGGATTGATTAAAATTCAAACATAAGAACACAATTACCACAAATAACAAGAAGCTACTGTCTTCTGGCTCGTCACAGTAATTGAGGCCTCCCTTCTCTTTCTCGATTCTAGGGGGAAATAAGCCAATGGGTCATTAGCTCATTGTGACAGCCTTAAGAGACAGGAACCTGCAAGATCCTGACAGAGAGAAGTCTTTGGAAAGGCAGTAGGGGAAATGCTTCGAAAGGTCTGAGCTCTATTCACCAACTGGGCTGCTACAATTGGTATTACGCATTCATCAGAATGGACCTTTCTCCAACTGTCCCAGGACTGAAAAGATATCGATCCTGGCTACTCATGGCCTAGGAGGAACCACACTGGAGCTGCCCAAGCTCCAGGGATAGAATATTCTATCACCGAGGGTTTTCTGCTCTGAAGCCAAAAGTGGAAGAATGAGACCTGAAAAACTATTCAGTCTTAGCTTTTCCTATTATGGGCTTGTGCCCACTAAATAGGATGTTTTTGTTTGTTTGTTCAAGTGCCCAATACTAAAGGGGGTATCGATTTATTTGAACTAGGCAAGTAGACTAAAGTGAAGTGCAGTAAGTGATGGTTAATCAATAGAGTCAGCCTTCAGAAGCTATTCTGCAACACTCCAGAGTAACTGTTTGCTATTCACAAAGTCTCACTGGAGAGTTTCTTCAGCTTCTGACCATCACAGCCTGCTTGGCACTTCCCAGATCTCTCTTACAGTTATCATTCTGTCAGTCTTTTAAACATGGCCATTCAAACCCAGTCCATAGACCTGCAGATAAATATCAAACTGCTGGCTTTATTCTCAGCTCCTTCTCTTTCAAATGCAACACACACATACATACATACACACATACATATACACACACATACGTACATCAGTTAGTACAAACAAATACTAGAGAGGTGTTTTCCTCATTACCGCTTTTGGAGTTCAGCTTGATGAATTCAAAATATATGTGGCATGAGCAAATGAGAAATAAAGAGACAAAGAAGTGCCCTGTCAAGTACAGTAGCAAATATACATAGGGCTTACTACGTGTCAGGCACTTGGGACCTATAAGTAACCTATATTAACTTATTTAATTATCACAATTGCATGAGATAGTTATTTTCATAATCCTCATTTAAGACATAGAAATCAAGAGATAAAAGATTTAACTTGCTCAAGGTTGCACAGGTAGTAAGCAACAGAAGAGGGATTTGAACTCAGGCGATCTGGCTCTAGAGTCTGTGTTCTTCACCACAATACAATAATGCCACTCAAGCCATATTTAGGTTCTTAACGTGATAGACTGTGCACGCTTGGTTTCTCTCTAGTTGTTCCTAGCACAATGTGATTATACCATTGGCTCACAAATAAAAGTGTCTAATAAAATCTGCTCAGGGGCATGGGTAATTTCCATAACATCAAGCTACCTTGAAGGTTTTCAAGGATTGGTGTCATCCAGTGTGATGTCATTATCAAGGACAAGAATATTGTTACAGCTAGCTGGTGATGCTGCCTCTCCCTTTCTGGAAAAATACGAGTTAATCTGAGGCCCAACAGACCTTTGCCTGGTTTGCCTGTGGAATAATCCAATTCTGACTCAAGGGCAGGTTTTGGTTGAAAAATACAGTTATGGCTTTGTGGAATTAGGGAAATGATAACGTTTCTTGATTTGTTGACTACTAGAGTCATGAGAAGTGAAAAAGTACGGTGAATCTGAGATTACATGCTCAGAGAAGATGGTACAGTGTTTATGACTAAGCCTGACAGAAAACTGGGGAAGATGGGAAAACTTGTAAACAATGATGAGTAAATCTGCTTTGGCTATACTGAGACTGTCAACAAAGACATCTGTTAGCTTAGTAGCTCTGTGAGCTATCAGTCAAGTGTTTATTGACTGCTTCTCGGGAAGATGCTCAGTGGTAAACATTCTATGAAGACAATCACATTATATAAATGCCATCAAACATGTTGGAGAGATTTCCAGCTAACCTCGCCTGAGTACATCTGAGCAGTTCATTAACATCCGGAGAAACATCCAGATCTGAAACTCGTTATTTTAAATCTTTCCAAAGTGAGACACTCAATAAAAAGATCCCAAAATAAAATATGTTTTCTAGTATTTTGATAAATCAACAGTGCTGTGTTTTTCACAACCATCTGATTCTAGCCAGGATTTTAATGCAGCAGTTTGAGCAAACTTGGGAGCAATAATTTATTTCATTTTCTTGAGAATGCACATTGATTTCCTACATAGAAGCTCCGTAGTTCATTTGATTATTTCTAAGTAATCAGGAGCACCATTTTAAACTAGACTACCCTTTTTTCATAGTCTAGTCTAAACTCTCTTTAGGATGCAAAGATTTAATTTCTATTAGTAAGAAAACAATCACTTGTATTTTATATGCATAAATAAAAAAATGTCTCTCAAATATTGGTTATATTATAGGCTAATGTCTCCATTTATAGAATAATTTACTGCATATACTACAGTTACATACTTTATGCAATAAGGTATTGATTTTCAAACTGCTTTTCCAATGCCCAGAGTTCTAGAGTATTGAGCCTTGTTGGGTGGAAAAAAAGGAGAGAACTAAGTGGCCAAGAAAATTGGACTCTGGGTCCACCAGCATCATTCTAATCAATTTTTCAATCTATTCCTAAGTTGCAGTTTTACATATGATATTATTTGGCAAAAATACTTTCTGGCTAAAAATATATAAACCACCACTAATGGAATTTTGTTATAAAAAATTGAAAACTCATTTCCAGTCTTCACTCTTTACAAAAGATTATTATGTTTAGTGGTTTGCAATATGCTTCAATTATTCTCAGCTAATGGTTTATGTAATGTAATATTAAGTAAAATCTCAACTGTAATCAAGAATGACAAAATATTTGAGTCACAATTTAAGATAATATACTCTCAATCTGAAAAAAAGATAAATATTTAGATACTTTTTTCTCAAATAAGTATATTACCTTTCACAATAATTATCAAAATGGGGGGGAGGTTCTTTTTTTTTTAACACCTATCAACAATCATTCTTAGTTACTTGCACTTAAATTGACTATTTCTCTCTAAAATATTCTACTATCTCCACTAGTTTATGTTTCTATTCTTCCACATGAATAAAAATGAAATTATATAATATGCCTGAAGTTCAATAATTTAATTTTACATTAATCCGTTTGCAGTATTCCTAAATTTATTTGAAGTGTTATGTTATCATACAGAAAATTTTTCCACCTTTATAATGAAAACTATTTCAATAATTTTATTGATTCTTCACAATCTATTTCAAGTTATATAGGTAAGAAATATTCAAAACCTCCTAATACAATTTCCTCATAAATGTCAGTGTGTGACCAAGTAGAAAGTACATATACATGAGAATCATTTTGTGCAAAATTAAGTTACAGATTCTCTATTATTCTTCACCATCTTCTTAAATTAAGACAAACTAATAAATTCATATTACTGAATGGAGACTGAAATTATTTTACCTAACACACTTGTTTATTGTTTAGCATAAAAAAGGTAAAGGCCCTACAAAGAGAAATTACTTCCTATTTAATAGTAATATTGTGACCAAAACAAAGTCTTCTATCTAAAGGCCTTTCAACGACATCATCTTGGAAATCAATATTATAAGCAATAGTATGTACATATAGGTATATATGTATAATAAGGAATTGTAGCTGCATGTCTAAATAGGCTTCCTTGAATTCCTCCCCAAGAAATTAAAACAATAATTAAAACACATAGTACACATTCAATTTACAAGTTTTTACAAGATTCTAAAAATAAGTTGTCATTAACATTCAAATTAAAAATAACAAGCATTAAGGCAGTAAATGGTATATAGGAACTAAGGTTGCTTATGCCATGCAAATTTTCCCATTTGTGGAAGGTCTTTCAGTTGGGACAAAATGAAGAGAGAGACAAACAGCTTCTTGGCTTCCCTTTGCCACTGGCTGCACAAGGCACTAGCTCTTTCCTGTGGCACTCCTGGATCTCTTAACTTTCCCAGGGTTTTGGTTATAGGAGTCATTTCTTTTCTTTTATTTTAGAGATAAGTTATCACTATGTTGCCCAGGCTAGCTTCGAGCTCCTCGGCTCAAGTGATCCTCCTGACTCAGCCTCCCGAGTAGCTGGGACCATAGGCATATGCCACTGCAACCAGCTTTTTTATGTAGCAGTCATTTCTAGCTTTCAGAAAATGTGCATCTGCATCATGGGTGCATTCTCATTTGGGTACTTGACTCTCCCATTCCATCCCAAAACCTATGAGAACAAATTTCTTTGTATGATACCCATTTTGGTCACTCTAACAGCCATATATTTTCCCAATTTAAATAAATATGTTGTCCGGGCACAGTGGCTTACACCTGTAATCCCAGTACTTTGGGAGGCCGAGGCAGGCGGATTAGTTGAGGTCTGGAGTTCGAGACCAGCCTGGCTGATATGGTGATACCCCACTTCTACTAAAAATACAAAAATTACCCAGGTGGGGTGGCACACGCCCGTAATTCCAGCTACTCAGGAGGCTGAGGCAGGAAAATCCTTTGAACCTGGAGGGCAGAGGTTGCAGTGAGCCAAGATTGCGCCACTGAACTCCAGCCTGGGCGACACAGTGAGACTCGGTGTCAAAAAATAAATAAATATGTTTATGTTTATGTGTGTTTCTGTCACCATAGCTAGATAGAATTTTTTCAACAGACAAGTGGACAATTAGAAAGTCTAATTTAGTAAATAGACAAGATAGCATACACAAAATTCACCTGGCGCTGGGGGCGGAAGACATTAGGGATAATCACTTGGAGACCAGTAAAGAAAGACATATCTTCAAAAGCAAATAAAAGTGATGTTGAATCTGAAAAATGTGTGTTCACAATTGAAGAAAACATGTATTTTCAAAGACATTAGAGACCAGTGTCTAAGATGAAGAACTTCTGAACACTTCAAGAAATGGAAAATCATTCAGAGGTACTCAAAAGCCTATTTGACTACCCATCAAGAGATAGTGACTGAACCTGAATAAAGAGGTAAAAATGTTAATGAGTAAAAATCATCAATCTTTGTGAGCACATGGTGAAACGACCACATTTATATAGCTACCTGGTAGTGTATAAATTAGTAAATTTTGTAAAAAACAAAACTTATGAAATATTTCCTATATACAACAGAATGTATATAATGCATATATAATATTTAGAGTAATAAAACATTGTATCTACCAAAACGAGTGGGCTAGATGATCCATATTTTTGAATGAAATATCCCCTCTGTACACTATTTAAAACAACAGAAAAAAATCTTGTTCCTATTACCAACTCATATGCGAGGCCATAGACAATAATGCCAACCTAGGATTGAGTAAGTATCAGTGTATAAAGTGAAATCCCTATAAGGGACTCTGGTTGGGAATTCAAGTGCATATGTCTAACTATACCATAGTCTATATGTGGTCAATACATTGACCAATTTTCTGTTGTTTAAAGCTAAAAGCTAAGTATGACACAAAGTAGTGACGATTTGTTTATCATAACCCAACAATTAATACTTGTCTTACAAAAAGAATTTTCAATCATATAAACTTCAGTAAAATATGTTTCTAAATAAGTTCAAAAGCAAATATGAGTAACATTTCATTATTTATCTCATTTAATTTTTTTAATTTTTTTTTTCGCCTCTAAGAACCCATGTTTATGAGGTCCCAGAATGGAATTTAAAATTTAACATTTAAATTTAAAGAATTTAAAATTTAACATTTAAATTTAGAGAATTTAAAATTCACCTGCTTTTAAGTTCTAGGAGAGATTATCCAACAATACGATGAGTCTGGAAGGTGTGTTAGTTTAAACCCTAAGAAAATCTAAGATGGGATTAAACATGCAAGAGGTTCTTTGGGGGGAAATGCCTACGAGGGATGAGGGGAAGGGAGACAATGAAGGAGAGATGCAAGTCTGGTGCTTATTTGGTAGAACTGGGTAAGAAGAGTCTCAGGTTGCAGCCTCTTATTTCCAAGAGAGGATTGACAAGGCCAATGTGGGACCTCATAATGGGCCCATTAGAGGAGTCTGCACGAATGGACTAGCACAGTCCCTAAGCAGTGCTCAGTCACTGACTGGGAGTAGCCCACAAGTAGCAAAGCTTCTGAGTAATTACAGAGTTGGATCGAGAGAGGCAGAAATTGGGGCAGTCAGTCAATTATGTTCCCTGCTGCAGAAGATGCAAGCAGTGCATTTTCCTGGCTGCCACAGGAGAAACGGCATGTGTTATTACCTAGCTAGTTCTCTTCTCCTTTTGGCAGCTGAACTCCTTTCAAAAGATTATGCTTTTTACTGCTCCAAGCAAATATATAAGATTTACTCTTATAAAGGTGGGTAAAGAGGTCAGCATTTGTTTTTGAGGGAGGAAATACCTAGTACATGAGGCCAAGGTCTTTGTAACCAAAATAAGAATTGAATTTGGGCAACAGACTTAACACCAATAGTGACTGAGGATTTTTCCAAAGTAGCTGTGATATATGGCTTCAGTTTTGAGTTGGTGATGTATAGAAATTTATATCAAGCTTATCTAGAAGTTTGCAATTGTGCAATTTTGTTGTTTTTTGTTTTGTTTTGTTCCTCTGCCCTGGCTTGAAAGGCTTTAAGTTTTAGGTTCCATGGTATTTTTTCATTTGGTGGTAACCACAGCCTATGGAAGCTCTTTCTTCAAGGACAGTGCCATATACACTAAGACTAAACTGGATAATCACCGTAAGAAATGTGGGGTTGAGAGCTTCATCAAATGGTTGATCTATAGCAGACTTGGGCTGATTTAGGATACAAGATAGTGCTGTTTCAGCTTCGACCATTCAGGTGCAGCTTCCTAAACAGGTGTGGCTGAGGCAAAGATTCAAATGTAAGAAACAGTCTTTTTATACCTAGGTCTATTAAACATTAGGAGGCAGAACAACATTTGCTAGTATTATGTGGAAAGGATTTAGCAATGCTGAATCTGAGTTTTACATATACTACACTGTACTCATAAAGTTCTAGGTTTGCGTTATCAGTGTCAGACGTAGATGAACAGTACAAAAGAGACATACAAAAATAAAAGGCTCTGAATATGGGATGGGAGAGGGTGTTCTCAAATAAGTTTTGCTCTCTGGAGCTTCCACCATTAAAAATTTCTAAACTTTGAAAAACAGCAGCAGTGTCTCAAATGCTACAATCTGGGAAAGGAGACAGCTCAACAAGGTAAATTGTTTCCCCCATGTACATGCTAAAATTAATCTCTTGCTAATTCCTCCCCATTGAGTTTACAAATTCTGGATAACTAGCATAAAGTGGCTAGCATTATAGGTAAACCAAGAATATTTTCTCAGCCTGAGCTCCTTCACCCAAATACCATTGAGCCTATGCTGTGGTATTTGGCAGCAATATTTAATTAGACTAGATCCCGGGTCCTAGATTCTGGGAACATTATTTGCCTTGCATTCTGGGACTGAAGATTGGCTCATTTCAAAATGTGCTGGGTATGGGCCTAGGGCTGTGACCATCTGGTGTGTCCTATTTATCATTTGGACTCTTTAAAGTGTAGTTCGCCAATCATTGGGCATTAAGCTAATAGAACTTCTGAGGCCCTGAAGGAGCTACACCCATTTCAGTAACAGATAGCCCAGGTTGCAGCTTTTAAAAGAACTCCAACCTTACCAAGCACTTAGAACCCCTCTAGCTGAGACTGAGTAGAATATTAAGCTAAAAAGAATGGATTTCTTTAGCATCTTACAACACAAGGGCAAGAGAATTTGATTTTTGGACTTTATTTCCTTCACTCTTCTTCTTAAATTTGAATTTATGAGCCAGATTTTTTTCTGCTTGCTCCTACAGATCTACTCTATACCCTGCTCTGTGCCCCAGAGGCTGCATAGTCTCCCTTCCTCTGACTTCCCGCTGGATTCAGCCAGTGGAAAGCACCAATAGGATAGGAAGGAAAGTAGGTCAGGGTATTTTTTCCCCTTGGTTCCTTCTCTGCTGGTTTACCAGGAGTTGGTGGCATCCCTCTATTTAAGGCATCACTTTCCATATAACTACATTGTTTAGATTCCAAAAATCTTTTCCTCCCCATGCTTCTTCAGGCCTAAGGTGGTAACAGGCACTGTCTATTGATAACTCAAGAGCGATGGCCATCCTTGTTGGCTTCCCTACACTGTGTCCACATCAGTGTAAACATTCCCTTTGTTAAATTCAACTGCCCAGTTTGAGTGTACCATCTGCTTCCTACTATGACCTGGTGGATACAACTTGAAAGAGAAATTGAGTTTAAAACTTCTCCCTAGGAATTTGGTAGTAGGAAAGGGGTTGTATTTTATGATTTGTCATTTGCTGTCTTTGAAGAACTTCTGATAGGCCATTTTGGATATGTAGCTGGACATATTAGGGATATCAAGTAGCATATAAGTAAACTTCATGCTTGGGTACACGGTGGCCTTGGAGGACTTAATTTAATTGCCTATCACTATGACCTATTGTAAGCCTCTATATGTAAAATCCATAGGGCCTACCAGTGGTCCCAGCAGGTACTCAAAGGAGCAATAACTAGTATTTTCAGAGCAGCCTCAAACAAGTGGAGGAGGGAAGGGTCATCCTGAGAGGCTGCTGTTCACCTTCCCAGTGTACGTTCATACCTTTGGTTGAAGAAAGATTTAATAGTTAAGTCCAATGGATTAAGAGAACAAAAGAAATTTTGATGGTGACAGATGTTTACTGCCCACTCCTGGTGTTTTCTTTGATGCAGAGGGAATCCCATTAGTAAAACATTCTTGGCCTCTATCTACCCCCTCACTCGTCAATTCCTTGAGTGACTTATATGACAGGTGAGTCTGGAAGGGGAAACTAGGTATGCAAAGCCCTGTCTGCTCTTTCCTTTTTTTTTTTTTTTTTTTTTTTAGACAAAGTCTCACTCTGTCACCCAGGCTGGAGTGCAGCGACGCGATCTCAGCTCACTGCAACCTCCGCCTCCGGGGTTCAAGTGATTCTTATGCATCAGCCTCCCAAGTAGTTGGGACTACAGGCATGCGCCACCATGCCTGGCTAATTTTTTTGTATTTTTAGTAGAGACGGGGTTTCACCATGTGGGCCAGACGGGTCTCAAACTCCTGACCTCAGGTCGTCCGCCCACCTCGACCTCCCAAAGTGCTGGGAATACAGGCGTGAGCCACCATGCCCAGCCTGCTCTTTCCATTTTCTTAGGAAGGCCCTGCCTACAACGAGTGGACAGTCAGCTCAGCTCCAGCCGGATTCCTGTCTCTTGGTTTATGGCATGTATGTATGCGGGAGAGACGGCTTCCTTAGTCCGGACAGCTATAACTTGGTGAGAAAATTTGCATAATTGCAAAATTCAGTATTCAAAAATACATTTGTCTGCAAATACAGGGCACATTCTGAAATACTAGCTTTACGTGGGATACAGATAATATTCAGACTTCCATCTGCCTTGCTTCTTGGGGAAAAGAGGTAATATTTATTTTTCCTCCCAATGATCCCCAACAAATATTAATTTAAAATTCCCTTAAATTAAATTCCATACTTTTCAGTATAATATTCTTAATAAAATAAATAATATCATCCTATCACCAAAAACTAAGTTGTGATTTAATTACTTGCTTTAAAAACCAAAAATACTATCATGCCCAGAAAAAACGGAAAGCCTTAAAATTCTATAGCAGTCAGTGAAATAAAAAAAAAAAATAGTTCTGCTATTGTTTGGAAGATTTCAATATATTTAACTAAAATAAATATGTACTTTTTAAAAACTATTAAATTATAACAAATGATAAAAAATTTGATTTAGGGTTACCTTTTCTGTCTTTTCATCATTTTCTGTTTCTGCTCCTTTATCCTCAGTGTATAAAACAGAGGTCAAAATCTGAGAATACATCTCTGTGGTTAACTGTAAGTGCTGATGATGGTGTCTGGTAAAAGAGCTGCTGACACCAGGTCAACATGAATGATAGAAAGAAACATTGCACTCATAAAAGAGCAAGACCTTCCTGGTTTTGTGTCATGTTTGATATTCAAAGGGGCACATACAGAAAGCATTGGTTGGCAAAGATATATTATTATGTGAACACTATCAGAGTTGAAAGAGGAAAATTTATACTTGAGAGAAATAGTTTGTATTAAACAATTGAGGAGTTGCCAGAACACGCCACTGAAGTTTTGCTGACAGGTATGTTCAGAGAAAGATAATATTCAGGTGGAGGTGGGGAGGGGGGTGGATTTCCTAACACCAATCACCATGGTAAGCCCAGCACCAGTCTTGGTGATTTTGTGACACAAAAATCTTGTGGATTTCGCTTTCCAGTGAAACCTTCCTTTCACCAAGGTCTGTGCTGCCCTGTGCTTGAGGTAAAGAGTATAAGACCAACTTGTCCCAGGAGGGAAGTTGTTACAATATAAGTAGCATAGGCCAGAAGGAGAATGTATGGAGTAGATCAGTAAGCTACATGGCTCTCAAGAGAACTTGAGTTCTCTTGAAGATTCATGGCAAGTTGTTCTATGTGTGAACTACTGTGTAAAAATGAAACAATACTTGAGGGAGGAATAGATGTTTCATAAGCCGAGAATGTTACATATTACCGTACTAACTCACACTCATCAAACACAGAAAATTTTATTAAGCACAGTCTGTGTAACAGGAAACTTGCCCTAGCAAGTACCCCAAAGGAAATAACTGTCCTGAAGGACAATGTAGTAGAGGATACAGATTATATATATATATATATATATTTTTTTTTTTTTTTTGAGACTGAGTCTCGCTCTATCACCCAGGCCGGGGTGCAGTGCTGTGATCTTGGCTCACTGCAACCTCCACCTCCCAGGTTCAAGCAATTCTCGTGTCTCAGCCTCCCGAGTAGCTGGGATTGCAGGTGCCCACCATCACGCCTGGCTAATTTTTGTATTTTTAGTAGAGATGGGGTTTCACTATGTTGGCCAGACTGGTCTCGACTTCTGACTTCAAGTGATCCATCTCAGCCTCGGCCTCCCAAAGTGCTGGGATTACAGGTGTGAGCCACCACGCCTGGCTTTATTTATGAAAAGACAAATAATGAAGTACCAGACACTCGTAACAAGGTGATGATGAATTAAGCTAAATACCAAGATTTGCAAAACTATAATGATGTTAGGCTTTTATGATTATCTAATCCAGGACATTAGAACCAGACCAATCTTTAGGGAATAGGGCAGAGTACCTCCAAAAAGGAGCATTTTTACTATTGTCAATGATCCTAAAAGGGGTTAAACCAGAGAGTGTGAGCGGAGAGCTGGATTATAGAGGAAACTTGCCTCTTTCTAAGGACTATTTGATGAATGAAAAAAAATCTGAGAATTATGGAGTGGTTCAAATGGTAGGGTTTGAGCTGTCCCTGGTCAGAGGAGAAAGGCTGAAAACAAGGCAAAGAATAAGCTTATAAGTAACTATTATATTAGTCCATTCTCATGCTGTTAATAAAGACATACCCAAAGCTGGGTAATTTATAAAGGAAAGATATTTAATTGACTCACAGTTCCACACGTCTGGGGAAGCCTAAGAAAACTTACAATCCTGGCAGAAGAGAAAGCAAACACGTCCTTCTTCACATCATGGCAGCAAGGAGAAGTGCAGAGCAAAAGGGGGGGAAAATCCCCTTATAAAACCACCAGATCTCATGAGAACTCACTCACTATCACGAAAACAGGATGGGGGAAATCTCCCCCATGATTCAATTGTCTCCACCTGGTCCCTCTCATGACATGTGGGGATTATGGGAACTACAATTCAAGATGAGATTTGGATGGGTGGATGGGTACACAGCCAACCCATGTCACTACAGATGTGGGCATATTTAGGGGTAATGGTTGTTAGGAATTCTCTGATATAAACACTTCTTTTATCCATGATGCTTCATTAAAGCCTAAGCAAATAGTATAATGGTCTCAGTTTTGTTGTGGATAATTAAGAAAGGCCTGCTGTTTGCATTTTGGGAAGGAATGATACAAGTGAGAGCAGTTTCTTCTCTCTAGACCCTGGAAAAGGATGTGAGTGTGAGGGTGGAGAGGAGAGAGTTAGAGTCGGTGGAGCTGGCTAACGCAGCCGCACCAGGTGGAGTGGCCCTCTACTAAAGATCAGCAGTCAAGAAGACAGAAGCGTGAGGATCAAATGAAGAAGCTTGAACAGGAGAAACATAAGGGTTTGTGCTGGACCAGATGAGAACCAGTACTCTGGGAATAGCCAGAAACAGCTAAGGTTCATTTTGATGACTCTCATTTCCTGATAATTAAGTTGATGGGATATTTGCCATAATAATTTGCATACAAAGATAAAGTTTGCTTTGATTTGATAATAACAGGTTTGATCACTTACGGTTCCATTATTCATAGGGTAACCATCTGTCCCTTTGCCCTGGTCACATCCAATCTATGCCTGTTATCTCAGTTTAATAATCAATAGTACTCACTTTCCATATCCACAGTCCCAACCTGAACAATAAAAATAATGTGGTCACCCTACCTAAGCCCTGCATCAATGACACAGAGAAGAAACACACAAGTTCAGAAGAAGAGATATTGCTGAAGGATAAAAGATATTACATCCTTCACTAAAGGATGAAATACGTCTTGAAGGAAGGGAGGGCTTAAACAAAGAGAAAAAAAGTAATGATTTTATAGGAAAAATGAATGGTACTTAAAAGTAAACTCAATGAGGCATACCTGCCATTTTTTGCTAATATACATTGAATTCTTACCATGTGCCATGCACAATTTTGTGTTTTTACATGTATTACAACTTTTTCTCTGTAAAATAATCCTACAGCATAAATATTATTACTAGTTTTTTAGTGCGGCATAATTTTTTAGTTAAATAGAGTCAATTTAACAAATGTATACAAAGTATGCAGTGAGGAGATGGCAAAGTAAAAATTAAACGTAGGCATCCTGGCTCCTCTGCAATAGCCTGACTACTAGGAAATAATGACCAGATATATTTTGTTAAAGTTTTTGATGAAAAAAATTGTGGTAGGTAAAGTTGGCAAGATGGATGAAAGGGTATTTTACACTATTTGTACTTTATTCCTTAAACAGTGTGGAGCTGATGAAAAGTTTTGAGAAACTGATTTGAGCAAGGCTATTTCTGGAAGATTTACATTTGAAAGCAGCATACAGAAGGAATCTGAATTAGAATTATAAGGTTGTTTTTAATCATATTGGTTTATCATCTCAAATTTATTGTTTTACCCCTTTTCTACTCATTGTTATAAACACATGTGACAACTTTAGGAATTGTTTGCAACTAAGACTTGTGGAGAATAAGATTAATAGCCAAAACACAGAAAGAAAAGTAACCATAAAGAGATGGTACATATGTGTATTTGTACACACACACATTTTTTGTTTAGAGATACGTACCTAAAACAAAGCCCCAAAGCTTGGTGTGAAAGCCTGTAGGAGAGGGTTGGGTTGAAGATGAAAGGAGAAACAAACACTAGGGCTAGAAACGAGATCAGTATTTCAGGAAAGATTAGGTCTGCTTTTTAGAAGAATGAGGCTCAAAGGTTAGAATTTGAAGTTCTGGTTCAAAACAAAGAAAATATTTCAAACAATACCCACAATTTAAGGATGAATTGACTTGATATGATTCTATGAGCATTTAACCCCCAAATTCCTCTATTCTAAATATTCAATCTATAGAACGTTATACAAAAATAGAAAAGGATAGCTAACACTGTATATATGCAGAAGATAGTATGTGTTCAGTAGAAGGAACAGCAGCATGCACTGTGTATGTGCCATAGGTAGACTGGTAAGAGACATATGAATAGATTGGCAGATCAATCAATAGATATTTTAACTAGATAGATATGGATCAATAGACAGGCAAATAAGTATTATTACATGATTTTACCAAATTTCCTCATTTCCAAAATGTGGAAGTCATGATCAAGATAATTCTATGAGTTGAAAAGCTATGCCTGAATAATGTTTGCATGGTCCATGTACTGGTAAATGGGAAAAGCAAAATGATTGAAAGCTTTAGGAATTATTTCTAACATCCGGATTTGGACAATTAGTATTTGTTCTTGAGGCTATAAATTGGTACTTTTTCACATTATTAAAAAGTCTAGTGACTACTGGAGTTTAGGGAGATCATTTTCCCTAAAAGTTAAAAAATAAATTGTTGAAAGTATTTCTTCTCCCAGATGGCACATGATGGCATCTTTATAAAAGCATCAATATTTGAGACACTCAATGTCCAATGTACTGTTTCATTCATGTTCTGGGATTGTGTTTTTATTAGTATGTATGATATGAAAATGTAGATTATATTTCTAAATTTAAAATTATATTCAAGTTATAAATTTAATAATTAATTTCCTGAAACTTTTATGAAAATAAACCCATAAAATCATAAACATTTTACCCTAAATATTTATGCAATATTTTATGTATTTATATAGTTTCACTTCCTTTGCCTAGGTAGTTTATATATCATAGTGGCCCAAATGAAAATTCTGGTAAAGAATCAGATACCTGGCCAGTTGTGGTGGCTCATGCCTGTAATGCTGATACTTTGGGAGGCCAAGGCGGGCAGATCACTTGAGATCAGCCTGGGCAACATGGCAAAACCCTGTCTGTACAAAAAAAAAAAAAAAAAAAAAAAAACCCACACAAATGAGCTGGGTGTGGTGGCACATGCCTATAGTCCCAGCTAATCAGAAGACTGAGGTAGGAGAATTGCTTGAGCCCAGGAAGTCAAGGCTGCAGTGAGCCAAGATCATGCCACTGCACTCCAGTCTGGGCAATAGGGTGAAACCCTATCTCAAAAAAAAAAAATCAGACACCTATCTTCTAATGTCTATATGTATATTATTTTGAGGAAAAAAATGAATTCTGCAGATAAACAATACGAATATTTTCACTTTTTAAATCATTTATTTTAGTGGAAGGACAACTGAAGTTTTTTTTACTTGTATTTTTTTGTTATATAATGAGGTCATTATTTCCAGAGAATAATTCCTCTTTCTAATTGCCTGAAACCACTGTCATAATAATTTGATTTAGATAGGAAAGAAACAATCATAGTCTCTTTTCAATTAAGAGACATACTTTATTTTCCAATTCATCCATTTTCCTCATCTTCTCTAAAACTCATTACAACCTGAACAATTTTATTCATCCCAAACAACTTCTGAAAACACAGTCAAGGGTTACAGTATAATTGTGAAGTTTTAATGTTGTCCCTTATCTTTTTCTTGGAAAAATTTATATTAATAGGTAGAAACTCCAGCTTTTTTTTTTTTTTTTTTTTTGTGATGGAGTCTTGCAATGTTGCCCAGGCTGGAGTGGAAACTCCAGTATTTTAAAGTATTTCTGTAAAGCAGTACATTGGCTATGAAAATAAAATACAGAAAAACCATGGCTTTTTTCCAGATATAACACTATTACATATATTTTGGAACACCCGAATATATCAAGAAACAATGATTGTTGTTATGCCAAAGTATATTTTCACCAACTAAAAGAAAACATTCATGATCCACCAACTGAGGACAAACAAACCTTTTATGACCTAGAACCTGGAGACTGGATCTTTTGGAAATGACACCGGAGAAAGACTGCTCTTGAACCCCACAGGAAGGGATCATCCCAAGTTCTTCTCACCAGCCACACTGCAGCAAAATTTTAGGGCCTTGAGTATTAGGTCTACATTTCTCAATTCAAGAGAATCTCTCCAAACTCTTGGGACTGTACTCCTGTTGGAAACCTCAAGATAACACTTACCAGAGAGGTTTCTCCTCAGAGTCAGACAACATCCTAGGTGTGGACAGCTTTTCCAAGGTCACAGATCAAAATTTCTCTCCTCTGTCATCATGAAACCTTTGTTATTTTTCCACTTTGCCCTGTGTTTCTTTTCTGCTTATATGTGGCAAGCTAATGTGATAATTAAGGCTTCTGTGATAATCAACAGCTTCCACAGAGAAATGCACTAAATGTTGGATATGTCATGTTAAACCTAAACCCTTACGTGATTTTAGAGATCCTTAAGTTTACCCTGTAACAAATTTCACCATTATTTTCAGTGTGACTATTTATTCAAATTTCACATCTGGTGCTTTCTATAACGTGAGGCTTTTAGAGTCAGATATTCAAGTTCCATGTTTAAATCTAACTGTTTAGATCTAACAATAGGCAAAACCCATAGTGAGGGTTTTGTAGTTAAAGTATGCCAGAAAATAAGAAAACCAAAAGAAAGATAATTTGAAAGTTTATAGACAAATTTATAACCCCAATTCCTTAACTGTCAGTAGCTTCCAACCATGCAATAATGAGGTTGGGAGTTCGAGACCAGCCTGACCAACATGGAGAAACCCCATCTCTACTAAAAATACAAAATTAGCGGGGCATGGTGGCACATACCTGTAATTCCAGCTACTCGGGAAGCTGAGGCAGGAGAATCTCTTGAACCTAGGAGGTGGAGGTTTCAGTAAGCTGAAATCACACCATTGCACTCCAGCCTGGGCAACAAGAGTGAAACTGTCAAAAAAAAAAAAAAAAGAAGAAAGACAAAGAAGCCTTGGATAAATATTACTACCATTGCTTCCCTACTGGTAACCTCTAACACACAGGCATCCCGCAGGGAACTACCTATTGTGCCCTTCCAGGAGATATTTTATGTGTGGAGCATTTAATCATCAACTGCATGCATGGACAACTTTATATCTCAATAAGTGGAAAATAAGAGGCCAATGTGGATTAGAAGTTCTAACAGTACTATTGTCACTCCATAACCAATTGGAAACTAAATATTGGTCTACACCTCTTAATTTGTTCTATAAAATAAAGAGGAATTTGTCAGCAGTCATAAATATCTCATGTAGAGAGATCTTGAGATTTAGAGAGCATTTTTGGTAGAATACTCCTTCCCTGGATTGGCATAAATGTAAGTAAAGTTATTATTAAAATTCTGTCTTAAACATTAGCTACTATATCTGACTCAACTGCAAAGGCTTTAGTTGCCCAGCAACCTTTTAAAAATCCTCTTGCTAAGATTGTTTTAGATAACGGCATTGCTTTGGACTACCTGTTGGCTGAACTGGGGCAGGGTGGGTGGGGAGGCTGGCAGAAGATGGGGAGTGATGGCTAAGATCTCTTGCTGCACTTGGATACATGTGTCTGGTATGACAGCAGCTCCATTTTAAGAAATCAACAAACAAGCTACTTGGTTAAAACAAGTAGATTCATCTTCTGACTTATTTTAAAAATTTGTCTGATTTTAATTTGTTCAGTTCAGGAGAGTTCCTATTAGGAGTGCACTTTATTCAGTCTTTTGCCATTATTCTCTGATAGTTTTCATAGTAGTTTTCCTGGTGCACTGTATTTTCTCAAGAGTCTTAATGCTTGTATGCAGCTATCCACACTGCATCATATGGTCCCACTCCAGTTAGAGCAACAAAAACACAAAGAAAACAAAAAGAATCACTCGACTGACCTGACATGATAACTTGTGAATTCCATACTGAGACCAAACAAGTTCAATATGATGGTGACAAAGAGCTCCTGTGTAACTCACAAAAACAAAAGCTCTTTGGGATTCTTTCAGTAATTTTAAAGAGCATGAAATGGTCCTGAAATCCAAAGTTTGAGAACCACTGTTCTAAGAATAATCTGTAAACTGACAGCTGGTGAAAGGAAAATAATTAAGACGAGGTTGGATGAGAGAGGTGGTTTGAGAGGAAGAAGAGTTCTGAGGAATGGGAAAAGAAGCACGGAACCACAGAGAGGTTTTGTTAGTCAGGAGTAACAGCATGACCCATTGTTTTCTCTTTCTCTCATTTTCATTCCAATTCATTCCTGCTTCTTGTGCTATGCTTCTTGCTATCTGTGATATATAGATTCCAAATCTCCCTGCTATATTTCCATGCCAATACCTACATTACCACCTATCCTGACCCCATCCCCGACCGTTACCAGACAAGCACTGATATCATATGAAATTTGGAGACCAGGAATGAAGGAAACTAGATAGGGTAGGAGAAGGGAAGGGCAGATAGTAATATGCTGAATTAACCTCAGCACTTCCAGCAAGTTTTCAAAGCGCCAGTGGAGAAAGGAAAAGAGAAAGATAGCTCTACAGTGGTGTGGCTATTTATTCTTGAGTGTACATTATGAATACTCATTAAAAATTGCAAATTTCCTACCACATTCAATTAAATGGGAAAGTTTTATGAAAAACTTAAAAATTGGGAATTAATTTAAAAAAGAAAAGTTTAGTTAGTTGCCAAAGCATAAGAAAGGAAATGAGGAAAAATTGCAAAGGTATCAATGTTACAATTGAATCAAAAAGGAAATTTAATATTCTTGATTATTGATACAGGATTACAATTGAAGTTATGTAAATATATTGAAATATACAAATAAGCTTTATTAAAATTAAATATCAAAAAAACTAATTGAATATACTTTTTAAGTTTTCATTTTTAAGGACAAAGTTAGTGCTGAAACTGAGAGTACTATGAGGCAACTTGGCCCTCTTAAATACAAATGAAATTACATTTTAAATATAAACTAGTGGATGAGTTTATTTTCATTGTTATTTAAAATATAAATTCATTGGTGGATGTAACATCTGCTGCATGTGTTACTCTAGGTTTCTTAAATTCTCAATAAGTGACTTTGAATAATATTTGCTGTTAAAATCAACACTATATATCTCAGAAACCATATTATCTGACTTGTATACAATATCAATACTTTCATTTTGCTATTCAATAGATTTCTTTTAGAGCCGCTTGTAATTTTTTCTTTAAAAATATATAAATGTGAAATGCTAACTTTTGCCACAAGGTGGCTCTTCATAGACTCTAACTGTATCATCTAAGCAGCTCTTTTTAAAAATTTCCATAAAGACTATATTATCTCCTAAACGTTCTTTTAAAGTGAATATTATTGATATAAAACAAGTTTTGGGAATAGAGGAAAAATCTAAGATAAATAGTTAGATTCTTTCAATGATTTCTGGTGTGTCCACACACACACACACACACACACACACACACACAGAGAGAGAGAGAGAGAGAGAGAGAGAGAGAGAGAGAGAGAGACTGCCATTATAATGTATTTATTTAGAAGATATCCAGGCTCTTGAGTTACTGTAGCAGAATGTGGTACCTCCTAAGGAAGGCAGTTCCTCAACAAAAGGCACCCTGAACAGGTACTTTCATCACTTACTTGGCAATCCATGATTGCTGTTTCTTCTCTTGTATAGGAGCATATCTCCCATTCAATATCCGAGGAAGGATGACATATGAAATCATTCACTTAAAGAATGGCTTTACTAGCAATGGCTTTACATAGACGGAAGCCCCAAATACAAAGCATTTATCCATTAAACAAATGTATATTGGTCTACTCTATATTCCAGACAGTACAATAGATAGACAGCTCAGCATAGCAGTTAAGAACATAGACCCTGGAGCCAAATTGTCAGGACTTCAATAGTGATTACACTTCTTATTATCAGTGTGGTCTTAGTAAAATACTTAACTTATTGCATCCAGATTTCCTTATATGTTAAATAGGTATAATAATATAAGATTGTCATGAGGATTAAATAACTGAGTGAAGTAAAGGCTATAGAATAATGCTCACTATATTTAAGTGTTTCATAAGTGGTAGCTATTATTACTAGGTGCTGTAGTGGATTTAAATCAGATAGGCAAATTCCTTGATACTGCATCAATCAAAAGTCTAATTCCCTTTTACTCAGATTTGAGCTGGCCTTAGTGAAGCATTCCTAATGAATAGAATGCAGGGACTTCCAAGGCCAATGAGAAAAAGTGATATAACTTCAATATGCTCTTCCCTCTATCTTAGGATGCCCACCCTTGGAACCCAGACACTGCTATGAGGAAACAAGCGACTAGCTCCCACTTATGTGTGAGAACATGTGGTAGGCATTTTCTGTTCCTGCATTAATTCGCTTAGGATTATAGCGTCCAGCTTCATCCATGTTGCTGCAAAGGACATGATTTTGTTCTTTTTATGGCCACGTAATATTCCAAGATGTAGATATACCACATTTTCTTTATCCAATCCACTATTGATGGGCACCTAGGTCAATTCCATGTCTTTGCTATTATAAATAGTGTGGCAATGAATATACCAGTGAATGTGTTTTTTTTGGTATAATTTATTTATATATACCTATTTTCCTTTAGGTATATATCCAAGAATGGAATTAATGGGTCAAATGGGGGTTCTGTTTTAAATTCTCTGAGAAATCTCCAAACTGCTTTCCACAGGGGACGAATTAATTTGCATTCTCACCAACAATGTATAAATGTACTCTTTGTTTCTGCTACCTTGCCAGCAGTGGTTTTTTGACTTTTTAATAATAACCATTCTGACTGGTGTGAAATGGTATCTCATTGTGGTTTTTGATTTGCATTTTTCTAATGATGATTGATGATGAACATTTTTTCATATGCTTCTTGGTCACTTGTATGTCTTCTTTTTCAGAAGTATCTATTCATGTCTTTGCCTATTGTTAATGGGGTTGTTTTTTGCTTGTTGATTTATTTAAGTTCCTTATAGATTCTGGATATTAGATCTTTGTTGGATGCATAGTTTGCAAATATTTTCTTATTCTGTCTGTTGTCTGTTTACTCTGTTGATAGTTTCTTTTGCTGTGCAGAAGCTTTTCAGTTTAATTAGGTCCCACTTGTCAGTTCTTGGTTTTTGTTGCAGTTGTTTTTGGGGACATCATAAAAAATTCTTTGCCATCGCCAATGTCAACAAGGGCATTTCCTGGATTTTCTTCTAGGATTTTTATAGTTTGAGGTCTTACATTCAAATCTTTACCCCATCTTGAGTTAATTTTTGTATATGGGTAAAGATAGGACTCCAGTTACATTCTTCCGCATGTGGCTCACCAGTTATCCCAGCACCACTGATTAAATAAGGAGTCCTTTTCCCATTGCTTGCTTTTGTCAGCTTTGTCAAAGATCAGATGGCTGCAGCTGTGCAGCTTTATTTCTGGGTTCTCTATTGTGTTCCATTGGTCTAAGTGTCTGTACCAGTACAATGCTATTTTGGTTACTATAGCCTAGCATAGTTTGAAGTAGGGTAGTGTGATGCCTCCAGCTTTGTTCTTTTTGCTTAGGATTGCTTTGGCTATTTGCACTTTCTTGGTTCTATATGAAGTTTGGAATTTTTTTTTCTAATACTGTGAAGAATGACATTAGTAGTTTAATAAGAAAAACATTAAATCTGTAGATTGCTTTGGGCAGAATGACCATTTTAATAATATTGATTTTTCAAATCTACGAGCATAGAATGTTTTTTCATTTCTGTCGTCTCTGATTTCTTTCAGCAGTGTTTTGTAGTTCTCCTTGTAGACACCTTTCACCTCCTTGGTTAGCTGCATTCCTAGGTATTTCATTTTCTTTGTGGCTATTGTAAATGAGATCACGTTCTTGATTGGACTCTCAGCCTAGACATTACTTGTGAATAGAAATGCTACTGATTTTTGTACATTGCTTTTGTATCCTGAAACCTAGCTAAAATTATTAATCAGTTCTAGTAGCCTTTTCACAGAGTCTTTAGGGTTTTCTAGATATAGAATCATATCATCAGTGAAGACAGATAGTTTAATTTCTTCTTTTACTATTTGGATGCCTTCTTTCTCTTGCCTGATTGCAGTAGCTAGGATTTCCAATATTATGTTGAATAAGAGTTGTGAGAGTGGGCATCCTTGACATGTTCCAGTTTTCAAGGGAAATACAGCTTTGGCTCATTCAGTATAATGTGGGCTGTGGGGATTTCATAAATGGCTCTTACTATTTTGAGGTATATTCCTTTGATGCCTAGTCTGTTGAGGGTTCTATTATAAAATGATATTGAATTTTATCAAAAGCATTTTTTGCATCCATTGAGATGATCGCATTGTTCTTTTAATTCTGATTATGTGGTGAATCACACTTATTGATTTGTGTATTTTGAATCAGACTTGCCTCTCAGGAATAAAGCCTACTTGATCATGGTGTATTAACTTTATGATGTGCTGTTGGATTTGGTTTGCTAATATTATATTGAGGACTTTTTGCATGTATGTTCATCAGGGATATTGGCATGAAGTTTTGTTTTACTGTGTGTGCCTCTATCAGATTTTAGGATTAGGCTGGTGCTGGTTTCATAAAATAAGTTGAGGAGCCCCTTTTGCTTGATTTTTTTGGAATAGTTTTAGTAGTATTGATACCAGCTCTTCTCTGTACATCTGGTAGAATTCAGCTATGAATTCATCTGGTCCAGGGGTGGTTTTGGTTAGTAGGTATTTTATTACTGATTCAATTTCAGAGCTCAATTTTGGTCTATTCAGGGCTTCAATCTCTTCCTGATTCCATCTTGGTAGGTCGCATATTTCCATCTAGGTTTTCTTACTTGTGTGCATAAAGTTATTCATAGTATTCTCTGAGAATCTTTTGTATTTCTGCAGGATTGGTTGTAATGTCATCTTTATCATTTCTGATTATACTTATTTGGATCTTCTCTTTCTTTTTGTTAATCTAGCTATTGTTCTATCCAATCTTGTTTTTTCAAGAAATCAACTCTTGGTTTCATTGATCTTTCATGCAGCTTTTTGCACCTCAATTCCATTCAGTTCTTCTCTAATTTCAGTTATTTCCTTTCCTCTGCTAGCTTTGGAGTTGGTTTGTTCCTTTTTCTCTAGTTCCTTTAGGTGCAAAGTTAGATTGTTAATTTGAGATCTTTATAACTTCTTGATGAAGTGTTTAGCATCATAAGCTTTTCTCTTAACACTGCTTTAGCTCATCACAGAGATTTTGGTAAGTTGTTTCCCTATTTTCATTAATTTCAAGAACTTTTTGATTTTTGTCTTAATTTTGAGGTTAACCCAGGAGTTATTAATTAGCAAGTTATTTAATTTCCATGTATTTATTTAGTTTTGAGAGATTTTCTTTTCTTTCTTTCTTTTCTTTTTTTTTTTTTTTTTAAGACAGTGTCTCACTCTGTCACCCAGGCTAGAGTGCAGTGGCACCATCTCGGCTCACTGCAAGCTCCACCTTTTGGGTTCATGCCATTCTCCTGCCTCAGCCTCCCGAGTAGCTGGGACTACAGGCACCTGCCACCACGCTTGGCTAATTTTTTGTATTTTTAGTAGAGACAAGGTTTCACCATGTTAGCCAGGATGGTCTTGATCTCCTGACTTCGTGATCCGCCCACCTTGGCCTCCCAAAGTGCTGGGATTACAGGCGTGAGCCACCGCGCCTGGCTGAGAGGTTTTCTTGGTATTGATTTGTATTATTGTACTGGGGTGTTGAAGTTCCCCCACTATTATTGTGTGGTTATCTAAGTCTTTTTGTAGGCCAAGAAGAACTTGTTTTATGAACCTGTATGCTCCAATGTTGGATGTGTTTAAATTTAGGATAATTAAGTCTTCTTGTTGGAATGTACCCTTTGTCATTATGTAAAGCACTTCTTTGTCCTTAATTTTTATTCATTTACAATCTGTTTTATCTGACATAAGAATAGTGACTCCTGGCCAGGTGCAGTGGCTCACACCTGCAATCCCAGCACTTTGGGAGGCCGAGGTGGGTAGATCACGAGGTCAAGAGATCAAGACCATCCTGGCCAACATAGTGAAACCCCATCTCTACTAAAAATAAAAAGAATTAGCCAGGCATGGTGGTGAGCGCCTGTAGTCCCAGCTACTAGGGAGGCTGAGGCAGAAGAATCACTTGAACCCGGGAGGCAGAGGTTGCATGCAGTGAGCCGAGATTGTGCCACTGTACTCCAGCCTAGTGACAGAGTGAGATTTGATCTCAAAAAAAAAAAAAAAAAAATTGTGACTCCTGCTCTTTGCTCTTTTATTTCCATTAGCATGGTAGATCCTTCTCCATTACTTTACTTTGAGCCTGTGGGTGTCATTGCATGTGAGATGGATCTCTTGAAGATAGTAGATGGTTGGGTCTTGTCTTTATCCAGCTTGTTACCCTATGCCTTTTATGTGAGACAATTAGCCCATTTACATTCAAGGTTAGTATTGATATGTGAGCTTTTGATCCTGTCATTGTGTTGTTAGCTGGTTGTTATGCAGACTTGATTGGATAATTGCTTTATAGTGCCTGTAGGCTATGTGCTTAACTGTCTTTTTGTGGTAGCAAGTGCCATTGTTTTGATATCATGTTTAGTATACCATTGAGGACTTATTGTAAAGCTGGTCTAGTTGAAATTATCCCCTGAGCATTAGCTTGTCTGAGAAAGATTTTATTTCTCCTTCACTTATGAATCTTAGTTTAGTAGGATATAAAATTCTTGGTTAGAATTTCTTTTAAGGACACTGAAAATAGGCCCCATCTCTTCTGGCTTGTACAGTTTCTGGTGAGAGGTCTTCTGCCAGTCTGATGGGTTTCCCTCTGTACATGAATTGACCCTTATCTCAAGCTGCCTATAAGATTTTTTCTTTTGTATTGCCCTTGGTGAGTCTGATGACTATGTGCCTTGGGGATGGTTTCCTTGTATAGTATATAGTTAGGGTTCTCTGTTTCTTGGAATTGCATGTCAACCTCTCTAGCAAGATTAGATAAATTTTCATCAACTCTACCCTCAAATATATTTTCCAAGTTGCTTATTCTCTCTCCTTTTCTCTCAGGAATGCCAATGAGTCATAGATTTTGTCTATTTACATAATCCCATACTTCTTGGAGGTTTGTTCATTGTTCATTTTTTAAAATTCTTTTTTTTTTTGGTCTGAGTTGATCCGAAGAACCAGTCTTTAAACTCAAGATTCTTTCCCCAGATTGATTTATTATGCTGTTAATACTTCCAATTGTATTATAAAATTCTTGTAGTGAATTTTTCAGCTCTAGAAGTTCAGTTTGGTTTTATCTTAAAATAGCTATTTTGTATTTCAGCTCTTGGATTATTTTACTGGATGCTTTGGATTTCTTGGATTGGGTTTCAACTTCCTTCTGATCTCAATGTGCTTCCTTTCTACCCAGATTCTGAATTCTCTGTTTGTCATTTTAGACATTTCAATCTCATTAAGAACCATTGCTAGAGAGCAAGTGGACTTTTTGGAGGTAAAGGTGATACTCTGGCTTTCTGAATTGTCAAAATTATTGTGCTGATTCTTTCTCGTCTAGGAGAGCTGATGTTCCTTTAATTGTGGTGTAAGTTGAGTACAGTCAGTTGGCTTCTTTTTTGGATACTTTTAGAAGGCCAGGGCTCTGTAAGGAATTGTTATATGTAAGTGAATTCTTGTACTTGGTTTCAACAGTGTACATATTAGCCCAATAATTTTTGATGGTATAGTTTGAGCTCTGATCCAGTAGACAGTGCTTACAAGTAATGGTTTGTAGCTAGGCTATTACCCAGTTGCACAGCCTTTTTGGACTTCCTTTCATTCAAAGGCATACTCTCCAGTGTATGGATGGGAGAGAGATGGCCCCCTCACCAGGTCTGCTTCTTGGCCTTGGGGAAGTCCCCTCCAATCACTTGTGCCACACTTGCATTTTTTTTTTTTTTGGTGAGGTGTTCTGGGCCATGGGGCTCCCTTGTGCAGGGGCTGCAATTGAAAGATAGGCCACACCCTTTCTGGGCCAGCCCTGTGGAGGAAGACATGCCCCACTCCTGCCCTGGCCCAGAAACCCACAAGTCTTGCCCATCTCAGTGAGCTGAGAGTGAGGGCTCCACCATGACTTAATTGCTGGTCACAGATCTCAGTTTGGTACTCCCAAGCTGCATGCCACAGCTCTGGGGGTACCAGGATGTTCTGTGGCTTGGGGTTGGGCTCCAACTGCATTGGGGAATCTGATGTGCTTTCAGGTCACCAGAAAAATACTCAGGTGGGGCAATGGATTCAGATTGGGCTGCAGAGGCTGTGTTTGGTACCCAGTCCTGTGAGGTGGCTAGACATGGGCCTTGGGAGAGGCTGGTGGGCAGGAGGGCTTATGGAATAGACATGTCCCAGTCCCATGAGGCAGCCAGCCCCAGTTTCTCCTGGCTTGGTGGTCAGCTAGAGCCAGAGCCTCCCAGAAGAGGATTGGGAGCGCTGGGGGATAGGTACCTATGACCATGCTCCATCAGAGCTTCCCAGCACTCAAAAGCTCCTGGGATCTCTGCTGTCCAAAATCCTGTCTCTGCCTTCTCCCAGGGGTGATCCACCTGCCAGCTCACATGTCCATGGGGATACGGGCTCCCCTGTAGCTAGGATCCCAGATGTCTGCAGTGAGAGTGAGCCACCCGTCAGTTCCCTCACTCACCACTTTCCCAGGAGCCATTCAAGGCTGGGAGTTAGCCCTCGCATTCAGGTGCCCCATGCAGGGTTCCCAGCTTCCTCTTTCTTCAGCTACAGCTTCAGCATCATCTCTCCATCCACTCTTGGCATTTTCTCTCTTAAGAGCTGCCCAAATTATGTTGGTTTACTCAATAATTTGGTCTCTCTTGGTGGGAGTGACACCTGCTGGCTGCATCTCATTGGCCATCTTTTCCACAGTCTCCATTAAATATCTTTTGTTGGTGAAAAGAATAAATGAAATAACACATGTAAAATTAACTAGCTCTGATCTGACACACAATTTCCAACTCCAAGCAAAATTGCCCCTCTCTTCTTTATGCTTATTTATGATCAGATACTCTGTTGAGAGACACATCTGAGCATCTAGAACACTTTTATTATCTTTACTGATTTAAATGCCTATCTCTACCTAACTGCTGATTGAAGTCAATATGTATGAAGTATTTACTTTTATGTGGCCAGCACCTAGAATTATTCTTCACACATAAAAGTTGTTCAAGAAATGTTGGCTGACTGAATGGGGAAACAAACATGGAAACAATTTCAATGCAGTGTGACAAAGACCAAACTCTCTACAAAAGACTAACACACTCTCTACAAAAGACTAGAAGAAGAAATGTCAAGTAAGCTTGGAAAATTTGTAAACACACACACACACACACACACAGGATTTAAAATGTGAGCTTTATAAATGGAGGTCTTCAGAGAAGAGGAAAGAAGCAGCACAGACCAAGGAAAGGAGACATTTCACATTTATGAAAAGTGATTGATCCAGGACCTGGACTAAGAGGAGAGAAAAAGAAAATAAGAAATGATGTGGCTAGAGTTGGTATGCAGGAGCCACATTATAAAGGTCCCTTGTGTGCCAGCTGCCAGAATAAAGGGTTTTTCATTTTATCTCCATTGGTAGAGACTCCAACTTAAGTGACTGAAATAATAAAGAATTTTGAGCGATGAATTATAATGCATGTAGATTTGTGTTCCAGAATGCTCACTTTAGTAGCAAAGTCAAGAAAGGGTGTCCAGTGTCTAGGAGACTAATCTGGAGCTAACTGTATGAGTCCAAGGCAATTTATGTAAATACCTAAGGTATGTATTTGTGGTGATGCTAGAAGAGAAAATAGTTTTAGCTGATATTTAGAAACCAATCGACAGGGATTGCTTCTGACAAGGGGAAGTAATACAGTTAGGGAAATCTAGGACAATTCCCAAGTTTTTGGCTTTGGGTGGCCTGGTAGGCAGCGATATCATCACCAAAGTGGAGAGGAGAAGGAATAGCTAGGTAGAGAGGAGGCGGCACTAAAGACATGATTACTTTAAAGTACTGATGGAACATTCAGATAGAAACATTCAACCAGCTTTTGGAAATAAGCCTAGGTGGTGTGCTCCTTCCTTTTCTGTTCCACGGAGTGTGTCTCTTCTCTTCTAGGGAAGAGAAAACTGGAGGCAGGGGCCAACATTACCATTTCTCCAGCTGGACTGTTGTCAGTGGGCAGATGCTCCTCATCACTAAGCAGCTACAATAAAGTCAGTGCTTCTACCAATGGATCACTATAAGGAATAGCCTTCCTCCACCTGTTCTAGATACCACCTAACCTGACTTTCCACAAATGAATACAGATGCCAGTGAAAGGGTAAGAAGATCTTAATTGAGAAAGAATTATTCAAAGCTATCCCAACCTTTCTCTAAAAGCTGCACATCTGTTACCTATTATTTGGGATACCGAATTTTTCTGCCTCTTACCTAGGGTTTACATAGATCCTCACTATTGATCGCCTCTCATTAGGTCATTAACTTTCCTTGGAGGAAACATTATTGATTGTTTTTCAACATTCATGTTCTATTCTCCCTTCCTAACAGCTTTCAGGTTTTAATTTGGATATCCATATTCGTGCCCATGTAACCTACATATTTTATGTAAAGCTGATTCAGATTCTCAGACCTCAGGGGTAGACCTTGGTTGACCTAAGACAGCAAACATGTTCTATTCCCCTGACCAAAGTCACTGGTACATTGTTGGGCATGTGACTTAAACAGTTTAGTCAGTATGAATCTCAGGGCTCTTGGTTGGCATATTTAGACAAAAGTTCTTTCTCACTGGACTAACCAGAGAAACACATAAGCTTGATTACTACTAGCAGCCATTCTACATCCATGAGGCTAATTAACCTAACACCACAGAAAGGAGAACAGAAAGTCTCGCAATCATCCAAACCTGAAATCTGTCCTATTTCTAGATTTTTCTGAGAATTAAACCAAAAATTTTCTTACTAATTTTTCAGCAAGTTTAAGCTATAGTTTCTATTATTTATACCCCCAAAGCATACTACCTAATTCAGGATGTGGTATTAAAAGATGAAATGGGCTGAGTGAGAGACGCAGGGTACAGGGCAATATCTTCTATTGAGTAGTAGGCTATCCTGATTATGAGGTTGAAAAAATAAATGTTGTTTAAACTGTTAACTGCTGTGATGGGAAAGAAACAGCCACACTTCATAAACACTGCATTCTCCAAAAGGGCACACCATCCTATCTTAAGACCTCCTCTAACAGTACCTGGGTGATGTTGGTGATTGGGCCAGTTCTCTGAACTGGCACTCCTCGATAAGAATTTTGGAAAATATTGTAGCTTTAACTACTTGTGCGCTATACTCTTAGGACATGGGGACACTTAGCAACTTGTATCTTCAGCTTTGGATTTTAGCTATTTCAGGACAACATAGAAATCTCATTTGTCACCTAGGTGCATAATCTTTATCTCTATGTTTATACCTTTATCTATACTTACAGCCATAGCCATACCTATGCCTATATGAATATCCATATACATGCTTATATCTATATTTATACACATATATATCCATATTTATGCACATGTCTATGTATAAATATATACATCCAGCTGCATACTTAATACAGTTATGCATCACTTAACAGCAGGTATACATTCTGATAAATGCATCATTAGGTGATTTTGTCATTGTGCAAACATAGAGTGTACTTACACAAACCTAAATAGCAAGGAGGCTGAGAAAGCAAGTATATTAAAATTTACAATTTTATATTGGGAAGTGTGCTCTGACCTCTTACCAAGATACATAGGGCAGAAATTCCCCAGGCACAGCAAAAGATTCAGAGAGTTGGCTACCAATAGGGTCCATTAGAGAGTTGTTACATGAGCTTCTGCCACACCTAGGCTTATTACACATCTAGGCTAGATGGTACAGCCTATTGCTCCTGTGCTACAAACCTATACAGCAGGTCACTGTACTAAATACTATAGGTAATTGTAACACTATGGTGTCTGTATATATAAACATCTCTAAATATAGAAAAGGTAATGTGTTGTGCTATGACATTACAATGGCTACAACATCTGTAGGTGATAGAAATTTTTCAGCTCCAATATGATGTTATGGTACCACCATCAGATATGCAGTTCATCATGATCAAAACATTGTTATGAGACACATGACTATACTGCATTGTTGTAACATTAGAATTATTATAACAGTTAAACAAGTAAATATATGTAGATGCTCAACTGATATTTGTCAAAAAATTAAAGGTTCCTGCAAAATTTTAAATTCTCAATAAAGGTTAGCCATTATTATTTGTATCTATTGTATCTATCGTAGTATAGATAGTTACAGCAGAAAATCCTAACTTAAGCTTGCTTATCAATAGAAAACATATTATCTCATGTAATTTCAAATTCAAAAGCAGAGTAGACTCTGGGTACAGTACAATCAAAGGCTCAATGATATTATCTAAATGCTTTATCATTCTTCATTCTGCTGTCCTCCTATTGGCTTCATTCGGAAGAGATTCCCTTGCAATTGCAAGATGACTGCCAAAGGCAGTCAGGACTCTGTGCTTTTTTTGTTCATATGCAATTGAAGAGAAGAGGAGAATATTTTCCCCCACGCACAAGAAATAAGTACTTCTCTTCTCTTAGCCTTTTTCTTGGCCCTTTTCTTCACATGCTTATGTAACAAGCAGCCAAAAGTTGCTGTGTCCAATTTAAGGAAGATATTAAGGATATTGACTAGCTCATAGAAATTCTAGAAAGCTTGGGGACAATGCAGCCAGAAACAAAGCTTCAAACTAAACCACAAAACTAGTCTTGTGAGGATGCTGTTACCACTGAACATTAGATCCTATACTTCAGACACCAATCAGGTTCATTTGATTAGCATGCCTAGGGCATGTATCTATACATTAGTTTCAAAGGAGGCTGAGAAAGCAAGTATGTTAACAATTTACAATTTTATAGTTGGAAGTGGGCTCTGACCTCTTACCAAAATACAGAGGGCAAGGATTCCCTAGACACAAAAAAGGATTCAGAGAGTTGGCTGCCAGTAAGGTCCATTAGACAGTTGTTACAGAAGCTTCTGCCAACTCAGCCACCCACGCAGTATGGTGCTCCCTGAGGAGAAGAGGATTGTGAACAAAACTGAAAGAACTGGCTCACTAAACTCTGTAATACTTTCAGATTCATGTAAAAATTAAAGAAGCTTCTCCATTTCAGTTGACTTGTACTGAGTCTCCAGCTTAGTGGAGGTAGGTAGTATTACCGACAGCTCTCTAGCTTGCATCCATAGTGTCAGAATTTAACTCAAGAGACACTGCATGACTAATCTCTTTTAGGGCAAAGGCTAGTGCAGAACTGTCAAGGCAAGCAGTGACTCAGCCAGCGGCAAAGGCAATGACAGCACCTCATCCAGCAACAGTGACAGGGAACAACAACCAGAACAGATTCCCTAAAGCATTGAATATGCCTTTTAGGGATGCCAAGAATATTCAGGAAAAGAAAAATCTACAAGTGCCTGAATTCCTTAACAAGGAAGTCAGGGTTTGAAATGAGGAGGAATTGGGTATTAAATTTAGAAATCTAATGTCTCAGGGACATATGGATCACATATGTGATTAGAGAAACATCTAGCACTTACTTCCTGGAATTGGAGCTCTTACAAGAAGGAAAAGGGAGCACTTTTGATAACAAGTTTCCCTTTTTCTTGTGAGGCAGTTTTCCTGGAAGCTCAGCCACCAGATTTTTGCAAGGTTGTTTTCTTGTAGACACTAAAATTTCAGCAGTCATGACACATTCTCAGAAAAACTTGATTTGATACCCCAATCTATAATTGCTTCACTTCCCCCACCTAAGCAACTCTTACATTACTCTATTTTATTTTCTGCAAAGAATATGAATATAAATTCTTAAAACTTAGTTATTATGTTTATGACTGCTCCTGCATAAGCCTTCACCAGAGTCCACCAGAATATGGACCTCATGAGAACAGTGAACTTGCATATCTTGTTACTAGTAAATTCCTGCAGTCTTAGAACAATAACTGGCACATACGGTAGACACTCGAGAAATATTTGTTGAATAAGTATTAAGATCTGGCTCCTCATAGAACTAAGGCCATTATTATAACCATGCAAAAATTCCAGTTTTATGCCTGCAAGTCTTTAATTCAATTCAAACAATATTGTCTCATTATTAAGCAACTTCTATATAATATCATTTACACATTTCTGCCTGGGACACTCTTCTACCCAACTATATTCCTCGTCTCCTCTCCAGAAACATGCTTCAACTGATCAACACCTTCCAATCTGTCTGGTTGATCCAGTCTTTCAACATGGAAAATGAAAGAAGTGAGACATCAGAACTAATACCAGAGAGTAAGTCAGAAAAACAACAGAAGACTAGAGGACAGAATAGGCACAGGATAACATCAGTTTACCAAGATGAAATATTTTTAGGGGCCAAAGCTAGGGTGCATAAATTATGCTAGAATTAGCTAATGGTCAAAGTGAAAGAAAAAAAACTGAAATCATTTGGGCTAGATACTATGTGTATTAAATGGTGTGCAGAAACCAGGACTTCCTGGAACTAAGTTCAGAGACTTAGTTTTCAACCAGTGTCTTGCCAAGTGTGGCTTTTCAAAGGTCCAGGCTCCACTTCCAAGAGTGAAGGAGAATGTAAGGCGGAGTGGGAATCTGGCATGGGTTTTGGAGACAGAACTGGTTTTGAGTCCTAATGATGCCAAACAAGATAACTTCTCAGAATAACTTTCCCAAAGGACAAGCTAATCAACCTCTCAGCAACTCAAATCTGTGAAATACAATTATATTAGTAGTACCATCTCACTGGATTATTGTGGGGTTTAAATAAATCAATGTAATGTGTTAATTTATTATGGAACTCATTTCACAACTTATACAAATATTGAATCATCATGTTGTACACCTTAAATTCATACAATTTTATTTGTACATTGAAGCTAAATAAAACTGGAAAAAACAAATAAGTAAATAAAAGTCCATAGGAAAAAACAGAAATATGGGTCAAAAATTAATGGACAAGGTCAACAGCACAGTTCTCTGCTCTTAACTGCTATTTGTTCATTTAACAAATATCTATATACATTATTACTAATATTGTTTACATCTTTTAAAGTAGCTGAGCTGCCTAGTTGACTCAGGAGGTAATGATAATAGCTATTGGATTTTTTTGGCAGTCACTTTGCTAAGCATTTAACAAGCAGGATTGTTTTTAGTTTTCAAAATAACCTCATAAGAACTATCATTGCCCCATATTTCACATGAAAAACATCAAAAGTAACCCAAACAAAAGACTCGTGGGTAAGCCAGATGTTTAAGTCCTCCCTGAAGAGGTATCAAGCTCCTCTAGAAGATAAGCGGGAATCCTGGTGTTGATGGGTTAGAGACTTGCTGCCTTTTCAAGGATGTTTTCTCCTTGGAAACTTTTTTTTCTTTCTTTTTTGGAAGAGTCTCTTATAAACTGGGGTGTTAAAATCCCTAGCACTGGGAACTCAGAGAATATATATCATTCTCTACACATATGCCACGAGTTATCTCAAACTCACTTAAGACAAAGACTTAAATACACAATAATGTCTGATTCATTGGTCTATTTAATTTCAGAAGTTTAACTTTTTTAAAATTTTATTTTGGCTCTTCCTAGTGCCTTTTATGGATCTTAGCAATGCTAACTAGGCTGTAATATTTATTTCGTTATTGACTTCAGATTTCCATTGATAGACATAAACTCAAGAGTTAGATCTGAAGTGGACCTTAGAAATTATCTATATAGCCCACTGATTTACAAATTACTCAAATAATTAAAGGTGTTCTTTCTCTTTAACCAGAGCTGTTTCGCTTTTGTTTTATGGAGTGAGCTTCCATTTATTGTTTCTACAAAACATAATTTCACTGAGAATGTGTGTGTATAGGTTTATTTATATTAAACCACCACACTGATCTAATAAGAAAACTTTACTCATTTTCATTTATTTAATCATTCAGTTTAGCACCACTAAGTGCCCATGTTTCTTTCAGCCAGTGGAGACGAAAACAAAAAAGACACTCTCTCAGCCTTAAAGCCTTCCTGTTCTGGTCAGGAAGGCAGACATACAGAGAAAACCGCATTGATGGGAGTAAGGCCATAGCAGAGGCTTGCCGAATAAATATTTAGGCAAGAGAATAGGGTCTGGAGGCAGGGAACCTAAGGCCAATTCATGCTGACTTCCTAAAACTGAATCAAAAGGAAAACCCCACCTCTCCACGCCCAAGTAACAAAAGGGTCAGAGGCTACTCCCTTTGCAACATGCCCACTTCCACTGTGCACAGATGAAACATGGAATGTACCTCTGATTGGTCCTCTCCCACAACCAATCAGACTGGTCATAGGCCAAATCTTCATTTACATAGGGTATAACCAAGTAATCAATGGGAAGCCTCTAGAGAGTCTTTAAACCCCAGAAAATTCTGTAATTAGGGCTCTTGAGTGACTTGCTCGAGCCTGCTTCCACTCTGTGGTGTGTACTTTCATTTCAATAAATCTGTGCTTTTGTTGCTTCATTCTTTCATTGCTTTGTTTGTGCATTTTGTCCAATTCTTTGTTCAAAGTGTCAAGAATCTTGATGACTCGTAGTCAAGACCTTCCACCAGTAACAGTATGAGGACATGGTGGAGGGAGATTGGAAAAAGCTTTCAGAGAGGATAGGACCTAGGGCTGAGCCTCATTAATAGGATGAGAGAAGTGCAAGAATTACACACAAAAGCAACAACAAAAGCTAGCAACAGAAAAAAATAGAGAGCTCAGAATGGGAAATAATTGATGTAGCTGTACTTTGAGGTTAATTGCATATGGTAAGCCCTCAATAAATAGCTGGTTAATTTATTTACCAACTAAATTCGTATTCTGGAGGAAATAAGCCTGTGAAAGTCAGTTCATGAAGGGGCTTACAGGTTTACCCAAATAATTTGGATTTATTCTCTAACCTAGGACCTGAAAATGCAAATGTCTATAGGGATCTTGTAAAAATGTGAATAAGTTGGCCAGGTGTAAAAAAATAGTAATTATGAAGACTATACCTTATTACTGTCAACACATGGATGTCTAATACATACTCCTGGCCCTTAGGCTACATACATAAATAAGTACAAACAATATCAATATAACATGATGATTTGTCTCCATTCATGTACCAAAAGCAATAAGATCATAAAGGAGGGCTTACTTAATTCATCTGAAGGAAGCAGGAAGATATTACTGATATTTTATTTGAGGTGAACTTGAGGAATAAGCAGAAGCTTATCTCTCTGTTTCTAGCTACACTCCAACATACTCCCTGCATTCCAATCAGGTTGGTCTCCTAAGTGTCCCGCAACACCCCACATTCCTATGTCCTCTCTCAAGTCTTTCACTTTGCCTGGTTTGCTCTGCCTTCTTTACTTACTCAATTTTTACCAACCCTTAAAGACCCAGTGCAGACCTTCCTCACCCATAAAATCCTTGAAGACTTCCCAGGTACCGAATGCTAATTGAGAACATACCAGAGGTTGGACATACTGGAAAGCTGAAAGACACATATGACACAGCAGAGTGTAGAAGTGCTCAGGAAAGAGCGTTTTCTTGTGTGTGATGAGAAATTTATGGGTTTGGGAGTCAAGGAGTAATTGGCTCTGTGACCTCAGCAAGATCATCTAGCCTGTGTTTGCCTCAGTTTTCTTAGCTAGAAAAATGGACGCTTATCCTCATGGTCGTTATGCTTCCTTTCAATTCGAAGATTATGACTCTGATTTTGAAGAACAATGTGATCTCTTATGTTTCCAGTAGCATTTTCACACATTTTCAGAACTTTTCTGTATAATATGATCAGTATAAAATCACTCATCAATGGTAGCACTATTGAAGAGTATAATTTCTGTGCCATTATAAATATAACTCTTACCCTGGGTTTAAAAAGTTGCATAGGTCACAGGTGCATTGAGAAAAAAATCAGCTGTCATGTTACCCTGTTACTGTTTTGGTTATCTCACATTAAGAACAGATTGTGGTTCTTTCTCTGGACCTGCAATTTCATGGCAGTAAGAAGATAGAGGGCAAGTGGACTACAGATCCTGAATATTAAGATGAAAGAAAGACTGCCTATGAAAAACAACACACATGAATTAAAGAATCTATGGAATTAAACTAAAATAATTAATGAAGTTGTTATTTTGTGTTATTTTAGTAATTATGGAAGCATTATTTATGTTATAAACAGACAATAAGTTATGAAATACCATACTTTGTTTTAAGATCTTAGATGATAAATTGTTGACAGCTATTTGCAAAAACTAGGAGGGTATTTCCTTAGCATCTACTATTTATTGTCAGTTTGCCTCATTCCAACTGGCTGCATTAGTTGTACTTTTGGTTTTAAGCAAAAGAACCAACTCCAGCTAGATTTAAGCAAAGCTAACCTATTGAAAGAACATTAGATTATCTCATGGAGTCCAAGGAAAAGTCCAGAAGCGGGAGGAACCAGATCAACTTCAGGGACCTTAGCAGTAGAACTTCATGGACCTTCTCGCCACAGATTTTCCTTTAGTTTGACTTTAGTTCCTGTGACTTCCCACCTGTATCTCTCCTCCTGTCCCCAAATTGTAATTTCTAGGAAAAAGCATATGTTGAACACAACTTGGGTCAAATGTCCTGCTCAAGCACAACCAACTATGACAAAAACATATGTCAAAAGAGTGATATATTACAAACATGGCCACCAGAGACCCTGCCTTGTAGAAGAGACCAATGTTTGCAAAAGGGAGAAATGTTGGTATCCAGCAAGCCACCTCAAGAGAAGTCTGCCCATTGCACAGGCTTTTTTCTGCTGTGATTTTTACCTCCTTCCTCCCTTCCCCAGTTATCCATATTTATATATCACTGTATAAAATTATACCTTGTCCTTCTAGAAGTAAATATGAAATTAAAGTAATGAAAGGGGCAGAATAAACAATCCTCTGTTATTCTTTAAGTGAAAATATAAACAATTCCGTTTGATTATACCATGTAGAGGCATCCAGAGCTAGACTAAAATATTACAAAAATAGGGACTAATCATCAGATATAGTCTATGAAAATCTAATAACTTTAATAATAATACATTTGTCTAATAACTTTGACCAATCACAGAATAATCTTTCTTGATTACCAAAGGTGTTTACTTCATTTCTTGAAAGTAAAATCTAAAACATTTATCAATACCAGATATTCTGAAAGATAAAGAAAACATGTAGTATGTATGTTATACTCCCTTCAATAGTTTGTGAAGGAAGTTCTTGGACAATTTCAAAGACCTAGATCTTTATCCTCCTCCTAATTGTTATCTGTACACCCTTACTTCTTGAAAGTATAATTCTCCTTGGCTTCCTAGATATGGGACTATCAGGTTTTCCTCATCACAGGTCTCTTTTGCTGCCACATTCTCGGCTCGCTGTAACCTCCGCCTCCCGGGTTCAAGCAATTCTCCTGCTTCAGCATCCCGAGTAGTTGGGACTACAGGCGCGTGCCACCATGCCTGGATAATTTTTTTTTTTTTTTTGTATTTTCAGTAGAGACGGAGTTTCACCACGTTAACCGAGATGGTCTCCGTCTCCTGACGCCGTGATCCGCCAGCCTCGGCCTCCCAAAGTGCTGGGATTACAGGTTTAAGAACTCAAGGATATAATTGCCACCACAAGGCCAAGACTGCCAAGTCTATCCTGAAAACTACCTATGTTTTAGTCTACTTGTTACTGGTTGAGGGTAGTTGTCCAGGTTCTTGATGTTTTGAACAAAGAATTGGACAAAACGCACAAACAAGGCAGTGAAAGCAGAGAATTTTAATGAAAGTACACTCCACAGGGTGGGAGTGTGCACGAGCAAGTGGCTCAAGTGCATCTGTTACAGAATTTGCTTGGGTTAAATGCCTTCTAGAGATTTCCCATTGGCCCACAACCAGTCTGATTTGTTGTGGGAGGGGACCAATCAGAATAAAGAATAGACCCACAACCAGTCTAATTGCTTGTGGGAGGGAATCAATCAGAGGCACTTTCATTTTTCTTTTTTTTTTGCCTTTATCCATTCATCTATTTTTTTATTTTATTTTATTATACTTTAAGTTCTAGGGTACATGGGCACACATGCAGGTTTGTTACATAGGTATACATGTGCAGCGTTGGTTTGCTGCACCCATCAACTCATCATTTATATTACGTATTTCTCCTAATGCTATCCCTCCCCCAACCCCTCACCCCCACAACAGGCCCTGGTGTGTGATATTCCCTGCCCTGTGTCCAGGTGTTCTCACTGTTCAATTCCCACCTATGAGTGAGAAAACGCAGTGTTTGGTTTTCTGTCATTGTGATAGTTTGCTGAGAATGATGATTTCCAGCTGCATCCATGTCCCTGCAAAGGACATAAACTCATCCTTTTTTATGGCTGCATAGTATTCCATGGTGTATATGTGCCACATTTCCAGTCTACCACTGATGGACATTTGGGTTGGTTCCAAGTCTTTGCTATTGTGAATATTGTCGCAATAAACATACATGTGCATGTGTTTTTATAGTAGCATGATTTATAATCCTTTGGGTATATACCCAGTAATGGAATCACTGGGTCAAATGATATTTCTAGTTCTAGATCCTTGAGGAATTGCCACACTGACTTTCACAATGGTTGAACTAATTTACACTCCCACCAACAGTGTAAAAGCATTCCTATTTCTCCACATCCTCTCCAGCATCTGTTTCCTGACTTTTTAATGATCACCATTCTAACTGGCGTGAGATGGTATCTCATTGTGGTTTTGATTTGCATTGCATTTCTCTGATGACCAGTGATGATGAACATTTTTTCATGTGTCTGTTGGCTGCATAAATGTCTTCTTTTGAGAAGTGTCTGTTCATATCCTTTGTCCACTTTTTGATGGGGTTGTTTTTTTCTTGTAAATTTGCTTAAGTTATTTGTAGATTCTGGATATTAGCCCTTTGTCAGATGGGTAGATTGCAAAGATTTCCTCGCATTCTGTAGGTTGCCTGTTCACTCTAGTGATAGTTTCTTTTGCTGTGCAGAAGCTCTTTAGTTTAATTAGATTCCATTTGTCAATTTTGGCTTTTGTTGCCATTGCTTTTGGTGTTTTAGTCATGAAGTCTTTGGCCATGCCTACGTCCTGAATGGTATTGCCTAGGTTTTCTTCTAGGATTTTTATGGTTTTAGGTCTTACATTTAAGTCTTTAATCCATCTTGAGTTAATTTTTGTATAAGGTGTAAGGAAGGGATCCAGTTTCAGCTTTCTACATATGGCTAGCCAGTTTTCCCAGCACCATTTATTAAATAGGGAATCCTTTCCCCATTTCTGGTTTTTGTCAGGTTTGTCAAAGATCAGATGGTTGTAGATGTGTGGTCTTATTTCTGAGGCCTCTGTTCTGTTCCATTAGTCTATATCCCTGTTTTGGTACCAGTACCATGCTGTTTTGGTTACTGTAGCCTTGTAGTATAATTTGAAGTCAGGTAGTGTGATGCCTCTAGCTTTGTTCTTTTTACTTAGGATTGTCTTGGCTATGCAGGCTCTTTTTTGGTTCCATATGAACTTTAGAGTAGTTTTTTCCAATTCTGTGAAGAAAGACATTGGTAGCTTGATGGAAATGGCATTGAATCTATAAATTACCTTGGGCAATATGGCCATTTTCATGACATTGATTCTTCCTATCCATGAGCATGGAATGCTCTTCCATTTGTTTGTGTCCTCTTTCATTTTGTTGAGCAGTGGTTTGTAGTTCTCCTTGAAGAGGTCCTTCACATCCCTTGTAAGTTGGATTCCTAGGTATTTTATTCTCTTTCTAGCAATTGTGAATGGGAGTTCACTCATGATTTGATTCTCTGTTTGTCTATCATTGGTATATAGGAATGCTTATGATTTTTGTACATTGATTTTGCATCCTGAAACTTTGCTGAAGTTGCTTATCAGCTTAAGAAGATTTCGGGCTGAGACTATGGGGTTTTTCTAAATATACAATCATGTCATCTGCAAACAGGGACAATTTGACTTCCTCTTTTCCCAATTTAATACCTTTTCTTTCTCTCTCTTACCTGATTGCCCTGGCCAGAATTTCCAACACTATGTTGAATAGGAGTGGTGAGAGAGAGCATCCTTGTCTTGTGCCAGTTTTCAAAGGGAATGCTTCAGTTTTTGCCCATTCAGTATGATATTGGCTGTGGGTTTGTCATAAATAGCTCTTATTATTTTGAGATACATCCCCATCAATACCTAGTTTATTAAGAGTGTTTAGCATGAAGGGCTGTTGAATTTTGTCAAATGCTTTTTCTGCATCTATTGAGATAATCATGTGGCTTTAGTCATTGCTTCTGTTTATATGATGGATTATGTTTATTGATTTGCATATGTTGAACCAGCCTTGCATCCCAGGGATGAAGCTGACTTGATTGTGGTAGATAAGCTTTTTGATGTGCTGCTGGATTCTGTTTGCCAATATTTTATTGAGGATTTTTGCATTGATGTTCATCAGGGATATTGGTCTCATTTTTCAACTGCCACAGAGAAGGAGAGGTCGTAAAGAGAGTAGCCTCTGATATCCAGTCAGCATGAATAAACCTTAGGTTCCCTGCTTCCAGACCCTATTTTCCTGCCTCATATTCCCCCTGAGAGATGTGATTCCCATAAATCTTTATGGGAAGCAGAGGGATTGATGGTCTTTCTTCTGTAGCTGCTTCATGCTAACTTGGGGTGCAATCCCTACCTATTGCTGATCATGGAAATTTTTCCCTGCTCTATCCAGTGGAGGCAGGGTAGTTTATTGATCGCTGGGGGTGCTATCTTCATTTGGAACTGGCTGGCAATGTTGTTGCATGATCATATGAAGCTCAATGGTCTCTAGGTGAGAGGAAATGAATTTGGTTAAAAGATCTAATGGGAACTTCAGGGGGTGGATACCTATGCTATCAGGAATGTTTGTTATAGGGAGAAATTAAAACATTCTGCTTAATTGCTACAAAGGGAGTGATTCCAAACATTTGAAAAAAGAAAAACTGCAAAAATATATAAAAATATGGCTATTATTATCCAGCCAAATATATAAAAATATGGCTATTATTATCCAACCTACAATAACTATGCAACAAAAACACCAAGGAAAGTTGGTAGGCATTTACTTATCTTTTGGCTGTCTTCTAAACAGGCACTTCAGGTCTTCCACAGGTTCACAGGTGTAGTGGCTGAAGGAAACTTCAGGTTCCAGGTCTGAGGCTTCAGGTATCACAGACTTGATCCTTGAAAGATGTATCCAATTATTTAAATCCTAATACTTTGACCATGGAAAGCATGGCCAGCACCACTGAAAATGTTCCCTTCCATTTGGGCTGTAGTTGTTGAGCAGGCGATCCCTCCTTCCAAGTTTTAACAAGTATCTTATCTCTTGGCCTGATTTTGGGATGCTGGTTAGCTCCTGGTATGGGGAACCTTTGAGTTCCAAACTTTTGTGAAAGCCTGCTGAAATTGTCCATTAACTAGGTATTTCACTAAACCAGCTGTTTCTGGATCAGTAATTAGATCATTAGTTAAGAATGGCCTTCCGTATAACATTTCATATGGGTTTATGTTAATTTTTGCTCTAGAGGTATTGCAGATCCTTAAGAGGGCTATAGTCAGTAAGCTGACCCAAATTTCTGATGTTTCCTAACATAGCTTACCTAATGCTTGTTCTAGAGTTTGGTTAACCCTTTCTACTTTCCCGAAGAATTGAGTCCTCCATGCTGAATGTAAATAGTATTTGATTCTGAAGGTCTTAGCGACCCCTTTAGTTATTTGGGAGATAAAGGATGGGCCATTATCTCTTTGGAGACTCTGAGGTTACCCAAACTAAGGGACTATTTATTTGTAAGAGAAACTTTATAACCTCAATAGCCTTCTCTGTTCTGGTAGGATAAGCTTCGACCCAACCAGTAAAGGTATCTATCAGGACTAACAAAAACTTGTATCCTCTACAAGCGGGCATTTGGGTGAAGTCTAATTGACAGTGTTCCCCTGGGTAAGTTCCTCTCCTCTGGACTGATTCTATTAGAGGAAGCATTTTGTTTCCTGGACTGTTAAGTGCACACAGTGAGCAGGATTGACAGACCTGCTTAACCACTGAATCTAAGTTAGGCCCAATGAAGAGCCTGTTAACCATGGCCAGGGTGGCATCTCCACTGGGCTGTTTGAGGGAGATTTAGTTTGATTCCATATACCACCCGGATACTTATTTTTGTCCCCCTTGTTCCTTTATTAACTGTTCTTCCTATAGCGTGTATTCAGGATCCATTCAGGAATCATAGAAAGGAAGCAGTGCTAGGATCTGTTGGGATTGCACCCTGAGGGATACGGCTTTAGCTTCTCTATCAGCCCTTCTGTTCCCTTGTGCTATAGGAAGTAAGTCCCTTTGATGCCCCCTACAATGGATTATAGCTACAGCCTTTGGCAGGTGTATTGCTTCCAACAGCTGAAGAATTTCAGGCCCGTGCTTTATTGGGGAGTATTTGCTATTTAGTAGTCCCTTTTCTTTCCAGATTGTAGCATGAGCATGAAACATAAGGAACGCATATTTAGAATCTGGATAGATGTTAAGCTTTTTCCTTTGTCTCAACATTAGTGCTCAGGTAAGAACAATGATTTCAGTATTTTGTGCTGATGTGCCAGGGGGCAGTGGCTGGGCTTCAATAATGGTGTTGTGATTTACCATTGCATATCCAACTCAGCACTCCCCATTTGACACAAAACTACTGCCATCTGTGAACCAGTTATCTTCAGAATCTGGGAGAGGCTAATCTTTTAAATTAGGCCAGCTAATATATGTGTGTACAATGACCTGCTCACAGGAATCATCAGTTATTGGGCCTGTGGGTAGCAATGAAGCTGGATTCAAGGTGTTACAAGTTTTAAGGGTTACATCTGGATTGTCTAGCAGCATGGCCTGGCATATGTTTAACCTTTCCTCCATCATCCACATGTGTCCTTTTATCTCTAAGACTGGCTTTACCTGATGGGGGGTTAGAACTTCCAGTGGTTGGCCCAGGGTGATTTTAGTGGCTTCCTCCACAAACATAGCAGTGGCTATTGCCTGCAGGAAACTTGGTCATCTCGAGGCTGCTCCATCCAACTTCCTTGAAAAGCAGGCAGTTGGTCTGGGTTCTGATCCTAATTTCTAGGCTAGCACTCCCACAGCTACGCCCTTCTCAGCTACATACAAGAAGGGCTTAGTTATGTCTGGGATGCCAAGAGCAGGAGCCTGGTAAGGGCCTATTTTAGCTTGGTGAAGGCTTCTCATTTCTGGGGTCAATTCCGTTAGCTCATTTTCAGGCCTCCTTGTTGCTTCATATACGAGCTTTGCTACAAGCCCCAAATTTGGTACCAATATTCTGCAAAACCCAGCCATTCCCCAGAAAGAACAAAGCTGCGCTTGGTGGCTGTGGGGCAACCACATATGGCTTGCACTCATTCTGGGGATATTTGTCGGGTTCCCGGTGTTAAGACATACCCTAAATATTGGATCCATTGGAGGGTAATCTGAGCCTTCTTTTTGGACACTTCACATCCTCTGTCAGCCAGGAAATTCAACGTTTTTATAGTATTTTGGTCAGAAGCCTCCTGGGTTGGGCTACACACAAGAAGTTCAACCACATACTGGAATATACTTCCATTCTCCAATTGCAGATCCCTCAGATCCCTCTCTACAGATCAGGCTAAGAAATCAGGGCTATCCTGAAAGCCCTGAGGGAGTACTGTCCAAATGTATTGTTTTTTTTTTTTCTGGTATTAGGATTTTCCCATTCAAAGGCAAAAAGGTATTGGGATTCTGGGGCCAGAGGAATAGAGATGAAAGCATCTTTTAGGTCTAGGAGAAACATTTTGCATCCCCTGGCACCTAAGCCAGGAGGGTATATGGATCCACCACCAATGGGTGGACGGGGATAACAGTGTGATAAATTATTCTGAAATCCTGTACTAGCAGGTATTCCCTCAAGGGCTTTAGAATGGTTAAGATGGGGGTGTTTCAGGGAGAATTGCAGGTTTTTAAGAGCTCATGGGTAAGCAATATCTCAACTATGGATGCCAGGCCTTTTCTTGCTTCCAGCTTAAATGGGTATTGTTTTCAATTGGGGCAATAGCTGGGGTCTTTAAACTGGTATTTTGACTGGCACTGCTGTTTTAGCTTTCCCTGGTGATATGGTTTGGCTGTGTCTCCACCCAAATCTCATCTTGAATTCCCACATGTTATAGGAGACACCCAGTGGGAGGTAATTGAATCATAGGGGAAGGTCTTTCCCTTGCTGTTCTCATGATCATGAACAAGCCTCACAAGATCTGAGAGTTTTATAAGAGGGAGTTTGCCTGCACAACCTCTCTCTTTGCCTACTACCATCCACGTAGGATGTGACTTGCTCCTCCCTTGCCTTCCACCATGATTGGAGGCCTCCCCAGCTATATGGAACTGCAAGTCCATTAAATTTCTTTCTTTTGTAAATCATCCAGTCTCGAGTTTGTCCTTATCAGCAGTGTGAAAATGGACTAATACACCTGGCTTCCCAGCATAACATGCTAGCAGGTTAACCTGTTTATTAATGTGGTCTGGGATATTGTCTGTATTTTTGACTATTAGCAATTTTACTGGGTAATGCTTAAATTTGTAGTAGTGCCCCTATTTTAATGATAATATCGCTTCCCAACAGGTGGACAAGGCAGCTTGGAACTACTAAAGATTTATGTTGGAACATTTGTTTCTCAAACTGACAAAGGAGAAGTAAAGAATCTCGTTTGTGGCTTTCCTTCCATTCCCGGAACACTCTTAGACTGGGAGGAAAGTTTTCCTGCATAAGCAGTAAGGACAGAGTAATTCGCCCCTGTATTGGAAAAAAAAAACTGAATTTGGGTACCCATGACATCTAGTTACCCAGGGCTCTGCAATAGTAATTATGATGTTCCTGGACAGGGGCAGTGAGGAAGACTCTAGGCCCCTTCAGTCTTCATCTAATTCCTCCTTTCACACTGCTAGACTTTTGCCTAACTGAGCCCCTTGGTGGGAGCGGGTGCAGTCAATCCTCTAGTGCCAGAGACCCCTCTTAGTACATTAGACGTCTCTGACCTTAGATTGGTGCCACCACCACTTTGGAATGATTCCAACCACCACTGATGACCCACTGTGAGTTTTCCCTCTTGTCCCTGGATGAAGGTCTCTACTTCTAGAATTAACTTTCAGACAAACCTTTGGATTTTTTTTCCTATCACACTTAAAACAATTCTTTAACTTTCTAAATTTGGACAAGATTAAATTGTACATAGATTCCCTTTCATGAATCCCCTCCATGAGTTACACAGACCACAATATGCCCAAACTCTGTGACTTATCCTTAGCCAGTCAAGTAGGGGGACGGAAGAATTTAACATAAGGAAAGAAGGCTTAAGCCACCTGAAACATGTGTGAATTTTCCCTGGACAGGCTGCCACTGCCAATTGCATCACTCATAGGCATCAGGGACTACAACTGGAAAAGACAGAAAAGAGTCCTTCCCCTTTCTGGGCAAGGCAGCTATCCCCATTCACTCCTGGGCCTTCAGTTAACACCAGAGAGTGGCCCCAGTTGCCTTCAGTTACCAAGGAGCTACTAGGAAATGGCCACTGAAAGACTGAAAAAGAAAAGAACTCAGGTTCCTCACCTGAACCAGGTGGTGGCAGTCAGGTGCTTCCACATGGACCTTTTAGTTTCACCAGAGAGTGGCCCTGGCCAGAAACCTGCAGTTGCCTCCATGCTTAGGCACTGTCCATCAAGGATCCCAGCTTGGAAAGGAAAAGGGAGAGAGAGAAAGAGGAAAAAGAAAAATACAAATCCCAAACTTTGGGCTTACCTTCTGGCTGGCTCACCAAAATATGTTACCAATTGAGGGTAGTTGTCCAGGTTCTTGGTGTTTTGAACGAAGAATTGGACAGAACACACAAACAAGGCATGGAAAGCAGAGATTTATTTTAAATGAAAGTATACTCCACAGAAGGAAAACAGACTCAGTCAAGGGGTTCAAGAGCATCAGCTACAGAATTTTCTGGGGCTTAAATACCCTCTAGAGGGTTCCCATTGGCCTATGCCCAGTCTGATTGGTTGTGGAAGGAGACCAATCAGAGTGAAAAGTAGGCCCTCAACCAGTCTGATTGGTTGAGGGAGGGGCTCTATCAGAGGTTCTTTCATTTTTCAACTGCCACCCAAAGAAAGGAGGGTTGCAACTGCCACGCAGCAACTGCCACGCAGAAAAAAGAGGGGTTGAAAATGGAGTCGCCTCTGATATCAGTCAGCATGAATCAGCCTTAGGTCCCCTGTTTCCAGACCCTATTCTCCTACCTAACATTGTTTCTACAGAATTCTATTTTTATTTCATTCACACTAAAAGGGCAGAATCTCTTAAACCAAAACCATCATCATGTCACAAACCAGACTATTTTCCAACCTTCATTTCAAAATGACCACTATCACCTTTTCTCACTCTTAGTCGGGCAGTAGAATAGGGTCCGGAGGCAGGGAACCTAAGGCCCATTCACGCTGACTTCCTAGAACTAAATCAAAAGGAAAACTCCAACTTTCCAAGCCCAAGTAACAAAAAGACCAGAGGCTATTCCCTTTGCAACCCCCTGCCCAACCTTCTAGGCCCTTGGTATCTGGGCCTAGTCTTCATTTCCATAGGAGTACAACTTTGTAACTTAACTTTAGCCTCTGATTGGTTGCAGGCTACTCCTTAATTTACAGAGGGTGTAAACCAAGTAACCAATGGGAAATCTCTAGCGGATATTTAAACTCCAGAAAATCCTGTAACCAGGGCTCTTGAGCCACTGGCTGGAGGCCATTCCCACTCTGTGGAGTGTACAGTCATTTCAATCTCTGCTTTCCTTGCTTCATTCTTTCCTTGCTTTCTTTGTGCGTTTTGTCCAATTCTTTGTTAAAAAAACCAAGAACCTGGATGACTTGTAGTCAAGACCCTCCATGGGTAACATTGGGACTATACAAAAGCCTTAGAAATCGTGGAATGATTTTTCAACCACATTATCTGATTCTAATGATGAACAGACCTGTAGACCGGTCTGAATCTTGGGATTTGCCTATCAAAAAACTCGGCTTTCCCTACTGCACAGGTCTTCAGAAGCGCATGTCTAACAAGGCTAATATTCCATCATCGGGATCAAATTGCTCACCGGATAGTAAAAAGACACTACAGAATTTCAGGGGTTCTCTGCCAATGAGAACTTCTGAATTATGTAGAACGGATCAGCTACTAAGCAGTGTTCTATCTTCCTACTCTTCTAATCGATTGTCATCCCTTAAAGCGCTGCTAATTCTAGAAAACAATCTATAACCTGTTAGAATCAGCGCAAGCTGGTGATGACTACAAGTCCCATGATGCAAAGTATGAGCACGGACCAATGTTGGTCGCAGTTCCTTCTGGGAATTGTAGTCTTCTCCTGTTTGGCAAACTAGGTATTGTAGCCTCCATTTCTCAGAAGTTCAGTTGGAAAACTAAAGATAGTGCAGAGAATGTCGATTTCCTGCCACAAGATTACATTTATCTTCGCTACCTGAGCGCCCAGCCGATCAACTCCAGTCGCTCCTCCGGTGGGCGGGCGCCCATGCCGTGACATCACTTCCGGCAGAGATGTGTGTGTGACGCTCTCTCTCTCTCTCTCTCGCTCTCGCTCTCTCCCTCGCTCGTTTTCTTTCTCTTTCTCTCTCTCTCTCTCTCTCTCTCTCTCTCTCTCTCTCTCTCTCTCTCTCTCTCTCTGTCTCTCGCTCTTGCCCTCTCTCTCTCTCTTTCTCTCTGTCTCTGTCTCTCTCTCTCTCTCTCTCTCTCTCTCTCTCTCTCTCTCCCTCCCTCCCTCCCTCCCTCCCTCTCTCTCTCTCTCTCTCCCCCCCCCCCCCCCCCCGCCCAGTTCGGCCCCTCCTTCCACACAGCAGGGATCTTGGGCCCGGGCAGAGACTGGCTGAGGCGGGGAGCAGCTGCTTTTGGGGCGGGGGTGTCACGTGAGGCTTCTCGCTGCTGAGGGAGGAGGCGAAAAGCTGCGGTTAAGGAGAGTCCGGTTTAACCGTCACCGGGAAGCGCGCTCGTTCGGGATCGCCGAGGGGGCTGAGGTAAAGACTGGGTCATTACCTCAGGACAGGCGGTCGCTGTCCCGGGTTCTCGTACGGGTGACACCTGCAACCTTGATGTCTGGCGGGCGGCAAGGGGCTCCGCGGGAGAGTGGAGAGGCGCCGCAGGAAGCCCAGCCACCTTCAGGCCACCGCCGACCCCACTGTGCGTCTGGGAGGCGCTGGGCGCGCACCGGTCAGCGGAGGCGGGAGAGTCTGTGATCCCAGGGAGCTGCGGGTCTCGCCGCCTGCAGTGCGGAAGACCCGTGACCGGCGCAGACCCCGGCCTTACCTTCCGAGGGTCGAACTGTGCCTGGTATTTGCCTCTTTCCTCCCGCCCACGGGGTTGCTCAGAGTCGGGCCACCTCACCTGAGGTTTTCCAGAGTGAGAATGAACTGAGCGTCCTGGGAGCAACTCCGCATCAGGGTAGAGGCGAAGACGCTCCTAATGAGCACAGCACGTTTTTTTGTTTGTTTGTTTGCTTGTTTTGTTTTTTTAACGCTTGGGTAGCGCTCACATCTTCGGACGTCAGTGGTTGTGTTGATATGTATTGATATGCGACCTCCCCCCAGCCAGGCGGCCTCAGGTAGTAGAGTGGCAAAGGCCAGGTAGATCCCTCGGACCTTGAGAAGGTTGAGATTTCAGACTTACTTGTTTTTGGGGAGGCCGTCAGGCGGAACCGAGGAGCGGTGAATCAGCAGCTAAAGTTTCATGAATCTTTGATAATGGGGAAATGTTGCCGAGAGCCACTTGAGTTAAAAATCTTTTTTTTTTTTTTTTTTGAGACGGAGTTTTCCTCTTGTAGCCCAGGCTGGAGTGCAATGGCACGATCTCGGCAAACTGCAACCTCCGCCTCCCGGGTTCAAGCGATTCTCCTGCCTCAGCCTCCCAAGTAGCTGGGATTATAGGCCTGCGCCACCATGCCCGGCTAATTTTTGTATTTTTAGTAGAGACGGGGTTTCACCATGTTGGCCAGGCTAGCCTCGAACTCCTGACCTCAGGCGATCCACCCGCTTCATCCTCCCAAAGTGCTGGGATTACAGGCGTGAGCCACAGCGCCCAGCCCAGAGTTAAAAATCTTATTTCAGCATCTTTCCAAGTCCAGGTGACTCATTTCTTACCTTTCCCACCAGTAGAGTTTCGTATGAAAAGTTGGGCAGTTATTGTTGTGTGTAGTCTTGTCATTTTGTTGGTCTGTAGTTGTTACAGTTTCTTATGAGTTTATTATTTAACAAAGTAATAGTAAACCATTTCTTCTTTGTGTTATGATACTATTCTGACACAAGATATACTGGTCCGTTTGATAACAGATTCTTGAGTGTAAGTTATAAAGATTTAAATACCCTCAGTTTATCGTAGAGCAGAATTAGTGATGACCTGTAAGCTGTGAAGAACGGTTACAATTTTCACTATTTAATTTTGTTGCATATAAGTTCAGTGTTCACTGGGTTTTATTTGAGTAACTTGACCAAGTGTGTATTTTTAATCCTGGGTTCTATAGAATTATACTATGTAGCATCAAAGCATCTGGTTCATTGTTACTACTCTGTGTAAATCTTTATAGTTTCACTAATTAAATTGAAAGGTAATGTGAATAGATTTCCTCCCTTTCTGATTAAATCCAGAGGTAATGTAAATAGTTTTCTTCCTTTTCTTTTTTCTCTCTTGTACTGAATGTAGTACTGTCAAGATGATAAGCATGGAATAAAGCTTCAGAAGGGTCTTTACCAATCTTTCTCCTACCAACTTTTACATACATGAAATCAGGTTAAAATGAACTTTACAGAAATACTTCACAAGGGAATAAAGTAGAGGAAAAAGGGATAACATGTAACATGGAGTCAAGGAAAAAGAGTGTGAAGTAGTTTTGCTCTCTCTATCTTGCAAATAGGAGTCCTTAAAGACAACTGGGAGAAGGGGTTTGAGGTATGTTTTCATTCCAAATAAAATAATAGTGTCATAAAATTGAAAAGAATACTTTTCTTTTGAATCCTGCTGCACATTAAAGACTAACCTTTTAATATGTCCTTTTCATTTTTAGATAGTGAATTCCTAAGAAGAAAATAATGGATTGCATATTAGTTGTTCTCTAAGTGGACTCAACAGTGTGCAAGCTTGTTGGAAAAGCCAAAAGAAGATGGCAACTCCTTATGTCCCAGTTCCTATGCCCATAGGAAACTCTGCTTCCAGTTTTACAACAAACAGAAATCAAAGAAGTTCTTCTTTTGGCAGTGTCTCAACAAGCTCAAATTCTTCTAAGGGCCAGTTAGAAGACTCAAATATGGGTAATTTTAAACAGACAAGTGTTCCTGATCAAATGGATAATACTTCATCTGTCTGTAGCAGTCCCCTCATTAGGACTAAATTTACAGGTACAGCTTCTTCCATTGAGTATTCTACTAGACCAAGAGACACTGAAGAACAAAATCCGGAAACAGTGAATTGGGAAGATAGACCATCTACACCTACTATACTGGGTTATGAAGTGATGGAAGAAAGAGCTAAATTTACTGTAAGTATTGACTTCTGCTGTATAACACTACAAAGTGAAAGATTGGCTAATCTCTGTGTTCAAACCAGTGTTAAATTAATGTAAACTTGTACTTATAATTTCTTGAATATGAAATTCTAATGGTTTTTACACCACTGAATTCTATCATGTTGTAGTAAACTTTTGCTTTACCTTAATAAATTTTCACAAACCAGACACACCTATGTAACTATTAATAGCACATAAATCAAGGAAAAGAACGTTACTAGAATCTTAAATGCTCTAGGTTCTCTGCCAGTCAGGACCCATTCACCCAATACTTTTGTATAGCCTAGATTAATTTTGCCTATTTTTGTACTTTATCTAAATGGAATTATATACTCTTTTTGCATCTGGTCTCTTTTCTTTAGCCTTGCCAAATTACATGCCCAGCTTTAAAAGATATTGGTGAACAGTGTTTCAGAATGGTTGTACTGATTTATACTCCTAAAAGCAGCATATAAGAGTTCCAGTTGATCCATAGCTTCCTAACATGTGATATTTTAACATTTTTATCATTTCAGCTGTTCTCATGGGTACAGAGTAATATCACATTGGTTGTGGTTTTAATTTGAATTTTCTTAATGACTAATTGAATTTAAAATTTTTTTGGGCTGTTTGGATATTCTCTTGTGAAATATCTGTGCATGATTTTTGTTCATTTTTCTTTTGGGAAGTCTCCCTTTTGATTTGTAGTTTTCTGTGCACTTTGGATATAATTTTTTTTTCAGATACATGTATTATGACTATCCTCTCACTCTGTGGTTTGCCTTTTCAATTCCTTAATAATACATTTGATAAACAAAAGTTCTTAATTTTAATTTGGCTTGATTTATTACTTTTTTTAATGGCTAGCACTTTTTGAAATCTTTGCCTACTCCAAGGCTACAAAGATACTGTCCTATGTTTTCTTCTAAAATCTTTATTGTTGGACCTTTCACATTTAGATTCGTAAACCACCAGAATTGATTTTTGTCCATGGTGTGAGGTGAGGGTCAAGTCTTTTTTTTTTTTTTTTTCCAGATGGGACCAATTAATCAGGCTTTTATTTGAAAGACCACTCTCTCTCCTCTTCATTTTCAGTGTTGTCTGTGTCATAAATCATGTGACCATAAATGCATGGGTCTGCTTCTGTGTTCTATTTTTTCATCCTTTACTAATTTCACACTGTCTTAATTAATAAAGTCTTATAATAGGTCTTGATATGTAGCAGTGTATGTACTTTAGCTTTTTTCTTCAGGATGGCCTTGGCTATTCTTCACCCTTTGCATTGAGATTTTGTTAGATCTATAGATTAATCTGGGGAGAACTGACATCTTTACTGAGTTTTCAAATCTATGAACCTAATCCATTTACTTAAGTCATTTTTTTCTAGTAATGTTTTGTTGTTTTTGGTGCAGGGTTCTTACATCTGTTGGTTAGATTTATTTCAGGATATGGATGTTGTTTGATGTTCTTGTGAGAGACATCTATTTTTGTTTTCTATTTACTGCTATTTTATATAATTTGTCCTTTTATGTTTACATATCCAGCAACCTTGCTCAACTCTCTTATTAACTCAAAAGGTTTACTTTTTTGGTAAGACTTTGTTCTTTTAGTAAAGTTTAATGTTTACTTCAATGTTTCATGCTGTAAATTTATGACAGGATGGGAGGACCTCCAAGGAAAAATTGTTGAGATAATTTATGAAGAGGCAGTCTTTAAAATTATCATAAGACTGTGATATAGGAAATCTTCAGGGAACTCTGTCTCTCTCTCTCTTTTTAGAAAATTTTTAGAAAATATAAACTGATGGCCAATTTCCTGAATTAAGAAATAGGCATTTATTGAGTTGATACTATGGTCTGAATGTGCGTTCCTTCAAAATTCATATGTTGAAACCTAACCTTCAAGGTGATGGTATTAAGAGATGGAGCTTTTGGAAGCCAGTAGGTCATGGGAGCAGAGCCCCCATAAATAGGATTAGGACCCTTAAAAAGAGGCCCCAGAGAGCTTTTTGTCCTTTACACATCTGAGGACATAGCTATAAGGCACCATCTATAAACCAGAAAGTAGGCCCTCTCCAGATACCAAATCTGTTACTGTCTTGATCTTGGACTTCTCAGACTTTAGAACTTTGAGAAATAAATTTCTTTGTTTACAAGCTACCAAATTTATGGTATTTTGTTATAACAGACCTAACAGACTAAGACAGATGATATGTGTGAAGATGCAAGTATTTGGCCAAATACAAGGTGGTGTTATGTAAAGCATTTCAAGAGACTGGAGAGGAGGAAGTAAATGACAGATATGAAATTAGTCATATTCATTTATTTATTAACTCAACATTTTTTTAATTACCTATTATGCCTCAGGCACTGTTCTGGGTAATAGTGGTACAGCAATTTGAATGAAAGCATGATAAGTAAGTAAATAATAAGACGCCTGATATGTCACATGGTGATAAGCACTATAGAGAGAAATAAAACAGAGAAGGAAGACAGGGAGTTTCCCCAAATCTGGGGTTGGGATTTAAATAGCACTATCAGTCATGGCCTCACAAAAAGATGTTAGTGCTAACAGGGAATGAGCCATGAGAATGTGTTTTCAACACAGATGGGACAACTACAAAGATCCTTGTGGCTGACAGCAGAGTAAGCTGTGGGAGGTGTAGGGAATGAGATGACAGGCAGGGAAGTGTGGCACACAGATCACATAGGGAAGGAGGCACTGTGAAGACTTTGGATTTTACTCTGCATGAGATGAGAATCTTTTAAAAGGTTTTTAAAAGAAGAGTCATGTGATCTGACAATGTTTTAAAAAGTTCATTCTGGCTACTGAATTGAGACTGGTTTGGTCGAGATGGGGGACAGTCAAAGCAGGAAGCAGTTAGTAGGTTCTTTTAGTAATCCAAGGGAAACATGATGGTAGTGTGGACTGGGGTGGTGGAGGAAGTCCTGAGAAGTGATCAGGTTCTGGATTTGTTTTAAAAGTAGAACCGGCAATATTTCCTAATGATTTGGAAGTGGAGTGTGGGAGAAAGAGAGGTCAAAGGTGACTTCAAAAGTTTTGGCCTAAACAATGGGAAGATATGGCTGCCATTTAATTAAATGACAGGTTTTGAGGGATGATCAAAATTTGTTTTTAGACATGCTAGATTTGATATGTCTGTTCAACATTGAAATGGAGATGTTACATGTGTTAATGTGTACACATACATATGTAATGTGTGTGTATACATATAAGCTGAGTTTAAGGGAGAGGTATAAGCTGGAGATACAAACTTGAGAATCTTAGGTTTGTAAAATAATTTTTTCTAGATATATTCTTTTGAATTGCTCTCATAACTGAAAAAAGTATTAGGACTCACTCTTGATCTGATAATATATAAGGTGTCTAGTCTTTAAAAAGGTTGTTTAAAGACAAAAATTGACTAGGATGTGTAGTGAGTAGAATTGGGAAGGAAGCATGCTATGGACCTCTTTGATTGGTAATGTTTCATTTCTTGCTCACTGATATGGTTTGGCTGTGTCCCCACCTAAATCTCATTTAATTCCCATGTGTTGTGGGAGAGACCTGGTGGGAGGTAATTAGGAAGTATAGCTAACTTGCTTTTGATTTTACAAGCTGATAGGCAAAAGGGACTTGCCTTGTCTCAGATGAGGGACAAGGGGCAATCATTGGGGCAGGTCTTTCCCATACTGTTCTTGTGATAGTGAATAAGTCTCACAAGATCTGATGGTTTTAAAAGCGGGAGTCTCCCTGCACAAGCTGTCCTCTCTTGTCTGCCAGCATGTGAGACTTGCCTTTCACCTTCCATCATGATTGTGAGGCCTCCCAGCCATGTGGAACTGTAAGTCAAATAAACCTCTTTCTACAGTCCAGGCTGAGGTAGTCTTAGTTGGAGATGAGGAACTTGTTGGGAAATGGAGAAAAGGTAATTCTTGTTAGGTTTAGCAAAGAGATTGGCGGCATTTTGCCCCTGCCCTAGAGATTTCTGGAACTTTGAACTTGAGAGGGATGATTTAGGGTATCTGGCGGAAGAAATTTCTAAGCAGCAAAGCATTCAAGAGGTGACTTGGGTGCTACTAAAGGCATTCAGTTTTATAACGGAAGCACAGCATAAAAGTTTGGAAAATTTGCAGCCTGACAGTGCAATAGAAAGTAAAATCCCATTTTCTGAGGAGAAATTCAAGCTGGCTGTAGAAATTTGCATAAGTAATAAGGAACCCAATGTTAATCCCCAAGACAATGGGGAAGATGTCTCCAGGGCATATGAGAGGTCTTCATGGCAGCCCCTCCCATCACAAGCCCAAAGGCGTAGGAGGAAAACGTGGTTTTGTGGACTGGGCCCAGGGTCCCTGTGCTATGTGCAGCCTAGAGGCTTGGTGCCCTGCGTCCCAGCCGCTCCAGCCATGGCTGACAGGGGCCAACATAGAGCTCAGGCCGTGACTTCAGAGGGTGTAATCCCCAAGCCTTGGCAGCTGCCACATAGTGTTGAGCCTGTGAGTGCACAGAAGTCAAGAATTGAGGTTTGGGAACCTCTGCCTAGATTTCAGATGATGTATGGAAATGCCTGGATGCCCAGGCAGAAGTTTGCTGTAGGGGCAGGGCCCTCATGGAAAACTGCTGCTAGGGCTGTGTGGAAGGGAAATGTGGGGTCAGAGCCCCATACAGAGTCCCTACTGGGGCACTGTCTAGTGGAGCTGTGAGAGGAGGGCCATCATCCTCCAGGTCCTAGAAAGGTAGATCCACCAACAGCTTGCACCATGCACCTGGAAAAGCCACGGCTCATAAAAGCAGCCAGGAAGGAGGAGGGCTATATCCTGCAAAGCCCCAGGGGTGGAGCTGCCCAAGGCCATGGGAGCCCACCTCTTGCATGAGCAGGACCCAGACATGAACTAGACATGGAGTCAAAGGAAAGTATTTTGGAGCTTTAAGATTTGACTACCCTGCTGGATTTCAGACTTGCATTGGGCCTGTAGCCCCTTTGTTTTAGCCAATTTCTCCCATTTGGGATGCTTGTATTTACCCAATGCCTGTACCCTCATTGTATCTAGTAAGTAACTAGCTTGCTTTTGATTTTATAGGCTCATAGACGGAAGGGACTTCTTGTCTCGTATAAGAATTTGGACTGTGGACTTTTGAGTTAATGCTGAAATGAGTTAAGTCTTTGGGGGACTGTCTGGAAGGCACTATTAGTTTTGAAATGTGAGGACATGAGATTTGGGAGGGGCCAGGGGTGGAATGATATGGTTTGAATGTGTCCCCACCCAAATCTCATCTTGAATTCCCACATGTTGTGGGAGGGACCCAGTGGGAGGTAATTGAACAATGGGGGCAGGTCTTTCCCATGCTGTTCTTGTGATAGTGGGTAAGTCTCATGATATCTGATGGTTTTAAAAATGGGAATGTCCTTGCACAAGCTCTCTTCTTTTGTCTGCTGCCATGTGAGATGTGCCTTCACTTTCCACCATGATTATAAGGCCTCCCTAGCCACATGGAACTGTAAGTCCAGTAAACCTCTTTCTTTTGTAAATTGCCCAGTCTCAGGTATGTCTCTCAGCAGCATGAAATGGACTAATACACTCATAGTACTTTAGGTGTGTTCATTTTGTGAAATTTGTCAAGTTGTACGCTTATGAATTGCACACTTTTTGTATATATTTTATAATTCAAAAACAACTACATTAAAATAAAAACAGTACAAGGAAATACATATGAAACTTCAAATAAAGAGTAGAAACAACAACAGTTATTGGAATATAGAGAAGGGAATGATCAGTACTGTTCATAAAGTTTTCATTGAAAGCACTACTTAAACAAGTAGAAAGCACTTTCTAGAAGAGATAGAACACAAAAGTCGTATTTTATCTTGCTAGAGAAACAGGGGTATTCAGTGGCCACAGTGGAGAGTAGCTTATTTAGAAGGGGGAGTTCATTTTCTAAGACAAGAAAATAAAGTCAGTATGTATTATTTGTAGATATTCCTAATTATTATATGAAGTGCACTTTTATCCTGTATCAGTCATTCATACTCAAAAGTTTTAAAGTCGACTTCTCTCTTCTTTTAATGAGTGACTCCTAAAAAGAATTTCTTTTGTATTCCCATTGCAACTTTTTTAGATCAGGACCTTCTGCTGACTTTAAAGAGTATCCGAGTAACCTTGTTTCCCACCCTTAGATGTTACAAAGATAAATTGCTTTATTTTTTTAAACTTCAAAGCTAAAGGATTTATCCTTAACTCCTCCTTATTCTCTCCCTTAAAAGCTGAAAGAGAAGTTTGTATGGGAGAAAAATCAAAGGGTAAGGATAATCTATAGTCCCTAACTAATGAATGGTCTTTAGGGCAGCACTGTCCAATAGAAGTATAATGTGAGCAGTAATTGTGAATCACATCTGTAATTTTAAATTTCTTAGGAGCCACATTAAAAAAAAAAAGAAATAGGTGAAATTATTTTATTAATATATCTTATTCAACCTAATATGTCCAAAATATTATCATTTTAACATGTAGTTAGTATTAGACCATTTTAATAAAAGCTGTTTACATCTTTTTTCACATTAAATCTTTGAAATTCAGTGTATATGTTGCACACTACGCACATCTCAATTTTGACTAGTCACACATTGAGTGCTCAATTGCCATGTGTGACCAAAAGTGCAGCTCTAGAGCTGCAGTTGAAAATTGTTGCACAGCAAATGTCCAGAAAAGAAGTTACTTTTTTAAAGAGAGTTTCTTATTCAGCAAATATTTATTGAGTATCTCGTATGTGCCTATATGTAGCTTAGTGCAAAATACCGTATCAAAACTACTAGATGCTTCTCTGAGATTCTATCATAAATAACACTTTCTCTTAATACATTCTAAAAGCATACTTATAAAAAATAGAATCCACTTTTTCCTTAGGTGCTTTTAAAAATACATTGACTTGCTTCAACCAAGTTTTTCTACTCAGTAGCCTACATAATTGTACATAATTACAAAAATGTAAATTTTATTCAGTTGGGGTTTTTTGGTATTTCAAGCTTATATTTTGCCCTATTTTACAATAATTTCAACTTTCATTTTAGATTCAAAGGATACATGTGCAGGTTTGTTACATAGGTATATTGCGGGATACTAATGAACCCATCACCCAAGTAGTGAGCATAGTACCCAACAGTTTTTCAACTCCTTCCCCCCTTCATCCTTCTCCACTAGGAGTCCCCAGTGTCTATTGTTGCTATCTTTATGTCCATGAGTTCCCAATGTTTACCTCCCACTTATAAGTGAGAACATTAGGTATTTGGTTTTCTGTTCCTGCATTAATTCACTTAGGATAATGGCCTGTACCTCTATACATGTTGCTGCAAAGGACATGATTTGATTCTTTTTTATGGCTATATAGTATTCCATGGTGTATCTGTACCACATTTTCCTTATCAAATCTATCCTTGATGGACAGCTAGGATGATTCCATGTCTTTGCCATTGTGAGTAGTTTGTGCAATGAACATGTAAGTGTATATGTCTTTTTGGTAGAACAATTTGTTTTCTTTTGGATATATACCCAGGAATGGGATTGCTGTGTCAAATGGGAGTTCTGTTTTAAGTTCTTTGAGAAATCTCCAAACTGCTTTCCACAGTTGCTGAATTAAGTTACAGTTCTACCAGCAATATATAAGTGCTCTCTTTTCTCCATAACATCACCAGCATCTGTCATGATAATGACTGATAGCCATTCTGACTTCTGTGAGATGGTATCTCATTGTGGTTTTGATTTACATTTTTCTGATGAGTAGTGTTGTTGAGCATTTTTTTTATGTTTCTTAGCTGCTTGTATGTCTTCTTTTAAGAAGTATCTGTTCATGTCTTTTGCCTACTTTTAATGAGGTTATTTGTTGAATTGTTTAAGTTCCTTTTTTTTTTTTTTTTTTTGACGGAGTCTCACTCTGTCACTCGCTAGAGTGCAGTGGTGTGATCTTGGCTCACTGCAACCTCTGCCTCCCAGGTTCAAGCAATTCTCCCATCTCAGCCTCCCGAGTAGCTGGGATTACAGGCACCCACCACCACATCTGGCTAATTTTTGTATTTTTAGTAGAGGCGGGGTTTCACCATACCATGTTGACCAGGCTGGTCTCAAACCCCTGACCTCAAGTGATCTGCCCACCTCAGCCTCCCAAAGAGCTGAGATACAGGCATGAGCCACTGCACCCAGCCTTGAATTGTTTATGTTCCTTATGGATTCTGGATATTAGACCTTTGCCAGATGCATAGTTTACAAATATTTTCTCCCATTCTGTAGGTTGTCTCTTTATTCCATTGATAGTTTCTTTTGCTGTGCAGAAACTTTATTTTAATTAGGTCTCACATCAAGTTTTGTTTTTGTTGCAGTTGCTTTTGAGAACTTAGTCATAAATTCTTTCCCAAGGCCGATGTCCAGAATGGTGTTTCATAGGTTTTCTTCTGGGACTCTTATAGTTTGTGGCCTTACCTTTAAATCTTTAATCCATCTTGAGTTAATTTTTGTATATAGTGAAAGATAGAGCTCCAGTTTCATTTTTCTGCATATAGCTAGCCAGTTATCCAAGCCCTGCTTATTGAACAGGGGATCGCTTCCCTATGCTTATTTTTGTCAACTTTGTCAGAGAACAGATGGCTGTAGGTGTGCAGTTTTATTTCTGGGTTCTCTATTATCTTCCATTGGTTTATATGTCTGTATTTGTACCAGTACCATGCTGTTTTGGTTATTGTAGGCTTGTAATATAATTTGAAGTCAGGTAGTGTGATGCCTCTGGCTTTGTTCATTTCACTTAGGATTGCTTTGGCTATTTCAGCTCTTTTTTGGTGCCATGTGGATTTTAGAGTAGTTTTTTTCTAATTCTGTGGAGAATGATGTTGGTAGTTCGATAGGAATACCATTGAATCTATAGACTGCTTTGGGCAGTGTGGCCATTTTAATGATATTGATTCTTCCAATCCATGAGCATGGAATGTTCTTCTGTTTCTTTGTGTTATCTGTGATTTCTCTTTTTTTTTTTTTTTTTTTTTTACCCCCTAGACGGAGTCTTGCTCTGTCGTCACCCAGGCTGGAGTGCAGTGGTGCAATGTCAGCTCACTGCAAGCTCCGCCTCCTGGGTTCATGCCATTCTCCTGCCTCAGCCTCCCAAGTAACTGGGACTACAGGCGCCTGCCACCGTGCCCGGCTAATTTTTTTTGTATTTTAGTAGAGATGGGGTTGCACTGTGTTAGCCAGGATGGTCTCGATCTCCTGACCCCCATGATCCGCCCACCTCGGCCTCCCAAAATGCTGGGATTACAGGTGTGAGCCACCACACCCGGCCCTGTGATTTCTTTCAGCAGTGTTTTGTAGTTCTCCCTGTAGAGATCTTTCCTCTCCATGATTAGATGTATGCCTAGGTGGTTTTTTTGTGTGTAACTACTGTAAATGGGATTGCATTCTTGATTTGGCTCTCAGCTTGAATGTTATTGGTGTATGGAAATACTATTCATTTTTAAACATTGATTTTATATCCTGAAATTTTACTGAAGTCCTTTATCAGTTCCCAGAGCCTTTTCGCAGAGTTTTTAGGGTTTTCTAGGCATAGAATCACATAGTTTGACTTCTTCTTTTCCTATTTGGATGCTTTTTATTTATATCTTGCCTGATTGCTTTGGCTAGGACTTCCATATTTTATTCTTGGCAATAAAAACATTGAACTTATTTGAAAACTTTGCTTGATAGTTATTAAGTTTAAAAATTGTGTAGAACAAAAGTGGCTATTTTTCATAGCTTCTTCAAGTATAATTTTTTAATCAATTTTAGAATATATTGACATAAATCATGTTTTGGAAGCTGATGAGTTTATTGTTAGTGTGCACAGAAAAAGCGTTTTGTCTCAAATCTGTTATATTTCCTAAGGAAAAAATCTGGCTTTTGGTGCCTGCATTGATTATTTGTACTTTTGATAATTTAAATGATTTTTGATATTTTTTACATAATAATTGTTATAGTCTGGGTTATCAAGTAAAATTTTTTAAAATATTTGGCTTGAGTTTTTAAATATCTTTACTTTTATATTTTTCTCTCCGTCTGTTTTTCTTCCTGTGCATAGGTATATAAAATACTAGTAAAGAAAACCCCAGAAGAAAGCTGGGTAGTTTTCAGAAGATACACTGACTTCTCTAGGCTTAATGACAAAGTAAGTACTATAATAAATCCAAACTAACATTTCAGTTTTGAATTCTTTTCTGTTTCCTATACTTCTGTTATATTTTTTCTTTGTTAATGAGTCAAATTCATTCTAGTTCATAAGAAAATTAATTTTTTAAATAAATTTTTAAAATAAAAATTTTTAGCATAAAAATGTGAAACTTTAAAATTGCCAACAGAAATATAAATAATTATCTTGTGAGTCTGAAAAAGATGTGTATAAGATCTTTTGAATTATTATAAAATTATATATGTCTATAAGATAATGAACAAAAACATATTTAACATATTGTATTAGTTTCCTATTACTGCATAATAAATTACCACAAACTTTGTTGCTTAAATTAACACCTGTTTATTATTTAGTGGTGTGGGTGGGTTCAGCTGGGTTCCTTGCTTAGCATCAAGCAAAGTCAAAATCAAGCTGTTAGCTGGGCTGGGCACTTATCTGGAGGCTCTGGAGGAGAATTACCTTCCAAGCTTATTCAGGTTGTTGGCAGAATTTAGTTTCTTGAAGTTGTAGGGCCAAATTTTCTGTTTCCTGGCTGATTGTCAGCCAGAAATCATTCATACTTCATAGAGACTACTCTCCAGTCCTTGTACATAGCCCCTCCATCTTCAAAGCCAGCAACAGTGAGCCAAGTTCTTCCTGTACTTTGAAGCTCTTTGACTTTCTCCTCTGCCACCAGCTAGAGAAAACAGTCTAAAGGGATCAGGTGGTAAGATAAGGCTCACCCAGATAATCTTAGCTTAAGGTCAATTGATTAGTAACCTTAATTACAGCTGCAAAATCCTTTTTCTATGTAACATAATAAAATCACAGAAGTAACACCAGAGGCAAAGATCATGGACCATCTAGAATTCTGTCTACTGTGCATACAAAACAGAAGAATAATAAACCTCAGTGTATTAAGAACCCTTAAAACTAAATTAGGAAAGTGAACCCCAAAGTAAAAAATGCAACAAACAGTATGAGCAGGATAATTCACAGAAGAAACATAAATGATCAATAAACCTGGAAAACACTTAATATCACAGATACTCCAAGAAAAGGAAACTAAGACACTCTTTTTCACCTGTCAAGCTGACAGATATTTAAATGATAATACCCAGCGTTGGAAGTATGAATCTTCCTAGGGGATACCCAAAAGTTTTGCATAATTTAACATAATAATCACATTTCTAGGATTTATCATATATAAGTAGTCATAAACATGGGAAATATTTAGCTTTAAGGGCACTTACCACAGTGTTTTGTATATTGTTTTGTTTATCTGTGTTTTACTTTGCTTTTAGTAGTTAAAAGTTGGAAGCAACCTAAATTTCTAAAAGTGAAGAATTAAGTAAATTATTATTAGAATATAATAGCAAAAGAAGAGCTGCCTTGTCCCCAGAGCTAGAGGAAATTTAGATGGGGCAGGAGGCAGAGGGTGTGATATTTTGGAAGCCAAGAGAAAAATCATTTATCTAAAAGAAGCAAGCAGTTCATTATGCTTCTGAGAGGCCAAGTAAGATGATCTTAGAACATGCAGAAATTACTCTCCAATTTTGACAGGTGTTTAATAAGAAAGCTGTACTGGTCCTGTTCTCTCCCATTTGTGACTTGTCCTTTCCTCCTTCTTTGGACTCCTTGAAGCTTTAAAGTTAGTATATTTTTATAGTGTTTGGTGATGGGAAACCCATGTAACTTTGTAGTTATTTAGCTGCCAAATTTTTCTGCCACTGTAAAAACCTCAGTTTAAATGAAAAGGTAAAATATGGAATGCTAAATTATTTTATCCATTTTAAGATTTGGTTAAGATGCTTTCTTGTAATATGCCAAAATAAAGTGTTATTTTTAATGTATACCTACAGTTATATATGAATTTTATTTACTGTTCCTGAGCTTCATATATTATACTGATGAATTTGAAATCTATAATTCTGTACTTCTGTTAATTTTTTTAAATGACTAAACAAGCCGAAAGATAAAAGCAATTCATGAAGTTACCTGATAGTTAAGTGGAATACTTAGTTTTTAATGAAATTATTACAATTTTGATCATGCAGACTAATTTCAAACAGTTTCATTGTAGACCTATTTAATCCTTTATGAAAAAAAATCCATTATTTTTCTTTTCAGACTATACTGTTATTTAGTGTTTACTTCCTATTATCTCTTTAGATTTCATCTTTATTGCTGAAGTATTTTCTTAGGCAAGCTGAAATTTAGATAAATCTTTTAGAAAAAAGATGATAGGAGTTTAATTTAAATTTAGTAAATATCTCCTTGATCCTCCAAGATGGGCATTTAAAATTAATAAGTGTTTATGTTGGTGTTATAGGTACCAGAAAGAGCTCTACCCATCAGTTGCTTTTACTGGCAATATTTTTAAAAAGTATGTCAAACACTAAGAAACACACAGTTTAAATTGTAGTTATCATTGATATAATTGTAAAAAATAAAAGCTTAGGATTTTTCATTTTACAAAATCAATCATGAAGTATTTATGAAATGAGTAGATAGAGTTCAGCATTGTGCTAGGAATTTGGAGTTACTCTTATGTAGAAACTATATAGATGTGATTCTAACTTTAAGGAATTTACATTTCCCAGTTATATAGTTGTGAAGTACAAATAGCTAATTGGCAATACAAAAATTATTGAATGTGCTAAAATAACACTGCTTAGAAAGAGAACATTTATATAGAACATTAATATTTTCTTTTTGTTTTATTTTTATTTCCTGGGTTATGGTCTGACTTCAACTTCTCTGGGAGTGATAAGAGCCTCTGCTGAGGAAGTCAGAGGACAAAGTCATGAGCAAATTCTGGAATGCACAGGGCTTATCAGAGTTGGGGCAACCAGGCGGGGTTTTAGGGTGGACTGGGAGATGCATTGATTGTAGAAATATGGCCATGAGAAGTGAGTTTTTTTCTAAATTCTATTTAAAATTGAAGCTCAATATTTCTACTTCCAGGTTACAGCAGTAGGACAAAGCTGAACATTTCTGTGAGGTAAAATTACTGTTCTCAGTTGCTTCCAGGCAGCAGAGCATAGGGAGAGAGAGAGCAGGACCTTACCAACTCATTGTCAAGACATTCCAGGTTCATATAAAAAATCTGTGGCAGATGCAACCAGGCATTCAGTCCTCACATTAAAAAGAAGTTCAGTTATATTCTTCCACATGTCTGTCTCTTGAGTCACGCTGCTCTCTCCTAAACTGATCTGCCCTCCATATGAGCTTTGTAAGTGGCATCCTGAGATTGCCTTTCACTGTCTTTCTGGCAATTTTTTTTCATTTCTCTCCTTTGTTGGATCTTATTTTCTCTATCCCTTATCTTCCTCTTCTTGAATTACCCAATTGTGGGACAACTCCTTCTTTTCTGTGGACAATTTTTTAAGGGGAAAAAAAAAATCTAACCATTTAAATTGTAAATGGTTTTTATAATTTAAATTATAAAGCTTAAAATTAATAAAAAGCCTATTTTCATTTCCCTCATGTCTTTTGTTATTTAATTTTCTGTCCAGATACATTAAATATCAAAGCTCCAAGGCCATAAATATCTAATTACATCTTGAAATCAAATTAAGGTTTTAGTTATCTAAGTTATTCTCTAGTTTTTGCCTTATTTATTTTATCTTCACGTTTATAGAAATATAGACAGAATGTTATAATTTACCATTTTTCCACTATTTTATGCAGTGCATTTTTCCTTTGTAGTTGTGATATTCATTTTATATTTAAGTATAGAAATGCAAACATACACGGATTCATTTCAGTCATTCATTTATTGAACATATATTGTTGACTGCTTGTTATGTAGCAGGCACTATGCTAGACATTAAAGATGCAACTATGACTAAGGCATGCATAATAATTGTAGTGTAGTAAAATGGTTCTCAATCTTAATTACACTTTGGATTCCACTGGAAAGCTTTTTAAAATTACAATGCCCAGGCCTCATTTCAACTAATTAAATCCTAATCTATCAGAGATGGGAAACAATCATTAATATCTTTTAAAACTCCTGGGTGATTCTAATGTGCAGCCAGAGTTTAGAATCACTGGTCTACTAAGACAGCCTAAATTAAATGTGCTGTTTACATTGTGAATGATGTCATTAAAGAAATAAATTCATGATTTGACAATGTGTGTCAGTTTGTCTTTTCTAAAAGTGGCCACAGCAGTATGTTTAGTCCCATATGCTCTTCCTGAATCTTGCCACTGCCCATCAAGAGATAGAATACATTTCCCCTCCCCTTGAACCTGGATGGTCTTGCGACTACTCAACCCAATAGAGGTCAGTGGAAATAATGCTGTGTGAGTTTTAAGCCTAGATTACAAGAAGTGCACAGTTTCATTCTGGCTTGCTTTCTTGGAATGCTCCCTTTTGAAGCCAGCCTCCATGCTGCAAGAAAAGTCCAAGACACCTGGAGAGGCCAGTATTAGGCTTATGGCTGACAACCTTGGCAAAGTTCTCAGCCAGCAGCCAGCATCATCCACTATAGATGTAAGTGAGTGAACTTCAGACAGTTCCAGCACCCAGCCTTCAAGTCTTTCAGCTGAGGCCTGAATTCATTGCATAATAGAGATATATCATCCTTACTGTACCTCATATGAATTATTGACCTAAAAAATCTGTGAGCTTAATATTAAGAAATGGTTATCTTGTATCACTGAGATTTTAGGTAATTTGTTACACAGTTGTGGTAACTTGAACAGAATGTAAAAGGGAAGACTTCACTTAGTTTACAGGGTTGGGAAAGTCTTCCCTAAGAAAGTAAAATTTAAGCCAAATGTATAAAATAGGTCATAACCAGAATATAAAAGTTAAAACTAAACTTTTAGGAAAGACACATAGAAGAAAATCTTTACAGCCTTGGAGTAAGCAGACTTTTTTTATGATCTAAAAAAAAGCATAAACCATAAAAGAAACAATGGATGAATTAAATAACATTAAAATTAAAAAAAATCTGCTCTGTTAAGACAAATTGAAAAGTCAGGCCAAGTTGGGAGAAAATATTTGTAATGCATGTATCTGACAAAGGACTTGTATCTGAAATATATAAAGAACTCTTATAACTTAGGCAACCTAATTTTTTTAAAGGGAAGGTGCTAAAAAATTTAATACATAATTCACCATTGAAGATACTCAAATGCAAATAAGCAGATGAGAAGATATTCAACTTCATTTGTCAGCAAAGAAATGCAAATTATAGCCAGAATGAAATGGTTCTACACCCCCACTAAAATGGTTAACATTCAAAAGATGGACAATGCCAAGTTCTGGCAAGGATGTGGAAAGACTGGAACTCTTCTGTATACACAGCTGGTAGAAAACAAGAAATAAAACAAGGCATAAAAAGCTTAACTGAATTTAATTCTTTTATTTTAAACTTATTTCATGAATAATTTCATGTAGTCAACAGGATAGATTTTGTAGAATTGATAGTGCTTGAGTTAAACATTGTATTTGCTCTTTTCTTCTTTTTCAGTTAAAAGAGATGTTTCCAGGTTTTCGACTAGCACTTCCTCCAAAACGCTGGTTTAAAGATAATTACAATGCTGACTTTTTAGAAGACAGACAATTAGGATTACAAGCGTTTCTTCAAAATTTAGTAGCTCACAAGGACATTGCTAACTGGTATGTAACGAATTGAAATAAGAGATTATAAAAGCATTCCAATAACTGGCGTAAATTAAAGAATAAATCTATGATCATAGTTATTTAAGCACAAAAATACAGGGTTGGAGTATAATTACTTGTCTTCTTTAACAAAGTACTACAAGAGATTTTCTTGCTTTCTTTCAATAAGGACTTTATTTGACATTTCATTTTTATCAAAGCTTATTTTAAATAGTCAGTAAAGTGAAAAATCCAGTGTACCATGTACTAAACCACCCAAAGGTAAACTTTTAGTATTTTGTATTTTAGCAATGACTTAAACAAAACCACTTACATATTAGTAAAATTTTGGTTAATATGATACTATGTAATTGTAAGGGTAATATTCTTTATATTTCTCCAAAGTAATGCAAAAATATTAAAATTGTGAAATTGGCTTAATTTACATAGAAGGTAGAGTGAAAATACCAAACAGCATTAAAAAAGGAAAAGAACAGATCTATGTGGGTTTTTTGCTTCAGAATATATTTACAAGAAAATTGCTTAGTGGTTCAATATCAGCTGAGTATCTAATTTTGGAACTTATGTTATCAGATAAATTAAAACTACTTTGAAAAAAAAAGTAGAAAGCATTTACAGTGTAGCAATAGCTTATAGATAACTTGGGCCTGTAACTGTCTTGGGCAGTTTTTCACATGAGGATGGAAAACAAATTAAGAAAACCATTCTATCTAATTTTTTCTACCTCTTTTTCTCAACCTTTGCATGTATCAATTTTTTTCCTGCATGACACACGTGCGATATATATATATAGATATACACACACATATGTGTATATATATATATATATATATATATATATGTATATGTATATATATATATACACATCTTGCTTTTCAGTGTGTGCCACATAAGCCTGATGGCTTCTCAAGGTCTCTGCCCATCCTCCCTTATTTTTCTCTTAATGAAGGAACTACAAGCCAAACCCATTCTTTCTACTCCAGATTGATATATGCAGTTGTCTCCTCGACATCTTCAGATATCTCAAAATTACGTCAAACCTAAAACATATTTGAAAGTTTAGTATGCAGACTTTTTTCCTCCAATTTGTAGCAGCATCATCTACCCAGAACCTGTGAGTCATCTTTAACACATCCTTCACTACCCTTAACATTTCCCTTGCAAGTACCACTCAAGTCTGTCTACTTCTCTCCATCCCTGCCATCACTACCCTAGTCCAAGCACGTATCTCTCACCTTAATTACTGTAGATGCTTTCTCACTGGTCTTCCTCCTCCCCTCTTACTACTATAGCCCAGTAGAGCCACAGTGATCTTTGTGATGCAGTTTGACTTATTCTTTCTGGTCCCTGCCTGCCTGCCTTCTTTTCAATCTTAGGTTTTGTTATTCCTGCCCACCTCCCCTTCTCTGTACATTTGCCATATTGGTCTTCTTTTAATTCTCCAAAATCAGCTTGCTCCTTGTTTCTCAGAGCCTTCAAATATGCTATTTCCTGAAAAGGCAGCCTTTCACACTACTACCCCATCCAACCCTGACCTCGTACCTTACCCATCCTTCAGTTTTCAACACAAACTGCACTTCGTTAGGTAACTGGCCTCCTGACTGACCACTCACCACCACTACCACCACCACCAAACACTAGGTCAGTTCTCTATCACAGAGTCTGTACCATCCCTTCTCAACTGGCTCTGATGCTTTAAGACACCGTTCATCACCCACAGGTAATGAATTAACTTATTTCCTATATTCTAAGATGATACTAGCTATGTGCCAGTCTCAATAGAATTGAGACAATCACTTAAATCATTATCAGTAGGGGTCAGTTCTCTCTTGGAATCTCAGTTGAGAAAGGCTAATTGGTACTTCACTTTCATAGCATTTCAGCTTATAATTATTTCTGTCAATATTTGTCTTTCTCCCACCAGATTGATTGTAAGATGTTTAACAACAGGTCATGTGGCTATTTTATTCACCATCCAATCTAATGTTTAGCACAGCACTAACATAGTTGGTTCTCAATAAGTACTTCTTGAGTGAATGATATAACTATTGATATTCACTGATATACTGTGTATTAGAAAAAAAAAATTGAAGCCAATGTGACAGAGTTAGCGATTATGTGGTCTAGGTGGTGAAAACATTAGTGCTCCCCACTTTATATATATATATTACATCTCAAAAGAAAAAAGAGAAAAGATTAGTGTTAATTCAGACACACAAAGCAGGAATAAAAACCAGTAAACACCAAAATTATAGAGAAAGCCTTGGAAGAAAATATGTTTAATAGCATACCATAAAAGAGGACTTGTACTACCACCAAGAAGTCGACATATCCTCTCCCCTTTTCTCTTGTCCCTTGTTCGGTAAACCTTTATGTCTCTGTATTTAAAATATTATGGTGAATTAAAATCAAATGTATTCTATAAATGAATTCTCTATTTTTAAAATACTGATAATAGATCTTAGTTGCTAAAGTAGAGATTACTAGGGCCATTTGAGATCCTGTCATTTCTAAAGCTGCATAGCTCAGAACAGTGGTAATGGTCTTGCTCAATTCATAAATAGGCATTTTAGGCAAAGAAAGGTTTCTTAGCTAAATAAGTTGGGGAAAGGTTTCATTTGATATCCCTAAAGGATTAAAGGTTCTAAGAAATCTTGCATGAAAGAATCTAGTATGCCTTGCGTTTGTTTGCCTACCTGCCTTTGTCATATATTATCAGGCATTTAGGGAATGCAGGAAGATAACCTCAATTCAATTAAAAGCAGGGTACTTGTGCCTTGGTACTCACTATCTTTTTTATAGGTGATGGGTGGCATTTTTTGTTTCACAATGTAAGAGACTTCTTAATAACATATTGCTTAAAATGTGAGTCAGAGAAGAGGAGGAAGGGTTATTCATACAGAGCAAATCTTATGCATTTGCCCTGTGTTAAAGGGTATAAAAGAGGGGATATATACTCACTGGTTTTAAAATTCATTTAGAGAAATTAGGCTCCTGTTTAAACAAAATAATGACATTTGTGAATTGCTACTTGGTATGATACATTTTATAAAAGTAACAAGAACTCAAAGAAGCGGGGAGATCAGTGCTGTTTGCAATGGTCAAGCAGTACTGAGAATGGGATTTGGGGAGCCTGGAATGCTTAAGATTATGGGTAGGAAAATGGATATAAGTCAGAAACAAATAATTAGAAAGTATATAGAAAGTCTGAGGTTGCCAAATATTTATGAATTGATGGTTGATCCATTAAAAAACTAGCACAGTACTTTCCTACATTTTTTGAGATTATATCTTGTCATCCCTCAGTACTGTTCCTTCTATGAAATACATACCTAATTCTAAATGTATCACAGACTAAATTATTGCACTGATTCTGCCATCAGTACTACTGTTGTACTGCACAGCCAAGATTTTAACTATCTCTGCAATCTAAATTCAAATAGTAGTTGGAGCATAAGGTAGTTCATCAGACAAAAGCTTGATTGTATCCAACAAAGTAGGAGAAGAGGGAAAGAAGATTGTCTCATTTTTTACAATTAAAAAGGAAGGGGGGGAAATCCCTCCTAAGGGAGAAAAGGAAAAAAGACAAAATCTCAACATTTCTTTATGAAAACATAAAACTGCTTGTAAGAATCACTACATAAAAACATCAATTAGTTGCATATTACCTGCTGGGATGCCTGTTAGCATTCTGGTACAGTTGGAATGGCAACATAGAAAAAGCTTAGTATCTTTAGCTGGCCAAATAATTATTTGATATTGTTTATACATTCATATTAATTGTTTATTAATTGTTCTTTCACTTTTTGTATCCTTAGCACCTTACAACAAGGCTAGTTCTTAACCTTCCTCTTGGCTAAGCCCTTACCATTACACAATGGGCAGCCCTTAATGCTACATATTCTCCAACTCTTAACAAAGCAGAAATGGAAGAAAATACGAATTGAATGGATGTTAAGGACTATTGATTTGAATATTTTAAAAGAATGTTGTTTTCAGATTTATTTAGAAAGTTCAAAGTAAGGATGCAGATAAAAACATTAATATTTACATAATAAACAGATTTATTAGAGATTTTATCTGTTCAATAAATATTTATTTAGAGCTTACTATTTAAAAGATGCTTTGACTATATAAAAATGAGTTAGATACTCATCCTATTTAAAAAAACTGAATAGAAAGAAGACATACCCCCAGAAATCATAATGGATAGTTAGATCTCTTTTAAAGGTGGAAAAGAGAACTTTTGACTAGGAAAATTAGAAAAGGTTTCGCAGAGGGTGATAGTTGAACTGCACTTTAAAGAATTAGTGATCATTGGCCCAGCAAGGAAAGATGAAGAAGGACTTTGCAAATGATAGGAAATATCATAATCGAAATGCAGAAGCAAGAAGGTACAGGTCTTGTACCAGGAACAACATGCAAGTCAGTTTATCAAGGTGAATATAGTCTTACATTGCACAGTCTTAGTTAAAATATAGCTATTTGTTTTACAGTGTCTTGAACTACTTTTAAATTATTATGTCATTAATCAGCACAGCAAATACTTTACCATTCTCCATTTTTAGAAGTACTTCACATGTATCTTACATGCCATTTTTTTCTTTTTAATTTTTCGAAATTCAAAAGTTAAAGTTATGTATTTGTCTTCACACTATCATTTATCTGTAAGGGATTCAGTACGAAAATTCAGTATTTTTAATTCTACATCTATTTTTTTAAAGTTCAGGATGGATCTGGATTAATAGCAGTTCATGGCTTTAAAGAAAAGAAAATAGTATCCAAACATTAATATGACAGAACAATTGAAATAAATGAGAATATTCTTTTAAAAAACTACTTGGGAGATATGATAGCCATCTTTACATACTTGAAAGATTTGAAAGATTGTTTTTGGAAGGAAGGATTGATCATGTATATTTAAGAGTAGTGCTTCTCCAACTGTAATGTGTCTGTGAATCACCTGGGATTTGTTAATGCTGACCCTGATTCAGCAAGCGTGAGGGGAAGATTTTGCATTTCTAACAGGTTTCTAGGTGATGCTGATACTGGCTGGTCTAATAACCTCATTTTGAATAGCAAGGCTAACATATAAAATAGGAATAACAACAAGAAGTTAGAGGAAGGTACTATCAGCTCAGATTTTAAAAAGTTACTTGTCATTTCAAGCTGTCCAATATAAAAATGTTCTGCCTTTTGAAAAAGTAGATTTCTCTTCATCTTAACTATTTGAAGAGAGTAGATAACTATCAGTGGTATCAAAGAGGGAATTATTAAATGGGATATGTTTGATTAGATGACAAGTTAGGTTTCTTCTAGTTAAAAAAAATTCAATAATTCTCTACTTGAACAAGAATACTTAAAGATAACTTTTGTACATTTGCAACCTGAACTATCTTTTCACAGGAAATGTGATCATTAATGTCTCTAAGTTGTTTTTATTTTTTTAATTTAAAAAAGAAAATTTAAGATATTCAGAGAAGTTAATCTTAGTATTTATATAAAATGAAAGAAGAATTCAGTTATTTACACAGTAGTTCATATAATGCTATCTCATGAGAATCAACACATTACTAAGGTTGGTTGGATGGTTTTTGCTACAAAATGTTATTTTGGTAGAAATTAAATTACAGATAGTTATAAAATTTGCAATAAAGTCAAATATGTTGTTCTTAAGAGCATAGTTTGAAAATACGGTAAAACTCTTTAAACAAAATTCAAGAGAATCAAAGAAACAGGTGAATTTATAGTACAGATTTGCTCTGATAATTAAAACAATGCTGAGGGATACCATAGGTGATTTCCTTATCTGCCTTTAGTAAATTAAGTCAACACCTGACCCCAATTTTAAAATAGGTTTCCCAAACACAGTAAAAATGTATTCCAGATAATAAAAGGAATAATGGCACACATAGACAGTCAATAAATATTCACTGGATCTAAATAAAGTTATGTAGTCAGTGATTCTCAAGCAAGGGTGAGGGTTTCCTTTCCTAGGGGGAAAAATGTATCAGAATTTCTAAGAAAGGAATTGTTTTCTCAATTACTACCATCTTCCAGAGATTCTTGTGTGTCCTCTCCTTAGAAAGAAAATAGAGTTTGAGGGTATTGACTGCTTTCTTTACTGACTGAGTCTTGTTGAAGCAGAGGAAATGTAATGAGCCACTGAAAAGGTTTTATGTAAATTAACATTGTAAAGCCAGTTTCAAATTTTATTCTGCTACTGATTAAAGAAAGTAAAGCATAGAGTATAACCTTGGAACTATATGGATAAAAACTTAAAGAATCCATTGGATTTCATGTAAGTAGAACTCTAGTGAGCCATAGATCATAAAGATTTTTAGGGAAGGTGAATGAAACAGAATAACCACTCCAAAATGATTCCTCCAGCTGGATACACTGTCAACATTCACTGTCCATCTTGGCTAAATTTCTACTGTAAACCAAAGATATAAAAAGGGATATATGTGTACTCCTTTACCCCTTTTTCTTTCCTAGCAGTAGCAGTCCAGTAGAGTAATTTGTAAACATAAAAGCAACATTAAAGTATGAGGAAATTTGAATATAAAACTGTAAGAAAATAATGTCTCACATTTGTCATATACTGAAAGTATTAAACAGGACCCTTCCATATGTTTCTTAGCAGTTTGCTTTCAGTCTTAAGTGCTATTTCCTCAGGGTTTCATACAAACTTGACCTCTCAATCCCAGATCAATTGATTTCCTAGGAGTCATTTGTATGTAATAGCAGGTGCCCCAGTATAAATAATGGGTGGATAGAAGCATAATATCTACATCAGAAGACCTTGTTCTATTCTGTGCTATCAGCCAACTGCAGTTTTCTACTAGAGGCCATGACTAGAGAGGGTTGCAGATAAATCAGATGTTTTCAGAGAGAAGTGTCCAGCAAGGAGAATCCAAATGAACCAAAGCATAAGACAGAAGAATTTAAAGGTAGAAAAGGACACATATTCACACTCAGGGAACAGATTGAAAGTACAGCTCTACCACCTGCACTTTCTGACAATAGGCAAGTAATTTCACCTCTCTGAAATTCGGTATCATTTGTGAATGAAGATCCAATACTTATCCTAATCTTACCTGATTGTCGTGAAAATTAAATACAATAGAATATGTGAGCATATTAAATACAATAAGATATGTAAAATTCCATTTAACTCTTCATGGACACCTCCTGACATCATCAACCTGTCTGGCCTAATCTGAAACCAAAAGCCCCATTCCCTTTTAGCATAAGTTGACATCCCCTTTTTGTAGTGTATCAAGAAATCCTGGCTGGGTGCGGTCGCGGTGGTTCGTGCCTGTAATCCCAGCACTTTGGAAGGCTGAGGCGGGCGGATCACCTGAGGTCAGGAGTGGGAGACCAGCCTGGCCAACATGGAGAAACACTATCTCTACTAAAAATACAAAAATTAGCTGGGTGTGGTGGTGGAAGCCTCTAATCCCTGCTACTCGGGAGGCTGACGCAGGAGAATCGCTGGAACCCAGGAGGCGGAGGTTGCAGTGAGCCGAGATCACATCACTGCACTCCAGACTTCAGCCTGGGCTGTTAACAAGAGCGAGACTCGTCTTAAAAAAAAAAAAAAAGAAAATCCTTTGTAAAAGGAAATTTGTAAAGATTTTATTTTGCAAATCTAAAATAAGGATCCACATTTATATTTTGATGTGTACATAGAGTTGTCTCTCAGTTCAACAGTCCAAACTTGCTTTTTAGAAAGGCAGGGAGGCATTTTTATTATAAGGAAGTTTGGTTATCTACCTCCTTAACCTGTTTCTCTGATAATAGCAAAGTATAAGCATAACAATATCATTTTTTAATAACTATTTTAAAATTTGTGGTCATTTAGAGATAGGATGGTTAGAATTTTTTCTCTCGAACTATCTAGGGAAAATATTTAAGTAAATTAATATAATAAACATGATTGCAAGGTCAGTCTTTAACTTGTTTGAGAGTAAATGCTTTTCGGTCACTTTAGAAGAATCTACTGAAACAAAAACAAGTGAGGTATAAATTAGAAATTGCATTTATTCATAAAAGGATAATGACTGTTAGACTAGTTCAGACTAATATTTCTTTGAAAATCATAAAGAGGCTATTCACTATGTTGGTCTCTTGAACCATTATTGTGAAGTATGTTTTATGCCCCATAGTTTGTATGTAACAATAAATTTGTGATATTTATGTTCTAAGATCTTAGAAAACACCTTAAGATCTTTGCATCTTCTATAGTTTTATATTTATATTTAGTTACTTGTATGAAAACACATAACCAACTTGTTTAAAACACTGTACAGCTTCAAAGTAACTTTTGCTTTTTGCTATCTTTTGCAAACTTATTTGTACTTCAGATCATTTTTTTTTTCCTTTGAAAAGCCTTGCAGTGAGAGAATTTCTTTGTTTGGATGATCCACCGGGTCCATTTGATAGCCTAGAAGAAAGCAGGGTAAGTGCTGTATTATATAGCACATGAAAAGAGGAACAATTAATGCAGTACAATAACTACATTGTTTCTTGGATGGAATAGCAAACAGCAAAATATTATAATTTCAGGCTATGGTAGTTTTGCACAGAAAGCTTTCATGTTTGAGTCAAAGGTTGCTTTCAGTGAAATACATAGACTTAGCTCAGTGAAAAAGTAAAAATTCATATATGTCTTATAGTCAATAAAGCTCTAAAATTAAATCCTGCATTATTTTTACTGTTTCAAAAAAAATGATTTGGGGGACCTTTTTATATTTAATAATACTATGTGTAAACTGAGTTTTCTTCCATTTGAGTGTCAAAATAAGGAATGTACAGCTAAAATCAAATTTAAAACTTCAGGGGTAGGAGTGATTATCTTGTTATCGGTTTAGCTTGTGCCTGATGCTTCTCAAATTACATTAATTGACGTGTTAAAGTGTCCTGTTTCTTGAAGCAATAGCCTAGATTCACAAAACAGATTTGGTAATAGTAGATTAGCTAGGATTTTATGCAAGTTTTTTCCCCAAATGTTTAATGGCATTTAAATGGAACAGATTTAATTGGTAGGTTTGTAATGTTTTCATTCAAGCTGAGTCAGTTCTTTGTGTTAGATTGAATGCCCTGGCCTTTTTAAAACAGCTTTATTGGAGTAATATTTTCATCCATAATATTCACCAATTTGTTGTTTGCTATTCTACTGAAAATGTACAATTTAATACTTTTTTGGAAATTTATAGAGCAGTTACCATCATCACTGTAACCCAATTTTAGAATATTTTCATCACCTCAAAAAGAATTCCTATAAGCCATTTTGCAGTCAGTCTGCACTTCCAGCCCAAGGCAACCACTGATCTGCTCTCATTCTCTACACATTTGCCCTTTCTGGATATTTCATATAAATAAAATCATACAGTGTGTGTTTGTGTGTATTAGTTTACCATATACATAACTTTTATATATACAGTCTGCCTAATATATAATATACAGTATTATAATCTTTTACACCTGATTTATTTCACTTAGCATGCTTTTGAGGGTATTCCATGTTATCCTCTATAATTATTTCATTACTAAATGGTTTTTCATTGTTTGCATATACCACATTTTGTTTATCCAGTCACCCATTGAGGGATACTTGGATTGTTTCCAGTTTTGTGATATTATGAGTAATGCTATGAACAATTTCATATAATGTTTTGTGTGAACATATGGCTTTATTTCTCATGGACTGAGAAATTCTACTTCCCTAAGAGTAGAAGTGTTTGATCATGTAACAAGTTTAACTTTTTAAAGAAACCAATAAAGTTTTTGAAAGTTGCTGTATTCTATTCTCACTTGTACTGTACGAGAGTTTTAGTTTCTCTATGTCCTCACAAACATTTGATATTATCTCTCTTTTGGATTATAGCCATTCTCTTGGATAGGTAGTGATATTTCATTATAGCTTTAATTTTCATGTTTCTAATGATTTTTTGATATTGATATCATGCCACATGCTTTTTAGCCATTCATGTTTTCTTCAATGAAATGTCTGTTCACGTCTTGCCCATTTTTTAAAAAACCTGGGCTGTTTATCTTATTCAGTTATAAAATCTTTACTTTAGATATTAATCCTTTATCAGAGATACAATTTGTAGATATTTTCTTGCAGTCTGTAGGTGTCTTTTCATCCTCTTAATGGCATTCTTTGAAGTGCAAAAGTTTTTAATTTTAATGAATTTATTTTATCACTTTTTTAATGGCTTATGCTTTTACTATTGTATTATAAAAACTCTTTGCCTAACCCAACATTACAAATATTTTCTCATATATATATTTTTAATTTTATATTTTAGCTCTTACAGTTAGGTTTATGGTCTATTTTGGGTTAATTTTTTTTAAGGTATTAGGTAAGGGTCTTAAGTTCCTATACCTATCTTAATTTTTTTTTAGTTCGTTTTGTTTAATTATGTTGACACTTCTGTCAGAAATCAAATGACCATGAAAAGAAGGGTTTGTTTCTGGACTCTTAATTCTAGTCTGTTGATCTATTTTCCTGTCCTTGTGCCAGTATGATACTGTCTTGTTTACTGCAGCTCTATTATCATTACTGTTTGCATAGCATATCTTTTCCCATCCTTTTACTTTCAATCTGTTTGTATCTTTCAACCCAAGATCCATCCCTTCTACATAGCGTGTAATTGGGTCTTGATCTGTTATTCTTTCCGACATCTGTCTTTTACATCTGCCATTTTGCAATTTGTTTTCTGTTTCTCTCATCTGTCTCCATCCCATTCCTCCTTTTATCTTGTGTAAAATAATTTTTAGTATGCCATTTTGATTCTTCTGTAGAATTTTTTACTTTTTCTTATTTTTCAGTGACTGCTAAAGGTATTATATTTCAGTGAAATATAAACTTGGCTCCAATATCTCTCCGTTTCCTCCCTCTTTCTTTGTGTTGCTATTGTTATCTATTTTACATATATCTTATAAACCTAACAATACAGTGCAATAATTATTTCTTTATACAGTCTTTTGTGCTCTAAAGAACTTAAGAAATGGGAAAATATATTTCATAGATTATTTTATTTAATCCACGTGTTTACTATTTCTGGCCCTCTTCATTTCTTCCTGGAGGTTGATGTGATCATCTGGTATCACTTCCTTTCAGTCTCATAATCTTCGTTTAGTTTTTCTTGTAAGACGGGTCTGCTAGCAACAAATTCTCACAGTCTTTGTTTAGCTGGAAATGGTCATTTTTGAAAGATAGTTTTACTGACAGATTTTTTTCTTCCAGCACTCTGAATGTGTCATTCCACTGCCTTCTGGCCCCTATTATTTCTGATAAAAAAAAAATCAACCTTTATATTGTTTCCATGTGCATGATGAGCCATTTTGCCCTTGCTGCTTTCAAGATATTCTGTTTGTTTGACTTTCAGCAGTTTGATTATGATGTATTGGGGTGTAGATCTCTTTCTGTTTCTCATGCTTTGGCTTCATTGAGCTTTGTTGACTTGACAGATTAATGTTTTATATCAAACTTTGGAATTTGTTAGCCATTATTTCTTCAAATACTTTTTCACTCCCTTTTTCTCTCCCTTCTCCTTCTTGGACTGTCATTACTTGTATATTTGTATACCCTGTGTTGTGCAAAATGTCTCTGAAGTGCTGTTCATTTTTCTTCAATTGCTTTTTTCTCTGATCTTCAGATTGAAAATTTCTATTGATCTTCAGATTCACAGATTTATATTTCGGTCATATTAAATCTCCTGTTGAGCCCCTCTTGTTAATTTTTCAGTTACTGTGCTTTTCAACTCCAAAATTCTCAATTGCTTATTTTTTAACTGTTCTTTCTCTTTATTGAGATTTTTCTATTTGTTGACTCATTATCATTATCCTTATCATTAATTCAATTTTTTCTAGTTTATTTCATGTACGTAATGGTTGCATTAAAAATCACTGCCTGATATGCCTAACATTTGGGGCCGTTTAGAGATAGCTTCAATTGACTGCCTTTTTTCCTGAGTATGCTTAGATTGACCTTGTTTCTTTGAGTGTTTTGTACATTTATTTGAATACAAGATATTTTAGGTGATACACTGTAGCAACTCTTGATTCTTAATCTCTGTCTCCTATAGTGGTTATTATTATTTTGTCTGTCTGTTTAGTAACTTGCCTGGACTAAATCTGTGAAGTTTGTCTCCTCAGCAATGTGTGGTCACTGATGTCTTTTCTCAGTGTTTTTTTCCTCATTTTATTTTTAAGCCTGGCTTTCTTGTATTTCTGCATAGCTTAATGTTCAGTCAACAGTTGGTCATAAATTTTGCTTATATACCTCAAACTAGTAAGATTTTTACACTCTGGTAATGGATCTGTATATAGTCTAAGGAGTGTATTTAAAGTTAAGGTCATTTTCAAGTATGCTGTAGATTTTAGTTTCTGCTGAATCCTTTCCCATCTCCTATTCTATACACGCATATGGGCTCTGTTGTCCTGTGTGGCTTGGGTCCCAGGATATGTGGAAAGCTTATCAAGGCCCCATAGATATATCGTTTCCCAGAACTCCCTATTAAATCCTGGCTAGATCATTGCTTCTGGGTTTCATTCAGCCTTTCGGCTACCATTTTGTCTCTTTGATTTAGAATCTGTTTAGAAAATTAAGTTCTATTTTAAGTGAACATTGGGCTAAAGAAGCTAAGTGTTTATCACTCCTTTTCCAGCTCAAGGATTCCAGGATTTTTATTCCTTTAAAGTATAGTATTCTTTCTTCTTGCAAGACAGCCTTTAGTTCATTTTTTAATTTTTAAATTAGCCCTTTTACAAAAAAATAATAATTTGAATATCTTTTTAGTGTTCTTAGTTCAAAATATATGCTAGTTAGTATTGTCAAGTATCATAACTTGGCAGGGGAAGAGTGGAAGCTGATTTGAGTTAGGATTTCTCATACACTCTATCGGCATTTAGGGCTGGATAACTTTTTGGTGGCCGAGGCTAGAGCACAGCCTGACGTGTGCATTGAAAATATTTAGCAGCATCCTAGGCCTCTACATATTAGACACCAATAGCATACCCACTCATGACAAGTAAAAATGTCTCCAGACATTACCAAGTGTCTTCTGAGTTTAAAATCGCTCCTGATGTAGAACCACTGATTTAAATAAGTCACCAAGGCAATATTAAGTTTATACACTCAACAGAGTAATATGGAATGTATCTCCTAGACTCTTTCTCTAAAATAAATGCATTTTCCTACAGTTGTATTTGAAAATATATGTTTATTTGAACAGTGAATGAAGAAATTCTGTGTTTGCTCCTCTCCTTCAAGGTAAAATCTACAGTAACCTAATGAGATATATATCTCTTTTGTCTGCAGACTTACTTAAGCAGCCTCTCATTTTAAGAAAAATCCCAAAATGACTTATTAACCCACATTTCTTGGAGTGTAAAATTAAACTTATTCAAAGGATACTCAGTTCGGCAAATCTTTAACCTACTTTTCTCTGTTCCCTATTTAAGGTAGTCATTTCTACCCCTCATATACTTGTACTAAAAGAGGGAATTAAGATTAGGGATATAAATTAGTCTACCTTTTTTTGGGAAAATTCAAATCTATTACTTGTATGGAGATAATATAATTGGAAGAAATGAGGTCTTACTGTATTAACATTAATGAATAGCTTATTAGAAATAAATTATAATTTTTAATATTTTATATGAATTATAAGTACAAACAATTAAAGCAGAATTCTTAAGCCATCTATTCTCTACCTAAATTGTAATATGTAATGAAGCTGTTTTCTTAGAATCACTTGCTAGCAGATTTTCCTGTCCTGATGGAACTGTTTGATCTCTATCCCAGAAGGAAATTTATATCAATATAGCCTTCCAATGACTATTCTAAGGACAGTCTCCATTCCTATATACATTTTTCCTAAGGTACCTCCCTCACTGGGGTGGATGTTAATCTTGGAAGAAACCCAAGGTTTTAAAGGTACTTTCCTAGGAATACAATTGTTTCATTGTTAGATATTCTCCTCTTCAACTTCACTGCATATGCTAAAATTACACCCCAAATTTGTTATATCAGTTTGTACTTTTACCAACAATATGTTTTCCTTTTGCTCTATATCACCACTAATACAAGTATTGTCAATCTTTTAATTTTTGTCAGTCTGATGGGTATAAAATAATATCTTACTGTTATTTTAGCCTAATTTTCTTGATTACCAGCCAGGTCTGGCATCTTCCATAGTAGCTGCACATTCTTTGTCACATTTTCTATGGCTCTTGTTCTTCCCTACACACCAGCACATAAAAATATTTCTCCTAAATTTCCTTCTAATAAGTGTAAACTTTTGCTTTTCACACTCAGGTCTTTTTTTTTTTAAGAGAATTAAATTGTTTATTGATTACACCTAATAATGGATGATACACAAGCTTCATTCCCATCTATAATTTTATCTGGTACCATTACTCAATTTAAATATATTGCATAAGATGTGCCAACAATCATTTTTATAACCAATAATTCCATGATTTTGCTTGGGTAATCCCTTTTAATGGTGAACTTCAGGTCACAACAGTAACTATCAGTTCAACTACACCAAGGTTTCTGAAGACAATGACTTCCCCACCCAAGCAGGTTGTATGTAAATTCCAAATAGTACCTGGCATCACTCTGAAGGAATTCTAACTTCACACTGTTGGGGAAATTTACCAAGATGGCTTCAGAGTAGACTAACTTTACACAGCACATTAAAAAAAAGACATTTATTCAGTATCACAATCAGACTATTACATTTAGCAATCAACAGCCTGGGTGCAAAAAAAAAAAAACTACATTAAAACCCTTCGTTGGAATGCTTTACATTTGCCACAGAACAGAAACTAAAATAACCTGTTATACAATTAGTCAGAAATACAGTCCTCGAGTTTTTTGCCTATGCACATGAGTATTTGTCTAAAACATGTCTTCTTTGTAGCAGCTAGGCCCTGCCACCACTGTGCTTGGCTGACTTCACAAATCTGTTGTTACCTGTAGCTTCCCTGTTACTTCTCTGGCTCTCCTCTCCTGCTGAGCTTTGTTTCCTAATTAAAATCTTCTGCCACTGCCATAGCTACGGCTGCTCCTGGAACCGCCATAGCCACCTTGGTTTCGTGGTTTGGCAAAGTATTGGCCTCCACCACCATGGGGGCCAGAGCTTCTGCCTCCAAAGTTTCCCATCTTCATGGGTCCAAAATTTGAAGACTGATTGTTGTAACTGCCAAAATCATTGTAGCTTCCACCACCTCCAAAGTTGCTTCCATCATTACCAAATCCCTTATAGCCATCCCCACTGCCACCATATCCCCCACCACCACAGCTGTCAGCAAAGCCACCATGACCCCTGAAGTTTCCTCCACAACCAAAGTTGTCATTCCCACCGAAAACACCTCCACAACCACCACCAAAGTTTCCAGAACCACTTCGACCTCTTTGCCTGGATGAAGCACTAGCCATCTCTTGCTTTGACAGGTCTTCCTAACTTCACAGTTGTGGCCATTCATGGTATAGTGTTTCTGAATGACCGTCTTATCCATGGAGTCATGGTCGTGAAAGGTTACAAAGGCAAAGCCCCTTTTCTTGCCACTGCCTTGGTCAGTCATGATTTCAATCACTTCCATTTTTCCACACTGTTCAAAATAATCTCTTAGGTGATGTTCTTCAGTGTCTTCTTTAATGCCACCAATAAATATCTTTTTCACAGTTAAGTAGGCAACTGGTCTTTGAGAATCTTCCCTTGAGACAGCTCTCTTTGGTTCCACAACTCTTCCATCCACCTTCTGTGGCCTTGCATTCACGGCTGCATCCACCTCCCCCACAGTGGCATATGTGACAAACCCAAAGCCCCTGGAGCACCTGGTGTTTGGATTTCTCATTACCGCACAGTTCGTGAGGGTTCCCCATTGCTCAAAATGGCTCCTCAGGCTCTCATCAATTGTTTCAAAACTCAACCTTCCAGTGAAAAGCTTCCTCAGCTGTTTGGGCTCTTTAGGAGACTCTGACTTAGACATGACAGCAGGGAGAAGAGAGACTTTAACAATGCTTCTTCGGCGGCATCCACGGGCAGAAAGGAGCAAGCTGACCTCAGATCTTTTAATTGATTTAACTTTTTCTGTATGGATGACCAGTGATCCCAACCTCATTTATTTAAAAGTTCATCCCTACTGCACTAATTAGTAATTCTTCTATGCTAAATAGTTGAGTGTGAACGGGTCTGTTTATGGTCATTCAGTTCTTTTTTTTTTTTTTTTTTTTTTTTTTTTTGAGACAGAGTCTCAAACTGTCACCCAGGCTGGAGTGCAGTGGCGCCATCTTGGCTCACTGCAACGTCTGCCTCCGGGATTCCAGCAATTCTCCTGCCTCAGCCTCCTGAGTAGCTGGGATTACAGGCACGCACCACCACATCCAGCTAATTTTTGTATTTTTAGTAGAGACGGAGTTTCTTCATGTTGGCCAGACTGGTCTTGAACTCCTGACCTCAGGTGATCTGCCCACCTCAGCCTCCCAAAGTGCTGGGATTACAGGCATGAGCCACCATGCCTGGCCACTCAGTTCATTTTTAGTAGTCTCATCCCTCTGCTGGTACTATATTGTGTTAATTACTATAATTAAATAATCTTATTAACTGGCAGAACAAGGGTGCCCTTATTCTTCCAAGTTGGCTATTCACTTTTCCATATGAATTTTAGAACAACTTTGTGAGTTCCATGAAAAAATCCTATTGCCATTTTGTTTGGAATTTTAATACATTTATTTATTAATTTTGAAGAGTATCTTTATAGTATTGAATCTTCCTATTAATAGATCTTTGCATATGGAGGGTTTTTTTTTAAGTTCTTCAATAAAAGTTTACATTTTTTTCATCTAGGGAAAGCCATAGGATTCCTCATCATTTTTGTTGATGAAATAATTGGTATTTTTATTACATTCTAAGTTACTAGTTTTATTATTGATTTTTATATATCTATTTTGTATGTCACATTCTCTTGTTAGTTTATAGATCTGTTTGGATTTTCCATATCGGTAATCATATCCCCTGCAATATTAACAATGTGTTTTTTCCTAATACGTAATATCTTTCATTTCATTTTTCTGTATTATTTTGCTAGATAGATTCTTTGGAGGTTAATTGAAGCCATTATGGTGGGCATCCTTTTCCTTTCATCCTAACTTTAATGAAAATGATCCTGTATTTTGCTGTTGGATATGGAGTTTTCTATAGGCTGGTGGTAGTTGTGAGTTATGTTGATTTGTTTATTGTTTTCGTTGTTGTTTTTAGATTAAAGAAGTTCTATTTCTAGTTTGCTAAGAGGTTGTAGGGATGTGTGTGTGTGTGAATGCTTTCACTTGCATCTGTATAGATGATCATATGGGTTTTTTTTAATCTATTGGTGTGGTAAATTACATTCATAGATTTTCAGTTGATAAAACATTGATTATGAGATTAACGCAAATTCAGCGTATTTTTTTAATTACTGGATTTGAATTGTAATGATTTTATTTAGAATTTTGGCATATGTAACATTTGTTTCTGTTACTGCCCTTTGTTGGGTCTGGCATCAAAATTATACCAGTTTTATAAAATAAGGAATAGTCCCTCTTTTTCTGTTATCCAGAACCATTTGAATAAATGCATATTGGTTGTTCCCTAAATGTTTGTTAGAATTCACCTGTAAAACAATCTGGATTTGATATTTTCTTTAGCTTGTCTTATAGTAGATTTTTAACAACTGATTCTGTTTCTTTGATGTCTGTAGTTTATTCAGATTATTTGGGGAGGTTTCAGTTTTGAGAATCTGTATTTTTCTAGAACTTGACCATTTTGTATAGATTTTAAAATACATTTTTTTTTCTTTTTTTTGAGATAAGAGTCTTGCTCTGTGGCCCAGGCTGGAGTGCAGTGGCGCTATTTCGGCTTGCTGCAAGCTCCGCCTCCCAGGTTCACGCCATTCTCCTGCCTCAGCCTCCCGAGTATCTGGGACTACAGGCCCTCGCCACCACGCCCAGCTAATTTTTTTGTATTTTTTAGTAGAGACGGGGTTTCACTGTGCTAGCCAGGATGGTCTTGGTCTCCTGACCTCGTGATCTGCCCGCCTCAGCCTCCCAAAGTGCTGGGATTATAGGCGTGAGCCACCGCAAAACTGTTGTTCTTAGTAGTATCACATGACTTTTGAAAATCTCTTAACATATCTTTAGTTATATATCCACTTTGAATCTCACTGTTTTTTCCACTAGTCTTTTCTCCTTGGATTTGGTGTATTTTAATAGTCTTCTCAAAGAACCACTTTTTGCCTTTTTGATTCTCTTGATTAAATTCTTTTCCTGTCTCTTAATTCCTTTCTTATACTTGGTTTTAGTATGTTCTTTGACTTCTTTAATTGGATGCTTTCTCAGTTGTTTCTAGTATTATACAGTTCTTTTATATAACAGTCAAATTGCATCTCACAAGTCTTAATATTTTCATTCTCGTTCATATTTTATATTGTTCCTATTATCTTGTTTGCTCCATAAATTTAGAATTCTCTTTAATTTTTCAAGCACTTTTTTCTAATATTATTGACTGTTTTTTAGTCTATTTGCATTTTTTTCAGAGATTATGTTCTGTCTGACACCAATTCTTGGTTATTGTTGACAGTGTTCTGCAGTCTTTGGGATCTGCACATATGTGATAAATTTTCTAAATTTTCCATGTGTGCTTGAAAAGAATATGTATTTCTTAATTGTTAGACTCACAGTTCAATATATGTTCATCATATCAAACTTACTAATTTGTATTGTTAAAATTTTTTTAATCTTAACTCATTTTTTTGTTTAATCCGTTAATTGCCAAGAGTTATGTCAAATTTACCCCTTATGGTGTGGATTTGTTCAATTTCTTCTTGTAATTATGCATTTAAAATATTCCTGGTGAATTATTACTTTTATTATTAGGTAGAGACTCTTTGTGCCTAATAATGTTTATCACCTTGAACTGCATTCTGTCAGATATTAAGAAAACTACAACTTTTGGTAGGGGAGAAAAGGCTAACATTTGTCTGTTGCCTTTAAGTATGTTTCTACTTTTGTATTTTAAATATGGCTGTTTTAAACATCATAGTTCTTTTTAATACAGTCTGAAAAATCTGTTAAGTTTTGAGTTTATTTTATATATGGTAATGACCAATATATTTGTATTTATTTCTATTATTTTATTTTGTGCTTTTGATTCTGCTTTATAAAATGCTTTTTTACTCCTTTCTTTCTTTTCATGTTATTTAATGAGTTTTTCTCTTTGTTCTCTGCTCTTGGTTTTTAACTTCTGTAGTCATTGTCTTTTATTTAATGGTCATATGTTCTCATATATTGGAAACCGATTGTTTACAGCCCTCCTCAAAGTTGGCCATCATTATTATTTCACACAGTCAATGTTTCTTTTGATTTACCTAAGTCTTTGTCACTTTCATTCCTCTCCATTCCTACTTTCATCCTACTCTTTCTTTTGGGATTCAGTTAACTACTTCTTAAAGTACATAATTTAATAGTTCTTTCAGTGAATGTGTATTGGTAATGCTTAGATCTTTGATGTTCAAATGTCTTTTAATTTTGTTTCATTCTTGAAGTATGATTTAACTGAGTGTAGAATTCTACCTTGATAGTTATTTTTCTCAGTGCTTTAAAGTGTTTTCCACTGCCTTTGACATAGACTGTTTTATGACATCTACTCCCAGTCCCCTACTGTCTTACAATTTTATAGTAAACTGATTTGTCTTCCTGGTGTTTTAGAGATCTATTTGATTTTGATATTTGCAACTTCAGTATCTTGTATTTATATATATATATTTGTTTTTATTTGTCTTCCTTATGATACATTGTTTTTCCCAAAATCCATATGAGGCTTTTTAGATTAGATTCTTCAGGTGAGACTTTACCTCGCCCACCTAGAAACCAGATTGAGACAAACAATCTTTCTTGATGTTTTTCTGTGTTGTTGAGTGACTTTTATTAATAGGCTCTTTAGGGTCTTTGCTTTATTCCTGAATCTATCACTTTTTGTCACTTACTTCCCAAAATGTACCTGACTCCTCATTTCTTGTACCATCCTGGTACTGCAACCCAAGTGTCAAGATTACCAAAATGCTGTTACAGTAGTATGTCTACTGAGCTAATACAAATGGCATCAACCACAGTTGATATTTTTTAAGTGTAATCATGTATGACTAGGCAAAAGTAGATTAAAGAGAGTAAAAACTAAAGCAGTAGTTGCCAATTATTTTTTATCCCAGTTCTACACTAGAGGGATATCACATACTCACTTCAGGCACACTAGCTTACTACTGTAAGTCTTAAGAAAAAGAACTTGTAGTTATGTCCCCCTGGTGGATGGGAACTAAAGTTAAGATACCAGTGACCTAAAAAGATGAGGGTAGAGAACAAATCATTTGGAGTTTCATACTATTATTTTGATTATCTGTGTTCTTTGACTCTTCAATAATGCTCTTGAGAAAGATACTGCATTTGTAATTAATTGTATTCTTTTTCTGCATGTGTTTAGTTTTGTTTGTTGTTTTTTTTAAGGCATTCTGTGAAACTTTAGAAGAGACAAACTACCGCTTACAGAAAGAACTACTTGAAAAACAAAAGGAGATGGAATCACTAAAGAAACTGCTCAGTGAGAAGCAACTTCATATAGACACTTTAGAGAACAGAATCAGGTGTGTTGTGATACTTGCATTTCTACTCTGACTAATTCAACCCTTAATACTCTGGGCTAACTGCCCTTTATATTTTAATATGATTTAGGAATTTTCTGATTCTGAAAGTTGTAGGCTTTTGGCATACTTCATTGGGAAAATTATGCTTTATTTAGCATAATTTTGCTAAATAAATTTTGAACATTGAAGGATGGGAAACATCAGGAAAATAAGCCACTAACTGTTCAACAAGGTAAACATTATTCATTTTAATCATTGTTAAATCATTATTAAATAAATAATCATTATTAAATGGAATACCATTATTTTATTTAAGTGACATCTTAGTTTCTAGGCATTTATGCCAGCTTTTCACATATGAAAGCTCTGGTTTGCCATCTCATCAGCATATCTTGAATTGATACTAAAGTCATTTTAAATTAATCATAGCTACTGATTTTCTCTGTTGACTTCCAAAGTGAGCTATTTATTAGCTATGTAACTACATTAAGGCTTAACAGCTAAAGACTGCTATAGCTACCTGTATTCACAACATTAAACATATGCCTGTTTTGTTCATAGAAAATAACTTGTTGCTATAACATACTTTTAGAACATTGTCTTTAGAACCTGAAGAATCACTGGATGTGTCAGAAACAGAAGGTGAACAGATCCTAAAGGTGGAGTCCTCTGCACTTGAGGTTGATCAAGATGTCCTGGATGAAGAATCTAGGTATATAATATTTCATTTATGATAGCTTAATTCTTGAATAATTGGAGGAAAGTGATTCTAATACTCTATAGAGTATTTTTTTATGAACTCAGTGTTACTGTATCACGAATCTGCTAAGCAAACAGAGAATGAATTGGAAATATTTTAGGCTTTTCCTAAAATATTTAAAAATAAAAACACTTTAAAAATAAAAAGTGTCTTTGACATCAGGATGTAAGTTTTCTCATTACTTACTTTAGAGCTGTGTCTGCATTAACTGGCCTCTGACTCAGGTAATTAACTAATTTTTTAAATATTGACAGATTACCTTAATCTCCCTCAATATCACCCTTTTTCCATTGAAAAAGTAGGCTACTATAATATAATAGCAAACCACCCTTCTTACCTAATAGGAATGATGAAAAGGTAATGAATTTAAAAGCACATAGAATTTTTATTGCATACAAATCCAAGGTAATTGTTAATAGTTTAGTGGTAATGGTCAACTATAATTCTGAGAAAAATTTTATGTTGATAAAGGTAATTACCAAGTAGATTTTTATTGGTAAATGGTAGTTTGGAGAGCTGAGTTTAAAAACCTATCTCCAAAGGTCTTACTTGGCAATGACAACTTAAATATATCAAATTTCTGATTGAATGTTTAAATACTCTTACATTAAATACTTTTACACTAAGTATGTAAATTTTCTATAAGGTAGAAGATTTTTAAAGGTAATAGTGAAAATGAAATAATAGCATGCATCCAGTCCCATCATTGATATGTTCCTTTTTTTTTTTTTTTTGCAGAGCTGATAATAAACCATGCTTAAGTTTTAGTGAACCTGAAAATGCTGTATCAGAGATAGAAGTAGCAGAAGTGGCATATGATGCTGAAGAAGACTAATGTATCACAAGCAGTTCCCTCCATTTAGACTATTCAAAAATTTAGAAGAGTGGCAAATACTATTTTAAAAGAAGAACCAAGAACTGTAAAACATATAGAAAAGAGCAAGAATGCACATGTATAAAGTTTACATAAAGAAGTTTTTTTAAGTTATTGAGATAGGAAATATATTCACTGCTGCTTTTAATTGTATTTTATCCAATTACATTTAATACACTAAAAAAAATCTTGTTGGAATTCTGTTATCAAGGCCCACATTCTTAAATACTGTGCATAAATTATTATGGTGTTTTGCCTATATATTGCTCCAAACTACTGTGTATATATGTATGTGTGTTAAATCACCAATTATATTAATCAAATGGAAATTAATTGCATGTTACTATCTGGGTGATATATTCTTCTTTATATCTCTGACATGACATATTTTCATTAATAGTTTAAATCAGTGACCATCATAATAAAGATAAAATTTAGTTGAGTTTTTAATGTTTACATGTTTACATCTCTAAATAAAATTTGCTTATTTGAAATGTTAATGCTCTTTAGAAAAATGACTTTCTAGTACCAAAGGAAAACTACTTGAAAGAGCTGTAATCATATAGCTAAAGTGATAAGATAGCCTTGATTTTAAAAGCTGATTCATTAATATCAAAATACTTTAATAAGTGTCACAGTTATTAATATGTTACATTTGTTTAGTTTCCACGTAATCTTTATCTCTACCTAGATTTAGTGAGTTTGCCTCTTTCAGAATACTACCTCCTTTTGTTAAGGCATATTCTTTCGAAAATATAGATTCTAAATAAATAGGGGCTTATACAAAAAAGAAAATAAAAAGCCATATATACTGCAAAGTTCCTAACTGGCTTGACTCCTGACATTGCATTTTTATTTCTATTTGTGTGAAGATGTTGTTATACTGTATTATGGCTGATTTTCTTTTTAATATATTTAGCCAAGTGATGCACTTTATGATAATTAAACTCTTTTGTGCCAAGTTTAATTGGTGGATTTTTTTAGTAAGTAGAGTTAGGAGAAAGAATTATGTAGTGCCTTTACTATTTCACTTTCTACAAAAGTCTCCTAGGGTCTTTGAGTCAGCTTTATGAAAAAATGTTTGTTTATTTCAGCTTTGTGTACAGTCATTAAAAGTGCCTTGTTTCATTTTTATAGGATGAAGTTATTTATTTTCTATTTTCACTGTTTTGCATATTGCTGTTAATAAGCATTGTAATCATGCTGGCATTTTGCAATCCCAGTCGGTATGCTTTCTAAAAACTGAGGGAAACTTACTGGGGAAATAGAATAACAATCTCCATTTTTTTCTTTACTATCTAAAAGTTTATCGGTATCTTGATGTATATATATATTAAGGTGTGGCTGTTTAAAATTCTAATGACATATATCAACACATTCAATGGCTGTTGTTAACCTTTGAAGTAAAAAGGAGATCACTTTTTACCAAATAACCAAAAATTTTTAGTCTGTCAAAGTGCACAGGTATGTTCTCAGAACATTTTTCACAATGTGTATCAGAAATATGTTTGCTATCCTTAGAGACAGAAATGAATATAATAAATTGATCTGCTTATTTATTAAAATTATTATTCTAGACTTACAAAAGGCTTAAAAAGAACAATCATTTAATCAGTACCATTCTGTATCTTATATAACAGATCTTTGCCAAATTCTAGATATTATAGTGTTGCCTGTCTGTTCTAAAGCGAACCAGCCACTTTTTCAATCTGGCTTTTTGGAAGATTGTATTTAAAGTTCTTCAAGGATGAAGAAAAAAATCTGTTAATTAGGTAAACCACTATTATTTATATTTATAATTTACTTTTTTTTACTTTTATAATGCATTTTACTCCCAGTATTATGTTCATTTAATAAATTATTTTTTCACTACAACAGTAGCTGTGTTGTTCATATGTTGAATACCATTTTCCCCCTCCATTTTCTATATTCTCCCTATCTTTTACAATTATTGTAAATTGAATTATATTTAAGTGCTGAATTTCACAGATGTAGAATGAGTCTGATTTTCTTTTTAGGTTTACACTTTATATTGCTGATCATTTTTTGAAAGTCTTTGTGAATAGGTGCAATGCACTTTAACATAACCTATACTAATAATTCTAAAAATTGAATGTAACTGAAATAACATTTTTGTGGATAATCTTTTAACCTTTTAGAAATAAGTTTACATATAGTTAGTACAACCATAAAACAGCATTTTAAAATGTATCTACTACATCGAGATTAGCCATTTACAGCACATTTATTTAGAAAACCATGCTTAGATAAATTATCTATGTAGTCTAGTTCAGTCTGTGATATTAAAAGGGAACAGTGGCTTTAGATATAAAAATAATTTGGTTTTGAAATGGATTTTATTACTTATAGGAACACATGAGTTTGGGGATTATGATAAAACAAGTCTGTTTTCCCAACTAGCAGAAGAATCTAAATTTTATCCTCTAGGAAATCTTCAGAGAGCTACATATTTGATCCACATTTTGGCTCTTCATAGAATTACTGTTACTGCATTATGCTTTGTTTCTATGCTGTTGGCTCCTAATAGCAAACACAGTCATCAAAACATATATTTTCAATACATGTGTTTTTAAGGCTAATGGCTACTATTAAATATATCACATAGTGTACCTTTTATGAAGACCCATAGGAGAAACTTCTCTTGGGTCTTGATCTCAGCAAAACATGTGCTTCTCCTAAACAGTTGAGTTTCAGGGGAGGGTTGTGTGGTTTTTGTTTTGTTTGTTTGTTTGTTTTGGGACAAAGTCGCTCTGTCACCCAGGCTGGAGTGCAGTGGCGCAATTTCGGCTCACTGCAGCCTCCGCCTCCCGGGTTCAAGCAATTCTGTCTCAGCCTCCCGAGTCGCTGGGACTACAGGTGCACATCACCACACCAGGCTAATTTTTGTATTTTTAATAGAGACAGGCTTTCACCATATTGGTCAGGCTAGTCTTAAACTCCTGACCTCAGGTGATCCACCCGCCTCAGCCTCCTAAAGTGCTGGGATTACAGGTGTGAGCCATTGTGACCAGCCTAATTTGTTTTTCTCTCTTTTTTCTATTTAGTGGTTTTCCCTAATTTTATTTTTATTATACTTTAAGATCTGGGATACACGTGCAGAACATCCAGGTTTGTTACATAGGTATACACGTGCCATGGTGGTTTGCTGCACCCATCAACCCGTCATCTACATTAGGTATTTCTCCTAATGCTATCCCTCCGCTAGCCTCCCACCCCCTGACAGGCCCCAGTGTGTCATGTTCCACTCCCTGTGTCCATGTGTTCTCATTGTTCAACTCCCACTTATGAGTGAGAACATGCAGTGTTTGGTTTTCTGTTCCTGTGTTAGTTTGCTGAGAATTATGGTTTCCAGCTTCATCCATGTCCCTGCAAAGAACATGAACTCATCCCTTTTTTATGGCTGCATAGTATTCCATGGTGTATATGTGCCACGTTTTCTTTATCCAGTCTATCCTTGATGGGCATTTGGGATTCGTTTTCATCTTAAAGAGTCTAATGCTCTCTTTGTTGCTCCTCTTTGTCTTTTGGGCAGCTCTAGGCCAAATTGTAGTTCACTTGTATGGTTATGCTTTTCTGTTGTAATCATGACTTTATTTTTTATCTTCTTCAATTTTTTTTCCTATTTAAGTCGTTCTATTAGAACATACGTATTTTGGGAGCCAGGTGCGGTGGCTCATGCCTGTAATCCCAACACTTTGGGAGGCCGAGCTGGGTGGATTGCTTGAGCTCAGGAGACCAGCTTGGGTAGCATGCATGGAGAAACCCCGTCCCTACAAAAAACTAGCCAGATGTTGTGGCCTGTGCCTGTAGTCCCAGCTCCTGAGGTGGAAGAATCGCCTGAGCACCAGAGGTGAGGCTGCAGTGAGCTGTGACTGCACCATTGCCCTCCAGCCCAGGCATCAGAGTGAGATACTATTTAAAAACAAAAAACAAAAAAAAAGCCTTGAAAGAAGATCACTGAATGTGGAATGCACTTAGAAATGCTAGCTAATGGTAAGCTATAGGTGGATTTTTGACTAGAGCACAGTATGAAGTCATGATCATGGTTTTCAGCCTCAAATTAGAACAGACCTCACTTGTCACTTGTAAATAATTTACAGAATATTAGATCAGTGTCATCTCCACACAAAATAATAAGCAAAGCAACCAATGTATACTCAATAATGTTTTATTATAATAGATATGCTGAGAGTAAGTATAGACCTTAAATAATGTTTGCAGCCTAGCTAACTGTAATCAAAGACATTAGCAGCAGTCAAATAGTGGCTAAGGTGTGAAATGTAAAGCCCCACATTGCGGTTATTAAACCTATAACTCTGGAGGACTCTAGAATTAGCTGATCTGCTAGTCCACGCTTCTATAATAGTTCCTTTGGAGAGCAGACTGTTCACTGGCTAACACTACAGATACTTATATTCCTCTTCTGTTTTGCCACCTCTTAGATAGGAATGATAAAAACTAAATACTTGTTTTTACAGCTGCACTTGCAGCTAGCTTTGAGCCTGTCACAGTTACAACCAATGAGATAAATAGAAGTCTGCTGGTAGCTTCTGGGAAGTCTTTTCCTATAAGGCAAGAATGCTGCTAATACGGCCGTTCCCCCTTCCTCTCATTTTGATCTCAGATGATGTTCAGAGCTCCCATGGCAACCATCTGCAAACATGACTGTGACAAGCCTGAGGGAAGGGTAAGAGAATCACAAAGACTCTGGCCACTTGCCAAGCAGCTGTAAGTTGTAGGTTTTGTGTTAATTGTACCAAGATAAAGACTATCTTAAAATTGTATTTTTGATTAAAACTTCAGAAAAAAAAGGTTTTCAAGAAAAGTCTATCTTGTCTATGAAAAATGTCTATGACAAATGTCTATGACATTTTGTTAGCAAAGACAACAGGAGAAAAAAAATGGTTTTCTTGAAAGCTAAAGGGGAGAGAATATCTGACATTCAAAGTCCCTTACCTCTGAGGTTCCTTTTGGTAAACAAAATATGTATGAAACAGAAAGCAGTCTATTGTATATTCTGCGTGTGTGTGTGTGTGTGTGTGTGTGTGTGTGTGTGTGTGTGTGTGTGTGTATTAGTCTGCTCAGACGGCTATAACAAAATGCCACATTCTGGGTGGATTATACAACAGAAATCTATTTCCTCATAGTTCTAAAGACTGGGACATCCAAGATCAAGGTGATGGCAAGGTAGGTTTCCTTCTAAACTATCTTCTCCTAGCTTGTAGGCCACCACCATCTCACTGTGCATTCAAATAATCTATTCTTTGTGTGCGTGAGCTTTGAACAAACATTTTTGTGTCTCATAATTAGATGGTTCCTATCAGATCAGGGACCCTCCCTTATTACTTCATTTAACCTTAATTATTTATCTCCTTAGTGGCCCTATCTCCAATACAGCCACACTGGGGGTTAGTGCTTTAACATAAAATTGGGAAGGAGACATAAACAGTCCGTAACAGTATGGTATGCATATAGCATCATTAAATGTTTACAAAGATGTTTCTCGGTTCAGAAGATTAGTTTATTCTTTTATTTGTTCATTTGACAAACATGTTTTTGCACAACTTAGTAAAAATTATTATGAAACACACGATCCCTTCAAGGAGTTCAGAGTGATATGGCTCTTTACACAGGATAATCTGCGTGAAACAAGAAACATCTATCTGGGAAAATATTTTACATTTTGTTAGTGAAGGAGAAAAGTTGTTTCTCTTTTGAAAGCCAAAGGAGAGAGAAACATCTGTTAGACTAATCAAAGGTGCCTTAACTTCTGAAAGTCTTTCCAGCAAACTACATATATGACTGTGCATCACTGTGGTTAATGTGGCACAGATATTCATGGTAAATTCATAGACGTAAGCTTGGTAAACTATAGAGATGTGAGGGCCAAAAAGGAGGACAAAGATTGTCAAAAAACAGAATTCTAGCACATTTTAGTTGCTTTCTTAAAAGATAGAAGACCACACCCAGCAGAAAGTTTGGCTCCAGTCTACTCAAGTAGTATTGTTCATATACTATTAATAAACATTTAAATTTTTTAAAATACAGCTGATATGCACAAATTTAGAAACAAAACTAATTCTTGGTAATCATCCATCTCTCTTGGGGAGGAAGAGAAATACCCAGGTGTCCTAAAAAGGAAGCTACTAGTCACAAGCATTCAGGGTGCCATGAATGTGAGCAGCACATTTTATAGAGAAAAGGGAGAACTGTGGCAGGCCTATTATGTATGTATTCCAGGGTTGGAGAGTGTGGGGATTATTTCCCTTATACCTTAAATCTATCCACTTCTTTTCATCTCCACTGTCAAAACTATCTCAAATGAACAATTACAATAGTCTTTTTCTTTTTCTTTCTTTCTTTCTTTTTTTTTTTTTTTTTGAGACAGAGTCTTGCTCTGTCACCAGGCTGGAGTGCTGTAGCGTGATCTCAGCTCACAGCAACCTCCAACTCCCTGGTTCAGGCTATTCACCTGTCTCAGCCTCTCAACTAGCTGGGACTACATGCACGCGCCACCATGCCCAGCTAATTTTTGTATTTTTACAAGACACAGGGTTTCACCATGTTGGCCAGGACGGTCTCCATCTCCTGACCTCGTGATCCACCTGCCTCAGCCTCCCAAAGTGCTGGGATTACAGGCGTAAGCCACCGCGCCCGGCCACAATAATCTTAACTGATCTCTCTACTTCCACTTCAGCCCCAACTATAATCCATCCTCTTACAGGAGCCACAGTGTTCTTTTAGAAAAATCTAAATCACATCAATTTTTTCTACCTAAAAACTTTCAAAGATTGCCCCTTGCACTTATTATAAAATTCACACTTCTTTTTTTTTTTGGCATTCAAACATGGTTTCACCTCTACAAACTGTTTTCTAATGCCAGCCCACATGGCTACCTTTTCATTTTTTGAGTCCCAAGCTCTCTTGACTCCTAACTTTTTGTCTGGGAATGCTATTTGTCTGGCTCTTCCTCTTCAAGTCTTAAATTTTTCCTCTTTGGGCAACTTAAAAGAGCCCTCAAAACAGTTACCAAATTTAATCTTAAAATTATTGTTTACTGGCCAGATGCAGTGGCTCACGCCTGTAATCCCAGCACTTTGGGAGGCTGAGATAGGTGGATCACCTGAGGTCAGGAGTTTGAGACCAGCCTGGTCAACATGGTGAAACCCCGTCTCTACTAAAAATACAAAAATTAGCTGGGCATGTCGTGGGTGCCTGTAATCCCAGCTACGTGGGAGGCTGAGGCAAGAGAATCGCTTGAACCTGGGAGGCGGAGGTTGCAGTGAGCCAAGACCGTGCCATTGCATGCCAGGCTGAGCATCAAGAGTGAAACTCCGTCTCAAAAAATAAAATAAAATTATTATTTACTTTCTTATTATCTGTTTTCTCTTTTCTCCTCCCTTCCTGCCCCCCCCACCCACTTAGAAGAGGATCTGGAACACAGTGTTCAAAAATATTTATTGAATAATTAGGATTCTAAAAGCCTGAATTCAGGCAGTAGTAGATAAAAGAGGTCAATGGTCTGGATAAAGAAAATATGGCATATATACACCATGGCATACTATGCAGCCATAAAAAAGGATAAGTTCATGTCCTTTGCAGGGACATGGATGAAGCTGGAAACCATAATTCTCAGCAAACTAACTCAGGAACAGAAAACCAAACACCACACATGTTCTCACTCATAAGTGGGAGTTGAACAATGAGAACACATGGACACAGGGAGGGGAATATCACACACCAGGGCCTATCACACACTGGGGCCTGTCAGGGGGTGGGGGGCTAGGTGAGGGAGAGCATTAGGAGAAATACCTAATGTAGATGATGGGTTGATGGGTGCAGCAAACCACTATGGCACGTGTATACCTATGTAACAAACCTGCACGTTCTGCACATGTATCCCAGAACTTAAAGTATACTAATAATTTAAAAAATAGAAGTCAATGGCAAAAAATATTTGGACAGAAACTGTAAGTCTTGGGGACTGACACTCTCAGGAGATTGTTGTGCTACTAACTGATGGAGACACTTACAGAGGGAGGAGTAGATTTAGAGCGGCAGAGGGTAGATGCAGTTTGGGACATGCTGCTTTTGAAATATGGCAGGCAATCTGGAGCTCTCCATCAGGCAGTTGGATACAATAGTCCAAAATTCAGGCGAGAGGCATGTCTTACAGAATTTGAGTCAGATTAATTAGGAGATATTTCTTCTCTTGTTCTTCACATCCCTTGGCCATAGTGTAATGGCCTAAAACATATTAGGGACTCATATGTTAGCAGCACTTAAATGAAGACCAGAAACACATGGCTCCATGTGTAGTATGGTGACAAGCGCCATGGAAATATACCTGATGGACCCAGGTGTTTCATCCAGATAATTTCTTTTCATTCCATAATTAATTTGTTATCATAGAAGATGGTATTTTTTTCCCTCAAGGGAGATACAATAATAGCACAATATCACAAAATTTTGTCTTTGTTCTTTGCTTATTTTAATAATATTTAATAGTTTAAAAAGTTCATCTATGACAAACCCACAGCTAGTATCATACCAAATGGGGAAAACCTGAAAGCTTTTCCTCTAAGACCGGAAGCAAGGATGCCCACTTTCACCATTCCTATTCAACATAATACTGGAAGTCCTGGCCAGGGCACTTAGGCAAGAGAAAGAAAAGGTATCCAAACTAGAAAAGAAGAAGTCAAATTGTCCCTGTGTGCAGATGACATGATCTTATATAGAGAAAACCTCCTAAAGATTCCACCAAAAAACTGTTGGAACTAATAACTGAATTCAGTAAAGTTGCAGGGTACAGAATCAACATTCAAAAATCAGCAGTGTTTCTATGTATTAACAACAAGATATCAAAAAAAAATCAAGAAAACAATCCCACTCACAGTAGCTACAAAAAAAATACTTAGGAATAAATTTAACCAAGGAGGTTAAAAAACTGTACACTGAAAGCTACAAAACATTGACTTTAAAAATTGAAGAAGATACAAATAAATTTTAAAATGTTCTATGTTCATGAGTTGGAAGAATTAATATTGTTAAAATGGCTAGACTTCCCAAAATGATCTACAGATTCATGCAATCCCTCTCAAAATACCACTGACATTTTTCACAGAAATAGAAAAAACAATCCTGAAATTTGTATAGAACCACAAGACCCCAAATAGCAAAAGCAATCTTGAGCAAAAAGAACAAAGCTAGAGGCATCACACTACCTGACTTCAAAATATACTACACGGCTATATTAACCAAAACACCATGGTACTGGCATAAAAACAGACACATACACCATGGATCAGAATAGAGAGCTCAGAATTAAATTTACAGATCTACGGCCAACTGATTTTCAGCAAAGGTGTAAGAATGCACAATTGGGAAAGGACAGTCCCTTTAATAAATGATGCTGGGAAAATTGGATAGTCACATGCAAGAGAATGAGATTAGGCTCCTACATCTCACCATAGACAAAAATCAATTCAAAATTCATTAATTAAAGACTTACATGTGGGCCGGGCGAGGTGGCTCATGCCTGTAATCCCAGCACTTTGGGAGGCCAAGGCGGGCGGATCATGAGGTCAGGAGATCGAGACCATCCTGGCTAACACGGTGAAACCCCGTCTCTACTAAAAATACAAAAAAATTAGCCAGGCGTGGTGGCAGACGCCTGTAGTCCCAGCTACTTGGGAGGCTGAGGCAGGAGAATGGCGTGAACCCAGGAGGCAGAGCTTACACTGAGCCGAGATTGCACCACTGGACTCCAGCCTGGGCGACAGAGCGAGACTCCGTCTCAAAAAAAAAAAAAAAAAAGACTTACATGTAAACCAAAACTATGAAACTACTAGAGGAAAACATAAGGCAAATGCTTTGCAACATTAGACTGGGCAAGGATTTTAAAAATAAGACCTCAGAAGCACAGACAACAAAAGCAAAAATATAGACAAATGGGGTCACAGGATCACCTCAACCTGAAAAGCTTTTGACAGCAAAGGAAACAACACAGTGAAAAAGCAACCTATAGAATGAGAGAAACTGTTTGCAAACTATACATTTGACAAGAGATTAATATCCAGTATATATATATATATATATATATATAATTTCCACAACTCAACAACAATAAAACAAATAACTAAAAATCTAAAAATGGGCAAAAAACTTTAGTAAACATTTCTCAAGAGAAGATATACAAATGGTCAATAGCTACATTAAAAATGCTCAACATCAGTAATCATCAGGGAAGTGCAAATCAAAATCACAACGAGGTACCATCTTACTCCAGTTAAAATGGCTTTTACCAAAAAGACAAAAGAAAACACGTGTTTGTGAGGATGTGGAGAAAGGGGAACACTTATACACTGTTGTTGGGATTGTAAATTAGTACAGCCACTGTAGAAAACAGTATGAAGATTCCTCAGCAAATTAAAAATAAAACTATTATATGATCCAGCAATCCCACTACTGGTAATACAGCCAAAGGAAATAAAATCAGTATGTTGAAGAGATATCTGCACTCTCATGTTTATTGCAGCACTATTTGCAATAGCCAAGATATGGAATCAACCTAAGCGTTCAACAACAGATGAATGGATAAAGAAAATATTATATGCACACATACACACACAATGGAATGCTCTCCAGCCATAAAAAAGAAAGGATTCCTGCCATTTGTGGCAACATGGATGAACCTGAAAGACAGCATATTAAATGAAATAAGCCAGACACAGAAAGACAAATGCCATATAATATTATTTCACTTATATATGGAATCTGAAAAAAAAAGGAGTTGATATCCTAGAAGCAGAGACTGGGGAGGAGAGGAAGCTAGGGAAGACAGAAAACTGTTGGTCAACAGGAAGAAAGTTACAATTACATAGAAGGAATATGTTGTGGTGTTTTATTGCAAAGTGGGATGACAATAGTTAAGAGTAAGTCTTTGTATATTATAAAATAGCTAAAAGAAAGGCTTTTGAATGTTCTCACCACAAAGAAATGATAAATGTATCGGATAATAATGAATATGCTAAATACCCTGTTTTGATTATTATATAACATATAGGTACCAAAACATCAAATTTTACTCCATGAATATGTATAACTGCAATGTATCAATAAAGAAATAAAGCAAATTTTAAGAGGAAATTTAAAGAATGAAAAAAAAACTGATCTCACTAGCAATCAAAGAAATATAATTGCAACTACAAGAAGACACTACATTGGCAAGAATGTGTTGTGAAAACAGTGTTCTCCCTAGAGTATATGGAAATGAACTCTGTGCATTCCTGATGGGAGTGCAAATTTCTTTAAGAATATTTGTGGAGCTGATTTAGGAATATGCAGCGAAACCATTAAAAACATTCATAGCCTTAACACAGCAATTACATTTCTATGAACTTAAAATAATGACACATATGTGATGTGTAAAGATTTAATTCAAAGGATGTGCATTACATTTATCACAAATACTTCAACTAAAAGTTTTAAGTATTTAGAGGATTTGTTACATACTGTATGGCATATAAAATTGCGAACTCTTTTGTACCCGATAAAATGAAGACTTACATATAGCCAACAAACAGATGAAAAAAAGCTCAATATCACTGATCATTAGAGAAATGCAAATCAAAACCACAATGAGATACCATCTCAACCAGTCAGAATGGCTATAATTAAAAAGTCAAAAAACAACAGATGCTGGCAAAATTGCAGAGCAAAGGGAATGCTTATACACTGTTGTTGGGAGTGTAAATTAGTTCAGCCACTGTGGAAAGTAGTGTGGAAATTCCTCAGAGAAAAAACAGAAATACCATTCAACTCAGCAATCCCATTACTGGGTTGTATACCTAAAGGAATACAAATCATTCTGCCATAAAGACATATGCACGTGTATGTTCACTGTAGCACTATTTACAGTAGCAAAGACGAAGAACCTAAATGTCCATCAGTGGCAGATTGGATAAAGAAAATGTGGTCCACATACACTATGGAATACTATGCAGCCATAAAAAAGAACAAGATCATATCCTTTGCAGGAACACAAATGGAGCTGGAGGCCATTATCCTTAGCAAGCTAATACAGGAACACAAAACCAAATAATGCATGTTCTCAGTTTTAACTGGGAATTAAACAATGAAAATACATGGACCCAAAGAGAAAAACAACAGACACTGGATCCTACTTGTGGGTGGAAGGTGGGAGGAGGGAGGATTAGAAAAAATAACTGTGGGTACTAGGCTTAGTACCTGAATTACAAAATAATCTGTACAACAAACCCCCATGACACAAGTTTACTTATGCATGAAACCTGCACATGTACCCCTGAACCTAAAATAAGAGTTTAAAAAATAAAAAAAGGAAGATTAAAGATATTCATGATACACTACTTCTATGATTTTAATGTGTCCCCCACAAAGCATGCACTGGACATTTAATCCCCACTGCAATGGTGTTGGGAGGTGGGGCCTAATGGGAAGTGTTTAGGTCAAGAGGGCTCCACCCTCACTAATGGATTAATGCTGATCATAAAAGGGCTTGAAGCTGAATTTAATTCCTTGCTCTCTCTTGCCATGTGATGCCTTTTGCTATGTTGTGATGCAGCAAGAAGGTTCTCACAAGATGCCAGTGCCACACCCTTGGACTTCCCAGCCTCTAGTACCCAGTACTATAAGCCAAATAAATTTCTGTCCATTATAAATTACCCAGTCTGTGGTATTCTGTTGTAGCAATGGAAGACAGACTAAGACAACCACTAAATGAAAGAAGCAAGTTACAAAACTATAATTTCAGTTTTACAAGTAAAAAGATATACATTTATGCATTTGTATACAGAAAGAATAAATATAATACCTGTGGTTATCTCCACTTGATGAAATTATGAAGTTTTATTTTCTTCTTTTCATGAATCTGTATTTTATCAATTTTCTACAATAAGCATGTATTACTTTGTAATTTTTAAATATTACTTTTAAACTAATAAAAACTAATATGTATATTGCCCCACCATCTGCTATCTGACTTATGGCAAATTCCTCAACATGTCTGTTTCCTATAAAAGGAAGATAATGCCATCCAAGCTATGGCATTGCTGTGGCCTAAATAAAGTGTGCATATGCTAAACCCAGCCTGTCTCATAGTAGGCACTCATGAATGGGTAGTATCTGACATTCAGCCTGTGCTGACTACCATTATCTTTGGCCATTCAGAAGAAGAGTCCATCTGTATGCCTAAACTATACAGCATAAATATTTCATTAAACTGATATTGGTGAACAGACCTAATGTCATTCATTAACTAACCATTTTATTTCAGTTGTTCACCCTAATCTTAAATTTTGAAGGCTTAAATAGGGTCCACCCAGGTTACAAATGACTTTTCTTCTAATTTCATTTCCAAGTTACACGTTAGTAAATAGGGCTTTCTCAAACTAAACTTAAAATACCTTTTTAATCTATGAAATACTGGAAGTCTGTGTAATGTTTTCAATAGGACACAACGGCTTTGAACTAGTAATTAAACAATAATAATGAAATAACAGTTACAGATATTTATCTAGATGCATGGGGCTTGGAAAAAGCAGTTTAATTAGAAATAAAAGGTAACTGGAAACTTTTGTGAAGAATTTAATGGGAGATTTCAGAGTAAGCTACGTCAAACACGAGGAGTTTTTACAGTTGTGCAGAGTTGTCCACCTCAACTTAATAGGTCAACAAACAAGGCAAAAGATTTAGGCCTTGAGGATACAAGTAAGCAAGGAGATAGCTTCCCGAATCCTTCCTGGTTCCTCATGGAAGCTGACTGCAGGTTTGGTCGTTCCCACAGTGCACAGGAGCAATGCAACCACTGCGTCCTTCCCTGCCTTTTGTGTAATGAGGCTGGGGTGAAGCGTATCAACCCTAAAGGGTTGACCTAGTGCCTTGTAAGGGCTTCTTTTATATCATGGCCTGCTGCACAGGGGCTTATAAAAACATTGCACAGGGTTTTAATTTTTTGTTTTGCATAAGTCTGTCAATCACTAGCTTTAATTTTATGCTTGTTAATCAAAATAAAGGCTGTGCTTTTACTTAAAATGGAATAAAAATATTCCTGTGATGGCTGAAGAGGAGTTAGAAGACAGAGGAAGAAGTGAGGGTTTGCCTCCAATTGAATTAATAAAAGTATGCATGGTAAAAGAAGACAAAAGTTACAATATCGTATGGACTCAAGCAGCTGAGAGGGAAAGAAAGATGACCAGGAGAATATGGCAGATAAAACTGAACCAGACAAAAGCAAGAAGGCACAAAAGCACTCAGTCTGGAAGGTTTATAATCTGGTATGTGCCAGCCCTCTAATCTTCAACTTGGTGCATCAGGGGTTTATTTAGTAGAGTCTTAGAGAAATTGCTTTTGTAGTATATGAACAACTTTATGTTCTAAATAAGACCTTTCTTGTATGTACTAAAAAACATAAATAAAATAAAAGACAGTTGCCTTTCCTTTTTCAGCTAGATGATAATTACTCATTAAAGGTTGATGTTGCTTACATGGATATATTTATACTACCTTGCTCAACATCTTTTTAAAAAATCTGTTGAGGCTGGGCTTGGTGGCTTATGCCTGTAATCCCAGAACTTTGGGAGGCCAAGGTGGGCAGATCACTTGAGGTCAGGAGTTCGAGACCAGCCTGGCCAATATGGTGAAATTCTGTCTCTACTAAAAATACAAAATTATACATATATTAGTCAGGCGTGGTGGCGCAGGCCTGTAGTCCCAGCTACTTGAGAGGCTGAGGCAGGAGAATCACTTGAACCCGGGAGGCAGAGGTTGCAGTGAGCTGAGATTGTGCCACCGCACTCCAGCCTGGGTGACAGAGCAAGATTCCGTCTCAGGAAAAAGAAAAATCTATTGAGTTTACTTTTTTAAGCATTTTATGTCTGTAAAATGTTTTCTAATTTTCCCCAGTTCTTACAGGCTACAACTTTCCAAGCTCACCTGCCTCTTAATCTAATTCTAGTTCGGAGTATACTTTAAAATTCCACAAACTTAAAGTCTGGACTCTGCTTTCTAACAAGTGGGGCAAATTCCTTTGCATTTCTGAGCCTCAGTCCTCATTTAAAGGGAGACAACAATAGTGCCCCCCAATCTGGTTTATTGAAAGAAGAACAGGTAAAGAGAATGTAAACTGTTCAACAGAGAACTTGGCATCTGCTGTGGCTCAGGAAACCGCACTGTCGCCGCAGGTCAGTGTGGATGTTGTGGAGGTGTTAAGTGGGGCAGTGCGTGTTTTCCATGCCCACATAAAAATGTTTGCCAGTCAGAGATTTATGCCTCATCCAGTGCCCGCTAAGCTGCTATGAAAAGACAACAATTCAGTCACATTCTGGAAACAAGAAAAAGCTACCTGCAATGCTGAATTATCCATAGTCCTATAGTAGCTTGTAGACCTACTTGGTGATGATGGGCTCTGTGTTTGAATAGTTAGCTTCACAGAAACACATTTTCATTGCACCCAAGTTGACAATACATTGGAGCTCAACTTTTCAATCTCATCTCCTGTCATGCTTTTTCTGATTCATTGGCCATACTAGTCTTTTTCAGTTCAATCAGTGTTCTAAACATTTTCCCACCTCAAAACCCTCGAACACAACATTTGCTGTACATTTTCTTTCTATAGAGGAAGAAAGCCAAACCTTAGCTAGGGAAATCTCAACTTCCTGGTTCTGAAGCCTTTCCAGTAAATCTTGTTTTATTAAGCGATGCTTAATAATTGTTTTATAAACACTGAAAGTTAAAATGCAATTTCCTATGTAAATGCATCAAGCAAATAAGAATGGTATTTAAGGACATAAAGAAATAGGGAAATTAAGGAAGTTGATCTATTTAAGGTCAGGTCACAAATTCCCTTAAGCTTTTTCTTGGAAACATTTTTCTTTTGGCTCAGTCTCACCTTTCAAACATATCAGAAAAATAATATTGATTTTGTGTGTTGTCAAGGCATAAAAAGCTGATATGAAAGGCACTTCCTAAATTTATTTTCAAGATACAAAATGGTCACTGTGACTAAATATACAGTGCTCCTTTCTGCATTAGTTGGATCCTCACCCAATTACATTAGGAGTTTTAAACTTTAAAATGTTTAAAAGTAAATATTATTGGAGTAAACTTGATTCCACTTTTCTTGGTCACTAGCTTCTGTTGAAGTGGAAGGGTACACTCTAAGAAAGTTAATTGAATTTAAAGATACTGAAATAAGAATTCCCTTCAATTCAACCAATATTGGTTGAATTCAATTCAACCTGTACATGTTGAGATTACTGTTTATGTGCATGGAGTTTCTAGAAAAATGATGGCAACAAAAACACAATGTCTGCTGACCTTGGGTTCTGTCTACAGAAAGACCTCAGAAACATTTTAGGCATTGCTTTCAATTACTCAACACTTTGTAATCTGTATACATCCAGGCATTCAGTCAGCAAACATTACTGACCATCTACTGCATGGTAGGGCATGGGCTTCACATTTGCTAGATGAACAAGGCCCTTTGTTAACCCGCTACTTCTCCAGTCTCCTCTGCCAACCAATCCCCACCCAGAGCCCCAGCTAGGGACATGCTATATCCCAGCTCTGCATGCTCTATTCACTCCATAATAACCAGGAAGTTAGCCCTGTAGCACCTGTAACCTCCTCCTGTGGTGGACCACTTACCACCTTGGGCTGAACTCATTTATCTTGAGTCCATTACCACTGCAGGCTGACTCTGAGCAACCCTTCACTGCTTATCACATCACAGTGCTGGAGTGTACACCACAGAGGCTCAATAGATATTTGTTACATACAAGCAGATTGTGACCAGCCTGGGAAATAACATTTCAAAATAGGGTATATGGAAGTCTTAGATCTCAGTCAATTAATACTTTATAATCTGCTCTCAAGTAACATGGATCCAGGGACTCTCATAACTAGTAGTACTTTAGAAAGTAGATGTCAACACTGACCCTCAGGGCAAAAATTCCTTTCATAGCAAGCTTGCCATTCCCACAGAAGCAACTGTGATTTGGAAAGTACTCCTGAAGTGGCTCTAGGGTGACAGTTTGAGACAGCATCTACCTCGCCAGATTCAAACCCTAGAATGCTCATGCCTGAGGAGCCTGCCAAGTCTTCTGCTCCAAACTTCTCATTTTACAGATGAAATCACAAACCAGCAAGGTGACATGAACACAGTGAGTGGAAAACAAAGCTCTTTGGCTCCCAACCTAATGATACTTTATTTCATACAAATGTCTCCTGTATTTGGTTATATCTGTGAACATTTCATGGATGATGGATCAGGGCAGTTATCTGTGAATTATACTTCCACCATAGCCAGTGGAAGGAGAGTTCTCAGCCTTGTCCCTATTCCACGTTCCAGTTCTACCTCTTGGGCCTAGGATGATGAAGGAGATTGCTGAGTCATATTTTAATACCATCAACCAGGGTCAACAACTTCCACCCAGCCTGAGGTAGCTGCAGGCATCCTACCCACCTCCCTACAGTGAAACTGCTGCCCATTCCAATGCCATTCATGCATGCACTAGCCCAAAAGCTTTTGAATGAAGAGTCACCCTGATCTCACTAAACAAATGCTACCTCATTAGGTGCTATGACTACACCACAGACCCTGAGACAGGATGGAATAAGACCAGGAGTTAGAGGGTGAGTCAGCAGAATAAAATGGCTACTTAGAGAGGAAACTCCATCAGACATAGGAAGAAGGTGGGGCAAGACAATATCCAGCACCCTCCCTTGACATCACAGCCACTCTTAAAAAGGTCTGTCTCTTCACAACTCCCCACTTCTGTCCCCAGACCCCACGTTCACTTCCAGGTAAGTTTCCTGAAGAAGGATTGAGGCCCCTGCTCTTCAGGTTTAGCAGCAGCGAGTGAGCCAGTGCTCTTCACCCTCTCTGTGTGAGGTCTTGGGAGAGGGTTAATGAGCCAATCCCGTGGTTGCCCCATGGGCACATCATAGCCTCAGCTGACGAACAAAGACCCAACAGGCACGAATGCAGGGAGGCACACGATGAGTGGATCGTGACTTATCTCAGTGAATGAATCTTCATCTAAGAGTTGTTTTCCTCCTGCAGACAAACCAGAACATGAACCTTCCACCCTCTTATCAATCTGCAGAGATTCCTTCCAAATTCAGACAGGACATTCAACATTTAGAACAGAAACATAGTAATCAAAGGTTATGATAGTTTAATGTGGATATAACACATTCTTGGGAAGGTTTATTCCTCCTTGTCACAGGGGCTACTAGACAGATGTTGACTAAGCACGGTGAGTAGATGGTTGGGTGAGAACTTGTAGAATATTAGTTTTAAACTCTCCTTCAATGTAAATTTCTTTAGTGCAGGTTTCTCTTGTAATATCACTTCATTACACTTATTTGTTTATATAATTCCCTCTTCTCAACTGTATTAAAGGTTGAGACCTTACCTTTTTACCATTGCATGACCACCACCTAATTAATATACCTGAGAGACAGTAGGAGTTTAATAAATAAATCTTGTATAATTACATTTAGCTAGATTTTCGGAAGGTACTATACAGATTGGTCAGATGCTTTCATGTTAACAAGAAATAAGTCTTACATCTTAACTTATATTTATATAAAATCAAAATATAAACAGAATCTTACTCTCATAAACTGACTACAACTCATGAAAATAAACTACGATTGTCTACTTAAGCTTCACTGCTTGGAACAGAAAACTAAGTACCTCATGTTCTCAATTCTAAATGGGAGCTAAACATTGAGTACACATAGACCAAAAAAAAGGAGGAGGGGGGATCAACAGACACCAGGGCCTACTTGAAGGTGGAGGGTGGGAGAAGGGTGAGGATGAAAAAACTACCAGTCAGTACTATGCTTATTACCTGGGTGATGAAATACTCTGTACACCAAACCCTTGAGACACACAACTCACCTGTATAATAAGCCTGCACATGTACCCTCTGAACATAAAATAAAAGTCAGAAAGAAAGAAGGAAGGAAGGAAGGAGAGAAAGCAAGCAGGAAGGAAGGAAGGAAGGAGAGAAAGCAAGCAGGAAGGAAGGAAGGGAGGGAGGGAGGAAGGAAGGAAGGAGAGAGAGGGAAAGAAAGAAAAGAAAGAAAGAAAGAAGAAAGAAAGAGAAAGAAGAAAGAGAGAGAGAAAGAAAGAAAGGAAATTAAAGACCATTGTGTGTTGTTCTCTGCATGGGCCTTGTCTTTAAATACATTTAAATTGTGAGAATAATTGTTTCTGTCTTCATAGTCAATTGCTCCACATTTGACTAAGCATTAAATCACAAATAAATTCAGTTTTTCCTGGCTATCCTATTCTTACTTCAAATTTTTGTGATTTGTACTCAAGTCGTATCATGTATTTTACTTATAGGATCCTGTAATTTTCCTATTTGTTCACACTTCATCGTTGGCCTAAGAGATTTGACCCTATCGGTTTTCTTTCTGTGACTCAATTTTAATGCCTATATGTTTTAAGAAGTAAGTTCTAAAATTTAAAAAAAAAACCTTTCCTGCTTATGGTAGACAGAATAATGCCCCCTCCCCGCCCCCAAGATGTTCACATCCTTATCCCCAGAACCTGTAACTGTGTGGCCTTACATGCCAAAAGGAACTTGGACAATTTGATAAAGTTAAGGACTTTGAGATTGAGAGATTATTCTGGATTAACTGGGTGGGCCTCATTAAACAGTATAGGTCTTTAAAAGCAGAGAACATTTCCTGACTATGATCGTGGAGCGATATGACCATGGAAGAAGGGTCAGAGAGCTGCTGGCTTTGAAGATGGGAGGAAGCAGCCATGAGCCAAGGAATGCGGATGTCCTCCACAAGCTGGAAAAGGCCAGGAAACAGATCCTGCCCTAGGAAACAGATCCTCCCCTAGGGAATGCATGCTACCGCACCTTGATTTTAGCCAAGGGAACCCGGATCTGCAGAGATATAAGATAATATATTGGTGTCGTTTTAAGCCACTATGTCTGTGGTAATTGGTTATAGCAACAATAGAAAAACCATACACAGCCCAAACCCTAGCAACTCGCAAGCTAGAGGGAAGCTCTCTGAACTTGCATTTCCTCATTTATAAAAGTAGAGATAATACACGCTACCTAAGAGACTCCTGTGAAGATGAAATGCAATGAAGAATGCAGAAAGCTTAATTCAGTGCCTGCAACCTCCGAAGTGAGGGGAGCTGTTCTCTGAATTAACTGGGATGTGAGCCCCACAGCCACTTACAGTCCCTTACGCGGCCTCCCCTCTGTCCTCCTGGAATGAAAAGCGTTCCTTCTGAGGTTGCGGGTTAGAGAAGTCACCTCTATTCGCATGCGCAGGGCTGGGCAAGATCCTTGGGTTTTATAAGCAATAGTAGACTTCCCAGGCGACCAAAGTATCTCCCAGGTCCTATAGTCCCAAGGCATCAGCACTGAGGAGGAGAGGGCCACCCCCAGGTGTCACCGCAACCCTATTATTGTCCCCGGCAGCTTTGCCTTCCTGGTCTGAGATGATGCACCCTAGAGGGAGACGACGCAGTAACAGGATTCCAAAGACCACATACTCTCAGACGCAGTCAAACCATATGGCCTGCCTTGTTGCCTCGTTTAGAAACAATCATTTTCCATTCTAAAGTTTCGATGAATAAAATCCAAACTGTTACCAATTTTGCACAACGGAGATGCCTGCCGCAGATTTTAGCAGGTGCTCGGTCCTCGCATTGACGATGAGCTTAGAGTGCCGCCTAGTGGGAACAACGAGCGGCAGCAGTGACAACATTTTGTAGAGGAAAAAACTATCAAGGGAGGCATCGGGAACGTTATAAATAGAAAGTCCCAAGGTCCTGGTGATGGGCTGCTGTTTTATGGGCCTGCCTGACCTAAATGAGCTATATCCCAAGGTGACTACCTCATCTAAAAAGGCGTCCTAGCTCCATCAGGATATTCATCTTATCTAGCTCTCAAACATCCTAAATAGAAGTGTAATTCATTTACTGTAGAATATTTTGGTAAATTTTCCCCTTTATTTTCATAAGGCAGAAACATGAAGTTGACCTTTTCCTTAGAAATGTTCATATTCGAAATACTAAAGGTTATTATTGAGAATGTTGAATTTTAATAAACTTTCAATTTATTCATTTCTATTGTTTTATCTGTTTTTCACTAGGAATCCAGCTACACACCATTGAGATATGTTTGTTTCAAAAAGATTTTAATAATTCTGTACCAGAACTATTCCTAATATTACCCTTTTATATTTTCTCACATTCTGTTTATTTTTTCTGAAACCTTTCCTTATTCATTAGCTCATTTTTTTTTACTTCAGCTAGTTTTCTGAAAGGGTTATAGTTAATAACTTTTTGTCACCTTATTTTGGAAAAATAAAATCTATCTTATTTACTCCATACTTTCCTTTAGAGGAAGAGTATATTGAAAGAAGTGGCTTTGCTCAAAGAATTTTAAATATAGAAAGCTGCTACTTGACTAGCTGAAAACTGGACATTTTTCTATAATGTCAAAACACATCACAGAAACTGAGAAACTTCCTGGATTTTCTACTACTTATCCAAGTTCTCTTCCTCAGTTGCAATTTCCACTAACTGGATGTTAGCCAGCCCCCTTCCACTCTATCCTCTTCTCTACACGGAAGTAATTTGCTGATTCCAAACCCAGGCTCTTCTACAGATTATCCCCTGAGTGCCAGCCCTACAGTAATGAACTGGCATTAAACTTCTCCACTTCGATGTTGAAAACCAAACGGATCCTCTTCCTCCCACCTACATCTGCTCCTCCTCCTAAAATCCTCTATCTCGTAGAAAATGGTACTACCATCTGCTGAGCCTCCCAAAACAGAACTGGGGGATAACTATAATTCCTCCCTCCCCGTTGACCTCCCCCAAATCCCATTTTCACTCTCAGTTCACCCTTTCGTCATCTTTTGCCATGATGATTTCTACAGTTTCTCAGTGGTTCTCCCTGTTGGCCCTTTCCAGTAAATTCTGTATTTTTGTGATAGATTGAGCTTTGTACAATGCAAATTGATCACCACCTAAAAATCCTTCGTTGACTCCCCAGAGCTTTCATCCTAAATCGAAACTCCTACATGAGGATATCAAGACCTTTATCATCTGGCTTCTAGAACCTCCCAGCTTCATCTCTTCCTACTCGCCATTTTTCACCCAATCTTCCAGCCATTCTAGACATCAACATTCCTTTCCACACCTCCCTGCCTTAGCTACTGCTCACCACTTCCTCAGGCTAGTTCCTTCAGTCCTCAGCTTAGGCAACGGGTCATCCAGGAGGTCAGCTTAAGGCATGTGGGCAACATTAGAACAAGGATCACATTGCATTCCATTGTCTTTATGTGTCTGCCTCTTCCCCTACTAGACTTCTTGAGGGCAGAAACTGTTGATGTTCATTTCTGAAAACCTAATGCCCTACAGACAGATTGTTATATTTGTTGGAGAAGTTGAGAAAATATGATAATGGAGAACACTTCTTACTCTCTGCTAAGCACTACAAAGGTGTTACATGTATGGCTATATTTAATCTTCATACTGACCCTATGAAGATATTTTTAATGTTTGTTTTATAAATGAAGAAAATGAGGGCCAACAAAGTCAACAAAGGGTCAACAAAGTTAAATTATCTGAGGTCACCATGGCGGAAGCTGTAATGTACCTTCCAAATCCTCCTTCAAGAAAAGACAGGACAGACACAGTAGCTCACGCCTATAATCCCAGTAGTTTGGGAGGCCGAGGCGGATGGATCACCTGAAGTCAGGAGTTTGAGACCAGCCTGGCCAACATGGTGAAACCCCATCTCTACTAAAAATACCAAAATTAGCTGGGTGTGTGGGGGGCACCTGTAATCCTAGCTACTCGGGAGGCTGACGCAGGAAAATTGCTTGATCCTGGGAGGCGGAGGTTGCAGTGACATGGGATCACGCCATAGCATTCCAGCCTAGGCGACAAGAGCAAGACCTTGTCTCAAAAAAAAAAAAAAAGAAAGAAAGAAAGAGAAAAAGGCCTTACTGCCTATTCTGTGTGGACTGTTGTCCATGGTACTCTTTACCCAAGGCTATGTCCTTTGGGGCACATTCAGTGACTGACCCCTATGAGAGATTACCTCAACTGAGTTGTCAATTCAGAGTATCTCATGAGGTCAGCTCAGAGGCCTCCTTTGAGACACAACTTTTCCTCTATCCAATCTCATCCTTCTCTTTCTTTAAAAGACATCAATGCTAAAAGCACTCTTTTTTATAGCTTTTATTTTAAGTTCAGGGTACATGTGCAGGTTTGTTACATGGGTAAACATGTGTCATAGGGGTTTGTCGTACAGATTATATCATCACCCAGGTATTAAGCCTAGTACCCATTAGTTATTTTTCCTAATCCTCTCCCTCCTCCAACCCTCCACCCTTCAATAGTTTCCATTGTGTGTTGTTCCCCTCTCTGTGCCCATGTGTTCTCATCATTTAGCTCACACTTATAAATGAGAACGTGCAGTATTTAGTTTTCTGTTCCTGTGTTAGTTTGCTAAGGATAATGGCCTCCATCTTCATCCATGTCCCTGCAAAGGATGTAATCTCACTCTTTTTTATGGCTGCATAGTTTTCCATTGTATATATACCACATTTTCTTTATCATGTCTATCATTGATGGGCATTTAGGTTGATTCTATGTCTTTGCTATTGTGAATAGTGTTGCAATGAACACACACGTGCATGTATATTTATAACAGAATGATTTTTATTCCTTTGGGTATATACCCAGTAATGGGATTTCTAGGTCAAATGGTATTTCTGTCTTTAGGTCTTTGAGGAATTGCCACACTGTCTTCCACAGAGGTTGACCTAATTTACACTCCCACCAACAGTGAATAAGCATTCTTTTTTCTCCACAACCTCACCAGCATCTGCTATTTTTTGACTTTTTAATAGTCATTCTGTCTAGTGTGAGATGGTATCTCATTGTGGTTTTGATTTGCATTTCTCTAATGATCAGTGATGTTGAGCTGCTTTTTCATATGATTGTTGGCCACATGTATGTCTTCTTTTGAAAAGTGTCTGTTCATGTCCTTTTCCCACTTTTTTATGGAGTTTTTTTTTTTCCTTGTAAATTTAAGTTCCGTATAGATGCTGGATATTAGACCTTTGTCAGATGCATAGTTTGTGAAAATTTTCTCCCATCCTGTAGGTTGGTCTGTTTACTCTGTTGATAGTTTCTTTTACTGTGCAGAAGCTCTTTAGTTTAATTAGATCCAATTTGTCAATTTTTGCTGTTGTTGCAATTGCAAAAGCACTCCTTAACAAGCCTCATGCACTCTTCTCTCCATCTCAGACTCTGCTCCCCAGGGAATCCTGTGGCACTCACACAGCTAGAAAAACATAGGTACTGAGCACAGGCACTCAACAAAAAAAACAACAAATGTTTCATCTGTTTTTTTGTTTATTTGGTTGGTGCCATTTGTTTAGGGTACTTGCCCTCAAGAACCTCACAATCTAGTCTATTGGCCATGAAGGGGCAGGAAAATTATATTCTAAAGTGCATGGTTTTAAGATCAAGTCAATAAATGTAAGTTTAATTACTTCAAACAGGACACAAACGTTCTCTAAGTTTAAGCTTTGTTTTATTTAACAACGCTTTTAGAAACCCAAAATTTTAGCAATGATATTTTTTCTTCTTAAACACAAGCCTGATCCACATCTTATTTGTTATTTTTCTAAATACCTTTAAAGCAATTAAAAAGAAAAACATTTTAAGAGAAGAGAAGAAAAGAAAAGGCTCTCATGAGTGCCTAATGACCGTAGATCTTCCCAGAACTTGTCCATGCCACAAGTTTAGCCTCCCTGGATATTAAAATCTGTGCTGGTGACTTCAAGCATTATAGCCACCTGAAGCCTTTGGCTATGGCAGAGTGCTCTAGATCCTGCCAACAGACCTCTTCAGGAAACAGACCAGAGTAAAGACAGTTCAAATACCTTTAAACCTTCGTTTTAAAACATGATCTTGGAAAGAAACCAAAAGCAAATGCAACAAAAGCAAAAATTGACAAATGGGACCTAAATAAACTTAAGAGCTTCTGCACAGCAAAAGAAACTATCAACAGAGTAAACAGACAGCCTGTAGAATAGGAGAAAATATTTGCAAACTACGCACCTGACAAAGGTCTAATATCCGGCATCTATAAGGAACTTAAACAAATTTACAAGATAAGAACAAACAACCCCACTAAAAACTGATCAGAGGACATGAACAGACACTTTTCAAAAGAAGACATACATGTAGCCAACAAGCATATGAAAAAAAGCTCAATATCAATGATAATTAGAGAAATGCAAATCAAAAGCACGGTAAGATACTATCTCACACCAGTCAGAATGGCTATTATTAAAAAGTCAAAAAAAAAATACCATGCTAGTGTGGTTGTGGAGAAAAGGGAACACTTATACACTGTTGGTGGAAGCGTAAATTAATTCAACCATTGTGGAAAGCAGTAAAGAACTAAAAGAACTTAAAGAACTGAAAGCAGAACTACCATTTGACCCTGCAATCCCATTACTACATATATACTCAGAGGAATATAAATCATTCTACCATATAGACACATGCAAGCAAATGTTCACTGCAGCACTATTCACAATAGCAAAGACATGGAATCAACCTAAATGCCTATCAGTGACAGACTGGATAAAGAAAATATGGTACATATACACCATGGCATATGAAGCCATAAAAAAGAATGAGATCATGTCTTTTGTGTAAACATGGATGGAGTTGGAGGCTATTATCCTTAGCAAACTAATGTAAGAACAGAAAATCAAATACTGCATCCTCTCACTTATAAGTGAGAGCTAAATGATAAGAACTTATGAGCACACAGAGGGGAACAACAGACACTGGAGTCTACTTAAGGATAGAGGGGAGGAGGAGGGAAAGGATCAGAAAAGATAGCTATCAGATACTGAGTGTAATACCTGGGTGATGAAATAATCTGTACAACAACCCCCCCGTGATACGAGTTTACCTGTGTAACAAACCTCACATGTACCCCGGAAGGCAAATAAAAATTATATATACGTACATACAGACATACGTACATACATACATATTTCTGATCTTGAACTCTCAACTTTGATTAAGAACTAAGCTACAGAAGGGCTAACTTTTCAAATAGGTGCTGCAGGGAGTATTCTTTACCAGTGTTTGAACTGTTATTGTCATAATTTTTTGGTTGAGGTTTGCTTTCGGTCTTTGCAAAATTGAGGAATGTGCTTTTAAAAACTCTGTCAGAAAAATTAGTTAGTTAATTAAAACATCAAGAGCCCGTCAGTCTGGCTCAGTTTCCTAGAAGCTTATTGCACAGTGTTAAACCTATATAATTTTTCATTGTCCAAATTAAAATAAATTTCTTGGAGAAATGTTAGTAGAGAGACTAGAATTTAAGCTGACACTATGAGGTACTCACTCTTTTCATATTCCATCTCTCTCATGCTGACCCTTCTGGCTTTCTGTTGCCCTCTGCAACCAAAGAAAGGCAAGAAAAGGTCTTTCCATCAGTTCTATGGAACTACTACTCTGGAACTATTACTTCCTTAAGAATTTTATGTTTGTGTCATTTTGTGAGGAAAGCACTTGTACCAACAAAAATGTAGGGAAGTGGTTAAGAATGTAGATATTGGATTCAAGGAGACTTGAATTCAAACTCTTAATCTTAATGTGGCAGTTGCATGGCATCAGGAAGTTGTTTAATGTCTTTGAGCCACTTTCAGCTGTTCTTTTAATGACTACTTATGTTAATCAATTAATAACTACTATATTAACACCTACTACATAGTCATTTTTAAATAAACTGAATAAAATATTGAATGAGACCCTTTGCACTCAGTTGGCATATAAATAGCACATGACAGATGATGATAGTTGCTACTTAAAGTTCCTCTGTTGCACTGAGAATAGACAAGTGCAGGGAGAAAACATTTATTAAGCATTAACTTGATATCAGATACAGCACTATCTTTACATACATATTCCCATTTAATTCTCATAACAATCCAGTGAGATTGATAATAATATTCCTACTATGTCGTGGAAGGACTGAAGCCTCAGAGAGATTAAGGAACCTTCCCAGAGTCACACAACTAGATTGTGATCTGTCTAAGAGCAGAATCTGTGTCTTTTTTTTTTTTTTTATTGTACTTTAAGTTCTAGGGTACATGTGCACATTGTGCAGGTTAGTTACATATATATACATGTGCCATGCTGGTGCGCTGCACCCACTAACTCGTCATCTAGCATTAGGTATATCTCCCAATGCTATCCCTCCCCGTCCCCCCACCCCACAACAGTCCCCAGAGTATGATATTCCCCTTCCTGTGTCTATGTGATCTCATTGTTCAATTCCCACCTATGAGTGAGAATATGCGGTGTTTGGTTTTTTGTTCTTGCAATAGTTTACTGAGAATGATGATTTCCAATTTCATCCATGTCCCTACAAAGGACATGAACTCATCATTTTTTATGGCTGCATAGTATTCCATGGTGTATATGTGCCACATTTTCTTAATCCAGTCTATCATTGTTGGACATTTGGGTTGGTTCCCAGTCTTTGCTATTGTGAATAATGCCGCAATAAACATACGTGTGCATGTGTCTTTATAGCAGCATGATTTATAGTCCTTTGGGTATATACCCAGTAATGGGATGGCTGGGTCAAATGGTATTTCCAGTTCTAGATCCCTGAGGAATCGCCACACTGACTTCCACAATGGTTGAACTAGTTTACAGTCCCACCAACAGTGTAAAAGGGTTCCTATTTCTCCACATCCTCTCCAGCACCTGTTGTTTCCTGACTTTTTAATGATTGCCATTCTAACTGGTGTGAGATGGTATCTCATTGTGGTTTTGATTTGCATTTCTCTGATGGGCAGTGATGGTGAGCATTTTTTCATGTGTTTTTTGGCTGCATAAATGTCTTCTTTTGAGAAGTGTCTGTTCATGTCCTTCGCCCACTTTTTGATGGGGTTGTTTGTTTTTTTCTTGTAAATTTGTTTGAGTTCATTGTAGATTCTGGATATTAGTCCTTTGTCAGATGAGTAGGTTGCGCAAATTTTCTCCCATTTTGTAGGTTGCCTGTTCACTCTGATGGTAGTTTCTTTTGCTGTGCAGAAGCTCTTTAGTTTAATTAGATCCCATTTGTCAATTTTGGCTTTTGTTGCCATTGCTTTTGGTGTTTTAGACATGAAGTCCTTGCCCATGCCTATGTCCTGAATGGTAATGCCTAGGTTTTCTGCTAGGGTTTTTATGGTTTTAGGTCTAACGTTTAAGTCTTTAATCCATCTTGAATTGATTTTTGTATAAGGTGTAAGGAAGGGATCCAGTTTCAGCTTTCTACATATGGCTAGCCAGTTTTCCCAGCACCATTTATTAAATAGGGAATCCTTTCCCCATTGCTTGTTTTTCTCCAGTTTGTCAAAGATCAGATAGTTGTAGATATGCAGCGTTATTTCTGAGGGCTCTGTTCTGTTCCATTGATCTATATCTCTGTTTTGGTATCAGTACCATGCTGTTTTGGTTACTGTAGCCTTGTAGTATAGTTTGAAGTCAGGTAGCGTGATGCCTCCAGCTTTGTTCTTTTGGCTTAGGATTGACTTGGTGATGCGGGCTCTTTTTTGGTTCCATATCAACTTTAAAGTAGTTTTTTCCAATTCTGTGAAGAAAGGCATTGGTAGCTTGATGGGGATGGCATTGAATCTGTAAATTACCTTGGGCAGTATGGCCATTTTCATGATATTGATTCTTCCTACCCATGAGCATGGGATGTTCTTCCATTTGTTTGTATCCTCTTTTATTTCCTTGAGCGGTGGTTTGTAGTTCTCCTTGAAGAGGTCCTTCACATCCCTTGTAAGTTGGATTCCTAGGTATTTTATTCTCTTTGAAGCAATTGTGAATGGGAGTTCACTCATGATTTGGCTCTCTGTTTGTCTGTTATTGGTGTATAAGAATGCTTGTGATTTTTGTACATTGATTTTGTATCCTGAGACTTTGCTGAATTTGCTTATCAGCTTAAGGAGATTTTGGGCTGAGACAATGGGGTTTTCTAGATATACAATCATGTCGTCTGCAAACAGGGACAATTTGACTTCCTCTTTTCCTAATTGAATACCCTTTATTTCCTTCTCCTGCCTAATTGCCCTGGCCAGAACTTCCAACGCTATGTTGAATAGGAGTGGTGAGAGAGGGCATCCCTGTCTTGTGCCAGTTTTCAAAGGGAATGCTTCCAGTTTTTGCCCATTCAGTATGATATTGGCTGTGGGTTTGTCATAGATAGCTCTTATTATTTTGAAATACGTCCCATCAATACCTAATTTATTGAGAGTTTTTAGCATGAAGGGTTGTTGAATTTTGTCAAAGGCTTTTTCTGCATCTATTGAGATAATCATGTGGTTTTTGTCTTTGGCTCTGTTTATATGCTGGATTACATTTATTGATTTGTGTATATTGAACCAGCCTTGCATCCCAGGGATGAAGCCCACTTGATCATGGTGAATAAGCTTTTTGATGTGCTGCTGGATTCGTTTTGCCAGTATTTTATTGAGGATTTTTGCATCAATGTTCATCAAGGATATTGGTCTAAAATTCTCTTTTTTTGTTGTGTCTCTGCCTGTCTTTGGTATCAGAATGATGCTGGCCTCATAAAAAGAGTTAGGGAGGATTCCCTCTTTTTCTATTGATTGGAATAGTTTCAGAAGGAATGGTACCCATTCCTCCTTGTACCTCTGGTAGAATTCGGCTGTGAATCCATCTGGTCCTGGACTCTTTTTTGTTGGTAAGCTATTGATTATTGCCACAATTTCAGAGCCTGTTATTGGTCTATTCAGAGATTCAACTTCTTCCTGGTTTAGTCTTGGGAGAGTGTATGTGTCGAGGAACGTATCCATTTCTTCTAGATTTTCTAGTTTATTTGCGTAGAGGTGTTTGTAGTATTCTCTGATGGTAGTTTGTATTTCTGTGGGATCAGTGGTGATATCCCCTTCATCATTTTTTATTGCGTCTATTTGATTCTTCTCTCTTTTTTTCTTTATTAGTCTTGCTAGCAGTCTTTCAATTTTGTTGATCCTTTCAAAAAACCAGCTCCTGGATTCATTAATTTTTTGAAGGGTGTTTTGTGTCTCTATTTCCTTCAGTTCTGCTCTGATTTTAGTTATTTCTTGCCTTCTGCTAGCTTTTGAATGTGTTTGCTCTTGCTTTTCTAGTTCTTTTTAATTGTGATGTTAGGGTGTCAATTTTGGATCTTTCCTGCTTTCTCTTGTGGGCATTTAGTGCTATAAGTTTCCCTCTACACACTGCTTTGAATGCATCCCAGAGATTCTGGTATGTTGTGTCTTTGTTCTCGTTGGTTTCAAAGAACATCTTTATTTCTGCCTTCATTTCGTTATGTACCCAGTAGTCATTCAGGAGCAGGTTGTTCAGTTTCCATGTAGTTGAGCGGTTTTGAGTGAGATTCTTAATCCTGAGTTCTAGTTTGATTGCACTGTGGTCTGAGACATAGTTTGTTATAATTTCTGTTCTTTTACATTTGCTGAGGAGAGCTTTACTTCCAAGTATGTGGTCAATTTTGCAATAGGTGTGGTGTGGTGCTGAAAAAAATGTATATTCTGTTGATTTGGGGTGGAGAGTTCTGTATATGTCTATTAGGTCCGCTTGGTACAGAGCTGAGTTCAATTCCTGGGTATCCTTGTTAACTTTCTGTCTCGTTGATCTGTCTAATGTTGACAGTGGGGTATTAAAGTCTCCCATTATTAATGTGTGTGAGTCTAAGTCTCTTTGTAGGTCACTCAGGACTTGCTTTATGAATCTTGGTGCTCCTGTATTGGGTGCATATATATTTAGGATAGTTAGGTCCTCTTGTTGAATTGATCCCTTTACCATTATGTAATGGCCTTCTTTGTCTCTTTTGATCTTTGTTGGTTTAAAGTCTGTTTCATCAGAGACTAGGATTGCAACCCCTGCCTTTTTTTGTTTTCCATTTGCTTGGTAGATCTTCCTCCATCCTTTTATTTTGAGCCTATGTGTGTCTCTGCACATGAGATGGATTTCCTGAATACAGCACACTGATGGGTCTTGACTCTTTATCCAATTTGCCAGTCTGTATCTTTTAATTGGAGCATTTCGTCCATTTACATTTAAAGTTAATATTGTTATGTGTGAATTTGATCCTGTCATTATGATGTTAGCTGGTTATTTTGCTCATTAGTTGATGCAGTTTCTTCCTAGTCTTGATGGTCTTTACATTTTGGCATGATTTTGCAGCTGCTGGTACCGGTTGTTCCTTTCCATGTTTAGCGCTTCCTTCAGGAGCTCTTTTAGGGCAGGCCTGGTGGTGACAAAATCTCTCAGCATTTGCTTGTCTGTAAAGTATTTTATTTCTCCTTTGCTTATGAAGCTTAGTTTGGCTGGATATGAAATTCTGGGTTGAAAATTCTTTTCTTTAAGAATGTTGAATATTGGCCCCCACTCTCTTCTGGCTTGTAGGGTTTCTGCCGAGAGATCCGCTGTTAGTCTGATGGGCTTCCCTTTGTGGGTAACCCGACCTTTCTCTCTGGCTGCCCTTAACATTTTTTCCTTCATTTCAACTTTGGTGAATCTGACAATTATGTGTCTTGGAGTTGCTCTTCTCGAGGAGTATCTTTGTGGTGTTCTCTGTATTTCCTGAATGTGAATCTTGGCCTGCCTTGCTAGATTGGGGAAGTTCTCCTGGATAATATCCTGCAGAGTGTTTTCCAACTTGGTTCCATTCTCCCCATCACTTTCAGGTACACCAATCAGACGTAGATTTGGTCTTTTCACATAGTCTCATATTTCTTGGAGGCTTTGCTCATTTCTTTTTATTCTTTTTTCTCTAAACTTCCCTTCTCGCTTCATTTCATTCATTTCATCTTCCATCGCTGATACCCTTTCTTCCAGTTGATCGCTTCGGCTCCTGAGGCTTCTGCATTCTTCACGTAGTTCTCGAGCCTTGGTTTTCAGCTCCATCAGCTCCTTTAAGCACTTCTCTGTATTGGTTATTCTAGTTATACATTCTTCTAAATTTTTTTCAAAGTTTTCAACTTCTTTGCCTTTGGTTTGAATGTCCTCCCGTAGCTCAGAGTAATTTGATCGTCTGAAGCCTTCTTCTCTCAGCTCGTCAAAGTCATTCTCCATCCAGCTTTGTTCCATTGCTGGTGAGGAACTGCGTTCCTTTGGAGGAGGAGAGGTGCTCTGCTTTTTAGAGTTTCCAGTTTTTCTGTTCTGTTTTTTCCCCATCTTTGTGGTTTTATCTACTTTTGGTCTTTGATGATGGTGATGTACAGATGGGTTTTTGGTGTGGATGTCCTTTCTGTTTGTTAGTTTTCCTTCTAACAGACAGGACCCTCAGCTGCAGGTCTGTTGGAATACCCTGCCGTGTGAGGTGTCAGTGTGCCCCTGCTGGGGGGTGCCTCCCAGTTAGGCTGCTCGGGGGTCAGGGGACAGGGACCCACTTGAGGAGGCAGTCTGCCCGTTCTCAGATCTCCAGCTGCGTGCTGGGAGAACCACTGCTCTCTTCAAAGCTGTCAGACAGGGACATTTAAGTCTGCAGAGGTTACTGCTGTCTTTTTGTTTGTCTGTGCCCTGCCCCCAGAGGTGGAGCCTACAGAGGCAGGCAGGCCTCCTTGAGCTGTGGTGGGCTCCACCCAGTTCGAGCTTCCCGGCTGCTTTGTTTACCTAAGCAAGCCTGGGCAATGGCGGGCGCCCCTCCCCCAGCCTCGCTGCCGCCTTGCAGTTTGATCTCAGACTGCTGTGCTAGCAATCAGCGAGCCTCTGTGGGTGTAGGACCCTCCGAGCCAGGTGTGGGATATAATCTTGTGGTGCACCGTTTTTTAAGTCGGAAAAGCGCAGTATTAGGGTGGGAGTGACCCGATTTTCCAGATGCCGTCCGTCACCTCTTTCTTTGACTCGGAAAGGGAACTCCTTGACCCCTTGTGCTTCCCAAGTGAGGCAATGCCTCGCCCTGCTTCGGCTGGTGCATGGTGCGCGCACCCACTGACCTGCGCTCACTGTCTGGCACTCCCTAGTGAGATGAACCCGGTACCTCAGATGGAAATGCAGAAATCACCGTCTTCTGCGTCGCTCACTCTGGGAGCTGTAGACCGGAGCTCTTCCTATTCGGCCATCTTGGCTCCTCCCAGAATCTGTGTCTTGTTTAAATTCACAACACCTGTCATCAAGTAGTATTTGGTGATGGATACATTAACAGCTGAATGCATAAATCAAATATAAGCTTTATATCCCATGTAGTGCAGACTTTGCATGTCACATTCAAGGCAACAAGAGTCTTTCTGAAATGTTAAGGAATCATTTAGATTATCACTGGAAACTGATAAAAGGTGTAGAGAGTGTTACTCACCACTTTATACAAAGTTAGTTTTATACAATATATTTTAGTTCCAAGTATTTAAGGAAATCTTTGTCCAATTATTAGCTGATCACTAATGGAACAGAGAGTTCTGGGGAATATACAACGAAGAATACAGATATCATAAAATTAGTTCAGAAAATTTGCTGAACGAACAACTTCAAAAGAAGCAACAAAAACAAGCACTAAGGGATAGGTTATAAAATTCAAACACATAACATTCAAAATACCCTGTTTTCAACAAAAAGTATGAGCCACACCAAGAAATAAGAAAGCATATGGTCCACACATATGAAAAAAAACAATCAATAGAAACTGCTCCTGATGAAGACCAGATGTTGGACATATTAGACAAAGATTTTAAGTAATTGATTTCAAATATATTCAGAGCTAAAACAATTTCTAAAGAACTAAAGGAAAGCATGAGAAAAACTTCTTACCTAGCAGAAAATACCAATGAAGAGAAAGAAATTCTTTAAAAAGCACTAAATAGAAATTCCAAAGCTGAAAAATATAATAAGTGAAATGAAAAATTTGCAGAGGGATTCAATGGAAAATTTGAGCCAGCAGAGAAAGAATCAGTGAATTTGAAGACAGGACAATTAAGATTTTCTAGTGTAAGGAGCAGAAAGAAAAAAATGAAGAAAAAGTGGATAGAGCCTAAGAGCCCCATGTAACACCATCAAGCTTACCAAAGTATACATAATAAGAACCCCAAAAAGAGAGGAGAAAGGAACAGAAAGAAGAAATAATGATCACACTCCTTCCAAATGAAAGACATGAAAATAAATATCTAACATGCTCAACAAACTGTGAAAAAATGAACTCAAAGAGACTAAGACACATTGTAATCAAACAGTCAAAAGCCAATGACAAAGAGAATCTTGAAAGCAGCAAGAGAAAAAAGACTCATGATGTATAAGAGATACTTAAAGATGAACAGATTACTCATCACAAACTCATCAACCAAAACAGCAAAACTGTTCTTCAAAAAAATGAAGGAGAAATTAAGACATTCCCAGATAAACAAAATCTGAGGGAGTTTATTGCTAGTAGACTTTTCCTACAGGAAATGTTAAAGGGAGTTCTTCACCCTGAAATAAATGGACCCTAGACAGTAATTTGAATCCATACGAAGTAATTAAGAACACTGGCAAAAGTAACTACATAAGTAACTATAAAAGAGAGTATTAATGCATTTTTTATTACTCCTCCTTTTAAAATTTTATTAAAAAACAAACGCATAATGCAGTAATTATAAATCTTAGTTGATGGGCACATAATGTATAAATATGTAACTTATACAGCATAAAAGAGGGAAAGAATGGCGTTCTATAGGAATAAAGTCTTTGTATACTATTGAAATTATTTGTATTAGTCTAAACTAGTTTGTTATAAATTAAGGTGTTAATTGTAATCTTCAAGGGAACCACTAACAAAATAATCCAAAAATACGTAGTAAAAAAAAATTAAATAGTACTTTTTCCTGTGGAATATATTTTCTTTGCCAGGGCCATATTTTCTTGGATTTCTTTGTGTGTCTCATATTTTTTTGCTGAAAGCAATATTAGGAATAGTATATACTTGAATATTATAACCCATTCCATAGTGTTTGTTGTTGCTTCTTGTTGTAGTTGTTTATTTAGTTACTTTTCTAAACTAATTTTGTAAGTCTTCACTCTTCATTGTGTGTACCCCTTGAAGTCTCTGTTCCATTAGTGGTCAGCTAAATTAAATAAAAATTAAAATGTAATTTCAGAATATATTTAACACAAAATAAGGAACAAATGGAGGAATTAATAAACAAAACAGACATATCACTCTAGTCCCTTTATGGTGCTATAACAAAATAACAGACTGGATAATTTATAAACAATAGAAATTTATTTCTCACAATTCTGAAGGCTAGGAAGTCCAAGATCATGGCACCAGCAGATTCAGTGTCTGGGGAGGGCATCTTCTCACAGTGTCCTCACATGGCAGAAGAACAAAAGAGGAAACTGGGACAAATGCTGTGTCCTCACATGGCAGAAGAGTTGAAGAAGCCAGGCAGCTCTTTGAAGCCTCTTCTATATGGATATTAATCTCATTCACAAAGGCAGAGCCCTCACGACTTAATCACTTTCCAAAATACCATACGTCTTAATCGTACCACAATGGAGGTTAAGTTTCAACATGAATTTTGGAGGAACTCAAACATTCAAACCACAGTAAGCATACGGAAAACAAAAAGAAAATAGCAGATACAGTAATTTCATTAAATATCAGTTGATTAAACTCTCTAATTAAAGGTAGAAATTGTCCAGGCAAGGTGCTCACACCTGCAATCCCAGCACTTTGGAAGGCTGAGGCAGATGGATCACCTGAGGTCAGGAGTTCGAGATCAGCCTGGCCAACATGGTGAAACCCCATCTCTGCTAAAAATACAAAATTAGCTGGGTGTAGTGGCAGGCGCCTCTAATCCCAGCTACTCGGGAGGCTGAGGCAGGAGAATCACTTGAACCCAGGAGGTAGAGGTTGCAGTGAGCCGAGGTTGCACCATTGCACTCCAGCCTGGGCAAAAAGAGTGAAACTCCATCTCACAAAAAAAAAAAAAAAAAGAAAAGAAAAGAAAGAAAAAGAAAAAGAAATTGATGAATAGATTAAAAAGCATGATACATTATAAGACGTGTACAAGATACTTTAGATTAAAACACAGATATATGTTAAGAGTAAAAATATGAAAGAAGTTTCCATGAACTGTAACCAATAGAGAACTAGAGAAGCTATACTAATATCAGACAAAATAGATTTTAAGACAAAGATACTGCTATTGAAGAGATGGCAGGAAAACTAGAAGAAATCTCTGAGTTCTAATTTACTGGAGCTTGAGATAGAGGTCATGGCTATAAATATACATGATGACAGGGACCATGTTTTATTAAACTTTAATCCTCATACTTAGCTTGGATCTTAGGGTATAATAGATATTTAATAAATATTGATTGAGTGAATGAAATTATATATGTACTATAAATCATTCCCATAGAAGTGATAGTTGAAGCTATAATTTAAAATAAGATCTACGGAGACTATAGAAAGGAGAGACCACAAATAACTAAATCATGGAAAATGTGGGAAAGATTTGCATTTATGAGGCAAATGAAAGAAAAGCAAGTGTTGAAGTAAGAAAATACAAGAAAACAATTGAAGATAAAGAGCAGTAGACTATCAAAAGATCACAGGGCACATACATATTGTATCAATATATACAGAGTATATAAAATTTGCATCTAAGCATAGATTATATATACACATATTTATGCATGTGTGTATATGTGTGTATTTATATAATCAAAATAATCAATCACATACATGTCACTGTTTCAGCACACCACAGAGAAGCCTAAACTGGAGTGTTTTCTGACTTTTGAAAGGAAACACTTAATTCTTCTGATATCATAATTAAATATGGTTCATAATCAGAAGCATTGCCTACTTGCTCAGAGTTTGTTCATCTCTCTTCTAAATAACAACTCCATTGCTTTGCCCTGTCTGTATTCCTCTTATGTATACTGAGCGTTTTTCTTCTGAAAAAATGGCTCAAGTATCCTGTATATAGTGCAATAAAACTTCTGGTAAACAAATAAACAAATGATGCAAAGTGAATTTGAAGTTAGAAGAGGATTTTAGCTACTTTAACAAACACTTTCTCCAATGGAAAGATTAATGTCCATCTTAAATTCAGAAGATGGGGGAAAGGAAGTGGAGAGATGAAATAGAAATTGACTAACATTTTATCAACTTATTCCCTAAGGATGTAATGTAATGGTACTAAGATATCTTTATTAGTCTTAGCTTCTTTGGGTTTTTCCTTTTTTTCTTCTTTCTTTTTGCTATGCTTGCTAACTTTAATACATTGTCCATCTTGTTTTAGTAGGACACATACAATTGCAGTGTATAAACTATCTGCTACCCCAGTTTCTGCTAAAGAAGTCTTTGCTCAGATTCTGTGTTTGCCAAGAATGAAGAAACACTGCAATACAGATTTAATTATTCTCCATTATTGCACGGACACTTATTGTTGTAGGTGGTATTTTTAGGTTTTAGGTGGCCAACATGCATTCCCCTTTCTTCAAGTGGGATCATCTTCACTATACTTTATCCACCCTCCTTCCTGCTTCTCAGTTTATAACGGTTCAGATGGCTGACTTCAGAGGCAGTTACATAAACCAAGCTTGGCCAATCAAATGTTCTGCATCTGGAATTTGACTCTTGAGTAGAATAGCTTACTCACAATGGTGATAGCTTACTTTCCCTAGAGTTGAATGCTCAGAAGGAGTAACTCCAGAGATACCCTGACCTCCAGAGCTCCCTGGTTTGTGACCCTCCTCAGATTTGCATTTTAAACATTGCTTTCATTTCTGGAATATCCAAATCCCTTCCAATAAATACAACTTTTTCTCTTAAGTTATCTTGAATGCACTTCTACAACCAAAAAGAAAAACAAAAACCTTATTTATTAGAAAACCTTTTATTTAAAAAGACAGAATACCAACAGACTAGTTACCCAGCACTGCCCAAACTGAGGTCTACCACTGAGGTGTCCCTGTAAGAAGTAGGACCCATTGTTAGCAAACATACCAGAATTTATAACTTCCAAACAAGTCTACCCATTCTAAGGATGCTTTAACAAAAATGCTGTTAGATGGCTGATTAATATCTTTATTCTTTTTAACAACTTTCAGTCCAAAGTTGATCTACTTTTACAACTGTTCTCTCGTGTTTCAATTCTTCCTTACTGTCGACAGAGGAGCAGCATTATGATTTATGTCAAAGTATTTTTATTCCATTTCAATGTAAAATACCATGTTTTATAAACATTTATTTTTAATACTTTAGCAGCTTAGTATTTCAAGTTATACATTATCTGTATACTTGCTGGTAGCCAGGATTTGGTCTTGCCCAGGAATACTCAATAGAAAAATAATGTAAGCCACTTACGTAATTTTAAATTTCCCATGAGCCACATTAAAGTTTTAAAAACTAGGTGAAATAGATTTTAACAATATATTTTATTTAACCCAATGCATTTAAAATAATATTTTAACATGTAATCAATATACACTTATTAATGAGATATTTTTATATTCTTTCTAATAATACTAAGTCTTTGAAATCCAATGCATGTTTCACACTTAGAGTGCATTTTAAATGAGATGCAAATTTCCATTTGAAGTGCTTGGTTTGTATAAAGACTTCATAAATTTTACAGTTGAAAAAGTAGATTCAGCCGGGCGCAGTGGCTCATGCCTGTAATCTCAGCACTTTGGGAGGCCGAGGCAGGCAGTTCATGAAATCAAGAGATTGAGACCATCCTGGCCAACATGGTGAAACCCCATCTCTACTAAAAATACAAAAATTAGCTGGGTGTGGTGGACGCGCCTGTAGTCCCAGCTACTCAGGAGGCTGAGGCAAGAGATTCTCTTGAACCCAGAAGCAGAGGTTGCAGTGAGCCAAGATCACACCACTGCACTCCAGCCTGGTGACAGAGCAAGACTCCATCTCAAAAAAAAAGTAGATTCAATGGTACATGCCTATAGTCTCAGCTACTTGGGAGGCTGAGGCTGGAAGATTGCTTGAGCCCAGGAGTTTGAGTCCAGCCTGGGCAATATAGTGAGACCTCATATCAAATAAATAAATAAATAAATAAAAAGAAAGAAAGAAAGAAAATAAAAAGTCAATTCACATACCCAAGGAGTTCTGAACATACTTAAAGTTTTTTAATAAATGAATCGTGTCAGTTTTTACATTTAAACTAACGAAAATTAAATGGAATTATAAGTTCAGTTTCTCAATTGTACTAGCATTTATTGAATGCTCATTTCATGTGGCTAATGGATACTCTTTGGATCTCACAGGTCTAGCTAAACCGGCTAGGTATGTGTATTTTAATTAGAGTAAGGAGAGACATTCAGACATCTCCCAGACTTCACTCATGAGATTTCGACATTTTAACATTCTACAATAACTTTTGTTATTGAAGGATACAGGGATTTCTGCTTGAGGTATGTTGAGTTTCATTGGACTGTGGTTTATAATTTTTAACAAATTTGGAAATTTTTTGGCCATTATTTCTTCAAAGGTTTTTTTCTATTCTGTTTCCTCTGCCAAATCGCCCCTCATCCACCCAGCCCACCGTCACCATTTCAGAACTCCAATTACCTGCATGTTAAGCTGATTGATATGGTCCCAGAGCTCACTCTTGCTCTGTTCTTTTTTTCCTTTTTTTTTTTTTTTAGTATTTTTCTTCATTTGTGTTTTATTTAGAATTGTTTCTGTTGCTACGTCTTCAAGTTCACTCATCTTTTCTTCTGCAGTGTCCAATCTGCTGTTAATGTCATCCGTGATATTCCGCATTTTTCACTTCAGATCATGTATTTCTCATCTCCAGAACTTCAATTTGGGTCTTTTAAAATATTTTCCACTTTTCTCTTCAACACAATCATGCTTTTCCTCTCCTTTCTTGGACATATTTCACAGTCTGTTCCTACTGTTTGTCTCCTGGTTATAGATTGTATTTCCCTGCTTCTTGGCATGCTTGAACATTTTTGACTCAATGCTGGACTTGGTGAATTTTATGCTATTGGATGCCAAGGTTTTATTCATTGTGTTACTGTTAATTGATAGTTTTTATATTTCTTTAAGTATTTAGGGGCTTTTTTCTGGGATGCAATTTAGTCAATTGGAATCATTTGATACTTTTGAGGTTTGCTTTTAGGCTTTGTGGGATGTGCCCTTTAGTCTAGGTGTAATATGGCCCCACTAGTGATAAATACCCTTCTGAGAACTGAACCTAATGCCCCCTGTATTAGGAGGTCTTTCCACTCTGGCTAGTGGGCATATAAGCTATTCCTGGACCCGTGTGTGCTCTGGAGATTGATCCGCCTGTCTTTCCAGCAGTTCTTCTTGGTGTCAGTAGTCTTCTCACACATGTATGCAGATCGGTTCTCAGAGGAAGATTTGAAAGTACTCTCCTGCTGAGTTCCAGAGTTCTCGCCTCTCCTTCTCTCTCTTCCCCCATCCCCCCACCACCACTTTGCTCTCTTTGTCTCTCTCTCTCCTTTTGTCTCCCTCTCTCTTTCTCTGTCTTCTGGGATTGCCATAACAAAACATCATCAACTGGGTAGCTTATTTCTCATGGTTCTGGAGTCTGGGAAGTCCAAGGTCAAGACATCAGCAAATTTGGTATCTTGTGAGGGCTCACTCTTTGGTTCATCAATGACACCTTCTTTATTGTGTCCTATTGTGTCCTCACATGGAGGAAGGTTATGAATGAGCTCCCTTGGGCCTATTTTATAAAAGCTCTAATCTCATTGATCATTAATGATATCAACTCCCAAAAGGCCCCACATCTAATACTATCACTTTAGGGGTAAGGATTTCAATGCATGAATTTAGGGGGTGGGGACACATTCAGACCACAGATAGCTCATGCCTTCCTGCTTACGGCTCTCTTTCTCTGTCTCTCAATCTCTCTCTCTCTCTCAATCTCTGCAGAAACTTCCTTACTAGCACTCTTCCACACAAATTTTCTCAACTCAGCAAGACCACCAGGCTCTACTTGGGTTCCCTTTCCCTGTGTAGGCAGGGGCTGGGGCCATGGAAGTGCTCACATTACTGGTTTCCCTTCCCGGGAAACATTGTCCAGTGCTGCCTGTTGTCCAATGTCTGAAAAAATTTTGTTTCCTGTATTTTGTCCAGTTTTCCAGTTGTTTAACAGTATAAGGTAAATCTAGGTCCTGTTATTCTATCATGGCCCAAAAGATATAAACTGTTAATTGCCATTCATTTAATAAATACTGACTGATTGCCTGCTCATGAGAAAGTGCAGAATGCTGTGAATCAACTATTGAACTAAAAGAAATGCAGTCCCTGCCCTCGTGGCTAGCACAGCTCAGCAGGGAAGAGCAACAATAATTAAAGATTTGTTCAAGTAAATATGTAATATAAACCATGAAAAGAAATGACAGAAGGTAGAGCACTGCAACAGCATATAAGGGAAAAACTGACTTTGGGCAATCAAGCAAAGTTTCCGAAAACAAGGACATTTTTAACTAAGATTTAAGGAATAAATAAGATTGGTACCTGCACTGTGCAGGGTAGGAAGACTGCCAAGGAGAACAGAATGTGCAAAAGGCCTGTGGCAGGAAGGAATCATTAGAAATCATCCAGTCCAATCCTTAAGTTTGCCAGTGAAGAAACAAAGGCTCAGAGAGTCTAAGGCTCATGTTAGTGTCAGAGCAGGGACTAAAACCCAGGACTCCTACCATCGGGTCTAGTGCTCTTTCCATTCCACCATGTTGGTAAGCAAATGTAGAGAATACTAAAATATCTTATTAAATGATATTTGTCATTTGATGGTCCATGATCTATTATGGGTAATACGTAATTTTGTAATTTATTTTCATTTAAAAATAATAACGGCCAACATTTTATTCAAGATGTACTTTTAATTGCCAATATTTTTATGTATTTACAAGAAATATTCTGTAAAGGGTAAATAAATGTACAAGAGAGCACAAAACAGAACAGAAAGAATACTCATGCATTTATACACTGAAGCTGTAACAGCATCATAATGGCCTGGGAGTGTTCACGCAGTTCCCTAAGTGGCTAAATTACACCCAGGAGATTCTCATTCAGCAATATAAGCTGTTAGTGCTTTCACACGTTTTGGGAAATGCATCCATTGCCCCATTCCAAGCTTAATTGGTATAATAAATGTCAATTAAAGCTCCTTTAAGATTTCAAACTGCAAAACTCAAGTGAAACTACTTATGTAGAGACTCATATAAGACTCCTCTACTAAAAGGCTCTCCCAAAAGAGACACAGTATATTTACATTTACCATGGGTACAGGGATACACGTCATTCGCATAGGAAATAACATTATTTCTCCCCCCCACCCCCCGCTATACTAAATGTATTTTTTTTTTTTAGTTTTTGAGACGGAGTCTCCCTCTGTTGCCCAGTCTGGAGTGCAGTGGCATGATCTTGGCTCACTGCAACCTCCATCTCCTGGGCTCAAGCGATTCTCCTGACTCAGCCTCCCAAGTAGCTGGGATTACAGGTGCCTGCCACCATGTCCGGCTAATTTTTGTATTTTTAGTACAGACAGGGTTTCTTCATGTTGGTCAGGCTGGACTCGAACTCCTGGTCTCAACTGCCTCAGCCTCCCAAAGTGCTGGGATTATAGGCATGAGATACCGTGCCTGGCCTCCATCACTGATTCTATGTATGCACATGACTCCTTTTTTACTTTTACTTAGGAGGCTTAAAACACAATTATTCATTCAATATAATTATAAAGCAGAGTCTTTGTTAACTTCTGAACTTGGTAAAAACATTTTTTATATTTTATCTATAGCTCATTAATTTAGGTATCAAAAATGTGTTTTAGTTTAGGTAGCCCAAGCTGCCAATTGTTTGATATCATCATCCTCTTCTTCTGCCCTCTGGGAAGATGCTGGAACATAAAATAGATAAAAATTAGTAATTGGTGACATTCACACTTTCAGCATAGAAAACAGGTATGAATTACATATAAAAATGTGTTCAGTTTGAAATCAAAAACATGTGCTAAAAAGAATGGGCCTGGCTATCATTTTAGGCAACTATCTGACCACATGTAGTTGAGCTGGGTAACAGACCTGCTCGGGATCGACGTGCAGTGGACGACATGCCTGGTTTTCTATTTGGCTGTGCTGGGAGAGAAGAGGAAGGCACATTTGGAAGGCGGATATTTGTCATCTTCTTATTTAATTCCTCCTGTTCCAATTCTTCAAGTTCTGCCATCAACTCATCCTGAACACAGGAGAAAGGAAGAATTATGGAGTTAACGTTTCAAGACATGGGTTTCCTCAAACACAATAACAAGAACATCTGCTACCCAATTGATATGTGAGAACCCAGTGAAATGGAATATTTATTTTAAAACTAAGTCTTTTTTGCAACACTGAGCAATGATTAAAAAATGAATATTCTGGGTTGTGCAAATTTGTTGTAGTTAATCTTCTAATACTTCAGTAAACAGCCATTCAAGTAATTTGTGCTAGCTGAATATATAACCTCCCCACAGTTTCTGGGAAACTTACACCTTGTCTGTCATCTTTCCAATGTGTTCTTTTCTACTGTTTAGAATCCACAAAATGTTAACTGGTGGAAATAAATGTTTTTCTTTGGGCTAATGCGATTGAAAATAAAACAACAGGTATAGCAAAACCATAACGTACAGAAAGTAAAAGGAATTAAAGATACTATGGTTCTTTTATCAAATCACCAAAGCCAATATAAATTATGCTGTGCATTTGGGTTAAGAAAAGTTCAATTCAAGATAGGTATACTGTATTTCCTTCTTTTAGCAATAGTCCGAGAGAGCCTGGTTTAATCTTAAACTACTCTCTGTCCCAAAAACTTTTGAGAGACAAGGCTAGTTTGAGACCTTAAAAATGTAAGTCACCTTATGCCAATTCTGAGATGACTCAGATAGTTCAGATCTCACTGGCTCCATAAGTCCTGAAGTAGAGTCCAACCCCTCTCAGAGAGAATTTGGGAGTCACAACTGAACTTGTCATTGATGGAATTATGAGGTTGTCACTATTAGAAATGACTTGGGACACCTTATATTCAACCAAGTAGATTTTTCTTTCATGGATGAATAACGAATGAGAGAATTCATTCATTCATTATTCAACAAATTCATTGAGCACTCACTCCTGGGCAGATTTTGAACTCAGTGCTGGGATGCAAAGTTGAATCAACACTCCCTATATTCAAGGAGCTTACACTCAAATGTGGGGGGAAGGCACATAAACAAATAATTATCCAATATTAAAGTGAGAGTAATAACACTGTGGGGAAAGAGAGAAGATATTTAAGCCAACCACAACATTTGATTAAGTCAGTGGGTATCAGAATTGCAGCAAGCTAAAGATTGTCTGACCTCTATTAAATTCGCCTCATAAAAAGGGAAGAAAATATGAAGGTGTATAGCATTGGGCCGTATGAAATAGCACAGTCAATATAGTTGTGTACTTGATGGATCTCCACAGGCTATATGACTAAAATGGAACAGAATGAATACCCTGGCGTCCTATTTCTGCTCACAAAACAATCAGGGACAAATACCATAAATATAGTAATGGCAGAACAAGCTATCCTATGCCGAATGTATGCCCACAATTGCCAATAGTGCATCATCGTTATCAACAGCAGCAGAAACATATTAATGTTTTCTTTAGCAATATGGTAACAACAGAGTAATCATCTCCTCCATCATTTTCATCCTTTAGGTACCAAACACTAATTTGACCATTGAGAATAGAATTTTGGAACTTAAGATGTTTTGGAGATAATCCAGGGATCCAAAAATCTTCATTATCACAGATAAGAAAACTAACAGTCAGAAAAGTAAAAGAGACTTACACAAAGTTTTTAACAAATGATAGAGCCCAGATGTCCACATAAGCCCAGATTCCTTTCCACCATATCATAATGTACTCACTAGATGCTTACTAGTCTACATCAGGAGTTGAAAAACTTTCTCTGTAAAGGCCCAAATAGTAATATTGCAGGATTTGCAGGCTGCATGTTTTCTTCTGCCCCATAGTCTCCTTTGTTGTTATTGTTTTCTACAACATTAAAATTGTGAAACCCATCCTGAGCTTTTGGGATATACAAACAGGTCACGGGAAGAATTTGGCCTGCAAGCCATATTTTTGCTGACCCCTTGTCTACACCATTTTTAAAAGGTATTGATACCCCATTCTCATTTTTGGGGATTCCATGGAACCAGGTCTTACTTGCTAAATGTGTTATTTTTAATATCACATAGATGCAGGAAGTTGGATTCTTTGCCATGCTAATCCAAGCTTTGGAAATGTTTCTAAATGTGTACTAGTCCTACTTGTGTGTGCTTTGAGCAGAACAATTGAAATTCACAGTGCAGACATCACCATTATAATTATAGTCTGTCTGTATTATTGGACTGATTAATCTAAATGGAATGTGTGTGTTAATAATGCCACTCCACATTTATTTGGTTTCATAGCCTGAGTAATAAACAGAGGCAGCCTAACCTCTAATTTAACAGCTACAGAGCATGATACGTCTGTTTCATGCAGAATGACGAAGTCTACTTTGTTTTGCCCAGATGTGCAAGCACTCAGTTCCTCGTAATGGGGCTGTTTAGGCTTCAACCACTAAAAGTCACTAACTTTACACAATCACATGCTGTTCTTTCCTTAATAGCTGAAAACTTAATCAGGCCACTGTTTGCCAAACTGTATTCATCTTTCCTTTAAATCAGAGGTACTAACACTTTATTTTTCTCTTAAGAGAAGTACCTTTCTTACAAATATCACTTGTTCTTTCAGTAGTAAGGGAACATGCCTACTATATATGACAGGAAGCTACTCTTTATAGCAGCCACAATCCTGCATTCTTCATATTGGGTTACGTACCTCATCAAAGTCATCACCAAAGCCAACCCGTTGAGAAAATGCTTCTGAGATTTCTTGGGCGATATCCTGTTGCTCTGTGATCTCTTGCATCAAATCATCTATTTTGTTCAGATCCCTGGGAAATCATATTTTGTTGAACATTTTAGAATTTTAACTTATAATTATGAATTTAGATATAATCCTATATAAAAAGTCAGTTCATTTAATATAAATTCTTAGTTATTTGAGTAGGATAAATATTCCTGATGATATTTATAAACTTTAAAGATAACTTATATTTTAAAAACTTAATAATCCATATATTATAAACATTAAGTAAATACCTATTACATTTGGAACTCACTAAAAATAAAAGTATTTTATAACTATCACTATTTGTAAACCCATTTTGAAATTTTGTCTGATAGGGCATATGACAAATTTAAATACATGCTGCTGTGTATCAACTCTGCAGGAAACACTACCACAGACCACCAGGACCACTGTAACTAGATGAGCTTTGGCAGCTTTTAGGAGCCCCTATCTGACAGCGGCCCTTTGTTGAAGCTAAACACTGGGTCTAGAGATCTATTTTTTGTAACACTTAGCAGCTCTGAAATCCTGGCTCCCCAAGGGTTTTTGCATAGCGGTGATGCCCTGAGAGGTTACTAAAGAGAGCAGGATTAAACCTATACAGCCCTCAGAAGAATTAGCAACTGCAGCAAATAAATCTAGGTAGCTACTTGCTCAGGATGGACAGCCACTTTGAAGACATTTTCCAACACCTGAGCTTCACTGGCTCCTAAACACCCGCCTAAGCATGTCGGTGTCTACATGCCAGGTTCTGGTATGTTTCTATAGTAGCTTATCTCTGAGTAATTCCTCCAACTCTGAAACTAGGCCAAACTGATTGGATATAAGAGAACTGACAATGTCCCTCATTATTAAGTAGCCTAAATACCAAAAGTTTGATTCCCAGTGGAAGTAATTTTTTTGTGAGTTTCCCTGACTCTGTAAGAGCTATTTTGACATATTTTCATGCAATAATCAAAAAGAATACTTTTACCTCCCTCTGACCATCCCTTATCTTTAAACCTTATTATTCTATTTATACTGAATATAAAACAAATATATTTTTAAAAGGAATATGAAAAAATGTATGGCTCAACTTTGGGCCTGGGAACAAATTTTTCTCAAATGTAATACAATGGTATGATGCTGCCAAGCTGCCTGGAGGGAAAGGCTGATTTTGTGACACATTTTTGTATCCAAAAGCAATAGAGAATTTTGACTCTGATAATGAATCTAATGTCTACCTGAAGCTGTCAAAATGGAGGCTGATTGTTAATGAATTATTCAGAAAAGAAAATGTTAGCAAAGTTGTCTTCACTGCCCCCAGCCACCACCTTTTTCACCTTTTCCCACTCTACAGAAATTTGTCTGCATCTCTTAGGCACTCATTGCTCTTGTGCATCCTTGCCCCAGGTTCCACTATCACATCCAATATCAGGAAAGGATCCGGTCCCAGACATATTTCCCAGTGTGAATGTAAAGCAAATTGTGAATATTAATTATTGAGTGCTCACTTTGTGCCAGGAACTATACTAAGTGCATTATATCTAGTATCTCATTGAATCTCACAATAACCACGAGGTAAGTAAGTACTATTATAATCTCTAATTTACATATAAGGAAACTGAATAAAGTATAATAAATTGCCCAAGGGATAGTCAGCAGTTGACCTGGGATTATAGCCCAGAAAATTTGACCCCCAAATCCATGCTCATGACTATTCTTCTGTGTCAGTGGTTCTCAGACATTGGTTAGCATCGGAATCACATGGACCCAAACACTTTGCAAGTTCAAGTAGCCTGGGCATCTGTGTTCTCTTTATTTATTCTCCAGGTGATTCTGATTCCCTCCAAAGTTTGACAGCCACTATCCTATAAATCCAACACCCTCACACAGGTTGAAATCGAAGCCTTTTTTAAACTGTAGAATTAAAATATTTACAGGTACAGTTTCCAGCAATCATAAAGTAATGGGGAAACATTACAGGAAAAATGAATGCCCTTTCTTTTTTCATGGTCTTTTTTGTTGTTGTTGCTATAACCTTTAATCTTTCTCTGAGACAGTATTTTATTCAACATGTCAAAGAGCCTCAAATGAGTAAACCCATTCCTGCCAAAACCATCATATGGTTCCAAAGGTTCTTCCCAACACTGAGGGAATTTATGATTCAGAGGGAGACCAGAGTCACTCACATGTTTTCATGAACAGATTTCATCGCTTTTGCTGCAAAGCCCATGTTCCTCAACACCTCAGTGTTGGTGTGTGAGTTCTCCAGGGCTTCTCTCTGGAACTCAATGGTAGAAAGTGTGCCATCAATCTGAGTGAGCTGTTTCTCGAACCTCTTCTTTCTCTTTAGTGCCTGTAATGCAGCTAAATAAGAGAGAAGCCACATTTATTAGGAAAGAGAAAGAGACACTAAATCAAGAGATGTTTGCTCAGCACCACTATGGACTTAGACCTTCTGATAACTAAGGACAACGAGTATACCAAAATAAACCTGAGAAATAAACAACTCATATTGTCCTCTCAATTACCTATACCAACTAGTACCGTCTCCAACATTTTATTATTCTTTTCTTCCAAAGATCTGGCAAGTATAAGCAGATGGAAAGTCAGTTTTCCTATTCCAAAACATATGCCAAAGAAATGTTTTGTCAATGTCAGATTTTAGAAAAGGATAGATAAAAATATGAGTAAAAATCATACAATAGAAAAGTAAACCATTAGAGAACGTAAAGACCTTAATGGCCTTTGATTCTAGCCCCATTTTCTTAAAGGCAAGTTCATTGAGACCAGAGAAGTGAAGTGACTTGCTTAAAGGCAGACAGTTAGTGGTAGCTGCAATAAGAACTCAGAATACTGAGCTGTATGTCTTGGTCTGAAATGATTTTGAGATGGCTATTGAGGTTACATCTAACCGTGAGCATCCATGAATTCAGCACTGCTAGAGTTGTATTCAAGGATTAGATGGCACAATGGTGAGAGAAAAGAGCAGGGCCTTCAGAGAAATGATAACCAAATAATCTTCCCATTAACATTTTAACAAGATAACCTAACTTGCCTCACTCTAAAACCACCAAACAAGTAGAGCCCTCTTGACTGTGGCACCTTGGAAGGCAACCAAAAAAAGCCCTAAAATATCTGTTTTGATAATGCATTTAGGGAGAGAGCAGGAAAAGAGCAGCAGCAGAATGTTAATACGAAAATAAGTGATAATTAAATGGAATTGGCAAAAGAACTCAAATGGTTTTAAGGTTTCAAAGTAAAGCAGGTAAGTTATCACAACAGAGATTTTGGAGAGAAGTCTCTCTTCTAACTGTTTTCGTCCATTTCTTCTTGTAATTGCAACAAATTTGATTGATTCATTCCAGTGCTTTTTCCATGGTGCACAAAGACTCAGCCATTATACTTTCTTGGTGGATTTTATTGTAATCAAGTATTACTCTCTATCCCATTCATTCTTTTTTGCTTTGAATTCCATTTTGTTTTATATTAAGTTAATATGCCAGTTTTTTATTACAATTTGTCTCTAAAAATTTTTACATAGACCACTATTTCAACATTGTTTTATTCTATTTTTATATACATATTAAAGACACCTATATTTCGCTACATGAGTGTTTAGTTTTTATGATTGTTTTTGACCCATTTAGATAGTCTCTGTTACTTAATGTAAGATTTTCACTCAGTCTCATTTATTGTAGTAACTGCTATGCTATCAGTACTGTTTCTTTATTGTCATCTTTTTTGTGTTTTCTGTTTGTTATGCTTTTTGTTCTCTTTCTGCTTTCTTGTCTTTATGTAGATCGATTAAATTGTCTTTGTTCATTTTTTCCCTTTAATTGTTGGGCAATTGTATATACTGAATTTTTTCTCTTAATGGATACCCTTAAGACACATATAATTAAACAAGTTTTCTTCTATGTTGAAAGGAAATTAATCAGTATCTATAATTTATTGTTCCCAAATAAGATTCCCTTCCCACTCCAAACCCTGAAAGGTTTGATTGAAATCATCTGCAATTTTATTAGTTCCTGATGATTCATAGAGTTTTTTTATTATACTTTCCAATTTTAAGGAAATCTTTCTTAACAATTGCCCTAAGCTTCATAGACACAATTTTAACAATCATAAGCTTCATAGACACAATTCTAGCAATCATTTATAAATTTCTTACTATTGCTTCTTGTATTCTATATTGTCCTCTTTCTTGGATTGCTTCTTTATTTTACTGGAGTAAAACTTTACAGTATTATATTTTCCAGAAAAGGTGCATTGATATAAATTATTTGAATGCCTATAAGTCTGAATATGTCTTTATTTTGCCTCAAACTTGAGTGGCAGTTTGGATTTTTACAGAATGCTAGGTTCAAAATATTTCAAAAGATTATCTTTTAATAGCTAACTTTTTAAAAAGTTTGATAATAAAATTATCCTCATCCCTTTGCAAATAATCTCTTTTCTTGTTTCCTCTCCAAAAATGTTAAAGACTTTCTTTTACACTTTGGAGTTAGGAAATTTAACTGGTATGCATCTAGGTATGTATCTTTTGTTTTTTGCTTTTTCCAACTGAGCATTCGGTGAGTATTTTCGGTCTGAAGGCTCAAATCTTCCCTCAGCTTGAAAAAATTGTATCCTATTATTTCTTTTATCACTCTTTTCTCCTCTGTATTTCTGTCTACTATCTTCTGAAATTTGTATTTTTTTATTTAATTATATATACAATTACACACACACCCTGAAAACATTCTGTTTTCTCTCTTTTGAAATGCCTATAATATAAGATGAACATTGTATTCTTTGGCTTTGTCCTATATATTTTTTTGTTTTGACACAGGGTATCACTCTGTCACTCGGGCTGGATGCAGTGGTACAATCACAGCTCACTGCAGCCTTGAACTCCTGGCTCAAGCAATCCTCCTGCCTTAGCTTTCAGAGTAACTGCAACTACAGGCACATGTCACTGTACGGAGTCTTTTTTTTTTTTAATTTTTTTGTAGAGACAGAGTCTTGCTATACTACCCAAGCTGGTCTCAAATTCCTGGCCTCAAGCAATCCTACTCCCCTTGGCCTCCCAAAGTACTGAGATTGCCGGTGTGAGCCACCACACCCAGCCCTCCTTGTCTTTTTGATCTATGTTCTGGGAGAATTCCTTGACTTTATTTGCAGATCACTAATTTAGTCTTCAGCTATATTCATTCTACTTTTTTACCCTTTTTTAAAAGATTATGTTTCTAACTTCTAAAAACTTGTTCTTTAGTTGCTCATTTTTTAATGGCAGCCTATTCTTGTTTTATAGATGTAATAGCCTCTTTAATCTCCCTGCAAATCTCTGCAGCAAGCTTGAATTTCTCCCCAGAAAATGAGGTTTTCTTTTCTATTGCATCATCAGGCTGCAAATTTCCCAAACTTTTATGCTCTGCTTCCTCTTGAACACTTTGCCACTTAGAAATTCCCTTCACCAGATACTCTAAATCATCTCTCTCAAGTTCAAAATTCCACACATCTCTAGGGCAGGGGCAAAATGCCTCCAGTCTCTTTGCATAGCAATAGTGACCTTTACTCCAATATCCAACAAGTTCCTCATCTCCATCTGAGACCAACTCAACTTATGTAAAGCCACATAGCCTTACATGTGAATGAGGGAGCCCAGATTTGAAGGTAAACAACCCTAGAGCATGATGTTCTATTGTTGTCTTCTAGGTACTGTTGTTCTTGTCATGCAGGTGAGGGAACATCACTTAAAATGAGTACAGGTCATGCATCATGATTATTACACACAGGTATTAAGTGGTTTAGGTAGAATTAAAACGTAGGTCTAGAGCTTCAGAGCTCCACCCTTTATACCAAATTGCTTTTCCGTATCTGCTGGTGCATTTATCACACTATAGTAGAATTATGTCTAAAATGTATCCTACCTCACCTCTCCTATGCCTAATTATAAGCCCTTGGAGAAAAGAGACAGCATCTTATTTACCTGTTTCCCCAGCACCTTGTCCATTTCCTGGCACCTGGCCAACAAAATACATAACAAAAACTAACATTTATGGAGCATTTGCCATATGTTCAATTGGTGATAAGTGCTTTATGTGCATTATGTGATTTATGACATTTAATTCTCACAAGAATCCCAAGAGTAGATATTGGTCATTTTACAGAAATAAAATGAATAGATATTAGTGAATAAATTTGATAATTTTGCACATAGAACAAGGACAGCATGATATAATGGAAAGAGTGTGGCCTTTCAACACCAGAGTGCAAATCCCTCTTCCATGACTTCACAGATGTGTGTTCTTGGGCAAGTCACATCCCTTCTTTAAGCTTTAGTTTGCTGTTCTGGAAATAGTGATTATATCAGGCTGCGTGATTATAAGAATTAGTGATAATTTATGGAAAACACCTTATATAGTCCCTGTGAATGATAGGGATGTAGCAACTAAATAAATAGTAGCAATTTATACAACATTCATAATTACTAAGCTTGCATTTTTTTTTTTTTTTTTTTTACACAGAGTCTCACTCTGTCACCAGGCTGGAGTGCAGTGGCGCGATCTTGGCTCACTGCAACCTCCAACTCCCTGGTTCAAGCAATTCTCCTGCCTCAGCCTCCCAAGTAGCTGGGACTACAGGCATGCGCCACTATGACAAGCTAATTTTTTGTATTTTTATTAGAGATAGGGTTTCACCATGTTGGCCAGGATGGTCCAATCTCCTGACCTCGTGATCGCCTGCCTCGGCCTGCTGGGATTACAGGTGTGAGCCATCACACCCAGCCCTAAGCTTGCATATCTTATTTCTGAGACTACCGCATAACAAATTACCTATTTGTTTTTACCATACCTTGTTGCAGGAAGTCAGGGACCCCAAATGGAGGGACTGGCTGAAGCCATGACAGAAGAACATGGATTGTGAAGATTTTATGGACATTTATTAGTTCCCCAAATTAATACTTTTGTAATTTATTATGCCTGTCTTTACTGCAATCTCTAAACGTAAATTGTAAAGATTTCATGGACACTTATCACTTCCCCAATCAATACCCTTGTGATTTCCTATGCCTGTCTTTATTTTAATCTCTTAATCCTGTCAGCCGAGGAGGATGTATGTCGCCTCAGGACTATGTGATATTTGCGTTAACTGCACAAATTGTACAGCATGTGTGTTTGTGTAATATGAAATCTGAGCCCCTTGGAAAAAGAACAGGATAACAGCAATTGTTCAGGGAATAAGAGAGATAACCTTAAACTCTGACTGCCAGTGAGCCGGGCAGAACAGAGCCATATTTCTCTTCTTTCAAAAGCAAATGGGAGAAATATCGCTGAATTCTTTTTCTCAGCATGGAATATCCCTGAGAAAGAGAATGCGCACCTATGGGTAGGTCTCGGGACTGGCCGCCCCGGGGCGTACCTGTCTTTTATGGTCGAGATTGCAGAGGTGAGATAGACTCCGGTCTCCCATAGCGCTCCCAGGCTTATTAGGAAGAGGAAATTCCTGCCTAATAAATTTTGGTCAGACCGGTTGATCTCAAAACCCTGTCTCCTGATAAGATGTTATCAATGACAATGGTGCCCGAAACTTCATTAGCAATTTTAATTTTGCCTTGGTACTGTGGTCCTGTGATCTCACCCTGCCTCCACTGGCCTTGTGATATTCTATTACCCTGTTAAGTACTTGATGTCTGTCACCCACACCTATCCTACCAACGTGTGATGTCTCCCCTGGACGTCCAGTTTTAAAATTTCTCTCTTTTGTACTCTGTCCCTTTATTTCTCAAGCCAGCTGATGCTTAGGAAAATAGAAAAGAACCTATGTGATTTTTGGGGCAGGTCCCCCAAAAATACCTCATCATAACAGAAACATAATATTACAAAACATTTCTACATTTCAATAGGTACAACAAACAGTACTATTCAGCAGAGTATCCTATGAAGCTAAACTCTAAATATACATCCCCACCCAACATACCCGGAAGTGGAATCTTCAGAGTGCATGTCTTCCCTATCTCGTCAGGCTGGTTCAGTGCCTATACATATTTGGAACCGAACGGGTACCCATTGACCCTAAGGCTTTACTCTTTTTTTTTTTTGAGCAACTTTTTTAAGTTCTCCATTTAAAAATATGTCATATTTCTTAGTAAAAATTAATTTTAGATAACTTTCTGAAAATCTAGAAAAGCAATTTGGTATAAAGGGTGGAGCTCTGAAGCTCTAGACCTATGTTTTAATTCTACCTAAACCACTTAATACCTGTGTGTAATAATCGTGATGCATGACCTGTACTCATTTTAAGTGATGTTCCCTCACCTGCATGACAAGAACAACAGTACCTAGAAGACAACAATAGAACATCATGCTCTAGGATTGTTTACCTTCAAATCTGGGCTCCCTCATTCACATGTAAGGCTATGTGGCTTTACATAAGTTGCTTACTGAAAAATGGAGATATAACTCATTTAGTTGTTGAGAAGTAAATGAAATAGCATTCATAAAATGTTTCGTTCAGTGGCACATAGTGAGTGATTACTAAATATTAGGGATCTTTATCATCATCATTTCCTTTGTAGGTTGTCAGAACCACATGGTGGGACTCTCATGGTATGACACTGAACCTTACAATTGTTAGTCATTAGTAATAATAAGTTCTGGTTTGGACATAATTTTAAACACCTATGTTAGCATATGGTTTCTGCTTTTCAAAATATTTGGGAAATTTTTTAAAATTCACCAACATTTGGGATCTCAACTTACACTGTAATTCCCATACCACACACTACATGTTGGCCCAACCAGAGTCCCAAACTCAGAGGGAGCCAGGCAGATAATGAAATTAAGTGAAGCAGCTAGAAGGTCAGGGAAAAGTCCTTCTTTGTTTTTTCTCCTGTGAGAAAGAAAGAAAAAGAGAGAACTGTTTCTCTTCTATAAAAATAAAAACTAGTGCAATGGTGGCAATACAGAGCAACAGACACTGGCCTCAGTATAAGGGAGTCAAGAGGAAGAACTGGAGACCCCAGTGATCTGGGAGCATAAACCTGATCTAATGGAAGCAGCACTGTTGGGATTCAGTGCCAGGCTGCCTTGCAGACCTGTAGTCCCAGCCTACCATGTGTTCAAAAGAAGCAAGACATCTGGATTTCCATGCAAAATTCCCCAATTTTTACATGCTATTTTACATTTTTCTAAAAACCTGTGTGAATGAAACCAGTAACTTCTGCATGGCTGGATCAGGTCCTAGGATACCTGACATTTACTATGATTTCTGCCTGGCACGTTAAGCTTCTCCCAAACATTAAGACAGGAGGCTTTTGTTTTAAATAACCAAGAAGTGTATGTGAGTCTCTCAGTGAGCTGTTCCTTATATGAAACGATGATGCCACTGATACATCATGAGCTGGACAGGCCTTAACCTTGTTCCCTAATAAACAACTTGGGAAAGAAGCAGCTGTATTTTTTCAAAGGCATGCAACAAATGCTGCAAATCAAGCATTGTTACTGATTTGGCCAAAAAGGACATTTTCAGAGCCGTGAAATTTAACCTGTGTAGAAGGTGCAGTTCAATCTTCCAAACTCCTGTATGTGCTTTTAAGCAGCTGATGAGACCTGGACAACATTCTTTCTAAGACAAAGGAATCTACTGTATTCCTTTGTGGTAGAGAAACAGCCAGGGGTTTTGTCTCCTTGCATAACAGTGATGTTCCTTCAGCACTGGAGTTGCCGAACAATGTCGTTTATGTACTATTGCTAGCAGGATACGTGAAGAGTCCTTACTGCAGCCCATTGGGGATTGGAACTAAAATGCAAAAATTATCCATTTGAACCAAAATTTAACTATTCCTATGCAACTCCACTATGCTGCCAAGGGACGAAGGCTTTCAGTCATTTATGCCAAATAATTTAAACTAGCAGAAAAGAGTTTCAATTTCATTGCTCATGTAATGTATAGGACATTTTGGTTTTAAAAGTCAACCTGTTCTTCGTTCCTTTGGGGTGGATAAATGTGCACATTGTTAATCCATTAGTCAGCACACAGGAAGAACCTTTTAGGAACCATCATATCCAGTGAACACAGACAAACCTGTTTTTGAAAGGTGAAACTGCATTATAATAGCTTTTCTCTGTCCCAGGAATGATCTCTAGAGAAGGGCTAAAAGATGAGGCTTTAAAGAGTAAGCCCAGATATGAGAATGCTTAAGAGACATGTCACACATAATTGCTTATGTCATTTTTTGCTTTTAACTGGGAAGGCTCGTGGTCATGTTTTATTTGAGGAACTTTAGTGTAAGCCCTGTTCTTACTCATATACAAATCACCTCATTAATTAAACAATACCTTCAATTTATGGCACATTGTTTTGGTTTTCAAAAAGCACAATCTGAATAAGCATCATCATAGACATTTCCCAAATGGAAAAAAAACAAAATATATCTGCTCAATGTCACAGGTTAGATTGAAAACAACTGGGGAAATAGAAAATTTTAACACGCATTTGGCCAGAGGCATCCCATTATGAATTTCACTGAACGTCTTTACTTTTAAAAAATACCTTTATTCATTCATTTCAGTCACTTAACAAGTATGTATTAAAGATCTATGACATGCCTGGCACTGTGTTAGGCACTGGAGGGACAAAGAAATAAGGCTCCAGTCTCAGAGAGAGACAAAATATGAAATGGGCAATCACCTATTCATCATTCAGTAAGCATTTATTAAGCACCTACTATGCTATAGGCACAGTTCCTAGGGATACTAACGTGTGTAAGTTACATTCTTTACCTCAAGTAGTAGAGAAGATGTAGAGGAGAATAAGAAGAGATATGTACAAGGTGCAGTGGGTACCCAGAGTAATTTGCAGGCTCTCTCTGGAGGGTAAGGGAAGGCTTCACAGACATCGCTGTAGCAGTAACCTTGTTCAACAGGCCTTACTCGGTGAGCAGTTCTATTTACATTACCATTTCTTTTCATATATGGAAAGAAATATGGCTACATTTCTTCTATGTAGATAAAGTCCCCAGTGACTGTCTATATGTATACTCAACACATTGATAAATAAAGAACATGAATGATGAAAAAGGTATTACACAATGGGTTCCTTCCACCCCCAACCCTTTCTCCTACTACAAATCTCATACCACTGAAAAGTTTCTGTCTGAGATATATTAGAAATTGGGAACTATAAGCCTCAAATATAGAGCACATCTTCGTTTTAAAGATTTGCACTCCTGCTTGCCACAGCAGCTGAATCTTATATGTAACCTCCATATTTTTGGAGGTCTCATCAATATTAAATGTCACATGGAGGGTAAATAGCAATCTAGAAGAAGACCAACACACAACAGTGATATATAGGATTATATAATGCTAAAGCAGATGCCTGAGAAAGCAGTAAAAAGGAATGAGATTGCAGAAAGTAAATAAGAGATATTCTAAGGGCATTTGGAAGTGCAATATTGCTATAAGCAAGCTAGTAACTTTGGACTGAATTTTGTGTTTAAACAAGGTGATTGATTAATACTATAAAGTATAAAAGAGGAGAAAAATAGGCTGGCTGATCAGTGCCCTCTCTTCTCCAGAGAGACAGCAAACGGGCAAAGGAAATTAAGGTTATTTTCCAACAGAAATGATGCTCCTTATTCTAAAGAGCTTGAGGTTGTTTTTGAAGATGAGGCAATTCTTGCTACCAGGATATCACGCAAGAGAATATTTAAAAAGGTAAATCTGAGAAGGGAAGTTCATGATCTAAAAGTGCCTTGAGTTGTCAAAAAAGGAAGAAATGCTTGCATAAAAGACTTATTTTAAATACTCACTAAAATTCTCATCTCTTGTAATTAATTGCTTCAGAAGTCAATTGCTGGGCAAGAGAAATTAACATATTTGACCAACATACCAATACACTAATTAAAATCTATTTTATATTCTTTGTAAAAATCTAATTAATTGTTTGATACCAGTCAGAATATATAACTAATTGAATAAATGAGTCTTTTATTTGCTGCTAGTGTTATTAATAACCCCACAAATTGTTAAATTTTGGGGGCCTGTTATCATCTAGAATATTTTTTAAGTATAAGTATGAAGCCATATTTATATATTTAACAGAAAAACTCAGAAATAGCTGATTATGCTTAATTTTACAAAGTAGATGTGTGTACCTACAGATGTAATTTATTATATATAATATATTATGTATATATTTAATATGATTCAATTATCTACTTGTAAAAAAGTATTCCTTAGTCATCTTATGCAGCAATATATCATAGCACTGTGCCTGTGGCTTGCAGATGCTCTAACACGTGAAGTTCAAGAACCAGCAAACTGTATTCCTTTAGCCCCTCTCAGTTCTCACTGTCTGTGGTTCTATGACTATTCCTTTGAGCCCCTAACGTCAAAAAATCTTAAAAAATATATAGCTCCTCAAGTTAACTGTTAGTATTTGAAATTCTTTAAGAATAGATTTACCTTGAAATTGATGATGAACTATACTATTCTTTAATGTTTTCAAATACAAGTAACACCAACAAATCAATATAGTTTTCATAAATAAACCTTTTCAAACTGCTCACAAAATGATAAAGCATAGGCTCTTACATACGGGGTCTTTGAAATACTTGCAAATTAGTTGACCATAATCATAATTTTTTTTCTACAGTTAATACAGTAGAAGTTTTGAGTTACAATAATATCTTTGTTCAAACTCCAAGGTTATATTTACTTTCACTTTATATATATTAAATATATGGAAAGAAATGATAATGTAAATAGCACTGCTAAGTGAGCAAGGCCTGTTAAACAACGTTACTGCTGCAGCAAATAAGACGCACCCAGTATGACTACGTAGCATATAACACCATGTGATAGAGCCAAAAAGATTCACTAAGACTTCATATTTAAATAAAGAATAAAATGTCCAAAGTACTTCTTAAATGTTTAGTTGCATAATTTTACTCCTCTAAATTTCCATCTAGGTTAAACATACACATGTAAACTTTATTTCATTTAAGCTAGATAGCTGACATTGAATTTTAATTTTTAAATCAAGAATTTAACTCTTAATGCAAGGCTTCCCAACTGTTAACAGAGAATGACCTATTTTCCTTGCCTGTAATTTTAAAATTACCATTCTCGTTTGCTTGCTTTTTTGGGGCTTGTTTGTTTTGCAAGTAGTGATTACAGTGTTGGTATTTTAAGTCACTAGATTCTTAGATTGGGGAAGAGATGTTGGAGGTTGTGCAGAGTGATAGTAGTGGGGGCTTCTAGCTACCTGGAAATTCCTACAAATGAGAAATACCTGCAAAAAGGCTTAGCAGTGGTTAAAAAAGCCATTGGTCTAGGTATAATAGCTCTTACTGCTTTAAACCATGATCTTAGAAGCTTTGGACAGGGTCCTAAATCTTTCCAACAAGCAATTCCCTATCAGCACCAATTGCTTGAAGTAAAGAATCAAAATGTCTAGTACAGGAAAAGTCAATTATTCAAAGAGTGGCATACTGTATGTTTCATATTTAATTCAGACTTTTGTTTGTTTTAATTTTATTTTTTCTTCTTCTGCAAACTTTTAAACTAACTGTGTATTTGTTAAAACTTCTCTCAAATGATAAGCAGAAAAGGTAGGAGAAACGAAAATTACCAGTAGGCATGAAAAGTATGAAACTAGTTAAGTTTACTAAAGCAGATGAGACTGTGGCATTTAAAAATAAATCAACAATATCATCTGTATATCTTAAGTTCTGTGATAATTTTATTCCTTAAAAGTACAAATAGATTCACATGTACTTAGGCATAGTACAAAAAACGAATGTCAAAATAGATCATTCTTACCCATTCCAAAGCTGACCCCCAAAGCCAAACCTTATAATTTTTTTAACTGAGTATTAGATCCCTTGTCTTATTTATCACTGGTTAGAGTATCTGGTACTTTTATCTTAAAAAATCACCTGAAATAAGTGGTCCTAAGTACTGAGAAATAAACTAGTAGTACTAAGCACATCTGTAGGTAAGCTCACAGTACTCTCTTGCCATAATTCCTTGTAACTGTGTAAATCCTATGACTTTGGCATAATCATGGTGTTAGTAATACCTTTTCTAACTTATTCTACCTTATTTTGATTGACTCAATAAACTGTAAAATAGTATAAATGAAGGGAATTATATTATTTGCTTAATGTAAATATTTCCCCAAATGTGGTGCCTTTCATCCTTGTGGAATTTAAATGAATAATGATAAATGTTCAAATATTTACAATACTGCTCCAAATTCATGAAAAAAAACTAGATGTAATATTATATAACATAAGAAACAGTAGCAATTGCTCTTCTAGAAGTTGCTACAATCCATCAGCAAACTGTGTCACACACACTAAAAGCAAAATTCTAGAACAAAAATACTCCAGTTTCTGACGAGTTAGAAGATGATGATTACCCTAAGCCAATATGAGTTCATAGCTATGAAAAATACCAAAATAATTTCATAGGCTTCTTTTCTTTTGGTTGCTGGATACTGACTCAAGGAAAAACTGTAGATCATCCACTAGCCTCCAAGCATTACACACTTCAAAATCACCCCATCTTTGAGTACCAAGATCCTGAACCTTATTCCAGATCCCTTGAAACAGAATCTCCTGGTGTGGCATTTTTAAAAAGCTCTCCAGAGAATCTGATGAAGGTAACACGCTATCAGTTCAGAAGCCAGCATTTGTGAACCCCAGGTGTGTAAATACAGTTCAGTTTTAGGAATATTATTCAGAAGGAATATTGAGGGCATTGCTGAATAAAAGAGAAAAAGCTGGAGAAATAAGATGATAAGGAGTAGAAATGTGGGTCAGGTGTATTTATAGCTAGATGAACATCTGAATTCATTGAGTGTTGATCTGTCAAACTGGGATTATGCCTTAGCTCCGGGGGTTCCCAAACCCCGGTTCATGTCCTGTTAGGAACTGGGCTGCAAAGCAGGAGATGAGCGGCAGGCCATTAAGCCTTACCACCTGAGCGCCATCTCCTGTCATATCACCAGCAGCATTACATTCTCATAGGAGCGAGAAACCTATTGTGAACTGAGCATGCGAGGATCTAGGTTGTGCACTTCTTATGATAATCCAGTACCTGATGATCTGAGGTGGAACAGTTTAATTTCAAAACCATTCCCCCTACCCCCCAAACAGCCATGGAAAAATTGTCTTCCATGAAACTGGTCCCTGGTGCCAAAAGGGTTGGGGACTGCCGCCTCAGCGGATGAAACACGGTTGCTATCATGCAAAGGCCATCCTGAAATGAAGTCTCTAGTGGCATGCCAAGGTTCTGTCCTTGGTTCTGTCTTATTCAATATTTTAACAACAACTTCTACAACAACAATAGAGGCTGCAGGTCAAATTTGTGGCTAATTTAACTAAAAGAAATAGCTTGCATATAAGACAATAAAATTGGAATTAAAATCTTAATTCTAAAACAACCGAAAATAAGAGGACATTTAATAGAAATAAATGTCAAATACTAAATGCAGCTGAACATATTGATTTCCACGGGAGTGTGGGGAATAATTTGGCTGGGAGTTTTAGCTCTTTCCACATCCAATGGGAAAAAGGCAAGTGAAATGGGTATCTGAAAAATCATATTCAAATTGAGACAGTATTAACAGAACAAAATAAATAACAAGCCCAGGCCACTCTGTGCTGTCCAGTAACTAAGGGTGCAAGTGCAGTGTTAGTCTATATTGGATCCTTGCAATGGCTCAGAAAAGAGAGGGAGATAGTGGGGAAGCTCAAAGTTTAAAACAACAACTTAAGTGAAGAGGGTTCCCAGGGCTAGGTGCCCATGTCTCAGGTTTTCCTACTGTGGGGTGAAAGCCCAAGTGGAGCTTCTGGTAAGGGAGGGAAATTAGGGATGAAGGTTGAGGGGAGGATCATGTTTCCATTGATCTATCTTTTCCAGGAGAGGGGTAGTTGACTGGAGAGTAAGATCTGGCCTAGGTATTGGTTGTTAATGCCCCAGGGATAAGACTTTTTTTTTTTCCACCCCCCCCCACAATCCCCCAGGCCTTAGAATACCGAGTATGGTACAAAATAATCAGAAAATCAAAGGCACACAAAGAAATGTATTTTAATGACTGATTCTAATTTGAATACTGGATAAGTCTGACACAGGGTGAAAACCGTCTTTACTAAAAATTAAAAAAAAAATAGCTGGGCTTGGTGGCGCACACCTGTAGTCCCAGCTACTCAGGAGGCTGAGGCAGGAGAATCACTTGAACCCGGGAGGCAGAGGTTGCAGTGAGCCGAGATCAGGCCACTGTACTCCAGCCTGGTGATAGAGCAAGACTCCATCTCAAAAAAAAAAAAAAAAAAGGGAAAAGAAAAAAAGAGTAAGCAGAGGGAAAGGTGGATAGATATTTCATCCAATTATCTGAGTGATGATAGAGGAAGGGAGAAAAAGTACGAATGGGTGAGGAAGAAAATAGAATAAATAGAGAGTAATCCCTTCCAGTTTAACAGCTTATTGAATAATACTTCATAAATTCTCAAAGTGGGGAGCAGTCATTGAGTTACTTGTTCAAAGTCCAAATTTCTGGACCCTATAATTAACCTACAAAATTAGAATCTTTAGTGAATACTTATGAGTGAAATAAACAGAAGGAATTGTGATGCAGGTGATCTGAGTATCACATTTTGAGAGATTGTCTTAAGAATGGAGGTTACTAGGTAAGTTATATCTCCCAGGGGAACTTCCATCAAGCTCTTGCAGTCCATGGCTGTGTCGTTTTACCTGAGCCATGGTTTTGCTATCACTAGTTTGACATTCAACTAGCTGAATCTCTTTACACAGATGTCCTTCTGATCTGCAGTGTCTGAGGACTGCAGAATTGAGCTCTATGACAACTATGATAAAAAGCAAAATTAAGAGACCGAGGAGGTTCTTCCCACTGAACTAAGAGTGGGATTGTGCACACTCCTTCTCTCCAAAGAAGATCAAGTCCACATCATGATTCTGAAAACAAATTCATCCTTACCAATACAGCCCAGGCTTCAAAGTGAGAGAGCTTATTCAATAGAGGACTTCTGTCCTGGAGACTCACTTCTCCAAACAGACACCTGATGAAGAGGTAGAACAGCTTCTGAACCCAGTTTTCACTGGAATCGTGTGTAATGATATTGAGTAGGGGTTTTGGCCAAATTTGCTTTCTCTCCATCTCAACCCTTAATCCTTATCAGCCTACAAATCACCCCAGACTAGATCCACTCATTTTCACATATTTACATATTTGGAGTTACTGCTAAGCCTGGGATATGGCAAGCAATAGAGCTAGGACTAGGATGAGGGGGAAAAAGAGGCAAACTGCAAGGAGGCACTCACTCTCAGGGTCACACAACTGTGTCCTAGGCATCTCACCTGCCTCATCCTTGACCTGCCCCTAGTGAGAAAACCTCAGCACAGTAAGGAGTCACTGAGGAGGGTGAAAAAGGTAGGCAAGGAACAGGAGACTTGAAGAATTGATTGCTGTCATAAAATATGTGAAAGGCCTTCAGAGGACAGATGAAGTAGATTTATTTGGTGGTATTCCAGAAGACCAAATTTGGCCAAAAACTGGGCCAAGTACAGCTTTTTAAAATGTAATTAGTTTATACCAAGAGCTAATGTTTATAAAGCACTGCACTGAATGCTTTACCCAATAATGTCATTCATCCCCACAACTCCGAGGATTTATGTCATCGTTGCCATTATGCAGATAAGGAAACAGGATTAGACAAGTCAAATTATTAGTCTAGGGTCATTGAGCTACTAAGTGGCCAGGCAGGGATGGAAATCAAATGTGGGACTTTATTTGGCTGTCTGCTTTGAAGCCCAGGCTCTTAACTACAACACCAAGATACTTTCTATTAAATATGCAAAAAAATGGATTGGGATATTATATTTAAGCAAAAAATAAATCAATAAATAAAGTTGGAATAGTGACCTGTAAGGTGTGTATTGCCAGATCAGTGTGGCAGGAGAGTTCTGCAGTGTGCTGAGATATTGATACCCTTTAGCTCCCAAGGCCGGAAGCACTGGGATAGGAACAGATCTTGTTTTTCCATCTCATTAACATTCCTATGGATTTAGGCTTCCCATCCTTAACCCTGGCCCACAGGTCAGAATCAGGTGGGGGCACTTTAAAAAAAACAGATGCCTGATCCCCACTCCAGTCAATTATATCAGAATAAATGGGGGTGGGCCCCATGCATCCAGGTGACTATTTAAGACGCAGTGCTCAGAAGAAGTAGAACAAAAAATTAAATAATATATAAAAAGTTAGCTTTTCCACAAAGTAGATTACCACCTATAAAGCAAGAGTTATAGCATAGTAATCTAAATAAACTGCATTCAAGAATCTCTGGCCTCCTAAAGTTTTTAACCAAATTATAACTCAAGCTCCAACTGTTACTCTTTTGATCAACAGAGGCTTGGATAGCAACTGTTGCAAAATCAATTTGTTCATGTTTACTCAAATTCTTTTTGCTGGATGATGATGGTAACTGCCAGATAAATTTGAAGGGAGGAGAAGTAGCTACCCCTGTACTATGAGTAGTAATGAGTTGTAATGAAAGCAAGTTTCAGACTAAATTCTGCATATACATTATTAAACAAACATACACTAGCAAGCACAAAAAATAATTTGCCAACCTGTCCCATGAGCTCAATGAAGTCCCAACTCTAGGTACTTTGAGGTGCTCCAATTCACCCTGCATGAAAGGCTCACTGAGGAAGACAGCAATGTTCCCTGGCAGGTGCTGTGCCCTATTAGAGGTGCGCACCATCAGAAACCCACCTAAACTAAGGACTGGACACTGCACTGATTTGAGATCTAGTTTCAGGCACCATTCTAGTGTTAAGTTAATTACACACCTAGTAGATTCATCCTGTTCATACATGGGGTGGGTGCGGAGGGTATTGGAAGTGTCTCTAAACTGTTTTAGCAATCCACATATTTAGAATATGTAGAATTTCACCAATTAGGCCAGGCCCAGTGGCTCTTGTCAGCACTTTGGGAGGATGAGGCAAGAGAATTGCTTAAGCCCAGGAGTTTGAGACCAGCCTGGGCAACATAGGGAGACCTCACCTATACAAAAAAAAAAGAAAATTAAATAGCTGGGTGTGGTAGTGCGTGCCTGTGGTGCTAGCTACTCAGGAAGCTGAGGTGGAAGGATCACTTGGGTCTCGGAGGTCAAGGCTGCAGTGAGCCCTGATCACACCACTGCAATCCAGCCTAAGTGACAAAGCGAGACCCTGTCTCAAAAAAATTCACCAGTGAGATCCCGTTTCTAACATTTATTTATTTATTTATTTATTTATTTATTTATTTATTTATTTATTTATTTATTGAGACATAGTCTGACTCTGTCGCTCAGGCTGGAGTGCAATGGCGCGATCTCTGCTCACTGCAACCTCCACCTCCCAGGTTCAAGCAATTATTTTGCCTCAGCCTCCCAAGTAGCTGGGATTACAGACACGCTCCACCACATCCGGCTAATTTTGTACTTTTAGTAGAGATGGGGTTTCACCATGTTGGCCAGCCTGGTCTCAAACTCCTGACCTCAAGTAATCTGCCCACTTCAGCCCCCCAGATTGCTGAGATTACAGGAATGAGCCACCATGTCCTGCCCCATTTCTAACATTTATTATGCTAATTAAAAGTTTTTCATTTTACCAGTAAAACTCATTTTGACATTTAGAATGCTGTCAAAGCTTCTGTTGTTGTAGAGAAATTGATCTTTGAAGAATCTGAAATGGCTAGGAGTGTGGCCTTTTCTGATATAATGCTACCTGGCCATTCAGAGAATATATTAGCTGACCAACCATCTCTAATAATAAAACTTCAATTGCACATAAATTATGTCACCCTGATTATCATATAAATTACAGCCATTCTAGCAATGGCATTGTGCCACACAGGGGCCATTTAGTAGTAAGTATATCAGGTTTTATTTTACTATTTTATATCACTTGGTGGCTAATAGAAGACAGTTAACTATGTATATGAAGTTATGAAGTATATGAAGTTATCTGGTTTATTTAGAAGGTTCTGATATTGAGCGTGTTACCAACGCAGGAGCCTAAGATTGAATTCTTTCCATAGCTTAGATTACAGATGACCTCATGCTAACCAGCCTCTTCTTACTCCCAGAGTCACTCTAGAAGCTCTGGGAGTTTCTAGACACTAACACCAGTGAAGCTTCTGAAGACAGAGTTAATGACTTTTCTATTAAAAATTAGGGCTAGGCGCAGTGGCTCACACCTGTAATCCCAGCACTTTGGGAGACTCAGGCAGGAGGTTCACTTGAGGCCCAGAGTTTGAGACCAGCTTGGCCAACATGGTGAAACCCCGTATCTACTAAAAATACAAAAATTAGCTGGGCATGGTGGTGCACGCCTGTAATCCCAGCTACTCGGGAAGCTGAGGCAGGAGAATCACTTGAACCCAGGAGTTGGAAGCTGCAGTGACCTGAGATCCTGCCACTGTACTCCAGCCTGGGCGATAGAGTAAGATCCTGTCTCAAAAAAAAAAAAACTTATTTGCCATTCATACTTGCATCTATAACTTTCTTGATTTAAGGAAGTTAGATTGGTAGTCTTAATTAGCACTGTCTTTAAATTTTTTGTCTTTATTCATAAAGTCAAATTGAGATCGAATTTTTGTGCATTGCCAATTGAAGAGTACCTCTGAAAAAAATCAGTAAAACCCACATTATTTTGCACTCTGTCTTTGAAAACAAATTTACATTTTTACCACTTCCTAGAAGGAAATGGTCAATTTTTTAGATTTTTAAAACCAACATCAGCCAGGTGCGGTGGCTCACACTTGTAATCCTAGCCCTTTGGGAGGCCAAGGCAGGTGGATCACCTGAGGTCAGGAGTTCGAGACCAGTCTTACCAACATGGAGAAACCCTGTCTCTATTAAAAATATAAAATTAGCTGGGTGTGGTGGCACATGCCTGTAATCCCAGCGACTCGGGAGGCTGAGGCAGGAGAATCGCTTGAACCTGGGCGGCAGAGGTTGCGGTGAGCCAAGATCGCGCCATTGCACTCCAGCCTGGGCAACAAGAGTGAAACTCTGTCTCAAAACAACAACAACCACCACCAATATTTGCTGAGCAACCATGGTAGACAAAGCTGTACACAGATCCAAATAGATGGCAAAGGGAAGAAAACCCTTGACAGACACTAAGCAAACGTCAGAGTGTGTATCAAACTGAAGAGGAAGGGCCAAGGAGCAAAATGACCAACAACATTTTTAGCAAGCCATAATGACATGGTCTTTCTTTAGAAATTGCCATTGCATAACTTCCCAGAATATTTTCAGACACAAAGTAAAAGTAGAAATCAGTACTTACCTCTAAAACAGGCTATAATATGCACAAAAGTTATATGCAATAAAACAGCCTTCTTATTGTTGGTGGTAAGTGGGCATAAATGTAGCTGGCACACTTTTACAGAAAGAGGCAGAGTTCTCAAGTTCATCTCCTTGAGACTTCATTCCTTTCCTGCATTAAACAATGGCAGCATCCTGTAGAGTGAGCCAAATCTTCCCAAGGCTTCATTATGACTAAAGAAGCCCAACTTGAGGGTGCAAATGTTTGGGTTTGGTGGTAAGCAGAGTCCGATATTGCCACTTCCTTTTCTGGGTCTGCCATGAACCCGGTGTTACAAGAGCAAATCACTTCAACTTCTCACTGAGTTTTTATCTGTGCCACAGGTGCTGTTTAGAGGTATTCCAATAGAAGGAGCAGTATACTGAAGAAATCAGTTAACTCTGGCAAAGAACAGGTGTTCAAGGTGCAACAGGAACACCAAGAATCATTACTGACTCAAAGTCTCTTGTGTGTGCCAAAAGTCAGTGATAGGAAATTTAATAATTAATTCCTCTACCTTTTTTTTTTTTAAGACTTCAACTGCCGAACATCCAGCTAAAGCTTTCCACAGCTGAGGAGCAAGGTAGACCACAACGTACTAGAATATCCTTTTCTGAAGATTTACGTGCAAGTTAAAATGTGTAATTTAATATACAAACATACAGCAGAAAACTTCATGGTTAGTGTTGGAGTCAGCAAGGCTGGCCTAGAAAAAGCTGGACCAGGAGCAAAATTTACAGGGGTGCGAAAACACTCAGTAATCAAGACAAATAATATTTTAATGCAATATTTTTAAAATTCAAAATTAATATTAAAAAATCCACGATGAACAAATCATCACATTATAAAAAATAATTTTAAATAAAGATGTGCTGCACATAACAACATAAGAGCTAGAGGCAAATGAAAAAAATCAATACCAATCTTGTCTTTATTTAAAATTTTGATATTTTCTTCATCATTTCTTTTTTGGCATTGGTTCTGAGTCCTTTAGGTATTGCATTAAAGTATTGTTCATCTTGATTACTGAGATTTTTGGCGGCCCCTTACATTTTGCCATCAGTGCCAGTGTCTAGCTCAACTCACCCTAGTCAGTGCCCTAAGAGTCAGTACCAGTTCCTAGAAAAGACTGCAGGAGCAAACCTGGCCACCTGGGGACCTCAGTGGTGTGGGCCGATTGTCCCCAAGGGAAAGGCTAGAGGCAGATGGGCTCCCGCCTGTGGGCCAGACCCCAGCCTACCTCGCTTATTCTGCGTGCCGTGCTTCTTGGCCAGGGCGATTTCTCTCTGGATTCGATTTTCCAGGTACTCTTGTTTCTTGCCCAGCATCTCCTCAGTCTCCCGAAGTCGGACCAGGGCCTCCTGGGGACTGGGAGCGGCTCGGCTCTTAGAAGAGCCGCCCCCTTTAAAGAACTTGCCCAACTTGCTCATTGCTGTGGAGTTCGGAGGGCCAGCGATCCCGGGGGCCTCTCGGGAGCTCCCCGGGGCCGCGCCGAGGGGACAGGTGAGCAAGGCAGTCCTCTCGGGGACCCAGACCGGAAAGGCGGCCCTCCTGGGAATCAACAAGTCGTCCTGGACAGGTGACACACACTCCAGGGCATTTCCTGGCTGCCAGTTCGGCCCCGCCCCGCTGCACAGCGGCTGGGCGGGGAGGCCACCGCTGGGACGTCGGCTGGCCGGCGCCACCCGGCCCTCTGGGAGTTGAGCGAGAGCAGAGAAAAGTTGAAAAGACCGACAAAGACTGTGGGAAGTTGGCTTTTATCCACACTAGGGACGGTCCCAGGAACGAGGAACTAGTTTGTGAATGGCTCAAAGAAAAGCAAACCGATGTCCAGGGGTCTTGTGCAGGACCTGAAAGTGTAAGTGCGCAAGACTGGATATGCAAAATGCTTTATTCCATGCGTGTCTTTTGTGTGTACGTGAGCATAGTGTTCCTGTATTCAGGCCTCTGTTCTTGTGAATAAGAATATTCAGATCTTTTCCTCTAAGTGTATGTCATGTAGGTATGAGTGTGTGGACACAAAGGCTTCCAGGATATTTGTCTGCCACTAGGATGCAGGTGTGTGGGCAAGCTCGGAGCAGCTGCTGCTACTGGGCTTGTTTCTGCATTTGGTAGTCCGGGCAGGTTGATGTGTGCCTGGATGCTAGTTGGCACAGTGTAGATTCTAGATCATCCTTACAGGACTTGAAGTGGGTGAAAGATGGTGGCCATCTCTTTTCCTAATGTCAGGACTTCTGGAGTGTGTTGGTGGTTGGATTCAACTCTATAACTAGGAATCCGAAGTTTTCTGAATGATCCTCAGTGTATCAAAAACCTTAAATGGGGCTGCCCTGGTGTTTGGCTGTATGTCAAATGCTATTACATAGATACTTAAGTAACAAAAAGTAGAGAATATCCTGGAGAAGAGAAACATTCTTTTGTTCATGCTCACTATCTCAGCCCATCTATTAGATCTGCTGGCAAATAATTTAGTAAGATGAAAGGACAGCCATATGTAATGCTTATAGATGATGCAATACTGCTGCAAACCTGTGTCAAGCACACTACAAAGAAGTGGAATTATCTGTGTTTTACTCTTCAACGATTGCCATGTGCTCTGCATAATATAGCCGTATTTGAGCAACGTTACCCAACATTACCAAAACCTATTTTTGATTGTTAGCCAGCCACTGTTTAAGAGAAAAAAAAAAAAAAAAAACACCCATTACTCTGACAAATTCACCTTGATACCCAAGATCAATAACACAATTTTGTCTGCAAGCATACAAACACAAAGCAGCAAGTTAATCTATTTATCCAACATTGGCATAGATAGCATAAAATTTTGCCAAAGAAATTGAACACTTCCATAGGAGGCTTACAGTAAGCATCTTCTAACACACAAATATGTGAACTTATCATTTCACAGTAACTGCAGCCAGCCACCTCCTATCATTTCCTGGCTGGCCATGTAAAGCATGTATGGTCTATAACACACATTTTGCTCTAATTTCATGTATAAGTTGTCGTAAGTATTGTTTTTCTTTATTATCTAAATATTTCATGAATAAGTTTTGGAGTGTATTTTCTTGATTAGATTTTTAAGGCCCTTGAGAGTTGAGAAGTAGCACATATTCTGCTATTGTTCCCGTTGCTTTTCAGTTTAACTAGCCTTTATTGAGTGTAAGGTACAGGGAATGCAAGTATAGTCTGCCCTCTAAGAGCTTACCTTCCAGTGACAGTAATAACAGCTACCATCTTTTGAGCACTGACTATGTGTCAGGCTTATCAATAAATATATGCTTATCACTAATCCTTACATAAACCCTGCAAAATAGGTATTGCTGTTTCTGTTAGACAGAAGAAGAACCCAAGGCTCAGTTGATAACTTAACCAAATTTAACAGGCAGCAAAAGTGAAAGAGATCTTTCTGTTTGAAAACGCATGGTCTTTTCACTATTTACATGATGGTATTTCCCTCTGTGCAACTTGGACTAGAGGAAAAACTCATTAAGTATTTGTTTAATTAAATAGCATGGGGTGAAGAGGTAATTATTAGGCATTATCTTTAAGGGATCCTCCAAGCATTATTGAATTCATGGAGGAGTGCATTTAAATAAGAACTTATCCAGAATACTAAGGCATTCTTTGGGGTTCGTTAGTTACTTTTTTTGTTGTGAGAACATTGGACAGTAGAACAGAGAGACAAAGTTATAACTGAGGAATTGCCTAATCCACACATCCATGGTTTCATTCAACTGATGCTTATTAGGTGTCTCTATGATCCAGGCATTGTGCTAGTGTTGGGGATACAGGTAAGAGTAAGAAACATTGTCTGTTCCAACAGAGCTTACAGCTTAGGGGAGAACACAGAAATTAAGCAAATTATCTCACAAACAATAAACTTCATAAGTTGGGGTTCTAATAAATTATATAGAGAAGTACAGGATCTATAAGAATAAATAGTAGAGGAACTTGACCTTGTCTTGGGGTCAGAGTGGCCTGAAAAAGTGATATTTAAGCTAGAATTTGAATGATGAATAGAAGCTACCTGGTTTTAGGGAAGGGAAATTTGTATTCCATTATAAGGAATTCCTTATTCATTTACCAATTTATTTATTCATTTATTCATCACTTTTAGATGTAGAGATTCAGCAGTGAATAAAAAGACAAAAATACATTCATTTTTGGAGCCTACTTTCTAGCTAAGGGAAGATGGACAATTAAGATAGCAATGTACTATGTGTACTATATTTTAAAAAACAAGGCAAAGAATGTTGGAGAATTAAAATTTTAAACAATATGTGCAAAAATCTTGAGTTTGAAGTACTAGGGGTTGAGAAAAGGTCACTGTCGCTGGCGCTTGGAGACAGAAGAGGAGAGTAGGAGAGTGTGGTGAGGTCCCTACAAAGGTAGACAGAGTCCAGATTACATAAGGTCCACATGATGTGCTAAGGATCCGCATTTTATTGAAAAAGCAAATGAAAATCAATCAGACATTAAAACAAAGAAGCTAGTCATTAATTTGTAATTCCATAGGAAAAAATAATCAATTTAACCAATTTAATGTGTAGCTCTTTCAGAAACACATGTGGTGTGCAAAGCAAGATACATTTAAATTAAAAATCATTTCCTTCCATTAATACATAAGCTCAAAGAGGAAAAGATAATACTTGCAAGCAAGTAAACCAACCAAATATATATTAGTGTTTAATCCAGCAGCAGGATGTAGAAAATAAGTTTTTAAATCACTGATTTAGAAGCCAAAAATAACACATTAATCTTCATTCAGTTCTCATCCTACAAATGTGGTTTCACAAAGAGTTCTTAGCATCTAGTGTATTTTTCATTTTCTGATCTCAATTGATCTCAGCTAATAAGAGGCTGTTGTTCAAAAGAATGATCTTGTTCAGGATAATTTACCATGATTAACAGGGCAAAGGAAACTGAAATTTATAGATCTGTTAAAAAGACCTAGTTGTCAGGCTAATTGATACATTTTGGCCACCCCTTGAAATTACGTCCACTTTTACAATGCCAAATGAACTCTCTAAGGCAACAGAAGAAGGATTGTTCTTTAAACATACTGCAGAATTCATCATCAAATAGTTATTTATTAAGCAGCTCAACAAGCATGTACAGATTCTTTTTATCAGCAGTTCTGTTTCTTAGAACCAAATATCCATCGTATATAATACTCAATCACACTTGAGTACAAAAGTAGCTATGATTTAAAAAATTATAATTTTGCAAAATTAAAAGTTTGATTACCCTAGTTCATAATGAAGATGGATGGTGCCTATGACTGGGTTTTGCCTGCATAGCTCTTTATTCATGTGTTTCATACCTTTGTTCATCCCTGATCAGAAAGAAGTTAAAGATCCTGAGGTTCAGCTGGGCATGGTGGCTTATGCCTGTAATCCCAGCACTTTGGGAGGCTGAGGCGGGCAGATCACCTGAGGTCAGGAATTCGAGACCAGCCTGGTCAACATGGTGAAGCCCCGTCTCTACTAAAAATACAAAAATTAGCCAGGCATGGTGGCGGGCGCCTGTAATCCCAGCTGCTCAGGAGGCTGAGGCAGGAGAATTGCTTGCACCTGGGAGTTGGAGGTTGCAGTGAACCAAGATCGTGCCACTGCACTCCAGCCTGGGTGGCAGAGCAAGACTCCAACTCAAAAAAAAAAAAAAAAAAAAGATCCTAAGGTTCATCAGACTTAAATGTAAACCATTTCATTTAATGGATCTAAAGTGAAATATAGCCCCCTACCTCAATGTTACTCTTATTGCATTACCTACTTAAAGTTGATTTCTAAACTTTCCTTTACCTCTAGAGTTTCACTATACCGGAGTACAATCACATGAGATTTGTACCTAATCAAGAAATACACCTAATCTCTCCAATCCTGCTCCTCTACCTCTTAGTTAATAACTCCAGGCTTCCTTTTTCTCAGGCCAAAAACCTTGGAGTCAACCTTGACCCACATCCCATCCATCAGCAGATCCCGTAAGTTCTAACTATGATGGAAACCTGACTGCTAGCCACCACCAATATAACTAACACCATGCTTCAAACCACTGTCATCTCTCACCCAGATTATCCCACTAGACTTCTGACTATCCTACAAACACCTTGACCCTATTACAGTCTCCCTACATAGCAAACAGATGGAGACTGAGACAAAAACCTCCAGTGACTTCCCACCTTACTCCAATTATAAGCGAAGGTCTTCACAAATGTCTTCAAGCCCCTACATGAAATAATACTGACTCCTAAGTTTACTTCACCTGTGTCTCCCTTTCCATACATCCCCATCCACTCTGCTCCAGCCACACTGGTGTCCTCACTTTGGCTGGAGTATACCAAGCATACTCTCATTGCACAGGCTGCTCCTCTGCCTAGAAACCTGCCACCAGACACCCATTTCATTCACTTCTTCACCTTCTTTAGATCTTTATCACATTTTTGTACCACCATATCAGAAACTGCAACCCTATTGTCTCACTTCTGTACCGCAAAAGAACTCTAATCCTCTTTCTCAGCTTTATTTTTCTCCATAGTACTTACCACTAACTATCTTACACTGTTTCACATTTTTAAATTTTTATTTTCCATTGCTTCCCCACCACCCCTAGAATCCTGGCCCTGAGGGGAGGAATTTTTATTTGTTTTATTTTCACCAGTATTTTCCCAGTTCCTATAACAGAGCCTGGCACATTGTAGACACTCTATCAATATTTGTTGAATAAATGAATGAATAAAGAAATACAACATAAGTGATAAAATATCCAAATGATTGTACAGCATATGAAAATATTTGGAAACACATTTCCTAGATCCAAGAATCTGTGTTATTCCGATAATACAAAAAAGACACCTATAGTTCTAAGCATCAAATCTTAGAACCAGTATGCAAAGACTCTCACAAAGTGTCTGGCCCACCTTATTTTGGGCAAAAACCCCACAGAAAACCAAAAAACTTTGGACAGATATTGCACCTAGCATTAGAGAAGGAGGTGATCACTTCCTCTTATAAGAAATTTACTCTCTAGGCTGGGAGAGATGGCTCACACCTGTAATCCCAGCACTTCGGGAGGCCGAGGCAGGTGGATCACCTGAGGTCAGGAGTTTGAGAGCAGCCTGGCCAACATGGAGAAACCCCATCTCTACCAAAAATACAAAAAAAATTAGCTGGGCGTGGTGGCACGAACCTGTAGTCCCAGTTACTCGGGAGGCTGAGGCAGGAGAAGGGAGGCTGAGGCAAGAGAATCACCTGAACCCGGGAGGCAGAGGTTGCAGTGAGCCAAGATCGTGCCACTGCACTCCATCTTGGACGACACAGTAAGACTCTATCTCAAAAAAAAAAAAAAAAAGAAGAAGAAGGAAATATACCCTCTAGAAGCTAGTTCATATTTTAAAATATTTGATTCTTTTCATTGCTGAGGATTTTAAGGAGTAATGTTAATAGTGGGTGTTGTTGCAACATCAGAATTTTTTTCTATAGTTAGATTAATTATCTTGAATATCCCATTAGTGCCAAAATGCAATTTAAGCCATCATTTCAAAATAATTTTATGTATGCTTATCAGGACTAGTAAATTTGTCTCTCTAAAGAATAATTACCTGAGAAAATGTTACAAAGTTACCTGCTAAGGCAAACTATTGCTTAAAAAAAATAATGCTTTTCAAAACTCACCCACCCAACTGCCGCCATGATAATAGTAGGGATTATAGTTTTGATGATAGGTTTTCCTTTGCTTGACACCCTTATTTATCTCTACTGCTTCAGCCGTAAACATTATAAACTCTCAGTTTTACATAATAGTTTTTAGTTCCTTCGCCATCCTGCTGCCTTCTTTTAAATATATGCCTCAATTTGCCTCTTTCACATTTGAAGTATGGTTCTCAGAACCAAGCAAAATATTCCCAGTGGTTTTGAGTGGCCAACCATAGTGAACAAACTACCATGTTCATGTTCTTTATTCTGAATTTTATATTTTTATTAATACCGATTGAAAGTATAACAACATTGGGGGCAGTTGTATATCAGTGTTGACTTGTTCATTCATTGATTCAGTGGACAGATATTTTTTGAGGTTTTACCATGTGCCAAGCATTGAGCAATGAGATGGAGATATAATGAATAAGACACAGTCTTTGTTCTCAAGTGACAAAGAGGAGACAGATATTAATCAATAATCATGCAAAAATAAACTCAGAAATTGTGATAAATGTTATGGAAATACTATGAGAAATATGAGAATGTATACTGTGGTAGTTAAAACAATGGCCCTCAAAGTTATATACATTATAATCCATGAACCTGTGACTCTGTCACCTTACATGGCAAAAAGGACTCTGTAGGTGTGATTAAGTTAAGGCTCATCAAATGAGATTATCTTGAAATGTCTAGGTGGGCCCAATGTGATCACGAGGGTCCTTAAGAGAGGAAGGCAGAAGGGTTAGAGACAGATGTGGCAAAAGGAGAAATGGTAAGGGTTTGGTGAGGAAGAGATTTGAGGATGCCACTTTCTGGTTTTGAAGACTGAGAAAGGAATCATGAGCCAAGGAATTTGGGCAACCTTTAGAAGCTGGAAAAGACAAGGAATTTGATCCTGCCCAGAGCCCTCAGAAGGGATGCAGCCCCATCAATACATTGATTTTAGGACTTCTGACCTCCAGAATTTTAAGATAATATTTCTGGTTTTTGTTTTGTTTTGTTTTGTTTGTTTTTTGTTTTGAGTCTCTCTCTTTAGACCAGGCTGGACTGCAATGTCATGATCTCGGCTCACTGCAACCTCCACCTCCTGGGTTCAAGCGATTCTCCCATGTCAGCCTCCTGAGTAGCTGGGATTACAGGCACTCGCCATCATGCCTGGCTAATTTTTTTTGTATTTTAGTAGAGACAGGGTTTCACCATGTTGGCCGGGCTGGTCTTGAACTCCTGACCTCAGGTGATAAGCCCGCCTCTACTTCCCAAAGTGCTGGGATTACAGGCATGAGCCACTGCACCCAGCCTAAATTTGTGTTGTTTTAAGCCACTAGATTGATGCTAATTTGTTAAAGCAACAATAAGAAATCAGTACATAGAACAAAGGACCTGATCCAATTTGGGGCAGATCCTAGATACCTCTTTTGAGAGCTGAAGGATGAGGAGGAGATAACCAGGCAAATGTGGGGAAAGAAGAAAGCATTCTAGACTATAGACTGGTCCCTGAGGTTGGGCAGGGGGACAACTGGTAAGTCCAAATAATTAAGAGGTCAGTGGGGACATGAAAGGAGAGAGTAGTTTTAGATGTGGGAGGGAGCCAGGAGCTGAGTCATTTTTATAAGCCATTCTATAGAATGGGGATAATAGTATCTAAAAGTGTTGTTGTGAAGATTAAATAAAATAATCCTTTTAAGTGCCTGGTACATAGTAAGTAATAATAAGAATTGCAGCTGTTATTATTAAAGTTTGAATTTAGATTCGATTTTGAATATGATATGCAAGATATACTCATATCCAGAAAGGAAAAATGATTCTGTCATGTGAACTATGGAATATCTCACTTTTTATTTGTTTTATTCATTGCTTGTATATTAGTCAGATATTGCCATGATGATGCTGTGTAACAAAACATCCCGAAACCTCAGGACATACAACAAAAGGATTTATATTCATGCTCACAGACCTGCAGGTCTAATGAGATCTCACTGGGCTAGAAAAGACTTGGCTTGGTAGCTCTTCTTCAGTCTGGATTGACTGAATTTACTTCCAGTCTGTGGGCTGGGTTCAGGTGTATTCCACATGTGTTCATTCTAGGGCCCAGATTGAAGAGCAGTAGCTACTTGCCCCATGTTCCTCTCATGATGGAGCACTAGAGCACAAGGGCCAAGCCAAACCTCATGTAAGGCCTCTACCTGGGTCAAATTGGCCAATGTTCTATAGGCCAAGGAAAGTTACATGGCCAAGCTCAAAATTAAGGAGGTGGTAAAGTACACTCTGCCCTCAATGGGATGGAAAGAGAGATATTTGCTGACCCATAATTCAAAGTCACACCTGCTAGTTCATAACACTTTGTAAATATTCATATTAAGGGATAATAACCTCAATTAACAACTATGTTCTATTTTATCCACATTTATTAGTATTATATTTAGCAGAAATTTTTCATATGAGAGATTTAAAATCTATACATAATAATATAACTTATAGTGAATGATCACTATAATATGGAATTTTAATATAAACATCACGGCCTTCTTTTCAAATGTATGACAACACATGAGGCATTTTTCCCCTCTTAATTTTAATTTTTAAATGTTATTCTTCAGCAATCATAACTTTTTTTTAAAGGGTGGTCACAGTCACTGAGGATAACTACAGAGACTAAGTTCTTTTTTTTTTTTTTTTTTTTTTGAGATGGAGTTTCTCTCTTGTTGCCCAGGCTGGAGTGCAATGGCTTTACCTCGGCTCATTGCAACCTCCTCAGGTTCAAGCGATTCTCGTGCCTCTGCCTCCTGAGTAGCTGGGAATTCAAGCACGTGCCACCACGCCTGGCTAATTTTTGTATTTTTAGTAGAAACGGGGTTTCTCAATGTTGGTCGGGCTGATCTTGAACTCCCGACCTCAGGTGATCCACCCGCCTCAGCCTCCCAAAGTGCTGGGATTACAGGTGTGAGCCACCGCGCCCGGCCTAAGAGACATTTCTGAGGGAGAATTGACAGTGTTTAATGGCTACTTCCATGAGAAGTAAGAAAGGAGAGGTGGAGAATAAATCCAAGATTGATTGATTGGTTGAATGAAACAAGTATGTGGCAGGCTGCCTTTGTTAGAAAGGGGATGATATGGTAGGAAATTATCCCATTTTGGGCTTAAGACACCATGACAAATGAATGCACATAGATAGATCTATCAGACAGTTGGAAATAGTTACTTCATGTTTGGTAAAGTGTTCTCAGGGCTGAGAATATGGGTATGAGAGTCTTTAATATGGAAGCCATGGGAATTTCACTTGCATGAGGATGTAAATTGATAAATGGACCAAAGACATAAACATAGTGAAATAGATGTGTTTAAGCAGCACCTAGAGAAGAAATCAGCAAAGGAGACTAAATAGAGAAAGCAGAGGTAGCAACTGCAATCTTGGCTACGCTAATCATCTGATGTTCTATGAGGTGTCCAATAACTGAAAAAATAAAAACATATCCATAATAATTGGACTGATAAAACATATATTTGCCACCTATCTAGAACATTCCAAACACCTAGTAAAATTCCAGGAAACCTGTTATTGATTGATCTGATCAACTTAAACATAAAATCTAGGTAAGCCACTGATCCCTAGATCCAAGAATACCAAAAGTCTTTAGTACTTGCATTTTTTGTCCTGGTTCATCCACTAATGTGAGCCAATCATTTAATGTCTATGAACTGGTTTTCTCATCTTAATAAAAGAAAAGCTATGGAGGCTGGGATAGCCAGATGACATCTTATAAAGTTTCTCCAGAGACTCAAGCAATTCTGAGACGGAAATCTTAAATAGATTGGCTCAAGAGCAAATGCAGAAGAAATGATTCCCCTTTCCTAGTGTCACCCTTCGCCCTTCCTCAGTGATTATTGATTGGGAATCTCCAAAGGTATATAGGAGGCATCGAATACTTTTCTAGTTCCTGTCAGGAGTGCAGGTGATTGTCACCCATCCACGCTGAATGGTGCCTGGCATCACGTTGGTGGAATGGCATTCATATGTACCCCACCCAGAAGTACCTCTCCTTCAGTACCTTTGCAGTGGCTCACCAGGCACCTGATACTCCCCTACATCCCAGTGGAATCCCATAAGCTTTCTTCAGGTAGTTGTGCTAAATGAGTCTGGGTTCTCTGAGGAACTCTGTAAGGTTCAGTACACATTCAGGGGCTCAGGAGTTAAGACTTTTTTTTTCCCCCTACCAGAATTTAAAAAAAAAAAAAAAAAGGACAAAGATAAAGAAATATTAACTTTTTAAAAAGCCTGATGACTGTTTTGCAAGGGGCATGTATGTTACACTACATAATCAAGTAACACTGGTTGAGGGATGGCTCAGGAATTGAATAACCCATGTCTGTCTCTTTTGCTTGATTATTGCAACACTGTGTGCCCGGCACTGTTCTGGTTCCTGGAGTTCTACTAACTTTTAAAAAAATAAATGTGAAGCCGTTGCTGATTTTCGTGGCCGTATGCAGGGAACCGCGGTAAGCAGTCGTCCAGAAAGGCAGGTGGGCATTTCTTTTTCATTTTCTTTTTTTATGTTTTGAGACGGAGTTTCGCTCTTCTTGCCCAGGCTGGAGTGCAATGGTCCAATTTTGGCTCACTGCGACCTCCGCCTCCCAGGTTCAAGCGTTTCTCCTGCCTCAGTCTCCCGAGTAGCTGGGATTACAGGCATGTGCCACCACGCCCGGCTAATTTTGCATTTTTAGTAGAGACGGGGGTTTCGCCACACTGGTCAGGCTGGTCTCGAACTCCTGACCTCAGGTGATCCGCCCGCCTCGGCCTCACAGGGTGCTGGGATTACAGGCGTGAGCCACCGCGCCCGGCTGCAGGTGGGTATTTCTTTAAGGACTAGGCGAGAGGCCTTCCGCTCCGAGAAGAACACTCACAGAACAGTGGCCTTTCCTGGTCACGGCGAATGCACCTAGGACAAATCGCACAGCTGGTTTCCAGGCCCCGCCCCCACCTGTAGACTCCGCCTCTGGGTCCGCCACTCTCCCGTCAGGCGCCGCGCGCGCTCATTGCCCCGCCCCTCAGGCTTTGCCCCGCCCCTTACGGCGCCGGAGAGATGGCGGAGTTGGACATCGGGCAGCACTGCCAGGTGGAGCATTGCCGGCAGCGAGGTGATCCGGGAGCTTCCAGCCCCCATCCCCGGCCGCGGGAGACCAGGGCTCCGCTTTGGCTCCGCGGATGGTGGCGGCGGGTGAAGGGAGGCCACAAGGCTGGGCAGGGCCTGAGGAGCGGGGTGGGAGCGTTTCTTCTGGGGCTGCAGTGAGATCGGTTGGTGCGGGTTTTTTTTGGCCGTGAGCTTTTGAAATGACGTGTGGTCTCCTTGGAAGGAAGCCATGCAATTCCTGAGGCAGGGCCTGAGGAGCGGGGTGGGAGCGTTTCTTCTGGGGCTGCAGTGAGATCGGTTGGTGCGGGTTTTTTTTGGCCGTGAGCTTTTGAAATGACGTGTGGTCTCCTTGGAAGGAAGCCATGCAATTCCTGAAAACGTACCTTGCAGTGTTCATTTTGGTGTTCGAGTGTGCCGTGTCCGAGCAGTGCACGAAGCCCACTGCTGGATCGCGTGGCTCACACTTACTCTGCTGAGCGCGGGTATGGGGACGCGTAGGTTTGGTCTGGGACTGTTGTCTTTTGGCTTTGCCACTGCGACCTACGGCCAGCTACTTTCCCATACTTTTTTTTACTTATCTGTTACGTAGCTGTCAGGAGGAGTTGGGGGAGGTCAACTCGCCCAACTAGTGTTCACGTGGATGTGTGTCCGGAAGAAGGCCCTTCCTTAGCTTTTATCAAATTCTCAAAGGCATCCTGATCCTCAGATTATTCCACCAAATGGTCATCATGCTCTCCCAGCTCTGTCATTCCCTGATTCTCATTATTATTGTTTGAACAAACATTTACAGATTATTGATTTTGGTGCTTGGACCACATAAGGGTGTAAACTACAGTCTTTTACACGGAAGACCTTTCCAACTAGTAAGCTGCATTTTAGAGAGAATTAGTTAATAATATGGCAATGGGCTCTCCCCATTGCACTGAGAGACCTTGGGATATACCTAGTCCAAGGTGATGTGGCATTGGCTTCAGGATGCCATACACCTTGAAAAGGCAAGTTTTTGAAGCATTAGAACCACACAGACTGCTCAGTCGTTGTTACTAGGTTTCACACACTACATAAGGTAGCAAACAGGTTTAATCTCCCCTTGGAACTTCAGTCATTGGTATCAAGTGCCTGAATTACCGTGTCAAAGACTCTTGAGATTTAGCCCAGTTTCAGTGGAGTTCCATAATTGATTAGTGATTTCTACTGTGGGAATGCGTGATAGGACAGGTGACACAATCCCTTCTAGGTTCTTGTTACTTATAGCCATCTATCTATCTATCTTTCACCACTGGCTGTAATAACAAGCCAGTGTGACTTTTTTCATGTGGAAGCTTAGCCATTTGGGTTTTGACTGTGAATTATGTGTGTCTATGCCTGATCCTTCGCTAGTGAGTCCAATACACATTATATGCCATTCATGACATAGTTCATTTTCCTTTCCAGCTATATATGTCTTTAGTGTCAATAACTGAGATGAGGCCAGGCCTATCTGTTTGGGACTAGTGGAAAGCAGTTAAGATTTAGACTACGTCAAGTGTATATCCTAAATTTTATCTACCTTCTGGAGGGATTGAAGGATGGTATCAGGTGCTGGGAAGTTGTCTTGACTTAACTCTTTCCCCTGGGTCCTTCTGGTTTGCATCTAATACTTGATTATTAAAAGTCGCAAAATATTAAGCATCTCCACCCAGTCACTGCAGTATTGTCCTTTTTTGTTTGTTTGTTTGTTTTGTTTTGAGATGGAGTCTGGCTCTGTCACCCAGGATGGAGTGCAGTGGCGCGATCTCGGCCCTCTGCAACCTCTGCCTCCTGAATTCAAGCGATTCTCCTGCCTCAGCCTCTTGAGTAGCTGGAATTACAGGCATGAACCACCACGCCCAGCTAATTTGTGTGTGTGTGTGTGTGTGTGTGTGTGTGTGTGTGTGTGTGTGTTTTCAGTAGAGATGGGGTTTCGCCATGTTGGCCAGGCTGTTTTCAAACTCTTGACCTCAGGTGATCCGCCCCCCTCGGCCTCCCAAAGTGCTGGGATTACAGGCTTAAGCCACTGTGCCTGGCCCCTTGCAGTACTGTTCTGAGTTGAGTATACTCAAAAGAAGTTAATTGTTGTATTATTCTTATTAATTATAGTTACTGTATTACTATTCTGATCTTTCATATATATCTCATTTGGTTTCTGTAAGTACACTGTGAGGTCGGTGTGGCATACAGCATAGATACAGATATAGATACACATGCATACACACATATACATATATACACAGAAAGGATGTGCTTGTATCTTTATATCTGTCTCTGTATCTACCTGTCTATATCTTTCTATTTTTCTTACCCAATAAAAGAGCTTTGGTTTTGTATATGTTTATTTACATACATATATAGAAACACACACACATATACTTTATACTAACTGTACTATATATTACATCAAATTATATATATTTGAAATACCATAAATCTTATAGGTGTATATATAAATATAAATATATTTGAATATAGTCAAGCTTTGGCGATATATATATATATATGTTGTTCACACACATATATATTAGTACACAGATATAAATATATATATTTATTGGATATATATAAAAATATATATATCCAAAGTTTTACTGTTAAGTAACTTGCCTAGCACTGTTAGATTAGTAAGCAGTGGAATCAGAATTGAATCCCAGGTTTTTCACTCCAAATGCGGAATTTTTGCAGTATACAGTCATCAAAAACAACACCTAGTAAATCTGGGAAACAAAACAAAAAAGAAAAAGAAAACCACTAGAACTTATTTTTGTCTGACTTAGTAAAGTTACAAGTAACATCTATTAATACCTTATGTTAATCCAATTACTTTCTGTCAGTTATTGAAGTTGTGATTAATTTTGTTAGAGTGGTTACATAGTGCTTGCTACACTAGGATATTAGTCAAAATGGGAAGTTTTTCCATAGAGGTTGTCTTCTTGCTTAAGAAAACTAAATCAAAATCAGATACTGACCAGTATATACATTTTCTCTCAATTTTAGATTTTCTTCCATTTGTGTGTGATGATTGTTCAGGAATATTTTGGTAAGTTAAGTTTTTATGCAGGATTTGGGAGTAATTTTAGTGTTTATTAATATGAGGTTATTTCTGAAAAGTAGAATGATTTAAAATAATTGTTACTTTAGCCATTGATTATTGATATTCAGTATAGTTATAGACTCTGATTACTTCTCCATATATATGACTGATTTTTAAACTTCCAAAAGTGGGGTTATGTATGTGAATTTTATATAAAAGTTATATTTTTGTCTTTTAATTACAAGGAGAAAATAATATTCACAATATAAAGAATATGGTAAAGATCCAGTTATAATTATTGCTCTTTATTTTAATTAATAAAATGAAAAGAGCCCAACCTATAAATGCCTTAAAATAGGAATCACAGCATTTGACTACATTACATGCCAAGTAAAACCTGGGAATTAATGAAGAATTTTGGAAAATGGATTTTCCTTACAGTTAAACTTTAAAATGTCAAGCATTTAAATTATAAAATAGAGCACTGAAAGAATGAATTTTTTTCAGAATGTAATTCAGAATGATTTGTTGGAAGTAAATAAAAGTAATGTATATTTTTAAATTATTTGGAATTAGAGCACTTTTCACATTTTACTACTGATGATCTTTTAGAAATAAAAAGAGCTGAAAGATATGTTTATATTTTCATGCAACGTAAACGTAATTTAGGGTGGTGAATTGTTTTTACTCATATTGAAGTTGAACATTTGTGTTTTAAAACTTTTGAGACTATAGATGCTCCATCTTTATCTGACATTTCAGTTTTTTCTCATATTCAAAGTTATTAATGTAGTATGAGCATAATGTATCTTAAGTATACTGAACATTAAAATATCGCAAATTTCTGCAGTTATCTTTAAGTATGTTATTTAAATAAACACTTGCTATTATTATTTAAGCCTTGAACACAGAAGCAGGGAGTCTCATGGTTGTCCTGAGGTATGTTAGTATTTTTCCAATCTGATAAAATGTATTCGTATTTATGTACTTTCATTCAGAATTTGATTAGATTTAAAGGCAGTCAGTATCACAGATTAAAGTTTGGCATACTAAACTGATTAGGTAAAGAGGCTTTTGCTTCATTTATATTATTTTTCTTTGTTTGAAAGAAAAATTGTTTTACTTGGTATTTGTAAATTTTTATCCTCATAATTTTTATTCCTTAACATTTGTTTAGGTAGCCCACTTACAGTATAAGGCTATATATTTATTTATTTGTTTGTTTTGTTTTGTTTTGTTTGAGATGGAGTTTTGCTCTTGTTGCCCAGGCTGGAGTGCAGTGGTACGATCTCGGCTCACTGCAACCTCCGCCTCCGGGGTTCAAGTGATTCTCCTGGCTCAGCCTCCCGAATAGCTGGGATTATAGGCACGTGCCACCACGCCCGACTAATTTTTGTATTTTAGTAGAGATGGGGTTTTACCATGTTGGCCAGGCTGGTCTCAAACTCCTGACCTCAGGTGATCCACCCGCCTTGGCCTCCAAAGTGTTGGGGTTACAGGTGTTAGCCACCGCGCCCAGCCAAGGCTATATATTTATAAATATACACGTAAGTTAATGTCCTCCTTATATATTCCCTCCAGTTCACTGTGTCCTTCACTGTTGTGTTCATTTTCACTGATGCCTGCTGATAGGATCTGTGGTAGTAAATCATTCTGGCTCAGTCGACTTAAGACAACCAGGAAGAAACCTATAGTTTAATAAAATTCCTACCCTAATTTTGCACAAATCATAAGTTAAGAAAGGTCTGGCAAATAGAAGTCAAAATATTACCCTTATTACTGGTAAAGATAAGTTGAATGATGAAGTTCAGCATAGAGCAAATGGGTTTGCAAAGAATATCCAGAATTAGGCAGACTTGCCCAGCAGTCACAGCAGTACTGGACCAGGTTAGGCTTTCTCCCTGAAGGCAGTACAGTTCCAAGAGGAAGAGAGAAAGCTAAGCCCACCATGTTCAATGTGTTCTAACACTTTTCAGTGGACATTTATTCCTGCCCACCATTTACCAAGTGCTTTACCAAATATTTTCACATCTGTTCTCTCAGTTATAGAAAGTTATTAAAGTTACATGAGGTTCAGTTGAAATCTGATTCTTTCCAGTTTAAATGATCAGTCAAAATCTGACCCTTTGAAGTTTACGTGATCTATTTGAGGAAAATTTGAATTACCTAGCATGTTGATTTTATGCAGCATTAATTGGAGGAAATATTCAGTCATACAATAAAACTTACTGAAGTTTCTTGCAGTTTATAAATCTATCCTGTGTTTTCTTTTTTCTTAGGATATAATTTGATTCCTCTGAATGTGTCTCAGATAATTAGGTCTCGTTAATTAAATATTGAAACATCATTAGGCCATTGCAACAAGTTCAAAAAGATACTTAAATTAATTCCAACAAGGTGTAACTATTATTTATAAAAAGGAATTCCCTTTGGTTGTAGTTTTCAAGCAATTATTTCCCTACGTTTACTCGTCTTTAGAAACCTGGTTTGTTAATGCTCAGAATAGCCTGGCTGATTTAGAATTTTTTTTTTTTTTTAGTCTTATAAAATCTTTCTTCCTGTAGTGGAGTATTTGCTGGTAATAAAAATATGAAATAGGGCATAGAGAATAATATATGATTATGAAAACCGTCTTTAACCTTTTATCTCACAAATAAATAAATATTTTTTAAGTGTTTTATTCTCTGAGTTAAGTGTTTCATCTCCTAAAATTAGTGTGGAAATTAGGTTGACTTGCCATTTGAGGGTTGATGAGATAATTACCTGAGCATATCATAGGGGCACCTTTGTATGAGACTGTTACAAAGCAGGTTAAAATTATAGAGCGTAATTAAATAGTCATTTCAACTTGACTTAGAAGACAAATATACCACAGTAGGAAAATTATGAAAGTGTGGAACAGTCAGTATAGTAATCATTTGTCACATAAAACATTCTTTATAATCTTTGAGAGTAAGTAACTTGCTCTAATAAGTTTAAGCAAAAATAAAATGAATACTGCCTTCTAGAATAAGACACATTGATTTGTTTTAGGTCTGAAATGTAATACATTTCCTCCTTTTTGCATTTTCAGGTGACTGTAATCAATGAGAGACTGAAGACAGATCAACATACATCTTACCCATGCTCTTTCAAAGACTGTGCTGAGAGAGAACTTGTGGCAGTTATATGTCCTTATTGTGAGAAGAATTTTTGCCTGAGGTGATTGATCACTTAGGCTGTTCACACTTTGTATATCTGTTTAAGTGCTATACAAACACATGAACTAGTGTCACTCTTCTGTTGCTCATAGACACCGTCATCAGTCAGATCATGAGTGTGAAAAACTGGAAATCCCAAAGCCTCGAATGGCTGCCACTCAGAAACTTGTTAAAGACATTATTGGTAAGTATCTAGAAAGCGTGTTTTGTTGCTTTCCTAGTTCCAGAGCTCCTGCTTCTTATATCTACTTTCCAATTATGGGAGGCATCATTAATAACCCCAGTGGTATTCGTATTAACTTGTATTTTGATGATATTCTTGTGACAGTATTTCTTATGAGGTCTACCTGACCGATGGAAATTTGGAAATTATTTGGAGGTACTCCACTGTAAGTACTTATCTCTTTTGCTGAGCCACTTAGATTAGCTAGTTAACCATTGGGCTAGAAATGGTATTCATGAGATTGAAGTAGTCAGCTGCTTTCTCTACAGATTAAACTCTAAGCCTAGTCAGCTGTTCTGTGAATGCTGCTGATAATAAGAGATACCAGGAATGAATGTATCTGTGACTTAAATCAGTCTGCCTGCCAGTATGTTAGCTCAGAATTTTTATTCCATATTAAGGATAGTACCTTTATTACAATCTTGCATAACCAAATCTTAAGGTTGTCTGTAGAAGCATTAATGACTGCTTTAGGTTAAATAGGCTTAAGTTGAAAAGAAGCACATTATAGTGGATTTTTTGATGTGGAGATTGCCTAGATCAATCTCAATGATATTTTTCCATTGACAATGTAAATACAATACCTATACAATGAATGTGGTCTCTGTATATCTCTCTTGTGTGTAATTTATATATGTTTCTGAGCCATAATTAATAAGTGTATTATAATAAAATTCTATTTGTAATGTGAAAGTTTTATGTGATTACATGCTTACACTTCTTAGATTCCAAGACAGGAGAAACAGCAAGTAAACGATGGAAAGGTGCCAAAAATAGTGAAACAGCTGCAAAGGTTGCATTGATGAAATTAAAGATGCATGCTGATGGCGATAAGTCATTACCACAGGTTGGTCTTAGAGATTTTTTAAAACACAAAAATTTCAAATATAGTTGAAGTCCTCTTTGTATTCCTCCTTCCCATCAATTAACAACTAACCTAAACCTGGTATGTATCATTCTTAATGTTGCATGGTATATGTCTGCATAAATAATACAAAGTTTTTTGAGTTTTTTCACTTTATAGACATGATAGTGAACCATATGTATACTTCTTCGAGTTGTCTTTTTTTTTCCCACTTGGGATGTGCTGTTAATGTTTATCCATGCTGAGATTTAGTCAACAAAATTCGGATTTTTTTCAATTTTTTGCTATTATAAACTGTCTATGGTGACCATCCTTGTGTATATGTAGAAGAGTTTCTCTAGGACTGTTCCTTTAAAACTTCACAATATCAGTTATTTTATATAACAACCCAATATATATATATACATACATACCTTAACACAGTTGAGTGTTATATGTGTTATATTATGATATTTGTTATTCTGTTTTAAAGATTGTGGCTGGGCGTGGTGGCTCACACCTGTAATCCTAGCACTTTGGGAGGCCAAGATGGGTGGATCATGAGGTCAGGAGATCGAGACCATCCTGGCTAACACGGTGAAACCCCATCTCTACTAAAAATACAAAAAAATTAGCCAGGTGTGGTGGTGGGCGCCTGTAGTCCCAGCTACTCGGGACGCTGAGGCAGGAGAATGGCATGAACCTGGGAGGCAGAGCTTGCAGTGAGCTGAGATTGCACCACTGCACTCCAGCCTGGGCGACAGAGCGAGACTCCGTCTCAAAAAAAAACGAACAAAAACAAACAAACGAACAAACAAAAAAAGATTGTTAGAACCTATCAGGTTGATTTTCCAATCCCTAATGGATTGAGACTACTGTTTAAAAAATGCTACTTTAGGGAATATACCTAGAAATAGAAAACCTGGATTATGGGCTTTGCTGATCTTCAGCTTTACTAGATATGGTCAACTTCCTGTTGTCAGTGATTGTACTCATTTGTCTCTTTCTGTTAGTGCTTCCAACAATGTCTATTTTTGGCCATTTATTCCTTAATAAAAATTTTAGGATCACTTTGCCCTGTTCGGTGAAATTATGATTTTGGTAGGAATTATGCTGAATTTGAGATTAGAGAGAGTTGACATCTTTAGAATTTTGACTCTTCTCATCTATGTCTGTGGTATATCTTCCCAACTTTTCTTAAGGTTTCCTTTTATGTGTAATTATAGAAGTAACCTTCTATAATGCTTACCATAAATATTTACATACCTTTTCCTAGTTTTATTCTTAGGCTCTTTATAATTTTTGTTGTCATTATAAATAATACCTTTTTAAAAAAATTACATTTTCCTAGCTAATTATTGTTGGTTAATGTTATGTTGCCCTTCTATCCAGCAAATAAATTCCTAATAGTTCCCATATTTTGTAGATTTTCTGGGCTATTTTCTGTGTAGTCATATCTTCTCCAAATGCCAATTTTTGTGAGTTTTTTCTGCAGATTTTCTCTTCTCTTGTGTTCATTATCATTGTTTGTCTTAATGTTGAGATCTTCAGAACAATGTTGAATAATATGGGCAATAGAAGGAATCTTAATCATGTTTCTGACTTTAATGCAAATGTATCTAAAGTTTCATCAAGTATTAGATATACTGTGAATTTGTATAAGTAGCCTTTTTCTTGATACTATTATTTCTTTCTATTCCTAATTTGCTAGGAATTTACACTATGAATGGATATTAAACTTTACTGTAAATTTTTTTATTACATCTAGTAAGATGATCATTTTTTCCTCATCAATGTAATAAATTTTATCGATCAGTTTTTCTGTCGTTAGATCATCAAATATTCCAGGATAAATCACTGACTCTGGTATATAATTCTTTTAAAATGCACTGAGAAATTGATTTGCTAACATTATTTAGTGTGTGTTAGTGACATTAATAGCAAGATTATGCTTAAAAATTAGTTGAGTAGCTTTCTCTCTTCTATTCTTTGAGGTAGTTGTAGAGGGTGGGAATTTGTTCTCAAAGGTTGGTAACACTCAGTTGTAGTAACTCTTGGAGAATTTTGAATACTATTCCAATGTGTTACTTCTTGCTTTATCTGGATAATCTATTTCTTCTGAAGTCAATTTTGGTAAATATTTTTCCAAAAAACTGTTTGATGTAGATTTTTCAGTTTATTATTTTCAACTTGTTCAAGTTATTCTGTTATACTTCAGAATCTTTATGTGTCTTTAGTCATTCTGCTTCTTCCTTAATATTTTTCATTTGTACTTTTCCTTCTTTCTCCTTTAGACAGAACAGCTAGAAGTTTATCCTTATTTTTTCGTAGTGTTTTCAAAGAACCATGATTTGGATTTAAAGACCTCTGTGTTTTGTTTTCTGTTTCACTAATTTTTGCTTTTATATTATTTCCTTCTGCTTTGTTTAGATTTTTCTCTGACATCCTTTTTCCAGCCTTTCACATAGAATGGTAATTTATTGATTTTATTTTCGTTTTGTTTTGTTTTGAGACAGAGTCTTGCTCTGTCGCCCAGGCTGGAGTGCAGTCGTGCGATCTCAGCTCACTGCAACGTCCCCCTCCCTGGTTCAAGCGATTCTCCTGCCTCAGCCTCCTGAGTAGCTGGGATTACAGGCATGCACCACCACGCCCAGCTAATTTTTGTATTTTTAGTAGAGATGGGATTTCACCACGTTGGTCAGGCTGGTCTTGAACTCCTGACCTCGTGATCCACCCTCCTCTGCCTCCCAAAGTGCTGGGATTACAGGCGTGAGCCACCATGCCCGGCAGTTTGTTTATTTTTAATATACTTGTTTAGGTATAACAATATACTTATTTGGTGTCTTTATTTTGTTACCATTTCAAACACAGGCAAGTTACAAACATAGTACAAATAACTTTTCCATATTCTTTACCCAATTGTACCAATTATTTATATTTTGCTGTGTTTGCTTTATCATCTGCTGTCTCTTTCTGTCTATATGTACCATATGTATATGTGTGTACTTAATTTTTTGTCCACTTGATTTATCACTTTCTCAGGTTAAAATCTCCTACTATGGATGTGTTTTTGCTAATTTTTTTATATAACTCTAATAGTTTGTAGAGTTACGTATTATCAAGTACATAGAATTTCTTCATTGTTATATGTTCTTTATGAATTTTGCCTTTAACCCTATTTTGAATTATAATATTGTTTCACTAGCTTTCTTTTGGTGAATATTTAACAAGTATGTAATTTTTTCATCGCTTTATATTTCAACTTTTTTTGTTGTTTTGTTTTAGGGTGTCTCTTGTAAGCAGCATATAGCTGAACTTTGTTTTTTTTAAACCAGTTTGATAGTATCTCTCTTTTGTAGGTGAATTGAATCCTTTCTTGTTTATGGTGGTCATTGGTGTATTTGAACATATTTCTTCCATCATGTATTTTCTGCTCATCACCCTTTTTCTTTGACTCTTTCTCTTTCCTTTTGTATTGAATTTGTTCTGATGGCTTAGAAACAATTGATTACAGTTTTCTTATTTTATTGACTACCCCTGATATTTTCCTTTTTTGAAATTTTGTTTGATTTTTTTAAAATTGCAAAGGTAGTATAAGCTTTTAACAAGTATAACTATCAAAAGATGCATATGGAGAAAAAACATACACACTCCTGTGTCTCTCATCCATTTACATCCCCTAAAGCAGCAGTTCTTAACTGAAAGCAGTTTTGCTCCCTAAGGGGACATTCAGCAATGTCTGGAGACATTTTTAATTGTCACAGTTGGGAATGGGGTGCTACTGGTATTTAGTTGGTAGAGGCCAGAGATGCTGTTAAATTCCTACATTGTAGAGGACAAGGCCGACAACAGAGAATTTTTTCTTGGCCTAAAATGTAAATAGGGACAAAGTTGAGAAGACCTGCTCTCAAGTATTCAGTAATACTTACATTACTTTGCAATTCTTCTATTACTTAAAACATAACAGTAAAAACTTCTATAAGACTTACTTTGAGGCAATCTTCTAACATATTTCATCCTTGCAACAAGTTTATAAGGTATGCACTATTAACTGTTACCCAAAAAGAGTAACATTCTATTAACATAGCTAGTAAGTGGAGAACTACGAATTGAAACTAGGCAGTCTGGTTTCACAAACCATCTTCTTCACACACTTAACAATATATCATAAAGCATTCTATAAGTTTGTAGATAAAAGTTTTTCCCTTTATTATTAATGTTTGTGTGTGTGTAAGTATAGATATACTAGAGATATATGTGGGTGTCTTATGTGTTTATACATACATGTATAATATATACATGCATATTGTATTCATGTATATACGTATATGTGTAAGTGTATTTGTTATATGTGTGTGTATATCATTTTACATAAATGAAAATGTATTCTACTTGTATATGTGTGCAAAGGCATAAAGAATATTTTTCTGTCATTATTTTATAAAAATGGTATCAATCATTTAGTCAACACACTTAAAAAAAAATACTTTCTATATACCAAGCCCTGATAATACAGTAGTGAATAAAACAGAATCCCTTCTGCCCTTATGAACCTAGAGTTCCTGGAGTTTATATGCCACTGGGCTGAGATAGATATTAAATATATAATAATTCATGTAGTGATTAGGGCTATAAATAAAACTAAAGCAGGTTTGGGGTAGACTATATATCCTTCTCTCATTAATGCCTAGTAGAAATTCCCTCAAGTGAGTTGGTGTGGCCCTAAATCATTTTCTTTACAAACTGCATTCTCTTCTGTGGTGTGGGTGTACTGTGGCTTATTTTGTCATTTTTCAATTAATGAGCATTCACTTTGTTTCCAGTTTTGGCTACTGTGCTAAATAGGCTGTGTGGTACTTTTCTTTCTGTGAGATAAATTCCCAAGAGTGTGTTTGCTGTGTCAAATGGTACGCATATTTTAGATTTTAATAAAAATTGTCAAACAACTTTACAAAGAAATTACAATTCACATTTCGAATCAAATTTCATTGACGGATTGCCTATACTAAGTATAGTTTTGTGGCTCTAGTTTTTTAATCATCTTTAGTACTTGCAGCTCTTCTGAGATATATTTTTATCCTAATTTCACAGATGAGTAATCTGGAGTGAAGTATTTTTAAGAGCACTAACTTGGTAAGAGCCTGCCCTTCTAACCAGTTCCGTATACTGCCTCTTGTGGCCAAACATGAGAGTACCCTTTTTCTCCATGGTTTCCAGTAGCTATTAGCATTCTTTTTAATATTTTACAGTCTGGTGGCTATAAAAAGATATTTCATAATTGCTTTAATTTGTATTTTCCTGACTACTATTCAGTTTGGACAACTTTTAATATGTTTTTTAGGCATTTGGGTTTGCCCTTCTCTGAATTGTTAGTGAGTATGCTTTGATCATTTTTCTTTTGGGATATTTTTCTTTTTATTTTGTTTGGTCAACTTATAGGAGCTCCTAGACTATAAAAGATGTTAATCCTTTATCTAAAATCATTATTTGTAAATTGTTTTTCAAATCTATCAGTGTATTGATATTACTTATATTTCTAATTGACATAGCAATATTTTACATTTACATTTTCCAAGTTCTGTCTTTTCTTTCATTCCTGTTGTGGTTTTCCTTTGGGTTTTGTGGGTATGTTTGTTTTGTTTTGCATTAGCCTTTTTTTTTTTTTTTTTTTTGATGGAGCTTTGCTGTTGTTGCCCAGTCTGGAGCGCAATGGTGCGATCTCAGCTCACTGCAACATCTGCCTCCTGAGTTCAAGCAATTCTCCTGCCTCAGCCTCCTGAGTAGCTGGGATTACAGGCATGTGCCACCATGGCCCGGCTAATTTTTGTATTTTTAGTAAAGACAGGGTTTCACCATGTTGGTCAGGCTGGTCTCGAACTCCTGACTTCAGGTGATCCACCTGCCTCAGCCTCCCAAGGTGCTGGGATTATAGGCGTGAGCCACTGCGCCTGGCTTGTTTGGGATTAATGTTTAATCCACCTGTTTTTTTAATTAGCATATGATGTGAGCTGAGGGCTTAATTTTATTTTCTTCCAGTTGTTTAGGTAGTTTTGCCACCACTGATTATTTAATAAGTTATCTATGTTTTATTGGATTGAAATATCAAAATACCACCTTCATGAAAAGTTGAACATTTTATTTCTGTATATGGATTTATTTCTTAATTTTCTGTTACAGTCTACTCATTTATTTTTTACTCATAAGTTAATACCAAATTGATTTGGTGCAATAGCTTTATAGAATGTTCTATATCTGATCATGCAAGTCCCATCCATATTTTTCCATTTTTTTCTTAGTATTTTTATTAGCATTTGTTAATCCATCTGAATGTTATGATTATTATATTCAGATTTTAAAAAATACCACTCTTAGGATTTATAGGTTATCATAATGGGGCAAGGTTGTGAATAACAGACTTCAACATAGCCTGTTAAAGAAGTTGGACTCTTTAAAAGCAAAATGTGGAAGCTGAGAGTATGATTATAAAAAGCAACAGATAGCACAGCATAGTCTTAGACAGAAATGTGGCTTCCTACATCCCCTCATGTTTCCCACAAGGATGTGATGAGTGAATATTGCCTGGAGGAAGTGAGGATTTGACCATTTATTTGAAGGCCCCTTTGCCATTCTCCTGGAGATTTTATACCATCTTGGCCTCCTTTTTTATGTCCTGAGGATTCCAGCTCCTTTCCTGCTCCTAAGCTTCCAGTAATGCATGCAAAACATCCTTAATGAATACCTGAGTGGGTTCTATGAAGTTAGGTGAAGTACAGTTTGAAATCCCAGCAGTATCTACTAGCAAGTCTAGGCTTTTGGCCTGACTCAGAACCATTCCTGAAGGATTCACACTGGATTTGCTTTATATGCCATACATTAATTTTGGAAGAAATGACATTTTTATGACATTGTCTTTCTGTAAGGACCTTATATGTCTTTATTTATTCAGATGTTTTATTCCCTTCTGTAACATTTCATATTTTTCTTCTTTTATATTGTATTCCTTATTTTCATTGCTACTTATTTTACGGTTTTTGTTTAGGTTGAGAACAGAATATTTTCCCCACTTCTATTGCCAAGTACTTATTTCTAATAAAGAGAAAAAAAATCTTCAGCTCTGTATACTCATATTATTCAGCTACATCACCAAAATCTTTTATTAATTTTAGAAGTTTTTTCTACTAGTGTTTTTTAATTTTCTAGTTAAAAATTATTCCTCATTAACAAATAAGAATAGCTTTAATTTTTTAAATAATTATACTCATTATTTCATTTTTCATACTACATTATCTATAATCTCCAATATAATATCCTAAAATGATAATGGTGATAACAACTATGTGCTTACATTCTTAACATATATAATTAAATATCAATGTTTTTCTCAAAGCCTGAAGTTAGTTGGTATTATATCCTCCTGAATACGAGCTTGAAAGGCTTTATCCAGTTGACTCTCTCCTATCCCATCATCTTTTTTTAACATAAAAATTAATTCTAAGTTAATAGCTATTAAAATTTACCAACACTTCTTTTTTTTTTTTTTTTTTTTTTTTGTTTCTCCTTCCTTAGGGCTTACTTGTATTTTTACTAAAGTACATTCTTTAGCAGTTCATTTAATAAAGGTCTCTGGTAATAAACTCTATGAGTCTTTTTTGAACATGTCCTTATTTTGCCCTTACTTTTAGCTGGATTGCCTATTAAACTTTCTCAACACTTTTAATATACTTTGTCATCTATTATTGGAGGAACATCTGTGTCAGTCTTACTCTATGAGTAATCTATCTTTTTTGGTAGCTTTTAAGATTTCTTGTGATATTTTCCAATTTCTGTGGAATGTTTCTACGTGTGGATTTATTTTAATTATTCCGTTTGACACATTGTAAATTTTGACTTTTTGGAAAATTTTACTCATTTTCTCTCTAAATAGTGCTACTTCACCATTTCTTCTTTTCTGAATCTCTTGTCGACATATTTTGGGGATCTATAATTGTTTTTGTTTTTGTTTTGAGACAGAGTCTCACTCTGTCACCCAGGCTGGAGTGCAGTGGCACAGTCTCGGCTCACTACAGCCTCTACTTCCCCGGTTCAAACAATTCTCGTGCCTAGCCTCCTGAGTAGCTGGGACTACAGGCGCGTGCCCCCACACCTGGCTAATTTTTGTATTTTTAAGAGACGGGGTTTTGCCATGTTGGCGAGGCTGGCCTCGAACTCCTGACCTCAAGTGATCTGCCCACCTCAGCCTCCCCAAGTGCTGGGATTACAGGTGTGAGCCACCATGCCCAGCCTATAATTGTTTCTATCTTATGTCTCTTTATGCGGTATTGTGGATGACTTCCTTATATCCATCTTATAATAAATTAGGCCTTTTTATTGAGGATTATAGAAACTTATCTATAATAAATTTTGAATGTTTTACTCCAGAAACTATTTTTTAATTTTCATTTTTTGACTTGGATCTTCATGTCTTTTATGTTTTATTTGTGCCTATTTTGGTTTTATAACTTCTTGTTTCCTTTTTTATCTAATTGTGCATCCTAACTACCTTTTTTAAATGTCTTTTTAAAGTTCAGCTGTCTTCATTTGCCCATAATGAGTTAATCTTCAGTTTGTTTTGAAATTTCAGTTAATGCATTTAAAATGTTCATCTTGAATAGGAGGTTCTTCCTATATTTCTCCTTCCTCTCACTCACAGATCCCTGTCTGGCAATTTTATACTTAAGTCAGCATTCAGCAGTAACTTTAGCTGCCCTTCCTAGAGCAGAGGTCCCACACACTCCTCTGCTTCCGAGCAGGGAGCCTGACCCAGGAGCTTTATACTTATCTCCCTGTGGTGCTGTTATTTCCCACTTACCTATAAGCTGACCTCCTCCTCTTCTGGAGCCCTGAAAGCCTGTGGCTTAGCCAGCCTATCACTTTGCATTTCTGTTTCATTTTTGATCCTCATACATATTTATCTTTTTTAAAAAAAAAAGATAAGGCTATATCTTATCAATTTTCTCTTTCTATATTTATCTTCTTGCTGCTTTCTTTTTGGAGCAGGTAATATTTGATTATAGAGGTGGCTCACAGTTTGAATTTCCAGTGATTTCTTGTTTTTTCTTTTAATACTCGTTACCTGTAATAACACACCCCACTGGTCTTCAACAAATCTAAATTCCTTAGTGCTGAGTTGGGAATTGTGTTGGATTTATTATTTCTCAGAATAATTGTGATCTTTCCCCCACAAGTTAGAGATGCTCCTGTTATGCCAAAATTTTTGTTTTAGCAAGAATTGACCTGTAAAGCCAGCACTTTTAAAAAGCAGTTTTTCGGAATCAGTGAAGAGCAAAGGCCAAGCCTTTTGCTCCTACTCATTCTTTCCTGCTTTTTTTTTTTTTTTTTTTTTGAAATAGGGTCTTACTGTGTTGCCCTGGCTGGAGTACAGTAGTATGTTCACCACTTATTGCAGCCTCGACCTTCTTGGGCTCAAGTGATCCTCCCACCTCAGCCTCCAAAGTAGCTGGGACTACCAGCACACACCACTATACCCAGCTAATTTTTTGTGCTTTTTGTAGAGATGGAGTTTTACCATGTTGCCCAGGCTGGTCTTGAACTCCTGGGCTGAAACAATTTGCCTGCCTTAACCTCCCGAAGTGCTAGGATTATAGGCATGAGCCATCATGCTCAGCCATCCATTTGTTAATTAGGCAAGAAAATACAATATAAGGAGAGGGCAGATAAGATATAGAATACTAGAGAAATCCTTTCCAAGTCCTTTCTTTTGTTGATAAGGTACTTGGGGTTTGGAGGTCTTTTTCTATCTCTTTTTTTTTTTTTGTTTTTAATGTTTCCTTGTTCCGAAAAGTCCTTCTGTCTAAATACATAGTGAGGTCTTTCACATAAAAAGAAATGTTGTATGTGTCAGAAATCTTTGAATTGCAAGTGACGGAAACTTGATTCCAACTAGGAAAATCAAAACAAACTTTTTTCCTCATATAATGGGGAATAATGAATTGATCTGGTCTTAGGGGATGAATTCAGGAACTCAGATTATGTTGAAAGAGCTCATCTGTTTTCTTGTTATTTCTCTTTCTACATTGACCTCATTTTTTCCCATTCGAGGAAACTTTTTCCACATTGGTTCAGGAATGGCTGTTAGGTGACGGGGTTTGCTGTAGGCAACTCCAGGTTTAATTTGATAAAACTTAAAAAAATAAGGAGAGGCCGAGTGTGGTGGCTCACTCCTGTAATCCCAGCACTCTGAGAGGCCGAGGCGGGTGGATCACCTGAGGTCAGGAGTTCAAGACCAGCCTGAACAACATGGTGAAAGCCCGTCTCTAGTAAAAGTACAAAAATTAGCTGGGCCTGGTGGCACGTGCCTGTAATCCCAGCTACTCAGAGGCTGAGGCATGAGAATCACTTGAACCCTGGAGGCGGAGGTTGCAGTGAGCCAAGAACGTGCCATTGCACTCTAGCGTTGGCAACAAGAGCGAAACTCCCTCTCAAAAATAAATAAATAAATAAATAAGGAGAGTGCTCTTTGTCTCCTAAGCTGTTGAACATAAAATCCCAGGAACAGATCTGATTGGCCTAACTTAGGCCACATATCTGTCTTTGCACAGATCACCCTGGCCAGGGTCTTGGTCCTATGCCCATGCATTTATGTGTGTTTTTGGCTACTGTGATTGGTATTCCAAGTAGCAGATACCTTGTTAGAAGGTAATTCTGCTCTGACCAGAAGAGAGGAACGGTTGGCACCAGACAAAAACTGATGTCTATTTTGTCTATGTAATGGTTGTTTTAACTTTTTCTTTTTACAGACAGAAAGAATTTACTTTCAGGTTTTCTTACCTAAAGGGAGCAAAGAGAAGAGCAAACCAATGTTCTTTTGCCACCGATGGAGCATTGGAAAGGCCATAGACTTTGCCGCTTCTCTAGCCAGGCTTAAAAATGACAATAACAAATTTACAGCTAAGGTAACATCTCATTATAATAATATTTCTATATTAATAAAGGTTTTATGATGCTCCATTCAAGCATGTTTATTTATTACAGTATGACTTACTTCTCCCTTCACAGAAATTAAGGCTGTGTCACATTACTTCAGGAGAAGCCTTACCCTTGGATCATACTTTGGAAACCTGGATTGCTAAGGAGGATTGTCCTTTATATAATGGTGGAAATATAATCTTGGAATATCTTAATGATGAAGAACAATTCTGTAAAAATGTTGAATCTTACTTGGAATAGTCATTCAAAGATTCAAGTCAGAAATCACAGGGAAAATTCTATTACATGTTTAAGTCCATTTATTTTACTACAAATACTATTTTTGTAATTTTTAAAAGTTGCTTTTTAACTTATTTCCCCTTATGTCACATTTTAAATTATGAGTTTTCTATTAGAGTTTTTTGGTTTTAAGTTTAATTGTGTACGGATCCTCAATTATTAGCAAATTCTTATATTTAATTAGCTTTCATTAGTTTATGCTGTAGTGACAACAACAAAGATGTATTTCCTGGTGGGGGATGTCAGCTGTTGATTGGCTGTGACACTGCTTTGTGTCATCTTCTTACCATGATCAAAGGCAAAGGAAGGGATCTCTTTTGGGACATTGTGATTGTTTTAGCAGAGAGAGAAAGAGATGAAATACACTTCGGTTTTCTCTTAAAAGATGCATGTATCATACGTGCTTTAAGCAAGTCATGTGGCCAAGCCTAGCATCATGGAGCCAGAAAGTATAGCCTTGCTGTCTGTCTACATCATGATGTATAAATTGATATATCTACATGAATTATAGAAACTTAGAAGTGATCTTTATTCAGTCTTATAATTTTTACATGAAGAATCTTAGGCCTAGGAGGAGAAAATGATTTTCTTTCTATTACCTAACTAGATTGGGGCATATTTCTGATAAAGACCCACCTCTAGTGAGATTCATCTTTTTTGTTTGTGTGACTATATTCCATAGAGAAGAAAGATGGGATAGCTCAACTTCATTATATACCAAAGCAAAACACATGCCAAATGATGACTACATTTTACCAACATATTTAGACGAGTATTCTTGACTAGTGTTTACTATCTATACCCCCAAAACTACTACTATATAGACAGAATGGAAAGTATTTCTATTTGTCCTTTTTTTGTTTTCTGTTCTAATTGTCAGGGACATATGTAGTGGCTATAGGTTTACTTAAAAGGAATAAATTTGGAATGCTCATTTGGTTTATTTCCTTTCTAATTCTTCATATTATTTTTATGTGAGGAATGGAGATAATTTCCAACTTTTATTATGTTCTTGTACTTTCATTCATTAGCATAGTTATTTGAGTTCCCACTAAATGTAGGGATTTGTCCTAATTGCCATGATTAATACAATGATGATATGTATACATACAGGTATACCTTGGAAATATTGTGGGTTCAGTTTCAGACTACCACACAAAGCAAATATTGGAGTATATTGAGCCAGACAAATTTTTTTTTGTTTCCCAGGGCATATAAAAATTATGTTTACACTATACTATAGTCTATTTAATGTGCAATAGCATTATGTCTAAAAAATGTATATACTTTAAGTAAAAAAATACTTTATTGCTAAAAAATGCTAATAATATCTGAGCCTTCAACAATTTGTAATGTTTTTGCTGATGGAGGGTCTTGCCTAATTTCAATAGCTACTGACTGATTGGGGCGGTAGTTACAGAAGGTTGGGGTGGCTGTGACAACTTCTTAAAATAAGACCACAGTGAAGTTTGCCACATTGATTGACTCTTCTTTTCATGAAAGATTTCTGTGTAGCATGCAATGCTTTTGATAGCATTTTTTCCTGAGTAGAACCTCTTTCAAAATTGAAGTCAATCCTCTTAAACCCTGCCACAGCTTTATCAACTAAGATAATGGAATATCTAAATTTTTTGTTACCATTTCAACAATGTTCTTAGCATCTTCACTAGGAGGAGATTCTCTCTTATTTTATTTATTTATTTATTTATTTTTTCTGAGGTGGAGTTTCACTCTTGTTGCCCAGGTTGGAGTACAGTGGTGTGATCTTGGCTCACTGCAACCTCCGCTTCCCAGGTTCAAGTGATTCTCCTGCCTCAGCCTCCTGAGTAGCTGGGATTACAGGCATGCGCCACCACACCTGGCTAATTTTGAATTTTTAGTGGAGACGGAGTTTCTGCATGTTGGTCAGGCTGGTCTGAAACTCCCGACCTCAGGTGATCTGCCTACCTCAGCCTCACAAAGTGCTGGGATTACAGGCGTGAACCACCATGTCCGGCCGAGATTCCCTCTTAAGAAACCACTCTTTGCTCATCCATAAGAAGCAACACCTCATCCATTCAGCTTTTGTTAAGAGATTGCAGCAATTCAATCACATCATCAAACTCTACTTCTACTTCTTGTTTTCTTGCCAATTCCACCACATCTACAATTATAAGATCACTAATTGCAGATCACAAAAACAGATGTAATAATAATGAAAAAGTTTGAAATATTGAGAGACTCACCAGACTGTGACACAGATACACAAAGTAAATGCATGCTATTAGAAAAATGGCTCTGGTAGGTCGGGCGTGGTGGCTCACACCTGTAATCCCAGCACTTTGGGAGGCCGAGGCGGGTGGATCACTTGAGGTCAGGAGTTCGAGACCAGCCTGGCCAACATAGTGAAACCCTGTCTCTACTAAAAATACAAAAATTAGCTTGGTGTGGTCGTGGGCGCCTGTAATCCCAGCTACTGGGGAGGATGAGGCAGGAGAATCACTTGAGCCTGGGAGGTAGAGGTTGCAGTGAGCCGAGATCATGCCACTGCACTCCAGCCTGGTGACAAAGCAAAAAAGACTGCATTTGATTTAATCTGATGCAACACAAAATGGAGTGCCATAACATGTGCTATGTTTGCACTTACATACAAAGTAGTGTAGCGGATGCTAATTTAGTAGATAATCAGTATGCCTATGTTCCAATAACTCTTTTATCAGAAAGTATAACACTTAAATATATGCCCAGATACCAATAAATTTTAGTGACAACTAATACTGTAATGCTTAGCACAATTACTTGCACATACGAGAAGATCAGCACATGGTCATGCAGTTGACTAAAACTATGCCAGAAAAATAATGAGGTTGAGAAGTGGGGAAGTAAGGCTGACAGGAATTGAGTTAAACCTAAGGAGAATGAAGAAGTCCTATCAATGATTAGATAGAAAAGAGACAAGGCAGTCTGGATGGAAGGACTTATATTATTAATATTAGCAGGCTTACTGGTGGTAAGTTAGGTGTGGTCCCAGATAGTGGAGCAAACTAGTCTGGTGGAGACAGGAGCTAGCATCCTTAGTACTGGGGACTGGTGGCTGCAGCAGGAACTGTCTCCTAAAGAGAACAAGATGTGGGAGAAAGGGAAAAGACTCAGTTTCTAGCCTCTATTTCTAAATTACTCAGAAAGCAGACAACTTTCTCAGGCTTTCGATTAGGGTTTTCAGTTGAGGATGCTTAGAAAAATTTTAAAGATTCACTCTCCCCACTCCACTCTAGCATCTTTCCACCTGCTTGCAGACAAATTTCAAGTAGCAAATCCACAAAGAGAATAAAAGTGTTTTAAATTTACATAAGTAATGGAAATAACAATATAATAAAAATGAGTTCTAGTTTAAAAAATCAGGCAGCAAATGCTAGGGAACTTCAAAAAGTTCATGGAAAAACTGAAAGATAAAAATAGGCCAGGGCTGGGCACAGTGGCTCAAGGCTGTAATCCCAGCACTTTGGGAGACTGAGGTGGGTGGATCACTTGAGGTCAGGAGTTCAAGACCAGCCTGGCCAACATGGTGAAACCCATCTCTACTAAAAATACAAAAAACTAGCCAGGCATGGTGGTGCATGCCTGTAATCCCAGCTACCTGGGAGGCTGAGACAGGAGAATCACATGAACCCAGGAGGGGGAGGTTGCAGTGAACCAAGATTATACCATTGCACCCCAGCCTGGGTGACAGAGCAAGACTTCGTCTCAAAAAAAAAAAAAAAAAGGACAGGTGTGGTGGCTCACACCTGTAATCCTGATACTTTGGGAGGCCGAGGCAGCAGGATCACTGGAGCCCAGGAGGTCGAGGCTGCAGTGAGCCATGATCTTGCCACTATACTCCAGCCTGGGCAATAAAGCGAGACCCTGTCTCAAAAAAGAAAACAGATAAAAATATAAAACATAAACTTTATTTTTCAACATAAGCTCCATCAAGTTTAAGACACTTTCGTAAGCAATGACGCCAGCCACTTAGTCCATTGCAAAATAACTGATGGTCCTGGATATTTAATCATGTTAATGCAGTCTGTTTCTTAACTAAAGAAAAATGGGTGCCCTTTAAAGTTTTTTTTTTTTTTTAAAGATTAGGAAACAGGAAGTCAGAAGAAGCAAAATTAGACCTCCTAAGGTAGATGCCTAATGATTTACCATCAAAATTCAAAATTTTCCTTGTTTTATGAGAGGAATGAGCAGGAGCATTGTCTTAGTGGAGAAGCAATCTCTGGTGAAGCTTACCTGGGCATTTTTCTGCTAAAACTTTGGCTGTCTCTAAACATTCTCATATTTTTTTTTTCTTTTTGTAGAGATAGGTCTTGCTATGTTGCCCAGACTGGTCTTGAACTCCTGGCCTCAATGGATCCTCCTGCCTTGGCCACCAAAAGTGCTGAGACTACAGGCATAAGCCACTGTACCCAGCCTCATAACACCTTTATAATAAGCAGACGTTATTGTTCTTTGGCTCTCCAGAAAGTCAACAAGAAAAATGCTTTGAGCATCCCAAAAAATAGTTGCCATGACCTTGCTTTTGACTAGTCCACTTTTATTTTGACTGGACCACTTCCACCTCTTGGTAGCTATTGCTCTGTTTGTGCTTTGTTTTCGGGATTATTCTGGTAAAGCCATGTTTCATCTCCTGTTACAATTCTTGGAAGAAATCCTTCAGGATCTTGATCCCACTTGTTTAAAATTTTTATTGAAAGACAACTGAAATTTTAAGTAGAAAACCCACCAGGAGAACAAAAGTACTCTTGTCTGTAGCTGATCTGGGTGCAATAGTTTCGGTACCCATCAAGTGGAAAGTTTGCTCAAGTTTAATTTTTCTGTCAGCATTGTGTAAGCTGAACCAACTGAGACATCTATGATGTTGGATATTGTATTAGTCCATTCTCACACTGCTATAAAGAACTACATGAGGTCGGGCGTGGTGGCTCACACCTGTAATCCCAGCACTTTGGGAGGCCAAGACAGGTGGATCACCTGAGATCAGGAGTTCGAGACAAACCTGGCCAACATGGTGAAACCCCATATCTACTAAAAATACAAAAATTTGCTGGGCATGATGACAAACACCTGTAATCCCTGCTACTCACAAGGCTGAGGCAGGAGAATCACTTGAACCTGGGAGGCGGAGCTTGCAGTGAACCGAGAGAGCACCACTGCATTCCAGTCTGGGTGACAAGAGTGAAACTCTGTCCTCCCAAAAAAGAATTACCTGAGAGTGCGTACTGTATAAAGAAAAGAAGCTTGACTCAGTTCCACAGGCTCTACAGGAAGCATGGCTGGGAGGCTCAGGAAACTTAAAATCATGGGAGAAGGGGAAGAAAGCACATCTTCACATGGCCAGCAGGAGACAGCAAGTGAAGAGGGAGGTGCTACACACTTTCAAACAACCAGATCTTGTGAGAACTCTATCATGGGACAGCACTAGGGCGATGGTGCTAAACCATCAGAAGCCATGCACATGATCCAATCATCTCCCTCCATGTCCCTCCTCCAACACTTCCTGTCATTACACTTCTGCATGAGATTTGGGTGGGGACACACAGCCAAACCATATTAGATATTGTCTGTGCTTTTTTTCTTCACAAATTGCTGTGAATGGTCTGCTGCTACGGGCTTCATCTTCAACATTGTCTCATCTCTTAAAATGAGTTATCCATTTGTAAACTGCAGATCTCCTTGGGGTATTGTCTCCATAACCTTTATGTGAAGCATCAATGATTTCACCATTCTTCCACCCAAACCTCACCATAAATTTGATGTGTGTTCTTCCTTCAATTTTAGCAGAATTTATGTTTCTCTGATAAAAGAGCTCTTTTCTAAATGTCTTATCATAGTTAGTGTCCCTCACTAGATCCTGTTCAGACATGTTACAAAAAGTTTATTCTGGTGCAAAAAAAAAATTGAAATTCATACACACTTTTTTATAATACATATTTTCCATGAAAATTTAGAAGAACACTTATATAGATGAATGATAGATTATCAAAGTTTTCCTAGATTTGTCAGGCTTTGTTCTTCACGGTTTTCAAATGAAAGGGCCTGGAGAAACCGAAGAACTAAAAGGGTTGCAGAAAGAGTCCTAAGGGGAAAGAAAAACTGATATACTCACATCTTCGACCTAGGCAACAAAAGTTATGAGTCAAGATATTTGGTCACATAACTAAAGATAACTTAGGTTTTATGACATTTTTGTTTTTTGTTTTGTTTTTGTCAGTTAAAATAGGGAAATTTTAACTGAAATATCAATGAACAGTCCCATTCCCTATCCTCACCATTGGTACAGCGGATCTTGTTTTTCTTAATGTGGTACATATTAATAAAATTTATGAGACCTAAGGTCTACTGCATTTGAAAGATTAACCGACATAAATGGTATACTTTTATAAAACTCGTTAAAATGACAAAAAGGTTTCACATTTTTGAGGAACAAATGATCTAAAATACTTAATACAAATTGGCATTACCTTGAACACATTGCATCATGATTACATGAAAGAGCTGCTGAAATGGTCATGTGTTCAGAGACTACTACATCTGTAGGCTTAATAGTAAACGTTTGGTTGGTTGGTTGGTCGGCTGGTTGGTTTGCTGCTTAGCATCAGGACACCCACCCCTTGTGTGGGAAATATACAAGTGTGTGAGTCTATGGGTTGAAATCCAAAAAGCCTGATGCTTTTTCTCATTCCTGGCAACCAAGGGATATGACCAAATTGGGTCAATTGAATGCCCTTGCCCCTAACTGTGAACAGAGAGTAGTGTTACAAACAAGGAATAAAAGATTAGAATCAATGCCAGTGTCTTTCCATTGCCCCATCGTGTCAGGGTCCAAGTGTCCAGTAGCTGTGGTCCCTTAACCAGCCTGTACCTTTGGCCGTGGCACCAGCTACCTACTTTCCCTATGTCCCCAAGTTATCTGGTAACCATTCAGGAATTTTTTTTCCTACTTAGGTATACAAAAAACAGTGTCAGTTTTTGCTTGACAGATTAAATCATCCTTCAGAGATGCAGGAAAACTATTAGCAGCCAAGGGATGCTGCCAAGGCCAGTGTCTGGGCTCTGCAGTTTTCTAACTTGTGATATTGGGTCACCCCACTAAGCTCCAGGAGAGCAGCGACTGCATCTGGCTTAATCATTATGGGATGGCCAGCTCCCAATTCCATGCCCTAGGCAAAGAGACATTCAGTGAATATTGATTTGACTTCGACTTGATTGAACAAAATGGTAACACTGAACTCTAGGTTTCCTCAGTGTCTGTTACAGATTTCTTGATCCTGACTGCTTTTAATTTTTTTTTTTTTAGCAAGAAATAACTAACGAATGATGACACTAAGCTTTAAATTCAAGTAAATAGGAGGCTTTTTTTTTTCGCATAAGCAGAAATGAGGAAATCAAGAGGAAGAGATTAGATTTCTGTTGTGATAAATCGAATCTGTTAAATGCCATGACTTTTTAATTGTCTTAATCACAAGTTAAACCGGTTGTGTTGCTGCTTAGATGGCTATATATTTGTTTAAAAGTACAGCAGTCCCTCCTACTGGACTTTGATCCTACAAAAACAACTGTTATCTAACTCACCCTCAGACTGTCACTGGAACACCTGCATGAAGAATGTTCTTTCATTTTTTAAAAACGATTTTGCATATATGATTTATTTCAGCTTTCAAAATGATTAGAAAACTTTTTATTGTTCTACTTTTGTTGCTTGTGACTATAGAAGAAGCAAGGATGTCATCGCTCAGTTTTCTGAATATAGAGAAGACTGAAATACTATTTTTCACAAAGACTGAAGAAACCATCCTTGTAAGTTCAAGCTACGAAAATAAACGGCCTAATTCCAGCCACCTCTTTGTGAAAATAGAAGATCCTAAAATACTACAAATGGTGAATGTGGCCAAGAAGATCTCATCAGATGCTACAAACTTTACCATAAATCTGGTGACTGATGAAGAAGGAGAAACAAATGTGACTATTCAACTCTGGGATTCTGAAGGTAGGCAAGAAAGACTCATTGAAGAAATCAAGAATGTGAAAGTCAAAGTGCTCAAACAAAAAGACAGTCTACTCCAGGCACCAATGCATATTGATAGAAATATCCTAATGCTTATTTTACCACTAATACTATTGAATAAGTGTGCATTTGGTTGTAAGATTGAATTACAGCTGTTTCAAACAGTATGGAAGAGACCTTTGCCAGTAATTCTTGGGGCAGTTACACAGTTTTTTCTGATGCCATTTTGCGGGTTTCTTTTGTCTCAGATTGTGGCATTGCCTGAGGCGCAAGCTTTTGGAGTTGTAATGACCTGCACGTGCCCAGGAGGGGGTGGGGGCTATCTCTTTGCTCTGCTTCTAGATGGAGATTTCACATTGGCCATTTTGATGACTTGCACATCAACATTATTGGCTCTGATCATGATGCCTGTCAATTCTTATATATACAGTAGGATATTAGGGTTGTCAGGTACATTCCATATTCCTGTTTCTAAAATTGTGTCAACACTCCTTTTCATACTTGTGCCAGTATCAATTGGAATAGTCATCAAGCATAGAATACCTGAAAAAGCAAGCTTCTTAGAGAGAATAATTAGACCTCTGAGTTTTATTTTAATGTTCGTAGGAATTTATTTGACTTTCACAGTGGGATTAGTGTTCTTAAAAACAGATAATCTAGAGGTGATTCTGTTGGGTCTCTTAGTTCCTGCTTTGGGTTTGCTGTTTGGGTACTCCTTTGCTAAAGTTTGTACGCTGCCTCTTCCTGTTTGTAAAACTGTTGCTATTGAAAGTGGGATGTTAAATAGTTTCTTAGCTCTTGCCGTTATTCAGCTGTCTTTTCCACAGTCCAAGGCCAATTTAGCTTCTGTGGCTCCTTTTACAGTAGCCATGTGTTCTGGATGTGAAATGTTACTGATCATTCTAGTTTACAAGGCTAAGAAAAGATGTATCTTTTTCTTACAAGATAAAAGGAAAAGAAATTTCCTAATCTAACAATTAAAGCATTACTGAATTCCTACTCTGGGTAGGGCACTGTGGGAGAGTAAAAGAATAACTATAATGATACCTGCTCTTAAGCCACTTATAATGTAATTAAAAATCTGACATTGGGGGGTAGAGAATACATATATATATATACACACACACACACACACACACACACACATTCGTATATGCTAAGTACTCAATGAGTGGTGGAGATGATAATACAGAAGTTCAGAGGAAGGAGACAACTTTGCAACTGTGTTGGTTTGAGAATGTTTTATAGGCTATGATGTCAATATGATACTTTCAGTGGTCTCCTAAATGAGACAGAGCAATAGAAAACTTATTTAGTGATTATGATATATCCTAAGTATTAAAAGAAGGAACACCCAGATAGCAGACATTTGACAAATTCTCACTCGGTGAATGAATTTGTAAATTTCATTAGCACATCAAAATAAGTATGTTTTAAAGTAAATGTGGCATCTCTGCCCTCAGAGCTAAGCTTTCTCCTGTCTTCCATGTTAACCCACCAAAGGCATTACTGTTTACCCCACAACACAGGGTCAGCTCTTCAACCTCATCTCTCTTCTGTCTTCTTTCTTTCTTTCTTTATAGTGAATGTATTTCCTACAGAAACAGCCTGTAATTCAATTGCCAGTGCTCTTCTCAATTCTCAGTGCTATCACTTTTTTCTGCACTATATTGCTTCTTCCCTAAACCTTTCTAAATTGGCTTCTGGCCTGTCTCTCCACCCTCTACTCACTGTCAGATTAATTTTCCTAAAATCTAACATTGACCATATAATTTCCCAGCAATGAAGACTTTTTGCTTTTTAAATGAATTTGTATTTCTTAATGAGGCATTTATTATACTCTACTGTCTGACCTTAACCTAGCTTCCCAGTTTTATTTATTATTATTATTTTTTTTTTTTTTTTGAGAAGGAGTCTCACTTTGTCACACAGTCTGGAGTGCAGTGGTGTGATCTCGGCTCACTGCAACCTCCGCCTCCCAGGTTCAAGTGATTCTCCTGCCTCAGCCTCACCAGTAGCTGGGATTACAGGCGCCTGCCACCACTCCCAGCTAATTTTTGTGTTTTTAGTAGAAACGGGGTTTCACCATCTTGGCCAGGTTGGTCTTGAACTCCTGACCTTGTGATTCATGTGCCTCAGCCTCCCAGAGTGCTAGGATTACAGGCTTGAGCCACCACGCCCAGCCAGTTTCCCAGTTTCATTATATCTCCTCTCTCACCTCGTTACACATAGTCTTTTACCCAAACAGAATGACTTAGTATGTTATGAGTATTGTTCATTCCAGCTAACCTGGCTTGTTTTATGACTATTTGTGTCCTGTTTTAATTTTCCTATTTTGCTCTAAGTCTTTGAGCATAATAACTATGTTTATTCATTTTGATATTCCCTATCACATCTAACACAGTATCTTCTGTGTGCTTATTCAAATAATGTGTTGAAGCACAGACTAGTGTCCAAATAAATAGTGTGCTTTTCAAAAACCTCCTTTTAATCTTCAGTGAAAATTTTTATTATCTAGGGCAAGTCTACGATCTTGTGCAAGAAAGTGTGGGATCGAGAATAGGAAATATCACTCTAAATAATCCTGCTTTCCCTATTTCCTAGCCTTATGGCAAATTCTTTGATCTTCTTATAGTCCAGTTTTCTCATTTAACAAATGAAGCTAATGGTGTCAACTCCATAGATTGTCCTAGGAATTAAGTGAGAGTATACATGTAATGTGCTTGGAAGAGTGCCTGGGACATAGTAAGTGCTATTGTTTTATCAGTTTTAACTTTCAACCCTGGTAGATCTGCTGCTAGTTTGAAATAGCAATCGTATAACTATGTATGGAGCCTAAAACTTTCAACATTTTCTATCAGTACTATTCACCATCTTGATCATAGAATTAGAGAATTTTTGTTTACTTTGCCAGTTGATAAGATAACCAAGGTTCTTTTTTCTTTAAATGCCACCAAATCCAGTATATGACTACCAAAATTTGTATAAAATCTGATATAAACCAAATAGACATGATAGATGTTTATTTGGTTTATAAAGTGATAATTGTGTATGTAGAATATTTTACTCCTTTAAACTGAAATATCCACTATAGGTTTAAAATAGAATTACATTTGTACAAATTTAACTTACATAATGTTTTGGGTTTTTTGTTTGTTTGTTTGTTTTGTTTTGTTTTTCTGAGACAGAGTTTTGCTCTTGTTGCCCAGGCTGGAGTGCAATGGTGCGATCTTGGCTCACCACAACCTCCACCTCCCAGGTTCAAGCGATTCCTGCCTCAGTCTCCTGAGTAGCTGGGACAACAGGCATGCGCCACCATACCCGGCTAATTTTGTATTTTTAGTAGAGATGGGGTTTCTCCATGTTGGTCAGGCTGGTCTCAAACGCCCAACCTCAGGTGATCCGCCCACCTCGGCCTCCCAAAGTGCTGGGATTACAGGCCTGAGCCACCGTGCCTGGCTGACTTGTTTTTTTTTTTTTTCTTTTTTTTTTTTGGGCGGGGGGACGGAGGCTCACTCTGTTACCCAGGCTGGAGTACAGTGGCATGATCTCCACTCACTGCAACTTCTGCCTTCCAGGTTCAAGCAATTCTCCTGCCTCAGCCTCCTGAGTAGCTGGGATTACAGGTGACTGCCACAATGCCCAGCTAATTTTTGTATTTTGGGTAGAGATTTTTGTATTTTTGTATCTGGTTTCGCCATGTTGGCCAGGCTGGTCTTGAACTCCTGACCTCTTGGGCTGCACTTCTAGCTCCATCATCTTACCAGCTGGGGAACATTTTGGTCAAGTTACTTGATTTCTCTATGCCCAAATTCATGCTGAAAATGGCGATAATGGTAGTACCTACCTCGTGGTATTATTGTGAGGATTAAGTGAATTAATATGAGCAAGGTCCTCATAAGAATGCCTGACACATGGTAAGCCCTATTATTATTTTTGTTACATTATGCATATTTAAATGATCTTATAAAGCAGTTGCAAGGGCATGGATGGAATTTGGAGTATATTTTATTTCTTTAATAGATGTATCAAGGAGGACAGATTTTACATAGTAAAACTTGTCCAAAAATATGGATAGGGATGGGGTGACCCAAGTTATTCCTTTTTAAAAAAATAAGAATGAGAGGCATAAAGCAGACTGACTAATCAGTTGAGTTCATACCAACTATTTTCCACAGCCACGATTCTATAAGATAGAATAACGATCCAGAGATAGAATGGTTATGCCAATTTTTAAAAAAGTTTCTTTCCAGCTCTTAAGAGATGATTCTATGATACACTCTTCCAAGAATAACAATTTTATGATATATATTTTTATATCTTGGAAAGCTGTTGGCCTTATAAGGGTATGTCAAAGTCTTAACCAATATATGCAACTCCAATCTGTTATATCAAACATGAGATCTTATTAGATATCCTTGGACACTCCACCCCTGAACAGCTGCCATGGTGTATTTATATTTGATCATTTAAATCAAAGTCCACTTAAATAATTATTATAACCAAGAACGTCTTCGCATGTGGAACCTGAATTATTTTTTAGTGAAGAGAGTGGTTATTTAAAAAGAAGTCATCTCCAAAGACTAAGTGTAGTTGGCAAGATGCCCACAATTTCTGGGGAAGGAATTCCTATGGCCCCTCTTTATTGTACAAATACAGAACAAGGAAGCACCTATTGCCCACTGGGAAGGATGACCAGACCACTTTGTGGCTTCACAGGGCCACCCTTCCCTAGAACTCTCTTGTGTACACTCAGCTGTCTGGGGAGGTGTCAGGGGCATTGGATCTCACCTCTCTTTCATTCTGAGGTTCAGCGTAATTACAACCTCTCTCATAGATGGGAGTCAGCTGACAGGAAAGGATACCAAAGGCCTCCAAGAGGGAACTCCCCTTAGGGAAGGTTGGAAGAGTGAGGAGCTGGACATCATGCCAGGAAGCAGAGTTTGTGCTGCTGTCCCCTGCCCCCGACAACCACCTGGGCACAGCAGATATTCTTAGGTTTGGGAACAATGGCTGCAGATGGGACTGTAGTTTTAAAAAATGCCCCTTTGGGAACTCAAGGGCCATGCATCCTGTACTGAGGTCTCTGCAGCCATGTGAACTACCTTCACAGCATCAGAGAAAAGATCCTTTGGATTTGTGAGACCAGTTTCCAGCCCCACTATAATCGAGCCTGAACACTAAGACTTCCCTGTGCACCGGCAGATTTTCACTTCACTTTCGGTAAGGCATTTGGAAGCAGAACGGCCTCTTTGGACTGAAAAATACTGAGTGAGTTACCTGAGAACCAATGTGAAGTAGCTGTTGAGGTGAGGCCTCTTGGAAAAACTGGACTTCCTGCTCACCTGACATAGGAAGCTTGTAAGGTTTTCATTTGAAGGGATATTTGATATTTAGTTTATTTTACTTCAAATTGTTTATGCTGATTTTAGCAGTTTTTTCAAGTCACTGAAACCACATTCATTTACATAAACTTAGATGACCGATGACTTTTCTGTTAAAACTTTGGAAATATTAGTTGGTTACGAATGAGCACTTGTCAGCATGCGGTTGGCAATATTTTTATTTTAAGAAGATTGGCAATGAAGAACCGAAAAACTAGCCTCAGAAGCCTTTTTTTTTTTTCTAAGAAAATAAAGTATCATTTGATAGACATCCAAACCGGATACCTAAGGCATCACTCTTTTTGGATTAAAGATGTTTATTGGTCCTTGTGAGGTGTGAGAATTGAGTCCAGTCCAAATTACTCATCTCTAAGACATTTCATTTGAAATATATTGGTGACATTTTGTCTTTTGATTAAACAAACAGAAACAGTAACTTCCTAAGCAAAGAGCCAAATAACTAACTTACTTTCCTGGTCCAGTTGTAGCTAGGACATCTTATATCTGTGCAATGCTTTTTGCACTATGATGGTGTATGTACCACGATGTCGCTCTTTCTTTCTTTCTTTCTTTCTTTCTTTTTTGAGATGGAGTTTCACTTTTGTTACCCAGGCTGGAGTGCAATGGCGCTATCTCGGCTCACTTCAACCTCCACCTCCGGGGTTCAAACGATTCTCCTGCCTCAGCCTCCCTCGTAGCTGGGATTACAGGCACCCACCACCATGCCTGGCTAATTTTTGTATTTTTAGTAGAGACAGAGTTTCACCATGTTGACCAGGCTGGTCTTGAACTTCTGACCTCAGGTGATCTGCCTGCCTTGGCCTCCCAAAGTGATGGGATTACAGGCATGAGCCACTGCACCTGGCCAACTCTTTCAAGAAGAAGAAACATTTTAAGACCATAACTAGTCCTTGTACCTCATATAATGTGATCTCATTGTGCCATATATTCTCAGTGTGTAAACTTTTGTAGGGCCAAAGAAAAAACTTCCCTTTTGTCCTCTGAAGGTTTGGTGAAAATCAACTGACAAAAGGCAGATAAATAGAAGAAAAGGATTTTATTTGATCATAGTTTTATGTGACTTGGGAGCCTTCAGAATGAAGACCCAAAGGTATAAGGGGACAGTCCATTTTATGCTTAGTTTCAACAGCATATGGACAGCTGTGTAGAATATGGTTGGACAAAGAGGGTATAACCTAATGCTATTAGACTGGGGAAATCCAGTAAGACCTGTCTGCTTAGATTCTTCTTGGCCTCTCTCCATAGGACCCTCTTTGGAATGGGGGTCTTATGACCTAAACTCAGACAGGGTGAGTCATATAATTTCTTCGTGGTCAGATTTTACATAGAAACACAGGGAGAATGCTAGAGTAATATCTATCTATCTATCTATCTATCTATCTATCTATCTATCTATCTATCTATCTATATCTCTCTCTCTATATATATATATTTTTTTTTTGAGACGGAGGCTCCCTCTGTCGCCCAGGCTGGAGTGCAGTGGCGCGATCTCCACTCACTGGAAGCTCCACCTCCCAGGTTCATGCCATTCTCCTGCCTCAGCCTCCCGAGTAGCTGGGACTGCAGGTGCCAGCCACCACACCCGGCTAATTTTTTTGTGTTTTTAATAGAAACGGGGCTTCACCGTGTTAGCCAGGACGGTCTCGATCTCCTGACCTCGTGATCCGCCTGCCTTGGCCTCCCAAAGTGGTGGGATTACAGGCGTGAGCCACCTTGCCTGGCCTAGAGTAGTATTTTTATGTTTTATGGCTGGCTTTATAAAAAAGGGGTCCTGATTTCTGGGACCTGATTTGGGAAAGAGGAATTCTAGCTTCTATGACTAGTCTGGGGAAGAATGTGGGACCAGAGACAGGAGACCAAAAGGAGTCAGAGGAAAATTTTTCCTTCTAAGGCTGCTTCTGAGGCCTTCATTGTGGGGTATCATTTTCTGAACCCCAAAACTTTGAACTCAGTGTGTTTCACTCTCTGCTCTTGCTGTGTGACCTGAGGACAAATCACTTAACTACTCTGAGCCTCAGTTTCCTCATCTGTCTGACAAAGCTAATCATACCTTTTTCAAGAAACTGTTAAAACTTTAAGGAAAATAATGCATATAAAAACACATTTCGGCCAGGCGTGGTGGCTCATGCCTGTAATCTTTGGGAGGCCGAGGTAGGCGGATCACTTGAGTCCAGGAGTTTGAGACCAGCCTGAGCAACATGGTGAAACCCCGTCTCTACAAGATACAAAAATTAGCCGGGCGTTGTGGCAGGCGTCTGTAATCCCAGCTACTCAGGAGGCTGAGGCATGAGAATCGCTTGAATCCAAGAGGCGGACGTTGCAGTGAGCCGAGATCGCGCCATTGCACTTCAGCCCGGGCGACAAAAGTGAAATTCCGTCTCAAAAAAACAAAACAATAAAACCCCACACAATTGCTTGAAGCATAGTAAGTCCTCAATAAATAGTATGTAAGTAAATTATCAAGAATTGGGCAGTTGGTTCTGGTTATCAGTTTATTTTTTTTTAATCTAGTATAGGTTTACCAGCTTTAGGTTAGCACCTAAAAGCTGCATAATCGGAATCATATCTGCAATCTGGGTTTTGTCAAAATAGTACTATAGAATAAATGGGAGAAAGAAGAAAGCAAGCTAAATGGGAAACCGTGAATGAATGGAGGACGAAAGAAGAAAAAGGCAAAGTAAAGAGAGAAGTAATGTTTAAAAACTGAGAGATGAAAAGACAAGCAGGAGAAAAGAACCAGAAGCTAGAATGAAGAGGCAGTATCCCATGCTCCAGCGCGGGTCAGGACCCGGCCCGGCCTGGCAGAGGCTCGCAGGGCGCAGCTCGGGGCGGGGCCCAGCAAAGCAACCACGCCCCCTCAGGAATGGAGTTTTTAAGGGCGGAACTTCCTGTTGCGAGTAGCCCCTCTACCTCCGGAAGAGACGAGTGCGGTAACACCGTTCACAGAGCTAGCCGGACGTCCTCCGACTCAAGGTGAGACCGTTATTTTCCTCACCGCACCCTCCGGGTTCAGCGGGCGCTGTGGGTTTCCAGGGAGGCCCCTTCCCTCCTCAGGAGCGGGCGCGAGCGCCGTGCGCGGTCGGCGCCTAGGGTGGAGGCAGCCTCTGGGTGACCCCTGCCTGCTGCGTTATCCGGAGCTGCCCTGGGCGACCGGGAACAGTTCCGGCATTGGAGTAGCGGTTCGCTCACGCGACCTCACTTAACCTCTGTGGCGGCTTCTGTGGAATAATTGCCCCTTTTTATGTCCCCAACTCCGAAAAGCTCCTAGAAACTTGGTGCATCCCCAGGCCCAGGTAGTCACTCTAAGTGATGGGGCAGCGCCCAGGTCCTGTGCTGCCCGCAGTCGCGGTGCTGGGACAGGTGGCAAAAAGGAAGGTGGCCTGGCTCCTACGCTGGAAGGCTGTGACCAGGACAGAAACAGCAGGAAACAGTTCAGGTGTTTATGGCTTTGGGAAAATGAAAGTGAGTAAACTACGGACCCTGCCCATCAATAAATGTACTGTGATTTATATATATATAACTATTCATATATTATATATAACTATATATAAAAATATATATAAAATGTACTTATATACTTTATATATAGTACATAAATATACTTATGTATAGTATATATACTTATATATAGTACATAAATATACTTCTGTATACTTATATATAGTACATAAATATACTTACGTATATATACTTATATATAGTACAGAAATATACTTACGTATATATACTTATATATAGTACAGAAATATACTTAGGTATATATACTTATATATAGTACAGAAATATACTTAGGTATACATACTTATATATAGTACCTAAATATACTTAGGTATATATACTTATATATAGTACATAAATATACTTACATATATACTTACATATAGTATATAAATATACTATATGTATAGTACATAAATATACTATGTATAGTATATATACTATATATACTATATATAGTATCTATACTTATGTATAGTATATATAGTATCTAAATATACTTATGTATAGTATATATAGTATCTAAATATACTTATGTATAGTATATATAGTATCTAAATATACTTATGTATAGTATATATACTATATATAGTATCTAAATATACTTAATGTATACTATATATAGTATCTAAATATACTTATTTATAGTATATATATCTAAATATACTTATGTATAGTATATATACTATATATAGTATCTAAATATACTTACGTATAGTATATATAGTATCTAAATATACTTATGTATAGTATATATACTATACATAGTATCTAAATATACTTATGTATAGTATATATACTATACATAGTATCTAAATATACTTATGTATAGTATATATACTATACATAGTATCTAAATATACTTATGTATAGTATATATACTACACATAGATACTATGTATAGTATATATACTCCACATAGTATCTAAATATACTTATGTGTAGTATATATACTCCACATAGTATCTAAATATACTTATGTGTAGTATATATACTCCACATAGTATCTAAATATACTTATGTGTAGTATTTATACTCCACATAGTATCTAAATATACTTATGTGTAGTATATATACTTATGTGTAGTATATATACTTATGTGTAGTATATATATACTAGATATATATATCTAAAGATACTTATGTGTAGTATATATACTACACATTAGTATCTAAAGATACTTATGTGTAGTATATATACTACACATAGTATCTAAAGATACTTATGTGTAGTATACTGTAGTATCTAAAGATACTGTGTGTAGTATACTATATATAGTATCTAAATATACTTATGTATAGTATACTATATATAGTATCTAAATATGTATGGTATATATACTATATATAGTATCTAAATATACTTATGTATGGTATATATACTATATATAGTATCTAAATATACTTATGTATGGTATATATACTATATATAGTATCTAAATATACTTATGTATGGTATACTATATATAGTATCTAAATATACTTATGTATGGTATATATACTATATATAGTATCTAAATATATAGTATATAAAGTATATTTACTGTATTATATATGTGTATGTGTGTGTATGTGTGTGTGTGTGTGTATGTGTGTATGTGTGTGTGTGTGTATATATATATATATATAGTTTGCATCCACCATTCCTGGCTCATAACTCCCATAGCCCTTGACAGGAATCTTGGCCCACCTTTCTGTCTTAGAACTAGCCATGAAGAAATTCTCTGACCTACCTTGTCTGACTGTAGATCGTAAGACCTCCATTTCACAAGGGGTCTTGCCCCATATACAGGAGAAAGGAATGCTGGACAGAGAGGCCAAGATGAATCCGAATGGACAGTCCTTGCTGGGTTTCCACAGTCAGTCTGTTCCATTTGGATCATACTGATTTTGTGGGATCACATTTCTACACAGTTGTCAATCATGCCTATCCAGTGATTATCCAGACTCAGGACCTCAGTTGCTGTCTACTCAAGTAACTTACATGTTTCTACATGGAGGCCATACCTCTCCTGTGAGCTCAGGATCCATGATTCAGCTGCCTAACTGACATCTTTTGATTTTACAGAGGCCTCTCATCTTCCGCTAATTAAACTCCTGATCTCTCAAACTCCTACCTATATCCCAAACTTGACTCTTTTTTTGTTGCTCCCTGTTTCAGTAGACTGTGACGGTTATCCATACAGTTGCCAGAGTGGGAAATCTGGACATCCAGATTCAGAGGAAATCTGAACTCTTCCTGTCCCTGGTACTCTGTAGCCAATCTGTTAGATTCCCTCAAAACAGGTATCTCTGACTCTCTTAACTTCTCTACCAGCAAAACTTCCCTCCCAGGTTTCAGCCAATCATCAGGTATCCTCCCACTACTGCATCCTGAATGTAAATCTGCTGACCCTCTACCAACACCCACTTTCTACCCTTCTGTTGAGTAGCCACAATGAAGTGATTCTTGAAGCCCCTTCAATCAATGTCTTATCCCTAAGGCCCCCCTGTAGAGGATGATCCCCACTACCTCCCCAGCTTTATCTCTCCTGTTTCCCTTAATCTGAGCTGTCACTCTTAGGCTGTTCAGTTAGTCTTCATGTACCAGGCATCCTGCAGTTGATTGAGTTCATGCCTGTTCACTTGTTCTCATCTTGGTTTAATCTTGTCTTCAGGGAAACCTGATCTGATGCCTAAGTCCAGGTGAAAGCTCCCCTGTTAGATGCTTCTCATTGCACTTCTTCTCCTTAACTTATATTATTCCAGTTGTTATTTTGCATGTAGTCTTTAGTTTTTGATTGATATTGAGTCCCCTCCTAGAAAGTGTGAACAGGACCTGATTTTCCTCCCCATGGTGCAGTGTATAGCATACAATAGGTATTCAGTAAACATCTATTGAAGGATGAAGGACATAGTGACTTCTGGGTGGAGAATCCCTAGAAGTAGCTTTTGAAATGGGTCCTGAAGAATTTGTAGAGTTACATTAGTGCTGTTAGAAGGCGGGGGTGTGAGTGGCTTGAGCTGTTTCTGGCAGGAAAGCAGGTACAGCTTGAGAACATCTAGTTCTGTTAAGACTAGTGGAGCAGAATGGGAGTAAGAGTGAAAAAAAAAAGTTTGGAAACAATTCTTGAAGAGCTTGAAGGAGTTGCTTATATGACTCATAGAGTGGCTTCCTTTAAAACAAAATTTTAAAAAATGCTTTAATCAGGAAGAAAAAGCATCAGGAAGAAATTTAGCGTGTGGGTCTTTTGCCCTCCTTTCCACTCCTGTCCTCTTTCCTATAATGTGGGCCCCAAGATAGGAGTTTCTGAATAGTCTTCAAGATGTAACTCTGTGTCTATTATTTTCTATTGGAAAGGAGACAAAATTAGGGTTGTTTTATAAATGGTGCCACAGTTTTTAGTCTGACAGCTTAAAAAGCTTTACTGTGCTAGGTACAGACTTCAGAGTGTGATCAAGCCAGTGGTGAGTTATTTTAGTCTTCAGAAGTCAGTGGAAAACTGGACAGTTTAGAACACAAATATATGTTGGGTTTTTTTTTCCCTCTGTGAAACTCAGGGAAATAAATTTGCTTTTTTCTTATTTTTTTTGGTCCTGGAATTTTCTTTTCTCAGAATGTTATAATAGAAAGAAAAATGGACTTTAAAATCAGAATTGAATTCAAGTTCTGTGTCATTTGTCTGTAATTTTGGGCAAATTATTTCTCATCTCTGAACCTTAAGTTCTTCATCTTTACACATAATTTTTTCAAGTACCTTTTGCTGCTTCCCTTCAAGCTTCTTTTATTTCAGTATTCCCAGTGTTCTTTCTCGTTTTCACTGTATTCTCCTCCAAAATATTATCCTAACTTTTAAAGTATTTCTTGTGTTGTTTCTTATCTATTCTCCAAACGAATGTTTTGGTTTTTTAAAAAAATGTAATATGGTACAGACACACTGGGAAGCAATTTCATAGAATAGTCTTTATGAAAATAATTTGATATAGAAATTAGGTAATTTAGGTGAGAAATGTTTTTTACTGGGTATAGGCATAAATCTTGGGAAAAACTCTAGGGCAGGGGGTGAATCCTGAAATGACAGTCTGTTTCTAATTAAGACGTTTTTGTGAACTAACTATTCTATAATTAAGACTTCTAAGACAGTTATAACTACTTTGTACAGATATTTGTCAAATATTTTCAGAAGATGGCTGATCCTTGGCAGGAATGCATGGATTATGCAGTAACTCTAGCAAGACAAGCTGGAGAGGTATGAGCTAAGATTTTGTCAATTATAATCAATTATAATGTGATTGGTGGGTATACTGTGTTGTTGCCTTGTTTTGTTTGTTTCGATTTGGTTTCTTTTTTTGAAACGGTCTTGCTTGTCACCCAAGCTGGAATGTAGTGGCAGGAACATGGCTCACTCCAGCCTCAACTTCCCAGGCTGGGCTCAAGTAATCCTCCCACTTCAGCCTCCTGAGTAGCTGGGACTACAGCAGGCATGAGCCACCATGTCCAGCTACTTTTCATTTTTTAAATTTTTGTGTGGAGATGAGGGTCTCGCTGTGTTGTCCAGGCTGGTCTTGAATTCCTGGACCACCTTGGCCTCCCAAAGTGCTGGGATTACGTGCGTGAACCACCATACCCAGCCTGCCTTGTTAAATAAAATATACACTTTGATCAATCTACATTTATTTTCATTTTACTAAATACTCTTGCGTGTATACCCTAATTTTATATGATAAAATTTTCTGTGATGACAGTTGTGAATCTAAAATAAGATGTAAGATTATATAATTTTTGTTTTTAGAAAGACGTAACTATTAAAGGCTTATTTTATAGATATATTTGTAAGACATTTTTAAGAATGTCTTTAAAGAATATTATTTAAGACAGATTGAATGTCTTAAACCATTTATGTATTTTATCTTTTTGTTTAAAATTATGCCTTTTCTATTTGCTTACCAAAACCTCTTTTTAGGTAGTTTGTGAAGCTATAAAAAATGAAATGAATGTTATGCTGAAAAGTTCTCCAGTTGATTTGGTAACTGCTACGGACCAAAAAGTTGAAAAAATGCTTATCTCTTCCATAAAGGAAAAGTATCCATCTCACAGGTATTTTTATTTACTGTGTACAAGAAATGTTTATTATCTCACCATTTCTTGGGGTTCTGCATATGAGAGTAGCTTGACTACACGGTTCTTGCCAAGGTCTTCCATGAAGTTACAGTCAAAGTGTTGGTCAAGGCTGCAGTCAACTGAAGGTTGGACTGGAACTGAAGGATCCATTCACTCACGTGATTGTTGGCAGATGTCAGTTCCTGGGGGAGTTGTCTGCTGGTAGCTTCTCTCAGTTCCTTACCATGTAGCCTCTTCACAGAGTAGCTCACGACATGGAAGCTGACATCTCCTAGTCCAGAGCAGGTGGCACAGGAAGGGAGAAACAGAGTGAACCAGATGCAAATTAGAGGGGCATTTTGTGAACTAGTCTCCAAAGTTTTGTATACTGTCACTTACGCTTTATTGGTTAGAAACAAGTATCTGCATAGCTCACGCTCAAGGAAGGAATATTAGGCTCCACCTCTTGAAGGACGGAGAGTATTAGAGAGTGACCTTTTTTTTTTTTTTTTTAGACGGAGACACGCTCTGTCAGGCAGGCTGGAGTGCAGTGGCATGATCTCACCTCACTGCAACCTCCACCTCCCAGGTTCAAGTGATTCTCCTGCCTCAGCCTCCTGAGTAGCTGGGATTACAGGTGCATGCCACCACGCCTGGCTTATTTTTGTATTTTTAATAGAGACGGGGTTTCACCATGTTGGTCAGGCTGGTGTTGAACTCCTGACCTCATGGTCCGCCCGCCTCAGCCTCCCAAAGTGTTAGGATTACAGACCTGAGCCACCACACCTGGCCCCTATTTTTAAAATCATTACATTTCCTTAATGATTTCTTATCTGCCGCAAATGTGTGTGTGCACACACCTTACCCTAGTATAACATCTTATAATTTGAATTTTGAAATTTTTCACATCGCTTTATTCATGGGGAAATAAATTAAAGCTTCCTTACATTTATCAGTCTTTACCTGAAGGAAGAAGAAGCAACAATAGAAAAGTGTAGGGTACAGACTTTTGCTATTTTTTTTTTTTTTTTCCTGAGACAGAGTCTCTCTCAGTTACCCAGGCTGGAGTGCAGTGGCACGATCTCGGCTCACTGCAACCTCCGCCTACCAGGCTAAAGCCATTCTCCTGCCTCAGCCTTCCAAGTTGCTGGGATTACAGGCGCCTGCCACCATGCCCGGCTAATTTTTGTATTTTTAATAGAGATGGGGTTTCACCACATTGGCCAGGCTGGTCTTGAACTCCTGACTCAGGTGATCCGCCCTCCCTGGCCTCCCAAAGTGCTGGGATTACAGGCGTGAACCTCCACACCTCGCCTGCTATGTTTTATAGTACTCTGTGTAGCTAAGGAAATGTTATGATTTGGAAATTGTTGAAATCAGTGTAAAGATTAAGAGTTTGTCCTACTTGGCTTTTAGTTTCATTGGTGAAGAATCTGTGGCAGCTGGGGAAAAAAGTATCTTAACCGACAACCCCACATGGATCATTGACCCTATTGATGGAACAACTAACTTTGTACATAGGTATGTTTTAAAATGTCTAATATAATTACTCTTTGCATATTAACTGGATTGACCTATAGATACTCTATTTAGGAACATGTACACTTTAGAAAATTGTATACTTCGTTTATGCTTCTTTATTCTAATAAAGTATATATAAAATGTAAAAGTGGAGCAAAATGTATTATGCAGACTTATCAGATATGGAGGAGGTAAAGAAATACTAATGTGATCTTGTCCTGTGGTGCCAAGTGCCCCGTTCACCATTCTTTTTCCCACTGTTGGCACTATCTAAAAAGGGAAGCAAACAACATTGCTGCTTTGAGAGTGGGAAGGGCACTTTGCACTGCATGCCATTTTCTATTCTTTGAGTGGCATGTACCATAGATCTATATGGATCTACTAATATGCATCTATTAGTAGTAACTATGTAAAAATATGGTTTTTTTTTTTTAAGATGGAGTTTCCCTCTTGTTGGCCAGGCTGAGATGCAATGGCGCAGTCTTGGCTCACTGCAACCCCCACCTCCCGGGTTCAAGCGATTCTTCTGCCTCAGCCTGCCAAGTAGGTGGGATTACAGGCACCTGCCACCACACCCGACTAATTTTTGTATTTTTAGTAGAGGCGGGGTTTCACCATGTTGGCCAGGCTGGTCTTGAACTCCTGACCTCAGGTGATCCTCCTGCCTCAGCCTCCCAAAGTGCTGGGATTACAGGCGTGAACCACTGCACCTGGCCAAAGATATGTTTTCAAAGAATAAAAATAAATTTAAAAAATTATAAACTGACTATGTTAAAAAGATTGTATTTTAGTAAAACTAATGAAGTCACTCTTGGGGAGTGCTGTCGATATAGAATGAGTTCAGTCCAGGAGAAAAAACACGGTTAAAAAGTGCAGAGGAGGCCCCTCTCCTCAGCCCTTAGGGTGACGGGGATGGGGATGGGGCTGGGGCTGGGGCCGGCAAAAAAAAAAAAATTGCATGGGTGTTAGGATGAATAGACGTGCATTCTGGTATTTTTTTACGGCTTTTTCACCTTAGGCAAGTTAGTTAACTTTTCTAGGCCACAATGTTAAAAAACATTTATAAAAAGGCCGTATTAATAGCACTTGCCTCGTAGAATTGTAACTCAACTCTATGAGTAGTACATTAATGTAAGAACTTAGTATAGTGCCGACACAGAGTAGGTATATGATATTACTAGAAGAAAGCCTGGTGGAATTGCCCATGAGAGTTAAAATCAGTAGCCGCTTCTGGTGGGATTACATATAGATGTCATATTTGAAGTTCCCATGTAGTTGTACACATCTGTACTATATATACAATCCTTGAAATCTACAAAGCTAAGGTTTAGAATCTATATGTGATAGAATGTTATATCTTTTAAATGTGGAAAGATGCTAATATATTTTCACAGAAGAGAAGACAGTACAATACAGTGTGTATAGTATCTTATTTTTGTTAAAATAAAAACTTTCTTACATATTTAAAAGTTTTTATTTTCAACAGCTTTAGCTTCAATAGTTGAATGTTGATCTTGTCTATTTCCTTGATCTTAATTCTCTTGTGAGTCAGCAGTTACAACCTGTGTTCAGACTGTCATGCAGCTATGGAAAAATTTTGGCTCAAAGTCTACTTTTCAGAGGCCAAGCCTAAAGTTTGCTGTTGGAGTAGAGACAAGTAACAGCCATTTATTTTGTCCAGTGCAGTATTTGTGTTTATCACGGTGTAGGACATAGGAAAAAAACATCACAGGCCAGGCGCGGTGGCTCATGCCTGTAATCCCAGCACTTTGGGAGGCCAAGGTGGGTGGATAACCTGAGGTCGGGAGTTCGAGACTAGCCTGACCAACATGGAGAAACCCCGTCTCTACGTAAAATACAAAATTAGCCGGGTATGGTGGCACATGCTTGTAATCCCAGCTACTTGGGAGGCTGAGGCAGGAGAATCACTTGAACCCGGGAAGTGGAGGTTGCAGTGGGCTGAGATCGTGCCATTGCACTCCAGCCTGGGCAACAAGAGCTTAACTTCGTCTCCAAAAAAAAAAAAAATCACTAAAATATATGCTTTTTAACCAAATCGATTTAAAAGTTTTTACAGTTTTCTTTTTTAACCAAATTGATTTAAAAGTTTTTACATTTTGGCTTTTTTTTTAAAGGGGGACAGCATCTCTGTCACCCAGGCTGGCATGCAGTGGCATGACTATGGCTCACTGCAGCCTTGACCTTCTGGGCTCAAGGGATCCTTCTGCCTCAGCCTACCGGGGAAGCTTGGACTATAGGCGTGCACCGCCACACTCAGATAATTTCGTGACTTTTTTTTTGTAGAAACAGGATCTTGCCATGTTGCCCAGCCAGGCTGGTCTCGAACTCCTGGGCCCAAGTGATCTTCCTGCTTTGGCCTGCTAAATTAGTGCTGGGAGGAGTGAGCCGCTGTGCGTGGCCATGAAAAAATATTTTTACATAGCTACTATATTCATAGAATTTGACCTTCAAAAGATAGAAAACGCAGTGCAAAATGCCCTTCACACTTCCATTTCTGGTTTCCCAGGATCCATCTCTGGAGATGACCACTGTTACAAGTTTCTCGTGAATCCTTTCAGAGATGTTTCATGCCTATAGAAGCATCCTGTGTGAACGTGTGCCTGTGTGTTGGGGGGAGGGTGTGTGTGTATAATACCTCCACTTTATCCTATTTACAAAGGGTTGTATACCATACAAACTGTTTTGCATCTTAGATTTTGTGGGGAGTGGAGATGAGACTTTTTATAGGAAAAATTTTAAGAACACTTATATTATGAAAAGATTAATTTTATTAACAAAAGTTCTATGTTGGTTAATTTGTATTTTGTCCTTTTTTTTAAAAAAAGATTTCCTTTTGTAGCTGTTTCAATTGGCTTTGCTGTAAATAAAAAGGTATGATTTTTTAAACGTATAGTTGATTATATGCCTTGCTCTCATTTTCTGAGAAAAAGTAAATGTGTTTTCATAATAAATTCAGGTTTGTCTGTATATTTGATTATATAACTGCATTATTTTGAATATAAGCTACAGGACTGTTAAAATTTTCATGATACATTTGCATTGGATAAAATTTTATGTATTCTGAGAAGCAGGAGTTGTAAGAAGAAAATACACACAAGTAACTGAAATACAACTCAGTATTTAGTAACCATTATATGTGTGATAGAGTCAGATGGGATAGAAGTTTATATGTGATCTTAAATGCTTCGTGGAAGAGGTGAGATTTGAGCTGGGAATGCTTTAGTAGGTGTTAGTGAAGAAATACATTTAGAAACCAGCAAGTAGCAGGGGCCAAAGCATGGTTGGAAAATACAGACTCTCTTTAGGAACCTACACATAGTTCAGGTTGTCTTATGTGTAAATACTTACATCTAAAGCCTAGCAGAATAAAACATATAGCTATAGCATTTCCTTGCTGTTTGGCTCCTTAGTTGGTCAAACAGTAAAGGATGGTTACTAACATTTTACCTACCTATCTTCAAGGAACTTTTGATATGTAAGATCAACATGTATAACAGCAGTTATAACATTTCTGAATATAAAACACATATTGGACAAATGACAGCTTAGCCCCAGGGTTGTATTAATTAATGAGAATGTCCAGAAGAAGCTACATGAGCTTTCAGTATATAATCAGCTCTGGGCTGTATGCTGGCCCTGCCACTGAACTCAACAGCTCAGCACAAAGTTAGATGTGTGAACAGGTAAAGATGATATGTGGTAGAACCATGAAAAAAAATACTATGGGAACACAGGATGTCACCAGTTCTGCTGAGAGTGGGTTGGGAAAATCTTCATAACAGCAGGGGTCTTAGAAGTTGATCATGTGTTGGCCCTTAGAAAACTAGGGGTTTCCAGATTGGCGGGGGTGGGGGGGTGGTGGGAAGAGGAAGGCGTTTTAATCAGAAAGAACAGCTTGGAGAAATTGAAGACCATTATACGTGTGGGGAATGGTGAGATGTTCATGGAGAGGGAAGCACTGCAAGTGGCCAGGACAAAGGTTAGTTTGGCCTTGCTGTGAGGCACTGTGGCCAGTCCATGCAAGAAAATTTAGTTTGTGTTTCAAGGTAGTTGGGAACCAGTAGAGGTTTTGAAGTGGAAAGTGACAGATAATTCTAGCAATGTAGAGATTATACTGGGGTGTGGGTGAACTAAGTAGAGGCAGTGAGAATAGCCAAGGAAATGCCAAAATTGGAAAGTGTTTTTGAGATTAAATTTGAAGGAGATTTATGGGGAAGGAATGGGAGGTGATCAGGCAATGAATGATTTTGTCTTTGAAATTCTGCAAGACTAGGTTTGGAACCGTAGGTTCTTCCCCCGATTATGAGGTTGATGGGAGCCAAAATGAATTTGTGGACTGTAAAAAACCAACCTGTGTGAATATGGAGAGCTAAAAGGGAAATGGAAGCAATGGGAGAAGGAAGAAAAAAGCCTGAGGTGCCTAACTTTTCAGGGTGAGGCAGAAAAGAATGTTCTAAAATCATAACTGAAACGAATTAGTAGGTGAGGTAGAACTAAGAGAATAATGGTGGGAGCATGGAGGTAGTGAATTAAGTATTGAATAAGTCTTGAGCCAGTAGACTCCAATTCTTCAGACAAGGCATTTGAGGCAACAAAGAAAGTTTGTTGATACTCTCTTTGTGGGACTTTCAGAAGAATGAGTGATCAGGGCAGAAGCCACATTGTAATGTATTAAGAGGAGAATAGGAGATGCAAAGTTACTCATTGGCAGTGAAGGGAAAAGGATAGAATAACATTTCAAAGGTTTTGTAAGGAGGAGAGAAACTTAATGAGAAGGTATAAGAAGAAAAATCCAAGAGACTAGGGAATCAGCTGATGGAGCAGTTTTTCAGAGAATGTATGTGAGGGTAGGAGTCCTAACACCGGAGAAGCGTTCACTTAGAAAATAGGAAAGCCCTGTCTTCCGAAGCAGGAGGAAGAGAAGTAAGGTGGGTGTTCTTAGATCTGGACTTGGATGGGAGGAGAGTCAAGGATATCAGTTCTGGTGACCTCTTTCTCTTGATTAGTCTGGAAATTAACATTTTAAGTATCCCACAGTTTAGCCATTTCAGTCCATTGTTACTAGTCAGTATACCAGATTGTCTTGTTATTTTCTTAGAAAAAAGTGGATGAAACATACTTAGGTTTGGTAAAGGAAACTTGTTTTCCTCTGCAGATAGAATTTGGAGTTGTGTACAGTTGTGTGGAAGGCAAGATGTACACTGCCAGAAAAGGAAAAGGTGCCTTTTGTAATGGTCAAAAACTACAAGTTTCACAACAAGAAGGTAGGATTAATTCCAATTTTTGATGCTATTCATATTGTGTGCTCAATATTTTATTGTTTTTTAATATTCACCTATGGAATTCTCCAGGTGTTAACTGATTCATAAATTGTGTTTATTATCTCTTTATTCTTTTTGACTTCAGCTTTGAATGTGGAATGGAAGTAGGGAAAGAAATGTAATTGAGCAAACACTTCAGGCTCAGCATTGTATTTTGTGATAGAGATAGGAAGATGATTAAGACTGGCTTCCTATTGTGAACCCAAAATATCTGAGACAGGTCTCAATCAGTTTAGAAGTTTATTTTGCCGAAGTTAAGGAGTTAAGGTGACACAGCCTCAGGAGGTCCTGACGACATGTGCCCGAGGTGGTTGGGGTACGGCTTCCTTTTATACATTTTAGGGAGTCGTGAAACATCAATATGTGTAAGATGTACATAAAGGCAGGACAACTAGAAGTGGGGAAGGGGGCGGTGTTCAGGTTATAGGTAGATAAAAGACAAATGATTATATTCTTTTAAGTCCGTAATCAGCCTTTAAATACACAATTGAGTCTGGCTCAGTGAATCTGCATTTTTACATAAACAATAGGGCAGATGAAGCAATCAGATATGAATTTGTCTCAGGCGAGCAGAGGGATGACTTTCTCTCCCACACCTGTGAAGATAAGCTATCAGTCTACATTGCCAGGGCAAAATTCAGCCAGAACTGTTTTAGGGTAAAGATCTTGAGGTCCACAAGGAATTTCCTTGTGGGCAAATTGTAAGGGAGGTATGTAGCTCTTTTGTCTTTGTAGGTGTCTTATTTAGGAATTAAATGGGAGGCAGGTTTGCCTGACATAGTTCCCAGCTTGACTTTTCCCTTGGCTTAGTGTTTTTTGGGTCCTCAGATTTATTTTCCTTTCACACTGTCCTTGTGGAATTCATGGTTTATGTTTTATCTACTGCTTCTAAAATTCTTTATAGAATTCCTCTGATCTGATGCCCCAGGACCAATTACTACAAAGTAAATGGGTGGAAAAAAAGCCCGTTAAAGCTGGGAATCACTGAAAATGAGACATATATATTTTATAAGCTGAATGGCAATTTAAGTTCTTTCTTCTCTATTACATCTGTTGGCCTCAAAAAAGGAAGTGCAGGCAAAATTAATGTAGAGAGTTTATTTGGGCCAAAGTTGAGGACTGCAGCCCAGGACACACTTCTAGATTACCTTGGAGAGTGCTCCAGAGAACTTAGCAGAGGCTCAGGTTTTTAAAGAAAAAGGGACACACTGGGAGAGGGGATGATGAGAAAAGTTGTACTCAGGAATTCTCATTTGTTTACAGAAATAACATTGCTTAGTGATTGGCTATACACTGTTGAATTATAGGGTGCATGGCATTTTATGGCTGCTTGGCATCAGTGAGTCTAGAGCCCCCTGTAGCAAGCGGCTTCAAGTGGCAATTATTTAACTCCAGGGGAGTGAGACTGTCTGCTGGTATATTTTAAATGCCTCTTCAGGCTTGATAATTTAAAGGTACTGGCATTCTGCAGATTAAAACTTTTCTTTTTCTTTCTCACAGCTTATTGAGGTTTTGAGTTACTGTTCTTCCATAAACCACACCAAACATTTTCCACAGTTTGCACATTGAAATTCTTTTCAGTGCAGCAAGAACTTAGAGGTACTTGCAAAACAATTTGAGTTTAGAATCTTTCTAGACTTTTATACCTTTTTCCCTCAAACACTTAATTTAAGAGCAGATTTTTAGGCTATTTCCTTTTCATTAAAATCTAAGACCCCATGAAATGGAGGATGCATTCTTATTTTTCTAGATGTCATCATGTGAGAAAATACAAATCTTGGACCGAAGGAATATGGTAGCTTTGATAGAAACAACTCTTTTCCTTTGCATAGTCATTCTTCACTTTACAAAGTATTAAATTATGTAACTTTTATTTTTTTTCCTCCCGAGACAGAGTCTTGCTCTGTTGCCCAGGCTGGAGTGCAGTGGCGTGATCTCGGATCACTGCAACCTCCGCCTCCCGGGTTTAAGCTATTCTCCTGCCTCAGCCTCCGGAGTAGCTGGGATTACAGGTGCGCACCACCATGCCCAACTAATTTTTTGTATTTTTAGTAGAGATGGGGTTTCACCATGTTGGCCAGGCTGGTCTCGAACTCCTGACCTCGTGATCTGCCTGCCTCCGCCTCCCAAAGTGCTGGGATTACAGGTGTGAGCCACCATGCCCAGCCCTAAATTACGTAACTATTAAATGTAGTACAACAGTTACAGAAATGCTCAGATCAAACACAGCTGGTGAACATACATCTCCATTGGTGGGAGGAGGTGAGATCTAGGGTGTTGGGTGTGTCCTGAGCTTCAAATGGAAAACCTTGGATAACCTGTCAGCCTTGTAAATGGATGTCAGAGAATTTTACTTTTGTTGTAAAAGTAAAATTTTTACTTTTACTGTAATTTTACTGTAATTTGTTTTCTTCCAAATCTATACATAAATCCCTTATTGAATTTAGTCTCTCCTTTTTAAATATTTAAGACATTTGCTGTTTCCCACTAAGTATTATGTATGCAGGCAAATTGGTTACATTATGTACTTTTTCAGGAAGGGCCTAAGCAGCTGGACTCTGATGCTTATAAAAAGGATCACATAGGGATAATTAATTTATCAGTATTTTATTATTTAAATGCTTATAAAGAAACACGATAAAACAAGGAAGAGGGATACAAATGCCCTCTTCTGAATTACAAGTGTCAGGTATTTTCTAGAAGTCTAAATATTGAAACCTAACACTTTCTTTTTAGATATTACCAAATCTCTCTTGGTGACTGAGTTGGGCTCTTCCAGAACACCAGAGACTGTGAGAATGGTTCTTTCTAATATGGAAAAGCTTTTTTGCATTCCTGTTCATGGGTAAGCTCTTTACCATTATTCTATCTCTCTCTTTGTATACGTGTGTGTGTGCACACACCTTTTTTTTTTCCTGTACCATTTTAGAGTAAATTATATACATCATGGTTTCTAAAGAATAGGGAGATTCTGTTCCATAACCATGAAACCACTGATTTCATAAATACACTTTTTATCTAATTTGTCATCCATATTCAGTTTTGTCAGTTAATCTGCTAATGTCCTTTATAGCATTTGCCTTCCAATAAAGTAGGATTCAGTCTAGAGTCAGCATTATTTTTAGGTGTCATGTCTCCTTAGCCTTCTTTGATCTGGAACATTTCCACAGCCTATGAAATTACTTCCTTTAAGTTTTCAAATTATTTGCATAGAAGTCTGTAAGATAGACTCTTATAATTAATTTCTGGCTTCTCTATATCAGTGGTTATTTCCACCTTGTCACTTATTTTGTCTATTTGTGCTTTTTTTCTTGTTCTTTTTTCTCAAAGAACCAGGATTTTAATTTAAGCTGGTTTTTTCTTTTCTGCACTATTATTTTCATCTTCGTGCTTTCTTTTGGTTTGTTTCCTTTTTTTTCCTTTTTGATTAGAAAATTTATTATAATTCCTTTATGTTTATTGATGTAGATATTTAGGCTATGAATTTCATCTGATCATTGTTTTCATTGTATCCCATAAATACTGATACTTACTGTTTTCATTATTTTTTTCATAAATTCTGTAATTTGCTTGTATTTCCTCTTTTACTGAGAGTTATATTCTTAAATTTTCACAAGGAGAGTCTGTCTTAGTCCATTTTCTGTTGCTTATAATACCTGAAACTTGGTAATGTGTATGTATAAAGAAAAGGAATTTATTTCTTTCAGTTATAGAGGCTCAGAAGCCCAAGGCTGAGGAGCTGCATCTGATGAGGGCCTTCTTGCTGGATTCTTTGTAGAGTCCTGAGGCAGCACAGAATGTGACATGGTGGGGCTGAGCATGCTAGCTCAGGTCTCTGTTCTTCTCTTTATAAAGCCACCAGTCCTAGTCCTATGATGACTCATTAATCTATTAACCCATGAGTGGATTAATCCATTCATGAGGGCATAGCCCTCTTAGAGACCCCACCTTTCAGTACTGCTAGATTGGAGATTAAGTTTCCATATGAGTTTTGGAGGGAACAAACATTCAAACCACAGCATTCCACCCCTGACACTCCCCAGATTTGTCTTTTTCCATACAAATACACTCATTCCATCCCCAGGGTCCCAAAGTCTTCACTTGTTCTATCATGAACTTAAAAGTTTAAAGTCCACAGTCTCATTTGTGAGCCTGTGAAATCAAAACAAGCTATCTGCTTCAAAGATACAATAGTGACACAGGCATAAGACAGGCATTCCCATTCCAAAACGGAAAATTAGGCAAAAAGAAAGAACAGGCGCTAGGCAAGTCCAGAATTCCAGCAGGGCAGACATGAAATCTTAAAGCTCAAGAATAATCACTTTTGACTGCATGTACCACCTCATGGAGACACTGGGGGTTGAGGGCTGGGTAAAGGCCTCTGGCAGCCCTGCCCCTGTGGCTTTGCAGGGTACAGCCCATATGGCTACTGGCATGGGTTGGAGTCCAGTGCCTGAAGCTTTCCAAGGTGTACCTTGCATGCTGCTGGTGACTCCACAGTTCTGAGGCCCAGGTAGTGGTCCTGCTTTCATGGCTCCACTAGTTAGGCATTACCCTAGTGGGGACTCTCTGTGGTGGCCTTACTTCCTGGGCTCTACTAGGCTTTACCTTGGTGGAGATTCTCAGCTACCACTAACCCCACAGTTCCACTGTGGCTCTGCCCTTGAGACAAGTCTGTTCCCTGGCTCCCAGGCTTCTGAGGACAATCTTTGAGGCCAAGTGGAGGCTGGAAAGCCTCTACAGCTCTTCCTTTATGCAAGCTTGCAGAATTAGTATCATACTGCTAACATTTACAACTTATACCTTGTAGAGATGTGGTATAAGCCACACCTAGGGTCACTTGACCTTGGCTGGGATGTAGGGAGCACAGTCTAGGGTGGCCCTGGGCAGCCAGCATTGGAGAGTATCCCAGGCCTGTTCCATGAAACCATTCTACCCTCCTTTGGGCCTGTAAAGGGAGGGGCAGCCTTGAAGATCTCTTAAATGCCTTCGGGTTCTTTCTTTCATTGTCTTTAGAAGTAACACCTGGCTCCCTTGTAGCTGTGCTAATCTATTTAGCAAATGGTTCCTGGCTAACCCTCGGTTTCCTCCTTTGAACACACCTTTTCACTCTTGGCCAGGCTGAGTTTTCCAAATTTTTTTGCTCTGCTTCCTTTCTTTTTGGTTGTTTGTTTGTTTGTTTTGTTTTTTGGAGATGGGTTCTCACTCTCTTGCCCAGGCTGGATTGCAGTGGTGCAATTATAGCTCAGTGCAGCCTCAACCTCCTGGGCTCAAGCAGTCCTCCTACTTCAGCCTCCCAAGTAGCTGTGACCACAGGTTTGCATCACCACATCCAGTTAATTTTTATATTTGTGGTATTTTGTATAAAAATGGGGTTCGCCGTGCAGCCCAGGCTGATCTCCAACTCCTGGGCTCAAGCGATCTGCCCAAGTTGGCTTCCCAAAATGCTGGCATTATAGGTGTGAGCCACTGCATCTGGCCACTCTGCTTCCCCTTTAATTATTCATTTGTCTTTAAATTACTTCTTTGCTTGCAAATCTCAGCATAAATGGTCAAAAGTAACCATGCAGCTACTTCTATAATTTGTTTAGAAATTTTTTTCTGCCAGATACCCTAATTCATTACTCTCAAGTTTAGGCTTTCAGGAAACCCTGTCAAGTTGGCTGGCCATGGTGGCTCACGCCTGTAATCCCAGCACTTTGAGAGGCTGAGGCAGGTGGATCACGAGGTCAGGAGATCGAGACCATCCTGGCTAACACGGTGAAACCCTGTCTCTACTAAAAATACAAAAAATTAGCCAGGCGTGGTGGCGGGCGCTTGTAGTCCCAGCTACTCCGGAGGCTGAGGCAGGAGAATGGCGTGAAACTGGGAGGCGGAGCTTGCAGTGAGCCGAGATCGTGTCACTGCACTCCAGCCTGGGTAACAGAGTGAGACTCCATCTCAAAAAAAAAAAAAAAGAAACCCTTAGTCATAGACACAGTTCAGACAAGTTCTTTGCCAGTTTATAACCAGGATGGCCTTTCCTCCAGGATCCGATACCTTGTTCCTCAGTTTTATCTGAGACCACATCAGAATACTGTTCCTATTTTTATTAGCATTCTGGTCAGAGCTACTTAACTCAATCTCTAAGGCATTCCAAACTTTCCCTGGCCTTGTCTTCTAAGCCCTCACCAAAATCTCCCTTAATGCTTCATTCACGGAAATGCAGGCATTTTCTAGCCTGCTCCTCTGAATTCTTCTGTCTTCTACCTATTACCCATTTCAAAGCCGCTTCTGTTTGTTAATCAGCATCACCCCACCCTTAACCTATAAGCCATGAACCTAGAAGGCAAAGCCCTCATGACCTAATACCTCTTAAAAGGACCCCACACCAGTACTGCCACATTGGGGATTAAGTTTCAACATGCGTTTTGGAGGGGACAAACATTCAACCATAGCAGACACCTTTTTGGATTTTTAAAAATTTCATCTTTAATCTCCAGTTTTATTACATTTTAACAGTTCTACTTTCTGAAACCTACTGATGGTTTCCTTGTGCCCTGTTCTGTGATCAATTTTTGTAAGTTTCATATGCACTGAAAAATAGTATAATTCCCTATTTCCAGGGTATGACATTCAGTATATAGCCAAAAGATTTACCTAATTAATTTTTTTTGTCTATTTGCCCTGTCTTATACTGAGAGTCTCTGATGTATCAGTCTTTTATTATTAGTGTGTTTCTCTGTATTTCTCCTTGCAACTCTTTTATGTAGGTGGAAGCTGTGTTATTTGATGTTTATTCATAATAGTTACATACGTAGTTCATTGTGTAATTTTTACGTATTCTTTGTCTTGTTTCATGTTTTTGTGCTTGAAATTTACTTTGACATCAGAATTGCAATTCCTGCTTTTTTTTTTTTTTTTTTTTTTTTTTTGAGACAGAGTCTCCCTCTGTCACCCAGGCTGGAGTGCAGTGGCACAATCTCGGTTCACTGCAACCTGCGCCTCCCAGGTTCAAGCAGTTCTCCTGCCTCAGCCTCCTGAGTAGCTGGGATTACAGCTACGCACCACCATGCCCGGCTTTTGTATTTTTAGTAGAGACAGGGTTTCGCCATGTTGGCCAGGCTGGTCTGGAACTCCTGACCTCAAGTGATCCACCCACCTCTGCCTCCCAAAGTTCTGGGATTACAGGCGTGAGCCACTGTGCCTGGCCCCTGCTTTCTTATTTTTCCTGTTTGCCTGATAAATCTTTGTCCACCCTTTTATTTTTAGTCCTTTGAACCACTGCATTTGAAGTGTGCCTGTCATATACAGCATTGCATGGAATTTCACTTTATAAGTCAATTTGAAAATCTTTTTCTTTTAACAGATAGGTTAGGCCTATTGATTTATTGATATGACTGTTTTTGTCTCAATTCTGTTGTATTATTGTGTGGTATAATTACTGTCTGTATGATGTTATAGTTACTGCGTTCATTTGATGTGCCTTCTCTGCCTCTTTTAAAATTTATTTTTGTATTTATAAAGATTACATTTTATTCCAGCAGGTTTCTTTTGTAATACAACTTTTATAGTACCTTTAATATTATTTTCTTACTTAACTATTTACTATCTAGAATGTTTTGGCTTCGCCTATTGCCTATGTAAGTCTCCCATTCCCCTTTTCTCTCTCTTTATCCCATTTTTAAAGTTGCATTCTGTCTACTTTGCCAGAACATATTATATTTACATATTCTTCAACCCATGACCCCGCTTTTTGATCCTAGTTCTTCATTTAACATTATAAAATGCTCACAGTCCTTTTGTGAAGTGTTGCAGGCACCTTTTTAATTGGTTGAAGTTCGTCCTCTAGTAGATTCCTTGGGGGAGGGCACATGTGCACAGTTTTCCCTGAGTTTGGGTATTTTCCAAAATGCTTTTCTGTGGCCTTGAGACTTGAAGGACAGCTTGGCTGGATATAGTATCCTTAATGAAAGTATAAATTTCTTGAAAATGTTCTTTCACTGTTGCCTTGCTTTGTATATTGTTTTTGAGAAATCTGATGCAAATCTAATTTTTCTTGGCTTTTACATTATTTTATCTTTTAACTGGAGGCTGTTTTTTTTCCCCTGAATTTTTGGCTAACAGTTTTTAAAGGATATATCTTAGAATTGCTCATTCTGGGTCAGTCGTGTGTTTCAGTATATAGGTTCATGTCTTTTTAATTTCTGGGAAGTTTCCTTAAGATATAGTTTAAGTACTAGTGCACTTCTGTTATTTTTTTCTTTAAAGACACCAGTGGGAATGCTCCATCTCCTTTGTGTCTTCATTTCAGCCATTTTCTCTCTGTCTCTTTTTACTTCTTTCTTTTATTGCTTTTCCTAATTTCTCTTTATTAAGTTTTCTTATCATCTGTTCTTTTATTGGCACCTTGTAATTTATTCTTCGTTCCTGACATAATTTTGTCTTTTATTTCCCCCCCATTTCTTTCCTGAGTTCAGTCATCTTGTTTTATGTACGTATTTTGGTCCATTTGTGCTCTTAGTTTCTATATCGCTGATGTAACATTTTTTTCAGTATTCACAAGTTTTTGTTTGAAAATATTTAATTCGGATTCGATTGATATTCATTTTATTCCCCTTCATTGTTGGTTTTGGGGGAGAGACTTTACAGCAAAAAGAAAAAACAAAACCATTTTATTAACAGCGTTCGATGTTTTGCAGTAGTTTTGTGTGAATGTGGTCTACTTTTTTCTATTTTCACTTCGTTTTGTGATCAGGGTTCCTGCTTTCTGAATTTCTTATTTTGCCAGTTGTGCCTTTCTGTGCATTTTCTTTTATGAATACCTGCTGGTTGTAGATAGAGTTGGCTTGTCTTGTTTATCATTCATTTCTGCAGGGTCCTTAAGTTTTCACTCTTTTTTTTTTTCTTTTTTTCCTTTTTCTTTTTTTTGTTATTATTATACTTTAAGTTTTAGGGTACATGTGCACAATGTGCAGGTTAGTTACATATGTATACATGTGCCATGCTGGTGTGCTGCACGCATTAACTCGTCATTTAGCATTAGGTATATCTCCTAATGCTATCCCTCCCCCGTCCCCGCACCCCTTAGTTCCTACTTTTCCTTCACTTGTTTCCAAGGAGTACCATCTCTGCTATCTTATTTGATTCTCCTTCAGAATCACAGCTTCTCTGAGGCTGCCTGGTCAGGTTCTGAGTGTTTTCTAGCCCCTTACCTCTAGCCAAGACTATGAATTACCAAGTGCTGATCTGTGCTCAGTGTTTTTGTTTTTGTGTTTATTGTCTCAGTGACTCTTTTCTGAGGGTGGTTTTGTCTTTGTTCCCTGTGGGTCCTCTGCTCCTCCTTGTTCTTTCTCACAAAGTCTTTTCTGCCTTCTCTGCCCTACTCTGTGTATCTACGGGCTTCCGGTGCTCTGTTAGAATTTATTTATTTGTTTTTCTTCTACTTAGAGGTAGTTTGAGAGTTTGCATTTCCTGATTTCTATCTGAAAGAATGGGTCCTATGGGTTTTATTTGTCCTCCTGGTTGATTTCATTTTATTATTTTCCAGGAGGGTATACAGGGAGTTTCAAAATCGTCATGCTATTATTATTCTCCAAATCTCAGAGTCCCTCTGTAATGACAGTTTAATAAATGAAGAAATTAAAAGGAAATATTTATCCTTACTTTTATCCTTAAATCTTCAAGAAAAGCTAAAGGTTTGAGGTCCTTAACTTTAATATAGTTAATGCTATATATTATTTTATTTTTTATGTATTTATTTTTTTTTCTGAGACGGAGTCTCTGTCGCCAGGCTGGAGTCCAATGGTGCAATCTTGGCTCACTGCAACCTCCGCCTCCGGGGTTCAAGTGATTCTCCTGCCTTTGTCTCTGGAGTAGCTGGGACTACAGGTGCCCGCCACCACGCCTGGCTAATTTTTTGTATTTTTAGTAGAGATGGGGTTTCACCATGTTAGCCAGGATGGTCTTGATCTCTTGACCTCGTGATTCACCTGCCTTGGCCTCCCAAAGTGCTGGGATTACAGGCCTGAGCCACTGCGCCCCGCCATTAAATAGTATTTCTTTGACCATAGTTGTTTATATGAAAAATCATAATAAAAATCCTTTATTGAACAAAATCTGGTGAATGTAAATAACAACATAATATTTTCACCACCTACTATTTCTGTCTTTTTCTTTGTGAAAATATTATCAATGAGTTATAAGAGTCCTAGAACTGATCAAAGATCATCTAATAATCCAGCCTTATTTTGTAGGTGAGTTGACTGAGATTCAAGTAGGTGATGTGGCTGCTTGAGATCGCACAGCTGGATAGAAATAGGGCTAGAATCCTGGCTCCCAGATCATTTCTGTTTCTTCAATATTGGACTTCTCTTAGAAGTCAGACCCTTCAAAATATAGGTTGACCATGTACAAACTAATTATGTACTATGCATATGTGGTCTATATAGTAATGAGTAAAGTAAAAGAGAGCCTCTGTCAATAGCTACAGAACCTCCCAGAATGATGCCCTTGAGAGAAGGGCAATAAACTTGCTGCTACAGTGTGCTGTCTTGAAGCAAGGACTTTAACCATGGGCTATAAAATGGTTATGTTACTCATAAACGAGTTGCAAGAGGTTTACAACTTTAACCTTTAATTTTGCTGTTGGCTGAAATAAAAACTAATTTTTACTTCAGATTTTTTTCAAAAGTATAACCAGGAAAATATTACTAAGAAGTACTGACTTACTGATTGCTTTTATGATCTTTTGCATTCAGCTGATTCTTCAGCTTTGCAGTGGGATTTCAGAATCACTTATACAAAACAATGAAACTAAAGAGAGTTATAATCTGAATGAATGCTTTAAATAAGCAGAAATAGTCTAATAGGTTCCTAAGAACCAACATTTATGAGGCAAAGTACGTTATTCTGGATCAATTTCCTTTGTTTAATTTTCAGGAATTCATGTAGATGAAATTCACTATGTATGGTATATGATATTTTCTGACATCATGGTTTAGAGAACAATTTTATCATAAAAAAAGCTATTTTTATTATGGACATTTTATATGCTAGGCACTCTGCTAGGTGCTTTACAAATATTAGCTGTAGTCATTAGTACATTTGTCTAAAGTAAATTGGAATCCTTATTTGATGACATGACATGGGAGCAAACTCAAATCTTTGTGACATCAAACATAATCCTTTTTACAATGTGCCATGTTAGCTGCATAGGCGGACCACAGCTGTATAGGAGGACCACATAAGATAGGATTCAGAACACATAGTGCAGAATCTACACCATAGTCTTAATTATCTGGTAGTTAAGTAATCTGTTTGGTAATCCTTTCATAGTATTTTCCATAAAAGAATATTCTCTTGCTGATTGTAAGACCATTTGCTTGAGATCCCATGGTGCTCATTAGAAGTGACGGAAGCACCGCTAGTAGATATCACTGTTGTTTGGCTAGCCTAGGATTCTATATCTGAATAGAGTACCAGGGAATTAATTATGAAAGACCTTGGTATTTGCATTCTATGATATGAGATATCAAATATCACATATCTCATGGGAGAAGTGGGGAAATGCACTTTTCTTTATAACTAAAAAACTGCCACTAAAGTTAATTTGATTTTATTTATCTGGGAAACAAACATCTGTGGAAATTTGGTGCACTTACTACTACTTTCTCAAATTTAATGTGCTTCAAAAACATATGATGGAAAACATGCCAAATCAATGACATCATGTTATTCTAATCCTTTTTAAAATTTATTTGGCATAAAGGATGTACTTAGGTGCAATTTTTTTATTTTTATTTTTGAGATATAAAACAAATGCCACATTAGTCATCAGTTTTCCATGTTTTTAAATAAATAAACTGTGAAAGATCTCATTGAACAGAACTCACTCCCTTATTACCATCGCTTTAAACAGTTGGAGAAGGAATTTGTGTAAAAACCACTTGAAAGTAACTTGTAGACATGATGACGTTTGTCTTCTAAATACACATTTCAGCGTGTGTGTCTTTAATAAAAGGGACATTGTCTAACATAGCCACAGTACAATGATAAAAGTAAGGGAATTAACATGGATACATAATCTAATATAAGACTTTATTCAAATTTTGAAAATTTTAATCCAACATCCAGTCTAGAGTCATGTATTGCATTTAGTTGTCATTTCTCATCAATTTCCTTTAATTTAGAACTTGCTTAGTCTTTGTCTTTTATCACCTTGACATTTTTCAGAAGTATAGGCCAATTATTTTGTAGTCTGTCTCTTGAATTTGAATTTGTCTGGTTTCCTCATGATTATATTTGGATCATGGATTTTTGGCAGGAATGCCGCAAAAGTAATGTTCTGTCCTTCTCAGTGCATTTTATCAGGCACATTTCTTTTTGTCCCATTATGAGTGATATTAACTTGGATAACTTGGTAATGGTAGACCATTGTAAAGATGCTATTTTTCCATTGTACTTATTATGTATCTTGTGGAGAGACACTTTGACACTCTGTAAATTATCAGACTCACCCATTAATTTTAACATTGATTCTTTACTGAATAAATTATTACTATAATTGCTATCAAGTGTATTTATATTCAACTTAACTTGTATTCAAGGAAGAGGTGCTATGAGAGGGCAAACCTGCAGTAATTTTCCAAGGCAGGCTTAGGTCTTTGCAGAGCCTGGCATGCTGTTGTTGCTTTAGGCACATGTATGACGCACACCCAGTTGAAAATGACCCATACCATGATATTTTACACCTCCTAGAGACTATTTGCATTGTGGGTATGTGTATATGTGTGTAAAATAATATAAGCTTTAGTAGCTGGATTTAGACAAATATTAATATACTTGCATTTCATTATTGTAGAATTAAGCATTGTCTTTATTTTTTATGAAAAATTATTGTTTTAATGTTTATCTTATTAAATTATTGCTTTGTGAGGGTTTTGTGATTTATATAATATACGATGATAATTAGATTTATACATATTTTTATTTTACAATTAGATATCACCTCTTAAAATCTTTATCCTCTAGATCGTTCCAAGTTTCTTCAATCGACACTTAAAGTGAAGTTAAGGAGGAATATCTTACTTGAAAGGATTATTTTTTCCAATTTTATTTCTAAATTCTATTTGTTAGGATCCGGAGTGTTGGAACAGCAGCTGTTAATATGTGCCTTGTGGCAACTGGCGGAGCAGATGCATATTATGAAATGGGAATTCACTGCTGGGATGTTGCAGGAGCTGGCATTATTGTTACTGAAGCTGGTGGCGTGCTAATGGATGTTACAGGTAAAATTATGGAGAGTGAAGCAGATCTCCACACATCTGTTGGACTTTTGTCCATATGTAGAATTTAAAAAACTTTTTGATATATGTTATACTGCAGTTTTTGAAGCAGAAACAAGCTATATAATTGTGTGCAAAATCAAAATAAGCTTTAGGAGATAGAGGTAAGGATAAGAGGTAATGGTAATGTGAGACTTACAATGATAAATGGCTAATCCTTTTCTAGTGTGAGTTTCAGGTACTCCTGAAAGGCTGTAGAAAAAGCCTAGACCAAGTTTGTCCAACCTGCAGTCCATGGGCCACATGTGGCTCAGGATGGCTTTGAATGTGGCCCAACACAACTTTGTAAACTTTCTTAAAACATAATGAGTTTTTTGCGATTAAAAAAATTTTTTTTAGCTCATCAGCCGTCATTAGTGCTAGTGTATTTTATGTGTGGCCCAAGACAATTCTTATTCTTCCAGTGTGGCCCAGGGAAGCCAAAATATTCGACACCCTTGGCCTAGACAGTCACCGAGTCTGAGGCTTATACCCAGAGCTCTTTGAATGGTGACAATGGTGATAGTTGATGATGGACTTCCTCCACCATCACTTTCTGTGTTGAGACTAGAGAAGTTAAATAATTGCTTTCAACTGATGGTGAAAATTTTAAACCGAAGGGTGAATCTGTGCTGAAAGAATTCACCAGTGATCTGGGAGAAAGGCAACAAAGAAATAAGGAAATGGGAAGGACAGTGGTATGAAAATGCATTGGATTCACATTTTCTGTCCATAGATTCTTAAACAATAAAGAGGTAATAAGAATGCACAAAAATAGAGAAAATATGACATTTTCTAACTGGTATGACTTCATTATTTACTCAAAAATTATGCTTAGAAACAGTTATATATTGTCTAAGCTTATACATTGTAGAAATGTAACAGTAGATTTTTGTTTAAGAAAACTGAAAGTATTAAAATGTTATGTGACCATAGTACATATTGCTATACTTGTTTTATATGAATTATTTTTGTACCAGATAAAATTATTTTTCATACTTGTTTGCTTTTAGGTGGACCATTTGATTTGATGTCACGAAGAGTAATTGCTGCAAATAATAGAATATTAGCAGAAAGGATAGCTAAAGAAATTCAGGTTATACCTTTGCAACGAGACGACGAAGATTAATTAAGGCAGCCTCATAGTCAATCCCAGTTGCTTTTCCCCAGATTTGGTGACTCATCAATGGATATGTGTTTTGGATGTATGATATGCTTGGTTTAAATTCTCTTTGTCCAGGTCAAAAATTTGGAACTTGTTTCTTATTTTACTATGTCTAGGTTTGCAAGAATTGACATAATGTTTGTTTCACTGATTTAAAAAATTTTGCATGTAAGAATGTACTTTAGGAAACATACCCAGGAAGTACAGTTGATAAATATAACATCAACTGAAATAGTCAATTAGCAATTTTGTGTTTCTAAATATCTATGGTCCCCTGAAATTTTGACTTAGTATATAGGTGCAGAGACACCCACTTAGAAAGTTAACTGTTTGGAAAAACATTTCTCTTTAGTTTCAAAAACCATATATAATTAAATTTGTAAGGATATACTGAGTACCCTAGGCCAACTTTTTTTTCTTTGCAGAGAACCTTTTTTGTTTTATTCTTCAGTGTTCATATAGCACCTGGCCCATTACATATCTAGGCAACTAAAAACAAACATTGTAAGAATGAATATTTTTAATGTAGTAATTCCTAGTTACAATAGATACATAAAGTAATGAACTCAGCATTCTGTACTTTTGCTTCAGGTTTGAAGTAAAAATTATCTAGTTAAATTTTTTTTATTTCACGTTACCATGCCATTTCACATTACCATACCATCAGATAGCATGGCTTATTGTGGGCATTTCTGCAGTGAATACATTTTCCAAAACAGTTAAATTGTCTGTTTGGATTTGCTTTAAAGTCTTGTGTAAGAGAGAAGAAACTATTTCTATAATAAAAAGCACTCTCATCAGATATCTGACATAATTAGATACAATATAACATTTTACTAAGTTCAGTATTCATGTTTTAAAGGTGTTTATACTGATTTGATTGTGCTGGCAAATATACTGTATTGTTAATATTGAACTGTTTATTTTTCTCTTAGTCTTCTTATTTAATTAACTTCATTGCCGCTGGATTCTGTTCAGCCTTTAAAAATATTTCTTAGTGGTCATTGCTCTGCAGAACTCAAAAAGAAAATTGTACTTGTTCATAGACATTTTTAAAGGGTTAATTTATTGTTCAGCCTTATCCCTTGGCACGTAAACAGACTACTAGACTTATTGTAGGTTCGTTTGAGCTTTGTGTTGTAAAATTAAAAATGCTTCTGTAAAGTTTTCAAGGTAGGGAGTGATTTTATTATTGTGTATATCTAATATATTAAGTATGTGTGATACTAAGGTTTGACTGCTATAATTATTTGTACTGTTGATCACATGTACTTAAAACATCTGATACTGTATTCTAAGACAGGTTGTTTTTGCAATTAAATTTATTTTAATAAGACGATCATGAATAAAACTTTAAATTGATATTTTTATTATTATTACCATTATCATTATTATTATTTTTAGATTCAGGGTCTCGCTCTGTTGCCCAGGGTCTGTCTCTGACTGTGCTGTGGTGCAGTCATAGCTCACTGTATCCTTAAATTCCTGGGCTCAAGTGATCCTCCTCTTTCAGTCTCCTGAGTAGCTGGGACTATAAGTTCATGCCACCATGCCCTACTAATGTTTTAATTTTATTTTTGTAAAGATGGGATCTTCCTATGTTTTCCAGGCCCCTTGGCCTCCCAAAGTGCTGGGATTACAGATGTGAGCCACCGAGCCAGGCCATGATATTTACATTATTAAAGTTAATAGTTCAAACTACTTTTAGAGGCTTTGTTTTGTTTTTGTTTTTTGAAGACAGTGTCTTGCTCTTCTGCTCAAACAGTAATGCAGTGGCATGATCACCATTCATTGCAGTCTCAACCTTCTGGGCTCAAGCAGTCCTCCCACCTCAGCCTCCCTAGTAACTGGAACCACAGGCACATGCCACCATGCCTGGCTAATTTTTTAGTTTTTGTAGAGACAGAATCTTCCTATGTTGCTTAGGCTGGTCTCATTGGGCTCAAGTGATCCTCCTGCCTCAGCCTTCTAAAGTGCTGGGATTACAGATGTGAGCCATTGCACCCAACATACTTTTAGAGGTTTTTGTGTTGAGTTACAAATATTTGAAACTTGCAAATGTAATTTAATATATGTTCTTATTTTTTGCCTGTAATCTTTCCAACTTTTCTAAAAACCTATATTTTTTTCTACAATAGCTTTTCCATCTGTTTATTCTAAATGCAGTTGCATATTTTGTGTCTGAAATTTCTTTAGATGCTGAAAAAGGATGATCGACAAGTGAATTATCTAATAATATTTGAAAATATTTCTTTGAGTAACAGGACTTCTTAGACTTAACATGTATATTTTGTATCAGGGTATATTATCTTTCTGCATGTGGATACATACACAGATACATACATAAATATACATAAATATATGTACTTGAACACATAAAATATATGTACTTGCCTTTTAACGAAATTGTGTTCATTCTATCCTATACTTACTTGTGAAGCATTATTTGGCTTTGTTATGAATTACCAGCCATTCTTAGAATTGGTTTACAATGCTAAGTCAGAAGTTTTCCTGGGATATGTATTATTCTGACTAATTTGTCCTTAATTTTAAGATCTAGTGTAGAGCCTAAAATACCATGTTTGAAGAAAACAAAAATAATTATTTTAAACTGTTTCCTTTTACCTCAGTTCCCTATGTTTACCCTGCCTCATTTAGAAAAAATACGTACTTTTTATTACTGTCTATTTAGTCACACACATAGTTTAAAATTTCAAATACTGCTACACAGTTCAGAATGAAAACCAGCATTTTCCTGTTCCATTCTATCCCACCCTAGTTTATCTCCTCAAACTCTTTTAGCAGTTGTTGCTGGTATTTACCTCCATCTTTGAAAAGGATAGATATGTTCTACTAAATCTTTATTTATTGGCTTCACTCCATCTCAGTTAACTTGGTATTATGGAAGCAGACCCCATGAGTTGCTTTTCTGTCCTCTTTTCCATCCTTCTACAATAGTGATATATAAAATTTTTTGCTAAAATTATGTCCATTGTTTAACTTACGACTTTTATTAATTGGTTAGCTAGCAAGTAGTGTGTTATGATTACAGTTTCTTTCCTGTGCAACTTTTTATACTTTCTGAAATTAACAGATTTCTCCCAGGATTTTCCATTGGTTCACCATACTTAAGTATTCTGTTGTGTGAGAACTATTTTCTTTTCTCTCTGGAGATAGCCCTTTTGGGGCCCTTTTCCTTTTCTTCTGTTTGAACTGGTTTCTGGCTGGGTATGCTGCACTGTCCTTCAGGGCTTGCCTCTGCTTCTATGCTGAATTTTCCATATCCTGGGTCTTTCTTAGCTCATTTTGATGAGCCCATCTTCCAAGTGCTTCCTGTGAAAGGTACTTGGGAGGTAAAATTTTGTGATCTCTGGTATCAGCAGATGTCTATTCCTGCTTGCTGCATTCATAGTTTGCCTAGGTCTAGAACTCTAGGTTGCAGCAGTGTTTCCCTCGGAATTTTTAAAGCATTGCTTCACTCTCAGAGCTTTCAGCATTGCTGATGAGACACTGTTGTGACGGTCACTCCATCAGTGTGTACTCTTTTCTGTTGAAGATTTTAGGATTTTCTCTTATCTAGAGTTTTCTGATTTCCCTGTGATGATCATTGACTTACGTCTTTTTCATTCTTTGTGTTAATTTTTCGTGTCTTTTTGTGCTGGAAATTCCTCCAGTCTTAAGGGTTTTGTTTCTGTGGTAACTTCCCCCCTTCCTTAGTCTCTTTCTTCTCTTTCTAGAATTTCTGTTATTCAGTTGTTGAATCCTCTATATTTATCAACTTATTTCCTCTGTTTAACATCTTTTTGCAGCTGGGCACAGTGGCTCACGCCTGTAATCCCAGCACTTTGGGAGGCCGAGGCAGGTGGATCACCTGAGGTCAGGAGTTCAAGACCAGCCTGGCTAACATGGCGAAACCTCGTCTCTACTAAAAATACAAAAATTAGCTGGGCGTGGTGGCGGGCGCCTGTAATCCCAGCTACTCGGGAGGCTGAGGCAGGAGAATCGCTTGAACTTGGGAGGTGGAGGTTGTAGTGAGCCGAGATCGAGCCACTGTACTCCAGCCTCGTCAATAAGAGTGAAACTCCATCTCAAAAAAAAACAAAAAAACAAAAAAAAAATCTCTTTGCTTTAGTTTCTAGGAGATTTCCATATCTTTATCTTCCAACCTATTAACTTTTAAAAAATCACTGTGTTCTGATTTCATTGACTAAATATGTTATCTTTCTATGATATTCTTTTATATATTTTAAAACATATTCTAGGTCCTGCATTGTCCCTTTCAAGTTCCTCAATTTTTAGTTGCTTTTTGTTCTTTGGTTGTATTTTTTATTTGTTCTCTTTCATTTTTTGGCATCCTCAACTATCTAATGGTCCTTTGTTTTATAAATGTACTAAAATGTATGAGATACTGGTAAAAGTACTGCTAATAGGGAAATCTATAACCTTAGCTGGAAATTAGGGAAATAGAGGGATTGACTGTTAGAAATAAAAATATTTCATAGTCTATGTGATTGTCCACTTAGAAAATCCAAAAGAATCTGCAGACAAACCATTAGAATTAGTGTCTTTAGTGATGTCACTAGAGATAAGGTCAGTGTACAGAAATTAACTGCATTTGTATAAGCTAGCAATACTTAAGATAGAATTTGGTGAAGATAGCATTTACAGTAATGTTTTTTAAAGCCATCAGATACCTAGAAATTGTTCTGACAAACATGTAAAAACTCCACACAGGAAAAACTACAAAGCCAAAATATTGCTGTGAAAAATATAAAAGATCATAGTAGATGGCATAATATACTATGTTTATGGTTTGGGACACTCAATATTGCCCAGATGGCAATCCTTCCCAAATTTATCTGCAGATTTAAGAAAATCTCAGTAATGCTTGGGGGAGGGAGTAAAGAGGGAGGACTGAAATGTATATGAAATATAGAGAGCCCAAAATAGCTAAAACCATTTTAAAGCAGAAGAGCAATGTTAGAAGACTAGACCACTAGATACCAAGACTTGTAGAGCTCTGTAATTAAAACAGTGATATTAGCACAAGGCTAGACAAATAGACCAGTGGGACAGAGCGTCCAGAAATAAACCCAAATGTATAGAACTATCTAGTTGATGAAAATGATGTCATTGCAATGTAGTAAGGAAATGATCGTCTTTTCAATAAGTGGTATGGAAGCAGTTGGATATCCATATTAAAGGAGAACATAGAATATTGGTCCCATCATGCCATGCACACAAATCAATTCCAGATGATCCTAGACCTAAAAATAAAAGGTGAAAGAAAGCTTCTAGAAGATAGCATATCTTCCTGTCCTTGGTAGGCAAAGACAGGGTACAAAAAACAGGATACAAAAAAGCACTGACCCTAAAGAAAGACTGACAAATTGGGCTGCATTAATAGGTTTGCATCAAAATACACCGTTAAGAGAGAAGGGCAACCCACAGAGTTTGCAATACATCTATCTGAGAAATTATAATGAGGCTATAAATAACTCCTATGTAGCAAAAAAAAAAGATCCAATTACAAAATAGGCAAATAATTTTACTACATACTCCACAAAATTATATATTCAAACAATAAAAAATAAAAGTGTTCAATGTTATTTGTCATCCCAAAAATGCAAATTAAAACAATCTTATACCACTACATACATCAGAATGGCTAAAGCAAATAATAAATCCAGTGAACACATAAACTAAATAACCCCCCAACATCATATGCTATTGCCGGGGATGTACATTGGTATAACTACTTTAGGAAACTCTGGTGGTATCTACTAAAGCTAATCATCTGTTTGTCATAGGATCCAGCAGCTTCATTCCTCTGCACCTATTCAGCATACATGCACACATATATCACCAAAAGGCACATACAGCTATGTTCGTAGTAGCATTCTGTTATATGAGCCCTAAACGGTAAACAATGCAAAAGTCTACCAGTAACAGATGGATTTTCTTTTTCTTTTTTTTTTTTTTTTTTGAGGTGGAGTCTCACTCTTGCCCAGGCTGGGGTGCAGTGGCTTGATCATGGCTCACTGCAACCTTGAATTCCTGGGTTCCAGCAATCCTCCCACCTCAGCCTCCTGAGTAGCTGGACCTACAGGCAGGTGCCACCATGCTCGGCTAATTTAAACAAATTTTTTTCTTTTTAGACATGGGGTGTTGCTGTGTTGCCCAGGCTGAATCTCAAATTCCTGGGCTCAAGGATCCTCCCCCCTTGGCCTCTCAAGTGCTGGATTACAAGCCTGCGCTACCGGGCTGGGCTGGTGGTTTCTCTTCTATCAAGTCACTGTAGGGAAACTCATGCATGCCCCATGACTTCAATCATCATATCCATTCTATTGACTCAATCTTGACCTACAGCCCATATTTTCTTTCTGAATTTCACCCCTTCCCTGCCACTGCCTCTGCTCTGCCCTGCTCCTTCCTGGATGCCCCCTTCTGACCATCCTCTACTTGATTTCAATATGTCTCAAATAAAACAAATGAATTTTTGCTCAGAATTTTCTGCTACTCAACTGTTTTCATTTTTCTCTGCCCTTTCAAGTTTAGCATTTGATATATTTGATGTTTCTCTTTCCCCAGTCCTCACATCCAATTTTTCATAGCCAAGTTTTTTTTTATCATTTGACCCCACCTAACATTCCCACTGAATACTCCTGCCAGACTGGACCAATAGCTCTTCACTGGCCTCCTCTGAACTTTTTCAGGTGATATTCCTTCTGCCCAGAACAGCTTACAGTAATAATAGGTTAATTTTTTTTATGAGTGTGAAGATAAAGTCACAGTGATTCTCCTTTCTCTGGGAATTGCTCCCAACAAATGGCTGTGCTTACTGTCACCATGTCTGTAGTTGGTGTGACTCTGTTCTCTGTTTACTTCAGAAGAGGATATCTGACTCAACAAGACAAGTGAAATTTGCTAGGGTATTGGAAATTTTGAACCCAAAGACAGATTGGAAATAATTGGAAATCACTTTAGGTCAGCACTGGATAAGAAGTAACATGTGTCTCAGGAGGCATCCTTCAGATTGAGCTGGGTGTCAGCATTCAATTCCACAAGGCTACCTGTTTAAGAAGAATGGAAATATTTCATAGGTAATATGTTCTAATTTCTAATATGTCATATGTAATATGTTCATTTCTTAGGTAGTTTCTTCCTCTAAATAGCTCTTAAAATATTTTCCTTGATAATGTTATTTATGATATTTAGCATTTGTTGAGTGCACTGTACCATGTGTTGTGTTAAGCACTAAATATTCATGATGATAATTAAACCTCACAATAACACCAGGAGAAGTTATTTTCATTGTACCAAAGCACATATTTAATTAGCCCAATTTCCCTGCTAAGGTGACACAGGTAAGTGGTGACACTCCTGCAGTGACACAGCGAGGGTGTGCAATCTTAACCCCCCTGCCCAGGGATCCTCCCCCTCAAGCTGCACATGGGAACCACCTGGGGAGGGTACAGACCGTCCACTGCTGGGGTCCCTCCTGAGTGGATCTGACTGACCAGGTTTGGAGGGTCGCCTGGCCATCTGTATATTTTTTTAAGTTTTCAGGTAACAATATCAGGCAGCCAGGATTGAGAATTATTTTGTTTTCCAAGAATAACTGATTTCTTAGAAGTAGCCAACTCACCTACTCACCCACCTCAACAAACCTCAGAGGGTCTTAGGGTATGACTTGATACCTTTACAAGGAAATGTTGCTGTGAGCCATGCCTTTGCCACCTGATGAGCCTGCTTGGAAATTATTATACCTGCCTTTTTTATTTCCACAAATTAACACTAGATGGCAAACTGCACACAGGGAATCATATTAAACATTTCCATTTCTGAAACACTTTATTTTTTCTTCAAATAACCTCATTAGCCAATATTTGAGTTTAGTAATATAGTATTAAAACCAAGAGAATTCTTCATAAATTGAATTACTCCAGGTCATGGGTTAACTAGCATTCCCTTCAGCAGAGCCGTAGGCACCCTGTATACACTATGGCTTGGATTTCAGTTGTCTTAAAGGTTCAGCTGTTAAAATATGTTTATTAATCATAAACATATAGAAAACAAAATACTTCCTTATCACACCTGAGAACACTTTTCCAACAATATATGTTAATATCCCTATTAAATAATTGACTCACTAATAAAAACGTTTACAAATACCTGCCTACCTTTCAGGGAGCTTTTCATATCTCTAGGGATACAAGGCAGGGGGTGCTTTGATACTACTATATGCCCACTTTCCTGTTCTTTTTCCTCAGAAACTGTTTGCTTGGATGATGAAGTAATGGAGGTGGGGTATGTGAGAAACAGTATGAGAGAAGTATACATTACTTACGTTGAGGAGCAGTGTAATAATATTGTCATTTATTTAGTCTCTCATAACTGGTAAAATACCTTCATATCCCTGACCTCGAAGTGGCAGCACTCATCCAGCTACCTCAGAGTTGACAACATCACTCATCAGACCTTACACATAAAGGTGAGGTGTGGGGGATTTGTTTTTTTTTTTTAATACTTTATGTATGTGTGTATGAATGAATGAATGAATGACAGTGTCTTGCTCTGTTGTTTAGAATGCAGTGGTGCCATCAGGCTCACTGTAACCTCGAATTCATAGACTCAGTTGACCTATTGACCTTCCCCGCTCAGTCTCCCAAATAGCTGGGACTACAGGCATGTGCCACGACACCTGGCTAATTTTTAAATTTTTTGTAGAGACTGGGTCTTGCTGTGTTCCCCAGGCTGATCTCAAACTCCTAGTCTCAAACAATCCTCCTGCCTCAGCCTGAAAAGTCCTGGGGTTACAGGCATGAGCCACCGTGCCTGGCCAGGTGTGAGGGATGTAGAGGTTCAAGTAATCTTTCTAAATGCAAATACATGATCACCAGCCTAATGGTTTCTCAGTTTTCTTGGGGTAAAGTCTAAATTCCTTAATTTGGATTAGAAGACCATTCACGATCTGGTCCCCTCTCCTTGCCGCTCAGCCTTTTCACCTCTAGCCTCACATACATAGAGGTCAGATTGGAGTTTTTTCAGCTTCTGCAGCATGCCTTCTTCTAGCTTATGAACCTTCACAACAAGCTGGCTCGTTTCACTTTATTTGGTTTTTAGTAATGCTCTCTCTTACCTTCCCCTTTGAACCTCATCTTAACTCAGGCTTAACCTACCTTTACATGTTTAATATCTATTTACATATTACCCACATATTTGGTTTTAGCTTTCTTTTAGCTTCCTCCAAGAATCCTTTGACCACCGAAGTGTGGATATATTTCTTCTCCTGAGTGCTCTGCATTTCTTCAGACGGCTTACCTGCTTTGTTATAACTGCCTCTTGTAGGGAAAGATGGCCCTCTGAACACCATGGAGGATGGAGGCGGTCCTTTACTCATTCTTGTATTCTCAACATCCAGTACAGTGCTTGGTTAATAACAAGCCCTCTATAAATATTTGTTGAATACTTGAGGTGTCAATACCTAACGACACCTCTCTTATGCCATCTTGTACTCAGGTTTGAGAGCCATAATATATGCATGCCTGCAAATAATAGATTGCCTAGAACCACCCCAATTGTCCCTTTCCCAGAAAAGCTAAAGACCAGCCCATCTAGTACTTGATTTGTTTTTGTTTTAAAGCCAAGCTATGAAGAACCCCAAAGTCTTGCAGATTCACTTCAGATTCAAAGGGACAGATGTGAGATATGAAAAATATAATAAAATTTCTGTCCGTTCTGCTACAAAATCAAAATGAATGTAACTTTACATGACCATGCAAAATTCAGGTATACTGAGAACTTCACCATATTGAGAACTTATCAGGGGTGTCCAATCTTTTGGCTTCCCTGAGCCACATTGGAAGAAGAATTGTCTTGGGCTACATATAACATACACTAACACTAATACTAATGATAGCTGATGAACTTAAACAAAAAAAGCAAAAAAGTCTTAATGTTTTAAGAAAGTTTACAAATTTGTGTTGGTCCACATTCAAAGCTATCCTGGACCACATGCAGCCTGTGGGTGTCAGGATAGACAAGCTTGCTTTAGATGATTTGGGCCCACTAAAAACAGACTTAGGTCTTCACAAAGAGCAATTGCCATAGTGGTGATGAACTCAGTCCCTTCCATTCCTGCTCTCTCTGCTTCCTCCCTCCATCACAATTCAAGCCCTGAGGGAGAATAAACTTTAAAGATATGATTAACTAGATTACATTCTTCCAACACCACATTATAGTTTGTAGATAAACCTCAGTGCTGCCAAGGCCCTGCAGTTTGTATGCCTTGCTATCATATTTACTAAGGGGTTCTTAAGTTTATGCTTGGTAGAAAGATAATGAGACTGAATAAAGTCCTTTTTAGTTCCTACCTTGGGTCAAGACAAACTGGTAAAAAAAAAAAAAAACTTCATGGGAAACATAACTTTTGTCTTGGTCCCACTTTCACCAAATCCCAACATAATCACTTTTAAATAGCTCTGTAAAAGTCTATCTTGAAGGTTATTGTTTATTGTAAGCAACAGCCCATGACCTCTGAAACGCATCTCTGTGTTCATTCATTGTATCTTACAAGGTTCTCTTTGCCACTTCCTGGAAGAAAATCCTATATGATTTTAATATCACAAATAACTGTTGTTGTCTTGAGTGATTCATTTGTTATTACCTGAGCGATTAGTGAGAACTTGATGAAATTATAAGTTCCAGCATCGCATCCTAGATCTACAGAATTTGAAATTCTGTAAGTGGGGCCTCAGTGATTCTAGTTTTATAAACTCTTCAGGTGATTCAGATGCACACAAAATTTGGGAATCCCTTTTATAGAGAGGAATTATGTAATTGACTAGGCTTCTCTTCAAATTTGGCCACTGGAAAGCTTAGAGGTAAATTTGTGGTTCGCTGGTAGCAGATGTGTGGAGCATTATGATTTTTAGTTATTTCTTTGTCTGCTGTGGGTTTACCTTTGGTTTGTTTTTATTTCTATTTTCATTTCACTTCTAATTTAAGTTCTTGTCATATGACATATCCACACAAGCCATCTTAAGTCTTTTTTGAAACATGGCAAGAAACAGGCAAGTAGATAGCCAGACAAATAGAAAAATAGTTATTACACTCAGCTTCTGTAGAGAACAAGGTATTCTTGGCAACTGGTGCAGAGTAAGCACCCTTTGCAAACCTGGAGAAGGCCGTGTGTGTGTGTGTGTGTGTGTGTGTGTGTGTATTGTTGTGTATGTATGTGTCATTTAAGTAGATGAGAGGAAGTCATGCATGTGAATTAGAAAACTATTGCGTTTATTGACCAGTGAATGACTTTTTACTTTTCCATCCAAAAGCAACTGTTGGCTGGGTTCAGTGGCTCCTGCCTGGAATGCCAGCCCTTTAGGAGGCTGAGGCAGAAAGGCCACTTGAGGCCAGGATTTTGAGACCAGCCTGGGCAACATAGCAAGACCCCATCTATATGAAATTTTAAAAATTAGATGAGTGTGGCAGCATGCACCTGTATTCCTAGCTAAGGAGTCTGAGGAATGAAGATGCTTGAGCTCAGCAGTTGGAGGTTACAGTGATTTATATAGCACCACTGCACTCCAGCCTGAGTGACAGAGTGAGACGCTGTCTCAAAAACCCTGTCTCTACTAAAAATACAAAAAAAAAAAAATTAGCGGGGAGTGGTGGTGGGCGCCTGTAGTTCCAGCCACTCAGGAGGCTGAGGCAGGAGAATGGCATGAACTCGGGAGGCTGAGCTTGCAGTGAGCCAAGATTGTGCCACTGCACTCCAGCCTGGGCAACAGAGCAAGACTCCGTCTCAAAAAAAAAGAAGAGAAAAGAAACAACTGTACTTCCTTGTTGCTCTTCATTCAATTCATGGTACATGTACTTGCTAGAAAGCTCATGTGAAACAGTAATGTGGATGATAGGACAAATCCTTACCCTCTTTTGTGCCCTTTCTTGCTTGGCTACAAACCTTTCCACCTTAGTTGTCTTTGTTACCTACTAGCTAATCCCTATGAAGGCATTAATTTACAACAGCTTTAGAGAGTAATTCTGAGAATTCCTGGGAGTGAAGGCCTCCCCTAGATTGTTTTGATATGTTTCCATAAGAGGAAATTCACTTTCCATTTTTCTATCTGTACTACAACCACCCTACCTGTGAGAATCACCATAAATGGGGTTGAGCCTAAGAATTACACTGTTAACTGTAGAGGGTGTCCAGGTTCTTGGCATCTTGAACAAAGAATTGGACAAAATGTGCAAAGCAAGGAAAGAATGGAGGGTTTTAGTAAAAAATGAAAGTACGCTCCACCGTGTGGGAGCGGGCCTGAGCACAGGGGCTCAAAGGCCCTGTTACAGAATTTTTGGGAGTTTAAATACCCCCGAGAGAATCCCCATGGTTACTTGCAGTACGCCCTATGTAAATGGAGAGGATGAAGTAAAGTTACAAAGTCATTTAGGCATATGCCCTATGGAGAGGATATTTCCTGTTATAGCTGAAGTGTGAATTGGCCTTACATTCCCTCCCTCCAGCCCCTATTTTCCTGCCTCAATACCACATAGAGAGACTATTTGATTTATCTGACAAGTGGTCATGTGTTACGGCCAGGCCAGGTAAACCAGATCTTCTTATCTTGTATTACTCTCCCCAGTCATTACCATGAAGAAGATCCAGTGAGATCAACGTTTGAGACCTCTCAGCTAACCTGAGGGAGACATTAGGGGATGTAGCCCGATGCCACTTTCTGCCTTAGGAATTTAGGATTGAAAATGTTGGGTGTGACTGCATTTGCTGGGTTTTCACTTTTTTGGATACTTGCTTATAACATGGTTCCATGCGTTCTGAAACCCTGTCAGCTGGACTTCACCATACCAAGAGCAGCTTTATAATAATTCGGTAAGAATTTGGCTGTTTTGGTCCAGCTGAAACCCTAGAGCCTGATTAATCTAATGGAGGATATCCTTTAGTGCTCCGTCAGTCAGCACAGTGATTGTTAAACTGCTTCTAAATTCTGAGATAAGTATTAAGCAAAGGGACCCACCTAAAGACAAGGTCCTTCATTTCAACCAATCTTAGGAGCACCTGTTTTCTGAAGGTATGGGCAGGGCACTGCAGGGGTCTAGAGATGGGAAGGCTGAGTGCTCTCCCTTTGGATAATGATAGTTAATAAAAGCAGTATTTAGTGAGCACCTGGCAGTTAATATACATGATTTAATGTAATTAGCTACAATATTAAGAAGAAGAATATAAGGAAAGTTTGATGGAATAAGACCAATTATCTGCTATAAAGATTTGGAGGTGCCAGTGTGGTGGCTCATACCTGTAATCCCAGCACTTTGAGAGGCAGAGGTAGGAGCCCAGGAGTTTGAAACTAGCCTGGGCAACATAGGGAGATGCCTATTTCTGCAAGTAGTTTTAAAAATTAGCCAGGTGTGGTGGTATGTGCCTGTGGTCCTAGCTACTCAGGATGCTAAACAGGAGAATTGCCTGAGCCTGCAAAGTAGAAGCTGCAGTGAGCTGTGATCTCACCACTGCAGTCCAGCCTGGGCAACAGAGTGAGACTCTGTCTCAAAACCAGACAAAACAAAAAAGATTTGTAAGGAAAACTCTCAGGAGGAATTGGAAATACCTCATGGAAAAGTTGGTTTTTGAATTTAAGGCCGTAAAGAATTGACGAAATCTGGAAAGCTGGAGCGGGGATTGGCATACCATGAAGGGGAAACGCCAGGAGAAAACCCTGGGAGACAGAGAAGGACTGGTTAGTTTAGGGAAGGGTGAGAACTCCGATTTAAGGAGTATGCAGGGTAAGTCTAAGGAACCCTTGGGAGGGACCTGTTGTGCAGTGTCTTGGATGCCAGGCTGGGCCAAGGAGTTTCTCTCTAATTTGCCATGGGACTGTTCAAGGCTGTGGAGCCTAGATTGATGGCAGCTAGCACATAGGATTTAGAGGTTGTTGAATAGCAGCATGCAGACAGGGGTATATTTGGAAATGACTGAAGCCAGCTAAAAGATTTAAAGTAGTCCAAGAAAGAATGAGTGATGGAAACCTGACTGTAGGCAGCAGAAACTCACAGGATGGGGACAGATCCAAAACTCTTCGTGGAGATATCGTCCATGGGATTTTGGCAAAGATTAGGGAGACGGTGACACAGGAGCAGATTTGGGGATGAGTTCTTTTGGGGGCATGTGGAGATTCAAGCAACAGTAGGAAGTCCAAGTAGAGATGCCCAGAGGGCAGCTGGAATCGCCACCTGAGTTTGGGAAGGGAGAATTAGGAAGACTGAGATTTTTCTGCTGAGGTGATAGTTGACACTATGGGAAAAGAGGTGATTGCAGAAGTGCAAAAGGATGAGATCAGAGGTAAAAGATCCTCCTTAGAGGATCTTAGTGTGGATCCATCCTCTTGAAGAAAGGCTTGTCAGGGAGGTTGTTATGTATAAAATAAAAATAGTGACTGAGGCTGGGCACGGTGGCTCATGCCTATAATCCCAGCACTTTGGGAGGCCGAGGTGGACAGATCACTTGAGGTCAGGAGTTCGAGACCTGGCCAACATGGTGAAACCACATCTCTACTAAAAATACAAAAAATTAGCTGACCATGGTGGCAGGTGCCCGTAATCCCAGCTACTCAGGAGGCTGAGGCAGGATAATTGCTTGAACTGGGAGGTGGAGCTTGCAGTGAGCCGAGATAGAGCCACTGCATTCCAGCCTGGGCAACAGAGACTCCATCATAAAAAAATAAAAAATAAAAAATAAAAGTGACTGAAAGCATTTAAACCCACCAGGAACTGATATCTTGACCTAAGATGTTGGTTATCAATTAAGAGCACAATTTGACTATGGAGAAAACAATCAGGTGACACGAAGGAAGAACTGCAAGGAATCAATTGGCAAATTTATCTTTCAAAACTCGTCATACAGAAAAGACTTAACAAGGAGAGGAGAACCACCCCTGTGATTGTAATAAAGTTTGGATGACAGGCTAGGCCTCCCGATTTGTGATATTTGGGATCACCCTGTTTGGTTTTATTTTTATAACTATTGTCCTGAAGTAACCTTTGTTCTGTTTCCTTCTTTTGGTTTGTTTTACTCTGTCCAGTGTAATAGGAGCAAGCATAGATAATTCCCCTTTAAAATATAAACCTAAATAATAGGTTAAGAGAGAGCCACCATAAAACCCATTCCTGCACCTAGTAATTTATCCTGCTTGTTCCAGCACTGGAAGTTGATCCTGTATTTTTACCTGGTGATTACCTGGGCAGGGCTACAACCTGAACAAACATTTATTCTAGCCAGAAAACACTTCAAATGGCAAGATGACTCTTTCAATATTTACTAATCTGCTATTAGCTTAAGCCAGTACACTCATAATGACTTTCAAACATACGAAGAAAGGTTAATAAATCTGAACGACAGCTATCGTACTCTTAAGTCACCAGGTTAGTGGCAAATAATGGTATAGAGCATATAATGATCAAGGAAATAACTACTATAAAATACATAACAAAATATTACCATGGAAATGAACCCATTTATACTGGCATGAGAGGCTACTCACAGCAGGTTTCTCAGCAAGTGAAAGGGAAGCTCAATTCTGTCCAGCTCCACTCTCCAGCCCAAGAGCATGAATGGCCCTTTAAGGGGAATACATTCCTTCATGGGTGAAGGCACTTTGGCTTCTCCCTGTTTTCTCTAGTGGTAAAACTCAGGAGAATTGGCAAAGGAGATTCTGCTTAAAGATTTTTTTTTGTTTTTTTTTTTTTTTTTGAGGTGGATGGAGTTTTGCTCTTGTTGCCCAGGCTGGAGTGCAATGGCGTGATCTCGGCTCACCGCAATCTCTGCCTCCTGGGTTCAAGCGATTCTCCTGCCTCAGCCTCCCGAGTACCTGGGATTACAGGCATGCACCCCCATGCCCAGCTAATTTTGTATTTTTAATAGAGATGGAGTTTCTCCATGTTGGTCAGGCTGGTCTCCAACTCCTGACCTCAGGTGATCCGCCCACCTCGGCCTCCCAAAGTACTGGGATTATAGGCATGAGCCACTGTGCCGGCCAAAGATTTTTAAATCTTCTAAATAATCAGATCTTGCTCATTTTAGACTCATTTTCTTTTCCTACTCTTTAAAAAAGTGGAACCGACATATAGCTCTGAAATAATTCAATTGAGCCATCCAGTAAGGGGTTGCTTCCTGTTTTCTGGACACTCATGCAGGCAGTAGAGACATTGGTGAGAAGGGCTTTGGTGTCAATTAGTCCAGAGTTCAGCTCTCTGCTCATTTATTTCATTATCCTTAAGTCATTTAACCAGATATTTCTGGAGAACCCAGTGGCAGGTTTCAGGTCCCAGGGTTATGGTGATGAACAAGTAGATACCGTCCCTGCCCTCATGGAGCATACACTTTAGCTGCAGGGGAAAAGTTTTTAAATACCGTAATAAAATTCAAAACAAGGCCACAAGTTTCGGATTTTCTGTGTGATCTTTGGCAAGTGTCTTAGCACCTGAGTTGTTGTCTTCTTCTTCTTCTTCTCCTTCTCCTTCCTCTCCCTCTTCTTCTCTCTTCTCTTTCCTCTTCTTCTTCTTCTTTTTTTTTTTTCCTGAGACAGAGTTTTGCTCCTGTGGCCCAGGCTGGAGTGCAATGACACAATCTTGGCTCACTGCAACCTCTGTCTCCCAAGTTCAAGTGATTCTCCCACCTCAGCCTCCCTAGTAGCCAGGATTACAGGCACCCGCCACCACGCCCGGCAAATTTTTGTATTTTAGTAGAGACAGGGTTTCGCCATGTTAGCCAGGCTGGTCTCGAACTCCTGACCTCAGATGATCTGCCTGTCTCAGCCTCTCCAAATGCGGGGATTACAGGCGTGAGCTGTCGTGTCCAGCCTAAGCTCCTCAGTTTTTAAACAGGGTTCTTGGGCATTCGATTCAATAATAATTGCAAATAACTATGTGGTCTGGTATGTAGGAACCACACAATGATCATTATCTGATATTGTTTTAAATTTTACAATTACAGGATTTCAAATTGTTTTGTTCACTCACTGCTACATCCCAAGTGCATAGAGCTATGCCTGGCACATGGCAGGCATCCAATAAATATTTGTTGGCTGACTTTAAAGATGAAGAGAACCATGATGGCACAAAAAGACAATAACGGAGATGAAATTAAACCACAAGGAAAATTCATACACTACTTGATGGAGCCTTTGTAAATTTAACATAACAAAATGTTTCTTCTTCTTCTCCTCCTTCTTCTTCTTCGAGATTGTGGTCTCACTCTGTAGCCCAGGCTGGAGTGTAGTGGGTGATGGGATCATGGCTCACTGCAGCCTCAACCTTCTGAGCTCAAGCAATCCTCTCGTCTCAGCCTCCCAAGTAGCTGGGACTACTGGCATGTGCCACCACACCTGGCTAATTTTTTAATTTTTGGTATGGATCGGGTCTCACTATGTTGCCCAGGCTGGTCTGGAACTCCTAACCTCAAGCGACTCTCCTGCCTCAGCCTTCCAAAGTACTGAGATTATAGGCATGAGCCACCATGACTTGACTCATAGTGTTACATTTTTGGGGAAATCCAAGCTAGAAAACAGAATTAGTGCTCAGAAATTGAACTCATAACTAGCCCTAAGTGAAAAACTCAAATACTTTCTTCTCCATCTTCATCCACTAGAGGGCGTATATTACTTAACACAAGTCAGCCTTTCCCAAGCACGGCAGAAGCTGTTTTAAAATGATGATTAATGGAACAACGAGTAGACCTAATGACCTATCCTGTACATTTTGATTTAGGCAGATGGTTAAACTAAATGGTCTCAGATAAAAAATAAATAGTATCGAAAAGAAATGATGAAAATGTGATTCTTATATTTCCTCAAACTTTGTAATAGAAGAATAAACATTAAAGAAATTACATCAATTTCTTTTTTCAAACATTTATTTGTCATAGTCATTTTGTTTATATCCTAACTCAAGATAATTCAGTTAAAATGTACTTAAGAACAAAATCATGAATAATATTAACATATTTCGGGACATTACACCAGTAACGTGCCAGCAAGAGTATAGTTTTTCATTTGAAAGAAGCTTAGCAGGTGCCAAAGAATAATAAAAAATTAACTGTACAAAATGACATTTGTTTTAAGGGGATCATTATGTGATGATTTTACTTGGATCATATTTGTCAATCTAAACATTTATGATATGGCTGAAAAAAACTGAGGAATAAAAAAGTCCAAAACACCTATTTTAATTTGAAACTTGTTTCTAGAGATTGTTTTTTCCCCCTATTTTGGTAGTGGAGCTTTAATCAGTTAAACCATAAGATACCTCCTCTTTAGTCAGGCAGTTGTTTTATTCAATTCTGTGGGAGGAGGAAACAGTAAAATTCAAATTTCACTGGGGAACACTTTAGACTGAAAGAAAGGATTCTTCTCCTCTATTAAATATTTTACATCCTTAAAAATGAAATTGTGACTGGTCACCAGAATGGACACTTGCATTGAATAAATATGTCAGACTCTATATTGAATATTAAATAATTGTTTTGTCTCAGGCAAATGCTCATTTATATTCTGTGTAAACCGCTGTGACTTGCTATATATTTCCTGTTGTTTATTTACCAAGAGCCTGCAAACTACTTGAAATGAGGACTTTAGTCTACTTTTCTATAAGCATGGAATGATTGCCATAGGGCTAGAATATAATTCATGCTCAATAATTACTTGTTGAATTATGTTTTTAATACTATAAGCCAATATTTCCCTAAATATGTTCTGTTGAGAATTAGGCTCTCTAGACAGAAGCTCGTAAAACATTACCTCCATGGTCAAATAAATTTGAGGAACTACCTGGTGTATTCTTTTTTTTTTTCATTCAACAAACATTTATTTAGCTTTGACACTGTTGGGTGCTAGGTTGGTCTTTGCACAAACAAGAGAGTATGGCAGAGAAACAAAGGCCATCTGAAAAAGTGACATCTGCTGCTAGTGTAATAGTGTGAAAATAAATCATATATTATTACAATAAAATGTATTTTTTCTGGATTTATCATATTTCTCATTTTAAAATGTTTAATTTTTTTCTATTTTTAATTTTTATAGGTATATAGTACATATATACGTGTATAGGGTACATGAAATGTTTTGATGTAGGCATACAATGCGTAATAATCACATCAGGGTGAGTGGGACATTTATTACCTCACTTATAATTTCTTTGTGTTAAGAACATTCCAGTCATACACTTTTAGTTATTTGAAAATGTACTATAAGTTATTGTTGACTGAAGTAACCCTATTGTGATATCAAATATTAGATCTTATTTATTCTATTGAACTATATTTTTGTACCATTAACCATCCCCACTCACCTTGCCTCCCCTCTACCCTTCCCAGCCATCATTCTGCTCTCTATTTCCATGAGTTCAATTATTTTAATTATTAGTGCCCACAAATGAGTAAGAACATGTGAAGTTTGTCTTTCTGTGCCTGGCTTATTTCATTTAACATAATGTCCTCTAGTTCCATCCATGTCCTCTAGTTCTTGCAAATGACAGGATCTTATTCTTTTTTATGGCTGAATCATACTCCATTGTGTATATGTACTGCATTTTCTTTATCCATTTGTCTGGTGATGGACACGTAATTTGCTTCTAAATCTTGGCTATTATACCACAATAAATCTAAGAGTGAAGATACTGCTTCAATATGCTGATTTCCTCTCTTTTGGGTATATGCCTAACAGTCAGATTGCTGGATCATTTGGTAGCCCTATTTTAGTGTTTTGGGGAAGCTCCATACCATTCTCTATAGTGGCTGTATTAATAATTTACATTCCCACCAACACTGTACAAGGGTTGCCTTTTCTGCACATCCTTGCCAGCATTTATTATTGCCTGTCTTTTGGATAAAAGTATATAACTGGGGTGAGATGGTATCCCATTGTAGTTTTCATTTGCATTTGTCTGATAATCAATGATATTGAGCACTTTTATATACCTGGTTGCCATTTGTATGTCTTCTTTTGAAAATGTCTTTTCAGATCTTTTGCCGATTTAAAAAATAGGATTACTAGATTCTTTTTCCTCTTGAGTTGTTTGAACTTCTTATATATTCTGGTTATGAATCCCTTGTCAGATGAATAGTTTGCAAATATTTTCTCCCATTCTGTGGGCTGTCTCTTCACTTTGTTGATTGCTTCTTTTGCTGGGCAGAAGCTTTCTAACTTGATATGATCCCATTTGTCCATTTTTGCTTTAGTTGCCTGTGCTTATAGGGTATTACTCAAGAAATCATTGCCCAAACCAATTTCCTAGAGAGTCTTCCCAATGTTTTCTGTCAGCCATTTTATAGCTTGAGGTCTCAGATTTACATCTTTAATCCATTTTGATTTGATTTTGTTTTTCTTTTTTTAGGCAGGGTCTTGCTCTGTTGCCCAAGCTGGAGGGCAGTGGTGTGATCTTGGCTCACTGCAGCCTCTGCCTCCTGGGTTCAAGTGATTCTCCTGCCTAAGCCACCCCATTCCCTGGGATTGCAGTGGCACACCACCACATGCGGCTAATTTTTGTGTTTTTAGTTGAGATGGAGTTTCGCCATGTTGGCCAGGCTAGTTTCAAACTCCTGGCCTCATGTGATCTGTCAGCTTCGGCATCCTGAAGTGTTGGAATTACAGGCATAAGACACCGTGCCCGGCCTGATTTGATTTTTGTATGTGGAAAGAGATAAGGATCTAGTTTCATTCTTCTGAATATGAATATAGTTTTCGGGCACCATTTATTAAAGAGACTGTTCTTTCCCTAATATATATTTTTGGCACTTTTGTCGAAAATGAGTTCTATGTAGATATATGGATTTATTTCTGGGCTCCTTTCTGTTCCATTGGTCTATCTGTGTGTTTTTATGCCAGAACCATGCTATTTTGGTTACTATAGCTCTGTAGTTAATTTTCAGGTAAAGTGATTCCCTAGTTTTGTTATTTTTGCTCAGGATTGCTTTGGCTATTCTGGATCTTTTGTGGTTCCATATTAATTTTAGAGTTTTTTTTTTCTGTTTCTGTGAAGAATGTTATTGATATTTTGATAGGGACTGCACTGAATTTGTAGATTGTTCTGTGTAGCATCAACATTTTAATAATATTGTTTCTTCCAATTCATGAACATGGAATATTTTTCCATTTTTTGTGTCCTCTTCAATTTCTTTCATCGATGTTTTATAGTTTTCACAGAGAGATTGTCCTTATCTTTGGTTATATTTATTCCTATGTATTTTATTTTATTTGTAGCTATTATAAATGGAATCACTTTCTTGATTTCTTTTTCATATTGTTTGATGTTGTCTTATAGGAATGCTACTGATTATTGTATATTGATTTTCTATCCTCAAACTTTACTGAATTTGCTTATCAGTTTGAATAGTTTTTTGGTGGAGTCTTTAGGTTTTTCCAAATATAAGTTCATATCATCTGCAAATAAGGATAATTTGACATCTTTCTTTCCAATTTGGATACACTTTATTTATTTCTCTTGTCTGATTGCTCCTAGCTAGGACTTCCAGTACTATATTGAATAATAGTGGTGAAAGTGGGCATTCTTGTTTCAGATCTCCTCATTCAGACTGATACTAGCTGTGGGTCTGTTATATATGACTTTTCTTGTGTTGAGGTGTGTTCCTTGTGTACCCAGTTTTTGAGGGTTTTTTATCATGAACTAGCTTTTCTACTTCTTTAAGATGCATTGTTAGGTTGTTTATTGGAAGTTTTTTCACTTTTTTTGATGTAGGTGCCTATAGTTGAGTTTTATCAAATGCCTTTAAGCATCAATTAAAATGATCATATGATTTTGTCCTTCATTGTGTTGATATGATTTATCACACGGAATGATAGTGTATACTGAAACATCCATTTAGCCAGTCTCTGTGTTTTGGTTGGAGAATTTAGTCCATTTATATCCCATGTTATTATTAATAGGTAAGGATTTAATACTGTCATTTTCTTATTTATTTTCTGGTTGTTTTGTGGTCTTCTCTTCATTATTTCCTTCTTTCCTGTCTTCCTTTTTATGAAAGTGATTTTCTTTGGTGGCATGTTTTAATTTCTTGCTTTTTATTTTTTGTGTAACTTTGTAGTTTTTTTATTTTTTAATTTAATTACCATGAGGCTTGCAAATAACATCTTTTTTTTTTTTTTTTTTTGAGATGGAGTTTCTCTCTTGTTGCCCAGGTTGGAGTGCAGTGGTGCAATCTTAGATAACTGCAACCTCTGCCTCCCAGGTTCAAGCAATTCTTCTGCCTCAGCAGGAGGCAAACATTGGAGAAGATTTTTACTGTATACTTACCTGCATTTTTAATTGTGTGAAAATATTATGTATTAAAAATTATATTTAGAGAAATATATACAAAGATTTTATATGAATCTTGCATCAGAAAAAACAAGTTTTAAGGCCCCCCCTAAATGCCAGTTTGGCAAAGGTGACATTGAAGTGGGATTTTTTGGTGCCTCTGATTTGGGATTTTATCACTATTGTTATATTACTCAGGTCAAATCATAAGTAAAGACTAGGAATTAAAAGGAAAGAAAGGCATTAGCTATCTTTTTGGAAAGAAAATCTGCAAGTATTAATTGATTCAAAATTGCTACTTAAATATAAATACATGTGTTTATCCGTTATAAAGATGTTATAAAGTTGTTCAAGTTATTCTCTTATATTCCCAAATCTCTATTGTGTCTTTAGCCATTCCATTTCATTTTTAATAATTGTCATTTGTAGTTTTCTTTCTTTCCCCTTTAAACAGTACAGTTAGAGGTTCATCTTTATTTTTTGTCAGTCTTTTCAAAGAAACATATATCAGTTTTATTCCCCTATTGTTTCATTGCTTTCTGTTTCACTAATTTCTACTTTTTTTTTTTTTTTTTTTTTGAGATGGAGTCTCGCTCTGTCATCCAGGCTAGACTGCAGTGGCGCAATCTCGGCTCACTGCAACCTCCACCTCCCGAGTTCAAGTGATTCTCCCACCTCAGCCTCCCAAGTAGCTGGGATTACAGGCACTTGCCATCATGCCCGGCTAATTTTTGTATTTTTCTCGAGACAGGGTTTCACCATGTTGGCTGGGCTGGTCTTGAACTCCTGACCTCAGGTGATCCACCAGCCTTGGCCTCCCAAAGTGTTGGGATTACAGGCGTGAGCTACTGTGCCTGGTCAATTTCTGCCCTTGTATTATCTCCTTCTGTCTGCTGTTTAAAAAGATTTTATCTGATGTTCTTTTTCCAATTCCTCAAATAGGATGGGAAACTTACTGTTTTTAATTTACTTATTTGGATGTGATTTTTTATGATCTTTATTTTGATACCATTTAAAACACAGGCAAGTTCCAAACATAGTACATATAACTTTTCCATAGACTTTACCCAAATGCACCAATTATTTACCTTTGTCCTGTTTGTTTTATCATTTGCAGTCCCCCTCTGTCCATATGTATGCACATATTGATGTGTGTGTGCTTGTGTGTGTGTGTACTTAACTAGTTTTTGGTCAACTTGATCTATCAGTTTTTGAGACAGATGTGTTAAAATCTCCCACTATTGTGGTTTTATTCATTTTATTCTTATAATTCTAATGGTTTTGCTGAGTAGTATATTATTAGGTGCATAGAATTTCTGCATTTATATGCTCTTTATGAATGTTGCCTTAAATCCTATTTTGAATTATAATAATATCATTTCACTAGCTTTTTTTTGGTGAATATTTAACTATTATGTCTTGTTTTTGTCCCTTTATATTCAACTTTCCTGTGTTGTTTGTTTTAGGATGTCTGTTATAAGCAGCATATAGCTGGACTTTGTTTTTTAAATCCAGTTTTGTAGTGTCTCTCTTTTATAGATGAACTGAACCCTTTATTTGACCAAGAAGATATCATCATATGTTATAAACTGTACCATAAATCTGGTGACTGATGAAGAAGGAGAAACAAATGTGACTATTCAATTCTGGGATTCTGAAGGTAGGCAAGAAAGACTCATTAAAGAAATCAAGAATGTGAAAGTCAAAGTACTCAGACAAAAAGACAGTCTTCTCCAGGCACCAATGCATATTGACAGAAATATCCTAATGCTTATTTTACTACTAATACTGTTGAATAAATGCACATTTAGTTGCAATATTGAATTACAGGTGTTTCAAACAGCATTGAAGAGACCTTTGCCAGTAATTCTTGGGGCAGTTACACAGTTTTTTTTTGATGCCATTTTGTGGATTTCTTTTGTCTCAGATTGTGGCATTGCCTGAGGCACAAGCTTTTGGATTTGTAATGACCTGCACGTGCCCAGGAAGGGTGGGGGCTGTCTCTTTTCTCTGCTTCTAGACGGAAATTTCACATTGGCCATTTTGATGACTTGCACATTAACATTATTGCCCCGATCACGATGCCTGTCAATTTTACACATACAGTAAGATATTAGGGTTGTCAGGTACATTTCATATTCCTATTTCTAAAATTGTGTCAACACTCCTTTTCATACTTTATCAGTATCTGTTGAAATAGTCATCAAGCGTAGAATACCTGAAAGAGCAAACTTCTTAGAGAGAATAATTAGACCTCTGAGTTTTATTTTAATGTTCATAGGGATTTATTTGACTTTCAGAGTGGGATTAATGTTTCTAAAAACAGATAACCTAGAGGTGCTTTTGTTGGGTCTCTTAGTTCCTGCTTCACATTTCTCATTTGGGCACTTTTTTGCTAAAGTTTGTATGCTGTGTCTTCTTGTTTATAAAACTGTTGCTATTGAAAGTTGGTTGTTAAATAGTTTCTTAGTCCTGGCCATTATTCAGCTGTCTTTTCCAAGTCCAAGGCAAACTTAGCCTCTGTGGCTCCTTTTACAGGAGCCATGTGTTCTGGATGTGAAATGTTACTGTTCCTTTTGGTCTTACAAGGCTAAGAAAAGCTGTACCCTTATCTTAGAAGATAAGAGAAAAAGAAATTGCCTAGCTTAACAATTAAAGCATTGCCGAATTCCTACTCAGGCACTGTGGAGAGTCAAAGAGTAACTAAAATGATGTCCATTCATAAGCCACTTATGAGCTGATAAAAAAGTTGACATGGGGTGAGGAAGAATACATGTGTATATATACCCAACACCATAAATGTTAAGCATCCAAAGAGTGCTTCCAACAGTAGAATGCTACACAGGAGTTCAGAGGAAGGCGGTAACTTTTCAGTTGTGTTGGTTTGAGAATGTTTTATGGAGTACAAGGTGAATATGATACTTTATTATGGTAGCAAAACGTAAGATCTTATTAGCTATCCTGGACACTCCACCCCTGACCAGCTGCCATGGTGTATATATAATTATATTAGGTCAGAGTCCACTTAAATCATTAACTATTAACTGAGAATATCATGGCATGTAGAAGCTAAAACTTTTTTTTTAATGAAGAGAGAGGTCATTTAAAAGAAGTCAACTCCAAAGACTAAGTGCAGTTGACAAGATGCCTATGATTTCTGGGGAGGGAAATTGCCCACTCATTCCTGTGGCGGCCTCTCTTTATTATGCAAATACAGGGCAAGTAAGCACTGTCATCCTTGCCTTTGGGAAAGGATAACAGACCTTCTTGTGGCTTCACAGGGCCACCCTTCCCTAGAACTCTCTTCTGTATGCTCAGCTGTCTGGGGAGGTGTCAGGGGCATTGGATCTCACCTCTCTTTCATTCTGAGGTTCAGCGTAATTACAACCTCTCTCACAGATGGGAGTCAGCTGACAGGAAAGGATACCAAAGGCCTCCAAGAGGGAGCTTCCCTTAGGGAAGGTTGAAAGAGTGAGGAGCTGGACATCATGCCAGGAAGCAGAGTTTGTGCTGCTGTCCCCTGCCCCCGACAACACCTGGGCACGGCAGACGTTCTTAGGATTAGGAACAGTGGCTGCAGATGGGACCAGAGTTTTAGATACTGCCCCTTTGGGAACTCAGAGGTAGTGCATCCTGTACTGAGGTCTCTGCAACTTTCTGAACTACTTTCACAATATTGGACCAAAGATCCTTTGGATTTGTGAGACCAGTTTGCAGCTTTACCACAATCAAATCTGAACACTAAGACTTCCCTGTGTACCGACAGATTTTGCATTTCACTTTCAGTAGGCATTTGGAAGCAGAACGGCCTCTTTGGACTGAAAAAATCTAGGTTACCTGACAACAATTGTGAGGCAGATGCTAAGGTCTCTAGAAAAATACTAGGCTTCTTGCTCACCTGACACAGGTAATTTGAAATGTTATCATTTGAAGGAATAAGATAGGTGATATTGAATCTCTCTTGCTTCAAATTGATTATACTGATTTTAGCAGCTTTGCCAAATCACTGGGACCACATTCATTTAAAAAGGTTAAAAGATGATGGATGACATTTCTGCAAAAGCCTGGAAATTTTTATTTAGTTATGAATTAACACTTGTCATCATGCAGTTGGCAAGATTTTTAAGATGATTGACAATGAAGAATGAAATAGCTAGTTTCTGAAAGCTTGTCTTTAAAACAAAACAAAAAATCATTTAATAGGCAAATAGAGATATCCAAACCAGATACCTAGGCATCATTCTTTAGACAATTAAAGACAAGTTTCTTGCTCTTTGTGGGGTGTGGGAATTGGGTCCACAGTTCATATCATTAATCTCTGGGAAGTGTTTCATTGGCAACATGATTGTGACAACATCTTGTCCTTAGATTAAATGAAGAGAAACAATCACTTCCTAAGCAAGGAGCCAAATAGCTCACTTTTCTGTTCCTGCTGTGGCTGGGACATCTTATATCTGTGCAACAGTTTTTGCATGATGATGATGTATGTACCACGATGCTGCCCCTTCAAGAAGAGGAAACATTTTAAGGACCATAAACTAGTCCTTGTACCTCGTATAATGCAACCTCCTTGTGCCGTACATTCTCTGCGTGAGGACTTTTGTAGGACCAAAAGGAAAATTTCCCTTTGTTCTCTGAATGCTTGCTGAAAATCAACTGACAAAAGACAGATTAATAGGAGAGAAGGGTACAAATTTATTTGATCATAGTTTTAAGTGACATGGGAGCCTTCAGAATGAAGACCCAAGATACAGGGGAACAGTCCATTTTTATGTTTAGGTTCAAACAAAGTATAACCAGCTGTGTAGAAATAGGATTGGACCAAAAGTGTATAGTGTAATGCAAATAGACTGAGTGGGGAAACCCAGCAAAGCCTGTCTGTTTAGATTTTATTTGGCCTCTCTGTGGTGCATTCCTTCCTTCTGTGCATTGGGCAAGACCCTCTGTGGAATGGGGGTCTTGAGACCTACAGTCAGAAAAAGTGGGTTGGATAATTTCTTTATGGTCTGTTTTTACGCGAAAAATTGGGGAGATTAGAATAATATTTTTGGGTTTCTAGGACCTGCCTTGGGGAAGAAGAATTCCAGTTTCTAAGGCAAGCCTTGAGGGAGAATGTGGGGCCAGAGACAGGAAGGCAAGAGGCTTCAAATAACTTTTTTTCTGTGAGGCTGCTTCTGAGGACTTCATTTTGGGGTGTCGTTTTCTGAGCCCCAACACTTTGGAGTCAGTGTGTTTCACTGCTCTGCTCTTGCTGTGTGACCTGTGACCTGTGTGAGGACAAATCATTTACCTTCTCTGAGCCTCAGTTTCTTCATCTGTGTGATGAAGCTAATTATACGTACCTCAGGCAACGTTTAACAAAAATAATGCATATAAAAACACAATTGCTGAAAGCATAGTAAGTCCTCGATAGGTGGTATCTAAATATATCACTGAGAAAAAGGGCAGTTAGTTCTGGCTACTGACTATTAAAAAAAATTAATATAAGTTTACCAGGTAATGCTTTGGCAAATAAAAGCTGCTCAACCGAAGTCATATCTCCAATTTGTGTTTTGTCAAAATGGTACTACGGAAAAATGAGAGAAAGGGTAAAGAAAGAGAAATGGGAAAAGGCGAGTGAATGGAAGAATAAAGAAGAAAAGAGAAAAATAAAGAGGAATTGAATTTTAAAAAGATTTAGAGAAGAAGGGGCAAGCAGGAGAAAAGAAGTTAGAAGAACCAGAACTGGGAAAGAAGAGGCCAGATCTGAGGCTCCTGCGCCGGTGAAGACCCGGGCCGGGCCTAGCAGAGCCTCTCAGGGCGCAGCTCGGGGCGGGGCCCAGCAAAGCAACCACGCCCCCTCATTGATGGGCTTAAGAAGCGGCGACCTTTTGGTCCCGGGCAGCCCCTCTGCCTCCCAAAGCACTGAGGCTGGATAGCACCAGGCACCCAGCTAGCAGGACAACTCGAGGTGAGGCCCCTGTTTTCCCCGCCCCGCTCGCCGACTCGAGGTGAGGCTCCTGTTTTCCCCGCCCCCCTCGCCACCCTCTCCGGGTTCGGCGCTTCTCTCTGCTGGGGTGGGGGCGAGGGCGGTCTGCGGTGTGCGGTCAGCCCCTGGGGCGAAGGCCGCATCTGGGTGACTCTTGCCTGCCACGTTATCTGGAGCTGCCCTGGGGTGACCAGGAACACTCCCGATGTTGGAGTAGCGGTTCGCGGACGCCACTGCACTTAACCCCTGTGGCAGCTTCTGTGGAATCATTGCCGCTTTTCATTTTCCCTACTCCGAAAAGCTTAGAGAAACTTGGCGCATCCCAGGCTCAGTTAGTCACCGTAAGTGATGGGGCAGCGCCCGGATGACTGGCAGCGCCAGTCGCGCTGCTAGGGACAGGTGGCCGACAGATGGCAGAGAGATCACTTACAGGTAGTCACCGTAAGAGATGGCGCAGCGCCAGTCGCACTGCTGGGGACAGGTAGCCGAGAGGAAGATGGCCTGGCTCCCACGCTGGGAAGGGTGTGACCAGGACAGAAACAGCAGGAAACAGTTCAGGTGTTTATGGATTTGGGAAAATGAAAGTGAGTAAATACGGCCCCTTTCCATTAAGAAATGTACTTGTGATATGATACATATGTGTATATCAGAATAAATGTATTACATATATATGTTTTCATCCACCATTACTGGCTCATAACTCCCATAAGCCCTTGTTACAGTCTTTTGTTATAATGTCGGGGCACTGCAGCCCCCAGAAAAATGGAATTTCTCTCTTTGACCTTCTGTCCTCCTTTCATCTGCTGCTTTTTCTCCCCAAGGTAAGGATCTTCCCCTACCTTTGTGTCTTGTAGCTGGTTATAAATAAATTCTCTGGCCTATCTTTGTCTGATTGTAGTTCATAAGACTCCCATTTCGGAAGAGGCCCCGCTCCATACCCAGGAGGAAGGAATGCTGCAAAGGGGAACCAAGAAGAATCTGAACAGACAGACCTCACTGGGTTTCCCTGGTCTATTACTATTAGATCATACAGATTTTGTGGGATGATATTCCTACACAATTATCTATCAATCATGCCTATCCGATGAAGTCCAGACTCAGGCCCTCAGTTGCTATCTACTCAAGTAACTTACATGTTTATATCTGCAGGCCAAACCTCTCTTCTGAGCTCAGGATCTATCTATTCAGCTGAATAATTGACAGCTTCTTTTGATTTCAGGGAGGCCTCATATCTCTGCTAATTGAACTCTTAATTTTCCAACCTCTTACCCACATCCCAAACTTGACTCTTTTTTTTGTTACTCCCCATTCAGTAGATGTGACCGTTATGGATTCGGTTGCCAGACTGGAAAATCTGGTCATCCTTGAACTCTTCCTCTCCCTCATACTCCATAGCCAATCTGTTACTGAGTCTCCCCAATTTTATTTCCCAAAACAGATTATCTCTTGACTCCCTTAGCTTCTCCACCAGAAAACTTCCCTCCCCAGGTTTCAGCCAATCATCAGGTCTCCTCCGCTCTACTGCATCCTGAATGTAAATCATCTAACCGTCTACCCACACCCACTTTCTGCCAGTCTGTTCAGTAGCCACAATGCAGTGATTCCTCAAGTGTCTCCCATCAAAGTCTTATCCCTGAAGTCCTGTAAGGGACCTCATTACCTGTAAGGTCCAGTAAGGTCCTACAAGGACCTGTAAGGGACCTACCCTGTAAGGGACCCCACTTCCTCCCCAGCTTTATCCCTCCTAATTCCCTTGACGTCTGAGCTGTCACACTTAGGCCCTTCAGTTAGTCTTCATGTACCAGGCATCCTGCAGTTGAGTGAGTTCATGCCTGTTCACTTGTTCTTCTCATCTTGGCTTAATCTTGTCTTCAGGGAAACCTGATCTGATGCCAAAGTCCAGGTGAAAGCTCCCCTGTTAGATGCTTCTCACTGCACTTCTCCTACTTAGCCTTTATTATTACAGTTATGATTTTGCATGTGGTCTGTGCATTTTTGATTAATATCTGAGTCCCCTCCTAGAGAGTAAGTGTGAATGGGACCTGGTTTTCCTCCCCATGGTGCAGTGTATAGGGTATAATAAGTATTCAGCAAACATCTATTTAAAGGTGAAACACATAGTGACTTCTGGGTGAAGAATCCCTAGAAGAGAGGGTAGCTTTTGAAATAGGCCCTGAAGAATTGGTCGAAGTGACATTAGTGCTGTGAGTGGCTTGAGCCATTTCTGGCAGGAAAGCAGGTGCAGCTTGAAAATGTCTAGTTCTGTTAAGACTAGTGGAGCAGAATGAGTGTCAGAATGAAAAAAAAGCTTGGTAACAATTCTTGAAGATCTCTAAGGAGTTACTTATATGACTCAGAGACTGGCCTCCTTAAAAAAATTTTTTTAATGCCTTTATCAGGAAGAAAAAGCAACAGGCAGAAACTCACTGTATTAGTCCTTTGCCCTCCTTTCCTCTTCTGTCTCTTTTCCTATAATGTAAGCCCCAACATAGGGATTTCTGAGTATCTTCAAGATGCAACTCTATGTTAGCTATTCTCCATTGTAAAGAAGACAAAACTAGGGTTGCTTTATACTGAGGCCACATTTTTGGAATCTGACAGCTTAAAAAGCTTCATTGTGCTAGGTACAGTCTTTAGAGTGTGATCAAGCCACTGATGAGTTATTCTAGTCTTCAGAAGTCAGTGGAAAGCTGGACACTTCAGAACACAAATAAATGTTGTTGTTTTTTCTCCTCTCTAATCTCAGAGTAATACATCTCATTTTTTTTCTTTTTTTATTATTCTTTTGGTCCTGGAATTTTCTTTTCTCAGATTGCCATAATAGAAAGAACAATGGAATTTAAAATCAGTTCAAATTCTTACTGTGTTATTTCTTTCTATCATCTTGGGTACAGAAGTTCTCATCTCTAAGCCTTAAGTTCTTGATCTTTATAATCTTATTAAAAAATCCATCTCCTGTGTAGAGCACCTGCCTGCCTGGCATTTAGTTAGTACATGTGCCTTTTGCTCCTTCCTTTCAAAACTTCTTTTATTTCAGTATTCCCAGTGTTCTTTCTTTTATCTTCACTTTATCCCTCACCCAAACGTTTACCTATCTATTAAAATGTTTTCTTGGGTCCTTTTTCTCTATTTCCTAAACCAGTTATTGATTTTTTTTTTCCTAAACTCCCTTTATTTCACCCAGCTATGCAAATTGCGAGGCCAGGGATATGACCACAAACAATTAAGGTTTAATTTACATGAATAAGCTTTCTTTCTGATGAAAATACTATGTGTAACTTCTCACTTGCTCTAACGCCCACAAAATCCCCACCCTATCTGGCACAGATACACTCAACATGCAATATTAAGCACAATTTTTATTTTATTTTTCTCCATAGAATAGTCCGTCTTCAGTCTTTGACTCAGCTCCTTACATGGGCTTTGGTGGGGGTCGTGGGGCAGCACCTGCAGGTCTAAATCAGGGTAGGGGTGTTCAATCCTTGCGGGCTTCACAGGATCGGTTCCTGACTACTTTGCTGTGAATTGCACAACTCACACAGTAATGTAGCTTCACATACAGTTCGGGAAGCAACTAGGCTTCGAAGATGCTTGCTTCAGAAATGTCCCTGACTGCTGTGGCCTCCACTATGTTCCGAATGTCAAATTTCTTAATGGCCTTGTCCTTGGGCATGCATTGGTTACAGTTTGTGCTGAGAATAGGCTGCACGTGGCTGCAGCCCTTTTTTGGTACAACCGTTGTTCCCTCTTTTCTTTGTCATCTTGGAGGCGTGCACCAGAGAGTGTGTTTTGTTTTTTAATGTGTTTTGGTATGGACACATTTGGAGATAATTTAATAGAATTTTTTTTTTGTATATTTCTGTATTAGTAGTGAAGTAATCCAGGTAGAAAATGTTCTTTAATTGGTCTAGGAGTAAATCTTGGAAAAAAAAATTGAACTCTGGAATAGGGCAGGGGGTAAATTCAAAATGAAAGTCTGTTGCTAATTAAGATTTTTTTGTGGAAAAAACTATTCTATAATTAAGACTTTTAGAGAATTCTAACCACTTTGTGCTGACATGTGTTAAATATTTTCAGAAGATGGCTGATCCTTGGCAGGAATGCATGGATTATGCAGTAACCCTAGCAAGACAAGCTGGAGAGGTATGAATTAAAATTTTGTCAGCCATAATGTGATGGGTGTGAAGTGTGTGGTTGCCTTATTAAATAAAATATGTATTTTGTTCAGTCTGCATTTGTTTTCCTTTTACTAAACACTTTATAGTGAGCACTTCAATTTTATATCATTAAACGTCTTGTGATCACAGTTGTGAAGCTAAAATAGGATGTTAGAATATATAATTCTGTACCTAAAAGGTCATAATTATTGAAGGCTTATGTTATAAACATTTTTATAAGAAATTCTTAAGAATATCTTTTTTTTTTTAGACGGAGTTTCGCTCTTGTTGCCCAGGCTGGAGTGCAATGGCATGACCTCGGCTCACCACAACCTCTGCCTGCCGGGTTCAAGCGATTCTCCTGCCTCAGCCTCCTGAGTAGCTGGGATTACAGGCATGCGCCACCATGCCTGGCTAGTTTTGTATTTTTAGTAGAGATGGGGTTTCTCCATGTTGGTCATGCTGGCCTTAAACTCCCGACCTCAGGTGATCCGCCTGCCTCGGCCTCCCAAAGTGCTGGGATTACAGGTGTGAGCCACCGTGCCCAGCCAAGAATATCTTTAAGGAATGTTATTTAAAGTCAGATTGAATGTTGTAAACCATTTTTGTGTTTTATCTTTTTGTTTGATTGAAAATTACTTATGTTTTTCTATTTGCCTACCAAAAACCCTTTTTAGGTGGTTCATGATGCTCTTAAAAATGAAGTGAATGTTATCCTGAAAGGTTCTCCAGTTGATTTGGTAACTGCTACTGACCAAAAAGTTGAAAAAATGCTTATCTCTTCCATAAAGGAAAAGTATCCATCTCATAGGTATTTTTTTATTTCCATTTCAAATGATAAAATGAAATCTAAGTTGGAGTTACTTATACCAGGCAAGCATTTTGATTTTAGACACAGAAATTGACTTTAGTTAGCTTAAGCTGAAAAGGGATTTATGTTGTGGGTGTGGGCTCCTTGGGCCAGAACCATGGGAGGGAGGAGGAGTATCTGAGGGAACACAGGAGCTATGGCTGAGGAGGCCACTGGTAGCCTCACTCCTGACTCTGATGGTTTGAATACTTTCTAACTAACCTTTTATCTTTACCTCATTAGTTTAAGATTACAAATTCTGGACAGGGATATGCAGTTTCTGAGTTTAGGTGCTTTGCATATGCTCAAGCTGACAGGGAGTAGGAAAGAGGAATATTTGGATTCCTTCATAGTAAAAGGAATGGTTGGGTGCTGGGAAGCTAACGTGACAAACGTCTGCCGTTGGCATGATTTAAAAGTTCAATTTCATTCTGTGTATCGTAAACTTCTTTATATGGTAGAGTGGCAGTAGCTCTAGAAAGTCTGAGAGAAAATCCTGAAATTAGAGCTCTTTTACAGGCACAGAAATTTAACAGAAACATTATCATTCTAAACTGTTAGCACTGTGATTCTGGACTTCTTCCTAGTCATGTCATTGGCCATTCCTGGTGTTTTTAGCCATTGAGAAGAAAAAATGTTTAAAGCCGTGGCTAAGTGTATTTCTTCCGAATAAAAATATTTATAGCTAAGAGAAAAAGAGATAAATAAAGATGATGATAGTGGTTATTAAGACAGTTCGGTTTTAAATGAAAGAAAATAAATAGAAAAGAAAACAGGAAAGAAGAAAACCAGTGAAGTCTAGCACCATTTATGGGATTTCCATAAGATTTAGTTAGAAACAAGTTACCAAGTGTAGCTTACACTCAAGGCAAGGGGTATTAGGCTCTGCCTCTTGATGGGAGTATTAGAGAGTGTCTGGACCCATTTTTAAAATCATGGCATTTCCTTAATGATTTCTCATCTCCAAAAACTGCTCTTGTCTGGTGTGTGTGTGTGTGTGTGCGCGCATGCCATGCATATGCCATTACTTATTCTGGTATTACATTTTATAATTTTTTTTTTTTTGAGACAGAGTCTTGCTCTGTCACTCAGGCTAGAGTGCAGTGGTGCGATCTCAGCTCACTGCAACCTCCACCTCACGGGTTCAAGCAATTCTCCTGTCTCAGCCTCCTGAGTAGCTGGGACTACAGGTGCACGCTACGACGCCCAGCTAATTTTTGTATTTTTAGTAGAGAGGGGTTTCACCATATTGGTCAGGCTGGTCTTGAACTCCCGACCTCAGGGGATCCACCCGCTTTGGCCTCCTGAAGTGCTGGGATTACAGGCATGAGCCACCATGCCCAGCCACATTTTAAAATTTTGAATTCTGTAATTTTTCACATGACTTTACTTTCAGTGAAATAAAATAAATCTTCCCTCTCACTGTTATCAGTCTTTCTAGGGACAAAGAAGCAACAATAGAAAAGTAGGGTGCAGACTTTTATATTTTATACAAGACTGTGTAGCTAAGGAAATGTCATGGTTTGGAAATTGTTAATAGGAGTGTGTCCTTCTTGCTTTTAGTTTCACTGGTGAGGAATCTGGCAGCTGGGGAAAAAGGTGTCTTAACTGACAACCCTACGTGGATCATTGACCCTATTGATGGAACAACTAAGTTTGTCCATAGGTATGTTTTAAACATTTTAGTACAATTGCTCTTCGTATATTACCTGGATAGCCCTTTAGAGTGCTCTGTGCGGGAACATACACATTTTAGAGAATTGTGCACTTTGTTTATGCATCTTTATTCTAAGAAAGTGTATCTAAAGTGAACAGAGCAAATTGTACTATGCAGACTTCTCATCGGATATGGAGGTAAAGAAATATTAATGGTGTGATCTTTTTATGTGGAGTAGCATGCCCTGTTCACCATTCTTTTCTTACTCTTGGAGCCACATAAAAATGGAAGCAAACAACCTTGCTTCTTTGAGATCGAGAAAGAAACTAATGAGGTCACTATTGGAATGCTGTCAATACAGAATGAGTTCAGTCCAGAAGAGAAAACAGGGTTAAAAATTGGAGGAGTGTTAGGTTCAACAGGCTTAGGCTTGAATTCTGGTGTTTTTAAATTGACTTTGTGACTTTGGGCAAGTTAATCTTTTTAAGCCTCAGTTTTAAAAAAGACCATATTAATGTCACCTGTCTAATAGAATTGTTTATTGATGGGACTCTATGAGTGGTACATTTATGTAAGAACTTAGTATAGTGCCTGGCACAGAGTTTAAGTATATGATATCACTAGAAGAAAGCCTGATGGAATTGTGCATGTGAGTTAAAATGAGTAGCCAACTGTGGTGGGATTCCACATAGATGTTACTTATTTTTTTTTTAAGACAAGGTCACACTCTGTCACCCAGGCTGGAGTACAGTGGCAAGATCATGGCTCACTGCAGCCTTGAACTCCTGGGCTCAAAGTATGCTCCCACCTCAGCCTCCCAAGCAGCTGGGACTATGGGTGCAAGCCACCACACCAAGCTAGTTTATTTATTTTTGTAGAGATAGGGTCTCACTATGTTGCCCAGGCTGGTCTCAAATGCCTGGCCTCAAGCGGTCCTCCCACCTTGGCCTCCGAAAATGCTAGGATTACAGGCTTGGGCCACCACACCCGGCCCATCAGTGTTACTTTTGAAGTTGCCATGTAGTTGTACACATCTGTACTATGTACAGAATAGTTAAAATCTATAAAGTTTTGTAGACTTTATATACATGATAGTGTTGTATCTTTTAAATGTGGAAAGATGCTTATGATCTAATGTAAAAGGAGAAGATTATATGATACAGTGTGTATAGTTTGATCCTATTTTTGTTAAAATAAAAACTCATATTTAGAGGTTTTTATTTGTAGTAGTTATGTTGACCCTATTTTGCCTTGATCTTGACTCTCTTGTGGGTCAGAAATTTCAACCTATGTGTTTAAACTGTCATGCAACCATAAAAATAATGGTGAACTGTCTACTATTCAGATGTGAAGTTACATGTTTGGTGTTGGAATAGAGACAAGTAACAGCAATCCTGAACAACGCAGTACCTGTGTCTACCAAGGCTCCAGGCTGCAGGAAAAATGATGAAAATAGACTCTTCTTTTTAAGAATTCACTTTAATTTTCTTAAAATTTACTTTTATTTTTTGAAAAGATATTTTCACAGTCATTAGATTATGGCATTTGATATTCAAAAGATAGGAAATGGCATACAGTAGAAGGTACCCTTGCCACTTCTGTCCCCAGTTTCTCAGGACCCATCTCTCAGGTGACCATTGTTATCCATTTCTTATGAATCCTTTCCGAGAGGTTTCATGCCTGTAGGAGCATCTTGTGTGAATGCATGTATGTGTGTATAATATGTCCCCTTCCCTATTTACACAAGGAGTTGTATACAATACACACTGTTCTGCATCTTAGATATTGCGGGGAGGAGGGATAAGACTGTTTATAGGAAAAATTTTATGAGAACTTATATTACAAAAAGATGAATTTTAGTAACTATATTAACAATAAGTTCTATCTTGGTAAACTTGTGTTTTGTCTTTTTTTAAGATTTCCTTTTGTAGCTGTTTCGATTGGCCTTGTTGTAAATAAGAAGGTATGTTGTTTTAAATGTATAGTTGATTAAATGCCTTGCTTTCGTTTTCTGGGAAAGAGTAAATGTATCTTCATAATAAATTTAGATGTCTTTATTTTCAATTCATATAACTGCATTATTTTGAATATAAGCTACAGGACTGTTAAAATGTTCATGACACATTTCCAGTGAAGAAAATGTAATGCTTTCTGAGAAGCAGGGGTTGTAAGGAGAAAATGCACACAAGTAACTGAAAGTTCAGTATTTAGCCACCATTGTATGTGTCAGAGAGTGAAATGGGATAGGAGTTTATGTGTGATCTAAAATGCTTCATGGAAAACGTGGGATTTAAGCTGGGAATGCTTCAATAGGTATCAGCGAAAAGAGCCCTTTAAAGACCAAGAATTAGCAAGGGCCAATGCATGGTTTGAAAATAGCAAGTGTATTGTGGGATCGACACATTATTGAATACTTGTGTAGAAAGCCCAGCAGAGTAAAATCCATAGCTATTGCATTTCCTTGCTGTTTGGCTGTTTGTTTGGTTAAACAGTGAAGATGTTTGCTACTATCTTACATCCCTGTCTTCGGGGAATTTTTGATATGTTCGATCAACCTGTACACAAAAACACTAAAGAAATTTCTGAAAATAAAACACAAATTAATACAAATGGAGGCTTAGCCCTAGGGTTGTATTAATCATGAGAACGTCCAAAAGGAGCTAAGTGAGCATTCAGTCTATAATCAGCCCTGTGCTGTGTGCTGGTCCTGCCATTGAACTCACAGCTCAGCACAGAGTTGGATGTGTGAACAGGTAAAGATGATATGTGGTGGAACTATTACAAAAAAATACTGTGGGAACACAGGATGTCACCAATCTGCCAAAAGTGGGTTGGGAAAATCTTTATAACAGAAGGGGGTCTTAGAAGTTGGTCATGTGAGTTGATCCTTAGAAAACTAGGGCTTTGCCAGATGGGGGGAAAAAAGGAAAAGAAAAAAGAAAAGCGTTTTAATCCAAAGAAGAGCTTGGAGAAGTCGAAGACCATGATGTGTGCATGGAACAGTGAGATGGTCATGGAGAGGGAAGCACTGGAAGTGGCCGGGGCAGAGGTTAGTTTGGCCTTACTGTAAGGCACAGTGGCCAATCTATGTGAGAAAATTTAGTTTTTGTTTCTAGGTAGTTGGGAAACAGAAGAGGTTTTGGAGTGGAAAGTGACAGATAATTCTAACAATGTACAGATTATACTGGGGTTTGGGTAATTCTGAACTAAGTAGAGGCAGTGAGAATAGCCAAGGAAATGCCAGAATTGGGAAGTGTTTTTAAGATTAAATTTGAATGATGAGATTTATGGGGAAGCAATGGGAGGTAATTAGGCAATGAGTGATTTTGACCTCCTTGATAGAGATTCTGCAAGACTAGGTTCCAAAGTATATGTTTTTATCTATGATTACGGGGTTGATGGGAGCCAAATTATTCATAAGTTGAATTTGTGGACTGGAAAGGCCAACCCGTATGAATATGGAGAGCTACAAGGGAAATGGAAGTAATGGAAGAAGGAAGAAAAGCCTGAAGTACCTAACTTTTAAGGCTGAGGCAGAGAAGGAGTTTCTAAAATAGTGACTCTGAAATGGATTGGTGAGTGAGGTAGAACTGAAAGAGTAATTCTGGAAACATGGAGGTACAGAATTAAGTATTAAATAAGGGTTGATGATGGCCAGCAGTCTCCAATTCTTCAGACAATACATTTGGTCAGGAAAGTTCACTGATATTCTCTGAGGGGCTTTCAGAAGAATAAGTGATCAGGGCAGAAGCCAAATTGTAATGTATTAAGAGGAGCACAGGAGATGCAATTGTAGACTACTCATTGGCAGTAAAGGGAAAAGGAGGGAATAACATTTTGAAGGTTTTGTAAGGGAGGGAGAAACTTGGTGAGAAGGTATGAGAAGAAAAATCCAAGAGAAGAGGTAGCAGTTGATGGAGCAGTTTTTCAGAGAATATAAGAGAGGGTAGAAATCCTAACACAGGAGGTGTGTTCACCTTAGAAAATGGAAAAACTCTGTCTTCTTCTGGAGCAGGAGGGAGAGAGGTAAGGTGAATACTATTAACTCTGGACATAGATGAGGTGAGAGTGGAGGATTCCAGATCTGTTGAACTCTTTCTCTGATTAGGCTGGAAAGCATCCTACAGTATAGCCATTTCAATCTATTATTAGTAGTATATGATATTTTCTTGTCATGATCTTAGAACAATTCATTGATTTAATGTTGAAAAATACTCAGGTTTGGTAAAGGAAACTTGTTTTTCTTCTGCAGATAGAATTTGGAGTTGTGTACAGTTGTGTGGAAGACAAGAGGTACACTGTCAGGAAAGGAAAAGGTGCCTTTTATAATGGTCAAAAACTACAGGTTTCACAAGAAGGTAGGTTTATTCTCCAATTTTTAGTGCAATTGATATTGTGTACTCATATTTTATTGTTCTTTTAATATTTACCTATGGAATTCCCCAGTTGTTAAGTGATTCATAAACTGTTTATTTTCTCTTTGTTCTGTTATTTCAACTTCAGTTTTGAATGTGGAGTGGAAATAGGGAAAGCAAATGTAATTGAGCAAACACTTCAGGCTCAGCATTGGATTTGGCGATGGAGATAGGAAGATGATTAAGACTGGCTTCCTACCCTCGTTTGAGTTCATGGTTTATGTATTAGCCATTGTAGCTAAAATTCCTTATAGAATTCCTCTGATCTGATGCCATTGTGACAAATTACTGGAAAGTAATTTGGGGAAAAAAGTCAATTAAAGATGGAATCACTTATAATGATACACATACATTTTACATGAACTGGATGATTGGCATTTAAAGTCTTCTTCCTCTGTGACAGCTGTCGACCTAAAAGAAGAAAGCTCAGGCAAAATTAATATAGAGAGTTTATTTGGGCCAAGGTTGAGGTCTGCAGCCCAGGACGCACTTCTAGGTTGTCTTAGAGAGTGCTCCAGAGAACTAAGGAGAGGCTCAAGTTTTTAAAGAAAAAAGGATAAATCAGAAGAAGAGGTCATTTCTAATGCTTTTCAGGAATTTTCTTTGGTTTACCAGTATCACATTAATTAGTGATTGGCTATACATTGTTGAACTATAGAGCATATGGCATTTTATGGCTACTTGGCATCAGTTAGTCTAGAGCCTGCATAGCAAGTGGCTTCAAGAAACAATTATTTAGCTCAAGGGGGAGTGAGACTGACTGCTAGTATACTTTAAATGCCTCTCTGGGCCTGATAATTTAAAGGGGCTGACATTCCACAGAAAAAAAGTCTTTTTTTTTCCTTCTTTCTCACAGCCGATTGAAGTTTTGAGCTACGTTTCTTCCACAAACTACATCCAACATTTTCCAGTTTGCACTTTGAGATTCTTTTAAATGCAGCAAGAATTTAAAGATGCTTGCAAAGCAATTTGAGTTCAGAATCTTCCTAGACTTTTATTTAATTTTTCTCCTCAATCACTTAATTTGAGAGCAGATTTTTAGGTCATTTTCTTTTTATTGAATTCTAAGGCCCCAAAGATTGGTTGAGGCGTCCTAGTTTTCGAGATGTTAACGTGAAAAAACGTGCATCTTAGAACTGAAGGAAGCGGGGCTTCTTGGCGCTTCTGAAGGGAGAAAGCTGCACAAGGATGCCGCCAGGAATGCTCGCACCTCCTACCGGGATGGCCTGCGTAAGACGGGGCGGTCTCTGTGCGGGTGTGCGGGTGTGAGCCACGGTACCCAGGGCCAGATCGCAGAAGTGAAGCTGGGAGGCTGGCCTGCAGACTGGGGTGAGGTCGCCACTCCTTCCTTTCAGGCTGGAGCTACTCTGCTAGGGTTTAAAAACTTGAAATGAGAATAAAGGGTAGTATTTACGAGAAAATGAGAGAGAGTAAATCATATCTAACCTCCTCCAGCCTTTTTTTTTTTTTTTTTCATAAGAGACCAAATAAAACTTACGCACTCTCCTAGCTGTGATTGCCCTTCAGTTACAGAGACTGAGAGCGGAGGGAGACCAGGTCTGAGATAACAAAGCAACTCATTCCTTGAAGGACATTCACACTGATGTCCTATTTTCAAACTATTTGAAAATTGCATCATTCTGCCTCCAGTACTGGCAGTTTCTCTGTTCTGTGATCAATGTGATTCACAGGAACATTTTGTTAAATGAGCCGAGGGTGTGGAAAATATGACTTTTATATTGGTCTGGGATTAGCTATGAGCTCCAGCATTTTCACTGGAGGTAGTTTCATTTGGGGAGGGGAAAAAAAAAGGCTTTCTGCGACTTGCCAGAAAAGGTCCTCTGAGAGCAGGTCAAGGTGGCCACGCATATCCTAAAGAATGGTTGTGGTGGGCTAGACTGCTGTCAATGGCAGCTGGCGAGGTGGCCAACTCAGCTGCATATGGGTTTGCACCGGCCACACTGGTGACTCCACTAGGAACTCTCAGCGTCCTAGTAAGTGCTATTCTTTCTTCATACTTTCTAAATGAAAGATTTAATCCTTACGGGAAATTTGGATGTTTGCTAAGTATTTGAGGATCTACAGTTACGATCACTCATCCTCCAAAAGAAGAGGATATTGAGACTAAATAAAATATCTCACAAGCTAGGTGATCCAGGTTTTGTGGACTTTGCAACACTTGTGGTCATTATGGCCATGATATTAATCTTCCTGGTGGGTCCCCACCAGGGACAACGATCTTGTGTATGTAGCAATTTGCACATTTGTGTATGTAACAAATTGGCACATTTTCAGTCTCCTGGGTTAAGAGCCTAGGCAGTGCTATCAGAGAGCTGTTTGCTGGAAAGCCTGCACTGCCACATCCCCTGGCCTGTGTTCTGCTGCTAAGCCTCATTGTCTGTGTGAACACATAGATTAATTACCTAAATTGCGCCCTGGATATATTTAACACTTCCATCATGACTCCAATACATTACATATTCTTTACGACATCAGTTTTTAAACTTGTTCAGCTATTATTTTTAAGGAGTGGCAAGATATGCCCATTGATGATGTCACTGGTACTTTTGACTGGCTTTACAATAATCGTGGGGATATTCTTGTTGCATGCTTTTAAGAGTGTCAGCTTTAGTCTAGCAAGTCTGCCTGTGTCTCTTCGAAAAGACAAAAAAGCAATGAATGGCAATCTCTCTAATATGTAAGAAGTTCTTAATAATAATGAAGAAAGCAAAAGCTTAATCTGTGGAATCAAACTACACACTGGTGAAAATATCTCCTGAAGAAATGGAATTCTGACAGCTTTTTAAGAAAGATATAATTAAAAGGTTAATCTGTAATTCTGTTATAAAGTGAATGTGAATATCAGAATATGTCTGAAAAAGCACTGTTCTCAAATAATGATCTTTAAAGACAATCCTTTTAAAGGTTTCACTAATTTGAACTAAGAAATCACTTTTCTGGTTTTTTTGTTTTTTTTTTTTTGGAGACGGAGTCTCACTCTGTCACCCAGGCTGGAGTGCAGTGGAATGATCTGGGCTCATGGCAACTTCTGCCTCCCAAGTTCAAGCGATTCTCCTGCTCAGCCTCCTGAGTAGCTGGGACTACAGGCACGCCGGCTAATTTTTTGTATTTTTAGTAGAGATGGGGTTTCACCATGTTAGCCAGGATGGTCTCAATCCCCTGACCTTGTGATCCACCCTCCTTGGCCTCCCAAAATGTTGGGTTCACAGGCATGAGCCACCGTGCCCGGCTCTACTTTTCTGAAATTTAAACAATGGTAGCTCACCAAAATGAACTCAGTGCATGACTAATTTCTATTAACATTGTATTACTGTAGAGATTTTTTTACATTTTGAATCCTTATCCAAAATCTAACACTGCTTAAAATGACAGTTTTAAGTGTATAAAAATGCTTTATTTTTTCATTGGTGATGAAAGTCTGAAATGTACATTTATTTGTCATCCCCACTTCATTAATCCCTAATCATATAGGCTTTTTGATTTTAATAAAGAACAAAATTATCCCAAAATTATCCTGTGATTTACCTTACCTATTATAACAAAATATAATACATATATTTTATAGAAAAGTTAAAATATAATATATATTATATTTATATAAAAATTATAATTATATAAATATAATATATATAAAATAGGTAAGGTAAATCAGAGGATAATCTATATAAAATAGGTAAAGTAAATCATAGGATAATAGAAATATGTATGAACCAAAGAAATGTGGTAGCTTTCATAGAAACAACTCTTTTCCTTTGCATAATTATTCTTCACTTTACAAAGTATTAAATTATTTAACTATTAAAAGTAGTACAGCAAAAAGAATAAAATGCCTAGGAATACAGCCGTCAAGGGAAGTGAAGGACCTCCTCAAGGAGAACTACAAACCACTGCTCAAGGAAATCAGAGAGGACACAAACAAATGGAAAAACATTCCATACTCATGGATAGGAAGAATCAATATCATTAAAATGGCCATACTGATCAAAGTAATTTATAGATTCAATGCTATTCCCATTAAACTACCATTAACATTCTTCACAGATTTAGAAGAAGCTATTTTAAAATTCACATGGAACCAAAAAAGAACTCATATAGCCAAGAAAATCCTAAGCAAAAATAACAAAGCTAGAGGCATCATGCTACCAGACTTCAAACTACAAGGCACAATAACTGAAACAGTATGGTACTGGTACAAAAAGAGACACATAGACCAATGGAACAGAATAGAGAACTCAGAAATAACACTGCACATCTACAATCATCAATCTTCAACAAATCTGTCAAAAACAAGCAATGGGGAAAGGATTCCCTATTTAATAAAAGCTGCTGGGAGAACTGGCTAGCCATATGCAGAAAATTGAAACTGGACCCTTACACCTTATACAAAAATTAACTCCAGATGGGTTAAACCAAAAACTATGAAAAACCTAGAAGAAAGTCTAGGCAATACTATTCAGGACATAGGCACGGGCAAAGATTTCATGACGAAATCGCCAAAAGCAATTGCAACAAAAGCAAAAATTGACAAATGGAATCTAATTAAGCTAAAGAGCTGCTGCACAGCAAAAGAAACTATCATCAAAGAGAACAGGCAACCTACAGAGTGGGAGAAACTTTTTGCAATCTATCCATCTGACAAAGTTCTAATATTCAGCATCTACAAGGAGCTTAAACAAATTTACAAGAAAAACACAACCCCGTGAAAAAGTGGGCAAAGGACATGAACAGACACTTCTCAAGAGAAGACATTCATGAGGCCAAAAAACGTGAAAGCAATCTCAACATCACTAATCATTAAACAAATGTAAATCAAAACGACAATGAGATACCATCTCACACCAGTCAGAATGGCAATTACTGAAAAGTCAAATAACAGATGCTGGCAAGGTTGTGGAGAAATAGGAACACTTTTACATTGTTGGTGGGAATGTAAATTAGTTCAACCATTGTAGAAGACAGTGTGGCAATTCCTCAAAGATCTAGAACCAGAAATACTATTTGACCTAGCAATCCCATTACTGGGTATAGACCCAAAGGAATATAAATTATTCAGTTACAAAGATACATGCACACATATGTTCATTGCAACACTATTCACAATAGTAAAGACATGGAATCAACCCAAATGCCTATCAAAGATAGAATGGATAAAGAAAATATGGTACATATATACTATGGAATACTATGCAGCCATAAAAAGGAATGAGATCATGTCCTTTGCAGGGACATGGATGCAGTTGGAAGCCATTACCCTCAGCAAACTAACGCAGGAACAGAAAACCAAACATTTCATGTTCTCACTTGTACATGGGAGCTGAACAATGAGAACACACAGACACAGGGAGGGGAACAATACACACAGGGACCTGTCGGTCGGGGGTGAGTTGGGGGACAGGAGAGCATCAGGAAAAGTAGCTAATGCATGCTGGGCTTAATACCTAGGTGATAGGTTGATAGGTGCAGCAAACCACTATGGCACACATTTACCTATGTAACAAACCTTCACATCCTGCACATGTACTCTGGAACTTAAAATTAATTTTAAAAAGCAGTACAACAGTTACAAAAATGCTGACAAACACACCTGGTGAACATATATCTTGTCTGATGGGAAGAGGTGAAGTGTGGGGTGTCAAGTGTGTCCTGAGCTGCAGTCAGGATGTTTCAGAGGAAAATGGAAAGCCTTGGATAATTTGCCAGCTTTGTAAATGGAAGTGAGAGAAGAGCTACCATGTAATTTTCATTTTTGTTTTCTTTCAAATCTATATATAAGTTCGCTATTGAATTTAGTTTCTAACATCTACCTTTTTGTGTTTAAGATATTTGCTCATTTTTCACTACACGTATCATGCCTGCAGGCAAATTGGTTATATTCTGTACATTTGGGGAATGGTCTAAGGAGCTGGACTCTTTTTGATGCTTATAAAAAGCTGACTTGGAAATAATAAGTTTATCAGTTTTAATATTTTAAAACTTAGAAATGAATTTGATAAAACTAGGAAGAGGGATAAACATGTTATATTTTCTTCTGAATAAAAGTGTCTTTTTTTAGAATTCTAGTTATTAAAATCTAGTGATTATTTAAAACATTTCCTTTTTAGATATTACCAAATCACTCTTGGTGACCGAGCTGGGCTATTGCAGAACATCAGAAATTGTAAGAACTATTCTTTCCAATATGGAAAAGCTTTCTTGCATTCCTATTCACGGTGAGCTCTTTTCATTTTACACCTAAAGTTCTAGATCATTTAACATCTTAAAATAATATATTTTCCTTTAGAAATGAAATATTAATAGAAATGGGATTGGTACCATAATTCTAATTTTGTAATGTAGCTTTGAAATGTTTTCTTTGAAAATAATTTCAAACATAACGAAAAGTTGTAGAAATAAAATAGTGCAAAGAACAATTGCCTTTTTTAATAGATTTGCCTGTTGTGAATATTTTACTCCATTTGCTTTATCATTTAATTATTCTTTCTCATCTTCTCTCTCTCTCTGTATGTGTGTGTGTGTGTGTGTGTGTGTGTACACACACATTTTTTTCTCCCTCATTATTTTAGAGTATATAATACTGTGTTTTTTTCTGTAACCACAGTACAATTGACTTCAAAAATATACTTTTTGTCTAATCTACCATCCATATTCAGTCTTGTCAGTTTTGTCAGTAGATCTAATAATATCCTTTATAACATTTGCCTTCCACTGGTACAGGATTCAGTTTAGGGTGAGCATTACATTTAGATGTCATGTCTCTTTAGCCTCCTTTGATCTGGAACATTTCCATAGCCTAAGAAATTACTCATTTCCTTTAAGTTTTCAAATTATTTGCATAGAGGTCTGCAAGGTAGAATTTTATAAACAATTTCTGGCTTCTCCATATCAATAATTATTTCCCCCTTCTCACTTATTTTGTGTATTTGTGCTTTTTTTCTTTGTTCATGTTTTTAGTCTTGTTACCTAGTGGTTTATCAAAGACCCAGAATTTTGATTTATTTACTGTTTTTCTCTTTTCCACCCTATTATTTTCATCCTTGTGCTTTCTTTTTGTCCACTTTGTTTTCTTTTTTCCCTTTTGAGTAGAAAATTTTAATTCTTTGATATTTATTGATAAAAGTTTTTAGGCTATGAATTTTTATCTGATCACTGCTTTCAGTATCTTCCATACATTCTATTTATTGTTTTCATTATAATAAGTATATTTCATAAGTTCTGTAATTTGTTTGTAGTTCCTTTTTCACCCAAGAGTTTAATTCTTAAATTTTCACAAGGACAGATAGTCTTAGCCTGTTTTCTGTTGCTTATAACAGAATACCTGAAACTGAGTAACGTATAAAGAAAAGGAATTTATTTCTTTCAGTTATGGAGGCTGAGAAGTCCAAGGTCGAGGGGCTGCATTAGGTGAGTGCCTTCTTGCTGGTGGGGATTCTTTGTAGAGTCCTGAGGTAGCACAGGGCATCACATGGTGAGGGAGCAGAGCGTGCTCGCTCAGGTCTCTCTTCCTGTTCTTATAAAGCCATATTCCCATGATAACTCAATACGTCTTATTCCCATGAGAACTCAATAAACTACTAATCCATGAATGGATTAATCCATTCACAAAGGCAGAGCCCATACAACCCAATCTTCTCTTAAAGGCCCCACCTCTCAATACTGCTACTGGAGATTAAGTTTCAACATGAACTTTGAAGGAGACAAACACTCAAACCACAGCATTCACCCCTGACCCCCAGAACTCATGTCTTTCTCACATACAAATTCATACATTTCATTACCATTATCCTAAAGTCTTAACTAACAGTTTTACAAGAATATCTTAGAATTGCTTATTCTGCATAAATTTTCTATTTAATATGTAGATACATATCTTCTTTACTTATGGAAAATTTCCTTGAGATATAATTTTAAATATTATTGCACTTCGGTTATCATTTTCTTCTTCAGAGACACCAATATGAATATTCCATCTCCTTGTGTCTTCCATTTCAGCTGCTTTCTCTCAGTCTCTTTTTCTTTTATTGCTTTTCCTGATTTTCTTTAAGTTTTCTTTTGCATCTGTGCCCTTTTGGGCACCTTGTAATTTATTCTTCATTTTGTCCCCATTTCTTTCCTGAGTTCACTTATCCTGTTTTTTTTTAAAAAAATTTTGTTTCATTTCTGCTTTCAGTCTCTATTTCAGATTTAACAATTTTTTTTCATATTCACAACCACAAGTATTTGAGGCCATTTAACTCAGATTGTATTGATGTTTCAGTTTTCTTCTGCTTCATTATTGTTTTTTATTTTAAAAGACAGAATGTTGTTATTTTCTTTTGTTGTGTTACAGCAGCAATTTAAAAAAAATTTAAGTTACGGGATACATTTGCTGAATGTTCAGGTTTGTTAACATAGGTATACATGTGCCATGGTGATTTCCTGCACCTGTCATCTAGGTTTTAAGCCCCGCATGCATTAGGTGTTTGTCCTAATGCTCTCCCTCCCCTTATCCCCCACTCCCTGACAGGCCCCAGTGTGTGATATTCCCCTCCCTTGTCCATGTGTTCTCACTGTTCACAATGTTGGTTTTCTGGAGAGACTTCAAACAAAAAGAAACCCATTTTTATTAGCAATGTCTGATGTTTTGCAGGCTTGTGGGGATGTGCTCTACTTTTTTCTATTTTGATTCATTTTGTTATCAGGGCTCCTTGGTTCAGAGCTCTGTATTTTGTCAGTTCTGCCCTTCTGTGTAGTTTCCTTTATGATATCTTTTGAGTGGTTGTGGTAGGCAGGGTTGGCTTGTCTTGCTTATCATTGATTTCTGCAGGATCCTTAATTTTTCAATCTTAGTCCCAACTTTTCTTTGAATACTTGGTCTCCAAGAGGTACCACCTCTTCTGTCTTATCTGATTCTCCTCCAAAATCACAGTTTCCCCGAGGTAGCTGGACTGTGAATTACCAAGGGCTGATCTGTGCTCAGTGTCTTTGCATTTATTGTCTCACTTATACTCGTTTCTGAGGGTGGTTTTTTCTGTGTTCCCTGTGGGTCCTTGGCTCCTCCCTGCTCTCCCTCACAAAGTCTTTTCTGCCTCTTCTCCTCCACTCCGTGTATCCACAGGCTAGGAATGCTGTGTTAGAATTAGTTTGTTTGCTCTTTCTTCTGCTTACAGGTAGTTTGAGATTTGTATTTTCCGATTCCTAGAAATGCTGAAGGAATAGGTCTTGTGTGTTTTATTTGTCCTCCTTTTTGATTTTATTTAATTTTATTTTTCAGGTGGGTAATGGGGAGTTTCAAAATCAGCATGCCACTATTCCTTTCTAAACCTCAGAGTCCTTCTGTAATCAGTTTCATAAATGAAGAAATTAAAAGCAAATATCTATCCTTACTTTTATGTTTACATTTTCAAGAAAAGCTAGAGTTTTGAAGTCTTTAATATAGTTATGCTATATTAAATAGAATTTCTGACCTTTATTGTAGTTGTTTGCATTAAAAATCATAAATTTTGTTATTCAACAAAATCTGTTAAGTTTTGAATAACAGATATTTTACTGCCTACTGTTTCTACCTTTTTTCCTTTTGAAAATATCATCACTGAGTTATAAGAGTCTTAAACCTGATCAAAGATCATCTAATAATCCAGCCTTTTTTTGTAGGTGAGTCGACTGAGGCTCAGAGAGGTGATGTGGTTGCCTTAGATCGAACAGCTGGGTGGAAATATGACTAGAATCCTGGCTCCCAGATCATTTATCTTTCTCCAATATTGGACTTCTCTTAGGAGTCGGGACCTTAAAAATATAGTTTGGCCATGTACAAACTAATTTTATACTATACATCTTTGTTCTATATAGTAATGAGTAAAGCAAAAGAGAGAGAGCCTCTGTCAAATAGCTACAGAACCTCCCAGAATGATGTCCTTGAGGGAAGGGCAATAAACTTATTGCTACAGTGTGCTGTCTTGAAGCAAGGACTGTAACCATGGGCTATAAAATGGTTATGTTAGTCATAAAAGAGCTGCAAGAGGTTTACAATTTTAACCTTTAATTTTGCTGTTGGATAAAGTAAAAACTAATTTTTACTTCAGGATTTTTTCAGAAGTGTAACCAGGGAAATATTACCAAGGAGAAGTTCTGACATTGATTTAAGATCTTTTGCATTCAGCTGCTTCTTTAGTTTAGCAATGTGATTTCAGAGTTACTTATACAAAACAATGAAACTAAAGGGAGTCATAATCTGAATGAATGCTTTAAACAAGCAGAAACAGTCTAATAGGTTCCTGACTAGGAACAAATATTTTTAAGACAACAATTATTGTGGCTCAATTTCCTTTAATTTTTCAAAATTTAATTAGATGAAATGTACCTGGTATATATTTTCTGGCATCATCTTTTGAGAATAATTTTGTCATAAACATAGCTACTTTTTATTATGTATCTTTTATATGGCAGGCACTCTTTTGGTGCTTTACAAATATTATTTGTAGTTATTGTAACAGTGATCTAAGGCAAATTGGTATCCCTATTTGATGACAAGAAAGCTAAAACTCAAAGAAGAAACTTGGTCCAGATTTGTTTTTTTGTTTTTTGTGATGGAGTTTCACTCTTGTTGCTCAGGCTGGAGTGCAGTGGTGTGATCTCGGCTCACTGCAACCTCCACCTCCTGGGTTCAAGCAATTCTCCTGCCTCAGCCTCCCAAGTAGCTGGGATTACAGGCATGTGCCACCACACTAGGCTAATTTTGTATTTTTAGTAGAGACAGGGTTTCACCATGTTGGCCAGGCTGATCTCAAACACCTGACCTCAGGTGATCCACTCTCCTTGGCCTCCCAAAGTGCTGGGATTACAGGCATAAGCCACCATGCCTGGCCCAGATTAGGGTTTTTAAGCAGCTGAGCATGGAACAAACTCAACTCTTTGTGACCCCAAACATAGGCTTTTTTATGATATACCCTATTAGCTGTATAGGAGGATCAGATTAAGATAGGATTCAGAAGGCACATTGTAGAATCTATACCATAGCCTTAATTACCTGGTAATATAAGTAATCTCTTTGGTAATATTTGCTCACAAAATATATGCTCTAGCTGACTACAAGACTCCTTGCCTGAGATCCCATGATGTGCATTAGAAGTGATGGAAGCACCACTAGTTGCTATCACTGTTGTTCTGCTAGCCTAGGATTCTCTGAATAGAATACTAAGGGATTACTTGTAGAAGATCTTGGTCTTTGCTTTCTATAATATGAGATATCAGCTATCACATATCTCATATGAAAAGGGGAGAAACACATCTTTCTTTATAACTGAAAAAATGCCACAAAAGCTAATTTGATTTCATGCATTTGGGAAACAAACATCTTGGAAATTTATTGCACCTCCTAGTTCTTTCTTAAATTAGATGTGCAGCAAAAACATAGGCAGGAAAAAATTCCAAATCAAAGACATTATATCATTCTAATCCTTTTTTTAAAAAGTCCCTTTGAGATGAAGGATGTACTTAGGTGCAATATTTTTTACAATACAATACAAAATAAATACCACATTTGTAATCAATTTATCATTACTTTTTAAAAAAATAAACTGGGAAAGATCTTGGTAAATAGAACCCACTGCTTTATTTCCAGAGCTTTAAACAGTCACAAAAGGAGTTTGAATAGAAACCATTTGCAATTAACTTGCAGACATAATGATCTTTTTCTTCTAAAAACACATTTCAGTGTGTATTTCTTTAATAAAAAGGAACATTGTCTAACACAGCCACAGCACAATTATAAAAGTCAGGAAATTAACATTGATACATAATCTAATATAAAGACTTTATTCAAATTTTGAAAAAAATTTTAACCCAATGTCCAATCCAGACTCATACATTGATTGCATTTAGTTCTCATTTCTCTTCAGTTTCCTTTAATTTATAACTTGCTTGGTCTTTCTTTATCTTTTATGACCTTGACATTTTTCAAAAGTATAGGCCAATTATTTCGTGGTCTATCTCTTGATTTGAATTTGTCTAGTTTATTTATGATTACATTTGGATTATGAATTTTTGGCAGGAATGTCACAGAAGTAATGTTCTGTACTTCTCAGTGCATCATATCAGGAGGCACATGGTATCTTTTTGTCCTATTATGGGTGATATTAACTTTGATTACTTGGTAATGGTAGATAGATCATTGTAAAAATGCTATTTTTTCCTCACTGTACTTATTATATATCTTGTGGAGAGATACTTTGATACCAAAAATATCAAACTTTTACCCATTAATTTTAACATTTATTGATGATTTTTTTTTTTGAGATGGAGTCTTGCTCTGTTGCCCAGGCTGGAGTGTAGTGGCTCGATCTTGGCTCACTGCAAGCTCTGCCTCCCAGGTTCACGCCATTCTTCTGCCTCAGCCTCCTGAGTAGCTGGGACTACAGGTGCCCGCAACAACGCCTGGCTAATTCTTTTTAATATATATTTTTAGTAGAGATGGGGTTTCACCGTGTTAGCCAGGATGGTCTCGGTCTCCTGACCTTGTGATCTGCCCACCTTGGCCTCCCAAAGTGCTGGGATTACAGGTGTGAGCCACCACGCCCGGCTGATGATTCTTTACTGAATAAGTTATTACTATAATTGCTATCAAGTAGTATCTTACTTATTCTTACTTATATCTTACACATTCATCTTACCTTGCTGTATTTTCAAGGAAGAGGTGCTATGAGAGGAAAAACCTGTAGTAATCTTTCAAGAGAGGCCTAGGTTTGTGCAGAACCCAGGTGGGTTGCAATCCCTTTAGGTCTAGATATGATGCACATCCAGTTGGGAATGATCAATATCATGATACTTTATGCTCCCTAGAGATTATTGTGCATTGTGTATGTGTGCATGTGTGTGTGTATCTGTGTAAAATAAGCTGTGGTTGCCTTGGGTTTAAAAAAATATGAATATATTTGCATGCTGTTATAGTAGAATTATAGCATTATTTTTAGGGCTTTTTTTCTGCAAAATTATTGCTTTCATGTTTATCTTATTAAATTATTGCTTTGTGAGGATTAGTTTTGGGATTTATATAGTATATCACGATAACTGGATTTTATATATTTTTATTTTAAGATTAAATACCATCTTTTTTTACATTTATTCTCTAGATTGGTTCAACTTATCTCAATCAACATTCAAACTGAAGTTAGGAGGAATACCTTACTTGAAAGGTTATTTTTTCAATCTGCCATTTTTGAATACTATTTTTGAGGATCCAGAGTGTTGGAACAGCAGCTACTAATATGTGCATTGCGGCAAGTGGAGGAGCAGAGGCATTTTATGAAATGGGAATTCACTGCTGGGATATTGCAGTAGCTGCCATTATTGTTACTGAAGCTGGTGGCGTGCTAATGGATGTTACTGGTAAAATTATGAGATAGTGAATCATTTTTCCCTTTACATCTCTTGGACTTTCCTCTGTATATGGAGTTTAAAAAAAGTTTGATACATATGATAGCTTGGATTTTAAGACAAACAGGCTATATAATTTTGTGCAAAATCAAAATAAACATTAGGAGATAGAGGCAAGGATGAGAACTAATGGCAATATGGGACTGATAGTGATAAATGGCTAAGCCTTTTCAAATGTGAGTAATAGGAACTCCTGAAAGGCTGTTGAGAAAGCCTAGAGAGTCACTGACTCTGAGGCTTGTATTTAGAGTTCTTTGAATGCTGACCATTGTGATAGTTGATGATTGACTTCAGTCCTCCACCATCACCTTCTGTGTTGGGACTAGAGAAGTTAAATATTTGCTTTGAGCTGATGGTGAAATTTTTGAAGTGAAGAGTGAACCTGGGTTCAAAGAATTCACCAGTGATCTGAGAGAAAGGCAACAAAGAAATAAGGAAATGGGAAGGATAGTGGTATGAAAATTAATTGGAGTCACATTTTCTGTCCATAGATTCTTAAACAGTAAAGAGGTAATAACAGTGTATATACACACACACACACACAAACAAAGAAATAGAGAATAGATGACATTTTCAGACTAGCATGACTTGAGACTCCCTCTCTCCCCCACCAACCTTGCCAGTAAATACCAAAAAACTGGTATTTTAAAAAACATATACTTAGAAACTCAGCTATGGATTGCCAAAGCTTAAACATTGTAGTTATGTGACAGTAGATTTTTAAAAGAAAACTGAAAGTATTAAAATGTCGTGATTGACCATAGTGCACATTGCTGTACTTGTTTGATATAAATTATTTTTGTACCAGATATAACTATTTACCATACTTGATTTGTTTTAGGTGGACCATTCCATTTAATGTCACGGAGAATAATTGCTGCAAATTGTACAGCATTAGCAGAAAGGATAGCCAAAGAAATTCAGGTAGCACCTTTTCAATGAGATGATGAAGATTAATTACAGCAGCCTCATAGTCAATCACAGTTGCTTTTCCCCAGATTTGCTGACTCACTGTGGATACGTGTTTCAGATGTATTATATGCTTAGTTTAAATTGTCTTTGTCCAGATTAAGAATTTTGAACTTGTTTCATATTTTACTATGGCTAGGTTTGCAAGAATAGACATGATGTTTACTTCATTGTTTAAAAAAATTGCATGTAAGAGCTTTAGGAAAAATACACAAAAAGTATAGTTGATGAAATAAGTATAACATCAACTGAAATAGTTAGCAATTTTGCATTTCTGAGTATCAATGGTCTGAAATTTTGACTTGCTATATATATGTATGCCTAGACACTCGCTTAGAAAGTTACCTATTTGGAAAAAAAAATTGTTTGGTTTCAAAAGCCATATTTAAATTTGTAAGGATATATTGAGTACTTCCTAGACCAAGGTTTTTTTCTTTGCAGAGAAACTTTTTTGTTTTATTCAGTGCTCATATAACACCTAGCACCGTGCTTGTCAGTTAGCAATCAAAATTAAACATTGTAAGAATGAATATTTTGAAGTCATCAATTCCTAGTTATTATATAGAGTAGATACATAATGAGCTCACCATTCTGTACTTTTGCTGTATTTTTCATGATGATGTGAATTTTGAAGTAAAAACAGTCTAGTTATATTTTGTATATTTCACATTAACATACTGCCAGATAGAGTTGCTTATTGTAGGCATTTCTGCGATAAATATATTTTCCAAAGCACTTAGTTAAGGTATGTATTTTAATTTGCTTTAAACTCCCTAAGAGAGAAGAAACTGTTCCCAAAAAGCACTCTCATCAGATATCTGATATATTTAGATACAGTGTAACATTTTACTCATTTCAATAGTCACATTTCAAAGATGTTGATGCTGATTTATGTTGGCAAATTATGCATTATTATTAATATTCAACTATTTGGTTTCCTCCCAAATCCTTATATAATTTCATTGTAACTGGATTCCATTCAGCCTTTAAGTAAGAGAATAGATGACATTTTTCAGACAAGTATGACTTGCAATTTCCTCTGTCTCACACCAACCTGGCCAGTAAATACCAATAAATATCTTTTTTCTTTTTTTTTTTTTTTTGAGACAGGGTCTCACTCTGTTGCCCAGGCTGGAGTGCAGTGGCGCAATTTCAGCTCACCACAACCTCTGCCTCCTGGGTTCAAGTGATTCTCCTGCCTCAGCCTCCTGAGTAACTGGGACTACAGGTGTGCGCCACCATGCCCAGCTAATTTTTGTATTTTTAGTAGAGGTGGGGTTTCACTATGTTGGCCAGGCTGATCTCAAACTCCTGACCTCGTGATCCACCTGCCTCGGCCTCCCAAGGTGCTGGGATTACATGCATGAGCCACCACGCCCAGCCACCAATAAATATCTTAATCATCCTTGGCCAACAGAATGGATTTTTTTTAAAAAATGTGGTCTAATCACATGAAGAATGTTCTGTAGCAATGAAAAAATAGACTCCAGTTACACGCAATAATGTGGATGATTGCAATCTGGCTGAAGCTCTAACTTCCAATGGTTCTGCACATTTTGATATCACCAACGATATCCTAATAATTTACAGAAGCCAAATTGTTTCTGCTTTGAACTTAACCTCTCTTCAGTCCTTCCCCCTTGCTTGTTTTGTTTTAAAAAAAAATCCCATGTTGAAATGTTCTTTGTTCCTTTCTTTGTTTCTTTTGCTGACTTTTCTTCTCTGGTGATAATACAGTTCTGTAGAGTGCTCTCCTTGGTGGTTTACCTTCTGACTGTCAAGTCACTCTGAGGAGACCCATGCAAGCCCCATGATTTCAACCATCACATCCTTTCTACTGACTCCCCAGTCTTGACCTACAGCCCATATTTCCCATCTGAATTCTCCCCCTGCATCTCCTGCCCATACTTGATCTGTTCAATATATTTCTATTTTTTGCTCATGCTTTTCTACTACTATACTGCAGCATTCACCTCGGCCCTTTCAAATTAGCACCTAATATATTTGAGTTTTCTCTTTCCCTAGTCTTCATATCCAATTTGTCATAAGTCATGTTTCAATTGTCCAACCAAACTGGAACACTAGCTCTTCACTGGCCTCCTCTGAGCCTTTTCAGATGACCGTCATTCTGCCCAGAATAGTCTACACTAATAATAGATTACTTTTTTATGATTGTGAAGTTTACTATAAGTTACAGTGATTCTCCTTTCTCTGGGAGTTGACCCCAACAAACAGGACTGTGCTGACTGTCACCACATCTGTAGATGGTGTGGCTCTGTTCCTTGTTTAATTCAGGAAAGGATATCTGACCCAAAAGGACAAATTAAATTTGCTAGGGCATTTGATATTTTGAACCCAAAGACAGAGATTAGGAAAAATTGGGAATAATTCAATGTGTTATAAAGCACTTTAGGTAAGTAAGCACTGGAAAAGAAGTAACAAGCTTCTCAGATGGAGCTGGGTATCAGCATTCAACCCCAGCAGGCTGCCTGTTTAAGAAGAATGGAAATATGCCATAGGTAATATGTTCTTACTTCCAGTATGTCCTATATAATACCTTCATATCCCTTAGGTAGTTTAAGTAATTCATGAAATATTTTCCTTGATAAAATGTTATTAATGATATTTAGCATTTGCTGAGCACAATGTACCATGCATTATGCTAAACACTTGATACTCATGATCATACTTAAACCTCACAATAACCCCAGGAAACATCATTATCCTCCTTGTACTGAGGCAAATAGATGTTAATTAGCCCAATTTCCCTGCTCAGGGTGACATAGCTAAGCAATGACACTTCTGCAGAGACACCGCTGAGGTGCACAGTCTTAACCCCCTGCCTAGTGGTCCTCCTGCTGGCTGTACGTTAGAACCACCTGGGGAGCTTATAGATAAGCCACTGCTGGCATCCCACCTGAGTGAGTCTGACCAGGTCTGGAGGGTCACCTGGCCATCTGTATTTTTTAAGTTTCCCAGGTGATACCAAGCAGCCAGAATTGAGAACCATTTTGTTTCCTGGATGTAACTTTTTTTTGTCTTTCAGACAGGATCTCGCTCTGTCTCCCAGGCTGGAGTGCAGCGGCCCAATCATGGCTCACTGCAGCCTTGACCTCCCAGGCTTAAGCAATCCTCCCATCTCAGCTTCCTGAGTAGCTGGGACTACAGGCGTGAGCCACCACACCTGGCTTTTTTGTTTTTATTTACTTTTTATAGAGATGTAGTCTCTGTGTTGCCCAGGCTGGTCTCAAACTTCTGAGCCCAAGCAATCCTCGTGCCTTAGCCTCCCAAAGTGCTGGGATTACAGGCAAGGACCACTGTGTCTGGCTTGATTTCTTAAAAGTAGCCAATTCACATACCCACCTACTCATCCACCTCCAGGAAGCTTAGAGGGTCTTAGGACACAACTTGATACCTTAAAATTAAAATGTTGCTTTGCTACCTGATGAGCCTCCTTGGATATTATTGTACCTGCCTTTTTTAATTCCCACAAATTAACACTAGATGACAAACTACACATAAGGAATCATCTTGTATTAAGTATTTCCATTTCTGAAACACTATTTTTTTCTTCAAATAACCTCATTAGCCAATATTTGAGTTTAGTAAAATAGTATTAAAACCAAGGGAATCCTTCATAAATTGAATTACTCTGGGTCGTGAGTTAACTCACATTCCCTTCAGCAGAGCCATAGGTGCCCTGTACACACTATGGCCTGGATTTCAGTTGCCTTCCAGGTTCAGCTGTTAAAAGATGTTCATTAATCACAAACATATAGAAAATAAAATACTTGTCTTTTGTTATCACATCTGAGAACACTTTTCCACAAATAATTTCAATATCCCTGTTAAATAATTGACTCACTAATAAAAACATTTGGGAGCTTGTATCTCCAGGGGTACAAGGCAGGGGGCGCTTAGACACTACTATATGTCCACTTTCCTTTTCTTTTTTCTTAGAAATTGTGTTTGCTTGCATGATGGAGTAATGGAGGTGGGGTTTGTGAGGAACAATATAAGAGAAGTATACAATTACTATTTATGTTATGTTGAGGAAAAATGTAATAACATTATCATTGATTTAGTTTCTCATAACTGGCAACGTACCTTCATATCCCTGACTTCAAAGTGGCAGCAACTTGTCTGGTCACTTCAGAGTTGGCAGACTCAGGGCAGTGAGGACCTGTGCACCTGTGCATGGTGCTTGAGTTTTTCCTACCACAGCGTTCTCCATTCTGAATTTATTTTACTACCTTAGAGTTTCAAGTGTTAACCCCTTATCATTCATCTGACTTTACACATGATGAAAGGTGAGGTGTGAGGGCTGTAGATGTTCGAATACTCTTTCTAAATGCAAATCAGTGATCACCAGCTTAATGGCTCCTCAGTTTTGGGATGAAGTCTAAATTCCTTAATATGGATTATAAGGTCATCAGGCTTGATCCCCCGCTCCTCATCTCAGGGTTTTCACCTCCAGCTTCACGCACTGACATAAAGTTCAGACTGGATTTCTTTCAGCTGCAGCAGCATTCCTTCCTCTGCTGTGAACCTTCACAACAAGCTGAGATTTTTTTTTTCGTTTTTGAGGGGTAAGAGGTAATACAGTCCTCCCTTGGTGTCTTTGGGGGTTAGTCCCAGGACCTCTGGTTGATAGCAAAATTTGCAGATGCTCAAATGCCCAATATAAAATGGTGTAGTATTGTTATACCCAGACAAGTTAGAGAAAACGCCACACTTTGAGATGAATTAAGAGTCCGTTATTTAAGCCAGCGGCCAAAGAGATGGCTAACGCTCAAAATTCTCTCGGCCTTGAGGAAGGGGCTTGATTAACTTTTATACCTTGGTTTAGGAAGGGGAGGGGAACTCAAATGCAATAATTCTGCAGAAGTAAAAACATGCAAGAATCAAAGAAACAAATGGTTACAGAGAGATAAACAATTTAAAAGACAAATGGTTACAAAAAAACAGTGGAACCAGGTGTGGGGCTCTAAGTCCTTTATTAGAGTTAGATATAGATGCTATGCCGGACACAGTCTCAAGGCTTTATGTTGTTACCTCTTTGAGTAAAATCCTGGGAACTTCTTACATTGTTTGTTTCAGTACCTCATCAGTCAATTGGGCTCCTTTGAAATGCTGATCTGCTTACACAGGTTAACTCCTTGAGGAAGGGGGTTGGGTAAGGAGCCCTTAATGTCTTGTAAACATCAAGAAGCCAAATGGAGTTTGTCCGGCTTTCCCAGCCAAGAGAAAGTCTTACTCGTATGGGAAAAACAAGGCTGGGTAACTAAGGAGACAAGCAGGGAAAACTTAAAAGTAACGAGTTAGAGTAAAAACAAGGTTAGGCATTACCGTATTTGCATATAGTCTATAGGTATCCTCCTTTATACTTTAAGTCATCTCTAGATTATTTATAATACCCGTATTAGTCCATTCTCACACTGCTATGAAGAAATACCCAAGACTGGGTAATTTATAAAGGAAAGAGCTTTAATTGACTCACAGTTCTGCATTGCTAGGGAGGCCTCAGGAAACTTATAATCATGGCGGAAGGCAAAGGAGAAGCCGGCACCTTCTTCACAGGGTGGCAGGATGGAGCGAGTGCAAGCAGGGGAAATGCCAGATGCATATAAAACCATCAGATCTCATGAGAACTCACTATCACGAGAACAGCATAGGGGAAACTGCCCCCGTGATCCAATTACCTCCACCTGGTCCTACCCTTGACACGTGAGGATTATGGAGATTACAATTCAAGGTGAGATTTGGGTGGGTACACAGAGCTAAACCATATCAATACCTAATACTGAAACTGCGTTTGCAAAATTATGACTGAGATAGTGATAAAGATCCATCCAACTTAAATGACTCCATCTTGCCTCTAACCTCCAAGCTGTCCTTGTTCATTCCTGGGTATAGGCGGAACTTACTTTGGGAGGAAATTAGTTTATAGTTTAAAACAAAGACGATAACAGCCCTTTCCCCAAACAAACCTCCTTCTCGCCTGGGGACTAGACTACTAACATTAGCCACGAGATTAGAAATTATGGTTTAGGAGTCATGTGGCTGGAGGCTACAAGCTTCTGACCCTCCCTAAACTGCTCTTAAGATCAATGCTTGAGATGTTTTGCAGACCCTTCACTTGATGAACAGCCAGCACCACCCAGATTGAGAAACTGCCCCATCTGATCTTGTGACCCCCCACCCAGGAACTGACTCAGTGCAAGAAGACAGTGATGCCCCATCAACACCCCCCGGCTCAATGCCCCTCCCCTCCCACCAAATTGTCTTTAACAACTCTGATCCCCAAATGCTCCAGGGACTGATTTGAGTAATAATAAAACTCCAGTCTCCCCTACAGCTGGCTCTACGTGAATTACTCTTTCTCTATCGCAATTCCCCAGTCTTGATAAATCAGCTGTATGTAGGCAGCAGGCAAGGTGAACCCCTTGGATGGTTACATTACAATATAAATGCTATGTAAATAGCTGTCATACTGTATTTTAAAAGCTTGTATCATTCTTTTTTGTTGTATTTTTGTTGTTGTCGTTGGTTGTTTTTCTCAAATATTTTCCATCTGCATTTGGTTTAATCTGCAGATGCACAGCCTGCAGATACAGAGGTCAGACCATACCCTCTTCCACCTTCTATTTTGAACCCCATCCCAACTCACACTGAACCCACCCACACATGTCTAACTTCCACTTGTATATTACCTACATATTTGGTCTTACCTTCCCTGTGACTTCCTTCAAGAAGCCTTTCCTGACAACCCAAGGGTGGGTTTATTTCCTCTCCTGAGTCTTCTGCATTTCTTCATTCAGACCACTTACCACACTATGTTATAATTGCATTTTGCCTGTAAGGACATGACTATAAACACTGTGGAGGCAGTGTTTTGCTCATTCTTGTACTCTAATTATCTGGCACAGTGCTTGGCAAATACCAAGTTCTTATAAATACTTGTTGAATAAATGAATGAAATCTTAATATCTAATAGCATCTCTCTTATGCTATTTTATACTCAGGTTTGAGGGCCATAATTTTATGCGCACCTGCAAATAATAGATAGTCTAAAAGTAGTCCAGATTTTCTCCTTTTCACATAAAGGACCAGCTCATATAATACTTGATTTGTTAAAAAACAAAACAAAGCAAAACAAAACCCCATGAAGCACCCCAAAATCTTGCAGTCATTTCAGATCAAACTGACAGATATGAGATGTGAAAAATATAATAAAACAAATATTTTCTGCTATAAAACTGAAATGAAGGAAATTTAAATGATTATGTAAAATGCATCTATATTGACAACTTTATCATACTGAGAAATTTGGATGATTTTAGCCCACTAAAAACAAACTTCACTAAAGTGGGCTAAAGACTGTTTTAGCCCACTAAAACAGTCTTCACGAAGAGCAATCCCCATAGTGGGGATTTACTCAGTCCCTTCCATTCAGGCTCTCTCTGCCTCCTCCCTCCATCACAACTAAAGCCCTGAAGGAGAATAAACTTTAAAGACAAGATTAATTAGATTACACTCCTTCAAAACCACATTATAGTTTGTAGATCAGCCTCGGTGCTGACCTGAAGCTTGTATGCTTTGCTGGGATAGTTACTAAGGGGTTCTTACCTTTTTGCTTGGTATAAAGTTGACACTGAGTAGTTATAAAGTCCTTTTTAGTTCCTATCCTGGGTCAAGCCAATTTGGCAAAAATCAAGTTCCTGGGAAACACTATTATATAGTTTGCCCTCATTTCCACTTTCACCAAATCTCAATATAATTACTTTTACAAAGCTCTGTGAAAGCCTATTTGAATGTTATTGTAAGCAGCAGCCAGTGACCTCTGAAACTCATTTTGCATCACTGTAAGAATGTTCATTGTATCTCACAAGGTTCTCTTTGTTACTCCCTAGAAGAAAGTTCACTATGATTTTAAGATTTTAATATAAAAAAAAACTGTTCTTTTCCCGAGTCCTTATGTGTTCATCTCCAAGGTCAATGGGAACTTGCTTAAATTATACATTCTAGGAGCCTACCACAGAGCTACAGAATTTGAAATTATGGTTATCATTTTATAAGCTCTTCAGGTGACTCAGATGCACACAAAACTTTGGGAATCTCTCTTATAGACCAGAATTATGTAATTGACTAGGTTTCTCTTCAAATGTGGCCACTGGAAAACTTATAGACAAATTTGTGATTCCCTGGTAGCAATTGTGTGGAGCATTATGCTTTTTAGTTATTTCTCTGTCTGCTGTGTTTTCATCTTTGATTTGTTTTTATTTCTATTTTTATCTCACTTCTAATTTAAGTTCTTGTTATGTTATATATCCATATAGCCATCTAAAATGATTTTTTGAAACAGGGCAAGAAACAGGCAGGTAGATAGCCAGACAAATAGAAAAATAATGATTACACTCAGCTTCTGTAGAGAACAAGGTATTCTTGGCAATTGGTGCAGAGTAAGCACCCTTGGCAGACCTGGAGAAAGCTGTGTGTGTGTGTGTGTGTGTGTGTGTGTGTATGCTCACTTGTGCTGGAAGTATGGAGGAGGAGGTTGTGCATATGTACTAGAGAAATACAGTACTTGTTGATCAGTGAATGACTTTTTTATTTTACTGTCATAAAGCAACTATATGTCCTATTTTCTCTTTATTAAACTCATGGTACCAGCTAGAAAACTTCTGAAACAGTGGCTTGGATGTTTGGTGAGACAACTTTTCCCCATTTGTGACTTTTCTTGCTTGGGCATAAACCTTTCCTCCTTAATCACTGTCTTGTATTCATTACTTGCTAGCTAATCACCATAAAGCCACTAATTTATAGGAGCTTTAAAGAATGATTCTCAGAATTACTGGCAGTGAAGGCTACCCCTAGATTGTTTTGAAATGTTTCCATAAGGGAAAATTCGTTCTAGCCTTTCTATCTGTACCGCAACCTCCCTGCCTGTGAGAATCACTACAAATGGAGTTAAGTCAGGAAATTGTACCACATCGGGACTGGGGACGGTCTGATTTATCTGTCTGATGATTGGCCATGTGTTACAGCTGGAAAATACAGATTTTCTTATTTTGTTTTACTCTCCCCAGTCATTTCCATGAGGAACCTCCAGTGAGACCAAAATTTGAGACCTCTCAGCTAAATGACTCCCAGAAGCCATTAGAGGACGCAGTGTAGTGCCACTTTCTGCCTTGGAAACCAGGATTGAGGTTTTTGGGCGTCATTGCATTTACTGTGTTTTCACTTTTTTAAATACTTACTTGTCACATGCCTTCATCTTTTCTGAAACATAATGACAGCTAGGCTTCATCATACCAACAGCAGCTTTATAATAATTGGGCAAGAATTGGGCCATTTTCATCCAGCTGAAACCCAAGTCTGACTAATTTAATGGGGAAATATCCTTTAGTGCTCCATCAATCAGCACAGGGCTTGCCAAACTGCTTCTAAATTCTGAGGTAAGTATTAAGCAAAGGGACCCACCTAAAGACAAATTCCTTCAGTTCAACCAAGCTTCTGAGCACCTGTTTTCTGGAGGTATGGGCAGGGCATTGCAGGGGTCTGGAGATGAGAAGGCTGAGTGCTCCCCCTCTGGATAATTATAGTTAATAAGAGGAGCATTTAGTGAGTACCTGGTAGTTAATATACATGATTTAATTTAATTTGAAAAAGTTGAGCATTACTCCCTTCTCACAAATAAGAAAAAAATAAGTCTAGAATGGATAAGGAAACTACTCCTGACTATGCAGATAGGTGTTAGAATTAGGATTCAAAGCACCTGCTTTTTCCTGTGTAAACAAAAAGGTATCTGAGATATGTCTCAATCAATTTAGAAGTTTATTTTGCCAAAGTTAAGGACATGCACCTGGGTGACAGGTCTGTGCCTTTCTTCAAAGATGATTTTGAGAGCTTCAATATTTAAAGGGGGAAGGGTAGTGGAGAAAGGGGAAAAATATTTAAAAGGTGTGAGTAGATAAGAGGCAAATGGTTGCATTCTTTTGAATCTTTGATCAGCCTTTCACATGTGAGAGGTGGGCAGAAGAATAGTCACTTTGTTTTTTTTTGAGATGGAGTCTTGCTCTGTCGCCCAGGCTGGAGTGCAGTGGCGCGATCTCGGCTCACTGCAAGCTCCGCCTCCCGGGTTCACGCCATTCTCCTGCCTCAGCCTCCCGAGTAGCTGGGACTACAGGCGCCCACCACCGCGCCCGGCTAATTTTGTTTTGTATTTTTAGTAGAGACGGGGTTTCACCGTGTTAGCCAGGATGGTCTTGATCTCCTGACCTCGTGATCTGCCCGCCTCGGCCTCCCAAAGTGCTGGGATTACAGGCGTGAGCCACCGCGCCCGGCCAGAATAGTCACTTTTGCATTTATCTGACTCAGTGAACCTGCATTTTTACATAAGATAAAATAAACACAGGGCAAAGGAAGCAATCAGATATGCATTTGTCTCAGTTGAGCTGAGGGATGACTTTGAGTTCTATCCTTTCTCCCGTATCTATCAATTTACATTGTCAGTGTGAAATTCGACAGAACTGTTTTAGGGTAAGGATCTTGGGGACCACAAGGAATCTCCTAGTGAGAAAATTGTGAGAGAGGTATGTAGCTTTTAAAAATCTTTGTAGCCATCTTATTTAGGAATTAAATGGGAGGCAGCTTTGCCTGTTACGCAGTTCCCAGCTTGACTTTTCCCTTTGGCTTAGTGATTTAGTGGTCCTGAGACTTATTTTCTCTTCACGCCTCATTGCTGTACCACATCCAGCATGGGGGTGTGTGGGTATAGGGGGAAGAAGACACATAAATTAATGTGTCTTATTAATAAATAAAACATTATAAATTAATAAAAATTATATTAATAACCCTAATACCAAGAAAAAAAATAAGGAAGGTTTGATGAAATTAGACAACAATGTGTGATAAAGATTTGGAGGGAAAACTCCCAGGAGGAATTGGAAATACTTTGTGGAAAAGTTGGCTTTTGAACTTGAAGGCCTTAAAGAATGGATGAAATCCAGAAAGATAGAGATGTGACTGGCATATCATGAAGAAGAAATAGTATAAGAAAACCCTGGGAGACAGGGAAAGACTGATTAGTTTAGGGAAGGGCGAGAACTCTGGTTTAGGGAGCATGCACTTAGGTTTAAGAACATATTGGGAGACACCCTATTGCACAGGGTCCTGGATGCCAGGCTGGGCTGCTCAAGGCTGTTGAACAGCAGAGAGATTAATGGCAACTTGCACACCGGATTCAGAGATTGATGAATGGCAGCATGCAGACAGAAGTGTATTCAGAAATAATAGAAGCCAGTTAAAAGGCTTTTATAATAGTCCAAGAAATGATGAATGAGGGCAACTTGACTGTGGGCAGCAGGAACTCACAGGACAGGGACAGATCAAAAATCCTTGGTAGAGATATCATCCATGGGATTTTGGCAATCATTAGGGACATTGTGGTGCAGGAGCAGATTTGGAGATGAGTTCTTTTTGGCACATGCTGAGCTTCAAGTAAGAGTAGGAAATTAAGGTAGAGATATCCAGAGGGCAGCTGGAATCGCCAACTGAGTGTGGGAAGGAGAATTAGGAAGACAGAGTTGTCTGCTGAGAGGTGATAGTTAACACTGTAGGACAGGTGTTTGCACTAAAGCAGAAAGATGAAATCAGAGACGAAGGATCCTCAGAGCATCTACTTAGTGTGAATCTAGCCTCTTGAAGAAAGGTTTATCAAAGAGGTTGTTACATGCAAAATAAAAATAGTGACTCTAAGAGCATTTTAACCTACCAGAAACTGATATCTTGACCTCTCTAATTAAGATGTTTGTTGTCAGTTATCACCCTAATCTGACTGGAGAAAACAATCAGGGTGAGATGAAGAAAGAACTGCAGAGAATCAATTGGCAAGCTTATCTTTCAAAACTCCGTGTACAGAAAAAGCTTGACAAGGAGGGAAGAACCACTTCTGTGAATTTAATGAGGTTTGGATGACAGGCTGGGCCTCTTGATTTGCAATATTCAGGATCACCCTGTTTTGGTTTTTGTTTTGTTTTGTTTTTTAAAACTGTTGTCCTAAAATAAGCCCTTTTTCATTTGTTCTTTTTGGTTTGTTTTACTGTGCATTGTGTAATGTGAGCAGACAATGATAATTCCTCTTTAAAATTCAAACATAAAGAGTAGGTTAAGAGAGATCCACCATAAAACCTGTTCCTGCACCTAGTAATTTTTTCTGCTTGTTCTAGCACTGGAAGTTGATCCTGCCTTTTTACCTAGTGATTACCCAGGCAGTGCTACAACCTGAACAAATATTTATTGTAGCCAGAAAACACTTCAAATGGTAAGACAACTCTTTCAATATTTACTATTCTGCAATTGGCCAGAACGCTAATGACTTTTAAACACACCAAGAAAGATTAATAGATTTGAATGATAGCTATGACACTCTCAAGTTACTTGGTTAGTGGCAAGTAATGGTATAGAGCATATAATGATTGATGAAATAACTACTATAGAATAACAAAATAGTACCATGCAAACGGGCTCCTTTATACTGGCATTAGATTCTACTCACAGCAGGTTTTGCTGCACATGCAAGGGCAGCTCATTTCTGTCCAGCTCATATAACAACTTCCTTGATAAATCTTTCCCCAATAGGTTGGATCCACACTAAGAAGATCCTCTAAGGAAAAATTGTTTCTAAATCATCTTATCCTCCTGCCTTTCTGCAGTCACCTCTTCTACAATGTCAACTATCATCTCTCAGCAGATAACTCTTAATCTTCCTAATTCTCCCTTCCCAAACTCAGGTGGCTCTTCCAGCTGCCCTCTGGGCATCTCTACCTGGACTTCCTATACTTGCTTAAAGTTCATCATGTCCCCAAAAGAACTCATTCCCACATCTGGTCCTGCATCACCATCTCTTTAATCATTGCCAAATTCCAATAGATGATATCTCTAGCGGGTTTTGAATCTATTCCTCTCTGGTAAGTTCCTGCTGCCCACAGCAGAATAGGCCCTTTCAGGGGAATACATTCCTCCAAAAGTTGAAGGCACCTTTAGCTTCTCCCTGATTCTTCTAGTGGTAAAACCCAGGAGAGTTGGCAAATGAGAACCTGTTTAACCCCTTTCCCATTCTCCCTGAGAGTAATTGCCAGTGGCGCTGACAGCTGCAGCATTTACTCCGAGATAACTTCCATGAAGTATCTCACTTTTATTATTATTTTCACATCTCTCTAGTATAGTGACTTTGGAAGCAAAATCCATCATTCTATTTATAGCATTCTGTTTTTAGAGGTGGTATTTCCATGTACAAAATACAGTAATTCTCATTCACTGAAAATGTCAAATCCTAAAAAAACATGGTATTCCTACCGTTGTTCTTGAACAGTTGTTGGCCAAAGATTCATTTGATGAATCAGATTTTTCCAAAATAGTTTTAATGATTCAGACAGTTTTCATATTAGTTCTGTTTAGAGATAATTCAAAGAACAATTTTTACATTGTATTTTCATGTTGAAAATCAGTGAGATTTGCTTCAGCCTCAAAGAGCAAGTTTATGTAAAATAAAATGAGCACTGGCAGCGAGCTGCACTTTTTTTTTTTTCTAAACAGGAAAAGGGCTAAAGATTTAAAAATCTTCCACAGAATCAGATCTCACTTATGTTAGACTCATTTTCTTCACCTACTCTTTAAGAAAATGGAGTCGACATATAGCTCTGAAATAATTCAACTGAGCCATCCAGGAAGGGGTTGCTTTCTGTTTTCTGGACACTCATGCAGGCAGTGGAGACATCGGTGAGAAGGGCTTTGCTGTCAAATAGTCCAGAGTTTGACTCTTTGTTCATTTATTTCATTATCCTTAAGTCATTTAACCAGGTGTTTCTGGAGAACCCAGTGGAAGGTTTCAGGTGCTAGGGTTATAATGATGTTAGTTGGAGAAGCAGACAATTAAAAAAAGCATAACACAATGAAAATCAAGACAGGGCCACTCAGAATTACTGGGTTGTCTGTAATTGACCACATGGTCAGAGAAGTTCCTGAGGTGTTCTGGTCCGTCAGTTTCTGTGTGATCTTGGGCAAGTTTCTTAGCTTCTCAGTTTTCAAACATGACTGTTGGAAAGACTCAATTTAATAATAATTGCAAACAACTAAGTACATAGTCTGGCATGTAGAAAGCACATGATGATAACAATCTAATATTGTTTTAAGTTTCCCAAAGACAGGATTTCAAATTGTTTTGTTCACTCACTGCTGTATCTCCAGGGCATGGAACCGTGCCTGACACATCGCAGGTATCCAATAAATATTTATTAGCTGAATGACTTCAAGGATGAAGAGAACCATAATGGAAATAAAATACAACAATGCAGATGAAATTAAACCACAAAGAAGTTCAACATTGCTTGCTGGAGCCTTGATAAATTGAATCTAACAAAGTCTAGCTTTTGGGGAATCCAAAACAAAAACCAAAAAAAACTCAGTCTGCTCCTCCCATCTTTATCCACTAGAGGGAGGCTATTACTTAACATAAGTCAGTGTTTCCCAAGCTCAGATGAAGCTGTTTTAAAATGATGAGTTAGTGGAACAATGATGAGATCTAATGGCCTGTCCTGCACATTTTTATTTAAGTAGATGGTTAAAATAAATAGTCTCAGGCTGGGAGGGGTGGCTCACGCTTGTAATCCCAGCACTTTTGGAGGCCGAGGTGGGCGGATCACCTGAGGTCATGCGTTTGAGACCAGCCTGGCAAACAAGGTGAAACCTCATCTCTACTAAAAATACAAATATTAGCCGGGCATGGTGGCACGCGCCTATAGTCCCAGCTACTTAGGAGGCTGAGGCAGGAGAATCGTTTGAACTCAGGAGGCGGAGATTGCAGTGGGCCGGGATCGCACCACTGCACTCCAGCCTGGGCGACACTCATCTCAAAATAAATGAATAAAATAAAATAAATAAATAAATAGTCTCAGATCAAATCAAGTAGCAGTCAAAAGAAATTATCAAAATGTGATTCCTACAGTCATTCAAACTTTGTAAAAGAAGAATGAACACTAAATAAATCCTTTTTATTTTATTAGCAGAAAGAAGCAAAATAAGTAAAGCTGAATTTTTTTAAAAAAATCTTTGGGCATTCAAATTATGATGCTTTAAAAACGTTATCACTTGATTGTTTTAGGAATGAAGATTAGCCGGTATTGCTGCTTTTTTGCATGTTTTCTTGAAAGCTCAATCCAGACAATTTGAGAATCATAATATTTTGCATTTCATTACAACTTCTTTCTGTCTCTTATTCTTGGATGTAGTTTGTAAAGTATAAATGGTCCCTGTAAAACCAATGCTGAGCATATGTTGAAATGGTGAGAAGCATAAATAGAACAATAATCCTCTAACAGAGCCTGGAAATCCTCTAACCTCAGAGGACTCATTGTTAAGTGCTGCCTCTGCATAACATGCAGGTGGAAGTCCCATGGTCTTTCCTCAGGTTCACTTCAATTCTCTTCTTGGAATTCTCAGGTAGGACAATCTATTGCTTAAATGGAGATTATGTTATCACAATTAGAACAATTTTAGAAATGCCTTTTGAACTGATTATATATGTGTAAATAATACAATGTTGTCTGGAATTTTTCATGTTGGAATTTCAGTGGCTCAAAATTATGAACAAAAGTCATTATATGGTTCAAATTTTAAATTCAAGAAAGCATCTATATTTAAGGCCAACTATTTCCCAAAAGGCTAACTAGAGAGAGACCACTCAGAGCCAGCTGTTTTCTTTGGGTACTTGATGCCTGCCTGCACAGAGGGGAAAAGGCAGCCTGTTTTAGAAGGTGGTTTGCAGGGAGAGAGAGATGCTTTGCTCCCAGCAACCCAAAGAGCTGGAGGTGCCAAAAGAATCTTCATAAGTTTTGGTGCTGTCTAAAGAAAAGGAAGATTGATACTTATTTTTTAAATGTCTGCTTAAGCAGGGGCTTGTCAATCTTTCTTATTCTCCCTAAACAGGGGGAAAGTGAATTGGGTGACCTGCTGTCTCAGGGACTGCCAGGTTAGGAGTGGGGCCAGGGGGAGGTCAGCGCTGTTTGTGATTTCTGGGAGGTGAAGGTGATGGATCCCCTGTGTTTTTGTCAGCTGGAGAGATGTTGCAGACAGAAGAAGGGTAATTTGTTTTATTTTTTGTAGATACTAGGTCTCACTATGTTGCCCAGGTTGGTCTCAAACTCCTAGGCTCAAGCAGTCCTTAATCCTTGGCCTCCCAAAGTGCTGAGATTATAGGCATGAATGACCCTGCCAGGGCTTGTTTTGTTTTAAAGGATTCATTTCTGTTCATTTTAAAAAATTAACTCGCAAATTTAATTTGAAGATTCCTCCCATGACTCCAGCATTGGCAAGATCCAACTATCCAGTCCCAGTCTTTTTCCTTCGGGAAGGCGGCATGATTTGCTCTTTATGGAGCTTTCCCTTTTCTCTCCTCTAGTTGCTGGTTCCTTCAGCATCTTGAAAGGCATAAATATATCCCTACTTATGCAACCTGAGGGAGGTCACAGTCACCTCATCCATAGTTGCTGATCTGGAGTGCTGTGCTTAGGGATGGGCTGTGGCTCCAACATGCCCTATTGAAGTGGGTTCAAGCCTTTAAAGCTCCCGTGATTCACTTCTAAGTTTGGACATATCCACTGCCAGCCCCCACCTGGGATATTCATATGGCTTTCATCTGATGACTGCACCTCTTTGTTTCTCCTCCTGTGGTGTTTCCAGCAAACCTGTATCTCCAAATCACGTCTCCTTAAAGGGTCTGTTATTGTACTGAGTGGGGAAACATTTAAGACCTTTCCTATAAGATTTAAAATAATACTAGAATGCTTACTTTCACCAGTTTTATTCAACATAATACTGGAAGTCCTGGCCAGAGAAATTAGGCAAGAGAAAGTAATAAAGGGGCATCCAAACTATAAAAGAAAAAGTCAAATTAGCCTTATTGACAGACAGCATGATCTTATACTTAGAAAGACATAAAGACTTCACAAAAAAACTGTTGTAACTAATAAATTCAGTAAAGTTGCAGTATACAAAATTAACATACAAAAATCAGTAGCATTTATACATACCAACAGTGAACAATCTAAAAAAGAAATCAAGTAAGCAATCCCATTTGTAATAGCTACAATTTACAAAGAATATAAAATACCAGAAGTCCTAGCCAGAGCAATCTGTCAAGAGAAAGAAATAACAGGCATCCAAATAGGAAGGGAGGAAGTCAAACTATTCCTTTTCACAGAAAATATGATTCTATATCTAGAAAACCCCACAGTCTCTGCCCAAAGGCTCTGTGATGGTTAATATTGAGTGTCAATTTGATTGGATTGAAGGATGCAAAGTATTGTTCCTGGGTGTGTCTGTGAGAGTGTTACCAAAGGAGATTAACATTTGCGTCAGTGGACTGGGAGAGGCAGACACACCCTCAAAACTGGGTGGGGATCATCTAATTAGCTGCCAGTGTGGCTAGGATAAAAGCAGGCAGAGGAACGTGGAAAAACTAGACTGGCTTAGTCTTCCAGTCTACATTGTTGGATGCTTCCTGACCTTGAACATCACACTCCAAGTTCTTCAGCTCTTGGACTCTTGGACCTTTGACCACTGACTGAAGGCTGCACTGTCGGCTTCCCTACTTTTGAAGTTTTGGGACTTGGACTGGCTTCCTTGCTCCTCAGCTTATAGATGGCCTATTGTGGGACTTCACCTTGTGATTGCCTGAGTCAACACACCTTAATAAACTCCCGTTTATTTATATATACATCTATCCTATTAGTTCTGTCCCTCTAGAGAACCCTGACTAATACAGGCTCCTAGATCTGATAAACAACTTCAGCAAAGTTTCAGGATACAAAATTAATGTACAAAAATTAGTAGCATTTCTATACATCAATAATGTCCAAGCTGAGAGCCAAATCAAGTTATTGGCTCTCAGTTTGGGCATTACTCGTGTATAGAAATGCTACTAATGCTTTTGTGGCTTCAAAATAGCCAAAATAATAAAATATCTATAAATACAGCTAACCAGGGAGGTGAAATATCTGTACAATGAGAATTACAAAACACTGTTCAGAGAAATCAGAGATGACACAAACAAATGGAAAAACGTTCCATGCTCATGGATAGGAAGAACCAATATTGTTAAAATGGCCATACTGCCCAAAGACATTTACAGATTCAATGCTGTTTCTATCAAACTATCAATGACATTTTTCACAAAATTGAAAAAATATTCTTAAATTCGTTTGGAACTAAAAAAGAGTCTGAATAGCCAAAGCAATCCTAAAGAAAAAGAACGAACCTGGGAGCATCACATTACCCAATTTCAAACTATATTACAAGGCTACAGTTACTAAAAAAGCATGGTACTGGTCCAAAAACAGACACATAGACCAATGTAACAAGTCAGAGAACCAAGAAATAAAGGTGCACACCTACAACCATCTGATCTTCAATAAAGCCAACAATAACAAGCAGTGGGGAAAGGGCTCCCTGTTCAACAAATGGTGCTGGGATAACTGGCCAGCCATATGCAGAGGATTGAAACTGGACCCCAACTTTTCACCATATACAAAAATTAACTCAAGAGAGATTAAAGACTTAAATGTCAAACCCAAAACGATAAAAATCCAAGAAGGAAACGTAGGAAATACTATTCTGGACATTAGCCCTTCCAAAGACTTCATGACAAGGACTCCAAAAGCAATTACAACAAAAACAAAAATTGATGTGGGACTTAATTAAACTAAAAAGCATCGGTACATCAAAAGAAACTATCAACAGAGTAAACACACAACCTGCAGAATGAGAAAAATATTTGCAAACAAATCAACAACCAAAAACCAAACAGCCCCATTAAAAAAGTGGGCAAAGGACATGAACAGACACTTCTCAAAAGAAGACATACAGGTGGGCAACAAGGACAGGAATAAATGCTCAATATCACTAATCATTAGGGAAATGCAAATCACAACCACAGTGAGATACTATCTCACACCAGTCAGAATGGCTATTATTAAAAAGTGGAAAATAATAGATTCTTGTGAGGTTGTGGAGGAAAGGGAACATGTATACACTGCTGGTTAGAACGTAAATTAGTTCAGCCATTGTGGAAAGCAGTCTGAAGATTTCTCAAAGAACTTAAAATAGAGGTACCATTTGACTCAGCAATCCCATAACTGGGTATATACCTAAAGGAATATAAATTGTTCTATCATAAAGATACATGCATGCGTATGTTCATCACAGCACTCTTGATAATAACAAAGACCTGGAATTAACCTAGATGCCCATCAACAGTCGGATGAATAAAGAAAATGTGGTACATATACATCATGGAGTACTACACAGCTATAAAAAGAATGGGATCATGTCCTTTGCAGCAAAATGAATAGAGCTGGAGGCCAATATCCTAAGAGAATTAACACAGGAATAGAAAACCAAATGTTGCATGTTCTCACTTATAAATGTGAGCTAAACATTGAGTACACATAGACACAAAGAAGGGAACAATAGACACCAGGGCCTACTTGAGGGTGGAGGGTGGGAGGAGGATGAGAAATGAAAAACTACCTATTGAATATGATGCTGATTATCTGGGTGACAAAATTATTTGTACACCAAACACCCACAACATGTAATTTACCCACGTAACAAACCTGCATGTGCACCCTTTGACTCTAAAATAAAAGTTGGAAAGAAGAAAAAGAAAGAACATAAAATACATAGGAATCAATTTAATCAAAGAAGTTAATGATCTATTTAAAAAAACCAATAAAACAGTGATGAAAGAAATTGAAGAGGACACACACAAAAAATGTGAAGTTATTCCATGCTCATGGATTAGAAGAATATTGTGAAAATGATAATACCCAAAGCAATTTACAGATTCATCAAAATTCCTACCAAAATGCCAATGATATTCTCACAGAAATAGATAAAACATCCTAAAATTTATATGGAACCACAAAAGACCCTTCATAGGTGGAGCAATTTTAAGCCAAAAGAACAAAGCTGGAAGCATCACACTACCTGACTTCAAATTTTAACATAAATCTATAGTAACCAAATAAGCAGGAGACTGGCATAAAAACAGACACATACCAATAGAACAGAATAGAGAATTCAGATATAAATCCAGATATTTACAGCCAACTCATTTTCAATGAAGGTGCTAAGAACATACAATAGGGAAAGGACAGTCTTTAATAAATGATGCTGGTAAAACTGGATAACTATATGCAGAAGAATAAAAATAGAACCCTTATCTCTCACTATACACAAAAAGCGGCAAATCACAATGAATTACAGACTTGTGTCTAAGACCTGAATCTATGAAACGACTAGAAGAAACATTGAAGGGATGCTCCAAGACATTGGTCTTGGCAGATTTTTGGGCTGTGACCTTAAAAACACAGGAAACAAAACCGAAAACTGACAAATGGTATAACATCAAACTGAAAAGCTTCTGCACAACAAAAGAAACAATCAACAAAGTGAAGAGACAATCCACGGAATGGAAGAAAATATTTGCTAACTATCCATCTGACAAGGGATTTATAACCAAAAGATCTGACTAGATATTTCTCAAAAGAAGACAAACAAATGGCCAACAGGTATATGAAAAGGTGCTCAACACCACTAACCATCAGAGAAATGCAAATCAAAACTATAATAGATATCATCTCACACCAGTTAAAATGGCCTTCCTCAAAAAGATTATTATCTAATAAATGCTGGTGAGAAAATGGAGAAGGAGGAACCCTTGTACACTGTGGGTGGGAATGTAAATTAGAATATCCACTATGAAGAACAGTACGGAGGTTCCTCAGAAACACTAAAAATAAAATCACCATATGATCCAGCAATTCCATTTCTGAGTACATATCCAAAAGAAAGGAAATCAATATATCAAAGAGATATCTGCAGCAGCTTGGCTCACAGGGGATTGGGTCAGGGTGGGAAGCCACACACCTTGTGTTCCTAATCTAGGGCAATGCAGCTGTGTGAATTCCTAGTAGCTCTTCAAACTGGTCTCAGAAATTGTGAGGACTGTGGGATTTGCCTGTTGTAAAAACTGTAGGTATCTGCTGTGGCAATGGAGGCTGGTAAGAATCTTTTGCTTACTTACCTTTTACCTATAATGGGAAGTCTCTTCTGAGTCCAGGCCAATCTGATCTGAGTGGGGAAGATGGAGCTGCAGAGGCCGGTGCCTCCATGCTTCTCTCCTGGACTTGCAATCACCACAGGTGCATCTCCACTCACCTCCTGCAGTCTAACACCACGCCTTTGACACTCTAGTCAAATCTTAGCTGTTTATTCATTGACTTGGTCCTTTCTTGTTGGGGGAAGAATTCTAGGCTTCTTTACTCACCCAACTTGCTGGTGTCACTCTCCAGGATGTTGAATTTTATCAAATGCTTTTTCTTTGTCCATTGAGATGATTATATGTTTTTTGTCCTTCAGCCTATTGATAGGATGTATCACATTGACTGATTTGTGTAGTTGAACAATCTTTGCATCCCTGGAATAAATCCACTTGATTATGGTGTATTACTTTTTTGATGGGGTTTTGGACACAGTTTGATAATATTTTGTGGAGGATTTTTGCATCTACATTCATCAGTGATATTAGCCTGTAGGTTTTTTATTTTTGTTGTGTCCTGTCTGCTTTTGGTGTCAGGGTAATGCTGGCCTTATATAATGAGTCAGGGAGCATTCCCTCCTCTTCAATTTTGGAAGAGTTTGAAGAAAACTAGTGTTAGTTTTTCTTTAAATATTTGTTAGAATTCAGCTGTGCAGCTATCGATTCCTGGCTGTTTCTTTGTTGGGAGACTTTTTATTATTACCTTGATCTTATTACTTGTTATTGGTCTGTTCAAGTTTTCTATTTCTTCCTGACTCAATCGTGGTAGGTTGTATGTGTCCGGGAATTTATTCATTTCCCCCAGTCTTTCCAGTTTTTTAGTGTGTAGTCATTCATAATAATCTATGATGCTCTTTTGTATTTCTGTGATATCGGTTATAATGTCTCCTTTTTCATTTTTGATTATGTTTATTTGGGCATTCTTTCTTTTTTTCTTGATTGGTCTAACAAATATTTTATTAATTTTGTTTATCTTTTTAAATGAACAAACTTTTTGTTTTGTTGATTCTTTGTCTCTATTTTGTTCAGTTCTGCTCTGATCTTTGTTATTTCTTTCCTTCTGTGAATTTTGAGTTTTGTTTCTTCTTGCTTTTCTAGTTGCTTGAGGTGCATTGTTAGATTGTTTATTTGAAATATTTCTACTTTTTTGATATAGGTGCTTATTGCTATTATAAACTTCCCTCTTGTCACTGCTTTTGTTGTATCTCATAGGTTTTGACATGTTGTGTGCTGATTTTCATTTGATTCAAGAGGCTCTTGATTCTTCATTAACTTCTTCCTTGACCCAGTGGTCTTTCAAGAGTCTGTTGTTTAATTTTCATATATGTGTATAGTTTCAATGTTTCTCTTTTTATGCATTTCTAGTTTTATTCCATTGTGGTCTGAGAAGGTACTTAATATAATTTTGATTTTTTAAAATTTGCTGAGACTTGTTTTGTGTCCTAACATGTGGTCTATCCTGGAGAATCTCCCATGTACTGAGAAGAATATGTATTCTGTAATTGCTGAATGAAATGTTCTGTCAATGTCTGTTAGGTTAATTTGATCTAATGTTCAGTTTAAATCCAATATTTCTTTGTTAAGTTTCTTTCTAGATAATCTGTTTAATGCTGAGAATGGGGTATCAAAGTCCCCAACTATTACTGTATTACAGTCTCTCTCTCCCTTTAAATCTAGTAATATTTGTTATATATATCTGGATCCTCAGTGCATGGTGCATTTATGTTTAGAATTGTCATAACCTCTTGCTGAAATGATATCTTTATCATTATATCATGACCTTCTTTGTCTCTTTTTACTATTTTTGACTTAAAGTCTATTTTATTTGATATAATTATAGCTACTTCTGCTTGCTTGTGGTTTGTTTCAATGGAATATCTTTTTCAATCTGTTTACTTTTAGTCTACATGTGTCTTTACATGTGAGGTGAGTTTCCTGTAGGTAGCTTATAGTTGGGTCACTAAAAAATCCAGGGCTGGGTGCAGTGGCTCACGCCTATAATCCCAGAACTTTGGAAGGCCAACGCGGGAGGATCACAAGGTCAGGAGTTTGAGACCAGCCTGGCCAACATAGTGAAACCTTGTCTCTACTAAAAATACAAAAATTAGCCAGGCGTGATGGAGTACGCCTGTAGTCTCAGCTACTGGGGAGGCTGAGGCAAAATAATCACTTGAACCCGGGAGGCAGAGGTTGCAGTGAGCCGAGATTATGCCACTGTACTCCAGCCTGGGTGACAGAGCGAGACTCCATCTCAAAAAAAAAAAAAAAAAAAAAATTCCAGTTAGCCAATGTATTTCTTTTAAGTGGAAATTTAACCTATTAACATTCAAAGTTATTACTGATACATTGATGCTTATTTCATTTTATTAATTGATTTATGGTTGTTTTGTTTATTTTTTGTTTTTTTCTTTCTCTCCTTGTTTCAGTGTCATTTGGTGGTTTTCTGTATTGGTAATATTTGAGCTTTTCCTCTTCCTTGTTTGTGTGTTTGCTCTACCAGTTGTTTTCATGTTTTTGTGTGTTTTCATGATGGTAGATACTGCTGTTTCACTTCCAGGTGTAGGACCCCATGAGCATTTCTTGTAGAGTCAGTCTAATTGTGATTAATTCTCTCAGTTTTTGCTTGTTTAGAAAAGACTTTATTTCTCCTTCATTTATGAAAAATAACTTTGCTGGGTATGGAATCTGTGGCTAACTCTTTTTCTTTCAGCATTTTGAATATATTATCTCATTCTTTCCAATCTTGTAAAGTTTCTATTCAGAAATCCACTGTTAATCTGATGGGGGTTCTTTTATAAGTGACTAGATGCTTTTCTCTTGCTGCTTTTAGAATTCTCTCTGTCTTTGACATTCAAAAAATTGACTATAATATGCCATGGAGAAGACCTTTTTGGCACTGTATCTGTTTAGGGATGTAGAAATGTTACATTCCCTTATTTGTTCAAAATGAAGTTAAATCTGGTTCTGAGCTTTATCCCCCCAGGATGCTAAGAAATTCAATCTTAGTCATGGGTAGGGAATTCCTTCCCCTTCCTGAGGGTCAAACCAGACTTTTGGAGCAGAAGAGTGTTTCCACAGGTAAAAATATTAGGAAAGAGACACTTATGATCACAATCAAAGTCCTCCCTTTTCAAGCCTTGTGATTGGGTAGCATTGGCCCCTATGGGTTCAACAAAGGCATAAGAGCCTTTAAGAGTGGGCTCTGCCTTCATTCCAGCTTTCATTGTATCCTTGTTGGCACTCTGATTAGAGTTTAGCATTTCTACCCAGCAACAGACTCTTCTCAATCTTTTCCCCGTCCTGTTGATTTTCTCTTGCCCTTGTCTTGGAGACTTGCTCCAGGCCATGCTTTTAGGCCATGCAGTCAAAAGCAAAGTCCTACTATTTCTCCCCTGAGAGTAAGAGAACCTCTAGGATAAAGCAGCTTGGATCAAAAATGTTAGAGAAGCAGGAAAAGTTCTCAGTCTATCCCGAGTCTTACACAATAGGAAGAATAAAATTGAATTTATTATATTTATAAAGTATTCTGTTGTATATTTTACTCAAGACTCTTACCATAGCTTCCCTTTCTGGATGAACAAAAATATGGGTAGAAAGGCCTGTTTTAAGGAGACAGTTGGGCAGGGTGGGTGGGCATAAGCTAGACTTGTGCCTAGGGTCCAGCTGAGAGGCATTGACAGAACTTTGCCTTTGGGGGGACAATGGGAAACTCCAAGAGACTAGATTGTGGCCAACATCTGGATTCTGATGCAGAAAGTACATGCTTTGTCCATAGAATGTGTCTTAAAACAACTAAAGAAGACTAGATGCTAGTTCTTCCTTTATTTTTTTTTTGTGATAAGTCTATATTTTTACCAACATATTGAATGTCTGTTTACCCTGTGTAGAAATGATAAGGTAGTTACTTGGGCAGACCACTGGCCTTTTTAATTAATAGAAGAGTTTTATTTAATGAGCTCATTTTGTTGACAATATATTCAAAGCAAAGATGTTATGGCTCAGATTAAAACTTATAAAAGTAAAATAGAGTTCATCTAAAGGCATGTAAGTGTATTAGTTTCTATTTCAAATAGCAGTAAATTGGGCAAATAAAGTGGCACCAAAATAAGATTTAAAAATTTTAACAAATTACATATATTTGTAATTAGAACCTAAAAACTTACAAACATGTTAAATCTCTCATTCTAACTTTAGTATCACTAGGGACTTGGAAAGATATGTTTAAAAGGTGGCCTGGCAGGGGTATATTTGTTTAGGTGCTTGATGGAGCTCTACAGGAGCTGACAGCTGTTGACCAGTAAGGTCAAAATGCAACAATATAGGGACAATTGTCACGCTTTTCTCTTACTGGCAAGTACCAGGTGGAAAGTAGGTGTGTACATTGTTTTTTACAAATTTTAAACCAGTATGTTTACAGCTCAGTTTTGTCTCAGAAGAGAACTCAATTTTCCTTTGTAAAAATAGCTCATAAGAACCCACTGTTACTTTTTTTTCATTAGGTAAAAAAGAAAGAGAATAAATGCAAATAAAATAGACATATCTGTACATTTTTAAGAATAAAAACCAATTTTCAGATAATTGCTGAAAGAAATATGGTTAAACCTTTGACTTTACATCATCAAAGAAGCATCTCAAGAAACTTCCCTTCAAAACATTTATTTGTAAAATCACTTTGTTTATATCCTGACTCAAGATAATTCAGTCAAAATGTACTTAAGAACGAAGTCATGAATAATGTTAACATATTTGAGGGCATTACACTAGTGACATGCCAACAAGAGTATACTTTTTTCATCTGAAAGAAGCTTAGCAAGTGTCAAAGAGTAATCAAGAATTAATTGCACCAAAATGACATTTGCTTTAAGGGGATTTTTATGTGATGATTTTTCTCAGATATTTGTCAATCTAAACATTTATGACATGGCTGGGAAAATAAAGAAATAAAAAAGTCCAAAGCACCTACATATTTTTATTTGAAACTCTTTCATAGAGATTGTTTCTTTTTCCCTATTTTGGTAATGGGTCTTCAGTCGTTTTATCTAAAGAGGATATCTCCTCTTTAGTCAGGCAATTGTTTTATTCATTGCTGTCGGAGAAATCTGAAAACAGTAAAATTAAAGCCATGAGTCAACTGAGATAACATTTGTTTCCTCAGAATTTCACTGGGGAACACTTTAGATTGCAAAAAAAAAAAGTTTTTCTCTTGTGCTAAGTAATTTACTTCCTTATAATGAAAAAGTGAATGAACATCAAAATAGACACTTGAGGCTGGGCGCGGTGGCTCACGCCTGTAATTCCAGCACTTTGGGAGGCAGAGGCGGGTGGATCACGAGGTCAGGAGATCGAGACTATCCTGGCTAACACAGTGAAACCCCGTCTCTACTAAAAATACAAAAAATTAGCTGGGTGTGGTGGCGGGCGCCTGTAGTCCCAGCTACTCCGGAGGCTGAGGCAGGAGAATGGCGTGAACCCGGGAGGGAGGCAGAGCTTGCAGTGAGCCAAGATTGTGCCACTGCACTCCAGCTTGGGTGACAGAGCGAGACTCCTTCTCAAAAAAAAAAAAAAAAAAACTTGAACAAATGTGTCAGATTCTGTATTGGAAATTAAATAGGCCAGGCGCGGTGGCTCACACCTGTAATCCCAGCACTTTAGGAGGCCGAGGTGGACGGATCACAAGGTCAAGAGATCAAGACCATCCTGGCCAACATGGTGAAACCCCATCTCTACTAAAACTACAAAAATTAGCCGGGCATGGTGGCGTGTGCCTGTAGTCCCAGCTACTCTGGAGGCTGAGGCAGGAGAATCGCTTGAACCTGGGAGGTGGATGTTGCGGTGAGCTGAGATCATGCCATTGCACTCCAGCCTGGGCGACAGAGCAAGACTCTGTCTCGAAAAAAAAAAAAAAAGAAAAGAAAATTAAATAATTCTTTTGTCTCAGGCAAATTCTCATTTATATTCTGTATACATAGCAGTGACTTGTATTTTTCGTGTTATTATTTCCCATAAGCCTGCAGACTACTTGAAACAAGGACTTTGGCCTACTTTTATGTAATCACAGAATGATTACATAGGACTAAAATATAATTCATGCTCAATTGCTACTTGTCGAATTATGGTTTTAGTACTATAAACCAATATTTATCTAAATGTATTCTTTTAAGAATTAGGTTCTCTAGGCAGAAGCTCATAAAACATTAGCTCCATGGTGAAATAAATTTGAGGAAACATCTGGTGTATTCTTATGTCGGAAATTTAGTTTCTGCACCTATATTAAACGAGGCTGTGTAAAGTCCTGTGGTTAAAAAGTTCACTGGTGTTTAACCTGATGCTTCCCAAACTAATATAGTCAGAATAATTTTTTAATATACCACAATCAACCTTCCATGGGTCTATTGGGATATTTAGTAAAAACAAATAATTAGAGGATTCCATCATCTAATCCTAGCCTTCAGTGCAACATCCAGGACTATGATTCTGACTTAACTGAAATGTAAAAGTAATTGTGAGAATATTGGGAATAAGATTTAAACACAAAACATTGTAGCTATTCTTGTTCCCTATTCTGGCTCAGAGAATATAACTGTAATAAATTGTGTCCCTGAAAGACCTCATTTATTTATTTACTTATTTTTTTGAGACGGAGTCTCACTTTGTCGCCCAGGCTAGAGTGCATGGCGGAATCTCGGCTCACTGCAACCTCCACCTCCCGGGTTCAAGCGATTCTCCTACTTCAGCCTCCTGAGTAGCTGAAATTACGGGCCTGTGCCACCATGCCCAGCTAATTTTTTTGTGTTTTTAATAGAGACAAGGTTTTGCCCTGTTGACCAGGCTGATCTTGACCTCCTGACCTCAAGTGATCTGCCCACCTCAGCCTCCCAAAGTGCTGGGATTACAGACGTGAACCACTGCACCCAGCCATTGGAAGACTTCTAAAAGAAGATACATATAATAACTAAATATATTAAAGCAGCTAAAGGCCAAGAAACATAATATTCTTTATCTAATACATTTAGTAAAATCAAAATTAATACAACATATTCTTGGGATCTTTGAAGGAAATACCTCCACTGAAATATCTTTTTGCTTTCATATCCCACCTCAAAAATAAATACATAATCTTAATAATCTGTGTTCAGTGTATGTCAAATGTGGAGAAACTAAATTCTTGGTGTGCTGTGTGCCACAGGTAGACTTGTAAAGATGCATGCAAAATTCTACTTCCAGGAATATACCCTATAGATGTATTCACACATGCAAAATGACATGTGCACATTTACTATAGTATTTATTTATTGTAGCAAATAATTGAAAACAGCTAAAGGATCATCAGTAGAAAACTGATTTTAAAAGTATGATAGACCCTCTGGTTATTAGGGATGCTCAAATGTTTTCAGCACTTCCTGGTTCTATTGAGGTGGTATATGGCCATGTGACCCTTTTGTCCAATGCCATAAACAGAAATAACTTCTGCCACTTTTAGATGGAATCATTTAATTTTAGTGTGAGTCTAAAATTCTCTTTTGTACTGCCAAAATGACTAGATAAAGCTTGCTGCATTTGCCTGGATGGCCTACTGATGTAGACATGGAATAGAACTCCTGACCTACTCATGATAAACATATAGCATGAGCTAGAAATAAAACTTTGTGGTTTTAAGCCACTCAGATTTGGGGATAGTTTGTCACTGGAACATACCCTAGGCTATACTAACAGCATATCCATTTAACTGAATGTGAAATGGCTATTCTGTTAAAAAAGGAAACAATTTATGTATTTATGGAGTGATGTCCAATATATATTGTCTAAGATATATTGTTAAGTGGAAAAATCAAGGTGCAGAACAGTATATATAGTATAATGTGTGTGTGTGTGTTTGTGTGTTTGTGTGTGTGTGTTTGTGTTATATATAACATAGAACACCTCTGGAAACATACTCAAGGCCCTCGAAATTTCGATTGCCTATAAGAAAAAATACTTGATAGAGAACTAGAGTGGGAGAAGACCTTTTACTATATACATACTTGCATTTTTAGTTGTGTGAAAATATTATATATTAAAAATTAAATTTGGAGAAATATATATGAATATTTTATATGAATCATTCATTGGAAAAAAATTTCAAGGCCCCCCTCTAAATGCTAATCTCATAAATGTGGCATTGAAAATGGGATTTTTTTGTGCTTCTTATTTGAGATTTTATCACTATCGTTATATCATTCAAATCATAAGTAAAGTCTAGAAATTAAGAGAAAAGTCATTAGTCTTATAGCTGTGTATTTTTGGCCAAGAAAGTCTCCAAATATTAGTTGATTGAAAATTATCATTTTAATTTGCAAATACATTTGCTTTCTTATCAGCTAAGATGTTTTGTTTTTAAATAAAGGCTTCTGATTAGCTATATAGAACAGCGGTCCCCAGCCTTTTTAGCACCAGAAACCAATTTCGTGGAAGACAATTTTTCCATACACAGGGGTTTGGGGAGTGGTGGTTTCATCAGGCATTAGTTAGATTCTCATAAGGAGCATGCAGCCTAGATCCCTCACATGAGCAGTTCACAGTAGGGTTCAGGCTCCCATGAGAATCTTAAGAATCTAATGCTGCCACTGATCTGACAGGAGGCTAGCTATTTTTATATCAGACAAAACAAACTTTAAAGCAACAGCAGTTAAAAGAGACAAAGAGGGATATTACATAATGGTAAAAGGCCTTGTCCAAAGGGAAAATATCACAATCCTAAACATATATACAGCTAACACTGGAGCTCCCAAGTTTATAAAACAATAACTAATAGACTCAAGAAATAAGATAGACAGCAACAAAATAATAGTGGGGGACTTCAATACTCCACTGACAGCACTAGACAGGTCATCAAGACAGAAAGTCAACAAAGAAACAATGGATTTTAACTATACCTTGGAACAAATGGACCTAACAGGTATATACAGAACATTTCATGCAACAACCGCAGAATACACATTCTGTTTGACAACACATGGAACTTTCTCCAAGAAAGACCATATGATAGGCCATAAAACGAGCCTCAATCAATTCATGAAAATTGAAATTATGTCAAGCACTCTCTCAGACCACAGTGGAATAAAACTGGAAATCAACTCCAAAAGGAACCTTCAAAACCATTCAAATACATGGAAATTCAATTACCTGCTCTTGAATGAGCATGGGGTTGAAAACGAAACCAAGATCGAAATTAAAAAATTCTTTGAACTGAATGACAATAATGACACAACCTATCAAAACCTCTGGGATATAGCAAAGGCAGTGCTAAGATGAAAGTTCATAGCCCTACATACCTACATCAAAAAGACTGAAAGTGCACAAACTGACATTCTAAGGTTACACCTCAAGGAAATAGAGAAACAGGAACAACAAACCAAACCCAAACCCAGCAGAAAAAAAGAAATAACCAAGATCAGAGCAGAACTAAATGAAATTGAAACAAAAAAAAAAATACAAAAGATAAATGAAACAAAAAGCTGGTTCTTTAAAAGATAAATAAAATTGATAGACCATTAGCAATATTAACCAAGAACAGAAGAGAGAAAATCAAAGTAACCTCACTAAGAAACAAAACAGTAGGTATTACGACTGACACGACTCTAATACAAAACATCATTCAAGGCTACTATGAACACCTTCACACACATAAACTAGAAAACCTAGAAGAGATGGATAAATTCCTGGAAAAATACAATGCTCCTAGCTTAAATCAGGAAGACTTAGATACCCTGAACAGAACAATAACGAGCAGTGAGATTGAAATGGTAATTAAAAAATTACCAACAAAAAAATCCAGGACCAGATGATTCACAGCAGAATTCTACCAGACATTCAAAGAAGAATTGGTACCGATCCTATTGACACTATTCTACAAGACAGAGAAAGAAGAACCCCTCCCTAATTTATTCTATGAAGCCAGCATCACCCTAATACCAAACAGGAAAGGACACAAACAAAAAAAGAAAACTACAGACTGGTATCCTTGATAAACATAGATACTAAAACTCTTATCAAAATGCTAGCTAATCGACTCCAACAACATATCAAAAAGATAATCCACCATGATCGAGTGGGTTTCATACCAGGGATGCAGGGATGGTTTAGCATATGCAAGTCAATAAATGTGATACACCACATAAACAGAATTAAAAACAAAAATCACATGATCATCTCAGTAGATGCAGAAAAAGCATTCTACAAAATCCAGCATCCCTTTATGATTAAAACTGTCAGCAAAATCGGCATAGAAGGGACATACCTCAATGTAATAAAAGCCATCTATGACAAACCCACAGCCAACATAATACTAAATGGGGAAAAGTTGAAAACATTTCCTCTGAGAACTGGAACAAGACAAGGATGCTCACTTTCACCACTCCTCTTCAACATAGTACTGGAAGTCCTAGCCAGAGCAATCAGATAAGAGAAAGAAATAAGCCATCCGATTCAGTAAAAAGGAAGTCAAACTGTCTCTGTTTGCTGACGATATGATTGTTTACCTTGTAAACCACAAAGACTCCTCCAGAAAGCTCCTAGAACTGATAAAAGAATTCAGCAAAGTTTCCGGATACAAGATTAATGTACACAAGTCAGTAGCTCTTCTATTACACCAAGAGTGAACAAGCAGAGAATCAAATCAAGAAGTCAACCCCTTTTACAATAACTGCAAAAGACAAAACAAAACAAAACTTGGGAATATACCTAACCAAGGAATCGAAAGACCTCTACAAGGAAAACAAAACACTGCTGAAAGAAATCATAGCCGACACAAACAAATGGAAACACATCCCATGCTCATGGATGGGTAGAATCAATATTGTGAAAATGACCATACTGCCAAAAGCAATCTACAAATTCAATGCAGTCCCCATCAAAATACCACCATCATTCTTCACAGAATTTGAAGAAACAATTCTAAACTTCATATGGAGTCAAAAAAGAGCCTGCATAGCCAAAAGCAAGACTAAGCAAAAATAACAAATCTGGAGGCATCACACTGCCTGATTTCAAACTATACTATAAGGCCATGGTCACCAAAACAGCGTGGTACTAGTATAAAAATAGGCACATAGACCAATGGAACAGAATAGAGAACACAGAAATAAACCCAAATACTTAGAGCCAACTGATCTTTGACAAAGCAAACAAAAGCATAAAGTGGGAAAAGGACATCCTTTTCAACAAATGGTGCTGGGATAATTGGCTAGCCACATGTAGGAGAATGAAACTGGATCCTCATCTCTCACCTTATACAAAAATAAATTCAAGATGGATTAAGGACTTAAATCTAAGACCTGAAGCTATAAAAATTCTAGAAGATAATATTGGGAGAAACCCTCTAGACATTAGCTTAGGCAAGGATTTCATGACCAAGAACACAAAAGCAAATGCAATAAATAAAAAAGATAAATAGTTGGGACCTAATTAAACTAAGGAGTTTTGCAGGGCAAAAGAACAGTTAGCAGCAAACAAACAACCCACAGAGTGGGAGAAGATCTTTAGAATCTATATATCTGACAAAGGACTAATATCCAGAATCTACAATGAACTCAAAAAATCAGTGAGAAAAAAACAAACAATCACATCAAAAAGTGGACTAAGGACATGAATAGATAATCCTCAAAAGAAGATATACAAATGGCCAATAAACATATGAAAAAACGCTCAACATCACTAATGAGGGAAATGCAAATCAATATCACAACACAATACCACCTCAACCTGCAATAATGGCCATAATCAAAAAATCAAAAAACAGTAGATGTTGGTATGGATGCGGTGATCAGGGAACACTACTACACTGCTGGTGGGAATGTAAACTAGTACAGCCGCTATGGAAAACAGTGTGGAGATTTCTGAAAGAACTAAAAGTAAAACTACCATTTGATCCAGCAATCCCATTACTGGATATCTACCCATAGGGAAAAAAGTCATTATTCGCAAAAGATTCTTGCACATACATGTTTATACCAGCACAATTTACAATAGCAAAATCGTGAACAAACCCAAATGCCCATCAATCAATGAGTGGATAAAGAAACTGTGGCATATTTATATGATGGAATACTACTCAGCCATAAAAAGGAATGAATTAACAGCATTTGCAGTGACCAGGATGAGACAGGAAACTATTATTCTAAGTGAAGTAACTCAGGAATGGAAAACCAAGCATTGTATATTCTCATTGATATGTGGGAGCTAAGCTATGAGGATGCAAAGGCATAAGAATGATACAATGGACTTTGGGGACTTGGGGGGGAAGAGTGGGAGGGGGCAAGGTATAAAAGATTACAAATATGGTGCAGTGTATACTGCTCGGGGGATGGGTGCACCAAAATCTCACAAATCACCACTAAGGAATTTAGTCATGTAACCAAACATCACTTGTACCCCAATAACTAATGGAAAAATAATAAAAAGAAAAAAAATAATGTTATAGTCATATAGAATATCTTAAAAATCTTAATAGTAAGCATATTTCTGGAAGGATGTTATGATAGACTCAAGAATTGGAGGAAGTCAAGTTTCAATTTGGGTTATTTCACAAAATCTAGAATAAATGATTTATGTAAATTTACCATGTTTCCTTGTGGTTGTTAGTCGTTTCAGTGAATGCAAAGCAGCAGCTTTAAATGACCCCAACATTTCGCTGATGAAGTTTGACAACTGGAGCACAGGAAAACATTGATGATGTTCTGAAAAAGTTGGTTTGGGTTCAGGTTTAGCTCTGTCAGTTACTAGCCATGTGACTTAGTCTCCATGAAATTTAGTTTCTTCGTCTATAAAAAGGGAATAATCCTTCCTCACATAAAATAAGTTACGGTATTTGAAAGTATTTGTTAATAATAGCAGCAGCAGGCCATCCACAGTGGGGGAGGTGTGGGCGGCGGCAGCAGAGGAGGCTGAGGGAGCAGCAGTAGCAGCAGTGCGTCCCCTGTGCCCCACGTCTTCGAGGCAGACATCTGCGCCGCCCCCATCCTCCTACGGCCAGGCGGACCCACCCCAGGGTCCACTCCACATCGGGATGACCAAGTGCGGCTGCAGCTACTCAAGGCCCAAGTTGGGGCTATGGACCTGGGCCTCTCTGCACTCCTGGGGGCCTGGGAAGGTCCCCCACTTGCCCTTGCAGGCTCGGAGGTGCCTGCTCTGGCTGCCTGGCCTCTCTCCTGCTCCCAGCACCAGCTTTGATCTCAGAGCTGGGTTGAGGCCGAGCCCAAGTACTATCACAGCCTGGCCTAGCGTGTTCATGCTGGGGCTCTGCCACTTTGGCCTCCTCCAGACCTTGGCCACCCACAAGTGTAAGTGGGGTGGGGGGACTGAGTGGGGGCCTGAGGGTGGCTCGGCGCTGGCCTGCAGGTGCCTCTTGGAGCTCGCAGCCTGGGTGCCATGGACGGTGGCAGGAGGCATACGGGCTCCTGGGCAGAAGGGGGTGGGTCCCTGTGAGGTCCCATCTTCAGGCCAGGGAGGGCCTGAAGGCTGGGGGCTGGGCTTCCAGTCCTGCGGACCAGAGTGGGGACCTGTGGTACCTTTTCTAGGCCCACTCATGGCCACTCATAAACCAATTGGTGCGCACTTCCTCCCCTTTAAGGCAATAAAAGTCCCGGGTTTAGCCAGAGCACAGCAGAGGACTGAGAGATGACAGGACGACTAGCTGCAGAGAGAAACTACCCTCTCTGCCAAGAGCTGCAGACGATGGGACAAGCTGCCTGCAGAAAGGAGCCACCCACTCTAGGGCCTCCTCTCTGCGGAGAGCTGGAGACAACGGGACAACCAGCTGCAGAGAGGTACCCTCTCTGCTGAGAACTGAAAACTTGTCAGGACGACCTGCCTGCTGAGAGGAGCTGCCCTCTCTGCTAGGAGCTGAACACTAGTCAGGGCACCCTGGTAACGAAGAGGAGCTGCCCACTGCGGTCTTCTCTGAACTGTTTTATTACTCAGTAAAGCTCCTCTTTGTCTTGCTCACCCTTCACGTGTCTGCATGCCTCATTCTTCCTGGTAGCAGAACAAGAACTTCGGACCTGCCAAATGGTGAGGCTTAAAGAGCTGCTATAAGACAAACGGGGCTGAAACATGCGCCTCGCTTGCCATGTTGTGAGCAAAGAGAAGGAGAGAAGATCTGTAGCCCTTTGGGGATCCCAGACCTGGGAGCTCCCTCAGCCAGGGCTGTGACTCACTCTTTGGGTCCTTGTGGATCTTGGCATCTCCAAGCTTCTGGGCACCACCACATTCCCTGGTGCCAGCTGGGGAAGCTGTTTGCAATGCACCGGGTCCAGCTGCAGCCTTGCAGAAAGCTGGCACCAATGCTGGCACCTGGAGCTGCCCGCCCCGTGGCAGCAACTGGCATGCCTGACTGCACAGTGGCCAGACCCCATGCTCCTTGCAGCTCCATGCCTGACTCCAGTCTATCTTGGAGACTTGGGATTCAGGCCAGTAGCATGAACTGAGTGCAGCCTGCCAGGCCGAGCGGGCAGAACGAGCCCAGTAGGCCTGAGCAAAACTTGGGCAAAGGCACCACCGGCCACAGGTTTCTGGCCAGAAAAGCAACACCCCAAAGATCCCGTAACAATAATATTAAAGAAAATGATACTTATTACCTGGAGGGAATGCTTTTATGACTAAGAGACTGCTGGTTTGTTTAACAACAAGGGTAAATAACCCATTTCATTCCCAAAGCTTTTTGGAATAAATTGGGCCCTCTGAGGGGGCTGTCATAGTTTAAAACTGCTTACTCAATCTTGGAGTGAGCATGTACTGTGTTTGCAGTCTCTTCAGTTTGTTCTTTTTGTTTTGATGAGAGATACAGACTAAATGAAGCATAATCTCAGGCTTTGCTCTCTTTTTGTGCTCAACTCACCACAGAGAAACTGAAGACAGAATTGCTAAGTCACCTGCTCCCTTCAGAACTCTGCAGAATCAGTCTGTTTCTTCTAGATGCCATCTCTTGGAGCCAGTGTTGAAAGGCTGTATGTTTCCATTTGAACTCATCATTGTTTAATGTGGCTACAATACAGAACCATACAATAACCACAATGTGAAAAACCGGTTTGATGGCGATCTTGGTTTCTAAGAAACATCTATCTGATTAAGTCAACATTTTAAACACAAATACTTTTTGAAAAATTTTTATGTGGGTATATATCAGATATATATATTTATGAGGTACATGAGATTTTGATTCAGGTGTACAATGTATAATTATTACATCAGGGTTAAGGGGGTATCCATCACCCAAAACATTTATTTTTTGTGTGTGTTACAAACAATCCAATTATATTGTTTTTATTATTTTAAAATTTACAATAAATGATTGTTCACTGTAGTTACCCTGTTGTGATAGATCTTATTCATTCTATCTAATTATATTTTTGTACCCATAACCATCTCTACTCCCCCACCCATCCACCACCACCCTTCTTAGCCTTTGGGAACTATCATACTACTCTCAATCTCCATGAGTTAAGTTGCTTTAATTTTTAGCTCCCAAGAATAAGTGAGAAAATGCAAAATTTGTCTTTCTGTGCCTGACTTATTTCACTTAACATAATGTACTCTACTTCCATCCATGTTGCTACAAATGACAGGATCTTAGTATTCCATTGTGTATATGTACTACATTTTCTTTATCCATTTGTGCATTGATGGACACTTAGGTTGCTTCCAAATTTTGGCAATTGTGGATAGTGCTGCAATAAACATGGGAGTGTAGATACGTCTGATATACTGATTTCCTCTATTTTGGGCATTTACCTAGCCGTGGTGTTGCTGCATCATGTGGTAGTTCTATTTTTAGTTTTTTTGAGGAATCTCCATATTGTTCTCCATAGTGACTGTACTAATTTACATTCCCATCAGCAGTGTTCAAGGGTTCTCTTTTCTTCACATCCTAACCAGCATTTGTTATTGCCTGTCTTTTGGATAAAATCCATTTTTAACTGAGGTTAGATGATATCTCATTGTAGTTTGATTTCTACTTCTCTGATGATCGATGATGTTGAGCACCTTTTTTATATGTCTGTTTTCCATTTGTATGTCTTCTTTTGAGAAATATCTATTCAGATCTTTTGCCCATTTTTAAATCAGATTATTGGTTTTTTTTCCTATTGAGTTGTTTGAGCTTCTTCTATATTCTGGTTATTAATCTCTTGTCAGATGGATAGTTTGCAAATATATTCTCCCATTGTGTGGGTTGCCTCTTCACTTTGTTGATTGTTTTCTTTGCTGTGTGGAAACTTTTTTTTTTTTTTTTGAGACGGAGTCTCGCTCTGTCGCCCAGGCGGGACTGCGGACTGCAGTGGCGCAATCTCGGCTCACTGCAAGCTCCGCTTCCCGGGTTCACGCCATTCTCCTGCCTCAGCCTCCCGAGTAGCTGGGACTACAGGAGCCCGCCACCGCGCCCGGCTAATTTTTTTTGTATTTTTAGTAGAGACGGGGTTTCACCTTGTTCGCCAGGATGGTCTCGATCTCCTGACCTCATGATCCACCCGCCTCGGCCTCCCAAAGTGCTGGGATTACAGGCGTGAGCCACCGCGCCCGGCCGTGTGGAAACTTTTTAACTCGATGTGATTCCATTTATCCACTTCTGCTTTTATTGCCTGTCCTCGTGGAGTATTACTCAAGAGATCTTTGCTCAGTCCAGTGTCCTGAAGAGTTTCCCCAATATTTTTTATTTTAATAGTTTCATAGTTTGTGGACTTAGATTTAAATCTTTAATCCATTTTGATTTGAATTTTGTATATGGCAAGAGAAAGGGGTCTAGTTTCATTCTTCTGCATATGGATATCCAGTTTCTCCAGCACCATTTATTGAAGAGACTGTCTTTTCTCCAATGTATGTTCTTGGCACCTTTGTCAAATAGGAGTTTACTCTAGATTTATGGATTTATTTCTGGGTTCTCTTGTGTCCCACTGGTCTATGTGTCTGTCTTTATGTCAATGCCATCTGTTTTGGTTACCATAGCTCTGCAGTGTAATTTGAAGTCAGGTAATGTGATTCCTTCAGTTTTGTTCTTTTTGCTCAGGCTTGCTTTGGCTATTCTGAGTCTTTTATGGTTCCATATAAATTTTAGGATTATTTTTTCTATTTCTGTGCAGATCGTTGGTATTTTGATAGGGACTGTATTGAATCCCTACCAATGCTTTGATTACTTTTAGTAGTACGGGCATTTTAACAATCTTGATTCTTCCAATCCATGAACATGGAATATCTTTCCATTTTTTTGTGTCCTCTTCAATTTCTTTCATCAATAGTTTATAGTTTTCATTGAAGATCTTTTACTTCTTTGGTTAAATTAATTTATTGGTATTTAATTTTATTTGTAGCTATTGTAAATGGGATTACTTTATTTCTTTTTCAGATTGTTTGCTGTTGGCATGTAGAAATGCTACTGGTTTTTTGATGTTGATTTTGTATACTGCAACTTTTCTAAATTTGTTTGTTGACTCTAATCGTTTTTTGATAGAGTCTTTAGGTTTTTCTAAATATAAGATTATATCATCTGCAAACAAGGATAATTTGACTTCTTCCTTTCCAATTTGTATGCCTTTATTTCTTTCTCCCGTCTGATTGCTCTAGCTAGGACTTCCAGTACTATACTGAATAATATTGGGGACAGTGGGTATCCTTGTCACTTTCCAAATCTTAGAATAAAAGCTTTCAGTTTTTTCCCATTCAGTATGATACTAGTGTGGGTCTATCTTATATGGCTTTTAGTGTGTTGAGATATTTTCCATCTATATATGGTTTTTTTGGTCATGAAGGGATTTTGAATTTTATTAAATGATTTTTTAGCATCAATTGAAATGATCATATGGTTTTTGTCCTTCATTCTATTGATAGGATGTACCACACTGATTGATTTGCATATGTTGAGCCATTTTTGGATCCCTAGGATAAATCTCACTTGGTTATGATGAATGATCTTTTTAATGTATTGTTAAATTTGGTTTGATAGTATTTTGTTGAGAACTTTTGCATGAATGTTCATCACAGATATTGGCTTGTAGTTTTCTTTTTTTGATATGTCTTTGTGTGATTTTGGTATTGGGGTAATACTGGCTTTGTAGAATGAGTTTGAAAGTATTCCCTTCTCCTCTATTTTTTGGAATAGTTTGAGTAGAATTGGTATTAGTTCTTCTTTAAATGTTTGGTAGAATTCACAGTGACACCATCGGGTCACTGATGGCATTCTTTGCTGGAAGACTTTTTATTATGGCTTCTATCTTGTTACCTGTTATTGGTCTATTCAGGTTTTGGATTTCCTTATGGTTCAATCTTGGTAGGTTGTATGTGTCTAGGAATGTATTCATGTCCTCTAGATTTTCCAATTTATTGGCATATAATTGCTTATAGTAGCCAATAATGATCCTTTGAGTTTTTGTGGTATCAGTTGTAATGTTTCCTTTTTATCTCTGATTTTATTTATTGGATCTTCTCCCATTTTTTCTTAGTCTGAGTAAAGGTTTGTTGATTTTATTAATATTTTCAAGAAAGCAACTTTTCCTTTTATTGATCTTTTGTATTGTTTTCTTCATTTCAATGTCATTTATTTCTGCTCTGATCTTTATTAATTCTTCTCCTAATTTTAGATTTGGTTTGCTCTTTATTTTCTAGTTATTTAAGATGCAACATTAGGTTGTATATTTGAAGTTTTTCTTCTGTTTTGATGTAGGTGCTTATACTGATAAACTTTCCTCTTAGTAATGCTTTTGTTGTATCCCAAAGGTTTTGGTATCTTGTGCTTCCATTATCATTTGTTTGAAGACATTTTTTAATTTTTTTCTTAATTTTTTCATTGACCCACTGGTCATTCAACAACACGTTGTTTAATTTCTACATGATTGTATAGTTCCCCAAATTCCTCTTGTTATTTATTCCATTGTGGTCAGAGAAGATACACGATATAATTTCAATTTTTTTTGAATTTTTAGAGCCTTGTTTTATGACCTAACTTATGGTCTATTCTTGAGAATGATCCATGTGCTGGGGAAGAATGTATATTCTGCAACCATTGGATGAAAAGTCCTGCAAATACCTATTAGGTGCATTTGGTCTATGATGCAGATTAAGTCCAATGTTTCTTTGCTGATTTTTCTGTCTGGATAGTCTGTCTAATTCTGAATATGGGGCACTGAATTCTCCAGCTATTATTGTATTGGACTGTATTTCCCTCTTTAGCTCTAAAAATATTTGCCCTATATATCTGGGTGTCTCAGTGTTGGTTGCATATATATTTAAAATGTTATATCTTTTTGCTGAATTGGCCCCTTTATCATTATACAGTGATCTTCTTTGTCTCTTGTTATAGTTTTTTTTCTTGAAATCTATTTTGTCTGATATGATTATAGCTTTTCCTGCTCTGTTTTGGTTTCCATTGGTATGATTGTTTTTTTATATCCCTTTATTTTCACCCTATATGTGTCATTACATGTGAAATGTGTCTCTTGTAGGCAATAGATCATTGGGTCCTGTTTTTTAATCCACTCAGACAGTCTATTTCTTTTGATTGGAGAGCTTAGTCCATTTACATTCAATGTTATTATTCAGGAGTAAAGACTTACTCCTACCAGTTTCTTATTTGTTTTCTGGTTATTTTGCAGTTTTGTCTTTCCTTTTCTTTCTGTCTTCCTTTTAGTGAAGGTGATTTTCTATGGTTGTATCTTTTAATTGCTTTTTAATTTTTGTGCATCTGTTGTTACATTTTTTGATTTGAGGTTACCATTAAGCTTGCAAATAACACCTTATAACCCATTATTTTAAACTGATGACAACTTAGGGCCAATTGCATAAACAAACTGACAGAGAGAAAACTGATACAAACTACATTTTACATTTGTCTTTGTACTTTTGAACTTTTTGTTGTTTTTATTTGTATCTTATTGTATTGTCTCTATCTTGAAATGCTGTTGTAGTTATTTTTGTTGGTTTATCTTTCAGTTTTTCTGAAAGAAAAACTACTCAAGTTATCAGTTTACACTCCACAATTATATTTTATAATGTTCTGTGTTTTTCTGTGTACTTTCTATTACCAGTGAATTTTATACCTTCAGATGATTTCTTATTGCTCACTAATTTCCTTTTCTTTCTGATTAAAGAACTCCCTTCAGCATTTCTTATAGAACAGGTGTGGTCAATGAATTCCCTTAGCCTTTGTTTGTCTGGCAAAGTCTTTATTTCTCTTCATGTTTGAAGGATATTTTTGCTGGATGTATTTGTTTTTTTTTCTTTCAGCACTTTACATATTCCATGCCACTCTCTCTTGGCCTTGTAAGGTTTCCACTGAGAAGTCTTCTGCCAGACATATTGGAGCAACACCATGTTATTTGTTTCTTTTCTCTTTCTGCTTTTAAGATCCTTTATTTATCCTTGACCTTTTGGAGTTTGATTATTAAATGTTTTGAGGTAGTCATATTTGGGTTAAATCTGCTTGGTGTCCTATAACCTTCTTGTACTTAAATATTGATATCTTTCTCTAAGTTTGGGAAGTTCTCTGTCATTATCCTTTTGAATTAACTTTCTACCCTCTACTCTTTAAAGCCTCTACTCTTTAAGGCCAATAACTCTTAGATTTGTCATTTTGAGGGTATTTTCTAGATCTTGTGGGTGTGTTTCTTTCTTTATTATTCTTCTTTCTTTTTTCTCTGTTGACTGTGTATTTTCAAATAGCCTGCCTTCAAGATCACTAATTCTTTTGCTTTATCAGTTCTGCTGCTAAGAGACTTTTATGCATTCTTCAGTATGTCAGTTGCATTTTTCAGCTTCAGAATTTCTGCTTGATTCTTTTTAATGATTTCAATCTCCCTATTAAATTTATCTGATCAGACTCTGAATTTCTTCTTTGTGTTATCTTGAATTTCATTGTTTCCTCAAAATTACTTATTACCTATCTGAAATGTTATGTATTTCTGTCTCTCCAGGATTGGTCACTGGTACCTTATTTAGTTCATTTGGTGAGGTCATATTTTCCTGGCTGGTCTTGATGTTTGTGGAGGTTTGTCAGCATCTGGGCATTGGAGAATTGGGTATTTATTATAGTCTTTGCAATCTGGGCTTGTTTGTACCCATCCTTCTTGGAAAGGCTTTCTAGGTATTTGAAGGGACTTGCATGCTGTGATCTAAGTGTTTGATCACTGTAGCTGTATCTGTTTAGGGGTATCACAAGCCCAGTAATGCTGTGGCTATTGCAGACTCATAGAGGTACCACCTTGGTGGACTTGGATAAGATACAGAAGAATTATCTGGATTAACAGGCAGAGACTGGTCTTCACTCCTTCATTTCCCTCAAACAAAGTATCTCTCTGTGTGCTGAGCTGCCTGGAGCTGCGGGAGGGGTGGCCCAAGCACCCCTGTGGCCACCCCCACTGGGTCTGTGCTGGGTCTGACCTAAAGCTTGCAAAGCACTGGGTCTCACACAAGTCCTGCTGTAATCATTGCCTGACTACCACTTACATTTGCTCAAGGCTGAAGGCCCCAGGACTCTTATGATGAGAGGTTGTGAAGCCAACCAGGCTTGTATCCTCTCCTTAGGTAAGTAAGTTCCCCCGGATCCTGTGCAGGTCCAGAGATGCCATCTAGAATCCAGGGCCTAGAGTCAGAAACCTTAGGAATCTATGTGGTCCTCTATTCTACTGCAGCTAAGCTGGCACCCAAGCCACAAGATGAAGTTCTTCTCACTCTTTCCCTTTCCACAAGCAGGGGAGTCTCTTCTCTCCTGTGGCCACCACTGCCCCAGGCCCACAGTGAGTACTGCCTGGCTACCACCAATGTTCATTCAAGGCCCAAGGGCTCTTCAGTCAAGCTGTGGTAAATGCCAGATGTGGAACTCTCCCTTCAGGGCAGTGAGCTCCTGACTGGTCCAGGGCAGGTCCAGAAATGACATCCAAGAGCCAAGGCCTAGAATTGGGAACCCCAAGATGACACCTGGTGTTCTACCCTACTGTGGCCAAGCTGGTAGGTAAGCTACAAGACGAAGTCCCTTTACTTTTCCCTCTCTTTTTCTCAAGCAGAAGGGGTCCCTCCCCACAGCCACCCAAGGTGGGAAAAGACTGGGTCACCCCTGAAGCCAACACATCTCTGAGTCTTACCCAAGGGCTATAGTGATACTGCCGGGGTACCACTGCTGATTATTCAGGGCTCTTTAGTCAGCAGGTGATGAATCCTGCCAGAACTGGGTCCTTCCCTTCAAGGCAGCAGGTTCCCTTCTAGCCCAGGGTGTATCTGGGAGCTGGCATCTGGGATAGGGGCCTCAGGACTTTGCCTGATGCCCTATCTTACTGTGGCTGAGCTGGTATCCAAGTTGCAAGATAAAGTTTTCTTTATTCTCCCCTCTCCTCAAGTGGAAATAATCCCTTTTGGGGCTGGGAGCTGTACTGCCTGGTGTTGGAAGAGGCATGACACAAGCACTTCTCTGGATACCCTGGATAGTAGCTTACTATGTCATGTGCATCCCAAGTTCACTGGCTCCAATCCTAGCACTGCACCAGGACTTTCCTGGGAATTGCAGTCCTTATGGCCTAGACTGGCCTCTAAGTTTATTTAGGACCCCAGAGCACTTTGCCCCTCAGTGATGGGGCTAGCTGGAACTCAGGTTCCAAACACTGGGATGGATAACTCACCTCTGCCTAGGGCTGGCCTCAGTTCTCCCTCTGTGGGCACCGGCTGAGTTCTTCTAGTGTTGCTTTCGGCTTTGACAGGGCAGTACTGAGTTCCAATGCAAAGTCCCACAATCACCGTGCCCTCCTTCCCCCATGCACACAGATTCTATCTCTGTGCCATTGGTGATTCAAGACTGTCTTTCCTACCCTCTTCAGTGCCTCTCTCAGTGATATGAAGTTAAAACCAGATACTGTGATCACTCACCTGATTTTTGCTTCATATGAAGGTGATTTATGTGTGGATAGTTGTTCAATTTAGTGTTTCTGCAGGGAGAACAATGGGTGAAGGCTTCTATTTGGCCATTTTGTCTACCTTCCATATCACCAATATGTTTTAGGACCTTAGGTACAGTACTAGAAGAGAAAAAAATCAGTTTATGCCACTTTATTTTTTGCCAGTGGGTTCTCAACTTTTCAAACTTAAGCTTGGACCAATCTATTATATAGATTATTTTCCCATTTATGAAGTACTTTCATATGCACTGTTATCATTTTATTCTTTCAGAAAGAGTGGGAGATAATTACTCTGTTTTAGAGATTTGGAACTGAGAACAATTAGGACTTGCCCGAGCTCTCACAGTGACCAAAAATAGACTAGACTAGGAAGAAAAAATTCTGCCAGTTTTCCACCAAATCCTGTTGCTTCTAGGGGCTGGGAAAAGAGAACGAGAGGTTCTTAGAAAAGACATGTGATACAAACATAGAGTGGGATGAGAAGTTGTGTGCAGAGAAGGGTGGCCGGGTCACCTTCCCTCCTTTGCCCCGCAGCATTGTGGCTCCTCAGGCCACAGTAACACCCTGAAGATACAACAGCCAAATGTGAGTTCAACACGGAGGTTACTTTTGCTTTCCTCACTTACTACCTAGAAGCAGCACAGCCTAAGGATTAAGAGCATGGACTTTAATGTCACAGCGTCCTTGCTTAGCTCTGCCACCTACCAGCTTGTGTGCTCCTGGGGGAACTCAATCTCTGCAGTCTGTGCTTCTGTAAAATGGAGATAATATTTCTCTTATTTGTTGCTGAGGAGACTAAATGAGGTAATGATGACTCCTACAGAGTTCTTGAGGAACTTGGAAGAAATAAAAGATGAGATTTTTAAAAATCTGCAGTAAATTGCATGTATGGTCTAGACTTTCAAAGTTGTGTTCCTCTGGCTGAATACAATCCACTAATGTGTTTTGTCTGGCTGATGGGGGGATGGCCTGTCCAGTATTTAGAATGTAAAACAACCTTTTTTGAGGCCAATAAAACAAGGCTATTTGTTCACAAAAAACAGAAAAAAAGAAAGGAAAATAAGATGAGAAATGCCTTGACTATAATTTAAAGATGGTGTTGCATTTAAATTTTTCCTTCAATTTGTAAATTAGAGCTTTGTTCCAGCATCTTCTCTTGAGTTTAGAGGTAAGGTGAGTCTCTCCAAATCCTGTCATCTCAGCATAAAAAAGTATGAGGAAAATAGAGAATAGAAGTGATTACCTGCCAAGGGGAGGGCAGTAGGGGCCAATTATGTCTGGTTATTTACTTCTTCATTTCCTTCAGTTGACATTCTTTATTGTAAGTCTTCGTCTCATTGTACCTGGAGACCATTGCAGCAGCCATATGTAAATATAGCTGAGGGAATGGTGAGAAACTATTCTGTTGGGAAATACTTTTAATTATTTTTTTCTCAAAATGAATTCATAATAAGAGATTGTGGCTTGGCTGGGGATGAGGATGGAAGGACAGAAAGAACAAATAAATAAATAGAACATATTATTTTCCCATATAATGATATCTGAACATTGCATTCCTACAAAGAATGGTTTGAACTATGTGGAAATCCTTTCCGCTTGTGAATTATGGTTCAGTAGTTCAGAAATGAAATTGCTTCCTCCTGAGCTAGACTCTAGAGGTTGATCACTTCATCCTGTAGACAAATTTTAACCTCTTCTTGTATCCAGTGGCTTGAACCTCTCCCCAGTCTAGGGGGCAGTAGTGTTGCAAGGCTCACCCAGGTTTTTCTTGAACTCTTAGGAACAGAGCATCAGACACTGAAATTTCTGCAAAGAGTTAGCCAGTGTTACTGGGGAAGACTCATCCTTTGAGGTCTCAGAAAAGTGTAGATCAAGGATCTGCCATTCCAGATTTATTATAGTTGCAGAAAACTAGACTCATGGCAAGGGAAAGAAGCTACGTGGCAAGGCAGAAAGAGCTCATTTCCATCACATCACTGTTGGCTCCATTTGGACCAGCCCCCGATCACCCTGGCCTAGAAAAGGAAGTGGGGCCTAGACCCATACATGAAAAGAACGTAAGATCTAGCCTTGGACAATCCCATATTTGATCAGTTGGCCATCAGGGCATTTTCCAAGGCACCACTGTTAAATAGCCTTGTTTTATTTGCCTCAGAAAAGCTGTTTAACAGCCTAACAACTCGGGGGGGCATAAAACGTCACTGGGACTGCTACTGTGCAGCCAACTGCATGTATGGTCTAGACTTGCAAAGTTGTGTCCCTCTTTGGAATGGAGAAAATTTTATCACTGGAACTCCTCTCAGGGAGAGAACTGTTAGGTGTTTAAAGGAATACATTGATAAGTGGCTTGAAGTGGGTGAAATTTGGGATAAGACTCCAAAGGGGAATGCTCAGAGAACAAGATATGGTAGCTAACCTCTCTTCTAAGGAGAAAGAGTCTTCTCAGATCAAGTTTGTGTTTGGCTGAGTGTAGTGTGTAAGTTTGGAGGTGGAGTGGAATTGCCAGGACCTTAGAAAGAGTCCCCTGTCACTAGTAGGTCCTCCTTCTCTGTCCTTCCCCTGGAAGTACTCATCCAACTTCTTTTTTTTTTTTTTTTTTTTTTTTGATGGAGCCTTACTTTGTCCCCCAGGCTGGAGTGCAGTGGCATGATCTCAGCTCACTGCAACTGCTGCCTCCCGGGTTCAAGCGATTCTCCTGCCTCAGCCTCCTAAGTAGCTGGGATTACAGGCGTGTGCCACCATGCCCGGATAATTTTTGTATTTTCAGTAGAGACGGGGTTTCACTATGTTGGTCAGGCTGGTCTCGAACTCCTGACCTCACAATCTGCCCGCCTCGGCCTCCCAAAGTGCTGGAATTACAGGCACGAGCCACCGCGCCCTGCCCTCATCCAACTTCTATGCACTTAAATGCCAAGAGTATCTCGGCTATGTGACCCCTGAGGGCACATGGGTTTTGCCTGGCCATGGCTGCCTTCACGTGGAGCAGGCTCAGGGACTGCGGCAGCCTGGAAGAGAGAGTGGGTAGGCAGGGCTGGCTCACTGTGGTGCAGGAAAGATGGAGGAGGGGGCTCCTGCGAGTACAGACTGGGTCTTCCTCACATCTACTGTTACCTTTCCTAGACCTGCAAATTGCTCAAAATCCGTTACCTAAGGATGAATGAACAGAATTCTTACTCTAATTGCAATGCACCCTCTTAGGTCCATATGGAAGAGACTCCCCTCTGACTCATATTCATTCCAGCCTCAGTATGTGAGGAGGACTGGGAGGAATGTGTCCTGATGTGCTTTTTTGTCTGTTTACTCTTTTCTCCCTTCCAGGGAAAAAACCCTAGCATTCTTCCTCCTTTCAGAGCACGCAGTAGAGAAGCAAGGTTCCCGATTTGCCAATAATAATGCTCATGCAATCTTCGTGTCTGTTTGGCCTAGAGGGAAACTTGGGCAATCTGGCTCTGCTGTGCTCCAGTGGCCTCTTCCCCAGCTGGCCTCCTGCACCTCCCTCACCGAGTGCCCATGCTGACCTAGGGCCTGGGCAGGCTTCCTGCCCAGGGAGGGCCAAGGCCATGAGTACCAGGGTGTTACTTTCAAAACTCAGGACTAAACACAGAGAAAAATGAATGTCATCTGATTAGGCCTGTATGAGATTTTAAAACCAAATTTAAATGATTTTACAGGAAAAAAAAGCTTTTTCTTATAATAAATGCTTCATTTTTATCCTTCTGCTAAGAAAATGAGAAACTAAAAGACTCGCTATAGGAAACAAAACTAAAGTATAATTTTACTTTTAAAAAACGTTAACATGTTTAACTCAGGTGTCAGCTAGGAGTTCCCTGTAGTTTCAGAAAACACTTAAAGATTTTAATTGATTTCAGACTGAAATAATCACTGCTTATATAGCTGTCTGTGATAGCTAATATCTTACAATAATGTGCTGTGGTGTTCAGATTAACTTTCATCTGAAGAGTTCTTTAGTTCAGGGCAACACATTTTAAGAAATAAGAAAATCCTCGAAAATTTGACCCACATTCAGTGGAAAATGATAAGAATGATGAAGGGATAGGAAACCATGTTATATGAAGAAGGTTCAGGAGTTAGTTAACTTCTACCTGGAAAAAATAACAAATACTTAAAGGGAAAATGCCAACTGTCTTAAAATATTTGGAAGACAGCTAGATTTACTTTGTCCATATCAGGAAAGCATAATTGTGTTTTATAAGTAAAGAGTTACAGAAAAATGGGTTTGACTCAGTATGAGGAAGACTATTTCAAAAATTAGTAGCTTCTAGAAATGAAATATGGTACTTAAGAAAGGTGTGAGCTTGGCCAGGTGCGGTGGCTCATGCCTGCAATCCCAGCACTTTGGGAGGCTGAGGTGGGCGGATCACCTGAGGTCAGGAATTCGAGACCAGCCTGGCCAACATAGTGAAACTCCGTCTCTACTAAAAATACAAAAATAAGCTGGAAATGGTGGTGCATGCCTGTAATCCCAGCTACCCAAGAGGCTGAGGCAGGAGAATCGCTTGAATCTGGGAGGCGGAGGTTGTAGTGAGCCAAGATCACTCCATCCTGGGTGACAGAGCAAGACTCTGTCTCGCAAAAAAAAAAAAAAAAAAAAAGATGTACACTTCCCTTCCATAAAATCATTTAATCAACAAATATTTTTTGAGTGAGTAAGTTCTAGGCACTGTTTTAAGCACCATATATATATGTATAAAATAATAATTTATATATAAATATATATTTAAAATAAAATAATAATTATATATTTTTATATATATAAATAAGGTTTGATAGCCACATATGTGTGATGTTATAGAAGATCTTTGTATTAAAAGAGAAAAGTTAAAATGCATTATTTCTATGGGATATTTTCCTACTTTAATATTTTATATTTTTATTCTTTTGAAGAAAATGATGACAAAAAAAGCCTTTTACCATTAAAGTTAGTCCTTTCTGGACAATGACTATTGTATTATTATTATTCCCCAATGTTAATGAATTGCTATATATGCTATAAGAAGAAGTACTCAATGAGTTCTGGATTCTGGCCCTAGCAAACCCAATGAAAAAGCCACCATGGTAATGAGTTTTCTGTCCCTGTAGGCAGACAAGTATGTCCTTTCCAATTGTTCCAGTCAATGAAGGTATTTTTAATATAACCTCTTTTTTCAAACACATTAACTTTTACCCTAAACTTTGTCCATCTACACATTCAATAACATGCCTTCTGTATCCTCACCAAATCACTTACAGAAATGTTAAACAGGAACAGACACAACACATTCCTGCCGGCTTTCCATCCAACCACTAATCAGTGTTATTGTGGAACCAGGAATGAAACTTGCCAACTATAGTGTTATACATACAATTTTAAAAATCTTATTTATATAGATATTGTGAAAAATTTTGGAAAATGATTTACAAATACCAAGGCACTGTGTTTGTGGCACATTTTGTTCTGCTCATTAAAAAAGCATGATCTGTTACCAAGATACCCATGATCCCCTAAAAATCACCATTTCATTTCCTACATGCTCGCAAACTATATTCATGAATTCATTCTAGCAATTTTCCACAAATTAAATTTGTCTAATTTCTAAAAAGAAAAAAAAATACTAGAACATCTAAAGTCTTTGGTCACTCTTGAGTTAACCTTCTTCTCTAGTGTCTCTAGGTATAAAATTATTTTCCTGAATACTTTTAATTTTGTTCCATGTTCTCCTATTTAAAATTTTTTATTAAGAATGCACTTTAAAATGTATTCCAAGCTGGAGTTTAACAGAATAGCTATATTTTCACTATGGAATAGGATGTTGCCTTAATTGAATTGATACAAAGTAACAAAGAATACTGATTTTAAAATTGCGATACATTTTCTAACATATCCAAGACTTTAAATAACCATCAAAAGATGGCAACTATCCTTTGTGACAGTATTCTTTCCACTGTTCCCATGGAAATTTCATTAGTCACTGAATACATTTTCACTTTAAAACCAGGTTTCCATTTTCAAAGTATCTTATTGTAAATTTTTTAAAAATCAAAAAGAAAAATTGGAACCATTTGTCTGGTATTAGGACTTTAGATTTTAAAAATTTCTAAAAACAATTAAAGTTAGATTTTCTAAACTCTAGGATAAATGTTGAAATCTTAATGTTTATTTGTCTATTTTTCTCTGTACATAGAAATGTCAGCAATCCGAGGCTATGGGTCTTTGTCTTGTTCTCTCCTGTGCCTAGAACAATGTCTGGCACAGAATAGTCAAATATATTTTGACTAACAAATCCGTGGTTTTATTATCTGGCTAATTAAACGAAGATCATGTGATTGTTTCTTTCCCAAGGAACATGTGGCTGCCTTTTAGTTCACAATTTTCCCTTCTTGGTCAGAATTAAGGGTGAAGTAGCTGTTTTCCTCTTCACTTTTTTAGTATTTTCAGAGGGAAATTTCTCATCCAAGTAATTTGTAGCAAGAAAACATGAAAGTGTGTGCCCTGACCTCATTCCATCTCGAATGCTAGTGAGAGGAATTTAGGCTGAAGGTCAGAACCACTTTATCTTAGATCAAGCTTGTTCAACCTGTGGCCCACCTGGGCCACACACGACCTAGCATGGCTTTGAATGCCGCCCAACACAAATTCGTAAACTTTCTTAGAACCTTATGAGATTTGTGTGTTTGTGATTTTTTTTTTAAGCTCATCAGTTATCGTTAGTGTTGGTGTATTTTATATGTAGCCCGAGACAATTCTTCTTTCAATGGGGCCCAGGGAAGCCAAAAGATTGGACACCTTGTCTTAGATCATAGTTCAAGGTTGGTTCTTGTTCTTCCCCTCAGCCGGTGACTTGGCTGATTGTAGTCAATGCCTAAAGATGCTATACTGTGAGTAGGGCAGGATGAGTTGGTTACTGTCGCAGCTCCTACACAAGTAGAATGTGGTTCCTGTAGAATAAAAATAATATTCTTTACTATTGAGAGATAAACAGAAGGTTGAATTTCAGTTATTTCAATGTATCATAATGAGAAGGGAATGGGTTTTGGAATCAGATCTGAGTTCAAATCCTGACTCTGCCATTTAGGGACTGTGTATCCTTAGGAAAATCCCCCACAATCTCTGATTCTTGGTTTCTGCACCTCACAGTTTTTGAGGGGATTGAAATAGGTTTATTTATGCAAGGCATCTAGTACAGAGCTTTGCATATAGTAGGCCTTCCAATGTGGCTTCTATTGTTATTTTAATATCCAGTCGGAAAATACAGACGGTATTGTTTGTATAACCCAACACTCCCTTGCCATTATCTTTGGTGTCCTTGATAAATTTAGGTGCCTTGCACAACTGAGCAAAGAGAATGACACCCTCAAGATAGCTGTATCATAAACTGGCATTATATGCATATATTACTGATTTTTAAAATAATACTTAATTTTGATACACTGTGTGGTTGCAAGTGGAAGGGGGTGGATTTAAGCTACAGGATAGGTCAGTTAAGAAGTCTTCTGGAGCTAAAGGAATGGGACACCTTAATGAAGTACTTAGATTCTCTGCGTGCTGCATCTTTGACACCAAGGTTACATGAGTGAAAGAAACCCTTGTTATGTTGCAAGGGAATTGTCTGATCATTTTGAACAGTGACCCTGTAGCATCCAGAACATCAGCCCCAGCGCTCCTTTTCCCCTTCTCTACATTTGAGCACTGCACTACGTACATCGAGGATGAAGAAACACTACAAAAGTAACATGGTCTTTGCCTTCAAGGGGTTTTAACCTAAATAAGCACAGAAACTAAAACTTATGAAAGTATGAGACACAGGGTAGAATAGTGGGATAAGCCTGAACTGCGAGCTAGAAACTCTGTATTCGAATCTCCATTCTGCCGCCAAATAATCTTGAGTAAGTACAAATTCCCTGTGTAAAATAAAAGCATGACAGATGCTTTCTCTAGGTTCTCCCATTTCTGAATTTGATAATTCTGCTCTGCAGAAAAAAATGATAATAATTACCATTAAATTGGATGTCTGTGACTATGACTTTACCATATCAAGTGAAAATATAGTATAAATTGGTACAATAGCACTGTGAAAATATAGTATAAATTGATACAATAGCACTGTGTCCAAAATCTTCGTTAGGTTGAAAACAAGATTTAAGGTAGCAAATGAAGAAGTGATCACCCAGCCATACATTTTAGACACCAAGGGATTTTGAGAAATTATAGATATTAATGTTCTCTCTTCTTGAGTCAAGGTTAATAAAATAAGAGCTCCTGGAAGAGATAGGTCTAGTGGCATATTATGAAGAAGGTGCAAAATAGGTATCTGGAGAAAGAGAGAAATCCCTTCTTCTCTAGGTCTCTTAAATGTTAGTGTTCCTTGGGGTGCATCTTAGATATTCCTCTGTTTTTCCTCTGCATACCTTACATAGCCATCTCCACCATGGTCACATTAAATGTTCCATTGATAAAATAAAAATTACATTAAAGATTCACAAATCCCTAGCCCCGAACTTTCTCCTGAGTTCTCACTCCCTACTTCACATTTCCATGTTTCAAAGTTTTGTCAAACAAAACATATCTAAAACATGACTGGTCCCATTGTTCCCCCTGGACATCCCCTTTTTTTCCTTCCTCTCTCAGTAAATGGAACCACTAGCTTCTCAGTTTCCCAAGCCCAAAACTTGGATAATATTCTCAATCCATTCTTCTAAGTTACCTACTATATCCAATCAATTCTTCAAATATTCATCATCTTCTACTGTGTGCCAGGCCCTGGTCAAAGCATTTGAGATTTATCAGTGAAAAAAATAGACCCAAAAAAGCTACTTTCCTCTGTGGAATTTAAATGAAGCATTGGTGCCCCTGATTCTTCTTAAATCTCTCACAAATTCATCCAGTGTTCTTTACCTCATTGTCATTACCCTACTTCCAAGCATTCTCCACTCTTATTTCCTCTGACAGTCTAACAAGTCTCCTTTCATCCTGCCTCCAACTCTCTTGCCATCCAGTAGCCTGAGTGAACATGTTAAAATCCAAATCTGATCAAATCACTCCCCAGTGTAAATCTCTTCAACAGCTGCCAACACCCTAGGGTACCATTTAATCTCTTTTAAGCATTTGTGACCTGACCCTTCTTCCTTAAGTGTTTCCTGTTGTAACACTTCCTGCTTTGGCACTACCTGCTCCTACTATACTGAACTTCTTCCAACTGCCCTAAAGGACCTTGCTCTGTTTCTCACACCCTGTGCTTTTGTAATTGTTGTTATCTCCGCTTGGAATGTTCTTCCCCACTTTCTTCTTTTTCTCACTGTTCCTATTCATTCTTCAAGCTATTGCTTAAATGTCACTTTCTCAGGGAAGCCCTTTCTGTACCCCATAGATTGGTGAGCTGCTCCTGTGTTGAGTTTCCCTCGTACCCCACATCAGATCTCTGCTTGCATTAGTCACAGATTCCTGCTGTTGCTTGTTTGCTAGTCTGTGGTCCAAATTAGATGATAAGCATTGTATTACAAGGACCTCGTTTGCCTTGTTCTCTGCTACATCCTAGAAGCTAGCACAGTATGGGGCCCCGACTAGACCCTTAAATATTTATTACATGATTGAATGATTAATACATGAATGAATGAATGAATGAGATGAACACTTGGAGCAGCAGACACCCAGAACTATTAGGCCTCTCTAACATAGTGTTATCCCTATTGAAGTCACTAGGGGTCCAGCATGACACACACATCACTGTCTAGCCTTAAGAATCATTACTATAGTTTAAGTCTAGTTGAATTTGGATAGAAATTTTTCTCAGCATTCCAGATACTGTAATTTATGGTTACTGTAACTGCAAATTTTTGTTTTGGTTTAAGTGTCTCTTGAGCTAAATATACTTCAATATACATCCCCACTAGACTTTGTGTCACAAGATTCAGTCTTTAGATGCATTTCAAACCCACACATAGTTTTTCATATTGTACCCCAAACATTCCCTGCCTTAAGTCTTTTTATAAAACGAGTATTTCACCTCTGAAATGTATTAACCAATAATGATCAATAACATGTGATTAGCACAGAATGCTTCTTAACTTCTGAGAATACTGGGACCTCTCTTCCCAGAGTCAAAACACTGGTAGAGTGCAAAACTTTGAGAATAATAGGCAAGACTGTGACCAGAGAATATAGGTCACATTTAGAATGACAGTGACCTGAGGTTTGAGATCACTGTTGCCTGATGGTTTTAAATCATAGCTTCACATTAGAATCACTTAGAGAGCTTCTAAAAACACAGTTAAATCAAACCCATCAACATGTCTAGGGATGGACCTCAGGAGTCAGTATTTCAGCTCTCCAGGTGATCCTAAAGACCATTTCTGTAGCCCATAAGACAAATATATATAATGATTAAATAGCAGCCACTTGGACTTGCACATCCAGAAGGGAGATTTAATGTTATTATAGCAGAGAGTGCTCTGGTTGTCTCTATTTTTGCCCTATGGGGGAATCCATTTTCAACTCAGATACTATTTACCCACTCTGAAGGGAAATTAACCTTCCTCACAATTATGTAATAGAGTTGTCTGGCCATACAAATAAGAAAAGTAACCTCTTCTGGGATATTTAACAGCAGACATTTTATAAAGCATTTCAGAGAAAAGAATCATGTTATTCCTGACATTGATTGATACTAAGTTAACTGAGCTACTGCATGAATAGAACTTTATAATTTTCTGTGAGTAGAAATAAAGGTACCTAGGTTTGGTAATTTTTCTGACTCTCCAGACTAAGTGAGCTCCCTCTGTCATTTCTATATGTGCCTTTCAATAATTGTACTTTTAATAGAGCTTACATTGATTTGTGTGATTTTTAAAAAATTCCTTCCTTATTCCCCTACTTTACTGTAAGCTCTAGGAGTGGAAAGACTGTGTTTTCACTCACCATATCCTTACCCAACCTTGTTCTTAGTAGAGATTCGAACATACTCATGAAATGAAAGAGAGGAGAGGTTGGGGAAGTGAGGAAGGAGGAAAGCTTTAAACTACTTCACATCACATGTCTCCTGGAAAAGTATGTCTATTAGAATCTCCACTCATGAAAGTTCTGCTCCATGCAGTTTCTAGAAATCAAGCACCAACAAAGAAAACCTCAACATGTTTGCAAAGCCAATGCAGTTTCATCAGGTCACTGGGTCAGCATCATTTGGAACATTTTACCTTATTTACCTTTTCATTTTGAGACATCATTTAAAAATATTATAAGACTCTAATGAGAACAAGGTTGTATCTTTTGTCTTGATCAATATTGTATCCCCAGTAGCTGGCACTGTGTGGGATTTAAGGTAGGTACCCAATACATATTTCTTTAATAAATGCTGAATAGGATAAGTGGGTATATGAATGAATGGAGTAGCATTTCAACACAGCCTAGTATACACTGGAAAGAAAATGGACAGATTTGAGACAAATTCAGAAGAAAATCTTTACAGGTCTAGAACAGAGAAAATTCGCTTAACTCCATAGCTATAACAGAGTATAATAAGCATAGATAATTTCAGCAACATTTTTAAAGCAAATTCATATTCAGCAGCTTTTCCTATCTGTCTAGTGGCACTGGGGACAAAAGATGTATGTGAGCAAAAAGTTTTGAAAATGAAATTAGGAATGCAGGTTACAAAATTTCTAGTGTTCTTTGTTTAAATCATTTGAAGTCTAACCTGATTTATTTGTTTAAACACTAGGGACTTTTTCATGGTTACTGCATCAAAAAGTACAGATTTAACATCTCACAAAATGACAGCAGAACATGAGGTTAGTACCTCAAGGATTTGAAATCTCCAGCCTCATTCTTCAGTACCCTATTTCACTTCTATTGCACTTTATCCCTGTGAATATCTTAGTGGTTCCTTAGTATACCAATTAAGAAAACTCACAGTTCAGTGAACTTTTAAATCTTGCTCTATAAATTACATGTTTCTACGTAGCTGCTTCTCTTTCTGGGGTGCCAGTTTTAACAAGAAAAGAACAACTGGGATTGACCAACGCTATACACTGGTGTTTGCTCTGTCTGTGAGTGGCGAAGGCAACATCTGTACTCTGAAGTCTCCCTTGGTTTATTTGAAAACTTCCAGAATTACAATCAGATAAAGACCAAGCTCTTTACCGTGTCCATCAAGGCCTTCTGTTAATGTATTCTGTCATTTTTCTAATTTCTCCTTCTCTGTTAGGGATTTCCAGAGAAACAGAACCAACCAGGGTGTGTACGTGCATGTGTGTGTGTGTGTGTGTGTGTGTATGTGTGTCTGTGTAGAGGCGAAAGAGAGAGAGAGATTGAAAGAGATGAACTGGCTCACACTATCATGGAGGGTCAAGTCCAAAATCTTCAGGTGAAGCTGGCACTGGAGACCCAGGAAAGAATTGTAGTCTGAGTCCTACAGGCAGTTTGCTGACAACTCCTTGTTGTTTGGGAGAGGTCAGTGTTTGTTGTATCAAGATCCTCAACTGATTGGATGAGGCTCATCCTCATTATGGAGGGTAATCTGCTTTAGTCAACGTCTGTCTGTTTAAGTGTTAATCTCATGCAAAAAGTATTTTCACAGAAACATTCAGAATAATATTTGACCAAATATCAAGGCACTGTGGCCCAGCTACATTGACACACAAAATTAATCATCACATCTTCTATCTAAATTATGTAGATTTCCTTAACATTATCAGCCCCACCCCCACACCATACATGCTATACTCATTCTAGCCTTTCTTTGTCTCCCAGTAAAAACCACTTTCTTATCTGCCAAAAATGTCTTCAAAATTCTCTCCTGATGATTACCAGACTGTACTGTGTGTTGTAATCATCAGAACTAGCAAAGTATAGAGAGGCCCGACCTTGTGGGAGTAACACAGGGCCTGGGTATCTGCATTTTACCAAGTTTCATAAATGATTCTGATACATACCAAAGTCTGAGAAACATTTCTTTAGTCAAAGGTATATCCTACATTCAAGTGGCCCCTCGACATTCCCTTTATTTAAAAAGTTATACTTGCATGATCTCATCCCAATCCAAAAGTAATTTTTCCTTTTGTAAACTCCAACACTTTGAATACATCTCACACGATTTCAAATTTCCTTTTATATCCCCTTAAAATAGTTTTCTAAGTGTGTTCTATTTATATGCATTTCTGTACAATGTGTTTTGAGGGTAGTGACCTCAAAACATATGCAGCATACAGCATACAGCATAATCTAATACATGAAAAGATTCTCAGCCCTGGATTCACTTTAGAATCACTTGGTGGATTTTTGAAAATCCCTATGCTCAGGTTTCATTTCCAGAGCTTCTGATTTAATTACCAGGGGTGGACATTGGGCACCAGTATGTTTTAGAAGTTCTCCAGGTGATTCCAGTGTATTCTCAACCAGGACTGAGAATCACAGTTACTGTGAAAAGAGATGAGAGGAAGGAATCTTTGTCCTTTTGGTATCATGGTATATCTCTGGTACCCAGGGCAGTGCCAGATGTGTAGTAGGTCAAATATTTGATTGAATGGGTCAAATATTTGATCATTTTCTTTTCTGTATGAATTCTGTAAAAGTCCTTTCACTTCTCTAAGCCTCAGTTCACCATGTTTATAGAATGGGAATAACAATACCTATATCAATAATGATGGTATTGAAGAATAAATGAGATGACAAGTTATTTGTCACATAGCAGATGCTGATCAAAAGTGAACTCCCTTTCCTTCAAAAGTTGGTGTTCTCATCCTATTTCTGACACTGGCAGGAATTCTGTGGGCACAAAAACTTAATACACGTGAAATGTGTATTGAATGAATGAGTTATGAAAAATTAAATGATAGATACATTATCTGGGACTAAAACGTGATAATGTCTCATTTTAATTGTTGGCTTTGTGGATTCCACTGTCCCACTCCAGGGAAGAGATAAGACGGTAAATATTAATCACAGGATATGCTGCAATTATTTATGCTATATTTCTGTCAGTACCTGCTAAAAAGAAGAGCAGTTATAGTTTGTGTGAAATTTCTCTTATTAAAATGAAGGCATAGTAATTAAGAAACTGGAACGTGATCAAATGAACTCATTTGGTCCCAAACCTTACTTGCAATAACATGCTTAATTTTCATTGACTCTCAGAGACCTTAAAGGTCATTGTGTAATGCTAGGACTACATAGGGAAATGAAGAGAGGAGCACACTTTTGAATTGTCCATTCATTTGTCTGTGGTGTGTATGTGTGAACTCCACATTTGCCGGTGGTGTGCCTGTGTTCACACAAACACACAGTTTGGTGAAATGCAAACTTTGCAATACAAAATGTTGAATTAAACTTGGTCCCTGTGTCAGGACTCTGTGAGCTGGTGAAGGGCTACTTTTATTTCTAAATTGTCACTAGCTATTCAACTTCCGCTTTTCTTCTTCTCTCTAGCTGTAAGTGTGGGAACTTCTGACTTTTTTCCCTTTCTTTCTTCCTCATGTTACTCAGAAAATAAACATAAAAGGAACAAGTGAGTTTTTGCAAAGAACTCTTAGGAACCTGCTTGAGCAAGTAATAACAGCCTGAGGAAAAATGCTATATGCCAAGGGTCTAGCTTCAAACAAAACCTGGGTGTTCTGTGACTTGAGGTGGGCGTGTGAAGACAGGAGGCTCTCCATGTTGGGCTAATTTGATTCAGTAACAGTGAAGACGTCGAAACAAAATATGCAAGGGTTACCAGTTGACATTTTATCACAGAAGTTTTCTTGGATGAAAAAAACGACACAGGAAAATCTGTATGTGGGGCTACTATATACATTAAACCTTAAATTATATTTTGAAATTTTTATTTTATTTTATTTCATTTTATTTTGAGACGGAGTCTCGCTCTGTCACCCAGGCTGGAGTGCAGTGACACAATCCCAGCTCACTCCACCTCCCAGGTTGACGCCATTCTCCTGCCTCAGCCTTCCGAGTAGCTGGAACTATAGGCGCCCGCCACCACACCCAGCTACTTTTTTTTTTTTTTTTGTATTTTTAGTAGACACGGGGTTTCACCATGTTAGCCAGGATGGTCTACATCTCCTGACCTCGTGATCCACCCACCTCCGCCTCCCAAAGTGCTGGGATTACAGGCGGGAGCCACTGCGCCCAGCCATTTTGAAATTTATGACACAATAGTTAAGATTCCTATAATGAAAAGGCAGAAACTAAACTCTGGTGCTGCATTTACTGCATTAGTTTTGTAAAGAAAATAAAAATCACTTGTCATAAACAACACTTTCAGGTTTTCATCTCTTTTCTGAAATTGATTGGCAAGAAACAGATCACGTTATGACTGGCTTGATAACAGAGACATAAGCAAAAGCATTAGGCTACTTCTAAGAACCATTGTCATTCCAATAAATTATCTATATATACCCCCACTATGTATGGTAACTTTGCAGGGGACAGTGTATGATGAAGTCATTAATTGATGAAGGTGCAAAGCAAAAGCCCTAGGATACTCATGACATTTCAACCTTCCACTAAATTGTGAGATCTTGGTATCTTACTAATTGTGTATCCAGACTAAAGGAACAACTCCAGGGATGAGAGTGGGCTGCATTCAGGTAGAGAGTGGACCTATGACTTTCTAGAGAAGATTCCCAAGTGGATTGATTCGGCCCATGAACTTGAAGCTAGAGATAAGGAATATGTGGGGAGAATGAGTGACCCTGAATGAGTCTCTGGATTGAAAACATCCCTATAATATAGTCCTTTAAGTCCAAAAAACTTTTAAAACACTATTTGGAATCTTGTAAAATAGAAAACCAGTTTTCGAAGTAATTAGAAACAACTTTCTAACAACTCAGAAAAGAGAAATAATCGGGGTCATCCTTTTACATTGTGAGAGGTGACTGTTGAATGCATTTGGAGAAAAGTACATAAAATTAAGCAAGCCCTTATTGAAATAAAAAACAAAACTGCAGGATTATTTATATCCTTCATCCATTTTCAATGTATTTGACCACAAATCTTTTCAAAATGCTAGACTAATTCCAGCTCTTTCACTGGACTAATTTTTAATGAATTCATTTAAAAACACTCATTAATTGAAACTGATTAGTCTCTCAAACTCTAGTTGTCATTTTAATCAATCATCCACATAATGTAATCTTTCTGAAAGAGAAGTCCAATCATGTCCCTCTCTATTTGAAAAAATCCCCTTGTTTCCCAGTGACTCCCTTTAGTTTTCCAGATCTAGATTAGAATGGAGCACGAGGCCCTTTATGTTCTGCTGACAGTCCTAGTCTCTGCCACAACTTCTTGTTCACTTATGCCCAAGAGTTACCCAACCTCTAGTCGGGCATGGTGGCAGGTGCCTGTAATCTCAGCTATTTGGGAGGCTGAGGCAGGAGAATCGCTTGAACCCGAGAGGTGGAGGTTGCAGTGAGCCAAGACTGCACCATTGCACTCCAGCCTGGGCAACAAGAATGAAACTGTCCCAAAAAGAAAAAGAGTTACCCAACCTCTCAGTCTCCTAAACACTCTGTAAGTACTTCCTGGCCTCTACGCCATTGGCCATAAAATCTCTTCCTGGAATTACACAATATCATTTTAAAATCAGAGTTTCCACTCAGTAAACTCTTCTTTGATCCTGAAGAAAATTACTTTTACCTCTCACTGGGCTTCCATTATACTTAAGATATTTTTCTATTTTAGCACTTGAACAGGTCACTGCAGTTATTTTGATTACATACTTCTCTCTCCCACCAGACCTCATGAGGTCTGGGATTGGGTCTTATTCATCTTTGTATTTACTCTGGGAGAAAAGAGTGCCAAGTGCATTTGGAGAAAGGTATGTTACCCAAAATTAAGCAGGTCTTTTTTTTTTTCTTTTTAACTGCAGAACTTCTCATTGCCTGACTCATACAAAGATATTAAGAGACCTTGTTCCCCATAGTTCTCACAATTGATCACTCTCCCTCAGTAATAGATTGAATGGTCACCCTCAAAAAAATATGTCCACACTCTAATGGGAGAAACCTAGGGGTGTGATTTAAGCCCTAAATCTAATGACAAGTTTCCTTGTAAGAAATAAAAGAGGAGAAAGCAATGTTAAGATGGAGGCAGAGATTGGTGTGATCCAGCCACAAGCAGGGGAACCTGGAACCACCAGAAGCTGGAAAAGGCAAGGCCGAATTTTCCCCTAGAAACTTCAGAGGGAGCATGTCCCTGCCAACATCTCGTTTTCAGACTTCTACCCTCCAGAACGTCTAGAGTACCCTCCAGAGCTTCTAAAGAACACATTTCTGTTGCCATAAGCCACCCAGTTAACGTTAATTCGTTACAACAGCCCTAGGAATCTAATAAACTCCTCCCTTTTCAGTTGCCTCCATTATTTGTTATTCTGATGCCTCCTTATATGATAGTTTTCCCCATAGTTCTGTACCTGCTCCTCTTACTTTACACTGTAACCTAGAGTGAACTTACCTACTCCAGACCACCACGTATTTTTCTGATCCAGATCTTTATTTCCTGTGCTCTATATCTGTTTAGTCAACTTCCTGTTAGACACTGTAAATGTACTAACCTGTAGGTTGTTCAAAATACACTCATCTCTCTGTCTCTCTCTCTTTCCTATAAAACTCCTTTTGGATGGCCTATTTTCTGCCTGGTACCACTGGGAGGGCACTTTACAATAATTTCTGATATGAACTCTTAATCCTATCAGCATCACAAGTCCCTGTTGAACATATTTTTTAAGACAGAATTTATTCTTCTAACTATAGAACAATTTTAGATAAATTGAAATTATTGAAAAATAGAAAGAAAAACAACTTACTCCTAACCTCACCATCTAAGACAATCACCATTAACCATTGAGTGCACTTCATTCCAGCCATTTTGCTTTTTCATATTTGTGATCAGGGTATACATACTTTTATATACTTATAGGTTAATGAGAACATCTCACTTGTTTTCAGAATTGTCAGTGTTTGTTTTAGGCATCTCTGAAACATAACTTCTCATCAATTACCAATAATCTCCTAAATTAATTTTAAAATAGTGCTTGCTCATCATCTTCACTTTGACTTGAACCAGAGCCCAGGCGCTAAACTAGTTTTCCACCTTGTGTTCCTTTCCAGTAGAGCCATAATCATTAAAATAGCATGAGATGATGTAGTCTCTCATGAAAGCTACTCTACATTGCCCAAACCTGCTGAAGAATCATCATATGCAATTGTTTCTGGAATGTCATCATTCAGTTTAGATTTCACAGTTGATGTTAATATGGGAGGGATAAATTACTCACATACCGCCTAGCCTGAAGCTAATTAGTTTCGTAAGTACATGTATGATCACAAAGCCAGAGATGGAAGTGCTCTGCCTTCAATGACAATGTCTTTTACTACTGGATATTTCATTGTAATTTTTAGACTCCGAAGTGTGAAAATGTTAAGCTTAAAGGTCCTAAATTGGAGATTATATCAGAATATTTTATAAAGCTTTTGATAGAACAGTGGATTTTCTTCCCACAGTTTTCACTGAAGTCAACCCTTAGAGCACAGGTTGCCTTTTCCACAGCAGCAAGGGGCCAATGTTGTCAGGTAGTCTTTGTCCTCCACACCTCCCACCCCTGCCAGCTATCCTGACTCACCAAATTTTGCAACTGTTTTAATCACTGATGTTGTGAAAGATATTAATCTCATCTCTATTCTGCTCAAAATGTGGGAAAATCTTTTCTCAGTTCATCAGCAACAAGATTAGACCTTTTCAAAAGAGGAGATTAGAAATCAGACACATAAAAGTTAGAAATGGGTGCATGCGTAAATATGGATTAGTGACCCAATGGCTTGTCTGCAGATCACTGGCAACTTGAGTACACTCTGCACTCCCAGAGAGTTGCATATTGGTTATCCATGACCTATCCCTCACCTGTAGACTTGTGGGAATATCCAGCCCCATCCAGAGCTCATTTATGACTCAGAGAGATGTGGAATCCCATAAGCTTTTCCCTGTGTCCTCTCACCAGGTTGGTTCTAGCTTTCGGGTCCTTGTAGGGTTGCCTCAATTACCTCCAAGTCATTTGACTGCTGGTCTTCCTGTTCCCTTAAAAATCCCTGTGCCATGGTCCCATTCAGACCATATTTCCCAAAGATGATAGTTGCCAAGATGCCCCAAGGTGAGTGCCCAGTGTTACCCTATATAAAGCAAGAACCCCCCCAGGCTCCCTTATGACAGACTGGGTCAGGAACATTTTTAAGGAGTAAGTTCTCCTGATTTTTAAGAGTAAGTTCTCCTGATGTTTAACTTTCAGCATTTCACTTCGTTCCCTTTCCTCAAGAGAAGGAGGTCAAGGCCAGTAGCTCCCGGGAAGTTTCCCTTTTCTCCATTCTGGCTGGGATTTTATAACAATACTCCATCAGCAAATTGTCTTTACAGAGTCAGTAGGTTCTTGTTTTTGAGACTTCACTGACACAAAAGTAAAGAAAGTCTGGCCCTAGAGGAAGTTGTTTACCTTTCTAGTTTTATTCCCAGGCCTCTAGTGGCTCCTAGACATTACCTCTAGGCTCAGATCCTGTTGAAAGATTTTCTTTGTCTTTTTTTTTTTTTTTTTTTTTTTTTTTTTTTAAACCCTGGGACTCCTGGAAGTCCAGTCCTATTTGTTGAGCTGTTGATTGGGAAGTATTTCTACACGCTGTCCTATTTCTGGATACTTCCAAGTCATGGTCGGATCTGACAAGTAAAGCACAACATCTGAGGTTATAGTAACAATAGATAGAAATCCAAGTATCGTCAGCATGGGAGACACATGGAGACTTCTAGAAGGCAGTACTTAAAATACCAGGCAGGTTGACTGTCAGCAAGAGGGAAGCCTTTGGCAGGTAGCAGGTCCACAGGCACAGAGTAAGGGATCAAAGGCAAAACTCCATTCAGTTAAAAAAGAAAAAACCTTGCAAACACAAGATATGGTCTGAGCCTCATCAGGGGTGTTACCATGCAAGGACTGAGGCCAGGGGAATTGCTCAGAAACTTAGCAGTCAGAATTAGTTTGCAAATTGAGCGTGGGGGTCTCAAAAGTACACAGATGCTCAATAATCGAAACTGATATGTATTTCAGGTCCAGACAAGATTGAGCTAATGTTAATTCCCAGGCTGATGGTAAACAACAGGGCTTCTCAAATTTTATTGTATGTTTAAACAATTCACCAAAGAAATCTTTTGAAAAATGCATGTTTTTGATTCAGTAAATCTGGAGTTGGTTCTGATCATCTGCAATGCTAACAAGCTTCCAGGTGATGCAGATACTGCATATCTGTGATACACGCTTTGTGTGTGTGTCTTTTTATATTTGTTGATTTTTTTTTTTTTTTTTGAGACAGAGTCTCACTCTGTCAACCAGGCTGCAGTGCAGTGGCGTGATCTCGGCTCACTGCAACCTCCACCTCCCGGGTTCAAGCAGTTCTCTACCTCAGCCTCCCAAGTAGCTGGGATTACAGGCACCCACCACCAAACCTGGCTAATTTTTTGTATTTTTAGTAGAGATGAGGTTTCACTATCTTGGCCAGACTGGTCTTGAACTCCTGACCTCGTGATCCACCCGCCTCGGCCTCCCAAAGTGCTGGGATTACAGGTGTGAGCCACCGTGCCTGGCCTTGATTTGTTTTTAAATGTTGAAATAATTTTTGGTTTACAGAGAAGTTGCAAATACAGTACAGAGCTCCCACATACCCTTCATCCTGCTTCCCCTAATGTTAACATCTAACGTGTATATTTTTCAAAACCAATAAATGAACATTGCTACAATACTAGCAACTAAACTATAGACTTTATTTGGATTTCTCCATTTGTTCTACTAATGTTTCTTTCTGTTCCAGGATCCAATTTGGGATCCCACATTGCATTTGGTCATCATGTTTCCTTAGTTTCCACAGATCTGTGACAATTTCCCAGGTTTTCCTTGTGATTCATGACCTTGACAGTTTGAAGAGTATTTTGTAGAATATCCCTCAATTTTGTCTTCATATATCTGAGATTACATGAAGATTAAATTTGGGTTATGAGTGTTTAGGAAGACCACAGAAGTGAAATGCCTTCTCATTGCATCCTAGCAGAGGGTACATGACAGCATGACTTTACACTGGGGATATTAAACTTGATCCTGTGGTTAATGTGATATTTACCAGTTTGCTGAAGTTACTATTTTTCCCTTTTCACACTCTGTTCTTTGGAAGTGAGTCTAAGTGTGGTCAATGGTTCTCATATTTGAGCATGCATCAGAATCACTTGGAGGACTTATAAAAACTATGCTCTTTTTTCAGTTTCTGATTCAGCAGGCCTGGGGCTGGGGCCAAGAATGTGCATTTCTAAAAAGTTCTTTGGTGATGGTGATGCCGCCTAGTCCAAAGCCCACACTTTGAGAACTACTGGTCTAGAACATTTGTCCTTAGTTGCTGAGCCTTAGACTTCAGTCAGAATTGCCTGGGAATAATTTTAGAAATATATATTCCCAGGCTTTGTCCTTGGCAATTCTGACCTATGCCGGCTCATAGGAGTTGGCATTTTTACAAATGCAAGTCAGGCTTGAGAACCATGAGGTTACTGCTACTCTGCAATAATCTGATTAAAGCGTAATTGGCCGAGAGCCTGGGGGCAAGTGCTCAGGCAGCAGGTGGGGTCCCAACAGCTCCAGCTGTAAGAAGCAAAGGGTGGGAGAGCCTGGGAACCCAGCAGGGTCTGAATCATAGGCCTTCAGGCTGCCTGGGTCTGACCTTGCTGTCTTTATTCATCCCTCCAGGAATTCCGTGTATTATTTTGATTTGTCTGAATCACATGATTGCTCAGAAGCAGACAGCACCAGCAAGCCAGCACTCAACCCTAAGAGCAGCCTTCAGTGAGCAGTCTGCTGAAATTCTAAAACAGAGTAAGGCATCGCATAGCATGCTGTTTACCAGCATCAACTAATTTATTTTATTGCCTAAATCTTAAGTTCTTCAGTATTCACGCAAAAGATGTTGTATGATTACAAAGATTCCAAAAGAAAATTGACGGGAGTGGGTGATGAAGGAGGGAGAGATTAGAAAAAAAAAAAAAAAAAAAAAAAAAAAGAACTAAAGAAGTAAGGAAAATGTTTTTCTTACATGAACTTCAGAAAAAATTTAATTTATATAATTTTATCATATAATTATTATAATTATTATTCAGCCTTTTATTCCATTATCATAATAACTTACTATTACTTATAAAAATTACCTTTATCCTTGGTGAATATGATGAAAAGTATTATCATTTTTAACTGACAAAAAACAATTCTGTGTAATAAAGACAATTGCAAATAAGTTTAAATGGCATTTTACATAATAAAATAAACTTTTTATTTAAAACATAAAGGTAGCCAGGCTTGGTGGCTCACATCTGTAATCTCAGCACATTGGGAGGCCGAGGTGGGCAGATAACTTGAGGTCAGAAGTTTGAGACCAGCCTGGCCAACATGGCATAATCCCATCTCTATCAAAAATACAAAAATTAGCTGGGTGTGGTGGTGCACGCCCGTAATCCCAGCTACTTGGGAGGTTGAGATATGAGAATCTCTTGAACCCAGGAGGTGGAGGTTGCAGTGAGCTGATATTGCACACTGCACTCCTGCCTGGGTGACAGAGTGAGACTCCATCTCAAAAACAATAAAAAAATTAAAAAGTAATAAAAATTAAAATAAAACATAAAGGTCCCTAAGATTCTTTAAAATGAGATTTTTCTCTGTATTACTTTCCTGGGGTTGCCACAACAAATTGCCACAAACTTAGAGGCTTAAAACAACAGAAATGTGTTCTCCTACAGATTTGGAGGCCAGAGATAGAAACTAAGGTGTTGGTAGCTTCTAGAAGGCTCTGGGGGAGAATCTTTTTCATGCCTCTCTTCTGGCTTCTGGTGGCTGCTGACAATCCATGGTGTCCCTAGGCTTATGGCAGCTCGTCAATTGCTATCTTCATGTGACCTTTTCTTTTGTCTCCATATGTCTTAAATCTCCCTCTCCTTTCTCTTATAAGAACATATGTTATTGAATTTAGAGTTTGCCTAAATCCAATACAGTCTCAACCTGAGATCCTTAATTAGTATCTGCAAAGATCCCATTTCTAAAGAAGGTCACATTTACAAGTGTACTGGGGATTAAGGCTTGAACGTATCTTTTGTGGTGGACACAGTTCAACCCACTACAGTTTCAGACATAGTTTGGGTGCTTACACCCTCCAAATCTCATACTGAGATGTAATAATCCCCAGTGTTGGAGGTGGGGCCTGGTGGGAGGTGTTTAGGTCGTGGGGGCAGATCCTCCATGAATGGCTTGGTGCTGCCCTCGTAATAATGAGTGAGTTCTTGCTCTGAGCTCACACAAGATCTGGTTGTTTAAAAGAGCATGGCACCTCCCGATCTCTGTCCCTTGCTCTAGCTCTTGCCATGTGATACACCAGCTCCCCATTTGCCTTCTGCCATGATTGTAAGCTTCCTGAGGCCCTCATCAGAAGCAGATGCTGGCACCATACTTCCAGTACAGTCTGCAGAACCATGAACCAATTAAACCACTTTTCTTTATAAGTTACCAGTCTCAGGTATTCCTTTATAGCAACACAAAAATGGTCAAACACAATTCCCAACACTATTAAAAAAAAGTTGAACTGTGTGAAGAATGTTGGCATGGAGCAGTGCCATGTTACTGCTTGCTTGGAAGACCACGTGCCTCATCCCAGCCATTCAGCTCAGCTTCCTGTCCACTGCCCACCTCCAGGTGTGCATTTGAGTAGCAGCACCAAGGCAGAAACACCCTGAGCCTCATGAATGGCCAAGTTTCCCGATGTTCTTAGCCAGAAAATACTAAGAGATGACCCAGTTTCGTTAATGCCCTTCCTACAAAGCCCACCCAATATAAGAAGAGACTCATGCAGATATTTAGGTCGCTAATTTTTGTTTGCCACAGCACTTAAATTTTTCTAGTGAACTTTCTCCATTTTCAATAAATTTTACTTTAAAAAGCCACTGTAAATTTTTTTCCTTACAGAATGGTTTTAATCCAAGTGCATTAGAACCGCATGGAAAACTTGAAGGCTTAATATTGCTAAGGTGATAAAAAAAAAAGTAGAAGAATTTTATAGCTACTGAGGGCTATTTCTGAAGAAACTTTATAATTTAACAGGCTCATTAACCATTCCAGTTTAGACTCAGGAAGAAGCAGATAGCAGGACAGCTTTTTAAACTAGGTTTCTTTCCTCAATTTCCTTACACAATTAATTTTTGATTCTCGTATCTTTCTGTCTTACAGCACTTAGAGTGATTTTAAAAATATTCCATATATTTGACTGATAACCATCTCATGTTACTTTTATAAATGCCGGAGTTTGGCTCCTTATATTAATTTTTCTGTTGGCATTATCCATGGCATAAATATAAAAATGTCTTTTGATGAAAAATCTTAAATGAAAAATGGTATCCACCATTCTTCTATCCCAAGAAAAGAAAGCCTATAGTAGTTGTTAAGTTATGATCCCCAGTTTTAAAAATTTATACTTGAGACTCTAAAACAGGGGTTGACAAATATTTTTTCTGTGAAGAGCCAGTAGTAAATATTTCAGGCTTTGCCAGTCATATGTTTGTTATAACTACTCAACCTCACTATTGCAGCACAAAAGCAACCATAGACAATATGTAAAGGAATAAGTGTGGTTGTGTTCTAATAAAACTTTATCTACACGTGGCAGCTGGATTTAGTATATGGGTCATAGTTTGCCAACCCCTGATCTAAAATATCAACTTATTCTCCAGCTGTGTATTATATTGCTAGATACCCACAGGGAAACATGAAGGAATTCAGTGTAGTTTCAGATTCTCTTTCACAGAGTTGGAAACATTTCGGATTTCTATTTCAATCCCCATTATATACTCAGTGGTGGGAAAGACCTATCCTAGGGATCTTTCCTTTAGTAGGCACTCAAGTGTTTATTGAATTAGTTGCAAATGAGTAAGGCCTGAGTTCTCCTTGCATGCCAATATCTACAGAGTGCCCACTATGTCTTGTCCAGCTCCAATACACTTCAAATTGCTTCGTTGAAATAACTCAAGTTTAATATGACAAAAGACTGGAAAATCTTGCCTGCTGGGGCTTTCCTCTCCTGCTTTGTAGGAAAGTTATGAGATCTGTACTTCTGTTATGAATAAATATAGTCACAATACTTTTCTATAGAAAGAAAAAGTGTGTGTGTGCATGTATATGTGTATATACATCAGAAGAGCAACAGATAATTATGTTCCGTATTTACTGGGCCATCAGGAATGCACTGGTGAGAGGGCCACAGCATCATTAAGAGTTTCAGTGGTTGCTCTTGTTGGGTTGTTAGAGTTCAGCTCATTGGTAGCAATGGGAATGAAGAGAATTTGATTCAATCTGGGCCAGATGGCAGCACATTACTGCCAGAAACCAGGGGATTGATTGCACTTCACCATAAAATAGGGCAAGGCTGAAGGCACAGCTAAGGGTGTTTGACCCGAAAGGGGTTATGGAGATGATTAAAATAACACTGAATCCATAGAGGCAAAATAGATGATTAGCCAACAAGGGTGCTGCTTCATACATACAATCAAAAGAAGGCAGGAATGGATGGGCAGCAGACTAAGGATGAGCGCCCCAGTAGAAAGTCATGATCTTTTGCTCAGATTCCAGATCTGAGCCAATTTTCAGACCCAGAATCCTTTGTCTCAATAGGTGACAAGCCCACAGAAGGAAGAACCCTGAGATACCATAAACTGTTAATGTCCCCCATTTTCCTCAAAGGAGATCTGTTATCGTTTACTTGAGAAAATATGCAATGAGGAAAGAGGAAAATCCAGATATTCTGACAGCCTCGGGTCTGAATTATTGTCGATTCACAGAGTGCCAAATCATCATGTTAGAGTGAAGACATACAGCAGCTAGGTAATAAATAGAATCCTGGCCAAAGTCTAGGTCTCAGTAGGTCCGGTAGGTCTGTGGATTCCTCCAGAAGTCATTTCCCTAGGCCTTGAATGCGTAATTGGGATTGACTCCTTGGCTGTTGGAGTAAGCTCCACCTTTCTCATTTTCTAATTCAAACAAGAATTATTATAGTGGGGAAGGCAAAATGGAAGCTTCTGAAACTGCACCCCCACACTCCCACCTTCTTCACTGCTATCCTCTCTCCATCCCTTGATAAGATGGTGAATAAAAAACATTGTATTCGGTGGCAGGGGAGGAGTGAGGAATGACAGAAATTGGGGCTACTCAAAAGGACTTTAAGACTGCAGAAGGTGGTGGTTCATATCATAGCACCATTTAATTCATGAGTCTGATCACTGCAAAATCCAAGTGAATCTTAGAATATTTCTAGCCTAGTGAAAAATCAACTAATAACCCCAATGATGGGCTACTGTGCTTGATGTGTTATCTTTGTTAGTGCAGATTAATACAGTGTCAGGTACATGGTGTTCAGTCAGACCACATTTCACATTCTTTCCTACCTCAATCAGGAAAGATCAGAAACCATTTGCATTTGCATGGAACAGACAATGACACATGTTTACATTTTTTTTTTAATTTTTTGAGTTGGAGTCTCACTCTGTTGCCCAGGCTGGAGTGCAGTGGTGTGATCTCGGCTCACTGCAACCTCCCAGGTTCAAGTGATTCTCCTGCCTCAGCCTCCCGAGAAGCTGGGATTACAGGTGCCCACCACCACACCCAGCTAATTTTTGTAATTTTTAGTAGAGACGGGGTTTTGCCATGTTGGCTAGGATGGTCTCAAACTCCTGACCCCAGGTGATCCTCCCACCTTGGGCTCTCAAAGTACTGGGATTACAGGCATGAGCCACCTGTTACATAGTCCTGTGGCTATGTTAACTCCTACTCTTTATCATAATATAATCAGATGAGATCTAGGCTGTCTGGACACTTGGCACAATATCATGTTATCAGGCAGGATGAACAAGAAGTGGCTAGTATAATGGAGGCCTTGGTAAGACACATTCAACACAGAATATGAGAGTTAAAGTTGGTAATGATTGAGGCAACTTCTAGTAAAGTTTTTAGGGGTCCAGCTTGACCAGGGACATATAAGGAAATCTTTTCCAAAAGACAAATTGCTACATTTTGCCTGTTCTATCAAAATTCTTGTGGGACTCTTTGGCTTATGGTGGCAACATATTGCACATTTAGGCATGTGCTGCAGCCCATATACTGGATGGCATGAAAGGCTCCCTGCTTTGAGTGGAGCCCAGAGCAGGAAAGGGTCTGCAGGAAGGAAGGGCTGTGATATGAGCTGCCCTGATGCTTGGGTCATGTGATTGGTAAACTCCACGGTGCTGGAGGTGTTAGTGAGAGGAAAATATGCAATATAATGTGTATGGTGTGTGTGTATGTGTGTGAGAGAGAGAGTGTGTGTATGTATGTGTGTGGGTGAGCATCATAGCACCAATGTCTGGGGTTGTGAAGAAAGATCATGCCATCTGTAACAGAGACTTATACACCTATTAAAACAGAGTGCCTAATGTGTTACTGGGGCCCCATAGAGACAGAATTCTTGACTATAGGATATCAAGTAACAATGTATCTGGAAGTGTCCATTATGAGCCAGGTTCCGTCAGACCCACAGAGTCATCAAGTCAGGTATGTCCAGCAGAAGTCCATCGTGAGATCAGATTGTGCATCTGGGGTCAAGCCTAAACAAGACCAGAAGTCCTAAGGTAACTGCATGAGCAGGTGGTGCAGATCCCCATGTCACCCACCACTGCAGCACCAGCACCCCTCCTTCAGATCATGCCCCAGACAGTATGTGGGTCCCACGTGACCAGCTAAAGGAGGAGAAAAAACCTGAGCATGTTTAATGTACCAGTCAGCACAGGGTGTGGAGGCAAGTTAAAAATGGGCAGTGGTTTCATGACACTTGGGATGTGGGGGGGACTTGAGGAACTGGTAAGGAAAATCATATCAATGGACAAAGCTCAGAGTCATGCACCTGTTCCCTATTTCATGTGGAGGACACAGTGGCTTGGAATGGGAACATATATATACTCATGGGTGGAAGCGAATCGTCTGAAAAGCTGGTCAGGGACCTGGAAGGAGGACTGAAAAATTGCAGACAAGAATGTTTGGTGGAGAGGAATGTGTGTGAACCTATAGGAGTGGGCAAAATATGTGAAGATTTTTGGCTCTTGTATTCATGAACACTAGAAAGCATCAATCACAGAAGAGGCACTGAACAACAGAGTAGACAAAATGACTAGGCCAGTTGACATTAGGCAGTCTCTGAGCTGATGTGACTGACACATGAACGGAGCAGCCACAGTGCAGAGATAGAAGCCATACATGGGCTCCGTCTCACACCTCAGTACTGACGCCTGTGCAAGTCTAACCTGTCAGCAACAGGGAAAAACACCGCTCCCAATACGACATCTTCAAGGAGGTGATCTTCAATCGTGATTTTCCTTGTGGGAGGGGATCCATGTGCATCCGACATATGTGGCAGCACATTCGACATTTTCTTGAAAAATCCTGGGAATTGTAGTGCCTTCAGTGCCCAGATTACCCTCAATGTTGGGTCATTTCCTGGCTTCAGCCTCATGCCTATTAAGTTGAATGAGCACAGTCGTACAAATTACTCAGGAAAACCAACCAATGAACTAAGGCTTTTTGTTTTGTTTTGTTTTGCTTTTTTGATACGGAGTCTTGCTCTGTTGCCCAGGCTGGAGTGCAGTGGAGTGCAGTGGCACGATCTTGGCTCACTGCAACCTCTGCTTCCTGGGTTCAAGTGATTCTTCTGCCTCAGCCTCCCGAGTAGCTGGGACTACAGGTGCGTTGCACCATGCCTGGCTAATTTTTGTATTTTTAGTAGAGACAGGGTTTCACCATATTGGCCCGGCTGATCTTGAACTCCTGACCTCATGATCTGCCCGCCTGGGCCTCCCAAAGTGCTGGGATTACAGGCAAGAACCACTGCACCTGGCCAAACTATAGTATCTTTACCAACCATATCTGGAACATTTAATCAGTAGTGTATGCAAAATTTTTGCCTCATATTAGGCATATAATGCTAATTGCTTTATAAATGTTAGTTGAATAATTATCAGTAAGACTATTGGCCTGGATATTAGAATTTGGAAATTTAACATTTTAATGGGAATTATAAAATGCCATGTCCCCATTCTTGTCTTAAAATAATTTTATAACTTCAGTATTTCTTAATAGCTTTGTGTCAACCTATGGACATCAAGCTCTGCCTAGAATTAACAATGATGTCCTCAGGGGCTGATGGAATGTATAAGGGCATGTTTGTCCTTTACTTAGCATTTGGAGTCCCCTCTTCTCTAGCTGATGGATTTGCTGTTATATTCCTTGACCCCTGTTCTGACTTACAGTTATTAGTGGACACTGAGATTTTACAGTCAGGGTTGAAAGGAACAGAAAGTAGCCTAAATTAAAGAGGACTTAAAAGATATTTGGTGTTCTCATGGCAATGATGGCTCTCTAAACCGTTGGGAAGTTGAGCTGGCACCTGGAAAAGTGTCAGTAACAGGGCTGTGTGTGTGTGTGTGTGTGTGTGTGCATGTGTTTGTAACATGATCTCTTTCCTTTCTTTTTTCTCTGTCCCATTCTCTTTTTCATTGTGCACATGACTTAAAGTGGTTGTTCTAGCCCTTACTAAACTTAACTTTTTACTTCAAATGTCAAGTACCATCTATGAAGTCTGTCTGGTGTTTAGTTGAAACTATCAAGAATGAGAATGATCTTCAAACAGCCAATAAATTGGCTTTTTCTGAATCATCTTTGGACAGACAGAGAGAGAGACCTGGGCACAAAAGTTCCACGGCATAAACACAGCTGTCCAGGCCCAGCTCTTACACACTGCTTTGTGCCTGGCAGGTCCTAGGGAAGGAAAGTAACATTTAGTTTTGATGCTAAATTGGTGTTGGAAAAGGTATATCTAGTTCTGCTAAACACTCTACTGTGTTTCCATTTTCATCCTGATGTATTTAAATTTAAGAAAGCTTTTCTGCTTTAGATGATACTCAAGGAACATTGCAAGGATTAGAGTTCCTTATTTTATTTCCTAACTTTTCTCATCTCATTCTCTACCCAAAATTGTATTAAAAACAAGTTCCCATACTACTTCAGGGAAAACCAGCATACACATGAAACTACTGTTCTTTGAGATCAACTTATCTCAGACAGAATGATTGACCAGCTCCAAGGAACATGGAAGTCCATTTCTTGTGAAAATTCCGAAGACTACATGAAGGAGCTGGGTGAGCTATGTTTACTTGCATATCATATCCAGTAAAAATGGGCATTTTGATAGCACAGAACTTGCTCTGTATAAAATAATATTAATCTTGAACTCCCTAATTTTTCACATAGGAAAAAATAAATATTGATTGAGTACCAGGATATAGTTCTGTGCAAAACTATGTTGGAGTTGACAATAATCTCTCATATAAGTTACCATTAATTTACATAAACTAACTAAACAGCAAGTGATTTTAATAAATGTTTTAAAACAAAAAAATACAACTATTTTTTAAAATGATTATTTTGTAAATGTTTGCTCTAAGCTTTAGGGGATCTTCAGAATAAAGTTCAGAGTAGATTTTGTTTTTCAGCCTCTGCTGGCTACTGGCTTTCCTTAGTGTGTGCCAGCAATGCTCCAAATTTTGCTCCCATTTTCACACTGCTCTCTCTTCTTCTGTAGTATAGCATCCCTCTTCCTCCCTCTTAAAAGGAAATTTATGATTATGTTTGAGATCTGCTCTGATAATCCAGGATACTCTCCCCATCTCAAGATCCTTAAATTAACCACATCTGTACAGTCTCCTAACATGTAAAGGTAACATTCACAGGTTCCAGGGATTAAGACGTGAATATCTTTAGGAACCATTATCCAATCTGTCACATCCTGTGATTGTGTTTTATGATATGAATTCCATGAACTACATTATAGTATTTTCCCAATATATCTTCCCTTAGAATTTTAACTTAGGTATTGCAGTATATGTAATGCTATTTCTACTGAAAATACTCCTACATGTGCTGCACAGAGCTGTGTATACAAGGATGTTCACTGCATAATTATTTGTAATAACCAAAATGGAAACAAATGAATTGTTCATCAACAGGGAGACAGACAAAATAAATTTTGGTCTATACACACTGTGGAATATTATGTACTATGAAAAAGTATATATCTATATAGAGTGACATGGAAAATTTTCAAGACATAGATAAGGGGAAAACTTCCAAGACAAGATAAGGGGAAAAAGCAAGTTGAAAAACAGTAGATATAACATATTTTTTAAAATCCTATAAATAATGGTGATGCTTGCACAACATTGTGATGTTCTCAATACCACTGAATTGTAACTTCAAATGGTAAATATATGTTATAAATATTTTACCACAATAAAAACATACATCATTGAGGAAACAAACCCATATATATATACATGTAAGAATACAAGTGAAGAGCTAAATATCTGGCAAAATCCATACCAAAGTATTTTGTTTGTATGTGAGTGGATATAATTTTAAAATAGGGAGATAGTTGATAGCTTTAATCAGATTTTCAAAGGGGTTCAAAAATCAGTAAGATTAATAGCTACTGGACTAGTGAAAAAGAATACTCACTAAACAACAACTAGAGACAGATTTTTTTTCTGCAAAGATAGTCTATTTTAACATGTCATGGTGGAGCTGCTGGCTTGGGATATGTGAAGTCATGCACCATTAAATCTGTTCAATTCGCAAACCTCCTAGTTAGCAAAGAATTATACAGATAATGTTGAGTTTTTGGAGTCAACAACAGATTTAAGTATTGTATTGTAATGTAATGTATTTGTAATTCTTTATGCAAAAAGATAATACTCCTTTTATCTGGTTTCCAGGTATAGGAAGAGCCAGCAGGAAACTGGGCCGTTTGGCAAAACCCACTGTGACCATCAGTACAGATGGAGATGTCATCACAATAAAAACCAAAAGCATCTTTAAAAATAATGAGATCTCCTTTAAGCTGGGAGAAGAGTTTGAGGAAATCACGCCAGGTGGCCACAAAACAAAGGTGAGGCCTACGACAGTCTTTCAGACACATTTCAAAAGAATGTTAGTCAGATATCATCCTCGGTAAGTAAGCAATTCTAGCAAACATATCTAAAGTCCTTAAGAGGAACTTTTGTCTAAAACATAGGTCTAAGGATGTCAATGTGAAGATACAAATCTTCTGGGATGCTTGTGAAAAATGCCTCCTGCTCACTGCCAGAGGCCCTGAAAATTGCATTTTTAATGAATCTGATGCAGACGCTTAGCAGACCACATTTTGAGAATCATTTCCCTAGATTACTGTTTAGTCCTCTCAGAAACAAAAGTTTTCCCTATCCATTTTGTAGCAGTTTTCTACACATAGAATTACAGTGAATAAACCTCGTATTAGCTGGCAGAGGTAAGGTTATGCCACCGTGACAATGAACCACAAGCCTGGAGTGAGTTAACACAATGGGGATTTATTTCTAACTTATAGTACATACGTAGTGTTGGGTGGCATTGGGGAAGTTTGTGTGTGTGTAGTGGAGTAAACAGGAAATCTGCTCCCCCTAATCTCTCAGGGATCCATGCCAAAAGAGGTTCAACTACCACCTGTGGACATCCTGGTCTTCTCCAACACCAGGATAAAGAGACATGGGCTTTTTATTGTCTCACCCTGAAAGTGCCACACAGAGTTTTCATTCATATCTCAAGGGCACATATCTCAGGAATATATTATTTATTTATAATATGTAATTTACTTCTACACGTATTGTTTACAGTCTTTTTCCCTACACCAGAATGTAAGAGCTCATCCAAAACAGGATTTCCTGTCTGTTTCACAGAACCCCGTGCTTGGTCATGACAGTTGTTCAATAAATATTTATTATTTGAATGAATGAACTCAATAGAGGATTGTTAAACTATATGGAGGATAATATCCTGATAAAAGGAACTATCATGCCACTGTAATAGTTACTAAATGAATATGAGAGTTTAAATTCTTGTACCATATAAAATGGAAGAAAATTTTTGACTTAAATGCTTAATATGGATTTCTATGCTAAATTCTTAAAAATCTACTAGAATAAAAAAGCTAGGTTGGGTGCGGTAGCTCATGCCTGTAATCCCAGCACTTTGGGAGGCCAAAACAGGAGGATTGCTTGATGCCAGGAGTCTACGACCAGCCTGAACAACATAGCAGGATCCCGCCTCTACAAAAAACACAAAGATTAGCCACTGTGGTGGTGCGTGCCTATAGTTCCAGCTACTCAGGAGGCTAAGGTGGGAGGATTGCTGGAGCACAGGAGGTTGAAGCTACAGTGAGCCATGATTGCACCACTGCATTCCAGCCTGGATGACACAGTGATACCCTATCTCCAAAAACAACAACAACAACAAAAAAAACTGGAAAATATTATTGGGATAAGAAGAGGAAAGAGGCCTTCTTTCTTTTAAGTAAGCTCATATAATGGGAGTTTGAATTAGTTTCACATGTATTATTATTATTATTATTCTTTATTGAGACAGGGTCTCTGTTGCCCAGGCTGGAGTGCGGTGGTACAATCTTGGCTCATTGTAGCCTCAACCACCCAGGCTCAGGTGATTCTCCCACCTCAACTTCCCAAGTAGCTGGGACTATAGGCATGTGCCACAACACCTGGCTAATTTATTATTTTTTATGGAGATGGGGGTCTCACTGTGCTGTCCAGGCTGGAGTTTCACACTTATTTTGAAAGTTAAAATGTATTTGTAATTCTTTATGCAAAAAGATAATACTCTGCTTACACAGTCAAAGATAAAAAGAACATTTCATGGCCGGGTGTGGTGGCTCATGCCTGTAATCCCAGTGCTTTGGGAGGCCAATGTGGGCAGATCACAAGGTCAGGAGATTCAAGACCATCCTGGCCAACATGGTGAAACCCCGTCTTTACTAAAAATACAAAAATTAGCTGGGCGTGGTGGTATGTGCCTGTAATCCCAGCTATTTGGGAGGCTGAGGCAGGAGAATTGCTTGAACCAGAGAGTCGGAGGTTGCAGTGAGCCAAGATCGCACCATTGCACTCCAGCCTGGGTGACAAGAGCAAAACTCTGTCTCAAAAAAAAAGAAAAAGAAAGAACATTTTACTTATTCTTCAAGATAATATTACAGTTTTACTCTTGTAAAACCTTTTTTCTTCAGCAGAATTAGGCAACAATTTTACTGCTGACAAAGTCTTAAAATAAATAGAGTTGTCAATACCATTCTAAAACTACCTGAGAGTATTACAACAGCTAAAAAGAATTTGCTGCCTGATAAAATTTTAATGTTGAAATATGACAAGCTGATCTGAATTTAGTTTTTTCTGTTTTTCAGAGTAAAGTAACCTTAGATAAGGAGTCCCTGATTCAAGTTCAGGACTGGGATGGCAAAGAAACCACCATAACGAGAAAGCTGGTGGATGGGAAAATGGTGGTGGTGAGTTAGCCCATCCTCGCTTTCTTCCCACCTTCTGCAACGACTAATATAAAATCACAACTTGTTCTCAAACAATGAAAATGAATGCCATTTTCCTTGTTCTCATAGTTTAAAGAATGAGAAAAAAATTATGAGATAAATGTATAATCGTAAGCATTATATAAAATGTGTGTGGATTGAGGAACTAAAAAACTAAAGAGAATGAAAATATCATGCAGCCTAATCCTTTGACTCACAGGTAAAACAAAGCAAGCATGTATTTGTGCAATGAAGATTTTAGCAGGGGTTGAGGGTTGTTGCCAATCCTCTACTCCACTCCAGGATTAACTTCTCACTGTTTTTCCATCTCAACACCAAACAAAAACATGAAAAGGAATTCTAGACCAGGGATAAGAAGCTGAAGTGGTGTTTTTTTGGTGTATGAATGAGTTAATACATGTCACTATCATGCCCCTATGTTTTCATATATTAATATTATTTCCCAATTTCCACAATAATCCTGTAAGGTAAAGCTTATTATCCCATTTAACAGTGAGGAAACTGAAATTCAGACATTGACTTACCTAAGGATATGCAGCTAGAAAAATGTGATGGTACTGGGAGGAGCATCAGGTTGTTTTCATTGAACACTCTATATTTTATAGAATCCATCCTGCTCCCTTTCAGATGGTTTCCCAGGTCACCTTCCCCACTTCTCCAGAGTAGAAGAATGTGTGTTCATGATTTTCCTTCTCCCAAACCCCCACCTATACCAAAATGAGTAAAAAGGTAACTTTCTACATAATATAAAATAGTTCTAAGGGAATATGCAAGATTCGTGTGTAGGTTACAAAAATCTAACCTTGTTTCTTAATACAGTGATTTTTTTTCTTTCTACAATGAAGAGTACATTTTATTCCTTATAAATTCACAAGGGGAAGACTAAGGATGATTGATTTTATTGCTGTTTATAATGACATTAGCCAATAAACAGAAAGCTTTTATAGTTCATTAGGAAGAATGCTACACTCAGAATCAAAGGATGTGGATTTCCACCCCTGCCATTCAGTACTTACGTGACTTTGGACAATTCATTTAATCTCTTCAAGATTCAGATTCCTTGCCTTCAAGATGTAGAAAGTGTCTTTGCCAAAGGTTTTCTGAGAGAATTAAGTATCATCATGTGTATATTAGTGCCCTGAAAACCATAAAATACTACATCAATGTAAGCTAGTATTATCATTTAGAAAGTGTAGAGTATGTAAAATAGCAAAATGCATCAATGTTGGCATTTAAAATATTTAAATAAAAACTTAAATTCCAAATTGTATGCCTTGCTTTATACATATATAAACATTATATATACCCGAAATATACCACATGTATGTGATTCGCCATACATAGGTTATATAGAACATGGCAAAACCAGCTAACAGATAGGTCCTATCTATAGTCTATATAGATCTATCTATCTATCTATCTATCATCTATCTATCTATCTATCTATCTATTTTTTTTTTTTTTTGAGACGGAGTCTTACTCTGTCATCCAGGCTGGAGTGCAGTGGTGTGATCTTGGCTCACTGCAACATCCACCTCCCAGGTTCAAGTGATTCTCCTGCCTCAGCCTTCTGAGTAGCTGGGACTATAGGCGCATGCCATCATCCCCGGCTAATTTTTGTATTTTTAGTAGAGACGGGGTTTCACCGTGTTGGCCAGGCTGGTCTTGAACTCCTGACCTCAGGTGATGTGCCCACCTTGGCCTTCCAAAGTGCTGGGATTACAGGTGTGAGCCACCGCGCCCGGCCTCTCTTTCAATATTTTTAAGGAATGTATGTGTGGATAGTACTTAGTTTGCACTTTTCTAAATGTTAATTTCACTAACTATACTGAAATACCTCATATTTCTTTTGTCTTGTAGGAAAGTACTGTGAACAGTGTTATCTGTACACGAACATACGAGAAAGTATCATCAAACTCAGTCTCAAACTCTTAAGGCTTTCTCAAGCTGTCATCCAAACTACTGAGGTTGTTTAAATAAAACTCCAAAGTAAAATATTACGACTATTAATATGAGAGAGCCTTTCTTTGCACAAGCATCAATAATTTTGCTTGCCAAATTGCACATGCCTGTATCATGTAGTACTTTGGCATTCGCGGCCATGAGAATCCAGGATGATATATCCTGTTCAATGCAAGGCTGGGATATTTTCAGAGAGGCACTTCATGTTGATTTTTTTCTTATGATGCATTTTATGTCCACCCTCTAAATTCAACATAATCTGCACTTTATTGGGAAAATAATATTTTTTAATAAATAGAATACAGCGCACCTTGCAGGTACACCTCAGTTATATATGAAAAGATAAGAAACCATGTCTAGAACTAAGGCAGTAATTGACATCCTAATGTAATACTAAACTGTTATGACAGAGAACTCCATATCCACTACCAACATCACTGAAAGCCACTGCAAAGAATATTCTGTTTTATTAGCACAAAACCTCATGCACTCTCAGGCTTAGGAGGGATTTTAGAAACTGTGTGGACTGAACACTTTATTTTGTGGTTGGGGGAACAGGCCCGAGACAGTTAATTGTACACTTTACTATCACTCAGATGGTTTCAGGAAGAATTAGAACCAGAATCCATGTTGCCCAGTTATTAACCTTACAACCATAACAAAGTGAACTTAGATTGGAACAGTTAGGTAGAAAGAGGTTTATGGTGTACAATTATGAACCAAGTGTAATACTACATTATACTAATGAATAAACAAGCTTCCATTTGTCTTAAAATGTGTAGCAGGATGCCACAGCTGAGTCCAGATGAGGATATAGAGTTTTACCGTTTGAACCTGAGGCCTGTCATTGCCTATTTGTCTGAATTGATATATGGGGGATCTCAGTCGTCTGGTAGATGTGGAAGAAGTGCTTGTTTATTTTTTGGTGTACTGAAATGACGAAGAGGACAATGGAAGGCACACAAAGATATCTGTACCCTCAGCTACTTGGACTGGACAGAGAGAGGATTCGAGGCAGACGCTGAAAGAGCAGTTTTCCTGAGGCCCTGTGCATGGCTGTGGATGTGAGCAGCTCTACTGCAGGCCCAAGTAACAGCTTGCTGCAAAGACAGAGGAGAAGCAGTCCCCCTATTGGAAAGGAGCCCAGCACTGCTCTGACACCTCCACAGTCAGTAGCTATGGGAACTTTGAAAAACGGTGCTCCTGGCTTTGGCATTAGGGTGTCTTGCCTACTGTGGTCATGAAGATACTCTCATAGGCAATAAGAACCAATGCAGGAAGCCTTGTGCTGAAGGGATAGTTAGCAGATACCAGGAGAACCCAGGAAAGACATCCCTGATGACTCTCAGGAACACCTGGGGGCCAGGGGCTGGGAGAAGGATGGACTTTCAAGGGCTAGAGTTTTTCATGAACAGGAGCATGACATTGGATGTAGGTGTTAATATGATTTCATTTGTCAACAATCTGATAAAATCTAGGGATGTTTGAGTACTCAACTGAAAAAACAACCCACAAAAATACAACAACAGCAACTGCACATTTCCAGGAGAGATGAGCAGCATGCCTCCTGTCTTCTCATTTCCTTTATGCAGTTGAGAATCATTAAAGTAGAAAATCATTTACTGTGGTTGATCGAAGTGCATATCTCTCAGGGATGGTTGGGAAACTGATCTAAATAAACCAAATCAAACAAGACATACCACAGCTCCTGAGTGATGTTGTAATTCAGGATTTGCTGCACATCTGCTGTGCACCAGACACTGCATGAGAGCCGGGGATAGAAGGAGAATGAAGTCATGCTTGCTGATCTTGATCAACTCCATAGAGAAGTGATATATTGGAAAGACATCACATGGGTGTACTAATCTCCAGGAATGTATAAGCAACAGATTATAAAACAAATGTTTCTTTTCTTTTTTCTTTCTTTTTTTTTAGATGGAATCTCGCTCTGTTGTCCAGGTTGGAGTGCAGTGGTGCAATCTTGTCTCACTGCAACCTCTGCCTCCCAGGTTCAAGCGATTCTCCTGCTTCAGCCTCCCTAGTAGCTGGGATTACAGGTACACACCACTATGCCCAGCTATTTTTGTATTTTTAGTAGAGACAGGATTTCGCCATGTTGGCCAGGCTGGTCTGGAACTCCTGACCTCAACTGATCCATCCACCTCGGCCTCCCAAAGTGCTGGGATTATAGGTGTGAGCCACACGCCCCGCCATAATACAAATGTTTCTACTTGGAAAGAAAGATTTAAAACCACTTTCTTGGTGAATAATTGCCTTGCCCAGGATGGAAGACAACTAGCAATAGGGCGGCAGACATATCAGCATGAATGGACTCCTATCACTCCTTTTCATGACATCTCTCTTTCTGGGCCACAGCCTCAGTGCAGTTTGCATTAATTCAGCTCAAGTCAGTAATCATCAGTCAAGATATTTAAGGAATATGGAGTTATTCCTAGTGAGGCATAACCTGTTCTTTTTAAGCTGGGAAAAGTCTGGGGTTTTAAACAAAACCATATTATTTGATTCAGACGTAGCCAAAATATTGCTAGAACAGAAATTTAAAAAACACCAACTAAAGAAAGAGAAGGCGGAGACGGTCTTCGCCGAGAGTCGTCGGGGTTTCCTGCTTCAACAGTGCTTGGACGGAACCCAGCGCTCTTCCCCTAGCCCGGCCGGCCGCCCATAGCCAGCCGTCCGTCACCTCTTCACCGCCCCCTCAGACCGCCCCAAGGTCCCCCCGCCGCCGCTCCAGCGCCGCCGCTGCAGCCGCCTCTCTTTAGTCGCCGCCATGGCGACCCCGTCCACCTCGCAGGAGCGCCAGGACTACAACCAGGACTCAGAGGCCGCCATCAACCGCCACATCAACCTGGAGCTCTGCGCCTCCTACTTTTACCTGTCCATGTCTTATACTTTGACCGCGATGATGTGGCTTTGAAGAACTTTGCCAAATACTTTCTTTACCAATCTCATGAGGAGAGGGAACATGCTGAGAAACTGATGAAGCTGCAGAACCAACGAGGTGGCCGAATCTTCCTTCAGGATATCAAGAAACCAGACTGTGATGACTGGGAGAGCGGGCTGAATGCGATGGAGTGTGCATTATATTTGGAAAAAAATGTGAATCAGTCACTACTGGAACTGTACAAACTGGCCACTGACAAAAATGACCCCCATTTGTGTGACTTCATTGAGACACATTACCTGAATGAGCAGGTGAAAGCCATCAAAGAATTGAGTGACCACGTGACCAACTTGCGCAAGATGGGAGCGCCCGAATCTGGCTCGGCAGAATATCTCTTCGACAAGCACACCCTGGGAGACAGTGATAATGAAAGCTAAGTCTCAGGCTAATTTCCCCATAGCCGTGGGGTGCCTTCCTTGGTCACCAAGGCAGTGCGTGCACGTTAGGGTTTCCTTTACCTTTTCTATAAGTTGTACCAAAACATCCACTTAAGTTCTTTGATTTGTACCATTCCTTCAAATAAAGAAATTTGGTACCAAAATAATTAATAAATAAAAAATTAAAAAAAAGAAAGAGGAGGCGTTTAGGTTTATTTAACAGTAGAATTAATGTTGAATATTTCCTGTCTATAAGTTTGGGAAAATCATGTTTTATTTGAATAAGTCAATTGACAACCTGAGATGGAAAATGAAATAATAACAATGATAACAGCTGTTATTGAGTCTTGCTAAGTGTCAGGCACTATGTTTAAACTTTCTATGCATAACTTCATTTTCTCTTTGAGATTAAACTGAGACTCAGATAGGCTAAATGGTTTCCTTAAAGTTCCTCAGCTAATCAATACCAAGGCCAGACTTCAAAATAGGTCTTAATTTCTGGAGAAGCATGCCAGAATGCATCTCCAGAAATCAAGAAAATAATTATTAGAGTTTCTTTTAGAGTCTTTTTATGTAATAATGAATATGATAAATAAATGCATTATTAAAACTACTAACCTGAACTTGTAAAGCCTGAGAAATCCACCCTACATGAACTCTTATGCCCTGAACTGATCAGAAAGATTACTTTTTGGAGCTGTAGATTTAAGAAGCAGAAAACAGCTGGGTGCAGTGGCTCATGCCTGTAATCCCAGCACTTTGGGAGGCCGAGGTGGGCAGATCATTGGAGGTCAGGAGTTTGACACTAGCCTGACCAACATGGTGAAATTCCATGTCTGCTGAAAATACAAAAATTAGCCAGGCATGGTGGCACATGCCTGTAATCCCAAGTACTTGGGAGGCTGAGGCAGGAGAATTGCTTGAACCTGGGAGGCGGAGGATACAGTGAGCCGAAATTGCACCATTGCACTCCAGCCTGGGTGACAACAGCAAAACTCTGTCTCACATGAAAAAAAAAAAAAAAAAGAAGAAGAAGAAGAAACAGAAGCAGAAAACAACCAAATGTTGATTAATTGTGTTGTGGTGGCACCTCTCACCATGGTATCCCATCTACACAACAGTTACCACAGAGCTCTTTAAGGACACTCATGCTCCTCTCACTTATTTCTCATACTTTAGTGAAGGAAGTATCTTCTGGGCCTAGCATATGATAGACTATTCCCAAATTCTAATTTCCTTAAGATTTTGGATTCCTTCTCTATGTCAGACCAAGGAAATTCTAGAATCTCAGTCTCATTAAATATCAGTCTGCTGTTGAGCCCAAGTTTCAACTAACCAAGTCAATTAACCAAGTAAATTGTTAGGGATAAATTGTTAGAATAAATTGCTAGCTGCACAAGCTAACAATTAAATGAAGAGTCTCTGGTAAATGAAGTCATATGAATAAAGTTGGACTAATGAAGTGTTGTAGTTTGTTCTCCTTGGTTTAATATCCTTAGAATCCACTCCAATATGTATTACCCAGATCTCTGTCAATATAAACGAACATCTTTAAATTCTTTTAGAGTATAACGTTTCCTCCAGGGTCAGACCTTACCCTTGTCCTCCTAGAACATGGGGAGATCTTATCTAATTTTGGTTGTAGTGGCAACCATGTATGGTTGCAGTGAGTCCTAGGGAGAAAGGCACCTTCTTGCAAGGCAACTGCTCCAGATAAGGCCATCAAGCAAAAAGAGTTAGTCTTTTCAGACACTGAAAGGCAGTTTGCTTCTACTGTCAAGAGAGGCTCAGAGTGATTCTAGAGCTCCAAATTTTCAGCTGTGATCACCCAGATGTCCCCATTCCAAGTGTCATTATTTCACTCTTTCCCAATGACTGCCCTAGTTTTCAAGTGAGAAACTTAGTGAAGACGTGAATTCAACTTACATTGTAACTCTACCCCACACAACTAAATTTTGCACCTCATTGTCAGCAAAGTCAGCTCTGCCATTATAAAAATATTAATTTTAGGTCCTTGCACATGCTTTCTAGTTCTCTGAACATGACTTAAACTGAGAGTATAATGATATGAGTTTGTCATTTTCTTTGGATAAGAACTCCACAGCATTCAAAAGAAGTCATTCCATTCCATTCTTGCCTTCATGGACAAGTGCTACAGCCATCAGGATACACACTTCATCACAATCAATACACATAATAATTAATCTAACTGTGATGCCATTACCACTTCATTTTCTATTAGCAAGGAGCTCAAACCTACTTTGAAGAGCAAGGATGCAACCAACTTAAACCACAAATCTCATCTGCTATGGTTTGAAAGTTTGTACCCACTAACACTCATGTTAAAACTTAATCCCCAATGTGGCAGTATTGAGAGGTGGGACATTTAAGAGGAGATTAGGTCATGAGGGTTCTGCCCTCAAGAATACATTAGTCCATTCATGGATCAATGAATTAATGAGTCAGTGAATTATGGTGGCTTTGTAAGAAGAGTATGAGAGACCTGAGTTAGCATGCTCAGTCCCCTCACAATATGATGCCCTGCACTGCCTCAGAACTCTGCAGAGAGTACCCACCAGCAAGAAGGCTCTTGCCATATGTGATCCCATAATCCTGGACTTCCCAGCCTCCATAACTGTAAGAACCACAGAAGACCCTGAATAGCCAAAGCAATCTTGAGCAAAAAGAAAAGGACAAAGCTAGAGTCATCACACTATTTGACTTCAAAATATGCTGCAAGGTTATAGTAACTCAAAAACAGACACATAAACCAATGGAACAGAATGGAGAACCCAGAAATAAATCCATGTATTTATAGCCAATTGACTTTTGATAATGGCATCAAGAATATTCAGTGGGAAAAGGATAGTATTTTCAATAAATGGTGCTGAGAAAACTATATATCCATATATAGAAATAAAAAAACCAGACCCTTTTCTTTCACCAAATACAAAAATCAAATCAAAATGGATTAAAGCCTTAAATGTAAGACCTGACACTATACAACTACTAGAAGAAAGTATTGGAGAAATGAATTGGCCTGGGCAAAATTTTTTGGGTAAGACCGTAAAAGCACAGGCAACAAATACAAAATTGGACAAATGAAATCACATCAAGCCAAAAAGCTGCTGCATAACAAAGGAAGCAATCAACAGAGTGAAGAGACAATGTACAGAATAGGAGAAAATATTTGCAAACTGTTCATCCATCAAGGGATTAATAAACAACATATCTATGGAATTCAAACAGCTCAACAGCAAAAAAGCAAATAAACTGATTAAAAATGGGCAAACAATCTGAATAGACATCTCTCAAAAGAAGACATCCAAATGGGAAACAGGCACATGCAAAAATACTCTGCATCACTAGTTATTATGGAATGCAAATCAAAACCACAAAGAGATAACATTTTACCCCAGTTAAAATGTATGTTATCAAAAAGACAAAAAAATAACAGGTGCTGGTGAAGATGTAGAGAAAGGGGAATGCTAATGCACTGCTGGTGGGAATGGAAATTAGTACAGCAACAGTGAAAAATAATATGGACTTTCCTAAAAATTAGATCTAAAAATAGATCTACTATATATTTCAGCAATCTCACTGCTGGTATATATTCAATAAAAAAGAAGTCAGTATATCAAAAAGATATCTGGATGCCCATGTTTATTGCAGCACTATTCAAAATAGTCAAGATATGGAATCAGCCTAAGTGTCCATCAATGGATGAATGGATAAAGAAAATGTGGTGTAGATGCACATTGGAATACTATTCAGCCACATAAAAAAATAAAATCTGGTCATTTGCAGCAACATGGATGGAACTGGAGGTCATTATGTAATGACCTGTGCCTGGAAATAAGCCAGGCACAGAAAGACAAATATCACATGTTCTCAAATGTGGGAGATAAAAACGTTTATCTCATGGAGGTGGAGAGTAGAACAATAGTTACTAGAGGCCGAGAAGCGGGTGGGGGTGATGAAGAGAGGTTGGTCAATGGGTATAAAAATACAGTTAGACAGAAGAAATAACTTCTAGTGTTTGATAGCACAGTAGAGTGACAATAGTTAACAATCATTTATTGTATATTTCAAAATAGCTGGAAAAGAAGATTTTGAATGTTCTCAACACAAAGACATGGTAAGTATTTGAGGTGACAGATATCCTAAATACCTTGATTTGATCATTGCACATTATATATATGCATGGATCAAAATATCACATGTACCCCATAAATACGTACAGTTATGTATCAATTAAAAAAAAACTGAAAACAAAAATTCCTTTTCCTTATAAATTACCCAGTTTCAGGTGTTTTGTTATAAGCAACAGAGAATGCACTCAGACATTATCTTTAAAAACTTACTCCTAGTACTAATTTCTTTATCGCTCTGGGTTCAGTCAGGACTTAGAAACCATACTGGTTATATTATGTAATAATAGGGAGAATTTAATATGAAGATTTGTTAACAGGTATAAAAAGCTTAAATGGCATAAAAAGAACATTAAGATTTCACACAAGTAGCAACTTCAGAAAGCAGGTAACACTTAAGAATGTGTGTGTGTGTGTGTGTGTGTGGAGACGGGGTCTCTCTATATTGCCCAGGCTGTTCTTGATCACCTGGCTTTCAAATGATCTTCCCACCTCAGCCTCCCAAAGTGCTGGGATTACAGACACAAGCCACTGCGACCAGTAAGAGCTGAAATTTAGGCCTCAGAGGAGGCACTGCTCCTATGGGGCCCCATCGGGTTGGGTCTGAGATGTATGAGAAGAGGGAGAAGGTTCCAGATGGTTTGTGCTGGTTTCTCTGAGGCAGTGCCATGAGGTTGGCTCAGAGACAATAAAAAATTGTGAACTGAAATTAATTGCAGCAACTGTAACCTACTGCTGCTGGCAGCCTAAAGAAAGATTGTTGAGGTCATGCTGATGGGAGCAGAAAATATGACACTTGAGTAAAGCTATGAAGGCAGAGAGAAAATGAGCCTGGCATATAACTCAGGGGAGGGCATTCTAGGCAGAGGGAAGAGACTGTATAAAGGCCCTAAGGTAGGAGCATGCTGTGATTGAAGACAAGAAAGATATTAAGTGTGGCAGGAGTAGACAGAGCAAGGGAGAGAGTAGCATGAGATGAATGCAGAGAGATAATAGTAGAGACAGATTATGGTGTGCCTCAAAGGCCATTGCAAGAACTTTGGCTTTTACTCTGAGAAAAATGGGAGCCACTGGAAAGTATTTAGGGGACGAGCGACATAATCTGATGTACAGTTTAAGGGAATCATGGCTGTTGGGTTCAAAAACTCAGAAGTAAGTCAATTAGGAAGTCTTAACAGTATTCTAGGCATGTGCTGATGGTGCCTTGCAGTGGGGATGACAGTGGAGAGAATGAGAAGTAGTAAGACTTTCTAAGTTAGAGCTACAGAATGTATTGATGGATTGGATTTGAAAGCAGGAGAGAGTTAAGAGTGATTTAAAAGTTTTTGGTCTTAGATCCTAGAAAGCTGCATGTCATTAAAGGGCATTATATCTAAACTATGCCAAAACGATTGCCTGATTTTATAAGTACACTGAAAAACTAAACAACATGAGACAGAACCTATTGAACTCATCTTTAAAAAGTGGCTAAGTTGCTAACCTGTTTGCCTAGAAAACATTAGAGACGTCCCTTTCTAGCCAAGATGGAGTAAAAGGGGCCAGATTTATCCTTCCACCTGAAACAACAAAAAATGGACAAATTATATGAAAATTGTTTTCAAGACAAAGGATATCACCCAAAAAGAACAGTGATTCCAGAGAGAAGAAAAATGAATGAAATCAGCTCATTGCCCCAGCCTCTTAGTATACCTTTAGGAGTACCAGCACCAGCTCAGCCACCTGCTCTCTGCTCTGAAGTCTGAGTCCCAGCTTTATAGGACCCCTCCTCCAAGCTTTTGCATTCTAAAACTCCGTCCCTTTCTTTTGCTCCTGCAGCCATATGGGTAGTAGTTGAGTCCTGCTATTACTCCGTGTTACCTCTGTGTTATTTTTTTAGTTCTCCAATACCAGCTTCAACACTTCCTTGTTTTAAAATCTCTGATGTGTGATTTTTACTTTTCTGACTGGTATAAAATGCTTATGATGTGTCAAACGATGTACTAAGTCACTTACGCCATCTTAAAAATTTTTAGTAAAACACAATTTGGTAGATAAAAACCATGCTTATTTCATAATTAAGAAATTTATGTCTCAGAGAAGTTAAATAATGATGCTTATAGTACTTCCAGGATTGCAGTCTATTTCACTGTAAAGGCTTCATCTCACTGTAAGCGCTCCCTATCACTAAAGAACACTGTAGCTGGACAAAGGGCTTTGGAAAAAAAAAAGTGAGGCTTTTGACATTACTTCTAGGATTATGGCTAAAGCCAGGATTATTTCTATTTGTTTTAAAAATTTCATTTGAATGACTTTGTAACTAGAAAGCAACTCTTCCATATAAAATATATGAAGAATATATATTTTCTTCCATATAAAACTCTTTCCATATAAAATATAAGACACAAAAATGCATTCCAAAGCTAAGAACTGGTAGCAATCTCCTCCATGATTGGATGATCTACTCTATTTTGGTAACTTCCTAATCATTTACCTCTGGTAGATATTGAAGGCTGGGGAAGGGATAAAAGATAAGCTGGCCTCAAGAATTCTGTAAATATTATTCCAATGCCTACAATGAAGTATTACGAATCCTTTTTTGCTTGATTTTTGGTAGTGGTAGTTTGGTGACCTTTGAACACCAAGAACAAGTTTATCAAACGTGGAACACAGAAGTTCTTACATGCAAGGTATTAGATCTAATACTTGGCAACTTTTGTCTATTCTCTTGAGTGCAATCTAAAAAGTGTTTCAAAATAATAAAGTCCTAGAAGGCCACTACTTGGAAACATTTGGGTAACTTAGAACAGTTCAAGTCTGCATCATTTTGAGTCTAGATTCTAGCTACTTTCTTCCCTTGTGATACTGCTCTTTGTTTTGTTTTTGCTGTTGTTTTTTCTCCTAGACAGTTACTGACCTAAGATTCCCAAATCCTATACAAATATAGAAATGTACAGAGTTGGCATATTGTGGCATTGAGGGTTATAGACATACCCCGTTTCAATTCTCTATTCCAGCACCTGCTTCCTTTCCCACTACTCCAGGACTGACAGGGGGAAAAAGCTCTGTTCTTCACCACCTCCTCACATTAGAACCTCAAAGACATTTTCTTAAAGAACAATGTTGTAAAAATGGAAGATATGCATTACTGAAATAAGCTTGTATTAATGCTACACTGCATGCATAGATGAGCTAAAGAAGAATGTTGGGACTGGATTCTAACCGTGATACAGTCACAAGCATTCAATTTACCCTCATCCCCTAAGTGGCTAGAATACTAAACAAGATATATGAAGAAGCTATTTTCAGATACTGGAGAACAGGAGATGCAGGAGGATCATGATGCCTTAGGAAAGTGTAACATTGGAGGTGAACTTCTACCATCCTCCCAGCTTTCTGCCTTGGGGCTTATCCCCAGTGGCCATGCAGGGAGCAGGGTTACAGGAAGAGCGCAGTGGCCTCCCTGAGGTGAGGAGAGATATTGAAAGGAAGAGATTCTGGAAAGGAAGATAAAATCTGTGGGATAAAGACCTCTAGAAATAAGTATGGAGAGTCTTCTTTATTCTTGGCGAAATCCCTAGCTGTGCATGCATAGAGTAAAACTTCAATGAAGCCATGGAAAGAATGACCAGAGGGCTGTCAACTGAACAATTCCTGGGGCTTATACAGGGCAGAGAGTTGTTGAATCTGTGGCCAGAGTGGAGATGGTCAGTACTCAACTGGGGCATTCAGAAGAGACCTCAGAAAGGTATTGTCTTGGTACTAGGGCTGAACTACCCTTGAGTAAAGGCTACACTAGACCCACCTTAGCTTAAAAACAAGCATTGGAAAGAGAAGCTTATCTGCAAGTAACTTAGTTTCCTGTCAGCACAAAGACCAATGCTATTTAAAGGAAGACAACAAAATTCAGACATTCAATAATATTACAGTCACAATGTCCAGGCATCCAGTCAAAAATTATTATACAGGACAAGAAGCAGGAAAATGAAATCTATAATCAGAAATAAAATCTCTTAATAGAAACAGACCCAGAAATGACAGAGATGATGGAATTAGCAGACACAAATTAAAACATATAAATATGCTCAAATGCTCAGGGATTTGATGAATTTGAGCATAATGAAAAGATAAATGAAAGATAAAAGTCCTAGAAATAAAAAAATACTATAACTGAAATGAACATTTGCTGGATAGGATTAAGAACAGATTAGAAACTAGAGAAGAAAAGATTAGTGAACTTGAAAATGCAGCAATAGAATCTATCCAGGCTGAAGCACAGACAGAAATGAAGACTGAGAAATCCTTTGGCTAAAAAGAGCTCCCTTGCCCAAGTTTAAATACATTCCCAGAGGGAGGGGCAGCCATGACACAATGGCTGTCTGATATGAGGGTATAATCATTCCAGGATGTGGGCACAGCTGTTAGCCTTGTGAAACCTGCACTCCTGGCAGCTGGGCTTATGTGTGCCTCATCTTGGACATGGGATAAAGGAGTACAAGGCAGCATCCACTACATTGTTTTTGTTTGTTTGTTTTTGCTTTTTTGAGAAATCTTGGAATTGACTATGGAGTGTTACAAATAAACTCTGATTTATGCAAATCTCTTCTATGAAAACTCATTTAAAAAGAAAAATCATAATAGTCTTTTTTGTTTTTGATACAAAGGGCTTCCTTTAAATCCTTACTGAATTTTTTTAAAAGTTTGTAAAACGAATTTACAGACAACATAAATTATTTAAAAACAAAGCTGCTTTTCTTGACAAGCTCTAAGAGGATAGGGATTTTTGGTTGTTGCTTTCATTTATGCTTTGTTGTTGTCCCAACAGTGTCTGGCATACCTAGAAATGCTAAGTATTAATAAATACTGAATGAATAAATCAGTGAATCAATTAGGCTCTGTTAAACATGAAATAGTATTTTCTATTGTTTTCCTCAAGGTGGTGCTGTGTAGTACAGTTTAAGGGTCACCTTTAAAACTTTTTTTTCCTAGTATAGCTTCGATATTTTCTTTTATTATGTAATTTTTAAATCTTCCCATCTCTCTGATTTTCCAATTTTTTAGATTTATGTTATTTGTGGGCAGAGGCTTACTAGATTGTCAGAGGCATTGGTTTTCTTGCCTTTTCCTCCCCTTGTTTATCTCTACCTAGTTGTACAAGCAGACTTGCCTTTGAACACTTCCTGAAAGATATTACATCTACTGCTTTATTTCTACCTACTCTCTCTATCATTTATTATAGAAAGATTTATCTAAAGGCTTTCATACATTTAATGTTCAAGTTTTCATTTCTCTGTCTCTTCTTTGTTCTAGATGTCTGTTGTCCAGTATTTTTCTCAGTCGAATTTTAAACTGACCAGTCTCTTTGTTAAATAATTTTATTGAGATATATTTGACATAGAACAAACTACACATATTTAAATTATACACTTTGATATATTGTGATCCATGCATACACCTGTGAAACAATCACCACAATTAAGATAATGAGCATATCCATTACTCCCAAAAGTTTCCTCCTGCCCTTTGGTGTCCCTTTCCATGCCACTCCCCCTGTCTTTGCCCCACCCCATCTGAAGGCAATCACTGATGATCACCTCCCTTTCACTATAGATTAGTTTTCATTTTCTAGAGTTTCTTGTAAATGGAATCATACACTCTTTTCTCTTTTTTTTTTCTGGGTTTTTAAACTCATCATAATTACATGTATCCTTCATTTCTTTTTATTTCTGTGTAGTATTTCTTTGTATAGATACCATAATTTGTTTATCTGTTCACTTATTGGTATACTTTAGGGTTATTTTATGTTTCTGCCTATTGCAAATAAAGCAGCTATAAGCAGTTATGCATAGACCTTTCCCTGGACACTTATTTCTTTTGGATAAATACCAAGGGATGGAATGGCTAGATCATATGGTAAGTGCATGCTTAATTTTAAAGAAATTTTCAACCAATATTTCAAAGTGGATATACTATTTAACGTTCTCACCAGCAGTGTATGAAAGTTTCAGTTTCTTCACATCCTTGTCAACATTTGGGTCAGTCTTTTTCATTTTAGCTATTCTAACATGTGTATAGTAGTGACCGTCCTCTTTTTATTATAATTTTTCTATGTTTAGATACATTTCCAGATTTTTATAAGTTCTATGAAATCTTATATATACTGACCCTAATTATTAGACATAAAGGTGAAATGTATGAATGAAGAAAATGTCTTTTAAGAAATTGGGGGAGTAAAATTATGATGGGTTATTCTCAAAAAGATTGACTCTAGAGACAATAAGGTCCATGTGTTAAGTATTAGCCTCCCATATAGGAGAAACTAGTACAGGTCCAGGAGGAATAATTTGAGAGATATCATGAAAGCTTTTCTTCATTCCCCTTCTCCTCTGAGATCTCCTATCAGGAGAACTCTAATGACACATTTTCCCTTTGACTCTTCAAAATGTTTCTATCTTCAAGAGTTCCATTTTGAAACCAAATACTACTTAAAGGAAAAGGACTACCTTAGGCCCAGTTGTCACCTAACACTGGATGAGTTTAAGTTTTGCAAGGTCTTATGGGCAAGCAGCCTTATGGTCTACAGGCTATTGATGTAACTGCACCATCAGGGTAGTATCTCTCCTTTTTGCCCTCCTACAAAACTCTAAAGATTTCAGGCTACTCATAAATGCAAATACCTGACTGAGCTCTGTGGAGCTAAAAGTGTGCTATGCCCATTCCACTGCTGCAGATACTCTGTTTTACCATAGATATTGTGCATTCTTTCACATTGTTCATGAAAAATTAACAATCTAAGCACAGGTGAATGCAAATATAAAACAAATTTATCATAGCAAATATGTCAATATTTGTCAACTCTATGAGCACAGATAATATTTCTCTTTTTTATTAAAAAAGAGCATCTTTAATTGATTCCTCAGATAACTTTTTTTCCAGATTGTTCTTATGTTTTCTTTTTGGCTGATATTCAAATTCAGGAGATACACAAATAAAATACAGTACATACACAAATGAAATGCTAATAAAATCATCTCTACGGAACAAAGGCAGGATAGTGTATCAGAGGAATAAAAGCAAATGTGAATAAGGGATTTTTACTCTCCAAAACTATAGGCTTCATTTGGCCTTGAGAGAGCCATTGGGCAAGGCATCTTGTGACAGGAGCCATAGGGATGTTGGTAGGGCTATGAGATAAGAGCAGTATACATAACCCTCACCTAGAACAAATGGGCAGAGCTCAGAAAGAGACATGCCACTAAAAATGCTTCTCCTGGCCACAGGGTTTTCTGTGCAGCCTCCCATGGATCAACATACCAGTTGGTCAACCCACACATCAGTATTTTCATCCTTTAGAAGCAATGATGGTATTTGCACTGGGAACTGTGATCTATGTATTAATGGGGCAGCATGAGTCAACTGTAGTAAATTTTCTAAATATTTATTTACTTTTAAAATAAACTTTATTTTTAAAGCACCTTTAAGTTCACAGCAAAATTGAGTTGAAGATACAGTGATTTCTCATCTACCCTGTCTCTACACATGCCTAGCCTCTCCCATTACCAACATCCCCCACCACAGCGACGCAGTTGTTACAACTGGACAACCTACACTGACACATCATTATCACCCAAAGTCCCTGGTTTATGTTAGAGTTCACTGTTGGTGTTGTACATTATATGGGTTTGGACAAATGTATAATGACAACTATCTACCATTATAGTATCATACAGAATCGTTTCACTGCCCTAAACATCCTCTGTGCTTATTCATTCCTCTCTTCCCCCTAACTCCCGGCAACCACTGATCTTTTTCATTTGTTCCGGGATATTATATAGTTGGAATTGTGCAGTAGGTGGCCTTTCTTATTGATTTCTTTTACTTAGTGATGCATTTAAGTTTCCTGTGTGATTTTTCATAGCTAGATAACACATTTCTTTTTATCACTGAATATTCCATTGTCTGCATGTACCACGGGTTATCCATTTACCTACTGAAGGACATCTTGGTTGCTTCCAAGTTAGAGCAAAATTATTAATGAAGCTGTTAAAACATCTATGTGCAGATTTTTGTGTGGACATATGTTTTCAATTGTTTTGGGTAAATACCAAGGAGTGCAGTTGCGTGGTATAGTGATGACGGGGAGAGTAAGTTTAGTTTTGAAGTAAGCTGCAAAACTGTCTTCCAAAGTGGCTGTACCATTTTGTACCCACTGGCAATGAATCAGAGTTCCCATTGATCCACATCCTCACTAGCATTTGGTGTTGCAGTGTTCTGAATGTTGTTCGTTCTAATAGGCATGTAGTGGTATCTTGTTGTTTTATTTGAAATTCGCTGATGACATATGATGTGGAGCATCTTTTCATATGCTTATTTGTCACCTGTTTATCTTCTTTTGTGAGGTATCTGTTCAAGTGTTTTGCCCATTTTTAAATCAAGTTATTCATCTTCCCATTGTTGAGTTTCAAGAGTTATTTGTACATTTTGAATAACAGTGTTTTATCAGATATATTGTTTGCAAATATTTTCTCCCAGTCTGTGGCTTGTCTTCTTGTTCTCTGGACAGTGTCTTCTGCAAAGCAGGCATTTTTTAATTTTAATGAAGTCCAGCTTATCAATTATTTCTTTCATGGATTGTGCCTTTGGAGTCATATCTAAAAAGTCATCACCATACCAAAGATCAGCTAGATTTTTCTCCTATGTTTTCTTCTAGGAGTTTTATAGTTTTTGCATTTTACATTTAGGTCAGTAATCCACTTTGACTTACTTTTTGTGAAGGGTATGAGGTTATATCTAGATTCTTTTTTTGCATGTAGATGTCCAGTTGTTTCAGCACCATTTGCTGAAAAGACTCTTTGTTCTATTGTGTTGCCTTTGCTCCTTTGTCAAAGGTCAGCTGACTATATTTATGTGGGTCTATTTCTGAGCTTTCTGTTCTGTTCCATTGATCTATTTGCCCTTTCTTTCACCAGTACTGCACTGCTTTGATTATTGTACTTTATAGTATGTCTTGATGTCGATCCTCCAACTTTTTCTCCTTCAATATTGTGTTGGGTATTCTCGGTCTTTTGTATCAACATATAAACTTTAGAATCAGGTTGTCAATATTTACAAAATTACTTGCTGGCATTTTGATTGAAATTGCATTGAATCTATAAATCAAGATGGGATGAACTGACATCTTGACAATATTGAGTCTTCCTATTATGAGCATGAAATATCTATTTATTTAGTTTTCCCTTGATTTCTTTCATAAGTTTTATAGTTCCCCTTTAGTTCTTATAGATATTTTGTTAGATTTCTATCTAAGTGTTTCATTTTTAGGGGTGGTGATATAAATGGTATTGTGGAGACTAATTTAGACTCCACTTGTTAATTGTTGGTAAATAGAAAAGCAATTGACATTTGTGTATTAACCTTGTATCCTGCAACCCCTCTATACTTACTTTTTAGTTCCAGAAGGTTTTTTTTGTTGATTCTTTTAGATTTTCTACATAGATGATTGTATCATCAGCAAACAGAAACAGTTTTATTTCTTCCTTCCCAATCTGTATATCTTTTATTCCTTTTCTTGTCTTATTGCATTAGCAGATAACATATCTTAATGTGTATTTGTTATCCCCTTTCCTCACCTTCTCCCTTTTCTTGATACCTGGCATATGGTGGTGGTGGTAGGATTATACCAAAAAGATATTTAAAATGAATTACATCAGCTGGGCGCAGTGGCTCAAGCCTGTAATCCCAGCACTTTGGGAGGCCAAGGCAGGTGGATCACGAGGTCAGGAGATCAAGACCATCCTGGCTAACATGGTGAAACCCCATCTCTACTAAAAATACAAAAAATTAGCTGGGCATGGTGGCGGGTGCCTGTAGTCCCAGCTACTTGGGATGCTGAGGCAGGAGAATGGCATGAACCCGGGAGGTGGAGCTTGCAGTGAGCCAAGATCATGCCATTGCACTCCAGCCTGGGCGACAGAGCAAGACTCCATCACAAAAAAAAAAAAAAAAAAAAAAATTAAAAATAAATAAATAAATAAATAAAATGAATTACATAGTATTTTGAAGTTAGCAAGATGATAATTAAGATTTTGATAGAGTTTAGCAAGTATTCAGGTAGGGGAAAGAATAATTGAATGCTGATATTATTATGTAACCCTCAGTGGAAACACTCAATGACTTGGTCTATACTTAACTTGGGTTTATGTGTAAAGACTCTGGTGCTATACCACCTTTGTCACTTTGATCAATTTACCAAACATTTCTGTGCCTTAGTCTGTCTTGCTGTAAAACTGGGATAATGATTGTGCCTACTTCATGAGGTTGTTCTGAGGATTAAATTGTTTAGTCTACACAAATCTCTCACTGAATTCCCTGGTACATAGTAAGCACGATTTAAGTATTACTTATAATTATTATTATGGTGGTACAATGTCAAAAATATTGCCTCTCAACACTAAAGAAAATACAAGAGGTACAGAGGAATAGAGAGTTAGATATTCCAAACTCAAACCATTTGATGAAATTAACATCTTTCCTATATCAAAATTAATTTTTAAAGACAATTTTGAGACAAGAAAGATTTAATATTTTTTCAGAAATCTTCTTATTTCTGACTCTGTTGATCTATAATTGACTTTAGCATTTATGTTCTATTTCTGAAAAGCGGTTTTATGCCCAGGTACTGTGACTTTATTGTTTCACTTTATTCATGCCTTTAGCCCTTTGCATTGTTGCTATAGTTAAGTACCTTGCTTTCCTCCCGGCCTTGCAATGCAACTAATTCCTTCAACATCATCTTTGTTAATTAAAACACAGTCCAGAATTATTGCAAAATAGAAACATTTATAAATTTTCTAGTATTTAATTAGTGTTTTCCAACTCTAGGGTGCCTGTTGAAAAATCAGAACCTCTGAAGGCATGGATTACAGCCTAGGGACCAGAATTTTCAAAAGGGTTTGCAATCCAGATAGATATGTATAAGTGCAATGTTGAAATAAATACTTTTATTAATTAGGGATAAGCCTTTCATTTTCTTTACACAATTTTAGCATTGGAAGAGGTCTTCAGAATTCTCCCATCCTTCTCAATTTCCTTAATCCAGAAAAGGCATGTCAGTTTCCCAAATACAGTTTAAGTGGCAGAAGAAAGGCCAAAACTTCTAGATTTCCAGTGCTCTTTATATCATATTCTTCTTGCCATTTTAATTCGATTTTATTATTGTTAAGTCAATGTAAAGTATTTTGAAATTAAAAAAAATTATTTTATTTTTCTTTCTTTGGGTGATAGAAATAACACTATTAAACAACAAGCAGAACCCGTTAGGTATGTTGATCTGGAGGAGAAAAGAACTAAAATTCACATACTTGTATTCTTTTCTTGAATGAATAAACATGTATTTTAAAAATCACAATGATTGTAGTCTTCATCGTGGTCATCATCATCACCATCAATCAATCCTTACTTTAGTCACTAAATTTGACTAGTTAATGACAATCTTTGAAAATGTTAACAGGTCTCTAATACCAGTGGGTAATAGGTAATTACTGGTCAAATATCACAAGAACATCACACAAGCTAGTTGAGTCAGAGGACATTGAAAAACCGTCTTAGTCTAGTGCTGTAAATATGATTTCCCAGTTCAGGTCATTACTTGAAAGCCAAAAAATAAATCTGGGATTTTCTGTCAGCTAGGAAAACTAATCCTGTAAGAGAAGCAGGTTTATAGAGAAGATATTATTCCAAATTTCTCTTGATTTTAACTGTACCACTGAGCATCCAGCCTGGAGGGGGTTTTGGTACCAGGTAACATCTGACAAAATAAGAGTTCAGAATGAAAAAGACTTATTTTACCTCAAACCAATTATGGTCTCCACTTCATTGATGCAGGACCAACTTATCCACTAGGCACAGTAGCATAGTGCACATGGCCGGTGATACTTTTAGGAACCCATGAAAATCTTACTTTATTTCAAAACCAAAAGAAAAAAATAAACTTTTAGGGTCAAATAATGTTTTAATTTTTTCTCATGCCAAAAAATACAATGTTTTAGGGCCCACACAAGTTTAACAGAGAAACGAGATTTTAAATGTTTAAAGTTATATAAAAAATAATTTTTAATATTGATATTATTATGGTGGGAAGGACCTATGAAGGCAAAAATTGCAAGTGTCCATGAAAGTCATAATGTTGCCCTGCATTGATTCGTTATCGTTAAATATAGTTGCTATTGTTTGATGGATTAACCATCACTGCACTTTTGGTTTCAATACTTTGATGATGGTGAATTCTAGTAATCTCCCTAGGAGAACAATGCTGTTGCATATAACCTTTGGATTGCTTTCTAGTTATTTGTTAAATCGTAGCCAATAGAATATTTTTCATGTCACTTGCTTTCTTAGCTCCTTATTTGTTCCCTAGTCCCCACCCTTTCCTGCTTTCCTTTCCTACAGAGCACACTCTAGAATACCCAAATAGTGTCAGGTAACTGATCAAGAAAACCGATTATGAGATCAAATAATAATTTGTATTTAATTAATATTAAATTATTAATTATTAAATTATTAATTAATATTAAAAATAATAATTCTAATTAATATTAAATTATTAATAATATTAAAATAATACTTCAAATAATTATTAAAAATAATAATTCAAATTTAATTGATATTCAGCCATTTGAACAATTATGGAAAAGGGTCAAGTTAAGGTAATGGTGGACCACTGCAAAGCAATCAACCTTGAGAAAGATTTATGGGATTTCTTTCTGTTTGCCACATTTGTTTTCCCTGAATGCATAGAGAACTTCCAGAGAAACACCAGAGCTCACTCTGAAAATGCTGGTCCTCCAATCTCGGCAACCCCTTGACATCACTCAAATTCTCCAGTGGATTTCTCTATGTAATTATCTATTCAGGAGATTACTTTTCTTCTTCCAATTACAAATCTTAATGCCTCAAGATTCAAGAGTTTGAGTTTAAAATAAGAGAACAACAGATTACTTAAAAAAAAACAGAGACATTAAAGCTTACAATTAGATAATATTTAAGCATCTTCTCATACTAACTTTGTTAAGACTAAGGACTGTTTCTTGCAATCCTACATCAAAGGAACTCATGACCAGAGACTCACAGTATAACTTAATGAATAGCCCTGATGTAAACAGAGGTGTTGTTTTGGGGGTAAATTGAATGCTGCCTGTTTCAATGTCAAAAATAAAATCTATTCCATTCTCATCCATTTTCAGGGCACCTTGAGAAGTTCTGGCTTGCTGGCTATCTCCTTGTTTTCATGCTTGATATTATATCTTTCAAACATATTTATTTCCCTAGTAAGCAAAGACTGGTTATTTCAACTTAGTATTTTTTTAGTTTAATTAAAATTTCTTTGTAGCCAGGAAATAATTTATCCTTTTTTTTTTTTTTTTTTTTTTTTTTGAGACAGTCTCACTTTGTCCCCCAGGCTGGAGTTCAGCGTCTGATCTTGGCTCACTGTGACCTCTGCCTGCTGAGTTCAAGCGATTCTTGTTCCTCAGCCTCCTGAGTAGCTGGGATTGTAGGCATGCACAACCACACCCTGCTAAAATTTTTTTTTTTTTTTTGTATTTTTAATAGAGACAGGGTTTCGTCATGTTGGCCAGGCTGGTCTGGAACTCCTGACCTCAAGTGATCTGCCTGCCTTGGCCTCCCAAAGTGCTAGGATTACAGGCATGAGCCACTACACCTGGCGTATACATTTTTTTTTAATTAAAGAGTCTAGAGAGCTAGACATGGGAGATTAAACTGCATTTAGCTAATGAAAGCCAAACTCCTATGAGTTTAAATCTATCAGAAACTAAGCTTGAAGTCTGTGCATATTAGGCTTTTCAGAGGATCTGATTCACATTGATTGACTATGCACATTAAAATGATCACAAAATTGTTTGCAATGATAGTTTACCTAGTATGGTCAACATCATGGTCATCAACAAAGACAGTCCTTGCTCTCACGATGGCAGTCATAACAGGGACTTAACAAAGATTGTCACCACAAAGCAATTGCTGCATTGGGCAAAATCAGTGTTGGGACCAAAAATGCCTCAAGATTTGGAGAAGAGGCAGAGTTTACTCAGAGAGTAAACTCACTTGAGGACAATTTCACAGAGGGGATGGATCCTACATGAGAGAAAAGACTTTATAGGGGAATTTGGGTGAAGGGGATGGTGTAAACACAGAAACAGTAATGAATCATCAGTAATGATTGATAATAAATATTTGAATGGCAGATTTTAGAACCTTGAGGTACAGAAAGAGATCACCAGATCTAGCCTCTTGATTCTAAGGAAGTAAGGTTTTATTATCTCATTTTGCAGATAAAAATATATTTTAAGGACAAACCATCTGAAGAGGTTAAATTCGGTGACTAAGTCTTTAGTCCAGTGATTTTTAAAAATAAGTTTACTGCATAGGAATCACCTACAGAGATTTTTAAACATGTAGATTTCGAGCTAAAACCCTCGGGAGTCTGACTCAGTAGGTGGGCTAGGGCCTGGGATTTCCATTGTTTTTATAAGACCCTCATATGGTCACCAAATGTGGGAATCTCATTTGGAAAATGGTGCTTTGATATTATAGATAACCAGGGAACATCCTGTGCCATATTCCTACGTTAAGAATAATCCTGATAAATTGACAAATATTTGATTTATCTCATCACTGGTATTCATTACCTGTTTTCCTAGTTTTCAAAATTTCTTTCACAGCTGAAAAATGGAGGCCTGCCATCATTGCCCAGGAATTTGAAAAGTTCTGCAAAAATTTGAGTCCAGGAAGAATGTATTTTGCTTTAGCATCCCACTTAATGTGTTTTTTTGGATCCTATGCAGAGAGATAGGCAGCTACATCCAAAGCTGGATTTAAAGCAGGGAAGCAAATCCTATCTCAAACTAGCTTACAAACGTTGGAAGTTAGAATGTGATGAGGGCAGTGGTATTTCAGAGAAGGGAGACTGCTGTGGGTGTGGGAGATAAGAGGACATATATTATTTAAAAACAGCAAATGATAGCAAATTATGATGCAGTAATAAAGAGAGGAGAGCATGAAAAAAATCACAGGATTGCAAGTCAAGAAGCCTCTCTGTGTGACTGTAGTCAACTTGCTTTAACTTCTGGTGCTGCTTCATCCCCATCCTAATTCTCCCTGTCTTCATTTTTTTTTTTATTAGCAATAATTACACCTCAGATGAACCTCAATGGCTATGTTCTGCCACTGCACAAAGCTCTCTCTCTCTCTTCTTTTTTTTTTGAAGATGATTTCAGTAGCCTTCTAATTTGGTCTCCTAGTCACAATTGCCCGTTGCTCCTTAAACTAAACCACTCTGCAACTAGAAATCACCTTGTTAAAACTTTAACCAGGCCAGGCACAGTAGCTCACGTCTGTAATCCCGGCACTTTGGGAGGCCCAGGAGGGCGGATCATCTGAGGTCAGGAGTTTGAGACCGGCCTGGCCAACATGGTGAAATCCCCGCTCAACAAAAATACAAAAATTAGCTGGGCTTCGTGGTGGGTGCCTGTAGTCCTAGCTACTCAGGGAGGCTAAAGCAGGAGACTTATTTGAACCCGGGAGATGGAGGTTGCAGTGAGCTGAGATCCCACCACTGCACTCGAGCCTGGGTGACAGAGCAACAGTTTATCTCAAAAAACAAACAAACAAGAACAAAAAAACTTTAACCAGATTTCTAAATAAATTTTCCCGCTGGCAATATGTGATGACTTCCCTGTTGCTGAGGGACAAACTCCTTAGCATGACCTACAGCTACAAGATCGCCTGTCCCCAAAGAATGACACCTCAAGCCCTGATCTCCACCCTCCCGCACACTTTCAGCACTAGGTTTTTTTTTCTTATTTCTGCCCATGCACTTGCCCCGCCTCCTTGCCAGCCTTCTCAAACTTCTTTTCCTTCTGGTCAGTCCCTACATTGTCCTTTCTCTCCTCCTCCACCTGGCAAGCTTGTATATATTCATCGTTCTACGTTTAGCTCAGTGACACTTTCTCAGGGAAGTCTTTCCTACTCTCTGGATGGAGTTGGCCCTTCCCTAATAATTCTGGACTAAGTACATCTAGTTTGCAGTGGCATTTGTCTTTTGAAGATCCTCCTGGAATTTCCCAGCCAAATGGGTGAGAAACACTATTACTGGCAGGTGTGGGCTTCAAAGGTAATTCTCCTCTTGTTCTCATTGGAGGTAGAACGGATCAGTCAGTCATATTCTTGTGCTATTCTCTTTCTATGAACGTGTATAAACAAGAGGAATGAATGGGAAGGCTCACATTTCATTATAGATGATGATCATCCTCTTTCCTACTTGCAAGTTCTGAAAGATTTCTTGCTGGAAGCCTACCTATCTGTCCCACCATGGTGAATTAAAGCAAAAACGTTGGGCTGATACCATTATTCATTTGAAAGATATTTCAAGACCGTCCCTTCATCATCCCAGCTCACAAACCAGTAAAATCTCCCTTGAATACATTCAACAGAGTTTCTTATTGAGCAAAGAGCTTGAATAGGCACAATCATGGAGGAGTCATGAAACCAGGAAAAAATAAACAGTGGAGCCAGATAGACTTTAAGTGGTATAATGCTCTGTTTCTGCAGGATTTTCCACCTCAACTCCTTAATCTCATTTTAATCTCTATAGCAGTCATTAGATTCTAATACCGTACACAAGGCCCAGCAACCTGTTTTGTTGCTGTGGTTTTATGCTAAGTGGTTGATGTGGCACCAGGTTTGGGAAACATGAGCGTGGAATTGATAACTCTCATCTGTGTAAGCAGCTTCATCCAAAATTCTTCCTCTGCCCGAACTCCTACCCCTACCTCCCAAGCAGGTCCATGATTATGTTAGATCCTTTTTAGGCTCAATGAACTCCACATTTCCTAGCAAGTGAGCAATGGAAAAATGATGATCCTTGCTTTCTGAACTGGAAACACAGGCATAACATGGTTAAAGGGAGTTCCCCCTTGACTTCTGAGGCAAATGAGAGAGGAGCTGGAAAAGTGCCTGATGCAAGTGATTAGATCAAAGGGAATTCTTCGTCCCATGTCAGGTGCTGTTCCCCGTAATGCACACCTTGCAGTGCACAAAGTTAATAAGTGCTGTGGCCATCTATAGTTGTTCCTCCTCAAGGCCACCTCCTAATAGCAATAAATTGTGAGATGGACCTTCTTACAGCTAATTAAGACCTTTCATCTTAGCCTCTTTGTTTTTCAAAATCTTTCTGTAGCAATTCAATAAAATTACAACTCAGCTATCCCTTTGTAATTACACCAGGAAAGGTTTGTGAACTAATTATTTCATGCATTCAAGCAGTAGAAGGGTAATTTATCAGGATGACAACATTGGGCAATTGTTCCTAAATCTGACTAAGTATCCAGCTCCAGGTGTGCTCTTGCTGTGTCAGGACTCCCTGCTTGACCCTAGGCCTCCAGATCTCTAAAGGGATGGGATCTTAAAGGCTATTTTTTAAAAGTTACCCTTGCCGGTTACATGATTAGTTCTGTTTCAGAAAGACTTGTCTAGTGCCCTCTTGCAGGGCTTCTTAACATCAGTCTCCCCTTGAGAGACTGTAAAAAGTGCAGATTTCATGTCCAACTCCAAGGGATTCTCATTGCTGGGTGATGTCTAGAAATAGGCATTTTTAACAAGTTGTCCAGGTGCTTTTGAAACAGGTGGCCAGTGTATTTCACTTTAGGGAACACTGCTCCATTAAGGGTTTGGCCAAAGATGGGCACAGGGTGAAAGAATATGACACATTTGTGAGGCTCAGCTGTTGTCTCTCCAAGGCCAGTTGCAAAGCAGTCCTCCAAACATGGCATCTACTTGCGTCTAGACACACCAGTGCCAGAGAGAGAATGAGGGTGGGGAAGACGACTATGGGGACAGGGCTGGGCTCTTCCTGGTGTATCTTGCTGTTTAAAGGCACAGAACCAGGCAGACATTCACGCCCCCCCCCCCCAACTCATCTGCTGTAACAGCTCCTCCCCAGCCTTACCCGCAATGTCTTCCTGGCTTGCATCTTTCCCTTTCCCCAATTTGATTTCAGCTCCAACTTTCATATTGCTACTAGAATTATTTTTGTAAAAGGTAACTTTTGTTTCTCCAGGAATTAACACTCTTTAAGCATACACAATAATTTTTCCCTACCAAATCCAGACTCCTCTGCAAAGGGTTTCAGACCGTTTGTCATTTGGCCTCTTGTACATTTCCAGCTTTACATTCTGTGCTGATTCAAATAGCACGAACACATGCCTCTGCCTGCAACATGCTTTCCGTGACTGTCTGGGAGACTCTTCAACTTTCAACCTTAAACTAAAGCATGATTCATCATGTGAAAGCATCTATGACCTGTCTGAGGAGAATTACTTTTCTCTTCGAATCTTGTACATACATGTGCCATAGCTCCTATTACTCTATATTATATTTATTTATTTTAAAGTCTATTCTGCACAAACGACTGCAACCATGTTTCAATATTATTTTATCCTAATGTTTATTCACATTAATATTAATACTTATTAATATTAATAAGAGTAAAAGTAATAATAGCTATTCAATGATTGCTAATTACTGTGGCAAGCTTCTATGCTTTATGAGTTATGTGAATTATGCCACTTAATCCTTCTGCCATGTTAAGAAATAGGTTCCACCCATAAAAAACAGCCAGTTAATGTTAGACAAAAGGTCTGTCTGACTTCAGAGTAGGCACTTTGTATTCAGTAGGCTCTTAGTAAACATTTGTTGAATGAATAAATTATTGGTATATAAATACATGAATGAAAAAATGATGCCAAGTTTTCAGAAGGGTTGTTAAGTAAAAAGTTATGGCTGTTGCTACTAGCAAATGACCTGCAGGGGGTTCTTGGGCAGTATTTTTATTAGCAGAGAGAGCAAAAAGGAGGTACCAAAAGTTGTTTATTTTTTTCTGTCTGAAAATTTCTTCTTCAACAATGAGGCTCACAAAGAAAACTAGAAGATAGATATTGAAATAAAATTCATGTGTGAAGAAATACACAGGAAAAAAATGACCTTAAAAGTTAAGTCAGTGGACAGAGGGTGGAACTGTGCATGGTATTTTGACCTGTTTATGCCCTGGTCACTCAGAGTGCCCCCCGCCATGGCTGAGGCCACTCCATCCTTTCTGGAGTCTTAGCCTTGCCTCTACTTCTGGAACAAGCCCTGTCCTGGGGAAGCCCAAGTTTCACTGAGTCCTTGCTCAGAGACAGCCTCATCTCGCCCTCTGATCTTGCAGCCCAGGCTCCAAGGCATTAATGTCCCAGTTCTGGTAATTGGGCTTTCTTCTTGTTTTGGGGACCCGGTGCCTATTTTGTGTAATAGATCCAGGGTGAAAGCCACTGTCTTACCCCAGTGGCTGGCCTCATGTTGTTAATCAGACTCCTGGTCAAGTCCCAAGTGTGCCTTGTCCTAGAGATCCTGCTACCTGCATAAGAGGCCCACCCAAGAGTGCCTGCTCACCTGGCTCTCCGAATGTGCTTGGCACTCTAGTAAAGGTATCACATCTGGCACATCAGCTTAGATTGGCGAGTTCATCTGGTTAAGTTGATGGTAGTTTGTCACCATCTGCCATGATCTATTTAGTTTTTGTCAGGGGCTAGACAGGTAAATGGAATAAGAATAGGATAAGGACCACAGTCTCTGCATTCTTAAAATCTTTGGTGGTGATGCCAATACAATCCTTTTAGGAATGCAGTATTATTTATGATTTACCGTCTTGGCTGCTGTGGAGACCAGGGCAGAGGAAATAGCTGAAGGCCCAAGAAACAACAACGAGAAAATCTAAGTAGATGCTTGAATGTGTCCAGTATAGAGGGTGAATATTATAACTGCCAATAAAGTATACATCAGACTATAATTTAGGAAAAATAGAAAGACACCAAGAAAATAAGTTTTCAGTATGGAAGAGAACATAAAAAGTTAACTCTGTTTTGAAGCTGGTTGACTCAGTATCCATGTGACTTTGAACAAGCCATATAACATACTGGGACCCTATGTTCTCATCCATAAAATAAAGAAAATTCATTGGAGGTCAATAACAGCAGCATAATTCCATGATTTTTAAAATTATTTTCTTGATGTCATTATAAAATCTGAGTAATTGAAGGAATCTAGGGGAAGAGTAAAAAGTAGTACATTTATAAACAACAATATACTTTATACTTCATGAAAGAAAAATAACATTTTGGAAAAATTAACTTAAAAATATCAAAAAGTAAAGCCTAAGTACTATGTGTAAAATTATCATATACCTTCTTCTATATATTTAAATGTTTTCATTTGCACTTCCAAATCATATTATTAGACAAGTATCTAACAATTAATATAAATAATGTACTTTTAAAAAGATATGTTCACTGAAGTTTTATGTTCCAGATATTTCTGCAGCTATGACATAATTGTGTTATACTCTGGATTACTATTTCTGTGGTAAGGGTTATTTTAAAATAAAGGCAATACGCTTACTTAAGTAAAAAAACATGAATATGGGAACTGACAGTGTGTCATGGACTTGATTTAAAATAGCCCATGTTCTGGAGTTCAGAGGAACTCAGAAGTATGTCAAAGGGCAAGGGGGAAAAAAAGCCATCCAGAAAGAAGTGAGGACAATGTCCCTTGGTCTGATTTGTGAGAAAGTAAGAATTACATTTGCAGAGTTTGGCAAGACAACTAGGAAAAAGAGCAAGAGCTAGAATAACTTCTTCCAAGTTCCAGGGCAATCAGAAATCAAAACCCCAGAGGGACCTGGAAAAAGGGAAATTTCACTTTGGAATTACTGGGAATGTTTAAGCTCATAGTCTTGCCTGATAATCTTATTAAAAGGATTCTGATTCTTTCCTTTGGCTAAACCAGAAAAGGAAAAGAAATACAGTCTTTAAAATTTGGACATGTTAGGGCAAAGAAAAAAGCATTTCCAATTAGATGTTTTCCCTAAGCCAGAACTCCTTCCTTTCGGAATTTAAGAAATAAATAATTAAGACAATTTAAAGAATATAAATATATTCCAGAGAACATCTTGGAGCAGCAACACAAATATTAAAAATATAGAGTTAAACTTCAATGATTATATGAAAAAGCACAGGCTTCAATGTACAAATGAACTTACAAACTCCACAATTTTTTTGCCAAAACATTAAATTATTTCCCCAGAAAAAAAGGACATAAGAGAAATCCTGAAAAAAATCAATTCTGTCAAAGTAATGCATGATTCTTTACACACACATGCAGTGTTAATCTACTCAGAAATAATCAAGGGGTTCTCTTTATTTGCACTAGATGAAAATGTTGCTACCTAGAATTTTCATTCATTATTATTTAACACTAGTAGCAATTATTAACAGAGATTTTAAAAGACATTTTTAAGCATTTGTATTCATCGATATACCTCTGAAGAACGATTGATATTTTTGTCTGGGCAAACCAAATTATTCTTGGTAGAATTCCTTGCTCTCTGCAATACTAATGATTGGAGGCAGCTTCATCATGCACACAGCCATGGGAGGGTTATGAAAAGGACAGATGGTCCCAAAGGTACACTCTTCGTCTTGGAAATCATAATGTTAGGAAACACAATCAACAGTTTCCTGAAGGTTAAATTAGTTTTTATGCTGGGTTTTCTCTGTTGATTTGCATGTTTAAGGAAGTACTGTACTATTTGTGTATTTATTGCAAATTAGCTCTTAATTTGATTAGGCTACCTAGTTCTCTGACTGATAAACCTGTTCATACAACATTGTCTTTAGTACATGTAGGACACTCTCCAATGAAATGCACTTCAGAGAATCAGCATTAAAAGAGAATTAAAATCACAAGGTCTTTTTATCTCAGAAAAAAATTTAATATTTTAAAATGGTTTCCTATACCTACTATGAGAAAAAAATCACCTGCCTTGAGAGCTATGCAAATTCCCAAGCACACTTTGTAAGGTCTGGTTTTTTTTTTTTTTTTTTTTTTTTTTCTGAGATGGGGTCTTGCTATGTTGGCTAGGCTGGTCTCAAACTCCTGGGCCCAAGTGATCCTCCTGATCAAACTCCTGAGTAGCTAAGATTACAGGTGTGAGCCACCATGCCCTGCTGTAAGGTCTTGAGTGGTCTTGAGAAAGTAGTTATGACTTAGATACAGTCCCAGAAATTTACATGCCTCATTATTTCAGAAGCTGATGAAAATACACAGTCAAAGGTTCTAGACTTCACCTCTCCAATTGAAATTTGAAAAGGTCCCATCATCTGCTCTAAGTCTTTCCAAGAGAAGTTGCTTCAAACTCTTCACTCACACACTTTTTCTTTTAGCAGAAGACCATGAATACTAATGTTTACATATAATGTTACTTATTTTCTCATTCAATTATTTGCCCTTTCCCAAGCTGGGTCCTTGATGATAGATAGCCAGATACTCAGTCTGTCACCAAATATGTGTCGAGTGACTGTTGACTACTGTGAATCAGGGTCTGTACAAGCTTCTGGCTCTTGGTCTAGTACTCAAGTTTGTGTTTTTTAAATCTACTTGCTTTGTGCCCATTTTGGCTATTTCAAGTGATAAGTCCCATTGAAAGCAAGTCCCATTTTAAGCCAGTTCCTCTGAGAGGAAATAGGTCATCTATTGGTAGGAGTTTAAAGAATATGATCTCTTTGGAGGGCACTTTAAAACTTTAAATATATATCAACATTTAAATGTATATAACCATTGGTCCATCAATTCTACCTCTAGCATGAATTATAGCAAAATATTTACACAACTAAACAAAGGTATATATGTACAAGAATGTTTACTAAAACAATTTTTAATAATGAAAAGCTGGAGTATTGGTTAAAACATGGCACCTATGTAAATGGAATACTTGGCAGCAATTTTTTTAAAAAATAAGACATATCTATACCACTGACACGAAAAGATGACCACAGTGTATTACTAAGTGGAGAGGAAGGTTATGGAAAGAGTGTATACATACACAGTCTTGATATTGTGAAAGAAAAATAAATATTGGGGCCCTCAAATCGCTAAGCTAAAGGGAAAAGTCAAGTTGGGAACTGCTCGGGGCAAACCTGCCTACCATTCTATTCAAAGACACCCCTCTGCTCACTGAGATAAATGCATATCTGATTGCCTCCTTTGGAGAGGCTAATCAGAAACTCAAAAGAATGCAACCACTTGTCTTTTATCTACCTATGACCTGGAAGCCCCCTCCCTGCTTAGAGTTGTCCTGCATGTTTGTTTCGAGATGTCCCACCTTTCTGGACCAAACCAATGTTCAACTTACATATATATTGATGGATGTCTCATGCATCCCTAAAATGTATAAAACCAAACTGTGCTCTGGCCACCTTGGGCACATGTCATCAAGACCTCCTAGGCCGGGCGCGGTGGCTCACGCCTGTAATCCCAGCACTATGGGAGGCCGAGGTGGGTGGATCACGAGGTCAGGAGATCGAGACGTTCCTGGCTAAAACTGTGAAACCCCGTCTCTACTAAAAATACAAAAAATTAGCCGGGCGTGGTGGCGGGTGTCTGTAATCCCAGCTACTTGGGAGGCTGAGGCAGAAGAATGGCGTGAACCTGGGAGGCGGAGCTTGCAGTGACCTGAGATCGCGCCACTGCACTCCAGCCTGGGCGACAGAGCGAGACTCCGTCTCAAAATAAAACAAAAACAAAAACAAACAAACAAAAAAAACTCCTGAGGCTGTGTCACGGGCCCGTGTCCTCAACCTTATCAAAATAAACTTTCTAAACTAACTGAGAGCTGTCTCAGATTTTTGGGGTTCACAATATTATCCAATGTCTTTAATAAAATTCATATTCCATGTGTATGTTTGCATATGTATTGAAAAAGACTGAAAAGTGTATTCATGGAATTGTTAAAACTTATGATCACTGAAGAATGACACAATTACTTTCTCTTCTATATAGTTTGAATTTTTGTATCAAGTATATATTAATCTTTAAAATATCAAAAATATTCTCATCTGGAGAAGAAAATTTTCCACTATGAAAAGAGGAGAGTGTTAACATGGTATTATCTCTTAAGAAAAAAAATCTTGTTCTGTGTCATGGATATCAACAAAACTCATTTTGAATTTTATGAATTTCTATAGCTGAGATTGGTCTCAAAATTAAACTTTCACTCCAGAATTATTGCTAAAGAAAGCTCAGTGTTTTGAGAGTTTTGAGACCAAAGATGATGCTCAGAGAGGCTATTCTGCATCAGAGAAAATTTTCTAATTTTTCCCAGCCCAGGACACACAACCCCAAGTTTGTGATTTGTCTTCTAGGACTATATTATTATTATTACTACTATTATTAATATAAGCTGCCACCTGCCGAGTAAGGTATATGTTAAGGAACATATGCAACTATATGCTAAGCAACATGCAAAATACTTGGCATTTAAGATTGCTAATCTAAACAATAGCAATAAAGCATAGTTTTTCAATTTTACAGATGAGAAAGCTGAGTGTCACAGAAATTAACTAGCTTGCCAAAGATCACAAGCTAGTGAATAGTGCCAATCAAATTTCAACATGTCTTAATACCAGAGCTCATGGTTGTTTTATTCCATAACACAGTTTATAAGGCAACCAAGAAAATGTCACAGGTATGTTCATATCCATTGAATATAAGCTTTAATACAATGACAAAGTTGTAAAGGATGATAGTCTCTTCACAGCATAGAATTGCCATCAAGAATCTTGCAGCAGAAGGAATAACATCTAGATGTGGAGAATCTTGGCAAGCCACAGTAATAAATGCAGTAATTTATTCTGCATTTATTCACATTTCACCTAGTGAGAGAGGATTTTCGTCAAGAGGGAAGTTAACACCCAGATGGCAAATGTATTTCACAGATGCCTGACGTTTGTGGTTTCTTACTCGATCAGAGTTCACTGGGGGAAATCTCACAGCAAAAGTGCCTCCCAGAAAGAATACTCAGTGTTTCCTTGTAATCAAAATTGTTCCTGGATGAGCTGCTCCTGTTCTGTCTCTTTATCAGCATCTCATCACAGTTAGTGCCTATTGTGGCATCTGCTGCTATCTGGTGTTTTCATTCCAGCACATGGTTCTCACTTTGTCTGCAAACTTAAGGTACCTGTGTCTTCATCCCAATGTGCCATCTCTCACTTTTCCCCTTCCTCTCTCATTCCTCTTTACTTTTTTTCTCCTTATTTTTCTCTTTCTCCTCTCTAACCTCTTCCCCATTTTTCTCTCTCAAACATTATTTCCCAAGTGTCTACTATGAACCAGAAACTCATGCCTACTGTTTGCCAGAAATGCTCTGCATGTACAACTGCCCCTTCAAGAAGCTCACAGTCTGAGGCCGGATGCGGTGGTTCACGCCTGTAATCCCAGCACTTTGGGAGGCCAAGGTGGGTGGATCACTTTAGGTCAGGAGCTCCAGACCAGCCTGGCCAACATGGTGAAACCCTGTCTCCACTAAAAATACAAAAATGAGCCAGGTGTGGTGGTGCACTCCTGTAATCCCAGTTACTCGGGAGGCGAGGCACAAGAATCGCCTGAACCTGGGAGGCAGAGGCTGCAGTAAGCTGAGATTGTGCCATTGCACTCCAGCTGGGCAACAGAGCAAGACTCTGTCAAAAAAAAAAAAAAAACCCAAGACGCTCATAGTCTGGAGGTCAGAAACATAAGCACATATGGTTATGATGTGCAAAGTGCTATGAGATCACAGAAGAATTATGGCTTTTCAGAGAAATTGAACTAAAATCTCATGTTCCTTAAATCCATTTGCATGTTACACTCTAATAAAGTTTATGATGTGATTAAAAACTGCTTTGCTTATTGATTAAGGAGTTCCAGGCTTTCTGGAAGGAGGAGCACAGATTAATGGGAAGAGTAATGGACTCAGAAAACCTGGATACCTTGAGTCTAGGAGTTCAAGACCAGCTTGGACAACATGATGAAACCCTGTATCTACTAAAGATACAAAAAATTAATCAGGCATGGTGACACATGCCTGTAGTCCCAGCTATTCAGGGAGGCTGAGATGGGAGAATCACCTGAGCCTGGGAAGTCAAGGCTGCAGTGAGCTGAGATCAGCCCAGGCAATTGGAGTGAGACCCTGTCTACAAAAAAAAAGAAGAAGAAGAAGAAAACCTGGTTACTAGGGCAACTCTGCCACTATTGTTTGTCTAACCTTGGTCCATTTTCTCATAAAAAACTAACTTCACTATATATGTATAAAATATCTTCTACCTATAATATTTTGAAATTTCTTGAATTCTAAAGGGTCTGAATGTTTTTAGGACATATATCCACATGAAATAAGATGGTCAACCGGTACAAATATTTTGGAGAGAAATTTGGCAGTACATTTTTAAAGCCTTAAAATATCTATTTATTTGACCCAACATTTTCATTTCCAAAAATGTATCCTATGGATATCATTGGAAATATCTGTTTTGATATTTGCATAGTGATGGTCACTGGGGTACAGTATTCCCTATTGCAGCAAAAAAGCCTTGGAAAAAAACAAGATGTTTTATTGTAAAATATTGATTATACATGGTATATAATACAGTATACATTCAATCAGTGAAGACTTTGGAGTCGTTAAAAATGGTATGGTACCAGTATACTTATGGACACAGAATCATATTCAGAGTACATGGTTGTATTCTCAGTGCCTAGAATACTGCTTGATACATAGTAGATTTTAAATACATTTTATGAATATTCTTTAAGTGAAAAAGTCAATTCTAAACCAGTGTGGACTATAATGCCATTTACAAAATAGTATATTAATATATACAAAAAGTCTGGGGAATGTATATCAAAATGTTCAGTGGTAATTTCTGGATGAGTATTTATTAGTAAATTTTATTTTCAAATCTCCCCACCAATTTCCTAGTCCCACCTCAATCCATTTTCTACTCTTCATCCAAGATATTCTTGGAAAACTCAAATCTGACTATGCTACTACCTCACTAAATTTCCTCAGTTATTCTATAATGCTCTTTAGCTAAATCCACAATATTCAACCTAGCTTGTGAGGCCTTCCTTGCTCTAAACACTAATTCTCTACTACCCCTCATACACATTCTTGCCACTCAGCATTTTTCAATTTGCCATAAGGCGGAGCCTCCCTCATGTTCCCAGACTCCCATTAGGTGCCCCCATAAAATGTTCTGTCTGTGTAGAACAGTACCTCTCTGGCCCCGCTTTTCTCAGCACACTCTGAGCCATCCTTCAGCCTTATTTTGGATGTCAGGGCTTTGGGAAGTCATTGCTGATCCCCTCCACCCTGATCAAGGCTGCATGAGGTACAATTTCACTCCCATAGCATCCTGTGGGGTTTTTTTTGTGTGTTTGTTTTGTTTTGTTGTTTTTTTGAGACGGAGTCTTGCTCTGTCGCCCAGGCTGGAGTGCAGTTGTGCAATCTCAGCTCACTGCAAGCTCCGCCTCCCGGGCTCACGCCATTCTCCTGCTTCAGCCTCCCAAGTAGCTGGGACTACAGGCACCCACCACCACGCTAGGCTAATTTTTTGTATTTTTAGTAGAGATGGGGTTTCACCATGTTAGCCAGGATGGTCTCGATCTCCTGACCTCGTGATCCTCCCGCCTCGGCCTCCCAAAGTGCTGGGATTACAGGAGTGAGCCACCGCGCCCAGCCTTTTTTTTTTTTTTAAACGTATAATCCTTTGACCTCGTAGTGGTCCTCGTGTAGCTTTCCCCACTTGTTTTATTTATCCTTGGACCAGAGCATCAAGCACAGTGACTGGCACTAGGCATTTAGTGAGTACGTGGCTGAATGTCTTCTTTGCATTTAGCTCTATTTGTGTAATTTAAATTACAGAATATGTATGCTATTTTAAAAAGCAGATAAAATGTAAATGGACTGAGATTGGCAAAAGTGAGGCTATGAACAGAAGTTTGGAAGAGACAGGGTATGTTCCTTCCTTGTGGATTGAAAACAATTCTCATAAAAACAAGTAGCAGTTTACATACTATCACAGCTTCGGAGGGCCACACCTGAAATTTTTCCCTTGACTCTGTCACAAACAACACTGGGGAGGGGTCAATCAGGATTTAAATGCAAATACTTACATCTGCCATTTATACCTCAATGCCATTTAAAGTAACCTGATTGATTTTCTCCTATATCAACAATGAACTAGACAGAACTACCACATGTCAGACATAAGCCTTGGGGATACAAGGATGCATAAGACATATCCTCTATCCCCAAAGAGCTCACACCTGGGAATTAGAAGGGGAATAACTTCATGTTACATAAATACAAAGAAGAGAACAAACGTGAAATGTTTACGTGTGTGTGTGTGTGTGTGTGTGTGTGTGTGTGTGTGTGTTTCTGTCTGTCCCCTTGGACATTTTCTAGCGATTTGTTCTCTTTGGCCCACAGTCAGTTCATAGTGAAGCTTGCTTTATTATATAAAGACAAAGTAGGGCATACTACTTTACACTCAGAATGCGCTTTGCCAGCTCTTTTGTTAGCTCCTTCTTGTACCCACTACACTATGTATGAAGAGTCCCTTTAATGAGTAAGAGGGCAAGTGAAGTGTTGGGCAACACTTCAAGGCACAACCTAAGTCTATAATTAGCCTTGAACTGATCCATAGCCTATGGCTTACTCATTCTTTCCAAAACTGTCACCATTTTGAAGTTAGAGTCAAGAGTCAGTGACCACTTACTGTGCAGTAAATGACACACAAACTTGTACAGAGCTACCTTTACTTTGCGTCTTTAACCCAGGGTAGGAAATGTAAAGCAATTCTCATCTTAAATGTTCCCACTAGTCCATGGGGAGAGAGAACCAAATAAAATATGCTTGATTTTCCTGTCGGGGTTTCGTCTTAAAACTCGTAACAAATCCCAAAACATTGGTAATAATAATGCATTCAGAAAGGAACTTTGTTTCAAATAAAAGGAGAGCCTTGGCATGATCCTTAACCTATGACATACATGCTGTGAAAACACTCCCCCTCATCAGGGCTTTGTCCCTACTCCTCATCATCCAGAGAGAGGGTATGTTTCCTCTTCAACCTAAAAATTGTCAGAAAAAATGCTCTCATTTCCTCCAAAAGAAATAAACACAGGCAAAGGTCAGAGGGATGCATTCCATGGAAGCTGTCCATAGGAGAGCAAAGTGCAAGGCAGACGGCCTGAGCCAGGGCTATGAAGCACTGAGGGTCTGGGGCTATGTCCCCAGTCTCCACATCCCCAAAGAAAAGCAAAACTCTGGCTACTGAAGACCCCTTCCCACAGCCCTAAGGAAACATTCTGACCTGGTGTGTGCATGTCTATGCTGTACTGGGGTACGTGTGAATAAAAGTATAGTCACCTCTGTGGGAATTCTTTTCATAGTCAAAGGCAAATTGTCTCCTATGCACCTTGTTTCTGAGTACTAAGCCCCTCCAAAAGGGAAGGAGTGTCCTATGTACTTTCTATATTGTTTCTCAATATCTTTCACTGCTACCCCATTGTCTCATTTCATTGCCCTTGCCCAGCCCCCATCATCTCTTAACTCCTGCCTTGTGAGCAGATTTACATCTGCTCACTCTATCCTTTATAATCCACTCTGCCTAGGGCCACTGTATTCATTGTTCTAAAACTGAAATAGGAGCCCATGGGGGGTTTTAAACACATATACAAGCATTAAGCATGAATATGTAGTTTAAATCCGTATCTTATTCCTTTTGTTAATTATTTATTAATTCAAGTATTTGGTGAAGAACCAGGTGCCAGGAACTTTAAGTCATGCATGGGATAGAGTTTGGGATGGAGAAGGGAAGTCAGGAATGAGGATAGATCGGGAATGGGATGAATGTATCTCTCATCTTGTATACATTACATGCTAATGAAAGGTGATAAAAGTGTAAAAAAAATTGGAAGAGCTACTAGTGCCTTCTGTACAAAATATGCTAATATCAAGAAGACTATCAAAACAAAACACCTTTTAAAATGCTTTGTATGTTATTTTGGTCCCAGGCTGGTAACTAGAATGAGAGCATAGATTACAAAAGAGAGACACAAATTATGTCTTATTTATTATTATATTCCCTTACCCCTATGTAGTACAGTGCCTTAAGCATAACAGGCTTGCAAAAAAAGATTTTTTGTAAATTATTTGCCAGCGTGCACTTTATACAATGAAACTATGTTTGAAAATGCCAATAGTATAATTTCTACTAGTTTTCAAGAAAGGATGACCACCAAAATTTTGGTGAAGTCCAGATTCTCTTCATTAATGCTTAGTGAGGATTTCCTTCACAGAGCATTGAGGCCAAGGTCGTATAATATTGAATTCGTTTTTTCATGTGATTCTTCTTATTTTGTATTGCTTCATTCACATAGCAATCCATCAACATTGTGATGAAAGATGATAGTAATTTGATGAGTGAACATTCCATTTTCTCCATGTCGGCAAGAATAACTCTTAGGTATTAAGATAAAAATAATTTCTTTAGGAGCTGAACAGTTGTTTACATTCCTGTTTATACTGCAGAGCAGGAGTTTTCGGCCTCTGCATTCAATTTCTGGACAGCTTATCATCCAGAAAGAGTTCTCTACCCTACACGAGACAAAACCTAGTGGACCTTTGCATAGTAAGAATATTAGTATTCCACAACATGTTCCATGTGTTTAGGATATACACTGAGCTGCTTTTAAGGGCAATATCTCTCAGGTAAGAAACTCTGCCAAGCCTTGTTACTCTTAACAAGTGATCATATGAAAGGTCTTCCTGTGGACTCAACTACCTTCTCACATCTTACTTCTCTCATTGCTGTTTAAGTTACCAAGATCCTTTACTATAAGTTACTACTATTCTTGTTTATATGAACTCTAAAAGAGCCAATAGTTGTTTCTAGAAAATCTCAACTACGCCATTTCTCCAACGATGATCAGGCACTGAATATGCTGGTATAGAAGATGAGGCTACTGGCCTACAAATACATTCTTCAAGGTTTTTTTTGTTGTTTTTTATAGGCGTGCTGGTGGACTCTCACTAACCCGTCGAAGAAGGATTTCCTTCAGGCGTTTTACTGAATATATAATTACTTTGTATCTAACAATGAATTAATCTGAACAAAAGTCTCTTCCTTAATGGACCTTGGACTTTGCTCACCAGGAACATATATCTGTATATGTCAGGGTGGCTGTGTTTGGGTGAAATTGTTCTGAAAGGTAATGGAACCAGCAGCTCCCGCAGTTTTCTGTCCCGTATACAGTCTCTTTCCTGATCTTCCTGTGGCTGTCTTCTTCTCATCATTCAGCTAACAGCTCAATTATCTACCTTCTTTAACAGACTTTCCCGGATTGCCCCATCTAGTGCTCCAACCCTCACAGTGGTCATTACATCAGAGTACCCCATTCTGTTTGCTCTAAAACACAGCACTACCTGTGATTGGCTTATTTATTTCATATTTCATACACAAGGTCTCTTTGTATATGACCTTCTCCAGTATTAGAATATAAGCTCATTGAGAGCAAGCAAATGCCTGCCCTGGCTGGCTCACTGTTGAATCCGCATTGGTTAGCACAATGCCTGATCACATGTTGAATAAATAAGCGAAGCTTGCTGTTACCATGGTACTCTAAAACTTCACTGCCCAAGAGAAATATAATGTAAGCCACATATATAATCTAAAATTTTCTAGCAGCCACATAAGGAAAGTAAAAAAGAAATAGGTTAAATTAATTTTCGTAATACATTCTATTTAACCTAACATATCGAAAATGTTGTCATTTCAACATGTAATCAATGTAAGAAAATGAATAATATAGGATATATTTGTATATTGTCTTCAAAATCTGGTATATATTTTATACTAACAGTTCATCTCAATTCAGATTCTAAATTTTCTTTTGAAATACTTGTCCAACATTTAGATTTCATAAAATTTACAATTGAAAAAGTAGATTGACATAGCCACATTGGTTCAAACATATTTAAAAGTTTTTCAGTAACTGAATTGAGGATCATTTCTTTCATTTTAATTAAAATTAAGTAAAATTAAAAATTCAATTTCTCAGTCATACTAGCCACATTTTAAGAGCCACATGTGACCGGAGATTACACTACCAGAGAGTCAATCTCTAAAACAATTATTCACAATAAAAAAGTCACGGAATCAACCTAAGTGTCCATCAGTGGATGACTGGATGAAGACAATGTGATATATATTTACCATGGAATACCACTCAGCCATAAAAAGGGATGAGATCATTTCTTTTGCAGCAACATAGGTGAAACTGGAGACCATTATCTTAAGTGAAATAAATCAGAAACAGAAAGTCAAATACCACATATTCTCACTTATAAGTGGGAGCTAAACAATGTGTACACACAGACGTACAGAGTGGCATAATAGACAATTGGAGACTCCAAAAGGTGGGAAGGTGGGAAGGTGGGAGGGGGCAAGGGATAAGAAATTACCTATCAGGGCCGGGCACAGTGGCTCACGCCTGTAATCCCAGCACTTTGGGAGACTGAGGCGAGTGGGTCACCTGAGGTCAGGAGTTCAAGACCAGCCTGGCCAACATGGCGAAACCCTGTCTCTACTAAAAATATGAGAAAAAAAATTATCCAGGCATGTGGTGGGCACCTGTAATCCCCGCTACTAGGGAGGCTGAGGTAGGAGAATCGCTTGAACCTGGGAGGCAGAGGTTGCAGTGAGCCAAGATCGCGCCACTGCATTCCAGCCTGGACAATAAAATCAAAACTCCATCTCAAAAAAAAAAAAAAAAAAGAAAGAAATTACCAATTGAGTACAATATACACTATTTGGGTGATGATTACACTAAAAGTCCAGACTTTATTACAACTCAATATACATATGTAACAAAAATGCACATGTAGTCCGAAATCTATAGAAACAAAAATTTTAAAAAACCAAATTGCAGTGTTAGAATACACATAGTATGTATTCAAATTCAATCATTTAAAAACCTGTAGGAAGCAAATTAATTTAAAACATTATCAAAAACATCCCTCTATTAAGATTTGTCACTTTTATTTACTTTCCATCTGAACAGTCTTATTCAATGGGAAACAGGTGGATCACTAATAGCAAGCCTACCTGGATGGTACATCACCACAGTCTGTGTATCTATGCAACAGTCCAGAGTAGATGAGCGTTATTACTGTGCCATTAACAAATGCAAAACCTAACTTTATCAGGCTTTCATAGCAACTTGCTTTCCTACAGAAAATCCTGTTGCTTACAGAATTTCCTGCCACAAACATTTTTGGGAAGCCCTCAGGACACTTACACAGGCTTGTGAATCAATCACATGCTCAGCAGGTACTGTTCAGTGGGATACACAGTGTAGCGATGCATCACTCTGAAATATTTTAGTTTCTTTTTTTCCCCTAAATCTGGGTATGTTCGTGGGAATTTGCAGCACATGTGAACAACTTCTGTCATTCTTGCATGAGGCAAAGGGAATTGAAAACCACGATTACTTTAGAAAACTAGTTTCACAGATTGGTCACTGTATAAAAGAAGGATATTGGTTTTGGTAGCTTGTGACCACACACCATTTCTGATCTGAATAAATTCAGAACTTATAATACAGTTCAGAAATTGAATGCAGTTTCTCAATATGAGGAAAGTATTTTAGAATAAGGCCTATTTTTCAAAGGATCTGTGGAAATCAATGCTATGCTCTCATTTAGGAGATGGAAAGAGTGAGGTTAAATTATCATTTCGATTAAATCTACAGTCCAGATTACTGGTGGATGAATTGAATGTACTTTTTTATTCATATAAAACATTTGAAATCAGAAATCTGGAGTACTTTTAAATCCCATTATTTATTTTGTTTTAATCGCCAGGTAATTCCTGAGACAGGAGTGTCCCGAAGAGCCTTTGCAATTATGTAAGAATCTCCGAGGCAGTTCTTATGTTCCTCAATTCAAAAGAACCACATAACTGCAATTTAAATAACACCCCACACACACACACAAAATAAGGTCGAAGTTTATCTCAAAATAATTTCCCCTCTCTACACTGGGATAAATATGTATAGGAATAATAGGGGGAAATTCAGTGCACTGAGCATTAAGCTGTCAAAACAGGAATGTTTAAAATATCCTGTTAGTGGTTTAAAAATAATTTGTACTCTAAGTCCAGTGACTATTTGCCAGGGAGAACCAAAGTTGAGAAATTTCTATTAAAAACATGACTCAGAGAAAAAAATGCAGAGGCCGGTAATGAAGGAAATGATTGGATCTCATTCCCAATTGGTCATTCCTAAGATCACATGTTCTGAGCATCTTTAAAAGGAAGTTATCTGGACTCAAGAGGGTCACAGCACCCTCCTGAAAACTGCAGCTTCCTTCTCACCTTGAAGAATAATCCTAGAAAACTCACAAAATGTGTGATGCTTTTGTAGGTACCTGGAAACTTGTCTCCAGTGAAAACTTTGATGATTATATGAAAGAAGTAGGTAAGGAAATGCGTTGTGGAATGACTGGATTTATAATATTTTCTTTTGGGAAAAAGAGTTTACAGCTGTGTTTATAGCAATGTCTGGAAGCCCTGGCCAGAAATGAAAAATGCTGCTTTCTATAGAGAGGCTGCACACATAGCAAGTGATAATCATTTGTTTCTAGAGAAATTCTGAACCAAAGCTACAACTAATGTTTCCTAAAGGTGTACCAATATAAAAAGGTGTCTAAATGGAATGTTTATTGTCTTTAGAAATGATAAGATTTGACTTTATTTGAAAAACTTGGGTATCCTTGGTTTACTTAGCTCTTTGCCTGTTTCTCTTTCATCCCCTTTTGCATGTAAATTAAGCAATAACTTGGAAAAAAGTTAGTATGCAATAATTTTCATTTCAAACTGAAAGCACTCTAGTTCCCTTAATGCAAGGTTCTTTTTCAGTAACCGTATGTTAGCCAATTATTTTCTTGTCTCAATGTTAATCTATTAAAATATGTGGTTGTTTTATGATAGACAAAAATTTTAATTTCAGAAAATATGTTTCTTAAATGGCTTAAATACTTCCTTTGACTAGAAATGACATAGTATGCCATAGAATTATCAACCAATTTAAAAGGAGAATGTTACGCATATAACATACCTCTTCTTTGATAGTAGAGGTTTTTAATTTTTTAGACGCTGTTAACTGTCAGCATGTCATTGGATGAATGTCTCTCAGATAACTATGGAGGTAAATCAGAAAAGACAACTTCTCACTCAGGCAGCTTCTACTTTGAAAACCTTTCTCCCTCAACCCCATGCATGACAGTCCAATAAAGTCAGAACTGGGGTTAGCAAACTGGGGAGGAATTTTATGCAATCTTAGGGTTTAGAATGTAATCATTAAATCGCAAAACACTTAACCCTCCTGTAAATTATACAGTATATATTTTTTTGCTTGTCTGTAACTATGTTTCTTGTTTTTAGATGATAGGGAAATTGGTGACTTCAGCATGAGAGAGACTTTCTAGAATAAACTAGAGTGATTCAATAAACTAATTAATATGCACTGATGCAGAAAAGCCAGGATTTGGGGCCATTTAACTATTTATTTTTAGAAAAATGTTATACTTTTAATATTTATATTTTCTAATAATACTGTGTTTTTAAATTATAAAGGGCTGATTATAATTAAAGTCAATAAAACACCTTCTGCATGAAATTAGCTGCTGTAATTGAGGATGAGTGGGCAGGTATTGTCTTCATCATCAAATAAAAGCAAAATCAAGCAAATGGAGACTGGTTTTTCCCAAGGTCAGTCATTCTAGAATCACACTCAGTTTTGCCTGCATTCACGAAGTGGACTCACTTCATACATTTAATGTTATATTTTGTAACTGAGCCAGGACATGAAGACACACCTGTGGCCATTTTTCAGACAGACAGCCAAATCGGAGCCTCAGCATTACTTATTTTGCGCCATATATCTCTCCCAGTTCTTCCCAATTTCTAACCTTTGGTTGCCTTTAGTCAAAGAAAGAGCTTAGATTTACATGCACATGTTTAAAAAATTCAGCAAATCTATGACTGCCATAAACTCTGCATGACATACACAGTGTCAGCAAGTTACTGCTATGTTAGGCTGTAAATTATTCATTCCATACCTTGCACAAGAAAATATATTCCCCTTTTTAAGAAAGAAAAGTTCACAACTTAGGTGACTGGAAATCAAAGTATTGGCTTCTAACCTATTTTAAACTAAGAAATAGTGATTTATTAAATGTTAAAGTTTTCACAATTTGATGACTAGTCCCTTTTAAATATCCCCTATAAATTATTAGCAATGATATCACCATTCTAAAATGTTATAAATGTAGGAAACATTTTGCCTTTTGTAGAAATTCATGAAAATCTTCATTTCATGGTGGAGTAATTTGAGAAAGAAGCACAGAAAAGTAGACTTGGCAACAAATGCTATGAAATGTGACTTTTGTATACTCAAAACAGACGAACCTTTAACTAAATAACTCTACATTAACCCCCAAAATTCTGTTGAAAATTCTGTCTTTGTGCCTTCTTAAATGTAATATTGAGTATCTAAGATGGAATGGTCAAGTAGCCTCAAGTATTTTATTAAGAGAGAAAAATAACAGTGGCTAACATTTTAAATATATATCTTCCCAACCACTTAACCTTTATACATATTTTTGTTGAAAATAAACAATGGGTCTCCTGAGAAGTTGTATCCAGACCAGAGAAAGGGAAGTTTAAAGAATAGGCCTACACCTATTGTTTCTCAGAGGTTGTGTTTTTGTTTTCTTTGTGGGTTTTCTTTTTTTTTTTTTTTTAAGTATTGGCCTGATTTTATCTGCAGGAGCTGTTTAAATTAGGCCTTTAAGAAACTCTCTGTGCCTTTTTCCTCCTGCACATGCACCTGTGTGCACACACACATTCTCTGACTTGGATAAGTACGTGAGAGAAAATGTAAATCTGACATCTTTTCTTTTCCTAACTGTAGGAGTGGGCTTTGCCACCAGGAAAGTGGCTGGCATGGCCAAACCTAACATGATCATCAGTGTGAATGGGGATGTGATCACCATTAAATCTGAAAGTACCTTTAAAAATACTGAGATTTCCTTCATACTGGGCCAGGAATTTGACGAAGTCACTGCAGATGACAGGAAAGTCAAGGTGAGAAATAAGGAAGTGGCACAGAGTACATGCCTGGTTTCTAAATCACCACTGCTATAAGAAATCATTTTATGATAAAAGGAGGAACACCATTTTATCATAAGCCAAAGATCCCTGAACTCCTACATCTAAACTGTGTTTCCTTAGATATAGAGTTGGTGAATTTTTCCCCATTTTATTAAGTTGTCCTCATGTTAAAAAAGTATTATTATTTTTAGAGACATGTTCTCACTCTGTCAAACAGGCTGCGGTGACATGGCACAATCATAGCTCACTACAGCCTCGAATTCCTGGGTTCAAGTGTTTCTCCCACTTCAGCCTCCTGAGTAGCTGGTAATACAGCTGTGTGCCATCACACCCAGCTAATTTCTTAATTTTTTTGTAGAGACAGAGTTTTACTATGTTGCCCAGGCTGGTCTCGAACTCCTGGCCTCAAGCAATCCTCCTGCCTTGGCCTCCCTAAATGCTGGAATTACAGTTGTGAGCCACCACACCTGGCCTGTCTCCAAATTAACAAAAAAATTATTAACATAATTTATTTGAGTCATACAATACATAGAGTATTTCAAGTGAATTAAAATACTATAACAATGTAAGAGAATGTTTATAAAAATGGAAGAAAGAAATAGAAAAACCACCCATACTACTACCATCGCAATGTAAATTTCTTTTTCATATTCCTTCACAGTAATTTTTCCAATTATGTAATTTGTATAACACTCTGGACATAACGTATCCATAAGTGGTTATGTTGTTGTTTTTGAGACTCATTTTTTTTCTTGTTGCAATATATTCTTGTCATTTAGAATTACTAATGACCTCAAAATATTCCTTTGAACAAAGGCACTCTATTTTAAATTTTTTTCTGCCTCCCTCTGCACATTGTCATTACATTTTCTTATGCCTACAGAGCACCATAACCTTAGATGGGGGTGTCCTGGTACATGTGCAGAAATGGGATGGAAAATCAACCACCATAAAGAGAAAACGAGAGGATGATAAACTGGTGGTGGTGAGTATCTTCTAGCTACTTAATTCTGGATCTTACTGCTAGGTTATCTCATGATCACTATTCCACTTAAGGAAACAGATTTTCCTTTTGATTATCTGAAACAAAAAGAGGATTTTATTGGAATTATGCTTCCACTCTGGCATTTGCCCTTCATGCTTTTGAGTTCAACAAAGGCATGCTGTCTTCTAGGAAGCATTCTCTGCCTGCTTCCAGGCATCCTAAGGCTGTCTCCAGTGGTACCTCCACCATATTGTATTACCTATCTCTGCTTATGTTTCTCAGTCACCATACAGATTTTAAGGCACCTGGAGGGGAAAACTTGTATTTTCCTGGTCTTTATATCTCCCTATCTTATTACAATATATGGGTTACATATATAGGAGTCCAGAAATGAATATCTTTGGAATGAATATTGTTTTATTCCCAACATTCAGAGAGACAATAAATAAATCCATGGTTTAATCCAGTGATTGACCAAGAATTGTTTTTTGTGTCTAGGAATGCGTCATGAAAGGCGTCACTTCCACGAGAGTTTATGAGAGAGCATAAGCCAAGGGACGTTGACCTGGACTGAAGTTCGCATTGAACTCTACAACATTCTGTGGGATATATTGTTCAAAAAGATATTGTTGTTTTCCATGATTTAGCAAGCAACTAATTTTCTCCCAAGCTGATTTTATTCAATATGGTTACGTTGGTTAAATAAACTTTTTTTAGATTTAGAAGGTGATGTAATGATGTATTCATTGTGCTTATGATGTATTCTTAGTCATAACTGAGTGAAGGAAATGGGAAATTTGCATTATTTCTTTGTTCTGATATGAATAATAACATATTTCATAATAATTCAAGGTAAAAAGGGATATCTATGGATTTCCCTAGGTAGGAGATAACAAGTATGTACCATTACTGAATATTAAATCCTTCTTTACCATAGCTACAGTTAAGTAGGTGTATCTCAGAAACCTAAGGTAGTTTTAAATGTAGTGAAATTGTCCACAGCAAGCTGGCCCAAGTGCTCACATTTTATACCCGCTCTGTCTTAGTGCGTTGCAAGAGAGGAGTATATACAGTAGTTCCCCCTTATCCACAGGGGTACATTCTAAGACCCCCGGTGGGTGACTGAAACCACAGATAGTACCGAATCTTATACATACTATGTTTTTTTTCTAAACATAAATACCTACAATAAAGTTTAATTTTTAAATTAGGCACCATAATTAATAATAAAACAGAACAGTTATAACAATATACTATAATAAAATTATGTGTATGTGATCTCTCTTTCTCTCTCCCTCTCAAAATATTTTTAATATCTCTCCAGAATTCAGTGCAAATAATTCCATCATACTCACTTCAGAAAAGTGAAGATAGTCTTGTACATGAGTAGATTCAAATTTTATTGTCGTGGTTTCCAAAGTTTTATTTTTCTCACCAATGGAACTTTTGATTCAAATAAAATATCCAAGGGATTTCAGCTTATAAAACACACAAAATTGATAATGAGTTTTCCAAGGTACTGTGTGTGTGAATGTGTATGTCTGTGTATGTGTGTGTCGTCTGTATGTTTTTCCCACCTCTTGTAGAAGCTACGAAGCACCTTTCCATATTATTGAGGTTTCCTGTACGTAGACTGAAATTTACAAATCACATGCTTACATTTTATAGTAAGACAAAATCTGCCAAAGTGTATATTGCTGTTGATATAATTCTGTTTGTGATTCTCTCTTTAAAAATAAATCCAAAGGTTTTCATTTCCTGCATACTTATCCTATGCATAACACCATGATATGCAGAGGCCAGAAGAGATGGACTAGTTCACTGACCATAAGAATTTACTGTTTTTATAAAAACATAGAGTTAGACTCTCACTTTGGGTTTGAGGAACTTAAATATAGAAGATGTATAAGCATTGATAAGGACAATTCTTGGTAAACAAATGTTTATTAAGTACTAATGATGGTGCCAGGCACTTTGCAAGCTTTAAATCATTTGTCATCAAAATAATCTGATGGGAGGATTTGGATTTCTGTTTACAGATAAAGAAATTGAGGCACAGAGCTAAACATCATAAAACTGAGTAAGAAATAGATATAAGAATCTGAAATTCAAGAGAGCTATCCTGTCTTGAATATAGACCTGGAAGCCATAAGTGCCCAAGTGGTAACTTCATTCAGAAAATGTGATAAAGTCAATTTGAAGAGGGTTCTGGAAGATGGCAGAGTAGGATGAACAGGAATTTGTCTTCCTACCTAGACAAAAAATGCACTGGCAGAATCTGTCTAACGTATCTATTTTGAAACTCTGAAATCTATTGAATCCTTGCAAAATTCAGGGGAAGTCTTAGATGATAAGTTGCAGTTAATTTTGGTCAATTTCAGCTCTTAACCCAGTTGCAGATACTCATACCCACCCACAACCCTCATAGGAGGCCACTCTGCACATGTTCCTGGAGCAGCTTGCAGTCATCTTGCAGGAACTAGGATGGGCAATAAGAACCAAGTTTTCCAAATGTTATGGATCTGTGTTTTGATTGATGATTGCTGCTTCTGATCACAAAGTGCAGACACATTGGCCAGCAGCTATTGTTGCACACACACACACACACACACACACACACACAACACCCCTTATTGTTGTAAGTCATTTCTTCTTGGGCTGAAGCAGCTTCCAGTGTATTTAAAAAGTCAGCTCCTTCCCTACTTCCCACATCATATTTTTTTTCTTTTTTCTTTTTAGGATCCAGACATTAAAGACTAGGACATTCAAGCAACCACATGTATGAGGAAAATTAAAAAGTCAGTATGCATACGTAGGGAAGTCACAGGCTCAGAAAGAACCTGAGAAGACCTTAAGTTTATTCCTTAGGCTAACTCTGGAGATAGATAGCCTACAACAATAAAAAATTAAACAAAACAAAAACAGCAATTCCTCAGGTGGGGAAGAATCTGATTACCAGAGTTATCACAATATTAGATTCAGATATTCAGTTTGCAACAAAAAAACACAAGACATACAAAGAAATGGGAAAGTATGACCCATTCAAAAAATAAATTAATATACCAACAGAAACTCTTCCTGAGAAAGACCAGATGGTAACCTATTTGACAAAGACTTTAAAATTACTTCCTTAAATATGCTCAAAGAATTAAAGGATGACGTAGAGAAAGTCAAGAAAATGAGGAATAGACAAAATGAAAATATCAGTAAATAAATAGAAAACCAAAAAGGAAACCAATGGAAAATCTAGAGCTGAAAAGCACAACAATGGAAATAAAAAAATCCACTAGCAGGATTCAAAGACATATTTGAGCAGATAGCAAAAAGAATCAGTGCAATGAAAATTATTGAGTTTGAGGAACATTTAAAAAAATTCAAGAAAAATGAACAGAGCCTAAGGAACATTTGAGACACCATCAAGCAGACCAACATATGCATTGAGAGAGTCTCAGAAGGAGAAGAGAGAAAAAGAGTCAGAGAGAATAAGAAATTATGACCAAAAACTTCCCAAATTTGGTGAAAGGCATGACTATAAACATCAAAGAAGCTCAACAAATTTCAACTAGAATGAACTCAAAGAGACCCATACTGAGATACATTCTAATCAAACTTAAAAAGTCAAAGACAAACAGAGAATCTTGAAAGCAGCAAGAGAGAAGCAACTCACCATATTCAAGGGATTTTTAATAAGATTATCAGCAGATTTTTTATTGGAAACTTTGGATGTCAGAAGGCATTAGACTGATAATATATTCAAAATGCTAAAATTAAAAAAAGTCTATTAACCAAGAATCCTGTATTAGGCAAAACCATCTTTCAAAGTGAAGGTGCAATTAAGACTTTCCCAGAAAAACAAAAGCTGAAGGAGTTTGTTACTCTTAGACCTACCTTACGAGATGCCCTACAAATGCTAAAGGAAGTCCTACAGGTTGAAATGAAAGGACACTCCATAGTAACTTAAAGCCATATGAAGAAATAAAGATCTCAATAAAGGTAAATATGTGAGCAATTCTAAAATCTAGTATTGTAGTAACAACAGTTTGTAAATCCACTTTTTATTTTCTACATTATTTAAAAGACGAATATATTTTTAGTCTAAAACTAAAAATATTTAGATTTTTAGCCTAAAAACTAGTATTATTTTAGCTTTGGTTTGTGACTCTATATTTTGTTTTTTACATAAAGAAACGGATGCATTTTTAAAATGATGATTTTTGTGTTTGGACATACAATGTATGAAGTTGTAATTTTGTGACATGAATAATTGAACCAGATAGGACAGAATTGTAAAGAAGCAGCATGTTTGTATGTTACTGAAGTTAAATTGGTATAAATTCAAATTAGAGTGTTATAACTTTAGGGTGTTAAATGTAATCCCCATGGTAACCAGAAAAATATAGCTATAGAATATACACAAAAAGGAATAAGAAGCAAATTAAAGTGTTCACTATAAAACAACCAAGTAAACACAAAACAAGACAGTAATGCAGAAGACGAAATACAAAAAGCTATAATGCATATAGTAAACAAACAACAAATGACAGAAGTAAGTGAATGGATTAAACTCTCCAATCAAAAGGTAGAGATTGTCAGAATAAAGTTTTAAAAAATGATCCAACTGTACACTGTCTACGAGAGACTTATTTTAGACCCAAAGACAAAAATAGATTGATAGTAAAAGAATGGAAAAATAAATTTCATGTAAATGGTAACCAAAAGAGAACAGGGGTTGGTATAATAATATCAGATGAAATAGACTTTAAATTAAAAAAAAAAATTACACACAAGAGACAAAGAAGGGCAATGTATATTGTTTCAATACATCAAGAAAGTATAACAATTATAAACATTTACTCACCTAATGACAATAAAAAACATAAGCAAAACCAAACAGAAAAACAAACAGTTCTACAGTAATAGTTGGAGATTTCAATAATACTCTCCCCCTCCAACCCCCATGGATAAAACCAGACAGAAGACAAGTAAATAAACAGAGGATTTAAACAACACAATAAACCAACTAGATACAACAGACATACATAGAACATTCCACCAAATAACAGCAGCATACATATTCTTCTTAACTGTAAATGGAACATTTTCCAAGATAGACCATATGTTAGGCCACAAACTAAGTCTCAATAGATGTTATAGGATAGAAAATATCCACAGTTTCCTCATGAAGTCAATAACAAGTAAAACTAAAAAATTCACAAAATTGTGTAAATTAAGCAATACTCTTAAAAAACCTTTTATTTTAAGTTCAAGGGTACAAGTTCAAGTTTGATACACAAGTAAATTTGTGTTATTGGGGTTTGTTGAACAGATTATTTCATTAGCTAGATATTACGCCTAGTACTCATTAGTTATTTTTCCTGATCTTCTTTCTTCTCTCACCCTCCACCCTCTGAAATTCCCCAGTGTGTTGTTCCCCTATATGTGTCCATATGCAACACACTTTTAATAAGTGGATCAAAGAATTAATCAAAAGGGAAGTGTGAAAACACTTAGAATTGAATAAAAATGAAAACACAACATACTAAAACTTATGGGGTACAGTGAAAGTAGTGCTCAGGAGGAAATGTAGAGCTATAAATACTTAAATTAGCAAACAAGAAAGATCTCAAATAAAAAATGCAACTTTACAACTTAATGAACTGAGAAACAACAAAATAAACTCAAAGCTAGCAGAAGTCAGAAAATAATAAAAATTGGAGCAGAGATATACAAAAGAGAGATAGAGAAAACAGTAGAAAAAATCAATGAAACCAAGTTAATTCTTTGAAAATATTTAAAAAAAAAATTGACAGAGCCAGGTGCAGTGGCTCATGCATGTAATCCCAGCACCCTGGGAGGCCGAGGTGGGCAGATCACTTGAGGTCAGGAGTTTGAAACCAGCCTGGCCAACATGGCGAAATGCCATCTTTACCAAAAATACTAAAATTAGCCAGGTATGGAGGCACACACCTGTAGTCCCAGCTACTCGGGAGGCTAAGGCTGGACAATCGCTTGAACCCGGGAGGCAGAGGTTGCAGTGAACTGAGATTATGCCATTGCACTCTAGGCTGTGTGACAGCAAGACTCCATCTCAAAAAAAAAAAAAAAAAAAAAATTGACAGACATAAATGGACTAAGAATGAAAAAGAGGGAAAACTCAAATTATTAAAATCAGAAATGGAAGTTAGTATATTACTACCAATTCTACAGAAATAAAAATAATTAGAAGAAAGAACTATAAAAAATTGTACACAAATGAAATAACCTTACGAAATGGACAGATTTTGAGAAACACAAAACTTATCAAGACTAAATTATAAAGAAATAAATTTAAAAATCTGAATAGACCTATAGCTAGCAAGGAAATTTAATCAAAAAAATCTTTCAATAAAGAAAATCCCTTGACCTCCTGTCTTCACAGGTGAATTTTGCCAAATATTTAAAGAATAAGTAATATAAATTCTTCTCAAAAATTTTTCAAACTATTGAAGAGAAGGAGACACTTTCTAACTCATTATATGAAGCCAGCATTACCCTGATACCATATCCAGACAGAGACACTACAAGAAAATAAAACTACAGAGTAATATCCCTTATGAACATTGATGCAAAATCTTCAAGAAAGTACTAGTAACATAACCAAGCAGGACTTATTCCTGGAATTCAAGGATGGCTCAAAATATAACAATTGATTGATGTAATACATTCTATTAACACAATGGAAGGACCAAAACACACAATCATTTCAACTGATGCAGAAAAAGCATTTCACAAAATTCAACACCCTTTCATGATTAAAAAAAAAAAAAACTTTCAAAAAACTAGGAATAAAAGGAAACTACTTCAACGTAATAAAGGCCAATTATGACAAGCCCATAGCTAACATCACACATAATGGTGAAATACCTGAAGGTTTTTTTCTTTCAGATCAGGATCAAGGCAAGGATGCCAGCTTTCACCACTTCTATTCAGCATAGTACTGGAAGTCCTAGTTAGAGCAATTAGTCAAGAAAAATAAATAAAGGGGATCCAAACTGGAAAGAAAGAAGTAAAACTGTCTCCACATATGATCTGATCTTACGTGTAAAAAACCCTGAAGATTCCACACAAAATACTGTTAGGAAGAATAAATAATTTCAGCAAAGTTTCAGGTATAAAATTAACATAAAAATCAGTTGTAATCCTATACACTAACAATAAACAATATAAAGGAAATTTTGAAAAGAATTTCATTTACATCATTGAAAATAATAAAATATTTGGGAATTATTCAATGTGATAAAAACTTGTACAATGAAAGCTGCAAAATTTTGCTGAAATAAATTAAGACATAAATAAATGGAAAGACATCCTATGATTATGAATTGGAAGACTCAATACTGGTAAGATGTTAATACTACCCAAAGCAATCTACAGATTTAATGTAATCCTTTTCAAAATTTCAATGACATGTTTTGCAGAAATAGAAAAATCCATACTAATATTCATAACATTTCCAAGGACCCCCAAATGGCCAAAATGATCTTGAAAAAGAATGTATTTGGAGGGCTCAGACTCCCTGCTGTCAAAACTTATTTCCAAGCTATAATAACCAAAATAGTATAGTCTTGGCAGAAAGGTAGACACAAAGACTACCTTAGTCCATTTAGGCTATAATAAATCAATACAAACTAGGGAGCTATACATAATAGAAATTTATTTACCATAGTTCTTGAAGTTGGGAAGTCTAAGATTAAAGTGTTATTCAATGTCTGGGAAGGGTCCACTTACTGCCTACCCATTGTGTCCTCACATGGTGGAAGCAATAAGCTACTTCTCTGGGGTTTCTTTTATAAGGGCTTGAATCTCAATCAAGAGGGTTTCACTCTCATGATGTAATCAACTCCAAAAGGCTTTTCCTCCTAATACCATCAACTTGGAGGTTAACATTTCAACATACGAATTTTGGGGGCACACAAGCATTTAGACCATAGCAAAGAAGAAAACATAGAGCAAAAAATTCATTCCATTGGATTTGGCAGTGATTTCCTGAATATGACACAAAAGGGACAGGCAACAAAAGAAAAAATAGTCAAGTTGTACTTTATGAAAGTTAAACATTTTGTACATCAAAAGACACTATCAGCAGTGTGGAAAGGTAGACCTGGAGAAAATATTTGTGAATCATATCTCTGAAAAGGGATTAATACCCAGAGCAGCTGGGCACACTGGCTCATGCCTATAATCCCAGCTACTCACTTTGAGGCTGCAGTGAGCTATAATTCCACCACTGCACTCCAGCCTGGGTGACAGAGTGAGACCCCATCACTAAAAAAAAAAAAAAAAGAACATCTAGAGAACCTCTAAAACTCAACAAGAAGAAACAAACAACCTGATTTACAAAATGGGCCAAGAACTTGAATAGACATTTCTCCAACGAAGTTATATAAGGTAGGGTGTGGTGGCTCACACCTATAATCCCAGCACTTTGGGAGGCTGAAGAGGGCAGATCCTTTGAGGCCATGAGTTTGAGACCAGCCTGGCCAACATAATGAAACCCCATCTCTACAAAAAATACAAAAAAATTAGCTGGGCAAGGTGGTGCATGCTTGTAGTTCCAGCTGCTCAGGAGGCTGAGGCACGAGAATCGCTTGAGCCTGGGAGGTGGAGGTTGCAGTGAGCCGAGGTCATGCCACTGTACTCCAGCCTGAGTGACAGAGAGAGATTCTGTCTCAAAAAAAAAAAAAAAGAAGAAGATATATAAATGTCCAATAAGCATATGAAAAGATGCTCAACATCCCTGTGACTATATGAAGGGTAAGATATATTTATTTATTTATTTATTTATTTATTTATTTATTTATTTTTGTCCGTGGTTCTTGGCTCAGAACTCCCACAGCCTTGTTATTTCATAAGTAGCTAGGTATTCAGCCTTCTGTCTTTGATCCCTGAAGCAACTTCAGGAAAGTGTCAGAGCAATAAACATGAAGGACAGCGTTTTGTTACAATATTGGCCTCAGAAGCAGGCCTCAGAAAACAGAATCTCTGTCTCTCTCTCTCTCTGACCTTCTCCTGCCCTCCTTTCATATGCTCCTTTTGTGGCAGGCTAGGTCTCACTAATGCAGGCCTCCACTACAACTGTCCCAGCACTGACTGAGTAACAAGGTTAACCATTAAAAGATGATTGAGCCAGTGCCCGTATACAAAGGCTGGAGTGTAACAAAGAGCTCACCAAGAGTTTTTGCCTAGTCTTTTCCTGGGCCTTGAAGCATGACAAGATAATGAAGGAATTGTTAATAGGACCCTTTTAGGATTTAACAAGTTTTATTGGGGGTCTGAAGAAACTCCCCAGGCCTCCACAAAAAAGTTTATTGGTGTCTAAAGGAACTCCCCAAACCTTTATGATTTAGCGGGAGGCAAGATAAAGGTAATCACCCCAGCACCTAGATCCATTTAGATTCAGTAAACTTACTGAGGCTCCAGAAGAAGGTCTTCAGGACTCAGACCTTAGCTATAGATTAAAAGAAGTTAATCACTTATGTCTTTAGATGAATGCACATTTACACATAGACATATAGCTTAGAAGGTATAGAAGCTCTGGAAAACTTTGTTATTTTGAGTTGGTCTGGCAATAATTTCCAGGCCTTCTCTCTGTAACTGGTTACAGAAATTAAAACTTTCTTCCTCCCCACTTCTTCTGCATCTTGTTATGGGGCCAAGAGAAATGGCAGCTCAACCTTCAGTTTGGTCCGGGAACATTTTTTTCTCCCCAAGGCAGGTCATAAAAGCTAAAAATATACTCTCCTCTAACCCCACCACTCTGTGTTGGAGCTGGACATGAAAAAATGCTCTGACTTACCTTGTCTGATTGCAGGTCATCATAATAAAAAATCTCACAACAAAGATAATCTCTGGACCTCTTGGCGTCACAGGTGAATTTTACCAAACATTTAAAGAACGACACCAATCCTTCTCATATTTTTCCAAAATGTTGAAGAGAAGGAAACCGTTTTTAATTCATTCTAGTAGGCCAGCATTATCCTGATAGTAAGGCCAGGCAGAGACACTACAAGAAAGGGGTCCTGCTCCAGGGAACCAAAGAAGAACTAAACAGGTAGGCCTTGCTGGGTTTCCTCACTCAGTCTTTTGTATTATAATCATACTTTTTTGGTCCAATTACATTTCTACATTGTTGTCTGTGTTTCAATCATGACTGTCTGATGACATCTGCTTAAAGTCTGAAGAGATGGGTTACAGAGAGCTTCCAGTAGCTGAACACAGGAGGTTTCTGGAGGGTGGAGTACCTGGGGAGGCTTCATGCCCCTGACCCCATACCTCACCCTATGCATCTCTTCATCTGTATCCTTTGTAATATCCTTTATAATAAACCAGTAAACATAGTGTTTCTTTGAGTTCTGTGAGCTGCTCTAGTAAATTAATCAAACCCCAGGAGGCGGTCATGGAAACCCCAGCTTGAAGCCTGTTGGTCAGAAGTTCCAGCGGCCTGGACTTGCTACTGGTGTCTGAAGTTGGGGGCAGTCTTGTGAGATTGATTTTACCTCCAGGGAGATTGTGTCAGAATTGAATTGAGTTAGAGGACACTCAGCTGGTGTCTGCTGTAGAATTTATTACGAGCTTGTTGGTGGGGAGAAATCCCCACATATTTGGTCACAGAAGTTTTCAGTGTTGATTGTTGTAGTATGAGAGCAGAGGAAAAATAGTTTGTGCTTTTTCCACTCAGAATCACTAATTATTAGGAAAATGCAAATCAAAACCACAATGAGATTCCTTCTCACACCTATCAGAATAACGACTATTAACAAAAACTGGAAAATAACAAGTGTTAGCAAGGATGTAGAGAAATTGGAACCCTTGCATACTGTTGGTAGAAATGTAAAGCCACTGTAAAAAACAGTATGACAATTCCTTTAAAAATTAAAAATAGAATTACCATGTGATCCAGCAAGTCTACATCTGGATGTATACCCCCAAAATTGAAAGCAGGGTCTCAAAGAGATATTTGTACACCCATGTTTATAGCAAGTTATTCACAATAGCTAAAACATGGAAGCAACTCAAGCATCCATGGACAGATGCATAGATAAGCAAAATGTAGTATATAGATGCAATGAATTATTATTACTCAGTATTAAAAAGAAGGAAATTCTGACATATGCTACAACACAGATGAACCTTGAGGACATGATGCTAAGTAAAATAAGCCAGTGATGAAAGGGCAAACACTATATTATTTCACTTACATGAGGTACCTAGAGTAGTCAAAATCACAGATAGAATGTATTAATAGAACCATGGTTCCTAGGGTCTGTGGGAAAAGGGGAATACAAAGTTACTATTTAACAGGCACAGAGTTTCAGTTTTGCAAGATGAAAAGAGTTCTGGATATGGATGGTGGTGATGGTTGCACAACAATATGAATGTACTTAACACCACTGAAATGCATGCTTAAAATGGTTAAGATAGCAAATATTTTGTGTATTTTACCACAATAACTCTCCCACCAAAAAAAGGTGATTATATAACCAAAGGAGAAGGGAGAGTTAAAAAGAGTTAAAGGTGTACAAGTGGATGTCCCCGGCCCCTAAACCCAAATTTATCATGAGCAATTCCTTCCACCCTCTCCCTTAAACTTGTTCCTCATCCTCTTTTCCACATCTCAGCAACGTCAGAATGTTCCATCTTGTTTTTCATTTCAAAACTCTTAAAATCATTCTCGAATAATCCTCCTTCCTCACTCCATAACATTTACTTTATTTTTTAAAATATTGATTATATTAACTTCAAACTTCTTTACTATGTTTGCTTTTCTTCTTCCCACCACCCATATTACTGTAATTTTTTTCTTTAATTACTTCAGAGTTCTGTCTTTAGGTCTCTATTACCTCCAGTCTTTCCTAAGCCCTGTAGACTTTATGAATGATTAGATAATGGAAATCTGACTGGGACATTCACTGATTAAAACCTTTTAGTGACTCTCATTGTAGGCAGAAAAGGTCCAATCCTGTTAGCATGGCATGTGGAAGCTGTCTTATCCTTGCCTTTTTTAAATCTAACTCTCCAGTTTTATCATGTCTCTGTTCTCTTCACATTTCTTGCTTCCATCATACCAACATGCATCTTCTTTCTTGCCTCAAGGTTTCTGTTTGTTTTGTACTTTACATTCTGCTTCTTCCTGGGCAGAATTCATTTTTTCCCACTCCCTTCTTCTCAAGCCTTCCTCATCCCTAATGTTGCCTCTGTGCTAATCCTTTACAAAGTCCGTTTATGTAGGTATATTTGTGAATTTAGTCATTTTTGAAAATGTAGTCTTCAAGTCTAATTATTATTTTTCAATTGGTGTGGAATCATAGAATAAGAAGATCCAGTTCAATATAAATTTGATAGATAAGTCAAATTCACGTTCCTATATTTTCACCATAAAACTAAGTCCATAGATACATCCAAGAAAGATCTTCAAGTAACAGCTCCCCAATTTATCCCATTTATCTTGCCTGGGATCTCTGTGAAGCTCATATAATTTTCCACTTTTTGACATTGTTTCTATCAATACATACATAAAGGCATAGAGGACACTGTACTCTGAAAGGAAGAGAGGCAGGATTAAGTGAGTACCTCTCCAAAACCCACAGTGTGGTCATAGAGTCCACCTATATCTTGAAGCAGATATGAATAGTCCAAAAAGCCAGTCACTCCCTCTTTAGAAACACAGGATCAGGTTAAGTAATGAGCTGGCTATCCCCTCTTCCCTAATTCCCACTCTAGCCATCAAAGGGCTACAATTTCTGATTTAGATATACTCCTTTCAAAGTCTGAAGCATTACTGACCTCAGTTTTCATGTAAAAATTACTTGTCAGTTTTCAGCAGATGACCCAGCCTCTTGCTTAGAACAGTGATTTTTTTCCCCAGTGTCTCCAGTACTAAAAGATGAGGAATGACTAAAGATCTGTTCCTGATTGAAGGAGACTAAAGAGACATGATGGCTGAAAGCAACGCATGATCACGGACAGGATTCTGGGTCAGAAAGGCTGGGTTTTTTCCCTTTTTTTTAGTAGGAAAAGGAAAAACTGTCAGGACAATTGGTAAGGTTTGAGTGGGGTCTGTGGATTAGATAGCAGTATTGCCATCAGTGTTGATTTCCTGATTGAGATCCTTGTTTGGAGAGGAGTGGGGCAACATTTCTCAACTTACTCTCAATGACTGAGCAACAAACAGCTTGCTTCTTATGAAGAGAGAGAGGGAGGGAGGGAGGGAGAGAGATAGAGAGAGGTAGGGACAAAAGTGTTGGAATGTTGACAATTGTGAAATCTGGGCAAAGAGTATATATGGGAGTTTTCTGTGTTGTTCGGGAAGTGTTTTTGTAATTATTTCAAATTTAAAAGGTAACCAAAAAAAACCTCAACCAAATAGAATAAAGTTAGGGGAAGAAGGTGGCATGAAACAAGAGAAAATATCAATTGCCAAAAAATGAATTTGCCTAAAAATTCTTTACATGTTAATAAATATGATATGCATAACTCCTTAGAAAGAAATTGCTATTTTTTAGCGAAGACTTGGACTAACCCAAATGCCCATCAATCATAGACTGGATAAAGAAAATGTGGCACATATACACCATGGAATACTATGCAGCCTTAAAAAAGAATGAGTTCATGTCCTTTGCAAGGACATGGATGAAGCTGGAAGCCATCATTCTCAGCAAACTAACACAGGAACAGAAAACCTAACACCACGTGTTCTCACTCATAAGTGGGAGTTGAACAATGAGAACACATGGACACAGGGAGGGGAACATCACACACTGAGGCCTGTCAGGGGGTGGGGGCCAACGGGAGGGAGAGCATCAGGACAAATACCTAATGCATTCAGGGCTTAAAACCTAGATGACAGTTGATAGGTGCAGCAAACCACCATGGTACATGTATACATATGTAACAAACCTGCACATTCTGCACATGTATCCCAGAACTTAACGTAAAATTAAAAATAAAAAAAAAAAGGAACAGTCCTACTACAGGTGAATTTTCAAGGTGGTCAGCCGCCTCCATATGCTCTTAAATAGTGAGCACTTCAAATAAATAACCTTCACCAAAAACAAAAGAAAGAAATTGCTATTTTTATATATACCTATTAAGCAGTAAATAATAGATAAGAGATGGACTTATTTTGTAACTAGTAAAAATAAACTGGAAGTTGTCATATTAAAACAATTACTTGCTCAGAGTTAATTTGGTATGGTTGTTTTAAGTAAAATTTTTATTATAAGTGAAGTGATCCAGAAGTAAAAACAATGTAAAAATTCTCTTATAAGCCCCATATATAAAAAAATTATTGGAAAAAGTGATGTTTTAAAAAAATATATCTTTTATGTTAAGCAAATAGTCTCTTGAAATTATAACATCAATTCCTCTAGTGTAGAAAATACTAGCAAATGGAAGACTATTTCAATGACAAATATCACATTCAGACTATTAACCAAAGTTAATTTCAAAATACTTGTTTTCCTTATTGGATAATATAATATCGTCTTAAAAAGAAAAATTTTAAATAATTACTTTTCAGAGTCCTAGATTAAATGTACACTTTGAAAAGTCATTATATTATTGCATCTTTAAAATTGAAATTGAATGATGAACACAGTAAGGAATATGATACTTAGAGGTGTCACTGCATGTGGAAATAAGAATCTTAGATGCTTTATCAAATCCAGCTAAAGTACTATATGTGCAACAATAAATTATCAGACATATTTCTGAATACTTGTGTAGCTTCCAGTATATGTTTAACTTTACCAGTATCCATCATCAGTGGCAACCATAGCATCTCAAAATTAAAAATTATTCAAAACTACTTGATGTCTTAAAATGTCACAAGAAAATCAATATAGAAAATGAGATGCTGAAAGTTCATAGAAAAATGACATATTGGAGAAATGAGCCTTGAAACTGTCATAAGAACAAGACATGTAACTATTCTATAACAAACTACAGTATTCTAGTTCCTTTACTAGGATTAACATTAGGAACAATCTGATTAAAAATTTTTTTTCTACTTGAGGAAATGGTGTTCACTTTTTTTATATAATCAAACCAAAGTGCCAAAGGCTAGCGGTGGTAGCAACAGAAATAGCAGAGAACTTTCTTAGTTGAGAAGGGAGACTTGTGCTATATAACTGAGAAAGATGAAGAGAGTCTGAGCATCCCTCCACCATCTGATAATGACCAGAATAAAAGGCCTGTCATAGGACCAGGTCAGGAGAAGATAATGTACTAAAACTCTGTCTTTAGTCACTGTTAGAGAGATAAAGAACACTAATGAGAATTACCAGTTAAAAAAAATACTACTTATTTCTTTGGTCACTCATCCATAAAACATTTATTGAACACTTATGATATGCCAGATACTGTCTTAAGGATACAGAAGTGAGTGGAAAATATTTTCTTTTTTTGATATACTCATAGAATAGCTCAGGAGACAGCTGGGAAATAGCTCTTTGCAGTACTATGAAATAAGCTAATATACTTCTCTTAAACATTTATTTCTATCTTCACGCCATGGGGATTATCTAGCTCTGAACCAGTGTCACAGGGAAAGAGATGTTTGAGTTGGTTCAGGAAGATGGGTCTCTGCTGTCATGAGGCCAGCTCTATGTGATTCATGCAACTGGTTGTTGTGAAGGTCCAAATTCACCATTTGGTGAAGCTATTTACAAAGGCGTAGTAATTATGAAGACTTCTTCTACAAGTAACAAAAGCTCAGAGACAAAACTGTTTAAATAAGAATGGAATTTATTAACTAACATAATATAAATTTTTGAAATAAAGTGGCCTTCAGTTCCTTCCACGTTTCTGCTCTGCTATCCTCAGTTCTGGCCCCATCTTTGAGGAGGTAACACAATGGATGCAGCACTTGTAAATATCACGTGAGATAGAAAAATGTGTAGAGGCAAAAGAGAGACTGTCTCTCCCTTTGGTTCTCTCCTAGGGGTGGGGAATTTTACAGAAGCCAGAATTTTTATTTTATTTTATTTTAAGTTCTGGGATACATGTGCAGAACGTACAGGTTTGTTATATAAGTAAATGTGTGCCATGGTGGTTTGCTGCACCTATCAACCCATCACGTAGGTATTAAGCCCCACATGCATTAGCTATTTATCCTGATGCTCTCCCTCCCCCCATAGCCCTGGCCCCAACAGGCTCCAGTGTGCATTGTTCTCCTCCTTGTGTCCATGTGTTCTTACTGTTCAGCTCCCACTTATAAGTGAGAACATGAGGTGTTTTTCTCTTCCTGCGTTAGTTTGCTGAGGATAATTGAAACCAGAAATCTGATGTTAGCTTTTGTCTCATGGGCCAACTGAGTTCTAAACGGACCACAGGAATATCATTCTATGACAGGAGAATCAAAACAACAAGGAAGATTATGCTGATGGGAGACCTTTGCTACACTACCCAGCTGGCCAACAGGCATAGCAATGTATGCTTGCTTTCTTTAAAGCAGAGAGTGCATACACATCTCGAACCAGTTAAGCAAACGTTTAACAACTTGCTCTATATTTGAACATCACCTCTGAATGCACTTTCAACTGCTGAGGCACTTATTTTGAGCTTGGGTCTTAGTTTCCTGAAATTAACTCCAGGATTTTCACTTACCCTGTTTTGCACTGTAGATAATTTAATAATTGTCCCACCCATAAAGATATCACATTATATGTTTCTTCTTTATATGTTTTCATCAAAAGCCATCCTTTATTCCACTTAAGTTATTGTTTTACAGTACCAAAATATCAACCTCCTGTTTATTTTGTTCACAAACAATATTTTCTGAATTAAATAAATACTTCATACAAAGCAGGTAAAAATATAAATATTCTTCTTCTGGTCCCTGACACTAACTTTCCAACATCTTCTAAAGTTAACTGGAGTTCAAAACCGTAATGTAAATCAACAGCTACTGAATCTACTCCTTCTTACTAAACTCAGTACCTGCAAAGTCCACTTCCATTATTGGGGTTGCAGAAGATGGTTTCAGAAGTAATGGCACAGAGATTGAAACCATTTGCTGCCTTTGTCTTTCTTTTAGAATGCAGATTCCAAACATCTTTTTCTATATGAAACTTGCCAAAATTTTTTCTTATAATTTAAAATATCTTTTAATGTAGAGTTTACTTTGTAAGCCTGAAAGACGAATTTTGTAGGCATTCGCTCTGCTTCCTTTTCAGAGCTTAAATCATATACTATTATCCAATGATAATTGTCACCTTTCTTTCCTGTCCTCAATTACCTTCGATTAACAACAATGATAATATATTAATAATACCCTCCATTTCCCTCCAAGCAATTATAGGCATTTTAGTTACATTAACTAATATCAACCCATCAACCCTGTAAGGAAGGGAAGGGAAGATATTATTTTAATGAAGAGGATGTTTGAGCACTGTGACTTACCCAAACAAAAAACAGCTGAGGTGGACCAAGCAAGGATTTCTTGTCTTAGGTAGGAAAACATCTCAGCCAGGTGTTTATCAATTTGTCAGGATATTCCTCCAGGGTTGACTCAGTATTCATTGTTCAAAAAGCTGATGTCTATTGAAGATTGTCTCCGTTCCACAAGTAATATTTGTCAGGTGACTTGGGTGTAAATCTTTTTGCTAGAAGCTAAAATCATTGACCAGAATTTAATTTTACATGCTAATTTTCTGTCTCTTAATTTGGAGGTAAATAAAATGAGTCAAATGCTGGTGCCTAGAATCTTTAGTCTTGCTGCTGTTGCCCATTGGCCATTTCAGAAGAGTCACGTGATGAAGACGCTCTTTAAATTAAACTACTGGCAGCACCGTAATGCCTATATTTCTTTGGTTTTCAATTACGAGTGGCTCTTCTCAGCAAGTGTTCCATGATGGTTGAGCCCTTCTTGGGAACCTGGAAGCTGGTCTCCAGTGAAAACTTTGAGGATTACATGAAAGAACTGGGTGAGAAATACCATTACAAATTTGGAAATTGGCAAAGCATTTTGTGATGTGATTGGGTTTGTACTTTACCATGAATTTTCCTACAATTATCTTCCTTTTGTGATCCTAGGGTATATAGACTAACACAATGTATGCTTCTACTTTTGCTTTTTTAAATTACTAGTAATAATTGTCTCTTTTTGGAAGACTAGGCCCACAGACACCTCTGTCCAGTCATGATCCATATATTTAAGCCCATTTATCCTTTTTGAAAATACTTCACCTAACTTCTAGATAGAATTTCATTTTAGCTTGGTCATTTCATTTAATAACATTTTTCCCAGCTTCAAATTTATAGACAGTAATCACTACCTACAATTAAATTGATCAATTAAATTTGTTTCAAGGTTTAAGTTATAGCTTTAAAACAGCAGTATCAACTAACAAAATTTCTAGTTGGTTAATTTTTAGAGTTCTCATAAATGTGAGAGATATTTTATAAACATGGTTTTGAAGAATTACAAATCTGAAGAAACACAACATTTTTACTCATTGAATGTCTCACCACTGGATATTCCTCAGAATTATAAACCCTACCAATCCTTTAATCTCTAACTCAAGTCATTTAGTTACACATTAATTATAATGACTTGGGTGTATAATAGCTAAACTGTTCTTTACTAATGGAAGAACAGCAATTATTTCATATTTTTCATATTTAATTAAGAGAAACCTCCCTTGTAGTAAACTGTATACAAAGCCAAGGACTTTCTTATCTTTACTTTTTTTTAACTTACATAACATGCTTAATGGATGCTTACAATTATTAATTATGTTTACTCATTCTAGACAATGAAATAACAATGCCTTATCCCCATAATAAGTCAATGTGCTTATAAATGTAATATTTGTTCCTCTGATGTAGTCAATATTCACTTTCTCAGAGGGTCATAAGAAACAAGTTTTTCTGTCTCTTCATAGATTTATAGACTCACTTGTTTTGAATAAAAATTGGGGGGGTATATAAAAAACTTGGGCCTTATGGCCAGAGTAGCACTTGTGTTGACTGGGAGCTGGGTTTAGGCATAATACAAGCAAGAATAACAGCTGAGCAGTTTCTATGTGCCAGTACCATGCTAACCCCTTTCATTTAACCTTTTAAAACATCCGCTGGCTGGGTACAGTGGCTCAGGCCTCCAATCCCAGCACTTTGGGAGGCCAAGGCAGGTGGATCACCTGAGGTCAGGAGTTCGAGATCAGCCTGGCCAACATGGTGAAACCCCATCTCTACTAAAAATACAAAAATTAGCTGGGCATGGTGGCATGTGCCTGTAATCCCAGCTACTCGGGGGGCTGAGGCAGGAGAATCGCTTGAACTTGGGAGGCAGAGGTTGCAGTGAGCTGAGATTGTGCCACTGCACTCCAGCCTGGGCAACATAGCGAGACTCTGTCTCAAAACAAAAAACAAACAAACAAACAAACAAAAAAAAAACTTGCGAGGTCAAGTATACAGTTATCCACACTTTACTATTGAGAAAACTGAAGGTTAGGAGAGGTAAATAATATGCCCAAGCTAGCAAGTGGCCAAGTTAGAGCCTGGGTTTTAACCATCTCACTCTTCTTTGTGATGCAGATGTCTAACACTGCTTCTCTACAGTAAGATGTGTCATATCAGTTCCACAATCTAAATGTGAAATGGAGTTTGATATCAGGACAGAGAAGGAGTCAGCTCTTCTGCCCACCAACTGCAGGAGTCAAGTTTGACAATGGGAAATTCCCAACCAAACCACAGGGCCAGGCTCTAAGTCAAACTCCTCCCGCACCCACAAGGTTATCGTAACACTCCACAAGGTGAAGTGCAAGCATTTGATCTCTTGAAAGGCACCATACAAATTTACATTTTAGAGGAAGTGTAATAGTCTCAGAGAGTGAATTTAGCTTTTCAAAATGTCACATATATACCTTATGACTGGGAGGATCTAGCTCAGCCCTGATATCACAGAAAACATAAAATAAGTTACTATACATTATCCAAAATTTCAAAATAGGTAAAGTAAGCATTCTTTGAAAATTGACTTCCAGAGTGATTGTTAACAATGTCTTAATAAGGTCCAAGGCTATCTCTGTCTTGTAGGAGTGAATTTCGCAGCCCGGAACATGGCAGGGTTAGTGAAACCGACAGTAACTATTAGTGTTGATGGGAAAATGATGACCATAAGAACAGAAAGTTCTTTCCAGGACACTAAGATCTCCTTCAAGCTGGGGGAAGAATTTGATGAAACTACAGCAGACAACCGGAAAGTAAAGGTCAGAACTAATTCTTCCTGGTGTTCAACAATCAGGAAAAAGTTAGAAGGTGGTTAGGCATGGTTTACTGTAATTTGATTTATCACCAAGTCTGTCTGGGCTTGTTCTGTTAATAGTCGCACATCTCTAAAGTTAATCCTTTTGCTAATTATTTTGATGGTTAACAATAGGGCTAAAAGATTCAAATTGTTTTCATTTCATTTTTTCTTATCTCTTTGTCATATGAAAGAGCACATAGAAAGAAACAACTAAACACAAATAGCTTATGCATTGTTTGCCTAGGAAAGAGCACTAATTGAATAATCTCTTGAGACTTCTAGTTTGATAGTACTACATCATGACAACAAAAGTGAGGATTTTAAGAAAAGAATTTCAAAATAGAAATTAAAAAGTAGATATGTGGTCTCATGTAGGTTAGAAGGTAGTGAGTTGCTACTTCTGATTTCTTTATGCATTTATAGAGCACCATAACATTAGAGAATGGCTCAATGATTCACGTCCAAAAATGGCTTGGCAAAGAGACAACAATCAAAAGAAAAATTGTGGATGAAAAAATGGTAGTGGTAAGTTTTCTTTAAATTGAAGTCTTTATATGTTCCTATTTGATACATGCCTTTCAAGTTATTCAATTGTTTTTGCATCCTGAATTAAGGGTTTGGTCTGAGGAGAAAGGGGCAGGGCAAGTTTAGCCTGTTATCTACCAGCTCTAATAGATTCCTCTTTGCTTTTAGGAATGTAAAATGAATAATATTGTCAGCACCAGAATCTACGAAAAGGTGTGAAGAAAGGTCCACAGCAATGAAAACTTGTTCACTGACAAGGAACTGGTACCTGAAGAAGATATGCCTCAGGGCTGGTGATTTTTAAAAAATGTCTCAATATAAATTTGCTTAATAAAAGCATCAAATTAAGTGCAGTTTTGAAGCTATTTAATAATGAGGATTAGGAACAAACCAATGAATTGTTGAGGCAAGAAGCTACTTGCCTGCAGTGTGATTGTAACAGCACCAAAGTCCCCTCTGTCCTCTGCCCACTTGACTTCCACAGTCCTTGAGCTCTCACTGAAGGACCCATTCCATTTAGGTTAAGGCATTCTATCAAAGCCTTGTGGAAATTCAGGTGATCTCCTAGGCAGCACAGATTCTAAAAACCAACATTGCTGATTTTTTTATTTTTTCAGAAGTGTGGCCCACTTAAAGCAGATACATAGATTAAATGATGATGATACAGACAGATAGATAGCACTAAATAGAGACTGGATGTCATACACTGTGGATAAGTTGCTATAAAAGAGCATTTAAAAGAGTCATCTCGTTTCTCCATAAATCCATTTAAAATAATCAGGCTGGTGCATCTGTCACAACTGTTTACAACTTAGCCTTTGCCGTATGACATTTTATTAAATGCCAGTCCTGAGTTTCTAAATGTCTAGTTAAGAATGTAATTGTTAGAGCTACACACAGTCCGTTAATAGTTTCACCAAAGGCTGTTGGTAGAAATTGATGTTCTCAGGGCTTAGGGTAAAACAGCCTAATGGAGGTAAAATTAAAGGACAAAGCCTAAAATGCTGTGGGTACCTATAGCAGTGGGAAAAGGAGAAAGAAAGAGGGGGAATTTTGTAAATAATCATTTTGTGCCTTAAACTGAAACATAGATCGTATTTGGTCAAATGTAAGTCCTTAGAGTCATGTGTATTCACTAGAGCAGAATGTCCATGTAATTTGTCATCCAAACTGGATGAGAAATTAAAATTGAAAAGGGGCACTATTAACAATTACATCTGGAGAGTAGGCATAACCTGGGACTGCTCGAGGCAAACTGGGGGTTACTGGCACCTTAGTAAGGGTGAAATTGAAGGGTAATGAACAAAAGGACTACAACATGGGGTTGAGACATGAACTGAATCCCTGGCCAAGGAAAGAAACTAGGGTTGTCACATTAAACCCTGAAGACATCTGAGGTTTCAGCTGTGGCCAGAAGTAATGGGCTTGGTGCTGGCTACGCAGCTGCTGGATGTGGGCAATGATGGTCATCCCAGCATGCCATGTCCTCCACCTTCCTAAAGGACTTGAGTGTGTACAAAATGTAACCATGTGTGTGTTCCAGAAGTCAAGATGGTGTTCAGCCCCAGAAGTGGTGTCTTGCACAAAGGGGAACATGGACCAATGCCTCCTCAATCAGCCTCTGCAAGGGAGCTGGAAATGACAGCTGCTTTAGTGACGTCTCAGAGCAGGGTCAGAGAGTTTTCCACAACTGTTAGGAAGAAGAAATTATGCTAAAAAGCACTAAGCACTTACTCACTTAAATCTTTCACTTTACACAGGCACGATTAAGAAAAGAATAATGCTGTTCCTAATTTTCAAGATATTTCTCTTTTCATATATGTCAAAGCTCAAACTACAATGAGCCTGAATAAGAAACAAACCCCTATGTTGAGTATTTTAGTAGGTGGAGCCAAAGATACTACTCCTGAGGAAATCATTCATTCACTCATCCACAAGTTCTTCTCGGTGATCACTGTGCGTCTGATGCTGTCTTAGGGACTAGAAAACATCAGAGTTAGGTATGGTGTTCACAACTTCCCTTTTATATTTGATGTAGCAGAGTCATCTTGAAACATGAATCCTTTCAATTTCAGTCAAATCATGTGAAAATTTTCTTTTAAAAATACATTAAACAGTATACTTAGAATCATTGTCTTTATTAAGAACTTTCATATAATCAATCTCTTGGTACATCTGACTTGCCTTCAAAAATTATCATCTATCTCTAAGTAAATGACAACATGATGTTTGTTATGTTGTATTAGATTTATTATAGAAGAAAGATAATGAAAGAGGGACTTTTCATTATAGTGAGTTAATGTAAAGCCATTATTTGTTTACTTTCTAAGCAGGTTTAAAATAAAATAAGTGAGAGAAGTTTCTATTCTCTCATGTATAAATATAAATAAAATATAAATATTAAATAATCAGAATATAAATATTCAGAATATAATATTTATATTCAGAAACTAGGGTTGTCACATTAAACCCTGAAAACCTGTGAGATTTCAGCTGTGGCCAGAAGTGATGGGCTTGGTGCTGGCTACATAGCTGCTGGATGTGGGCAATGATGGTCATCCCAGCATACCATGTCCTCCTCCTTCCTAAAGGACTTCAGTGTGTGCAAAATAATATAATTCAGAATATGATATTCAGAATATTTATACATATTTTTATAATATATAATTTATAAATATATTTTATTCTGAATATTTATATTATTGTATGTCAAATCCACACTGAAGTTTGTAGGAAAGTATTAATTATTTAAAGATCAATCATACTAATGCCATTATTAATATATGAGTCAAGAATCATTCACCAGATTTTCCTTGCTATTTAACACTATTAATAAATTACTGAATAATATTATTAAAATTAATTAATTAAAGAAATTAATTTAATTAAGTAAAAATTAAATGATTACACTAATATATAATATAGAGACAATTATACATTATATTTTATTATATGTTAATATAATAAACATTTATATTGGTAATTATATATTATATTATGTTACATATTATTAATATAATAAAATAAGTCATTAATATAATTTATTATTAAAATTAAAATTAATTTGTTTTAAACATTTTTAGTAGTATTTAATTTTTATACTTTTTGCACAAAAATCCAATAAACATAATGGACATGCTTTTCTTCACTGGCTATAAAAAGGGAATGGACTATCCCAAAGGTAGTAACCAAAAGTAGATGAAACATTAGGATGAAGTATCAGGACATAGTCTAGTCCCAAAACATACACTCTTATGATTTCTATCCTGAACATTTAGTCCAAAAATATAGTCTATTCATTTTGGAGTTTGGTATCCAGGCCCTTGTGTCCCTTTTTCCAGGAAGGTGGGGATTGACCATCTAACTACCAGCCCTGCTCATAGAATGGAACTCACCTGTTGACCCAGAGATGCATGCCGTGAATGGAATGGGGTTGGAGGACCAGTCAGACCTGGACTGGAATACTGCTTCTGCCACTGGCAGCTACATGAGCAAGCATGAGCTGCTTAATCACTTAAATTTTCTCCTTTGCAAAATGGAGACTTATCTGCTTCACAGGGTTGTGAGAGTAAATGAAGCCTTATCAAAAGGACTGACACAGAAAATCCCTCAGGTCTTCTCATTTTTTCCAGATCCCCTTCTGAGGTTATAAGGAAATTAGAATGCAAAGAGTAGGAACAATGTAATTGTTGAGCATGTGCACTAAAACAGTGACCAGACAAAGAGATCAAGAGGGTCTCAGCAGAGGTAAGCTTAGAGCAACTAATTGAGAAAAACGAGCAGGGAATATGGATTCTAGTTTACTTTGTAAAACAGAGTTTGAATATGAGTAGATGCTTATTAAAAGTAATATCTTTCAAGACATAAATTACAAAACAACTTCCCAAAAGTTATCTTTCTTGATCCTCAAAATAATCAATATTTTACAGATAATAAAACTTCAGCCCAAATGAAATCCACTTATTATAGTAAGTGATAAAGCTAAATGAGAACTTACTCTAAATTCACTATCACATTCTATCTTCCTAAATTAAGAAATAATGTCAGAACATGATGTACCACAATTTGAAAGCCACTGTGACAGAGATGGTTAATTACCCACTAGAAATCTGGGGTTACGCTTCCATATTACAGCATTGTTGCTAGAAAGAGTCTGCCAGCCAGGCACTGCATTGCCCAGTCCCTCCCCTGTCTCCCTGGGGCCTTATGACAATTTTGCATTAGAAAATGAGTAGAAGTGATATGTGCCACTTCTGGGTCAAGGAAATCTGTGCCTGCCTGCTTGGAGGAGAGGACTCTGAAACCTGAGGTCATGGTGGAGGCACAAGATAAATGGATCCAAGGCCTCTGAGTCACCTCATGGAGAAAAGCTACCCATAGGCCAGGAGCACTTATACTGGACTGGACATCAAGCAAAAAATAAACTTCCAGGATAAGCCACTGAAATCCTGGAGTGTATTACAGCAGCTAATATTTCTCCGAATAAGTGTGAAATTTAAGAGATGTCATTTTTACAGTTTATCTCCAGTCACGAACATGTTATAAGCTGGAATTTAACTAAAAAAAAAAAACTAGTTTTCAGTTATTTGAGGAAATAAGGAATGGATTGGCATGAATTTTAAAAAAAAACACTGTTTAAACATGAATTTAATTGATTCTCTGATCTAACTTTACTTAGTCTGAAATACATATATAGATGTAAAAAGTTCGTATGTAAATTATACTTTCAAGCCATCATACCATCTTAATTGTTCAAAAAAATTGTAAGACACAATCAAAGAAATAAAGTAGAACACAACGTAGGCTACCTGGATACCACATGATTAGAAAATCACCTGAATTTTTGAGTTTGTGTTTTCTCCTGATGAAATCAAGCTAAGCACATACACACACATTTTTCACTATGTTTTGCAAGTGAATTATTTTTAAGGGATTTCTTTTTTTTATAGCAATATGGAGCAAATGGCTAAATCCTGAAAAGTGTCTCCCACAGCTCTTTGTGCTAATACCTGAAGTACAATCTACTTGGATGTCCTGTATCTGGAAAGTGTTAATATCACCTTTTCTCTAAGACAAAATGCAAATGAGTAGAAAAATGGGGAAAACTCAGTTTATGTTATGATGACCAGAGAAAGAAACTCAGATGCAGAAATCTTGTCTTCTATTTACTCCCCAGTGAGTGAGTAACTCCAATTCTCAGGTGTTCTATTAGCAACAATGATGTGAAATCTTAGATTAGCCTTTGGAAAAGAGGCCTCGGTGTGTTAGATTCTAGCAAAAAACAAACAAACAAACAAACAAACAAACAAAAACCGCTAATTGAATTGTTTAGAGGAATCACAGACTACTTCTTTCCTCTCTTTGTTGCCATTCAACAGAAAAGAAAAACTATTAACTACCTTTGGGGCTGCATAAATGCAATTGTCACCATAGTAACCAAAAGACCAAATACCCACTGGTAGCCGAGGAAGTTGCATGAGATGGTTTGCATTAAGAAAGCAATTTTAATTTGACATTGTTAAACTTAGAGCAAAACACTTATTTGAAACATGGAAGAGGAGGTTATCTGTCCTGAAGTGCCATTGTCACCTTCTGCTAAATACCTGTCTGGGAAAGGTACTGGCTGCTCTAGTAGCTGACTCCTAAAGATAAATCAGATCAATAGTCTCATGATGGTGTCTAAGAAATTTCATAAGGTATCTGCCTAGATAGTAATGGTCAACGGGCTCTTAATGGCATTTTCACAGTATCCATCTGCAAATGACAAAAAGAAATAATTGGATATCATGTGTCTTGATTGTTTACTTAATGTCTGTCTTCCTAACTAGAGTATAAGGCTTATGAGGGAAGGAGCTGTTGCTATTTCACTCATCATATTATCTCTAGTACTATCATAGTTCAACAAATATATGTTGAATAATTGTCTGCATTTAGGCTTGTGAGATACTGTACAATGAATCTTAGAATCATCTTACATGCACTTTCCTAGTATCATAATAAGATTATGTCATACTGAACATGGAAACAATTGCCTGCTTTTACTGCTGACTAAAGGAAAGACCAAATGAAGGAATGAGTGTCACTTAGTTATATCCCAAGTCTTGCTCTTTCTGTGTCTCCAGAAAAAGAAAAGAAAGAGAAGGCAGGGGAGGGAGAGGGGAGAAAGAAGTTTAGAAGAATACTACTACTGATCATAAGCACTAGTTTTTGATGCTTTCATAACATTTATTATCTGATTTGATGCAAACAAAAACCCTTGTAAGTAGAAAATATTCTGTTTTCTTCATTCAGTCAGTCAACAAATGGTTATTCATTACCTACTGTATGCATGCATGGTATTTTGCACTTGGGATACTACATGAGCAAAATCACGCATTGTCCCTGATCACATGGAATCAAGACGTCAGTTAAGCTATTTATCAAGTTATATTCAAAATTTATAAACATTGCCATTGCAGTAACTGTTAAATGATGATATGCATGGTAAAGAAAATTTTAGGAAAGATGGTTGAGTTAATATCAAGAGAATGTCGCTCTAAAGGTCCGAAAGGATGATTGAGCTGAGAATTAAGGATTAAACATGTGGGAGTGATTACATATTACAGGGAAAGAGACGAAGGGAGGTATTGCCGGAAAGGAGAACGACATGTGCAGAGATCTTGGTGGAGGCAACCTAGAAACTAGGACTTTTTTATTCTCTAGAAGAGTTTGTGTAACATTGGTATTATTTTTTCCTCAAATATTTGTAAGAATTCATTGGTGAAGCCTATGGGCATAGGGTATCTTCATGAGATGGATTTTAAATATGGATTTAATGCTAATAGATTTGGGAGTATTCAGGATTTTTACTTTTTCTTGCATCATTTTTGATAAACTGTGTTTTCTAAGAAACCTGTAAGTCTCTTTTAAATTTTTTTATTTAAAAAATTTTAATTTATTGACATGAAGTAGTTTATAATATTGTTATGATCTTTTTCATATCTGTAGGATATATTAATATGCTTTTTTCCATTTCTGTGTTCAATAATTTTGTCTTCTCTATTTTTAATCCATCTTCCTAAAAGTTTATCGATCTTACTAGTCATTAAAATGCTTTTGGGTTTGTTGATATTTTCTATCATGTTTGTTTTTATTATCTGCTCTATGAATTATCTACTTCCATTGTCCATTGTTTCTTTTAGCTTTTAAGTATATTTTCTCTTTTTGTTCTATTTATTTTTGATTAGCAATGTATATAAAAATTATATAAATAAATTTAGACCTCGGGTGACATTATCTTCTTTCTCTGAAGAGGGTTTATGTTCATTTCTGACTAGTAGCTCGGTTCACTAGCTATCCCAGATCACATTAATTTAATTTTAAGAATTGACTTTATATTAGCACAGGTATATTTTGAGCTTATCCTTAATCCTATGTTGCAAAGGAGTCTCAAGACAAAATGTAATGATTAACCAGGATTCTTCTTCACTTTTCCCCTAACCCTGTAGCATTGTCCTAAATGTTCCTTGGATTTTTCACCTCTAACCTGCCTCTTGCAGAATTCATAGATCCCTAGAGGAGCAGAAGCTCCAAATATGAGATTTGTCTCTCTGGACTTGCCTTTCTTTCCCAAGTCCTAAGCCCTTAGTTTTTCTCTGCCTTTTTATCTCTCTGATGCCTTGAAGATTTTTTTTCCTAATTTTGTTCATCTTTTTACAGTTGAGAAGTGAGTTTAATTTCCTCATCTATCATGGCTAGAAGTGAAAGTTCTAAGTTCTATTTTTATTTTCTTCCCAACTATTTATTTAAAAATGACACTTTTTAGAATGAGATTCAGTCATCTGCAACAACATGGATGGAACTGGAGCACATGTTAAGTGAAATAAGCCAGACATAGAGAGAGAAATATCACATGTTCTCACTTATTTACAAGATCTAAAAATCAAAACATTTGAGAACCCATGGAGACAGAGAGTAGAAGGATGATTATCAGAGGCTGGGAAGGGTAGTGCAGGAATTGTGGGGGAGTAGGAGGGAGGTGGGGATGGTTAATGGTTACAAAAAAAATAGAATAAATAAGACCTAGTATTTGATAGCAGAACAGGGTGACTATAGTCGATAATAATTAAATAGTACATTTAGAAATAAGCAAGAGTAAAACTGGATTGTTTGTAACACAAAGGATAAATGTGTGAGGGGGTGGATACACCATCTTCCATGATGTGGTTATTATGCTTTGCATGCCTGTACCAAAACATCTCATGTACCCCATAAATACATACACCTACTATGAACCCACAATTTTTTAAGTGACCCTTTTAAGTTGATTATTTATCTTGGTATTCTATGGTATGCTTCTCTTGTCATCAATTATTATCACAATATCAATTATTATTACAAATAATTTCAAATTCATTACAATTAATACTTCTTGCTTCAAGCCTTTATCAAATCATGAGTAGAATGTAAGTTCCATGAGGGCAAGGAATTTGATTCAATAATGTTTAACCAGCACTTTCAACAGTGCTTGGCACTTAATAAGCTCTCAACAAATATTTTTGCAATTGAATAAACAGCAAAAGTTGAGTTGGATCTTTGGCATCCAAGTGGAGGGTCAGGAATTCTTTGTTCATTTGCTATGTAATGATTGATTATCTTATTTCTTTTTCAAATATATAATTGGATTTAGCTTGAAGACAATCTATAAGGAACACTTACATGGTTTGTTATATAGAGTAAGCTTTCCTTATTTATTTTGTTTGGACCTTTGGATCTTCCTTTCAGTGTATGAGTCAAATAACTTGCTGTATCTTGAGAATTTACATGGACAATAAATTGGTGAAGAGAGAAGAACTGAATACACATCATAGAGAGACTATATGTATTTTACAAACATGTAGTTCAGTCTAAATATATACATCTAGTTATAATGTGGTTCTATGCATTCTTTCTTGTTAGGACATTGATGACTTTCTTAGCTAGGAGTGATGTAATGTTTCAGGCCTAGTTCAGTCCGGGTCTTCCCTCATTGCTTTGATCTGTGCCTTTGGCCCATATATTGGCCTCAGAATCCCATCACGGTCCAAACTTGTCTGGTCAGTTCTATTAATAGCAGTCAGGTACAATTGCTGATAAGCCTTAAGTAGAAAATTTTTCTCTTGGTCTAATATTGCTTCAAAGTTATAAGTTTTCTCTCTTGGAAATATATGGCTCAATGTTTATGTTTTAAACTCCACTGCTGTTCCTATGTGCAACACAGAGTCAGCTTAAAATTCACACAGCTTTCTTGTAGCAGTCCCACTGAATACAAGGTCTCAGCTCTAGTGTGAGGGTTTGGGAGTCCTTCATTTATTTAGGCAGAAAACCTAAATGTTGAATGCTGTACTCCTTAATAGTGTACAGCTAACAAAAAAAAAAAAGTTTTGAAGGTACAAGTGATATCATCATTTCTGTAAAGTGTTTTGGAAAATAAAATAACATATCCACTAATCAAAAGCTTTTTCTTTCACAGTTGTTTTTTCTATCCCAGTACAATGTACTCCCTCCAGTTACATTCTCTTGGGTTTAGGATTGGGTTAGTTGGTTAGCTGAGGAATTTTCCTATTCACCATTTCTTTCCCACCTTGAGCTATTCAGGCACTGGGATTGTAAATGAAACTTCAGCCCACTGTATATGATTTCACGTGTTTTACTCAGCTTGAACTCTAACTATGTAACTGCAATAGTTATGTCACAGCTATGCGACTGGGTTTCTTGAGCCCTTCTTGCTAGTAATTCTACCTGTTATGAGCAAATTCATCATATTTTTGTTGTTGTAAACAGTGCCAACCTGTTTACTAAATGTATAAAACTTGGTAATATCAGTTGTCTCCAGCCAGAATTAATGCTAAGGTAAAAACAAACAACAAACAAACAACAACAAAAACAAACAAACAAAAAACCTGCTAGGAAAGATATAGCAGTAATCAGAGATTCTCAAGAGCAACACTTATGTTCTAAGTGGATTTACGTTTGTTCCCCTTGGCCAAAGACTGGGGCTTTGATGTAATATAGTAGGCTGGATCTTTTGATTTTTTACCTCTCTTGATTTTTGAGAAGAGAGAGAGTGTTTCTAGCTAATCGTGGTGCTATCAGCATCAGGTGATCTCTGGCCAGGGCCTCCGTGCACGTAGCATGTATGGTATAGTATAATAGAAGCAGGGTAAGATCATGGTTCAGAACCCGGGCACTGGCAGCAATGCTGGGTTCAAACCTGTCCTCTCCTTATTCAACTTTTGGGAGCAATTTACCTAATGTCCCCAAGCTCATTTTTATCATTGGTAAAATGGATATAATAATAGTTCCTAACTCTTGGAATTAGTGATATAATTAAATGAGATCACCCGTATTAAGCACTTAGCACAGTGTCTGGCCCATAGTGAGTTGTCAATATAAATTAGTACTCTTTCTATAGAAAATCCTCTTTATAAAATTGTAGATTCATTTTAAATGACTTAAACACAAATAGTTATAGTATCCAGGAACCTGCTTAGTTCAGACTTTAAGTATTTCTAGCTGAAAATCTTTGTTGTGCTCAAAGAACATGTTATAGTGCTACTTCTTGTTTCATCACATGAATACAATTTCTGTGCTCTGCTGCAATAGACTGACTTCTTTGTCTGCCTACTCTGCCTGCCTGGGATATGTGAACTATGCCAAGCCTTCTTACCTATGAATACTTCCTCACACTGCTCCCCTACGTTTCTCTCCCACAACATATTTGAGACTGTTATCATAATACTTACAGACATTTTCCTCTTTTTCTTCCCTTTCAATAAGAATTCTTAATTGTGCAGACTCAGGATTGAGAGTGACCGACATGCCTAAACACACACACATTCATTCATGATCACAGAATTCATGCAGTCTTTTCCAAAGCATGAAGGGCCTAAGCCTTCTTATAAATGTAAGATTGATCAAAAAATTTTTGAAGATTCAAATAGTAATCTCATTCATTTTATAAATTTTTTTGGAGACAAAGGGAAGTATTATGTGGGGTTTTCTTTTATCCTATTGGGCGGGCAGCTGGCCATTGAAGAGCCATTCATTGCTTAGTCCCGACACTGCCTTTCCCCATTGGGTCTCTGTAAGAGTCACACGCTTTGGGCATCCTTGAAAAGAATCTTCTGAGGCCTCAGCATTTTATCTGAGTCTTCTGAATCCCACTTAGAACTGTGTTGAGCTCTCACCCATCACGATGAGCAACAAATTCCTGGGCACCTGGAAACTTGTCTCTAGTGAGAACTTTGACGATTACATGAAAGCTCTGGGTAAGAAATGCTTTTTGTTGTTCTGCTGAAAAGCTCCTTTTTAAGAAAGCTACATGACATTTTCATCTACTACTTTTAACAGGATACTGGGGAGTTTTGCAAGGCTGCAGTACAATCCTCTTTTAGGATTAATCTTTTGTTGTGTCATTCAGATAATTTATTTGAATTTTATTTGTGGTAATTTTTAATAGAATTAACTTAAATGAGAGAGCTGCTTAAATGCATGGAATGCCCACTGATTTCAAGGGCAATTTCATACCAAGAGAATTTTGGTTGCAGGTCCAGAGGAGAGAAAGCTTAAAAGCATGGTCAACCCATTTTCTGGCTTTTCTGAGAGCTACGTTCATAGCAACTGAAGTGTTCATAAAATAAGGAATTGAATATATTGCAAATCCTAGAAAATCTCAATTTAAAAATTTAAGTTTTAGCTAAACTAACAGTTTTTTCTCTCTACCTCTAGGTTGTCCTTTATTACACAATCATGTAGATACAGAGAGTTTGAAAAACAAAAATACTTCCTAAAATACTGTGTTCATAGTCTAGGGAAGTTACTGAGAGAAAAAGAACTGGAGTTATGGCAGTGAATTCAAACTCAATTTCGCTAACATCAGACGTTTCTGGAGTTGGAGCAGTGAGTGAAGATGGAAAACCGAGTCATTAGTTACAACAACTTTATTTTATACTATTTCTAGAGTATGTCCCATCGATATAAACACAATAGATATGAAGAGTCTTTGGGAATTTTCAGAACTATATAAATACAATAAAGAGTGATGCCAGTGACCCGAGTTTGCTGTGCTTGTCAAAGTGCCTACAGCTTTACTTAACTGTTCAGAAAGCCTGTATAAAATGTTCTATTTTAGATAAAATGAGCAAAGTCATGTCATTGTTGCCTGGAACAGTAAGAGAACTTATGGGGATCAATTCATACTGTGAGATCGGTTAGATTTAAAGACTTCACTTTACAGCTGAGGAAGAAGCCAAATAAAAGAAAGTCTCAGTGAAGGATTTTCTAATTCCACTGTTTTCCAGTTTAGCATGCAAAATAACACCTTGGGATTTGGTAAATATAAATTCTCAGGCTCTGACCCAGAGATTATGATTTAACTTGAGAAACATTGTCCTAAACTGTATAAAATAACAAAAGATTAATCAGAATTTGAAGAAAGAATATAGTTTATAGTTTATTGGCTGTAACTCTTAACTTCTTATTCAGTATGTAAAAGTTTGAGATCTTTTTAACTGGAAAAAGTTATTCAACCATTGAGACTTCCTGGAAAATTAGTTTTTCTTTCATATATTTTTTATTTTACATTTTCCCTTTTCCATATATTTTATAGTCTTGGTAATAATGGTAATAAACTTAAGAGTCTAATTTTGTTTCATTTTTGAAATGTAGAAGAGTTTTTTAAAAAATATTTTATTTCTCTATGATCATTTATAATAGTATAGATCTCAAAGTTAGATGGATAGTTTTTTTCCTACCAGCTAGATATAGAAGCCACAAAATTTCAGAAGTGAAATTCTATCAAAAATATGAGGGGAATACTTCTCTATATCCATAATATGGTATTGAGGGAAAATATCATAGAACAATACGTATATGCTATAGTCTCATCTTTAAAATATATCTATAGTATTTGTACATACAAACTAAAATCTCTAGAATGATTTATGCAAATCTATAATTAGTAATTTTCAATGGGGAATAGGATTGGATGTGATAAAAATGGATGACTTGCAGTAGCTATTTCAGCTGGAAACTTTTACTCTTGAAAATCTGCAGACATTGGCCGGGCGCGGTGGCTCACGCCTGTAATCCCAGCACTTTGGAAGGCCGAGGAGGGCAGATCACGAGGTCAGGAGATCGAGACCATCCTGGCTAACACGGTGAAACCCCGTCTCTACTAAAAATACAAAAAATTAGCCAGGCGTGGTGGCGGCCCCTGTAGTCCCAGCTACTCGGGAGGCTGAGGCAGGAGAATGGAGTGAACCTGGGAGGCGGAGCTTGCAGTGAGCCGAGATTGCTCCATTGCACTCCAACCAGGACGACAGAGCGAGACTCCGTCTCAAAAAGAAAAGAAAAAGAAAAAAAAAAAAGAAAATCTGCAGACTTTACTTTTGCAACAACAAAACCTAAAATGTTTGAGTCCTGGGCATGTATTTCCATTAGGAGTGAAACATGGGAGGAGATGCTTAGTAGTAAGTGATATTACCTGCCATCAACTCACCTGGGGCACCACTGAGCGTAGGATGTGGCCACCACAGTCTCTTTGGCTATGCTCTCTTGGTCAACATAATTCTAACACTATCTTAATTTTCAGGTGTGGGGTTAGCCACCAGAAAACTGGGAAATTTGGCCAAACCCACTGTGATCATCAGCAAGAAAGGAGATATTATAACTATACGAACTGAAAGTACCTTTAAAAATACAGAAATCTCCTTCAAGCTAGGCCAGGAATTTGAAGAAACCACAGCTGACAATAGAAAGACCAAGGTAATCTTTAATGTTTCTCTTCAAAGTTGGCCCAGTGGGCTGCTTGAGAGAGAGGAATATTCCTGCTAGTGTAAAAGGGTAGACTCAATTCTGTTGAAAAGGAGTGTACCTCCTGAGACATCTATATCTATTATGAAAATGGTTCCATACTGAAAGAACTGCTTCTTTGATCAACAAATTTCAGGCAAGTCAATTGCATGACCTTGTCTTTGCAGAGCATCGTAACCCTGCAGAGAGGATCACTGAATCAAGTGCAGAGATGGGATGGCAAAGAGACAACCATAAAGAGAAAGCTAGTGAATGGGAAAATGGTAGCGGTAAGAGTATCTTTACTTCTAAATAGAGAAATAATGCTATATAAATAATTTGATTATATTGTTTTCAAAATATTCTTTGTTCTTTGGAATATGAATGGATAAAAATGACTAAGAATAAAGTAAGAGTTAATGCTTCAGTGATATTTAAACTATTACAGACTCATCTTCAAGTACTGACCCAAGATTTTAGAAATAAAAAAAGCCATTTGTTATTTTACAAATAAAAATACCTAAAAATGGTAGTAAGGTTAAAGAAAGTATAGGTAAATCTTACTAGTTTGGGCTCACAAAGAAGAAAGCAAGTCTAAATTTTAAAAGCAAAACACTCTCTGCAAGGTGTATTTTGTAGACTATTTGCAAAGTCATTTGTAGACTATTTGCAGATATCCCACAATTTTGAATTCAAGAGCCCATAGTAACTTAGAATCAATCATGTCAATAAAGCAAGCTGAGCTCATTGGAGACTTCTAGTTGGCAGATGAAAATAATGACAAAGGTTGTATGTGATGACCTTTGATGATTTTTTTTTTTTAGGGTTAAGGCTTTATGTTCACTAATTAACACATACATTGAATGTAAATAGATTCATGTACTCTTCCGAATGTTTCTTTCTTTAGTACAGTGGTTCTTAGCCCTTGCTGCACAACAGATTTACTTGGGGAGTAAATACCAATATGGAGGCCTCCAAACAGATAATTCAATGTAAATCTCTTGGGGGAGGAGGAACCATCACTATATTTAAATATTCCCCAGGTAACGCAAATATGTAGACATTTTTGAAAACCACTGTCTTATTAGATTTAAATGCAAGTGAACTATACATAAAAACTTGCCACTTAAAAAAATTCCTTTACAGCAACGTAGATCAACTTTTAAATTGTTTCTTCTATTTCAATGGTCATAATTCTGAATTACTGGAGACTGACATACTGATATTTTATTCCTTTCTAAATTAATCTTATGAGTTTATTTTGAATTTCTATTTTTATTACAAATTTTCTGTTCTCTGGTTTGAACTTGAGATACTCAATTAACCTCTCTCTTTTTTAAGGAATGTAAAATGAAGGGCGTGGTGTGCACCAGAATCTATGAGAAGGTCTGAAAAATCATTTCTTCATTGAAGTGGCTTTTTATCATTTAATGATGGAAATCAATTGCTTCCATTGACAAAACTGAATACACTGCAAATATTTGTTTTTGCTTTTGTCTTAATATATCAGATATGCAAAGGCCTAAACTGAGAATTAATCTAAAAGTCAGTGTTATTTAAACATTTTCAATGTGCATGCATGTCATTATTACATCAAAGCATATATATTGGCCAGACACAAACAGTTGATGATGTCATTCAATTAACTACAAAATTCTAATCTATGTTGAACTTTGTATACTTGAAATGATAATAAAAAGGATATAATTTCTTAGTAAAATGAAATCAAAGTATTGATCAGGGTAGCAAACTCAAATGCTGACAGGGGCCAGAGGAGATATGGGGAAGGAGCATCAGAAATGAGGCAAGCTAGGAGAATGGGCTATTATAATGTAAAGAATTGTAGTCTCAGTTAAAAGGGGTAGCCTCTACTCCAGCCAACATTTTAAAATTAATGGATAATTTATAGACAGTTAAATTTATAGACAGTTAAGTAAAAATGGATAATTTATAGACAGATAATTTATAGACAGGTAAATGTGAGTTAAATATAACTCACATCCCACTCAAGACACAAAACATTTTCTTAATCCTAGTACATTTTTTTCTGTCCCTTCCCAATCAGTGTCCTTTTCTGTTCCACCCCTACCAAAAGCAAGTAGTGGTTTGGTTTCTATCATATAGATTAATTTTACCTGCTCATATGAAGGGAATTGTACATCATGCATTCTTTTCTGTTTGCCTTTTTTAAATTCAGCATCATGTTTTTGTGATACATCCACATTGTTGCATGCAGCTGTAGTTTGTTTCTTTTTATTACCAAGTACTATTTCATTGTATGAATATATCACAGTTTATCCATTCTACTATTAAGACAATTGAGCTATTTCTAATTTTCGGCTGCTATGAATAAAGCTGCTACAAATATTTTTGTACAAGACTTTTTGTAAACATAGGAGTCCCTTTATTTTAAATAAATAACTAGTCATATCATTAGGTCCAGTAATTGTTGACAGGCAGGAACGGGGGACCATTGCATTGTGCCCAAGTAATAATAAAACTATTTCAGATGTATTATATGATTGAGCAAATGAGAAAACATGTTGATGTTGATGGGAGTCAGGATGTTCACTATGGAAAAACAAATATACAAATATGAAATGAGGGAAGGCAAGAAAGAACCATGTGGAAATGGAATAGAATTGGTATAAATTCATAATTTCTAAACCATGTATATGTACGTTTATATGTATTATAATTGCATACACATGCCTCCATGCATATATGTGTGTGATAATACACATGCATTTATGTGCGTGTGTGTATACACATGCATATATTTACTAATCCTATCTGCCAAAATGGCTTAGACACAAAAACACCTCAGCAGAAATGAATATACCTAGCACTCAGATCTTCGTGTCTAATATAGTTTGCCACTAAAAGGAACCAAGGCTACTTGGAAAAATGGATGATTCCAAAGCAAGGGCAAGGTAGGAACAAGATGAGCTTGAAATATCTTGTTATGCCAGAAAGTAATGTTAAAAAAAAAAATAGAGGTATATTGCCAAAACATAGAGCCAGCTTGAAGGGGCTCCCACTGGCCAAACTTGAGCCAATCTGAGAGCAAAATAATTGAGAAAAATAAATAACAAGATAATTGAGAAAAAAATAAAATAAATTCCCAATTCCATTGGGAAAAAATAGAAATCCATGAATCCATACTGATATAATGATAGATAATCGATAGATAGGTAGATGACTGACAGATGATAGATAGATATATAGATAGATAGATAGATAGATAGATAGATAGATAGATAGATAGAGAAATGAGAAGGTTTCTCTTTTGCAATAGAACGTCATGGACCAGTGTTAAATGTGAGTGGAAGGAGTTCTGGAATTGGAAAACCATCATTTTTCAACCATCACAGTAAATATGGCTCAGGCAAGAATTATCAATCAATGCTAAAGCTAGGGGGAAATTTCGCTTAGGAGCAGGATATTAGGGTATTAGTCTGGGCTTAAAGTATCTCCTCACAGATTGTTGTTAGTTTCTGGGGAAAGAATAGTAACCATGCAATGGAAAAAAATGGACAACCTCTTGACTAGGTTATCAAAATTAACCTCACCAATAAAGGGTGGATGTTCAACATGTGCCTTCAAATGTGACCCACTGAGAAGGAAACAACATCACTGTAACAACAACAACCAGAAACGACAGGGGGTTTTGACTGAATTCTTCAAAAATGTCAATGTCATAGAAGACAAAGAAAGGTTGTGGAAATGTTTCAGATTAAATGATAGTAAAAACACCTGACAACTAAACATAGTAAGTAATACTAGACTGGATTCTGTACCAGAGGTAACATAAGTGCTCCAAAGGACAATGTTAGGTCAACTGGCAAATTGGAATATAGACAGTCAATCAGATAAGAAGTATACTTTGATTAAGTAAAAAAAATCCCTATTCTTGGAAAATACACAATAAAGTATTTTGAGGTAAAGGGCCATAATGTATGCAATCTACTCTCAAAAAATTCAGAAACATATATTTGTGTGCATTTGCATGTGCAACAGTACACACAAACATACATAAAGAGAGCAATTGATAAGGCAAATAAGGTAACATTTAACAATAATCTGATACACATAAATAGAGAAAGAGCAATTGATAAAGTAAATGAGGTAAAATTTAACAATAATCTGAGCAAAAGGTATATGTGTTTTCTTTGAGACAGTCTGATTCTTGCAACTTATTCTGTAAGTTGGAACTTATTTCCAAACATGATTGAAAAAAAACCCCGCACTTGGCAACTTCTTCTCTTTTTCAGCCTAGAAATGTCTGTGTTAAGTGGTTTTTTATTTATTGTTGTTGTTTGTTGTTATTGTTGTTTTGTTGCCAGGCTCCAACTCACAAAATACGAGTTTAAAAACTGCGTTGTTATTTTTAGAGATTTGTGATAATACAACTTGTTATAAAATTTATTCCTCAATAAATATAATTTCTCTACTATGCAAAAATTATGAGTGCTTTTTATTTTCATAAAAGAAAATGTTGAACTACACTGATAAGAAGGAAGGCAAAATAATCATTTCAGCAAACAGTATACTTGTTAGATTTGAAAACGATTTTAAAACAACCATAAGAGAGGGAAAAATAAAACAAAATGATATTTTAGTAAATTTGGGCTGCTGTTACAGCAAAACAAAAATAAACTGAATAGCTAATAAACAACAGAATTTTGTTTCTCACAGTTCTGGAGGCTGGGAAGTCCAAGATCAAGGTGTGGCAGATTCAATTTCTAGTGACGACTGGTTTCCTGGTCCATAAATGGCATGTTCTGGCTGCATCCTCACTTGGTAGAAGGGGAAAATGAGATTTCTTTGGCTTCTTTTATAAGGACCCTAGTCCCATTCATGAGGGCTCTACTCTCATTACCTAATCACCTCCCTAAAGGTCCCACCTCCTAATACCATCAACTTGGGAGTTAGGATTTCAGCATATAAATTTAGGGGTACACAAACATTCAGACCATAGCACTTGAGTTCTGTAATATTCAAAAATAGATCAGAATATAATTTTCCTTCTCTAATTCTTTTTTAATATAACACAGTGGTTAAGAACACAGCTAGAGGCAGGACTAGCTTGCAGCTCCTGCTCCAATGGACAGAGCAGTGTATAGACTTTTGCTTCAAGAACTACCACAGGGACATACCAGGAAAGCTGAGAGAATCCACAGACCCTTTGAAGGAACTGGATCACCACTGCAGGCTCCCTGAGGTGCCAAAAAACTGTGAGTCTGCTTGCTTTCTCAATGGGGCGGCTCGTGGTCTGGGGCAACTTCTCAGCCCTGGTCACAGGCTTCCTGGAAATACACTCAGTGCTGTTGGAGGGCTCTGGTGAGAGTGAGGTTTGCCTTTGGGACTGTGGGCTGCATGTGAACAGGGTGAGGCCTGTGACTGACAACTTTCCCCCACTTCCCTGGTGACCTGTATGACTCAACAGAGGCAGCCATAATCTCCCTGGAAATATAACTTCATTGGCCTGGGAACCACACCCCCATGCCCCACAGCAGCCACAGCAAGCCCCACCCAAGAAGAGTCTGAGCTCAGACACGCCTATCGCTACCTACCTGGTGGTCTTTCTCTACCTACCCTGGTAGCCCAAAACAAAGGTCATAATCTTTGAAGAGCTCTATGTCCCTGCCCACCACCTGGGAAACCTGAACACTTAACCAGGGGTTCCTAGGGCAAGTATGCATCCTCCCTATAGGACTGCAGCTAATGTGCTCTTGAAAGCACCACCTCCTGAATGGAAGCCAACCAACACAAAACCAGCGCAATAAACAAAAACAAAACCACAGAGTCCACTTTACTTCCTTGCTACCTTCTCCCAGAACAGGTGCTGGTATTCACAGCTGCAAGACCTGAAGATAGATCACATCACAGGCCTCTTTGCAGACACTCCCTAGTGCCAGCCCAGAACCCAGTAGCTCCACTGGGTGGCTAGACCCAGAAGAGCAAAAACAATTACTACAGTTTGCCTCTCAGGAAGCTCCATTTCTAGGGGAAGAGGGGGAACATCACATCAAGGGAGCACCCCCTGGGACAAAAGAATATGATCAGTCCTTCAATCCTAGATCTTCCCTCTGACATAGTCCACCCAAATGAGAGGGAGCCAGAAAAACAATTCTAGTAATATAACAAAACTTGTTTCTTTAACACTCCCAAAAGATCATACCAGCTCACCAGCAATGGATTCAAGCCAAGATGAAATCTCTGAATTGCCAGAAAAAGAATTCAGAACGTTGATTCTTAAGCTAATCAGGGAGGCACCAGAGAAAAGTGAACTCCAACTTAAAGAAATCAAAGACGTGATACAAGATATGAAAGGAAAATTCTGTGAAATAGGTAGCATAAATAAAAAACAATCACATCTTCTGGAAATAAAGGACACACTTAGAGAAATGCAAAATGCACTGGAAACTCTCAGCAATAGAATCAAACAAGCAGAAGAAAGAAGTTCAGAGCTTGAAGACAAGGCTTTTGAATTAATCTAATCCATCAAAGACAAAGAAAAAAGAATTAAAAAAAAAATGAACAAAGCCTCCAAGAAGTTTGGGACTAAACCTAAGAATAATTGGTGTTCCCAAGGAAGAAGAGAAAGTTTGGAAAATATATTTTGGGAAATAATTGAGGAAAACTTCCCTGGCCTTCCTAGAGATCTGGATATCCACATGCAAGAAGCTCTAAGAACATCTGGGAAATTCATCACAAAAAGATCATTGCCTAGGCACATAGTCACCAGGTTATCTAAAGTCAAGGCAAAATGAATCTTAAGAACTGTGATGCAAAAGCATCAGGTAACCTGTAAAGGAAAACCTATCAGATTAACAGCAGATTTCTCAGCAGAAACCCTATAAGCTAGAAGGGATTGGGGTCCTATTTTTAGTCTCCTTAAACAAAAACAATTATCAGGAAAGAATTTTGTATCCAGCCAAACTAAGCTTCATAAATGAAGGAAAGATAACAATATTTCCAGACAAACAAATGCTGAGAGAATTCACCACTACCAAGCCAGCACTACAAGAACTGCTAAAAGGAGCTCTCGATCTTGAAACAAATCCTTGAAATACATCAAAATAGAATTTCATTAAAGCATAGATCTCACAGAACCTATATAACAATAACACAATGAAAAAAACCAAAGTATTCAGGTAACAAATGGCATGATGAGTAGAATAGTGCCTCATATCTCAATACTAACATTGAATATAAATGGCCTAAATGCTCCACTTAAAAGATACAGAATGGTAGAATGGGTAAGCATTCGCCAACCTGGCCGGATGCAGTGGTTCAAGCCTGTAATCCAGCACTTTGGGAGGCCTAGGTGGGTGGATCACCTGAGGTCAGGAGTTTGAGACCAGCATGGGGAACATGGAAAAACCCCATCTCTACTAAAAGTACAAAAATTTGCTGAGTGTGTTGGCATGTGCCTGTGGTCCCAGCTACTCAGGAGACTGAGACAGGAGGACTGCTTGAACCCAGGAGGCAGAGGTTGCAGTGAACTGAGATCATGCCACTGCACTCCAGCCTGAGTGACAGAGTGAGACTCCATCTCAGAAAAAAAAAAAAAATTCACCAACCAAATTTCTGCTGTCTTCGGGAGACTCATCTAACATATAAGGACTCACATAAACTTAAGATAAAGAGGTGGTCAAAGATATTCCATGCAAATGAACACCAAAAGTGAGCAGGAGTAGCTATTCTTATATCAAACTAAACAAACTTCAAAGCAGCAGTAGTTAAAAAAGACAAAGAGAGAAATTATAAAATGATAAAAGGGCTAGTCCAACAGGGAAATAACACAATTCTAAAAATATATGCATCCAACACTGGAGCTCCCAAATTTATAAAACAATTACTACTAGACCTAAGTAATGAGATAGACGGCAACACAATAATAGTGGGGGACTTTAATACTCCACTGACAGCACTAGACAGCTTATCAAGACAGAAAGTCAACAAAGAAACAATGGACCTAAACTATACCTGACAACAAATGGACATAACAGATATTTACAGAACATTCTACCCAACAACTGCAGAGTATACATTCTATTCATATGCACATGAACATTCTCCAAGACAGCCCATATGATAGACCACAAAACAAGTCTCAGTAAATTTTAAAAAATCAAAATTATATATCAAGTACTCTCTCAGATCATAGTGGAATAAAATTGGAAATCAAGTCCAAAAGGAAACCCCAAAACCATGCAAATACATGGAAATTAAATAAACTGCTTCTTAATGATCATTGGGTCAACAATGAAATCAAGATGGAAATTTAAAAATTCTTTGAACTGAATGATAATAGTGATACAACCTATCAAAACCTCTCGTATACAGTAAAAGCGGTGCTAAAAGGAAAGTTCATTGCATTAAATGCCTACATGGAAAACTCTGAAAGAGTACAAATAGACAATTTAAGGTCATATCTCACAGAATTGAAGAAACAGGAATAATACAAACCCAAATAGAGCAGAAAAGAAATAATGAAGATTAGATCAGAACTAAATGAAATTGAAACAAGAAATATAAAAGATAAATTAAACAAAAAGCTGATTCTTTGAAAAGATAAATAAAATTGCTAGACCATTAGTGACATTAACCAAGAAAAGAAGAGAGAAGATCCAAATAAGTTCAATTAGAAATGAAACAGGAGATATTATAACTGATACCACAGAAATACAAAAGATTATTAAAGGCTACTGTGAAAATCTTTGTGCACATAAACTAGAAAACCTAGAGGAGATGGATAAATTCCTGGAAATATACAACCCTCCTAGATTAAACCAGGAAGACACAGAAACTCTGAACAGACCAATAACAAGCTGAGATTGAAATGGTAATAAAATAATTGCCAACAAAAAAAAAGGCCACGACCGGCTGGGCACAGTGGCTCACGCCAGTAATCCCAGCACTTTGGGAGGCTGAGGCGGGTGGATTACCTAAGGTCAGGAGTTTGAGACCAGCCTGGCCAACATGGTGAAACCCCATCTCTACTAAAAATACAAAAAATTAGCCAGATGTGGTGGCACGTACCTGTAGTCCCTGCTACTTGGGAGGCTGAGGCAGGAGAATTCCTTGAACCTCAGAGGTGGAGGTTGTAGTGAGCTGAGACCATGCCACTGCATTCCAGCTTGGGCAACAGAGTGAGACTCCATCTCAAAAAAAAAAAAAAAAAAGCCCAGGACCAGATGGATTCACAGCTAAATTCTATTAAACATTCATAGAAGAATTGGTACCAATCCTATTGACACTGTTCCAAAAGAGAAAGGGGGAATCCTCCCTAAATCATTCTATGAAGCCAGTATTACCGTAATATCAAAACCAGGGAAAGACATAACAAAAAAAGAAAACTACAGACCAATATCCCTGATGAACATTGATGCAAAATTCCTTAACAAAATACTACCAAACCAAATCCAACAGCATATGAAACACCTAATCCAGCATGATCAAGTGGGTTTCATACCATGGATGCAGGGATAGTTTAACATATGTAAGTCAATAAATGTAATACTTCACATAAACAAAGTTAAAAACAAAAATTTCCTGATTATCTCAACAGACCCAGAAAAAGCATTTAACAAAATCCAGCATTCCTTTATGATAAAACTCTCAGCAAAATTGGCATACACGGGGCATACCTTAAGGTAATAAAAGCCATCTTTGAGAAACCCACAGTCAATATTATACTGAATGGGGAAAAGTTGATAGCATTCCCACTGAGAACTGGAATAAGACAAAGATGCCCACTTTCACCACTTCTATTCAACATAGTACTAGAAGTCCTAGCTAGAGCAATAAGAAAGAAATAAAGGGCATCCAAATCAGTAAAGAGGAAGTCAAACTGTCATTGTTTGCTGACTATATGATTGTATACCTAGAAAACCCTAAAGACTCATCCAAAATGCTCCTAGAACTGGTAAATTAATTCAGCAAAGTTTCAGGATATAAAACTAATGTACAAAAATCAGTAGCCCTGCTATATGCCAACAGCAACCAAGTTGAGAATCAAATCAAGAACTCAACCCCTTTAACAATAGCTGCAAAATAAATAAAACACTTGGGAATATAACTAACTAAGGACATGAAAGACCTCCACAACACTGCTGAAAGAAATCATAGATGACAAAAACAAATGGAAACACATCCCATGCTCATGGATGGGTAGAATCAATATTGTGAATATGACAATACTGACAAAAGCAATCTACAAATTCAATGCAATTCCCATCCAAATACCACCATCGTTCCTCATGGAACTAGAAACAAACAATCCTAAAGTTCATATGGAACCAAAAAAGAGCCCACACAGTGAAAGCAAGACTAAGCAAAAGGAACAAATCTGGAGACACCACATTATCCCACTTCAAACTATAAGGCCATAGTCACCAAAACAACATGGTACTGGTATAAAAATAGGCACATAGACCAATGGAACAGAATAGAGAACTCAGAAATAAAACCAAATACTTACAGCCAACTGATTTTTAACAAAGTGTACAAAAACATGAAGTGGAGAAAGGACAACCTATTCAACCGATGGTGCTGAGACCACTGGAAAGCCATATGTAAAAGAATGAAACTGGATCCTCATCTCTCACCTTATGTAAAAAATCAACTTAACGTGGATCAAAGACTTAAAAATCTAAGACCTGAAACCATAAAGATTCTAGAAGATAACATTGGAAAAACCCTTCTAGACATTCGCTTAGGCAAAGACTTCACGACCAAGAACTCGAAAGCAAATGCAACAAAAACAAAGATAAATACATGGGACTTAATGAGATGAAAAAGCTTCTGCACAGCAAAAGAAACAATCAGCAGAGTTAACAGACAACCCACAGAGTGGAAGAAAATCTTCACAATCTGTGCATCTGACAAAGGACTAATGTCCAGAATCTACAAAGAAATCAAACAAATCAGCAAGAAAAAAACAAACAATCCCATCAAAAAGTGAGCTAAGGACATGAATAGACAATTTTCAAAAGAAGATATACAAATGGCCAAAAAGCATATGGAAAAAATGCTCAACATCACTAATTATCAGGGAAATGCAAATTAAAACCACAGTGCAATAATACTACCTCACTCCTGCAAGAACAGCAGCCCTTGAATCCTAGATCTTCCATAAGAATGACCATAATCAAAAAATTTAAAAAAAATATTAGATGTTGGCATGGATGCAGTGAAAGGCAACACTTTTACATTGTTGGTGGGAATGTAAATTAGTACAACCACTATGGAAAACAGTGTGGAGATTCCTTAAAGAACTAAAAGTAGATCTACCATTTGATTTAGCAATCCCACTGCTAGGTATCTACCCAGAGGGAAAAAAAATCATTATACGAAAAAGCTACTTACACACACGTTTATACCAGCACAATTTGCAACTGCAAAAATATGGAACCAGCCCTAATCCCCATCAATCAATGAGTGGATAAAGAAAATATGATATATATGTACCATGGAATACTACTCAGCCATAAAAAGGAATGAAATAATGGCATTCACAGCAACCTGGATGGAATTGGAGACTGTTTTTTTTTATTATTGTTATACTTTAAGTTTTAGGGTACATGTGCACATTGTGCAGGTTAGTTACATATGTATACATGTGCCATGCTGGTGCGCTGCACCCACTAACTCGTCATCTAGCATTAGGTATATCTCCCAATGCTATCCCTCCCGCCACCCCCCACCCCACAACAGTCCCCAGAGTGTGATGTTCCCCTTCCTGTGTCCATGTGTTCTCATTGTTCAATTCCCACCTGAGTGAGAATATGCGGTGTTTGGTTTTTTGTTTTTGCGATAGTTTACTGAGAATCATGATTTCCAATTTCATCCATGTCCCTACAAAGGACATGAACTCATCATTTTTTATGGCTGCATAGTATTCCATGGTATATATGTGCCACATTTTCTTAATCCAGTCTATCATTGTTGGACATTTGGGTTGGTTCCAAGTCTTTGCTATTGTGAATAATGCTGCAATAAACATACGTGTGCATGTGTCTTTATAGCAGCATGATTTATAGTCCTTTGGGTATATACCCAGTAATGGGATGGCTGGGTCAAATGGTATTTCTAGTTCTAGATCCCTGAGGAATCGCCACACTGACTTTCACAATGGTTGAACTAGTTTACAGTCCAACCAACAGTGTAAAAGTGTTCCTATTTCTCCACATCCTCTCCAGCACCTGTTGTTTCCTGACTTTTTAATGATTGCCATTCTAACTGGTGTGAGATGGTATCTCATTGTGGTTTTGATTTGCATTTCTCTGATGGCCAGTGATGATGAGCATTTTTTCATGTGTTTTTTGGCTGCATAAATGTCTTCTTTTGAGAAGTGTGTGTTCATGTCCTTCGCCCACTTTTTGATGGGGTTGTTTGTTTTTTTCTTGTAAATTTGTTTGAGTTCATTGTAGATTCTGGATATTAGCCCTTTGTCAGATGACTAGGTTGTTAAAATTTTCTCCCATTTTGTAGGTTGCCTGTTCACTCTGATGGTAGTTTCTTTTGCTGTGCAGAAGCTCTTTAGTTTAATTAGATCCCATTTGTCAATTTTGTCTTTTGTTGCCATTGCTTTTGGTGTTTTAGACATGAAGTCCCTGCCCATGCCTATGTCCTGAATGGTAATGCCTAGGTTTTCTTCCAGGGTTTTTTTGGTTTTAGGTCTAACGTTTAAGTCTTTAATCGATCTTGAATTGATTTTTGTATAAGGTGTAAGGAAGGGATCCAGTTTCAGCTTTCTACATATGGCTAGCCAGTTTTCCCAGCACCATTTATTAAATAGGGAATCCTTTCCCCATTGCTTGTTTTTCTCAGGTTTGTCAAAGATCAGATAGTTGTAGATATGCGGCATTATTACTGAGGGCTCTGTTCTGTTCCATTGATCTATATCTCTGTTTTGGTACCAGTACCAAGCTGTTTTGGTTACTGTAGCCTTGTAGTATATTTTGAAGTCAGGTAGTGTGATGCCTCCAGCTTTGTTCTTTTGGCTTAGGATTGATTTGGCGATGCGGGCTCCTTTTTGGTTCCATATCAACTTTCAAGTAGTTTTTTCCAATTCTGTGAAGAAAGGCATTGGTACCTTGATGGGGATGGCATTGAATCTGTAAATTACCTTGGGCAGTATGGCCATTTTCACGATATTGATTCTTCCTACCCATGAGCATGGAATGTTCTTCCATTTGTTTGTATCCTCTTTTATTTCCTTGAGCAGTGGTTTGTAGTTCTTCTTGAAGAGGTCCTTCACGTCCCTTGTAAGTTGGATTCCTAGGTTTTATTCTCTTTGAAGCAATTGTGAATGGGAGTTCACTCATGATTTGGCTCTCTGTTTGTCTGTTGTTGGTGTATAAGAATGCTTGTGATTTTTGTACATTGATTTTGTATCCTGAGACTTTGCTAAAGTTGCTTATCAGCTTAAGGAGATTTTGGGCTGAGACAATGGGGTTTTCTAGATATACAATCATGTCGTCTGCAAACAAGGACAATTTGACTTCCTCTTTTCCTAATTGAATACCCTTTATTTCCTTCTCCTGCCTAATTGCCCTGGCCAGAACTTCCAATACTATGTTGAATAGGAGTGGTGAGAGCGGGCATCCCTGTCTTGTACCAGTTTTCAAAGGGAATGCTTCCAGTTTTTGCCCATTCAGTATGATATTGGCTGTGGGTTTGTCATAGATAGCTCTTATTATTTTGAGATACATCCCATCAATACCTAATTTATTGAGAGTTTTTAGCATGAAGGGTTGTTGAATTTTGTCAAAGGCTTTTTCTGCATCTATTGAGATAATCATGTGGTTTTTGTCTTTGGCTCTGTTTATATGCTGGATTAAATTTATTGATTTGCATATATTGAACCAGCCTTGCATCCCAGGGATGAAGCCCACTTGATCATGGTGGATAAGATTTTTGATGTGCTGCTGGATTCGTTTTGCCAGTATTTTATTGAGGATTTTTGCATCAGTGCTCATCAAGGATATTGGTCTAAAATTCTTTTTTTTGTTGTGTCTCTGCCTGGCTTTGGTATCAGAATGATGCTGGCCTCATAAAATGAGTTAGGGAGGATTCCCTCTTTTTCTATTGATTTGAATAGTTTCAGAAGGAATGGTACCAGTTCCTCCTTGTACCTCTGGTAGAATTCGGCTGTGAATCCATCTGGTCCTGGACTCTTTTTGGTTGGTAAGCTATTGATTATTGCCACAATTTCAGATCCTGTTATTGGTCTATTCAGAGATTCAATTTCTTCCTGGTTTAGTCTTGGGAGAGTGTATGTGTTGAGGAATTTATCCATTTCTTCTAGATTTTCTAGTTTATTTGCGTGGAGGTGTTTGTAGTATTCTCTGATGGTAGTTTCTATTTCTGTGGGATCGGTGGTGATATCCCCCTTATCATTTTTTATTACGTCTATTTGATTCTTCTCTCTTTTTTTCTTTATTAGTATTGCTAGCAGTCTATCAATTTTGTTGATCCTTTCAAAAAACCAGCTCCTGGATTCATTAATTTTTTGAAGGGTTTTTTGTGTCTCTATTTCCTTCAGTTCTGCTCTGGTTTTAGTTATTTCTTGGCTTCTGCTAACTTTTGAATGTGTTTGCTCTTGCTTTTCTAGTTCTTTTAATTGTGATGTTAGGGTGTCAATTTTGGATCTTTCCTGCTTTCTCTTGTGGGCATTTAGTGCTATAAATTTCCCTCTACACACTGCTTTGAATGCGTCCCAGAGATTCTGGTATGTTGTGTCTTTGTTCTCGTTGGTTTCAAAGAACATCTTTATTTCTGCCTTCATTTTGTTATGTACCCAGTAGTCATTCAGGAGCAGGTTGTTCAGTTTCCATGTAGTTGAGCGGTTTTGAGTGAGATTCTTAATCCTGAGTTCTAGTTTGATTGCACTGTGGTCTGAGAGATAGTTTGTTATAATTTCTGTTCTTTTACATTTGCTGAGGAGAGCTTTACTTCCAAGTATGTGGTCAATTTTGGAATAGGTGTGGTGTGGTGCTGAAAAAAATGTATATTCTGTTGATTTGGGGTGGAGAGTTCTGTAGATGTCTATTAGGTCCGCTTGGTGCAGAGCTGAGTTCAATTCCTCGGTATCCTTGTTGACTTTCTGTCTCATTGATCTGTCTAATGTTGACAGTGGGGTGTTAAAGTCTCCCATTATTAATGTGTGGGAGTCTAAGTCTCTTTGTAGGTCACTCAGGACTTGCTTTATGAATCTTGGTGCTCCTGTATTGGGTGCATATATATTTAGGATAGTTAGCTCTTCTTGTTGAATTGATCCCTTTACCACTATGTAATGGCCTTCTTTGTCTCTTTTGATCTTTGTTGGTTTAAAGTCTGTTTTATCAGAGACTAGGATTGCAACCCCTGCCTTTTTTTGTTTTCCATTTGCTTGGTAGATCTTCCTCCATCCTTTTATTTTGAGCCTATGTGTGTCTCTGCATGTGAGATGGGTTTCCTGAATACAGCACACTGATGGGTCTTCACTCTTTATCCAATTTGCCAGTCTGTGTCTTTTAATTGGAGCATTTAGTCCATTTACATTTAAAGTTAATAGTGTTATGTGTGAATTTGATCCTGTCATTATGATGTTAGCTGGTGATTTTGCTCATTAGTTGATGCAGTTTCTTCCTAGTCTCGATGGCCTTTACATTTTGGCATGATTTTGCAGCGGCTGGTACCGGTTGTTCCTTTCCATGTTTAGCGCTTCCTTCAGGAGCTCTTTTAGGGCAGGCCTGGTGGTGACAAAATCTCTCAGCATTTGCTTGTCTGTAAAGTATTTTATTTCTCCTTCACTTATGAAGCTTAGTTTGGCTGGATATGAAATTCTGGGTTGAAAATTCTTTTCTTTAAGAATGTTGAATATTGGCCCCCACTCTCTTCTGGCTTGTAGGGTTTCTGCCGAGAGATCCGCTGTTAGTCTGATGGGCTTCCCTTTGAGGGTAACCCGACCTTTCTCCCTGGCTGCCCTTAACATTTTTTCCTTCATTTCAACTTTGGTGAATCTGACAATTATGTGTCTTGGAGTTGCTCTTCTCGAGGAGTATCTTTGTGGCGTTCTCTGTATTTCCTGAATGTGAATCTTGGCCTGCCTTGCTAGATTGGGGAAGTTCTCCTGGATAATATCCTGCAGAGTGTTTTCCAACTTGGTTCCATTCTCCCCATCACTTTCAGGTACACCAATCAGATGTAGATTTGGTCTTTTCACATAGTCCCATATTTCTTGGAGGCTTTGCTCATTTCTTTTTATTCTTTTTTCTCTAAACTTCCCTTCTCGCTTCATTTCATTCATTTCATCTTCCATTGCTGATACCCTTTCTTCCAGTTGATTGCATCGGCTCCTGAGGCTTCTGCATTCTTCACGTAGTTCTCGAGCCTTGGTCTTCAGCTCCATCAGCTCCTTTAAGCACTTCTCTGTATTGGTTATTCTAGTTATACATTCTTCTAAATTTTTTTCAAAGTTTTCAACTTCTTTGCCTTTGGTTTGAACGTCCTCCTGTAGCTCAGAGTAATTTGATCGTCTGAAGCCTTCTTCTCTCAGCTCGTCAAAGTCATTCTCCATTCAGCTTTGTTCCGTTGCTGGTGAGGAGCTGCGTTCCTTTGGAGGAGGAGAGGCGCTCTGCTTTTTAGAGTTTCCAGTTTTTCTGTTCTGTTTTTTCCCCATCTTTGTAGTTTTATCTACTTTTGGTCTTTGATGATGGTGATGTACAGATGGGTTTTTGGTGTGGATGTCCTTTCTGTTTGTTAGTTTTCCTTCTAACAGACAGGACCCTCAGCTGCAGGTCTGTTGGAGTACCCTGCCGTGTGAGGTGTCAGTGTGCTCCTGCTGGGGGGTGCCTCCCAGTTAGGCTGCTCGGGGGTCAGGGACCCACTTGAGGAGGCAGTCTGCCTGTTCTCAGATCTCCAGCTGCGTGCTGGGAGAACCACTGCTCTCTTCAAAGCTGTCAGACAGGGACATTTAAGTCTGCAGAGGTTACTGCTGTCTTTTTGTTTGTCTGTGCCCTGCCCCCAGAGGTGGAGCCTACAGAGGCAGGCAGGCCTCCTTGAGCTGTGGTGGGCTCCACCCAGTTGGAGCTTCCCGGCTGCTTTGTTTACCTAATCAAGCCTGGGCGATGGCGGGCGCCCCTCCCCCAGCCTCGCTGCCGCCTTGCAGTTTGATCTCAGACTGCTGTGCTAGCAATCAGCGAGACTCCGTGGGTATAGGACCCTCCGAGCCAGGTGCGGGATATACTCTCGTGGTGCGCTGTTTTTTAAGCCCGTCGGAAAAGCGCAGTATTCGGGTGGGAGTGACCCGATTTTCCAGGTGCCCTCTGTCACCCCTTTCTTTGACTCAGAAAGGGAACTCCCTGACCCCTTGCGCTTCCCAAGTGAGACAATGCCTTGCCCTGCTTCGGCTCGCATACGGTGCGCGCACCCACTGACCTGCGCCCACTGTCTGGCACTCCCTAGTGAGATGAACCCGGTACCTCAGTTGGAAATGCAGAAATCATCCGTCTTCTGTGTCGCTCACGCTGGGAGCTGTAGACAGGAGCTGTTCCTATTCGGCCATCTTGGCTCCTCCCCCCTGGAGACTGTTATTCTAAGTGAAGTAACTCAAGAATGGAAAACCAAACATTGTATTCTCATTCATATGATTGAGAATCAGAATTCATATGATTCTCATTCATATGTGGGAGCTAAGCTATGACGATGCAAAGGCATAAGAATGATACATTGGACTTTGGGGATTTGGGGGAAAGGGTGGGGTATGGGGAGGAATAAAAGACTACACATTGAGTACAGTGTACACGGCTTGGGTGATACATCCACCAAAATCTCAGAAATCACCACTTAAAAACTTACTCATGTAACCAAACCACTGACGGTTCTCAAAAACCTATTGAAATAAAAAAATTAAAATTTTTTTTTTAAAAAAACACAGACTGTCTAGTTCTAATTCCAATATGCTACTTACTAGCTGTGTGTCACTGGCAAGTTACATAACTTCTCTCACCCCCAGTTCCTTCCTCTGTAAACATGGGGACAATAGAATATATCTCAAAGAGCTGTAAAAAATAAGTTAATATTTATTTTAACTTCTATGTTAAATATCAGTTAGACATATTTAACTTATATGTCTAACATGTTTAAGTTAACTTATATTTAACTTATAAGTTAAACATTTATTAACTTTAAGTTAATATATGTAAAGTGCTTAGAACAGTTCTTAGCACAGAAAAAGCATTATAGAAATGTCTTTTTATTATCATTTATCTAGTAATATATATGATGTTCAAGTAGAACATTTTATTATACCTCAAAATGAAGAGAACATCACAAGATTTCAGAGCTGTTGATGTTTTAAGTGATTTGCATACCAAGTGACTAAATTTATTAAGAATATTATTTTCACAAAGATAAAAACAATCAAGAAACTTGTTAAAATTAATCCTAGACAGACTAACAATACTGCTAGTCTAAGCAACTTCAAAAAACGGGAATTGATGATTATCTTCTCTAACCTAAGTGAGGCCTAAATAAATGCATTTTATCTCCAAAGGATAAATAACTAATATTAATCAGGTGATAATTGGCATGCCTGATCTAGTTCTCTTAGATGCAGTAGTACAATGAAGCTGGCTAAAATTGGCTTAAGAGTTAAATTTTCAGAAACTTGGCAAGTCAGTTGTAAAACCATTGGTAGCTTGAAATCATCTATGATGGGAGAAACAGACAAACACAACCAGAGAAACAGACAAACACAACTAAACAGAGCTTTGTTTCTTAGGGAGCTGGTTTTAAACATTTACTAACACATCACTACCTACAAGTAGCATAATACTTGGATTTCATTAACAAGAGTCTTATTTTCATGCTGGCCATAATATTACTAATTTTTAACTAACGATTTAATTCACAATTTCTTAAAAAGTCACTTCCGGTAGGACATGGTGGCTCGTGCTGATAAGCCCAGCACTTTGGGAGGCTGAGGTAGGAGGATCGCTTGAGTCCAGGAGTTTGAAGTTACAGTGAGCTATGGCTATGTCACTGCACTACAGCCTGGGTGTCAGAGTGAGACCTTCTGTCTAAGAAAAAAGTCACTTCTGCTTAGCTTTTAGAGTGATTTCCTCTAGTCCAAATTGTACCTCCCTAAGCGTATCTGCATGTTAGAATCCCCTGGAAGTTTTTAAACATATGAATACCAAGCTAGCACCCCAGACCCACTGATTTACAAATTACGGGTGATGGGTGAGACTCAGGCACCAATATTGTTAAAAAGTAAACTTAGGCACACAAAAATTTTAAAGAGTTTATTTGAGCCAACAGTGATTCATAAATCAGGCAGCCCCAAATCACAAGTGGTGTGGGCTCTAACCAGGTAGGAATCGGGAAAAACTTTTATAAGGTATTTCCAGAAGTAAGACAGAAAATATTTAATTGGTTAAAGCAGAACATCCCTAGTTGGAGATTAGTTGGCAGTTTCTTATTGATAAAATTTCTAGTTAGAGGTTAGTTTGTGGTTTCGTGGTTTCTGATTGGTAGATTCTCTAATTAGATGTTAATTGGCAGTTCTGATTGGATAAGCTTAAGTTTCATTTTACTGTTTACACCAAATTGTGTTTAGTTTTGCTTAGGTGGGAACCCAAAGCACTCAGCCTAATAACCTAATTACTTTCTTTGACACTGTTTTTCTTAATCTCCCAGGTGATTACAATATGTGGCCAGTTTAAGCACCACTGTGCCAAAGTCTTCCGTAGTTAGAAATTTAACATAGTCTATTGTGTTGCTGTCAATAAAATGGAGTAAAATGTTACCAAAGTCAGGAGTACCAAGGGTTTCCAATGTGATATTAAATAATAGTAGATAGTAAAAATACTACCTTAAAAGTAATTTAGATGTAATCAAGTCCTTTGTTAAGGAAGCAACCGTTTACATCTTATCTTTGTTATTTCCACAGGCAGCAACACAATTAGCCATTACTCAAGACAAAGCATATGGAAAAGTGAAGGTATAAAAATAGCAAAATGTGGATCAACAAGGAAAACAGATCTATAAAATAATGATACACCTTTGCAAAATATAAATCATCTTTCAGCAGTATTTTAAAAGGTCAAATTACTCAAAAAAATGAGTATGGAGCTGATTATTTAAAAGGTATTTCCCACATTTTGCTATCTACTTAAAAAAACATCAATAATGGAATGCAAAGTTTTCAGGTCCCAGTTATCTGGGTTGGAATTTTGGCAGTCTTTTTGGAGCATGAAATCCTCCCTGCAGCTAACTGCTGTGCAGCTGTTTTAATTGGCCTGGTGGTACAGAGTGAATTTCCCGGTAGCATCAAAGGATTGATGCTTCTACCGGGAAAGGGTTTTGAAAACTCCATCTGCGACAAGGCTGTTTTTCATCCATTAAGAAAACTAGATAGTATTATTCCCTTGTTGGAATTTAAGAAGGACATAAATTTTTTTGCACAACCTGGCATTTGGCATTATAGTACTATTATTCTTGATCTTCTGTAATTACATTTTTCCAGATTATTAGTGCATCATTAATGCATATAAATTGCATTAAATAAATTAAGTAGTATAGTGTAAATTGATGATAGTTTGGTTTGGTGGTTTCCAAAATAAATCACCAATAGACTTTTATTTCTTAATGTAATTTGGCTTCTGGGGAACACTTGCCCTTAAAGCCAGCAAAAATTTAGATTTTTATTGAAATCTATCTTGTATTATGCCTCATTTTGTTCATTTCAGTCACATCTTCCTCAGATAGATTGTGTGCTGTTGAAGGTGGGACACAGCTACCTAAACTGCTTTGTGTCCATGAAAGCTCCCAGGAAAGTCTAGGTTACCACAAGTATTACTGAAATACCAGGCTGACATGGGAAGCTGCATGGCATCTATTGCCTATTCTGTGTATTAGAGAAGCAAGAATACTGAAAGTATAGTGGGGAAACAAGGATTTGAACTCTGGCTTTGCCACTTATTACCTGTGTGGCATTAAGTCACAAACTCTAACTTGCAATTTCCTAATTTGTACAATGGAGCCATAATAGCTACCCCACACAGTTGACATGGAAGAAAAATATATGATGCTTGTGAAAGCACTTTGTAAAGTGTAAGATGTTATTCGTACATAAAATATTGTTATTATTATGCCTGTGTTTCTAAGCACACATGAATACAAAACCCTTTTAATCAGCGTGGAGATTTTTTGTTTCGAGTGGCTTTCTTGTATGAGTGCTCCAAATAATGATTGTATATAGAGCCTTTTCTGTTTATCAGGCTCCTGAATTGGTTGTAAAAAATAGAGGGAATAACATTAAGTATATTACACAGCCTTGATTTGTTCTAACTAATAAAGGGAAAGAGATTAGATAAGATGCTGTTAAATCGAGTTTTATTCAGCATCTGAAATCGCAGACTTGGACCCTAGTTCTATTACCCGCTCCCACTTCCTGCCAGCTGGGTGACCTCACGCAGCTCATTCCATCATCGCATAGCCCCAGCTTCTCCATCTTTAAAGGAGGGGCTAATCTGGATAGATCCTAATTAGTTATAACTTTGATACTGTTGTATCTAATATAATTGTCTATTTGATATTGAAATAACATTTTTTGTGTGAACTTTTCTGTTCAATAGCTGTCTGCTTTCCAACACTTCCAGAAGTTCTACGTGAACAGAGATATGTATTTCACATATTTCCTTTCATACCCCACCTTGTTTCCCATCCCATAGATACCTCATCATTCTTCAACAGACAAAAATTTCATTTCTGACTTCTCTGACCTGAACGGAAGGAGGTGCATTTAATAATTCTCTTCACTTTGCTAGCACTGCAATATAACAATTTATTTAAACCTCTAATACTAGAATGAGAGCTCAATTGAAAAAAATTTAAATTTTAAATTTTAAAAACTTCCAGCCTACAGTGTTTGATTTATAGAAGAGTCTTTGTAAATGTTTGCTGAATAAAGGAATGCATGAATAAGTACCAGTTCACCAATTCTGGCCACAGTATCCTGTACACAGAAGGCTCATCCATGCTGAGTCGGAAAACAAACAGATGGATAAATTTCCCAAAGTTTAGTCAAGGTAAATTCTTTTCCTTGGAATTTCGCAGACAAAGAGGAACAATGAAAGGCCATTATAGTATGCTGTCATGTCTAATTTTCCCCTTCTTTCCTTTTGAAATGGTTAGGCCTGGAATGTTAAACAGGAAATCTGTCTGCTTCTCTGTTTCTCTGGTAAGTCACATGCATAGCCCAGAGATTGTACCTAAAATAATTCCACAGGAAAGCCAGGGATTTTCTTATTTAAAAATCATCAAACACAGATGAATGAATGAGTCTATGAAATAGTTGTATGATTAAGATTTATTTCTGCTTGAACAAAATAGATTACAGCAGTTCTGAGATCATTTCCAATTGCAAGCTCTGTATTTATCTTGCATAGAATTCATGTTGGTTTTAGATTTTTGAAATGTTCATGTGAGTGCAAAAACATTTGGGTGAGGAGGACACAGGGAATTATTAGAAAAGCATGGAAGAAGACTCCTTTGGTTCTCTGCGTTTTTGTGAACCATCTTTATAGCTCATTGAATCCCAGAATTCCTGTGGGGTCCATCAGAGATCCACACAGCCTTCCTGCTGATTTATATCCGCTTTGCAGATTCAGCTGGTAGAAATGTGAGATCATTTTTAGACCATTCTACAGTCAGCAAATGCCTAAATTAAAGCATATTTGCCTGCTTTCAGCCAAAATGATCTGGTCATCAGCATGGCAGCGGGTGAGAAATGAGGGAAAGTATTTGAAATAATTCCCAGGTAGAAACTGAAATAACTCCCAGGTGAACAGAAAGGAATGTAAATCTATCCTGATGAAAGGTTCTCCTCCCTGGAGAAAGTAGGAAGAAGGGAATACCATCAAATATTAAATTAGGGCTATCACGATTTGTGGCATTACTCCAGAAAGTAAAATTATGGTTCAAAGCCACAAGAACATTAAATAATACCGCTGTCGTGCTGGACCCCTATCAACTTCAACAGAAATGGCACCAGGTCCAAGAGGCTGAAGAAGAGACCCACAGTCAGCAAACAAGACATAGGATTTACTGAGGACTTACATACAGGGATGGTCCAGTGGTTGTGAGCTGAACAGGAGAACTGCCACCATTTGTAAAAAGCATGTGGTTTATATAGATCAGGTGCATCTGCATTCTCGGGGTATGCTTAAGCTAAACTACTGCTGTCAGGTGCATCTGCCAGATACTCCATCCCAGCATACCCTTGAATGGCCCTCACATTCCTCTCACTCCATTTTTCTGCAATTTCCCTGGGGCCAGGTATGCAGAGAAGCCTTGCAACCAAATGCAAAAGCGCCATTGCCCATAGAGTTTCTCCATCTCTCCTAAGTCAGAGGTCACTAGGGCTGCTCTAGACACTGACTGTCCTACCAAGGGGCTCAGGTTGGGTACCCATGCACCATACCATTGGTTGGGTGCTGACTTTAAGATGGCTCTTTCATGCCAGCAGTGAAAAGCTCATTGTCGGGACCTCAGCAACGGTCAGTATAGATAATATGCTTCCCCACTAATTCCCAGGGGATGTACTGCAATTCCGCCATAGTCTGCCATAGCAAAGGAGATGTGGGGACATTCACCTCATTTGGCCAGGCTGCCTTGTAACCCACAACTACCCAACTGAGGAAGGGGCTGGCCCGATCCTCATTTTCAGCACTATAGAGGCCCTGCCTCAGGGCCAAGTGGTCTATGATAGGTGCCATTTTACTCATCTCAAATCAAGAGAGTACACTACCCTCTGCCCCCATGTCCCACAGATGGAGAAGCCACCCCGCGATCAACTCCCTCCTCCACTGCCTGAACCCACTTCTTACCTCCACCAGCTCCACAGCAGTGTACAGTCTTTCAGGATGGGGCAAGTTTTACTGATCTACTCCCTGTGGGTGTGGCCAGGTTGCCTCCTTTCCAGTAGTGACCACGGGTGGGCAGAGAGAACAGGAACCTCTTTAGGCACCTCCCAGACCTCACTCTCCTCCCCACTAGAGCTCTCCATTGGGTCCCAGGACTTAGGGTCCCAGGACGATTTAAGTCATCATAGCCTCATCTTGTTGGCATGGGAGTTGGTGACCCTTCAAACACACTAGCCAATAAGCTAGGGTCTCCATTTTGCCATCCTGTTCCCTCAGGCAGGACAGTAACATCTCCAGTGTTACAGCCTGAACTAATCTGGCACCTCTATCTTGTCAAAACTCATTTAACAAGTGATGAACTCTTGGCTGCACTGTGAGCTCAGCCTCAGCTTGCAGCGCAGTCAGGAATGACCAGTCAACTCGGAATCTGACCTTCGCTCAATTAGATCTGTCCCCTGCAACAACTCTTCCAGACTCCAGCCTTTTCAGGGTGTCCACATGGTGGGCCCCATCCATCAGGGATGGTGGCTATCAGGCCCCACATTGAAGTGGACAGCCAGCCTGGATTTTCCCCAGGGATTACCCCTTCCCTAATCCCGTCATCTCTGCACTCTTGGGGTTTTCTCCACCTCCTGCCTGGCTCACCAATTGTCCTGAGAAATCCCTATAGACTTCAGCAGAGATGGCACCATGTCCAGGAGGCCAAAGAAGAGACCCACAGTCAGCAAACAAGACATAGGATTTACTGAGGACTTACATACAGGGATGGTCCAGTGGTTGTGAGATGAACAGGAGAACTGCCACCATTTGTAAAAAGACATAGAGATGGTCCAGTGGCAGTGGGCTTGACAAGAGAGCCACTCCCATTTGTAAAAAGCATAAAGTTGATACGGATCAGGTGAATCTGCATTCTCAGGGCATACTTAAATTACTGCTATCAGTTGAGTCTGCTGTATCCCCCTCCCCACTTTCTTGATCCCAATAAATATAGTGGGAAAAACACACTATTTCTACTACACAGTATTTGTTAAAAATAATTTTTAAAAACCATGTTAAACACCACTTTAAACAAGTAACTTGCTTGGCAAATCACAGCCCTAATTCAATGGGCAGAGACTTTCATTGAATAAATATTACTGAGAAAGAAAGATGAGTGAAAAGAGGCCCTGCCATCAAGTGGGGGGACCAGGTCAGAGGTGAAGAACAGAAACATGTTGTGAACAACAACAACAACAACAACAACAACAAATATATATATATATATAATGAGTTTGGTGCTGTTCTTTGAGGGTGGATTTAAGGAAGGCACTGGGTATGATCTCAAACATGGATATGGAGTGGTTCTATGCTCTATTATCCACTGTCTGTACTAAGAATTTTACCTGAAGGGCAAAGGAAGACTTCCTAGAAGTTATATCATTGGAGTTTCCACAGTCTTTCATAAATCAACTTTCCCTTACGACTGCAAGTGTGGTGTAGCCCAGGCAGGCCTGATGAGCAGTGCAAATTCCCTGCCCTATGCTCACAGCCACAGCCTAGCATGCACCAGGGACTTAATGCTCACAATTATCTCTTACTTACTATGCTGGCAGTTGTAGCCAATCATAATCAAACAAGTCCAGCAAGGTAAAGGCTATACAAGGTACGTGAGAAAATCTTAATGTGTTAAAAGAGGACATCCGGCAGTTCTCATTTTGTGGTGAACTAAAAGTTCTCATGACATTCAGTATGGGTCTTAGCTGTTTCTGGCAAATTACTTTTGTCTGGAAAGCCATGTAAACACAAAGGTCAAATTCTGCTTTTTCTTTTATAATAGTCCGCATGATTAGTGGAAGACATGAATTGAGAGAGTCTGTAAGAAGGCTGAACCAAATAGCAAAATATATTTAAAAATTTTCCAAAGAAATTTAATTAAAACCTACACCTCACTTTAACTACATCCCTTTGTTGAACACCATACCTTATTAATAGGGTAAGTGCTGGAAATGAACTAAAGCTGTTTTATAGAACAATATAAAATAAGTTGTTTTAGTTGGTATTTTTCAATGTTTTAAAAATACAGTCATACCCCGCATAACATTTTGGTCAACATCAGCCTCCATATATGACAGAGGGTTGCCCTATACAGACATACCATCTTTTATATGATTTTTTACTGTACCTTTTCTATGTTTACATGTTTAGATGCACAAATACTTACCATTATGTTACAATTGCCTACAGTATTCAGTACAGTAACATGCTGTACAGGTTTGAGGCCTTGGAGTAATAGGCCATACCAAATAGCCTAGGGTGTAGTAAGCTATACCATCTGTTTGCATAAGTACACTCTATGATGTTCACACAATGACAAAATCACCTAACAACACATCTCAAAACTTCTTGTAGTTAAGTAATGCTAAGGGACATCATTAAGCGATGTATGACTATATTGTTTTCTTTTATATCCTATTGCCAAGCATTGGATAAAGTAAAAGAAAGATTTCTGTTAATGCCTTAGGGTTTAAAGCAATTAAGTGCAAATAACTTGACAGAATTCATAGCACCCTGGGAAGTAGCAGCTCAGGAAGCTGTTTAACTCAGATGATTTGGTCCTCTATTGCCCAAGAAAGTGATTCTATATCAGCATATATGTCATGAAAGAGAGAGAGAAAAATTTTTTTAATGGATTGAAATGTTGTTTAATAGTTCTTTTGGGGAAACCTGTGAAAATTTGTATTACTTCTAAGTTACATAAAGTTCCATTTCAGTTGACAAGTACTCTCTGCTATCTCACTTTCCTATATAAAAAAAGTTAAACAATATTTACTGAGCTTTTACTATAAGCTAGTCACTATTCTTAGTATTTTGTTTGTGTTACCTATTTAATTACTAAAATAACCCAGAAAGTAGATTTTTTTATTTCTATTTTACAGACAGGGAAACTGAGGCAGAGTGGTTAAAAACTTGTACAAGGTCACACAACTAGTGAGTCTTGAATTTGAATTTGATAAGCTTCCTGAAAGCTGGTGCTTACAACTACTTATGACTACAATCAAATACCAAGTTTTTTTCATTTCTCTATCAAATACGATTATTAAATTGCATTTTTTAATCAGCTTCTTTTTTATTAATTGCATTTGCATTATTTGTTGTGGGTACATAGTAGATATATATTATATGAGTTACATGAGATATTTTTATACAGGCATGCAATATGTAATAATTATATCAGAGTAAATGGGGTATCCATCACCTCAAGTATTTATCCTTTGTGTTTCAAACAATCCAATAATACCCTTTTAATTATTTTTAAAAGCATATTTAAATTATTTTTTACTATAGTCACCCTGTTATGCTGGCAAATACTAGGTCTTATTTATTCTAACTAATTTTGGACTCATTAACCATCCCTCCTAACCTCCCACCCTCACTACCCTTCCCAGCCTCAGGTAACCACCTTTTCACTCTCTATCTCCATGAGTTCAATTGTTTTAATTTTGAGCACCCACAGATAAGTGAGAACATGTGATGTTTTTCTTTTTGTGTGGTATGGTTTGGCTGTGTCCCCACCCAAATCTCGTCTTGAACTGTAGTTCTCATAATCCCCGCATGTGGGAGGAACCCACTGGGAGGTAATTGAATCATGGAGGCAGTTACTTCCACGCTGTTCTTGTGATAGTGCGTTCTCATGAGATCTGATGGTTTTATAAAAACCCTTATAAAAACCTTTGCTCTGCACTTCTTCTTGCTGCTGCCATGTAAAGAAGGATATGTTTGTTTCCCCATCCACCATGATTGTAATTTCCTGAGGCTTCCCCAGCCCTGCAGAACTGTGAGTCAATTAAACCTCTTTCCTTTATAAATTACCCAGTCTCAGGTATGTCCTTATAGCAGCATGAGAACGGACTAATACACTGTGCCTGGCTTATTTCATTTAACATAAAGACCTCTAGTTCCATCCATGTCATTTCAAATGACAGAATCTCATTCTTTTTCATGGCTGAATGAATGGTATTCCTTTCTGTATATGTACCACATTTTCTTTATCCATTCGCCTGTTGATGGGTACTTAGGTTGTCCCCCATTTTGGCTATTGTGAATAGTGCTGCCATAAACATGGCAGTGCAGATATCTCTTTGACGTAGTGATTTCCTTTCTTTTGGGTATATACCTAAGAGTGGCATTGCTGGATTATATGGTACCTCTATTTTTAGTTTTTTGAGGAGCCTGCAAACTGTTCTCCATAGTGGTTGTATGAATTTACATTCTCATCAACAGTGTACAAGGATTCCTTTTCTCCACATCCTAGCCAGTATTTGTTATTGCTTAACTTTCAGATAAAAGCAATTCTAACTGAGGTGAGATGATATCTCAATGTAGTTTTGATTTGCATTTCTCTGAAAATCAATGATTTTGAGCACCATTTCATATACCTGTTTGCCATTTGTATGTCTTCTTCTGAGAAATGTCTATTGAGAGATTTTGCCCATATTTTAATTGAATTATTAGATTTTTTTTCCTATAGAGTTGTTTGAGCTCCTTGCATATAATCTAGTTGTTTTTATATCTATTTAATTTTTAACTTTTTATTTTAAGTTCAGGGGTACATGTGCAGGATGTGCAGGTTTGTCACACAGGTAAGTGTATGTAATGGGGTTTTGTTGTACAGATTATTTCATCACTTAGGTATTAAGCTTAGTATCCATTAGCTATTTTTCCTGATCCTCTCTCTCCTTCCACCTTACACCCTCCAATAGGCCCCAGTGTGTGTTGTTCCCCTTTATGTGTCCATGTGTTCTCATCATTTAATTTCCACTTATAAGTGAGAACATGCCATATTTGGTTTTCTCTTCCTGCATTAGTTTGTTAAGGATAATAGCTTCCAGCTCCACTCATGTCCTTGCAGAGGACAGGATCTCATTCTTTTTTATGGCTGCACAGTATTTCTTGGTGTGTATGTACCACATTTTCTTTATCCAGTCTATCTCTGATGGGTATTTAAGTTGATTCCTTTTCTTTGCTATTGTGAGTAGTGCTGCAATGAACATATGCATGCATGTGTCTTTGTAATAGAACAATTTATATTCCTCTGGGTATATACCCAGTAATGGGCTTCCTGGGTCAAATGGTATTTCTGTCTTTACGTCTCTGAGAAATTGCCACACGATCTTCCACAATGGTTGAGCTAATTTACACTCCCACCAAGAGTTTATATGCATTCCCTTTTCTTTACAACCTCGCTAGCATTTGTTATTTATTGACTTTTTATCAGTAGCCATTCTGACTGGTGTGAGATGGTATCTCATAGTGGTTTTGATTTACGTTTCTCTAATAATCAGTGATGCTGAGGTTTTTTTCATATGATGTTAGTCGCATGTATGTCTTTTCTTGAGAAGTGTCTGGTCATATCCTTTGCCCACTTTTTAATAGGGTTGTTTCTTGCAAATTTAAGTTCCTCATAGATTCTGGATATGAGACCTTTGTCAGGTACATAATTTGCAAATATTTTCTTGCATTCTGTAGGTTGTCTGTTTCCTCTGTTGATAGGTTTTCACTGTACAGAAGCTCTTAAGTTTAATTAGATCCCCTTTGTCAATATTTCTTTTTGTTACAATTGTTTTCGGTGTCTTCGTCATGAACTCTTTGTCCATGCCAATGTCCTGAATGATATTGCCTAGGTTGTCTTCCAGGCTTTCTATAGTTTTGGGTCTTACATTTGAGTGTTTAATCCATCTCGACTTAACTTTTGTATATGGAGTAAGGAGGGGTCCAGTTTCAATTTTCTGCATATGGCTAGCCAGTTATCCCAGCACCATTTATTGAATAGAAAATCCTGTTCCCATTGCTTGTTTTTCTCAGCTCTGTCAAAGATCAAATAGTGGTAGGTGTGTGGTCTTATTACTGGGTTCTCTATTCTGTTCCATTGGTCTATGTGTCTGTTGTTGTATCAGTACCATGCTGTTTTGGTTACTGTAGCCCTGTAGTATAATCTGAACTTGGGTGGCGTGATGCCTACAGCTTTGTGTTTTTTGGCTTAGAATTGCCTTGGCTATTCAGGCTTATTTTTGGTTCCATATGAATTTTAAAATAGTTTTCTCTAATTCTGTGAAGAATGTCATTGGTAGTTTAATGAGACTAGCATTGAATCTTTAAATTGCTTCGGGCAGTATGGCCATTTTAACTATATTGATTCTTCCTATCCATGAGCATGGAATGTTTTTTCCACTTGTCTGTGTCACCTCTGATTTCTTTGAGCAGTGCTTTATAGTTCTCATTGTACAGATCTTTCACCTCCCTTGTTAGCTGTATTCCTAGCTATTTTTTTAATGGCAGTTGTGAATGGGGTTGCCTTTCTGATTTGGCTCTCTGATTGTTGGTGTTTAGGAATGCTAGTGATTTTTGTACATTAATTTTGTAGCCTGCAAATTTGCTGAAGTTGTTTATCAGCTGAAGGAGCTTTTGGGGTGAGATTATGGGGTTTTCTAGATATAGAATTATGTCATCTGTGAACAGAGATAGTTTGACTTCCTCCCTTCCTATTTGGATGCCCTTTGTTTCTTTCTCTTGCCTGATTGCCCTGACTAGGACTTCTAATACTATGTTGAACAGAAGTGGTGAGAGGGCATCCTTGTCTTGTGCCAGCTTTCAAGGGGAATGTTTCCAGCTTTTGCCCATTCAATATAATGTCGGCTATAGGTTTGCGATAGATAACTTATATTTTGAGGTATGCTCCTTTACTACCAAGTTATTGAGAGTATTTAACATAGGGGGATGTTGAATTTTATCAAAAGCTTTTTCTGCATCTATTGAGATAATCATGTAGTTTTTGTCTTTAGTTCTGTTTATGATTAATCACATTTATTGATTTGCATATGTTGAATCAACCTTCCATCCCAGGGATGAAGCCTACTTGATCATGGTGGATTAGCTTTTTGTTGTGCTGCTAGATTCAGTTTGCAAGTATTTTGTTGAGGATTTTGCACTGATGTTCATCAAGGATATTGGCGTGAAGTCTCTGCCAGGTTTTGTATCAAGATGATGCTGGCCTTATAGAATGAGCTGGTGAGAAGTCTCTCCTCCTCAGTTTTCTGGAATAGTTGCTGTAGGAATGGTACCAGCTCTTCTTTGTACATCTAGTAGAATTTGCCTGTGAATCCATCAGGTCCTGGGTTTTTGTTTTTGTTTTTGTTTTGTTTTTGTTTGTGTTTGTCTGTTTGTTTTTGTTAGTTGGTAGGCTATTTATTACTGATTCAATTTTGGAGCTTGTTATTGGCTCAGTCTTGGGAGGGAGTATGTGTCCATGGATTTACCGATCTCTTCTAGGTTTTCTAGTTTGTGTGCATACAGGTGTTTGTAGTTTCTAATAGTTGTTTTTATTTCTGTGGGGTCAGTAGTAACATTCCCTTCACCATTCATAATTGTGTTTTTTATATTTTTCTCTTTCCTTCTTAATTAGTATAGCTAGTGGTCTATTTTATTTTTTTTTCAAAAAACTAATTCCTGGATTCATTGATCTTTTGAGTGGTTTTTCCAGATTGTTCATAGTTGGCATATAGAAATGCCACTAATATTTGTATGTTGATTTTGTATCCTGAAACTTTACTGAGTTTGTTTATTCAGTTCTAATAGTTTTCTGGTGAGGACTTCAGGTTTTTCCAAATGTAAGATTATATTATCTGCAAACAAGGAAAATTTGGCTTCTTCCTTTCCAATTTGGATGCCCTTTATTTCTTTCTCTTGTCTGATTGCTCTAGGTGGGACCTCCAGTACTATGTTTGAATAGCGGTGGTGTCAATGGACAAACTTTCCATGTTCCAGATCTTACAGGAAAGGCTTTCAGGTTTTCCCCATTCAGTAGGATACTAGTTGTGAGTCTGTTGTATATGGTTTTTATTATGTTGAGGTATGTTTCTTCTATACCCAGTTTTTTCAGGGTTTTTATTATGAAGGGATGTTGAATGTTATCAAATGTTTTTCAGCATCAATTAAAATGATCACATGGCTTTTGCCCTTCACTCTGTTGATATGATGTGTCATATTGGTTGTTTTGCCTATGTTGAACCATCCTTGCATGTCGGGGATAAATCCCACTTGTCATGATGAATGATCTTTTTAAGTGTTGTTGAATTTTGTTTGCTAGTATTTTGTTGAGGATTTTTGCATCAATATTCATTAGAGATAATGGCCTATGGGTTCTTTATTTGTATTTTTGGATGTGTCTTTGTCTGGCTTTGTTATCAGGGTAATATTGGACTCATAGAATTAATTTGGAAGAATTTCCTCCTCCTCCTGTAATTTTCAGAATGGTTTGAGTAGGATTAGTGCTACTTTTTTTTTTTTAAATGTTTGATAGAATTCAGCAGTGAAACCACTGAGTCTCAGGCTTGTTTTGCTGGCTGGAAGACTTTTTATTATGGCTTCTATCTCATTACTTATTATTGATCTGTTCAGGTTTTGAATTTCTTTATGGTTCAGTCTTAGTTGGTTGTACATATCTAAGAAGTTCTCCATTTCTTCTAGGTTTTCCAATTTATTGGCATATAGTTGCTTATAGTAGCCATTAATAATCCTTTGAATTTCTGCAGAATCAGTTGTAATGTCTTTTTTTCATCTCTGATTTTATTTATTTGGGTCTTCTGTCATTTTTTCTTAGTTAGCCTGACTAAAGGTTTGCCAATTTTGTTTAACTTTTCAAAAAACCAATTTTTTTCATTGATATTTTGTATGATTTTAGTCATTTCGAATTCATTTATTTCTGCTCTGATCTTTAGTATTTCTTTTCTTCTACTAATTATGGTTTTGATTTGCTCTTGCATTTCTAGTTCTTTAAGATGCATTGTTAGGTTTATTTGAAGTTTTTCTTCTTTTTTGATGTAGACACTTATAACCTCTTCTCTTCATACTGCTTTTGCTATATCTCATAGGCTTTGGTATGTTGTGTTTCCATTATCATTTGTTTCAATAAATTTTTCAATTTTCTTCTTAATTTATTGACTCACTGGTCATTCAGGAGCATATTGTTTAATTTCCATGTATTTATGTAGTTTTCAAAATTCCTCATTATTGATTTCTAGCTTTACTCCATTGTGGTCAGAGAAGATGCTTGATATTATTTCAATTTTTTGAATGTTCTGAGACTTATTTTGTAACCTAACATATGGTCTATCCTTCAGAATGATCCAAGTGCTGAGGAAGAATGTGTATTCTGCACCCATTGGATGAAATGTTCTGTAAATATCCATTAGTTCCATTTGGTTTGTAGTGCAGATTAAGTCTGTTTCTTTGTTGATTTTCTGTTTGGAAGAAGATCTGTCCAATGCTGAAAGTGAGGTGTTGAAGTCCCCAGCTCTTATTGCAGTGGGGCCTCTCTCGCTCTCTGGCTCTAATATTATTTTCTTTAAATATCTGGGTGTTCCAGTGTTGGGTGCATAGATATTTACAATTGTTATATCCTCTTACTAAATTGACCCCCTTTACTGTTATATAGTGACCTTTATCCCTTCTTATAGTTTTTGTTTTGAAGCCTATTTTTTCTGCGATAACTATAGCTATTCCTGCTTTTTTTGGTACTATTTGCATAAACAAACAAGCAAGCAAAAAGAAAACTAATAACTCTGCACCTTAACTTCATCTGCCCACTTTTTAACCTTTTGTTTTTCCTATTTATATCTTATTGTACTATGTCTTGAAAACTTACTGTAGTTATTATTTTTTATTGGTTCATTGTTGAGTCGCTCTACTTAAGAGTAGTTTATACACCACACTTAAGAGTAGTTTAAAAACTGTGTACTTGCTATTACTAGTGAGTTTTGTACCTTCAGATGATTTCTTATTGCTCATTAACATCTTTTTCTTTCTCAATAAAGTACTGCCTTTAGCATTTGTAGTATGACAGGTCTGATGTTGATGAAATCCTTGAGCTTTTGTTTGTCTTTTATTTCTCCTTCATGTTTGAAGGATATTTTCACCAGATATACTATTCCAGGGTAAAAGTTTTGTTTTGTTTCCCTTCAGCACTTTAAATATGTCATGCCATGCTCTCCTGGCCTGTAAAGTTTCAACTGAAAAGTCTGCTGCCAGACGTATCAAAGGTCCATTGTATGTTATTTATTTTCTCTTGCTGCGTTTAGGATGATTTCTTTATCCTTGACCTTTGGAAGTTTGATTATTAAATACCTTGAGGTAGTCTTCTATGCATTAAATCTGCTTGTCGTTCTATAACCTTGTTATACTTGGATATTGATATCTTTCTCTAGGTTTGGGATGTTCTCTGTTATTATTACTTTAAATAAACTTTCTGCCCCATCTCTTTCTCTACCTCCTCTTTAAGGCCAATAGCTCTTCAATTTGCCCTTTTGAGGCTATTTTCTAGATCCTGTAGGCATGCTTTTTTTTTAATTATTTTTTCTTTTGTTTCTTCTGACTGTGTATTTTCAAATAACCTGTCTTCAAGCTCACAAATTCTTTCTTCTGCTTGATTAATTCTGCTATTAAGACTCTAATGCATTCTTCAGTATGTCAATTGCATTTTTCAGCTCCAGAATTTCTGCTTGATTCTTTTTAATTATTTTAATTTATTTGTTAAATTTATCTGATAGAATTCTGAATACCTTCTCTATGCTACCTTGAATTTAGTTGAGTTTCCTCAAAACAGTTATTTTGAATCCTGTCTAAAAGTTTACATATCTTTGTCTTTGCAAGACAAAGTCTTTGTAAGACAAAGTCCTCCCCACTCTTCCCTCTCCTCTCCTCAAGCAGAAAGAAGGGGTCTCTTTTGGAGCTGCAAGCTGTGCTGCATGGGGTTAGGTGAAGTGTGCTGCCAGCACTACCCTAGCCACCACAACTGGTGTCTCAGTAGATCACGCACCCTCCCAAGTCCCTTGGCTGTAAGCCCAGTTTAGCACTAGGACTTGCCTAGGAGTTGCAGTCCTTATGGCCTAGACAGCTTTTCAAGTTTATTTAGAGCCCAAAAGCCTTTTAGCCTACAATAGTGATGCTTGTGGGAATTCAAGTTTCAATTGCTGGGGTGGGCAATTCCCCTCTGGTTAGGGCTGGGCTAAATACTCTGTGTACAGGTGTCAGCTGAGTTCATCCCTTTTGCTTTCTGCTATAACAGGGCAGCACTGAGTTCGATGCAATGTTTCACAATTGCTGTCCTTTCTCTCTCCCAAGCACTCGGATTCTCTCTCTGCACCATGCTGCCACTGCTGGAGGAAGGAGGAAGGGTGGTGTTAGCAACCTGAGACTGTTTTTCCTACATTTTCAGTGCCTCTGTCAGTGATACGAAGTTAAAACCAGGCACTGTGTGTTCTCACCTGATTTTTTGGTTCTTATTAAGGTGCTTTTTTGTGTGTAGATAGTTGTTAAATTGGTGTCCTTTTGGGGGAGACCATTGGTGGAGCCATCTATTCTGCCATATCGCTCCACTTCCTCCTCTTAGTAAGCTTTGTTAGCTGTTACATTAAAAACACTAACTTTCAAAGATAATTATATTGTTTGACCCGTGTTCCACCTTTAAGAACTTAGTATAAGGAAACGTGCAAATATATACCAGTTAGGGAAATCAAATAAACACCAGAATTTTAAAAATTTTGACTACATTTGAATAATAGAATATTATGCAGCAATTTAAAAGAATATCATAGGTCCCTGTTTACTGACATGGAAACATGACCTCAACATATTACTAGGTGAAGAAAGATTAAAAAGTAATATGTATAGTTTTACCTCATTTTTGGAAATAATATACCTGCTAGTTATAAATACGTGCATATGGTGATTATAATATTAGCTTATATTTTTTAGAGCAAGGTCTCACTTTGTCACCCATCCCACCTCAGCCTCCCAAATAGGTAGAACTACAGATGTGCATCACCATGCCCAGCTAATTTTTAAAAAATGTTTTGTAGAGACAGGGTCTCCTTATGTAGCCCAGTCTGGTCTCAAACTCCTGGCCTCAAGTGATCCTCCCACTTCAGCCTCCCAATATGTTGGTTGGGATTACAGGTATGAGCCACCATGCCTTGTCAGTAAATCTTTATTAACTATTTTCAGGTACTAAGTTACACATTTTATACATATTAACTCATTAAATCTCCAACCCTAGGTGACAAGTATCATTTTTATTCCCATTTTATAGAAGAGGAAAAATATGCTTACACAGTGAAAGACTGAATAACTTGCCCAAGAATATGAAAAAAAGCATTATCTCTAGAGAATGCTCACAAAAAGAAATGTTAACTATGTTTATCTCTGGGTGATAGAATTTTGCAGGGACTTAAGCAATAATTTTCTATATTTTGAATTTTCCCCAAAAGAATATTAATTTTGTATATATCAGAAAGTTTTATTTTTTAAAACATAGCTTTTTGTTGTCTCATTTGCTTATTCCACAGACATCTCAAAAATTTTTAAATTAATACCAGATGATTTCTAGTATAAAGAGAACTAATTGAAATCAATAATTTCCTTGTGAAATGAAAGCAGCACTTTATACGTAAGTCATGGGAGAGATTTAACGGTTTTATCTAGAGTCCTTTATATTATAGACAAATTATAAAGACCTATTATTTCCACTTACAATCAATTTGAAAGTTGTTCTTTTTAACCACATTTAGAGTGGTAGCAAAGTCACTGGCACCTGGAATTAGATGAAGCATTGAAAAGGAACAAACATTCACAGCTAGTGAACAATTGTTGGCAGACACTCTGCAGTGCATTTTGGAGGCATAAGACAGTCTTCAGTTCAGTGCAGAAAACTAAACCTAGAGAAATATATTTGGTGAAGACTCAGTATTAGACTTTTGAGCAATTAGAAACTGAGAAACTAAGAATTCACTATAACTGTTAAAATTCCCAGTACATAGATGGGATCATTACAGAGCAATAATGGCTAAGGTTGAATGTGAAACAGATTTGCACGCCAGCAACAACTACCAACTTGGATATAGACTGCATCATTTCACAGACCTCAGCTACACTCAGCTAAGAGCCTCAAGAATTCCTTTTAAAGGATACAGGAAATTAATAATAGAACCAAACTATTGAGTATTTTTGTTTTCTTATATTCTCCATAGTAATGCTTTTTAAAACTCTACAATAAACTAAACATAACACTAGGGTAGAATTCTCATTGTGTAGGTGAGATACACTCAACAAAGTGAGCTCAAAATATTGAGCTAAAGGATCTCATCAGTTAATATTATTAGTAGATATTTCACTATCTGTTCCCCTATTGATCATTTTAATCAAGATGCTGCCAATCCAAGAGGGGTGATTCAGTAAGCAGCAAATCTTAGAGAATGGTGCCTCAACAAAGTTTATGCCTGTGTAGCTTTGTTACAAACCACAGCAGCACATTTTCAGATGTGGTTATTTTGGTAGCTAACAAAAAGCCGAGACACTACTGTATCTATAAAAATTAAAGTGTAACAGTTGCCCATTAGAATTGAGTCACCAAGAGCTGTGTATTATAACCCTATACCTTTACAGAATTACAGCAGAATTTCAAGAATTTCAGCATCTCCTCTTCGTTTGGAGTAATTTATTATAAAGTTATTTTCTTCTTGACATTTGAGAGCCAACTTTTACAAATAGCTATAAATCAGGGAAATGAACCTCAGCAACATGGAAAATTATTCTGAACAATGCATAATATCATGGCAGGCTACCAAATCACTGTAAAAATGCCAGAAGGAAGTCATTTGGTTCTAAATGTGAATAAGAATGCTAGTTCACAATGTCCAATCAAGACATATTATATTAGGTGTCCCAAGAGAATACTCTTTAAATACAGCTAAGGTCATAGAGGCTAATGATTTTATCATTGTCAGATCACTCCTCAGTTGGCAGAATACAGACACTTCTTTTACAAACCGAATTTCCCTAGTTTCCTACCATGTTTACAGCAAATCATGGGCAGGGCTGTCATGTTCCAAGCCCACAATTAGTGCTATCTATCTCTTGCTCTAGATTTACTCCCCAAGAATGGCACTCGCTTAAGAACAACAAACTATATCAAGATACAATATCAGCAGGAAGATTACTTAACAACTGTTATTCTATATGTAGTCATTTCACCAGTATGGTTTCAAGATAAAGGGACAACCGACAGGAAAGCTCAGTCTTGATCACTCTTTTCACCTGTATTACCTTTCCGCTTTACCTCATTCTCTTTCATCCATTGCAACTCAATGTAGAGTATGGACTGGCTCTACAGACTTCACCTGGGAGCTTTTAGAAATGCAGTCTCTCAGACTCCACCAAATTTACTGAATCAAAATCTGCATTTTAAGAAAATCCTCCAGGTGATATATATGCACATAAAAGTATATAGGATAGTTTCCTAAAGATATAGTCTGCCCTTCCAACAATTAAAGAAACTTGGGGCATTGATTGTTTTTGGTACTTTCATTTCTACATCTCCCCTAGCATTTAATAAATAATCCAGAATAAACCTTCTTCACTCAAGTCAAAATAAAACAAATAAATAACCAACATATGTTTAACCCTTTACAATGTACAAAATGCTTTCATAATCATACCCACTCGGTGCTCATAGCATAGGCGTGTGTTTCATGATTCTCATTTTATCCATTAAAATATCACGACTGATAAAAATGACATGCCCCAAATCATATAAAACTAGTTTATTGAGTCCAAGTTTGGCACTTTTGCTACTGTACCATGATTGGACAGAAAATCTGAAAACAGAATGGCAGTGAAGGTGAATAAATTTAGGACATAAAATAAATTTGAAAGTCCTTGGAAAAAGTTGATGGAAAATTAATTATGTCGTTTTGTAGTCCCATTATCTAAGACTCCATCCTCTGATGGCAGGGACATACAAACAAATCTCTTAGATTTTCTTACAGCTATTCAGCCTCTTCCTGCTTGGGAGCTAAACATAGTCATGAGCAAGGGAGGAGAGGAAAACAAGCTGTGCATGCCCCAGGCTCTCCCTGCGAGTGACCCTTACAAGCACATAAGCAGGAACCAGCGGGGAGACTTAGCAGTCAAGCTGTAGCCCCACCATAAGTCCTCTAGGAAATTCCTGGTACCCATTCTTACCTAGTCCATGTTTTGCACCAGTCAATCAGATATGATACGACCACCATGTTTTCTGGCAAGATCTTCTCCCGGGAAAAAGTCACACTTGCTTTATATAGATTTCTGCATTTGTCCAATTTTCTCCACAGCTTACTTATTACCCTTCTACAACAGGAAAGTTTCAGCTTCTCTTTTTGGGATTTCCTCATTAGAAAAAGACAGGCAAGTTTTTCTGAGAAGTTTCTCTGTCAAAGCCATTGCCAGGCCTTGTCACAGATCTTCATGTTCTGACATGACACATTCCACCACACAGGGAGCTGTACACGGTGTGCATGAAAATGTCAGATGCTGACCTGTGGGCTGTAGCCTTTGAGCCCAGGCATTCCATTCCAAACTGTATGCAAGTCTTAGGCAGGTCATCACGAAAGGGCAAAAAGAGAACATCTTTAAAAAAAAAAAAAAAAGAGAGAAACCCAATTTTATTATCAACTCCGAAGGCTTTCCTTTTGAAAATTTTAGGGTGAAAGGTGATTTGGCAATTTGGGAAGTTACTGAGTCAATTTGAGAATGCACACTTTCTTGATATAATTTTCAAAATGCTGTCCTCAATATTTGAGGATCGGGTCAGCACACTAAATGGCTGGTAAAGATTCCAAGGCATATCTCAAGCATCTGTGCTTTAAGGGGATGCATTGAAAACACGGAAGGGCTGACGCCATGGCTATGTGCTCAACATGATGGGATTTCCAGATATAGAATTGCACGACTCCTCAGGGATTCATGTTGGAAAAGAGCCCTATACTCAAGATGGAGAAAACAAACCTTCTTAAGTCCAGCAGAACTAGGAATGGATAATTTTTCCAATTACAAAGTAAACATATCCACAGCTAAATGTGGGAGAGACAACGTGTCCTCAAAATTAAAGAGAGATCTGTTTTAGAATCACTCAATTAAAGACTGGCGACATCCAGGATTTCCTAAATAAGGTTAAGATTAATCATGTCCTAGTATTTTTTGCACTTTACATTTCAGTAATTTGCTATACACATTTCTGAAAGACTTTATTCTAGGGGCTTCTGCTTGTATATATTCCCACTTGGCCATCAAACTTCAGTGTTTTGTATTTCTTTTAATTTCTATTATTTAACAGGTTTTTTTTAAAAAAAATAGAAGGTACAGTGAACATGAGGAAGCATAAGTAATAGTTCTAAGCCACAAGACTTTCCCAAATTATCCAGCAAATAAATATATTGGTTCCTACTAGCCTTGCCATTTATGTTGAACAGACCAACATATTTTCTGCCCCAGAACTGTGTTCTCTAAAATTCTCTTCTCCTGTCTCTTTCTATGTCTGCAGCTTTTCCCTCTGGTTTCTGCTTAAATGTCCTGAAAGGACTTCCCTCACATCATCTAAAACAGAAGCCCCTGTTACTCACTGTCAGAATATACTATTTATTTTCTATCATTTAGCATAATCTTTTTTTTATTTTTGTTTGTTTGTTTGTTTGTTTTGAGACAGAGTCTTGCTCTGTCCCCCAGGCTGGAGTGCAGTGGCGCAATCTTGGGTCACTGCAACCTCTGCCTCCCAGGTTCAGTGATTCTCATAGCACAATCTTTTATTACCTTTTGTGTTTACTTGCTTATTGCCCATCTCCCCCAGTAGCATGCAAAATGTTGAGGACTGGAATCTTGTCTGTCTTTATTATTCTTATATACCCAGCTTCTAGTCTAGAACACAGTAGGTGTTCCAGCAAATATATTTCAAATGAATGAAGGGATGTTTCGGTGTTGCTTATGTGTATAGTCCTAATGTTAAGGCTTTAAAGATTTACTGGCTCTCCTACCATCATTTTTTTAAACCAAACCCAACTTTTTCATCAAAAATTTTCTTCACCTACCACATACACACTATGATACAATGTGGCCATTTTAGCCTGAGAGGCATCTCCTGAATTTAATAAATAAATGGTCCTCTTGAGTCTGAAATCTGACTTAAAGATAAAAACAGCCACTTCTCTCTAAGGGATAAAGTTGTTGCAGAATAAAACACTCACTTCTTAACTATTGAATGCAACCAATGACAAACTATTTTTTAGAATAACACTAACTCAATTGGTTTTTAAAAATGTTTCATTCATTCAAAAACTCTGATTTAAGATTCATCAAGCCAACAAATACTCCTGAGACTTCTCTCATGGTTAATGTGATTGCTCCCAATTTGCAATTGGGCAGATTCAGGCACAGACATATCAGGCAGCTTTTCAGATGAAAATTACACAGAACATCAGGAATAGCTTTCATCTACCCAATTCACAGTACACAGACATCCACAAGCCTGGGACCATTTATAAAATACTGCAGGTATCAGATTTACATGTGGCTATCACCTAGCATCCTGTCTCCTACTGAGTAAGAGGCTATTTGTTCTAGTATCTGTTCTTCTCTCTTCTCTCCCACTGATGACACTGATTTTTAGTTGGGTACATGGCCACCAACAGTAAAGATGACATTTGCGGTTCCTGTGTAGCTATATCTAATTACTTCCCCACTTTGAGATAAGATGTGAATAAAAATAGTTCAGGTTACCTAAAAGGGCTGTCTCATTAAAGGAAGGCGGTATCTTCCCTTTTTGTTTTATCCCTTTCCTGCTGTCTGGAATGTGAACTTAGTGGTGAGCCGTTTTCTATCGTAGAGATGAGGATAACATCCTAGGGATAGAGGAACAGGAGGATGAAAGGACCTGGGGCCCCTGCTGGCTTCATGAAGAGAGGCTGCTATATGACTTAGGTTTGAATATGAGAGCAAAACAACTTCCATCTTATTTATGCCCCTTTTATTATAGCTACCAAGTCTACATCCCACATGTTATGCCCACACAGAATTCTCGTATACATTTTTTCCAAAACTCTGAGTAAAATAATTTGCTTGATTTTAGCTTCAAATTCTTCTTCTTTCCAGCCTTCTCTTCTCCCTGGAATTCTGTGGGTATTCCTAGGGTATAGAATAACTGAATACACTTTGGAATGAGAGCTATCTTCAATATAATAAGGGAATGACTTTATCAGCGCTGGAAAGTGGCCTAAGATAACATTCTCTGTCAGTTTGGGCTTTATTATGAGGAGTTGTGTTCCTGTTGAGGGCAACTTTTCAGTAATGGACAAGTCTTTTCTCTCAAAGGGGTTGAAAAGAACAGATTGAGACAAGTATTTAAAACACAACTTCCATGTCTCAGAAGACACCAAGATGCAGAGAATTCTGAACTTGAGTCTTTGTGAACGAAACTTTCTGACTTTTAGAACACAGAAGTATACCAAGAATTGTTGAAATCAAACCTTTGCAGAAAGCCCTGGAGGAGCAGGGGGAAATGCTTACATATTATCTGTTTCAAGAACATCTGTATTTGATCACTTTGAGAATCTTTTCTTTAGTCACAATTCAGAAATAATATTGGATATAATCATATTCCTTAGAAATGGATAAATTCTGAACCCTCAAGCTAACATGGATTAGGTGCTTACTATGGACTAAGTGCTTTGCATGTAGCAATGTGTTCAAGTATGAGGAAACTGAGGCACAGAGAGGTTAAATAACTGCCCGAGGTCCTGCAGCTGAAAGATTGCAGAGATAGGCTGTCGAAGATGACTCTAGAATTTCTAGTCTAGAAGACTAAACTCCTGCAAGACTTCATTATAAAACTCAACATTTGTTAGATTTCATAAGCAGACCCCAAGAAAGAATAAGGGCTAGCGGCTACAGGGACATTAATCACTCTCCTATCCAACCTCAGTCATTCCTTTCCTCAAACTCTGAGGCTGTAGTTTGTCCTGTTGAAAGTGATTATCTTTGTTGTTCTGCCTGCAAACTATGGGCCACACGTGGGAGAAAAATGTTTATTTTTTCACTTGAAGTCTGATAACTGTATCTAAAATCATTTGTACATTTGGCCACAGAATGTGACATTTCTTTTTTCTCACTTCCTGCAAGGTAAGGACAAAGACATAAAAGAACTGGAGAGTACTCCAAGCTACCCTTTGTACCAGCCATCTTTTGCATCAATACACAGGCTTATAAACTTTTACAGAGCAAAGCTTCAGTGGTTTCCAGGTTGCACATCAATCAGTGTGTTTAAAATACCATGCAGCATCACCAAAGATGCCTCTGTTCATAACTCCTGCCTCAGCAGTTCCCTTAAAATTGCTGAGAAGTAGAGGTAGGTGAAAAAAATTGGCTGTCAGCAAATTCACTGCCGTCAACACTAGCCAACACACTGGCTAAGAACCAGCTGAGAGTGTCATGCCCTTTTCCAATCCTGACTTCAATCTTTACTGGAATTGACTGCATTTGTCCTAGAGAAACCATGGAACAAAGGCAGTAGCTAGGGAAGTGTGAGCTGAATGCAAACAGAGTTAGCATACTTTCCACTGTGGTGATAGTTAGATATTCATTCACAGGCACTGAAATTTGCACAGCCTTTACAAATCCAGGGATTTTTTAAAAAACAAAATGTTCAACTGTTTCATGCATGCATAATGATTATCTTTCTGTGGCCTAGCTAGCACAGTCACCCAAAGATTTCTTTGAAGCATAGTAAGAATAATATCATCATGAAATTTGACCATAGAAAGGAATATAAGCCCATGTGTGGTGGCTCACATCTGTACTCCCAGCACTTTGGGAGGCAGAGGCGGGCGGATCACTTGAGGCCAGGAGTTAGGGACCAGCCTGGCCAACATGGTGAAACACCATCTCTACTAAAACACACGCACACAATAGCTGGGTGTGGTGGCATGTGCCTGTAATCTCAGCTCTCAGGAAGCTGAGGCAGGAGAATCACTTGAACCCAGGAAGCAGAGGTTGCAGTGAGCTGAGATTGCGCCACTGCAATCCAGCCTGGGTGACAGAGCAAGGCTCAAAAAACAAGAAAAAAACAAAGAAAGAAAGGAATGTGAGATTTATCTAGCTTGTGTTAGTCATCAGTGCTTCTTATCAATTGTTTGCATGTTGTCCCCTTTCGGGGCACGCAGCAAGTCCCGTTATTGGGTATATGTGACATTTTCTTGGGGATATGTGACATTTCTTGAATAGAAGGGACATATGATGCTCTTATGCTGTGTCTTTAGCTGCTGGTGCAAGATCTTCTATGATTCTCTTTGCTCCTTGGTACAGTAACCAACTATTTTGGCATGGTGGCTATACTTTGTTGAGCTTGGATTCTTGAGGAAATGAAATGTGTAAACATCCAACCAACACTTAATTGAATGTGTCCTCAGTGAGAAATACTTTTTGGTTTTTGTCATTCATTTACATGCAGGTTATTGGCTATGACAGCACAACCCATACTAACCTGATGGATACAGAAAATAGTATCTATAAATAGGGTTCTGTACCAAACTAAAATATATAGTATTGGTTTACAAACCAAACAGTGGCTGGCAAGGAAACTGTTCTTTGGAGTCCACAGGATGGCAGTCTGTGCTTTTCACTGGCAAACCTTCAGTAAATCCTTACTTGAGATAAACTGGAAGCATATAAGGTACTTAATGAACTCAAGGTCTTAGGAAGAGGTTTGAAACTGAATACGGGTAGGATGCATTGGTTGCTTTGCTTAGCATTTGACAAGGTAGTGAGCCTGAATCCCTAAGTGATTACCCAACCCAGGATCTGCCAATCCCATGATAGACATGTGAAAACCTTTGTTATTTAATACAACTGAAATTTTAGGTGTGTGAGCAAAACTAACCTTATCCTGACCGAAATGTAGTTCAATTCGCCTTATTTTACAATGAAAAAGTTGAAGGGTATTTGGTGAATTCTCCAATGTTTCAAAGCTATTAAAGACAGAGCTGACAAAAACCAGTGTGTTTTTGTCACTGTAGACCACTGTGTATCCATTTTGGCACCAAACAGGACACTCTGCAAATAAGATCTTTCTCTTTGGACTCTTGTCAAAGTTGGTGTACAAAAGGTCCATAAAAACTTACCTGAGAAAATGCGGGATGTGCTAAAAAGGCAAGAACAGGAGGTCATAGTCTAATATTCCAGTCAATGAGAAGGAAGATGAAACAGAAACCCCTACAAGGCACACAGGAAATACACCCTCATTCATTCTTCAGAAATAAGCATCTAAAAATGACAGAAGAGAAATATAAACTGTTTATGTGACTTCCCCATTCAACACTGAAGAGCAGAGGCTTTATATACAAGAAACAACTAAACATTCAAAAATAGAATATAAACTTTTGTTCTTGGCAAGCAGTATCTCAGACTCTGCTGGGTGTTTCAAAAGAATTTGTGTCTCTCCATGTTTTCATGTCTTACCTCCTATTGAGTAAAACCACAACAAAAGTTTGAGGTCAAATGAGAAGGAGTGTTTGATATAGCTTGGCCTGCTCTAATTTGTGGATTGGAATAACGGCAGTCTTTCCCTGAGATCAAAAGAATGTTTCCAGGAGGTGTCTGCTAGTTTTCACACAAAATGTTTCTCATGAGGATGTTTCACAAGGTCTTCTCTGGAACATGATCCTTTCAGTCCAAGTGGAGATAAATTCTTTATTTACTTAGCAACACAATGACAAGTTATCTAATCCAAACATATGTCCCTACTAGAACCAAGAAAATTATTGAAAACTAAGTTATCAGAAGAGATCTTTCAGATCCTCATTTCCTTCAGTTACCAATGAGAGAAATTTGTGTTCCTTGAGAGTTTCAGTGAGTGAATGGGACCAAACCACATTTAAAATGGTCAGAAAAATATGGTGCCATCAATGAAAAATCATTTCAATGATGAAATGATTCTGACATTACCTTTCTCACTCTCTCATCAGTTCACCTCCAACCACCAAAAAAACTGAATAAATGAATGCAGGGATTATATTCTTATTCTAAAGTTCCATTTTTCGTGCAATTTCTCATGGAACATGGCAGATTATTTTATAGTCATGCTCTGGCGGCACTTCAGCATTTTAATAAGCATTTCTAACAATACTAATGCAATACATAGCCAAGGAGGTAGCCAGTTCCTCTCTTTCTAAATCAGTTAAGCCTCATCTTCTTGTCTCTAGCTTTGGAAATGTCTCCTTCTACTACTTCTTCAACTTTCCCTCAGCAGCACTTCTGAATTTTTTCTTTGAATTTATTCCACATTTCTCTATGTCTGCTTTCCCCAGAGCATATATAAGTTTTGAGATTTGTTCTTGACTCTGATTGTAAACATGACAGGATAAACATACAAGTTTTCAAACAAAAAATATTTTGTCTTAAAATAAATAATATGCTTTGTGTGTTCTCAAGCAGGAATATTTTTCTTTTGTTTGACTTAGCATTCCCTTTCCTGAAGTCCTGGATAGATTCAATACTGACACAATCCTGAACTGATTTCAAGTCACCAAATTACAGAAATAGAGTGTGCTTTGACATTTCTCCCCCCACCCCATGAATCCCCTGTCACTTTTTCTGACTCAGTCACTCCAAACGAAATAATGCCCTACCACCAAACAGCATTAAAAAGACACCTCTGAGAAAATTCAAATAGATATTATTTTCACTGACACAAGATTCGGCTGAATGTTTTAATTAACTGTACAGAGGGGTCGAGTTCTTTTTATTATTATCATTATTTAAACCAAGAATTCTCAAATTAAGACCTTCTGAATCAAATTTAACCAACTGCCTATTTTTATTGGGCCCACAAGCTAAGAATAACATTTATATTTTAGAGTAATTTTTAAAAATCAGAAGGAGAATAATATTTGGTGACCCACAAGGAAATTACATGAAATCAGCGTATTAGTATTCAAATAATTTTTATTGGAACACAGCCATACCTATTCATTTACGTGTTATCTATTATTGTTTTTGTACTAAAACAACAGTGTTGAGGAGTTGCAACAGAGGCCACATAGCCTAACAAGCTGGAAATATTTACTATCTTCCACTTATTGAAAAAGACAGCCAACATTTGATTTCAAACTACCTGACTTCACTGTTTAAAAATGATAAAAGAGGGTGTGAATCCTGAAAAATAAGTTTTTCTTTAATCAAGGAAAAATTGAAAACATATGCATCAAAGATTTGACTATTTCTTTACAGACGAAATAAGAGCTAGAGTTATGCAATTCCAAATAAGGAATTCGGAATCGTAAGACCAAGACTGAACCCAAGTTTCTTTACACACTGATGGTTTTGACTAAGTTACTTTACTTTTCTTTCATGTATCCATTAAAAATGTATTGAATTCAAACCATGAACGAGATACAGACCCTCTCCTCCAAAGTTCTTAGGTTTGTTGTAAAGATTAAATATGTTTGAAAGCACTCTGGAAAATTTTTCAAGTACTATATGAAAATTAGTAATTGTTCATATGTTTTGAAGTCATAAGTTTGTAGGAGTATTTGTCTTTGGTCAAATCAGATCTTACAAAGCTTAGGAGACCTTTAGAAAACTTCTGCTGCCTTTTAATAGGTGAGGGGTATTTTATTCTACTCTTTAACATTTTTTTCTTGATGTCATGTTAGCTATGCAATACCCCTTCTTTAATAATGTATTCCTTATTTAGCATGTGATCCAACCACATTACTCTATTCACTATGCACATAAGATGCAATTTAAGAGACAAACTGAACAATAATATTGGTCAAACTGGCTTCTTGTTTATCTTTTGATAGGCTGAAATTGACTTTCTTTAAAAGAGAAATTATTGGTAAAGCACTTTTATCTTGCCAGTTAAGGATGGTTTGTATTTTCATATGCTGTTATGTAAACACTTTAAGAACTATTTAGATCTTATATTAAAAGTAAAAGCATTTCAGATTTATGTTAAAGTTTTTGATAAGGGTATTTGGAAGAAAACTATGTTTATATTTTCCATTAAAGAAATACTTATTAAATACTATTATTAAAAAATATTCATTCTGCATTAATTATACTTTTAATTTTTTAAGAAGAAATGACTGGAGTAACATCAACAGGAGGGAAAAATAGTCATTTTCAACACTCACTCTCACAGAAACGTCAATTTGAATAATCGTCCACATATGAAAATACTTTCACAAGAGCTAAGGAACCCAGGTGAGATTACTGCACCTGGATGGAGCACAGAAATAAGAAAGTACACACTGAAGAGAGTAGAAAAGTAAGTTTCACATTATCTATGTCACCTCTCCCCAAACTCTGCATAGTGTAGCATGGAGAAAAATACCTTCCATATGGGAAAAGAAAAATGAAGTGAGTACCTGACTTTTCTGTAGCTCCCAAACGCTAGGCCCATAACAGTGAACCGTGGCATCAACCTGCCCCTTGTGGCTCCAGGCCCACCACAGTACTGCACCATTCCTGGTGGACCCATGCTCCAGGCTAGCCCTCATGGCCCAAAGACTTCCCCCACAACCCCAGGCACCAGGCCCACCTACCCACTGATGCAGAAACCAGGCTAGCCAGATTAAGGTCTCCTGCAGCAAGCCTACCCATGGGTCCTGGCAGCTGGCCCACCCAGAAGGGCTCTCCCTGTCAAAGTCAGTCTATAAAGACTAAAATAGGTACCTACTTCGTCAAGTGTGCACACATCAATACAATACTATGAAGATAATGATAATCAGGGAAACTTGACACTTCTAAAGGAACAAAATAAATAACCAGTAAATGACCCTAAGGAAATGAATATCTATAAACTTCTTGACAAAGATTTCAAACTAATCACCTTAAAAAAGCTCAGTAAGCTACAAGAGAAAAGAGATAGATAACTAAACGAAATCAGGAAAACAGTACATGAAGAAATGGGAAATTCAACAAAGATGGAAACAATAAAAAATGAACCAAACAGTTCTGGAGCTGAAGAACATAATGACTGAAATGAAAAATTCCATAGAGAGCTTCAACAGCAGATTTAATTAAGCAGAAGAAAGAATCAGCAAACTTGAAGACAGGTCATTTGAAATTAACCAATCAGAAGAATAAAAAGAAAAAGGAATGAAAAACAGTAAAGAAAATCTAGAGGACTTATAGGACACCATCAAGTGAACCAATATACACATTGTTGAAATTGCAGAAAGACCAGAGAAAGAAATATTGGCAGAAAGCTTATTTAATGAAATAATGACAGAAAACTCATCAAATCTGGAGGGATAAATGAACATTCAGGTCCATGAATTCCAAAGAACCCCAAAGAGATTAAACATAAAGAGATCTTCACCAAGTTACAGTATAACCAAATTATCAAAGTCAAAGAGAGAATTTTGAAAGCAGTAAGAGAAAACTGACTCATCCCACACAAGGTTATCACCATAAGATTACAGAGGTTTCTCCGCAGAAACTGTAGGCCAGGAGAGAGTGAAATTTCTATTATTTGAATGTTCCCACCAAAACTCATGTTGGAACCTTAATTCCTAGTATGACAATGTTAAGAGGTAGAACTTTTAAGAGGTGGGGCCTAATGGGAGGCCTTTGAGTCATGGGGGCCCTGTCTTTGTGGACAACTTAGTGCCCTGCTTGTCGTGGTGAGTGAGCTCTCACTCTTGTGAGACTAGATTAGTTCATGTGAAAATAGCTTCGTTCCTGTGAGAGCAGGTTGTTATAAAGTGAGGATATTTCTTGTGTTTTGCCCCTTTTCAAACATGCCTGCTGCCTCTTTGAACTGTTGCCATGTTATCATGCAGCATCAAAACCTTTACCAAAAGCCAGCAGCATACCCTTGAACTTCACATCCTGCAGAACAGTGAACTAAATATGTCTGTTTTCATTATAAATAACCCAGTCTCAGGTATGCTGTTATAGCAACACAAACCAGACTAAGACAGAAAATTGCTATCGAGGAGTAGGGTATTGCTATAATTAAATCTGAAAATGTGGAAGTGACTTTAGAACTGTGTAATGGGCAAAAGTTGGAAAAGTTTGGAGGATAGAAGTGAAATTATGATCAACGTCAGAGAAATACAAAAGATTATAAGAAAATACTATCAACAATAATACGTCAAAAAACAAAGAACCTAACAGAAATAAGTCCTAGACACATGTAATCTACAATGATTGAACCCAATCACTCTCTGCAGTCATTCCCCTAAGAGCAGAGTCATTCTCCCAAAGCTTCACATCTATGATGGTTCTTAACATTTCTTGGGTCATGGTTCTATTTAAGAACCTGATGAAAAACCAGACACTTTCCCACAGAAAGGTCACAGACATATGTATACTTATAGTCATTAAAAGTCTCAAGACCATTTCAGTGTCTTCATGGACCTCACCTGTGCAGCTGACTCCACTACATTAATTCCACCAGAGGGAGTTTTATGTCTTGGCTCCATTTTAGATACATAATTAGGGCCTATTGAGATTACAAGTAAACCTTTCATTTTTTTCATTTTTTTTTTTTTCAGCAACTAAACCATTTTAACAGAACATCAGGGTGGAGTCCATACCTGATAACATGCAGGAAGAAAGCTGTCATTTCTGGAACTTTTCCATGACCTGAGGGAAGTAGTGAAGAACCAAGAAGTTGGGTTTTGGCCAATTTTTATCTGACTGGAACATCAAGCTTAGGAATGCTTTTTCAGGAGATAGAATAATACTGTATAATATCTTTGCTATCCCACTCTAATAATCCCCAGACTGTATTTCCCAGGAGTAAGAGTTGATAAGACATTTCTCCCTCTAATACGGGAGTAATACAGAATTCCAAAATTTATACTCACTAAAGAGTAATGAAGGAGCACTGCAAATAAATGTTCCATCGAGGACAGGAACTATGCAAAACAACTCTTGTAGCATTCAAGTATCCCTCTCGCTTTCCTCTGGAACCACTCCCCCGGCAAGTGTTGTGATCAACCTTTTACCATGACCTGCCTACAACAAGCTGTGATGTCCTCTTGCTTTCTCCTAGAAAATATTCTGTAATAAACTGAAAGAGAATTTAAACCTGCTGTATAGAGAAAATGCACCTATCTAATCCATTGTTAATACCTTGAGGGTATTTACATTTGGTAGAAGAGGTATTTTGGGAAGACGGGATTTCTGGTACTTTAGAATCCATTTAGTAGCCCCTTGTGTGAGGTGAGCTTTTTTGCTCCTACCAACTCTATCTGGAATATCACAATTCAAAAAGGGAAATGGTTACAGCTGTTGATTGGATTTTTCCATTTCCATGCCAGTGCCAAGAATAAATCTAGAAAACATGAGGGACATTTGGGGCACTTCTTTTCCTAGCATTTCTGGAAAAAAAGATACACGTTAACTTCCGAAGTGTAAAAGAAGCCTCCACTTCCTATGCACTATTAGGTATTTTTAAGATTCCCTTCAGTCACCTCATTCTATAGTAACAACAGGAAGTCGTTGAATCAAAAAAAAATTATTTTATTTTTTAATAGCAACACCACAAGTCAGTTTCTCTATTTCCATCTGATGACTACCCTATCCCTATTCTATGACTTTTGAGAAAACAGCCCATAGCTATTTCAATATGCAATCATTCTTTTAGCTTCAATCACTGCATCCACTACGGGCCATTTTTCAAAAGTCGAGATAACAAAACTTTGATTTGCTTCCCTTTGGTTCAGAAAAACATGCCCTGTGTCACGCAAACCGGGAAGGTCTCTCTAAAGCTGCTTGCCAGAAGTGGTCATCATCCTGACAATTGAACTCTCAGTATCCAGCCTTACTTCAACTGGACGAGAATAACTACCTCTGCAGCTGCAGAGTCAAAACACCCCTAGAGTTTTTGTTATCGTTTAAAAATAGTAAAATAAAAAAGAATGGACACAGTGTAATTTATCAAGAGAGAAGGGAAGTTTGGGAAGGAACTAGAAATAATCGTGGAGAAGGTCCCATGGAGTTCTTAAATTACTCAGTCTTTTTATGTGTTTAAATAAGCTTGAAAAATGATCATCAGTTCATAAAATTTGTATCTCCAGGCTCACAATTAGCATTGTCCCCTCTCTTTTCTAACCATATCCACATCCCTTATGCCCACTTTCATTGCTTCCTATTCTTTAACCTCTCTGTCTATTCTAGCAACAAAACCCGAGTTTTTCAGTAATTTTATTTAACCAAGAGAACATAAGTACCACTCAGTAAATATTTTCTCAGTGTTTCATATCTTATACTCCCCCCATATACAAACTTTCAAGAAAACTAAATTTAAAGGGAATTAAGAGCCGGGAGCAGTGGCTCATGCCTGCAATCCCAGCACTTTGGGAGGCTGAGGTGGGCGGATTACAAGGTCAGGACTTCAAGACCAGCCTGGCCAAGATGGTGCAACCCCGTCTCTACTAAAAATACAAAAAAATTAGCCAGGTGTGGTGGTGGGCATCTGTAATCCCAGCTACTCAGGAGGCTGCTTGATTCCGGGAGGCAGAGGTTGCAGTGAACCGAGATGCCGCCACTGCACTCCAGCCTGGATGACAAAGGAAGACTCTGTCTCAAAAAAAAAAAAAAAATAATAATAATAATAATAAAAAGAATTAAGAACACTTTAAAACAGGAATCTTTAAGGTATTCTGTATATTTGCATATGATAGTAAATGTGACATTGGTTTTGTTAATTGATAATTTTTTGTCAAATAGATAATTTTATTTTATTGTTTCTAATATTCTTGCCCTTAAAAAAATTTTTTTTTTTACTTAAGTTCTGGAATACATGTGCAGAACGTGTCGATTTGTTACATAGATATACATGTGCCATGGTGGTTTGCTGCACCTATCAACCCATCATCTACATTAGGTTTTCTCCTAATGCTATCCCTCCCCTTGCCCCCCATCACCTGACAGGGCCCAGTGTGTGATGTTCCCCTCCTTGTGCCCGTATGTTCTCATTGTTCACCTCCCACCTATGAGTGAGAACATGTGGTGTTTAGTTTTCTGTTACTGTGTTAGTTTGCTGAGGATGATAGTTTCCAGCTTCATTCATGTCCCTGCAAAGGACATGAACTTATTCTTTTTTATGGCTGCATAGTATTCCATGGTGTACATGTGCCACATTTTCTTATCCAGTCTATCATTGATGGGCATTTGGGTTGGTTCCAAGTCTTTGCTATTGTGAATAGTGCTGCAAGAAACATACATGTGCATGTGTCTTTATAGTAGAATGATTTATAATCCTTTGGGTATATACCCAGTAATGGGATTGCTGGGTCAAATGGTATTTCTAGTTCTAGATCCTTGAGGAATCTCCACACTGTCTTCTACAATGGTTGAACTAATTTACACTCCCACCAACAGTATAAAAGCGTTCCTATTTCTCCACATCCTCTCAAGCATCTGTTGTTTCTTGGCTTTTTAATGATCGCCATTCTAACTGGCATGAGATGATATCTCACTGTGGTTTTGATTTGCATTTCTCTAATGACCAGTGATGATGAGCTTTTTTTCATGTTTGTTTGCCACATAAATGTCTTCTTTTGAGAAGTGTCAGTTCATATCCTTTGCTCACTTTTTGATGGGGTTATTTTTTTCTTGTAAATTTGTGTAAGTTCCTTGTAGATTCTGGATATTAGCCCCTTGTCAGATGGATAAATTACAAAAACTTTCTCCCATTCTGTAGGTTGCCTGTTCACTCTGATGATAGTTTCTTTTGCTGTGCAGAAGCTCTTTAGTTTAATTAGATCCCATTTGTCAATTTTGGCTTTTTTATTTTTTATTTAATAGAGTAAAAATTAAAATCAGTTTTACTTCATTATTTCAATAGCTTCAAGGATTAGTCTTGGGAAACTAAGACATTGACTCCAAGATTTGCTCCTGGCAGTTGATAGTCTGTTTCTTGAAAAGTGGATCAATTTCATTATTTTTAAACATATCTATGGCCTGATCTTCTTTAGACTTTTACAGATTTTCTGTTTATTCATTTGTTTGTTGTTTGTTTTTATAAGACAGGATCTCTCTCTGTCACCCATGCTGGAGTGCATTGGCATGATGACAGGGCTCACTGCAACCTTGACTTCCTGGGCTCAAGAGTTCCTCCCATCTCAGCCTCCCAGAGTAACTGGGACTGCAGGCACATACTGTAACACCTGGCTAATTTCTCTGCATTTTTTGTAAAGATGGGGTTTCGCCATGTTGCCCAGGCTGGTCTTGAACTCCTGAGCTCAAGAGATCCACCCGCCTCAGCCTCCTGAAGTGCTGGGATTACAGGTGTGAGCCACTGTACCCTGCTTCCAGATGTTTTTAATAGGAACTATAAATCAAATGAATTTATTTTTCAGACTTAGTTTATATTTTCCCATGATATCAGCTCATGACATAGTCTTCCTAATAATACACTATCAGAGTCATTTATTTCTTTTGAGTGAATTTCTACCAGCAGCATCATGTGACTTCTATAAATTTACTAATTATTTTTCAAATACTATGCACATAGGACATTTGTGAATAGCCCCAAGGATTAAAATCACCTATTCATATTTTCAGCATCAAATGAAGGGATTCATAATGAAAAGCTGTCATTTTTTTAGAGTACACTATATTATTTCATTCACTCAAACCTCCCTTACAGACCTTGAAGACTGATGATGTCAATATTACTAGGATTATTGCAAGATTGCTAAGTACAGATGCTGGAGATTTGGTGAGTAAATCAGCTGTTCTTCCTTAAAACAAATGGACTGAATCCTAAACTGAAAAGGAAGTATCTATGTGGACCCAATGTGATAAAGATTTCTTGATTTCTGCCAATATCTGAAGTAATTTCCTTCAAAACTGTAGAGAGCTCCTTGAACAATTTGTTTCTTTCTTTCTCCTCCCCACCCCACCCACCATACTTGAATATTTGCCATAGGGGAGGGGCTTTCTCAGAATAAGAATGTGGAGTTGGTTCCAATTCCTTGTTGTTTACCCATCATATTCCAAAAAAGTTCCCAGAAAGCTCAGTGGCTATGACCAAGTGAATTCAGAAAACGAGCTCTAAAAAGCTGGCAGTTAATACAGGTGACATTTGTGCCCTGCTTCTGAATGAAATTGAGAAATCAACACTTGCCTGGGGCTGAACCACCAGGGTGGTTCCAGCATCATTGCAACTCTTATTGCCCATAAATTTAGTCCACTACAATTGGGCTATTTTCACAGAAACTCAGTGGAAGACAAGTAAAGTCAGATTTATAGCCTGGTGGCAAATGACTTGGATCAGGGTCAGGAAAGTAAAGGAGGGAGGGATAGAACTGCTATATCATATCATCATCCTCCAGACACTGGATTGAAGAACCCCAGAGAAGCTGATGTGTAGACTAGTAACAGCATAACTAAACACATTTCTTCATTTACAGTGTTAAGGCATACAGATTGTTTGCAAAAAGCTAATTCAGTACTACAATTTAAACTGTCTTTGGAGAGAGAGAGAAACAATTGAGATTTGTTTACTTTTTATTTTTTAACTTGAAAAGACACTCTTTCAATTAAATATTTTTCTGGTGTAGATCAAAGTAAGTTTAATGCAATCTCAAGGAATAGATCGTAACTGAATTACTTACTGCAAACTGAGAACCAAAAATAGACGGCTAAACTTAGGGATGTTGAGAAAGTCACTTTCTGTAAATAAAGAAATTAAACAAGATTCTTCACAGCTTGATTTAAGTAAGTATTTCTAGAAAATATAAGAAAAAACTAATTTTTATGACACAATTTGGAAAAATTTATGGAACAATCTAAGGTGGTTTTCTATAAAGCAGTCAACCAAAAATGTAACCAATGAAAATGATTCTGAAAACACAGGACATATAACTTATTTTTAAACTGTGTTGGAATAAAGAAGGTATGATATTTAATAATTAGTACACTCAGAAGAATAAGTGTTCCTCCTCATGAAGATCATACACACAAGAGTTAGGTAATAAAATTCCCATTGAATTGTTAGTACTACCAAGGGATCATTTGTCCTCTGATGGTCCAGTCTGTTGTCCTGAGTTTTATCACTTGGATACTGTGTCCTGGCCCTGACCACAAAGCTATTTAACTTCTTTTTCCCTGCTTTTTGGCTTAACATGCCCAATGCATACCATGATTTTCTTTCTTAGCAACTGGTTATTTAATTATTCCAATTTTCTTCCATAATACATTTTAATAAATAATTCTTAGGTAGTATTTATGATATTATATTGTATAATTTCCGTTTAAAATATTATTACAAAACATATAACATATATGAAAGATGATGTGGTTTTATATGTACAGTTTAAAGAATAAATAATTTTTAATGTACCCACCATATAGCTTAGAAACCCCTTGAGTACATTCCCCCCTTATCCCAACCTACTCTGGAGATAAAACTATCATCTTGAATTTTTGAATTAATCATTCCCTTGCCTTTCTTTATAGTTTTATTACTTCTGTATATGTCTCTAAATCATCTATTATTCATACTTTATATATTGTTCAGAGACTGCTTATTTCACTCATGGTATATTTTTGAGATTTTGCCACATTGGTAATTCAGTTTCACTGTTGAGTATCTTTCATTATATGAATACAATATAAGTTACATATCTGGGCTATCAGTGACAACTGTTTGGTTTGTTTCCAGGTTTTTAGTTTACAAACAATGCTGTTGTGAACATTCTTCTACATGCTTCCTTGTATACATGGTGAAGAGTTCCTCGGAGGAACATGCCTAGAAATTGAATTACTGGGTCAGAGAGTTCAAATTTACTAGGTAACGCCAAACCATTCTAAATATTTTTGAGTATACGTTCTCACCAGCAATGGGTGAACATCTCTATTGTTTCATATCTGTGTAAACATCTGATATTACCTGCTTTCTTAATTTTGCCAACTTGGTGAATATGAAATGACTTTAATTTGCATTTTTATGACTAATAAGGTTGGATATCTTTTTATATTTATATAGGTTAAAACAGAGAGCCCAGGAAACAGATCTACACATATGGAAACCTGACTTATGACACAGTAAGCATTGAAAATCATTGAGGCAAAGATAGACTGTAACAGTTTATTCTCCCTGTAGAAAAATAAGTAAATAAAAATAAATCCCTACCTCATAGGGTTTGGGGGTTCTTTTTTGTTGTTTTTTTAAGATAGGATTTCACTCTGTCACCCAGGCTGGAGTGCATGGCATGATGTCAGCTCACTCCAAACTCCATCTCTCGGGTTCAAGCGATTCTCATGCTTCAGCCTCACAAGTAGCTGGGATTACAGGCATGCAACACCACATCCAGCAAATTTTTATATTTTTAGTAGAGATGGGGTTTCACCACATTGGCCAGGCTGGTCTTGAACTTCTGACCTCAAGTGATCCACCCACCTTGGCCTCCCAAAACTCATAGGTTTTTTCAGATCCTATTTATATGTTCATGACTTGATCAACCATGTCCTGGAAAAGTTTACTATGTTTCCATCTATTTCTCCTTGTAGTTCTGGTAGTTTTTACCTTATAATTTATGTGATGTTATGCTAATTGGCATATATATGTTCTTTATTGTGGGTCAAAATGTTTCTCACTATAAAATTTTCTCCATTGTCTTATTTAATTCATTTGCTCTAAATTCAGATATGACTGATGTTAAGATGACAATCCTTGGAGACTGATTCAAAATGGATGACTAGATACCTCCTCCACAGAGAGGAACAAAAATAGGAAGCAGACATCCATGCTTTGAATAGATCATCTAAGAGTGAATACTGGGATTCAACAGAGTGACAGAAAGTACCAAAAGCAAGTAAGGAGAGGGATGCAAGGCAGCTTGCTTTACTAGGACCAGCTGGGAAAGCAGTAAGAAGCTCCCAGATGTGAGGAAAGAGTAAGAGAGAAACCAAACTCTCAGGGCTGCACACTCCTGCCAGTGTTTTACAGTCTTAACTACAAGAGAACCCCTCAACCCATGTGGGCCTCGAGACTAACCTAGGGAGCTGCCTAGAGACTACACGGAGACATTGCTCCAGAGAAGAAACTTATATGGAGTCCCACAAGCATCCAAGCCCACAGCAGCTGCAGCTTGGTGCCCTTCTGAGGATCTAAGCTCTGAAGGTCTGAATCCTACCCTGGAGCCAGGCTGACATTGCCACTGTTGCTGCCAAGCCAAAAAGGGAGAGGAGAGGTCAGGTATTGCCACATACCTTAAGGACAAATCCCACTGCTGCTGCTGTGGACTGCTGTGGGATCGAGGCATGAGTAAACCACACTCCCCATAGCTACCTACCCGCACTGTTTCAGCTGAGAGGGGCACTGTCCTCCTTGGTGGCAGAACTGCAGTGCAGCCACCAGTGCCTGGATCTGAGGATTCTGCCAGCAGCCTCACTTCTGCCTACCACAGTCAGTGCCTGAATGTACTATCAGGGGGCCTGAAAGCCAGACTACCAGCCCAATTGCATCCCCTCAGTACTAGAGCATGCCATTCGGGGAATTACCCATCTCAGGCCAGTCTACCATCATTGGCACCTGATTACTCCTACTGGAGTCTCAGGTCAGGCTGGCCCAACCTAACTATACCACCACAGCTGGAACTCATCCACATGCATCACCAGTGAGCCAGAAGACTGGCCAGCTCAATCTGTTGTAGCAACTACCAACACCAGGATGGACTACTTGGGTTCCAGTAGGTTTCTCTACCATAACTACTGCCATCACCCCAGTTGCTCAGGGGCCCAAGAACACACCCACATGCCCAGTCCACTGCTGCCACTACCAGTATCTAAGCAAGCCACCTGGGGGCCCCAAAATTGGACCTTCTAGACCCACCTCACTAACACTGGTGCCAGTGTCTCTTGGGCCCCCAAACAGGCATGCTCAGCCCACTACCTCCACCACTGGGGCCCAAAGACTAGTCTATCTGGCATTCTAGTCCCCAGCAAAACTTCACCACAGCTTCTACTCATAACCACACCCTAAGCCAAAGAGGAAATCAGGAATACTACTAAACCTGTTTACAGCTGAAGATCACACAACTGCAGGCACCCAAAATCAAAGCCAAAGTACTGTATCCACCAACTTTGTTAATATATATATCTGTCTTCAGGAAAAAGTCTTCTACTAAAAAAGCAATCTCAAAAAATTAAAAGAAGCAACTGTTACACCAGATGTGCAGATATCAATGTAAAAACATAGAAAACATGAAAAAGCAAGAAAATATGATTCCATCAAGGGAACACAATAATTCTCCAGCAAGAGATCCCAATCAAAATGAAATTCCAGTTAAGGAATTCAAAATACTGATTTTAAAGTTTAGTTCGATATGAGAGAATTCTGCAAACCAATACAAAGAAATCAGAAAAACAATTCAGGATGTTAATGAGAAATTTATCAAAAAGATAGATATTTTGTAAAAGAACAATTAGAAATTCTGGAACTGAAGAATCCATTTAATGAAATACGAAATACATTTGAAAGCTTGAACAATAGACTAGATCAAGCAGAAGAAAGAATCTTGAAACTTGAAATATTTTGAAATAAGCCTGTCAGGCAAAAATAAAGGAAAAAAAATTCTAAAGAATGAGCAAAACTTTTTTCACCCTAGGAACAATATAAAGTAGCCAAGTAGTCAAATTATTGGTATCCCTGAGAAAAAAGAGAGAATGAAAGGGTTAGAATATTTATTTAATTAAATAATAGATGAAAACTCCCAAGTCTAGCAAGAGATTTAGATATACAGACATGAGAGGCTCAGCAATTCCAAGGAAGATGTAATGCAAAAAGGTCTTCTTCACAGTACATTACAGTCAGATTGTATGAAGTCAAAGATAAACAGTGAGTCCTAAAAGTATTAAAAGTGTCTAGTCACATATAAAGAAACCTCAACAGATTAATGTGGATTTCTCAGCAGAAACCTAACAGGCTGGAAGAGAATGGGATAATATATATATTCAAAGTGCTGAAAAAAAGGTACCCTATCAACCAAGAATACTGTGTCTAGAAAAATTATCCTTCTTAAATGAAGGAGAAATAAAATACTGAGGGAATTTGTTACCACTAAACTGGCCTACAAGAAATGATCACGGGAGTTCTAAACCTAGAAGTGAAAGGATGACATTTACCTTCATGAAGACACATGATAGTATAAAACTCATTGGTAAAGCAATCATACAAAGGAGGAAGATAATGGATTCAAATGATACCACCACAGAAATCTACCAAATCATAAAGACTAACAATAAGAGAAAAAGAAACTAATAGAGAATATAAAAAATAACCAGAAAATAATTAAGAATGTGAAAATTACAAAGACTCACATATCAATTATAACTTTAAATGTAAAGAATTATATTCTCCCTGCTTAAAAGATACAGAATGGCTGAATGGATTTTTAAAAAATGATCCAACAATAGGTTGCTTACAAAAAAATTCACTTCCCAATAAAGACGTATATAGACTGAAAGTAAACGGATGGAAAAAGATAATCTATGCCAATGGAAACCAAAAGTAAGCAGGAGTAGCTATACTTATATAAGATCAAAAAAGACTAAGTCAACAACAATTAAAAAGACAAAGAAGGTCATTATATAATGATAAAGGGATCGATCCAGCAAGAGGACATAACAATTCTAAATAAATATGCACCCAACAATGGATCACTCAGATGTATAAAGCATATATTGCTGGATCTGAAGACAGAGATAGACCAAAATACATTGATAGCAGGAGACTTCAACATCCTACTCTCAGATTAGACAGATCATCTAGAAGGAAAATAAACAAAGAAACATTGGATTTAAACTGGACTTTAGACCAAATGGACATAACAGACATTTACAGAAATTCTACCCAAAAACTGCAGTATATACTTTCTTTTCATCAGGATATAGAACATTTCCCTGGATTGACCATACGTTAGACTGCAAAAGAAGCCCCAACAAATTTTTAGAAATCAAAATCATGTCAAGTATCTGCTCAGACCATAATTGAATAAAACTAAAATTTAATACCAATAACTTTGGAAACTACACAAATACATGGAAATTAAACAACATGTTCCTGAATGACCATAGGGTCAATGAAGAAGTGAAGATGGAAATCAAAAAATTTCTTGAGACAAATGAAAAGAGAAATACCATGCCAAAGTCTGTGGAATACAGCAAAAGTAATACTAAGAGGGAAGTTTATAGCATTAAATGCCTACATCAAAAAAAGTAGAAAGTTTACAAATTAACAATCTAATAGTTCATGTCAAGGAAGTAGAAAAGCAGGAACAAATGAAATCCAATTTAGCAGAAGAAAACAAATAATAAAGATCAAGGCAGAATTAAATGAAATAAAGACTACAAACAATACAAAGGAAAAATGAAACAAAAAACTGGTTCTTCAGAAAGATAAACAAAATTGATAGACCGCTAGATAGCTTAACCAAGAAAAGAAGAGAGAAGAGCCAAATAAAGTCAGAAGTAAAAAAGGAAATACAAAACTTATCAGAGACTACTATGGACAACTATACACTGACCAACTGGAAAACCTAGAGCTTGATGTACAAAAATCCTTAACAAAATACTACCAAATCGAATCCAACAGCACATCAAAAACATAATATACCACAATCAAATGGGACTTATACCAGGGATGCAGGGATGATTCAACATATGCAAACAATAAACATGATACATTACATCAACAGAATGAAGGATGAAAACCATTTGATCACCTCAATAGATGCAAATAAGCATTTGATAAAATTAAACATCCCTTCAAGATAAAAGCCTTCAACAAACTAGGCATGGAAGGAACATAACTCAAATTAATAGCAGCTATGTATGGAAAACCCATAGCTAACATTGTACTGAATGAGAAAAAGTTGAAAGCATTTCCTGTAAGAACTAAAACAAGATGATGATGCCCACTTTTACCACTCCTAGTCAACATAATACTGGAAGTCCTAGCCAGAGCAGTCAAGCAACAGAAAGAAATAAAGGGCATCCAAATTGGAAAAGTGGTAGTCTCATTGTCCCACTTTGCTGATAATATAATCTTATACTTAGAAAAACCTAAAGACTCTACCAAAAAACTCTTAGAATTGATAAACAAATTCAGTTAAGTTGCAGGATACAAAATAAACCTACCAGAAATCAGTAGTGTGTTTTTTACACTAATAATGATTTAGCTGAGAAAGAAAACAAGAAGAAAAGCCCATTTACAATAGCTATAAGAAAAATAAAATACCTAGTAATAAATCTAAACAAGGAGGTGAAAGATCTCTACAAGGTAAACTTAAAAACACTGATGAGAGAAACACAAACAAATGGAAAAATATCCCATGCTATGGATGAAGAATTAATATCATTAAAATTATCATATTGCACAAAGCAATCTACAGATTTAATGCAATGCTTGTCAAAATATCAACATAATTCTTCCCAGAATTAGAAAAATCATCCTAAATTCATATGGAACCAAAAAAGAGCCTGTATCGCCAAAGCAATACTGAACAAAAAGAACAAAGCTAGAGGCATCACATTATTTGACTTCAAAATGTATTGCAAGGCTATAGTAACCAAAACAGCATAAAAATAGACACATAAACCAATGGAACCAAATATAGAAATAAATCCACTTATTTATAGCCAACCGCTTTTTGATAAAGCCCACAAGAACTTACATTTGGAAAAGGACCACCTTTTCAAAAAATTATGCTAGGAAAATTGGATAGCCACATTCCAAAGAATGAAACTGGACCCCTATCTCTTACCATACACAAAAATAAACTCAAAATGGGCTAAAGACTTAAATGTAAGACATGAAAATATAAAAACACTAGAAGAAAACCTGAAGAAAACTCTCCCGGACATTGGTCTAGGCAAATAATCTATGACTAAGACCTCAAAAGCCCAGGCAACAACAACAAAAAAGGCAAATAGAACTTAATTAAACTAAAAAGTTTCCACACAGCAAAAGAAATACTCGACAGAGTAAACAGACAACCTGTTGAATGGAACGGAATATTTGCAAACTATTCATCTAGCAGGGGACTAATATTCAGAATATACAAGGAATGCAACCACCTCAACAACAACAACAAAATAATCCCATTAAAAAGTGGGCAAAGGAAATGAAGAGACATTTCTCAAAAGAAGACATATAAATAGCCAACAGGTGTATTAAAAAAATACTCAACATTACTTGTCATCTTACCCCAGTCTGAATGGCTATCATTAAAAAGACAAAAAAAAAATAACATATCTTGGTGAGGATGCACAGAAAAGGGAACTGTTATACACTGTTGGTGGAAATGTAAACTAGTCTTCCACTGTAGTTAACACTATGAAGATTTCTAAAATAGCTAAAAGTAGAATTACCGTTTGATACAGCAATCTCACTATTCGTGTCTACAAAATCAATGTATCAATGGGATACCCACACTCACATGTTTATTGCAGATTTATTCACAATAGCAAAGTTGCAAAATCAACCTAAGTATCCATCAATAGATGATTGGATAAGGAAAATGTATATATACACAACAAAATACTTTATTCAGCCACAAAAAAAAGAACGAAATCATGTCATTTAAAACAACATGAATGGAAGGTCATTATCTTAAGTAAAATAAGCCAGGCACAAAAAGACATATCACATGTTCTCACTTACATGTCAGAGTTAAAAAATTTGATCACATGGGGGTGGAGAGTGGAAAGGTAGGTAACAGAGACTAGGAAGGGTGAATATCGGAGAGCAAGGATGAAGAGCAATAGGTTAAAGGGTATACAAGCATACAAATTGATAGAAGGAATAAAGTCATTGTGTGACAGCAGAGTAGGGTGACTATAGTTAAACAAAAATGTATTGTACTTGGGTAATGGACACGCTGAGTACTCTGACTTCATCACTATGCATTATACATACCTAATGAAATTTCACATGTACCCAGAAATTTGTACAAATTTTTAAAAAGATAAAATCAAACACCAAAAAGGATGATTCTTGCTTTCTTTTTGTTTGCATTTGTATAGGTTGCCTTTGCTCTTCCTCTTATTGTCAGCCTTTCTGAATGACTTTGTCAATCTATTCTTAAAACAATGAACTTACTTAATATATGTAACAGATATTTGAGAAAAAATAGACCACAAACCATGTTTTAACCATGAAAAGGACAATCAGAATTCCTGAGAAAATTTCCATCTGTTTTCTTCCTTATAAGCAATAAAGTAAAATGGCGCAGTGCCACCAAAAGCATATTTCCTATGCCCAAGAGGGACAGAGAAGCAAAGGGTTACTTGATTTTCCCACAAAGATATATGGGGGAAGTTCTTTTCATGGTTGTGCATTTGTTTCTTTTTGAACAAAAGTTAATCATTCTTTTTGCTTTTACTTACTGCAAAGTAGAAAATGAATTGTCAAATTGATTTGGACTGGTGGGATATACCAACACCCTGAACTGAATTAGGCTTCTATGGTCTCTCCTTGCTTAAAAATATTTTTGAAGATAACAGCCAAATTTTCATGGAATCTGTTGAAACTGTGTTATTTAATTACTATTTTTTACTTGTTACTCTCCTTTGGCCAACATTTTTCTCTTTAAAAATTATCAGTGTCCATCATTACAATCACATTATACTAAGGACCAATTCATTTATTTATAATCTCATTTAATCCTCACAAGTTTGTGAGAGAGGCATTATAAAATCATTCTTACAAGTGAGGAAACTGAGGTCGAGAGATCTGAAGAATGTTACAAATTCTGTTTATAAATCACAAAGCCATGATTTGAACCCAAGTCTGTCCAACTCCAAATTCTTTCCTCTTCCAATATACCTATGTCTTCACTGTACACACAGAGGCTATACAGGAATATTGGTAGAAAATATCAATACTCTGGACAACAATTTGATATTTTATAATCTTCTGTTCATAGTTATTCTATGCTTTAAATAAAAATGGCCACTATGAATAAAATGGTACTAAATGGTACTACAGAAGACCATAAAAGTGCTCTTTATCCATTGTTTTTTACTATACGAATTGGTTCCTGTACTCTGGCTTATGCTATAAAATGTATATTAATAGCCATCCTTTCACAGGACTACAGCAAGCTACTGGCCACCTTTGGAGGAGTTTTCCTATGCCTAACTTCAACTGATGGTAGTTATATGTTTTAGAATAACATTAGTCATGTTTCACAGATGGAGACCATTGATGAATTAAGAATTAACATTTTCTCCTTTTTCTCTTCCTGGTGCCATTCTTAGTTCCTGGATGATAATTCTGCCTACATCACAAATGCTTTCATCACTTATTTGATACCCACACTTGCCTTGCACTGCTGTACGTAAATATCTTGAACATAAATATCTTGCTTCTTGAGAGTGTTTACCTTTCTAGCATCCTTTTCTTTCTGTAAAGAGAAACCTGATTACCCCTTGGAAAAAACCACTGTCCTTTATTTGCAGAGATGTGATGTGGATGGGCTTAACTCAACCCTAGCTCCAGGATTAAATACTTGACCCAGGTATATTCCAGTCAGTATATTCCATCCCTATTCTCATATTGATTGGATTAAAGCTAGACATGGACTAAATTCAGACCAATGAAGTCATAGCCCTTTCCATCAGAAAAACCAGAGTAGAATAGCTCTTTTGGAGTTGGTGCTGCTGAGAGAATATGGTCTACAGCTGGGCCACTGCAATCATCTTGGGCCACTGGGCCACTGGCAATCTTAATAGAAGCCAATGGGTGATAATAACTCTAAGATAAAAAACTGAAGAGACAAACAAGGGAAATGCACTCTCAATGACATCACTTAAGCCCCTGGATTTAGGGGTGCCTGAAATTTACTTTGAATTTCTTTCTCTTAGAAAAGCCACTTGTTTTAGTGTGAGTTCACTCAGAAGGAGTTGGGTTTTTGTTTTGTTTTCTAAGCCTGCATGTGGCACCTGATTTTTTATCACCAGAAGTAGTTCTCGAGATGAGGCTTATAGTGCAAGTAGTTTATTTAGGTATTGATGTCGTAAAATACTATCAGGGGAGTAGAGAAGTAAGGTAAAGAAAAGAAAAAAGCCAATAAAGTGTGTATTACCAAGCAAAGTGTCATGTTGGGTAACTTGAATTTAATCTCAATAGGAAACTCTAGGACCTGGAGAGACAAGGAGGCTGGGGTATTTGTTCACCAACCCCTGTCATTGGTAGATGGACACTCCTTATTGTTAATTCTAGAGCACTTCCAACCTTTCTCCCCTACATAAGGCCAGAAAGAGCTTACGGGCAAAGGGTGCTGAAAATAAGCAGTTAGGCCAGTGGAAATGGAAATGTGGAAATGTTAGGAGCAGAGATGTTGGCAGGAATTGAATGATCAATTTTCTATTTTAAGTCTGTTTGAATTAGGTTTCCATCAATGAAACTGAAGAATTCTGATGAAAGCCATACACCAGCTAGATATAAGCTCCCTAAGGTAAAATATTCTATCTATGATTCTTTTCTTAATTCAAGCCTTTAATATATAAAGTACAGTGAAAGCTCCATGGCTTATCTTTAAGAGCATATTTTAACCATTGATTCTAGCAGTTATTTTTTGTTTTTGTTTTTTTTAAGAAGAAAGTAAATCTCACATAAACAGAGTTACAGTTAACAAAAAATATAAATTAATTTTCCCCCTGGGGCCTTGAAATTTATGGGAAAGAGCAAAATGTTGACTGAAAAAGCTGACAGTGAGAATCTGTTTATGAAAACATCTGCTTCCTGTTGAGCCTGTGGAACTGAATCAATTAAACCTCTTTGCTTCATAAATTACCCAGTCTCAGGTAGTTCTTCATAGCAGTGTGAGAACAGACTAATACAAATCCCAATGTACTGGGAACTCTGAGATTCATCTTCTACAACTTGACTTTGTGCAGGAACCTGAAGATACTGGGAGCTTTCGTGAAAAAAAGAACTACAGTGAAATACTAGAGTGGGGCACAAAAGTTAAATAAAGGGCTGATACTTGGGGGAGAAAATAAGAGCTAAAGAGACTTGGGGGCCCAGTCTTGCATAATAACCTCATGTAATTTTATTTTTATTGCTCAGACTTATTCCCTAATTTCCCCCTTTTTTAAAATTCTACAGCTTAAACTTCTTGAGACTTGGCAGAAAGCCTTGTTGTTACCCAAAACTTAGACACTTTAAGACAAGAAGGAAATAAGGAAGTACTTCAGGCAAGAGCTAAGTGAAAATTTTTGTGCCACTCACATTTAAAAAAAAAATAGGGGCAGACAAAAATTGGTACAACCACACTTTGGAAAACTGGCAGCATCTACCAAAGCTGAAGATCATATCCCTCATCAGTTAGCATCTCCACTTCTGGGCTTATACCCAACAGAAATGTGTAAGCATATTCACCAAAAGAATGCTCATGGAAACACTATTTATAGTACTTCAAGATTAGAAACCACCCAAATGTCCATAAAGAGTAGAATGGATATAAAAATGGTGATATTCATACAATGGAATACTCTATAGAAATAATAACAACATGCAACAATATGAATAGATCCTACAAACATAACATTGAGTGAAAGGTGCCAAGCATGAAAGATTACATACAGCATGATGCTGTTTACATAAAATACCAAAGCAGGTAAAACTAATGGACACTATGAGGTGTCTGGTTGATAATATTGTTTCTTGGTCTGAGTACCGGTTACACAAGTGGCTCTGTTTGTAAATATTCCTCACTCTGTATGCTTATGACATATGCACATTTCTGTGTATATATCATGCATCAATAAAGAGTGTGTGTGTGTGTGTGTGTGTCTTGTTTTGTTTTGTCTTTATAGCAAACAAAAATATCGCTTTACACAGCTGTTGGGTACAACTCACCTCCAAGGAAACCAATCTCCTCTTGCCTCTGAGGGACTAGATCTTAATCTCATTATCACTTAAGTTTTCCGTATTTTCAACCTGATAATTCAGGGAAATAGTTGCCTTGACCCTTACCTCCTGAATAACCGCCACAGCAACGCTTTCCTCCCCAAGTGTGGATTCATCTTCACCACTACCTCCCCTCCACCCTGGAATTAAAATCTCACCCCAGGGGTAATAGGGACACCTGTCATCTCAAGTACAGATTAACCCGCCAGAGCACCTGTGTCCTCCATCCTCCACCTTCTTCTCTGAATGTACACATTTAGCTCTGACACCTATCATGCACAGCCTCTCAGCAACTGCTGAAATCAGCCTCGCTTGGGTCTGGAGTGCACCTCAGGGTTTAGCCCATCTCTGCCTCTCCGATAGCTATGCTAGGCCCCTGCAGAAGAGATCAGAACCTCATTACCCCTCGCTGTTCTTGCAGCTAACACAATAAAGCAAAATAATTAGGAATTCTGCATTCAATCACATGTTGACTACAACTCAGCATTCAGCATTTACAAATGTGCTGATCTGTTATCAGGTACTAATCTGCTTTTCTGTATAAAGAAAAATATCACAATAAATTCAATGAGCTCTCAAGAGAATTGTCTAAATCAATAAGCTTTTTGTTTCTATTTAGACTCCACAATACCCTGTTTGATAAACTAGCTGTGCTAAGCAGTGGCTGAACAACTGATTTTACACTCATGGATGCATAGGTTTGGCTTATGATGAGTATGAAGTAGAATAGAACGAAATTCCTAGAGAGTTCTGAGTCCCCTCAACTCAAGAGGTCCTGTTTCCCGGAAAAAAAAGGATAAAACAATATGCCTTCTTTTTGTCACTCCCTTGCTGCTTAATGTATGTGAAGAACCAGGCATCCATCCCTTCTGGAATAGGGCCTCTCAGCATTTCAAAATAATCTAAAAATGAACAAACCCGGTAATTTTATGCAAATAGAAGTTAGTCCATAAATGCCTCTACTGGGTCTCTGTTTCTGTAAATTCCATTTGTCCTTTCCCTAGCAGTTATGTAGGGGTCAGATATTGCTGGGCAACTGGTTTAATAAACAGATAATGGAGGGGCATTGATGACCCAGAATTAGAATGTTGGAGAATACTTATATTTCTTTCTTTTCTTTTCTTTTTCTTTTTTTTTCTTTTTTCTTTTCTTTTTTTATATTTTTGAGACAGAGTCTGGCTCTGTAACCCCAGCTGGAGTGCAGTGGCATGATCTCGGCTCACTGCAACCCCCACCTCCTTGGTTCAAGTGATTCTCCTGCCTCAGCCCCCTGAGTAGCTGGAATTACAGACATGTGCCACCACACCCGGCTAATTTTTGTATCTTTAGTAGTGATGGGGTTTCATCACATTGGCCAGGCTGGTCTCAAACTCCTGACCTCAAGTGATCTCCCGCCTGGGCCTCCCAAAGTGCTGGGATTACAGGTGTGAGCCATCGTGCCTGGCCTCACTTATATTTCTTAAATTCAGACTTTATTTTGTTTTATTATATTTACTTAAAGGCTAAATTACACTAGGAATTTTACTTCAACACACATAGTTAACTATGTACATAATAAACTACATACATCTACATATACAGAGAAAGTAACTATAAAAACAGGAGCTGTGTTTAGACATCAGGTACTGCGCATACAAGGAGTTGCCAGTGGAAAACCAGCCAAAGATAACCAGTTCCATGCCAGAGCATGTTCACTCAAGGTTTCTCATTCCATCATTATGTTACTTTACATACCGAGGACTTTGTAGTCTGGCCAAATTATAATTTAAATAACCCTTGGTTGATATTAAGCCAGAAACACTAATACTTGAGTTTTTCACTGAAAATTAGATTCTATGGAAATAGGACATAAGTGTGTTCCTCTAAGGGTTGGGCACAGTGACATGGGAAAGGTCCCCAGAAGAAGCTGAGGGTGCTGATGACACATTTTGCTTCCTGAGCATTTTTTTTTCCTGAGGATTAACTGATAGCACCCAAGTGGTTCTCAACCTCTTCACAGCTCACAAGAAGTGCTTTTTATCAAACCCATCCCAGTAGGCTTTGCCTGACCTTGATCTTGAAAAACAGTTCTGATTGTAGAGAGGCCAGATTTCAGCACATCTAGTCCAATCCCACAAAGTCCTACAGGATCTGCCTGCATTCTGCTCCTCCCCTTGCCTCTCTGATTTCATCTCCTGTTACTTGCCTACTTGATCACTTGCTACAAGCTACACAAGGCCCCCTGCTTTCTGGAAAATTTCTGATCCACTCCAGACTCAGAGCCCAGGACCTTTGTACCTGCTGTTCCCTCTGTCTCTACTCCTCCCTGAGATATCTCTGGGGATCATTCCATTACCTTTTTTTTTCTTGTCTTTATTCAAATGTCACCTTAGTGATAATGTCCAATGCTTACTATCTCTTCTTCCTTTATTTTTCTTTAAAGTATTTGATGTCATCTAGTAAACTCTGTATTTTAATTATCTTTTTTTTTCTTGATTTTCTGTCTCTTCTTACTATTAGCCACATGAGAACAGGAATCTTTGTCTCTTTTTGTTTTATTCCTAGCATCTAGCAGTGCACTTGGCACAGGGAAGACACTCAATAATAAATTGTTGAATGAATAAATGAATAGATGAATGATTTAGTCACATAGGCTCGATAAATGAGATTTTGTCTTATCCTTCAGACTTGGATTTTGCTTTGGCAACTTTCCTACATTATCAGCACCTCAAAGACCAGCCCTAGTCCTGTTCTCTTGGGACTTAGATCCTGACTCTGAACCCCTATCTATGTTTCTCTCTCATTGTTTCCTAACAGACTTTTCCCCAGTGCCAATTGCCTGAATGTCTGAACACTTCTATCCCTGGATACCCCCATTATTACAGTGTATTTTTCTGTAGAATCATTCATTACCTGATCTTCTTTTTGTCAACAAATAATTTTTGAGTGAATTCCATATGCTGGGAATTATGCAATATCTTCGGGATGAAAAGAGCAAGGGGACACAGCCTTCAGATATCCAGGACTTATTGTTCCAATACCCTGTTTTGTCTTTCGGCTTAGATCTTAGGTTCTTTATAAACAGTTCTGTCCATCTCCAAAGATGAGAGTCTAGTTTTAGGGCAAAATTCTTTCCCAGTATGCCCTGTACTGCTGTAGCTAACAAGCCACATCTAACAGAGTCAGAAATTAGAGACCAGCCCCGTAGAATGTATGCTGAGAAAAACACCTGAGAACCCTATATTATTGATTTTATATCCTATTGATTTTTTCCTTGGGTTATTTTCAGAAATATTGAGCACTTTCGTTTTAAATAAATTCAAAATTCAAAATTCAAAAATTCAAAAATTCACTTTTGTTTTAAATAAATTCAAAATATCTTAAATAATAAATTTAATTTGAATAAATTCAAAATATCTTCCTCTTCTCCTTCAGGATAGTCTTCACTTAGCAACTTAGGCAATACCAAATTTGTTCCAACAGCCAAAGTTTTCACTCTGTAAATCTGTAACTCTCCCTTTGGCTTAGAAGTGAAAAAAAAACAACAACAACTTGTACTTTTTTAGGCCTCTCTGTTTTTTTTGTACAAGTTACTGCCCTGATGGTTTTGATATTCACCAGATATTTTAATTACTGATAGTCATTACTTTTTTAAAGAGCCCATTTAAAGAACAATCATGAAATATACTCTACTTCATGAGAAATCGATGGTTGCTCTGAAAAACAAAGCTTAATCCAATATGAAGGTCATGTAACAGCTCAGCAGATAATTCTGTCTAAACACATTCCTTATCTGCGTATTGCCAAAACCATTAGCATCTTGAGCTCACAAGTCCTCTACAACCAAACACATTCACCGAATGCAAATGTCTTCTACTTACGTTTGCTTGCTTTTTCCAGGAAGAATGATGGAAGGGACAATACTCTGTGCTTCACCATTGCCTGCGTGCTGAATGAGTGTATTTATTGGTTCAGTGGCTAACCATTCAATTGCAGTCTTCACTCATGCTGCAGGGTTACCATGTTAAGCACAGCACACAGAATCAGAAGAAATATGTTCAGGGTTTTTAATCTTTCAGCCCACAGATTGCCCACTGTACATGAGTAAGGTTTTACAACCACATTATAACCAGAAATGAGCTTTCTTCTAATGTAGATCCAAGTTAAATATACTCTATTACAAATAATTGCTTTCCTTAATCTAACTAATGGCATGGTTATGCTGAAGGCTAAGGAAAGGCAGCCAAAGCAGTGGTGCCCATTCTGCATACATGCAGGGCAGAGTCCTGGCTGACCACTTCTCAGTTCAGGCCAGACTCACTTTGTATTCCCATGTATCCTGAAGTTTCAGCCCTAAAAAAGAAAATCCTCAAAATGGTGTGAGTCTTAACAAATATTCCTTCAAAACTAGCCTGAGCAACATCATGAGACCTTGTCTCTACAAAAAATAAATAAATTAGTTGGGCATGGTGGCACACGCCTGTAGTCCCAGCTACTTGGGAGGCTGATGTGGGAGGATCACTTAAGCCAACAAGTTCAAGATTAAAACGAGCTATGACTACACCACTGCACTCCAGCCTGGGCGACAGAGTGAGACCCATCTCAAATAAATAAATAAAAATAAATATTCTTAATAACATACCTTAATATTATTTAATAAGTACAGCTAATAAATATCCCCTAGCTTTATTGTTTCTAGACCTCAGAGAACTCACAATTTCCATCATCTGACAACAGTGAGAGAATGAATTTAATCATTTTAAGGCCCAAGTAAAATACCCCATTTTCTTCTTCCATTTTTCTGGATCAGTCCATGAGTAATGTTTTCTCTCTGTGACCTTCAATCCTTTTTTCTCCCATGACTATTTTTCCTAGACCACTTTTCTCTTTGTCTTAATAAAAACCTTCCCAGACACGGCTACTTCACCAAGTTCCCAATGGGTCTTCCTTTCCCTTCGTTATTAACATTGTGATAGAGTAGGTACAATGCTCACTGCTTTCATTCCTCTCTTCATAGTTGCTTCTTAACTCCCTGGCCCTGTCATTTGAATTCCACAGTCATTAATTAATTACACTTCCAAAGACACCAGTGGATTTTTCAATATCAAACACATTCTACTGAGTCACCAGGCTTCTTCAGCATTTGACACTGTTAATTTTCCCTCCTTTGTGAAATTTTTCTCCCTTGGTTTGTGTTACTACTTACTGGCTTCTTTCTTAACTGTGCCCTCTTTATTCCTTTCTGCATCCCTCCTCAAATATAGACATTTCCCAAGATTCAGGCTTTAGTCTTCTTGTTCTTTTATCTGGCATGCTCTACCTTGATGATCTCATCCAGGGCTTCCACTATCCCTTCTAAAGCAAATCATTCTTGACTTTCTCTCTAGCACTGACATTTCTTCTGAGCTCTTAATCCATATTCCAATTGCTTCCTGTCCATCACTATAAAACTATCAAAGCTGGTAGCATTGATAAACATCTTTCAAATCAAACAATCATTTTCCCAAAAGATATTCCGACTCTCCCATTTACTGTCTTGACAAATGTCATCTGAGTATACACATCACTCCAGAGAGAAACCATCACTCCAGAGAGTAATGGAGTTAACTCCCTCCTATCCTTTATCATTCAATTAGTTCAGTGGCTAAATCCTATTAGCTCTACCCAACTATCCCACCATTATCCCCTCCATCCTATCCTGTCTGCTGTCTCTCAATTCATACCCCCCTGCTCCCTCATGGACCTTTACAATACCTACCAAACAAGATGCCCTTGCTCCAACTTCCCACCTCTCATGCATTTATGCACTTTGAGTTCAGTTACTGTTCTATGGCAATATATAACAGTACTGTAATCCTAAATGGCTCCCTCTACAGGATGAAATTCAAACACTCTGGCTACCTTTCAAGCCCTGTTTGCCTCACACCTTCACAGACAGCCTAAATTCTGGCCACATTTTTCCTTTATTGTTCTCAAATGGACCATCAAACCTCCATCCCTTTTTTAAATCCTATTCTCTTTGTTCAGCATATTCTCCCCACTCTCCGATTTTATCTGCTGAACTCCTACTTGCTGGTCCAAGCCCAGCTTGAAATTCAATTCCTCTTCATGTGATTTCCTGTGTCTTCCATTATCGCCTCATCAGGAGAGTTCACTGCTCCTCATCTGTATTCCCACAGCATTTTGTAGACTGCAAAGACATTCAATATTGAAGCTTCATCTTTTCAGAACTGAACTTAGTACATGACATATATATAGTAAGTGTTCAACGAGATCATTCACTTTGCACGTTTATTGAGCACTTTCTATACACTGGACATTGTTTTAAGTGTTGACAATATAATGGTGGAAAAATCAGACACAATTTCCATCTTCATAGGGCTTACAGCTTAGAGGGAATTATAACCAACAACAACAATAAAGAAACAACAAGTGTTTATTTAGCTTCTTTGCATTCCCTGTGCCTTGTGTAATCTTTGTTAACCTAAGAAATTAACTTCTTACATGTGAAATTGCTAGTTTTCTGAACTACTAATGAATGCATAATTGTCAAGTAATAAGTTTAAAATCATTCGAAAAACAACATTATAGTCATCTGATTCCTAAAGCTTGTTCTATTTTTTTCATAAAAGAGGAAGATTGAAGAAGGGATAAATATGTTAGACGTATGAATATTAAAGCACATTTATGTATACATAAGTGTGTTTATCTGAGGCAGTTGGAGGGATATAAGTGAAAGCAAAAGAGGAATAGATTAGAAGATGTTGAAGAGGCACCACGCTAAGAAAAACAGGCTGCAGATTAGGCCATAATCTTCTATTACATTTTTTTGACAACTTTCCTGATAGTCCCAGACATCTTGGGTTTTCTGTCCAATGTCCTGCAACGTTACTGAATTTTCAAGCAGCTATGTGAATTCTTCCAGGCACTAGTTTGGTCTGCAATTGCATTGTTAGGCAAGCCGAACAAAAGGCAGCCACTCCGTTCTATTGAAAATGAGGACAGCACTAATTAATTTAGAAAGATGGGGGAGTGAAGCAACTCTTGGTGGTACTTCAGATTCATTGTAATTGATGATTCAAATTTCCATAAAATTTTCCCTTAAGAACAAAATACATTATAAACTGCTTGATAATGCTAATCTTCATAACATATGTTTCTTCATCTCAAGGGGTAATTTACTCTTACCATTTATCACACCTAAAAACTCCCAATGCTATAACTAAAACCATATTGTTAAAAAGGCTGAGATAAATCATGCAGGCAGATGGTGGTTTTACAAGCCAAACTATAATCAGGCTTTGAGTCATACCAAACAACTTTCTGACACTCCCAGGCATGACAGGAAGGCTTAAGTGGCACTTTTCTCTGAGAGCCTTTCTGTGGCACAAATTGGAAGGCCCCAGAACACGACCAGCTTGTCTGCTCCTGATGACTGTTAATGAGATCCCAGAATTCAGAACCAGCCAGAGCCTATTTACTCTCCTTTCATGGTCCCCACAGTCCTTTCTATTTGGTCACATCTCCTTTTAGCATGACAAATAGCATTGGTAACATTTCCTGACCAACGTCCCAGTTAAGGCTCTTCCAAGAAACCCAAACACTAGGTCCTCTGTCATCCAGCTCCATTTCATCCCAGTTGAGGTTTCTTTGCTGTATACACAATTTCTTTGAATCCCAGAGATGAGAAAAACTGTGTGTGGTATGGAGAGGGAAGGGAGGATAAACTTAGATATAAAAATAAGACTATTTCAAATGAAATAAAATAAGAAACTGGTTAAATATTTCATATGAGAAAAATGAGTGTTAATATTGTTTGAGTCATTAAGATGAGCCAGGTACTGTACTAAGCATTTATATGTATTGTTTCATTTAATCCTCAACCAACCTACCTATGAAGTAAGTCCTATTATTATTCCCATTGCACAGCTGTGTAAAGAGATTCAGAGATGACACGTAAGTTACTCAAGAACATAAAGCTGGTAAGAGAAGGAGCAAAGACTTGAATGGGCTCCAGATGATGTCAAACGTTTGGCTTTTAGCAGCTTTAGTACTGCTCTTATTAATCCTAGAATCGGCAATATTTCGATTAGTACATAAGCAATTGCAAAAATGTCTTTAATGCTTGTATAATATTTATTAGCCCCAAATGGCATCCTAATACAAGAGAATGTTCTTTTCAAAAGCCTTGTAGATAATAAACCACTGACTGCAGCAATTTGCCTTCATATTCTGTTCTGCATTTCTACTTAGTAACAGTTTGGGGATGCTGTGATAGAGAGGCTACGTCACTTGCTTTCTGTGCTCTGTACCTGCTTTTCAGGCTTGCCCAAATCTGGAGGAGGTCACACTGCATGGGAGATTTCTGACAGTGCCCCCGACTAGTTAACCACTTTAAAGATGTATTATCTGGAACATGGTATCATCACACACTGCTGTGTCATGATCCATCAGGAGATTGTGTTGCAAGGAACATGTTAATAAAATAGAGTTCAAACCCCTAAACAGGAAATTTCTAAACAAATTAGAGCAGAACAGTTTTAAAACGAGCATTTCTTGGACAATTTTTATATGTCAAAAGTGCTAAGCACTTTACAAATATCTTATTCCATTCTCATAAAATCTCTAAGATCTATATTTTATTCTTCCCATTTTACAGATAAGAAAATTGGGACTTAAAGAGGTTCAAAGGCCAAGCATGGTGGCTCCTGCTTGTAATGCCAGCACTTTGGAAGGTCAACATGGGAGAACAGCTTGAGCCCAGGAGAGTTTGAGACCAGCCTGGGTAACATAGTGAGATCTCATCTATACATTTTTTTTCTTTTAATTAGCCAGGTATGTTGTCACATGCCAGTAGTCCCAGCTACTCATGAGGCTGAAGTAGGAGGATCACTTCAGCCTGGAAGGCAGAGGCTTCAGTGAACCATGATTGCACCACTGTGCTCCAGCCTGGGAAACAGAGTAAGACCTTATCTCAAAAAACAAAACAAAAAAGTGGTGGTAAGGGGTTCGGCAATTTGTCCCAGAGTCTTACAGCCATGTAGGTATCAGAACCTAAACCCAAATTCCTATATATATATATTTAAAACATGCATTCTTATCCTTTTTTTTTTGACAAATTCTAATTGTATATAATTATGGGGTAAACAGTGATGTTATGATATATGTATACAGTGTGGAATGATTGAAGCAAGCTAATTACCATATCCATCACCTTAAATGATTATTATTTATTTCTCCCAGCTGCAACTTTGTACCCTCTGACTGACCTCCTCCTACACCATTCTAGTCTCTGCTTCTGAGTTCCATCATTTTGGATTCCACATATAGGTGAGAACATGTGGTATTCATCTTTCTATGCCCATCTTATTTCATTTAGCATAATGTCCTCTAGGTTCATTCATGTTGTCACAAATGACAGAATTTTCTACTTTTTTAAGGAGGAATGGTATTCCATTTTGAATATATACCACATTTCTTTACCCATTCATCTGTTGATGGACACAGGTTGATTCCACAGCTTGGCTATTGCAAGCATTCATATCCTTGATACTACATTACCCCTCATTCACAATCATACTCTAATATGATGTCATGAGTGGTATAGAAAAGAGAGATTTTGTAAAGAACCAGCAATAGGATAAGTTATTAGTATGCACGTGGGAATGTGTGGTACATGTCAGAGTGCCTATTGTATGTGTCAAAGCTGATATAAAGATAAAAGATTCTTTAAAATTGTTATAGAGTAAACTAGGAGACTATGAAATATGATTTGTTCTTTGCTCCATCGTCTAATTCCTAGATATCTTTGGAAAGTAATTCAGCTGTGTTTCATCAGTTTACGATTTGGGGAGAATATTTGACATGTGCCTTTCTCACAGGAGTGTTTTAACAAAAACTAAGATATGGAACAATTATTGTAAATGTTTCTCATTTAATATGTTTATCAGTATCATGCCATGTTATGGAGTTTAAACTATCCTTTAAGCAATAAATTGCTGCTGGATATTTTCAAAGAGAAGCATAACATGACCAAATTCTCATTTTGGGGGTAAAAAACCACTGGTAGAAATATGTGAAAGGAATAATTTTCTTTAAATGCATTGATGTAATAGCAAGGTTATAAAGTGTCTCTGAACACAGGCAGCTGGTGTGAGCTAAGCAAGGAAAAACTGGTAAAGGAAACAAAAGCAAAGCTTCTCAGATTACTGTTTTTCCTTCTGTCTCTGAGAAAGGATCAAACAGGAATTTGAAAGCCAGTTATAAGACTTAGTCACTGCAAAGTTGACAAAAACAAGCAAAGGGGAAAGGACTCCCTATTCAATAAATGTTGCTGGAATAACTGGCTAGCCATATGCAGAACACTGAAACTGGACCCCTTCCTTAGGCCATATATAAAAATCAACTCAAGATGGATTAAAGATTTATGTAAAACCTGAAACTATAAAAATTCTAGAAGAAAACCTAGGAAATACCATTCTGGACATAGGCCCTGGCAAAGATTTCATGACGAAGACCCCAAAAGCAATTGTGACAAAAACAAAAATTGACTAATGGGACCTCATTAAACTAAAGAGTTTCTGCACAGTGAAAGAACTATCAATAGAGTAAACAGACAACCTAAAGAAGGAGAGAAAATATTTGCAAATTATGTATCTGACAAAGGTCTCATATCCAGAATTTATGAGGAACTTAGATAAATAAGCAAAACCAACTCCATTAAAAAATAGTCAAAAGACACGAACAGACACTTCTCAAAACAAGGGCATACGCACAGCCAACAAGTATATGAAAAAATGCTCAATATCACTAATTATTAGAGAAAAGCAAATAAAGACTACAGTGAGCTATCATCTCATACCAGTCAGAATGGCTATTATTTCAAAAAATAACAGATGCTGGTGCCACTGCAGAGAAAAGTGAGTGCTTATACTCTGCTGTTGGTGGGAATGTAAATTAGTTCAACCTAATTTACATCAGGTGGAAATGTAACTGTGGAAAGCAGTCTGAGGATTTCTCAAAGAACTCAAAACAGAACTACCATTCAACCCAGCAATTCTATTACTGGGTATATACCCAAAGGAATATAAATCATTCTACCATAAAGACACATGCATGCATATGTTCATAGCAGCACTATTCACAATAGCAAATACATGGAATCAATCTAAATGTCCATCAATGGTGGACTGGATAAAGGAAATGTAGTACATATACACTATGCAATACTATGCAGCCATAAAATAGAATGAGGCCATGTCCTTTGCAGGAACATGGATGCAGCTGGAGGCCATTATCCTAAACGAATTAATGCAAGAACAGAAAACCAAATACTGAATGTCCTCACTTATAAGTGGGAGCTAAACATTGGGTACACATGGACACAAAGAAGGAAACAGCAGACACTGGTGCTTGCAAGAGGGTGGAGGGTGGAAGGAGAGTGAGGATTGAAAAACTACCTATTGGGTACTATGGTTATTACCTGGGTGATGAAATAATCTGTATGCCAAACCCTTGCATCACACAATTTACCCATGAAATAGCTTGCATATATACCACCCTGAACTTAAATAAAAGTTGGAAAGATAAATAAATAAATAAATAAATAAATAATGAGAATAATGGAATAAAAAAAGACTTAGTTGTTTGGCCTTGGCCCAGTTGCTTAAATTCACCAAGTCACAGTGTTCTCATTTGTGATATTGGAATAATCATAGTACTAACTTCAGAGGGAATTTATGAGCATTAAACAAGTATTTCCTTGTTATTTTGTTTAAATATAAACACTATGTACTGTCAGTGTTTATCTTTTAGTGTTTAACACATTTAGCTCTATTGGTATCAATTATTCTGTGTTTAAAGGAAAAAATCTGCTATGAAAGACTGTGAAGATCAAAGGGGACATGATCCCATAAAGATATACTTGTGTTTCTTCACTTCTAAAGATGTAGGAAGATTAAGTATACTAGCATTAATTATTTACTTTTCTGGTTTGAATTTTAGAAAGAACTGTGAATCTCTCAAACTAGAAAGACTTCTGAGAAAAAATAATTAACATGCCACAGCACCAAATCAGTGAATGAAACTGTATGAATGACAACAGTGTTTAGAAATGAGGTCTGAAATTCCTGTATAAACACTGATGCAAAAGGATATTATTTTTAATGCTAAATTTGTCAATCATTTCACCTTTTAACAAGAATATTTTATTGTGCATGCAACATCTTTTATGTTAATTTGTTGTTTACTACAATAAAACCTCTATCTGCTTTTTTATTCCTGTTAAATGGGGCAGGAAACCGGAAGTCAAATAGCTCACACTGTGTCATTCAGTGAGTCACATAGGGAGAACTCGGTTTGCAGTGGGATCACATGTTCGGGCCAGTGACTTTAAGTGGCTTTCAGCAACATAAGCCCCACTGTTCTGTGTTGCCTCATACAACAGCATCTCCTTCCCCTATCTGAGTTTTTCTTGGCTAAATCATCTCTCACTTCCCTCTCCTGACTACATTGCTACAACAAAAGACAGACTCTCTGAGCCCCTTTATGCCCTAGTCTGAGACTGTGTTAAAGGATACCTATAGAAACTTTGGATAATGCTGTGAAGTCACATTAGAAAAAGTATCCCACATCACACATATGAAACATACGCAACACACACACACATACACCACATGCACACACACACACACACACGCAAACACAATGTGGTACTCTCTTGCTATAGCATTCCTTTTATGTGTGAGACAAGCATCCCAGCCTGAGAAGGAGATATCATGTGAATAGAACAATAATAAATAATAATTTCAATTCTTCTTCTCTGGCAGAAGTCTATGCAACAATATTTAGAGTGTGCTGAGGATCTCAGCATTCTCCCCTTCTGTAAGCCATTTCAAGCTTCTCTATACTATTATCAGAAAAAATTATACCGCTTTCCTGGACACTGCTTCTCTCCGCTGCTCTGTCTTGCACCTTAGATTTCCCTCCAGACTTTTTGAAAAGGAACATTCACGTGTCCATCCATCACCCAAGTTCCAAGTCCTGGGAGATGTCCTTACAGACTCCTCCCCTTCTTCCTCACCCTAAATCCCATCATCTCTTGAATACTAATTGATCAACAGTAGTTCTTATGGTATAGTCCCCAACCAGCAGCATCAAGATCACCTGGGAATCTGTTGTTTATAATTTATTTTGAATCATTTTCCTTGCAGTGACTGCACTTATTGAGGCACATACCATTTCTTGCCCCAACAATTATAGCAACATCCTACTTGGCCTGCCTGCTTCCCATCTTTCACCCCTTAACTCTGTCTTCATCAAACTGTCAGAGAGTATTCTAGGAAGACATGCCCTCCCAAACATAAGATCCCCGAGTGCTTCTTGTTATCTGGGGCAGTATTTTCAAGTCTGCTTGATCATAAGATTAATTAAAAAATTAGATTATGGGGTCCTACCTTAGAATCTCCAGAGTGATTCCTAGGAAATGTGGACCTGCAGATGATCATCTAAATTCCCTTGCCGGGCACACAAGGTTTTCCATAAATTCATTCCTACTTACAGCTCTCATTTTATCCTGCTATTATCTGCCTTGAACATCCTCTTCAAACATACTCTTCCCCCATTTCCTATCCCTCAATTGCCAGTCACTTGGATTAAATCCTCTCCTCTGTGCTCATATAGTACTGAGAGCATTCCTCTATCACTTACTCAGTTATTGTCAAAGCTTGAGTTACTGACACCCCTGGCTGACAACAGTTTAAGTCCTGGCTTACTCATTGATAACATTGCTCCTCTAGTCAGAGTTCCTAGATGCATGCAACAGAAACTGACAGTGGTGAGCTTACCCATACAGGTAATTTACTGAAGAGACATAGCGTGGCTCATAGACTGACAGAAGGTGATGGAGTTAGTCTCCAGGAAACAGTAAAAAATCAAGGAAGCCTAGACAGCCAAGGTCATTCACAGCAACAATCTAAAAGCTACCTGCTTTGATAACAATCGTTGAACACTTGGCGTTGCTAGAGTTGGATTCCTGTTATGCTTGTTCTATCCACAGATAATTTCTCAGCTAGCCTTATGTTTGTATCCTTATCTCAAATCCCAGATAGCTTCATCTCTTTGATTGACCTAAATCATGTCCCCACATTCTAGCTCAGTAGTTCTTATGGTATAGTCCCCAACCGGCAGCATCAAGATCACCTGGGAATTTGTTAGAAACACAAATTCTCAAACCCCCTGGGGATAGGGCTCAGCAATCTATGTTTTAAAAAGTTTTGCATGTGATTTTGATTCATGCTAAGGTTTCATGACTACTGTTATAACCACAGCGAGGCGGGAGGAAGCAGTATTTGGCCACTTCAGTTCCATAATGGGACCAGTGCCCACTTGCTAGGAGATTACTAAAAGGCAGGAAGGATGTTCACAAGTTGTATAGCAAAGAAACAAACAAAAAGAAGCAGATATCCACTGTATGTTTTTACAATCCTCAATTTCAGGAAGACTAGGAATTTCCTAATATCATAAAAGTAATAAGTACTGGAACAATTCAAACTTAGTAACCCCTGTCTCTACTTCTCCATATTCCACATTTTATGACCTATTTTGTCAACGATAAATACCTGATGTTCATTTGAATTTCATCTATGTGAACATGACCTCATATTTTAAAATCAGATATGAAAATAGCTTTGTTTACTGGATTGTTTTAATAGCACCTATTTATTCAAGCTTTGTCTACAACACTGATAAACACGGGGTGTAGCTTTCCCTGGCAGCTGTTTCTGCAGAGTTTATAGAATTAACCATTTAAATATTTGATTTTCACTCAGCTGACATCTTAAAGCATCCATGGGTCCCATTTGACATAATCAACCTCCAACACAAAATGATATCATTTACACAATTATGTTTACTTTAGTATACAATAAATCATCTTTCCACTTAAAAATAGTAACATTATTGTTTTTGTTATTAGGTAATATTTATTTAGTGCTTGACATGTGCTAGGCACCATTTTGAGTTCTTTACATGTCTTACATCATTTATTATTATAACCTTACCAGTTAAGTACGTACACTATTCTCATTTTTATATAAGATAATTGAGAAAAAGTGAGATGAAATAATTTTGACAAATTCACATAGCTAATAAGTGGTGGATCTGGGATCTTATTCAGAGCAGTTGGCTTCATACTAGTCATCCTAACCATATGGTGACCAAGTGTTCCAGTTTTTCTGGGACTAGGGGATTTCTCAGGATGCAGGGCTTTCAATACTAGGATGGTTTGTCTTATTACAATCACTATACCGATCTGCAAAATAAACTTAGGTCTCCTTATTTTTTTAATTTAATGGCATTCAGAATATATCAAGCTGCTATGAACTACATGTTGGTGTCTCCCCTAAAATTCATATGTTGAAGACTAATGCCCAATATGATGGTATTTGGAGTTGGGGCCTGTGGCAGCTTATGAATATAGAGCCCTCACAAATGGAATTAGTGCACATATAAGGAGAAGGAGAGAGCTTCCTCTCTCCCTCTGCTCCATCATATGAAGATACAAGAAGGCATTCATCTGCAAAGCAGGAAGAGTGTGCTCACCAGACATTGGATGTGCCAGCACCTTGATCTTGGACTTCCTGACCTCCAGGACTGTGAGGAATAAATTTCTGCTGGTTAAGTCTCACAGTGTATGGCATTTTTATTATGGCAGCCCAAACTAAGATAGAAGATGCTGGCTGATATCCATTGTTCCAGCAAAAATGGAGCCACATGGGCATACGGGGGCATGCGGGTCTCCAGTGTCTCTATTCTATTTGCAACATTCCAGAGTGTCTATCACTTAATGACAGAAAGGCCCTTTCAGAGGAGAGGATTTACCCGAAAGAGCTTTGCTGTTCTGAAGAAGCCCCTGGATTTCCCCACATATTCCTGTCCAAACGAGGACAAGAGATTCCAAAAGTATGATTTAATATAAATTACTCCAGTGTTTTTCTCCGTAAGAACTTAAAACTCTTTAACAAAAACTTGAACCAGTTTGTAAATGGCAACTATAAAGGAGACAACGGAATAAAAAACTGGAGAGAAGAATAATGAGGAAAGGAAGAGAGAAGAGCTAAAATATTTAGTGGTGATTTAAGTTACTTACCAGAATAGTACTGAGGAAGATAGCACATGCAGTGTTCTTCAAACAACACACAGCACTTTACACTTGCAGAGAGGAGTGCTCCATGATACTGGGGTTATGTCAATAATTCTCACCTCCAAACCTCAGGAAGGAACAGCTGTCAGCCTCCTAATGTAACATTTCAAACATCCTTCCTAGACGTGACTCTTCTGTTAATTGAGACATCCGGTTAGATATCAAAATACTTGCACTTTAAAGAAAGTAAAGGGTCTTAATGAATTTCTTCTGTCCCCATTCACATCTCCACAGACAATCCTTTTAGTTATTTGTTTCTTCTGGTAGTTACTTCTTTAAATGGCTGTTACTGCTAGATAATAATCTTAGGCAGCTAGTTCTAGATTTCTCAGTTTACTTGTTATTTATATATGTTCTGCTCTAGTAAGAAATTATTTAACACATTAACGACAACTTTCACTTGTCCCCAGTGTAGCTATGTCAATATTTGTACTTCTCTGTTGATTACCTTTTTAATTTTAGATAATAATGTAGCTCACCTTTATTGTTCTCTCCACTTTATGAAATAAGGATGTTAGCCCCTTCACTATTCCTTTCCACCTTCTAGCCTCTGACATGTGTACTTGTACTATAACATTTCAAGGCTAATACCATTTACATGCCATCCTATAAACATACTATTTGATGCTTTCACATGGCATGATTCTAAAAGTTAAAAATCAGGCCAGGTGCAGTGGCTCACGCCTGTAATCCCAGCACTTTGGGAGGCCGAGGCAGGCGGATCACGAGGTCAGGAGATCGAGACCATCCTGGCTAATATGGTGAAACCCCGCCTCTACTAAAAATAAAAAAAATTAGCCGGGTGTGGTGGCGGGCGCCTGTAGTCCCAGCTACTCAGGAGGCTGAGGTGGGAGAATGGCGTGAACCCAGGAGGCGGAGCTTTCAGTGAGCCGAGATTGCGCCACTGCACTCCAGTCTGGGCAACAGAGCAAGACAGTCTGAAAAAAAAAAAAATCAATAAAGTGTTTATTTACATCTTTATAATTATGTAAATATTGTTCACTATCCAGTTGAGTGTCATGATTACATTTATTTCCTGTGTTTTTTTAGTTCGAAAATGCTTTCTTATTTCTTTGCATTATTTGTTTATATCATCTTCTTAAGTCATTTTAAGAATACTATAAAATCTCTCAGGCCCCTTTGATTTCCTTGTGATCGCCATCCCAGATCTTCTTACCTCTGGTTTATTCTGACCTGTAGATAGGTTCTCTAGATCAACTGTAGAGCCATCATCATTGTACTTTCCTTTATTAATTTTGTAAATTAAATTTACACTGCCATAGACTATATCTTCCTCTCTCTTCATTCACTCATTCTTTTTGCTGGAGCACATACTCAAGTAACTCCTGAGGAAAGGATAAAAGTTCCAAGTGTTTGCACTTATAAAAATGGCTTTATCATACCCTTGTAGTTAATTGCTAATTTGACTGTATAAACAATTCTAGATGGAAATTATTTTCCCCTTCAAATTTTAAAGGCTTTATTCTAGTGTTTTTTAGTCTGATTTTTTTCCTTAATAACCTACTTTCTTTCACTAGAAATTTTTTAGAATATTTTATGTATCCCTTGTGTTCAAAACTTTCAGTTATGTCTAGTTTTCATTGTGCTGGGAGCTCACTAGATTTTTTTTTTTTTTTTTTGGTTTTGGGTTTTTGTTTGTTTGTTTCATTTGCAGGCTACTGTCCTTCAGTTTGAGGTATTCTCTAAAATATCAGCCTTCAAACTTTTTTTATCCTAGATCTTCTTTACACTCTTAAAAAATATTGGAGACACTAAAGATATTTTGTTTACTGCATCTATCAGTATTTAACATACTAGAAATTTAAATTCAGAAATGTAAAAAATACGCATTAATTTCAAAATATTTTAATAAGAAAATCATTGCATGTTAACATTGATAATATACATTTTTTTGAAAATATACTTCCCAAAACAAAAGGATTAAGGTTAAAAATAGCATTGTTTTTGACAATCTCTATAATATCTTACAAGAAGACAACTGATTCTTGTATTTGCTTCTGCATTCAATCTGTTGAAATATGTCTTTTGGTTATGATAAAGAAAAGGGAGGACCTCAGAGGTCCTCAGATCATACCTTGAGAACTGCTGTTCTAGTTTTTCGATAATTCCTCCTTTCCAATTTTACTAATCTTTTTTATGGAATCCCATTGGTTATATGTTGGATCTCACATATTGATAATTTCATATCTCTGAATTTTACCCTTGTATTCTACAACTCTTCATCCTTTGTAATATTTTCAAGGACACTTCCTTAATTTGAATTCGAACTTATTTGTTTATTTTTGTGTGTGAAAAAAATTTTCAGAGAGGCCTTTCTTATTTCCTCATTATTACTTAGTATACTATCTTCTTTTACTGGATGGAAATTTTTAATGAATCTTTATAAGGATACCAATCAGAGGTTTTTAAAATTCTTTTCTATTCCCTGTATCATTTGTTTTTCAATGGTCACTTTTAAGACTGAGGCAACAGAAAGCTGATTGAGAGACCTGGATATGTGGATGGAATTTGTCAATTACCAGATTTACTTCTGAGATGACAACGCAAGTCAATCATTTCACTGGAGATGACTAAATGTCTGAATGGAATTGGCTTTATCTGGGGGGCACTGATCTCTTTAGTTTTGGACTGGAGTGGTAGTAATGCACATGGTATGTCCAAATCCTAGACAGTCCAGAGATCTGTGGGGCTGATCAGCAACCTCTTTGGCTGTGTTTCTTCTTAGTGTATGCTACACAGTCCTGCTTCTCTCCCACTTCATCAGTTTTCATACTCCATCTACTTCCTATTTCCTTAAAATTTCTTTACATCTCACATTGGTGAGTATTCTTAACTCTATCTTTTTAACTGAAAATTTGTGTCCTCAGTCAGCTATCTTTAAGCAGAGCCATGCTCTTTTACATTTATAATTCATATTTTAATGATTTGCAATTCCTTTTTCAAAACATCTTCACAGTTGTTATTTTATTTTATCCCGATAATGCTCTCCAGAAGTAAATGAGAACAATATGTATTTTCATGTCTAGTTTTTGGGTGATGAAATTGAGTGCAAGAGAACTTGAGTATCTTACCCAGTAATATTCAAGAGATAAAGAAAAAGTTGGAAGTAGGACCTGGATCTACTCATTTCTATCATAGTTTGCTGTCCATTAAATGAAGCTGTTTCATGCAAAAGAATTGGATTTGGTATCAGGAGAGCTCAGTTTAAATTCTGGCCTTACTATTTACTTGATGGGTGAAAACCAGGGTTTTGGTTTCTGCAATTATAAATGGGGATTATAATAATTGTCCTACTTATTCTTCAGAGAGTTGTTATGATTAATAAAATGAGGCAATATTTGTAAAATTGCCTTATAAACTGTATAATTCAATACACATATTAAATATAAATTTCCTAAATAACTAATTGGTATATACTTTAACTTTTTTTATTTTCAAGGTTATTTTCAAGGTAGACTGTGTGAAAGAGTTATTTTACTCATATAGTTCCAAATCCAAAAGAGTAAAAAAAAAAATACAGGAAATGATTGCTTCCATGGCTGCCTCAATCCATCTCATCTCCGTATCTCCTAGCAATGTGTAAGAGTAACTGCTTCCACAAAGCCTTGACAATCTAGTTGTCAAATTTCTGGATTTTTGACATTCTAAAAGAAGTGGAAAATAGTAAAAATGGTTGCTCTGGTTATCTATCACTATATATTAAAAGACCACCTTAAATCAGCTCACAGTGGCTTAAAACAAAACACTTACTTAACTAGTTTCAAATCTTCAGTTTCTCCAAGCTTGACGAGGACAGCTCCCTCCAGGGCCAACTGGGCAGCTCAACTGAGGCTGGAGGCCCTGCCTCCAGGACGGATACTCACATGGCTGGCAAGTCAGTACGGACTGTTGGTTCCTGTCCGCATGGGCCTTCCTACTGAGAAGCTTGTGCTTCCTCACAGCATGGTGGCTGGGTTTTAAGAGAAAGAGACAGAGGAAGTGGAAACTGTGTTTCTTAAAGCCTTGGCTCAGAAATTGGCCCAGTAATACCCCTGCGTAAGCTTTTGGTTGCAAAGCTACAGAACTCAGATTCAAGAGAAAGAGATACAGACTTCACCTCCTAATGGAAAGAGTGTCATATAATTCTGGGGCCATGTTTTGAAACCATAAACATGGTATTATTTGATTCAGCATTTCTCTTTTTATGAGTGCAGATGAGTATCCTCTTATAAATCTAAAGGCCATTTGTATTGCCTGTGCTGTACTCTCTGTTCATATTCTTTGCCTATTTTTTTCCTATGTGTTTAACAGACAGACATCTTTATTTATTTATTTATTTATTTATTTATTTATTTGACAAAGTCTGGCTCTGTCACCCAGGTTGGAGTGCAGCAGCACAATCTTGGCTTTCTGCAAGCTCCACCTCCCGGGTTCAAGCGATCCTCCCATCTCATCCTCCTGAATAGCTGGGATTACAGGTGCGCACCACCATGCCCAGCTCATTTTTGTATATTTCGTAGAGACAGGATTTCACCATGTTGCCCAGGCTGGTCTCAAACTCCTAGGCTCAAGCGATCAGCCCACTTCCTTGGCTTCCCAAAGTGCTGGGATTATGGGCATGAGCCTTTTTTAAGTTGGTGCAAAAGTAAACTTAAATATTAGGTTGGCGAAAAAAAAAACGTAATTGTGGTTTTTGCTATTACTAGTGTGGCAAAAAGCGCAATTACTTTTCCATCAACCTAATATTTATTTGAAGAAGATGCTTACGTAAGAGGGAGGTGAGCTTTTTCTTTGTGATATGAGTTACAAATAATGTTTGTCAGTTTGTCAGTTGTCTGTCCTTTGAATTGGCTTATCAAATTTTTACCTCCACGCAGAAGTTTTTGTTTTGACTTGTTTTAATGTACTTGAATTTTACAATCTTTTCTAAAATGGCTTATGGCTTTGAGTCTGTAATTAGAAAGATCTTCCTCCTTTACAAGAATTTACTAATGTTTTTGCTGTTTGATTTTTTTACATTTAAAATATTAACTCATTAAGAGTAATTTATGTTGATGTATGCATGAGGTATTTTTATTTTTCAAAATGAACTTGACTATTACCTCCACTTCATCTCATCACCCCATTTAAAAAAATTCGGAATGCTTCTTAAGTTATTCCATAAAACATGATGCTGGCTCAGTGCTCTTTTCAGTATTGTTAATGCTGATCAGTTGTTTTTTCTCTTTGGATCCATCAAGTAATGAATTACAGTTCATAATATTGTCTTATATTTCTAAAATAAACCCCACCTTGTAATGACTTATCATTTTTTTAAGAACTACTGAGCTTTATATGCTAGTATTTTCAGATTTTTGTACTTTATTGATAAATGAGATTAGTCTCCATATTCTCCTTTTGGTGTGATCTTTGTCATTTCTTTGTTATCAATGTTATACTTCCTTCATAAAATGCACCTAGAGACTTTTCTTCTTTTTTAATGATCTGAAATAATTTAAGTAACATTGGAATTTTGTGGTCTCTAAATGTTTTGTAGAATTCTCCAGGGAAACCATTTGAAGAAACAAAAGCAACTTTTTTACTTATTTGATTTCCTTTTTAGAACATCTACCTAGATTTTCTATCATCTGGATGAGTACACCATATTTTTCTAGAACATTATTTCTTTCATCCAGGTTTTCACAATTATTTTTGTAAAGTTAAACCAAAAAAAACTCCTGTTATTCTTTTTATTTCCTCTTTTTTTTGTATGAATGTACCTTAATATCTGTAGTCTGAGAATTTTATAAGCTCTTTTTCATGACCTGAAATGTTAAACTATTTGTTTTTATTTCCTATTTTAGAAAGAAAAATTTCCATTGTAATGTTAAGCTCTTCGGCTTTATTTAATTATTGCCACAAAACTCTGCACGATAGATTTATTTAGGCAAAAATTCTGTCCTCTTATGAATATTAAAGTCTACTTTAACCAGACTTAAATGAAATTCTTTCCTAGAAGGACATTTTGGTGATTATGTACTGAGTATTTTAACTGTTCAAATAAGGTCACAAGCCCCTGCCTGACCATCCCTCCCTGCAGGTGCATAAGACATAACACCTGCTATAAACAACACCTTAAGAAAGCTTAAAGGTTTTTATTTAATTTCAGAGACCACCAATGAAAGTCCATGAATTCAATCAACCTGCAAGTTGTTTACTTGAATGGAGGGTATTGGTACATAATTAAACATTCCATGGAACTTGGGATTCTGGATTAATCGCTCAGATTTATAATTCTCAGTGTTTACTTCATATACTTCAATAAACACATTCTTTGTATTTCCATGAGGCTTGTAGTTCTTAGAGACAGTAATAACCTAATTTATTTACTTGAAATGTTTATTTTCATTTACATAGGAAAGAAAGAATATGTTTCCCTACTTTAAGAACATAGAGGCAGCACGAGCTACTGCTTTCTTCTTGAGTCTTGTAAGGCTTGGCTATTTGTTTTCAAAAATGTTGTGACTGATAAGAAAACTGGGCTCAGAGAAGTATAGTGGCTTTTTCTGGGGCACATGGTTATTAATGGCTGAGCTGAGCCTAGAGTTGAAGTTTCTTAATTCCTTCCCCCTCAGATCTTACAGCTTAGTAGTGGAGACAAACACATCAGATGAATACTAGAAAATCAGCCATCATGCTTCATGACAAGATGAAAAAGGAGAACATGATCACTTTCAGACTAGGGAAATTCTGAAGACCTTGCAAGGCAGGTTAGATCTGAGCAGAGTTTTGAAGCTGGGCAGGCTTTGGGAGGAGAACAGAGGACACCCTGCCAGACGGGACCAGCAGAGCAAAGACCTGTGTTTCCCAGGGAAAACCCAGGAGCAAACCCAGGACTCATCCAGGAGCAGGATAGCAGATATGGTGACAGTAGGGGGTATGTGCCAGGAGTAGGGGTTAGAAAAGAGGGAAAGAGGTTCAAGAAAGATCATGGAGAGCTCTGAATTACAGGACGAAGAAATGAAATTTGTCTCTGTAATGGGAAGTTTTAGGGACGCTCCTCTTGGGAGATGAGCTGGAGGACTGGGTCTCAGTGGGTGGAAGGAGACTTACTGTATACACTTTGTACTACTTGAAGTACTTCCATGCACATTTATTACTTTGTAAAAAGAAAAAATAAAAATAAGTCGTTAAAACCACAGCAATGAAAAATTTATCTAAGCAGGAAACTGCCACAAAAGAAAAGGGCAGAATCCTGTGTTGATCAATGCCAGCAAGCTCCATGAAGCAATTCATGAAGCAATTCACCTCTAACACACTCTGGGTTGTATTTTCTCTCCTGGGTAAGAGACAAATGGAAGAGGAAGAAAATTAGCTCAGGAGAAACATCTCTGAGACCTGAAACAATCAATATGATTTGATAGTTTTCCTATCAGGCAATAATTTAAGCTCCAGAGAGAGAGAGAGGTTCAAAAATCTATGGTGTGCCATAACCCTATTAATAAATAATAAAGATAAAAAACAGCTGCTAGAACAGGGCCACAAAGGAGAATAAGTTTAGAGAACATTAAATGAACCCCTCTGCCAAGAAAGTTGTTTCTTATACTTTTGTGTGTAAAGTCAGTGAGTCAGCAAGTTATTCATTTTTGTTTGAAAAGTAGCTGAAGAACATAGCTAGTTCAGAGATCAGAAACCAAGGAATCCTGGAGGAGAAGCATCCTGCCGCTTAGGGGCCTTTACCCAAAGTAACCAGAAAAGCTCTGAATCCAAAATGCTTACAGTGAAACGTGCCCCCATGAAATCCAGCTAATAATAGAGATGTGGTTTAATTACTGTGATTTTAATTTGTGTGTAATGGACACAGTCAAGGAAACAATCAACACAGTAGAGAGACAACCTATGCAATGGGAGAAAACATTTGCAAACCATACATCTGATGAGGGTTCAACATCTCTAAGGAACTCAAACAACTCAATAGTTAGAAAACAAATAACCCAGGTTAAAAATGGGAAACAGATCTGAATAAACATTTCTCAAAAGAAGTCACACAAGTGGCCAACAGGCATATGAAAAATGCCCAATATTACTAATCATCAGAGAAAGCAAATTAAAACCACAATGAGATATCACCTCACACCTGATATAATAACTATTATCAAAAAGACAAAAGATAAATTTTGGTGAGGATGTGGAGAACAGAGAATTCTTGTACATTGTTAGTGTGAATGTCAATTAGTGCTGTACTTATGGGAAATAGCATAAAGGTTCCTCAAAAAATTAAAAATAGAACTACCACATGATCCAGCAATCCTACTTCTGGATACACATACAAAGGAAATGAAATCAGTATGTCAAAGAGATAGCTACACTCCCCTGTTCATTACAGCATTATTCACAATAGCCAAGATATGGACTCAAAATAAGTATCCATCAGTATAGGAATGGATAAAGAAAATATGGTATATATGCACAATGGAGTACTACTTGACCCTGAGAAAACGAAAATGTTGTCATTTGTGACAACATAGATAAATCTAGGAGATATTAAGTGAAATAAACCAGGTACAGAAAAATACTGCATGTTCTCACTTATACTTGGAATCTAAAAACGTTGAACTCATACAAGTAAGGAGTAAAATGGTAGTTACCAGGGAACTGGAGTCGAGGAGGCAATTGAGATGTTGGTCAAAGGACACAAAGTTTAAGTTAGATAGGAGGAATAAGTTAAATAGATTTATCGTAAAACATGGTGACTATAGTTAATATCAATATATTATAGTCTTGAAAATTGCCGAGAAATGTTAAGTATTCTCATTCCCTAAAAAATAAGTATGTTAATTAGCTCAATTTAGCCATTTTACAATGTATACGTATTCCAAAAGGATGTGTTGTATATGATCAGTAAAGATCATTTCTACTTGTCAATTAAAATTATTTTTCATTTGAAAAAAACAGATTTAGTTTTATGTCTGGAATTTTAATCTGTGTGTAATGGACAGACTGGATTTGAGTTATATCTGGGTTCTTGTGATGGTTTTGTGAAAACAGATACCAAGATAGAGTGAAATAGGCTGTGTACACCACTATTGCAAAAAACAATAACTCAACATTTCTTTGGAGTTAACAGCATGAAGATGGCCCTTCTGCATTGAATTAGTTCAATTGATACCAGCCTTCAGTTAAGTAAGAAAAGTTACTTTAAAAAACCAGCTGGCACTCATTTTTACAATTGTTTGTTCCATAGCATTTGTTGTTTAAATGAATTCAGCAAGCTGCCAGCCTGTTCCTTCATATTAATCCTTCCAAGTATTTGAGAGGTTGCCAGAGCATGTCCTGACATTACAAAATCATTAAGTAAAGCATTTTCAGTAACCAGTGTTGGAGAGGAGAGAAAAGGAAATGGGAAGGGAGGGAGGGGAGAGAATGGTAGGGAAGGAAGGGAGGAAGAAAAAGAGAGAGGAGAAAAAAATGGACTGAAAGAAAGAGAATGAATGAATCAACTACAAATCCTACAGAATCCCTTCTGTTCATGTCTTTTTGTTTGCTTCATTTTCCTGTCCCAATAACATTTGTTAAGAATGTGTTAATAAATTTTAAAGGCTATTATTTCTTAAGATAGCTTTATAATAATAACAACTCTTCCTAAAGCCTTCAATTTTAATTTAGGAATGTTGAGTAAAGATGGATGTCCACAGCAGCAAAATGGACACAGGTGCCCTATAAAAGAACCAGGAACCATCTCTTCAGTCACCAGGCTGAGTCACAGCTGCTCTTTGCTTAGCACGCTGATCAGGGGTACAAAGTGATGACTCTCTGGATGAACTTTTCAGGCAGAAGGTCATTCTGTGGGTGATGCAGAAATGACAAAAGGTCAGCAATTCTGTTAGCTTCGTGGTTAAGTTTTCCACGGTCTTGCTTGTTAAGTAGATTATAGTGCTTATTTTCTTCATTATCCAACTAAAGCATGGAAAACAAATGCTCCTTAATCAACAGAGACAGATGAAATATTTCCAAAACCTTTTTAGAAGAATATATTGAACAGAAGAAGCTAATGGAGAAACATGCAGGACTAAATACAACATGTGATTGGTAGCTTATAAATGCCCTGTCATCGCCCTGATTGCCAGATTAATGGGTTTCTCTTTAGATTTCACTGAAATAATTTTAGTTCCTGCCCACCAAGCTGTGAAAAGCTGAGAATATAAGAAATAAATATGTTTTTAAGCTGGTTTGATGTTAGTTCTCATATCTAATGTACGAGCACTCACATTTGCTCTTGGTAAACAAGCAGCAGCAGATAAACAATGGGTAGCAGTTTTCATAGTACTTCTGTGTTTCCAAGCTTGAGTTGTTTTGGAATTTTTGCGTTTATATTTAAGCAGTTAGACACATATATTTAAGTATCAACTGGCTTTTGCTTGCAGGAGTAAGACATGATATCCAAATGTCAATTTTACTCTCCAAATCATGTCATTTTTATGAGGAGATGATTCTTTCCCCTCATTTTAGGAGTTTAGGGATTTGTTTCAAGATTTAACTTAAAAATAATGTCAATAATTGATTATGAGAAAAATTATTAACAGTTGCAGCTCTTTGTGAGAATTTTACAAAAATCTTTTGTGTATAGTTGACTATTATTCAATAATGGCAAAAATAGAAATTATTTTCCCGAGAGGTTTATGACTAATTTTATAACAGTTCCTGGCTCACTTTCCTGTATTTCAGTAACCTCTTCTATAAAATAAAAATATTTGGATGGATAATTTTCAAGATTAATTTTGCTACTAAAATATCTTTCTAATGTTTATATGGTTTAAATAGACAATATGTATTTATTTATATTCTTCCTTAACCTACTGGCCTACTTTAAGTGGCAACTGAAGCAAGATTTCTCTTCAACATTTATGATGTTTCATAATCTCTTCTTCCTGTAATTATATTCCCACATTTTAAATGGCATTATCCATTTCCATCTCTTTGGCCATGAAGCATATATCCTGTTGATGATTCATAATTAGGCCAAACCATTGGTGAGTTTTCATTACCCAAAGTGTCTCTCTCCACTGAGGCAAGGTTTATTTACTCAGTTCTACTTTTGCCAAAGAAGAAACATTCACGCTTCAGAAGGTGCAGCGGAGGGCGTTCACAGTGTTCACAGCGATATGGGGACACTGTCATGTAAACACAGACAAAAACGTCTAAGAGTCAGCCTGAAAAGAATGTTTGCTGAGTGGTTACATTTGATAATTTGTTAAAAGTCAAATAATTAAGTAGATAATCACAGAATGAGTACAAAAGGAGTGAACACAACTATTCTGTAATAACAGTGAAACATTAAAAGGTAACCACCTCATTAAACCCCATTAAATGTACCCCCATGTAGTTCTCATTTCCACAGTCAGAGATCTCAGGCATCTTTTAGTTACTTCTTGATCAACATCAAGCCAGTTACATTAGAACTACAAGGCAGTGCTGAAGTTCAAAACAGGTAAATGTAGAGTAACTAAAAGACAGAATTGTGTTACAAAATTCATTCTAGGCCGGGCGCGGTGGCTCACGCCTGTAATCCCAGCACTTTGGGAGGCCAAGGCGGGGGTATCACGAGGTCAGGAGATGGAGACCATCCTGGCTAACACGGTGAAACCTCGTCTCTACTAAAAATACAAAAAATTAGCCAGGCATGTTAGCAGGCACCTGTAGTTCCAGCTACTCGGGAGGCTGAGGCAGGAGAATGGCGTGAACCTGGGAGGTGGAGGTTGCAGTGAGCCGAGATGTCACCACTGCACTCCCACCTGGGTGACAGAGTGAGACTCTGTCTCAAAAAAAAAAAAAAAAAATTCAGTCTAATACTTTGCTTCTAAGTTGTGGTATTGTGAATACCACAGTCTGTCTCCCGGTATTTGTTCTCCCTTTATTTCAGAGTAATTGAATTTCAATTTTTTAGCTGGGTAAATAGTTTTGTAAATCAAATCTCCATTTCCAGCCTGCCTTGCTGCTTGGTGTAATCATATGATTATGTTCTGGCCAATGAGATGTATGTAGAAATTTCCTCTGGCAGCTTCTTCAAAATTATTTATGAATGAGCTACGGCACCTGTGGCCACTCTTCATCTCTTCCTCCTTCCTTCTGCCTGGAACACAGATGTGATGACTATATCATGTGGATAAGGGCACACATGTGTGAAGGTAGCCTGGCGATGTGAGACAAGGCTGGGTCCCTGGGCCCACCATGGATCAGTCCTGCCATCTCCACACTGCCTTGCCCACCTCTGGACTTAACAAGAAAGCAATAAAATACTATCTTGTTTAAGTCATTGATATTCTAGAACTCTGTGATATGTAGTAAAACCCAGTCTCAACAAATATCACTGGCAAGTAAAAATATAAATGAAATTTTGTAAAAAGTTTATGTAAAGTCATGTGTGACACATCCAAAAATGGACTCTGAAAATAGCTAGAAAGAGTTCTAGTATGTTCCTAATCTGCAGGGTTGAGAGCCAGCAGCTCAACTCTGTCATCCACAAACCAATCCTGTGGTCTTAATTGGGGGATATAATCCTCTTCCGGATCATTACTGGTCTGACTTTCTATTTTAATTCCTATTAACTTCTGAGGACCTTATACAGAGCAGCCTAGTAGCTAAGCCTAATAACCCAGAGCTACCAAAATAACCGTAAATCATTCTAATCAAGACTTTTCCCAGATTACCTTGGAAAATGTCTCTTTTCCTGGCGATCCTACATATCAATAAAACATCTGTGAGAAACTGCTTCTCCTGGATATGGGGAGTAAAAATTTGACTGATGTATTTGATTGATTAAATCATTCCAATTCAGTGTCCTACTGACGATGTTAGCAGTAGATGTTCTGCTGTATTTTCAGAGGGGGTAAATATTCAAAGGTGATGGAATTTTCCACCACTTCTGTATCAGTTTGGATCTGTCCAAGTCTTACTGTTGGACATTGTTTTCCATTTCCTAAATGTCTCAGACATTTCCATTGTTTATATTGATTTGATTTCCTTTGTTCACCTAAGGGATTTTGAGAAAAATAAAAACAGTCCACAATAATTGAAAAGCTCACTTCCTCATAACTTCCTATCATTATCTCTCAGGTTGACAGAAAAGAGAAGCCTCCAAGAATATTTCAGGATATACTTTCTTCCCCTAGTTTTTTTCTTCTTGCACATGGAAGGCACCTTCCTAACTTAGTACTGTCTGTATAAATCACACTTCGTTCACTGGCATACAGTGAAGTAAGATGTTTTCTTATTTCCCCTTTCAGGTAACTGCATCTCATTTACTGCCTGGCAGTCCCTAATTATAGTATTTTTTTCATTTTTATCTTATACAGTAACGACATTGTCCATTTCCAGTGTCAAAAACTTACTTGTCTAACTTGGCATTAATTTATGATCTTAGTTCACAGTGTACCATACACAATCATTAGGAATCACAGTGAAATCACTAGGAATTCCAGTATGTCTTTGCTATTTTAGCCAATGTGTCTGTGTGTGTCCATGTTTCTTTGAAGGACTTCATGACCATCTTTTTCACTTTTAAGACAGAAAAGTGCATTCTATCCCTATGCATTCCAAGCTTTACAGATGAAAGCAAGTTTTGCAAATTTTCCACATTACATTGACTTATCTGAATGTTATTCCCAATAAGCCCTAGAAAATGCAGTTTCTAGTCTGCTTATCCTTAAATACCTACCAATGTATTTATAGATAATTGGCAAACCATTCATCAGGGGAATTGATCAATATAGGAAGCAAGAAAGAGATTGCTGTTCTTCTTTAATTTGCCTTTTTAATTTGCTCTTCTTTAATTTAGAGTAGCTTAAACAGTGACACTTGAAACACAGAAAGTTATCATAGATCTGCAAACAAAAATACACAGCACAGATGGTTGAGCAACAGCCCTAATCACACAATCTGTTTATCATACATATTATAATGCATATTCTTATTTTAGTAGTTTTTAGCTTTATTCTATTTTTGCCATTCATTTCAGGAGCTATCCCACATGTCACCTTCTACATGAAGAGTTCCCTCCGTTAAAGTGAAAAGACAGCCTACACAATAGGAAAAGACATTTGCAAATCATATATCCAATAAGTGATGTGAATTGGGTCATTCTTGTCACACCCAACTAAAACAGAGTCAAGAAGCCATTAGGAGAAGCACTCAGGGAATGTAACAGCACTTTGAGAATGTAATTTTCTGCAAGCCTGGATGCTGAAATTGCCTGCTGTAACCTGAAACCAGTTTTATCTCACGGCTGCTGAAACAACCTGCTGCAATTCTAAGACTGGTTTTACTGCCATAACTCACCAATGAGAGCTTGCCACCTCCCGAAAATTTGACTAATGCCAAAGAACTTTCTGGAAAAACAATACATAACATTTCTCTTTTTTATAAACTCCCAGTCTTCTCTTCATTCTTCGGATATACTGAAGACCATCCTATCTGTATGTATGTCCCTCATTGCAATTCTTGTATCCCAAATAAAATGTTAAATTCAGAAAGTCTTCTGTGTATTTTTATTTTGATTTCAACAGGTGTATGTATCTAAAATATTTAAGGACTCCTGCAAATCAATAATAAAAAGAAAAATAACACGATTTAAACATGGGCAAAGATTTGATAGGTATTTCCCCAAGGAAGATATACAAATGGCTAATGGGCATATGAAAAGACGCTCAACATCATTTGTTATTAGGCAAATCAAGTACACATGACTTCACATCAACTAGGGTGGCTAAAATCAACAATAGGGACAATAACAAGTATTAGAAAGGATGTGAGTCATTGGAACCCTCAAACATAGCTGGTGGGAATGTAAAATAGGGCAGTCACTTCAGAAAACAATTTTGCAGTTTCTCATGGAGTTAAACATAGAGTTGCCATATGACCCAACAATTCTAAGTATTACCCAAGAGACATGAAAATATATGTCCATATCAACCTGCACATGAATGTGTATAGCAGCATTATTTAGAATAGCCAAAAAAGTAGAAATGTCCATCAAATGATGAATGGATAAACAAATGTGGTATATTCATATAATGGAGTATTATTCAGCTATACAAAGGAACCAAGTACTGATACTGGCAACAACATGGGTGAACATTAAAAACATTATGCTAAGTAAAGAAAAGCCAGAAACAAACACATTTTGTGATTCAATTTTTATGAAATGTCCAGAATAGGCAAATCTATAGAGACAGAAAGTAGATTCGAGACAAAAAGTAGAAATCTAAAGAGACAAGAAGTAGAGACTGAAAGTAGGTTGCCAGAAACCTGGGAAGAGGGAAAAGGAGATGACTGCTAATGGGAACAGAGTTTCTTTTCAGGATTGTGATAATGTTCCAGTATCAGATAGTGGTGATGGTTGCACAATTTTGTGAATATATTGAAAACCCTGAGCTGTAAACTTTAAACTAAAAAATATATATTTAAAAATTTGTGGCTGGGTGTAATGGCTCATGCCTATAATCCCAGAACTTTGCATGGCTAAGGCGAGAAGATCACATAAGCCCAGGAGTTCAAGGCCAGCCTGAGCAACAAAGCAAGACCCCGTCTCTACAAAAAATTTAAAAATTAGCTGCGCATGGTGGCATGCACCTATAGTCCCAGTTACTCAGTAGGATTGCCACTTGAACCCAGGAATTCTAGGCTGTGTGAGCTATGATTGTACCACTGCCCCCTAGTCTGGGCAACAGAGCAAGACCCTGTCTCTAAAGAAAAAAAAAATTGCTATCTCACTAATTAGAGACATTCAATCTAAGATGGGTGTGAGATGAGGGATTGAAAGAGAAAAATAATCGGATAGATATGGTACCATGTCATCTGCAGCAAAAGGAAAAGGATATCTTCCCAGTTGCCTTTCCCTTCCTTCTCAAACCCTGTTCTTTCTCAGGCTGCAGTGGGAAATGGAAAGCAGTATATGAGGGGCAAGTGTGATCAAGTATACAGCAAACTGCATCTAATAACAGTATATTACACCTAGATCTGTCACTCCCAGGCTGCTCATGACAGTTATAGAAAGCAAGAGGAAAGGGAAGAGGGGAGGTATTTGCTACCTGGTATTAATAAATATCTAAGGCTCATACAACACGTCGTCCCATAGACGGCATTTCATCCCAGTTTACCCAAATAAAACTTTGCCAGAAGTCAGACAAAACCACTCCATGTGCTCTTGCTCTCATGACCCCTACAGCGGGATGCCTTGAACTAGACTTCAGCATACGCTCTTTTTGTTTTTGGAGATGGAGTCTCTCTCTGTCGCCCAGGCTGAAGTGCAGTAGCACGATCTTGGCTCACTGCAACCTCTGCCTGCTGGGTTCAAGTGATTCTCCTGCCTCAGCCTCCTGAATCACTGGGATTACAGGGGCCCACCACCATGCCCAGTTAATTTTTTGTATTTTTTAGTAGAGACGGGTTTTTGCCATGTTGGCCAGGCTGATCTTGAACTCCTGACCTCAGGTGATCCACCTGCCTTGGCCTCCCAAAGTGCCGGGATTACAGGCTTGAGCAACAGCACCCAGCCAGCATACGCTCTTGAGCTCTATGTTTTGAGGTTACAAGAGACCCTCTCTCTCTCCTGTCAGCTATTAAGGCCTGATTGACATTATTCCAGAGAGCAACTAGTTCTAGGATGCTTTTCTTCGTATCTAATAGACCTACGGGTCTTATAGGGAAAAAATGGAGAACAGGGAACAGCAGGCAGCTGACTGTGCTGAATGTAGAGCTGGAACCACAACCAGTAGTTACCAGTGTCTCACCCTCCTGCAGGAAGGATGCCTGAACCTGACCCACCACCTGCATAGTCTCTATAGCCACTCCTACCATCTGACCTGTAGACTGGAAATGGTTCCAGCCCACATGCTTTTGTCACAGATGCTGCCATATATGGACATGCTGAGCTCTTTCCATTTAGGTAGCAAAAAATGCTGATCTTAATTTTTATTGATCTAGGACAAGGAAAGTAATTTCCATCTTATATTTCACAGCTTGGAAACTTTACCAGACAGCCTGGTCTTTGAGACAAGCAGTCTTGACTCTGCTTCCCTTGGGCAACTTACATTATTAACCTCTTTGAACCTCAGATATCCCCTCTGTAAAATGATAATATCTAATTCAAAAAGTTGTTGTTTGGATTAAATGAAGACAACTACTGTAGAGTACCTAACGCATGTTCTAGCTCATCATCTACTTAGAATGAGTGTCGCCATTATTATTGATGTTCTTGTGTATTTATTTATTTATTTATTTAGAGACACAGTCTCACTCACTCTATTGCCCAGGCTGGAGTGCAGTGGCTCCATCTTGGCTCATTGCAACCTCCACCTCCTGGGCTCAAGCAATTCTCCTTCCTCAGCCTCCCAAGTAGCTGGAACTACAGGTTCGTGCCACTACTCCAGGCTGATTTTTTTGTATTTTTAGTAGAGATGAGGTTTCGCCATGTTGGCCAGGCTGGTCTTGAACTTCTGACCTCAGGTGATCTGCTTGTCTCAGCCTCTCAAAGTGCTGGGATTATAGGCATGAGCCACCATGCCTGGCCTTGTTTATTTTTAGCTGCAAAGTTTCCTAGAAGGAGGAAGGCCAATTCACTAAAAATCAATTCTTGAAATAATCAATTTACAGAATAACCAAAATTTACAAACTGCCATTGTTAGCAGTTTCTATAAACATATTTTATTTTTGATAACATGTAATCAAATACATTCTTTTGTATATTAGCTAAACTAAATTTAATTGGCTACCTTGATAAAATATTCCTAATAGAATGTTAAAATGGTGAGAAATCCTATATTCACTGAAAATGTCATTGTGAACCACTTTTTCCATCCAAAATTTTGGAATTCAGTATGTGACTATTGATTTTTTCATTTATGTATTTATTTATTTATTTTTGAGACGAAGTCTCACTCTGTCACCCAGGCTGGAGTGCAGTGGCACAATCTCTGCTCACTGCAACCTCTGCTTCCCGGGTTCAAGCGATTCTCTTGCTTCAGCCTCTTGAGTAGCTGGGACTACAGGCACGAGCCACCACACCTGGCTAATTTTTTGTATTTTTAGTAGAGATAGTGTTTCGCCATGTTATAATAAAACTATTTTTTCCAAAATGTAAACATACAGAGTATGCTGAAGTCTAGTTCAAGGCATCCCGCTGTAGGGGTCGTGAGAGCAAGAGCACATTTAGTATTATTTCATCAATTCTTCAAGTGGCATAGCAGCCTTAATTTACATTTTTAGCAAGAGATTTCTAATTTAACTAATTTAAATGTTAATATACAGATGATTCAAATTTCAATTAAAATTAAATTGAATGTTTATTAAATTAAAAATTTAAATTTAAAGAGCACATGACATAAATCAGAATTAACCAGGAGTCCTAATCAAAGATAAAATGCTGGCATTTTGGTTTCTAACAAATTCATAAACAGAAAGATGGGTAGCAGTTTGCAGAAAATTTCAACTTAAAAATATAACCCTGCTCAAATCAGTGGAAAGGAAGCAAGGATGTTTAGAAGGGAATACTTTAATGGATCAGATGTCTTGTACATCAAAATAATTTGATATATACTCAGAATCAATGTAAAATTGTAAAGGAAATATTAAAAAGCTAGTTAGAAGTCTGAAAAGTACTAAAATTAAGATCCTAAGTGTTAACAAACTGAAAATGATGTTTACAATTTTCAAACAAAAATCAGTATAAACTGAAAATTTTTCATTTGACATGCTACCTATTGTTTGGACAACTGTGTTCAGAAGAATATGTTTAATCATCATAATTATTATGGACATTTTTCTAAAAGTTGTTAGGCCATTCTTTTTAAAGCTGTTCATTTTCATCAGATTAATCTATGACCTTTGTAAGGGAAGGAAAATCCATGATTTAAAATGCCTTTGCCTTTTTCTTCCTGCACCAGTTGGAGAGAGATGAACTGCAAGCGCCATTCCAGGCTAAAATAACAGGAGGACCTCGTTCCAACCAAGACTGTCCAGATGCTGCTTGATTATAGGAAGTTCTACCCACTTCTCACCAGCCACCAAAACAGAATGACTTTTCATGCCTCATGTCTCTAGGCTCTGACTCTCTGGACTTCCACCTCTATTTCCAGGAAGTAGAACAAAGTTCCAGAAAAGAGAGCCAACTGCTGAGTTGAGCCTTGTCCAGTAATTACTCCTAATTTCCAGTTAGGAAATGAGGAAAAAACTTAATTCACCAAGTGATCGAAATGACCAAGAACCAAATTTACTGATTTACAAAACAAACAAACAAACAAACAAACAAAACATTAAAATGGTTTTAACAGCCTTAAAAGCAATGACTTAACAATGTTTAGAAAAATGTCCAAATACAGTTACTAATGATTAAATGTACTTCTCTGAGCTTAACGTAGTGTCCTTCCCATGAGAGGTATCTGTGGTGAGCGGACTTGGCCCACGGGTTCCACAGGTACAAGTAAAAGACAGAAGCTAAAACACAAGAATCAGAATGGCAGAATCCTGTCAAAGGGAGCACACAGAGGAGAAACTAGAGAGGTGTGGACAGAAGGAGCTAGGAAGGTGAGGAGGCATTAGGCAGTGACTCCGATTCTAATAAGGTCAGTCTAATAAGGTCACTAAATAAGATCAGAGAAGAGGATGAAACTGGATTTGTCAGTTGAATTCCACAGATTGGGTGAGCAAACACTCAGAACAGTGAGGAGATTGTTGCAGGGGATTTGGTTGAGTTAAAGGTAGGAGGGTAGAATTAATACACTCCTTCTTGCAGCCAGCAGTGACATTTTTCCTTCCATTCATTTACAGATTGGGCGGGCAGCCCTACTGGGATGTCATTTCCTCTTTATTGGGTGCCCTTGAAGGTCACCTAGATGAGAGGCAACAGAGAGGCACATGGGCTTTGGAACTGGGATCAGACTTTAGAAGGGACTCTCTGAAGTCAACTTACAGTCTGTGAGACATTGTAACATTTACTTCACCTGCCCAATGAGCATCTGAAATATGAGGATAATTATATCACCTTCATAGAGTTATTGAGCCCAGGACCTGGGATCAGAGATGCAAAGTGCTAGAAATATCTAGTGCTTGATGAACAGCAGATGCTAAATAATAATGATATCAGCCTCCCTTCCTATAGAAATTGTCCCCCTAAATGACTTTGCATCTTACCTTTGATATATCTGGCCTTTACACTTCCTTCAGGAAACCTGATCTCCCTAAACCAGGAAATGAAACATTGGAGATGAGCACTCAACATGTGATTGAGTGCCATGGGTTGCTGCCTGACTCATTTGTTCTTCATATATTCCATCACTGACTTTCTTAATGGCACACATATAAGATTAAACTTGTTTTATTCGTTAGAAAAATAAATTTCCTTACTTATTTTGATGACTTTATAAAAACTGGCTCATAGGTCACTTTTCATAATTGCTCCCATTTGGCTGCCGGTTTATAATTTATAATTACTAGCAATGGCAACTCTTACCTTTGGCAGCACATTAAAAAAAATAGCTGCCAAGTGCCCAGCCAGCTCTCTGCTAAGGCAGCTGCATTTCTGAAAGATACAGTGCCAGAGATCAAATGTTTTGATGACACCATTATAAATTTGGTAGCTAGTCTTCTAGGAGTTTCTAAGGAATTATTCTCTGAAAAGTCTCTGAAGTTTGTTTCCTTTGTGTCTTTTCAGCCTTTTAATTAGGCACTGAATTATCCTCTCTAGTCTAGAAATAGGGGACTCCCAGAGAAAGCACATTGGTCCTTATTGCATCTGTGCAGTATTTCCCAATCCGACATCAATATCCCTGTCCCTAACAGGCCCAAGGCAAATGGTGTTAAGTAATGTGTACCAAAGGCTGTGGCTGTGAGATTTCTCTTTAAGAATTTATATGCACTCTACTGGGGATTTCCCAATGGTTAATACCTCCATGCAGTGGGTCCCAAAACTAGTAAAATTATTGGGAACTTTTGCTTAGGGAATGAAAGGATCAAAATACTGGGAACTTAGAAATGGTTGTTTTTGAGATGACATGTAAACTGTTGAGAGAGAAGCCTTTTCATGCAGCAGAAGGAAACATTCAAAAAGCAGAGAAAGAGGGTGCCTTCTACCAGTGAGCAGGAGTTAGGAGAGGGTTAGGAGACAGGGCAGAGAGAACAAACAGCACATTACCAACGTGTACCCCTTCATGCTTCACTGTTGAGCATTCTCTGTCCCAGCATTTCTTTGTGTGTGTTTTTGTTGTTGGTGGTGTTTTTCTGTATCACCCTTCATGGAGTAATGTGGTTCCTCAACTTGAACATAAACCAAGTAGGGAGGAAAAGGAGCAGTAAAAGACCCACCCTTGTAGTTGTTCAAAGTGCTCTCATTTTCCAGAGTCAAGGAATGACATTTTCTGAATGTATAATCTTTTTTTTTTTTTTTTTTTTTTTTTTTTTTGAGACAGAGTCTCATTCTGTCTCCCAGGCTGGAGGGCAATGGCATGATCTCAGCTCACTGCAAACTCCACCTGCCAGGTTCAAGCAATTCTCACACCTCAGCCTCCCAAGTAGCTGGGATTACAGGGGTGCACCACCACACCCGGGTAATTTCTTTACAGATGGGGTTCCACCATGTTGGCCAGGCTAGTCTCAAACTCATCACTCATCAGGTGATCCACCCACATTGGCCTCCCAAAGTGCTGGGATTACAGGCATGAGCCACTGCCGCCTGGCCTGAAAGTATAATCTTTTGAGATTATGTCCATTTAACTGGTTTCCAGGAGGGAAATCGCTTCAGTAGTTTCAGTTCAGAGGTAAGCATAAAAGTAACTCAAATATTTGGAGTCTGGTTTTTTTCCTTTTTTCTTTTTTCTGAAATAAAGTCATCATATAAAGACAATAAAAAAATATATTGGAAAATTGGTGATACTCTAAGTATCTAACACCTCCTATCTAATAACTTGAAAGTGCTTCCTTTTGAATATCATAACATAAATGTATAACACTTTTCTGTTAGCCTAATAGAATACAGAGGCATTTCCAATTTAAAATGTAAGGTTGACGATTCGCAAGAAATACTCATTAAGTCTCACACTATCTCTTGTTTTCAGTATGATGAAACTTTCCTCTTTGGACTTGCATAAGATCACCAAGGGACCCTTGAGTAGAGGAAGAAAATGTGGTTTTGGTTTATGAACACTTAACCATATAATGCCCTCCCTAATCAGTGTAGCTGTGGCGTTCCCCCCACACCCTCTCCACATGTAAGTTATTTGGCAAACTCCCTGCTAATTGAATTGATAGCTAAATAAGATTCAGACCTTGAAATCTAGAAAAGCCAGACACTATTTTAGCATACACTGCACAGGACTAAAAATATCTCAAGCTGTTATATTTGCATGACCATGAAATTGAATAAAGGAAGATCAAGATCTAGATATATGAGCATGTTTAAATATTATCCTTTAAGTTATTTGCTTAGTTTCTAAGGCATGTTAGTCTCCCTCTGTTTTATCTGTAGTTGTGGGAGGTCTAAATGCAGAGCCAACAGGGAGCACTTTGTGAAGCTCAGCTCTGTAGTGTCAGCAATGAGGGAGTGTTCGTGGGCCTCCTGGCCCTGACTTGGTAGGCAGAGCTGGAGTGCAGTCAGAACTGGTTTCTTTTGCATCTGGCCATTTCTCAGTCTCGCTATTGGCCTACAGAACAACTTTCTGCTGCGGTGGGACAAGCCTGTGTCTTGTTGGCTGGGCAGTACCTGGTGTCGAGAATCTTCCATTCACCATCCAACTTGGTCATCATCACACCACTTCTACTATCTGACACGGCAGGCAGGCAGGCAGCTGTGAACACCTCAGCAGATTCCTGGAAGAAACAAATAAGATTATAGGATTGCAAATGATTTGGCTTTATAGCTCTCAAGTCTATCCAAAACCTGCTAAAGGCCATAGTATTTGCAAACATTCAGGGAAAAAGAGAGAAAAAGAGCAAATTACCTTCCCTTTAGAGGAGGAGAGAAAACATTTGCTCAGTTGCAAAGATAATTAAGAAAGTAGCCAAAACTCTTGGGAGCTGACGCTTTTTGACATAGAGAGTTTCCAAAAACAAAGTGTTACTGATGGCAAGATTAATTTCTTCTTGCATCCCTGTGCATACTTGATGCGGAGTATTTCCAGGGTAAGGCCTGAGGCACTCAGAAGCTAAAGCTCGCCAAAGGATAATTTAATATATCCCGCCTCTCCTCTCCTGACTCTCTCCAGACATTGAAAAGAAAAAAAATGCAGGTTTTTTTCATCCATTACCAGCTGCAGAAGATGCATGTTTGTTATTTGAGGCAGCTGTGTCTTCCCCCTTTAAATCAATGGAAATCTAATGCCATGCAGTGCATGCCAGGTGGAGAAAAATTCATCTCTTGGCATGAATGTCTTGCATCACATAACCCAAAAGAGTGCTGACCTGGGTCCAAGGAAAAAGTAATCCTTCTTCTAGTCAAGTGAGGATACCCATAGAGTCTTTTGCCAACATAATACTTCAACTCTCCCCCAAGTCCTGAGTGCCCTGGCTCTCTCTAGCCAGCTTTTAGTGGTCAGCTTCCACCTGTCTGTTTCTGGGAGGAGTCCTGTGCGTGCTGGGAACGTTCACCGGTGACTTGGTACGGCCCTTCCTCCTTCCTTCTTCCGCCTCCTCTTCCTCCACTCTTCCTCCCACGGACGGCTCCAGAACTGCAGAACAGTTGATCACAATATTGCTGTTACCACACAGCAAATATTTCGGATAGTTTTTAGTTAGGAATAAAAAAGATCCTGGTTTGTGAGGAGTCAAAGGCAAATTTTTGCATCATCTCAAATTATGGAAATTATTTCCATAATGTCGCCAAAGTGGCGACACCCAGACTCTAGAATCAGCCTGAGTCCAAATTTTCCCCTCATTGTAAGATACCCTGAGAAATTCATGGAACCTTCCATAGCCTCAGCTTCCTCATGAGTAAAATAAGAATCATTCAGAAATTAAATAAGATAATCCATATAAAGAACTTATGTTCCTGGCACATAATAATTGTTTAATAAATATTGTGTTTTTATTAAATTATAATATTCTCTAATTCTAATAATACCTCTTTACCATTGATATCATACTTAAAGGGTACAAAAATTATTAACAAAAGCAAAATCCTCAATAAGTCTTGGAAAATTAAGATTGAAATGAAAGAAATTAAACCTTTAAATAAAATAAGTGTGTTGAATAACATGTCACAGTCAACACTCTCCTAGAAAAAGACTTTATACTTTGTAGTAAACATGAAACTAGGAAATTAGCAGAGTTAATAAAGATCAGACTTCAGGACATAATATCTGCAGCCTTGGCATTCTCATTTGAGGGTCATAAACTCACTGACCTTCTCACAAACTGAATTGCTCCTACATGTGATGCAGTGTTGAACATGCTTATTGGTCCCCAGACAAAGGGAAACTAAAAAGCATGACTCTTGACCAATAAGAAGCATCCTCCCTTTTATAATTTGAATTGTGTCCTCCAAATGGATATGTTTAAAGCCTAACCCTCAGTATCTTAGAATGTGACCTTACCTGCTAATAGGGTCTTTAAAGGTAATCAAATGAAAATGAGGTCGTTAGGATTGGGCCTTAATCCAGTATGACTGGTGTACTTATACAAAAGGGAAACCTGGACACAGAGACACAGGCAGGGAGGACAGCATGTGAGCATGAAAGCAGAGATTGGGGTGATGCACCTACAGGCCAAGGAACACCAAAGATTGCCGGCAAACCACCAGAAGCCAGGAGAGAGGCATGGAGCAGACTCTCCCTCAGAGCCCTCAGAAGGCGCCAGTCCTGCTGACACCGTGATCTTGGAATTCAGCCTCCAGAATTGCAAGACAATAAAGATCTTTTTAAGCCAATCAGTGTATGGCCCTTTGTTATGGCAGCCCTAGTAACTAATGCACTCCCTTAAAATTCTACTTGTTTTTCTAACTATTCCAGCTGCTACACGGGGCCACAGCCTCCACTTCTCTGTTTGCTATTGTGTTGGTGATTGCTATTTTATGTCCTCTTAGATGCCCTTTAGCTTTTCTGTTGTTATTGTTCCATTTTTTTCACCCTGTTGAGTATTTAGAATAATTGGCATGTCTTAATTTGTGTCTTACTAGTTAAGGTTGAGAATCAACTCAGTCGGGAAACCAAGTGTTGGGCCTGGTTTAAAGTAACACAGCTCCATGCAACCACAAGGGCTGTAAAGCCACCAGGAACTAACAGATTGGTTCAACCCTGAATGTCTTCAGAATCTCAGACTTTCACATTGATCATGATTCCAGCTGCTAACATGATCACCTATTTGGTTTTTCTCCAGTGTGTGGACGAGTATTATAGAAGAGGTTTGCCATGTTTTTCAGCTCTCTGTCATCCAACAACTCACTACAATGAGCACCCTAATTTTCCTTTGAGGGAAGTCCTTCACTATAACATCCCTTTTGAGATGTTCTCTAATCCTGACTGCCCCCTCCCAGGAATGAAGGGACCTAATTCTTACCTAGCCTTTTAGTATAGCCAGGGAGTAGCACAAAAGGAAAACTCAGCCCGTCAGGACTCCTTCCTGGAAATTTGAATCCTGAGCAAGGAAAACATATTTTTTGGATTTCAGACTCATCCCAGCAACTCCACAAAGACCAGATGGCTTCTGCATCATCATTTCTGATGCCAAGCCTCTGCAGCTGCCTGGTAACTGCCACTTTTCCAAGACATGTGCTTCAGCCTCTTGTTAATACTTGAGCCCCTGGTATGCTTCCAGCGTATTCCGACTTCCCTCCCTGCTGCCCCCCTTCCTCTCTCCTGTCCTCCCTCTTTCTCTCTGTTTCTCTTATTTTTCTCTTTCTTTTTTTCTTTCTTTCCTTGTTTTTTTTCTTGATTTCTCTCTCTCTCTTTCTCTCTCTCTCTTTACTTGTCTTAGGTTGACCCAGTTGGTCTCTGTAGCTTGCAACCAAGTAATCTGACAGATTCAAGGGCTACTGAAGATAGAATGCTGGACTAGGGCAGAGCTTCACCTCCTGTGAGCAATGAAGTATTAGGAAAATCTCTTGGCCACTTTGAGTTTGTTTGCTCATGCAGAATGTGAGAGGTAAACAAGTCTTTACCTCTGAGACTTGTGCGACCAGTGAAAAAGCTCTTTGTTACTGTTAAGCATGATGCAAATGCAATGGGATAATGATGATACTGAAGATAGTGATGATAGGCCATTTGAGTCTCATAAGAATAATATGCAGGGAAAAGATACAGAGGTGAAATGGAAGGTAGAATACTTAGCTTTTTAAAATTACACAATAGAAGTTGGGTGTGGTGGCTCACACCTATAATCCTAACACTTTGGGAGGTGAAAGAGGGCAGATCTCTTGACCCCAGGAGTTTGAGACCAGCCTGGACAACATGGTGAAACCCTGCCTGCCTCTACTAAAAAAATACAAAAAATTAGCCAGCTAGCATGTGCCTGTAATCCCAGCTTAGTTTGAGACCAGCCTGGACAACATGGTGAAACCCTGCCTGCCTCTACTAAAAAAAATACAAAAAATTAGCCAGCCAGCATGTGCCTGTAATCCCAGCTACCCAGGATGCTAAGGTGGGAGAATCACCTGAACCCAGGAAGTCAAGGCTGCAGTGAGCCATGATCGCACTACTGCACTCCAGCCTGGGCAATGGGAGTGAGACCCTGTCTCAAAAAAAAAAACAACATAATTTATTTCCTCCGAGTATTGGAATAAAATAATTGAAAAATATATGTTAATGCACAAAGAAAGAGAAGAATTCCTTAAAAGTTGTATTCAGTATTATATAAATAACACCCCTCTTGGTTTACTTGTTTTGTAAATGTGGATTTCTTCATTTCCGGTTTTCTTAAAGAAAATTCTATCTGTATGTGTTACAACTAAACTTGTGAGCCTACTCATACCAGACTGTACAATAATACCCCCAAAATACAATGTCTGTAATATCTTTTGTTCATACCTTACTGTTTTTAGCTATTTTTTTTCCAATAAACATTTTTATTGAATTATACACTCAGAAAAGTATACAAATCATAAAAGTACATTTCATTGGATTATCACAAAGGGAACACATCCATATAAATATCAACTAAGTCAAGAAATTAAACATCATTAGGAAACACCTGACTGGGTGTGGTGGCTCATGCCTGTAATCCCAGCACTTTAGGAGGCAGAGGTAGGCAGATTGCTTGAGCCCAGGAGTTCAAGACCAGCCTGGGCAACATGGCAAAACCCCATCTCTACAAAAATTAGCTGGGCATGGTGGCACTCACCTGTAGTTCCAGCTATTCAGGAGGCTAAGGTGGGAGAATCGTCTGGGCCTGGGCAGTCAAGCCTGCAGTGATCTGTGACTGTGCCACTGCAATGCAGCCTTGGTGAAAGACCGAGACCCTGTCTCAAAACAAAAAATAATAAATAAAATACCCCAACACTAGGAAACACCAGAAAACAACGTCATGTCTCTTTCAAGCCATATCCCCTCCACCCTCAAAAAATATTAACTGCCCTGAATTTTAACACCACAGAATAATTTTTCTGGTTTTTGAATTTTATATAAATGAAATTATAAACCATGTAATACTCTGTATATGAGTTATATGACTCAACATTATGTTCCTGAGATTCATCCAGATTGTTGAGTATAGAGGTGTCATCCTCATTGTTGTGCATTATTCCATTGTATAAATACACCACAATTTGTTTATTCATTCAATTCTTTACAGTTTGAAATGTTTCCAGTTAGAGGCTATTACAAATGACATTGCCCTGAACATTCTTGAATGTCTTTCAGCATGCATATAAATTTATGTTGGATATTTGCCTAGGAATGTAATTGCTGGGTCATAGAGTATGAACTTGTTCAAATTTTATAGATGCAGAACGGTTTTCCCAAGGAGATTGTAAATCACAAATAGTGGTCTGCATCCTTGTCAACACTTGGCATTATCAGTTATTTTAAATTCTTGCTATTCTGATGGGATTTACTGTTGTCTCTTTATAGGTGCAATTTGCATTCCCTTGATTCTAGTCACACACACAAAAATAAAAGTCATACCATCGTTCATTATTTAGACTCAAGAATCTATAAAGAGATGAACTGCACCAAAAGAAGCTCAAAACATTTCAACACTCCGCTCAAAATGAAAACATCCATTTGACTCTTCATGTGCATAGGAGACTAAGTGTGTAACTGAGGAATTCTTCAAATAGCTCCTACATAGAATTTAATGTTTGTGAAAGGATAAATTATAAAAAATAAAAATATGCTAATTTGAAGCTTACGTATATACTTAAAATACAGTAGTAACCACAACAACAATTGTTTAGAATCCAAACCAACAAACGATCTTTATTCACAGGGAAGGATATTTTATCACTAACATGGTTTAAATTGCCTGCATGTGGTAATAATCAAAAGCAGACCACCTAGCCTATTTTATTATTGTTTTTAAATGCTCTACAGAAAAAAAAACACCATTTGGTTGCCTATACCCAGAATAGATCACTCTCACTGCCCTATCACTGTTTGCCACTAACAGGATTTTATGCCTATTTAGGGATGATAATATGTTAAAAGTTTAAGGTTTGCCATTGTTTTATCTTTGTGTTACTGTACACTGATTAGTATTAATTGTTTCTATTAATATTTACTAAACCAAGCATTAAGTTGCAAATCATATGTTCTCTGTGTTTTCTTTGTGTTAGTTCATCTTTCCATAAAATTTGCTAAAGTTGAGCCATAGTTTATTCAACTCTGTATTTCTTCTGTTGCAATACTCAACACTGCTCTAATTGTTCAGCATCTGTTTTGTTCACTTCTGTAACCTCAGTGCTTAACACAACGACTGGCACATGATAAGTGCTCAGCAAATATTTGGTGAATGCATGGTTTCCTAAGGTAAGGGAGTGAGGCCCTTGTTTTGCTTTGTTTTCATATTCTCCCACTGAATAATTGTGCTCTCTGAGAAGAATATGATTATGGTAAATGAAAAGAACTCTATTAAGGGGGAGGAGCCAAGATGGCCGAATAGGAACAGCTCCGGTCTACAGCTCCCAGCGTGAGCGATGCAGAAGACCGGTGATTTCTGCATTTCCATCTGAGGTACCAGGTTCATCTCATTAGGGAGTGCCAGACAGTGGGCGCAGGTCAGTGGGTGTGCGCACCGTGCGCGAGCAGAAGCAGGGCGAGGCATTGCCTCACTCGGGAAGTGCAAGGGGTCAGGGAGTTCCCTTTCCTAGTCAAAGAAACGGGTGACAGACGGCACCTGGAGAATCGGGTCACTCCCACCCGAATACTGCGCTTTTCCGACGGGCTTAAAAAATGGTGCACCACGAGATTATATCCCGCACCTGGCTCGGAGGGTCCTACGCCCACGGAGTCTACTGATTGCTAGCACAGCAGTCTGAGATCAAACTGCAAGGTGGCAGCGAGGCTGGGGGAGGGGTGCCCGCCATTGCCCAGGCTTGCTTAGGTAAACAAAGCAGCTGGGAAGCTCCAACTGGATGGAGCCCACCACAGCTCAAGGAGGCCTGCCTGCTTCTGTAGGCTCCACCTCTGGGGGCAGGGCACAGACAAACAAAAAGACAGCAGTAACCTCTGCAGACTTAAATGTCCCTGTCTGACAGCTTTGAAGAGAGCAGTGGTTCTCCCAGCATGCAGCTGGAGATCTGAGAACGGGCAGACTGCCTCCTCAAGTGGGTCCCTGACCCCTGACCCCCGAGCAGCCTAACTGGGAGGCACCCCCCAGCAGGGACAGACTGACACCTCACACGGCCAGGTACTCCAACACACCTGCAGCTGAGGGTCCTGTCTGTTAGAAGGAAAACTAACAAACAGAAAGTACATCCACACCAAAAACCCATCTGTACATCACCATCATCAAAGACCAAAAGCAGATAAAGCTACAAAGATGGGGAAAAAACACAGCAGAAAAACTGGAAACTCTAAAAAGCAGAACGCCTCTCCTCCTCCAAAGGAACACAGTTCCTCACCAGCAATGGAACAAAGCTGAATGGAGAATGACTTTGACGAGCTGAGAGAAGAAGGCTTCAGATGATCAAATTACTCTGAGCTACGGGAGGACATTCAAACCAAAGGTAAAGAAGTTGAAAACTTTGAAAAAAATTTAGAAGAATGTATAACTAGAATAACCAATACAGAGAAGTGCTTAAAGGAGCTGATGGAGCTGAAAACCAAGGCTCAAGAACTATGTGAAGAATGCAGAAGCCTCAGGAGCCGACACGATCAACTGGAAGAAAGGGTATCAGCGATGGAAGATGAAATGAATGAAATGAAGCGAGAAGGGAAGTTTAGAGAAAAAAGAATAAAAAGAAACGAGCAAAGCCTCCAAGAAATATGGGACTATGTGAAAAGACCAAATCTACGTCTGATTGGTGTACCTGAAAGTGATGGGGAGAATGGAACCAAGTTGGAAAACACTGCAGGATATTATCCAGGAGAACTTCCCCAATCTAGCAAGGCAGGCCAACGTTCAGATTCAGGAAATACAGAGAACGCCACAAAGATACTCCTCGAGAAGAGCAACTCCAAGACACATAATTGTCAGATTCACCAAAGTTGAAATGAAGGAAAAAATGTTAAGGGCAGCCAGAGAGAAAGGTCGGGTTACCCTCAAAGGGAAGCCCATCAGACTAACAGCGGATCTCTCGGCAGAAACTCTACAAGCCAGAAGAGAGTGGGGGCCAATATTCAACATTCTTAAAGAAAAGAATTTGCAACCCAGAATTTCATATCCAGCCAAACTAAGCTTCATAAGTGAAGGAGAAATAAAATACTTTACAGACAAGCAAATGCTGAGAGATTTTGTCACCACCAGGCCTGCCCTAAAAGAGCTCCTGAAGGAAGTGCTAAACATGGAAAGGAACAACCGGTACCAGCCGCTGCAAAATCATGCCAAAATGTAAAGGCCATCGAGACTAGGAAGAAACTGCATGAACTAACGAGCAAAATAACCAGCTAACATCATAATGACAGAATCAAATTCACACATAACAATACTAACTTTAAATGTAAATGGACTAAATGCTCCAATTAAAAGACACAGACTGGCAAATTGGATAAAGAGTCAAGACCCATCAGTATGCTGTATTCAGGAATCCCATCTCACGTGCAGAGACACACATAGGCTCAAAATAAAAGGATGGAGGAAGATCTACCAAGCAAACGGAAAACAAAAAAAAGCAGGGGTTGCAATCCTAGTCTCTGATGAAACAGACTTTAAACCAACAAAGATCAAAAGAGACAAAGAAGGCCATTACATAATGGTAAAGGGATCAATTCAACAAGAAGAGCTAACTATCCTAAATATATATGCACCCAATACAGGAGCACCAAGATTCATAAAGCAATTCCTGAGTGACCTACAAAGAGACTTAGACTCCCACACATTAATAATGGAAGACTTTAACACCCCACTGTCAACATTAGACAGATCAACGAGACAGAAAGTCAACAAGGATACCCAGGAATTGAACTCAGCTCTGCACCAAGCGGACCTAATAGACATCTACAGAACTCTCCACCCCAAATCAACAGAATATACATTTTTTTCAGCACCACACCACACCTATTCCAAAATTGACCACATACTTGGAAGTAAAGCTCTCCTCAGCAAATGTAAAAGAACAGAAATTATAACAAACTATCTCTCAGACCACAGTGCAATCAAACTAGAACTCAGGATTAAGAATCTCACTCAAAACTGCTCAACTACATGGAAACTGAACAACTTGCTCCTGAATGACTACTGGGTACATAATGAAATGAAGGAAGAAATAAAGATGTTCTTTGAAACCAACGAGAACAAAGACACAACATACCAGAATCTCTGGGACACATTCAAAGCAGTGTGTAGAGGGAAATTTATAGCACTAAATGCCCACAAGAGAAAGCAGGAAAGATCCAAAATTGACACCCTAACATCACAATTAAAAGAACTAGAAAAGCAAGAGCAAACACATTCAAAAGTTAGCAGAAGGCAAGAAATAACTAAAATCAGAGCAGAACTGAAGGAAATAGAGACACAAAAAACCCTTCAAAAAATTAATGAATCCAAGAGCTGGTTTTTTGAAAGGATCAACAAAATTGATAGACCGCTAGCAAGACTAATAAAGAAAAAAAGAGAGAAGAATCAAATAGACGCAATAAAAAATGATAAAGGGGATATCACCACCGATCCCACAGAAATACAAACTACCATCAGAGAATACTACAAACACCTCTATGTAAATAAACTAGAAAATCTAGAAGAAATGGATAAATTCCTTGACACATACACCCTCCCAAGACTAAACCAGGAAGAAGTTGAATCTCTGAATAGACCAATAACAGGAGCTGAAATTGTGGCAATAATCAATAGCTTACCAACCAAAAAGAGTCCAGGACCAGATGGATTCACAGCTGAATTCTACCAGAGGTACAAGGAGGAACTGGTACCATTCCTTCTGAAACTATTCCAATCAATAGAAAAAGAGGGAATCCTCCCTAACTCATTTTATGAGGTCAGCATCATCCTGATACCAAAGCCGGGCAGAGACACACAAAAAAAGAGAATTTTAGACCAATATCCTTGATGAACATTGATGCAAAAATCCTCAATAAAATACTGGCAAATCGAATCCAGCAGCACATCAAAAAGCTTATCCACCATGATCAAGTGGGCTTCATCCCTGGGATGCAAGGCTGGTTCAATATACGCAAATCAATAAATGTAATCCAGCATATAAACAGAACCAAAGACAAAAACCACATGATTATCTCAATAGATGCAGAAAAGGCCTTTGACAAAGTACAACAACCCTTCATGCTAAAAACTCTCAATAAATTAGGTATTGATGGGATGTATCTCAAAATAATAAGAGCTATCTATGACAAACCCACAGCCAATATCATACTGAATGGGCAAAAACTGGAAGCATTCCCTTTGAAAACTGGCACAAGACAGGGATGCCCTCTCTCACCACTCCTATTCAACATAGTGTTGGAAGTTCTGGCCAGGGCAATCAGGCAGGAGAAGGAAATAAAGGGTATTCAATTAGGAAAAGAGGAAGTCAAATTGTCCCTGTTTGCAGATGACATGATTGTATATCTAGAAAACCCCATCATCTCAGCCCAAAATCTCCTTAAGCTGATAAGCAACTTCAGCAAAGTCTCAGGATACAAAATCAATGTGCAAAAATCACAAGCATTCTTATACACCAACAACAGACAAACAGAGAGCCAAATCATGAGTGAACTCCCATTCACAATTGCTTCAAAGAGAATAAAATACCTAGGAATCCAACTTACAAGGGATGTGAAGGACCTCTTCAAGGAGAACTACAAACCACCGCTCAAGGAAATAAAGGAGGATACAAACAAATGGAAGAACATTCCATGCTCATGGGTAGGAAGAATCAATATCGTGAAAATGGCCATACTGCCCAAGGTAATTTACAGATTCAATGCCATCCCCATCAAGCTACCAATACTTTTCTTCACAGAACTGGAAAAAACTACTTTAAAGTTCATATGGAACCAAAAAAAGAGCCCACATCACCAAGTCAATCCTAAGCCAAAAGAACAAAGCTGGAGGCATCACACTACCTGACTTCAAACTATGCTACAAGGCTATAGTAACCAAAACAGCATGGTACTGGTACCAAAACAGAGATATAGATAAATGGAACAGAACAGAGCCCTCAGAAATAAAGCCGCATATCTACAACTATCTGATCTTTGACAAACCTGAGAAAAACAAGCAATGGGGAAAGGATTCCCTATTTAATAAATGGTGCTGGGAAAACTGCCTAGCCATATGTAGAAAGCTGAAACTGGATCCCTTCCTTACACCTTATACAAAAATCAATTCAAGATGGATTAAAGACTTAAACGTTAGACCTAAAACCATAAAAACCCTAGAAGAAAACCTAGGCATTACCATTCAGGACATAGACATGGGCAAGGACTTCATGTCTAAAACACCAAAAGCAATGGCAACAAAAGCCAAAATTGACAAATGGGATCTAATTAAACTAAAGAGCTTCTGCACAGCAAAAGTAACTACCATCAGAATGAACAGGAAACCTACAAAATGGAAGAAAATTTTCGCAACCTACTCATCTGACGAAGGGCTAATATCCAGAATCTACAATGAACTCCAACAAATTTACAAGAAAAAAACAAACAACCCCATCAAAAAGTGGGCGAAGGACATGAACAGACACTTCTCAAAAGAAGACATTTATGCAGCCAAAAAACACATGAAAAAATGCTCACTATCACTGGCCATCAGAGAAATGCAAATCAAAACCACAATGAGATACCATCTCACACCAGTTAGAATGGCAGTCATTAAAAAGTCAGGAAACAACAGGTGCTGGAGAGGATGTGGAAAAATAGGAACACTTTTACACTGTTGGTGGGACTGTAAACTAGTTCAACCATAGTGGAAGTCAGTGTGGCGATTCCTCAGGGATCTAGAACTGGAAATACCATTTGACCCAGCCATCCCATTACTGGGTATATACCCAAAGGACTATAAATCATGCAGCTATAAAGACACATGCACACGTATGTTTATTGTGGCATTATTCACAATAGCAAAGACTTGGAACCAACCCAAATGTCCAACAATGATAGACTGGATTAAGAAAATGTGGCACATATACACCATGGAATACTATGCAGCCATAAAAAATGGTGAGTTCATGTCCTTTGTAGGGACATGGATGAAATTGGAAATCATGATTCTCAGTAAACTATCGTAAGAACAAAAAACCAAACACCGCATATTCTCACTCATAGGTGGGAATTGAACAATGAGAACTCATGGACACAGGAAGGGGAACATCACACTCTGGGGACTGTTGTGGGGTGGGGGGAGGGGGGAGGGATGGCATTGGGAGATATACCTAATGCTAGATGACGAGTTAGTGGGTGCAGCGCACCAGCAAGGCACATATATACATATGTAACTAACCTGCACATTGTGCACATGTACCCTAAAACTTAAAGTATAATAATAATAAATTAAAAAAAAAAGCTTGGTTCTCATATGTCTACAGCCAACTGATCTTTGACAAAGTTGACAAAAACATACACTGGGGAAAAGACATCTTTTTCAATAAACGGTGCTGGGAAAATTGGATTGCCATATGCCGAAGAATAAAACTGGACTCCTATCTCTCATCATATGCAAAAATCAACTCAAGATGGATGAAAGACTTGAATGTAAAACCTGAAACTATAAAAATACTAAAGGAAAATGTAGGGAAATTTCTTCTGGATGTTCTAGGAAATAATTCATGACTAAAACCTCAAAAGCACAAGCAACAAAAACAAAAATAACAAATGGGACTTAATTAAACTAAAAAGCCTCTGTACAGTAAAAGAAATAATCAAAAGAGTGAACAGACAACCTACAGAATAGGAGAAAGTATTTGCAAAGTATGCAACCAACGGGGACTAACATCCAGAATTTACAAGGAACTCAGATAACTCAGCAACAACAACAAAAACAACAACTCCATTAAAAAGTGGGTAAGGGATGTGAACAGACATTTATCAAAAGAAGACATACAAATGGCTAGCACACATATGAAAAAATGTTGAAAATCACAAATCATCAGAGAAATGCAAATTAAAACCACAATGAGGTATCATCTTATACCAGTCAGAATGGCTATTACTAAAAAGTCAAAAGACAACAGATGTTGTCATGGATAGGGAGAACAGGGAATGCTGATATACTGTTAGTGGGAATGTAAATTAGTACAACCCCGAGAGAAAACAGTATGGAGATTTCTCAAAGAACTAAAAATGGAACTACCATTTGACTCAGCAATCCCACTATTGGGTATCTACCCAAAGGAAAACAAATTATTATATCAAAAAGATACCTGCACTCATATGTTTATCACAGCACTATTCACAATAGCAAAGATATGAAATCAACCTAAATGTCCATCAATGGATGATTGAATAAGGAAAATGTGGTATATGTACACAATGGAATACTATTCAGCCATTAAAAAAATGAAACCATGTCTTTTTCAGTAACATGGATGGAACTGGAGGCCAACACTTTAAATGAAACAACTCATAAACAGAAAGTCAAATACCACATATTCTCACTTTTAAGTGGGAGCTAAATAATGTGTACACATGGACATAGAGTATAGAATGACAAGCACTGGATCCTCAGAAGGGTGGGAGGGTGAAAGAAGGGTGGGTGATAAGAAATTATTTCGTGGGTACAATGTACATTATTCCAGTGACGGACACACTAAAAGCCCAGACTTCTCCACTGTACAACCTAGCCATGTAACAAAATTGCACTCATACCCCTTAAATTTATACAAATCTTAGAAATGCTTGGCTGTGGGAACTCTGTGGAACTAGATGGTCTAAGGGAATTCAGGAGCATCGTAGTCTGTGGGCAGTGGAGAATGGACATATCAAGGGACCACCGAGAAACTGGAATTGTACAGATACCTGCAAAAGGCAGAGGCAGCAACCAGAGCAAACAGATGGCAAGTGCAACGGACCTGGGGGCAAAAGTGCTGTGTAAATATGGACAATGGTTTTAATCTCCCATCTCTCTACCCCACTTCCAGGCTAGGATCCCTAGATGACTTGGGCAATAATGATCACATCTCCTGTCTTCTCTGAGAAATATTACCATTAATAATGCTTGAGGTGAGGCCTGAAGGATGAGTAAAAGTTATCTACGAAGAGAGACAGTAAACAGTTTTTCAGGGAATGGCCAGCAGTTGCAAATACCTAGCAATATCTTGCACCCCACAGGGTGACTAGAATGGCTAGGGGATGGCTGGTCTACCTCTCTGCTGCTATCATAGTCTCACATCCCTGGGGCTCTTTCTAAGTGGCCTACTTCTTCAGCAAAATAGACTTTTTTTTTCCTTTTTTAGCAGCGGCTGCCTTCCAAAATAGTGATTTGTTAGGTCTCCTCAAGCTAGACCACAATTGGCGCAGAGTCGCCTCTGCCACATTCTGTTGATTAACGAAAGTAACAAGGCTAGCGCAGATCCAAGGGGAAGAGAATTGGCCTTCACCTCTTGATGAGAGGACCAGCATCTGCCTGTAAGGATGAGAGGAATTGAATGTGACTTTTTGAAACAGTATTGTCTCTTAACACTTGGGGATGGGATCATCCCAGATAAACCACATCTCTTCCCTTTTAAAATTTTATTTGTTTTGAACTAGCTTACTTAAAAATTACATTTCTTTTATTAAATAAAGAAGAAAAAACAAAATAAAAAGTGAAATATCTGCCAAGGATATCTGCTTTTTAAGTTTCTCCAACTAATTAAAAATACACTTAAGTCTCATCTATTTCATTTGATCTGTAAAACAATCAGAAGTTTAAAAATGGGCCAGGCATGGTGGCTAACGCCTATGATCCCAGCACTTTGGGAGGTCAAGGTGGGCAGATAATTTGAGGTCAGGAGTTCAAGACCAGCCTGGTCAACATGGTGAAACCCCGTCTCTACTAAAATAAAAAAATTAGACGGGCGTGGTGGCAGGCGCCTGTAATCTCAGCTACTCAGGAGGCTGAGGCAGGAGAATCGCTTGAACCCAGGAGGAAGAGTTTGAAGTGAGCCGAGATCGCACCATTGCACTCCAGCCTGGGTGACAGAGAAAGACTCCCTCTCAAAAAAAAAAAAAAAAAAAAAAAAAAGTTAAAAACTATGCCTGTTAGAATATTTATTTCAGTAGCGAAATCATTTAGAGGACCAAGTTCTGCTTATACTAACAAAGAAATTTTGTCTAAAACAAAGTCATGGTTCATTAGGTGAATCATTTTTATTCAATTTTGTATTAGACACAGTTCAGTTGTAGAGCACAGAAACCACTCCAGGTACTTAGGAAGGCAGGGATTTAGTACAATGCATTAAGTGAAGAAAAACACACTGGAAAAGTTGAGGAGCAAGAACAAGGGAAGTAACTTCTCCTTTTCTCTCTTCTTAGGGCATTTAGAAAACCTGTAATTTCTTTGCCTCTTTGAAATGCATTTGACTCTTTTTAAAAGCTAAATAAGCCCCTTGTGAATTTTATAATCCAAGAACAAATCCTCAAGGACCTGGAAATCAACTCTGAAATGTCATCATCAAGGAAGACAGTGCCTCTATCTCCCAGTCTGTAGGAGGGTAGGAGCCTATCTTCAGCTGGCACTTGTCTTCAAGTTGCAAACTGAGATGTCATAAGATGTAAAAAAATTATTTTTCCTTTTGATAAAGGCAATGAGCAAACACAGGTGGCTACTCCAACTGCCAGGTGGATTTATGATCAACTCTGTGTGATAAATGTTGCTGGCAAGTCCTCTTACTTGAGCACAAGTTATTATTTATCTTGAGAACATGTCTAGAGGGGGTTGTATCTGTTTGGTGATACGAGAGGATGAGATGTCTTTCTGTCTTTGCAATCTCTTTAGCAGTTTTCCGTAATGCACCCAGCATTCTGGTTTATGCTTATTCAATAATAAAACCATTTTCTTTCTCTTCCACCTTTGAGGAGAGGTTTTCTGGGTTGGCAGGAGATTTTGTTTTTAATTATGTTTTCCCAACACTTGCATGTCACTGCCTCTATATCTCTGTCCTCCCTTATTTTTTTCACTAATTCAAGTCTTCCATGAGTGCATCTGATAGGCAAAATCTAAATTACATCCAGAACTCTAATTTGGGGTGGGTCTGGGAAGTGGAAGTTTTCGTTTCCCATTCCCTACAATATATGTCTCATCCAAAAGAATGAAATTCTAGATTTCCAGACAAGTACTGATATAAGGCATTACAAAAATTTTGCAGTCTGCATGAGCTTCAATCTCTCTCTTAAATGCTGGAGGAATGCCAGTATCTGAATTTTTCTAACCAAAAGGTGTAACTAATACCTGCCTCAGCTCATACCTCAGTAAGTTGCTAGTGATAATTAACTACCAGTTTTGGGCATCTTCCATGTAACAGACCCTGAGCTAATCACTTTATTTTCACTATCACAATAATCTCGCAAGTTGGGTATAGTTATGTGGATTTTATTCATGAAGAAATTGAGGTTCACACGGACTACATATCCTGTTCCAAACTATACAGTTAGGAAGTAGAAGATTCAAGATTCAAACGTAGGTGTTCTGACCCATTTCCCCACGTGTTTCATGCTTTTCCCTTCTTACCTCCAAGGTCCTAGACAAGCCTACTGGGTTTTTTTCTTACTGTTCCACATGGTCGCCTTACTATTACTAGAGTTAAGGAAATGCTTTCAAAATAAAGAAATGAAGACTTTACTATATGTGGCTTAATTCACGAATCTGTTTTATAGCCCACCAGCTGAACCCCCACCCCTTGTATCCAGCCTGCACCAAACCATAGCCATGGGTGGGAGACATAGGGAAGCCAGGATCAAAGCCTGGCTCTGGCTTTCATCAGCCAGATGGTGTTGAGAAGGTTACTCGATGCTTCCAAGCCTCAACTTCCAAATTTGTAAAACAGATAAAAATAGAGACTACCTCATGGTTTCTGAGGATTAAATGAGGTAACACATCAAAGCAGCTGCCCCATAGAATGCACCAAATACAGGTGAGCACTTGTGATGATTTGATGATGATCAAACTTAACAAAGCCACACATTCTCATTTGAGACAGCTTTAGCTATTGAAAAATTATTTCTTATATAGAGCAGAATTTTGTCTCTAGGACCTTTGGTTGTAAGTATGCCCTCTGAAAGGCAAAAAAGCAATTACTCCATCTTCCTTGTGACAATGCTTTGAATATTTGAAGGTGACTACTATGCCTCCAATGTGTCATCCCCTCTCCAGGCTAATACTCTAAAGTCCCTTCTCTTGACTGTGATATGCTTGTTAGACCCTGTGGTAGGCCATTCTTGCATTGCTCTAAGGGAATACCTGAGACTGGGTAATTTATAAAGAAAAGAGGTTTAATTGGCTCGCAGTTCTGCAGGCTGTACGGGAAGCTTGACCCCGGCATCTGCTCAGCTGCTGGCAGAAGGCAAAAGGAGAGCAGGCGTTTCATATGGTGAGAGTGGGAGCAAGAGGGCACGGGAGGTGCCACACACTTTAAACAACCAGATCCCGCAAGAACTCATTCATTATTGTGAGGACAGCGTCAAGCCATTCATGAGAGATCTGCCCCCATGACCCAAATCCCTCCTGGCAGGCCCCACCTCCAACATTCGGGATTACATTTCAAAATGAGATTTGGGGGGCAAATATCCAAACCACCTGAGACCCTTAGCTATCTTGTTTGCTTTTCAGACACTCTCTATTTTGTCACTCTCTCTCTGAACAATCTGGAGCTCAGAAAGGAACACACTACTCCAGATGTGCTGTGCCAATGCAGAGAACTGAAAGTCTTCGCCTCCCTCATGAAATTTAACTCAGGCTAACATGGGATTTGTTTTAAACAGCCTCATTACACTGTTTACACACATGAAATTTGTTGGCCACCTCTTCCCTCCCTACACCCACCCCCACCACAACACGTGTGTCTTTTATGTATAAAGTACGATTTAGCCAGTTTTCCTCAATTCTATATTTGGCAATTTTTTTATTTTATTCTTTTTTTTTTTTTTGAGATGGGGTCTTTCTCTGTCACCCAGGCTGGAGTGTAATGGCGTGATCTCTGCTCACTGCAACCTCTGCCACCCAGGTTCAAATGATTCTCCTCTCTCAGCCTCCAGAGTAGCTGGGATTATAGGCAACCACCACCATGCCCAGCTAATTTTTTTTGTATTTTCAGTAGAGATGGGGTTTCACCATGTTGGCCAGGCTGGTCTTGACCTCCTGACCTCAGGTGATCTGCCCACCTCGGCCTCCCAAAGTGCTGGGATTACAGGCATGAGCCACCGTGCCCAACTTACTGGGTAATATTTTTAAACAAAAATGTTGATATCCACATTTTGTTCCATTTTATTTCACAGTAGTTTGGACCATTATCTCAGCCCATCAAGAATTTTAAATCTTGATTTCATTATTTAATATGTAAGTAAGTATGGATTAGCTAGGATTAGGGTTGATCCAACACTTAAATACCATGACTTAAACAAAATAGAAATGTATTTCTATCATATGTGGACGAAGATCACAGGAAAACACTTTAGGACTAGAGTGACAACTGTTATCATCAGGTACACTGGTCACATTGAGTAGGTTCCATCATCCTAAACACCTCTTCCACCTCATAGTCCAAGATGAAGCCCAGAGCTCCAGCTATCACTTTCGTTTTCCAGCCAACAGGAAGCCAGAAAAAGCCAATAAGGCCATCTGCAGTCCATTTAAGGTGACCCTTCTCAAGACTATGAGTTAGAGCTTAGCCACATGGCCATACCCAGAAGCAAAGGAAGCTGGAAATTGCAATCTCACTTCTAGGTAGCTATGTCTCCTGCTAAAAAGAATAATTCCATTTTTAATTAAGAGGTCAAAACAGGTACTAGGAGACAACTAGCTGTCTCTGCCACACCCTCTCAGATTTGTGTTCTTGGTAAATATGAGAGCCTTCTTCCTATGACTTAATTCACATATTGAAAAAAATCTTGTAAGAGGACCTAAGCATGGGCACATTCAACAAGCAAACACTCCTCCTACGTCCAGCATGAAAAGTATTCTAACTATATCATTCATTCAGCAATAATCCCACAAATATAGTAAGTCTGGCAATGGTGGGGATAAAACAGGGTTGTTAATGTCAAAGCTTGCACCATATCCTCCACAAGTGAGCAAACAGGGGACAAGAGAGACTATGGTCCCTAGAATACGTATGACCTTTTAAAATTTTTCTCTTTAATGCTTTGGCCTATAGGTCTTCCTTGATTTCCTTCTGCTAGATTAAGGTGCGTAAAACCAAACTATTTCCTTTCTAGCTTGTTATCTCTACATTTTCAGTTCTATGTTTCAGATTTGAAACCCTCTATAAGGAAAGACTATTTCAAGAAACTTTTAGGTGCCAAATCAAGTAAAATGTCACAGACTTCAGGTTCAGTACAGCAACACTTCTCAAACATCAATGTGCTCACAAATCACCTGGAGGAACTTGCTAAAATGCAGATCGAATTCAGTAGGTCTGGGGCGGAATCTGAGTTTCTGCCTTTTTAACAAGCTCCTTGGTGATATCAATGCTGCTGATCCTCAGACTATATCTTGAGTAGTTAGGAAATGAGACTTCACATTTCCTGAAACCACATACCCTGTCTGCTGTATTCCTGCATTCCCAGCACCTAGCATAGTAGAAAGCAAAGAGATGTGGAACCACAAATATTTGTTGAATAAATGAATGAACAAATAACATCACAGTTGGCTCCATAGGGCAACATAAGCTACCTATGTATGGAAAGTAAAATTCAACTGAATTTACTTCTACTCATAGTTACTGTGTAATAAGCATCTACTCAATGCCATGGACTGTACATGGTAGTTAATTATTTACTGCTCACAACAATCCTCTATGAATTGTATATTCCTTATTGAAGATGAGGCAACTGAGAACTAGAGAGATTAATTTGGTGAAAGTCTCAAAGGCAGAAAACTTTTGAAGTGATAGAACAGAGACCATAACAGGTCTGTGCAAGTCTAAAGTTCACTGTGCTCAATTGCCTTCTCCTTCTACAAAGAAAAACCCGCAGCACCAAGCTCTTTTCAGAAACTACTCCCCATCCTACTGTTCAAATTTGCAGATAGAGCATCTCTTTACAGCTTGCAAGAGGTGAGATGACTGTACCAAAGCTGCAGGCTCTGTGACAGCCCTGCCCCCAGCAGTTTCCATTCGTGAGTGGGCCCAGCACCCAGCCTCAGCTCAGAGTCAAGCCAGAGAGCCAAGCACTGCCTAAAGTTTCACTCTCCTTTGGAGCTAGCCTGATTTACTGCACCATGGTAAGATAATCCAATACAAGCAACACCCGGGAGAAGTGTTGATACCCCAAATATAATTGTCTGACTTATCTCTAAAACTAAGAGCTCATTTAAATTTCAGCAATAAGAATTTTTTCTTCTGTGTGGGTTACTGCATGTATAAAATTGGTACTAGTTTTATTTCCTTACCCTATCCCTCGATTGTGCTAAGTTGAAGACATTGAATGTAAAAAAATAATAGTAATAAACAGCACAGTCTTGGCACTTCTAATGAAAAAAAAAAAACAGGTTGGTGTGTGTTCCAATTATCAAATTATCAGTTTTTTGCAGAAAACAGAAATAACAAGTACATCCTTAAGAGAAGGGTTGGAGGTTAAAAGTGAGCTGTAAGTCTTGTTTTAGTAGAGAAGACATTGTGCCAAGAGTCACAAAACCTTGTTTCTAAAGGGGCCCCACCATTAACCAACCCTACTGAGCAAGGTACATAGATTCTTCAGTGTGTCAAATCATATTTTAAAAAAATAACAATAGTACCTAATCTTATAAAGGTTTTGAGAAATCTCCTATTAATTTTTTTTACATTCAATGTCTTCAACTTAGCACAATAAAGAGGTAGGGTGAGGAAATAAAACTTGTATTTATAAAGGTTAAGTACTTTTGTGGTCTTATAAGATTAATAGTACCAGCCTTATAAAGTTGTTATGAATATCAGATAAACCAAGGTAAATAGTAGGGCCATATTAGTTTGCCAGAGCTGCCAAAAGACCACACACTGGGTGACTGAAACAACTGAAATTTATTTTCTCACAGTTGCAGAGCCTAGAAATTTGAGATCAACGTGTCCGCAGGGTTGGTTTCTTCTGAAGCCTCTCTCCTTGGCTTGTAGATGGCCGTCTTCTCCCTCTGTCTTCACATGCCTCTGTATGTTGTCTGTGTCCCAATCTCCTCTTCTTACAAGGATGCTGGTCATACTGGATTACAGCCCACCCGGATGGTTCATTTTCACTTAATCACCTCTTTGAAGGCCCTATCTCCAGAGATAATCACATTCTGAAGTGTGCGGGTTCGGATTTCAACACATGGGTTTGGCTGGGGAAAGGGAAGCACAGTTGGGACACAATTAAGCCCCTAACAAGGGCTTTGAGAAATTCAGATGTGTATAAAGTAAATTGAATGCAATGTTATGTAGTTAAAACAGTGTAGACTTTGGAATCAGAAATATCTTCAGTTCCCAGCTCACCCCTGCTACTTCTTTGCTGGCTGTGAGATCTTGGACATCTGACATCATCCCTGAGTCCCACGTTGCTCATCAGTGATAGTGTAGGTAGTAGTTTTTAAATGGCCACAAATTCTTGGCAGCTCCTCCTACCAAGAGGTGGACTCTATTTCCACTCTCCCCGCATCTGGGCTGGCCTCACCATGTGTGTTGGCCAGTAGAATGCTGTGGAAGTGATGCATGATTTCTGAGTCTAGGTCTCAGGAAGCTGTGCTGTATAACGGTACTGACTTCATGTCAGGTAAAAGCTTGCTTACTTGAATATAATTATTGCTTTACTTGAGTTTGTTGAATATTCACTAAAAACTACCTCAGGAAAATAGAACCTTCAACAGAGATCAAAGAAAATATGCCAACGAACAACTTTGGGACAGGGCTGACTGGGCAGATCAGAACAGGCTGACAGCACCTTCAGAAGGCCACAAAAATTGACCAAGAAAGCAATGTTTAACTGCTCACCTGAGAATGCACACATTTCACAAGAATATTTTCATCATCATTTCTCCTAATTTTCCTTAAAAAAACCCCGATCAAGAGACACAAGTTGGAGAGCCGGTGTTTGAACGCTGCTAGTTCACTGCCTCCCCTGAGTTGCTGGCTTCTCGAAAAAACCTAACTTTCCTTTCACCAAAGCTTGTCCCTTGAAATTTTGGTTTTCAGGCAACAAGTGGCCAGGCATTAGTTACAATGCCACTTCTATGCTTGGCCTCTTGAAGTGCTGCAGCTGACAGAACCAGCCCAGGCTGATGCACTGGAGAAAGAGAGACCATGTGGAACAGAAAAAAAGGCCTGCTAGATCAAACTAGCCCCTAGGCAACCCAATCATGAACTGAGGTCACATGAGCAACCCCAACCCAGATCAGCAGAAGAACTGCCCAGCTAAGCTCAGACCAAATTGCTGACCCACTGAATTGAAAGGAAATAAAATGATTGTTGTTCAATGGGTAACTGATAGGGTGTATAATATTAATGCTACAGGTTGCCACAGGGATTGGAAACCATGACTCCAACACTAGTCAAGGTCCTGGCATACACCATGTGCTCAATAAATGTTAGACGTATTACTATTTTTCAACCAACTGTGTATTTTAGGAGTTGTGAAGGGTTGAAAAATAAATGCATTTAATTTAATTATAAAACCAACATATAGATGTTGGACTTAACAAGCTAGGGTTAGAAATAATAATTCAGAAAGAAAGGAAACTTATCTGAGGAAGATGAGGCTCCTTTAAATTATCAAGCCCAAAGAGGCATGGAAATGTGAATCATGTCCCGCCCCCTTTTGAGCTAAGTAATCATTTCAAAGCTGTCTCCTTTATGGACTCTAAACAGAGTGTCACCCCCCATAGCTGTATATTAACCTAACAATGCCCCATCCTGGAAACCATAACTGACACCTTATCGTTCACCAATGTATAGCCAATCACCAATCAATGTTATTTCTGTAAAGCAATGAGAATTTCTGGCAAACAGCTTTTGTAATTGCTCCCCTCCTGATTCGTCCTTTTTTTCTTTAAAAACTCAAGCCTCTCCTTTGTTCTCCAGAGCATCTCCTAGTGTTTCCTGGGCTGCAGTCCTCAACCTTGGCCCAAATAAACTCTCTATATTAATTTTGTGTCAGTTTCCTACTTTAGGTTGACAACATTTACATTAAAGTCTTGGATTGCCTATTAATAATTAGGTTCTTTATAGAAAAGCAATGAATTAAATGTTAGAGAAATGATTAACCATCACCTCATCCAGTCCTTGACTGAAAATAATTCACTGAAGTCAAGCAATGCTTGATATTGTTTTTAGAGTTTCTAAGAAGAAAATATTCCAAGATTTCCCTTTGTGACCTTTTCCTCCATAAAGCATGAGTTCCTTATGCTTAGACAGAGTCTCCACTAAAGAAACTTATCTGGTTGGTTGTTTAACTGAAACAGCAGAGCTCATGGCCACATTCTTATTTCTACTGTGCAAACACTTGAGAAATAACATAGTCTATGTTAATAATACAAAGACTCTAGTCTTGTGAAGAAAGAGCTTAGAGGCGTTTGTAGTGAGTTCGGACTTGATAAGGTGACTTATCTCAGGACAAGTCACCTCACTCTCACAACAACTCTACGATGGAAGCAGATAAGATTTGTTCTGTTCTGTTTGTTTGTTTGCTTAGTATCTTAAGGTTAACCCTATTTTATATGTGAAAAAATTGACATTCAAGTAAATTGAATAATTTTTCTAAAATAACAGAGTACAGGATAGAGTTGGTACTCTAATCCTCCACAGGATTGTAAATTGAGTGTTCTATCAATTGAGTGATTATAAATTGAGTGTTCTCTTTACTATTCCACGTTAATAACAACGTATTGAAAGCGGAGATATTCACTTAACTCATGCAGTCTCGGTGGGGCAATATGCCTTCATGGGAAAAATTATGTCTAAGGGGGTGATCAAAAATGTAGATATTACAATGGTTTATTGGGCCATTGAACTTAAACAGATGTACAGAATACTTGTGGTATTAAAGCATCTAATGGGGAAGGAGTGACATGGAAGAAAATGTCTAACATGGCTCTTGTGGGGTACAAAATATGGAGAGATGAAAAGAAGACTGAAAAACACTGACTTCATAGTTTTCTATTTTTTAAAAATCTGTGTGTCAGTGCCATTCTCCCATGAAGAGTCCTTATTCCAGTTCTTAGAAGAATTTCCATTTTTTCTCGGATTAAGGAAAATTCAGTGAGAATCACTCATGTGAGGGACAAATGAAGACAAAGAACTTTTTCCAGACTCTGACCCGGTGAGGAGAGAGAAGTTCTGGAAGAGCAAGCCTGAGTGAGGTGCCAAGGAAGTCAAGACACTTTCTTAGGTCCCAGATATGTCAAGTCCATTTCTTGTACTGCAGCAGATGCTTTGCCACTCGACCCCCGCCCCCCGCCATTTCTTCTGTCTTTTCCCTGCTATTCTTCCAGATAATTCCTTCATTTTATTATAAAATAAAGTATTAAACATCACTGACCTAAAAGTCCCAGAAAAGACTACTGGACTCATTTAGAACCAAGCAAAATGTAAATCAACATTTACATTTTTTTCTTCCTTTGTAAAATAATCCTGACAACTTCCCCTTTATTCAAAAGTCCTAGATGGGTCTCAGAAGCCGTGTGCTAGGGTTTGAATGCCCCTCCAAAACTCATGTTCAAATTTCATTGCTATTGTGATGGTGTTAGTAGGTGGGATCTTTAAGAGGTGATTAGGTCATGAAGGCTCTGCCCTCCAAAACAAATTAATGCCGTGATTGTGGGAGTTGGTTAGTTATCAAGGGAATGGGCTTCTGATGAAAAGATAAGTTCAGCCCCATTTTCTCTCTGTCTTGCATGCTCTTACCCTCTCATGCACTCTGTCATCACCATGTGATACTTTCTGCCATGTTACAACACAGCAAGAAGGCACTCAGCATATGTGGCCCCTCAACCTTTGACTTTCCAACCTCCAGAACCATGAACCAAACAAATCTCTTTTATTTATAAAACACCACCCAGTCTGTGGTATTCTGTTATAGGAGCAGAAAAAGCTAAGACTCCGTAGGGCTCTGGAGGGGATAGAGACATTCTCACACCTGTCAAAAGAGGAACAAGAACCAATAGTGGTTGTAACACACTGACAGCCTTTCTGTTGAGGCACGTACTGGGAAGCAGCCCAGGAAGCAGATCACAGGGGTCCAAGTGGGACTTGTGCAACCCAGAAACATTTCCCCACTGCCCAGGGCTCCAAATGTATGGGTGGACAGTATGCTACCTCCAGGCTTGTCAGGAACTTAGTCTGCTAGCAGTCTAATGCAATACCTCATTTTCTATTTCTGATTTAAATACAAACATTCAAATATTTTATACTTAAATATTAAACAGCAGTTTTCATTGAGAGATTCAAAATTTGCAATTACCTATGAAATTTTGGACAGCCTGGGTCCCTGAAGGATTTCCCAGGCATTATCTTACTTATATTATGCCGGGGAGGAAGTGATGTAGATAAAGGTATCTGGGGTGTGAACTCCTACTCCTACCCCCAGGAAATCTGTGATCCATCAGCTAAAACTCCAGCCACTGTGTTAAACTATTTTCTCAGTGACATAAAAATTAGGCTCTTTTTCAAGAAATCAACAGGAAGAATAACATGTTTTTGTGCAGCAAGACTTGCTTTCAGTTCCACGATATTTTTTTTCTTTATCCAAAACCAAGAAAAAAAAAGTCTATTTTCAGGACATATTTTATTCCCATCCACAATTCTAGTGAGGAACAGCTATTTGTGGTGTCTGAATTTGATTCAGGGATCTGCAATCCACCTGTTCAAACTGCCTGGGCCCCTGACTTTGTTCCCTAAGGTTATTGTGACAGGTACACATACGATAACACAAAATAGCACCTGGTATGTAATAGATGCTCATTCAAAAACTATAGAATATCTGAACGTCCTCTCACATTACTCAAAGGAGGGGATACGGTTAGTTTATAAGAAAGACTAGAATCTAGTCATGCAGCGTGTATCAGCAAAGGCTCAACTCTGGATTGGTGCCCCTGCTTCATTTTTGCACTTTGAAGATGACGCATACTTTCTTCTTGGCTTAACTGTGGGTTTAAAATGACTTATTTTCTTTTTTATCCAGCATATTTAGGTGATTGAAGGTGAAAACCTGGAAAGCTTTCAGGAAATCTAGCCAACCAAATTACCAGCAACTAAGTTCAAAACCATGGTTTTGGATTGCTTATATTACCAGGGACAAAATGGCAGGTTGGTGGCAGGGATTCAGAACTTGGAGCTAAACAGCAAGTGAGTGGCGTGGGTACTGGACTTCAGCTGAAGCAGCAGGAGCTGACCTGCTTCTGTATTCGCTATACACTGCATATACTTCTCCAATCCACTGACACCTCCTGTTAATCTAGTTTACATCACAAAGTTGTATCCACATGTGTCATGATGTTCTTCCACTTACCCTAGGGCTTTCTGAAATAAGATTATAAGGTTCCAAGTTAAGCGTGGACTGAGCCTACAACTTCTATCATACATATCACATATGATATATCTATATTATATATAGATATATATCCCAATGATATATTATGATACATATTTTGATTTTATAAATAAATATGTGTGTGTATGTGCGTGTATATATTCCAAGGGTATATTTTCCAGACCCTGAACTGATTAACAGAGAGAAGTTCTGGAGGTCTTATTTCCCCACAACAGTAAAAAAAAAATGACAGTCTCTTGGGGTACTGCCATAATCTCAGGTTTCAGATTTTCAATAAACAACAAGTATTGGTTTGCAGGGCTGGAAAGTATTCAACAGCAAGCCTCTAATTATCAGAATCTACCTATCTCTTTCCTGAAAAAATTCTGGCCTTAAACCAGGGTCATACTTTCCTAAGAGCCAAGTGGGTGACCACATATTAATTGTGTCATATGAATAAAACCAATGATGAAGAAGCTGCAGAAATCTAATGGATATAGTTTGCTTCTATCTGCCAGCTGAAAATAAGTCCAAAAAGGTAGATGGCATGCATTATAAAGAGATGCTTAGATCAGCAATGGGAGAAAAAACGTTTTTCCAGGATGAGGGAAAAATGTGATAGGAAAGTACTTTATGAGTATAGTGTTTCTTGCTATTTTGTTCACTTCTAGTTGCTGTTCAGAAATTGTCCTTCAGGGATTTATAAGTTTTTGAGAGCACCTGGAATAGATCAGCTGATAAAGTGGAAAGCCACCATTTGGAACATAATTGGCAATTGGTAAATGAGAAGTATTTTAGATGGTTGTGTAACTGTTAAGTCTCCTTTTCATTGCAGTAATAAAAATATGTTATAGTTAACTTTAAAAAAGAGGTAATTCATAATAAAGACATAGGTTTTTGCATAGTCTTGCTTTGGCTATGCAGGCTCTTTTTGATTCCATATGGATTTTAGGATTTTATTTTTCTGGTTCTGTGAAGAATGGTGGTGGTATTTTGATGGGAATTGCATTGAATTTGTAGATTGCTTTTGGCAATATGGTCATTTTCACAATATTGGTTCCACCCATCCATGACCATGGGGTGTGTTTTCATTTGTTTGTGTCATCTATGCTTTCAGCAGTGTTTGTAGTTTTCCTTGTAGAGGTCTTTCACCTACTTGGTTAGGTATATTCCTAAGTATTTTATTTTATCATTTTGCAACTATTGTGAAGGGGGTTGAGTTCTTATTTGATTTGCAGCTTGGTCACTGTTGGTGTATAGCAGAGGTACTGATTTGTGTACATTGATTTTGTATCCTGAAACTTTGCTGAATTCATTTACCTGTTTTAGGAGCTTTTTGAATGAAGCTTTAGGGTTTTCTAAGTTTACGATCATATCATCAGCAAACAGTGAAAGTTTGACTTCCTCTTTACCAATTTGAATGCCCTTCATTGCTTTTTCTTGTCTGATTGCTCTGGCTAGGACTTCCAGTACTATGTTGAATAGAGTGGTGAAAGTGGGCATCCTTGTCTTGTTCCAGTTCTCAGGAGAAATGCTTTCAACTTTTCCTCATTCAGTATAATGTTGACTGTAAGTTTGTCATAGTTGGCTTTTTATTACATTGAGGTATGTCCCTTCTATGCCGATTTTGCTGAGGGTTTTAATTATAAAGGGATGCTGGATTTTGTTGAATGTTTTTCTGCATCTATGGAGATGATCATGTGATTTTTGCTTTTAATTCTGTTTATTTAAGGCATCACATTTATTGCCTTGCGTATGTTAAACCATCCCTGCATCCCTGGTATGAAACTCACTTGATCACGGTGAATTATCTTTTTGATATGCTATTGGATTCAGTTCACTAGTATTTTGTTGAGGATTTTTGCCTCTATGTTCACTAGGGATATTGGTCTGTAGTTTTCTTTTTTTGTTATATCCTTTCCTGGTTTTGCTATTGGAGTGATACTGGCTTCATAGAATGATTTAGGGGAGGATTCCCACTTTTTCTATCTTTTGGAGTAGTTTCATTCAGTAAGATTGGTACCAATTCTTCTTTGAATGTCTAATAGAATTCAGCTGTGAATCCATCTGGTCCTGGGCTTTTGTTGTTGTTGTTGTTGGCAATTTTTTAAATTACTGTTTCAATCTTGCTACTTGTTATTGGTCTGTTCAGAGTTTCTGTTTCTTCCTAGTTTAATCTAGGAGGGTTGTATAATTCCAAGAATTTATTCATCTCCTCTAGGTTTTCTGGTTTATGTGTGTAAAGGTGTTCATAGTAGCCTTGAATAATATTTTGTATTTCTGTAGTATTGGTGGTAATATCTCTCGTTTCATTTCTAACTGAGCTTATTTGGATCTTCTCTCTTCATTTCTTGGTTAGTTTCACTAACAGTCTATCAATTTTATTTATCTTTTCAAAAAATCAGCTTTTTGTTTCATTTATCTTTTGTATTTTTTTATTTCGATTTCATTTAGTTCTGCTATGATGTTAGTTATTTCTTTTCTTCTGCTGGCTTTGGGTTTAGTTTGTTCTTATTTCTCCAGTTCCATGAGATGTGATCTTATGTTGTCTTTTTGTGCTATTTCAGACTTTTTGATGTAGGCATTTATTGTTATGAACTTTCCTCTTCACACCATTTTTGCTGTATCACAGAGGTTTTGATAGGTTGTGTCACTGTTATCGTTCAAAAATTTTTTAATTTCCATCTTGATTTCATTGTTGACCTGCTCCTGATCATTCAGGAGCAAGTTATTTAATTTCCACATATTTCATGATTTTGAGGTTGCCTTTTGGGGTTGATTTCCAATTTTATTCTACTGTGATCTGAGAGAGTACTTGATATAATTTTTATTTTCTTAAATTTACTGGGACTTCTTTTGTAGCCTATCATATGGTCTATATTGGACAATGTTCCATGTGCTGATGAATAGAATGTGCATTCTGCATTTGTTGGGTAGAATGTTCTGTAAATATCTGTTAAGTCCATTTGTTGTAGGGTATAGTTTAAGTGCATTGTTTCTTTGTTGACTTCCTGTCTTGATGACCAGTCTAGTGCTGTCAGTGGAGTACTAAACACCCCCACTATTATTGTGTTGCTTTCTATCTCATTTCTTAGATCTAGTAGTAATTGTTTTATAAATTTGGGAGCTCCAGTGTTAGGTGCATATATATTTAGAACTGTGATATTTTCCTGTTGGACTAGTCCTTTTATCATTATATAATGTCCCTTTTTGTCTTTTTTAACTGCTGTTGCTTTAAAGTTTGTTTTGTCTGATATAAGAATAGCTACTCCTGCTCACTTTTGGTGTTCATTTGCATGGAGTATTTTTTTCCACCCCTTTACTTTATGTGAGTCCTTATGTGTTAGGTGAGTCTCCTGAAGACAGCAGAAACTAGGTGGGTGAATTCTTAACCATTCTGCCATTCCATATCTTTTAAGTGGAGCATTAGGCCATTTACACTCGATGGGAGTAATGAGATGTAAGGTACTATTCTATTCATCGTGCTATTTGTTGCCTGAATACCTTGGGTTTTTTTCATTGTGCTATTGTTATATAGTTCATGTGAGATTTATGCTTTAAGGAGGTTCTATTTTGGTGCATTCTGAGGATTTGTTTCAAGAGTTAGAGCTTTCTTAAGCAGTTCTTGTAGTGCTGGCTTGGTAGTGGCGAACTCTCTCAGCATTCATTTATCTGGAACAGACTGTATTTGTCCTTCAGTCATGAAGCTTAGTTTCGCTGAATACAAAATTCTTGTCTGATAATTGTTTTGTTTAAGGAGGCTAGAACTAGGACCCCAATCCCTTCTAGCTTGTAGTGTTTCTGCTGAGAAATCTGCTGTTAATCTGATAGGTTTTCCTTTATAGGTTATCTGATGCTTTTGCCTCACAGAACTTAAGATTGTTTTCTTCATCTTGACTTTAGATAACTTGATGACTATGTGCCTAGGCAATGATCTTTTTTGCAATGAATTTCCCCAGTGTTCTTTAAGCTCTTATATTTGTCTAGATCTCTGGCAAGGCCGGGGAAGTTTTCCTCCATTATTCCCTCAGATATGTTTTCCAAACTTTTAGATTTCCCTTCTTCAGGAACACCAGTTATTCTTAGGTTTGGATGTTTAACATAGTCTCAAATTTCTTGGATGCTTCGTTTTTTTTTTAATAATCTTTTTTCTTTGTCTTTCATGGATTATGTTAATTCAAAAGCCTTGTCTTTGAGCTCTGAAGTTCTTTCTTGTTCGATTCTATTGCTGAGACTTTCCAGTGCATTTTGCATTTCTCTGAGTGAGTCATGATTACCTAATGTGATTGTTTTTCATTTATGCTATTTCACAGAAGAATTTTCCTTTCATATCTTGTATTATGCTTTTTTATTTATTTAAGTTGGACTTCACCTTTCTGTGGTGCCTTCTTGATTAGCTTAATCTTTTGGGGGTGTTAAAGAATGTTGTTTTGTCATATTTCCAGGATTTTTTTTCTGGTTCCTTCTCTTTTGGATAGACTATGTCGAAGGGAAGATCTGGGATTCAAGGGCTGCTGTTCAGATTCTTTCGTCCCATGGAATGCTCCCTTGATAGGATGTTTTCCCCCTTCTCCTGGGAATGGGGCCTCCTGGGAGCCAAACTGTAGTGATTGCTTTTGCCTTTCTGTGTCTAGCCACCCAGTGGAGCTACCAGGCTCTGGGCTGGTACCGGGGAGTGTCTGCAAAGAGTCCTGAGATGTGATTCATCTTAAAGTCTTTCAGCCGCGTATAACAGCACCTGTTCTGGTGGAGGTAGCAGGGGAGTGAAGTGGACTCTGTGAGGGTCCTTGGTTGTGTTTTTTAGTGTGCTGGTTTTGGGTTGGTTGGCCTCCAGCCAGGAGGTGGTGCTTTCAAGAGCGCATCAGCTGTGGTCCTATAGGGAGAATGCAAACTTGCCCTAGGGACACCTGGTTAAGTACTCAGGTTTCTCAGGTGGTGGGCAGGCCATAGAGCCCTCAAGAAATTGAGACCTTTGTCTTTGGCTACCAGAGAGGGTAAAGAAAGACCACCAGGTGGGGACAGGGATAGGCGTGTCTGAAATCAGCCTCTCTCTGGGCGGGTCTTGCTGCAGCTGCTGTGGGGGATGGGAGTGCGGTTCCCAGGCCAATGGAGTTATAGTCCCGGAGGGATTATGGCTGCCTTTGCTGAGTCATACAGGTCACTAGGGAAGTGGGAGAAAGTCGGCAGCCACAGGCCTCACCGCATTCCCACGCAGCCCATAGTCCTAAAGGCCGGTCTCACTCCCACTGTGGCCCTGCAACAGCACCAGGTCTATTTCCAAGCAGCCAGTGACCAGGGCTGAGAACTTGCCCCAGACCACGAGCCTCCCTGTTGAGAAAGCAAGCAGACTCACAGTTTTTCAGCAGCATCTCAGGGAGCCTGCAGTAGTGATCCAGTACCTTCAAAGGGTCTGTGGATTCTCTCAGCTTTCCTGGTATGTTCCTGCAGTAGTTCTTGGAGCAAAAGTTCACAATGTGAGTCTCCACACGCTGCTCTGTCCATCTGAGCAACAGCTGCAAGCTAGTCCTGCCTCCTGTCTGCCATCTTAATCTGTCCATCCTTAATTTTTTTCACAGCATTAAAATTTTCTTTGAACCTAGGAATGACATAAAAGTACCTAGGAAAGGTACTTCATGAATCAAACCCAGAAATATGAGAAGAATTTAATTTGGTGATAAAGGAAGAGGATGGCATTCTAGTAGAAAAGAAGAGCAAGCACAAATTATGTAAGGAAATAAAAGCATGAAACATTTAGAGAATAGCAATTTCTTTACTTTTATTACTTTATTTTAACTAATGAAGGAGAAGGATAATCAGAAATCAGTTGAAGGAGCAGGTGGCAATCAGATCTTGACAGGCCTTGGACCAAAAAATTTCTATGAAAATCTGGGTTCCCATCACCACATTCATTATACCATCTTTTAGGACAGAAAGTGCAAGTAACTTTTCTGGAATATTAGCTAGTATTTATGACACATGTATCTCCTCCACCTAATTGATGGAGTTAGGGATTGGGTTGGTTCAAAGTCACTAGCTTCCAAATTAACCTGAACTGGAAGGTGATCAATGGCCTTTGTAGTCACTTGGTATAAAACTCTGCCTAGTAAGAGTTCTTTGAATGGAATGGTGACAAAGTAGTCAAAATGAATCATCTCTCTTGGGATGTATAAATAGAAAGTACTCACAGGGAAACAAATCACTGAAGCCGTAGCCAGATGCAAAATAGTATAAAAATATTATTACAATTCTCCATAAGATTTATGGAATACCCAATTATTGAAGTTCCAGGACGTAACGCAAATTTGCAACAAATCTATGAAACAGTAGCCCAGGTTACCTTGTTATATCTTGATTTTTCTGATAAACTTCCATTACCAGTGGTAATCTGGATGTACCACTTCCATGCAGCATTAGAAACAAACACACTCAACCTCTTATGAGATACTGAAGGGTCAGTATTTTATCTTGAATGTACTAGCTACGCCTACCACCAGGTAACAACCATACTATCAAACCCAGGGACTATGACCATTGTATTTTTAATCGAGGCATATTTGGTGCTTAGTAAATAGCCTGGGACTCTGTGACACTGAACAATTTCATATTAAGTAAAAGAAAACAAATGAGTTAGAGGAAATCAACCGAAAAAACTGTTTTATAACACACTTGAAGGTAATATTTTTAAATGATTCATCTGTTGACAGGACATTGATAATTGTGACATTCTGTGGGTAAACTTGGCAGGGATTGGGTCTTTGATGTTGCAACCATGAATCTTCCCATTGGCCAAAAAGTAGTCATAGAGGCAAAAGGAATACTGTTAAGATACTGCCAATAAGTACGATAAAAGTCAAATAGAAGGGTTGCATATTGCAAGATATGCAGTAGTTGATTTATCAAGCAAGTATCTTATGTCATTAGGGCAATCAAGGTTTCTCAACCTGTTTTTCACAAGATGTTACTTGTATTTTACAACAGAAGTTTCTGATCAACTATACTCAGAACATGCTACTTTAAACACGGTTGGTTAAGTTTCTTAATTTCAGGATTTTTCAGTCTTTGATATGCTAAGCAGTATTATGAATGTCTAAGAAAAGGTGTTAAGCATACAACCTTATCTCCCTAATTTAACCTTGCCTTTTTTTGGTGTAACATCTCAAACACCATTCAGAATCACCAGTTTATATAATTTCCATTCACTGTAGTTATGACCAAAGAGTTAGTTTTTAATTCAGTGTTTCAAAATTTTAAAAGAAAATTTAGCCTTTGTTTGTCAATCATGCCTCAATAAAACTAGGAAAAAATACAATTAAAATGTTTTTAATTATCTTTAAAAAACAAAAGGGAGAGAAAATTTCGCCAAAGGAATTATTCAGTATTATAATTAGGTAAGATTCTTACGCACAAGACATTCTCTGCACCTGGATTTATCAAGGAAAGTTCAGTCAACATGAAGAAAAGAGGCTTATTTGGATCTTACAAGATCTGCATGATCCTATCCTTCCTTTGGGGAACTGGATGAGCACCAGAGGACAGGGACTCCCCAGGCCTTTTGACAGCTGCTCCTCCCAACGAATAAAGGGTATACACGAACAAAATTAATTATTTTATGATATAGCTACTTTAAAAATACAATATTTGCACTGCTTTTACATCTGAGTAAGCTTATTTCCTTTACATCTTGGTGAGAACAATAATAATATTCTTTTTTACTTAGAATACCAATGGATCGAGTATATCTTTTCATTAAATATGGTCATCCCCTTTTTTAAAAAAAAAACTTCAATAAAAAATATGTATGGATCTGACTGACTTTCAATACAAAGAAAAGCAAAAAGGAAGTTATCCCATCATTCTGAATTAAAACGCAATCTGCAAAATCTGTTAAAAATTGTTTCTTATTATTGTGCCAGTAACTAATAGCCTAATTTTTTTAACATTAACTCTCCACCGAGGAGGCTTACTGAGCTAAGCTTTTTCTCATAATATTAAGCATAGTCGAAGGAGTATTATGGTTTATATTTTCCTTAAAATTCTAGAGTAGATACATGAATCTATTCCAGAGTAGAGGCATGAATCTATCCCAATAGTAACATGTACAGAGAGGATGCAAGATGCTTAGAAGTAGGGAGATGTGTGTCCAAGATCTAGTTTTGCCTGGAGCAAAACACTCCAGGTATTATTTCCTTCACATAAAATGAAAAGATTAGACTTCATTTTAAGGATTCTTCTAGCTCTAGCTCTAAAAATCCATGATTTGAAAATGTTTTTTAATGTGTCAGCCGTTTCAGCTGAAATACAAATAAGTAGCACAAGACTGGGTTGTGATGTCTCACGTTTCCCCATTACAAAGTAATAAATGATTCCTAAGGGATTTTTCAACGCACTCTTGTGCAGCCCATCACTAAAAGGAAAGCTGCCCGTTAATCTCATAGAGTGAGGCTAAAGACACTTTTGGGGCAGAGTGGGGAAGATGATCTCACAGGAACAAAATCTGCAGAAGTCAAAGCTACACATATTTACCAAAAAGATGTTCATTTTGTTTTTCCTTTATTTTATTTTACTTTATTTATTTTTTTTTTGAGACGGAGTCTCGCTCTGTCGCCCAGGCTGGAGTGCAGTGGCGCAATCTCGGCTCACTGCAAGCTCCGCCTCCCGGGTTCACGCCATTCTCCTGCCTCAGCCTCTCCGAGTAGCTGGGACTACAGGCACCCGCCGCCACGCCCCGGCTAATTTTTTGTATTTTTAGTAGGGACGGGATTTCACCGTGGTCTCGATCTGCTGACCTCGTGATCACCCGCCTTGGCCTCCCAAAGTGCTGGGATTGCAAGCGTGAGCCACCGCGCCCAGCCGTTTTTCCTTGATTTTATGACTTTTTCTACACTCTCTATTCTGAGTTGGAATCGCATGTCAATGTGAGCTAATAACATGAGCCCAAGCAATACAAGATTTGGATGTGGAAAGTCAAGATATTCAGGGGCACAACTTAAAAGAAAGCTTATTTTTACACCTTTCAGGCATTTGTGTGAATACTTATGACACCTAGTGGTGAAAAACTGGGAAATGGGATAATCAAGGAAGAGGAAGTGGCAATGGCCTGAAGGAGAAAAGATTGTAGATAAGGAACTGCTTTTTAGCAGAAAACTTATCCATAGAGGTGTCTAGTTCTGTGATCCCTTATTTAAGAGGAAACAATTAGAAGAAAACACAATATACAAGGGTTAAAACGATCCTTAAAAAGCCAAAGACTCTAGAGAATCTGGAAATATGCCATCTACAGCAGCCATCCCCAACCTTTCCATGGATGGAGAGGTGGGTTGAGGAGGGGGATTGGTTTTGGGAGGACACTGTTCCACCTCAGATCATCAGGCATTAGGGCATTAGATTCTCAGAAGGAGCATGCAACCTACATCCTTTGCATGCACAGTTCACAATAAGGCTCCTGTTCCTATGAGACTCTAATGCAGCCAATGATCTGATGTGAGATGGCACTCAGGCAGTAATGCTCAGTTGCCTGCTGCTCACTTCCTGCTATGCGGCCAGGTTCCTAACAGGCCACTGCCGGGTACTGGTCCACTGCCTAGGGGTTGGGGAATCCTGATCTTCAAGGAAAGAAAAAGAACTTCCTCCATGTATATTCTTCCCATCCAGAAGTAAGGAAAACAATCGTTCAAGAACTTCTGTAATCTGCTACAGCTCAATCCAAGTCTGCATGGATCCACACTGGTCCTCAAGACAGCTGAGCCAAGAGGACCCATTGTAGCAATATCTTTTTATTTCCCATATACTAACATAATCTTAAAAAACATCTTTGTAAAGACTGAGAATGCTTTCTGCAGTGATATTAGAACGACTAGGAAGACACTGAAACTGTTTTTGGCGTGTTGGGATTCATTTTAAAGGTAAATGCCTAATTTTTCATAATCAGACAAATCTGCAGAATTTCCAAAGAGAAGAGATGTAGAACTTTTTAAATAAAAATAGTAAATTACATCATCTCTTAGAAAACAGTGAGAATCAGAAAGCTACTAAAATGAAGAGAGAAGATACATATAGATCAAATGGAGTTGAAAATAAACACATTGTGTGTGTGTGTGTGTGTGTGTAAAAATAATGGAGAGGAGTGGTAATGAGACCATGTGAATGGGAAGAGTCCTGTTAATAATATTCTTGGAACTGATTACAAGTGCTCATTCCTTTAGTTTCCTGAACTGTTTGGCATTTCTCAATGAGGTTCATTCTAGAAATATTTTCATTGCAGGTCTACCAGCTCTACCATGTACTTCCCTCCAGTACTAAATATTCCATTATTGCTTAGACCATTCGTATCTGAAGTATGCTCCAGAACTTCTGCAGCTGTTATCAGCATTCCTCCTATACGCTGTAGAGATGGTGGTAGATGGAACTATGTAAGTCACCTCTCTTTGAAATGTAAAACAAAGATAAAATTCAAAGGCCCCCCACCCGCCATCTGAATGAACTCCCTCCTTGTCCAGGGCACCTGAAAGACTGGTTCTGGCCATGATGGGAAAAGGGGGGTTGGAAATGCCTTATTATGCGCTCCTTTCTTTTGAAATTCAGAAAAAGCGGACCAGCATTTGACATCAACACAGATCTTAAGTCTGTTAAGAAACATTTACAATCTATTTTCTCTGAAGCCTGCTATCTGGAGGCTTATCTGCATGATAAAACTTTGGATTCCACAACCTCTTATCCTAACTGGAACATTCCTTTCTATTGATAATGACTCTTTCAACCAATTGCCAGTCAGAAAAATTTGAAATCTACCTATGACCCTGGAAGCCCTCTACCCTGCTTTCTGGATTGCCCTGCCTTTCTGGACTGAACCAATGTATATCTTAAATGTACTTGGTTGATGTCTCATATCTCCCTAAAATGTATAAAACCAAGCTACACCCTGACCACCTGGGGTACATGTTCTCAGGGTCTCCTGAGGGCTGTGTCACAGGCCCTGGTCACTCATATTTGGCTCAGAATAAATCTCTTCAAGTATTTTACAGAGTTTGAGTCTTTTCATCAACAGAAAGCAAGGCCCTGAACATTCCGGCATATATGCCTTGCCCAAGATGGATGCTCCCATTAATATGTTAACCTAGGTATTAGTTTCTACAATTAAATTTATTTGCAATTACTCAAAAATTATTTATTAATTTGGATTGCCTATACTACTGCTCCCCCCCTTCTTTTTTTTTTTTTTTTTGAGAGGAAGTCTCTCGCTCTGTCACCAAGGCTGGAGTGCAGTGATCTCAGATCACTGCAACTTCCATCTCCCGGGTTCAAGCAATTCTCCGGCTTCAGCCTCCCGAGTAGCTGGGATTACAGGTACCCACCACCACGCCTGGCTAATTTTTTGTATTTTTAGTAGAGACGGGGTTTCACCATGTTTGTTAGGCTAGTCTCGAACTCCTGACCTCGTGATCCGCCTGCCTCGGCCTCCCAAAGTGCTGGGATTACAGGCGTGAGCCACCGTGCCCAGCCTCCCCTTCCTTATTATAAATAAATAGTCAAATGCTGGGAGACTCTGGAATCCATTCCAAACACTGAGAATTGTCTGAGAATTGAACTGGCTCAGTGGATGCATAATACGTTTCCTATAACTGGGGCTGAAAGAGCTTAAATTAGAGTTAGCTGTTATGCAAATAGAAAAAGAAGAAGAGGAAAAGAAATCAAGTTCTCAGAATCCAAATGCCTAGAGAAAAAGCTTTTAGGAATCAAGAAAGGCAAAAATATGTTTTATGCATTAAAGCTTCTCTTGAGATCTTTCATACAGCCAGCGGTGTTCTGGAAGTCAAGAGAATGGGAACTAACAGAGGCTCTATCATAAACCATTTGTGTATTGTTGAGCAAGTCACATAAATTTTCTAGGTCTTCCTTTCTTCATCGTGTAAAATGAAAACACAGCCATAAAAAAGAACAAAATCATGTCCAACATGGATGCAGCTGGAGGCCATTATCCAAAGCCAATTAACACAGAGACAGAAAACTAAACACAGGATGTTCTCACTTATAAGTGGGAGCTAAACATTGGGTACACAGGAAACAAAGATGAGAACAACAAACACTGGGGATTCCAAAATAAGGGAGGGAAGAGGGGGCAAGGTTGAAAAATTACCTATCTGGTACTATGTTCACCACTTGGGCGATGGGATCATTAGAAGCCCAAACATCAGCACCAGGCAATATATCTATGTAATAAATCTGTACCCTTTGAATCTAAAATAATTATTTTAAAAAGCAAAGTATCATACAACTATAAAGGTAAAATAATAAAGTAAAACTGAAATTTCCGATAACTATGAAAGAATTAAATAATGTTTTTTCATTAAAAATAAAACGAAGATAGTTTATTAGATGATATCTGAGGTCCCCTTGAGCTTCAGAATTTGATTTTTTAATAGTTTATTGTATCTACTTTTTCTTGTTTTACTTTCTATACTAATTATGCTCCTCAAGTTCTGAGTTCAATACCTTTTCAGATTTGAACAAGAGAATAACAAAATAAAGATGATACCTGTTTTCTCACTGCTATGGGAACACAGAAAGTAGAAAAATATACCAGAGAATTAGCCTGGGAAAGAAAGTTAGAGAAAAAAAGTCGTGTACTTCATTTAGGCAGTGACTTATAACATTAGTTTCATGTGATATGTACAATAATTATTTTATTGAATGTTTAAACATTATTGGTTTGAAAGTTAAGACTAATAATTTTCTGTTTCAAAGGCTGAAGAGAGTAGGCGTAACGAGTCAAGAATTCACAAAGTTAAAAATTGTTTTAAAACAATTCTACATATTTCAGGAAAGAGTCAAATACCTGAAATGAGATTGAACCCTCTGTAAGGTTCCTTTCAGCCCTGAAAATCTAAATACTATATTTAAATCTCCTGGACTTTTGTACAAAATGACTCTTCCAAGTCCCTCCACTCTGGGCTTGGGGTTTATTTGATTCCATGACTCCTGTTTTGACAATCATGAGAACAAGGAAGATAGTGGATGAATAAAGATGGGAAAGGTGAAGAGATTTAGAACCAAAGATGAGTTTCACTGTTTTTACCATTCTTAAATTTACCTGGTGAGGATCATGAAGTATAGGGAGGCTAGGAAGAGAAAGAAACAAGAAACAGGAGTGTAAGCAAACTAGTATTACCAGGCACATGCAGGAAAAAAAAAATCAATGTTTTATTTTTTTGTTTGCTTTTAAAAGAAATGCTGGGTTTTGCATTCTAGCCCCTCATTCATTCAAGACTCCCTTATTTGGTATTCAAGTGCAATCTGCAAGTGGGTGGTGTGAGTTTGTATATTTGCAGAAGCACTTTTCGGGAAGTGCTAAAGTAAATCCTGTGGTTGAGAAGTTTGTTGTACAGTACTTAAGGAGCACAGATTGTTTTGGTTTCCGTGTTATTTATTTAACTTATAAATTAAACTGTGAGAGCATACATACCACGCACACAATTCAGAGAACAGACAATGTAAGAATGTAAAAAAAAAAAATAAAAAAAAATGCCCTGGGGCAGAATCTGATAGTGTTCTTTTCCCAATTAATACATCACCTATCAAACTACGTTGAAAATCCATATGCTTATCTAACGTTTCAAAGTGATTTCTTCCTTCAGTAATAAAAATGTTTTTAAAGAGAGTGAAAACATTAATTCTACATGGGGGAAACATAGGATATATAGCAATTAAATAACCATGATCTAAATTATTTACTACATTAGCCTGCCTTTGTTGAAACTTATTTCAGGGCCTAGTTTGATATACTTGACTAGCAGAAAATTACGGAGTTTTAAAAAATCTGAGGCCGGGTGCGGTGGCTCACACCTTAATCCCAGCACTTTGGGAGGCGGATTACAAGGTCAGGAGTTCAAGACCAGCCTGACCAACATGGTGAAACCCCGTCTCTACCAAAAATACAAAAATTAGCTGGGTGTGAAGGTGTGTGCTTGTAATCCCAGCTACTTGGGAGACTGAGGCAGGAGAATCACTTGAACCCGGGAGGCAGAGGTTGCAGTGAGCTGAGATCATGCCACTGCACTCCAGCCTGGGCAACAGAGTGAGACTCCATCTCAAAAAAAAAAACAAAAAAAAACTGAATTACATGCATCACATGTGTTCTATACTGTAATGTATAAATTCTGTTCAAAATCATTCTTGTGTTTGTTTAGATAACATCTGTTTCCATGTCAGTCTAATGCATTGTAAACTTACTGAGGGCAGGGAGCATGTCTAACCTAATGAGAGTTGCCTCAAATAAATATCAGTCCAGAACAATACTTTTATGCATACCAAACCCATCCCTGCATCTCCCCCACCATCTTCTCAGCCAGTAAGAAACTAAACTGCCTCTGCCTGACTCTGTGCTGGACTACTTGCTCTTGTCAACCTCCTATAACCACCAAACCAGTCATGCATCATGACCCTGAACAAACTGGGCCCTGTGTTGTCTCTGTAATGAATCTCCCCTTCTGGAGATATTATTAGCAAAACAATATTCCAGGAACTTGCCTTATATCGGTTCCACTTTCTCTGAGGCTGCTTTTCCAGCAAGAAGTATTACTGATGGATAGGCCCTTCTGCTTATCACAGAGCCAGCCCTTTTAAAACACATTCTTATCTTTGAGGATTTTGGCAGCAGGTACTCCACTGTTGAGCACTTACTTTTAGAAAATGCACTGACTCCCAGATGAAATTAGGTAGATGAATTCCCACCCCTATAGTGAGTGACATATTTTTTTTTACTTCTTTCTTTTTTTTTTTTTTTTGAGATGAAGCCTCGCTCTGCAGCCCAGGCTGGAGTGCAGTGGTGTGATCTCGGCTCACCGCAACCTCTACCTCCTGGGTTCAAGAGATTCTCCTTCCTCAGCCTCCAGAGTAGCTGGGATTACAGGCATGCACCACAGCACCTGGCTAATTTTTTGTATTTTTAGTAGAGGTGGAGTTTCACCATGTTGGCCAACCTGGTCTTGAACTCTGACCTCAGGTAATCTGCCCACCTCAGCCTCCCACAGTGCTAGGATTACAGGCGTAAGTCACCGCGCCTGGCTGTGAGTGATATTTTTATCAGTAAATGGTTATTAGTTTCCTACAGGAAGAGACTAAAGGATTAGGTATAAACATGTATTCATATCTACTCAAATAATTCCTGTATAAGTACTCATGAGGGGCAGAATAATTTCAGACATCAGATAGCATCCATTGAACTCTTGCGGCTGCCTTATCATCAAGTAACCTACATCTCTCCTCAATGCTGTTAGCAGCACTTAGCAGCTCAATTCTTGATCTCCATTTGTACTTAGACTTTAGAGTCTCTTTAAATTGAATAAAACAACATAGCCTGAACTTTGGTTATCTATAAGAGCAAAAGACTGAAAACAATCCACAAGACTATTAATTAAGCCTTTCCCAAGTATATTTGCAATTTTCTAAAACAAAACAGCACCATATGTCTGATAAGGACCTACCTTAGAGGAGTTGTTAAATTAATAAAGCAAGGTACAGAGATGCATATATAATTATGCCTGGATTTACAGAGAATATTGCTAGAAAGATAAATAAGAAAAAGGTTACCATGATTGCCTCTAAAAAGGAGACGAGTGGCTGGGGACAGGGGTAGTAGGAAGGCTGACAATTTTACTACTGTATTTTTGTATTTTGTAATGTGACACTGAAGTTATTTACAGACTCAAAATGATTTATTAATTTTTTTTAAAAACCAGCATGGGTATTGGAATTAGACAGACTTGGATTAGTATCCTGACTAAGGTTGCCAGACATAAGATGCAGGACATCCTGTATTTTTTATTTTATTTTTATTGCTAGATAAAATGCAAGAGTCCTGTATTTTTATTTGCTCAATACAGCAATCCTAGGTCCTGACCTCACCATTTATTTTGTTTGTAACTCTAAACAAGTGAGTTAGGTCAGATTCCTCTGAAACAGAAGGAAGGAGAGGAAGCCATGAAGGATGAGATCTCAGGCTCAGCCCCATCCTGTGGGTGAATTCAAGTGTGAGTTCAGCCTTGGTGTTGTCCCATCTTCAGCAAGGGAGCTGGGTTTCATATTCCCACACTGCACCAGGCAGCCCTGGCAGAGAAAGAAGAACACAAACTCTCAGTCACTTTCAGCCTTCTGCATGTGTGGGAAAAAGGGCTCTAGTAGTCCAAGGACAGATTTCCCACAAAGAGCCTTAGCTGCTGGCTGCTGAAAGTACACCAAAGCCAGGGGGATAAACCATAAAAACGTATTCAAAGGGACAAGCAGGTCACTGGGAGTCATGGTGAGCAAGGTCACTCCTATTCCTGCCTCTGGTTCCTGAGCCTGTAGATCGCTCCCATTGGATTCCCATTTGTACTTAGACTCTAGAGTCTCTATAAATTGAATGAAAAGTAGCCTGAACTTTGGTTATCTATAAGAGCAAAAGACTGAAAACAATCCACACAAATTTTATTTTTATTTATTTATTTATTTATTTATTTTGAGACGGAGTCTCACTCTATTGCCCAGGCTAGCATGCAGTGGCATGATCTCCGCTCACTGCAACCTCCGCCTCCCAGGTTCAAGCAATTCTCCTGCCTCAGCCTCCCAAGTAGCTGGAACTACAGGCGTCCGCCACCATGCCTGGATAAGTTTTTGTTTTTTGTTGTTGTTTTTTTTTTAGTAAAGTTGGGGTTTCACCATGTTGGCCAGGCTGGTCTTGAGCTCCTGACCTCAAGTGATCCACCCACCTTGGCTTTCTCCCCAAGTGCTGGGATTACAGGTGTGAGCCACCGCTCCCAGCCACCATGACTATTAATTAAGCCTTTCACAAGCAAATCTGCAATTTTTAAAAACAAAGCAGCACCATATGTAATAGCTGCTGCTTCATGCTGCTTACCACATCCTGAAGGACAGTACCCCAGTCTTGGGTTTGCCTTCAACAGACCGTTCCATGCTCCATCAGGCTAGAATCGTCTGAAAGTGGTGGTTTGTGGTAGGAACAGCAACTTTCCTCATCATGGACTCTTTGCCACACTTCATTCACCATAGAATGGGTCTCAAGGTGATGTTATATCAACAGATGAAACACTCTGTGGGCCCCCAGACAGCAGTGTTGGCTGGGGACCTGCAGAAGAAGGGAAAGCTCCTTTGTGGAATATGTCAATCTGGTCAGGATGAATTGAGCCCTGGAGTCCTTTGAGTAAGGACTGGAGGGATCCCTGCTGCATACACTTATGGTGGTGTTGCAGGGAGTTCTGTCTACCTATTGCTACAGAACAAATCACCCCAAAACGAGGCTTAAACAACAATCATTTTATTATGTCCCAAGGTTTTGGAGGGTCAGGAATTTCCAGGGCTCAGCAGGGCTGTTCTGAGTGAGTTCCCCAGAAGCAAAGCCAGAGCAAGAATTTGCATGCAAGTGATTTGTTAAGGGAAGTGTTAGGGAAAGATCTGTAAAGGCGTGAGAGAGGGGAAGTAGGAGTGGGAAGAGGAGGAAACTGAGGCAGGATATGATCTCAGACCATGTTCTACAGAGGGCGGGCTTTAGCCTGATCCAGGGAGCAACTCTGGAGGGTCAGTTATATCTCAGTTATATATCAGATGTCCTCATCTGATGCAAGGGACCTGAGCTTTCACACTCCTACACTTGACAGTCACTGGTTGTTTGCCACCCTGGGCATCAGGTTGGAATTGGAGGGTAACTCCCAAGCATGCCTGACTCCCTCCATGTGAAGCTCCAGAGGCCTCTTCAAATTGCTGTTCAGCTTCTGTTTTTTGATTTGTAAAATGGAAATAATATTTGTATCTGCCTCATATTTTGGCTTTTACTATTATTTTTAATTGACACTTAATTATACATATTTATGAGGTACAGTCTACTATTTTGATATGTGTATATAATGTGAATTATGAAATCAGGGTAATTAGCATATGGAAATTCAAAATCTTCCCTTCTAGCTATTTGAAAATATATAATAAATTATTAATTATAGTCACTCTACAGTGCCATAGAACACTGGAACTATCCTCCTATCTAGCTCTAATTTTGTATCCATTAACTAACCTTTCCCTAATCCTGCTTCCCACGACCCTACCCGGCCTCTAATAACCACTATTCTAACTCTATGTTTCTAAGAGTTCAACTTTTTTAGCTCTCATGTATGAGTGATAACATGTGGCATTTGTCTCTCTGTCGCCTGCCTTATTTCACTTAATATAATGTCCTCCAAACTCATCCATGTTGAAGGATGTATATCTATTAAGCAATTTACCCATTTTTAATTGGATTTTTTTTGGTGTTGAGTTTGTATCTATCTCATCTTTTAGAATTTAATGGAATTATTCATGTAAAGTTTTCGCCTCAGTATCTGGCACTACTGTAAAAACAGTATTACAAATCATTATTTGGAGCAGAAATTATTCAAAATATACTATTGGTTTTATGTGCAATATTTTCTCCACATTCAATACAACAAATGCTTTATCATAGGCAGATAAATCTCCTTAATTATGAAAAGCAAATGTGAGTATCAGGAACAATGGCTAAATATACCAAAACATTGTGTTGAACACCATAAATATGTACAATTTTGTCATTTAAAATGAAAAAATTAAAGAAAATATGAATTATTTTCATGTTTAATACACTTCCAGACATTCAGAACACTACATGATACACAGGCCTTCAAAAATATTTCTTGAATTGATGTATTAATAAATGTTGTTCATAATAATTGCAAAAAAAGCGGGATAATTATAAATCTACAATCTCTTATCCACCAACCCCAAAATACAAAAAGCTCCAAAAACTGATTTGTTTTTCTTTTATAACTTAGTTGGTGGCAAAACCTCATGGGATTTGAACTCATCTGGCAGCAAAACCTGAGGTGAACTGATGGGCGGGCCACGTACAGTCTTTCTTCACCTCACTTAGTGTGAGTAGTCACACGATTTCACTACAGATACATTAATATGTTTGATTAAATGGTATTGTCCCAGGCATCTCTGGCAAAATTATATAATATATGGGTTAATATGTGGATATAATACATACACACACTATATTAACTTTCTAAAATGCAAAATTAATTCTGAATTCCAAATTATATCTGGCTCAAGGGATTGGGATATGAATGTCTGCCCTTCACCATGGCTCTGTCTGGCACTAAACCGTCTGGTGACTTCCCAATAGACTTAGATGAAATCCCTGTGCTTTCCTGACTCGAGGGCCTTGCAGGACACAGCCAATGCCCACCGTCTCCAGTGCAGTCCTTCCCTCTCTCAGGTGTTCTGCCTGGCTCCACACCAAGTTATGTCCACCTCCGGCCATTTGCCCTTGTCGATCATGCTGGAGAGGCTTTTCCTTGTTCCTCCTCCCCTGGAGGCTCCTTTTCTGCCTTCAGGTTTCAACTTAAATTTCTTCCCCCAAGAGAGGCCTTCCCTAACCTATCCACTATTGGTTCCTGCTATTAGTCTTCATGTTTAGTCCCCTCATGGCAATTAAATCTATCTATAATTATTATTTCAATTTTTGTTTATTGTCTCTCTCTCCCTCCAGACTCTAAGCTCTATGAAGGTAAGAGCTTTTACTTTATTCAATTGTGTAGGCCCAGCCCTTAGCACTATATAATAACTGGCACATCGTAGGGGCTCGACACATGTTTGCTAAATTGAATGAATGAATGAATCAATCAATCAAGACATCCATCCCAGACATGCTGGCATTGGGGTAGGATTTAAAGACCTCATCAGCTAACTGATCAACACTAATACAATAAGAGACAACTGACTTCTTATATGTGATATATAAGTTGTGTATCAATTTGTTCTTAGAATAAATAAAGTGTTTGTCTTAAGTCCTAAAAGAATCACTGCAGGTATACAGGCTCTGGTATAATGAAATAAGAGACATGATAGAGAAAATGCAACTCTCCCCTTGGCAAATACTCTAATATACAATTATCCTTTGAACTTACTGCCTTCATTCACATTATGTTGTCTCATTCTGGTGTGGTGCCTTATTTCTTATTTTAATATGTGTCTTTATGCCCTATTGACATGAAATTCAAACAGCACAATTTCCCCATCAGCTGTCCAAACATACCAAACTGACACGGATTTAAATTTTCTGGGATTCTGGAATTACTGACTATTTTCAGAATAAAACATTTAAGTTCTCATAAAACCTTCTATGAGCATGGTAAATTATCTTCACATAAAATCAGAAAGTATTGAGATTATCTCATCTCTGTCATGATGATTTCTGCAAAGTTTCTGGGTGTGGTATGTGTCTGGTAAAATGATGCACTATATAAGTCAGCCTCCAGAACTGGCCATTTTCCAAAAGTCTGCCTGTTCCAGAAAGGGTGGCATTTTCCCCTGTGTTTCCATCCTGTATAGCTAAGGGAGGAAGCTGAGTTTAGTGGTTAGTGCAATAGACTGAGTCAGCAAGTTTAGTTTCTATATTTGGTGATGTGATTTGCTGAAAACCTTTGTCAGACCAACTCTGTCTAAATGATGAAAGGAGTCTTTGTTCTCTTATATCTAACTTTTGTAAACTTCTGCATGAATACTGTCTTCATTGCTACTGTCCTGAAACTCTGAAACATCTCTCTGGGACTTTTCTCCCTTGTATTCTTTTAGAGAATCAATAAGCCAAGCAGCAGCAAAGCAAGAAACAAACTAAACCAAATACCAGGGCCTCAGTGGCCTACACACACAGGTACACATACAGGTATAGCACAGGTTATACACGACCTGGCAGGGCCATGCACTCCGGTGACAGTAAGAATGAAGGCCTCTGGAGTTGTGCCCAAATAAGCACCAGGCCCTTGCATAAAGTTCAGCAATGAGAAAGAGCAAAACTGTCCATTACAGTATAAACACATTATTGGACCTTTAACTTTACCATTAGGATTAACTTTAGAACAAACATCTCCCCTTCCCCAACATTCAGATATTTAATGTAAAAAGGGGGAAAAAATGTGTTCCCTGTTAAAGTGCCCGTTGGGGGCAAAATAATTTGTGGGTAGAATTTTCCTTAACCAGGTGCCTACTACATTCTGCAACTTTGTGAAGCCAGCTTTGTTTGCATGCAGGCATTACTTGGTTTATGTCACACCATGGGCTGAGTGCTTTAGGGGATCTAACCAAAGGGTAAATATTTTTAAAATATTTTAAATAATTATATTCCATCAATGGAAAAGAATGTTTATCAAACCACTGTTAATAACTCCAAAACTTTTTGCAAAGCTTAAACATTTATCAAGAGGAAATTGATAAAAGAAATAATAGAGTTGAAGTAAAATTAAATGTTATGAAGTTAAAGAAAAGGATGTGAATCTATATTTAAATCAGGTTTAAAAGACAAATAATTGCAAGAGAATACTGTGTTATATGATTCCATGTATAAAATGTTTTGGATGTTTATGCATATAAATATATGAAGAATTATTTGAATGCATCATAACAAAATATTAGTATTAATTTTCTATAGAAGTGAGACTTCCAAGGATATTTATTTACTTCTTTATGCTTTTCTGAAACATCTTCTAATATAAATTTATTATTAAAAATACAAACAAAGCTATTGGCATTTAAATGTTTTTGCATTTTTGTTATAGAGAGATAAGCAAATAAAAATTAAACATCACCTCAAACCCAAGAGATAGGCACTGTTAACATTCTTCTGTATTTAATTACACATATGTGCCCATATTACACAAATGGTATAATATGTACATAATATTTTATATCCGGTTTTTCCACTTTACAGTGAATTACGAGTCTTTTTTCCAAGCTATTGTCTTTTTGTTGTTTTAATTCCAGTTAATATTTTATTGTATGGCTATATTATGATTATTTAACCAGTCTTCTATTTCTAGAAAGTTATATGCTTGCCAATCATCTGCTAATGTAAAAGCACTTGGATGAACATCTTTATAACCCAATTTTCAACATTCAGAGAACTTTCTCCAAGACAGTAGAGGATGGAGTCAGCCTAGCTACCATCAGACAAAGGCCCAATTGTTTCCTATGTTGCCGAAAGCACAGCTCAGCCTCTCAGCCATGTCTCCCAGACCTGCAATTAATATTCCAGGGTAAAACTCACCTGTCAGTTGGGGTTGCTTCTCTGGATTCCCAGAAATAGGCCACATAATTCCTCATGATTTTGTCAGCTCTTTGTCACTTTAAGGCAATTAAAAAATTTTTTTTTGTCCAATATTTTCAGTGTCTTTGGTAAGTTATTCCAAATATCAGTATCTCATTGCAAAAGTGAAAATAGAACATCTTTGTTAAAATAGTCATCTCTCACTTCCTCCTTGACACCTTCTGTAGTTTCTCTGGGTCCTTAGATAAACCTAAATCCCTCACTAGGAGCTACAAGGTCTTACACACTCTGCTTCTCACCTAAATCTCAGACCGCATCTTGCTCCACATTGCTCCTCTTTCAATAATCTTCTGTCATTCTGTGGTTCTGTCGGTCTCCACCTCAGGGCTTCTGCAGCGGCTAGTCCCTCTGCCTAGAACACTGTTGCTCCAGATGTTCACTTGCCTACCTTCTCTCATTATTCAGGTCTCAGTTCAAACACTACCTTCTCTAAGAGGCCTTCCCTGACCGTCCCATATAAAGTATTAAGTTGGTGCAAACATAATTGCAGTTTTTGCACTTCAAAGTAATGACAAAAAGCTGCAATTACTTTTGCACCAACCTAACAGATTCCACCCCATTCGCTCCTTATCACTCTACTTGGTTTTATATTTTTCTAGCTGCACTTATCACCCTGCCATTTGTTTGAATCATGTATGTTCCATCATGCTATGGTTTGACTGTGTCCGCCAAAGTTCATGTGCTGGAAATGTAATCCCTAATGCAACACCGATGGGAGGTGGGACCTAATAAGTGTTGATTAGGTCACAATGGCTCTGCCTTCATGAATGGATTAATGTCGTTATCTCTGGAGTGGGGTGGTTATCGCAGGAGTGGGCTTGTTGTGAAAGTGACTTCAGCCCCCTCTTGCTCTCTTACTCTCTCTCATCCTGCCACCTTCCGTCTTGGGATGACGTATCAAGAAGGCCCTCACCAGATTCAGGACCCTCAATTTTCGACTTCCCAGCCTCGAGAAATATAACAGATAAATTTCTGTTCTTTATAAATTACCCAGTCTCAAGTATTCTGTCACAGCAGCACAGGACAGACTAAGACACATCATCTCACACTAGAATGTCAGTTCCATCAGAAAGAACCTTCACCCTACTCTATCTTGTTCACCATGCCATGTGTTGCCAGCACCTTTAAAAAACGCTCCTTAAGAATTATTCTCTTTTCAGACATTTTCCAAGCGTACAGTATGGGAGAAGGAGGTATAAGGGGAGGAGGCAATGGGAGGAGGAGAGAGACTGGATCAAAAGCAAATGTTTACATATGATCTGGTGACAGAGCCTGGCACACCAGATATCATAAGACTACAATTATTTTCCAGTTGCTGTGTGACTAGCTGCAAGTCATACCACTTTGCCTTTCACAGCATTTCAGAATATGTGTCAGCTTTCCAAACCAGTTCACCGGCTTCATCAGCCCTTTCTACCAACTCACTTCACCCATGACCCATCAAATGGCAGTGAATTCTAAGAGGGCAGTGTTAGAAAAGGAGAACAGAGAATTCATGAAACCCAGGGAAACACTATAATTATTCTCATGAACTTAAAAGTGAATTCAAAATGGAACAGACATTAAGAATCATTGGTTTATAAGCAGCAAGAATTGAGTAATAGTCCAAGTTGACTTGGCAGCCTCAAAATCTAGGTGCCAAAAAGATGGTTCTCAACCTTTTCATGGTCATAGCACAATTTCAAATACCAGAATTTTGAGAAAACAGTTAAAGAGATTGAGACTCAAGAAATCATTGACTATGTTAGCAATAGATGCATCATAATCACTACTAGCATAAAACAATGCCTCATTTTGCCTGCAAAGATCTTACAGTGGCAATTCACTACAACCATTCATCCGCAGGCACTTGGACTTCACTTGTCGAGAACAGTTGATGCCCTCATGGTGCTCAAGGACATAATACAAAAGTTGTCATCTTTCTCCTGTATATTTTTCTTTAGTGAGAGGTTGACTTGTGTTAAACTGTCTTTCTTCTAGCAAATCATATTAATCTTCACCATGTTCCACAAACACCTCAGGTCCAGTTCTGCTTGACAGGCATTGCCTGTTAGCAGAGTGCTTGGCTGCAGTAAAATAAATTGTATACATCGATCAAAACTGGGTAGCCTATTTTTTGGTAGGCCAGGGTGCCATGACATGCCAGTTTGGAAGCACGGCTGAATTCCTTACTTCCTATTTCAAACATACTTTTCCCACAGTCATCAAGCGCACTATTCTGGGGTAAAAGACCTGATTAAAGTTGAATGGTTTGCATAAAGGTAAGAAATATGGTTTTAATAAATAAAGTCAATTGAAGCAATATCATGATGGGTCTTAAATAATATAAAAATGTGTTAAATAGATGTCAGGAATCCATTAATTTATTAACAAATTCGTTCATTTAACAAATATGTATGGAGCATCTTTTGTATGTCGGGTTCTCCCCTAATTGCATACTAGAGAGTGTGTGCACTGTTAGAAACAAAGTCCCTTCTTCATAAGACTTACTTTCTATTGGGGAGACAGATAATAACCAAAAAAATTAAGAAATAAAACAAGTGAATGTATAGTTAGAATTGATGATAAAGGTGAGGACTATGAGAAAAAATAAAGCAGCTTAGGGGAATTGAGAATGTGGGGGAGGAGTGGCAGCTCTGATGCATCATGTGGTCTGGGAATGACTCACTGTTAGGGTGACCTTTAGGGAAGAGACTCTAAGGAGTGGAGAAAGTGTGGGCTGCAGCCTCCTTGGGGAAGAGTGTTTCAGGCAGAGGAAACAGGTGCAAAGGCCCTGAGGCAAAAGCACATTTGCATCAACATTGGCCAAGGTCTGAGGGAATGTTTGAGAGGACAGTGGCAGGAAATGAAATCAGGAGGGGGCACTGGGAAGGTGGAAGACACAGGCAAATCACATAGAAACTCTATGAAGATCTTAGCTTCTACTCCTAGGGAAGTAAGAGGCCAGTGGAGGGTTCTCAACAGAGGAGTGACATGTTGTAACCTGTGTTTTAAAATGATAGCTTTGGGAGAATAAAGTTGCAAAATGGCAGAGAAGGGGAGAGATGATGGTGATGACTGAATGAGGGTGGTATCTGTGAAAGAAGTGACAAGCAATTGAATTCTAGGTATATTCTGATGGTAAAACAAATAATTTGCTAATTGATTAGATATAAGATGGTAAAGAAATAATCAAAGATTAGACATTTAGCCTGAACACTGGAAACATGACATTCCCATGAATTGAGAGGGAGAATACTGCAAGAGGAATCGGTTTGAAAGTTTAAAACATAAGAATTTCAATTTTGGAAACATCCCATGCTGTCCAAATTAACAGTCACTAACTACATGTGGGTACTTAAATTTACATTTTAGTTAATAAAAACTAAATTAAAAATTCAGTTCCTCAGTTGCACTCACCACATTTCAAATGCTCAATACTCACTTACGGCTAGTGGCTACCTTAGTGGCCAGTGCAGATATTAAAGAGCATTTCCATGTCACATAAAGTTATATTGGGAAGTGCTGGTGGGACATTAAGCCTTTACTATATTATGGGTCCCGTGCTAACTTTCATTTTTGTGTCGTATTTTTTATTGGACAGTGTTGATTTAGACTTCCTTTCTATGTGAATTTCAATCATGCTTATTTCAGTCTCTATGCTAGGGTTCTTCATTCATCCACATTTTCCACTTCTCATAATCATGTTTGGTTCAGAGAGAATGTCAATAAATATACATAATTATGAGAAGCGGAAAATGTGGATGAAAGAACCCCAGCATAGAGACTGAAATAAGCATGACTGAAATGAAAGTACATGCAATTTTTACATTTTCCCTAGAAACATTAAAAAAGTAAATGGGTAAAATTAACTTTACAAATATATATTTACTTTAATATGCAATCAATACCAAAAAAATCATTAATAAGGCATTTTACTTTTTGTACTAAGCCTTTGAAATCCCCTATGTACGTCTCAATTCAGACTAGTCACACTTCAAAGGTTCAATAGCCATGTGTGACTCATAGCTATGTATTGGACAGGACAGGACTAGAGTATCAGCGAGTTGAAAACCTCCACTGACTGCTAGCTGTGGCTAATTCTTAAAAGAATAGGCTTACCAGTTAACATTTCTGCACGTGGAGGGTGGTTTCAGAAGTCTCACTTAGTATACGTAGGGACTTTAGACAAGATCTGCACAAGCTGCAAAGAGACAGCATTGCAGAATGACTGAACACATTGAGTAGACTTGATGAGATATAGGTTGTCGGTCCAGCTCTACTACCTCCTGTCCTTGAACTAGTTACTTGCAGAATGGTTGTAGTTGTACCAGCCCTTTAACGTCTGCCCTAAAGATCATTTATGCGAAGCTTTAGCTCAGGGCCAACAGCCTGCTTCTCCAAATGTGAACTGTGGATATTTGTGTTGGGGACCGAGAAACAGAGATTCACTAGAATTCTGGTTATTCCATACATAGTATTACTTATATTTGTATATAAATACACACAAAAAGTATTTTAGTCAATGCTGGTTAATTAAACCTTTGCTCTAATTTGAATAATAAAGTTTATGTTGTAGTCACCTTTTATTGAGAATGGTCTCTGCCAGAAATTCAAGATTCCTGAATTCATACAAAGTTCAAATAGTATAGGGCAAGCTTAAATAATTGGTACAGTATTTCCTGTAAGAGTAGCTATCTATATAAATTGCTAGAGTGTCATCTCAATATAGTACCCTCAAGACTGCCCCAACCTTTACTCAATTAATAATTATTAAAACTCATCACTAATTTCCTGTAAGGTTTAAAGAATGCATACAAGATATATTAGCACAAACACATTTATTTATTAACCAAAGGGATGATCCTAATTAATCCAACACACTTTGAAATAGCTGCATGTAAAATGTTTATGATAAAGATAATTGAACACAGTAATGAAAAAAAAAAGAAAGAAACAGTATGGAGATTTGCTCATTGAACTGAGCTTGGTCATTCTCTTAATTAACTCCTGTCCAAAGTGATGATGGAATTTTTATTCTACTTTTTCATAGATCCGAGTACAGGTGACATTGTTCATGACACACTCCTAGAAGAAGGAAAGATATTAAAAGAGTTAGGTTAGCCTTAGATTCCAGAGCAGTGGTGGTATTAAAACATTAGAATCAAAGTCCCACGAAATCACGTAATCTACTTCATAGATGGAGAAAATTTCTTTCAGAATTCACGGGTTTGAGAGAAGCCAGAAGCTGTTGTTTTGCTTATAATATGCATGTTTTACAGAAAACTAATGTGTTGAATATATCTTTATTCTTTTGGTTATGGCAAATATTCCTTATTTTAAAGATATAGAAAAATGTGTGCAGTTTGGTGGCTTGCCAAGATTTCACTGTGACGTGGCAGCAAAGCAAGAACTCCCCCCAACTCCAGCCAAATCCTCTCCTATGTCATGTCACTTCTCTATCTCCACTAGGACTTTCTTAATAATTAGTGTTCTAGTATTTAACTTGTTATTTTGCTTTTTTTTCTTCCAAACTGAGTTCTGTTAATGATCAATGATATAGAACAGTTATGTGAACTATGAATGCACACAAGAAGCTGACTGAGACACAGCAGTTTGACACTTACCACCACTAATTTCCCATCTTTCAATTTTCTTGTTATTGTGCTTTCCTTCCCATCCCACTCCTGATGCTGAACCAATGCACCATCTGTAAAGTTGCAGACAGTCTGCAAAAACAAAGTAAACGTTTTAATCTTCCAAGTACATTACAAGAGTTTCCATGACTCATAACCTCCTTAATCAACATTTGTTTCACCTTCTCCTTTCTGAGTCTACTTCATTAACCCATATTGATTTTATTCACAATAGTTTGTGGTTTTCAACCTAGTAGCTAATAAAAGATGCCAATTCTATGATGAAGTTGATACTTTTGCTAATTTGACAAAATTCAATTCATAAAATAACTTTTTCATTAAGTTCTTGCCTATAAACAGTAAAATGTTATTGATACAGCCTATCATTCTAGAAGCTTCTGTGATTTCATAACATGTCACGACTGACCTGAGTTTTTCTGCCATCAGCTGTGGTTTCTTCAAACTTCTCTCCCAGGGTACAAGAAAACTGTGTTGTTTTCAAAGTGCTCTCAGTTTTTATGGTGAGGTTTTTACCATCACAAGTGATGATACAATCTGGCTTGGCCATTGCGCCCATTTTTCGCAAAGCTATTCCCACTCCTGTAGAATGTTAAGTCATGTTAAATAACAGGAAGACCAAAGTTATCATTTACATGATAAAAGCAATAATTCCATTGTAATCACTTTGTGCGGCATATTTTCACTTATTTGCTTATTGATAACTATTGTAAACATATATCCCACGGTATGAGCCAGCACTTTACATATATGAAATTCAGGTAAGCCTTACAACAGCCCTGTAAAAGGCAGATGTTACTGTCTCCATTTTACTGATGAGAAAGCGAGGCACGGAAGTAACTTGCCCAAGATCATTCAACTAGAAAGTGATGGAGCTGGGAACCAAGAGCACTGGCACCCTGGCTCCAAATCTGAGCTCTGGCCACCATGCTATGCTGGCTTTCAGAAAGTTAGGGAAGAAATGTGGACTTCCAAATTTTATTTACTCAAAGCAGTTGATAGAAGGTGGAGATAAAGCATTCAAAATTGCAAATTCAGGAGTTTGCTCAATCTTTTTCTTTTTACTAGATTCTGCCAACCATTACATTCTATGACTCCAGCACAGTCTGGCATATAAATGTTCTCGATAAATATTTGATTAATAGACTACACAAAATAGAAATTGATCCTGAGATATTCAAATAGCACAATCTTTTAAAACTCAGCAGCACAATCATGATGCTAACAAATGGGAAAAAAAATCCTACCTTTCAATATAAAAACTATTTCATAGGTATATAAATCAATAGAAATATATAACATATTAAATTATATTTTAATTTATGATCTATCAATTTCCCCTCAACGTTAACATGTAATTTATGATCTATCTCTTTCCCCTTAGAGTTAGTTAACATGTATAAGGAATCTTAGATCCAGGCCAAATCACTGTTTCATAAATGAGGAGACTACAACCTACGCAGCATGATTGTCTTGATGAAGAACACCCAGCCAGGCTTTAAAGTTCCCCTTGGAGCCTTCTCTTTTGCCAGCTCAGGGCTGGTGCCTTATGCTGTTAATTGAGTCATTATGTACTCTCACTTTGGACAAATAAATGGGCTCTGCTCTTTTCACATTGTGACTGCTCCCTAATGAACTGAGTCTTGACAACCTTCAAGACTCCAGAATCCTGGAAACAAGCCCTCCAAACCTACACACAATTTGCTTTCTACAGGCAGAGAAAAGTGTTCTTTGGGCCTTAAACTTGTACACACACACACACACACACACACACACACACTGTTATTTATTGGACAGGTGCAGTAAATCGCTTTTTCCAGAGTCATCTTGATGTAGGTTTACAAGGAAAAAGAAAAATACTGCCTTCTTTACTGATAGTATCAAAAATACACTCATGATTCACCATAAACCAGCCTTAACACCACATGGTCTTGGATAAAGGGTACTGAAGGAGTGATTCCGAAGTGCCACGGCGACCAGGTATCAATAGAGGGTCACGGTAGTTATTTCACCAGCGAGCAACCGGGTTAACATTTGTGGATACCGGCTTCTGAAGCACCCTCATAAATCCCAGCCATCCCTTAGGGCTGGAAGCTCCCTTCCAGAGAGGATCCATGCTATGCTAACTCCATCTCACTTCCTAGTGGCCTGTGACAAAGGTCCATTTTTGTTTGCAATTTATCCAGTGTCTCAATCAGCATGCAATCTGTCACTGGCATAGAAAAGGACAGTAATTTATAATGAAGCACTGTTTTGAGTGAGAAATGAATCTTACTACTGAGATTCATTCTCCCTCGGAACGCTTCAAGAAGTCATCTGCCTTCTGCAGGGCCACACCCATCTTGCATGCAGTTAGCCGCAGGAGGGCCAGGCAGTTTCTGTTACGGTTTTCCAGCAAAGCCCACTGCCTCCTTCCTCCTCACCCTCAAGTGGCAGAGGCCAGGATGGCAACACACGGCCACCCCCAGGCCTCATTGCGCTCCTCCCACAGGCCACCCGCCCACTGCGGCGCCCCGGCCCGGCAGTGCCAGCAGCAGGTCGGCACCGCCAGCGCCACGCTTCTCGGGGGCCCTGGTGTTCCATGGGGTACCAATCCAAAGGGTTCGGCTCAACTGGTAAGGGCGAGCAGAGGACCTGGGGGAGACGGGGCTGACAGAGGAATGCAAGCTGAAGCTGTAGCGCCACTCAGACCCCTCCACAGGATTTCTGCGGGAAACTGCGCGCCAGCACCGCGTCCCCATGAAGAAAACGGAGGGTGACCTGCGCGCCACAGGGAACAAAAGATGCGACAGGGAGGGAAAGGGGAGTGGGTGCTGCCACGATGGGGTAAATGGGAGAGACAGAATGGTGGCAGGAAGGGGAAGGATGAGTAAAGGGGGAAAAAAGGGAAATACAGGGTCGCCTGGAGGGGGTCGAAAGAAGTGCAGCGTGAGGTGACGGGTGCGCGCGCTAAAGGACAGGAAGCAATGCGGAAGGGCTGCCGTTTGGGCGAAGGGAAAGAAGCAGAGGTAGGTGGACCACGGGGTGGACCACCTCCGGAATCTTGCGGCCCGCGGGCGGGCAAGAGGCGCGCACGCTCCCTGCTCCTCGCCGCCTGCCCGCGTGGTGCTGCGCGCGCTGCACCCAACGGCCGCGTGGTGGGGAAGATGGGAGGGGATGGGGGTAGGCCGCCGAGCATCTCCTGCCCCAGAATCTGGCACGCTGACGGGGACCTAGGGACAGACGACCGCACAACACGCCACGTTGCAGGCGCTGCCAGGCCGGGTGCCTCACCTAGCTCCTTCATGTATTCATCAAAGCCTTTGCTGTCCACCAGGCGCCATCTTCCTTCCAGCTGCTGAACTGTGGCCATGGTGGGTGCGGGCGGGCTGGCGTGCAGAGAGGGGTCTGCGTCGGCGTGGCAGCGTGCTGTGAGGCACCCGGCGCCGGCGGCTGCTTTATAACGGCGGCCCGCGCTGGGCGGCGCTATGCGGCCAATGGGAGGCGGGCCTCGCCCGGTCCCCGCCCCGCCCGCCGGGCGCCCCCTGGGCCTTCTCGGGGTCGGGAGGTGCTAACCAGCTCCTCTTGCCAGGGTACGCGACGGCCTCTCGGGCGCCTCCTGCAAGCAGGGACTCGCCCGGCGCGCCCCACGCCTCATGGACGCCGGCGCCTGCACGTTTCGGCGCCTCTGCAGGCCCAGGAAGCCAGAGGGGTCACCTGGAGGCCTGGCCCCGCCTCTCCTGCACCCCTCCGTTTGACAACATATCCACCGCCGTTTTTCCTTTCAAAATACCCGGACCAATCGATTAGCCCTCGCCGGACTCGGACTGCAGGAAGTGATTGATCGGCTGTTTGGTTTATTGATTCATTAACTACGGTGCCTCCCTGACCTTCTGCTCCTCGCCAGCGCACAAGCTCACAATCCACACCCTCCTAAGAGAACCTGCTCTCGCCATCCGCAGGTCTCCCTGGCCCAATAGTGGGGATATACCTGAGTTGAGCTAGAGGATTTTATCCCTGTTGGGATGGGGGACGTCTCGGGAAGTGTGGTTTCTAAACTAAAAGACTGCAGGAAGTGTCAACTTTAGTGACTGTCATTGCCATTCAAGAATGTTTGATTAGTTTATATTCCCTTCGTAGTGCACCCTTCACCGTTTCTTCTCAGACACCAGCGGGTTTCTTCTCAGACACCAGCGGGTTCCCTCTTTCTCTTGAACTATAATAATACCCTACACATGTGCGTAGAACATGATACGTTTCAAAGTGTACTCTTCACAATTTATTACTTGGTGCTCCCGGGTGCCTGTTGGAAGTCAGATGGACTGAGGTGAGGAAGTTGCCACACAGGCTGGCCGTTTCGATAGCGGTAATGTGCATTTATTGAGTAGCTACTAAGTGCTAGATGTGCTTCCTGGGCACTTTATAGACATTGGTCTCCACTATATTTTTGCTAGGGGTGTTATCCCAATTTTTCAAAAGAGAAAATAGGGCAAAGATAGTTCTCACAGTGGTAGAACCAGAATCCCCATCCAGGTCCGTCTCACTGAAGACCTTATGAAATCAGACCACACCTGACTGCCTTGGGCTCAGGGTAGCTGTGATGGAGCTCTGAGTAGACCACAGTCACCGAGACACTACTAGTTCTTGTATCATCCTTGACAAAATTGAAATCTGAGGTTGGTTTGCTATCTCCCAACATGCTGCAGGACATGTACTCCCCTGAACTGCATCCCTTTCATTTCAAGTCCCTGCCCTCAGTTTAGGGTCACACCAGTCTTCCTTGTGGTACCATTTAACACTCAATTGTTTTCCCAATAAGGGTCTGCATGTCCCACACCCGAGGCCCTACTGCTCAGAAAATATTCGTGTTCTGAGGGAAGCTGAGTGCATCATTTACTCAGTGATGAGAAGCCCTGGCTACCAGGCACTTCAGGCAGCTCCTTAGGGCTGCCTGTGTGTTTGAACTTGAGCTCTTCATGTGCTATTTCAACATGTCTTATCCATTTCTGTATAGACTATATGTAGTAATAATAGGACGCAGCACTCTGATACTAATTTTTAAATGATCATAATCTAACATGTTACAGAAATATCAAAAAGATAATGGCACTGGAGTACTAGATACTTAGGTACTTAAGAAATAGCCTTTAATCCCAAGGCCTTACTTAAAACTTAAGTTTAAACACAATCTCTGATGTGATGAGTGGAAATAATTCTTTTGTGTTAAAACATACAGACAAAACAAAGCTATATGGCCAGAATAATAACCGTTATTGTATCTTGTGGAACAAAAAAGGGCATGGTGATTGCTCTGTTCCTCAGGGAAACACATTGAATGTCTTGTTTTCAGACACCACATCTGATGCATATACAGATGTATGATTGGAGTAGATTATTTCTAATGCCCCTTAAGCTCTACTACTCAGATTCTTTCCTTCTCCAGAGTAATGGTAATGGATTTTAAGCTGTGAAAAAGCAGTTAAGTACTGCCTTCACCCGCTAAGTAAAGGCCTATTCTAGGCTACTTACCTTGCACCCATTATGAGGTGTAAAACCAAAAATGTTGTGAAATCAAATTTCACTGAAGTCTCATATAACTTTATGGAGATGGTTGAGTATTTCTTCTTGGAAAGAAGGAGGAGAATCATCACTTGATTGTGATTAATTACAACATAGGAAACAAGAAACAATAGTTTTATCCTAACCTGTCCTTACGAACATTAGTAACTGTGCTGTTCATTATTTTTAGTAACAGCACATAGGTAATACAGGTGTTATATCATGTTTTCCTTCACACTGGAAGATAATAACACATTATTCTTATGGATGAAAATGACTGAAGAATCAAGAATTACTAGCAACTCTTCTTCCAGTAGCTTAGAAAACTGCCTTTTTCAAGACAGATGCAATTTTACTTAATATCTCTGAAGCTTAGTTTTATCATCTATGAATTTAAGGAGATGAGAATTAATACTAAATGATTTTTTAGGTCCCCTTCAGTTTATGAAGTACTCCTGCAGTAGAAGTTCATGGCCTTGAAAAAGCGTACTCAAAATTACTCTATTTCCACCTAGTGGTGAAACCGTAATATTTCTCTGAGGCTTTACTTGATAAACGTGAGTAGTTTTTCAGCTTCTCATTCTGTAATCACACACAGCTTTGGAGCATATTGTGTCATTTTTATTTAAAGACAACTTCCCAGTTAAAGTTTATGTACATAGATGTGCCTTCCACAAAGTTGATTATTGTATATTAGTTCTTCCTAAGGACAGTTAAGTGTTGGTGGCTTAGCAACAGGCAGTTGGTAGAGAAATGGAGAGTACTACATTAAATTATTGCAGAGAATATTCAAAGTAATCCATTTTCAGGGAACTGAGTCTTCTCTAAGTACATGGCCAGATGATCAAAAAAGGAAAAAAATTAATCACTAAGGTTGGAGAATATGTTTATTTAAACCTAGTGTCTCCCTTAAATTTTATAACTAGATTTTTGACCCTCACTCATCTGGCTTTCCTTGCTATAGACATGCTTTGCATACCCAGCTTCTAGCCACATCTTCCCTAAGAAAATTTCACCTGGAATCAGTTCCAAAAGAAAATCTTAAGAGATAGAGTATGGATCTGCATGTTGTCAGCTACCTAAAGCAGCAAAAATTCCTAGATGAGAATAAAATCAGGGAACCTTGCAGTTTAAGGCACACCTTAAATATTAAATTTTTAATCCTTCAATGCATCCAGCCAAAACAAGAAATTGCAAATAGCTACCATCCATCAATGCAAGGTTTTTTTGGTTTGTTTTTCATAATAAGATTGGTTTTAATTAAAGCACTTATAAAGATGGAGTTATATTTTGAACTTTGTCCTTTTACTTAAAGCAGTTAGAGTCTTACACATCATAACTGCCACGGCTAACCATTAAAATTTTCCAGCTCCTTAAATGATCCATCATAAACTTGTGCTTGCTGAGTTAACTGGACTAGAGGATAGCTGGAGGGAAAATGAGGCATTGCAAAAGTTACAGTAATAAAAAGTGAATGGCTTCAAAATAAGGCAGAGGACATAATGGCTCATTTTATAATAAAAGCTTTCAGTATAAAATTCATACATTTCCCTTACTTATATAGATCTTCCTACTTTCCAGACATGTGTATTATTGTATATTACATTTGTCAATAGCTCATGGCAACAGATACACATAGTTTGGGATAACCCTTTTATACCTCATATGAGCAGTGTTCAAAGGTTTAAAAGCACAACTCCAAAGGGCACAGCTTGAAATGGAGCGGGAGGATGCTAGCAAAGCCACCCCAATAAACACAAAATCTTAGTAAAAGCACTATGTTTACCAGGCAATGCAACTTCAAAACAAATTCCTTAGCAACCCCAACCTCTTCAAGCCCGCTTCTAATCACATTATTACTCCTAAGCCTCCTTATATACAAAATCTTAGGCTGGCCAAGCCCAAACACACAGACACATTAATAATGAGCATCTCTGTCCTTAAAAAATTTCAAACATAAAAAACCTCCAAATGATATGTTCCCACTGGAAGAGGCCAAATTCTTTTCTTGTAGATTACCCTTTTCTATTTTTCATTCCTACCTCCCATGCAGTATTCCTAGATTCTCACACCATTTGATCATTTCTCTATTTTGATATTTATCTATAAGAATTAATGATTTTTTTCAAGTCAAATCTACAAAACCGTGGATTTGCTTGCCTCTAAGCTATTTATCTCAGTGAGTCAGGCCCACTGCTTCCATTTTTCTGGATTAGCTTTGAAGAAGAATCATCAGCACTTAATAACCTACCTAAATCCGACTGAAGATGCTTTCTTGATCCTATCTCTGGTCCTCCTACTTTGGCAGTGGGAAGAGCTACCCTATAACTCCTCAGAGTCATGCACAGAGCTGTAAAACCAGCATGCAGCTGATTTTGTGCACTTCTCTGAAGGACCCAAGCAGCAGGATGGGTACCTTTTGTTCACCCACCCATAGACACCACAGGACACTTTTTGTTCACCTGCTCACTTCTGCATTGACCAAACTTAAAGATACAGATTCAACAGTATGTAGGGGAAGTTTCCAGTAAAGTATATTCTGTTTTCTACATTGGTTAAATATTGTAATTTCATGCGGGAACTGGGAGGCTAAGTAGTTGTTACCATTAAGAAGAGCAACTGTGATCTTACTTCCAGCCTATTTTGGAAGGTGGGATAAAAAATATTTGTGCCACAAATCTCAAATCTTGTCTCCTATCTTACAACCTTGAAATACATAGTTAATTCTGCAGGGTCTCAGACATCCTACTGAGTTGCCAAATATTGAACACCAAGCTGGGCTTGTCAACACTCAGGGCTACAAAGAGGAGATCTCAAAACTACCATGGCCTCAGGATTCTGAATGTGGGTCTGAAATCCCTACTTCTTACTTTGGATTAAAAGCTCACCTGAGCTACACACATCTGTTGTCCTAGAATGGATATTTTTATTTAGATATCAACCAATTCAACTTCACTCCTTTATTGAGTCAGTCAAGAAATCAATAAAATTGACTTCAAAAATTGAAATCACTTCTTAATTCTCCTCTGGTTTTCTTCCTACCCTGCCCTTTCTTCTTCACACTCAATATAGTTTTACCCATCTGAATGAGGAATAAGTCTGACTTGTCTTTGAAACATTTGCTTTATTTCATAACTGCCACACGCTGGGCCTAAAGTGTATGTACCTGGATCTGAAGACAACAAAATACCTAGAGGATCTGCTCTGTGGGTGGGACACGGCAGCTAGAGCTGTGGAGGTCAGGCTTGAATTCCAGGGGATGGTACTGTCATGATTCTGATGGGTTCTTCTGATCTGGATTTGGATCCTGGCAAGAGAATGGTAGACAGAGTTTAGCCATCAGGAAGAAGGAACAAGACCTAAGCTGATGGTCAAATCCTAAAATAACACAAAAATAATCATGTGCCCTGCATCCTTACCTCCTTCTCCCTGCCCAGCACATCAGATAGCATTAATTCTAGTTTCACCATCAGAGCAGAGATGGAGCTCCTAATGGCCTTTCTGCCCTGGTAGGTTATCTGAACACACGATTTTTTTCAGAGTGCAAGATAGGATGACCATATCCTGGTTTGACTGGGGCAAGTCAGAGCTATGCTTGTTGTCCTGGTATGATTTTGAGCAATGCCCTCCTTCCTTCCAACTATTTCAAATAGGATGAAGAGTTGTTATATTTAATTCTCACCTATCAGGTAGCTCCAAAGTCTAAATTTCAAGGAAGGCATTAACATGGTACTACAGCATCATCTATTGTAAGACCTGAAGGTGCCTTGCAGGAGGGAAAAAATGTGGTAGCGCCATGTTCAGTATTACCCTACTCAGGTATCATACAAATATGTCATGCAGGGACAGCTTTGCTTGCTCACAAAAGAATGGCCAGCAGAGATGTCCATACCAGACACATTCCTTTGTCTCAAATCACCCCATATTTTTAGAACACCTAGTAATTATGTGGATAGAATCTAGTTCTTATCTTCAAGAAGTCTGGTATCTAAGTCTATACAAGCTAAAAACTACATCCATTGTGGGTTTTTTAAATTTCACAAACATTTATTAAAAATTGATTCTGTTTTAGTTCATCACATATTGAAAATTTTAAAAAATTGAAGGTCTTTGAAATATCAGGTAAACAGAAGCCCTCAGGTTCCCCATAATTCATTATGCCTTTTTTCTTAAGAAACCACATTATTTTATTTAAGAAATAAATGAAAGGTTTTTAGATCATCACTGGTTAATTTAAAGTCTACATTTGTTGTTTTCCATTTACACAATCATGTTTTTATTTTATTCTTTTAATTTTTTTATTGACAAATAATAATTGTATATATTTATGGGGTAAAATGTGATGTTATGATGTAGGTATAAAAATAAAATACTTAGGAGTAAATTTAACCAAGGAGATAAAAAATCTATATGCTGAAAACTGTAAAACATTGATAAAAGAAATTTAAAATGGCACAAATAAATGGAAAGATATCCTGTATTCTTGCACTGGAGGAACTAATATTGTGAAAATGTCCATACCACCCAAAGTGATCTGTAGATTCAATGCAATTCCTACCAAAATTCCAAGGTCATTCTTCACAGAAATGGAGAAAACAATTCTAAAATTCATATAGAACCACAAAGGACCCCAATTAGCCAAGAAAAACAAATAGCAAAGGCTGGAGGCATCACACTACCTGATTTCAAAAATGTACTACAAAGCTATAGTAATTGAAAAAGCATGGTGCTGGCACAAAAAGAAACGCATCAACCAATGGGATAGAATAGCCCAGGGAAAACCACATCTGCAGTCAACTTAATTTTTTTTTTTTTTTTTTTACAAAGGTGCCAAGAACACACAATGAGGAAAGAACAGTCTCTTTAATAAATGGTATTGAGAAAACTGGAGATCAACATGTAGAAGAATGAAATTAGGCCCTTATCTCTTACCATATACAAAAATCATCTAAAAATGGATTAAATACTTAAATGTAAAACATGAAACTACTAGGAGAAAACATAAAACTACTAGGAGAAAACATAGAGGGAAAACTCCATGGCATTGGTCAAGGCCATTGTTTTATCTTTATAATATTAAGCGAGTCTTTAACAGAAACCAGGTGAGTGTACCAAATAAATATATCTTGTTTAAAATTAATGTGCCAAATGTCAAAAAGTTAACTGAGGTAAACTTTGCTCAGCTAGAAAGATCTTGTCTGAGAAATACTGGGTTAGAAATCATGAAGCAACTCATGTCACTACTCAGCTCTGCCTGTGCTTTAGAGTTAGTTCATCGCTATAAACCGGGTAGTAAACGGACACCAGGCTATGCCTGAGGTGGTGATGCATACTGAGATATACAACTTGCATAATAAAAATTTCCAGAATACAAGTCAAAACTGGAATTGTCACCACCCGGCTAGTTCAGTAAGGGTCAGAAAATCCTGCTGAGTTCCTTTTCTGAGAATTGAGAGAAGAGTCTCAGAAGCAAAGCTGAATGATTTCTTGCCACACATACTCTGATGCCCTTGTCTTTCAGTAGAAACTGTACGTGGTTCCTGGGGAGAAGACTATGGTTCTATATGACAAGTTTTATTTGTTGCATGTTGTAAAATATTATCACTTCTGCAGCTATGTTATCAGGACATCATATAAGTGTCAAGACAGAATAGGACCAGCTTCTATAAACAGGAAAGAATGCCATTTACTGGTGTCCCTTTGAATGTATTTAGCATATGAAAGTTACTCTATGTTATGTACTATATGGGAAAAAAAGCTTTTTTCTCAAATTAAATACCTTTCCATTTTATTGCATTTTTGCATTTTGTTGACATAATCATCTCTGAGATATAGTCACAGAAACAAAAGTTTGACCCCAATATGAAACAGAAAATCAAAACTGCCTAATATTCCATTTGAAAGCATGTGGTGATACAAATCATAACTAGAAACAAAATAAAAATCACATAAGAGTTCAACAAAACATTTATTTGTCATTTTCCAATCAACGTGAATAGTGATGGTAAATCCTGCACACACAAAAAAGTATTGGGTTTCCTTTTGCTTCGTGCTTTACTAAGCAGGTGTCAGCTGCTTCTGGTTTTCCAAGGCAAGGCTCTAGTTCTTTCACACCCAAAGCCTTAGGGCCTCAGTACTCTGAGGGAACCTAACTAGTCCAAGTCACTAATCCACATGAACAAGTAGAACTTGATCTTTGCTGCCCACACCCAAGACATACAGTTTTTAATTGCGTATTTGGCAGTAATTCTTGGTCAGACGTGATCTCAGAACAATGAGTTGTCACTTGAGCAGACATATTGGTAAATTCTTCAAAGTTGTATAGTTTCATTTCTGAAAATAGATTAGTGGCTTGGATTTAGGACTAAAGGAGAATCAAAATCCTAGAGTTTAAAGGAATTTTAGATGTCTTCTAATTCAGCTAAAACTCAATCAAGATTCCTTTGACAAAAGATTTTCTGAGTAAGCAAAAATAGAATTGCAAATTATAGGTTTATCAAGAACACCAAATATATTCCATAATCATTTAAGTATTCTTTAAAATACTTTATGGGAAGAAAAATGAAAATGAAAAAATAAGGGGATTAACCTAAAAATTAAATTATTTCTTTCAATTCGTATTTGGCCTATGAAAATAATAGTTATTAATTCATAGTTCAAACAATACTAGAGTATGGATTATAAATAGACATGAGAAATGTAACACTGCAAGTAATTGTGCCATTGCTTGGCCTCCCCCCTTGTTCCTCAAGAAAACCATATGTCATAATAATATGTCATATACTTACACAAACATGCATAATTTGCTCACTATTTAAACTGTAGCAGAGCCTTTTTGGTCTCTTAGAAAATCTTAAAAAGTATATATCTTTTTTTAAAGTATTTTTTAAAAAACTATTATCTTTGTGTCCTCAATTCCCCTTTGTCTTCACTTGAATTGAAAACAATCTTAAAAGATTTTTTAAGAATCAAATTGGACATAGCAACTTTTGTCTCTATTATAATTCTAGGCCATAACGTTAAAATAGTCAGGCAAATAAATATTAGTATCATTTGTAAAACAATAATTTTATTAAATATCTGCTCTAAATACATAAAAAGTAAAAGCAGTGACCTAGGATATAGGAAACCCTTGTTCTAGACTTTGCTACAAAATACCTGTTTAAATTTAAATTTTTGTTTTCTCATCTGTAACCTTAGAAGAACAGAAGAAATTAAAATTTCCTGTGAGGAGTTTTTTGAATACAGACTCCATTATCAAACAAATTAGGGAAATTGGGCATACCATGATTCCCATTGGATATTTCCAGCTTGTATGAGCATACTAACAATGCCAGGAAATCTTGAACTTAAAAAATACATTTAACATTTTAAGAGCAACATCTCTACAAATGGATTGATTGCAAAACCTGCCTTGTTTGCTGCCATCCTTTTAGCAGCACTTAGAATGCTCTGAAGAATACTCTAGGAAAATGCTGATGATAATCTTCAGCCTCCAAAGTATTTGATTCTATCACCAAGACAATGTTCTGCGGGAATGAAGAAATATAGTACATAACTAGTAATGGCCTCGAAGAACATACATATCAGTTGTTCATGGAGGACATCTATGCATGAAAACTTACCTCTTAATAAAGGTCTTCTGGACATGTTCTATTGAGGTTCGGAAAGTGAATGCAGACCAAAGGTACAGTATTTAGAGAAAGCTTTGTATATATGACCTGGGAGGCCAAAGTAGATGCCCCTTTATCAATTAAACCAGACCTTAAAGTTGAAACAAGTTCCCTACAGGTTGAGGGTTCAGGGCTCAGCTAGCATGGTATTGTCCTAAATTCCTACAGCTTTAAGGAAAACCACACCTTTGCTAAACTCCTTAACAACAAGAGGAATCAGGCAAATTATCAGAACCTTCTTAACTCTGATTTACATCCCAGACCACCACAACTTTAATTGAACAGAGGACACACCTTACATTCTTTCCTGATAAGCGACTGCAGGCCTCAAGCCAGTTTCAGCCAGTTTAATAGAGATGCACAAACTGTCTTTGTGTCCTATAGTTCACCTTTTGATGTAAAGAGCAAAGTCCACCCCATTTTAATGCTAAAATCCCGCCCCAAAGTGAACATGGGATATATGTTCCATACATTTTTACCCATTGCTCATGCACCTAACTCCTCTGAGATATGGATAGCTTTTCCCCAAACCTGCAGAAGCATAAGAGACTTGGAGTTTAAAGGGAGGGACTATTAAAAAGAGAAAAGAGAGGAGGTGCATTAAGATGTTTTTCTTCATGTTTCATCCAGGTACATGTTACCCATTGGAATCAAGATATAACCTGACCACAGGGCCAGAGGACACTTACCCAGGGCCAGATTTTTGTGGGGCAGAGCCTGTATTCTGAGGCACCTATATATGTCTGACTCTATTGCATGATACAGGCCCTGTGAGGCATAAAATTCAACCTGCTTTTTCCCTTTTCAAAGAGAGAGCACCTTTGGTCCACAGCGGACACTGACTCTGGTTTGCAAACTGATATTGTCAATAATGCTCTCCTTTCTACTATGTAGCTATCCTGGTGGTCTTTCGAATGACAGGTAGAATATTGGACTGAGTTGGTTTACTTCTGAGATCTGCACCCTGAGCTTTGAGTAATAGGGAACAAAACTGATGCAGGGAGGAAGAAACCAGGTTACTTAGACACCTGAACTTTTCTGTTGATGACAAGAAGAGAAAGGTGACCAGTGGAGGGGAATAGGAATCAAATGCATCTTCTTCCAAGCAGTTACGAGTACAGAGAGATTTTCTTTTCCTTCTAAAGGTGCATCAGGATATAGGCTCTGCCCCAGTAGAGATCAGGCCTTTGGTAAGCATCCCCTGGCTTTGTGGCCAGGTTATACCTTTTTTTTTTTTTTTTAGACAGAGTCTCGCTCTGTCACCCAGGCTGGAGTGCAGTGGCATCATCTCGGCTCACTGCAACCTCCACCTTCCAGATTCAAGTGATTCTTCTGTCTCAGCCTCCTGAGTAGCTGGGACTACAGGCATGCACCACCATGCCTGGCTAATTTTTGTATTTTTAGTGGAGACGGGGTTTCACCATATTGGCCAGGCCAGTCTTGAACTCCTAACCTAGTGATCCACCCGCCTCAGCCTCCCAAAGTGCTGGGATTACAGGTGTGAGCCACCACGCCTGGTCACCAGGTTATGTCTTAATTCCAGTGGACAACATGTTATACTAGAATGAAACATGAAAAACAACAACCTAATGTACCTCCTGTCTTTTCCCTTTTCAATAATCCTTTCCTTTAAATTCCAAGTCTCTTATGCTGTCCTTGGGGACATAGGAACCTGAAGACTAATTCATTCTAATGTATGAAGTGATTTAATTCATATTTGACTATCTGGGAGGTATTTGCATTTTAAAAGGAGAAGAAGGAGCAATGTTTAAACTGAAGGCTGAATCCCTAACGATGGCATTTCAGACAGTAGCACTCACCTATGTATAATGACATTGGTGAGCAGGTGACGGAAGCCATTTGTGGAGGTAGAGAGAAAGTAGTCAGAAGACACAGAGCAAAAACTGATTTTCAAAGAAAGTGAGAAGGGGGAAAAGTACAGCAAAGTCACTAGCTACTTCAGTAGGTGGTCTTGGTATTGTATTAAACTGCTATTCCAAAGCCAAGTGTTCTATTTCTCAAGAAGTAAGCAATTAGGCACCGATTTTTCACCTAGATGCATTAAACCTACCTAATTTATATACTTACATGTGGGAAGTGTAGTAAATGGTTTCTTTCAGATATGTCTATAATAACTTCACAGAGCATTTCTTTAACAACCAAAAAGAAAACAACATTGATGAAAACAACTAAAAAACCTTATTATGCATTTTACTTATTTGTCATCTAACAAAAGGATAAACTATAATGGTTAAAATTTCAAATATGTGCCATTGACTGTTTTCAGACTCAGATTCCTGAGCAAATTTTGTAATACAACTTTTATTATTGTTGCTCAGCCCCCTTCTGCCAGCAGTATCTTGCTGAAGGAAGAGTTATAAGCAGAGAAATAAGAGTTCTCTGAGTCAAGGAAACTACAAGTGAGAAATCCTCAGTGATGAGGAGAGGAAGTTCTCCAAAGAGTCCACGATAACATCCGATAGAAAAACATAGCTTTAAAAACTCACTAAGTACAAAAAATACTCATTTATATTTAAATTTATTCTGATACAAATAAATTTCAGGTAAAACTATTCCAGTCAAATAAGACTTTTTCTACCCTTTATTTTTCCTCTTCTCTCACACTAGAATAGCCAAAGGTAGCCTAATGCAGACAAGAAGATAGTAGAGAAGACTCCTCTATTCCCCAGTGGAGATTTTCCCACCTGTACAGAAGCTCATGGAAGGGAGGAAACTGCTTTCTGCTTGCACAGTGAGAAGGCTCACTCTTCAAATTCACCAGTGACACATGCATTGACTTATGCCTGTGAAATGGATAAGAGCACTCCCATTCTCTCATTCTCTCTCCTTCTCCCTTAACCCCATTCTTGCTTTACTTCTTTTTTTCCACCCCACAGGGGATTTCTATCATTTCTTTTTTAAAAATTGCCAGGGTTGATAGCAAATGTATTGTATAAATCAACTAAGTCAACTGATGCCACCAAAAGCAAATGGCAAGAAGACAGCATCAGTAGACTTGAACACGCAAACCTCATTTTTAGGTTACTGAGGGTTTTTTTTTTACTATGACCAAATACTTAATGATGACAGTACATGCCTCAGTAGGCTGAAGAAAAGGTAATTAAGAGTATTGATACTCTATTAGGAATTAGTGACCATTCATGTAATTAGAAAAAAAAAAAAAGACAACTAAGAGTTTGAGAATGGATTTGTAGTCAAAGAAACTTTGGATACTGGAAATACCTTGGAGATTAAGCCTCTATTAGATCCTCTTTTTATTATTCAGAGATTATATCACATTTTCCTCTTCACCTACTTAAGTTTCCTGAAGCAAGGAGTGGAGGTTCTCTTTGAAAGCTATAAGTTTAACTTGCTTGTTCAGTTTCTCCTTTATATATATATATATATATATATATATATATATATATATATATATATATACACACACCTATATATATATACACACACACAGAGAGAGAGAGAGAGAGAGAGAGAGAGCAAATAAATTCAAGAATCTTAGTCTCTGTTTCTCCACACCGTCTCCACATACTCACTGAACTTTCCAAAGATTACAAATCTATTTCATTTTGCACACTTATTTCTGGATTGTCCTTGGTATCCAGAATTATCTAAGGGAAGTTGTCATCTCTTGCAGATCTTCTCTTAACTAAGTAAAAAGTAGGTAACATTTACAAGAACTTCTAAGAGTATTAGAATTCATAACAAACTTTATAAAAGGTTTTGACTTACTTAAAAGAAATGGGTCAGGTGTTCAGGCACCTGTTGTCAGTTCCACTAATGCTACCTTCTAGAGTGGCATTGTAAAAGTTCTGGTGTCTTCAGAACTTCAAACAAACACTATGATAGGCAGATGCCTTAGGAAGACCCTAGTGTTAACTTTTGCTGTGATAACAGCACAACGTCTAGGTGCCTCCACCCTCCTACATGGCTTACTTTGATATTGCTTTTTTCACACCGATGAATCAACAGCAATACTAAGGTGATTTCAGAGTGGTTACTCACACATGAGATCATCCACTGGTGCCCTGCCACATGTTATTAAACTGCCACTGTTCACAGAATGGTCCAGAAAACACTCCTAGCTAGTGTGCTAACACTTGCAGCTAGGAGGCAGCTCACAATGACCAAGTCCAGAGAGATCGCTGAGTCATCCTGGGTGCAATATTTAACATCTCTATGTTGCACTAGGACAGATGTGATACCTCTTTCTAGCCCCCAACCTTGTTAATAACTTACATTAAAACTCAGGACTAAAATGTAGAGTAGGAACCATTCCTACTTACCAAGCCTGGCTGGTGGATAGTAAATTGATAAACCACTTTGGAAATCTCTTTGGTATTATCTATTAAAGTTGAATATTTACACCAAGAGTCATGTACAAAAATGTTCATGGTAGGGTTTTTTGTTATAACCCCAAAATGGAAATATACTCAAGCAACATCGTCATTGCTTAACAACAGGGATATAGTCTGAGAAGTTCGTCGTTAGGTGATTTCATCATTGTGCAAACATCACTGAGAGTACTTATACAAATCTAGATGATATAGCCTACTACATACCGAGGCTGCATGGCATAGTATATTGCTTCTAGACTACAAACCTATACAACACATTGCTGTTGTAAATACTGAACACAACTGAAACACAATGGTAAGTATTTGTAATAGCTAACCATATCTAAACATGGAAAAGGTACAATAAAAATATGGAGTTATGAGCTTATGGGACCACTGTCAAATATGTGGCCCATGATTGACCAAAACTGTTATGTGGTACATGGTTGTAACTCAAGTGTTCATCAACAGTAAAATGGGGCTTTTAGTGTGACATATTCATTCAATGGAATAATGAAAGCAATGATAATGAAACAAATATGACCATTTGCAACCACTCAACGATAAACATGTTGAGTGAAGGAATCTACACACAGAAAAATTAAAACCTGAAGATCCTATATGTTAAAAAATCAAAAATAGATAAAACTAATCTGTGGTAGTGGGAGCCAAGTTAATGGTTTCTTTTGGGAAGGAGAGAAGGAGGAATGATTGGGAAGGGGATGAGGGGGCTTTGGAGTGCTGGCAAAGTTTTCTATCTGGAAGATGGCAATATGGGTAGATTCACATTGTGATATTTCACCAAGCTGTATATAACAGATTTGTGCATTCTTCTCTGCCTAGTGTTATGCTTTCATTAGAAATGTTATTTTTTTAAAAGCAAATAGGATGATGAGTGAAGAACTGAAATATCTTAAGTGTCTCAGGAAAAAGTAGCAAATGATTTGATAAAATTCTTCCTACGTTATTAATCCTGGCTTATAAGAGTCCTCTTAAATTATTTTATTAGGTAAAGGAAATATAACTTAGCAGTTTTTGTTGATTTTTACCTTTCAGGTGAGTACAGCTAGAGTTAGCTGAGCTCAGCAATTAAGGAAGTGAATGTTGAGGGGGCCACGTAATTCCTTTTGACCTCTCACTTTGCAAGGTTACACTGACAACTGGGAGGTGATATGTAACTGGGAAAGCAACCTGAATGCTCCTTTGGGAGGCTGCATGGTAGGGTGGAAAAAATGTGAAATTTGGAGCCGGAAGGAACTGAGCTGGAATTTTAGCTCTGCCACACACCTAGTTGTATAATCTTGAGCAAGTCACTTTCTGTTTCTTCACCTTAAAGGGAAATCATAACGACCATTTTGATGGGACAATAATACATATATAAGTATGCATGCATGTATATATATCAGCACCATATATAATTCAGTGAATGGTAACTACTATTATGAATAGAATTACCTAACTTATTTGTTAACAATGTAAATAAACTGAACAAACATAAAATGTCAATTTTTAAAAATCTGTACTTAATTTTATTATATTTTCTTATTCAATATGTTAATAAACATTTGCAACATACTCATTTCAAACTTGCAAACATACCATGATGTTATCCTAATTTATACTCATGTAAAAATGTGGCACCATATTTTTATGAAATTCCCAGGGGTGACAGATTCATTTTTTAAACTTTTAAGTTCAAGGATGCATGTGCAGGTTTGTTATATAGGTAAAAATGTATCATGGGGGTTTGTTGTGCAGATTATTTCATCGCCTAGGTATTAAGCCTAGTACCCATTAATTATTTTTCCTGATCCTCTCCCTCCTCCCAACCTCTACCCTCCGATAGTCCCCTGTGTGTGTTGTTCCTCTCCAAGTGCCCATGTATTCTCACCATTTAGCTCCCACTTTTAAGTGAGAACATGCAGTATTTGGTTCTCTGCTCCTCTGTTAGTTTGCTAAGGATAATGACCTCCAGCTCCATCATGTTCTTGCAAAGGACATGATCTAGCTCTTTTTTATGGCTGCATAGTATTCCATGGTGTGTATGTACCACATTTTCTTTATCCAGTCTATAACTGATGGGCATTTAGGTTGATTCCATGTCTTTGCTATTGTGAATTGTGCTACAAATAAACATATACATGCATGTGTCTTTATAATAGAATGATTTATATTTCTTGGAGTATATACCCAGTAATAGGCTTGCTGAGTCAAATGGTATTTCTGTCTTTAACTCTTTGAGGAATCACCACACTGTCTTCCACAATGGTTAAACTAGTTTACACTCCCACCAACAATGTGTAAGTGTTCCTTTTTCTGTACAACCTCTCCAGCATCTGTTATTTTTTTACTTTTTAATAATAGCCATTCTAACTGGTGTGAGATGGTATCTCATTGTGGTTTTGATTTGCATTTCTCTAATAATCAGTGATGTTGTCCTTTTTTCCATATGACTTTGGCTGCATGAATGTCTTCTTTTGAGAAGTGTCTGTTCATGTCCTTTGCCCACTTTTTAATGGGGTTGTTTCTTCCTTGTAAATTTGTTTAAGTTCCTTATAGATGCAGGATATTAGACCTTTGTCAGATGCATAGTTTGCAAAAATTTTCTCCCATTCTATAGGTTGTCTGTTTACTCTGTTTATAGTTTCCTTTGCTACGCAGAAGCTCTTTAGTTTGTCAATTCTTGCCTTTGTCACAATTGCTTTTGGCATCTTCATCATGAAATCTTTGCCTATGCCAATGTCCTGAATGATATTGCCTAGGCTGTCTTCAGGGATTTTATAGTTTTGGGTTTTACGTTTAAGTCTTTAATCCATCTCGAGTTAATTTTTGTATATTGTGTAAGGAAGGGATCCAGTTTCAATCTTCAGAAAATGCCGGTTTTCTTTAGTCCCCAAGAACTTTATTACATGTTCAAATGTTCTAAGATCACAGCCTTATAGCCCCAGCAAATAACTGGTCTACCTCAAAATGTATGAAGGTGGCAATTTCTGTGGCCCCAGATACTTTTTACAGCACCTGAGCTAACCAGTATGCCATTACACCCTCAAGGCTCTCCTGGAACCACAGTATAACTAATGTCCCCCCTAAGAGGACTTCAGACTCCTTTAACGTCTTTCATTTTTATCCTAGAATGCCTCTAGGGAACGATAAAGTGGAGAAAAGAAGCCAGGGCATGAGCTGTAGAAGGGACAAAAAAAAGAAAGAAAGCATGATTGTTAACATAAACAGGGACAAGGGAAGAAAATATATAATTCCTGCAGAGTCACATAATCCATTTTAAGGAACATTGAGAACAGGAATTTAGTGCATGATGTGTTAGAGATAGAGCTTGGGTATCAACTGTATGACCATCAGTATACAGCTTAAGTATTAATATCCTAAAGCCTTAGTTTCTTATCTATAAAATAGATATAATTAGAGCTATTACATTGTCTTTGAAAAAAAGAATTTAATTTCTTAATTTAAAAAATATATTTTAGTAATCTCTCTGATTTTTGTCTTTTTACATCTTCAAAAAAATACATGCATCTGAAACCACTTATAGGGGTTGGAGGATTGAGGAGTTAATATAGACCACTCTCCCTCTCATGGGCCCAACATACACTCAGTTATGTCTGTTATCTTATTAGCTTTGAATTCCATTCAGATATTTACAGATGGAAGAGACTTCAAGAGCATACTCTGGTCCAGTAGCCAGAAGGGCAAATAATTATTGTCCCCATGTTCCTTGTCTCTGAAACTTTCTCCAAAAATTCTTCTGAGCTCCAAGTATTGGTACTGATGTAATTTAATTAAGCATGTGTGAAATTCCAGTGTTCCAGAACCTGAAATTGACGTAATAAAGGTGAAATGCAGAATATGCACCTCTGATACCATTTTTTAATGTTACACTCCATCACTCCTGCTTAATATCAAATCACAGGAGGTATTTTTCATCTGTTAAATTGCATTTTACACACCCTTCATCATTGGCCTCGAAGCAATTAAATTTGAGAAAAAAATTACTGAAGCAAGGAGTAAGAACCAAAATAATCAAGTTCACTAAAGTTGTTTTCACTCAATGATGTCTCTAGCTGATAAATCACCATTCAGAGTTTCATTCTGCTCTAGCCATTTCACTCTCAAAAATTCTCCAATTAAAAACTAAAGGTTCTAGAGAGATATTTTTATTTTATTTTTAGAGTATTTGTGAAAATCCAGAAAAAAGAAAGCTGCTTATTTCTTATTTCTTATTTCTTTTTTTTTTTTTTTGAGAGAGAGAGAGAGTCTTGCTCTTGTCACCCAGGCTGGAGTGCAATGGCGTGATCTCAGCTAAATGCAACCTCTGCCCCCTGGGTTCAAGCAATTCTCCTGCCTCAGCCTCCCAAGTAGCTGGGATTACAGACACGCGCCACCACGCCAGGCTAATTTTTGTATTTTTAGTAGAGACAGGGTTTCACCGTTTTGGCCAGGCTGGTCTCAAACTCCTGACCTCGTGATTTGCCCACCTCAGCCTCCCAAAGTGCTGGGATTACAGGCGTGAGCCACTGTGCTCGGCCTCAGAAAGCTGCTTATTTCTAATACTCTGTTATAGAAATTATTATTCTTTTGGTAGAACATATGTTATTAACAAATACTAAAAATAAAATCAATAATTTGTCAATTTTCATTATCTTTCATTCACTATCTTTCATCCATGGTGTTTTGCTAACTGCATAGTATTCTTGGCAGTTTTATGCCTTAAGTATTCACAATAGACTTAGTTGATAGTTGACACAGGGAACCTAAGAATCTGAGTTCTGGTCAGTAAAAAATTTCCCTATGATATTTGTGAATATTAGGTCAAATCATATGAAATTGACATTTTTGTAGGTTAAAAATGGTCAAATCTGGGAAATTTCATATAATGCAACCAAATATCTAAAGAGTTCTAAATACAGGTATCTTGGTATGCATGGAAATACCATTGGGTTCTTTCTCCATTAACTTGATGTGAATCCATATTTTGGAATTATCTTCTGGTCAAGGTCTCATCTGTTTGCCATTCTCTATTTTTTTTCCCTATCCGCTTACTCTTTTATCCTTTAAGTAGATAGCTTCTATTCCATGGACCCAAAAGAAATTCTTTTCCAAAATTACTGATGTTCATTCAAGAAATTGGACACTTTGATCACTCTCTCCTTTAAAATTTTTCCTTCTTGGTTTCCATGTTACTATGTTACTTGTTTCTTGATTTATCTCTCTAAATTTTTCTCGTCTTCTATTTGCCACCTAAATGAGGGCATTCTATTTGCCTGCATCTTCTATCATTTTTCTTGCCCAATAGACTTACACTGTCACCCCAATCTACCTCACAGTTAGTAAATGAGCTCCCTTTCTGCTCTCTGGCCACCAGAACATTCATACACAACTGTGCTCTTACTTGTTACTGTAACCATCTTCTCTCCTTTCTGTTTACTTAATAAAAAGGCATCCCTCTTCCTCAACTCTTAACCCCTCCTTGTGGTACCACATGCCTTCCACCTATCCCAGGGACCATGCTCCACTAGAGCATCACTTCTCCTACACCCTCACCCCTTCCTATAGTTTCTGTCCGCTCAGTATATAAACTTGCTTCTCCCATGACATAAAGAAAAAATGTCTCGTGATTCTATGTCATCTTCTAGTTATGGTCCTATCTTTTTTCATTCATAACCAAGTTTAAATATTTTAATTCTTTTTTATCTTCACCTCTTAAAACTTTTATAACCTTTTGTCATAAGTTGGGCACACCCAGAAACACGCTCTGATAAGAATTTGATGGGAGCAGTTTACTTGGGGGATAATCTTTGCTAGGAGAAAGGAAAGTGAGTCAAGGTAGGAAAAAAGTCAATATAGAATGTGTTTATCTTAGATTACTATTGTGGGAGACTGGGATTTGAATCTCATTTGGCATCTTTGGGAAACTGTCAAACAAATCTGAAGAGTGATTTCTCCTTGGGAGAGGAATACTGGGGTACTCACATCTTAAATCACTGTGGGCTGCTCCTGCAGCCATTAACTCTGGCACATCTGGCCAGCTCCAAGACAAGGCTGGGCTCTTGCTGATGACAAAGCCCTCATAGAAAGTAGCAGGTGCTTTCTGTAGGATGCCATTGGCAAGGTTGGAAATAGTGAATGCCAAAGAAATATGGGAGGGGCACCAACTGTGTCTGCTACACCCATTGTAATTAGCTTCCTGCTTTCAGCACTTCGCCTTTCTGGTGGAGAGCCAGTGATCTCATAATTGCCACACTTAACGAAATCTCTTTTGTCCTCACCCTCCTTGACCTTTCTCTATGCAACATTTGGCTTCCAGTCCTTATCTCCCTTGATATTCCCTCTTCCTTGGCTTCTCTTTCGTGTTGCTTCTACCTCTGTAACAGTTTTGCTTCCTTTTCAGCCACCTCATTTCCAAGTGCTGATGCTTTGTAGGACTCTGCTTTGGCTTTCTCATTCTATACAGGATTCCTGAGACATCCCTTCCAATTTTATGACTCCTCCAACCACCAGCATGATGATGACTTCTGAATCTATATTTCTAGCCTGGACTCCTCTCCTGTAGTCACAGCCTTATATCAGATCGCATTCCATGTTTCCATTTCCTATGGTGCCAGAACATCTCAACCAGAATGTCACAGATGTACTCAAACCCACATTCACAAAATAGGAGTATTATCTGTCTTTAACACATGTTCTACCTCCTATATTCCTTCTAACAAAATGGATTATCAGCTAACCAGTAATGCAATAGAAAATCTGGAAGTCATTTCAGCCTTTGTAATTTTCCTCATTCTTCACATTTAACTGGTGACCAAGCCTTGTCGATTGTATCTGCTTAACACTCTCCATTTTGTTCACACCTTCTTTCTTGTCACACAATCTCAGTTTCATCACTTGGCCTCTCATCTCATCTTATCACTCGGTAACCTTCACCCTACTGTTAGAATTGTGTTTCAAAAACATGAATCTGACCAAATGCTTACTGGAAAAGTTCAAATTATTTTCCATAACATGAAGAGTCTCCGTGAGCTGGCCCTTGTCTGCATTTCCAGCCTTAGACACCATTTCCTCTCTCTACCTACTCTACACCCCAACCACTGTAATTTCCAAATTGTTCCATAAAGTTCCAAATCTCTATAGATTTAACTAAAACTTATGTATAACATGCAGAGTGTCATGTAGTCTAAGAAATTTACAAATATTTTATTATTTAATCCTCATAACAACCCTATGTATGTATTATTATCCTCATTTTATAGATGAGGAAACTGAGGCCCAGAGAGGTTAAGTGATTCAACCAACATTACACATCTAGTAACTGGCAGAGCCAGGATTCAAATCCAGGCACTCTGGCTCCAGAGTCGTTACTCTTGACCACCCTACCACAACGAACTGGATTGGTTAATGTCATTTCTCTCTGTCTGGAAAATCCTCATCCTCCCCCCACTTCCAGTGAGTCTTTCTCTAACGAACCTTTCTTGATCCTTCATTTGTTCGGTAGTCTTGACCTCTCTCTCTCCTTTGAACCCCTCTATAGTACAAATACACTTGAGGCTTATTTGCATACATGTCTCCCTTTAGTATACTCCTTGATGATCACTCCCTTATTTGTTCCTATAGTTTTCTCTGACCCTAAATGTTGGACCTAAGCTTAAGCCTTTGATCTCCTTTTCTCTCTACACTGACTCTCTTGATGAGATCACCAAGAGATCATCAGTTTCAGGCTGCAAACATCATCTGTACAGGACAACTCTCGCATTTGGATTTCCCACTCAGAATTCTCTCCCGAACTCCAGACTCATATAAAACAGGCTTCTCTAACTTCACTGGATTGTCTAATGAGTATTGCACAGTTAACATGTTTAAAACTACTCCCAATCCTTACTTCTCACAAACTCCTTCTCAGCCTTCTTCATCTTCAGCCAGGTATAACACCATTCTTGGAATTACTCAGGGTAAATAATGTTGGAATCATCTTTTACTCTTTTTTCTCATGCTCCACAATCAATCTACAAATTGTGTTGGCCCTACTTTCAACATATACCCAGAATACAACCAATGCTCTCCACCTCACTGCTATCAACCTGGTCCCAACCACCATCATTTCTTGTCTGGATTAGCTGGATTAGCCTCTCAACTGCTTCTGCTCTTTCCCTTTTAATTATCATTTCCAACAGAAGCCTGGCTGATACTACTAGAACTTAGGTTAGGTCATATCACTCCTCCACGAAAATCATCTCAGCAGCCTAAAATGCCTACAGGAGCTGGTCTCTGCTACCACCTTGACATTACATCCTTCTACTCTACCCCTGCTGCAGAAACACCTACCTTCTAACCATTCCTCCCATGCTCCAGGCATGTTCCTACCCTTGGGCCTTTGCATTTAGTGTTCATACTGCTGCTTGCTGCTCTGCCTGGAACATTTGTTTCCCTGATACCTTTGCTTCTTTATCTGCTCTGGTCTTTGTTCAAATGCCACTTTCTTGGTGAGGCCTTCCCTAACTACTTCATTTAAAATTGAAAGTACTTAACCCTAACCTTTTCTATCCCACCTTCTGGCTTTCCTTTTCTACATATCACCATCTAATAGCATATATTTTACTTATTAATTTTATTTTCTGTCTACCCCCACTAGGATCTAAGTTTCATCTAAGTTCCCTGCCCCATTCCCAGCACCAAGAAATGCCTACTGTATAAGTACTCAACAAATGTTGGCACTTATTATACTCAGCCTGTAACCCAGTGCCTAGAACCCTCAAGTCTTTGATAAATGATTATTGAACAGATCAGTAAAATTATAATTGAATATATCACCTTTGACATCATCTATCTAAACTATCCTAATATCTCTAAAGTCTAAAATGAAACTCGTCTTTTCCAAACTGAATTAGCTTTCCTTCCAAACTCAATTAGCTTTCTGATTCTTTTATTAATGTTCAAGATACCATCTCTCTTTTATCAGCCATTTTTGTTTTGCTGACCTCTATATCCAAACAATTATCAAACCCTAAGATTCTACCTATGTGATGTTTCTCTAGTTTGTCTTTTTCTTTCATTCACACTGATAATGCCTTCATTAGACTTCAACTACCTCTTTTAATCTGTCAATTCAACCAGTCATTCGGTTCTCCATCCATCTCTTCCTACATCTGCAAACATTACTGAGTATTCACTGCCCTGGGTACTTTGCCTAGTACTGTGCAGAATGTGCCAGGAAATTGTTTCTTTGATCAGAAGAAATGTCAATTGGTAGGCCAAATTGATACAGTATATTCTGTTTCAATCCTTTAACTGTATTATTATTATTTTTTTTTTTTACATAAAGTAAGTAAATTCTTTGTCTTTTTATTTAGGAAAATAATCATGCTAAAAGCAAGTTGTACTTTATATAGATTTTCAAACAAAAGATTGATTGTGCTTTTTCAATAAAAAAGATAGGGCATCTTCCAACCTCACTGACTTAAACCTTGTGGAATACAGCATTTCCAAACTAAAAACACACGTCAAAAAGAAAAATTAAATAATCCCAGTGGGATGCTCAAAAATCGTCTTCAGAAGGTCTTAGGATTGGCAAATTCTGCTATTATCTTATTGGCTGCAGCAAAAAAAGAATACAGAGCTGCTGTCTAAAATTTCTTCAAACTCCCATCTGAGTTCAGCAGGCAACACTCAGATTTGAAAGAAACTCTGCAGCAACCTGGACATACGGTTAGCTGAGACAACATTTGATTAGCAGGCATTTTAAACTGATTTCCTCTTAACATACACAGGAGAGAACACATTTTCTTCCTGCAGGGCATGTTCTACTACATCATATTTCTGAATCCCTTCTTCCTATTCGGTCACTCTCTGAAAAAAAGCTGGTTTGTTTTTCCCATGTAGAATCACTCTGGGTACAAGAACCTTTATTTGCTCCAATTATTATTTTTTTAAATTTAGAACCTGTGTTGGGTCTAAAATACCCATTTCCCACTCCCACAAGCAGATGATGATCAGGCTGCTGCCAAGAGCAGCAGAAAAAGGGAAAACCAAACCAAAACATGAAGGCAAGTACCCAGGGCTTTGCAGTCACCACACGGGTCTTCTCAAGTCTAAAGGTCCATGAGCGGCTTGTCCAAGGAGGCGGCTGCCTCTTGGTAGGTGAAGATGAAATCTGCAACCTTTCTAAGCACAATACACACACACACACACACCAAAAAAAAACCCCCCCCACACACACACCAAAAAAATACCCCCCCCCCACCCCCGCGAAAACACAACTCTCATATTTAAAGCTCTTAAGTTCAGGGTAGCAGTCTCAAACTGCCAAACACTAGGATGAGGATGTGACTCTGCACGTGTTTTGGATGAGAGGAAGCATCGTCCCAGTCACTTTTCTCCTCTTGTGCTGTCCTTTGAAAAACAGGTCTGGATTACAAGCTCTACCCCAAGAAAAAGAACCGGTTCAGAAAGCACTTCTCCAAGTTTCTCCAACAGAACACTGTGGCTGCAGGGCCTGGTAGTGTGAAGGGCAGGAACCGACATGTAAAAACGTACTGAAAATCAGAGTCAAAAAACGGTTTTAAGTTTTAATACTCTAATTAGCTCCCTGTTTTATACTGTAACTCCACAGAAGACATAGGGCCACCTAGGATTCACAGGAAGTAGTAGCTCTGATTCTTATGTGGCTGGCTCTAATGTCCCCACAGCAGGCCCCTTCCTCCCCAAGTTTTTCCTTTCCATTTCAGAAAAGCACTATTTTATCTTCACATCCAAGAGCTGGTTGGTTTGGTTTGTTTCTTTGGAACCATCAATAAAAGAAGCGATTTTTTTCCCGTTCTTCTTACGTCTACCTATCAGAGCGGCTATTTCCTTTGACAGTTCAGTAGCACACAGGCTGACTTGGCCACATGGACTCATGAATGCATGCATTCGGACCGCATATTGCTACCAAATGGAATGTGGGAATATGCTATGCACCTCAGGTTGAGAAACGACCAGGAAATCAAGATCTAAAGGGTGATATATAATATATATATATCAATGCTTTTATTCATAAAAACCTTGTTTAGTCATAAAAAAATTGCTGTGTTTAAATATGAATATTATAGTCTGCTTCTCATGGTTAGGAAACAATAGTCTTTCTGAAAAGCAGGTGCTTTTTCTACTACAACTCCATATCCTGGGCCTCATCTTTGGAAAAGTCAGATATAGAGCTCTCCGATGAGCTGTCCCTGGTACCCTCTTCCTGCTCTTTCAGCGCCTGCTCCGTGGTGTATTTCTGGATGTACTCTTTAATTTTCTGCTTGTATTCTTCTGGTCTTTGGAGGTACATGGCTGCATCTTCACCATTGAGAGGATCTATGGGGTTAGGATAGGCCAACAACTGGGGCAGGAAGGACTCAAATATATTGGTAAGATCATAGAGAGCTGTCCAAGTTTGATTAATTACATCTAGACACACAGTTCCTGACGCGTCGTCAGTGTTGGGATGGAAAATTTTATGCATGAATCCCTCTGACCGGCTCCTAGCAGCCTCCACTACAAGCAGACGACTCCTGCTCAGTCAGCCTCCCTACCCCAGCCCGACTGTATTATTAACATTAGTCTGTGTGACTGGAAAAGCAAAGCCAAGTCTTGAATCCGTGCCAGTCAAAACCCATTTAAATCTTCCTGGTGCTAACGGCAGCCGACTAATATAGTCTACTTGCCATCTGTGTGCTGGTTCTTCACCTCTGGGAATATGTTCCATTGCATTTTGTAAACATTGTCTCTCCTGCTGACAAATTGGACAATTATGTTTAACGGTTTGTATTCCTTCTGGTGCTACCAGTAAGGGACATCATTCAGCTCAGCATTACATGGCTTGCTTCCTCCTATCATATCACGTACCGAAATAGCCACTTCTAGGAAATGCACTGAAGCATCTACCTGTTGGTCTCAGTTTCTCTCAGATCCTGGTAAGGGATTGTTCTGTCTTATTAGATTTATTCTCATGATTATGTTAACACCCCTTCTCCCAAAAACCTTACATTTAATGAGAAAAGAATCTGTGTTTTCATAATCTCTGGTAGCTTCAACCTCATTTGAACATGTAAGGAAGTCTGTGAATGTTGACAGTAATCAAATCTAATTGCTTACAGGTGGCAGTCATTTTGAACCTATAGCTGTTTCGGCATTGGAAGGGACTGTATCGAACACGGACAGTAGAAACTATAAATCCAAACAATAACATTTTACTCAAGGATGAGTCAAGAAGCCATTCCGTCATTAATTCAGCCAATGTGAAAACGCCCCTATCCGGGAGGATTACTATTATAACACTAGCTCCCTCTGTTGCTCATTTCAGAAATGACATGGCACTTGGAGCTATTTTGTGCAGCCATGAAAATAGAGGTCCCCAAAAGTAACATACTAAACTATACTAAATCAGTGGAGACACATTTGAAATTTTATGTCTTTAAAACCACCACACTGAAGATACAAGGGAAAAATAAATAACATGGCATTTAGTGGCAATTTCATACAGTGTCTCCTTCCCTTTTGATTCTTATGATCAACCAACATATATTGTATTTAGGAGAATCAGTGATAATGGAATGTAACGTGAACATTAATTTCATGCTCTCTGAAGACAGTGGTTGTCAAGTTTCAGTTAGCATAAGGATAATGTGGATGAGTGGCTCTCAAGCTTTGTCATGCATCAGAATTACCTGGAGGTCTCAATAAGGAATGGATTGCTGGATCCCATCCACAGAGTTTCTGAACCAGTAGGTCTGTGTTGGAGCTGAGAAGGTACATTCCTCGTACTCTAGAACCTCTGTTCTAGAGCATTACGACTCAAATCTGTTCTGCAAGACAGCAGCATGAGCTTCACCTGGGAATCTATAAAGACACAGAATCTTAGGCCTATTTCAGATTTACTGAATCAAAGTCATCTGTTTAAAATCATTCCCAGGTGATTTGTATCCACAATACAGCTTGAGAGGCATTTGCTTAGAGAAGGGGTGGCAAACTTTTTGGTAAAAGGCCAGACAATAAATAGTTTAAGTTTTACAGGCTGTACCATCTCTGTCACAAATACTCAACTCTGCCATTGTAGCTCAAAAGCAGCCATAGACTGTGAGTGTGTTCCAATAAAACTTTATTTACAAAAACAGGGAGTGGGCCATTTTTCCTCCTCTGGGCATAGTATACTGGCCTCTGGCTTAGACTGTGTGTGTTTATGTGTATTGTTATTTTGTTTCATTTTAAACTTGCTTCACCTCCCTTAGTCTTTGCTTCAGCAGTTCTGCGGTTGAACCTATCCTTTGTATTTTTAACAGGCATCCTGGAAAAGTTTGATTCAGGTGGTCAGCAAACCACACTTCGAGAAACAATTTAAGCCATTGTTTTGCTTGGCAATATCTAATTATTTTATTAGATATTTATATTTTTGTTACATGACTCATAGAAAGAAAAAATTAAGATCTTTGATCTATTCTTCTTTTCAATAACACCTTCCATGTTCTTCCAAATGTTTTCCACCCTCGCTTTGGGCTGATACTAATGTTTGTGTTTTTCCTCAACAGAAATTGACTGCCACAACAAAACTTGGCTCCCGTATAAGGAAAAAGGAAAAACTGCATACACATTTAAGCCGAAAACTCATTACAGAAGAAAATTAGAAGCGATGAGAACTGCAAATCCTTCTTTATTGCTTCTCTAATTTTTTCAAAACAAAACTTAACTACTGTAACGAAACTATTCAGGGAATAGTTTTATGATTAAAGAAAAAAAAGTGTTGCGCATTTACTTTATCTTAGTCCTATATCAAGCAGACACAGTAAGAGAGAGAAAACAAAGGCATCTGTGAAATGAACTTTTTTCTCATTCTCTAAATGGCTAGTTGTTCCTTTTGTAAAAGTAAGATTTGAATTTACCTTTTCATCCCAATCTCCCAGTCCCTTTCACCAACTCTCCTTTCCTGCAAAGGCACTAGTTCTAAAATAAGTCAATGAATTTTTCTGCTGCCATTCTTTTAATTTATGTTTAAAAAGTTCTGGGAAACAATATATGGAAAGAAATTTAATTGCTAGTGAACAGAGATGAAAATTATAAATGTTACACTTTAAAATATATTGTTTAAAAATGTATTTTTCTAAAAGTGTGTAAAAAAGATGCCTAAATTTTTCTTAGCCATATTTCCCACCTTCTTTAAAGAGTAGTTTTAAATTGTGAGGTTCTCGGGGTATTTTTATTATTTTTAAAAACAATTCATTCCTAATAATTAAAACAATACTGCATATTATTAAACTTCAGAAAAGACAGATAAACAACAAAGGAAATCATGCATAACACCATTATATATAAAACTTTACTAAGTTAAAAAATAATTTGAGGTGAAATTCTTATTGAATTTACCATTTTTTAAGCGAACACATTAATTGGCATTTAGTATATTCACAATGTTGTGTAACCACCACCTCTATTTAGTTCCAAAACATTTCCATAACTACAAATAAAGCCTCTTACTCTTTGAGCAGTTTATCCCCATTTCTCCTTCCCACAGCCCAACAGCCACCAATCTGTGTTCTGTCTCTATAGGTTTATCTAATCTGGCTATTTCATAAAAATGGAATCATATATGTGATTTTACATGTCTTATTTCTTTCACTTAGCATGTTTTTTAAGGTTCATCCACATTATAGTATACATCAGTATGTATGAATTATCCTTTTTGTGACTGAATAATATTCCATTATACGGATATACCACAATTTGTTGATCCATTCTGCTGTTGGACATTTGGCAGTTTCTACCTTTTGGCTATTGTGAATGGTGCTGCTAGGACATTGTGTACATGCACTTATTTGAGTACATGTTTTCAATTCTTTCTGTGTACAGTTGACCCTTGAACAACACAAGGGTTGGAAGCACTGACCTCCTGTACAACATATAACTTTATTGACACCCCAAAAGTTAACTACTAATGGCCTACTGTTAACTGGAAGCCTTACCAATAGCATACACAGTCAAAATAACACATATTTTGTATGTTATATGTATCGTATACTATTCTTACAATAAAGCATGCTAAAAAAGAATAAAATCTTATTAAGAAAATCACAAGGAAGAGAAAATATATTTACTATTCATTAAGTGAAAGTAGATCATCATAAAGGATTTCATACTTGTTTTTACACCCAGTAAGCTGACGAGGAGGAAGAAGACGAGGTGTTGGTCTTTCTATCCCAGAGGTGGCAGAGGTGGAAGAGGTGTGAGGCGAGGCATGAAAGGAAGTTACACTCGGTATAACTTTACAGAAATACCTCATAATTTCTGTCTGACTTTTTTGCTTTTTCATTTTAATAAAAGTGTTTCTATATGGTACCAATCCCCTCTCACTGTTTCCTTTAGTTTCAGTGACCATATCATAGAAGTGTCCATGCTATAAGAGAAGTCAAAAGCAATCTTAAATAACTGGAAACCTTCTACTGGATTGTCTAATGTCCATTTGTTTTCTGGCACTGCTTCTTCTATGTCTTCTTCCTTATCATCTGGCACTGGCTCAGAAGCACTCATCTCCATCAAGTCATCTTCTGTTCATTCCTCTGGTGTGGTATCTATTAGCTTTTGAATGTCTCCAAGATCCATATCCTGAAACCTTTCACCCTCTACCTTTTTTTGTCATATCCACAATCCCTTTCATGATTTCCTTCATTGGCTCTGTTATAAATCCTATGAAGTCATGCACAATATTGGTACACAGTTTTCTCCAGCAGGAATTTATTGTTTTGGGCTTGATGGCTTTCATGGCTTTTTCTACAACACAGTGGCATATGAATGGCATAATTCTTTCAGACTTTCATGATATTTTTTCTACTGGGGTTATTTTCCATAGCGTTGACAATGCTTTCCTTAGAGTACCATGCATAATGAATTGTAAAAATCCTTATGACCTCTGGATTTAGAGGCCGAATTAGAGATGTTGTGTTTGGGGGCAACTAGACCACTTCAACTCCTTTGACATTGAACTCACGGGATTCTGGGTGGCCAGGGACGTTGTACAATATCAAAAGATCTTCAAAAGGCAGTCTCTTGCTCGCAAGATACTTCCTGACTTCAGAGACAAAGCACTGGTGGAACTAAAGCAGAAAAAGAGTTCTCATTGTTGAGGCTTTCTTGTTGTACAATCAAAAGACTGTTAGCTTGTGTTTATCCTTTTCCTTCAAGGCTCAGGGGTTAGCAGCTTTATAGATAAAGGCAGTCCTGATCATAAACCTGACTGCATTTGCACAAAACAGTAGAGTTAGCCTATCCCTTCCCGCCTTAAATGTGGGTGCTCACTTCTCTTCCTTACTAATAAATATCCTAGGTAGAATTTTTTTCCAGAATAGGGCATTTTCATCGGCATCAAAAACCTGTTTAGGCAGATATTCTTCTCCTCAATGATTTTTTTAATGCATCTGAGAACTTATCTGCTGCCTCTTAGTTAGCAGAAGCTGCTTCTCCTGTTGCTTGACATTTTTTAAGCCAAATATCTTTCTAAAATTATCAAGACATACTTTGCTGGCATTAAATTCTCCAGCTTTAGATAATTCACCTTTCTTTTGCTTTAAGTTTTCATACAATGATTTCGCTTTTTCTGAAATCATATTAGAGTCTATAGGTAGACCTTTCTTGTAACAATCCTGCACCTACAGAAAAGCTGCATTTTCAACACAAGATAAGATACTTTGAAACAAAATGCAAAGTTTTCTTGCCTGCTGTCATGGCTGCACTGAGAGCTTCACAAATCTCCTTTTCTTTCTTTTTTTTTTTAAAATGGTCCTGATTCTGGATTCATTTATTATGGTGGACAATCACAGCTACAGACCTGAATCTAGGGTACATATCAAGTTATTCAACTGTTTGTTGTAATGCCATGACTTTGCTTCTTGCAAGCACTTCCAGCACCACTAGTGGCACTTTGTTGGGTCTTACGGTGTTATTCAAGGTTTATGGTGTTGCACTAAACCTGAAAAAATATGTGAGAACTATGAGAAATCACTTTTTACTATGATACACAATTTACTAGAGAGACCAACTGCTCACACAGAAAGGATTAGCATCACACATTGTTGTAAACGGATACTCATAGCACTTGAGCTCACTGCAACAGCAACAGGAGCTGGCTACAAAATTATTACAATAGTGCAGTATATACTACAGTTAATTTTATGTAGTTATGATTTCATACTGCATCTTTACATTTGTTTTGCATCTTTACATTTCTTTTGACTTCAAATGGCACCATGTATGGTATGTGTTTGTGTGCGTACATTTTGATAAATGTTAACTTTCTATAATAGATTAGTGTACATTTTAAGAAAGTAAATGATAGGCTAGTATCTACATATATTTTATGCATTCATGATATACCTAAACTTTTTCTTATTTTTAAAAACTTTCTAGGCTACATGGTTTATCTGCAAGTATTTTCAAATTGTTGCAGATTTCCAAAGAAATTTTCAATATATTTATTGAAAAAATCTACATATAAGTGGACCTGTGCAGTTTAATCCCATATTATTTAAGGGTCAACTGTATATACCTAGCAGTGAAATTATGGAGTCATACGGTAATTCTATACTTAACTTTTTGAGAAACTGCCACTGTTTTCCACATGCCTGGGTCATTTTCCATTTCCACCAGCAAAGTACAAGGCTTCCAATTTCTCTGCATCCTTGCCAGCTTTTGTTATTTTTCACTTTTGTATTATAGCCATCCCTGTGGGTGTAAAGAGGTACTTAATTGTGATTTTGATTTGCATTTCCTTCATAACTACTGATGTTGAACATCATTTCATGTGTTTGTAAGCCACTTGTATCTTCTTTAGAGAAATGTCTGTACTAGTCCTTTGTCCATTTTATAATTGGGTTATTTGTTTTTGATTGTTGAATTATAGTTTCTTTATATATTCCGGATGCTAGATCTTTATCAGATATATGATTTGCAAATATTTTCTCACACTCTGTAGGTTGTCTTTTTGCTTTCTTGATTATGTTTTTTGATGCATAAAAGTTTTGAATGTTGATGAAATCCAATTTAATAATTTTTTTCTTTTGTTATTCATTCTTTGGGGAGGTCATATATAAGAATTCATTGCCTAATCACGGTCATGAAAATTTACCCCTATTATTTTCTAGTAGTTTTGTAATTTTAGTTTTTATATTTAGGTTGTTGATTTATTTTGAGGTAGTTTTTGTATATGGTATGAGATAAGGGTCCAAATTCATTCTTTTGTGTGTGTCTATCTAGTTATCCGAGCATCGTTTTTGAAGAAACTATTGTTTCCCCCACTGAATGGTCTTGGCATCTTTGTCAAAAAAATTGCCATGGATGGATGGGTTTATTTCTGGACTCTCAATTCTACTCCATTTGTCTATACAGTAGTCTGCACTTAGTCACAGAGGATATGTTCCAAGACCCCCAGTGGGTGCTTGAAACTGCAGATAGTAGCATACCCTATACATATTGTGTTTTTTCATACATATATATATATGTATATATAATATATACAATGTTTTTTCCATGAACATATATACCCAAAGTTTAATTTATAATTAGACACTGTAAGAGATTAACAACAATTAATAATAAAATAGAACAATTATACAATACTCAGAATGGTGCACAATTTAAAACTTATAAATTGTTCATTTCTGGAATTTTCCATTTAACATTTTCAGACCATGATTGACATTGACTGTGGGTAACTGGAACTGCAGACAGCAAAACTGCAGATAAGGGGAGACTGCTGTATGTCTGTCTATATATCTAACCTTATGTAAGTACCACACTGCTTTGATTGCTGTAGCTTTATAGTAAATTTTTAATTTGAGAAGTATGACTCCTCCAAATTTTTTCAAGATTTTTTGCTATTTGAGACCCCTTGCAATTACATATAAATTCAAGGATCTGCTTTTTCATTTCTGCAAAAAATGCCATTGGAATTATGATAATAATTGCATTGAATCTATGGATTGCTTTAAGTATTAATAGTATTAAGCCTTCAAATTTAGAAACATAGAATATCTCTCCATTTGTTTAGGTCTTCTTTAATTTTTTCCAACAATATTTTGACATTTTCAGGAGAGTATCTGTTTAAATTTCTACAGATAAAATATATCGGGTCAAAGGTAGATAAAATTCCAAATATATCACCAAATTTTCCCTTAGAAAGGTTTGCCAAGTTGTGCTTCCATTCAATCTTTATTAGTGTAAGGAGTAGAAAATGGTATTTCATTACTATGATTTTCACTTCTTTGATTCTTGGTGATGTTGATACTTTTTCATGAGCTTATTGGTCATTTATAATCCTAAATCAGGAGCATTTACTTGTAAACAAATCTCAGTAATGATTGAATTTCAAAATTGAATTCATAGAACTTATAAACCTGGTTGTCATAAACCAATGTGAATGCAAATGAGGACATTATTACTGTTATTGTTTCATTAGTGGTATTAAAGCTATCTCACATAATATTCTTACTTATATACAATAAAGCATATTAATTTCAAAGTCCTTCATTTTAATTTTGTAGCAAATTAGTAAACCAGAATATTTAGGAAGATGGAATAGTTTGTTTTGTCTTTTACTCTACGTTTTTCCTGGAACCATTATTCCATATATAAACAGTACTACTTCAGCAACTAAACATGAATAAATGTCTTTGGTACTGGTGTACCTTATGCTCCTACTTAAACTGGCACTGCAATTGAATTTTAGAGCTGGAAAGAACCTCAGAGACCACTTAGTGTGCTCTCTAATTTTATGGATAAGGAATCTGAGGCCCAGAGAGGTGATGTAGTTTAACAGAGGTCACGGTTACTCAGTCATTCAGGGGCAGGATGCAAGGCACCACTGTCCTTCCAGTAGACTAAAGTTGTGTCTTGTATAGTCAGAAAAACAGTGTAAGAGCAATGTTGCAAAATTGTGGAGTGCTTTTACACTGCTCTTTTGTTAATGCAACCAGCAGTATGTTTTGCATGTCTGACTTAGTAAATCATTGAATCATTAACAAATAAAAATTAAAAACCTACGTGCTCCCTCTGCAGGTTTCAGAGGCTAAAAATGGGTGCCACAATCCAATCAACCATTAGAACAAGCCGTGAGGGGGGGGGATGCAGGCAGAAACTGACCCTTTCAGCTTTGCTAAATGTGGTCTTTTTGCCCCACATAGCAAAAAGACCTAGGAGAAAGTGGTGCAAATATTTTAAGTACTTCAGGGCAAACATTTCCTCCTTCCAAATCCTATTCTCATTGCAGGAATTAGGAGCCTGAGCCCTAGATTGCAAGTTTCTGAGCCTAGATTCTGATTCAGTCATTTGCTAGCTACATACACTTTCAAGCCTTACTTTTTCATCTGTCAAATGGACATAATAATAGTCATTATTTCCACAATAAATAAAAAGATGAAATACACATAAGGTACTTAATATAGAGATTTAGCATATGACAATGGAGACAAATGGCTGTAAATGCTCTTTAAAGCATTAGTAAATTGCAGAAGGTGTGCACAGTATGCAGCTCATTCACTTCATCTTGTTGCTAAGGAAAAAACTGCCTCCACAGTACCTGAAATTGTTGACTACTTCAAATTTTCAACATGTTTTTGTTTGTGTATACTCTTTTTTAGATGGAGCATTTTAAGGCATATGTGATTTGGATTTTTTTAACAATGTGTTTCCAGATATGGGATAATATGCTCATTATAAAGCTGTTTAAGACTGAGAGCATGGGACCAATAATTCTTTGAGGATCTAAAGTATATTTTTGAAGACTTAGAAGAAAAATCTCAACAGAATAAATGTGTTCAAAAAGTTGATAAAGCTTATAAGTGCCATGTTAACTGCAACTTGAAAAGATGTTTCAATAAGACAGTAAGGAATTACAGACTCCTAAAGGAAGTGAATATAAAGAATACTTTCTTTTATTATCTTAATATTTATTTACTAATAAATATAGAAAAATTTCAATAAAAAATTAATGAAATATGAAACAAAGTTAATAAAGATATTTGACATCTAGAAGCTAATTACAATATATAAAAAATTTCAGATCATACCAAGAGTCATAATTAATTTAAACAAAGAGGTAAATTTTGAAAAGAAATAGTGAGGCTGGGCACGGTGGCTCATGCCTGTAATCCTAGCACTTTGGGAGGCCGAGGCAGACGGATCACTTGAGGTCGGGAGTTTGAAACCAGACTGGCCAACATAGTGAAACCCCATCTCTACTAAAAATATTTTTTAAAAAATTAGCTGGGCATGGTGGTGGGCACCTGTAATCCCAGCTACTTGGGAGGCTGAGGCAGGAGCACTGCTTAAACACGGGAGGCATAGGTTGCAGTGAGCCGAGACTGCACCACTGCACTCCAGCCTGGGCAACGCAGTGAGACTCTGTCTAAAAAACGAAAGAAAGAAAAGAAATAGTGAATAAGGTGGGTAAGCTTTTGGATTATTAGATAATCAAGTTAGTGAATAGGAATAAGTCATATGAACACACTGAAAAATGATATACATTTCTTGCTGTTTTGACAGGCAATACCAATGTTGACTAAGATAACATTAGATTCATAACATGCTGCTACAAAGAGGGCATTGACAGCAAGCTGGATGATGAGTGTTGTCAATGCAGGAGTATTGAAATTGGTTGTTGCTGGAGTAAAATGAAAGTCCCGTGAAATCTTGTCATTCATCACAGAAAGAAGTAATCAGAGCATACTATCAAATATAGTAGAGTTGCATCAAGCAATTAATTATTTTGAAAAACCCCTAGAACTTAAAGTATAATAAAAAATTATTTTGAAAAACCATACTATTTTTGTAGATTTTATAATACTTTGTGTACACATCAGCTTCTTTAAATTTGTAATTTGTTGTTGGTTTTATTTTTTCTTTTACTTTTAATTACATTTATTTTATTCCCATGCAATAAGTTTTTTTTCTTCAGTTTCTTCTGGGATTTCTTTTTCTTCTGCGCAATTGCCTTTTCTGGTTTAGAAATAATTTATTCCTTTTCAGTAAGGATCATCAGGATGTGTGTGTACACACCGTTTCTATAAAGTGACATCTTTCAGATACCTTGTGGCTTTTCATACGTGTGTACTCTCGATGACCTAAGAAGTTTCATGCATGTTCTTAAAGTGAACACAAAGATTTGAACCTCTTGACTTGCATGATTTTGTGGAGTTTTCTTGGTCAGGTGAATAGCAAACTGTTTTCACAGATCACCTCAGGCCATTTAGGGGAAGACCAATTTGTTGTTTTTTAATCATTCTAAATAAATATTTATTTTGCAGCTAATTCTGTATTTGTAATTTTTATCATTTTTTCATGAAGAAGAACCCCCAAATTGTATAAATTTCAAGCTCACAAAATCTGGATCTGCCCCAGGGTAGGGGAGATATGAAGGATCAAGAGAAAGATTAAACGTACCCAGGCATGGTGGCTCATGTCTGTAATCCCAGCATTTTGGGAGGCTGAGTTAGAAATATCACTTAAGACCAGAAGTTAAGACAAACCTGGTCAACATAACAAGAATCCATCTCTACAAAAATAAAATTAAAATAAAATTTTATTCAAAAGGGAAGGATTTAAGAGAAAGATCAAGATCGAGAGGGACCTCCCCACTGAGTAGAGTCTCACACCCCAGCTGCCTCGTCTTCTCACTTGCAGACCAAGCTTCCCTGGCCTGCTTTTCTTCCATATTTGCCACAGTTATTCATGCTGTTACAGCAATAGCTATCTGCTAGAATACTGCATTGAGTGTGAAGTGCAGTGTACAATAGGATTATAGAAGTCTGCAGGTAAAAGGTAAACCCAATGATCAGTGCCAAAAAAAGAGACTGGTTAGTGATATGAGAAGGTAATTGCCTCTTGAGCATATCAAACAGCTTGGGCAGGGCACAGCAACATAATGCTAAGTGTGATGGTTAATACTGAGTGTCAATTTGATTGGATTGAAGGATGCAATATTGATTCTGGGTGTGTCTGTGAGGGTGTTGCCAAAAGAGATTAAGTGGGCTGGGGAAGGCAGACCCACCCTTAATTGGGTGGGCACCATCTAATCAGCTGCCAGTGAATATAAAGCAGGCAGAAAAATGTGAAGAGGCATGACTGGCCTAGCCTCCCAGCCTACATCTTTCTCCCATGCTGGATGCTTCCCGCCTTTGAACATCAGACTCCAATTCTCCAGTTTTGAGATTCGAACTAGCACTCCTTGCTCCTCAAGCTTACAGACAGCCTATTGTGAGACCTTGTGATCATGTAAGTTAATACTTAATAAACTCCTTTTTATATATATCCTATTAGTTCTGTCCCCTAGAGAACCCTGACCAATACAGATTTTGGTACCAAGAGTGGCTCTAGAGGAACAGAATATTAAGGATGGAGTTCTTTCATTGGTTTTGGGGTTTCTGGAGTTGGCTACTTAATATGATTAGACCCAAAAATGCTAAGGACTCTACTTCTGATAGTATGGAGAACACTGAGAGTCCTTGGAAGAAATTGTTTAAAGAGCTATGCCAAATAAATGCATTTGACACTCCTGATTTACTGCTTGTGAGAAGCAAAGAGTTTAGTGACTCTATACATAATACCTTTGACCATATGTGAAGAACCAAGGAACACAATGAAGCTGGTTGGTTGTTTCTAAGTTCAGTGGACAAAGTGATAAAAGAAAATGATGAACTTGGGGATTCTGTCTCCCAGCTTCAGCAGCAGTTACTGAGCCTCAAATCTGCTATGATTGCCCTGAGAGAGAGTCTTATCTCCTGTAGAGAAGAAGCTGAAATTGTGGGAAAACAGACACAAGCTCTTATCATGCGAGTGGCTGACCTGCAACAAAAGATGCAAGAACAGCCTCACCAGGTGTCTACTGTTAAAGTGAGGGCATTGATTGGAAAAGAACTGACTAACATACTAAGGCATTATTAAATAAGTTGTAATGAATCCCAAAGTGCCCAATGGTGACTACAGAACTTCCATATAGGTTGGTTATTTGCTTGAAAGGTAAAGATGGGAGACATGTAAAGTAAGTTCGCATAGCTAGACCCAGTATTTACTTATATACTACATGTTATTTGAGGTGGCTTGCAGCAAGGGGGATGCTGATGGAGGCTATGTGGGGTAGGGTCTGGGAGTACAGCATCTCCTGCCCATACCGTCCCAGGGAGCCCTCCCTGACCCCTTGATGCCTTGCTGTAAAATATTAGCTATAGGTTATATTTATTGCTGAAGTATTTAGCTTTTATTTTGTCAATTCCTTAAAATAAGCCACCAAAAATTTAAGAATGTTAAATTGTGTATAAACACAAAAGATTGAGAACCACAAAACTGTAAGGAACCTCTTTTGAGTTCAAATGTAAAATCTAAGTATGTTTGCAGGAATAACTACAGAGTTACCTGCAGCTCATGCAAGATTCTCTGTTCTATAGTAAATGATGTATTTCACAACATCATTCAACATAAATTCGTTTATCATATACCCAGTAGGTCCGGGTATTGTGCCTGCATCTGGGCATACAAAGGACAAGAAACAGTTAATTGGACCTTTGCTCTGAGCTCAGTAATCTGGACTAGAATAACAGTATTACATGGAATGTAAGAGTAAGTATGTTGACTCTCCTCTGGAAAGAAGTAAGGGGAAAACAGCTTTTGTTTTTCATGGAAGAAGAATCACTCCTCCCAAAAAGGAGTAGAAGATGGAAATTATTCCATGGTGAACATGAAGATTAATTGCTTATTTCTTCCTTGGGGGATGCTTTTGAAAAGCACATTCATTTTTTATCTTTGGGGGCCGGACATTTTTTAATTAATTTACAGTAATGTGCTAGCATCTTAATACATTTTTTCTTATAATAGAAAAAATATGCTTTATAAGTGACTTGGGGCCACGGTAGGAAAAAAAATTGAGAAGTGTGGGAAAGGCATTAAGTCACCTGAAGACCTACTTGTTTCCCTTCATAGTTTTGCTGAAAATCAACTAGGCTTGCATGCTGTTACTTCTGTTCCATTTTTTAAAATTTTGAATCATCAATACATTTATATAAGCAAACCTACACTTGTATTTATTTAAACAAAATTCTCAAAAGTTATTTTTCAGAACTGATTAAGATTTAACTTAGGCTTACACTTTTAAGAAACAAGCATTTTTGCAGTGAGTTTCAAGGAAAGCTTAGAAATCTTCTTGGTATTTGTAAATCTCACTGAGATTATCACAGTAGGAGCCAAACCATATCTTGGAACTTTGCATGTCATTTTCTACTCAGCTAATAACGTGTAACAGTTAAGAACTAATCATCTCAGCATGGCTGTACCTGCTGTTTGAGGCTTGGTGGCAGGTAATTGCAGCTCAAAGTATTAGAGGAAAGAAGGAAAGAAAATGTAATAGTATTTCCTTTGTAGAGAACAGGGGCAGTTTCAGGAAAGAATTATATAATTGTGATTTCTGAATTATTTATCTTGTGCCACAGATGTCACAGGGCTTGAAGTAGAGTTTCGTTATTTAACATGAATGAGATGCAGGATCTAAAGGCTCTCCTAATAAAATTTAAGTCACTGACTCTCCTTTCAAGGATGGAAGATAAGAAAATTGTGATTGCAATCATGCTTAATTCCATAGAACTGAGAAGTACAGCCAGGCAGAGAACCCAAAGAAGAAAGAAGTTAAGCTTTTCAAAAAAGTGGGGGCTAAGTTCCATATGGCTCGCCTGGTGAGAACCAGATGGCCGGGGCCATGTGCTGGAAGAGCTGACGCCGGCCAGCAGGCAGCTAGCGAGTGAGCCCACTGGAGCCTTGCATGAGTAAAGGGTTTCAATCAGTTAGGGCAAGGAAAAATGATGATTTTTATGTTTATGATTCCTTGATTTATGCATTTCTAGGAGTGAAATAAAGTGGCATGAGAACAGATGTGAAAAAAAGGTAGAATCGTCTCTCAATAGGCCTACTGGTGCCAGAAGCCTAAGGGAACAGCTCTGGTTGCTAAACTAGAATTCCAACATCTCCAGAATAAAAGCTAATGTTTGTGTAGTGCCTTCTATGCCAGATTTTTGAAACGTCACCATCGTATTAGGTAGGTCCTAATTTTGTCCTTATTTTGTAAATGAAGAAATAAGGCCCAAAGAGAGAGTCTTGGTAATATTGTTCTAAGATTAGTCGTGGAGCCATTTCTGATTTCAGAATTCAAGAGTTCACTCTTGGCCCTTCCTTTAAACCACCTGTCTGGAAGATGTGTACTTATTTAAAAGCAAATCTTCTTTCTCCATCTTACACAGAGAGGGAAGGAGAGAGCCATTCATTTACTCAACAAACATTTACTGAACATCTGCAACATGCCAGGACCCATTGCCTAGGCCATGTGGATGTTTAAGGTGTGAGGATCGAGAATGATGTACAACCTAGTGACTCTCAATTTTAAAAAATTCTTCTCCCTCTAGAGAATTCACTTTCACACTCTTTGTAAGTTACTATTCTAGAAAGAACAATGCTAATCATATTGCCCTCTCTGTAATTTTCAACCGTGCCCTTGCCTCCTGTTCCTCGTGTACACATACCTCCTGCTCCCACCAAACTGGATCATAGCTACTCAGAGGCTGAGGCGGGAGGATGGCTTAAGCCCAGGGGTTAGTTCAAGGCTGCAGTGAGCCATGATCCTGTCACTGCACTCCAGCCTGGGCCACCAAGGGAGACTTTGTCTCAAAAAAACAAAACAAAACAAAAAAGCTGGATCATACCCTGTTCTCCCGCATATGCCCAACACTTGCCATCTTTGACTTCCTTGATGATACTCTTCTTTCTACCTGGAATTTATCACTGTCTCACCTCAAAATCCTTCTTGTCCGGCTTAAATGCAAACTTCCGCCACAAAACCATCTCTGGATTTTGCCCATACGCCACAGCTGGAAGCACTCTCCCTGCCCTCCCTTGAGATTTCTAGGATGCTTTGCCCTTGCCTCTCATGACATCTTGTACATTTTAACAGTGTTGTGATTATTTTGTACTAGTCTTATTGACCCTTCTTGATTGGGAACATTTTAAGAAAGGGTTTTTAAACTTATCCATCTCTGTGTACTCCAGTATCTAGCAATGCATCGAATAGATGGTTGAATAATAATTTTCCTCAAACACAATTTTCCGTATATTAAAGACAACCCTGTGATTCAAAGCTCAATTGTGCCATGTTTTAAGAATGTCTTTATCCAGGAACATCAAAGATGGATAACTTTCCTCAAGAACATTATGAAAGACAGTCCCTATGGGCAGGTACCACAAATAAGTAAAATTTCTTTTGTTTATTTAGTAAAATTTACCTATGTTTTCCAGAATTGCTGTGATCTTTATTTGTTTGTTTATCTAAGCCCTATACCTATAGCTAATACTTTTCCAACCTCTTAGCCTCCATTATCCCCTTCTTGTTCTGGCCCTCATCACCTGTGTCCTGGACTCTTGCAATAGATTCCCAAGTGATATCTCCGACTTCTGATTCTCTCTCTCTCTACTGTAAACCACCTACAGACTCCAAAGTGGTCTTTCTAAAATATGCTCCAAAGTGGCAATAGACCAGAGTGGTTAAGAGGCTGGGCTTTGCAATCACCATTGCCCAGGTTTTCATCTCTGTTTGGCCACTTGCTGGCTCTGTGACCTTGGACAAATTACTTAACTTTTCCAATCCTCAATTTCTTCTTCCATATTATTCAATAAAATTACTCCTCTCACTCATAGTAATACGATTTGGCTCTGTGTCCTGAACCAAATTTCATCTCACGTTGTAATTCCCAGGTGTCGAGGGAGGAACATGGTTGAATCATGGGGATGGTTTCCCCCATGCTGTTCTCATGAAAGTGAAGGACTTCTCACGAGAGCTGATGGTTTTAAATATGGCATTTCCTGGCTCTCTCTCTCTTTCTCCTGCCACCATGAGAAGGTGTGCCTTGCTTCCCCTTCACCTTCCACCGTAATTGTAAGTTTCCTGAGTCCTCCCCAGTCATGCAGAACTATCAATTAAACCTCTTTCCTTTGTAAATTACCCAGTCTCTGGCGGTTTTTTATAGCAGTGTGAAAACAGACTAATACACATAGTGTTGTTGTGAAAACTTCTCATGTAAAATGCTTAAGTAACATGCCTAGTGTAAGTCTCAGTTACTGAATAGGGCTATCATTTTAGTGTCATTCTTTTGCTAAAAACAAAAACACACTATAAATAGTTTTTAACAGGTTTCCATTTAAAATATACATTTCTTAGCCTGAAATATAAAATGTGAGACTCTTGATAATCTAACATCATTCTATCTTTTCATCATGATTTCCTACTCCTTCCTTCTTGTAAGTCCTCCCTTCAGCCACAAAGGATTTTTCAATTTTCCCACCTCATGTTCACACCTATGAATATGTTGGTCACTCTTACTGGGATTCTCCAGAAGTCCATCTGTTAAACTCCTACCGTCATACATGACTTAAATATAAGCTCCTCTGTGAAGCCTTCCTGGTTACCCCAGACAAAATTAATTCTCCCATTTTGTTCCCAAAGCCGTGTTGTTCTTAATTCTACTAAAGTAGGTTTCTTACAGCATTGTCATTGTTTGTTTATTGGCTCCTCTCAGTAAGCTATAAAATCCTTTTAAGAATGTGTTTTACTGGTTTCTGGGTAGCTAATATGTACTAGAATTGAGTGGCACAAACACCCATAAATATCTGTAAAATAAGTGAATAAATGTATAAATAAATAAATTCATGACCAAATAACTCATTATTTGTGGAAGAAAGATATAAAGTCAGGTAACATGTATTGGCCTGAGTATTTCACTTTTAATATGAAATGACAAAACACACACACACACACACACACACACACACACACACACACGCCCACACAAAGAAAAATCAAAGAAACAATTTAATATCAGAGAATGGTTTTGGAAAACAGTATTCCCTGCACGCCGATTTTAGCCTAATCTTCTAAAGCCTTTCTTCACATCTACAATAACTCCTGGGCAGTCAAAGTTCATAATGGTGACCTGGAGCAACCACAAATCAAAAACCATTTTCTGGTTACTTTTCAATTGACAGGACATTCCATTAATTACAATAATTTAATTCCTGGTCCATCGGGGCTTACTATAGTAAGAAAGGTAGTCAGAATTGTACTTCTGGGATTCATGAAAGCAAATAATCCTAGACAAAGAAAAACCTTTATGCCCAAAGATTTACTCTATGGCATTATATACAATAGCCAAAAAATTACAAACAAGCTAAATGCCTAAAATATAATCGTGTTAAGTGCACGATGGTACATTTACTCAGTGGAATTCTGCTTTTTAGAATTATGCTCTTAATGTGCATATAGTATAATGGGAAAATTAAATGTGTTAAATTTAAAATCAGGGTATATAGCTGCAAATAGACAATTATTACAACCGTGTAATACAAACACTTACAGAAAAATGCTAAAAAATACATCAAATTTAATAATGTTTGGGTAGTGAAGCCATGATTTTTTTCTTTTTGGTAATTTCTAAGTATTCCTTAATGGAATCTAGTATTACTGTTACAAAATATTAAGTAATTGTTTTATTTTATTTATTTATTTAGAGACAGAGTCTTGCTCTATCATCCAGGCTGGAGTGAAATGGTGTGATCTTGGCTCACTGCAACCTCTGCCTCCTGGGCTCAAGCAATTCTCAAGCCTCAGTCTCTCCAGTAGCTAGGATTACAGGCACATGCCACAATGCCTGTAATCCTACTGTAATGCTATTTTTCGTATTTTTAGTAGAGACAGGTTTCTCCATGTTGGCTAGACTGGTCTCGAACTCCTGGCGGCAAGTGATCCACCCAGTTCAGCCTCCCAAAGTGCTCGGATTACAGGCGAGAGTCACCAAGCTTGACCTAATTATTTAATTTAAAAGACTATTTTGATGGACCAAACCTGCCCACTCAAACCACTGGGCTAACTTAGTCCAATGTATGTTAGAAGCTTCTGTGAGTAAGCCATCCTAAAAAGTCACTGTTAGATATTTGCTAAGCTCTTATCTCAGTTCAACAAGCTTTAGTGGAGCACCTATTGTATGAGGTTTTTGTATTAGGTGTTGAGGTGAGAGAGAGAGAAGATGCAAAGAGAATACACAGTATCTCATGGAAGGGACTTCAGCCTCGACTTACGTGGCTGCACAGACCCTACTCGGTCCACTCGTGTGCAGCCTGTCTGTGTCAGATGCTCTAACAGAGATGAGAATAAAGGGCCACACAGGATTCAACTCCACTTGATAGCATGGGAAGCTGACATTTGATTTAGGAGTTAAAGATTGTGAAGTGTAAAATGTGAGGGAGAAACTCCAGAAAGATGAAGAAAGGCATTAAAATGTGCACAGAGTAATGAGTTGTCTGCTGTGATGGGAACATTCAGTATGAGGTGGGGAAAGGCTTGGAAGGAGGCAAGTATAATTGCAGTAATGCATTTGTTGGCAGTGACATAAAAAACCTAAATAAACTTGTTCCTCTTCCAAGCTTTAAATATTATATACTTAATTTATTCTGGAATACTCATATCCATAACTTCATTTCCCATAATTTAGTCTATTTTTTCAGTTCTAGATTTGCATAATTATAGTTACAATTATAAATATAACAACATCAAATCTTTTTCCAGGATTTACCTGTGCCAGGCACTCTGCTAAGTGTGTTCTGTGCATTATCTCAGATGAGCCTCATGAAAACGGTAGGAGTTAGGTCCTTATCCCCCTTCTACAGACGAATAAACTGAGTCACAGAAATGTTAAATATTTTTTCCAAAAATCACACAGGCAGTAAATAGGGATGAAAGGATGTAAAGGCCAAAACTAATCACATGGCATTACATTAAAATTAATTCTCAGGGCTTGAGTCGACCAAATTAGGTAATGCCCTACCAATGTAGTTCAATAAGAAAGTCGCTAGATGGCAGAACCAGCCTAGCTTGCGTAGAGTTGGGACTGGGCGCGGTCAAATCTTGGAAGCCAAGAGGTTTAGCAATGGTTACAGATAGCTGCGTTCCTTCAGACACAGCAGATTGAAATAGGAATAATAATGATTAAGCTTTAAAGGGATTTTTTTTCTTTTTTCAAGTCAAGAATCAAAAACAACTAATCAAAATAATTTCCCACATATTTAAAATGTATAATCAACAAAATAAAACTAAAGAGAATATGTGCTTTTTCATTCCTTCCTTCACCAAGATGGGAGGGTGGAAGGCTGTAATCCTGGCCTTTTAAATTGTAGATATCTCTGGTTTCAAATGGCCACACATCTATCTGCTACAGTAAATCTAGAGTAGTAGACCTTGTTTTATTTACTACCTACCAGGGTAAGAGTGTTACTTACTCTAGTAAAAGTCTGGTAATGAGTCTACTTGGATTGACTTATACATTTCCCTTCATTCTCTTACATTTTCAACTATTGAACTTAGGTTGAATAGGTACAAATCCTAAGTACAAATATTTGTCATGTAGAAACAGTCCAAAAAATACATATATAAGGCAGGACCTAATTTTGTCCTCTGTCATCTGTAATTTAGTTCTTCAGATGGGTTGAAGCCAAAATTCAAACTTTGCTCTAAGACCTAAAATAATCATTTCTGTTAATAGCACTGATAAAATTCACCCAACTTACAGGTATGAATAGATCACAGGGACACTCCAACAATTCTTGGTTTAAAACACAGGCTCTACCCAAAATCACAATATGTGGGGATCTTTGTGTAATGGAGGGCTTAATGATGGGAGCACTCTAAATATGTAAGGGATGCATCAGGCTGAGTCACAGCAAGTTCAGGTCACAATTTACTCACACAAACCATGGGAATCCTTGACTATGCATTTCCTGTTTCTTAGAGGACACATAACCCTGCGCCCCTCACTTGCCTCACATGCTCCTTGCCCATCCCCCAGCCTTATTTAAAAGGGAAAAAAATCCTAGCCAGAAAACATGTCATTAAAGAACACAAAGAAGAATTTGTAATTCCAAAATGTGAAATAAGAAGAACTATTCAGAACCATGCGGAATGAAACAGAAAGTATGTCACCCATTGTGATTTTGCTAGAACATGCCCCAGAGGCTGTTCCTTTAAATGAGAACAAAAAGCCTCTTCTTCCTCCATCTTCCCCTGTTCTTCAAAAGGAAGAAGTGCTAATATCTTTGAATAGGATCCCAGAGTATTTATAGAAGATATATGTATTTTTATGTGTGTACATATACATATATAATCAGCTTTCTTGAGATATAATTAATATAAAATAAAATCCACCGGTTTTATTTTGAATTTTTGATGAGCCTGGTCAAATGTATACTGTTGTGTATCCACCACTGTTATCATGAACATTTCTCATGACTTCAAAAACTGCACATTCCTTTGTGCAAACAATCTTCTACCTCTTTCCCCTCTCCCCGCTCCTGACAATAAATACTCCACTTTCTGTCACTCTAGTTTTCTTTTTCTGGAATGTCTTATAAATGAAATTACACTGTAAGTAGTCTTTTTTATCTGTCTTCTTTCATTCAATATAATGCTTTTTAAGATTCATCCATGATACTGTATATTTCGATGGAGTTTTTAATTGCTGAGTAATATTCCATTGTATGGATATACTACAATTTGCTTATCCCTTCACCAGCACTAAACATTGTTTTGATTTTAGTTTTTAGCTATTATGAATAAAGCTACAAGGAACATTCAAATACAAGTCTGTGTGAACACATGTTTTCATTTATCTTGGGTAAACTCTAGGTCATCTTGTAAGTATATGTTTAACTTCTTGAGAGTCTCCCCCATAGTTTATACAGAGATACACTTACTGGGTGTGGTTCTTCTTTCTAAATCCCCATGTCTGGAATAATAAAAGACCCAGGACCCTCACCGTATGGAAGGTGCCTCAGCCAATGCCCCATCGCTCTGCATTTCATGCATTTACTATAATTTGTATCATGTTGTTACCCGAAGAATAATAACATTCCAAGATTTTATCTGAGCCTGAGTAGAGAAAGCTGTCAGATGCTGCCACCACTCCCACACATCTCAGGCCAGGGGCCTCTTCTTACTCTGGTGTGTTTTACCAGCAAACTTCCATTGTGATCTGAGGTGCCATCAATGCTAATAATAAAGCTGTCCTTGGCTATTCTTTGCCAGGGTTTCTCTGCCTATGCTTCTCCCTCTGGAATGCAAAAGTGCAAGAGATGCTGGTAGCAAGACAACCTTCACATTACTGAATCTCCTCACCAAATGCTCTCCAATTATACCCTATCTACCTTACTGGCCAACACCTGTGTGTAGTGTTACTGGTAGTAGTATTCCCTCGCTAAATATTACATGCTAATGTTGTGTGTTTTTCTGCAGTTCCAGAAGTCAGAATTTGGAATATCTCTGACTGAATTTGGAATTTGGAAGTCAGAATTTGTACTATCTATGACTGAGAAGAGAAGTTATCAATAAAATAAACATAGGGGAAGTTTTTGCATTGATTATATTTAGTATGTATTTATTGAGCATCTGTTAGGTACTAGGAAGTATTGTAAACACTGGGTATACAGCTGGGAACATGACAGAGTCTTCTTTTTATGGATCTTATTTATTTATTTATTTATTGAGATGGAGTTTTGCTCTTGTTGCCCAGGCTGGAGTGCAATGGTGCAATCTCAGCTCACCGCAACCTCCACCTACTGGGTTCAAGCGATTCTCCTGCCTCAGCCTCCAGAGTAGCTGGGATTACAGGCATGTGCCACCACACCTGGCTAATTTTTGTATTTTTAATAGTGACGGGGTTTCTCCATATTGGTCAGGCTGGTCTCGAACTCCTGACCTCTGGTGATCCACCCGCCTCGGCCTCCCAAAGTGCTGGGATTACAGGCATGAGCCACCGCACCTGGCCAGATCTTATTTTTTAATAGGGTGGGGATACACCCAGTTCACCTATGAATGAGCAAACACGTGCACACACACACATACATACACGCAAACATACACACACACCAAGAACAGTATTAATGCTGGGCAAAGAATGAAACCAAGATGATGGGTGAGCAGGAATCTACGGAAGCCTCTCTGAAGAAGCTGGCCAAATAAATACCTGGGGCTGGGTGCCATGGCTCATGCCTGTAATCCCAGCACTTTGGGAGGCTGAGGCAGGAGGATTGCTTGAGCCCAGAAGTTTGAGACCATCCTGGACAACACAGCGAGACCTTGTCTCTACTAAAAATAAAAAAACAAAAAATTAGCCAAGTACACTGGCACATGCCTGAGCCCCAGCTACTAGGGAGGCTGAGGATGGAGGATCACTTGAGCCCAGGAGTTCAAGGCTGCAGTGAGCTGTGATCACATAACTGCACTCCAGCGTGGATGACAGAACGAGACCCTGTTGCAAGAAAAAAAAAAAAAGATCTAGGAAAATGCATCCTGACGCCAAGGAAGCAGGGAAGCAGTGGGGTCAAAGGTTCTATGTTGAACTAACTCTGAAAAACAGAAAGGAAGCTGCTGAGACAGAGCTTGGGGCTGGAGCGTGCTCACGAGGTGGAGCAGGTAAGATTTCCTTGGCCAGAGTCAGGCCTTCAGATTAAGTGCCATATATTCTGTCTCCAAACCCAACGATTACATTACCTTGCCATTGAGAAATGTAGGACTTTACATGAGAATGAAAGAGACTGAGTGAGGCCGAGAGTGAATTAATGAAAGTCTAATAAATATTTTTATGTTCAGTGAACAAAATAATGAAAGTGATCAAGACCACTTATCGTGCCTTCTAAAGAGATACCACCTTCCTCACTCCTCGTTTAGCAACACTTCAAAATTGTATCCAGTCACCTCTTCATATTTGTGAAGATCTTCTTTCAGGTTTATTTATATATCTATTTATTTGCTGTAGTGATGTAGTAGTTTATGAATTTTTGTTTGTTATGCCAACTCTATGCTAATATATGCAAATTAGTGATTATGTTTTTGAAAAGTTGTCTCTCTGAGTGGAACACAATATCAATATGTGATACTTAAGCACTAAATCACAACATAAACAGCAAGGAGATCATTTCTTTTCGTGAGATAGCAATGAGCACAGCAAACCCAAAGGCAGAGAAGCAAGAGACAGGGGTGTGGCGGGCTGCTCAGGCTGGGCTGATTTCATTTTATAACTTGGAATTCACAGCAATGTGCCCATATTTAATACGACATTATCATGGCTTATATGGGTTACATAAAAGTAATTCTGCAAATCCTAAAACACTACAGTAGAGTATTTTGTGGATAGAAAGGGCTTACTTGATTGAAATTCTTAGTAAAGAAATGTTACAATCAATGAATGTTATTTTAAAGGAATTCAAGATGAAAAAAATAATTGAGTCTGTAAAATTTTAGGCATTCCTTATAAATCCTAAGTAATTATCATTATCATTATTATCATACGAATTTACTATGAATTTACGTGGTCAAGCAGTAAACAATGAGTGGATTGTGTATCTACTATCTCATTTAATCCTCCCACCAATCTTATGTGAGTGGCCTATTTTAACAAATATAGAAATTGAGCCTTAGGAATATTAATTAACTTGTCCAATATCACACTTGTCAGTGATTCCATGGCTGAAGTTTTACTCCAAGTCTGTCAAAGTTCAGAGCCTCAGCTCTTAAGCACCACATGTACTGTCTCAGAAGGAGGATAGACCAGAAAAACAAAAATGGTCCTCTGGGGCAGGCAATTTCATAATGACTGTAAAAGCTATTAAAAAAAAATTTCATCTTCTGAGTAAGCCGGAGATTCATTTCCATGTTTCTACTCACTCATTTATTCAACAAGTATTTACATGTCAGGCAGTGTTCTCTGCACTGAAAATAGGATAAGAAATGAAACAAAATCTCTACCCTCCAGAAGCTTATAGTAGGGGAGATGTATTAGTTTTCCAGAGCTGATGTAACAAATTACTACACATTGGGTGGTTTACAACAATAGAAATTTATTCTCTCATAGTTCTGGAAGCCAGAAGTTCAAAATCAAGGTGTGGCTGGTAGGGCTGCTGATCCCTCTAAAGACTCCAGGAGATAGTCCTTCCTTCCCTCTTCCAGCTACTGATGGCTGCAGGAGTTCCTTGACTGTGACTGCATCACTCTAAGCTCTGCCTCCTGCGTGTGGCCTTCCCCACTGTGTCTTCTCCCCTCCATTCTCCTATCAGGACTTGGCACTGGATATAGGATCCATCTGGGTAATCCAAGATGATCTCATCTCAAGATCCTTAACTTAATTACCTGGGCAAAAATCTTTTTTTCTGAATAAAGTTCCAATCTCAGGCTCTGGGTATGACATCATGGGGAAGGACTCCCCATTGAGCTGTCCACCTGCCCAACACTTTGCATGACAAAAAAGATGTCCACTGTGTTTGAGGCATCCTAGAATTCTAGTTCTACTCACTATAGCAGTTATCATTTCTTAAGGAATACACAGCAGGGAGAGCATTAAAGCAGCAGGTACAAAGCCCTGACAAAGAGCATGCTCCGTGTGTTCGCAGAGAAGCAGGAAGGACAGCCAGTACAGCTGGAATGAAGTAGGCAATAAGGAAAGTGCCAGAAGATGAAGTTGTAGAGGTCCAGGGGCCACATCATGTACCATTACAGATGACAATAGACTACTCTAACTTGGGAAGTCACTGCAGAATTTAACTGAGGAGTGACATAATTTAAGAGGATTACCATGGCTTCTGCAAGGAAAACAGAATGTAGAAAGGCAAGTGCTTGAAGCAGGGAGACCAGTTAGGAAGCTATTGCAGTCATCAAAGCAAGACCTGGTGGTGCTTAGTTTAGGCTTGTATCAGTCAAGGTGGGAGAGTGCGTAGGTGAGAGAGATGTTTTAAAGGTATAGCCAACAAGATTTCCTGACAGATTGAGTACAAACGTGAGAGGATGAGAGAACATGAGGATGACTCTGAGGTTTTGGGGCTGATCCAGAAGGATGAAACTGCCATTTACTCTGTTCCATAAAGGCAACCCTCATGTCAATATCCCATGGACACCTACAGTGACCACGATGCAGCCTTCACAGAGCCTCTGGATGAAGAATTCTTAAAGAGAAATAGCAGGACTAAAAAAGATTTGTTGCTTCTATTCTTTGGGACATGCTCTCAGTATGCTTTCATCCTCCCACACAAAAGATTTTTTTTCTTTTTAAGTGTTGCCATCTACTCTGTATTTGACACCTGTGTGGTTTTATTGTGTGTGTTTTTTTTTTAAGTGTACATTAGTGGTTTTTGTCTGCAGAACACGTTTACAAAAAGCAGGAACTATTGCTATTTGAGTATCTATGCACTGTCTTCTTAGATACCTTATGCAATGAATTAGGAACTTAAGTATTGTTTGATAACTGATCACATCATCATTTTGATGTAGCCAAAAAAAAAATAGTCTCCAAATAAAAAGTCCTTCTGTAGGTAGCCTACCTAGCCCAGAGTGTGAGCCCTCAAGAAACAGAAGGATTCTACATATTATCACGACTTCTTTAGAATGAAGAGCAGATTCTTGAAGCGATCATAGAAGATAATTCCCCCTCTATTCTCAGAAAGTGCAAATTTCTTGGAGAAAAAAACTAAGCCCAATGTATGTTTTATTCTACAAAGAATCCTTTTCTCCTGCTTCCTAGCCATTAAACAGATGCCGTTTCCAAATAAGTGATTGCTATGGTATGAATGTTTGTCCCCTCGAAAACTCATGTTGAAATGTAATTGTCATTGTAACAGTATTAAGAGGTAGGATTTTAAAGAGGTGATTAGCATGAGGGCTTCACCCTCATGGATGGGATTAGTGCCCTTATAAAAGGGTGCATCCTTCTCCACTTTTGCTCTCCTTTGGCTCTTCTGCCACACAGAGACCAGTGTTTCTTCCCTCGAGAGGATGCAGCATTTAAGGCGCGGTCTTGGAAGCAGAGACCAGGCACTTACCAGACAACAAACCTACCGGCACCTTCATGTTAGACTTCCTAGCTTCCAGAACTGAAATAAATAAATCTCTGTTCTTTGTAAATTACCCAGTCTCAGGTGTTCTCTTATAGCACCGCGAAGTGAGCTGAGACAGTGATGACAGCCCTTTTCTTGATGCTAAATAAAAATATCTTTTAGATTGCAACAGAAGAAAGTTATTCAAGAAAAATATTAACAGGCAAATTCATTCAGACCCCTAGTCTACAACGTTCCTTAGCAATAGGTATAGACAAATACATGATAAATTTTTAAAAAATATGAAACAGCTCTATTTCTTTCTGGATACAGGTCTGAGCAGGACATGGGTTCTTAGCTTGTTATCCTTTGGGCTGGCTCAGGACAAGGAACAGGATCTGGATAGTAGCACCAAATTCTCTTGGGCAAAGGTTTATGATCCACCTAATAAGACAAGGTATCCAATATTCAAAGATGAAAATTTGGTCCTGCTCCCCAGTGGACAGTAGGCATCAAAACTAGATTGAATTCCGATTTTCCACCTGTGCTACACAGAGTAGGTTTACTGCATTACAAACAAACACAAAATGTGCATTCCGTTTTCTCTAATGTTGCAGTCCAATGTTGAGTTCCCTTTCCAGACAGCTTTCTGCCATATCCTTCATGGACTGAGGCTTCTTCCATTGTGGCTCCTCCCTTCTCCTGATCTTCTTGTCCTCTCCAGTAAATCACAAGAGGGAAAGGGGCATGTGTAGACTTGTGGGCAAGTTTTTATGAGACAGCCTTAGAGAAGAAACACATTTCTTCCCACATTCCGTTAGCTAACTCAGTCACGTGGCCACAGTGAACAGGAATGGAGGGAGGGAAAACCTGACAGTTGAGTGCCTAGGAAGAAAAGGAAATGAGTCATGGAGGACACATCACAGATGGGACATTGGTTTGTTATTTCCAAACACGAAAATCAGCCAGCTGCAGTGGCTCACAGCTGTAATGCCAGCACTTTGGGAAGCCGAGGCAGGAGACTTGCTTGAGCCCAGGAGTTTGTGACTAGCCTGGACAACACTGTGAGACCCTGACTCTACAAAAAATAACAATTAAGAAAATAGCTCAGTGTAGTGGTGTGGGCCAGTAGTCCCAGCTACTTGGAAGGCTGATCCCAGGAAGTCAAAGCTGCAGTGAACCATGATTATGCCACTGCACTCTAGCCTGAGTGACAGAGTGAGACCCTGTCTCAAAATAAAAAAATCAGAAAACATGGAAATCTGTTGGTGGCAGAATCTTCGTGGACTTGCCAAGATTTTACGTATTACTATTGCCTTTGTTGTTTTAATATTTATAAGGAAACATCACCCAGCCAAAGAAAATAAATAGAAACAAAAAACTATGTTGAGGTGTTCATAAGAATCTTTGAAATAGAATCTTCAAATTCTTTTGTCAGTTCCTCATCATTTATTATGTTAAGGAAAAGTCAAGCACCCATTATTTCTTATTTTTAAAATATTAATTTTCAGGAGCCTTCCATTTCTGGATTCTGTATAAGCCCAAAATCTCCAGTTTTTCCTGGCTCTCTACTCTTCACAAGGAATCAGTCATCCTGAAAGAGAAAAACAGAAGTACCTATAAATGTGGTGTGATGAAGGAAGAGATTCATCAGTCAGATTATCTTAAGTGGCTCCAGGCAAGGAAGGAAGATGGTGGATAGGAGACAAGGCTAATGTGCACCTCCCACATGTATGGACAGAACTGCATGTGGAGACTCACACCATGAACTTTTGCTCAAAGAACCACCACAGGAATATACCAGAAAATACAAATGCATTCACAAATCCTTTGAAAGAAGTGGCATGCCACTGCAAATTTCATGACACAGGGAAAAACTGTGAGTTCCCAAAGTGTGAGAGGGGGAAATCCTGCCTCTGAACACACATCCCCACTGGGGAACCTGAAAATCCAGGTCACAGGAGAAAGAGCTAACCTTATGCAGAGCTAAAAAGGATTTAGGGAGCCACATGAAACATAAAAGCAGAAGCGGCTGCAGAAAGAGCCTTGTAGGCAGTCCCAGTCCCCAGCTCAAGCCCAGGGAAGCCATCCCTGACTATATTTCACAGGGGCCTTAGGGGAAGGAAGCCAACAGAATTAGGGAGGAGTCACAGGGTGAAAGAAGCTCCCAACTGAGCTTCCTAATAATTTTCAAATGGGCACAAGTTTTCTTAAGCAGAATCCAGGGGGTGAATGAGAACTGCTACATATACAAGCACAGGAGCTGCTGCTGACATCATGGGCAGACAGGGAGGGACCAGGCCCTAAAGTCATGCTTGCTTCCTCAGCGAGGAAGCATATAACCTGGAGCAAGGTCTGAGTCCCATGCACAGGCTGCCTGGATCTAAACTTTGTGCTGTTAGTGGGACACTGAGGGAGTGAGACCGGCTTCACCAACTGTGTGGGAGCTGGGTGAGGTCTATTGCTACCAGCTTTCCCCCCTACTTCCCTAGTGAACTATATGGCCCAGCAGAGACAGTCATAATCCCTTCTGGAGCATAACCCCATTGACCTGAGAACCACCTTCCCATCTCCCACAATGGTTGCAGCAAGCCCTGCACAAGGTCAGTCTAAGCTCAGACCCACCTAACCCTGCCCCCACCTGATATTTCCCTATCCACCTGGTAGCCAAACACAAAAGACATAAACTCTTAGGAGCTTTATGGCCCCTCCTATTGAGAAACCCAAATACTTACCCTGCCCAGCTTAGGGCAAGCTTACATCCCCCTTCTACTACCACAGCTGGTGCTCTCTTGAAAGTGCCACCTCCTGGCTGGAGCCCAACCAACCCAGGTCATTACAGCAATTCATGACAGAATAACCCTGCTCCCAGAAGGGAGAAAACTACAGCTAATTCCACTGCCTGCAGCATCCTGGATCACCAGAGGTCCTGAGTCTGTCCACATGATAACTTCACTGCTGGCATAGCCAGCATTCAAGAAAGCCAGCACACTAAACATATCTACAAGCAAGGACTCACACAGAGTTTACTTCACTTTCCTGCCACCTCCACCAGAGCAAGTGCTGGTATCCAGGGCTGAGAGACCTGAAGACAGATCACATCACAGGACTCTTTGCAGACATTCCCCAGCACCAGCCCAGAGCCTGGTAACCTCATTGGGTGGCTAAGTCCAGAAGAGCAATAACAATCACTGCAGTCTGGCTCTCAGGAAGCGCCATCCATAGGGGAAATGGGAGAGCACCACATCAAAGGATCACCCCATGGGACATAGGAATCTGAACAGCAGCCTTTGAATTCCAGATCTTTCCACCGAAATAGTCTACCCAAATGAGAAGAAATCAGGAAAGTAATTATGGTAGTATGACAAAATAAGATTCTATAAACATCCCTCAAAAGATCACACTAGCTCCTGAGCAATGTATCCAAACCAAAAAGAAATCTCTGAATTGCCAGATAAAGAATTCAGAAGGTTGATTATTAAGCTACTCAAGGAGATACTAGAGAAAAGTGAAAAACAACTTAAACAAATTTAAAAAACCATACAGTATATGGATGAAAAATTCTCCAGAGAATTAGATATCATAAAGAAAAAAAATCACAACATCTGGAAATGAAAAACACACTTAGAGATATATAAAATGCACTGAAAAGTTTCAACAATAGGCTAGAACAAACAGAAGAAAGAACTTCAGAGTTTGAAGACAAGGCTTTCAAATTAACCCAATCCAACAAAGACAAAGAAAAAAAATTTTTTTTAAAAAATGAACAGAGCCTCCAAGAAATTTGGGATTACATTAAATGACTAAACTTAAAATAATTGGTGTTCCTGAGGAAGAAGAGAAATCTAAAAGTTTGGAAAACTTATTTGAGGATATAATTGAGGAAAACTTCCTGGCCTTGTTAGAGACCTAGACATCCAAATAAAAGAAGCTCAAAGAACAACTGGCAAATTCATCACAAAAAGATCATCACCTAGGCAGAGTCATCAGGTTAACCAAAGTCAAGACAAATGAAAGAATATGAAGAGCTGTGAGGCAAAAGCATCAGGCAATCTATAAAGGAAAACCTATCAGATTAGCAGCAGACTTCTCAGTAGAAACCCTACAAGTCAGAAGGGATGGGGGTCCTATCTTTAGCCTCCTCAAACAAAATCATTGTTAGCCAATAATTTTATATCCAGCAACACTAAGCTTTATAAATGAAGGAGAAAGAAAATCTTTTTCAGACAAACAAATGCTGAGAGAATTCACCACTACCAAGCCAACACTACAAGAAATGCTAAAAGGAGTTCTAAATCTTGAAATAAAATCTTGAAATACACCAAAATGGAATCTTTTTTTTTTTTTTTTTTTGAGACTAAGTCTCACTCTGCCACCCAGGCTGGAGTGCAGTGGTGCAATCTCAGGTCACTGCAACCTCCGCCTCCTGGATTCAAGCAATTCTTGTGCCTCAGCCTCCCAAGTAGTTGGGACTACAGGCACTCGCCACCATGCCTGGCTGATTTTTTTTGTATTTTTAGTGGAGCCTATAAAACAAAAACACAATGAAAAAAAGGTATTCAGGCAATCAGGCAACAAGTATCATGATAAATAAAACAGTCCCTCACATATCAATACTAACATTAAATGTAAATGGCCTAAATGCTCCACTTAAAAGATACAGATAGATTAAAATCCACAAACCAAGTATCTGCTGTCTTCAACTCAAGTAACACATAAGGGCTCACATAAACTTAAGGTAAAGAGGTGAAAAAAGATATTCCATGCAAATGGATACCAAAAGCCAGCATGAGTAGCTATTCTTATATCAGACAAAACAGACTCTAAAGCAACAGCAGTTAAAAATGACAAAGAGGGACATTATATAATAATAAAAGGACTGGTCTAACAGGAAAATATCACAATCCTAAATATATGTGCACCTAAAACTGGAGCTCCCAAATTTATAAAACAATTACTACTGGACCTAAGAAATGGCATAGATGTCAACACAATAATAGTGGGGGGACTTCAATAGTCCACAGACAGCACTGGACAGATTGTCAAGACAGAAAGTCAACAAAGAAACAATGGAGTTAAACTATACCCTACAATAAATGGACTTAACAGATATTTACAGAACATTCTACTCAACAACTGCAGAATATACATTTTTTTCATCAGCACATGAAACATTCTCCAAGATAGACCATATGACAGGCCACAAAACAAGTCTCAATAAATTTAAGAAAATCAAAAATATATCAGTTACCCTCTCTGAACACAGTGGATTAAAACTGGAAATTAACTCCAAAAGGAATGCTCAAAACTATACAAATACATGGAAATTAAATAATCTGCTCTTGAAATATCTTTAGGTCAACAATGAAATCAATATGGAAATTTTAAACTTGTTTGAACTGAATGATAGTAGTGACATAGCTGATCAAAACCTCTAGGATACAGCAAAAGTGATGCTAAGAGGAAAGTTCATAACATTAAATGAATACATCGAGAAGTCTAATTAAGCACAAATATACAATCCAAGGTCACACTTCAAGTAACTAGAGAAACAAGAACAAACCAAATCCAAACCAAGTAGAAGAAAAGAAATAACAAAAATCAGAGCAGAACTAAATGAAACTGAAACAAACAAACAAAAAATGTACAAAAGATAAATAAAACAAAAAGCTGATTCTTTGAAAGGATAAACAAAATTGATAGACCATTAGAGAGATCAACTAAGAAAAGAAGGAAGGAGATCCAAATAAGCTCAATTGGAAATGAAATGGGAGATATTACAACTGATACCACAGAAATACAAACGATCATTCAAGTCTTCTATGAACACCTTTATGTGCACAACCTACAAAATCTAGAGATGGATAAATTATTGGAAATATACAGCCCTCCTAGATTAAATCAGGAAGAAATAGAAACTCTGAACAGACCAATAACAAATGGCAAGATTGAAACAGTAATTTTTTTAAAATTGCCAAGAAAAAATGTCCAGGACCAGATGGATTCACAGCTGAATTCTACCAGACATTCGAAGGAGAATTGGTACCAATCTTACTGAAACTATTCCAAAAGAGGGAATCCTCCCTAAATCATTCTATGAAGCCAGTATTTACCCTAATACCAAAACCAGAAGAGGACATAACAAAAAAGAAAACTACAGACCAATATCCCTGAGGCACATAGATGTAAAAATCCTCAACAAAATAGTAGCTAACTGAATCCAACAGCATATCAAAAAGATAATCCACCATGTTCAAGTAGGTTTCATACTAGTGATGCAGAGATGCTTTAACACATGCAAGTCAATGAATGTGATACCTCACATAAATAGAATTAAAAACAAAAATCACATGATAATCTCAATTGATGCAGAAAGGCATTTGACAAAATCCAGCATCCTTTATGATTAAAAACCTCAGCAGGGCTGGGTGCAGTGGCTCACACCTGTAATCACAGCACTTTGGGAGGCCAAGGTAATGGATCACCTGAGGTCAGGACTTCAAGACCAGCCTGGCCAACATGTTGAAATCCTGTCTATACTAAAAATACAAAAATTAGCTGGGCATGGTGGTGGGCACCTGTAATCCCAGCTACTCAGGAGGCTGAGGCAGAAGAATCACTAGAACCCAGGAGACAGAGGTTGCAGTGGGCCAAGATCACTCCCACTGCACGTCAGCCTAGGTGACAGAGTGAGACTCCATCTCAAAAAATAAAAATAAAAAAAAACCTTTAGCAAAATTGGCATAGAAGGGACATACCTCAAGATAATAAAAGCCATATATGACAAACCCACAGCTAACATTATACTGAATGGGAAAAAGTTGAAAGCATTCCTCCTGAGAACTGGAACAAGACAAGGATGCCCACTTTCACCACTGCTATTCAACATGGTACTGGAAGTCCTAGCCAGAGCAATCAGGCCAGAGAAGGAAACAAAGGTCATCCAAATAAGTAAAAAAGAAGTCAAACTGTCACTGATCGCCAGCGATATGATCATATACCTAGAAAACCCTAAAGACTCATCCAAAATCCTCCTAGATCTGATCAATGAATTCAGTAAAGTTTCAGGATACAAAATCAATGTACACAAATCAGTAGCACTGCTATCCACCAACAGGGACCAAGCTGAGAATCAAACCAAGAACTCAATTCCCTTTACAACAGCTGCAAAAAATAAAATACTTAGGAATATACCTAACCAAGGAGGTGAAAGACTTCTACAAGAAAAACTACAAAACACTGCTGAAATAAATCATAGATGACACAAACAAATGGAAACATATCCCATGCTCATGGATAGGTAAAATCAGTATTTTAAAAATGACCATACTGCCAAAAGCAATCTACAGATTCAATGTAATTCCCATCAAAATACCACCATCATTCTTCACAGAACTAGAAAAAAATTCCTGAAATTTATATGGAACCAAAAAAGAGCCCACATAGCCAAAGCAAGACTAAGCAAAAGAACAAATCTGGGGGAATCACATTGCCCAACTTCAAATTATATCACAAGGCTATAGTTACCAAAACAGCATGTTACTGATATAAAAATAGGCACATAGACCAATGGAACAGAATAGAGGACCCAGAAATAAAGCCAAATACTTACAGCCAACTGATCTTCAGCAAAGCAAACAAAAACATAAAGTGGGGAAATGACACCCTATTCAACAAATGATGCTAGGATATTTGGCAAGCCACATGTAGAAAAATGAAACTGGATCTTCATCTCTCACCTTATACAAAACTCAACTCAAGATGGATTGAAGACTTAAATCTAAGACCTGAAACCCTAAAAATTCTAGAAAATAACTTTGGAAAAACTCTTCTAAATATTGGCTTAGGAAAAGAGTTCACGATCAAAAACCCAAAAACAAATGCAACAAAAACAGAAATAAATAGATGGGACCTAATTAAACTAAAAAGCTTCTCTACAGCGAAAGAAATAATCAGTAAAGTAAACAGACAACCCACAGAGTGGGAGAAAATCTTCACAATCTATGCATCCAACAAAAACTAATATTCAGAATCTACAAGGAACTCAAACAAATCAGCAAGAAAAAACAAATAATCCCATCAAAAAGTGGGTAAAGGACATGAACAGACAATTCTCAAAAGAAGATATGCAAATGTCCAACAAACATATGAAAAAATGTTCAACATCACTAGTTATCAGGTAAATGTAAATCAAAACCACAAGAATATACCACTTTACTCCTGCAAGAATGGCCATAATCAAAAAATGACAGATGTTGGCGTGGACATGGTGAAAAGGGAACACTTTTACACTGCTGGTGGGAATGTAAAGTAGTACAATCACTATGGAAAACAGTTTGGAGATTCCTTAAAGGACTAAAAGTAGAACTACCATTTGATCCAGCAATCCCACTACTGAGTACCCAAAGAAAAAGAAGTCATTGTATGAAAAAAGACACTTGCACACATATGTTTATAGCAGCACAATTCCAAAAATATGGAAGCAGTCTAAATGCCCATCAACCAACGAGTGGATGAAGAAAATGTCATATATATAGAGATATATATATATACACACAGCATGGAATACTACTCAGCCATAAATAGGAATGAAAAAATGGCATTTGCAGCAACCTGGATGGAGTTGGAGACCATTATTCTAACTGAAATAACTCAGGAATGGACAACCAAACATCATTTGTTCTCACTTATAAGTGGGAGCCAAGCTATGAGGACACAGAGGTATAAGAATGATATGATGGACTTTGGGGACTTGGGGGAGCGGGGAGGAAGAGGGGGCGAGGAATGAAAGCCTACACATTAGGTACAGTGTACATTGCTCAGATGATGGGTGCACCAACGTCTCAGAAATCACCACTAAAGAACTTATCCATGTAACCAAGCACCACTGGTTCCCCAAAAACTATTGAAATAAAAAAATAAAAAGCAGTAAGATGCCTGCGGTGAAAAGTTACCTTTGTAACCAGACCACCTGAGACTAGTTACAACCAAGATAGTCAGCTGAACAACTTTAAAAAGACCTCAGGCTTCATTATAATCTCATTTCCATGCTAAATGACACTCTCACCAGCACCATGACAGTTGATAATTGTCATGACAATGACCAGAAAAAACTATAAAGGACAAACAGGAAGGTGGCACTCTGGTTCTGAGAAATTCACCACCTATTTCCAAGAAAGACATAAATATTTCTCCCTTCACTTTTAATGTCCAGCCCCTTCGTTAGAGAAACCCTATATTGTAATGCCCTCAGTAGGTGAGAAGTTGATTTGTGAGCCATGCTTTTTCTTCTCTGCTCTTTGGCCATCCAATAAAGCATACTCGGCTTGATGCTCAAGAAGAAAAAAAGAAAACAAAAGGCTTTGAAACTATGGCTGCAGAGAAAAACTACTGGCTATAAGTTAAATGAAGAATATGCTTTTCATAACTGTACTGGTTTTGTTTCCAAATTTCTGTAGATAATCTTAAGATTAAAGAAAAATTCAAAGATCTTGATTATGAATTTTAGTTGGATAATAAAATTTCTTAATTTTTAAATATTAAATAGGAGGTATTTGGCTGGGAGTGGTGGCTCACACCTGTAATCCCAGCACTTTGGGAAGTCGAGGTGGGTGGATGACTTGAGCTCAGGAGTTCAAGACCAGCCTGGGCAACATGGTGAAACCCCATCCCTATAAAAAGTTAGCCAGGTGTGGTAGTACACGCCTGTAGTCCCAGCTACTTGGGAGGTTGAGGAGGGAGGATCACTTGAGCCTGGGAGTTTGAGGCTGCAGTGAGCTGAGATCATGCCACTGCACTCCAGTCTAGGTGACAGAGTGAAACCGTGTCTCAAAAAAAAAAAAAAAAAAAAAAAAAAAGGCAGGTCCTCATAATGAAGAATATTGAAAATGAAAGCTTCATTCCATGGTCCAAAAAAAAAGTAAAAGTAAAAAGTCCATTGTAGTGCAAATCCACCTGACTAAGGGTGTAAGCCACACATGAGCACACACCAGCATGCACCCAGACATGAGCAGAGTCTGACAGCACCTCCACACCCGTGTTCCCCCAAGTAAGTCGCCCTTTGTGACTATGTCTATAATATCTTTAGGCCCATGCTTTCCACTTGTCACTATCACGCAATGATATATTTCAGAATAAAATCAACACCAGCCATCCTGCCTAAAGTCAATAGCTGTAGTTCAGGACAGTTCTATTAGGTTGGTGCAAAAGTAACAGCAAGGGACAAAGATGAGAGAAGCCAAACAGTTGTATTTGAATCCGGAAGGTACATTTTGAAACCCAATGCATTGCTACAATTCCCTCAGGTATTTCTTCTTTTACAACCAAAGGAGGCAGCTCATCCTTGAGTGGTCCCACAGAACTGTGCACTGAACAATAGTACTTATACAAATAGTAAACTGTGATACAACACTTGTCTATGAACTTGCTATTCAAAACATGGTTCCTCTCTCCAAACAGCTTCAGCATCACCTGAGGGCTCTTTAGAAACAAAGAATCAATCTCTGGCCCACTCCAGGATGACTGAATTGAAATTCCAGTTTTAACAGGATCTCCAGGTGATTTTTAAGCTCATCAAATCTGGGAAGCACTGTTCTATACGGTTCTGGGTCTTCATTGCTACCATCTCATCTCCTATTGATTTCTTAACACAATCTTCATGTGAAACTCAATTGAGTTTTGTTGCTATCTCTTTATTAGTCTCACTAGGAGGAAGAAGTCAGTAGTCACGAAATCCAATTTAATTAAATGGGCCTGTTAATTAGGGCACAAATGCTTCATCTTGAATTAATCCAGTTGATTACTCGGGTGGAGAAAATTTGCTGAGTTTACAAAGGATAATATGATGAGGTGGAGGGACAGAGCCACTAATCCTGATTTTCTTCAAAATCTACTTATACTAAATACATACAAGTTTATTTGTTAATTTCAATAAATAAATTTGAAAAAAGAAAATATCTACTTGTAATAAATATTTTAAAATATTTTACAATAATCATAGCAAAATGAAATTTTATCTTGTTGCTCAAAATTCACACTCAGTTGTTAAAATTATGAGAGCAAAATTATAAACAATTACCGCATGCATATTTATTTATTTGATTGCCAAATCCTACAGCATGCATAGGAAATACCATTTTCAAAAGGAATTAATAGAAACTCGACCAAGTCCATATGCATTTATGCAAGTCAATTTATTAATGTCAAAGATTATCAAAATACATTTGAAATGGTTTTTTTATTGTGACATTTTATAGAGAGCATTATTCAAAAATTATTGACATACTTTAATTGGCAAAGGGTACAACTGAAACTCTTATCCTTGAGAGTTCTTTTATGCTCTAGAAATACAAGCCTAAGGCAATACTACAATTAGTGTAAGTGGACTCTACTCTTTAAAAAATGTGAGACCAATTATTCTCATGACTGACGAAATCCCACATGACCTTAAGTATTCCCACAATATATCAAGGACATTTTTTCTATGGAAAGTGCCAAGAACTTATTCAGGAATGCTTTATGAAAAAGAGAATTTTCCCACAGTGGAACAGAGGAAATGCATGTTGAAAGGCAAGCACTAATATGTAATAGGAAGCATGTGACCTACTTAATTATGTGCCCTTGGGACATGCAATGTGTTTGCAAAGCAATGAAGGCCTTAAAGGTCATATTTGAGGAGCACAAATCAGATGTAAGAAGGAAGACGAAGGAATCCTGGCTGCGTGGCATCTTAATGAGATGAAACATCCTGTTACATCTTCACAGTTTATGGCTATTGACTGCGATCACAAAACCCCAAGAGAAGCAGCAGAAATGCTTATTAAAATAGTGGAAAGCATACTGCATTTACAAATGAAATATGCTGCAATTGAATGATATTAACAAAGAAATGGATTGGGCTTTTTTTCCTGTAGATTATAAAATTTGTAAGTAAAATAAAATTACATTTTTCAAATCTAATGGTTTTCCTATTACAGTCTTCAGGCCTCTTTATAGAAACAGAGGCAAGGATGATAATTCCTTGCCAAATTATATCCTCAAAAGAGCTGTCCGCAAAGTGAAATTCTCAAAAATCTCTCTCGTGTAAATAATTCATAGAGAGTTGCTGAGACCCTATTTTGAAACAGAAGACATCATGCCAAGAGCTCCAGTTGGGACTGGCCCTCTCTGTGCCCTCAGATGGCACTAAGTAATTTGGGCAAAGTAGCTGCCTTCTCACAACTTCAATGCCCGTATCTCTGAAAGGGCATTTCCCAAAATGAGTGTGCGCTTTTAATGAATTACAAATGCACATACAAAAGATGCACTTTATGGAAGCCGTCCCAGCATATTATAAATGGAACAACTATAATGACTGTCAAAGTAAGCCCAAAGCTCATGAAATAATAATACCCTGTACTTAGCATTTTTCTCTGAGGAGCTTAGAGCACTTTAGAGGCTTGAAAATGTTTCTCTTTTTAGTAAAAAAGTCTTTTAAAAGTCTATTCCTGAATGTTGAGCGAGATAAATTATACTCATTTCAGCACACTATTGTGTAATTCTCAATATAGTATTCACTGTGCATCAAACTGTTTATCCGAATGCTTTTTTTTCCAAGAAGATGATGTGAGAACATTTCCTGCTTTTCTTTCAGACTATCTTATTTCATCTCTGGGTCCTTATATTTAATTAAAATATCCTTTCTTAAATTTCACATTTATTCCACAGACCAGACAAGGAAATGTACACTACAGCTGAATTTTAATGCATGAGCAGTAATTGTAAAGCTTCTCACATGTATGAGTTTTCTGCCCTTATGTATTTAAGAAGCCATATTTTCTTGAGAAAGATTATATTTGGGAAGTTGGTCAGTCCCTTAGTTAAACCATGTGCTCTATTTTCTTTTTAGTTTGTTTGGTTTTGTTTTGTTTGAGATGGAGTTTCACTCTTACCACCCAGGCTGGAGGGCAATGGCACAATCTCGGCTCACTACGATCTTCATCTCCCGGGTTCAAGAGATTCTCCTGCTTCAGCCTCCTGAGTAGCCTGGCTGATTTTTGTATTTTTAGCAGAGACGTGGTTTCACCTCGTTGGCCAGGCTGGTTTCGAACTCCTGAACTCAGGTGATTCACCTGTCTCAGCCTCCCAAAGTGCTGGGATTACAGGCGTGAGCCACCTCGCCCGGCCCACGTGCTCTATTTTCTTTTGAGGGGAGGGAGGAGTTTAAGTCAAGTTTACTGAGGTATAATTTATATACAATAAAATTTCATCTTTTAAGATGAATCTGTATAAATATATATAGTTATGTAACCACCACCACAAACAAGATGCTTAATATTTTTATCATCCTCCAAAGTTCCTCAAGCCCCTTTGCAATCACCACCCCCATCCCCAGCCCCTATAAACCACCAGTCTACGTTCCATCACTACAGTTTGCCTTTCGTAGGATGCCTTATGGACTCATACAATAGGTGGTCATTTGTCTCTAGCTTCTTTCACTTAGCAGAACGTTTTTAAGACTCATTCATATTGTTGTGTGTGCCCATAGTTTATTCCTTTTTATTCCTGAGTGATATTCCACTCTGTGAGTTCCACATCTTATTATCCATTTAGCAGTTGATGGGTTGTTTCCAGTTTGGTTGATTATGAATAAAATTGCTGTAAACATTCACATCTGTATCGCAGTTTGGACATGTATATTTACATCTCTCGAATAAATACTAGGAGGCGGATTGCTTGGCCTGTGGAAAGTGTGTGTTTAACTTGTAAGAAACTTCCAAACCATGTCCAGAGTGGTTATACCATTTTGTATTCCCACCAGCAACATATGAGAATCACAGTTGCTCCACATCCTCACCTACAATTGAAATTAATCGTTTTTATTTTAGCCATTCTATGTATTTAATTCTATCTCATTATGGTTTTATTTTGCATTTCCCTAATAATGAATGATATTAAACATATTTTCATGTCCTTATTGGCCATTTGTGTATTTTCTCTAGTGAAGTGTCTCTTCAAATGTTTTCCCATTTTTAAATCATAAGAACTCATGCCCTTGTCTTTTCCAGTTTCTAGAAGCTTCCCACATGCCTTGGCTTGTGGCCATTCCTCTGTCTCTAAAGCCATTACTGTTTTTCTCCATCCATCCAGTTTTTCTCACATCACATCCTACTGATTTTCTCATCTGCCTCCCTCTTCTACTTTTAAGTACTCTTGTGATTACATTGGACCCACCTGGATAATCCAGTAAACTCTCCCTATCTTAAAGTCAGCTTGTTAACAACATTAATTCCATCTGCATCCTTAATTTTCTTTTCTCATGTAATATAATCTATTCACAGGTTCTGGGGGTTAGAACAAGGACATCTTTGGGGGGTCGTTATCTGCCTACCACAGACAACATGGTAAGAAATCAGACTAAAAGCATCTGTGCTACTATAACCTCTAGCCTATCTTGTTTCTGTTTTTGTTTTGAGACAGGGTCTTGCTCTGTTGCCCAGGCTGGAGTACAGTGGTGTGACCATGCTCACTGTAACCTTGAACTCCTGGGCTCAAGCGATCCTCCTGTCTCAGCTTCCCAAGTAGCTGAGGTGTGCACCATCGCACATCACTAATTTTTTGTTGTTGTTGTAGAGTTGGAGATCTCACTCTGTTGCCCAGGCTGGCCTTGGGCAACACAGTGAGACCCCCAGGTACATACTACCATACCCTGCTATTATTTTTTTTATTTTTTTGTAGAGACAGGTGTCTCATTCTCTTGCCCAGCCTGGTGTTGAACTCCTGGCCTTAAGTGATCCTCCCACCTCAGCTTCCCAAAGCGCTAGGATTACAGGTGTGAACCACCACATCCGGCTCAGCCTATTTCTTTATAGTAGTTAAGAGACACACTGCACTGCACTGCACTGATCCATTTGCTTGTCTGCCCCTAGCCCTTAAATTGTGAACTTTTTAAGGAAAGGGGCTGAATTTTTTCTCTCTAGACCTTACAGCAATAGGCTTGCCATATACAAGGTAGTCAAAAATATTTGGTAGATGAATGAATGAACGTAAAATTAATGAACAAAATTTCTTTAAATCAACCTGCTTGTCTTGCTCTCATTTATTTTCATCACAATACTCTACGCTGAATGGGTTATTTCTTGGATCCACTGCTTACTTTCTCCATGACTTTGAGCTTCTGTATGAGTTTTCTATTGCTGATGTAACAAAATACCCCAAATTTAGCAACTTAAAAGAACACCCATTTATTATCTCACAAGTCTGTAGTTCAGAAGTCTGGCATGGCTTAACTGGGTCCTCTGCTTAGGGTCTCCCACGCCAAAATCCAGGTGTCAGCCAAGAATTCACTTTCTTATGGTTGTAAGACCAAGGCTCCCATTTACTCTCTGGCTATCCACTAAGGTCCATGCTGTGCTCCTAGAGGCTGCCCACACTCACGTGGTCCCTCCCTCTTCAAAGCAGCAAAAGGAAGCTTCTCACACTTTGACTCTCTCTTGATTTCTGCATCTGCCTTTTAAAGGGCTCCTGTGATTAGATTGGGCCCATTTGGATAATCTCCATGTCTTAAGGTCAACTGACTTGGGATTTTAATTACAACTGCAAAATCCCTCCCTAACACTACCTAGATAAATGTCTGATTAAATAACCAGGGGAATGGATTGGGGGAAAGGTGACAAGAATCTTGAGAATTCTACCTACCCTCACTTCTAACTTAACCTAGCTGTACCCGCCCTTAATAAAAAGTGAAAGTGGGTATTACCCCACCTCCTTATAAATTGCTAAATGAGAATTAAATGTCATAATTCATATAATATGCCTAGCAGATCTCCTAGGCCTTAGGTGGAATTTAAAATATATTTCTTTTCTTACAAAAGTATAATCATTTTCAAAAAGTCTGTATTCTTTTCCTGTTATTCTTGGCTGCAACTTACTGCAAACTGTGTGAAAGAATAAGTTGTCACTTTTTAATAAAGTCGAGTTTGCTCTCTGAAAAATCTGTATTTTACATGAAAAATGAAGAATTTTCCAATGTAAATCTATATGTGGTGTTTTAAATATGATTTTTGTCATATTTTTAATCTTTGAATAAAATATCCTAAGTATAATAAAAAAATCAAATAATCTTACATGTTTCACCATTGGTGACAGATTCTCTAGGAGGCTTCACTGCTCCAATTAATTTTTAATACTTCCTATTTTCATTATAGGGAAACTATAACTAGTTTTGTGGTATGAACTTTCTTTATACAAGGAACTAATTTCATCCCCTTAATACCTCCCTAATTTACTAAAGAATCTCCTGAGTTTTTGATGTGGAAAGACAAATAACCCACAGCTGTTCTCACCAGAGAGTTCCTAACCTCTGACATGGGTTGAGTGAGTTAATCTATAAAACAGTTGACCTTCTGATGACTAGGCTGGGGTTTTTATGGGTAAAATACTTACAAAGGAATGAATTGGATATTTCTGTCTCCAAAAATTACCTCATTTTCTCATCAGAACTTTGGTTCACTAAGTACTCTATTTTTCATGTAAAAGGAAGAGACAGATCTCTAACAAGGTAACTGTGCTTTCCCATTATTCTCAATGTTCATCACATTCCCTTTTATGAAATAAATTTGTAAGTCATGAGCAATTCATTTATTTATATATTAAATGGTGACACATTTATTTGTTAACTCTATAATTACATAAAATATTCAAGTTAATTTAAAACAAAAATACTAATAACTCACCTAGAATTTTTGTTTGTTTGTTTTGAGAAAGGACATTTAGTATGCTTACATTAGTACAGTTTTAAATAAATTTTCCATTATTTCATTTGGTCCTCACCACAACCCCTGTGAGAGGTCAGATGATTATTATTATCCACTTTTCCAGTGAGGAAATGGGCTTAGAGAGGATAATTAATGTGGTTATCTTCATGTTAGCTGGTAAAGAGCTGGCCTAGATCCTCTAATTTCGTCTTCTGCTCTTTATCCTATACAATGCTGCAATTATATTTCAGAACATCTCCAAGTCGACAGGTTCCCCTTTAACTGTAGATTATTTAGTCACATAATTTTTAAATTTGTTTTAATTCATCTTATGCTTTTAAACATAAAAACCTAAAAAGAACCACACTACAGAAAAACTATGGCATTATGTATAAATGTAAATTTTTAAAATTCTTTTTGTGATATACATTATAATAAAAATACATTCATTATTATCTTCTCACAGTAAATTGCAATAGCTCTTCTTTGAATTCCCTACTGTATTTTAATTCTAATTTTGACAGCCTGATTTTTCTTCCAAAGTCCAGAAGAATAGGTTCATCTTAGCTACGCTAAGCATTATCATGTTGTCATGGAGGTTAATAAGAACTAGAGTGAACATATAATTCATCATCTAAACAAGGACACGTTTGAGAGAAAAAGAAATGTTATTAATAATTGTGCTGAAACAGCATGCATCACCCAGGATGGACTCAAAGAACCCAGGATATATAGTCACTCTAATAATCAACACCCCATCCCTGACATCAAAGATTTTCCATTTCTTCAGCGGAAACAACCTTTATCTTCATGACCCTCCCCTTAAGCTACCAACATTTAAGATTGTGCTTTGGACTTTGTCATCACTGAAAACTGCTTCATCTCCAAAATTTTAAGCTCTAAAATGTTTTTTTCCTGCCTGCCTTTCCAATGCCTCACTATTATTGATTCTGACCTTTCTCCTCCAGTTCCTGGAGCACCTCTGTCTTGGCAGCTCATCCAGCAGACTAATGGCACATTTGCCTTGGACATGGACCATTCCCTGTGGCAGGGGTTCCCAACCCCCAGGCCACCGACAGCTACTAGGCTGTAGGGAACTGAGCTGTACAGCAGGTCCTGAACAGCTTGTGAGCAAGCGAAGCTTCATCTGTATTTGCAGCCTCTCCCCATCGCTTGCACTACCGCCTAAGCTCTGCCTCCTGTCAGATCAGTGGCGGCATCTGATTCTCAGAGGAGAATGAACCCTATTGTGAACTGCACATGTGAGGGAGCTAGATCGCATGCTTTTTGTGAGAATCTAATGCCTGATGATCTGCCACTGTCTCCCATCACCCTAAGATGAGACCGCCTAGTTGCAGGAAAATAAGCTCAGAGCTCCCACTGATTCTACATTATGGTGAGTTATTATTTCTTTATATATTACAATGTAATAACAATAGAAATAAAGTGCACAATAAATGTAAGGCACTTTAATCCTCCAGAAACCATCCTTTACCCTGTCCCATGAAAAAATTGTCTTCCATGAAACCAGTCCCTGGTGCCAAAAAGGTTAGGGACCACTGCCCCATGGGGAGCCATTTCAGTGAAGTTCTCACTGGGAGCCTCGGTCTCCTCTATGCCTTATCCTTCCAATGACCCAACTTTTCAGTTCTTCACTCTGAGTATTTCATATTCTCTTCCCCTTTTATCTCGAGGTTGTTTGGCATTGCTGACGAAGGTCGCAAAACTAAGCTTTTTTGTTTTGTTGTTTGTTTCTCGGATTCATCCCATCTGTTAGCAACTAGTTCCTCTCCTATGTGTAGCAATCTATTCATTGATCATTAATTAACGTTCTTTCTTTCATGCTCCTCAGAAATCAATCAGACACCATTTTTGCCTTCAAGGAGAATACAACCAATAGAACAGATAGACCTGGGTACAAAAAATATAATTAAGAATTATAGATATAAAGATAGCGATATGTTGGGGCATGATAGAGCCACAAATAAAGATAAAGAACAGGATGACTTGAGAAGGATAAAGGCAGCCAGGGAAGATTTCATAGAGGGTTCCTGCTTGACCTAAGGCTTAAATGAATAGGGATTTTTAAGTAGCAAGTGAGTGGGATGAAAGAATATTCCAGGCAGAAGGAGCATCATGATCAAAGGCATAGAGATATGGAGTAGTCTGATAAGGACTGCAAGCATTTAGGAATGGCTGGATTGTGGGTTTCAGATAAGGCATAAGCTTGTGCAAATTCTTAGTCTGCTTTTCAGGGAACTCAACCTACAACAGTTATTTAGGTTGACTGAGTTGGAAATGTTCTACAGCCTTTAAGCCCCAAATAGATGATTGAGTTGGGGTGAAGATTTTATCTGAGATCATTGGACTGAATGAGTTCACTTAGGGCAAACAGAGTGAAAAACTAGGAGCCAGAGAACCTTTGGGCATTACTGACATTTAAATAACTTGTCAGGAGAAGACTAATATAGAAGCCTAAGGAACAATGCTCAGAGGGGTAATAGAATCAAGAAAGGGTGCTATTTTAGAAGTCAAGGGAGCAAAGAAGTGACCAACAGTTTGAGGCTGGGCACAGTGGCTTACACCTGTAATCCCAGCACTTTGGGAGACTAAGGTGGAAAGATTGCTCGAGGCCAGGAGTTCGAGATCAGCCTGGACAACGCTACAAGAGTCCGTCTCTATGGTATCCACATGGTAGGTGCTCTATTAGTACTTGCAAGGAAAGATTCAAAATGACTCAAACAGGAAAAGAAGTAGGGTATGTTGGGTCACTGAGGTGCTTACCACTCTCACTAAGACCTTATTTTGAGGAAAACTTGAAAAAAATAGAAAAAGGAACTGTCATCTGCAGACAAAATAAGCTTATAGAACCAAAAGCTGTTCATATTGAGAGGGAGGCAGACTTGACAAGATAGCTTCTAAATTAACTAGCCTTTTTGGTCAGGAACAAGACATCTAATTAAGGATGCCAATTAGTCTCCTAAGGAACCATTGGTTCCTGAAGTATTTCATAGTATATGCCAAATGGTATCCAGCAGTATTCAGGGTTTTGAAGATGTTTCTTTGATTAGTAAATATAGTTCCTAATAAACTAACATCTGAGGATTAACCAAGTGCATTCAATTTGTTATAATTTTCCTAAACCATACCAATTCTCTAGCTGATATTTTGGTTTAAAAAAATTGTAGGGTAAAACTCAGAAAATAATTGTAACTTCTGCATTCAGCACAGTCTTTTAATATTTCCTTTCAAAAGTAAGTTTCAAATAATTGAGAGAATGTAGGAGACAACCTATTCGGTTTCTAGAATCTCTGAAATATAAAACAAGAGTAAGGTTGGATTAGCAGTTTCTTTGTTGTTTTACTAAAGTGTCTTTTCAATTGCTTCATCTCCAAAAACATTCATTCTCTAGGGAAATTAAAATTTTCCATAGGTGGGTTTTCTTATTCATTTTCCTGTTAATGAGAATAAATTTAGAGTAATCTTGCAAAATTTGGAGTATTTCATACTGAGGTAATTTATTAGTGGTTAAATTCCCTTCTAGACTTGATCCTTCTGAGAGAGCCCAAAACCTATGAACCTTAATTAAGTGTACATTTCTCCCAGCCAAAGTGGAAAAAAAAACTTCATTTTTTCATTTTGTAATTCTCTTGTTTATATCTCTCCCTAAAGAGAGTAGTTGGCATAAGAATCAAAACAAGCTTTTCCAACTGGTGAAACAAAAGAGTGATATTTAAAGTAATCAGTTGTGACAGGCCACAGATGACAAATTAGGCAGTTAGGCTGTAAAAAATCAGGTAGATAAAACAGAATAATTGGAGATACATAATTGGTGATGCAATTTGTGGATGAAATGAACTATTTTTCCAAATATTTTCAGGAAATTTTTTAAGTTTCTCAAATATAAACCAGACCATTTTAGGAAATAGCAACCTAAACCAAGATTTATAATCTTAATTTTGTTTATGATATTTAGAGAACATTAGTAAAATCAGAAATGATTAATACGTTATATTTTCAGTCTTGGTGGAAACATAACACTTTGAAATTTACTTATTTGAATTAAAATATTTATGAAGAATATAAAACTTGGAATGCATTAAATTTAGCTGTAAGATATAACTGCATATGATAAAGCATGAAATATGTAAAAGCATTCAGTAAATTCCAAAGAGAAGATAAATTTGGGTGCTATTTATGAGAAACTTTACTTATGAGAAAACTTTACTAGAATAATTTAGAGGAGCAACAGTTGTGATAAAGACACGTTATCAGCCTATCTCTCAAGTTATCCATTTATGAGTTAGGTCCAAATTTAGGCTAAAGAAAGACACCCATTACCCCTCTCTTTCCTCTCCCCAAATGCAGAAAATATCTTATGCTAGAGCCACATGGCCATCAGGGACCAGCAACCCCTGCCTTTCTGCAGAGTCCCTCAAGAGTTCCAGACCTAGCTGATTTGGGAACATATGTCTGTCCTTATTGTAGGACTGAATCATATGGGCAATAAATGAAAACACATGACCTACTAACAAGGTGAAAGAATATGCCTTACGACCACATGCAAAGCACAGCCTGACTTCCATGGTATTATGTGTGGCAACTCAGAGGATTCTTCCAAGAGGGCAGTCTCATGGTGGACTCCCTCTGAGCCCAAAAACTTTTATGCTACCTTACGGAATGAGAATCCAGAAAGAGATACTGCTCCAAAAGATTTGAATGACAACAGCTGATCCCTGGGAGTGCCAGTGGGGTATGTTTCTACTTCTATGTGGAGAATTTCGTTCCTATTCTGGCTTTTACTCACACTCTAGACATGATCCCATTACCACTGAAAGGGAGACCTCAGTTGTCTTCCTCTAAAACAGAAAAAGAAGCAGAGATGTAAATGAGCAGGGAAGACCCTAGAGTTCTGGTTCTTCTCAGAGGGCCAAGGCCACTTTTCTATCCTAAATAGCAATTAGCAATGTCTGAGATTTCCATGAGACCTTCAGAGATCCATTTCCTTTTTCTCTTTACTCTGCCTTATCTTTAATTCCCTGTCAGCTGCGATAACCCAAAATCTGAAGAAGCCCAACCAGCACAAGCATATTTGAATCAACAGGCTGTAACAATTTTCCTTTCCTTTTTGTCATTTCAAAGTTTTCCTGGCTTTTTTCAGTAATATTTTTCCCTTTATGCAGAAAAATCAGTACATATTTTGAAATAACAGTGCCCAGCAAATCAACATTTTAATCCATTCATGTTACCTTCATGTATATATTTAGTTTTTATAATGTGAACCAATAATCTAGATTGAATTTTATATTCCCTAAATCATATTTATTTTTCCAGTGACTCTTTGGAAATTCTGCTTCTCATCCTCCCTGTTTTTATTTCCTCATACCTTGAACATTACCACTGGCAGCCTATAAATGCCCTTATACCTCTGTCTCCATTCTCATTCAGTTATTTGCAAATAATCTATATACCCACACTCTCATACATGGGGTTTTTAAAATCAATTCTTTTCCCACAAAAGTGGGATAATTCCATATACTTTTTGCTGCATCTTAACTTTCTGACTGAATAATGGAAATTTAGCCTGTCTTTAAATTATGTTTTCTTATGGCTACATAAAATCCCATGGATGGATATAACACAATATATTCAATTATTTTCCTATTGAGGGACAACTTGCTGATTTTTTCTTCTACAAAAATCTCTTCTACAGAAAGAGATTTTCTGAGCATATATTCTAAGGCATCAGAGCTTTTATTTTTATGTCATAGCCTTACAGGAATAGAACTTTTGAGTTGAAGAATAGTACCTGGTAACAGATATTACCAGATTGCTTCATATTTATGCCAGAAGTGTATGAGAATACTGTTTCACCGAACTCTGTACATGCACTGGATGTTATCACCTTAAACATTTTACTAATATAATGGATAAGAATTAGTATTTCATAGTTAAAATGGATTGTCTTTACACATATGTATTGTTCAAATCACTTGGATTTTGGGTTTCTTTTTGTATGAATTGTCCATGTATAACTTTTACCTATTTATATAAATTGGTTATGTTTTTTCTTTTACATGCATATAAGCCCTTTGCTTATAATAGATATTATTAATTCCTTTATCAATGTTTTTTGCAAATATTTCTTAAAAATATTCTTTAAAAATTTTTTGTAGAAGATAGCCAAATAGGAACAGCTCCAGTCTACAGCTCCCAGCGTGAGCGATGCAGAAGACAGGTGATTTCTGCATTTCCAACTGAGGTACTGGGTTCATCTCACTGGAGCTTGTTGGACAGTGGGTGCAGCCCACAGAGCAGCACAGGGCATCGCCTCACACAGGAAGCGCAAGGGGTCGAGGAATTCCCTTTCCTGGCAAAGAGAAGACATGACAGACAGTACCTGGAAAATCGGGTCACTCCCATCCTAATACTGCACTTTTCCAATGGCCTTAGCAAATGGCACACCAGGAGATTATATCCCGTGCCTGGCTCTGAGGGTCCCACTCCCATGGAGCCTCGCTCACTGCTAGCACAGCAGTCTGAAATTGAACTGCAAGGTGGCAGCAAGGCTGGGAGAGGGGCATCCACCATTGCTGAGGCTTGAGTAGGTAAACAAAGTGGATGGGAAGCTTGAACTGGGTGGAGCCCAATGCAGCTCAATGAGGCCTGCCTGCTTCTGTAGACTCCACCTCTGGGGGCAGAGCATAGCTGAACAAAAGGCAGCAGAAACTTCTGCAGACTTAAACGTCCCTGTCTGACGGCTGTGAAGAGAGTAGTGCTTCTCCCAGCACAGAGTTCAAGATCTGAGAACGGACAGACTGCCTCCTCAAGTGGGTCCCTGACCACCAAGTAGCCTAACTGGGAGACACCTTCCAGTAGGGGCCGACTGACACCTCACACAGCCAGGTACCCCTCTGAGATGAAGCTTTCAGAAGAAGGATCAGACAGCAACATTTGCCGTTCTGCAATATTTGCTGTTCTGCAGCCTCCGCTGGTGATACCCAGGCAAACAGGTATCGAGTGGATCTCCAGCAAACTCCAACAGACCTGCAGCTGAGGGTCCTGACTGTTAGAAGGAAAACTAACAAACAGAAAGGACATCCACACCAAAACCCCATCTGTACATCACCATCATCAAAGACCAAAGGTAGATAAAACCACAAAGATGGGGAGAAACCAGAGAAGAAAAGCTGAAAATTCTAAAATCAGAGCACCTCTTCTCCTTCAAAGGAACACAGCTCCTCGCCAACAATGGAACAAAGCTGGACAGAGAATGACTTTGAGGAGTTGAGAGAAGAAGGCTTCAGACGATTGGTAATAACAAATTTCTCCAAGCTAAAGGAAGATGTTCGAACCCATCGCAAAGAAGCTAAAAACCTTGGAAAAAGACTAGACGAATGGCTAACTAGAATAAACAGTGTAGAGAAATCCTTAAATGACCTGTTGGAGCTGAAAACCATGGCACAAGAACTATGTGACGCATGCACAAGCTTCAGTAGCCGATTTAATCAAGTGGAAGAAAGGGTATCAGTGATCGAAGATCAGATGAATGAAATGAAGCAAGAAGAGAAGTTTAGAGGAAAAAAGAGTAAAAAGAAATGAACAAAGCCTCGAAGAAATATGGCACTATATGAAAAGACCAAATCTATGTATGATTGGTGTACCTGAAAGTGACAGGGAGAATGGAACCAAGCTGGAAAACATTCTGCAGGATATTATCCAGGAGAACTTCCCCAATCTAGCAAGGCAGGCCAACATTCAAATTCAGGAAATACAGAGAATGCCACAAAGATACTCCTCGAGAAGAGCAACTCCAAGACACATAATTGTCAGATCCACCAAAGTTGAAATGAAGGAAAAAATGTTAAGGGCAGCCAGAGAGAAAGGTTGGGTTACCCACAAAGGGAAGCCTATCAGACTAACAGCTGATCTCTCAGCAGAAACTCTACAAGCCAGAAGAGAGTGGGGGCCAATATTCAACATTCTTAAAGAAAAGTATTTTCAACCCAGAATTTCATATCCAGCCAAACTAAGCTTCAAAAGTGAAGGAGAAATAAAATCCTTTACAGACAAGCAAATGCTAAGAGATTTTGTCACCACAAGGCCTGCCTTACAAGAGCTCAGGAGGGAAGCACTAAACATGGAAAGGAACAACCAATACCAGCCACTGCAAAAACATGCCAAATTGTAAAGACCATCAATGCTAGGAAGAAACTGCATCAAGTAACGAGCAAAATAACCAGCTAACATCATAATGACAGGATCAAATTCACACATAACCATATTAACCTTAAATGTAAATAGGCTAAATTCTCCTATTAAAAGACACAGACTGGCAAATTGGATAAAGAGTCAAGACCCATCAGTGTGCTGTATTCAGGAGACCCATCTCACGTGCAGAGACACACATATGCTCAAAATAAAGGGATGGAGGAAGATCTACCAAGCAAATGGAAAACAAAAAAAAGCAGGGGTTGCAATCCTAGTCTCTGATAAAACAGATTTTAAACCAGCAAAGATCAAAAGAGACAAAGAAGGCCATTACATAATGGTAAAGGGATCAATTCAACAAGAAGAGCTAACTATCCTAAACATATATGCACCCAATACAGGAGCACCCAGATTCATAAAGCAAGTCCTTAGAGACCTAGAAAGAGACTTAGACTCCCACACAATAATAATGGGAGATTTAACACCCCACTATCAACATTAGACAGATCAATGAGACAGAAAGTTAACAAGGATATCCAGGAATTGAAGTCAGCTCTGCACCAAGCAGACCTAATAGACATCTACAGAACTCTCCACCCCAAATCAACAGAATATATATTCTTCTCAGCACCACATCACACTGATTCCACAACTGACCACATAGTTGGAAGTAAAGCACTCCTCAGCAAATGTAAAAGAACAGAAATTTTAACAAACTGTCTCTCAGACCACAGTGCAATCAAACTAGAACTCAGGATTAAGAAACTCATTCAAAACCACTCAACTACATGGAAACTGAACAACCTGCTCCTGAATGACTACGGGGTACATAACGAAATAAAGACAGAGATAAAGATGTTCTTTGAAACCAATGAGAACAAAGACACAACATACCAGAATCTCTGGGACACATTTAAAGCAGTGTGTAGAGGGAAATTTATAGCACTAAATGCCCGCAAAAGAAAGCAGGAAAGATCGAAAATTGACACCCTAACATCACAATTAAAAGATCTAGAGAAGCAAGAGCAAACACTTTCAAAAGCTAGCAGAAGGCAAGAAATAACTAAGATCAGAGCAGAACTGAAGGAAATAGAGACACAAAAAACCCTTCAAAAAATCAATGAATCCAGGAGCTGGTCTTTTGAAAATATCAACAAAATTGATAGACCACTAATAAGACTAATAAAGAAGGAAAAAGAGAAGAATCAAATAGACACAATAAAAAATGGTAAAGGGGATATCACCACCAATCCCACAGAAATGCAAACTACCATCAGAGAATACTATTAACACCTCTACCCAAATAAACTAGAAAATCTAGAAGACATGGATAAATTCCTGGACACATACACCCTCCCAAGACTAAATCAGGAAGATGTTGAATCCCTGAATAGACCAATAACAGGCTCTGAAATTGAGGCAATAATTAATAGCCTACCAACCAAAAAACATCCAGGACCAGACGGATTCACAGCTGAATTCTAGCAAGGTACAAGAGGAGCTGGTACCATTCCTTCTGAAACTATTCCAATCAATAGAAAAAGACGGAATCTGATGGGTGCAGCACACCAACATGGCACATGTATACATATGTAACAAACCTGCACGTTGTGCACATGTACCCTAAAACTTAAAGTATAATAATAAAAAAAAAAGAAAAAGAGGGAATCCTCCCTAATTCATTTTATGAGGCCAACATCATCATGATACCAAAACCTGGCAGACACACAACAAAAAAAGAATTTTAGACCAATATCCCTGATGAACATCGATGCAAAAATCCTCAATAAAATACTGGAAAACCGAATCCAGCAGCACATCAAAAAGCTTATCCACCACGATCAAGTTGGCTTCATTTCTGGGATGCAAGGCTGGTTCAACATACACAAATCAATAAAAATAATCCATCATATAAACAGAACCAAAGAAAAAAACCACATGATTATCTCAATAGATGCAGAAAAGGCCTTTCACAAAATTCAACAGCCCTTCATGCTAAAGACTCTCAATAAACTAGGTATAGATGGGACATATCTCAAAATAAGAAGAGCTATTTATGAGAAAACCACAGCCAATATTATACTGAGAATGGGCAGAAACTGGAGGCATTCCCTTTGAAAACTGGCACAAGACAGGGATGCCTTCTCTCACCACTCCTATTCAACACAGTGTTAGAAGTTCTGGCCAGGACAATCAGGCAAGAGAAAGAAATAAAGGGTATTCGATTAAGAAAAGAGGAAGTCAAATTTTCCCTGTTTGCAGATGACATGATTGTATATTTAGAAAACCCCATCGTCTCAGCCCAAAATCTCCTTAAGCTGATAAGCAACTTCAGCAAAGTCTCAGGATACAAAATCAATGTGCAAAAATCACATGCATTCCTATACACCAATAACAGACATGTTTGTCTATAGGTGTATGAGAGCCAAATCATGAGTGAACTCCCATTCACAATTGCTTCAAAGAGAATAAAATACCTAGGAATCCAACTTACAAGGGATTTGAGGGACCTCTTCAAGGAGAACTACAAACCACTATTCAATGAAATAAAAGAGGGCACAAACAAATGGAAGAACATTCCATGCTCATAGACAGGAAGAATCAATATTGTGAAAATGGCCATACTGCCCAAGGTAATTTATAGATTCAATGCCATTCCCATCAAGCTACCAATGACTTTCTTCACAGAATTGGAAAAAAAGTACTTTAAAGTTCATATGGAACCAAAAAAGAGCCCGCATTGCCAAGACAATCCTAAGCAAAAAGAACAAAGCTGGAGGCATCAAGCTACCTGACTTCAAACTATACTACAAGGCTACAGTAACCATAACAGCATGGTACTGGCACCAAAACAGAGATATGGATCAATGGAACAGAATGGAAACCCCGGAAATAATACCACACATCTACAACCATCTGATCTTTGACAAACCTGACAAAAACAAGAAATGGGGAAAGGATTCCCTATTTAATAAATGGTGCTGGGAAAACTGGCTAGCCATATGTAGAAAGCTGAAACTGGATCCCTTCCTTACACCTTTTACAAAAATTAATTCAAGATGGATTAAAGACTTAAATGTTAGACCTAAAACCATAAAAACCCTAGAAGAAAACCTAGGCAATACCATTCAGGACATAGGCATGGGCAAGGACTTCTTGACTAAAACACCAAAAGCAATTGCAACAAAAGCCAAAATTGACAAATGGGATCTAATTAAACTAAAGAGCTTTTGCACAGCAAAAGAAACTACCATCACAGTGAACAGGCAGCCTACAGAATGGGAAAAAAAATTTTGCAATCTACTCATCTGACAAAGGGCTAATATCCACAAAGAACTCAAAGAAATTTACAAGAAAAAAACAAACAACCCCATCAAAAAGTGGGCAAAGGATATGAACAGACACTTCTCAAAAGAAGACATTTATGCAGCCAACAGACACATGAAAAAATGCTCATCATCACTGGCCATCAGACAAATGCAAATCAAAACCACAACAAGGTACCATCTCACACCAGTTAGAATGGCGATCATTTAAAAGTCAGGAAACAACAGGTGCTGGAGAGGATGTGGAGAAATAGGAATGCTTTTACACTATGGATGGGACTGTAAACTAGTTCAACCATTGTGGAAGAGTGTGGCGATTCCTCAAGGATCTAGAACTACAAATACCATTAGACCCAGCCATCCCATTACTGGGTATATACCCAAAGGATTTTAAATCATGCTGCTATAAAGACACATACACATGTATGTTTATTGTGGCACTATTCACAATAGCAAAGACTTAGAACCAACCCAAATGTCCATCAATGATAGACTAGATTAAGAAAATGTGGCACATATACAGCATGGAATACTATGCATCCATAAAAAAGGATGAGTTCATGTCCTTTGTAGGGACATGGATGAAGCTGGAAACCATCATTCTCAGCAAACTATCACAAGGACAGAAAACCATATGTCCTCAGTGTATGTTCTCACTCATAGGTGGGAATTGAACAATGAGAACACTTGGACACAGGGTGGGGAGCATCACACACTGGGGCCTGTCATGGGTTTGGGGGAGGGGGGAGGGACAGCATTAGGAGATATACCTAATGTAAATGACGAGTTAATGGGTGCAGCACACCAACATGACACATGTATACATATGTAACAAACCTGCATGTTGTGCACATGTACCCTAGAACTTAAAGTATAATAAAAATAAAAAATAAAAATAAAAAAATTAAAATAAAATTTTGTGTAGTAAAAATATTTTATTCTTTCTTTATAGTTTTATTAGACTTCCTATCTTATTTAAATGACCTCTCCTAATTTTCCCAAAATTTTGATTGTTGTATTTTAAATGTTTAACTCCTACAGAATTTATTCTTCCTAATACATCTAAGAATTCTCTATATTTCAATTGGATTAGCATGAAATATATACCAAATATTTGTTGTAATTGACAGTCTATAAAATTTTGAGCCTTCTCATCTAAAATTAAGCATATTTTCATTTATTCAATGTTTTATGTGTTTAAGGAGAGAAATATATAGTTTTATTGATATAAGCTCTTCTTTCTGGGTAGATTTTTACCAAGATCATTTCTAATTTTGTTTGTATAATAATTGAGATTTTTTTCCATTTTGTTGTCCAACTTAAAATCACAGGTAAATAGAAAAATGGATGACTTGGCATATTTATTTTATAGTCAATTACCTTAATGAACTCTTTTACTATATCTAATAATTTTCTGTTATTGGTTTCTTGGGTTATCAAGGTCAACAGCCATAGTCTTATAAAATGACAATCTTGCCTTCTTGGATTTCATAATTGTATTCCTTACTTATTTTTCTTGCCTTATTACATTGGCAAACTTATTAAAACGCAAATAATGAGGGCCATCATTGTTTTGTTATTTACTTTACTAGCAATGATCATTGTTTAGGCATTAAGCAACCTCCATTAAGAATTAGGTTGGCTATTGCTTGAGCACAGCCAGATAAAGAGTTATAGAGGCTTTAAGTATGTAAAATTATGATGCTGCCATCCAAGATGCAATCCCAAACAGAAACAGTAATACATTGTAAAATACTGTCAAGAAATTCAACAATTCTGTTTTCACAAGATAACTTTCAGTGAGTATTTTGCAAATACCAAGTATCAAATTCTTTTGTTTTTTACTTACATATTTAGTTGGTGTATTAGAAAATCCTGCACGAACTTGAGACAATATTCTTTGCCATGTTAAGAAAGAATCCTTCTGTTTTAAAATAACTAAATGCTTCTGGTCAGAAATTGATGTTGAATCTTTTCAAATGCCACTCCAGCATCTATCAAGTTTATCCTTTTTGTCTCTGATTATTGAGTTAATGAATTATGTTAGTATATTTCACCAATGCTTCTATAAGCATTATTGCTTCCTCAACAAACAATGTATAAGCATTTAAATGGAATAAATATTTAAATCAATATAAATTAAAAATATATCTTTATATATGTTCACTTAAAAGATTCTGTAACTTATTTAGAAATTTTAAATCTATATTGCTAAAATAAATGACTTTGTTGGTTTATTGAGGGCCTTATTTTCTGCAATCCTGTTTTAGTTTTGGTACAAATATTACAGGAGATATTTAAAATGAACTAATAAGCTTTTCATTATGTTCTCTTTTATTGAAACATTTATTTAATAAGTGAATTATCATTGATTTTCTAAAATAACTAATTATATAATTTATGACCTTTCATTAAAGGTGAATTTTTTTCTAATTCTATTGCAATAGTAATCTTCTTGACTTTTTATGTTCTTTTTAAGTCAATTTAAGCAGTTTATAATTTACTCAAAAAACATCTGTTTCATTGATATTTCTGTTGCATTATTATCAAATACTTTTATTATTTTTCTATATTAGGGCTAAATAAACAGTAGCCTTATTTTAGTTTTAGGAAGCCATATTATAAATGTATTAATTTGAACAATTGGTGGCTTAAATTTATTAACTTTTATTTTTATTTTTCAATGCTTCTTAACTCTTCCCAGGTGTTCTTGAACACTCTTCCCAGGTGTTCTTAAGTGTGCAACTTAAGAAGCATCTTTAGAAACTTAAGATGCTTCTTAAGTTTCTAAACCATTTGGAAGAGCATCGCTCTGAGATGTTTATATAGATAACATGAAAAAAATTTCTCTGATTAAATAGTTTGGGAAACACTGAATATCATATTCCCTCTTACAGCTTCACAATGCTCATTATAATGTTACAGATATTGAGGAGTTCTCAATATCTTAGCTTTTTTAACACAGCATTTTCAAATAATTTTTACCCCAGGAACACTTTCTATGGCATAACATTAACATTTCGTGGCATGGAGTCATACAGGACACCAGTTTTGGAAATTCTGGCCTCAAGTCATTTGTATTCTTTTTTGTTTGTTTATTAATGATTTCAATGAAAAGAGTCAAACTCTGTAAAGTATTTGAAGAGATTAATTCTGAGACAAATATGAGTGACCCCGGCCTGTGACACAGCCCTCAGGAGGTCCTGAGAACATGTGCCCAAGGTGGTTGGGGTGCAGCTTTGTTATACACATTTTAGGCAGGCATGAGATGTCAATCAATTACATTTAAGAAATACATTGGTTTGGTCCAGAAAGGTGGGACCATTCCAAGTGGGGGGGTGGGGAGATTCCAGGCTATAGGTAAATATAAGCATTTTCTGGTTGACAATTGGTTGTCTTTGTCTAAAGACTTGGGATCCACAGAAAGGAAATGTCTGGGTTAAGATAAGAGATTGTGAAGAACAAAGTTTTATCATGCAGATGAAGCCTCCAGGTAGCAGGCTTCAGAGAGAATAGGTTGTAAAATGTTTCTTATCGGACTTAAAAGTCTGTGTTGTTGTTAAGTTAAATTAATGCCGGAAAGATAAAATGAGGCATGTTCGACCCCCACTTCCCATCATGGCCTAAAACAGTCTCTCAGATTAAATTTTAAGAGCCCTGGCTGAGGAGGAAGAGCATTCAATTGTTGTGTTACAGGAAAGAGGTCCCCATCCAGACCTCAAGAGACAGTTCTTGGATCTCACACAAGAAAGAATTCGGGCGAGTCCACAGTGAAATCAAGTTTATTAAGAAAGTAAAGGAATAAAAGAATGGCTACTCCATAGACAGAGCAGCTCCAAGGGCTGCTGGTTGCCCATTTTTATGGTTATTTCTTGATGACATGCTAAACAAGGGGTAGATTATTCATGCCTCCCCTTTTTAGAGCACATAGGGTAACTTCCTGACATTGCCATCGTATTTGTAAACTGTCATGGCACCGGTGGGAGCGTAGCAGTGAGGATGACCAGAGGTCACTCTCGTCACCATTTTGTTTTTGGTGGGTTTTGACTGGTTCCCTTATTGCAACCTGTTTTATAAGCAAGGTCTTTATGACCTGTATTTTGTGCTGACCTCCTATCTCATCCTGTGACTTAGGATGCCAGAACCGTCTGGGAATGCAGCCCAGTAGGTTCCAGCCTCATTTTCAATATGGAGTTGTTTTGGTTCACATGCTTCTGACAGTTGCAGGGGCCTCAGAATATTATTCTTGGTTTACAATCAAGGCATTTAATGATATGAATTTGTATCTGTGTACTTCTATGACCGCAGCTCATATGTTTTAATATGTAATGCTTTCCATTGTCAGCTTATTGAATTCTTTCATTAAATAATTATGTAAGAGAATTTTTAATGTTCATACAGTTAGGTCTTATTTTATACTTTTGTTATTAATAAATAATTTTATTGTATATATAGTCTGTATAACTTCTGCTTTGGAGAATTTACTGTGTTTTTTTGTGACCTAATAGGTGATCAGTTTTTTTAATGTTCATGGATTCTGGGGGAAATGTATTTACAAAGAGAAAATACATAGCCTGATTTGGTGCAAGTTTCTGGTATAATGTACACAGATTGTATATTTTATACACATGTGTATCAATAAGTCAACATTATTAATTGCATATTATTAAAATTGTCTATATTACTTTTTATATTCACTTGTTTGATTTGTCAAAGAATGAGTGAAATATATTTAAAAATATAACAGAACTGTATTTCTGATTATTTCTCCTTATTTTTCTATCAGTGGCTTTTAAAATATATTTAAATACCTTATAGTTTAGGCAAAGTAGTTATTTAATCTTATCAAGTTTGCTTTATGACCTGACAATAATCTGTGATTAAACTTAAGGAGCCTAACCCAGACCTGGCATACAGAAGGCACTCTTCAAGATATACTATTGCCTGACTTTCTAGAATCTTTGAAAGGCTGAAAAATTTAATTCTTAAAATTTCATATCAACCTTACATTTTGTGAAACTGAGTTTTCCCTGAAATTTGTGATCTAGCAAAACTCCAGTCCTGCTCCACAGCAGTATGATTAACCTTCAGGCTTTATTAGAAGCTTGTGCCAAATCAGGCTATTATAGCCAAATGGAGCCATGATGAGGCATTTCCATACCCCATGCCACTCTTCTCTTGACATCATGTCAATATAAACCTTCCTGTATTCTTTCCTTAACTCAGTGAGGCCCTGGGTTGACATTAGCATAATTGACCTGAAAATTATAGATAATAGCAACAAGAAGAAGTTTTAACAGACTGGACAGCAGTATTTAGTCTTTTACCAGAATGTCCTTTTCATTACCATTTTGTCACTCTCCTTATTCTATTTACCACCCACTGTCAAAGCACTGAGGCATGTAAGATGCTATGAAGCTCCCTTTCCCCAAAGACAAGACTTCTTGTCTTGTCAATGTCATCACTGCTTACAATAACCTTCAAGGCCAGTTACTTAATGACTTTATGTTCCAGGGGGAAAGGGAGACTCTGTGTAAGTGCCCTTCCCAGGACAAATCAGATACACAACTAGAGTCAGAACTCCTGAACTTTTGGCTCTCAGTTTATTCAACTGGAAAATAGTGCATCATCCTGCTTTTAATTGCAGCCAGGACCATTCAGAAGGTAAAATGTAGTGTTGTGGTTGTGGGCCTGTTTTTCAACTTTAATAAATGGGCATGCTTATCATATATAGGTGGCCCATCACTGGGGTTTGGTCTTTCAATTTAGCTACACGCTGAAGTTTACATCTGGAGAGGGTCCAGGGCACTGCATGAGATTACAATAATTAGAGGCTTTTTGTCTGGAAGCTTTAAAAATCAGAAATAATGTGAAAAATGCAAAAAGTACACTTCTTGTCATATGTGGAGCAGAATAACCTAGTTAATGAACATGCAGCCTGTCCCACTGGCACGTAAGCACCTTTGGCCATAGTCCCAACACATCTTAGTGACTATTCAAGGTCAAGTTTTGTCAACACTTGGGTGGAAATCATCCAGAGAAAACCCTAGGTGTGGCAAGAGATATGTTGATGATTCATTAGTTGGCATTCTCCTTTCTGAGTCGATGATTAACCCCAGCATGCTATTATTGGCATTCTGAAGGCTCTGTACTTCGTATGGCTTTAAAACTAAACTCAGTCTAAAGTACTGGTCATAAAGATAGTAAAGAGAAAACAATGAATCTGGTTGGAATACAATCCAAAACTAATTGGCTACATAACTTCTGTGAAGTTCTTTAGGATTCTCTACAGAGAACTTGTTTTCCTTAATTTCTCTATAAAATTATAATTTCCTTGGAAAAATTAGTGTGGACATTACAGCTGTGAAGTAGCATCTTGACAGTCTTGTGAGAATATTATTCTCACGCTGGAGAATTGCATAAGTTTATGCCAAGAAAGAAAGCCACAAGTAAGTTGTTTGCAATAGGGCAGTGAGGTTCACACACCTCAGACTCTTGAGTGGCTACAAAGACCCTTCTCCATAAGGAAAGGCATATTTCTGAAGAAATAGTAGCTGCAAATATGTATACCTTTTAAAACAACCTTTTTAGTGCATGTTCAGTATATTGATGCTTACGTTTCTTAATTGTACCTTCCTTTTATTGAACCATGAATTCCTGAAGTTTAGGACAATGTTCTCAGCACTCTGCCTCTAAAAAGGTTGAATGGGGCAGCCATATTGAGTAACAACAGGAACTACAGCCTGGTTTTCTTTCTGGTTCAGTGTCCAGATGATACCTCTTTGGTTAACATGGTCGTGATGATAAAATCCCAAGTAACTGAAGAAAGTCACTTTCAATAATGTTTTGTGAGGAAAAGAGATCATTAGACTAATCTGAAGGAAGCATGAAGTGGGTGTAACTGATCCAGACGTATTGGCCTGTTAAGTAATATATTTTGACAGAAGGCCACTATGATTTGGCAGAGCTGGGAAACTGCTAAATTAAAAGACCACTCAAAAGCCAAAATGGCAAATACATAAATATTTAAACTACTCTTATAAGCTCAACAATTTTTAAAAAAATACTAATTTCGGAGCTGGAAGGGGCTTTAGAAATTACCAAGTTCAGACAACTGGGAGGTAAGCTATGAGGATGTAAAGACATACAAAGTGACACAATAGCACTGGGGACTCGGGGGGAGGTTGGGAGAGGGATGAAGGATAAAAGACAACATACTGGGTACAGTGTACACTGTTTGGGTGACAGGTGCACTAAAATCTCAGAATTCACCACTGAAGAACTCATCCATGTAACCAAAAACCACCTGTACCCCAAAAACTATTGAAATAAAAAAGAAAAAAAAATAAATATATGAAGCAAAAGTTGCCCAAACTATAAACAAGTAAATAAAAGAAATTGTCAAGTTCACCCTTGAAGTTTAAAGTAGGAAAACTGAAGGTTTACGTGATTGCTCTTTCCTTCTTTCCTCAGAGATATTCCCTGGGAAACTATGAAGAGGAAATGAGGAGAGTGTATATTCCTGAGGACTCTAAGAACAATAGGCAGTGAAAGAGATTTGCTCAGAGATCATAGCCAGCCATGTGGTAGTCAGGCCCTTCCTCTGTGATGTCCTTCCCAGATCGGGCTTACCTGGATATTTCATGACCTACCTCCCTTGAAATATGCCTGCTTCACCTCCTCTCTCCCTCAGTACTAAGTAATAGACTGACTAATAGATTCTTTTTGGGAAACTCTTTTAATCGTTAATAATAACCTAATATGTTATTTCCTTAATGTTCTATTTTAACAATTGCAGTCTGTGCGTAGACTCAATGCTTTTTAAATTAACTTCCTTAAATGAAAAAAAAATAATTAAAAAAGATGTTTACCTGGTATGTAATGGACATATTGGTCACTTGTCTCATCCTGCACATTCCCCTTTTCTGTTAGTGTGCCTCCACAGCCTCTAATAAGCAGGGACTTGTGACACTACAGTCCCATGATTGATCATACGGGATCCAATTAGTCCTAACTGCTTAGACTGGGCTGGGCATCTGATTCAACTGGACCAATCATCAGATTTTTCTCTACTTAAAGACCAGACTTAGAAAACAGTGACTCCTGTTGGTGTCCGCTGAACTCCAACTGAGATATAAGAAAAAGTCAGAATTTGAGCAGCCATATTCAACCCAAGATAAACTGAAATGAAAAAAAAAAAAAAAGAAAAAACTAGGCTATAAATAAACTTGTGTATGAAAAGAGGAAAAACCAAGAGACTGTGCAAAGAGAGACAGAAAGACAGAAAAGGTACTCACCTTGATTTTTGCAAGATTTCCTGTTCTTTCTGCAGTTTGGCGTTCTCTAACCTCTAGTTTCCATTTTACTTAAACTAGTCAGAGTTACTTGTCTCAAAACAAAATGATTTCTGACACAGTTATTTTATTTCATTCAAAAAATTTTTAACAGCATTTTTGACATTATTTTAAACTTAGTGGGTTTTTAAAGTTTTTAAATCATGAGTTTAGTACATATGCCAGCCTGTGGGAAAACTAGCCAGTTGGTTCATAAACCTGCATCACAGTTTATCTGTAACTGCAACTTGAATTTTTAGTATGGTTCCTGGATTTCTCTACTGCTTTCAATAACTTCCATGATTCTTTTCAAGAAAGGAAGTAAGCTGTGTAAATGGAAATAGCATGTATTGGTTTTCTATTGCTGCTATAACAAATTAACATGAACCTGGTGGCTGGAAACAACACAAGTGTATTATCTTATATTTCTGGTAGTCAGAAATTTGAAATAAGATTTATGGACTAAAATCAAAATGTTGGCAGGGCTTTGTTCCTTCTGGAGGCTTTTGGGAAGAATCTGCTTCTTGGCCTTTTCTAGCTTCTCAAGGCTACTTGTATTCCTTGGCTGTGGCCCCTTTCTCATCCTCAAAGCACATCACTGAGCTCCGTTTCCATCATCACATCTTCTCTCTGCTCTGACCCTTCTGCCTTTCTCTTATCAAGATCCTTTTAATTGTACTGGGCCCCAGACAAACCATCTTGAACTGAATCACACCTGCAAAGTCCCTTTTACCATTTAAGGTAACATATTCACGCATATTCACATTCTGGAATGACAATGTAGACATCTTTGAGTGGGCACTGTTCAGCCTGCCACAGAGCATTAGATTAGGGGCTGTTTATTCACATGTTAGTTCTGTAATCAATAGATCTTAAATAAGTCACTTAAATTCTCCACACCTCAGTTTCCAAAACTGTGAAGTGAGGGGCTTATACTAAATGAACTTTTAAAAAAATCTCTTCGTAGGCCAAAATTCTATGTTTCTAGGTTACTATAAATCACACATAAAATAATACCAAATTGTCAACATAATTTTGGAAGTGGTTATTTTTTTCTGAAGAATATTTTACTAATTTTAACTACTAGGTCTCTTAGTTTCATGTAAGTATTTAAATGTTCCCTCTCATTTGAAAAGAACAGCATTCTGCTTCCCACTACATATAATTATTTTGTCCTTTCTTAATGGCATTGTTACTCCTTCTTATCCAATACTTCTTTTCCTTTCTAATGCTCTAGTGTGGAGCATTAGTAGAGTCATACTAACTACTGACTTCCTAAATCTCTTGCTAAAAAAAAAAGAAAAAAGAACTTGTAAGACTTACTAATATGCTGTGACTTTTAAGGAAGCTTATTTTAAATGAATACTCCTTTTTTTCCCTTCATTTTTCAAAAAATATAAAAGTAAAATATGAGGCCTATTATCTATACCCTCTTCACCCACTCCCATCCCACAAAATAAAGAAGCTCTATTTAGTCAATAATTTAAGCCTTTTAGTAAAATGCTGTTTCATAAAATAACAACTGTGGGAAATGTTAGGATTCACATCTACATTTTTCCTTTCCTTGAAGTTATTGTTCATCTGAAATCACATGTGGTTCTCTGGTATCTCCACAACATTGAAAATTGGACTGGAGAGAAACCCTTGATCAAACAGAAGAAACTGAAGGAAGGCTGGGCACAGTGGCTCATGCCTATAATCCCAGCACTTTGGGAGGTCAAGGCAGGCAGATCACTTGAGGTCAGGAGTTGGAGACCAGCCTGGCCAACCCGATGAAACCTTGTCTCTACTAAAAATACAAAAATTAGCTGGGCATGATGGCATGCACCTGTAATCCCAGCTACTCAGGAGGCTGAGGCAGGAGAATTGCTTGAATCCGGGAGGTGGAGGTTGCAATGAGCCGAGATCACTTTACTGCACTACGGCCTGGGTGACAGAGCTAGACTCCATCTCAAAAAGACAAAAAAAAATGCTGAAGGAAATTCATCTGGTTACAAGATTAACCTTTGCAAAGCCAGTTAGGAAGGCAAGCACCCAGTGCCCAAAGGAACTGAGCGAGTCTCCTGGGTGGAGCCTGCTATCCAGCTGCTGGATAGCAGGCAGAAGGTGAGGTCAGGCACCAGGCACTCACTATCTTCACATGTCATGCATGGCTAAAAGTATAGAGGTGGGGCATGCTATCCAGGTGGTAGATTGCAGGCAAGGCACAAGGTTGCTATTGCTCTGTGCTGTCCATTCCTAGCAATAATCACACCTGTGTGTGGAGTAAAGGAAATAAGGTCTAGCTCTTTTGTTCTCACCTCACATTGACCCTCATGTGGAAACTATTTATGTATTTCCCGCTTTTCAGGATTGATTTTGGAAGTGAAAGGAGACAACAGGAAAGCAAAGACTGACTTTCGGGACTAGCCCTTCTTTTCAGAAACTGAGCTCCTATCTTCTCAGATATTCCTTTTAATTCCAAACCCCAAACACCACAGTATCTGGAGAAACCAAGAGTACTTAGAGGAATTGTCAGAGATTAAATAAAGGATATTAAGTGGCAATCTCATGCAGGAAAGAGAATATGCTTAAGTGAATATTTTTTAAAATTCAGTTTATTGTTGCAGCCCCGCTGTTTTTAATACCACTCCCATCAACAGAAATTAATACAACTATGTATTTCAAAATTACCAAGAGCCAAGATGAGCAACTTTCTCTTTCTTTAGTACCTATTTTCGATACTTTCATTATCCTAACTCTGAATTTGCCCTGAAAGTGCATTCCAATTAATGTCTAACACCAGGCAGCTTATGATGTGGTTATAGACTCCTTAGGGAACAGAATTAAACCATTAAATCCATTTTCTAAATCTAGGGTGAAAGGTTAATGGATTGACTAAAATGCTAAACAAATTCAAAGTAGTATCCCTTGGAGGAACAGATGAGGAAAAACGTTCAAATGCTTGTCTTGCCAAATTTTTTCTCTATTCTTAAATGTTCTAAATAATGTCAAAAGAACTGCAGAAAAACTATCGAGGCTAAAAAATTAAATAATGATAAATCCTTTGTTACTGCCTTCCACCTAAGAATTTGTAGCCAATTTGAGTTTTTACCTTGTTTCCTGGAAGACATAGAATAGTAGGTCAACAGGAAATGTTATTTACATTTAGCAGTTGGCAGAGATGAAACTGCAAGAAAAATTGATATGTGCAGCTTCTCACATCAACAACAAGAAAGAGAATAATATTCAGAACCTGGGAATCCAGCTACATTACTTATTACCTGGACTATCCTTTCTTTCTGAAAATTAGAAATATGATATCGCAGTTGAATACATAGAAATTGTTTTTCTTCTGAAAATCTAAGCTCAACTATAAATGATATGGTAGATTATATGAATGCTTAAAATTATTCTTTCTTCCTCCCTACCTCCATAGAAAGAGTGATGTACTCTGTCTTTAGACTTTGGGCTTGCCACCGCAACTTGCTTTGACCAATGGCCCGTTGAAAGACATGATGACATCAGCAGGAGCTTGAAATGTGCTCGCATAGTTGTCTTCTTGTGCCTCTGACATTGCCATGAAAAAGATTCCTCTGCATACCTATTTGCCCCAGGATGAAGACCAGAACCAAACCTGTAGTTCAAAGTTGACTTACTTGGCTGAGTCTAGCCCAGGTAAACTAACTCCTGCCAACCAGCAAACTCATTAAAAATTTTTTTTTTAAAAAAAAGAAAGAAAGAAAAAGAAAAATAAGCACTGATTGTTGAATGGCACTGAGACGTTATGGTTGTGCAGTAATAACTGACCAAATGGATGAGAATTATGTGGTCTACAGTCTAGGGTCTGAAGATAGTTGATTTCCTTTTAGGTCTGTTTCTGAGCTACTTTTCCTATTTTTAACTCTTGAGCCCTAATTCTCCTAGGCTAAGGTGATTTGCTCCAGCTCCCAGCCGTTATCATCATTTTGCAACTAAATTTTGTTTAGTTTTCTTTGCTACTGCTGCAATATTTACAACTTAAATTACCATAACCTGTGCGTACCACGTTGCTTGGCTTTTTATGTTGAAGGAGTTCTCAGGAAACGCCACCTTGAAATATGCCAGTTTGGACCTCAAACTGAGGGCACTTGGGGAACAGCAAATGTGGGGAAGGGCTTTCTCTGAACTACCCTTATCTACCTAAAGAGAAATCCTCCATATGAAATGCAATTTTCTGAATCCTCTCCCCAGAAATCTCATCAACCAGAGAAGCTTATACTTGAGTTGCAGGTGAGAAAACTGGATAATCCCATGCCCAGACAGACAGACTTTTGTCACCTTTTCTTCTGAGGACTTATTTATCTTGTTCCCAAAGCATTTACTGTCCCCTAAGTTGTCTACATCCCTCCTCCCCTTTCCCCAGTGAAGAGAGTATATAAGCTTCTCTATAGGGTTTTTTTTGGGGTATTTACTTTTCCTTCACGTGATGCCCCCATGCATGTAATAAATTTGAACACCTCTTCTCCTGCTAATCTGGCTACTGTCAGTTTATTTTATAGACTCAATTATCAAACCCTCAGAGAGTAAAGGGAAAGTCTTTCCTCTTCTACACTGCTATTGCCCAGGGCAATCTGTGGAATCCCGAGGAATGTAAATGGGCTTAAGGTATTTACAGATTTGGTTTCTGCATATTTTTGCTCTTTTGCTGTATTTGGAGGAAGACAGCTCTGAGGTCACTATTTCTTTGGTATAGATTTTATCACTGTAAAAATCTTATTTGCATGTAACATTCAGAGAAAAACATTTCCTATCATTAGCTTAGAAATGCAGAGTGTGTACCAACGTGAACATATGACTGTCACTCCTATTTCATGGAATTGTTTCCTAGGGTGACCACAGAACCTTGGTCTAGCAGTGCCAAATCAGATGAATGTCCACCAGACTCTGAAATTTGAATAGGGATAATGTACATGGAAATGTTAGAACTGCAGAGGTCAGAATTTTAACCACTCTCATGTGGACAGTAAAGATGATCAGAGAGAATCTAAACATCATTAGCTCTCTTCATTCGAGGAAGAGACGACTTCCCCAGCCTGCAGTAGAATGACCCAAGTGAACTGATATAATGAACACCCTCTCCTGGAAAGGCAGTAAAAAATAACTTTAGGTGCATTTTTAAGTTATCATAAAATAAGGGAAGTCTTCATTGTTCAAAAGAATAAAAGCAGTAATCCAAAGAGATAGGTGAAGTTGGTGGGTGTTTTGAAGATTTAATCTACCTTAAGTTTTATTTCTTTATTTTCATTAGCTGTTTCTTCTTTTAATTTTTAAAGAAATTTTTAATTTTTAATTGATACATTATTTTTCTACATATTTATATGGTACATGTGATATTTTCTTAAATGTATAGAATTTGCAATGATCAAGTCAGTGTATTTAGGATAATCATCACCATGAGCGTTTATAATTTCTATATATTTCTATATATATATATATATTTATCATTTCTATATATTTCAAGTCTTCACTTCTGGCTACTTGCAATGTACAATACATTGTTGATAACTTTAGTCACCCTAATCTACCATTGAGCATTAGAACTTATTTCTTCTAATTGTATGCCATTAACCAATCTCTCTTCATCTCCCTCTCCACACACACTCACATCCTTCCCAGCCTCTGGTAAGTATCATTCTACTCTGTCTCCATGAGACCAAGTTTTTTTGCTCCCACAGTGAGTGGGAATGCATCTTTACAATGATAGAATTTGGGTAGAATTCCATAAGAAATAAAGCTGATGGGATCGATATAATAATTGCTGTATTATATTATAAGTCCACTTTCATAGATATCTATTGATACAATGCGCATAGTGGGATGTGGTTCAGGCTCTCTAGTTCTAGGGTTCTCAGTCTTGCCACTATTGACATTTTGAACCAAACAATTCTTTTTCTTTTCTTTTCTTTTCTTTTTTTTTTTTTGAGACAGAGTCTTGGTCTGTCACCCAGGCTGGAGTGCAATGGCATGATCGCACTGTAAACCCTATCTCCCAGGTTCAAGTGATCCTCCTGCCTCAGCCTCCCAAGTAGCTGCAAAAACAGGTGTATGCCAACATGCCCAGCTAATTTCTGTATTTTTAATAGATACAGGGTTTCACCATGTTGGCCAGGCTGGTCTCCAACTCTTGACCTCAGGTGATCCAACCATCTCAGCCTCCCAAAGTGCTGAAATTACAGTTGTGAGCCACTGCGCCTGGCCAAAACAATTCTTTTTGTGGGGACTGTCTTGTGCATTGTAGGATGTCTGACAGCATCTCTGGCCTCTACTCAACAGATGCCAGTAGTACCACAGTTGTGACAATCTTAAATGTCTCTAGATTTTCCAAATGCTTGAGACAAAAGTAGTCCAGTTGAGAGCCACTGAGTTAGAGGATACTGTATTCTAATTTATCAACTAAAGATACCACTTTCCCTTTTCTTCTCCTCCATGATTTTGCTAATTCACCTGATCTTCATCCTCTCTCTCTCCTCTGCCTACAAATGTAGTCATTCTTCATGCAAACCTCTCACGCTTTATAGAAATGTCCCATTGCATTAAAGTTCAGTTATAACGCAATGGTAAATGTCAAAGCAACATTTATGGAGACAAACTCTTAAATAGACAAGGACTGGTGAACATAGCATCAGTTATGCTTTTTGGTTCCAATATTGTATATTGAAACCAGTCTGTAAATGCACTAGTTTATTACATAGATCTAGACATCATAATGGTATTCGTCAAAGAGATATTTTACCTGTATCTCATTGTTCTCAGTTGCATAGTCAAGAGTAGAACATTTTTCTACTCATCTGAAGAAACTTTGTATGCCAACAGCTACAACTAGTCTGATTCTTATAAGTAGACAGTATAAGATTTCTTGCATGCAAACACCATAATCATATTTTGTTTTCAACAAAGAACCATCTGTTTTCTAAAGGATGTGCTCCCAGGCATGCAATATTTCATTTAGATATTATGGCGCTGCTGCTATATTATCCTTGCTATGTGAGCCATATCATTGCAAGTGTGAAGTCCACAAGCCATGTGTTGCAATAAGGTTATCTCCTTTTCTAATGTTAGTTTTGAGGCAACGTGTCAATAGTTTATGCATACAGTGACACAGAAAATCTGGGGAGTAACTAAGATAGTTCATAGTAGAGGCAATTACACTGGCAGATGGTGAATGCCCTTCGACAGTGTTCAAGTACAGGCTACAAAGTAAGAGATGCTTGCTTGGAGTGGGCAATTGGCCTATCTAATGTCCATGTTCCCTCCAAGTCTAATATTTTATTATTCTTATTTTTTAAACTTCAATTTCAATCAATTAATTAACCCTTTAACTATTTTTAGAAAGTAAATGCTATGAGCAGTAATGCCTAAATCCTATAAAATGGAGATTGTCATCTCCATTTTACAGATGGGGAAAATAATTCTTAAAAAGATAAAAGTACCCTTTTCTAACTCCGTGTCAAAGCAGAGATTTAAGCCCAGGTCCAGCTGACTACAGCGACTACCCTAAAGTAGGGGACTAGGAGTCAAAGCATATGATGAATTTTTAGCTGAGACATAATACACAAGCCAGAGATTTTTGCCACACACACAAAAAAAATTCTTCATCTTTTTTAAAAATTCTGTGCTTTGTATCACTTATGATGAGATCCTATATTAAACAAAAAACTAATTAGTCAATGAAAAAAAACCCTATTAATAAAGTGTTCTGCTACAAGTGACACTTTGTTCTCTAGTTAAGTAATTGTATTCGTTCAAAATATAATTAAATTTTTTACACACAAATAAAAGCTCAGTTGAAAAAGAAGCCTAAAGCCATACCACTTTAATTCTGTTGTCTCTTTTAAAACTGCATATACCAATTTAGCGAAATGGTTTATGTGTATGTGTCTCTGTGTGTAGAATTTTTAGGAAGTAAGCTTTAAGTCCTAGGTTTCATATATGCACCATTTCCCCCCAGACCTTCAAAAAGATTTGTAGAGAAACACAATTGAAAATAGATCAAGAATTTTATTTATGGTACAACTATTTTCCTGACAGAAGTCAGAAAATTATAAAACAAGATGGTTTTCAGTATATATATTTGAGAACAAGATGAGGAAACAAAATGCTAAAAACATGTACCAGAAATGCTATTTCTGTATAAAAATAATGAAATGTCAGGATCAAGAGGAATCCCATAAATCACTGTTATTAGCTTCTGTTTTAGTTTATTACATGCAGCTATGGATCTGAGACCTTTTTTCCTATTAAATCTACAATTGACTAAATTGACACAATTTCACTCTCTTATAAAAAAAGAGAATCCTATCTAAATTACATGATTTAGTTTTACCCATTATTTGACCTTTCCTTCGCTCATATTTCCTATTTTCAGTTTCAAGCTTTTGAAAGCTGACTTGACATACAAAGTATATTTCTGTGGCAAACAAAATAAATCAATCCCTTCAGAACGCTTTATTGCATTTATATCCCATCTTGTTCCAAAAGATAGAGAGGATTTACAAAATCATGTATAGTAATATGACAATATTTAAAGAGATAAAAGGATAGAAATGAAGAAAATAGTGAGGGAAAGCTTTATAATGTTATTTACTTTAAAAGTAAAGTTGATTAACCACTTAGTTGCTACTGCTCAAGATTATAAACAAGATAACCAATACCAGACAAACATGCTCTACTGATTTTACTTTACTAGGCCATTTCTCTTTGCTTATAGCCCACTCTTACTTGTTTCATGTAAAGTCTTTCTGGAAGAACACCAGGTTAGCATAGTATTAAAGTGAGAGTGGATACTATTTGTTGAGCATCTCCTCTGAACCACCCAAATCATCACTTATTAAATTTGGTCACATTCTAAGCTAAATTCAACTCAACCAGCAGAGATTTGTGCCCTGTTATTTCATGTTTTCCCACACATGTATTTTTTAGGTGCCCTCTGAGTATAAGCTCCTCAAGGGCAAGAACAAGGTATTTCACCCCTTTATATTGCTCACAATCCTAATTCCACCATACTCCCCCCACCATAAAAAAGTTTTATTACAAAAGCGGTCTATGGGACGAGTGATCTTTGCCCATCTTGCCTGTGTGTGTGTGTGTGTGTGTGTGTGTGTGTGCGCGCGCGTGTGTGTGTGTGTGTATTATAGTCTAAACTACTTATTACAGATTCTGAATCCCAATCCCAAAGTCTGTAAATAAAATGTGGCTTTGCAAAAGAGTTTATAGAGGTTCTTACGAGTTCAAGCATGCCCCTTCCAAAATTCACATGTTGAAGTCTTAATCCTCATTACGTCAGACCTTATTTAGAGGTAGGATATTAACAGAGGTAATCCAGGTAAAAATGAAGTCATTCAGGTGCACCCTAATCTAATATGATCAGTGTCCTTATAAGAAGAGGATACTAGGATTCAAACAGGTATAGAGGGAAGATGATGTGAAGATACAGGTAGAAGACAGCCATCTGCAAGCCAAGGGGAGATTTAGAACAGGTGTCTCCCTCATGGCCTTCAGAAAGAACATATCCTGCTGACACCTTGATCTCAAACTTTTAGCCTCCAGAATTGTGAGAAAATTAAATTCTGTTGTTTATGCTACTCTGTTTGTAGGTGCTTTTTGACAGCAACACCAGGAAACTAACACAGAAGGTTTTTTGTTTTTTTTGTTTGTTTTTTTTTTAACTTGCAGCATGTAGGTATTATTTGAGACTGTCTGAACTCATTGAGATAAGAATCATATACATTTTACTCTTCGTTTTTATATATAGCAAACTATTAAGACTATATACACAGTGGGGTCAGATATCAATATTTAGTTCTACTCGTTAATTAATGATGGTAACCTTTCACCAGTTTTGCAAGAGAGTAGTATGTGTTCTGGTCCAGTCTGAATGATAAAATTTATAGTATCCTCATAATTTTACTTGTTTAAAATTCTCATTCCAAGGTCCAATGTCAGACCTAATGAATTAGTTTCTGAGGGTGGGGCCCTGATAACTATATTTGTAAATAAACTTTTTGGATGATTCCTTTATTCATTCAAATTTGAGAACCATGGCCTATTTTGAAAATGCCATCTGCGTTTTCACTAAATATTAGTTCAATTAATTCATTAATTTATTAATAGAGACCTTACCTACTAATCATATGGGAAGAAACTTTAAAAATTATAAAAAGTTAAATATAAAATTATAATAAAAAATCAATGCAGCTTTAAAGGAGATTACATTCACACTGTTAGGAAGACAAGGAAAGCAAGCATTAATACTCAACAAATGAGCCTGAAAACATCACTAATCCATCTGCTTTACATTAAATGTCTCATTAAGATGGACAATTTTAGTGTATGGTTACTGACCCTAGTGGATTTCACCAATTATTTCATAATACTGTAATCCAAGTTACAAGTTCCAGTACATGTATTGACAATGAAATCTAATGGACTGGAAAGAAGAAAAGAATTCATTTTAAAAAATGTATTATTCTCATTATCCAAAAGTCTTCCATCAATTTGATTTGCTAAAAGTCAATAGCTTTATAGAAAAGTCTAAATATTTCTAAGTTCCTGTTTGGTAACAGGAAGAGGTATGCTGTGTAGCCAGCCTCCAAGATGGCACCCAGTGATCGTGACCTCCTGGTTTTCATACCCTTGTGTAGTCCCCTCCCATACTGAATAGACCTGACTAAACTCATTGAGATAAGAATCATGTATATTTTACTCTTTGTTTTTATATATAGCAAACTACTAAGACTATATACACAGTGGGGTCAGATATCAATATCTAGTTCTACTCCTTAATTAATGATGGCACCCTTTGACTAGTTTTCCAAGAGAATAATATGTGTTCTGGTCTAGTATGAATGATAAAATTTATAGTATCCTCAAAATGAACATTTCATTGAGGTTATACCCTGTGCTTATCCATCCAGTCGGATATTGCAAAAATGATGGAGTGGGACTTCTGAGGCTAGGTCATACAAGCTATTGTGGCTTTTCTCCTGGTTTCTCTCTCCTATTACTCTAAAAGACTCCTACTGTCATGCTGCATGGACACTTAAGTAGCCTATGGAAAGATACATATGAAGAGAAACTGCTTTCTGCCAACAGCTGACACAAACTTTCTACACATGTGAGTCAGCCATCTTGGAAGCAAAACTTCAGCCCTGGACAATCCTTCAAATAACTGCAACTTCAGCCGCTATCTTGATTGCAAACTCACGAGATACCCTAAACCAAAATCATGCGGCTAAGCCACTCCTGAATTCCTAATCCACAGAAACAGTGTGATATAGCAAAAGTTTATTTTTGCTTTTAAATATTTTGTTATGTACCAATAGATATAAACTAATACAGATATAAATGCAATAATTCCAAGGATGCTTACATGCTGGAATAGCACTTGATATTATTAATCTACCTCTCCGCAGCCCTTCAAATCCAGGTTTTATTTTCACTTTTCTACCATCTTTTCAGATAGCTCTTTCTCAATCCCTTCTGCTTTCTTTCTCCTTTTATCTCTTATGATTGATCCTTTCCAAGAGATCTGCTTTTTATTCTCTTGGTTCATTCATCCCATATCAAATCATCTTGTCTATGAGGATGGCTTTCAAATCTTTTTTTTCCAGCCCTGAATATCTCTCCTAGGGTACAATATACAAATGGCACTTGAGCGTTTCCACATGGATGCTCAAAGTCAACATAGCTGCAACTGGATTTGTCTTCTTGTCTTTAAAATTGATTGTCCTCTTCTGACTTCCTGTCTATTAGTGGGACTATTCTTCTCCCCAGTGATAAACCATTAAACTCATTGTCCAACTCTTCACTTATTTTCCCTTGGCTTCTTATTGTTAAATTCTGTGAATTTATGCTTCACAATGTCTTTAAAATCCTCTGTTTCCTTTCATTTCTATTACCTGATTTACAACCACTTCCTTGTGAAGTGATCATTACAATAACCCCATGAGGTGATAATAATAGTAACCACTGCATCTACTCTTCTTGACCTCCAACACTAATGAAATAATATTAGTTCATGACCTTCTTCCATCTGTCATGGACACAACTGTCAAATTTACCCTTCTAGACATTACATTCTTCTTCCTTCACTGAGAAACTGTCAATGGCAATTCTTTATCCTTAATTTTACCTTCCCCAACCCCTTCTCCAACTACTGCATTATTTTAATCCTCGTGAACTAAGCTGGAATTTTACTGCCATCGTAACATGACAATCATAGTTCCACCTCCATACTTTTTGTCCGGTTCACTCTCCACTCGTTAATGACCTCCTTAGTCTCTCTACATATTCATAATATTTAAATCCTTGCCATGCTTCACAACCCAACTCAAGTCTGACCTCTCTAATAGATTTTCTTTGTTCTCTCTGGTTCACAAAATATTGCCAGTATATGTATTCAAAAGTATAATAAATAGAAAAGAAATATTAATATGAAATTAAGATATTATCTATACAAGTTCTCTAACCCACTATTATACTTGCTTCTTGTTGCATTCATTTAGCAGTAAATAGTGTGTATCTTTGTACTTTCAACCAGTAAAGACCTAGCTCAACATGAATCAGCTGAAATAGAATGACATTTCTGGAAATCTCTCGAAATCTCATAATTCCATGTGGAATTATGAATGCATGTTTGTCATTAGTAAGCCAGCTCTACCCAAATAGTGCCTACATGATTAGGTCAGCATAAATCTGTTGTGATTTAAAATAGAAAGTGGCACCACCTGCCTTGTTTTCCTTGCCATTGCTCCATATTGTGATCATGCTTAATTGATTAAATGATGCTTTCTATACAACATTTTATTAGTAAGAATGGGAATTACTGTATTTCTCTTAAAACTGAACATGTTTTATATGTCCCAGAAATCTCTTAAATGCTAGTCCTAAGGGTCTAGCCCACAATGGTACTTCTCTAACAGCACCAACATAGCATATTTGCCCAAAGAGCACTACATCTAGCCATTATGATTTATCCAACTCTAAAATACTGACAATAACATTATGAATTTTTTTTCATTTTTATGAGTGTCTCCTCCCTCCATAAATTGCACACCACTGGAAGTCAGAAACGAAATTCAATAATTCATTCAAAAATGTTTTCTGAATATTAGTTCATGAAGGATCCATTAAAAATTTTGAAGCAAGAATGTATGAGGCAGAGTTCTGAGTTGCAAGCAGCAGAAATACTCTGGTCAAATTAAGAAGAAAAGAAAAACGATATATTGAAAAGCTATTGGGTGGCACACAGATTCATCTACAAGTCAGAGAACCAGGCTCAGAAAATAGCCAGGAACAAAGGGCAGCTGGTTCATGATATAAAACTGGTTGGGCAAGAGACTGAAGCTCTATATCTGACCTCTGGGCACTGGAACTACCACCACTGCTACCTACAGCACTGGACCCTGGAAGCCACTCCTGACACTATTACCTTGGAGACTGGATATTGCTGCCACTTTTGCTTTGGATTCTAATTCTATAGCAGGCATGTCTGATTGGGCTAGCACAGGTTATGCACCTCAGCTGCAAAAGGCTGAGAAAACAGTGACAATTCTTTTTACCTTCAAAAACAAGAGGCAAAATAGGTCAACCAGGGAATGAGGTTCAGATGCTAGACAACAAAAATAACTTTATAAAAAAAGGTATATATTTACTACAATGTATTATGATCATTTTGCACTTTAGAAAGATCACTATGATACCAATATTGAGAATAATTACAGAGGCAAAATTGGAGTTTTAGTTTGAAGCTGCATGCAAGACACTATGAAGCTAAGGGGATGGAGAGGAAATAACAGATTCGATAGAATGTGTAATCACAGAATTGACAGAATCTGAAGATAATTTCACTTGGTAAGTAAAGGAGGATTGTCAATAATTGCTGTTAGATTTCTGGCCAGGGAGACTATGTGAATTTAAACAGAAAATTTAGCAAATCAGTTAGGGGCATGTTGAGTATAAAGTGTCTGTGGCCATTTAAATGTGGCCATAAAATCTTTGCAGTTTTTCTTTGCAAAACTGCAAAAAAAAAATAGATTCTTGATATAATTTGGATATTTATCCCCGCCCAAACCCAGTGTTGGAGGTGGGACCTAGTGGGAAGCATTTAGATCTTAGGGGAGGATCCCTTATGGCTTGGTGCTGTTCTCACAATATTGAGTGAGTTCTCATGAGATCTGGTTGTTTAAAACACCTCCCACCCCCTCTCACTCCTGCTCTGGCCATGTGATGTGCCTGCTTCCACTTCACACTCCACCACAAATAAAAGCTCCCCAAGGCCTTCCCAGAAGCTGAGCAGATGTTGGCACCATGCTTGTACAGCCTGAAAAACCATGAAGCAAGAAAACTTCTTTCCTGTATAAATTACCCAGCCTCAGGCATTCCTTTACAGCAATGAAAGAATGGCCTAGAACAGAAAATTGGTACTGAGGAGTGAGGCATTACTATAAAGATAACTGAAAATGTGGAAGCAGCTTTGGAACTGGGTAACAGGGAGAGGTTGAAAGAGTTTGGAAGACTCAGAAGAAGACAAGAAGGTGAGGGAAAGTTTGGAATTTCTTGGAGACTGGTTAAATGGTTATGACCAAAATGCTGATAGTGACATAGACAGTGAAGGCCAGGCTGCCAAGGCCTCAGATGGAAAAGAGGAATTTATTGGGAACAGGAGCAAAGATCACCCATGCTATGCATTAGCAAAGAGCTTTGCTGTATTCTGCCCATGTCCAAGAGATATGTGGAAGTTTAAACTTAAGAGTGATGACTTAGGGTACCTGATGGAAAAAATTTCTAAGCAGAAGTGTTCAAGATGTGGCCTGGGTCCTTCTAACAACCTGTGCTCACATGTGGGAGCAAAGAAATGACTTAAAGTTGGAATTTATATTTAAACAGGAAACAGAGCACAAAAGTTTGGAAAATTTGTAGCCTGGCTATGTAACAGAGAAAGAAAAATCTTTTTCAGGAAAGGAATTCAAGCAGGCTGTGGAGCAACCACTTGCTAGAGAGATTTGCCTAAGAAGGAGCTCAGTGCTGATAGCTGAGACAATGTGGAAAAGGCCTCAAAGGTGTTTCATAGATCTCTGAGGCAGCCCCTCACATCACAGGCTCTGAAGCCTAGAAGGACTGAGTGGTTTTGTGGGCCAGGCCCACGGCCTCTTTCCTTGTGCAGCCTCCAGATACTACTCCCCACATCCTGGCTGCTCTGGCTCCAGTCTTGGCTCAAAGGGGCACAGATACAGCTGGGGCTGCTGCTTCAGAGGTGCAAGCCATAAGCCTTGAGGCTCCCATGTGATCTTAAGCCTGTAAGTGCACAAAGTCCAAGAGTAAAGGAAGCTCTGTAGCCTCCACCTAGATTTAAGAGGATGTATGAGAAAGCCTGGGTGCCCAGGCAGAAGCCTGCTGTGGGGACAGAGACCTCACAAAGAACATTTACTAGGGCAGTGTAGAGGGGAAATGTGGAGTTGGAGGCCCGTGGAGTCCCCATGGGGCACTGCCTTGTGGAGCCACCATCCTTCAGACCCCAGTAGATCCATGGCATCTGGCACCTTGCACCTGAAAAAGCCACAGGCACTCAACTCCAACATATGAGAGCAGCCAAGAGGGCTGCACCCAACAAAGCCACTGAGGCAGAGCTGCCCAAGGCCTTGGCAGCCAACCCCTTGCACCAGTGTGCCCTGGTTTTTGGACATGGAGTCAAAGGAGAGTATTTGGAGCTGTAAGATTTTGACTGCCCTGCTGCGTTTTGAACTTGTACGGAGACTATAGCCCCTTTCTTTTAGTTGATTTCTCTATTTTGGAGTGGGAATGCTTACCTAATACCTATACTCACATTGTATCTTATAAGTATATAATTTGATTTATATTTTACAGGCTCATGGGTGGAAGGGGCTTGCCTTTTCTCAGGTGAGACTTTGGGCTTTTTGGCCTTTTGAGTTAATATTGGAATGAGTTAAGATTTGGGGGGATTATTGGGAAGGCATGACTGTATTTTGCAATGTGAGAAGGACATGAGATTTGTGGGGGCCAGGAAAGGAATTATACGGTTTGGATATCTGTCTCTGCCCAAATCTCAAGTTGAGATGTAATCTCCAGTGTTGGGGTGGGACCTGGTGGGAGATGTTTAGGTCTCGGCAGAAGATTCCTCATGGCTTGGTGCTGTCTTTGCACTAATGAATGAGTTCTCAAGGGATCTGCTTGTTTAAAAGTGTGTCACCTCCCCATCCCCTTGCTCCTGCTCTGGCCATGTGATATGCCTACATGCCTGCTCCTGCTTCACCTTCTGCCATGAGTAAAAGCTCCCTGAGGCCTCCCCAGAAGCTGAGCAGATGCCAGCATCATGCTTGTACAGCCTGCAAAACCATAAGCCAATTAAATCTCTTTTCTTTATAAATCACCCAGCCTCAGGTATCCCTTTATAGCAAACAAGAATGGCCTAACACATATCTGCTTCCCCACTCCATGAAATATAGCAGGTCTCATGGTAGAAGTGATATGTGACTGGCAAGTCTCAGCCACAAGTGGTTTTGCAGTTTTCACTCTCATCCTCTTTGAACATTGTGATCACCAAATGAAGAATTCCAAGTTATCCTGGACAAGAGACCACATAGACAAAAAGAGGCTCAGCCATTCCAGCCTTCTGAGCTGAGGACTGAGATATGAAACCCACTAACTTCCTATAGCCACCTGAGTGACCCCAGGCAAGACACGCAAAAGAACCACCCAACCAAATTGCAGAATCATGATCAAGGAAATAATTGTTGAAGACACTGCATTTTGAAATTGCTTATTGTACAGCAATAGAGAAATCATGTATTGCTGATAGAATGTCCTGGAGGAGATGCCCATTTGGAGTTAGAAATGAGTCTGGAGCAAATGCGAGATAATATGACCATCACAATGTCATGCACTGCCTGAGATTATCCCATATAAGGGCATATTGTTTTAGTCATAGGCAAAGGTGATAATTTAAATCAACACCTAAGACATTAATAGAAAAAAGAAATTAGTGAAGGACATTGTAAAGGAGCTTCCAGTGATGAATCAAGCAAATCTATTCAACAACTAGGAAGTCATGGATGACCTTGGTCAAAACTAGGTAGTGTTCTTTTGAGAACTGGTGTAAATCCCAGATAACATGAATTGAGATGGGTTTAGAAGGTAAAGAAAATGAAACAGTAAGTCATAATATCTTTTTGAAAATATTTTTATATGACTAAAAGCAAAAGAGAGGGTAGAAGTTAGAGGGGTATTTTTCAAAAGATGAAAAACATATCAGCATGTTTACAAAGTGGCATGAAACTTAAAAGAGATGATGTAAGTTTCCTGAAGAAACAGTAGGGGAAGAAATTAGGCATGAGGGTAAAGGGACCAGCATTTTTCAGGAAGAAGAGTTGCACCTTTACTGACCTTGGAATAAAAAATAGAAGGACAAGTACCAGAATAGCTGATTTGGTGGGGATGGGCTAATATTTGGGAATGGGAAGCCTCAATCTACAGTAAACTAGTTGCCAGGTAGGAGCAGGAGAGGGAAGTAATTTTTGCCTAAGCTCATCCATTTTCTCTGTAAAGTTAGAGACCGTTTATCTTCTAAATGTAGGAATATATGAAAAGCTAGGAGATCCAAGGAGAGTGGCAAATATTTGAACAGAGAATAAGATAGAGTGTCTGTAATAGTTAGAATATGGCCACAAATTCTGTATCAGCCTAGTTTCAATTTTTCTTGTGATTCAGTACAATGAATTCTTATTTCTCCCCAGGTTGTGGAAATAGACAGTCACTGATTTTTTGTGTTTTGTTGTGGTTGTTGTTTTAACAATAAAAGGCCTTTCTTTTCTTCCACTGCCAAAAAAATTGACCACTTCCTGCAAAGATAGCTAGTCTGTGTGATTCCCCATTTAACTCCACCTTCTCTTCTTTTGTATTGACTCTCCCTCTTCTGTTTTCCTTTTTCAAAAAGGGAATAGATCCTTCATCCTCATTCTCTAGGTCATGCTTTCCAGTAAAGTACTTGCACAAAAAACCTTTATTGCAGGTCTAGCAACCTCATGTTATTATTTGGTTGCCCCATTTTCATTATGGCTGAGTTTAGGTTTGGCATCTCAGATATTCCCCCAGCTTTGAGTAATTTATTTTGCTGTCTGAGATCTGCCGCCATTGAGTTCTTTCTGCACAGTATTAATTACATGCCTCTTCCTCTAATCTCTATGCTTTTGGTGGTTTTCCCACTTTTGTAGAGTCTGGAGTTTTAGCTGTCTCCTAGTTTCACTAAAAATGGCACCAGAAATAGAGTTTGAGGTGTTTTCTGTTTTCTTTCCCCTTATACTGCTTGTTTGCTTTTTGAATAATTTTCAAGAAGAGAAGAGAAATGCTCATTTAATGCCACTGTGTTCCAAACGGAAATCTTAAGTTTTTCTGTAAGCAATGGTGAATCTCCTCATTAATGCCATCAATATATACATACATACATAACATACATACATGCATACATATATATATTTCAACTTTTATCTATATCTATCTATCTATCATCTAACTATATACATAGATATATAGATATTTTCATTTAGGTTCAGGAGGTACATGTACAGGTTTGTTACATCGGTATATTGCATGATGCTGAGGTCTGGGGTGTGATTGATCCCATCACCCAGGTACTGAGCACGGTATCCAATAGGTAATTTTTCAGCACTTGCCCCCTTCCAATTCTCCCCTCTCTAATAGTCCCCGGTGTCTATTGATCCCATCTTTGTGTCCATGTGTACCAAATGCTTAGCTCCCACTTATCAGTGAGTACATATATTTGGTTTTCTGTTCCTGTGTTAATTCACTTAGGATAATGACCTCAAGCTGTATCCACGTTACTGCAAAGAACATGATTTCATTCTTTTTTACTGCTTTTTAGTATTCCATGGCATATATGTACCACATTTTCTTTATCTGATCCACCATTGATGGACATCCAGGTTGGTTCCATGTCTTTGCTATTGTGAATAATGCTGGATGAACATATGAGTGCATATCTTTTTGGTAGATTGACTTATTTTCCTTTGGGTGTATACCCAGTAATGTGAATGCTGGGTTGAATGGTATTTCTATTTTAAGTTATTTGAGAAATCTCCAAACTGCTTTCCACAGTGGCTGAACTAATTTACATTCCCACCAACAGTGTATAAGCATTCCCTTTTCTCTGCAGCCTTGCCAACATTTATATTTTTTTTTTACTTTTTTTTTTTTTTTTTTTTTTTTTTTGAGGCAGGGTCTCATTCCAACGCCCAGGCTGGAGTACAGTAGCACAATCACAGCTCACTGCAGCTTGACTTCCTGGGCTGAGGTGATTCTCCCACCACAGCCTCCCAAGTAGCTGGAACTGCAAGCCCATGCCACCACACCCAGCTAATTTTTTTTGTATTTTTTTGTAGAGATGGGGGTTTCATCATGTTGCTCATGCTGGTCTCAAATTTCTGGGCTCAAGTGATCGTCCTGCCTTGGCCTCCCAAAGTGCTGGGGTTACAGTTTTGAGCCTGGCTGACTTTTAAATAATAGCCATTATGACTGGTATGAGATGGTATTGATGGCAGCGGCCCGTCTGGAGTGGCTGCTGTGTAGACGCCAGCTGCAGCAGGGGAGGTGCGACCAGAACTGTGGGCTCCATGGAGCCAGCGGCAGCTGGGAACAGGCGGGAGCTCTGCCTCCTTCTGAGTTGGCAGGGCGGGAGCCCTGTGCTCCCAGGCACAGCTGCAGCCACCCAGCTGCGGCCCCGAACCCAGGCATCCCTGTGCTCTCGGGGGCCCAAGAAAGCCCCCCACCCCCAAAGGCTCATGCCTGCTCCCGTCCCTGGTCTCTCTCTGCTCCCAGCACCCACTCTGATTTCACAGCAAAGCTGAGGCTAGGCCGGGTGCTGTTGTGACCCAGCTCAGTGTGTGCATGCGTGGGGTGGTGCAACATGCCAGCCCCCTGCTGCCTTGGCCCCCTCTGGACTTTGGGCACCTAGGAACCCGGAAGGGAGGCCAAGGGGCGCTGAGGGAGACTTGTCGCAGGCCGGCAGGCACCCCTTGGCACAAACAGCCTCGGTGCCATGGAAGGCATGATTGATGGCGGCAGGAGGCAGACAAGCCCCTAGGTGGAAAGGGGCGGGTCCCTGGTGAAGCCCCACCTTCAAGCCAGGATGCCCTGAAGCCTGGGGGCCTGGCTGTCAGTTCATGGTGGAATCCACAGCCCAGAGTGAAAACACATGGTGCTTTTTCTGGGCCCGCCCATGGCCACCCATGGCCACCCATGAACCAATCAGCATGCACTTTCTCTCTTACGAGCCCATAACACCCCCCAACCCCCACTCAGCTGGACTCACCTACTGATTTGAGGTGACATCTTTCCTATGTGCTAAATTCCCTTTTTTATGTTAGACCTACTTCTGAATTTCCTATTTAATTCCATTGATGTCTTTTTATTCAGGTGCTACATTATTTTTATTTATTATCTTTATTTTTTATTTATTATACTTTAAGTTCTGGGATACAAGTGCAGAACATGCAGGTTTGTTACATAGGTATACATGTGCCATGGTGGTTGACTGCACCCATCAACCTATCATCTACATTAGATATTTCTCCTAATGCTATCCCTCCCCTTGCCCCCCACTCCCTGACAGGCCCCAGTGTGTGATGTTCCCCTCCCTGTGTCCATGTGTTCTCATTGTTCAACTCCCACCTATGAGTGAGAACATGCAGTGTTTGATTTTCTGTTCCTGTGTTGGTTTGCTGAGGATGATAGTTTCCAGTTCCATCCATGTCCCTGCAAAGGACAGGAACTCATTCTTTTTTATGGCTGCATAGTATTCCATGGTGAATATATGCCACATTTTCTTTATCCAGTCTATCATTGATGGGCATTTGGGATGGTTCCAAGTCTTTGCTATTGTAAATAGTGCCGCAGTAAACATACATGTGCATGTATCTTTATAGTAGAATGATTTATAATCCTTTGGGTATATACCCAGTAATGGGATTGCTGGGTCAAATGGTATTTCTGGTTCTAGATCCTTGAGGAATCACCACACTGTCTTCCAGAATTGTTGAACTAATTTACACTCCCACCAATAGTGTAAAAGCGTTCCTATTTCTCCACATCCTCTCCAGCACCTGTTGTTTCCTGACTTTTAAATGATCACCATTCTAACTGGTGTGAAATGGTATCCCATTGTGGTTTTGATTTGCATTTCTCTAATGACCTGTGATGATGAGCTTTTTTTCATGTTTCTTGGCCACATAAATGTCTTCTTTTGAGAAGTATCTGTTCATGTCTTTCGCTCACTTGCTGATGGGTTGTTTGTTTTTTTCTTGTAAATTTGTTCAAGTTCCCTGTAGATTCTGGATATTAGCCCTTTGTCAGATGGATAGATTGCAAAAATTTTCTCCCATTCTGTAGGTTGCCTGTTCACTCTGATGGTAGTTTCTTTTGCTGTGCAGAAGCTCTTTAGTTTAATTAGAACCCATTTGTCAATTTTGGCTTTTCTTGCCATTGCTTTTGGTGTTTTAGACATGAAGTCCTTGCCCATGCCTATGTTCTGAATGGTATTGCCTAGGTTTTCTTCTAGGGTTTTTATGGTTTTAGGTCTTATGTTTAAGTCTTCAATCCATCTTGAGTTAATTTTTGTATAAGGTGTAAACAAGGGGTCCAGTTTCAGTTTTCTGCATATGGCTAGCCAGTTTTCCCAACACCATTTATTAAATAGGGAATCCTTTCCCCATTTCTTGTTTTTGTCAGGTTTGTCAAAGATCAGATGGTTGTAGATGTGTGGTGTTATTTCTGAGGACTCTGTTCTGTTTCATTGGTCGATATGTCTGTTTTAGTACCAGTACTATGCTGTTTTGGTTACCGTAGCCTTGTAGTATAGTTTGAAGTCAGGTAGCATGATGTCTCCAACTTTGTTGTTTTTGCTTAGGATTGTCTTGGCTATACAGGCTGTTTTTTTTGGTTCCATATAAAATTTAAAGTTGTTTTTTCTAATTCTGTGAAGAAAGTCAATGGTAGCTTGGTGGGAATAGCATTTAATCTATAAATTACTTTGGGCCGTATGGCCGTTTTCACGAAATTGATTCTTCCTATCCGTGAGCATGGAATGTTTTTCCATTTGTTTGTGTCCTCTCTTATTTCCTTGAGCAGTAGTTTGTAGTTCTCCTTGAAGAGGTCCTTCACATCCCTTCTAAGTTGGATTCCTAGGTATTTTATTCTCTTTGTAGCAATTGTGAATGGGAGTTCACTCATGATTTAGCTCTCTGTTTGTCTGTTGTATAGGAATTGGTGTATAGGAATGCTTGTGATTTTTGCACATTCATTTTGTATCCTGAGACTTTGCTGACGTTGCTTATCAGCTTAAGGAGTTTTTGGGCTGAGACAATATTTTCTAAATATACAATCATGTCATCTGCAAACAGAGACAATTTGACTTCCTCTCTTCCTATTTGAACGCTCTTTATTTCTTTCTCTTGGCTGATTGCCCTGGCCAGAACTTCCAATACTATGTTGAATAGGAGAGGTGAGAGAGGGCATCCTTGTCCTGTGCCGGTTTGCAAAGGAAATGCTTCCAGCTTTTGCGCATTCAGTATGATATTGGCTGTGGGTTTGTCATAAATAGCTCTTATTATTTTGAGATACATTCCATTAATAACTAGTTTATTGAGTGTTTTTAGCACAAAGGGGAGTTGAATTTTATCGAAGGCCTTTTCGGCATCTATTGAGATAATCATGTGGGTTTTTTCATTGGTTCTGTTTATGCGATGGATTACATTTATTGATTTGCATATGTTGAACCAGTCTTGCATCCCAGGGATGAAGCTAGCTTGATCGTGGTTGATAAGCTTTTTGATGTGCTGCTGGATTCAATTTGCCAGTATTTTATTGAGGAGAGGATTTTCACATTGATGTTCATGAGGGATATTGGCCTAAAATTTCCTTTTTTTTTTTTTTTTTTTTTTGTGATGGAGTCTTGCTTCGTCACCCAGACTGGAGTGCAGTGGTGCAATCTCAGCTCACTGCAACCTCTGCCTCCCGGGTTCAAGTGATTCTCCTGCCTCAGCCTCCTGAGTAGCTGGGACTACAGGCGTGTGCCACCACATCCAGCCAATTTTTGGTATTTTTAGTAGAGACGGGGTTTCACCGTGTTAGCCAGGATGGTCTTGATCTCCTGACCTCTTGATCTGCCCACCTGGGACTAAAATTTCCTTTTTTTTGTTGTGTCTCTGCCAGGTTTTGGTATCAGGATGATGCTGGCCTCATAAAATGAGTTAGGGAGGAGTTCCTCTTTTTCTATTGTTTGGAATAGTTTCAGAAGGAATGGTACCAGCTTCTCTTTGTACCTCTGGTAGAATTCGACTGTGAATCTGTCTGGTCCTGAGCTTTTTTGTTGGTAGTCTATTAATTACTGTCTCAATTTCAGAACTTGTTACTGGTCTATTCAGGGATTCAACTTCTTCCTGGTTTAGTCTTGGGAGGGTGTATGTGTCCAGGAATTTATCCATTTCTTCTAGATTTTCCAGTTTATCAGCGTAGAGGTGTTTATAGTATTCTCTGATGGTAGTTTGTATTTCTGTGGAATCAGTGGTGATATCCCCTTTATCATTTGTTATTGTGTCTATTTGATTCTTCTCTCTTTTCTTCTTTATTACTCTGGCTAGCCAACTATCTATTTTGTTAATCTTTTCAAAAAATCAGCTCCTGGATTCATTGATTTTTTGAAGGGTTTTTCATGTCTCTGTCTCCTTCAGTTTTGCTCTGATCTTGTCTTAGTTATTATTTCTTGTCTTCTGCTAGCTTTTGAATTTGTTTGCTCTTGCTTCTCTACTTCTTCTTATTGCAATGTTAGCATGTTGATTTTAGATCTTCCCCACTTTCTCATGTGGGCATTTAGTGCTATAAATCTCCCTCTAAACACTGCTTTAGCTGTTTCCCAGAGATTCTGGTACGTTGTGTCTTTGTTCTCATTGGTTTCAAAGAACTTATTAATATTTTTAGGTGTAAATTTGATCCTGCTATAATGCTAGCTGGTTACGGTTATTTTGCACATTAGTTTATGCAGTTTCTTCATAGTGTCAATGGTCTTTACATTTTGGTATGTTTTTGCAGTGGCTGGTACCGGTTTTTCCTTTCCATATTTGGTGCTTCCTTCAAGAGCTCTTGTAAGGCAGGCCTGGTGGTGACAAAAATCCCTCAGCATTTGCTTGTCTGTAAAGGATTTTATTTCTCCTTCGCTTATGAAGCTTAGTTTGGCTGGCTATGAAGTTCTGGGCTGAAAATTATTTACTTTAAGAATGTTATATTTTGGCCTAGCCCCCACTCTCTTCTGGCTTGTAGGGTTTCTGCAGAGAGATCTGCTGTTAGTCTGATGGGCTTCCATTTGTGGTTTACCTTACCTTTCTCTCTGGCTGTTGTTAATATTTTTTCCTTCATTTCAACCTTGGTGAATCTGATGATTATGTGTCTTGGGGTTTCTCTTCTCGAGGAGTATCTTTGTGGTGTTCTCTGTGTTTCCTGAATTTGAATGTTGGCCTGTCTTGCTAGGCTGGGGAAGTTCTCCTGCATAATATCCTGAAGTATGTTTTCCAACCTGGCTCTATTCTCTCCATCACTTTCAGGTACACCAATCAAATGTAGGTTTGGTCTTTTCACATTGTCCCATATTTCTGGAGGCTTTGTTCGTTCCGTTTCTTTCTTTTTTCTCTAATCTTGTCTTCATGCTTTATTTCATTAAGTTGATCTTCAGTCTCTGATATCCTTTCTTCTGTTTGATCAATTCAGCTACTGATACTTGTGTATGCTTCATGAAGTTCTCATGCTGTGTTTTTCAGCTCCATCAGGTCATTTACATTCTTCTCTAAACTGGCTATTCTACTTAGCAGTTCCTGTAACCTTTGATAAAGTTTCTTAGCTTCCTTGCATTGGATTAGAACACGCTCCTTTAGCTCAGAGGAGTTTGTAATTACCCATCTTCTGAAGCCTACTTCTGTCAATTCATCAAACTCATTCTCCATCCAGTTTTGTTCCCTTGCTGGCAAGGAGTTGTGATCCTTTGGAGGAGAAGAAGCATTCTGGTTTATGGAATTTTCAGCCTTTTTGCGTTGGTTTTTCCTCATCTTCGTGGATTTATCTACCTTTGATCTTTGATGTTGATGACCTTTGGATAGGGTTTTTTCATGGGCATCCTTTTTGTTGATGTTGATGTTATTGCTTTCTGTTTGTTAGTTTTCCATCTAACAGTCAGGACCCTCTTCTGCAAGTCTGCTGGAGTTTGCTGGGGGTCCACTCCAAACCCTGTTTGCCTGGGTATCACCAGCAGAAGCTGTAGAACAGCAAAGATTGCTGCCTGTTCCTTCCTCTGGAAGCTTTGTCCCAGAGGGACACCTGCCAGATGCTAGCCGGAGCTCTCCTGTATGAGGTGTCTGTCGACCCCTGCTGGGAGGTATCTCCCAGTCAAGAGGCACGGGGTTCAGGGACCCAGTTGAGGAGGCAGTCTGTACCTTAGCAGAGCTCAAGCACTGTGCTGGGAGATCGGCTGCTCTCTTCAGAGCCTGCAGGTAGGAACGTTTAAGTCTGCTGAAGCTGTGCCCACAGCCACTCCTTCCCCCAGGTGCCCTCTCCCAGGGAAATGGGAGTTTTTATCTATAAGCCCCTGACTGGGGCTGCTGCCTTTCTTTCAGGGATGCCCTTCCCAGAAAGGAGGAATCTAGAGATGTGGTCTGGCTACAGCAGCTTTGCTGCACTGCGATGGGATTCGTCCCATTTGAACTTCCCTCTGGCATTTTTTTTAACACCGTGAGGGGAAAACCGCCTATTCAAGTCCCAGTAATGCCGGATGCCCCTACCCCCCAGCAAGCTGGAGCATCCCAGGTGGATTTCAGACTGCTGTGCTGGCAGCGAGAATTTCACGTCAGTGGATCTTAGCTTGCTGGGCTCCGTGGGTGTAGGATCTGCTGAGCAAGACCACTTGGCTCCCTGGCTTCAGCCCCCCTTTCCAGGGGAGTGAATGGTTCTGTCCATTCTGGCTCTGCTTGGCTTTCCAGCCTCCTGCAGCTAGCTCAGTGTCTGCCCTAACAACCACCCAGTTTTGTGCTTGAAACTCAGGACCCTGGTGGTGTAGGCAGCCAGGGGAATCTCCTGGTCTGCGGGTTGCGAAGACTGTGGGAAAAGCATAGTATTTGAGCCGGATTGCACCGTCCCTCAAGGCACATTCCCTCACTGCTTCCCTTGGCTGGGAAGGGAGTTCCCCAACCTCTTGTGCTTCCTGGGTGAGGTGACCACCCCCACCCCCCACCGCCTGACCCGCTTTGGCTTGCCCTCCATGGGCTGCACCCACTGTATTACCAGTCCCAATGAGATGAGCCAGGTACCCCAGTTGTAAATGCAGAAATCACTCACCTTCTGTGTTGTTCTCACTGGGAGCTGCAGACCAGAGCTGTTCCTATTTGGCCAGCTTGCCAGATCTCACACATTATTTTTATTATTGAAGATTTAAAATGTGTTTAAATGTGTGAAAGAACTAGTTCTCTTTATGATCACTTTTCCAGATTTTTCTTGACTATTTTTGTTTTTTATTTTTTCATTTGAACTTTAGTATTAGCTTGTCTCTGATTACAAAATAAAAATGCTGTTGCTATTTTTATTGAATTAAATTTTTGTGATGTTGACTTTTCCTATCTAAGAAATTATATGCTTTCCCATTTATTCATTTTATTTTGTGTTTTTTGGTAGCATCTTAAAATGTTCTTTATATAAATCATGCCCATCTCTCATACTTATTCCTAAGCGTTTTATCTTTTTTGTTGAATTGTAAATAGAGTCTTTTCTTCTCTTTTATCATATATATATAATTCACTTCTGTAGATTGCATACCCACAAACTTACTAAGTTCTCTGATTTTGGTTGGTTTCTTTGATTTTTTGTCATGAAATTGGACCTACATCTATATTGAATCTTAGCTTTGCTAGATTTAATATGCCTTGAAGTCAAGAGCTACACCAATCCTTTGCATTTGGTAAATGATGCTATTTGATCCCAGGTCACATCTTCTATAAAAGCATTATTTCATCCTGGTTTTGGCATATGAAGCAATGTTATGGCTGATGTTGATTTGTTTGCTTTTCTTCAATATTTAAAACAATATCCAGTTGTTAGTTTTTTGTTATCAATCCATGAGTATCTTGGAAGAGTACTATAATTTTACACTTTATCAAAAGAGGAAATATGTGGCTTTTATTGCTCAAACAAATAAGTTTCAGCAGGGCACGGCTGCTCACACCTGTAATCCCAGCACTTTGGGAGGCTGAAGCAGGTGGATCACCTGAGGTCGGGAGTTCGAGACCAGCCTGACCAACATGGAGAAACCCCATCTCAACTAAAAATACAAAATTAGCCGGGCATAGTGGTGCATGCCTGTAATACTAGCTACTCAGGAGACTGAGACAGGAGAATCACTTGAACCTAGGAGGTCAAGGTTGCGGTGAGCCAAGATCACACCATTGCACTCCAGCCTGGGCAACAAGAATGAAACTCTGTCAAAAAAAAAAGAAAGAAAGAAAGAAAGAAAATTTCAATTATTCTAGGATATGTCTTTTCTCTTACCATGAATCATCCAACTGATTACCCACATGGGCCTCACACTAGACCAAGTACTTTTTGAGCAGCATAGTATCAGAAGTACCAGCTATTGTGAGCCAAGAATGTGAATACTGAAGAAAAGCTGGAAAGATCAAGCACTATCAATGATCGAAGCTAAGGCAGGTAGGCAAATTGATGTCAGCATGCATCTATAAACCACAATAGTCAGAAGCCAAGCAAGTAGACAATAATTGGTGAGTGAAGTTGGGGGTGGGGGGTGATATGTAATAGAGCATGAGAAAAATCAATGGCAAAAAGACTAGATAGAAATATTATATGTAACTCATGAAAGACCAAAGACAAATTGTCCAACAATAAAGGAAAAAGCTACAGTAAATATGCTAGACTATATGCAGCTATTAAAATTATAACTCTGATCATTAGGTAGAAACATTGAAAAGTATTTACAAAATGATTCTAAGTGAATAAAAAAGTCATAATAACTACATATTCAGTATTTATTATTTCTAATTTAAAAACCAACTATAAAGGCAAAATAATGGAGACAAAAATATCAGTTGTTTCCAGAGGTCAGAAGGGAGTGAAGCACAGAGAATCTTAAGAGCAGAGAAACTACTCTGTATGACGTAGCCATGCATCACTTAACAACAGGGAAACATTCTGAGCAATGCGCCATTAGGCAATTTCATTGCTGTGCGAACATCACAGAATATACTTCTACCAATCTGGATGCTGTAGCCTACACATACAGCCTATTGCTCCTAGTCTACAAACCTAGGCAGCATGTTACTACATTGAATATTATAGGCAATTATATCACAATGGTAAGTATATGTGTATCTGAACATATCTAAACATTGAAAAGATACGGTAAAGTTACAGTATTATAATCTTATGAGACCATCCTTGTATATGCAGTCTGTGATTGACTGAGATGTTGTTATGCAACAAATGACTGTACCATAATGTTGGATATAGGTCATTATACATTTATCCAAACCCATAAAATGTACAACACCAAGGGTGAACCCTAATGTAAACTATGGACTTCGGGTGATAATGATGTGTCAATGTAGGTTCATTAACTGTAATGGATGTAGCATTCTAGAGGGGAATGTTGATCATGGGGGAGGCTATACATGTCTCAGGGCAGGGGACATATGGGAAATCTCTATATCTTCCACTCAATTTTTCTGTGATCTGAAATCTGCTCTAAAAAATAAAGATTTTATTTTTAAAAATTAACTACATGTGGACAAAATTTGTGAAATAACACGAAGAAATAACTATTAGAGAGTTGGGATTATGTTGTGATTTAGAAAATAGACTTTTTGTTGATTGATTTAGCCAAAAAAAATTTAATTCTATTGTAAAGATATGAGTTTAAGAAAATGGGCAAAGTGATGACAAAAAGAAAACCTGATAACTAAGGCTGGCATTTGCTTTAATCAAGAAATTATATATGCCTCCCATTGTTATCATTAATAAGAGCTAATACTTGTATATTATTTCCTGCATGCTGAGTCCTTAAAACAAAAATTAGTCCTCACCTATGATTAGAATCCACTTTGCGTATATCTTTTCTTTCATTCCTGTCAGAAATGGATAAAATGAGAGTATGCCACTGCATATGGAGAAAACAAGAGACATAGCAAAATAAAGGTATTTTTCTGCTTTCACTGTATAAGGATACAAGAGAAATATACAAGATGACTTCTGCCCTCAAGGCCTTTAGAACTTAGCTGGGGGAAACTGTACCTGAAATAATTGGCAGCGAAAGATACTGTTTTCTGTTGCATCAAAGTGCAATAAAATATTTTAAAAAGATAACAAATACATGAAAACAACTCCACCAGTGTTCCTCAATAGGAGTGCTGTTAGAATTAGTGACAGAACATTTCTTTCTTTGTGCAGAACTCTCTCATGCATTGTAAGATTGCTTACATCCCTGGCCCCTGTCCTTTAAATGCCAGGTGTTCCCAGCCATTGTGTCAAACAAAAATAAATTTAATTTCAAATGCCTCTCACATTTATTTACAAATTAAGACTCTTTAGACCAAACATTTTCAAACTCTAGTGTTCCAAAGAATCTTAAGTGCTTTGGTGCATCCTGTTCAACTTATCAATATTGAAAACCATAGTAAAAATAATACTGATAACCTGTGTATGCAAAACCCTTAGACATCTTTGACTCCTCTCTTCTCTCATCTTCCACATTAGATCAAGCAACACTGCTCTGTCTGCTCTACCTTTAAAACCCCATTCACGGTCCAACCATTTCTGTCTACCATACCACGTTGTCCAAACTCCCATCATCCCTCACCTGGATTATTGCAGTAGCTTCTTGTTGTGGACTGAATGTCTATGTCTCCCCAAAATTCATAAGTGAAGCCCTAACCTGCAATGTGCTGGTATTTGGAGACAGGGCCTTTGGGAGGTTAGATGAGGTCATGAGGGTGGAGCCCTGGTACAATGGATTAGTGTCCTTATTAGAAGGCTCACAAGAAAGCGCTCTCTTTCTCCCTCTCTTCCTCTTCCTCTCCTAATTCCTCCCCCAACCCAGGCACACCCATCAAGGGAAGGCCATATGAACACATGGCGAGATGGTGGCTGCCTTTAAGCTAAGAGAAGAGGCCTCCCAGTGACACTTACCTTGCTGGTACTTTGGTCTTATGCTTCACGGCCTCCAAAACCATGAGAAATAAATGTCTGTTGTTTAAGACACCCAGCCTGTGCTATTTTCTTTTGGCAGCCTGAGCCACCTAGTACCCCTCCCAACTAGTTGCTTGGCGTTCCCTTTGCCTTGTTCAGCCCATTCTCAGCATTGTGCTGAGAGTGATCCTGGTAAAAACGTAAGTCAGATTACATCATGTCCTCCTCAGAACACACCCATGACTTCTTCTTTTCTCATGAACATTACAAAAGGTTTTTACATAACCCTTGTGACTTGGGCCATGTGAACTTTTTGGCATGGCCTTTTAATACCCTTCCTGGCCTCCTCACCCAGAACACAGGCTTGCTGGTCCTCCGGTGTGCCAGGTTCGCTCTCTCCACAGGGCCTTTGCACAGCCTGTTCCATCTCTGGAGAGCTCCTCCCTTGCTCCCTCGACCATGAATTTCTTTACTCAGATTTCCATGGTCACCTTAGCTAGTGCCAATGCCCTTTCTCTCACACATCCACTTCCTATCTCCTTCCTTTAATTGACTGTTCTCATTGTCCTGTGCTGCTTTTTTTCTTTCCATAGCACATTATATATTTTACTTATTTATCTTGTTTATTGTTAGCTCATCCTCCCCATGAGAAAATCACCTCCATCGGGACAGGGGTTTTCTTTTCCGTGTTGTTCATTGCTGTTTTCCCAGTATCTGAAAAAGTATTTCTCAATATTTTTTTCATTATTGTTCCCCTAGGACTTTTTCAGGCATCTTTTTTCCTAATCGCCACCCTATGAAATTTTAATACCACAGATAGGCTGTATATATGATTATGTTTGGGGGGCCACAAACCATTTCAATATCTAACATTTTTCACCCTCAATAACTAATATTTTCTCCCTTGGCATATTATCACCATATTGAGGGTACATGATTGAGAATAAGGCCTTGGTAAATAACTAGCTGTTGAGAATAGCACATGGTAAATAACTATATGTTGAATAAATGAATGATTTAAATAATATATATACATAAAATTTATCACTGAATACCATCAACATGTTAACTTATGCAATATAAAATAACTTTATGCAAATTTCAGAAAGTTTTTCTGTTCCTTCTGTTTAATAGAAAATTCTGAGATTGAAGCCAGGCATGCTGGCTCACGCCTGTAATCCGAGCACTTTGGGAGGCCGAGGCGGGTGGATCACTTGAGGTCAGGAATTCTAGACCAGCCTGGCCAACTTGGTGAAACCCCGTCTCTACAAAAATACAAAAATTAGCCGGGCATGGGGGCGGTGGCACGTGCCTGTAATCCCAGCTACTCGGGAGGCTGAGGTGGAAGAATTGCTTGAACCCAGGAGCTGGAGGTTGCAGTGAGCTGAAATCCAGCCTGGGTGACAGAACGAGACTCCGTCTCAAAAAAATAAATAAATAAATAAGTAAATACAATAAAATAAAATAAAATTCTGAGATTGTTAATATTTATAACTATTTGACTCTATGAATCATAGTCCATTTTTTTTTTTTTTTTTTAGACAGAATCTGGCTCTGTTGCCCAGGCTGGAGTGCAATGACGCGATCTCAGCTCACTGCAAACTCCGCCTCCTGGATTCAAGCGATTCTCCTGTCTCAGCCTCCTGAGTAGCTGGGATTACAGGCATTGAAAAGATAAGTAAAGTTACAGTATTATAATCTTATGGCACATTCCTTGTATATGCAGTCCATGGTTGACTGAGATGTTGTTATGCAACAAATGACTGTACCATAATGTTGGATATATGGTGCCCGCCACCATGCCTACCCCACTAATTTTTGTATTTTTAGTAGAGATGGGATTTCACCATGTTGGTCAGGCTGGTCCCGAACTGCTGACCTCATGATCCACCCACCTCGGTATCCCAAAGTGCTGGGATTATAGGCGTGAGCCACCACGCCCGATGAATCATAGTCTTTTAAAATATTAAGTAACCATAATAAAATAAGACATAAATTTCAGTTTGAGGCTAAATATAAGACCACTATACTTATCTATATACCTTGATTCCAAACTTTTTATTAATTGAAACATTAAGTCTCACTAGCTTGGTAATTAAACTCTGTACATTCAAATGTATATCTATAAGATTTTGCATGACCACGTTACTTAAAACTTTAAAAAGCATTGCATTCAACTGCCTGCTCCCAGAGGCAAGAGGGACTGTGATTATCTGTCTTCATAGTTCCACTGCCTTGTTGAGTACCTGGCACATAGTGTGCACCTAATAAAGACAGTTTAAATGGTTATAGGCTGATTCTATTCAGGAGAAGTTTATGAAGAAGGTAGAACTTGAATAGAGACTAAAAGCTATACTGAATTTACATAGAGCAAACATTTCCTACTGGAGAGAACATCAGGAGGAAGGACTGTCAATTGTACATTTGGGAACACAGAGAAATCATCTTAGGTATATAAAAGAAATTCAATTATGAAAAGCCTTGAAAACGAACCTGAGGAGTTTGGACTAAAAGCAAAAAGAAACCATTATAAGAATTTATGAAGTAGAGTGACATCATGAAAGTTGTCTTTTAGGAAAAGTCACCTGGCAACAGTATGAAAGGTGAATTAGGAGAGAATGAGAGGATGTAGATTAGTCAAGAGACTATCAGTTATTGGATGTGAATTAAAGAGATGACCTTTGTAATAGGGAAGAGTGGAGAGACTGAGGCAATTTCAGAAAACTAGGTAGAGCCATTTTCTCATTAAGAGCCTTTGGCTGCAAGTAACAGAAATGAGATTAAACAACAAGAAAAAATATTGAGTCCCACTGCTGGATATCCAAATGTAGTGCCCTTTCAGGGACAGGCTTACTCCAGTTTTCTTCCAGCTCCATTTCTCCGAGATTCATTTGACTCAGTGCTCCTCTATTTGTCAGTCTCATGTTCCAGGTAGCATGAACCTAGCGACTTCAGTTCCATCACATCCACACATGAACAAATCCTGAGAAAAAGCAAGAAAAAACATAGAGAAAGAATTACTCCTGAAAGCTTTTTCAGAAATGCAATAAAGAATTTCCCGAGAATCACTAATAAATCTTTTCTTGAATCTCAGGGACATTAACTGGTTTGTATGCCAATTACTAAAGCAATGTGGCATGAAGAAAGAGGATTCTCCTTGGACCATTCTAGTGCCTTCCTGGGCTTGGGAGAGAGTTTGACTTCTGAGCCACATGGGCTGCCTAGGGGAGGATTTGGATACTGTACCAAAACTGGAGTTTAAGAGAAGAGGAAAGGGGTAAGGGATGCTGGGTGTACAGCCAACAATGCAATGAAGAAGAGAACAGAATTTAAGATGATTCCTCGTTTCTAGCTATTCAGTGGTATGACAGGTAAGAGAGACTAGTTTGAGGGTCAGAGATGAATTTAAACTCCATTTTTAGAGAGATTATATTAAACTGCAAAATGCTACTCAAAGATACTGTGGCTTCCTTATTAGTAATTGAATAGGCAGTGAAGAATGACCCTGAGCCCTAAGGGATATCTCAGAGCTGGAAAGAGAAATTTAGATGTCATCCATATGGAAGTGAATGAGCTCCCCAGGGAGTGGTTATAGAAAAAGGACCCATGATGAGTCTTAGCCTCAGATTGGAGGGAGGAGGAAAATCAGATGTTAGGAGATTAAAGAAAAAGAGCTGTCAGAGAGAGATCAAAGGAGTAGTAAATGTGATATAATCATGGAAGTTGAAAAAAAAATTCATGATGAAGATATCAAATGTTACCTAAAGATTATGAAGAAAGAGAGCTGACAAAGCCAAATTTGGGGCTTTAATGGAACAAGATGTATGTAAGGAAGTTATTAAAAGATTCATGAAAGATTTCCAAACAGCAGCAAAGACTGAATTGAAATTCTCAGAATAAATCTGCAATAGGCCAGGTCAACTGAGTTCCTTTCACAATCCAATATGGCTCCTGCATAAGAAAAAAAAAAAAGAATGATTTGATCATTAAAGATGCACAATTGGGTTTGGAAAAAGATACAGAGGTGAGAGAATTTAGAGTCCTGAAAAATCAATATGAAATCGTTGAGTATGGAATTCACGCTGTAGAGGGAATCCTCAGCCAAAGGATGAGAATGGACTGAAACTCAGCCTTTGGTTCTGTTTCATTGGATTTGCAATATAATATAGCAGACTTACTAGCTTAATGTCTTGGTTTGAGTTCCCTTGAAAGCACAGCTTAAAATAAGGGCTTGGGTACAGGTGGTTTATAAGGGAGGCTAGGCTAGGAAAAAGAATATGAGGAGTAAGACAAGGAAGTGATAAAAACTGATGTGTGTTATTGATTTCAGCCAACTATTGCTGACAGTTCAAAGTCTGCAGTGTAGTTACCGGAATCCCACCTCAAGCTCACGTGATGATGTTTCTGTTTCTCTGCCACAAAGCTTTCTTTAAAGCTCAGTTAACAACACAGCCTGAAATTTCAGAGGTGTTAAGAACTCTAGGCAACCCTCAACCAGTGGGAGAAGGCAGGGTGAATAAGGGCCTGCTGTACCAGCCAGTTACCACTGTAGGCAATTGAGACTCAATCCCTCTGGGGACACACAGAGGAATTGTGAAGAATGCCCTTGGAATGGTCCCATCAAATAACAGGGAAGTTGAACCCTGGTTGAAGGTTTCCCCCAGATGATAACACCAGCACAATCCCAAGTTACACCTGCACAGGTGTTTCAGAGAAAGCCCTAAGGCAGAAAAGCAAAGAGCAACTACCACATGTGCTTGAAGTGAGACACTAGTAATTGCATGCCACTGTCACCACAGCTGTCCATCACAGCTGCCCACCACAGCTGCTCAGAAATCAGTAGCCCAAGAAGCTGTGACATGGGCATCACACACAGCTGCTACACCAAGGTTTCTCTACCACAACACTACTGACATTTTGGACTAGATAATTATTTGTCATGGGGACTGGCATGTGCCTTGTAGGATGTTAACCAGCACCCCTGGACTTTACTGACTACATGCCAGCTGCCCCCTGTCCAGTTGTGACAAGAAAAAATATCTCTAGACATGGTCAAGTGTCCCTAGGGAGGCAAAAATCACACCCAGTTGAGAACCACTGTGCAACACTGTGTAACCTTGGGCAAGTTGCTTCACTTCTCTAAATCTGTTCTTTTTTTTTTCTTTTTTCTTTTTTTTCTTTTTTTTTTTTTTTTTGAGATGGACTCTTGTTCTGTTGCCCAGGCTGGAGTGCAGTGGTGCCATCTCGGCTCACTGCAACCTCTGCCTCCTGGGTTCAAGCTATTCTCCTACCTCAGCCTCCCAAGTAGCTGGGATGACAGGCGTGAACCACCACACCTGGCTAATTTTTGTATTTTTAGTAGAGACAGGGTTTCACCATGTTGGCCAGCTGGTCTCGAACTCCTGACCTCAGGTGATCCGCCCACCTTGGCCTCTCAAAGTGCTGGGATTACAGGTGTGAGCCACGGTGCCCAGCCCTCTAAATCTGTTTCTTGTCTATAAAATGAGTATAATAATAGTACTGACCTCATAGGTTTAGAAGATGATTAAATGAATTGGTGAACATTAAGCACTTATCAGAGTAAATGGACACTTAAGTGCATAGTATGTGTTTAATAATAAGGTAATAATAATAATGGCAGTACTGTAAAAAAATCTGATTTTATAGTGATATATTTTTATGGCTAGAATTCAAGGTTTAATTTCCTCTTCTTTGATTAAAATAATAAAATAAGGTACTCATTAGTAATAAAAATAAGGTACTTATTCCTAATATCTATTTCAGCAAATGAATCAAAGGCTGAATCTCAATGTGAATAAATCAAAGTGAAAAAGTTTGACATCAGTCACTTTTGATCTTTCATTACCAAACACCAATTAATGCTCTTAAGTTAAACATGACCACGTGTCATTTTGTTGTAGCTAAGTGAATTCGGAGTGTGAAGGAGATAAAAAGAACTCTGCTTAAAAAGTAAATAGAAAATTTGAATGCTGTGTATTTCAGAATAATCTTGCAGACTTTACACCTCAGTATTTTATAAAATACAGATTTAAAATGTACATTTAGTAAAACAAATTTTTTAGCATAGTCTGCAATCTCTGACTTAAAGACATGAATATTTTGGGTTTATTAGCATAAATTGAATACCAGCATGCAAACACTGAAATGAATTTAAGGAAATTGTTAATGATTCATTACATAGAGTAATTAGGTTTTTGTATGATTAGAGTAAATGCGTTAGCAAAATCAATTATGCACTGATACAGTGAAAAACCACTCTCAGGAAAGAAGTCAATGGTGTAATAAAAAGGACATTTTTGCAGGGCTCCTCCTGCACTTTCTTGACAATCACAAACAGCTGTTGCCATCTGCCAGGGTGAGCCCTTGGCAAAAAGGCATGACAAACCTCTGCCAAACCCTGGTCTGTTGAAAGTGTCCACCCCACAACTCTCAGAGACCGAGTATCCTTAAGAGATAGTAAATGAATCTCCAGTGAAACTGGCTTATGTCATTTTTAAGGGATTGTAGGCGAAAGCAAACAAGATAACACAGAAGAAGTGCATTCGTGGAGAATTGCCTTTGTGGCTCTGCTTCTATTACTTTAAATCTTTTAGAGGGTATACGCTTTTCCCCTCAATGGAATCATTGTTCAAACTTATTGTATGGTGTTGTAACTACTTCTTAATGTGTATTAAACTGCTAGTACAAGTGCCAAGACATTGTCATCTTTGTATCTCCAAGACCTAGCACAGAGCACGCACTCAGTGAGTAAAAGAATGAATAAAAGTATTGGTCCAGGCCTGGTGCAGTGGCTAACACCTGTTAATCCCAACACTTTGGGAGGCCAAGGCAGGTGGATCACCTGGGGTCAGGAGTTTGAGACCAGCCTGGCCAACATGGTGAAACCCTGTCTCTACTAAAAATACAAAAACTAGCCGGGTGCGGTGGCTCATGCCTGGAATCCCAGCTACTTGTGAGGCTGAAGCAAGGGAATTGCTTGAACTCAGGAAGCAGAGGTTGCAGTGAGCTGAGATTGCGCCACTGCACTCCAGCCTGGGCAACAGAGGGCAACTCTGTCTCAAAAAAAAAATATATATATATATGTGTGTGTGTGTGTGTGTGTGTGTGTGTGTGTGTGTGTATGTATGTCCAGCTTACCATGACTGCTGTACCAGGCTCCAAGATCAGTTGTGAATTTCAAATATCAATCTCAGCCTTCACAGGGTTATCTTAAGTACTGTACCTCAGGACCACTGACTCTTCTCATCATGTGTCAGCCTTCCTAGAATAGACACAGTCTGAAGCAGCAGGAAATGAGGCAATGAGAGCCATGTGACATAGGCCACATCTACACCCCTGAAGAAAAGAAGTTAGGCAATCTTCTAGATCATTGACATAGAAAAAGATTTTTGCCAGGAAATGCCAGATAACTCAGGCGAAGTGCTTTTTTCTCTGCTTGAATTAATAGTATAATTGCCTCAGTTCTCCATTTGTCTATTTTTGTTCAGACACAGCTTCAGATAAAATCATTTGCAGCAAAGAGTCCTAGGGGAATAAAAGAAAAGGAGCCCAGAGACAAAGGAGGAACCTTCTAAACTAGTTCAACTGTGTCACAGAACAGCCTGAATGCATCCAGGTGGCAGTATGGAAATTAGGAAGCGAAACTGGATCTATGCAAATGATGAGGAAATGCTTATTTGAATTTCACAAACAAGAGCGTTAGCTATTTTCACAATGTGAAGCATTTGATTTTACCTCAATGTGTCAATATTTCAAAGGCAGGTCCTTGCAGATCAATTGCTTCTATTTCTTTTCTGTGGATGTTGACTGCAAAGAGGCTTTTCTGTAAGAATGCAATCTAGAAAAGTTTAAAAGCAATAGTGGTAGAGATGAAATGGTTTTAAAAACTAAACTTAAATAATAATACTGTCTCCTAGGAAGTGATTTTGAATAATAATTTTAAAAATCAAATTAAGTCCAGTAGAGTCTCACATCAATGTTATCTCTGAAGCCCCGGCTCTGAGATCATGCTAGAGGTGGAATCATATATTAACAAGCATCTTCCGGGGCTGTCATTATCATTCTCTGTTATATTTTATTCAAGACAATTTATCTGCTATTGCTTAGCCATCTTTATAGCTTCAAGTTTCAGATTATGAGTGATCACAACAGAGTTCTAAAATCTGATAGAAAAGTAAACAGACACCATATAAATTAGAATGCAATTAGATGTAAGAAAGCTTTGTAAACTGCAACACACCATGCAAATCTGTTATTATGGTACAGAAGGCTCATTGAAGCCTGTTTTTTTCCCTTTTAACAAAATGATGTGACTAATTATGAAGATAAAAACTCGTTAAATCTTTTAAACTGATTTTCCTTTCTAATTATTGGAAGCTTATATATTGTCTGAGAGTAAATTTCTTTTCTGAAACTAGAAACTAGCCTCTCCCTGGTTTGATTGGATTTCATAGGGCCCACTGTGATACATCACCTCTGGAACTGTTTGACTCAAAGGAAGATAGGATTAGTCTACCTGTATTATAGGAATTCACCATGGAAACCATGGAACAGGAAAAAAAATTAGTAAAAGAAAAGCAAATCAAAATCACCATGACTATTGAATACAGGTAGTTAAAATTACAGTAAGAGTTCCCCCTGCTTAGTTGGGATTCTATTCCTGAGCCTTGAAAAGAACTCACAGACTTTCTTTGAGTAAGACTTGGGGCATACAATGAAATGACTTTTATCTTAAGCTAAATGACCTGCATGATAATTTTATTTCCCTTCAGAATTAATTCTTTTTTTTTTTTTACAGGCCTAACAGTTTAAAGGTAATTTGAAAAATTGATATAAACTTAAACATAAAATGGTAAACGCTCACACATGAAAAAAATCAGCTCCAGAAGTCATATCAGTAAGACTGTTGTGAATGACATTGTACACCAAATTGTGGATCATATACTTTGCTTCAAGTTTCTTTTTCATTCTTTAGGATTTTTTTTTTTCCTTCAACGTTTGCTTCACTGGGAGAGGCAAAGGTGTGCTTTTAGACATCATCAGGTTAAATAACTCTAATCTTAAACTTTTTTTTCTTTTTTTTTTTTTTTTGAGACGGAGTCTCACTCTGTCGCCCAGGCTGGAGTGCAGTGGCATGATCTCCACTCACTGCAAGCTCCGCCACCGGGGTTCACGTCATTCTCCTGCCTCAGCCTCCCGAGTAGCTGGGACTACAGGTGCCTGCCACCATGCCCGGCTAATATTTTTGTATTTTTAGTAGAGATGGGGTTTCACCGTGTTAGCCAGGATGGTCTCGATCTCCTGACCTCGTGATCCACCTGCCTTGGCCTCCCAAAGTGCTGGGATTACAGGCGTAAGCCACCGCGCCCGGCTAATCTTAAACTTTTTGAACAACTGATCTCCAAACTTTTCATTGTGTCTCCCTTTAGTTTAAAAAGAGAGATCTCTGATAGATCTATATACAAAAATTTTAAAACAGAGATATTTTAAAGATGTTTTACTAAAAGTATTCATTCTAAGAAGAGATCATCAATCCCTTGTCTAAGATATTTTTCATAATTACCTTTGATGGACTTAATAACACGTGCTATGCAGCCATTGCTTTGTTATTTGTTTTCTTTTCCTTCACTATGCTCTTGGGCTTTAATCACTTCTTAAATTGCTTCTAGATGCCTGTGTTGCCATCCTGAGTCTCACCTGGGAGATTCGCATACTTCGAACACACAATGATTCAGTTTGCAGCAATTTGGTCTCAATAGAAGTCAGTTTTCCTAAGTAAGAGCTAGCCAAATTCAATTTGAAGGAAACTTAGTGGATTAATCAAATCATCTTGACTATAATTTCATAGAATTAAGTATTTTATAAAATGAGTGGTCTATTATTACATACTTAAATTTCTTTATACAGAAATTCAATATTGCTCTAGTAATGTGTACTTGATAATATCTACATCATTCTTACCGGTTTCATTAAAAAAAAAATTTTTAACAAAAAGATCAAAGAACCCACCGTTGTATTGATACTGGTGCTGCAGTTCTAGAAAAAGAAAATATTCTTAAATATTTCTTAAAGAAAATATTTTAAAGATGGGTATTAAGGAGGACCAGAATCGAAACATTATCTTCTTTGCTATGGTTGTTGCTATTAGTTAAAACACTTTAAACCACATTTAATAAAATAAACTCACTGTTCACCATTTATACAATGTTACATGTCATTATGATAGGAAATAGTACGGGGAAATTATATTTCAAAATGATTCCAAGTGATCTCACTTTCTCTCTTTCTCTCTCTCTCACACACATACACACACACTCACACACACACACACTGTTCATGACTTTTTTCCAGAGCCAAGCTAAGAGGCTATAGTAGGCTGGTGGTCCTACAATTAAAAGTTATCATAGTAAGTGCAAAGGACTGGAATGAGATCTTTCATTCACGTCTGACTCAACCTCCAATTCCTGCTGTGAAAATGTATATAATGTATTTTTTTAATCCAATAACAATTATTTTTAGAATCGTGCAAACATTACAATGTTAGCTACATCTCACCTCCCTTTCCTTTCTGTGGATAACAGAGTTGGAAAGTATATGCTATTTTTGACCATATTTCTAATTAAGTTTAGTTGGTCATATTAGCCAACAATTCAACTAAGGCCTTTCAATACTTAGTCCTTTAATTTAATGAATTATTTTCCCTTTGAAGTTTCAGTAACAGCTGAATAAGGTGGGTGTAGCCGGGGGGTTTAGATGTCACTCTCATAATGAGAGCAAGATCATTCTTTCAAATGTTCAAATGTGCCTATTCTTAGGTTTTATCCTACCTAATTTAATAACATTAAAAATTAATCTTCTCTACTCTTTAGAAAAGTGAAAATTTTAGACAAGTGATTGGAGAAAAGATTTATGTGCATATTTAATTATTTAATTATTTATGTTGGTCACTGCCACTAAAGCTGCAAATCAGAGAAGATGAGGTTTGGTGCCTAGTGACAGTGATGAGGCATTTGCAAATCTGTAATGGGTGCTGTAAGACACAGGTATTAACCAACATCTTAATCATAAGCAATTTCCTAGGGCAAAGGGAAGCCATCTTGATAAGGGTACATGGTGTACTTCACAGGCCTTTTGCCACAGCCTGTTTCATAATTTATTACAGCAGCTTTGTTAATAACATACCAAATATTTCCCTCCCTCCTTGCTAACCAACTTCTGCTGACTTATGAAGAAATAATCAAGGGAGATATCTCATTTCTTCAATTTCATCTGCTCCTCACCTTCCTCCTCCTCCAGCTTACCACCTCTTCCAAGATCCTGCTGATACCTAACTACTGGCCTCCTTAGCCAAACTCAGAAAGCTGTTCTTGAGGCACAGGGAATTGTTCCATTGGGCGGCCTACCCAAGTTCAAAAACACCCTCATCTACACAGTGATCATACCTGAAATTCCAGAATGATCTTTGGCAGCATTTTTTCCCTCCAGAAATCTTTTGGGGACTTTAGCAAATTTCTTAGAGGGAAGAAATCTAGATTGGAGTAACCAACCAGGGATTAAAAGGCAGAAGTAGAAAATCTGGATTAGAAAGATTATAGTTGCTCACCACCACATGACTGAATTCTCAACTGTTCCTGAGTAAATGGTGATAAGAACGGTCATAAAGATTAATCATTTCTGACCATGAAGTAGGTGCTGTCTTTATTGGCAGCCAGACACTTGTATAATTCTTTCCCTCCTCCGTTTCTCCACGTTCCTATTTGAGAAAGAAAACATCCGAGGGGATGGACTGGGGGAGGGGCAGAGATGGAACTAGGTATGAAAAAGCTGTAAATTTCACATTCTCATTCCAGCTGTCAGTTTTCTGTTGTCTTGCCCCAAACACTTCTCTATTTTACTGTAAGGTCAAATGAACTGGAAAATCCTCTGGAGTATCTTATCTATGTCATAGGACCTCTCTGTTAATAGAAAACTACTTCATTATCATGTGAAATAAGAAGCTGTAAGATAATCAGCCTATATACATTTAACTCACACTTTGTCACTTTTAGGGGCTTTGCAACACCTCGTCCAGCTGCCTGTTAGATTTCGTCTGATTGTTGTAGTAGTTGTTCATCAAAACAGAGGAAGATCATATTCCATATTCATTATTCATAGAAAACCACCATGGGGTGGTCTATTTATAGCTCAAAATTGTCGCTCTGTAGAATAGGGAAGAGGGATCAACTCACGCCAAGATCCTGAATCCAAGCAAGAGATGATGGTGTGCCCAATAATTCCAAGGATGGCATGATCGGCTGCATGGCTCCGTCTCCAATTATCCTGCTTCATTTTGACTGTTAATTCTGTCAGGAATTTTTGACAGAAAACCAACGCATCAGAGATAAGACTGAATGAATTAATTCTGGTCCTTTAAGCCTAAAATATTAACATAGCAACCAATCTGATGGGGAGGACCCAGTGGAGCGGGAGGGGATGATATCACAGCTGCACAATTGCATGTTGTAATCACTGCTGTTATCTTCTGTGCTTTATATTCAATAGTTCTCTGATAGTTCTCTGTGCTGAGCACTGCATATTGATTTGGAGAAAAGTAAATGAGTTTCTGAACACATAAAGCCTTTCTGATATACTTAGAACAATTCATTCCCCTTTTTATTCTTCTCTGATTTATTTTCTAACTTCAAAGGTCATGTGACTCCCTTATTTTTAACTTTTTTTTTTTACATAATTTGTTAGGCAGGATAATTGTTTGATGGAGTAAACATGCCAAAAAAATTAAAATTAAATTAGAAATGAATTTCTTCCTAACAAGAATCCAGTTCAAACAGATTTAAAGGTTCTAACATGGTGTGCGAAATATTTATGAAGATCTTCCTACTTAGACATCTAGAAGGTACAAGAGAGAAGTGATTATGTTAGAAAGGCAGCACTCTGATACCAGCACAAGGCCCTTCAGTTGCAGTAAACCTCAATGTTCTCTGATAAGAGATTTCAGGTGTGGATATGCCTCCAGACAGTGAGGGTTCTTGCCGGCTGCTTACTCACACTCCCTGACAATTCTGCTCCGGTGCCAGACAAGAGGCTGGGTGGTGGGGAGTATTTGTCTTAAGGAGGTACTGGGTGCACTATCTCTCCATAAAGAGGGCTAGAGACCAGGGAGCACCTGTCTTGGGGAGCTCCTCTTGTGCCCAACCCTTCCAATCTGGGAGGATACAATGAGTGAGTGAATGTGCCCGAGCTTAAAAAGAGCAACTTAAGGGCTAAGCACTCTCCTCTGAGATGATAGGTAGCTCCCATTTACTGAGTGCCAAATATGCCAGGCATGACATAAGAAGTTCATTCAATCCTTTAACAATTCTTTGAGGCCCATTTTATGATTATTCTCATTTTAGAGATCAGGAGACTGAGGCTTGGGAAGGTAAACTTACCAGCCCAAGCTCCCATGGCTGGAAAGAAGTAATGCTGATGTTCTAACTCATGCTCTTCCCTAGGCGTAACCACTGCTGCTCTTGGCTGCTCACCAGGCTGCCTCCAAACTTGCTGTCATGTGCTGAGAAGGCAAACGGTAGCTCGTGAGATGACCCCAGCATTTGTGGTCAAAGGCCTTCCTTGGCCACTTTCTGGTATGTGAGCAGTGTGTCAAACTGTTCCTTCACCCCTGCTGGTAAAATGAGTAAAATCAGACTTATTGGGAAAGACCAATGTAAGAATTAAATCTGTTTTCCAAGCAGATTACTTGGTATATAATCAGTGCTCAATGTTTGTTGCATCTGATTCTTGTATAATAAATATATGTATATTTGATAATAAAAATATATGTATGTTTTATATAGCTTCACATTAAATAGCAACTTGATAACATCTCATTTCATCTTTAATAGCGACTTGATAAAATTCAGGGTTGAATTTGAGAGTTTAATTCTCCACTTTGTCTCATCTTATACATAGATACCCATGCATTTGCTTCCAAATTTAGAGCTCAGTTTCTCAGCTGGAACATCCACACATACGTTGAGGAACATGCAAGCACCTGGCCCGGAGCCCCCACAGCAGGAAACTGGTGGACAGGTGGTTGAACTGAATCTCAGGCTTGGCAGTGAACTATGCTACACCCATTTCCTGCTATGACCTCTTGTCCACACATGGTTCCTGCTCTTGGCTGTTGGGGGTTCCTCCCACTTACAGCCCACAGCACTTTACCATACTTGCCTGAGGAAGGAGAAAGTGCTGCTGGCAGTGTAGCTGGGTAGGAAGATAAGTTGTATAGGGCAACAGGAAAAAAAAAAAAAGAGGCAAGAGTCGAGGAGAGAGAAGAGGTGCTGTGTAGGCCAGAGACAACCTTGGCTTCCCGGATGTGGTGTGTGCCTTTGGATACAATGGAGTGATGTATGCTTGTGTGATGCGAGATAGGGGACCTTGAGAATATCGCCAGCCTTTGTGACATTGGATAAAGGGGCACACAACAGCAGATCTCAAGACCTTTGCACATACTCTGCCTGAGATGCTCTTGCTTGAGGCTACCCAGCTGGTGTCTCCTCCTTGAGAGTCTTCTCTGACTTTTCTACTTAAAATAGTCACCGTCATTCCCATGATATTGTGTCATCTTCATAGCACCTATTATGATCTGAAATTAAATTCCGTATTGAGTTACTTGTTTTCTGATTTATCTTCCCCTTCTAAAATGTAAGCTCCTGACTACTATCCCCGCAATGCCCACAATAATGACTGACTGAATACATATTTATCAAAAGAATGAATATTACCAGTGACATTTCACCCACTTTTAGGCTGTTAATTTCCTCCTTATTCTAGATCTCCACTCAGATATCCCATTTTTATTCAAAGTCAGGCTCAAAAATTGGGCTGAATGTCCTCTATTCGTTTCCCCAAAAAGCCAAAATATTTCCTGTCTTGTGCTTTTGCATGCTGTTCGCTCTGCCTGGAACATCAACTACTTCCACACTCTCCTCTCCTTGTCCAATTCTCTGCTATTAGGATATTCGGTTGCTTCTCATCCAAATTCAATGTCATTCCCCAGAAAGGATGTCCCTGATTAGCAGTCATCTCTGCAATTTTTTTTTTCTTTTTCTGAGACAGATTCTCATTCTTTCGCCAGGCTGGAGTGCAGTGGCACAATCTCGGCTCACTGCAACCTCCGCCTTCCAGGTTCAAGAGATTCTCCTGCCTCAGCCTTCCAAGTAGCTGGGATTACAGGTGCCCACCACCATGCCCGGCTAATTTTTTGTATTTTTAGTAGAGATGGGGTTTCACTATGTTGGCCAGGTTGGTCTCAAACTCCTGACCTCAGGTGATCTGCCCACCGCGGCCTCCCAAAGTGCTGGAATTACAGGCGTGAGCCACTGCACCCAGCTTCTGCAATATTTTCTGTTAGAGCAATCTAGGTTTCCTTTTTGGTTTTGATTTTGGTTTTAAATTCAGTTACTTACCTATTTATTTGTTTCTAGTCCATCTTCCCCACTAGACTATAAGCTTCACAAGGGCAGAGACTGTGTATATTTTATTGTACAATCCATGCTCAGGGTGTGGCACAATGCCTAGAACATACTGGGTACTAAATGAATGGTCGAATAAATAAATGAATCAATTGTTTAAAGTCATTCTGTCCACATTTGGATTAAGAGGCAAATCTAACTTAGAAATTTTTTAATAGTTGTAACTCTTCCCCTTATTTAGTTTTTATATAGACTATCTCTCTGTTGAAAAACAAGTTAAAATTGCACTTTGTCCATGAGGCTTCTCTAAACATTGCAGCCACAGTCACCTTTCCTTTCACTAGGCCCTTATTCATTTCATTCACACGTGTTCCTAGCACTTTCTAGTGCTGAGATGCATTGATATGGTCCCTGACCTCAAGGAGGTTTGAATATCTATCACACACTTTTAGACTTGACTATAACTCAAATGTGTCAAATGAATAAATGAATGAGTTTAATTATAGCTTTGTTGACATCTCAACTCCTTCTTATTTTTCATGATATTAAACACAAATGCATAGCTTCTTCCCATAATATTACTGGAGTGGCTCAAGAAAGGTCATCCTTCCATAAGAATCAAAAGAAAGTGATCTATTCCTGGTACAGACTGGATGCTGAGAAATGAAGTCGCTTCCCAGCATCTCTAAGTCTGACTTACACTCTACTAATTCATTATAGTTAAATGGATTTCCCAAAAAGCCACAACCTCTTGTATTTAAATGTAAACATGAAAACATTTTCTAAGCCAAAGGTCCAAGGATTTTAATTAGCCATCTTAAGAAGTGACTTTCTTTCATTGGCTCAGATAATTCTACAGTCAGTATCCATGGGGGATTGATTGCAGGACCCTCCTCAAATACCACAATTCTGGGGTGCTGAAGTCCTTTATGTAAAATGACATAGAATTTGCATATAACCTACACACATCCTCCTATATACTTTAAATCGCCTCTAGATTACTTTTAATACCGAATGCAATGTAAATGTTATGTAAATAGTTATTATCCTGCATTGTTTTTTTTTTTGTTTTTTTTTTTTTTTTTTTTTTTTTTGAGACAGAGTCTCGCTCTTTTGCCCAGGCTGGAGTGCAGTGGCGCGATCTCTGCTCACTGCAAGCTCCGCCTCCCGGGTTCACGCCATTCTCCTGCCTCAGCCTCCCAAGCATTGTTTTTTACTTGTATTATTGGGTTGTTATTTTTGTTGTTTGGGTTTTTTTCCAAATATTTTTTATATGAGGTTGGTTGAATCCAGGAATGTGGAACCAAAAGACATGGAGGGTCGACTGTCTTCATCTCTTTTTCTTTTTCTCTCCTTTGTTTTCCATGATCATATCTGGTAGCACTGTAGTGCAGCCTCACTAATTTGAAAACAAATTTGAAATCAAATTCAGGTTTTTTTCCTTTGCCTCATCCATTACATCCAATCCTTTGAACAAAAAAAAAGTATTGTGTATGTAGTATAAAAACAAGTAGCTAAAAAGTGGGAAATTGTGGGAAAATGTTGGCTGTGATATTTGCACGATGCTCCACTTAGGTTTAGTGATTTTTCTCTACATTTGATAAATGGAGCTGGTTTTTTGGCAGTATCTTGGCATAATCAGTATGCTACCAATTTCCTGTAACATTTCTAAGCTTTATTCTTTCCAAAGCTATTTTTTTCACTCTCAACTGCAGGCTACTAGAACAGTCTTTTTCACCTCCATTCTGCCCTGCCTGCCTCAGCCACAGTGATCAAATTCCAGTACCCTTTCTACTGGTAACCTCTAAATCAGTCCTCTTCACTATCTCATTGACTCAGACTTCTAAAGAACAGACTTTGGGAAGCTCAACACCCTTCCTCACGTCTTATAATGTTCTAGTTATTTTTCTACTTAACTAATGCAAATCTATTCCTATTTTCTGCTCAACTAAAGCAAATCACCTTCTGCCATTGACTCACCAACTCGGTTGTTCAATTTCCTCATTAAATCTATCATCAAGACCTGTAAGTTTTACCTCCCTAATATATCTGAACTCCAAGCACTTCTTGCCACCCTCATTGCTACAAGCTTAGCCTCATCTAAGACTGTATTTTTTCTATGGCTCTATAATAGACTCCTCGAAGGGGCCTCTCTGACTCTTTTCTATCCACCACCTTCTGCACATTAACTGCAAGCAAGTGTGCAAAGCACCTTCTAAAACATAAATCAGATCATGCCACTTCTTTGCTTGAAATGTTCTAGTGGCTTCCCTTTAGGACCACAATAAAACCCAAGGTTCCTACCTTGTCCTGCAAGGCACTATGTGATATGACACCTCCCACCTTTTCACTTCTTGCTCCATCCATTCATTCGAGGTACACAGGCTTCTTTGGCAAAACACCAAGCTCTGATGGCCTGAGTCTCAGTTCGTTTGTACCACTATAATAAAATCCCTCAGACTGGATTATTAATATAGAACAAAAATTTATGTCTTACAGTTCTGAAAACTGATCATTCCAAGACTAAGGTGCTGGAAGGTTTGGTGTCTGGTGAGTGCTGCTCTCTGCTTCCAAGATGGTGCCTTGTTGCTGCATCCTCCAGAGGATGAGGAGCACTGGATCTTCACATGGTGAAAGGGAGAAGGACAAGACAGCCACATCATTCATAAAGCCTCTTTTATAAGGGCTTTGATCTCATTTACAAGGAGAGGAGCCCTCACTACCCAATCACTTCTGAAAGACTCCACCGCTTACTATTATCACATTGGCCATTAAGTTTCAACACTTGAATTTTGGAGGAGATATATTTAAACCATAACAACCCATGACATGCTCTTTCTTTCTCCGTCTCTTCACATGGCTTCCTCCTTCTCAGGACCTAGGTTTCAATTCAAATGTCACTTTCTCAGAGAGGCCTTTCCTGGCTCCCTTGTTAAGCAACGTCCTCTTCACTCTATATGACTTACCTACAGTGGTTATATTCTTAGCACTCATCAGTGTGTGAAACCATCACATTTACTTGTATATTGAATATTGTCTATCTCTCCCCTTAGAACATAAGCTGCTTAAGGTCAGGTTTACTGTGGGTATTAGTCACCATTGTATTTCCAGCATCTCATGTAGTCTAACATGTATTCCTTTCATTCATTCCACAAATACTTAATTAGCAACTACTCTGTGTCAACCATTGTCTTGGGCACTAGGATATAAGCTGTGAATAGAATTGAAAAGACATCTGTAATTCCAGCACTTTGGGAGGCCAAGGCAGGAGGATTGTTTGAGCCCAGGAGTTCAAGGCCAGCCTGGGTAACATAGTGAGACCCTGTCTCTACAAAAAATAAAAAATAAATAAAAATTAGCCAAGTGTGGTGGCACATGCCTATAGTTCCAGGTACTCAGAAGGCTGAGGCAGAAGTATCATTTGAGCCTGGGAGGTTGAAGCTGTAGTCAGCCCTGATTATGATACTGCACTTCAGCCTGGGGGCGACAGAGCAAGACATTTTCTGAAGGAAGGAAGGAAGGAAGGAAGGAAGGAAGGAAGGAAGGAAGGAAGGAAGGAAGGAAGGAAAGAAAGAAAGAAAGAAAGAGAGGGAGGGAGAAAGAGAGGGAGAAAGAATGAAAGAAAGAGAGAAAGAGAAAGAAAGAAAGAAAGAAAAGAAAGAAAGAGAAAGGAAAGAAAGAAAGAAAGAAAGAAAGAAAGAAAGAAAGAAAGAAAGAAAGAAAGAAAGAGAAAGCAAGCAAGAGAGAAAGCAAGAAAGCAAGAAAGGAAGGAAGGAAGGGAGAAGAAAGAAAAGTTCCTGTTTTTACAGGGTCTATATCATATTTGGGCGGGGCAGTGCACACTGCAAAAAAACCAAATTGTCAGTAAACAACTAAATATATACTATATCAAGTGATAATAGGTGCTCTAAAAAATACAGCAGGAAAGAGGAATAGGGGATGCTAGCGGAACATTCACCCCATCCTCCAATAATAAACATGGTGAATTACTTGCCTTTGTTTCCATAGCACTTTAGATACACTTTTAAAATATCACACTTATCACATTTTATCATAGTGACTTGAAGAAAGTGAATTCATCTGGCTCTGAGTTCTAAGTTAGTGATGATGTTATATGCATCGGTCTTTGCATCAGACATATAGGAAGATGCAATAAGTGCAATTAAATGAAAAAACATGTGAATTAGCAAATGTTTACTTTTCTATTGTTACCCTCTTGAATGTCTTCCTTGTAAAACTTCATTAAAGAGCATTCATAAGAGACCTGCAGAAATATTTGGTCATTTAACCCTTCCTGTATGCAATTGGTGCTGCATTTGATGTCTCTGAGCATCAGTAAATAGGACCATCCCATAACTGCTGTGTATTTTTAATTTGTGAAGTGATTCTCTGAACCTGATTAGACTAAGATATGCCCTCCTTTTCTTCAGCCCACAACACTAGGGCTTGTGCTCAGTGGCCTTTCGTGTGTCATACACTATATTTATCCACATAAAGCAGATACATGATACACATTGTCACTAATTTGGTTCCTCTGTTACATACATAGAAAACAGTTACAGTGAAGATATTGTGTATTTTGTACTTTTAATCTGGGTCCTTGGCACCAAGCCACTCATCAAGGAGAAGTCCAATTTTCTGCAGAAATACTGTGATACATTTGAAGTTATTCTCTGCAATGACATAACACTACTCCCCTAGATAAGCAAACATCTTTTTTCAGTACTTCCAGTGTATTTCATGTCAGAAGCAATAAAGTATATAAGTTCATTTTTATTTGTAAAGAATTGGTTCCCAGTTTGCGTCTATGACATGGCTAAGGAAGCTGTAGATAAAGAATTTAATGAAATCTGATACCATATGAGGAATACTAAAAGGAGAAGTAAGTTTTTCTCAGACTTTAATTGCTGGAAAAGTACATGAAGAGTGCAAATACTTCAGTGTCAGCTAACCAGTCCATTTCCTTATAAAGGATGCCTCATGTGCCCCTACAAGCAAAAGAAAAACAAAAAGCCTATTTCTCTAGTAAAAGAATATACTAACTAATGTCAGAGGCGAAAGAAGAGGAAGAGATATTTGTGTTGCATATTATTCAGGATTACAGGATTTCAAAATGCGTGTGGTTTCCTGCCAGAAACTTAATTTCCAGTCTTGCTTTCCAAACTATGTAGCCTGGGCTGTCGTTGACTTCCTGTGTCCTTTTCTGATAGTATACGTATAAAAATAGAAAGCAGGAAGAAAACACTTATCAGCCAAACTACATCATTTGTGTTTCAGTATCAATTAACAGAAAAAAAAAGACTACATCATTAGTTAAATCTCTATAATGTGGAAGTTTCAGGGGTTTTTTTTCTTTTTTTTTTTTTTTTTTTTTTTTGAGATGGAGTCTCCCTCAGTTGCCCAGACTGGAGGGCAGTGGCGCGATCTTGGCTCACTGCAAGCTCTGCCTCCCAGGTTCATGCCATTCTCCTGCCTCAGCCTCCCGGGTAGCTGGGACTACTGGCACCCACCACCATGCCCAGCTAATTTTTTGTATTTTTAGTAGAGACGGGGTTTCACCATGTTGGCCAGGATGGTCTCGATCTCCTGACCTCGTTATCCGCCTGCCTCGGCCTCCCAAAGTGCTGGGATTACAGGCGTGAGCCACCATGCCCGGCCGGTTTCAGTTTTTACGTCCATCAGAGTGTCTCTCTAATCGCTATTGGTGCAGGGTGCTGGAGGCCCTTTGGATTGAGCACCAGTGTGGTGAGTGTGACCCAAATACCTGAAGAAGCTCTACGTGTTGCAAAACAATCAGAGAAAAATCAATACAAGCATGTCATCGACATAGGAAGTGGTACAGAATGATTTTTGTTTTGTGCACTAAAAGGGCTACCATTTCATAAGGCCTGGAAATGTGGGTCTTTCATGCCAGTCTGACACTGGTGTGGGAACCACTGATGGATCCATTGAATTATGTTTTAGCTGGCTCGTAAATGGGATCCTTTAGAATGCACAGCAAATAAAGCTTCCATTATTTATCCATCTTTGACTAGCCATTGTACACAGTCCACATCTTGCTTGCTGTGCCTATGAAAAGAGGTTCTTAATGATGAACACTATTGTCAATAATTTTTCATGTATTTGGAGTTTTAATTAGTACAGGTGTTTGGAGAAAAAACTTCTCAGATGTAGGCAATTATTTCTGCTATTCTATAGGTTAGATAGGGATGCACACATGCAGAATGAAGTTGCATCAAATCAGATTGGAATGTTTTGACAGCAAGACACAGCAAATGATTAGGCTGGTATTATAAAGCAGGAGCGATTAACAAGTGATTTACGAATGGCAGCAGAGGCACAACCTTGAATTACAATGAACAGAGAGAGCTGAAATGTAGCGGTTAACAAAACCGCATTTGATTAGATGAAGATTTGGGGGATTATTTGTAATGGGTCATAGATAATAGTTCTAATACAAGTGATTTTTAAAATTTTGATTTATAATACCCACTCATTGATGAGCCCTCCAGGCATATGTATAGCAGCCCAACGGAATTCAAACCAGTAAAATTGTCAAGAGAACCCATGTCCATTTACATTAGGAAAATCCTGATTTAACGGATGTGCTTTATGTGATGCCCTGAGGGACAACAGGTTTAGATTTTTCTGAATCAAAAGAAAAAAATTCCAGAGCTTTGCGTTTCTTTATTAAACTCTCCTACTCTCAGTCCTTAACTAAAAAGACAATTCGGATAATACTCAATCTTAACTTGGGAATAAGACATCCTTCCTTAACCCTTTAAGATGATTGAATAGCAATCTGAGAATATGGCAGACGTGCTGTTTTCACTGTTTTTAAAATGAGGTGTTTTTAGAGGGATGAGAAAGAGTGCGGCTGGATTTGAAATGTGTTAGACCAGATCTGAGAGGATGTCATTGGTAAAACAAAAGAAAATGAAAGTAATTATCATGATATGGAGTAATGATGTTTTCAAAGTATTTTCTTTTTTTTTTCTTTTTAACATTCAAGATATCTTTCAAAAGAAAAGGAAGTTTTATTCCCACTTTACAAATTGAAAATCAGATATTTAGAGGTGAAAAGAAACTTCATAATAAGTGAGTATAATGATCAAAGATTAGAAGCAGTGCTTTCAAAAATGCTTTTGTTACCATTCAAGCATTGTCATTTCCTTCTAGTAACCTCGATCATGAAATATTTCTGGGTCAGCTATAGAAACAGTCAAAGTGCTGTCCCGATGTCCCATTCACTCTGTCCCAACCCTCCCTTTAATCCCATTCATTCTTTCCCTGCCACTCTCCATCCCTACTTCTCATATTAGGAATTATGAACATGTGTAAAATTACAGAAACACAGAAAACATTGTAATGGTTAAGAGAAAAATACATTTATATTAATATATTTAAGAAACATTTATGTTGTCAATAAAATATGAGAAAAATATTCATCTTCAATAATAACTCAAAAAAGGCAAAACAAATGAGATACCATTTCCCCACTATCAGAATAACCAAAAATTTTTAAATTAAAAACTAGTTTCCACAATGATGTGAGTAAAAAGGAGCCCTCATATCATACCCTCACATAAGTATAAATTGCTGCAACCCCTTATCGTCAAAATTTTGTCTGTCTATATACATACATATATATGTAAATATATATTTTTGCAGCACTATTTTCTATGGAAGAAAAATGCACAAATATGAAAAGATCATTTTCTTGAAAGATTGTTTTATTTTTTAATATAAAAGGTTGCAGAAAACAAACGGCTACATATATATGTAGTTGTGTGCACATACTATACACATTATATATATATATATATATATATATATATATATACACACACACATACTAAAGTGGTAATGTTACCTTTGGGGATGGGGGTTGTTGAAGGATTGTGTGATATTTATTTTCCATGGTAGAATTAAGGTTAATTTTAACTTCTGTGTGTGTGTTCATATTTTTCAAATTAAAAATACAAGCACACAAGCCATATTATATCTTTAAGAAGTATATACATATCATAAATTAGGGGGTCACACAGGCATAACTTGGGTACTGGCTTCACCACTGAATCATCTTAGATTCCCTAAACTTTTGTTTTCTCCAACATTAAAATAAGATAAGAACCTAAAATAAGTTTTTATCTTATGAAGTTGTAAGGATTAAGGAGATAATGCAGGATAATTTATGAAAATGATTGCTATAGTAACTGGTGCATTAAAAGTTTAATAAATATTAGATATTATTGTTATTATTGCACTCAAACTCCAAATTCATCCGGCCTATCAGATAAATGTTAATCCCTACCTGTTCCTAAACTAGTTAAGGTCCTTGTCTCCTTGTTCTTTTAGAAGTTTGCATTTGCTCTTACATTCCATCTAGTTCTCCCCTAAAAAAGCTGCACTTTTTTGCTTTGCCTCTCCGCTGGAAGGCTCTTGCCTGGGTCCCTATTTTCCTACATTCGTTCAGGTAAAACCACCCCCATCAGCCTCTACTCACCCACTTCAGCTTATCTCATTGGAATTCCATCTAGGCCAGAACTCAAAACCATTCCACCCCTACTGCCTCTCTGTCCTTTGCCTCCTAACTGAATTCCAAGTCTTGCTTATTTTTTATTTTAATTTCATGTGCAGGATGTGCAGGTTTGCTACAAAGGTAAATGTGTGCCATGGTGGTTTGCTGCACCTACCAACCCATCACATACGTATTAAGCCCACCATGCATTAGCTATTTTTCCTGATGCTCTCCCTTGCCCCGGGGCTCCCGTCCCCACCAGCAGGCCACAGTGTGTGTTGTTCCCCTCCCTGTGTCCATGTGGCCTCATTGTTCAGCTCTCACTAATAAGTGAGAACGTGCGGTGTTTGCTGTTCTGTTCCTGTGTTAGTCCGCTTAGGATAATGGCTTCTAGCCCCACCAATGTCCCTGCAAAAGACATGATCTCTTTCCTTTTTGTGGCTGCTGAAGTCTCGCTTTTTTAATGGAGATGGGCCCAGGCATCCCAGTATTTCCAAGAACAGCTTTTTCCTATGATAGCTATAACATGGAGAAAATTATTACTTTTCAAAAATTGCAAAGAAAGCATCAATGTCACCATAAAAATATTATGATCAGGTCCCATGATGGACACATCAGCTATATTTAGAGGACAAACGAAGAGATGGATTCTATTTTAGAAAATATTTTCATACTTCGAATGTGTTCCTTAAAATATTTAATGGGGCAGTTTCACTGGTAACTAGAACATAAAACTGAAGTCTCCCAATCCTTGCCGTCCATGGCAACTTAGGTGATCACAGGAACTGCCACTCTTCCCGAGTCTGCATGTGGACATTCTGTGCTCACAAGGGAAGAGCCAAGGAGGGATGTCAGGAAGAAGCGCTTTTTTAAAATCGGCAGAATTTTAATATTTTTGTTCTTCTGGACAAAGAATATTCTCTACAACTAATGGTTTATCCAACATTTATCTCAGGAACATCTGAGTTTTGTTAATTTTCTTAGAGGTAGTAACTGGACGATGTATAGACAAACATGTTTGCCTCCCGACTGTAGCAGAGAATAATCTCTTGAGAGGAAATAGTTCTTTTTACAGCAACAAAAAGCAAGAAAAGCAGAGCAATAAGATGATGCTGTTAGTAGTTTATGTCTCTTAAGACCTTAAAAGGTAATAATCATTCTACCTTCCATTTCCTTAGCGCCTGATGGTTTGCAAAGTACTTTCACATACATTATCTCACTCAAGGAAAAGAAATGCATATTCTATAAGGGCCATTCCTGAGAGAAAATGAAACATCAAGCAAACGAAAACTATTCCTCGATTGAATAATTCAGGGAGCTGCTCTATCAAAATAGTGAACCACTTCATGAGAAACAGAGGAGACAAAAAATCAAATCAAATCACCATCACTGGCATAAATATGAAATATATGGGGTCGACTAACTTTTTTTCATTATGTTCATGATTCAGGGACTATAATTTGTTTCATATTTGTCAAAATTGGAAATAAGATGATAAATAGATATCCTAGCTCTTAGGCACCCTGTGGAATTTCAATGTCTTGCCACCTAAGGCAAAATACACACACACACACACACACACACACACACACACACAGTTTGGCAGTGTAATGACTTTCTTTTGCCCTCTGATTCCATACAAATTTAACTCCCTGTCATGACACCTGCCCCACTGTTATTGTTGTGTACCTTTTGCTCCAGCCTGGCCAGGGTCTTCCTTTGACAAAAATGTGCACATTGCTGCTTCTTAGCCTCTGTTCCCCACACCATTCTTCATAGCTAAAATAATATTTCTTCCTCCAAGCACTTTGCCCAACTACCCTGAGCTACAATCTCCATTCTTTGTCTCTAATAATTCCTGTTTTTTATTCATTCACCCAATAACTATTTGATGAGAGCTGCCTATGCACAAGATATCAGGCTAGGTACTGGGAATAGAGCAATGAAAAAGACAAACGAGATCTCTCCTCTTAAGGAGCTGGGGACATTCTGGGAGGCGGGGACAGACAATAAATGCATTTTACACATTTCAGATGCTGCTAAGTACTATGAAGCTCTATAACAGGGTAATACAAGAAAGTGGCTGGAGAGGGGACAGATAGTTTAGGTTGGGGGGATAGTCAGGGAAGGCTTCACTGAGGAGGTGACATCTGAGCTGGGACCTGAATGACAAGAAGGAGCCAGCCCTGCAAAGATAGGGGGAACAGGAAGAAGGGCGGTGTGGCAGGAGGAGAGTAAGCACAGGGAAGCATGCTGAGAGGCATGAAGAGAGGAGCTGAGAGTCAGGCAAGAGTTAGATCCCGCATGGACTTTACCTTTTACTCCAGGTGCACCCAGACGCATGGGAGGGTTTTCTGCAGGAGAGTGGCAAGACAGGATTTGTGTTTTTTGAAAGATCTCTCTGACTACTGGTCAGAGAATGGACCATGAGGGTACAAAGTTAGAATGAGGCAGACCAGTTAAGAGGTTGTTGCAGGTCCAGGGGAGACAAAAGAGGTGGAGACTTTGTATGGGGAACATGGAGAAAAGTTGGCAGATATGGGGTCTATTTTGTACATTAAGCCATTCAGACTCATGGGTAAGTTAAATGCAGCAGGGGAAAGAAGTTCGATGTCATATTCTACTGTGTCATAATTAAACAATCTCACGTGTGTTTGTACATGTATTTCAACTGAACTATAATTACTTTGCAATCAGAAATTAGTCATATTCTTCTACTCTTTTTTTTACTCAGCTACAGAAATGAGGATGGCTCATTGTAGAAATGAGCGTGCAATAAAGACTTGCTAACTTGAATCCAATTAATATTTCTACTTCTATTGTGGGTCCAAAGTCGTCTAGTTCAACTAATCATGGCAAAGCCAAGTGTCTCCCTTCCATTTTCTTTACTGCATCCTGCCATCTGTCCTTTCACCTCCTGCTACTTTTCAGTCACTGTAATTCTCCCTGTGATTCCTTCGCAATCGCCCTCTGAGTATCAGATTTCTGCTTCCTCGCTCACTGCACGCCACAGTTAGTTCTGTGCAGCTTGCTCCAGCCATTTACTCTGTGCCCACTCCCTGTCAGGCCCTCGGCTGGGTGATGGGGACCCAAAGGTAAACATCAGCAGACGTGAGAAGAAACTTCACAGTTTAATCTTCACACGAGAACTAGGAGGGAGAATCCTGGACCACACAGGTACCACACGAGAACTAGGAGGGAGAATCCTGGACCACACAGGTACCACACGAGAACTAGGAGGGAGAATCCTGGACCACACAGGTACCACACGAGAACTAGGAGGGAGAATCCTGGACCACACAGGTACCACACGAGAACTAGGAGGGAGAATCCTGGACCACACAGGTACCACACGAGAACTAGGAGGGAGAATCCTGGACCACACAGGTACCACACGAGAACTAGGAGGGAGAATCCTGGACCACACAGGTACCACACGAGAACTAGGAGGGAGAATCCTGGACCACACAGGTACCACACGAGAACTAGGAGGGAGAATCCTGGACCACACAGGTACCACACGAGAACTAGGAGGGAGAATCCTGGACCACACAGGTACCACACGAGAACTAGGAGGGAGAATCCTGGACCACACAGGTACACGTAAGAAAGAAAGGGAAGAATTACACAGGAAAACACGGATTTGATTCTCTCCTTTAGAGCTGGGCTCCCAAAGAGTTCCATAAAAGGGAAGACATCTTTGCTTCCCTGCCCCTTATCTCTCAAGCCTTCTGGACACTCTGTTTCAAGTTCCAGGAAAGGAAATCTTCGGCCTCTCCTTGAGAAGCAAAGAGAATTCAGTGACAATGTGTACAGAAATGTCTCTGACTTTCCTTAGATGATTCCATCTTTCTTCCTGCAACTCACCTCCTCACAAACAAACGTCCTCTCCTGCATTTGGGTTAATTTATTTTCAGTAAACACTCATCAAATGACCACCACTAAGCACAAGACCTAGCAGGGTCCTAGAAATATAGTTTCTGTCTTCTAGATCTTTGAAGGAAAGACATAAAATAAAGTAAAGTGAAATTCACACCAAGTAGACATCTGAACCACACGGTATTTGAACACAAAAGTGATGCATTCTGAATAGATGGCTCAAGAAAGACACCTGCCTGGATATGGAAAGGAGGGTAGTATTTTGAGAGGCTCAGGAGAGTATGGAGGTATAGGAACAGAGTGAGCAAAAGCTCAGAGGCTTCACACTGCATTCAAACTCCAGATTATGGTGCGAAGTTGTCTGTGGCTGGAAAATAGAAATTAGGGAGAAATACTCTAAAAATAGAGGTGTAAATGAAGCCAAGGTCAAGCTTTCAGAAACCTTCAATGCATGTTGCAGCATTATTTTCTGGCCAAAAAGGAGTTACTGAAGGCTTTTGGATAGAGAAATAACATCCAACATCCTTTTTCTGGAAGGAAAAAGGAAAGATAATGCTGAAAAAGGAAGACAATGCTGGTGTGGTGGCCTCCTTCAGGGGAAACTGCTTGGGGAGCAGACCTGATGAACAGTCTCTCCAGTAGTTACTCCTTTGTGACCACAATGTTATTTACTCCAAAGTCATCCTTCCTGGCCAGCATGAAGCTTCTTCAGTGGTAAAGCTCAGTGTCTTAGGGACTTCCCGTTGGCTTGGCTGAGACTTTCAAAACTGCTGTGATCTGAGACTCTCTGTACGTAATCCTTCCTACTCTTTCTCCTCTTGTAGGTGTCAGATCTGTAGATCAGTCTGGAGCCTCTCTCAGTGGACTGGACTCCTACTCCCTCCTTGCATTCTCTACAGACAATTCCCCAGGTAATCCTCTTGCATGCTCGGCATCGGCTTCCCACGGGGCCCAGACTGACACAGCTGGTAAAGCAGGAAGGATGACAGCCCTGATCTTATTTTGGAGTAATATGCAGGGCAGCCCAGAGTGCTCAGTACCAGCAAGACAGAAGGGGGAAGGACAAGGGAAGGGAAAGGGAAAGGAAAAATTTTAATTTAAAAATAAAAAAGCAGGTTTTGTTTGATCATCTCCAATATTCTTGTGAGAGAAGGGATTGTGCCAATTATTTTGAAAGCACTCAATCATCAATGGATTTTTCATATATGGTGGGGCAGGGTTATGGGCAAATATTGGTGTTTTCCTCATTGCTGAGTCTTCATCTATGGTATTTTTTTCCTTTTGTGTCCCTCTGGGTGTGTTCACATTAATTTATGTGGGATAAACCTAGTCGCTCGTGTCAAGTAATTTTTGTAATGGCAAATTTGAAACATTTATGCCCTTTTTCTTTGCTATCAATAACAACATTAAATAACATTTAATGTGATCAAAATTTTCTTACTAAAAATATTAAAACCATTTACTCATATGCTATGGGGCATAACCCTGAAGAGTAACTAAAGAATAAAGAATATAGTTTGATTCACAATTTTCTTACTAATATTTCCACACAAGAAATTATACCTTTACAATAGTGTTTAGTTTTTTAAAAGAGCAATAGTTTATTTATGAAAGTAATCCTTCCCTATTATATTGAAAGACTTTAAATGTTTAATAAGAGAATAGTAATGATAAAGCCAGTTCATAATATCCAAGCATTCTCTTGAGGTTTATGACAGGTCACTTTTAGTGTTTCACTTATGTAATATTTATGGTGAACTTCCTATTCTGATTTTCTATGTTCAAATGTATCTCTGTACTAAACATAAACATATCAATGTATCAGAATGAATAAATATTAATTTATAGATAAACTAACTATGGAGTATTTAGCAGTAGTTCTCAGCTACTCTGATTTGGTGTGGACAAAAATTACTTTATATTTAAGAAAAACTGAGCTAGATATGGTGGCTGTTGCCTGTATACCTAGGACTTTGAGAGGCTGAGGCAGGTACTTGAAGTCAGGTGTTCAAGACCAGCCTGGCCAACATGGTGAAACCCCATCTCTACTAAAAATACAAAAATTAGCCAGGCAAGGTGGCACACACCTGTAGTCCTAGCTACTCAGGAGGCTGAGGCATGAGAATTGCTTGAGCCTGGGAGGTGGAAGTTGGAGTGAGCCAAGATTGCGCCACTGCACTCCAGTCTGGGCAACAAAGTGAGACTCTTGTCTCAAAAAATAAAAAAAAAATTTAAAAAAACCCACAAAAACAAACAAAAAAAACTATGTGCAACCATAAACATTATGGCCCATGGGAGCTGTATGACCACCTAAATAAAGATGTTTCAAAATGCATGATATCTTGATAGTAATTATACACGTGTGTGTAAACATGGAAATTTTTTTTAACTAAAAAGGGTTTGTTTGTTCATCCCTTATGATTTGTTCTAAACCATGGTATGTAAACTGCTTTTATAACTTGTTTTCATCTCCACATCCTGTGAAAAGCTTTTGTTTATAAGATTCTTTTTGAAGTCAAGGAAAGCTTTACAGATGAAAGAGATAGCACAATCTTGTCCTTTCATATTATAAGGCAAGTAAGGAGAGTTGTTCATTTGATCAGTAGCTGTCACTCTGAAATAATCTTCCACCAAGTCCAGAATCTTGAAATTATCTGGGAAAGAATGGCCACTACTAACAACCCTTATAAACCATGTAAGAACTTGGGTGGTTGCCTTTGGTGTACTAGAAAGTTCCTGTTCCTCAGCATAGTTTACCAGGCCCTTCAAAATCTAACCCACAAAGAGATAGCTGTAGTAATTTCCTAATATCTATACCCCTCTTCTTCTTAGTTAGAAGTGCCTGGATTTTGTTTGGGAATCCGTGTGCCCACATCCCCGCAATGGTCATAGTCAGACTAAGCCAATTATGCCATTCTGTTCTTTACACTTTCGCCTTCTCTTCCAGCTAGTGGTAACCAGTAAACAGCAACAGAAATCTGTTGTTGGGGCTTCTGGGAAAGCTTTGCCTTCCTGATGCAGAGGCAGATGTCCCGCCACCGCCGTTTCTTCCTTCCTCTTGGCTCGAATGCAGATGTGACACCAGATATAGAGGCAGCTGTTTTGCCACCATGAGAGAAGGGCCAAGAGAACTGCAGAGACACTGGCCCTGACACATTGAGCCACTGAACCAATCCTCAGCCTCCCACATTTAGACCTTTGTCTCAGAAAAAAATAATCCCCTACTTGTTTAAGCCATCATTATCCACTTCTGTCACTTGCAGTAGAAAACATTCTTAACTGGTTGAGAAACAGGCTGAGATCACTTGCTTTCATTTCCTGTACCCCATTCCTTAAACTGCAAAAATCTGTTTATCATTCTACTAATCCACTGGGCTACTTAATGACTGACACAAAAACATTTTCCCTCCAAAATCCTTTTCATCAAAATAATTCAGCTTAAATAAGAAACATCCCCCAACTAATCCCCTCACCCTCACCCATGCTCCTTTAACCGCTGCACTAGCCTGCTGTTTACCAACTAGGGTGAGGGAGGCTTGAGGTACTATCCCCAGTACCCAGCAGAGTACCAGGAACACTAGGCAAATATGTTATCTTTGTTAAATCTTGCATATTCTAAACTATTTGAAGAGATAGCCTTGGTCTCATCTGAGACTTTTCACTGACAGGGTTTCCTTTGGTTCTAGGTGAAGCTGAATTCTCCCTGCACCTGGCATTCCCAGATAAGGTGAAACAAACATACTACAGAGGTCTTCTGAAGGACAATTTTGTAATAACAGTTAAAATGTTAAATATGTATAATGTTTGATCTAGCAGTTCCAATACTAGAAAGTGATACCAGAGACCTATCACAAAAGTGGCCAAAGATATCTATACCTAGCTACTGATTAGAACATTGTTTATAATAGCAAAAATTAAAAACAGGCCTTATGCCCACTAGTAAGAGACAAGTTAAATAAATTATGGTACATCCATTTAAAAATCAAATGCTATGCCACTGTTTAAAAGAACCAAAAAATCTATAAATGGTGACATACAAGGTCAGGGTACATCACTAAGGAAAATAATCCAGTTATAAAAGAGTGTGTTTTATCCCTTTTCTGTAAAAAAAAAAATTATATCTACTGAGCAAACTGAGATAAAGTCTACCTTAAAAGCAGTAGTTGGCCAGGCGCAGTGGCTCATGCCTGTAATCCCAGCACTTTGGGAGGCTGAGGTGGGCAGATCACGAAGTCAGGAGATCGAGACCATCCTGGTTAACATGGTGAAACCCCGTCTCTACTAAAAATACAAAAAATTAGCCAGGCATGGTGGTGGGTGCCTGTAGTCCCAGCTACTCAGGAGGCTGAGGCAGGAGAATGGCGTGAACCCGGGAGGCGGAGCTTGCAGTGAGCAGAGATCACGCCACTGCCCTCCAGCCTGGGCGACAGAGCGAGACTCCATCAAAAAAAAAAAAGGGGGGTGCAGTAGTTAATTCTGAGGTTGGGACTTTTATTCTCTTAAATATCAGTTTTATAGTATATGGATTTATGTAATCAATACATGTGCAATATTTATAATCAGAAACAAATTACTAAAGAAACAGATTTTCCCTGGTATTTATTTTCAGTAATGGGAGGAGGCCAGGAGCTCCTGCAGAGCTACAGCCCCTCTGCAGAAATAAAGAAATGCAGAGACAATTTGACATGCAGGATCAAAATAGGCTAGAAATGGGGCAGTAAGACTGGAGGTACAGGGGAGAAGAATACATGAATGGGTGAGCACCTAACTCATCCAACTGTGCAAGCAAGAGATCTAGGAGCCTTCCTTTATAGCTTTCTCTCCATCATTCGTCTAAAATTCCTCTAACATATACACTTTTCTCCATCTCTACCAACACCATCCACATCCAGCTAACCAACCTCTCTGGCTTGAACTATCAGAATAATTTGCTAATTGTATCTGCTTGAAGAATTTTGGATCCCAGACTTGGCCCCCTGATGTCACATCTGTAGATAGCTTAAGTTCCATGGAAAAGGGGAATTTGCAGATTAGGAAGAATACTAATCAATTTAACACACTCTCAGTTTAACATTAGAATAGGGAAAATAGCCTGGATTATCCAGGTGAGCCCATTGTAATCACATGAACCCTTAGAAGCGAACTGTCTCCCAGCTGAAGGCAGAGGAGGAAGTAAGAGAGAGGGACAGAGAGGGAAGTAGGAGAGAGAAAAAGTGTGAGAAGGTCTTGACTTGGGTTTGCTGCCTTGAAGATGGGAGAGGCTTCGTGGAAAGCAGGAGAGGGAAATGAAGTAGGCCAACAACCAGTGAGATTAAGATGAGAATTGCAGCCCTGTCCGACACCTTGATTTCCATCTTATTTAGCTCTAGACAGAGAACTCTGTTGGCCATTCTGTGCCCAGATCCCTGACTTACAGAAACTGTGATGTTTTAAGCCACTGAGTTTGTAGTAATTTGTTTCAGCAGCAATAGAAAACTAATACTGCAACCCTGGCCCATCTCTCGTCTAACGTTGCAACCATAATGCAAGCAATTTTTTTTTTTTCCAAAATACAGATCTGGTCATGATACCTCTGTTTACTTATAGCTTCCTAATGCTCTTTGGAAACACTGCAAACTCCTTAACATAGACTTCAAGTTTTGCATGGTCTTCAGCTGCCATGAACCTCCCAGCCTCACGCTCCCCTCCAAGTCCCTAACTCTGCAGTTCAGCCACTCTGGCCTTCTTACATTTGCTCATACTGCTGTGCTTCCTCTTGCCTCAGGGCCTTTGCACAAGTTGTTTCCTCTGCCTAGGATGTCCTTCTTTTCCTTCTTCAGCTTCTGGACATTACCTTTCATCTTTGTATTTAAGTCCATGCACCTTCCTCTTGGAGAAGTCTTTCCTGACCTCTCTGACTAAATCAAGCATGGAAATTACAGGCCTCTGTGGAATCATGTCTCTCTCCTTCCCGTCAATTGTTGAGGTTACAGTGGTTTGTGTGATTACTTGACAATTATCTGTCTTAAGTGCCATAAAGACAAGATGGTGTGTATGTCTTTCCTCACCATTATATCAACTGTTCCTGGTAGAGAGTCTACAACATACTTAGTTCTCAAAAAATCTTTGCTGGCTGAATAACTGAATGAATGAGTCACATTGAATCACTGAAACAATGAATTGGCACTCTAGAAAAGAGTAGATGAGAAAATACCAGCCACCAGTAGAAGGCTGAGTCAAGTGATCACAGGTTATCACACCAGTTCTCAGATTGCACGATGCTAGGTACTGTGTGCCCAGGCAACGTTTGATAACTGTTCTTTAATTTCATATTACCCAGAGAACCCTGGCTTTTCTAGTTAAAATAGCTGCCAAGACACCACTTTATCACCAATATATGTCTTGTCTCATGAAATAAATGTAACAAATATTTAATGAGTAATGACCAAGTGGAAGACACTGTGTTACCTATCCCAAGGGATAGGTATATGTCCTTAAGTATTAATATATTTGATTTATATATTGAACTTCATGCTTTATAAAATATACTTTTGCATATATACTCTAACCCTCACAATAACTTTGTAAAGTACTTGTGTATTATTATAACTGTTCTCAGTTCAGCACAGATTAATTCAGAGATTTGCTGCTCAGAGGTTAACTGACTTGCTCAAATTCAAAACACTTGAAAGTGACAGAACTTCATCTCAGGTTTTCACTCACTCCATGTGCAGAGTGTTCTAACAGAATCCTGGATTTTCTCTATAGAACCAAGCCTCACAATTCCCTATGTACGTCCCGTCTCTTCATCCCTACTCCCTGGGATGTAGGGATGACCAATCCCAGCACCTCAGAAGTGGTTTGGGCAAATGTCCACAGCACCCTTAGGGTAATTTCTATCTAATCTGCCACTATGCTTCCGAAAGATGAGAAGATGAAACAATTGGACAACCAATAAATGTTTCTCGAGTAGATAGTAGACTTTATCCTAACTCTTCACACACATACAAATCAGCAATTATTCAAGTGTTAAGCTCCTCAAGTTTGAGAATATAAATCTCTGTGCGAGAAGTATTCTATTAATTAATTTTTTTTTATTGGCTTGAGAGTAGGCCTCTTTTTAAATAGTTAATAGCTAGAGGGGAAAGTCCTGCGGAATTTCTGAGAGATGTGCTTTTTTCTGTGAATTTACGTCATGATGCTACAGATTAGTGTGAAGCGAGCCTTACCCAGAAGGACTGGAAATTGGTTATCACGCCCAGATCAGCTCAAAGATAAATGTCCGCTTAATTGGAATGGGTATAATATTCCAATGATTTTGCTGAATACAGTTGAAAATCCAGAGGAATTTCCAAAAACTGTTAAATAATCTTTACTGAAATAAGGGTATAGTCTCACCTTATAATTACATTAAAAGAAAGTAGTCTCATTTGTGTCCTTTTGGTATGTTTTATGTTTAAAAAGAAACTGAAGAGTGAAATTAATAAGTCAAAGAGCACAATTAACTTCCTTACAAATTTAATTTTTTCCTGATTGTTAAATTAATGCATGCTTATTTAGAAAGTACATAAAAGTGTCCAGAGAGAGATACAAAATGTAACCATAATGATCATTGTGCTACCTTGAGGCAAATATTAACATCTTGACACTTTTATCTCTACCATTTACCTATTTATTTTTCTTAGTTGAGATGTAGTCTATTTTTTCTACTTAGCACTTTGCATTTTTTTCACCAGTAAATCATTTGTTTCAGTGCTTTTAGTTAAAAGTACTAATTCTCTGTGTTACAATTCAAAAGTTGGCCTAGCTGACGTAGCCACTATACAAATTTGGTATGAATCTTCCTTACTTGTTCCCTTCCTAAACAACCATATAAGGTAGATACATAAATACTATTGCTGCTATTGTTTTTTTACAAAAATAGAATCATCCACACAACTCATTTTTTTAAATAAATCATTACATTTTCCCAAAACCCTTCTTGTACATCTATCTCATTTTATTAAGTAACTGCACTAGCCTTCCATAGAGTGAACATACAAGTATTTATTATACCATCTTCTAATGATTGACATTCAAATTTTTCTCCTTATTTTTTCCTATTATAAGAAACATAGCAATAAAAACCATAATACATATATTTTCTAAATGGCACTTTCAGTTTTAGAAAATATATATTTTTTTGCTAGCTATTGCTTATTTAACTGACAAATACAATTGGATTCTTTCCAATATTCTCCATGAGGGTATGGTCCATATCTATCTAGTATATTGTCCTTTTACCCAAATGACACAGACTGTGGCGTATGGAAAGTTCAAGTCAAATTAGTATTTGCTAAATTGATCTGGACAGACAGCATTTTTGTGGGAGCTCCGAATTTACCAGTAGTCAGTGCGTGAGCTCTGCCATGTGATGAATGTTTAGGAAAGGTACCAGCATCAGGGCTTAACGACGACATTCCCAAATCCACCATCTGCATCCAGCTTGGCTACTAATGGGCAGTGTAACTTTCATCTCCTTCCACTTCAGTTTTTTCTTCATTTATAAACTGGTTAAGTGGCATGCGCCTCATGTTGCATATACATGTCCCATTTTAATATGTATTTTATTTTTGTCATGTGTCTAATAGTAATGCAATGTAATAAGTTCCTTTTAACATTAAAATGATATATTAAAATTTTATGTTTGTAATTATCAGAGTATTTCTTGACATCTTTTTATGGAATATTTCACAGGCAGGGGATGAAATGATTATTAAATTAAATTCTTCCCACTCATTGACTCAGCTTTAAAATATTCAGAGTCAATGTGGGAATTTGTTGCATTAGCCCACAGTTACCCTGAAAAATGCATGAAACCATCAGGAGTGAGGAAAGAAGACAATGCAGCTGAATCGGTATAAACCCATCTATTTAGGTAGGGAAACCAGAGGCCCCCTGGGGTAGTCAACAGCTTCTTGAATGTTGGAAATCAAGGAAACTCAATAATTAACGCTTTTTTTCTCTCACTTGCATTACAAATAAATTAAGACACAAGATGGAGTTAGGTAGATGTAGGCCACAGTATAGCATTTATCACCAATAAAGATGTTACGGTAGGATGTGACAACACATCTGTGGGCAAGCCGGCATGTCAGCACAGCACCATAGAGATAGGCTGGCTCCTCTTCTCTGCTGCAGGGAGCACTGCACCAAGCCACGTCTCCCTCTTCAGGAGCAGACCCAGCTCTGTAATGCAAACAGGAGAGAAGGAGCAGTGTAGAAATGAGAAGAAGAGGATGCAGGCTGTACATGCCCTGTTTCTTCTTTCAACCCAGCCTATTGGTTTGAGTCACCCTCTCTGGGTAGGAACGAGTAAGCAGGAGAAGAGGCTCCATGCATTTTATGCTAGTCAATACCCTTTTACGTGGAAGAAAATATCAAGTGTGGAAAAGAAAGGCTTCTTCTCTTTTTGCTTACCATTGAAAAATACATTTTATTTATTTATTTTACTCCTATACATGTTGCTGCCTCTTACAGAAATTTGGATTTTGAGATAGCAGGCAACTTGTACAATCCTTGGCCATCTTCACAAAAGACCTCACACAAACCATGCATGAGTAGAAACACATCTTCCACCAAAAGCATATGGTGATTTCTGTGGGTTGTGAGTTAAAAGAGGGCTTAATGAAAAATTTTTGTTTGGTGTCTAGATTTTAAATCCTTATGCCGTTTACGATGCATATTGCAATCTGAAATCTTGCTTAGTTATGTTGAAAATGGTGGAAGGAAATTAATTTAGTCCATGATCCCATATACAGTTTTAAATTCTCATAGTATATATTCTTCTTGCTGATATCCCTATATTCTTTCTTTTCAGTAATGTATTTTCGAAAGCATTCTTTGAATACTTTTAAGAACATTTACAAGTACAATCAATGATCCAAATCTCATGAGAAAAGTATTATCGAGCCTATTTTACAAATGAGAAAATTAAGGTTAAAATAATAATTTGTCTAAGGTGATACACAGTTATGAAACAGAAAATGATATTTGAACCCAGGTCTTCCCAATTCACATAGGGTGTTCCATCATGGTTACTTATACTGTTGCCCGCCATCCTAGATAAAAATTCCTTGTGGTTGTGAGCGTGGCTTCTATTTATTCATTTCTTTTTCTGTCCACAGCAAAGAACATAATGCTCTGCATTGAGCAGGTATTCAGTAAATGTTTGTTAAGTTTAAGTAAATACACTATCCATTGTGCAATTCTAGATATGGAAAATGCATAGAAATGTTCCAGTTGGAGTCTGGCATTTTGTAAGTTAGGAAATTAAAGCCCAAAGAAAATCTCGAGTTTATGTAGCTAGGAGAGTACCAGAATCTAAGCAGAAGTATAACTCCATCTACGCAGACTTTTGGCCCTTCCTGCTACCATTTCCCCTTCATCTTGGGAATCATGAGAGTGGCAAATGGCTTGGCATGGATCACAGTGGCTCACTAAGAGGAAGAGTCAGCTGCTGCTTTTCCTGGGACAAACGGCCTGAAGGAGCAGAGGTCATTGCTGTGTCACAGAGTTGAAAAAACTGACAGGAAGGAGAACAACAATAATAAAATATTGTATTTATTTACTGGACAAGCAGAAGAAAATAGTGACTTAGTACATGACCTGGAGCCACATGGCCTGGTTAAAATGTATAGAAGTAATCTACTTATTAGCTGTGTGATCTTGGACAGGTTACTTGGCCTGTATGTGCCTCAGTTTCTTTATCTGTAAAATGAGAATGGGTGCATCTCCTCCTGCCTTTGTGAAAATTAAATGAGTTACAGATACAAAGTGCACAGGCAGCACCTGGCATAGGCAAAGTACTATATAGCGGTACTGATTTGAGCATTTCATAGGTTCCAGAGACTATGCCAGTGTTTAAAAACCATTAGGTTTATGATTAGCATACGTATTTCACATATTATTAAATACTAAATAAGATAAGCCATTGCTACATTTTAAAACAAGGACACTTGAGATATAGAAAGGGTGAGCAACTTAACAAAGATACTAGTGCCTGTCAGAGGAGGCATATAAACCTAGGGCACCTTCCCCCAGAGCCCACATGTTGACCACTGTGCAAAGGGCTGAATCTCACTATTAGCTTGCCTCCTTGTGAAAAAAGAAAAATGTGCTTTGGAGTTCTTATTGAAGCAGACACAGAACTCCCTAACCAAAGTCACTGTTTCCTAACCAAGCCTCCTTCAATTCTCCTGTGGCCCCAGAAGGGTGGTCCTAGAGTGGACCATATCATCCCTAATCTAGAAGAGTCCAGATTGGCTAACGAACTGTTCTGGAAATCAAGAAGTTTATAATTACTATAGGTGGATCTCAAAAAAGAACTGTTCTGGACTTCCCTGAAATTAAATGCCCTTGTAATAATCAAAGTCAGGCCAATCTCTGAGAGCTTTTCTTGAAAAGTCAAGTCTGTCTCTCAATCAAGAGCATACATGTACCAGAGCTTGTACGGAACAGATGCACATCAACATCTACCTGGTGTCTTTTGGGAAAAAGGCCCCATCCAGAGGTAGAACAGAAGGGCCATGACTATTTCACTTAACTGCGAAATGGCCACAAAAATCACCTGCTTTGTCTCAGAGACTGCGTCCCAACTGTGTGTAAACTTAAGACTCCAGGAAATAATTATTTCTGTCAGTGTTTGCCATTTAGATAAAGCTTCTTGGGAAATATGTTGAGAATCAGACTATCAACAGATGTTTATTATTGAACTTGTTATGTACTCAGCACTGGGTTAAACAAACTTTGAAGTTTCCTATCACATGTTTGAGGGGAATTTAAAGCTCTTAATGGACATGATTACATGTTGTCAAATAGAATGTTACAGTAATGACTGTTCCCTAATTCTACTTGCTGTCATTTTTGAAGATTTGTTAGTAATAAAGTAAAAGTTTGGTATGTTAGAAAAGCAAGTAATTTCTTCTGAACGGTAACATTAAATCAGATAAAATAAAACAAGATTTCTGTCTCTGTTTCCTCGTCTGAAATAAATTGTTGGCTGTTATCCGCCATAGTCATTAAAAATGCCTCTGGTTGCAAAGTTGCTGTTTCAATTCTGATTTATAGAAGATTCAAAGAGTGAATCCAGCTACAACTCAATAGAGCTAATTACATTTTAATCTGCTAGATAAGCATCACGATTATTTTTACACTCAAGATTTCTTCTTTAAAAATGTTTCTTCTTTCTCTTTTTGTCAATGCTTGAAGTCTATTTCTTTGTCTTTTTAAGAGAGCATATCCTAAATTAAGTAATATTTCTAACTTTTCATATCAGCACAAGTGATTCACTGGCTTAATTTGGCAAGAAGATATTGGTTTTAGCTGCTAGCACAAACATAAGCTAAAACAACTCTAAGATGAATGAGAAAGTACTTCCATATAGAACCTGATTCTGAACCTCAATGGCCACTTCACTCTCTATCATCTTCCACATGATGGTCAGAACCCAGAAATGACCAGTAGCTCTTGATATTTAAGGAAGGTGTGATAAGCTAAGTAATAGGCTTGGAAACTCAGGGGAAATGCATTTTTAAATGTAGGTCCAGTCCTGACTTTCTTTGAAATCCTAGGTAAGACACTTAACCTATGGCTTAGTTTTTCCCATTTGTGAAATAGAGAGAGAGAGAGAGAGAGATTACTAAAGTAATGTCCAGAGAGATAAGACTATTCAATAGGCATGCAATGCAAGTTGAGTATTACAATTAATAAGTATTTATTTGCATATCAGCATATCAACCATAAAGCATTCAGTAGTACTTAGGATTTTGAAGACAATTCATAAGGCATAGATTGAAATAAAAAGATGTAGGAGGCCGGGTGCGGTGGCTCACGCCTGTAATCCCAGCACTGTGGGAGGCCAAGGTGGGCAGATCACGAGGTCAGGAGATCGAGACCATCTTGGCTAACACGGTGAAACCCTGTCTCTACTAAAAATACAAAAAAAATTAGCTGGGCGAGGTGGCAGGCCCCTGTAGTCCCAGCTACTCGGGAGGCTGAGGCAGGAGAATGGTGTAAACCCGAGGGGCGGAGCCTGCAGTGAGCAGAGATCGTGCCACTGCACTGCAGCCTGGGCGACAGAGCGAGACTCCATCACAAAAAAAAAAAGACGTAGGATATGTAAGCTTGACTCCCAGAAGCCTGCAGTCCAGCAGGAAAGAAGGGGTACATATATTGAAATTTGTTGATTAGTACATTGACCATCAACCTACATGTGCAGATTGACTGATACGGACATAGTCACCTGATATAATTGCTCTCTTCTTCATCTTGAGATGTTGATGCCATTTCTGCTCTGTGTTAATCAACACTGTAAATAGATGTCACAAAAACATGGTGTATTTTTAAATGCACAAAGAATGTAATCTTGTGTTCCAACATCAAGTCGCTCACACCAACTAGATGTCCTACGATTCAATTCAATTCTGACACTAACTACCCGGAGTGAGAGTCAGCTCCCACAAGTTAAAGAGCAAGGTTCCTAATGAGACTATTCTTAGTTCAGACACCAGTTACAAGCAGGGTCCCCAAACTACCTGCAATTCTGTCTGACATGGCTACAATTTTGGGGATTTTCCTATGACCCCTCTTCAGTTTCAATAATTCACTAGAAGAACTCATGGAATTTGGGAAAGCACTATCCTTATGATTACTGTTTTATTAGAAAGGATACAAATGAGCAGCCAGATGAAGTGATACAGATAACAAGGTCTAGAAAGGCACTGAGTGCAGGAGCTTCTGTCTCTGTGGAGCCAGGAGGACACATCACCCTCCCAGTACAGCAACATCTTCACCAAACAGGAAGCTTCCTAAATCTCCATGTCCTGAATTTTTTGTCAGAATTTTATTGTGTAGGTATAACTGATTAAATAATTGGCCCTGTGATTGAACTTAATCTCCAGTCTCACTCCTTCTCCAAAGGTTGGGGGCAGGGTCTGAAAGTTCCAACCTTCTAATCACATGGTTGGTTTCCCCCATTCATTATCACAAACTCAGGTACAGTCCAAGGAGGTTAATTATGAATAACAAAAGACATTCTTATCACTCTGGAAATACTAGGAGTTTTGAAACTCTGCTAGGAACCAGAGACAAAAGCCAGATATGTTCTTTATTTTATCACAAATGAATATGAATATTGCTTTATCAATTCTTAATAATATTAACACCTCATTTCTAGTCATTTGTTCTATAAACATTCATTGAGCAGTATGTTAGATTTTTTTGTCTTACAAGGATCAGGCAATGAAAAGGAAAATTTACTTAAGGATATGAAGGGTCTGGAAAAGCATTACGTTGGCTGGAATGCTCTGTCTGTCTTCCATTGGATCTCTGCCTCTCCCTGTGTATCTGTCCCATTTTCCTCCCTAGACTGTTCAGTCCATTCCATATTCTCTAGTCCATATTTCAGAGGAAGCTAGTGGCACAGAGATGGGTAAACACAATGACTGACATGACACTTCTCATGTCAAACAACCTGCTATGAAAGGCATTGTAGGAAGAAAAATGTCCTGCCTGGCTTTCTGCTCCCCTATCATCTCTGCTTTCATAGATGATCACCTTTCCTCCAACAATAGACTCAGTCTTTCTCCAGGCTCCAGGTTCAATCCTGTCCCTTGTCAGTGGGAGGTGGATACTGAAGAATCCATAGCCCAGAATTCAATATAAATTAAATATTAATATAAATAATCTGGTTCACACCTCATGCTTCTATTGTAGTAATTAGAATTCAATTTTTGTTCTTGGGATCAAGCCTTCACCCTGTAACTCAGATGCAATAAGTATTTAATATATAACTAGATAAGCTTTGATAATCTGCCCAATGCTGCAATCCAAATGGGATTAGGTGCTGAATCACTCTTTGGATGTTAGTTATCTGTCTTCCTCCACAAACCTACACCTCTCTCTCCAGTCAACATGCTCACAATCAACGTCATAAGCATGGACATGAATAGAACCCTTGTGATCACGTACAAAATAACTAGAGAGTTAAGGAGCGGGAGAAGGAGAGAAGATACAAAGAAGTTTAAAACTTAATGCCTGCCTTTGGGAGCTTGCTGTTTCATTGAACAGCAATACATACACTGATGTCCTTAATTCAAAGCAGTTTAGGAGAAGTGCCATGTGGATGATCCAGACAGTAGGTGTTACAGATGTTCCCAGGAGGAGACACTCTTCCAGCTAGGATGATCAAGATCAACTTCACAGATGTGGTGAGGTATGAATTAGGCACCTGAATGGGCAGTATTTTGAAGGACAGAGATGGGAGAGGAGGATTTGAATAAAAAAACAGCAGTAAAACAAAAGCAAGAAAGGACAAAGGGAAATGAATCTTGGAATAGTAAAACAGTTTGACCAGAGAAGAAGATTCAGGATGGGGTGTAGTGAAAGATAAAGCCGATGGTAATCATTCCTGTATACCCAAAGGCTCTTTTAATCAAGAAGTCCAGTCATGTATTTTCAGAAAAAAATTCTGATTATTAATATGAACAAAGCAAGCTACTATGAGATTGCCTATAATTGGGCTCAAAACGGTATAGTCTAGCATTTTCTGAAAAAAATACTTTAGAATGTCACTGTATCTGATTGGATACTGAACATTCCTTGAATAAATTATTTGGACTGAGTGTGTCAAAGGGAAAGATAAAATATTTTAAACTGCTGTTTCTGGCTCTACAGCTCAAAATAATGTCTGTTGGACTCAGCTGTCCCCTTGTATATATAAACAAAACAACCCTTACTCTTTGTTTCTTTTCTAGCCAAGAGAAATCAGGTTCCCATGGCTTCAGACAGCTGTCATGCATTTCCCTGACTGCCGCCACATGTGTGTTAGGCTCTGCAGATCATTACCAACGCCAACATCTGGCTCTGCTTGCTTTTTTTCAAAGAAGAGTTTAATTTTCCTCTAAGTTTTCAGAAACAGGAAATACCACGTGCACTTCAGTGGAATTTGGGATTAAATATTTCTAAAAGCAACTGCTGTTTTTACAAGACCTTTTGGAGTGATCGCTTATTTTATGGCTTTTACCTCTGGAAATTCTTTTTTCTCTCTGAATTGCTGTGAAATCTCCAGGGTCCCTTGACTTTTTATCAGACTGCAATTGTGCTTTTATTCATCCCCCAAAGAATTTGTTTCAGACTCTGCTGAGGGTCTGACCACCAGCCACACAAGTAACATCTCAAGCACCAGTTTTTGTTACCTGTTCAGAACCACAGGTTTGACCATTGCCAAGTGTATGAAAACTCTGGGGAGCCTGCATTCTCACTAGCACTCACTAGCATTGACCATCAACCCTCTCTAGAAGGTGTTCTCTTCTTTGGGAGTAGAGAACAAAAGAAGAGAATTCAGCAGAAACTGAATGCTCTTCAGAGGGAAGTAGGAATAGGTAAATGGCTGATTCTTTCAGAAAATAATTATGTTATTTTGTGGATACTGATACTATTTTCTGATACTATTATCCCCATTTTTCAGATAAGGAACCTTATGCAAACTGAAGAAGAAAGCCATGTAAACAAAGAATAATCTTCCACTTTTAATGGGCTTGTGGCTCACAGAGAAAGCCACTTTCTGCTGAATTTCCTCTTCCTGTCATCTGTTGTAGCTATATAACAAGAGACAGCTTCCATTTTAGGGAGAGTACAAGACTGAGAGCAGAAAAGTCTATTTGCTGAAAAGGTGTTGAGAGGGCGGGACTGGAGGAAGATGTATAAAGGCAAGAAATGACAGAAATGCTTTAGCCACTATAAGTCTTTCACATATTTCTAATGTTGGAGATGGCACAACTCACTTCTTTTGGAATTGAATTTCAAAATCTTCCTTTCTCAATGCTGAAGTTTTGCTTGCTGGCAGGCAACTGGTTGGCTACTAAGGAAACACGCAGTTTTCTCTGATGCCTGCTTAAAATATGTTTATAAAAATTGTATTATATTGAAGTGATAAAGGCAGAAGAATTAAAAGTGAGCTTAAGGAATCTCTACCAACATTCTGAGTATCTACATCAGTTTTACAGGCACACATCTTGAGTGTTGATGTCAGGATAGAACTTTAAGGAATGTGTAAGGTCAGGATGACAAAGGACAATGGAAATGTCCATTCTCAAATCTGTAATATAAAGGCATTTCTTTAAAGCACTCTATTTTCACTTTTATAGCTACTGTCTCTTGCCACCATAATTTCTTTCTCCCGGTAGAAAGATATGAAAATGTCAAGTCCTTAAGCCTTGACTTTTCCTCTACAGTATAGTGTGAGGCTGCAGAGCTACATTAGTAGGTTTTGCCCTGATCTCCCTTGAAAGCCTTTTCTACACGATTCTCCTGTCCTCAGAGGAGCCCTAAAGTCACTCTTAAGTCTTCTGATGGAGAAGGAAAGTACTCTCTTAAAAACTACAGTTCATCATGGTTTACATTAAAATGATAAAATAGACACTAAGAGATGTCTAGTTTCAGATTTTAACTCTAGGAGAGATTTTGTAAAGCCCACCACTAATAGCTAGCATATTCGGAACCTAATATGTGCTTGAAGCTCTTGTTACTGTGTATTAGGTAATCAAAGATGGCAGTCACGTGATTACAGCTGATGGATGGAGATGCTGGGAGTGGGGGCCAGACAGCCTGTGAGGTTCGCACTGTGCAGCATGGCCTCTCCCCCAGCTGCTCTCTCCTTTTATTAGTGGGCAATTTGGTTGGGAGGGAGGAAAAAGTAACTCTTAGAGATTGAAATTGAGGGTATATTTTGTAGTAGTTCTTTAAAGCATCTATCATGGGTTTTAAGGAATTTATAATCTATTTCTTAACCTCTGATCCCTCTTTCCTATAGACAAAGTCACACGTGGAATCCTCAGCACTTTAAGTTCAGGTAAGCTGTGAGTTGCCAGCAGAGTCTTGATTGCTTGCTCTCTAATCTTGCTCACAGGCCATTGCCCAGTCTTATCTCAGAAGCTGCTGATACTCAGTCTCCACCAGCCTTTGCTCCTCAGCAACCAAAGGCCACTTCCTGCCTTCCTTCTTCCATCCCTAAATTCCATCCTGTCCCAGCCCCCGACCCCATTCCTGCCTTAGCCCAACATCCCTACCCATCACCTATTTCTTCTCAGGTTCAGGGTTATAATTAACACTCTATTAGCTTTTTTTGTTGTTAATAGAGACTTAAAAAACATTATGGAGCTAGCCTGAAAATCCTGATTATTTATTATATTGACTGCTCTAAATTGTAAGTGAGATAACTTAGACATGAACATTTACAATGCAGGCACGTCGTAAGTTTCCTGCATTAGGGCAAGAATTGGGCTTTCTAATACTTTTCTAAAGTTTCTCGGGAAAGAAGACAGGACCCTAATCTCCCCCAATCCCATCTACACCAGGGATTCAGTGATGGTTTCCAGTGAAGTTATCAGCTGCTGCATGTGTTCAAACAAGGCAAACTTTGTAATAAGCCATGTCCACAAATCAAGCACAACTTGTATTAATTTTTATGGCAAGCTTATTTTTCACCAAGTGGCATCTAATTCCTTCCTCCCAACTGTCTCACTCTTGCTAGTCACCTTGGACTCCCCACAGTTCTCTTATCTGGACTGTGTCTATGAAGTAAGTGAAGATTTTCATGTCAAAGAATCCCTTTGAGTGAAATGGATGAAGAAATGTAATTAATAAAGGTGGAGAATTTTTGAGCCTAAGCTTTCCAGCTCAGTTGGTAAGCCTGTGATTTTTAGCAGAAAGACTTTAATAAAAATCTATCCTAGGTACAGTTTCTGCATGAGGGAAGAATAGTTTCAGTGGAGTCATTAGTGTCTATATAATTGAATATCTCACTACTAGGACTTTTAGAGGCATTGAAGGAAGGAATTCTCAGCCAAAGAGTAGGCCTTGCTGACCCATAAGGAATACAGACCTCAGAGAAAAAGATGTAGCTGCGATTTCTGCCAGACAATCAATAGCAGCTGATGTGAAATAAATTCTAAATACAGACACAGTCAATATCAAGACACAGTCAATATTAAAGCACAGTCAATATAGTATCAAGACAATATTATATATTTCATGTATTTAATGCCAATAACAATGGTTCAAAATTCAATAGCAGTAGGACACACCAATTAATAGTAACTTTTTATTTAATTAAATCTTGGATCTCTTGAAATCAATATACAAATGAATTATGTAAATATTTTGATTGAAATGTCGGGCACCTAAGAAAACAATGACAACTTTGGGTTCTTCTAAAGGTCCCAACATGACTATTCTGCTACCTTCATATTTAAAATATATATATATTTCTTATTAAAAACTGAAGTAAGTTTTACAACCTGTGATGTACCAGCTCCTTCAAAGAATTCTTTTTTCTTAGGAATTAATTTCATAATCACACCGAAGAATGGCTGTAATGGAAGAGTTAGATAAGAAGTAAAGATAAAGGCAGGTAGACCACAGTTGGCAGTGTAGCATTCCCAGTCAAACCTCTGGATTAGAAGACTGTATATAACTATCACATACTTGCTTCCAAAACATTACTCAGACCGAGAGTATAGCCCATAGCATCTACCACAAGCACAAGAATTGATCCTGACACTTTTGGTTCTCTATCTAGGAGTGGCTTTGAAATACATTTGAGTTCCAATTTACTGATGGCAAATCCTGATATGAAAAATTTGGAAATGAAAAACAATCCTCAGCATGTTACTTGGTGAAAAGAGAGCAGAGGAAAAGGACAGAGGCTAGAGATTGGCTCCTGCCTGCATTCGTGAATTTGTCTAAATCACTTAGCTTCTGAGCCTGGGTAAAATGAGGATGGTAATTACACTTGTCACCAGATAACGTGAATATTGCCCTTCAAACTCCTCAATGAAGCCTGCACTGTGGAACTGCAATGTCCTAGGACCGGGTTGCTCTTAGAACATTTTGTTCTAAGTGTATCCTAACAAGTGTAGCAAAACTGGAAGACACAAAATGTATTTCCTCCCCACAAGAATGAAAGCCTTCCTAACTCCAAATTTAGGCACAGCCTGTAAAAGATGTGACTAGTAAACACAGAAACCATTTGCTTTATAAGGTCTAAATTGTCCTCTTCTCCAGAGTTGTAGAAGCCAAGTCCAACACGGAGATCCCTACTTTTATTCAAGTTCCACCATTAGTCAACTCATGTCCAGGATGTCTTCTTTAATATATAAAATGGGGATACTTTTTTATATTATTATTCAACTTAAGAGACCACTGTGAAATTTCAGTGAGGTAACGTATGTGAAATGTTATACTCCATAAGTTCTTAAACACCTGAGTTTCATACCATGCTCTGAAGCAAGAGGCCAAGTCTGGTTCCTGGGTCCGCTTCCCCAATGGGCTTTTCCAAGCTGTAGGCTGAGTCTAAACTGTTTCCTCCCACATACCCTTCCCTCTGCGACACACTAACAACATCCCTTACTCCATCACTGTCTTCCTTACCCTCTCCTGATGAGCCTTCTTCCCCAGCCACCTTTAAGCTCCCATTAATGATATGTGTAACGAGTGTTCAATAGAGTGTGTGTGTGTATATTTAATGCCATTTATATGTTTTTTCTTGCTAAGTAATGCATCATAATTTTAGAAAATTGGGACTAGTCAGATAAAGCACCCGTTGGTTTAGAATCCCTGACTCAAAGTCAGATGTCCTGAGTTCTAGACTTGGTTTGTCTCCTTGTAAGTGCAAAAGTTTATTCCCAATTCCAGGTTGCTAGTGTAAACTTGAAGTTTGGCCCAAACAAAACCCCTATCAGATTTATTTAGAGTGTTGATGCCAAATGGAATTCTAGAAGCCCACCTTTGCCAGGGGCTGAGCCAGAACCACTATCACTGGGGGTACGGCCTGGGCATTTGTTCTGCGTTTTTTATAAGCCCCTCGGGTGACTGTCAGACAGGCCAACTGTTTCAGAAGCTCTGCTCCAGGCTCTAGATCACACGTTAAGTAGCAAGGATGGGGGTCTGGACCTCCAGTATTGGCATCCTCCGAGAGCTTGTTAGAAAGGATGTCTCCCTCATTATCCCAGGCCTACTGAATCTGAATCTTGCATCTCATCACAATCCGCAGGAGATTCTGTCACACACTGAGGGTTTGAGAAGCACTGCTGTACCTTGGTATCTTTAGATACCTACTGATACCTGGGTGGGCCCCACCCAGACATTGTCCTGTACTTGTTCTGGGATGCGTCCGGGGCAAAGGGTTCTTACAAGCTCCCCAAGTTATTTTAATGCACAGCCACAATAGAAGATCACTGTCCCCCAAATGGCAACCCTTTACGGTTAAGCTGTAACCTGAATTAAATTGGCTTTTGTGGGCTCCCCAGGGACCTTAAGGACCGCTTAAACGGTGCTGTTTAAAGGACAATGGGCTCCTGGGACAAGTTCAACCACAGAGCTTTGGGTTCATAAAATCAGGGCAGGGAAGACTTCCTGCATCCTCCCGCGAGCAAGCCAGGCCCCGCGCCGGTCCTCACCCGTGTGCACCCCCAGCCCGGCCCCGCCCGGCTCGCCCCCTCCCGCCCCGCGGCCCGCCCCTCCTCCCCCGTGACGTGCCGCTGCGGCCAGGATCATGCGCACTCGCGCCCCGCTCCCCGCGCGGCTGCTCCGCCTCGGCGCCTGTCATTCTCCGCGGCGCGGCGGCGAGTGCTGGCTGCGGTACCCTCCCGCTCGCTTGTCCGTCTGCGCGCCCGCGATGTGACCAGCCGACTGGGGGCGGGCTGGCGGCTCTGCCTGCGGCAGCGCATCGGTTTTTCTCCTGGCAGGTCCCTAATTGAGCCGTGATTCCCTTGGAGCCAGAGACACCCACCAGGGGCTCGGAGCGCCGCGCTCCGGGGCTGGAGGCAGCTGCAGCGCTCGGGTCCGCGCGGCCGGGTGCAGTAGCCTCAGTCCCAGCCGCCGCCTCGCTGAGTCGTGTGCCCTGGCGAATGCCCGGCGCCCGGCACAGCTGAGCCAAGGCGACTGGTGCAGAGCGGCGGCGCCTGGTCCTGCACTTGCCGCTGCTGCCGGGCTGTGCCGGGGCGGCGGCGCTGCGCGCCGGAGTTTGCAGAGGCTGCCTCCGAGCGCCGTCCGCCAGGAAGACTCCCTGCCTCCTGAGTCCCAGTAAGTTGACTGTAGTTTCTGAAGTTGGAGGGAGCCGTGGGAAGGAGAGGTTCGTTTTTATCTTCTTGTGGGAAGCCGAGGGTGGCACCTCTTGTTAACAGAGTTCCAGCTCGAGGAGGGAGTGCGGGGTGCCAAGAAGGGGACAAGGCAGCTGGAAGGTCTGGAGTCCAGGGCTGGCTGACCTCAGCATCTCACGAATGTGCCAGTTGGAAATATGCTGGGAGAGGACAGGTACTCCTAGGGCATTTCGACTGCTGCGTGCTAATTATTCATTCCAAGCTCCTTGACTCTGTGTTTACGTTGGGGTGAAGGGGCTGGGCAGGGTCTTGTCACCTCCATCCTAATTCCTCTGGGGAGTGTGGCCAGCACTGCGATGGATCTTTGGGCGAGCCATTTCTTTCAGGCCTGCAGGCTTCCCGCGCATCCCGCTTTACTCTTCCCCTAGGCAGAAGTTGCCAACCTTTTCATAATTGGAGCCTAGTCCTTTAGGGAAAAAACAACTTATATGTCGACCCGGTGTTTTATGCCCTAAGGCAAATAAAACGAGCTCTGGGCGTGTGAATTCATACACTTTAAGAATGTAGGCAAGTCTCAAGAAATAGGATTCAGATAATGACACTTGGATTTCACCCTGATTGTCCTGCACCTCTTATGTAAGCCTCCCGGCTGGATAACTTTATCTCTGCAGTGGCTGCAGCTGTGGCCCTCCATTCCATTTGTTTAAAGTCCAATTGAACAGTATTTACTGAAAATGCTGACATGATATAGCGGCCTGAAGTCTGAAACAGAGTGCACTCTTCAAATTGGAGTGTCTTCTCCTAATAGGGAGCATGGGAGGAACAACCCACTATATTTTTCAAGGCAGCTCCAGGAATTAGACCCATAAATCATGTTTTAAAATAGCATGCATTGTGCAGAGAGCATGCAGAGGACCGCTTTTTGAACACATCCCCTTTGTTTTAGAAAAAGTGGAAATTGTTCATGCCAGACAATTGTTGAGTCTAAAAGTTAAGTGTACTGATGGGCCTAATTATCTTAATAAACAAAGAGCATGATTTATAGGTAGCTGCAGTGCCCTACTTTGAAGGATAGAAATCTTTAACCTTTCTTTCTCAGCTGTTCCCGAGAGATTCCTTTTAAGCAGAGCTATGGATTATCATCATTGATGTTTAATACCTGAGTTGGTTAAACTTGTAAAAGGAATAGTACTTTGAAGTACCATGCAGTACTGCTGTGTGACTGTTACACAGCGAATATTATAAATAAGAGGAATATTTGGAGTATTGGGTATAGATGTCATTAGTTTAACAAAATAGGTCATATTAAGACTTTCCTGCTAAATATATATACACATACATAAATGTTTAATTTGGACTTGAAATTATTGTTTAAACCAAAGCTCAGGGGTATGTTTTAATGTAAGATTTATTTACATAATCTTTGAAGAGAGAAGTGCATTTATTTATGGTATTTCAGCATGCAGAACAAGATGAACTAGTTATAGGCACCTTATTTAAAGTGTAAAGGGTTTTTTTTTAGGAATACTAAGAAAATACACAAAATGTTATTTCAGAAGTTGAAAAGTTAGTCACATCAACACATTGCGGTTTGTGAGAGCATCCAGTGCTTATCTCTAGAAGAGATTACATCCAAGCATGGAATCTCAAACAGATTGACCCATTAAGCCCTATTGCAGCCTGGTTAGGAGGACAGGCTATGGAGCCAGGCTGCCAGCTCTGGTACCATCTGTTTGAATCTAGGCAAGTAACCCAAAGTCTGTGCCTCAGTGTCTTCATCTGTACAATGGGGATGACAGTAGTAGTACCTACCCCACTGAACAGTAGTGAGAATTAAATGAGTTCATAGACATAGAGCTGTTGGGCCAGTATCTGGCATATTAAGCTTGTTCTGGGAAAAATTTTCATTGTTATGAAAGGAAATGCATCTTTGGACTCTATGGACATTGAATTGCTGCTATGGACATTGAATTGCTGCTGATGAATATTAACAGAAGCAGTTCATGTGTATAATAGGAGAGAAGGTATAAACATTTATTGTGCACTGTCTAGCGATACAGACACCAACTGGTATTTAACACTGTCTTGCTCAATTCCCCACCACAGTCCTTTGAGGTAAGTGGCTTCATCTCTACTTTAGAGATGAGAAAATGGGAGCTCAGTGAGATCAAATAGTAGAAATTGGAGCTGGCATTTAACCCACGTCTGTCTGTGTTGAAACTGTGTTCTTTTTGACCCTGCTGCCTCAACTTGCAAATGAAGTAGTTGCATTATTATCCTCAATTTATACATGAAGAAATCTAAGCTTAAGGATTAAAGTATGCAAAGTGCTTAACAGCACCCACAACAGAAATGATCATAATTATTGTTAAATAACTTGCCCATGCTTCCATACCTCCTAATGTGTGGTAGAGGTGCCAGGTCTTTCAATTTGAAGTGGATTCTGTTGCTTTATTATTTTTCTATTCATGCATTCAGAGAGTCAAAAAAGAAAAATTGGTGTGATGTTAGAGTTTACACTGGAGGGTGGTGGTCTCCATTTGGTTTCCTGCCTGCACGTGTAGCTGCAGCAATCTACACAGTCAAGGAAACCACCACGGCAGCAGTAATCAATCCACAAACAGCGTCATCCCTGGATATGCATTCAGTCCCAGCTGGAGAACTCCCTTGGGCAGAGAGAGGCCTTGCACTTTGCCTCATATTAAACTGCATGTTCAGAAAAAGAAATAATTTATACTTACCATTAAATAAGCATGCTTCCTTCAAGCCTTAGTACCCCATGTCATGGGAAGCAGATTCCGGGGTGCTGTGTGAGCAGTACTTCCTTTAAGGTTTCCATAGCTTGTTAGACTTCTCAGCTGGGTTCCAGAGGTGGGGAATGATTGAGAGGTCATGGCATTTTTGTGGCTGTGTTAGGTTATCACCCAAATACTAGATAGTGTTCTCGCCTTTTGTAAGTCTTATTTCTAGAGATTAAAATCTAATTGCCGTATAGGGCACATAGACCACAGACTGCTCACAGTCTGATTTAATTTAAATCACAGACTGATTTAATGTTTAATGAAATCTCTTAGCTAATGTATGCTAACACTGAATGGTGCTTCAATATAAATGCTCAAAGTTGGCTTTAAAAAAAAAATCAAAACTCTTCGAGAGTTCTACTCTTCCTGTAGGCTGCCTCCATGTGCCTGGGGACACAATACCATAGTTGCAAAGTGCCCAAAAGAGCCCCTGCCATTGACTGAGTCATCTCACATCTCTGAATTATCTTCTGTTTCAACTTGAACCCTCCTTTTCAGAGAACAGATATTCCCTTTTGCTTACTTAATAGTTAATTTCAAGTGTTCCCCTGCTCTGGGTTGGTTATTCTATAGTAAAAGTCTCCCCTGATCACTTTTGTGACTTGAATGAGGTTCATGATTTATTATTAACTAACTCCTCAGAATATACATATAGTTGTTTCATTTCTCATCTATGTTATCTGTTATCTATTTAGTGGCTTATCTGTGTCACTTTTAAATCTCTGAATAATTTTCTTCTGACATCCATCAAAAGATACATGTAAAAGAAATGCAAACTAATTTTAATATGGATATAAATGAATGAAGACCATTGACAGTCATATGTACTGTTTTGAATTTTCTTCACTTTGGGCTTGAGGAGTTGGGAGCTGATAGTTCCAGAGCTCCTGCCTCATGCATTGTGAGAGGCACATTGGGAGGTTATACAAGTTATACACGCAAGCAGTTCATGTGCAGCCCCGCAGAGACAGCCCCTGAGGGCTCGCTCATTGCTGAGTTCAAGGGCAGGGGTTAAGTATGAGGGGAAAACAGCTCTGTACATAATTTATATGACCACATTTCTAGTCCTTACTGGTTATCTTTCTGGATAAGAATTGGAATGAATAGCTTAAAGGGAGCACTTACTGTGTGTTGGCTGCCATGTTAAGAACTGCCCTTCATCCTCACTGTGACCTTGTGTGGTAGTACTTTATTATCCTCTTTTGTGGAAGTGACAACTGAGGCCTAGAAAAGTCAGGGCACTTGTCCACGGTGACACTAGTGAGCTTCAGAGTAAAGAGTGGAGCCCAGAACTGTGCAAGGAGGCCCGTGATACTTATAGAACGTTCTGCTGCCACTGATTTTTGAGCCTTTGTGATAGCTAAACTCTATTGCATGGATTTATATATTACATAATATAGATGGACTATATTATGCTTTTCAGAAGAATCCTATACTATCTTGCTTGGTCCCCAGGTGAAGGAATGGTGGGAAGACACATGCCTACCTTCTTAGCCACTGCCAGGAGCAGGAATTGACAGCACAGGAAATATCATCTCCATTATCTTTGTAGAAGAAGAGCTTAAGCTTAGTTCACGCAATGAGCTCAAAAAAGAAAACCACATGTCTGCTTTGTGAAATAGGAAGCATAAAGCCTTCAACTGGTAGTAGAGCACAGTGGGGAGGCATGTTAACTTTATCTGTGTTTAGTGTCACATACTTGCATCATTCTCACTAAAAAAAAAGGAGAAGTGTGGAGACCTGACATTTTCTTGGGTGATTTAAAAGAAAAATAAGTTTATTTAAATCTAAAGAAGTATCAGCAGTGAACTGTCATGGGAGAACCACATTACTACAGCAGTGTCATCTGTCATCCCATGAGACTATGGTTTTCAAAGGAAACGAACACTTATGTCTAACCAGTAAGGCTTAAACGTGTTATCTTATAGTAAGAACATTGCATCAAATCGTCCATGTCTGTATCATAGCCTTTCTAACTCCAGTCAAAATGGAGGGTAAAAGGACAATTTTAAAACCATCTCGTAATATTTTCAAAACCCTTCCCCTGAGCCCTGCCCCCTCTATTTTTTCTCGATTTCATACTGGTGCCAATATTTGTTCAATAAGTTAATTCATATCATCCCCTGGAGTTTGAATTATAAAGGAATTATTGTGATTATAATATTTTGGCATATCCTGTTGATCTCTCATTTGCCCCCATCCTTGATGTTATAGGACTGTATGATTTTTTTAACCTGAGAAGTGATTAAAAACGTTTTAAAAATTTAGTCTCCTAAATGTAGACTGTTTATTGCAGAAGACAGGGAAATTGGCCTGACTGGGGGCATTTGCTAAAAATGCAGAGCTCCTGAAATCCTGTGAACCTTATGGAGTAAGCAAGTAAAAAAAAAAATACGGAAGAAGAAGTAGTTTTAAAATTGCTCACTAGGCCTGGTGCGGTGACTCACGCCTGTAATCTGAGCACTTTGGGAGGCTGAGGAGGGTGGATCACTTGAGGTCAGGGGTTCGAGACCAGCCTGGCCAACATGGTGAAACCCAGTTTCTACTAAAAATACAAAAATTAGCTGGGCATGGTGGTGTGCACCTGTAATCCAAGCTACTCGGAAGGCTGAGGCAGGAGAATCACCTGAACCCGGGAGGCAAAGGTTGAAGTGAGCCAGGAAGATCACACCACTGCACCCCGGCCTGGGCAACAGAGTAAGACTTTGTCTCAGAATAAATAAATAAAAATAAAATTGGTCACTAACAGCTTTGTACTTCCCTCTCCCATTTCACAGATGTCCAGCTGACCCAATCCCTAGGTACCGTATCATGTATTCATTTGCAAGTAATCAGGTTCTCTTGATTTTCTAAAAGTACCAAAAGGTGTGACTAAATCAGCATTACTGTCATCTGCCATCTCCGTGTTGAGAGAGCCCCAGGGTTGCATATGTAAGCTTTTATGTGAATTTATTCTCTGAGGAATGAAGGGTGATCAGATAAGTTCTCAGGCATCTCGTCTCACTGTATTTGTGACTCCATCATTACTATTAAAGTTGCTTCCCCCTACGCCATCCTTTCACCCCAAACCATACCCATTCCTTCATCATGCCCATTGTGGTGGAACATGATGAAACTATTGGGAAACTTAAGTGTTGAGGGAGCTCATGTTCTAAGTCAAAGGAAAAAACACATAACACAATACTTTTTTTCTTTTCATTAAAAAAAAGCCAGTCCCTAACATAGCTATACACAAGAACACCACACCTTCTGCATTCAGCAGTTGGGAATTGCAACCAGAGTGGCCTTATTAATTTTTTCCTGGCACCTTCTAAGGAGGGCTGTGAGCCTCTAATTCACATGTAATCAATCACTAGCAGCTTGTCTGTGTTTTCAGTCAAATTTAGTGACTGAAGGGTCACTAAATATCACAAGGGTGGTATTTATTCATTTATACATTCACCAGATATATATTAATATGATACCAGGCACATTGTTAGATGATAAGACCTCAAATACCAGAAAATCCCTCTCTCTGCCCTCAAGAATCTCAGATTCATGAGGGAAGGAGACACTGAGCAGCAGTTGGAACCAGTGCTTAAAGGATGCTTGGCTCCGTCAGGGGTGCCTGACTCCAAGGGGATGACTTTTCCTAACGCAGCCGGGCTTGATGGAGTCTGGAAGAGCCAGTAGGAGGGTACCAGGAGGCTAAGGGTGGGAGTGGGCAGGGAGAAATTATTCTGAGAGAGGGAACAGGGAATATGGTGAAACAAAGGTACCGGAGAGGCGGGTTGTGGAACAGCTGGTCATTCCATGTGGCTGGTGCACATTGAGGGTGGGGAGTGAGACTGGAGATGGAGAGCGGAGGCTGGAGCCACTTTTGGAGGGTCTTGTGGGCCATATTTAGTTTTGTAGATGAATTTGAGTACTTTTTTAGAATGATCACTCTGGGTATATTACACAGAATGGATGGGGTAAGGGACAGACAAAGTAAGCTGTGCAAAAAAAGCTTTTGAATACTGGTGTGGATTTAAAGTCTAAACTCCCACTGATAAGCGTGGGGACATTAAGGGGAGAAGCAAGGAGAGGATGGTGAATTTAAGGATGACTCCCAGGTGTCTGGCTTGGGAATTGAATCCATAAGGCTGCCATTGGAGATGATAATGAATACAGAGGATGGAGCAGTTTGCAGGAGAAGATGACAGGTTGTGGATTTATGCACTGTGAGGCACCAGAGGGACATTCAGGACCTGAGATGCAATTGGCAGTTGTACAGCCTGTGGTTCTGGAATTCAAAACGGAGGCCGAACTGGAAATGCAGGTTTGCAAGTCTTCCGTGTATTTGAAATTGTTGTTGAGGTTGTGATCTGCCTGTGAGAACGTGTGGACTGAAAAAAAAAAAAAAAAGGACGAAGGCCAAGGTGGCTGTCAGAAGAAAAAGAGATGGCATAGTAAGATTAAGCAAGAGAAGTTTTTGACAAGTGCTTGGACACAAAGTGGCAGAAGCCAGAGGCAAAGCAGAATGAGATGCTTGATTGAATGGGAACTGAGTGACAAAAGAAATGAAATTGAAATAAAAAGAGAGCAAAGGGACAGGTCTGACTGTTAACTTGCTTCCATCTACACAGATAATGGTGGCTTTTACTCCTAGAGTTTCCGGTTCTGGTCAATAAATATTAAGACCTACCATGTGGAAGGTGGGTGGGAAAGGGGATGGGGGGAAGAAATAAAATAACAAGGCATGAATTTCGATCTCAAGAAGCGCATGGAATTTTCATTTCTTATTTTTTTCTGGATCTCAAGAAGCTTATAGAATTATCATTTCTTATTTTTCTTTTCCATTTGTTTTTCTCCTTCATTGACAGCAGGACACAGGCTTCATGGGAGAATGGAAAGAATGAAAGAATCATTTTGTTGGTGCATGAAGTGCCTCAGTTCCCCATAGCGGGCATATCTCATTTTATCCACAAAATAAACACACTGAAAGAGAAGGTGATAAATGATCCATTATTTGACGGATTGTAAAAACTAAGCTTTTATCATGGCCATAATGTTATTAGAGGGTTTGGACCTTTGAGCCAATGCTTATGTAATTATTAATGAGACTTTCGGCTCACTGGATTATTTGATGTATGCTGAGTAAAATATCCTATAATTTTCACTTGTCTTATAAAAACAGGACACATTATATTATAGACTAACTGGAGTATTTGGAGATGATGGAAATAATTACCGTATGTTTTAGTTAAATATTATGCCTTTCAGTCCTCAAACGTTTGTCCTTTAATTTTGACCTAAAGGTAGAATCACTCCCGTTATACATATGAGGAAACTGAGATACAGGGTTCAGATGGGTGGGTGGAGATAACACAGCTAGTAAGTGGTAGAGCTTCTAGGATCCAAAATGAGGTGTCCTGGGTTCGTACCACTCCATCATGTTGCTGTATCTTTGTGAATAGCTACTAAAGAAGAATTAGGGGGTGTTATGTTTAAGAGATTTTCTTTATTAGTCTGCTCAAAGCACCAACAGTAGAAGCTGTATCAGCTACAATTTCTATATTTGATGGGCCACAGGTTATTTATGCAAATATATGTGATTAAGTTAGATTGGGGGAAAATCTGCTTTTTTTTTTTTTTTTCCCACAAAATGAACATGTTTTGCATTCATTATCTCAAGAGCACTAAAAAAGAATCTGAGTATAAATATAAGGATTCAATATTTTAACTTATAAAATTATTGTAGATAAACTTATTTGTGATACAGTGGGAATTTATTTTTCAGCAATTGCAATGGCTGTTGTCTGTAAGAGGCATTCCGTGTGTACACGTACCTGTGTGTGCATGTATAAAAAATAAAATTTAGCCTAATTAATTTTAAACTATTGGTTTTCCTTTTGTAATATTTTTGAATTCTCCAGATACATTAAATGATATTGCTTGCTTTGTCTTGCCAAAGCAGCTATTATGTTACTCATTTAATGCCAAAGTGTTAAAGCATTTGTCTTCGGTAAGCAATGTAAAATGATGTAGGATGAGCCTAAGGGATTTAGTTTAATGTTACAACTTGTATTTTGGCTCCTGATAGTCTAAATTTTTTATTTACCTAATTTTGCTACTATTGAAGCAGATATTAGCTGTTAATATACAGTAATATTAGAATCATGAAAAGTACATAGAATGTTGTGGCTGGTGGAAAAACTTTATGATGCTGCATTTTTTTCTTTCACAAAAAATATCTAGGAGGCTTACTAAATTGCAATTTCCAGATGAAAGCAATTTCTAGCAAGTAGCAAAATGCTGGTGCTAATGCTTATCCCTAAATCTCAATTTCAAGCTTCATGGTGCCTATTTTACATTTTAGCTTTGGTAGGAAAAGTTGAATCCAAAGGGGCTTATGCCTTTGTGACATTTGGTGGATTGCTCTTTTGTTATTGGTGCTGATTTTTAAAAATAACAATACATTTATAAATTTTAAAAAGTTTTAAAAAACGTTAGGCAGCTATCTTAGTTCTGAATTATCACTACACATGGTGCATTGTAGTAGCCTTAGTCCAATGTAGTTGAAAAATTACAATATAGGCATGTGAAAATTTAAATAACAATACAAAGTAATATGGTATTTTATATTTGATTTTTATTGCACTTTATAATAATATGTGAGGAAACTCAAATGAGGTAAAATGAAGATTAATTTGGTCATTTCATGCCTCATGTATCCCAATTTCATCCAAATGCAAATATGATAATCCAGGGCATAGAGTTAGTGTTCTGTTCAGGTGATTTGACACTACTGTATTTATTAATCACTTCCAAGATGAACAATTAAACTGCATTTCGTACTCATCTTTCTATGAGTATATATTTTAATATTATGTACTAGGAGTTTTCATTTTCTAAAAAGTAATTAAATTTTCTTTGTCTTATTTTTCTTATTCTTATTGAATTTTATTCAGACATTTTTATGTTAGTGTATACTTGACATGATAGAACATGTCTAAATTAGTAATCTAATTTGAATACCATAATTATGTGTACAGTTAGAGCTTGATTGAATGGAGAGCTTTTGCACATCCTGTATGTTCTTTCTGTTAGTGGATTTAGGAATTACATGCTTAATACTAAAGAGTCCAAAGCCTGTTTATGTTTATCAGTAGGCGCACAGAGCAAAATATAAATATTTTTGCCAATAGAATTGGAAAAGATATGCTTCCTTTTTTAAGTGTTAGGAATTAACACGTAACTGTCTGTGGTAGTTTTCTCTTATACGAACAGATTGATAAGAAATATAGACATGGCTGAAAACTAGAATGGTGTCATTGTATTGCCTAAATTGTTGGTGTTGAGGTTAGAAGTCCACTCCTTTGTTTTGCTAAATAAGAAATAAAGATGCTTTAAAATATTGATCATAAGTCCTGATAAATATTTGTACATATTTAGTGTTACGAATATTTTTCTTTTGCTTTATTATGTAGTGGTCACTTTGCCCAAAATGTACATCTTGACCTTTAGTATGGAATGCTCAGTATGTCCGAGGTAGAATTGAAACCAAAACATCTGGAGTCTTATTAAAAGGATACAATATGGATAACAGCTTTTTAGTCTTGGGGCTGAGATATTTGGAAGAGGATTGCTAAATACTGTGGTCATTGAGAAAAATAACACTGATGTACTAAACTTACACTTAATTTAATGGTTTCGCTACCACCATTCTTAACCTTTCCAACTGGCTGAGTTATTTGCTAATAGTGGCATGTCACATCCTGAATTATAGATCTTTCCTTTTAATAAATATTCAATAGCATTTTCAAAATCGTTCTCCTAGATACAATTCATAATGAACAGCGCAGCGCTGGCAACAAGCATGCTTCTTTCAGCCTGTTTTATAGCCACAGGCTATTTGGCATTTGGACACTTCTCTTATGTATTTCCACAGCTCCACATTTCCTAAAAACTGTCAGCCTTATATTAGAATTAGCTTTTGCTTCTCCACAGTTACATGGAGAATGAAAAGAATATCTCTCCTTTTCTCTCCCTGTAATATGCCAAGGACTGTGGTCAGAGAATCATCATTTGCTAGTCGTATGCTTTTTCTTTCTTGATGTTCTCATTAGCTTCAGAAGCCATAGCATGAAAGGCATTTTGAAATGCGTCCGCCATCGGTTTGGTTTGATCCATGTTAAACTTTTTCTGTCTAGAACTGTGGTTCTTAACCCCCTAGAGGACATTTGGCAATGTCTGAAGACATTTTTGGTTGGCACAGCTGGGGATGGGGATGCTACTGGCATCTGGTGGGTAGAGGCCAGGGATGCTGCTATACATTCCACAATGCACAAAATAGCCCTCCCCAGGGAAGAATTTTCTACCTCAAAATGTCTAGAGTGCTAAGCTTGAGAAACCCTGATTTAGAAGGTAGGGGATGTCTGTTTAATTTGTATTATATTTTTTACGCAAACGAAAAGTGATAGTTCTGGTGAAGAAATCATTGCATATAATGTAATCATTTATTGAACACCTACTAGGCTCTGAGAATACAATGAAGACTATGACATGGTTCTTGCCTCAGGGGTATACCCTGTCTTTGCCAAAATGATTAGTAAATAAAATCAAACTGGTTGATGTGATGTATGCTGTGATTAGAGGTATGCATGGCATGTTAAGATAAAAATAATTTAGATTTCATTTGCTAAATATAAGAGAATATCTGGAAGGGATTGTTCTCTGACTAAATGTAATATCAGTCATTTGTGGGTAAAGAATTTCTAATTTTTCCTTGACAATTAGGAGTAAGTTTTATTTATTGTCTTTTTAAATTTCAACTGGCATTACTGTGAAATGTCAGGAAAGAAGGGAAGGTGTTGACATAAAAAGTGTTACTTCAGGAATTTAGGAAATGAGTTTTTCATCATCTTCATCGAGTTCTAGTTTACATGCCATAAAAGTCTCCAATTTCAACTGAACAATTCACTGATTTTTAGTAAACGTACAGAGCTAGGGAACTGTCACCACAATTCAGCTTTAGGACTTTTCTATCACCCCAAAAAGCTCCCTTGTGCCTGTGTGCAGTTCTCATTCCTGCTGCCAGCCCCAGGAAGCCACCAATCTTTCTATTGCTTGCTTTCTTTTCTGTCTCACTTTCTGTCCTTATATATTTGCCTTTTAGCAAATCTCTGGACATTTCATTTGAGATATTAATATTTACCAATAAAAATGTAGTTTCTATCTTCTTTTTCAAGATCAGCATCACCTTATTTTTTTTATATTGCCTGTACCATACACATGCTACAGTGCAGGTTCAGGGACTCTTAGTTATCGGAACTCTCAGACTAATAAAGTGAAACATGCAGCAAAGAAGTAAAGCACATGTGTAAGAGTGGAATGTGTGCCTGTTTCTCAGCTTTGTCCCTGTTTCAATGGTGGTCACCCCCTCTACTACTTTTGTAACTCTGTCTACAAAAATAATGTTATAGAAAGCATTGAAAAGCTGAAGTCAGATAAATACTCTCAAGATGTGGGGAAACTACAAAAGGATTAAATCTGGAGAACATGCCTGTTTGGGAGCTGTATTCTGGTCAACCATTTCTTAGCCAAACCCTTTGGGGCCAAATGTCTTTCAGAATTCAGCTTTTAGAAAGGTAATACAGTGTATTCATTGTATATTAATGTAATACCCCCATGGGATCCAGGCAACACACAGTAATTTTTGTAGCAAAGTAGATGAATATTCACATTTAGTTAGAGAAAAACTAACCACATGTCAGTTCAGGTCAGTTTGGGGAACAAACTCATTTCGTAGCAAAATAACAAACTCTGTTTTCAGAAATTTTTGCATTTCAAAATTGTGGGTAAAGGTTTGTGAGACTGCCTCAGTGTATCCCAGGATATTGCATTTCAAACTATTGCATTTCATCTTCTTTCTAGCTCCCCACCCTCCAATCCTCTCTGCCATATACACACTTCATTTAACTTAGCCATGGATATATTTGTCTTTCTTTTTCACGTTAACTTCCCATCAGACTTGACAAAATGCCAAATTAGCTGTTCACTTTTGGTGGATGAAGGCCAGGTACAGATGTGTTATGGCCAGCTAGGTTTGTGGTTTGTGGTTCACCTCTCTGCTGAAGGCCTGGATTGTAGCCATGTTCATCTGCACCAGCCCCGGGGCCCAAGAAGAATAACATGGTTTTGTTGGGTCAAAAAGATACCCATGGAGAAAAATCCAAAGGTAGCAATGGCAGCTGCCATCCCAGGTAGCCCCAGACTCATGCTCAGAAGCCCTCACACCCATCATGAAATCCTGGGCCATGAGACTAGACTGCTATAGAAAGAGTGTCAAACCAGGGAGGAGAATCCACTAGAGTAAATTTTCTTTAAGGAAAGATATTTAGAGTTCAAGAAAGATAAAGACATGAAGAAAACTATGTGGGGTTCTGTAGTGGACCCACACAGCTCAGAAGTAGGACGCCAGTCCAAACCAAGACATTAAAGACTTGTTGCAAATTATTGAATTTTGCATAATCATCTTATGTAATTTGCCTAATGGTCCTTAGCAAGCCCATTAGTCTTTTAACCATAAATTTCACGTCTGTTTTAATTTCCAGATTTCCATTGGTAGTACTTAGAAAACTATAACTGCAGGCCAGTGGGTCTTAACTGGTTTCCTGTGGCACTCTTGAGTTGCTATAGACCCATCGTGAATGTAAATGAATATTTTGATGGATGTGTACAATTTGCTTTCTTACAAATAAAATGCATACTCTTATAGCAATATTACTTAAGCAGAATATACTATAGATAATGGGACCCATTTACAAGCAAGGGGATCCAATTTCTGCAAATTATAGGAAAGAGCAGAGTGTAGTGTTGCACCAGCATCAGATAAAACATTTATAGGAACATTCAAGAATGTTGTCTTCTAAGGACTCAAGAGCATCATCAAGGCAGTACTAAGTTTTCAAAGAGCAACGTAATGCTTAAGGTCTACCCATGGGAGTGAGGTGGTAATTCTGGATGCTTTTGTAGACACTCAGAAGCGTGTACCAGGGACTACATTACTACTGTTTATTACTTCTTTTTTTTTTTTTTTAAAGTTCTTAATTGATTCAACTGTGCCACCAAAATCTCTGTCTGAAGGTGAACCATCAGTATGAAATTGAATCATTGCCATTTGGTTGTGAAATTACGAACCTCGCCTTTCCTACCCACAGACTTCTTTCATAGGTGTCTTGGTGTACCCCCACCTCCTCCTCCAGCCTCTGCCAATAACTTTCTCACAAGTCTTACAGCCTCTTTGCAGATATCATTTTCTCTTTTACCTCCCAGCTTTCAAGAGCTAAACTTGTCCTGCCTTGGTACTGCACCTGCCTCCTCTTACCAAGTGTCTTCCTGAGTTTGCACACATTCCTTCTTGTTAGTACATTTCCTGTTGTTAAGAAGCTGACAACCTCACCTTATTGCTGCCGCACCCCATTCCACATTTAATGACATCCTCCACCCCTACCCCTCCCCAGCTCTGGTGATGCTTTTTAGAGGGTGGTTCTCCATGTTGGCTGTGATTAACATCACCTGGGGAAGTTTCACGTTTACTATAACTTATTTCCAGGGCCCACCCCCAGTAATTTTGGTTAAAGTGCCCTGGGGGTGGGGCCCCAACCTTGGTAGTTTTTAAATGCTTTCCCTGGGGATGCAGCCAGCACTGAGAACCACTGGTGCATAGGGTGTAATACCTGTCTGTTGTAGGTAATGAGAGCAATTGTGGAAGGGGTAGCAGGGAGTTTTGAAAAAGGATGAAAAGAGATTAAAAAACAAACAACTCTTCCTCATCCCTCTGTTTGCTTTCAGCTTCAGCTGAAGAGAATGAGTTCTGCTAAGTGGCACCTATGCCCACCTGGCTGGTGTGACTTCTTCCCCTTAGGCCTGTGTTCTCATCAGTAAATTCCTGACAGCCTTGTGCCCCCAGCAGGCCAGAAACCATTCCAGGCAAGGCCTTTACTTATCTCATCATGAGGCAGCCTACCAGGGGCCTGATTTTCCTTTCTTAACTGGGCATCCTACTTTGCAACCTCGTATTTCCATTTTTCCTTTTTGTAAGGCTCTGTAAACCAAAGCCATGCACCCTCCCCGCTCATCTGCTGTCAGCTCACTTGAAACTCACCAGCCCAAAGGACACACACAGCAGAACCAATTAAAGTTCTCAAGTAGAGATTGTTCACTTCACTTTTCACTTGCAAGAAAGATGGATGGCAGAGTCTTTGCTGGAAAACTATTGTGTAGAACATAATTTTGCTGAATTAAAGAGGGGAGGCCACTACCAAAATTGAGCTGTCATCTTTTTGTAGTTTTCTTTTATTCTTAATACATCTATGGGCCTCTAAAATCCCTTTTTATATATTATCAAGTCCAGGAGTTGGGCAGAGATTCATTTGGGTAGCCTTTTTTATAAAGTGATCTTTGTGAAGTCTCTTCTCAAGACTTTCTGGGGGTCAGAATGCATGTTCATTTTCCAGAGGGCCATACGCAAGGACCATTGGCTGTTCCCCACGGCTCTACAGTTTCTAAAGGAGCTGAGAACACTTACAACATGAGTGCCTTACAGTACTCTCTGGACCTCATTGCTTTATTATTAAGGAATTATTTCTTCCAAATATAGTAGTTTTATTTTTATTAGTAAGTAGGAAAATTTAAGTGAGGTGATTTTGGTGTTAATAACAAGGATTCAGAGCTGTTTTAAGGAAATCCAATGTGAAATTTACGTGAATATCCAGTTGTACAAAAAAATTAAGACAAAACGCTTCACTTAACAAACTTCTTCATAAGAATTATTTAAATGCCAGCCTTCTTTAATGGAGTCCGTTTACAGAAATTCTGTTTATTCATTCATTTTCCCTGAGCACAGATATTGCACAAAGCAAATACCACCCTGCTGTTGTCCTGTTGCATGGTAAGAAATGCAGCTTTTGTATTTATCAGCCTTACACATATAGTGTGAGAACCTTGCCAAGGCTGGCAGTGGTGCAGGCCAATAATTAATTAAGGGGGCATGCAGCATACATTTATTGAGTACCTAGTATGTAGCAGGCACAGGGATAGGTAGTACATATAGAAGCAAACAGGCTATCTACCCTTACTTCCTAGTGGAAAGAGACAATCACATAACCAAGGGATTATCAGTAGTAGACATTTGGTTTTAGCAGAGAGTAAAATATATATACATCGTTAGGAGTGACTGGGAGGCTAGGGAGGGTCCCCCTGAGGAAGAGACATTTAAGCTGAAATGTGACCAAAACAACCAGGGTTTGCATGAATTGAGACCACCCTGGACAGAGTATATGCAGGCAGTTGAAGGAGGCCAGAAGGGCAGAGAGTTGAGGTTGGGTGCCTGTACTCAGGATCGGGAAGCAGCATGGCCAGGTTTATATTTAGGAAGATAACTCTGGTAGCAGCACAAAGGGTGAATTGGAATCCAAGACAGCAATGCTGGGAACTCAAAACCAGGATACTTGGTGAGAATAGAACAGGCAGCATGCTGACTTGATGCTGAAATGCTGGGCTCCTCTTTTGTCCTCTGTCCTCTGTCCAAACCCAGATTGGACCTCACAGCCCCATGAGTACACTAGACCTAATGAACTTGTTAAAATGCTTTTTTAAAATGCCAACTTGTGTACCTGGTCCTCATCTAATGACGTGGATTGGCATCGAAGACTTCATTAAAACTTCAAATGACCTGATGCAGGGAGTTCATGGACCAATCTTTGAGAAATATTGTGTCTAAAGACTGTACTTTCACTTTAATATTCCATTTAATTCTCAAAACAACCCTGTAAGAAAAACGTATTTTTCCTAGCTTCCAGATTAAGAAACATGCCCAGTGTGATTAAGCATCTGGCTCAAGGTCACACAGCTGGTGCATGTTATGGCTGGCAAAGCAATGTGCTTCTTTTCATAGAGAGTCCTGCCTGTGTGAAAATGGTAAGAACAACCCTGCAAAATTCAGAACACCTTTGAGGGTTGTTTCATGAGTGAACATGGTCAATCTCTCAGATACAGGACTCAATATATCCCATCTTGGGATAGAACCAGAGTGTTCATTTTTGCTAGCTTTTCTCTTTTCTGAAGAAGTTTAATTTTTTTTTCCCTCAAAGCTAGAATTTTAAGTTCTAGGGGAAAATATATATATATTGCAAAGAAGAGCTTGGATCTTAATATTGGTGTTTCTGGGCCTCTTTTTCCCATAAAAGAAGTTGAAAGGTTTAAGGGGTAGCATAATTTTATCACCCATAGACCTAGAAACCCAACCATTAGGCCTCACAGAAAATTGTCATGCTTTCAGTTGCCATGAATCATTTATTTCTTAAGTGGCTCTTGAACCAAGAGTTGCAAAAATGATGTTGAAGATGTGGAGGAGGGTTGCTGAGTGAAAAGCACACTGATAATTAGAAATCTTGCTTAAAAGCTGGCTTGAAAACACATTTGCTTCAATAAATTACCTGCCTGCCCCCATCTGAATGTGTGAGGAAGGTTCTAGCTTAATTTGCTCATGTGGATAGGGTATTGAACATATTTATCTGAAAGACTTAATATCATAATAAGTTTAGCCTGGCCTGACTTTTAGGACGATGTCCCTCCTGGGGTATAGGTAGAGAGGAAGAAGATGAAAAACAAAAAAAGACAAGAAAACATTTTCCTATGGTGGCCCCCTGCTCCACCACACGCTCTCAGCTGGGGAGAACCGCAGTGAGCCCTACCGCAGCATCCTCTAGAATGTCAGCCCACACCCCACAGCAGACTGCAGGGTGTTAACTGCCTGTCTCTGGCATGAACCCAGTTTGAATGAGATGCCAGGAAGTGATGGAGGGGCTATACCTCCCCCTGAAGCCTGGCCATTACGTCCTGCAGAATTGACCAGGGCAAGGCAGGCCGTTTGGTTTACAGACCACACCATGATTGTCACAGTGTAGATTGCTGCTTTGATTATTTTGGAATGTTGGATGAACACTCCTTCCTGAGGTTATTTTCATCAGCAACGATCAAATTCAGTTGCTACTGCGTGTGGCTGATCGTCCAGAGAGGGTGATTTCTTGTCACAGGTTTCCCTAGGGGGATATTGTGCTGCTTGGTCTTGGTGGTCAGTCTCACATCATTTATGGTGTAAGGTGGGCTCAGGGCCACATCTGGGGGTATGGCATACAAGACATGATCATGTTGTAAAGGCAACGTGTCTACCCCCTTGTCTGTGCCTACATTTGTGTCTAAGTGAAAGAGGAACCTCAGAGACAATCTTGAAAGGAAGACAGTTAACTGCAATTTTAAGAATGATGGATTTGCATGAGGGAGAGGCTTTAGCTTTGTGATAAAATGCGAAAGCATTTATGTGTTGATTACATAGACTGTTCGTAAAGTCTGGAAACATCTATGTTCTAGAACATATTATGTGAAGTAAAATGAACATACCATTAATTATACATGGGTCTTCATTGGTTTCTAGACTTTCGGACCACCCTCAGACTTTTTAAAATTAATCATGTTAGATTATCTCCCCAATTCTAGCTGCATCCTGGATTCATGTCTCACCCACTGAAGGTAGATGCCTTACCTGGGGCAGATTCAGGTAAGGCATACAGTCAGTTCTGTTCTCTGTGCAGCTGGTTGTGATGGTGCCAAGAAGGCTGTATGCTGTCAGCATACCATTTGCTCTGTTTTGTTGTTGTTTTTAGTATATGTCTTCACTTATTAAACATTTATTAAGGAGCAAGTATTTTTAAGTGCAGTAATATGTATCGTACATTAAGGCCTCACAATTGCTACTTTGTAGGAAAGAAAATCTAGTTGAAGTGGTGGTGTGACTTGCCTATATCATGCAGCTAAGAAGGTTTTGAGTTGAGATTTAAAGAGAGATCTGATACAAGGCGTGTTTTGTGCTTTCTCTGTCAATTCTCATATAATTTCTCCTGTTAAAGCTCACTACCACAAGAAATCGGCATTAGTTTTGAGATCAGTTAGGGATTAAAAGTGATTTATTAAATCAGACCCATGTCCTTATGACATAGGTAAAGTGGTATATACCATGAACTTGAGAAACAATTTTCATTATTTTTTCTATATGAGGTGGAGAAAAGCATACTGCTCAATGAAGAACTTAATTTTAAAAGTTGTAATGCTGTTTCATTTGTTGAATTAGTTCCATGACGAGGGATACAATTTTGGATCAAGCTAATGTTGCTGAATCTGTAGAGGGACATCAACATTTGATGGTTAGTTGACATTTAGAAACCCCTTCATTCTGACATGTAGATTCTATGGATTTGTCATATTTAACAGAGATCAAATTATATTCAGAATAAATGTATTTCTTCACTGCCTCATTATAGGAAATGATATTGTCATTTTAATATTCACAAATGGATTTTATTTTTTGAGACAGAGTCTTGCTTTGTCACCTGCACTGGACTGCAGTGGAGTGAACACAGCTCACTGCAGCCTTGACCTCCCACGCTCAAGCAATCCTCCCGCCTCAGCGCCTCAAGTAGCCTGGAACTATAGGTGCACACCACCATGCCCAGCTAATTTTTCTTTTTTTTCTTTTCCTTTTTTTTTTTTTTTTTTTTTTTGCAGAGATGTGGTTTTGCCATGTTGCTCAGGCTGGTCTTGAACTCCTGAGATCAAGCCATCCACCTTCCTTAGCCTCCCAAAGTGTTGGGGTTACAGGTGTGAGCCATTGCACCCAGCCTGGATTTACTTTTATTCAGACAGATGCCTAAACTAATATTATCCAAGTTTTGTTTCTTTTTTTTTTTTTTTGAGACAAGGTCTTGCTGTGTTGCTGAGGCTGGAGTGCAGTGATGCAGTCATAGCTTACTACAGGGTTGAACTCCTAGGCTCAAGCAATTCTCCCGCCTCACCCTTCCAAAAGATTTTAGGTGTGAGCCACTGCACCTGGACAGGGTGTTTTTTTTTCTTCTTCTTCTTCTTCTTCTTTCTTCATCCTGTGACTTAGGATGCATTTTTTAAATCCCATTGATAAAACTGGTCCTTGGACTGCTTGTTGAAGCTTTCATGGAGTTTAGCATTTACCAAGTCCTACTGTGAATTGTTTATTTATATATGTATGTAATCATGTACCACATACCAACATTTTTGTCAGTGATGGATCACATATAAAACCGTGGTCCCATAAGATTATAAAATCATATTGTTACTGTATCTTTTCTATGTTGTAGTATAATGGCCTTACAGTATTCAGTACAGTAACATGCTGTACAGGTTTGTAGCCTAGGAGCAATAGGCTACCCCATATAGCCTAGGTATGTAGTACACTATACCATCTAGGTTTGTGTAAGTACATTGTATGATGTTCGCATGATGAAATTGCCCAGTGATGCATTTCTCAGGATGTATCCCCGTCATTAAGTGAAACATGATTCTCTACTAGATCATAGGAGAAAAGAATTGTGTTTAGTGCATCTTTTGGAGAATCCCTTAGGTGCCTGATACAAAATGAATTTTTGCTATATGAAACTCTAATTCGGCATGTGCAAATAACCAGCTTGTCAGTGTGCCCCAATATGCTTCCCTCTTCCACATCTTACATCTTCCTGTAGTCTTTGCCTTACTGTCTCCCATTCAATAGAGGAGGCCAATAAAACAGGAAATCACTCTTGATGCCTCTTCCTTCAAGGTCTGTATGCTCTATCTATTAAATATTGAATCTGCTTTTGATTTCAAATCCTTCGGCCATTCTCTTAGTTTAGACCCTTATCATCTGGATGACATATGTTCCTGTATTAGCTAGTCTCCATTCTGCCAGACTTGGCTAGGACTATATTATCAATATTTTCCACCCTCCTGCCAGGGAGAATTTTCTAACATGCCAATCTGCTCAGGTCATTCTTTAAAATCCTTCATTGATTTTTCTGAACATTGTCTCCAGGTAAGAGATCTAACTCCTTAATGTGGCATAGAGTCTTTTGCGATCAGACCCCTGGTGGTCAGTCAGCCTCATTTCTTGCATTCTGCTGTGTGATCTGTGTTCTAGTTATATAACTCAGAGTTCCTCACGTGTGGCCCGAGGCTTTCATAAACCACTCCCTAGAGTTCGTCAGCTGACTTCCCTCTTCAGGTGTCCTATTCTCTGAGAAGCTGATCCTGATTGGCCAACCACCTCAACCTAATCTGGTTTCAATGTCCCTCATTTGCATTCCCATGTGCTCTATTACATCCCTTTCAAAATGCCTTTCACACTGCTGTAATTGCTGGTTAGTGGTCTCTCTTTCTCCCACTGGACTATGAGCTTCTTGAAGGCCGATGTCACATCTTAATATTTATTTCCTCAGTGTCTAGCATTGGATCTAGTCTGTAGGAACCAATCACTTATTTGTGGTGTTGGGCAAGTTACATATCCTATCTTTTTAATTGTCCTCATCTAAGTAACAGAATGTCTCATAGGGTTTTGTGAGAAATAAAAGAGCTAATATATAGAAAGCATCAGAACAGAGTCTGGCACAGAATAAGAGCTCCATAGATGTGTTCTTGTTTTATAGTCCACCCCAGGGACATAGAATACTCACTGAATATTTGTAGAATGCTATCGATTGATAAAGCCAAGAGGGAGTTCCACAAATTACCTGGGAGAGAGAGTAGAAAAATTGTGGGACATGTCATGGCTGTATTCCTGTACACCAGGAAAATTAGGTAATTGTTTGAGATTGTTTTAATTATATAAAAATACCATTTACATTAGCAGCAGAAACTACTCATGGCCCTTTGTGAAGAGAATTATAGAACTATTGAAATGCATAAAAGAGCTAAGAGTAAGTGGAAAGATATATGCAGAGTTTATGGATTGAGAGACTCAATATAGGATCATCTTTGATTTTTTAAATTAATCTATAATTTTAATGCAATTTCAATCAACATCTTCCTTCACAGATTTGTTTTGTTTTTTAAATGAGCATGCTGGGAGACCATTCTTTATGGACTCTCACGTTTCTGCATGTCATGCAAGCAGAGGCACTAACAACCCTTTTGTTCTAAACTGTCTTTTCAAGGATGTTTGTAATGTAGCTGTAGAAGATAAAGCTGTAGAAGCTAAAGATAGTGTTTCCCTCCAGAGCAAAGGGTAGGTTTGTTTACTGTACAATCCAATAAAGATAATGTCTCCCAGCAGGGCAAGGCTCCATTATGAACAGTTCATGTTCCCTAAACTCAGGGTTCTTTTTTTTTTTTTCCTTTTTGAGACGGAGTCTCGCTCTGTCGCCCAGGCTGGAGTGCAGTGGTGCGATCTCAGCTCACTGCAAGCTCCACCTCCTGGGTTCACGCCATTCTTCTGCCTCAGCCTCCCTAGTAGCTGGGACTACAGGCACCCACCACCACACCTGGCTAATTTTTTGTATTTTTAGTAGAGACGGGGTTTCACTGTGTTAGCCAGGATGGCCTCGATCTCCTGACCTCGTGATCCTCCCACCTCAGCCCCCAAAGTGCTGGGATTACAGGCGTGAGCCACTGCGCCTGGCCCATCAGGGTTCTTTAAGTATGATACAAACCCACTGCATGCACAGCGTCTGCCTGAGTCCCTCCACAGTGCCCCCTGTATTTGGACACCAAGTAGAAGTGACTGAACATGAAACTTAATGCTGTTAACTATCCCATAAATAATTAAGTCCTTTGTCTCAGACCGAGGAGTTTTGTATCTTCTTCCAGCATCTGTAAAAATGTGCAGGCCAACTTGTTAACTTGTAAGTTGGGTGAAATCTCAGATCTTTCACAGTTCTTAAAAGCATTGTGATAAATCTCCACTTGTAAAAATCATTTAGCATATTAAATTACAGCAGTGAACAATAAGAATGTAGTACAATGCTTTCTCAAAAAGCTAAAAACAAATAGATCAGCTATTATTGACAAGAAAGAAACTGTCCTTTGCTGATTTGCCTTTTTTCCTTAAGGATGATAAATGAACCTCTTCAATTTATCTAAATCCTTTCACTTTGATATTTTCCATAACAACTTTCCTTTGCTCTTATTAGAGTTTAGCATTTCTATATCTTTCCACTGGCATGTTAAGCTAGCTTCTTTTCTGAAGGTGGGTGGTGGGGTTAGTTTGCTTGTCTGTTCAAATATTTGTTTGCTAGTATTAAATAGGCAAGGCAGATTTATTTGGGCTCTTTTTTTGTGACTTAGTACTTTCCCACTATTTTCTAGATCTCCTTACCCAGCTCTCTCTGATTACACCAAAAGATATTATAGTCATTTTGCTGTTTGTCTATTTTGTATTATAGTCATTTTGCTATTTGTATTATAGTCATTTTGCTATTTGTATTATAGTCATTTTGCAATTTGTCCTAACCCCAGCCGTAACCCTAACCCCCTAACTATAACAAGGATAAACACATCATGGTGTTAAATGCAGTAGAGAAAAAAATAAGAGAGGTGAAAAAAATCCGCAGTTAATAATGATTATGGAATGCTTATTTTAGTGCCAGGAACTATTCTTTTGAAGGGTAATGGACTTTGGGGGATTAAAGATCATAAAAATAGCATTGATAACCAGTTGTAATTCTAATGAACTACTGCTGAAACACAGTGTTCCACTTGTGTCTAGTACATTTCTTTCATAAACATGTAAATTACTCAGGCTGCTTCAAATCCTTTTAGGAAGGAGTTGGGAGGTAAATAATACATAATTAAAGAAGCACACCCAGACCCAAAGCTCTCTTGAGATAATAGATATTAAGGAGTTATTTTTGGGGAAAAAAATGAGGTAATTAGACAGTACAAAAGTATTTTAAAATTAGAGTAAATGTTGGTTCTGAGAAATCTTCAGCTTTAAATCAGTATTTTTTCCCCCCACTGATCTTTGATATGTATTTAGGAGGGGCCCAATGACATCTCAGATCTCTTCCCTTTCCTAAAACTGTCAAAAATCTTTAAATCATAGTGGACAACATACAAAATGGCTTATTTGGGTCTCTGGCCCCAGCGCAGGGTGCCTGACCAGCCCAGGTGACTGACTGCAGTGTAGCCTTGCAGCCGAGGGTTTGTTCTCCTGCAGCCACAGAGCCACATGCATGCGCTTATCCCCGAAACATTAGCTGGGCTTGTTCTGTAACTTTGTGCAAGTCAAGTCCTACTCAGTGTGCCCTGTAACTTGTTTCTTTTACTCAGTTATTATTGAGATTACAGTATGTTGCATCTAGCTGTGGTTCATTTTCATTGCTGAATACAGTTCTGTTGTATGAATATTCCTCAATTGACTTATCCACTCTCCTGTTGATAGACATTTGGGTTTTATCATTCTGTTCTGTTATTAACACAATGCAAAGAATATGCAAGAATTTCTTTAAAATGGGTCAGCAAACTTTTTCTGTAAATGGCGAGGTACTAAATATTTTAGGCGTTACAAGGGCACATGTAGTCACTGTTGCTGCTGATGCTTCTAAAATTCTTTTTTTTTTTTTTTTTTTGAGACAGAGTCTCATCTGTTGCCCAGGCTAAAGTGCAATGGTGTGATCTCGGCTCACTGCAACCTCCACCTCCTGGGTTCAAGCGATTCTCCTGCCTCAGCCTCCAGAATAGCTGGGATTACAGGCACATGCCACCAAGCCCAGCTAATTTTTGTATTTTTAGTAGACACGGGGTTTCACCATGTTGGTCAGGCTGGTCTCCATCTCCTGACCTCGGGATCCGCCCGCCTTGGCCTCCCAAAGTGCTGGGATTACCGGCATGAGCCACCACGCCTGGCCGCTTCTACAGCTCTTTAAAAATGTAAAAGTAATTCTTAGCTTGTGGGCCATGGAGTAGGGGTCAGCAAACTGACCCCTGCTCTCAGATATATACCTTAGAATAGAAGTACTTATCATCAGTCATGGACATGTACATTTTAAAAGGCAATGAGAAACTTTTTTCAATGTGGTTATATCAGTTTACTTTCTCACAAGCAGTACATGAGAGTACCCCAATGCACCTCCTCCACACCATAACCTGACGTTATACTTTTTAATTTGCTTGTCTAGTAGATATGAAATAATATCTTATTATGGGCCTCAATTTGCATTTCCCTGGCTGCCAATGAGGTGGAACATCTTTTCCTACAATTATGAACAATTTGTACTTTTTCTCATGAGAGATATTTGTTTGTATCTTTTGCCTGTTTTTTGTTTGGGCTGTTTATGTTTTTCTTATCAATACGTAGGCATTTTTATATATTCCAGAGACTATTCCACTTCTATATGTTTCAAATATTTTTTCTTTTATGTCCTGTTATTGCATCCTTTTATGCACACACACACACACGCGCGCGCACACACACACACATTTCTTGCCTTCTTCCCTAACAGTGAGAGTAAGAACTACTCATGTTTGCCCTGAACTGCTTTAATGTATTCCTGTCTGAGGATGAAAAAATGAACTAGATAGATGACTTCTTTTTACAGTACTCTCAGTAATAAATTGATTTAGAGTAAATATTCATTATTAAATAAGGCAAAATTCTATTATGAAATAGCCTGTAAAAACAAGCCAGATTGGCCGGGCGCGGTGGCTCACGCCTGTAATCCCAGCACTTTGGGAGGCCGAGGCGGGCGGATCACGAGGTCAGGAGATCGAGACCATCCTGGCTAACATGGTGAAACCCCGTCTCTACTAAAAATACAAAAAATTAGCCGGGCGTGGTAGCGGGCGCCTGTAGTCCCAGCTACTCGGGAGGCTGAGGCAGGAGAATGGCGTGAACCCGGGAGGCGGAGCTTGCAGTGAGCCGAGATCGCGCCACTGCACTCCAGCCTGGGCGACAGAGCGAGACTCCGTCTCAAAAAAAAAAAAAAAAAAAAAAAAAAACAAGCCAGATTAAAAGCGTAACTACTTGCTAGAAGAATTAGAATTGTGTATGAAAAAGATCCTAAACCAAAAAAACATAATTGACCAAAATGCATGCTATAACATTAAGCATTCAAAGACTTCAAATACTGACAGTGTACTTAGGTTTACCTGACTGTATTAACGATTCAGTTTTGCATATGAAAGACTTACTCTGACCAAACAAAACTCAAATTTATTCAACATTATTTTTAGGTCTCAGGCACCTGGAGATGGTAGCCTGTGCTATACCTCAGCTGTGTAAGGATGTGTCATGTGTCCTTTTCACATAAAGGGAAAATAAGTCCTCACAAAATCCTATATATTCCTCTATTCCTCTCTGTTGGTAAATTTACTTCTGTGGACATAGGTAGGGTAATGTACTATTTTCTTTCCTAAGCACATTTCACGGTAGGCCAGTGGGCTGTTTTGGACTTGCATGTTGAGTACAGGATGGACTCTTGTTATTCTAGGAATGGGCTTGGTTGATCACAGAACACAATGCACCTTTTCATGATTTTAATGCCTGAGTTATTTAATTTTTTGTGCTACTTGTCACTTCACTGTTTAGTTTTCTTTCTAGGGTGCTTTTTGCTGGATTGGCTGTGAGTCAAGCTGGTTGATGAAGCTTCATTTTGCTAAATCTCCAGAATGGCTTGTTAATCCTTATTTTACATTTCACTGACTACTGTACCATGCAGTTTCCTTCTGTTCAACGAAGGAAGAGAAAATGGCTATATGAAGCAATAATGTGATGAATTTAGAGTCTAGCCGGAGGAATCGCCATTTGCTTCTAATTGGCACATGGAGCATAAAATCAGAGCCCTGATTTTTCTAAGAACTATTCCAAGTAAAGGCCCAACAACCATCTTAACTCAGAGCTACTCCTAGATTGTTTTAAAGTGCGTTCATCAATTTGAAGAGTATTTGTATTTATACATTTCTTGCCCTTCATTGTATCTTATTTGACTCTGATACTTTCTCTCAAATTTCTTAACAGTAACCTTTCATGTTGAACTGTAAAAAAAGAAAACGGACTTCATCTTAATGTATTTCACATAGATTTCCATTACTTTTCACTGTGTTTTTGCCACTCTGTACATTTTGCTTATAATAAAGGGTTGGTTAAAGGAAAATAGATGTAATTTTTGGCACTTGTCTGCTCTAATATCGTGACTGACACTCATAATGTACATCCAGTTCTCTTAAATCCCATAAAAAGCCATTGGGAAGAAAATTTTTGAGATAATATAAATATAATCTTACGTAAGACCTGTGTAGCCACTTCTTATAGACAGCTTAGGAAAGAAAGAAGCCTTCAAATAATTACCAAAGTAGGAAGAAAACTAAAAACCTCTCGTATTAAGGGTAATAATTGCAAAATGACACCCACATAGAAAAAGTCCCTTCCTTTCATTTTCTTGAAATATATTGAAACAAAAAGTTAACTAACATCATTTGGGTACCTTTTGAGAACTTTAAAATATATTATTTTAAAATTGATTTTCTTAAGGGTTAAATACATGGTTTTGAAGTTTTTCTTAAAGTATTTTGAAAGTATTTAAATTGATTTTATGTAAACTTTTGCTACTATTGGATGCAGCCTTTTCAGCATAGCAAATGCAATGTCCTTACTTAATGAGGTTTCTAATTTTTAACCTCAAAATGAAATGAAAAATTTGTTCTATTTCCAGGAACATGGAGTAGACATACTTTTCCCTGTTCTTCCCACTAAGTACAACTAAAATTCCTAGACATTGTTCATAAAACAAACGTAAGAAGACTCTGAAAGGTAGAGGAAAGATGGCAGAATATCTATAGACCTCAAAACCCAAGCAACACACAATAGTGAGTTACCTGGCTTTTCTTCTTTTTGAGTCGTATTTCCCAGAGCTCACATATTCCCTTTTTTTTTTTTCTAAGATGGAGTCTCGCTCTGTTGCCCATGCTGGAGTGCAGTGGTGCCATCTTGGCTCACTACAACCTCCACCTCCCAGGTTCAAGTGATTCTCCTGCCTCGGCCTCCCAAGTAGCTGGGATTACAGGCATGCACCACCACGCCTGGCTAATTTTTATATTTTCAGTAGAGATGGGGTTTCACCATGTTGGCCAGGCTGATCTTGAACTCCTGACCTCAAGTGATCTACCCGCCTCAGCCTCCCAAAGTGCTGGGATCATAGGTGTAAGCCACCACACCTGACTGAGATCCCATATATTCCTGATGAAGAAGGCAGCAAGTGGAAAACACCAACAGGCACATACAAAAACAAATAAGTAAAAGATGAAAATCTGTTTTCTGAAACCAGAGGACTAGAAAAGGTAGAGCCTAGCAAAATGGAAAACTTTTAGATAATAACTGTTGTACTCTAGCCAAGCCCCACAGAAAAAAAAATGTGGCCTCACCCTACCAGCAAAAGCTGATAGGGAAGCCTAAACTTCCACCCTTGCCAGCTCTAAATTGAGAGCTGGGGTGTCCCAAGGCACCCCAGCCCTCGCCACTGGGTAGTGTCACAGAAAACTGAGTAGGGAGCCAAGGCTTTTATTTCTGCTGCGTAGTAACAAGAGCCTCCACCTCAACCCCATGTAAGTAGAAACCATATGCGGAACCTGGGTTTCTACCCTCCCCAACTCCTAACAGTAATGAGGAGCCCTTTTCCTCTCCAACTGGGGTGGTGTTAGTGGACATCATGTGGGAACCAGAAACACTGTTTCTCCCAGCCAGGAAGTATTGTTGGAGGCCCGATGGAGAGCCAAAACTCCCACTCCTAACTAGCAGTAAGAATGCATCCCCCTCAGGTATCAGGGGAGGTGTAGTAGGGAACCTGATTCTACCCCAGTAATCAGGATGAACCAGCAATAATAACACAGTCTCCCCATTCCCTTCTGGGAGTGGTAACAGAGGAAGGCAACTAAAATAGAAAGTTTAAGTAAGATCCAAAGTCTCATAACATAATACCCAAAATGTCCAGGTTTCAATGAAAAAAAAAATCACTTGTGATACCAAAAACCAGGAAGATCTCACACTGAATGAAGAAAAAAAAAAGCAGTCAACAGAGGCCAGCACCAAAATGACAGGGATGTTAGAATTGTCTGCTAAGGATTTTAAAACAGCCATCATAAAAATGCATCACTGAGGAATTCTAAACATGCTGGATGCAAATGAAAAAATAGAAACCTCAGGAAATAAATAAGAAATATAATGAAGAACCTAGGGGGCATCTTAGAACAGAAAAATACAGTAACCCAAATAAAAATCTCAGTGGATGGGCTGGACAACAGAATGCAGGGGACAGGGGAAAGAATCAGTAAAGAGAGAACCATCAAAATTATTTTGTCTCAACACTAGAGAGAAAATAGAATAGAGAGCCTCAAGGACCTGTGGAACTACACTTGACATTTACCATTTGTGTCATTAGAGACCCATAAGAAGCATAGGAAGAGGGAGGGGCTGGAAAAGTACTTGAGCAATCATAGCTGAAGACTTGCCACATTTAACAGAAGACTGAAACCTACAGATACAAGGAGTTGAGTGTAGTAGGCCAAATAATGGCTCCCCCGCCAATGATGTTCATGTCTTGATTCCCAGAACTAGGGAATCAGGTTCCTTTTTTCTTTTTATTTTTTAATGTAGTAAAAGGGATTTTGCAGAGGTAATTAATTTCAGGATTTTTTTTTCTTTTCTTTTTTTTTTTTTTTTTTTTTGAGACAGAGTCTCACTCTGTTGCCCAGGCTGGAGCACAGTGGCACAGTCTCGGCTCACTGCAACCTCTGCCTGCTAGGTTCAAGTAATTCTCATGCCTCAGCCTCCCGAGTAGCTGGGACTACAGGTGTGTGCCACCATGCCTGGCTGATTTTTGTATTTTTAGTAGAGATGGGGTTTCGCTGTGTTGGCCAGGCTGGTCTTGAACTCCTGACCTCAGGTGTTCTGCCTGCCTCGGCCTCCCAAAGTGCTGGGATTACAGGCGTGAGCCACCATACCCGGCCAAGGATTTTGAGATACAGCAATATCACTCCTCAGCATTTAATCCCAGAGAAATAAAGTCACATTCTCACAAAAACCTGTGTATTAATGCTTATAGCAACCTTATTTGTAATAGTCAAAACTGGAAATAACCCAAATATCCTTTAATGGATGAGTGGCTGAACAAACCGGTACATCCATATCGTGGAATACTACTCCACAATAAAACAAAGGAGCTATTGATATATGCAGCAGCTAGTGTGCATCTCCAGAGAGCCATGCTGTGTGAATAAGCCCAATCCCAAATGGCTACATGTAACATGACTCCATTTATATAACATTCTTTAAATGATAAAGTCGTACAAATAGAGATGAGATTCACGATTGCTAGGAGTTAAGGATGTGGTAGGGACAGGAGGGAAGTGGGTGGGGCTACAGAAGGGCAACATGAGTAATACTTGGTGATGGAAATGTTCTATATCTTCCTTCTATCAGTGTGTTTACCTTAGTTGTAATGTTGTAATATAGTGTTGCAAGAAGTTACCAGTGAGGGAAACTGAGCAGTGGGTACATGAGATCCCTCTTTATTATAAGTAACTGCTTGTGAATCTATAACTATCTAAAATTTTAAAATTTAATTTAAAAAATAACTTTTAAAAATTTCTTGTAGCTACATCAATTTGAAAACACAATGCTATATCATATATAAAGAACTTTGCATGTCCAAGTTCAGAAAGATGTTAGTACGAAGTTGCCTCTTCTAAAGTCTGTTTTTTTTTTTAATTTGTTTGGAGATTGGGAAGGAAGGCAAGGGATTCTGTTTTATCAATCATATATGTTAAAAAATAGATAATATTTGTTAACTCCTAAACACCGTGTGAGGTCAGCATTATTGTAAAGAAGAACACTGAGACGCAGGGAGGTGGAATGATTTGCCCTGATGAGTAGTGAGGCCACATTTGGACTGGACAGTCTGGTCCCAAAGCCTGCATCCTTTCTTACTGACTATACTCTTTGGCCTATCTGCATAGGCTATTAGTATCCAAGTATCTTTCCGCAGCAGGACACTCACCTCAGAAGTTTTAAGCACTTTTCCTAGGTCACAGAGTCATAGCTGTGAGACTGAAATTCAAGACTTTTCCTATCAAAATCCCATCCTACTCCCACCTGGGAGAAGCCATATTCCAAATGGCCCTCAGACCTGATCCTCAAGCATATTTTGTTTGCTCACTTAGTGCTGGGCAGTAGATTATTCTTTTTAAATTTACATTAGCAGTATATATTTAAACATTGTGAGATATGTAAAAATCCAGGCTTCTAGCTTCTCAGGAAAAATAAGAAAATCTGCCAACACTGGGTGTACATTCTCAAATTCTCTCAAAGGAGTTAGATATAGGATGTTTAGGGACTGCCTCTTACAGCCTCTTTAGATGAGGTTGTTTGCCTCAGTCCTTACCACTACTTACCCAGAGACCACAACCAACCATCAGCTGGTTTTTATTGTGCAACACTGTTGTTTTTCTTACAGTAGAGGAAATGCCTCTACCCACCTAGCTACCAAATCATGGCTTTTATGTTTTACCTTTTATCTTAATAATTTGGGTGGTTGTATTCTTCCTGATTATAAACTACTTAAAGTTCTATTTCTGAAAATCTCCATTATTAGTGGATTTGCAGTTGTTAAACTTAAGACCCCCATAGAATTGAAGGTGCTGAAATCACTAGTCCATCTACGAAGGCTAGTCACTAAAACGAAATAGGCATACATGAACTAGAATATATCTCCTTCAATACTTCTTAAATTAGAAAATTATGAGTATTGCGCAGTCACTGTGTTCGTCATTACAATTGCTTTAACATTCCTTTGTAAAGACTTTCTAGTAGTTTTGCGGAGATTCAATGAGGTGCTTATAAATTGATTTTGTGCCAGGTGCAGTGGCTCATGCCTGTAATCCCAGCACTTTGGGAGGCCTTGATGGGAGGATCACTTGAGCCCAGGAGTTTGAGACAAGCCTGGGCAAGATGGCAAAACTCAACCTCTACAAAAAATTTTAAAAATTATCCGGGCATGGGGGTATGTGCCTTTAGTCCCAGCTACTCAGGAGGCTGAGGTGGGAGAATCACTTGAATCTGGGAGGTTGAGGCTATAGTGAGCCATGGTCGTGCCACTGTACTCCAGCCTGAGCAACAGAGCGAGACCCTGTCTCAAAAAAATAAATAAATAAATGAAATAAATTGATTTTGCTTCATGGCATGCGATACGCATAATAATAATAATAATAAGTATTTCTTCTGTGTCTGGCTTTCTACTGAAGTATTTTCAGTTCTACAATTCAAGGCCCCTCCACCCCTATTGGTCTTTCTCTTAAGGGGCCCAACTCTGAGTGTCTCTCCTGAGTCTCATATGCTCAGTCTGAAATAGTTGACCAAGTAGGAAATGGAAGTAAAGAATTTCACGGAAGGGGAATTTGCCATGAGGGAAGGGTTAATAAGTTATTCCTGTTGATCGCCTTTGTAATGCCTAGCACATTCTCGTTACAGAGTAGACATCCAGAAGTGAAATGATTATGTTTGATGCTGAACTCCTAAGTAATTCAATATTGTCTGAGGATAATAGTCCTGCAAATTATATTACAGTCAGAAGTGTTTTTGTTTTTGTTTTTTTCCAGTCGAGGAGTAGATGACTGGAGGCTGCCTTGTTTGCGTGAGTGGTGTTGGGATGACCTTCCAGGCTGGGCATGTGATTCCTGAAGAAGTGGCTACTTGTTTGGCTCCTATATCAATGCAGAAATTAGTGTTTGAGCTGATAGGAAGTAAGGGGGGGAAATCAAGGAGTGGAAAGGCTGCTTGGGATGGAATCTGTAGACTCTTTCTGTCTGACCTCTGGTTGCTAATCTATGTTATTGTTACTGGAAGGGGAGGCCTGCAAAGGTTGAGTCCTGGCAAGGATATCACCAGAGCAGGAGATCAGTGACTTCTTAGCTTATAATTCCACTGTAGGTGAAACTCTAGCATTTGCAGGCAAGATGGAAGATAAGGAAGTGGGTGAAGGGGTGAAAAATGAAATAAATATTGAATAAAGCGCCTGTACTCTGGAACCAGATTGTGCGTTTTTAGTTTCTGCCTCACTCTGTCATACTATTGTGTAAGCTTGAGCAAATAAGTTATCTCTGAATGCTTCAGTTTCCTCATGTGTAAAATGGGAATAATAATAGTATTTACCTCATCGTGTAAACAGCCAGTAAGTAGCAGCATCTCTGCACTGGACAATTTTTCTTTTGTCAATTGCTCTTTTTATTCGGTACCTACAGTGTCATCTAAATAGCCTGTCCCTTAGTGTATGGAGTCAGGAGACTAAGAAGAAATTTAGGGAAAATAAGGAAGGATAAAGGAATAATAAGCAAGGATGAAGGATTGCCTGCATTTGAGACCCTTGTCAATGTGTGTTTTCTCCAAAGAAAATGTGTCTCTTTTCCAAAGAAACATAGATGTGTCTCTTTGGAGAACTTGTTTCCAACCTTAGATGATTTTTCAGATTCAGTCTGTGTGCTAAACTCAAATCTTCTCATTTTCTAAGTACATCTGTTCATGACTTATAATATGTTAGGAAGGTATTTTGCCCTGGTGAAGAAGGACTTAGTTCTTATTCCTACTTAACTAAGGGATAGAGAAGAAAAACCTTCAAATTACAATGAAATTGATTGACCTCAATTCTTTTTAGATATTTGTCTACAAAATGTCTTTAGTAATAGGTTTTAATACTTTTGCAGTTGATTTTACTAAACAGATTAAAAATTTAAGCCCACTTAACCTCAATAAACAAGTATATGAAGTCACATACAACTAAGTACTTCAAACCCAGAAACTCTGGCACTGAAGGAGATAAAGTAGCAGACACCTTCTGTGTATTTTCCTACTTCTGTACCTCAAGACATTTGCTGTGTACATTTATAACAATGGCCATGTCGGAAATAATATTTTTGGGTTTATGGATTTTTATTGATCTATTTCATTTACGTGGGTTTGATCCCAAATGATGGGATGATGTTCTCTTATGAAGACCATGCCTTGAGGGAAAGGAGAGTGCTTTTAAGTAAGCCTGTTCCCTTCTGGCTCTCTTTGATAGGGTGGTCTCTCCCAGGGTTTATTTAGGAAATGATGGAACACAGGTCAGTCTGTCCTTGTCTCTAACCAATCTAAACATTTTGCTTTCAGCAAAATTTACATATTATTTTCAAACCTTTACTCCACATCTTGCATTATTGATTTGATTAATCTCTGCTGTTTTTAAGGCATATCTTCTTCAAGACAGCATTTTTCTTTTATATCCAACAAATTCCTTTCAGATTTCTAAATGCGAAAAAAAAACTTAGTTGTGGACAAAAGTACAGCCATTCTCTTTACACCTGAAGAAATTAATGTTTTTTCGATAAAAGTCACCATATGTTAGGAGGGTGACAATTGGTATTCAAATGTGAGTGAGGAAAAGAATAAAGACTGAGGCAAACAAATATTACCATTATTGCAGTGTTCCCTGCAATCTGTGGGTTGTTATTTATTTACAGTTTTGTTCCTGTAGGCCCACAGAAGAGAAATGCAAGGAGGAGTACTCCTGAAGTAGAAGAGGCTGTAGAAGGTTGGAATAGAGAGCAACAAATCCCAGGTCAGGATGTGGAAGGGCTTACAAATCACTTAGGCTGTCTGGGTCCCAAACTTTCTCAGCTGTAAAATGAAGCAGTTGAACTTAATGGTTCTCTAGTTGGTGCCTCTTAGACTTTAATGTACATCCTGTTAAATGTGCAGATTCTGACTCAGTAGATCTGGAGTGAGGCCCAGGGTTTGCCTTTCTAACGAGCTCCTGGGGGGTGCCAATGCTGCTGGTCTGCAGATCACACACTGTTTAGCAAGCTCTGCACGATTTCTAAGCTCAAGCTTCCATTAACTCTACGATTCTATGAACGTGCAGTCAGCTGACATTTTAGAAAAGACAGGAAGGTTTCATGAAACATGCCTACCATGGTATTAACCATTCTCATTCTTCATAATCATCTTCATCAAAAACTCTTTAAGTGCCTAATTATGCATAACAGCTTCCCATGCTTTACAAAAGTATATTTGGTCTTTGCCTTATCAGACTTGACAACCTAAGACAGAGAAATATGTATAGAGACAGTAATAAATATTGAGGCAGTAATAAATATTGAGTAATAAATGTTCATCCAGATATAGAACACATTAAAATTTTTTAAAAAGTATGTACTTAGCATGGGCCCTAGGATATTTATTTTCTTACAGCTTGTCTTCCTTTCAAAATCTGAGAAACCAAAGAAGTTGCCCTATAATTTTTACATGAAAGTAAGAGATTTCTCTTTCTGTTTTGCAGATAGGGGTTGGAAATGGGAAGGTCAGTTTCTGAGGCTACTTTTAATGTTGTTGTTTGCTTTGTTTTGGCCTCACTGACTTAAAAAGAAATATTTTATCAGCCCTGAATGCCTAACCCTAATTACCATATGCAGGTGCCTTGGCTTGACTTTGTGCTTCTCAGCACTGTGTGTGTACATAGGCTTATTAAATTAGCGTCAGCTCCTCCTACCCAAGGACCTCAGGCCCATCTAGTCACCCTCACATCATCCTTGGGAAGCAAAGGAGGCAGAGCTAGACATTGTTATCTCTGAATCATGGGCTGTTAGGTGATACCAAGAAGGAAACTGGTATGTCCAAAGCCTTGTGATAATTCACATGGGAAGCTTTGGATTTGATTCTGTTTCTTCTGTACACATTTGCATTTGCTGAACTGACCTAAGGACTTGATCTGCCTTGGTGTGGGAAAGGATCAGATAAGAAGTCATTGCTGGCATTTTCTCTTGAAAGCAGAACAGGTTCTGTTCCCGGAGGCCAGGTCACCAACCAACAGAGATTGTGTTCAGGTACCTGTAGTGATAAGCCAGTTTGTTATAACTGTATCACAGGTTAGCAGAGTGATGTCAGGATGGCTCATTTCATTGATTATTGTAACTTAGCAAGAGCTACAAGAATTATCACAGATCTAGAAAATGGTCACATCTAAGCAAGGGTCTCTGTATCAGATATTTACCAACAGTGAGATTAGAGACCCTTGTTTACACCTTCTCAACTCAAGTAGGCACATATAATATTTAGTAGTGACTATGTGTATGCTCAGAGATGCGGGAAAGCGGAGGGAGCTGTGTGTGCCACGCTCTTGGGCTTCAGCTGTGTGTTATCTTGTGTGTGTGCGTGAGGAGCTGCTGTGGAATCAGGTGCACTTGGGTTTGAAACTTGGCTCCACCACTCACTGGCTGTGTCACTTCACATTTCTAGGCCTCAGTTTCCCCATCTGTAGGATCAGTGTAACAATAGTATGAATCCTTGTGAGCATTAAGTAAGATGAGGATATATGGAATGTATAGCATGGTGTCTGCAAATAGTACTTGATTATTAGTAATCATAGTAAAACTCATACACGACAGCATCTGAAATTACTTGTCTTTAAAGAAGTTAGAGATTCTTAATTATTTCACATGCAAGTGTTTGTACAGGAGGTAGTGTCTGGGTTCATGAAAATGTCACACTCATTTTATTATGAATAAAGCTTTTAAGGAGGCAAAGCCTCCATTAACTAGACTCAACCTCATCTTTCATGCTAATGTCATACACAACTGTTTTCTCTTTTTTATAAAATTATAAAGAGGCAAGTCAGTCTACTCATACTAGAAGATACAAAACCCTGACTATTATATAGCAGGAAGCTAAACTTCTAAAAAGCCACAAATGGCAATACTATACATTTTGCATTAGGGTCTTGGAATAGATCTATATGGACACATGGAATTACACAGGCTGAATTGAGGACACTAAGTATCTGGTTGCCTTCTCTCTGGCAAACGAGAGTGGAGATAGGTACCTGGTTGCAGGAAGTAAGGAGATGCTCTTTGCCTACAGACAGTGAGGGAAGGCTAACCAGCATTTGGAGGGGCAGCGTTCTTTGGGAAATTGAATTTTAAGCCTGCTAACCATATCATAAGACTGCAAGGCCTGGCAGAACAAGAGCATGAGGCAGCTGGATAGAAACCCAAGAAACCAAAATGAGCGACTTAAAGTGGAGCTGTTTGAAGGGGAAACAGAGCCCCAGGGAATTTCCTAACCTCAGAATGCTATTCACTCACCCTTTTTTATAGGGTGTCTGTGGCTTCTGGTTGCCTGCAAATTGAGCCAGCATGGTGCAGATGTGACAGTGGTTTAAGGCTGTTTTTCCCCAAATTTAGTGTGAATCACCTGGGGGTCTTATTAGAATGCAGAGTCTGATTCAGTAGATCTGAGGTAGGGTCTGAGATTCTGCCATTTTCAGCAAGTCCCCAGATACTGCAGAAACTGCTGGTCTGGGACCATACTTTAAGTAGCAAGTGTCTAATCCACTCTCTCCTCAACCATTTCATCCTCTGATCACCACCTTCTGTCTTCTATCCCCTGTGCCTTAACTCCAACCATTTGTGGCCCACCAGTACTCACCATCCAGTGATCCTGCTAATTTTCCTTGTCTGTCACCCCCTCCAGTTCTCCTTTCCTAGTTATCTAGCTTAGATTCCATGATCTTGTGTTATAATTATTCTTTTGCATCCACCCTCAGGTTCTTTGCTGCTCCCTCTTCCCTCATGATCCTCACTGGCAAAACCCCAACCCTGCGTAACACAGCTCTCTCCCCACGCCACATCTTCACCTACACTGGTGAGTGCGGCTGAAGGAACACACATCACTGTGCTCACAGGTCCCACTTTCGTCTCAGTGGGTCCCTGTGCCGCTATTCTGTCCATTGTTCTGCTTTTCTGGATCATCTTCTTGTGTCCTGTCCTCAAACCTCAAATACCTCCCTCTCCATCCTCATTCTCAGCTAATAATCTTGCTGCCTTTCCTGGATCTGCCCACATGTCTGCACGTGTGCCCACACCTGGCCAGTGCTCCCCTCAGTGGGTGTGGAAGCACCAGGCATGCTGTAGCTCTCTGAGGGGTGCCCAAGGTGGGCACATGGAGGGGCCAGTGGAACCAGCCCCCTCTGACCTGCCTCCCCCCCACCTTCAGGTCTGTGCTCAGCTAACATTTTCTCAGTGCTGCCTTTCCTGACTCCCCAACTCAAAGCAGCGCCCACTCCCCAGGCAGTCCCTACCTCCACAGTGCCTCTGTGGTTTTCTTCAGTGATTGTCACAGCTATGCTGCTAGATGGTGGGTTTGTTCCCCACCTCCACTAGAAAGATACATAGGACAGGGAATTTCATCTTGGTCAATATCGAAACCCCCACCTAGAATAGTGGCTGACATATGGACATTCTCCTTAAAGAAAGTATTTGGATAGATACTAGCATGGGAGATGTGATTGTGTTTGGACAGAATCAGAAAAAGCCAACTAGGAAGAACTGCATATCCACACATGTATTTAAAAAGCCACTCCCGGTCTTTTTGAATAGACAAGGCTAAGGAAGATCCCTGTTCAGGGATACTTTTGGACCTGAATATGCTGAATTTACTAGAGATTGTTGAGCCCACCAGGCCCTTTGGGGATCAGGAGGGGAAAGGACCAACATCAAATTCCATCTGAGAATCCTGTCGCTTGTCTCATTTGATGCTCTCAGGGAGGTTGGTAGTGTGAGTCAGGATTTAACCACCCGACACTGCTCTGCACTCCGTAGCATTGTCATACTCACTTGGGACACTAGCAGAGCTGTAACCAGTTCTATTTTACAAATCTGCAGGCTAAATATGCCTAATTCGCTGTGGTTTGAGGAAAAGAGATATATCATGGCTATGCCTAGGACTCCATGTGGGCCAATCCTGATGAAAACAACCACAGGACAAGTTGGCAGTGGAAATGTCCTAAGATGGCACAGAATGAAGTTGATTGCCATGAAAATATGTTGTGCTGGTCATTCTCAAGGAGTCAGGCGTTCAGTCTACTGAAAGTGAAGGAAAGGCATATCTAGCAATACTTCTTATTTTATTTTGAGGAGTTCTGCTTTTAATAACATTGTCAGCATGCACTAAATCATTGTCTCTCAAGGTTTTGAGCAGCTGTGATGCAGAGGGAAAAGCACAGGGTGTTTTGTGCGTATTGGATGAGATAACTGACCTCATGCAGGGCTGAGAATACAACAGGTGCTTTTTACATGCACCCACTCCCTCATCTATGCCCTTTCCAATGGTCCCCATCCACACTACTGTTTTTCTGCATGATATGAAAGTTAAGATATAAATATGAGAGTATGTGAGTATGTGTTTGTGTTTAAGAGATGCCCTCACTCTGTCGCCCAGGCTGGAGTGTAGTGGCACAACATAGATCACTGCAGCCTCAAAATCCTGGGCTCAAGCAATCCTCTCACCTCAGCCTCCTAAGTAGCTGGGATTATAGGTGTGAGCCACTATGCTCAAATTATTGTGTTTTAATAAGTCATCATTCATTTTAGACCAGTGATTTTCAACATGGGGATGATTTTGCTCCTAAGGGGATATTTGTTGAAGTCTGGAGACATTTTTGTTTATTACAACTCAGGGCAGGAAATGCTAGCCCCTCAAAACAAAGAATTCTCCAGCCCCAAATGTCAGCAAGGCCAGGGTTGAAAGCCCTGTTTTAGAGCATGTATTTTACATTGGTGTTTATAGTTATTTCCTCATTGGACTCTAAATAAATGAAGGAGAGAATTGAGAAGGATGTGACTGGCTGAGGACACAGTGGGACAGGAGGTTGGAACAAGTTGGGGGACCCACCTATCAGGTGCCAGGATTCACTGACTCTTTACAAGCACACTACAGTTTCCAGCTTAAAAACAAGTGCTTTATTAGATATACTCACTAGCAGAACCCCAACCCTGCATAACCCAGCTCTCTCCCCACGCCACATCTTCACCTACGCTGGTGAGTGTAGCTGAAGGAGCACACATCTCAGTGGGCCCCTGTGCCGCTGGTCTGTTCTCTCTTCTATACTGGTTAAGCCTCTAAAGCAGATAGGGTGGCAGAAGCACGGAGGACTCAGGAGGGCAGTGAGCATGATGAGATGACACTGGACAGGCTGGGCACTGTGATGGGGAAATTGTCACAATGCCAGGGGCTTGGGTTTTGTCACAAGGGCTGTGGAGAACAAGCACGGATGGGGCCCTCCAGAGCCAAACTATCCTGTTCTTTTCTGTACTGTATTCACAACCTGTTCATACTCCTCTTATCCCTTGCGTCTCTCTGTATTGTGCTACTTACTTGTAACTTGGGCTCCTGAACTGGGCCTTGTCATCTTTGCCTTTGTGTGCCCCTTGTATATAGCACAGAGATTTATCAGTAAGTGTTTATTAAACAGATTTGGTGGTGTTTTAGACACCACTAGCAGCCTCTCAAAATAATTGTTTCTCCACTTTTGAACAAGTACTATTCCCAAATACTTGTTCCCAATGCAATTGTTTAGAGCTTGAAATGCATCCTCCTGGTTTTATAAATGATAGGTTTTCAGACTGGTGGGGAAATTTCCCAGCACCCACAGTGTTGTTGAGCCATAATGCTTAGTAGCCCAGGATGTGGGATTTCCCAGCAAAAGGCCAAGAGAAGAGAGTTTCCATTGCCTTTCTTCGTTGTGTGTGGACTCTTGGCAAGTGGGTTCTTTACCATTCTACTGCCTCTCTTGGCATGGAACCTTCTCTCACCTTCTACTGCACTTTTCTCTTGGTACTCATATTCAGGCGGCTCTTAGACCACATGGGTTAAGAGTCTGGGTGTTCATGTCTTGCTGGCCACTGTGGAGTCTGACACTGGAGCTCATGGAGGAATTACCACCTTGCTTATTGTCAGCTTGACTATTTGGTCTTTCAAATGTTACTTTGCTTTTCATTTCTTCTAAGAAATAGCTCTTTCTTTTCTCTTTTAAACTTTACCAAAAAAGAAAAGAAATAGCTCTTTCTTTTCTCTTTTAAACTTTACCAAAAAAGAAAAGAGGGGAGAGGAGGCACCAGTTTCCCCCAGTGGATATTTCTCCTGAGAAAATTCAGTCTCGTTATCAGGTTCATTCTTTAACTACCCATGCTTTTTACTTCCACTTAGCATATTTTCAGATGTCTACTTAGATGCACAGTTCTACAAAAACAGAATTTTCGATTTGAGATTACATTCCTCAAACTCAAATCACACTTATTCTTGGAGAAGTGATCTTTATAAGTGATAGTTTTATTTTTAAGCATAAGAAGCCATGTTAACAAAAATACAGCATATTTAAAGATGAAGACATTAAATAATATAGCTAAATATAACAATTATCACGTCTCTATACAATTTTGTTTCACCTTTTTTTTTTTGTGCTGAAAAGACTTTCATCTTCTTGAGGCATACAACCAATTTTGTTTTTGCTTAATCCATGTGCATTGCACATGGGCTCTAGGGGTCTGTGTTTGAGGTGTGCAGGTGCAGTGCTGGTGATAACTCCTAGTTACTGTTATCATTGGTGGGATTGAGTTAGAAGGCAGCAATGATTAAAACGAAGTATGGACATAATTTATTACTACATGCAATTAATGCCATCATTTTTACTTTTCTACATGTATAAAATTAGGGATAATGTTTAGGTCTGGATGTTTTAAGAGCAGGTTTTAGCTTTTGCTTTTTAACATTCTTTTATTATAGTATTAAAGCAGTAAAAGCTAATTAAATAAGCCTTTTTCAGTTGCTTACTGTTGGCCAAATGTTAAATAAGTAAATAACAAGATGATCATTTTACTCTTAATTGTTGCAGTTTTAATCCAGTTCAGAATTTTGAAATTGTTTTCTCTTGTGTTTCTTTTCCAGAAAACACGAGATTTTTCTCCTATTTCAGCAGTTGGCCACAACTTCATTGCTGGGAAAAGGTGATTTCAAAGTATTTATTTATCTGGTTTATTCTACATTATTACTCATTCAAACTGGCTTTTAGTTTAACTTTGCATGCATCAGTTGTTGATTTGGAGACTCTGTTTGGGTTAAGTCTGCAGACACACAGCTTCTAAGCTGAAAAACATCCAGGGAATGAGCTTGTCTGATTTGAATTTAGCAACTTAGGTCTTCTGCGATAGAAACCAAGACGCCAATGGGTATACTTCCTACAACATGGTGTTTCCCTTTGATTGGTGGTAAGCCCATCCATGGCTGAGCTTTGTAAAGCCTCTGTGAAGTTGGGCTAAATGCCTACTCTGTCTCAATCTCTTTCCTCATCTTTGAGACAGGGATAATAATTGGATAGTCTCATGGGCTTGATAGAGAGATTAATAGGATACACAGTGCTCACTGCCACCACCACCAAAAATATACGAGGCTGTGTTTTTGGTTATCATTATTCATGGTATTAATAATCTCATTTTGTGCTGATGATAAAGTTATGTTAATAATTCCTTAATAACCTTGGGTCATCTTCTGCGAACAGACCAAATGTGGAAAAATCATTCAGACTAAATGAACAGGTTAACACAAAGACATTCTGTCTTTTATTTTAGAAATTCATTTACTACAATGGTTATCAGTGTTTATAATGAATCCTGGACTTCGAAGCACTATGTCCACCCATTTGAAAGATTTATTTTACAAACCTCAAGTGTTATGGCCTGCCCGACTCATATTCATTTTAAATCATTATCCAATGCCTGTATGGCCTGGAAAGGAATTCATCTGGTCTAAGTTTTCCCAATCTCTTCACCAAAGGAATCTTGTAAAATAGGCCACTGTCTTTTAATTAAATCTTTGCTTCAACTTACTGAGAAATTCCTTCTCTTGCCAGAGTAACCCTTTCCTCTTAGGAGAGCAGGGAGCTATTTCAGGGTTATTTTGGTTCCCCTCTGAGGCCACAGTCTTTCTAAATATAACTGCAGATCCTGGAAATCAGCCTGCCTTTTGTTAGTTAACTTAGGCTAAAGAATCAGTGCATTAAGACCTTTGATTATCCACATTCTAAAAACGCCTTCCTCTGATCTCCTAATATTTGACAAGAATCTCGATTCAGGGATTAGACATTTTCTCTAATGCATTTCCATTTCCACTAGAGCTGCTCGCCTTACACACATTATGGCCTGAAATGTAGAGCATTTTCCGGTTGGGGGTAATGAAGATTTAACTCAAGAATCTATATACTTTAGAATAGGCATCACATGTTTCTGTAATAGAATCACATTCCTCCCAATTTCTGGAAAGCGTTGTGTGGTACTTTTTTGTACATGGCTGACTTCTTGAGTTTTACTCCATCTGACCCTCCTATAGAAGCTAAGCTTGAGGTCAATGTTTGTATCTTATTTTAGTACCTACAACATCTAATAAATGCCTGGAGCATAGTAACACACAGTGAATGCTCTAATTTCTTTAAATGAATATATCTCTGACACTAAAGAAGATAGAATTCATGAAAAGTAATTTATCTCAAGCTGAGCTTTTTTTCTGACTAGATATAAGCATTCTTCTCAACAATAATGCTTTGCTTGTTATTTTCGCCACATTAAAGAAGTGCCACCAAAACCAATTTATGTCCCCTTTCCCTCTTCTGCTGAGATCAGAACTAACATGGTGGCTACATTCTTTTGAAACTTGTAATTGTGTGTCATTTCCACAGTGGAAGTAGATTCAGACAGTATCTGCACCAACTTTAGTGGTAATAGTAGCGACTTTATGATGTTTTAATTTGAAATTCAAAATTTTAAATTGTCCCAACCCATTTTCAGGCTTCCAATGTGCCTGTGCCTTGGAAATGTATTTCAAACTTCCATAGTTGTTCTTTCCAGTTATTAGAAACATAAGCAAAGCAGGCTGGGTGCAGTGCTCACGCCTGTAATCCCAGCACTCTAGGAGGCCGAGGCGAGCAGATCACTTGAGGCCAGGAGTTCGAGACCAGCCTGGCCAACATGGTGAAACCCCGTCTTTACTAAAAATACAAAAATTAGCCGGACATGGTGTTGCACACCCGTAATCCCAGCTACTTGGGAGGCTGAGGCACAAGAATTGCTTGAGCCTAGGAGGCAGAGGTTTCAGTGAGCTAGGATTGCCCCCCAAAAAAGAGAAACACAAGCAAAGAGAACACAGAATCAGCAACCGTCCAGGGAGATGTGCACTCCTAAGCTGAATTAACAAATAAGTGTGTTTCTTGAGAGGCCAGAGTTAACACAATTAGTGATGAACTGCGTCTTTGAGGAGCTAGGGGAAAATAATGGGATTCATTTTTAATTCAAACCAATTCTAAGCAAGAGCCTTGGCTTTCTGGAGTGGCTTTGTAATCAAAGGTTACCGCAGGGCTTGTCAGAACTTTTAACAACTGTCTCCACTGTGAAAATGGTCTTAAGTTGTAAGGTGATTGCAGAGCTGAGGAAATGATGACTCTAGCCAGCTTTTGTCTCGCATTTGATCTTTGGCTCACAAAGACGAGGTTAATTTCAGCATAAGCTGTTAGCTTTATTTTTTAAATCAGTCAATTTTAATAGCAGCCTGCTTATGCCCTGAAAAACATCCAAGAGCAGTAAGAAAGAGTTGGCCTGGAATATAAATGTTACAGTATAAATCTTAGCTATCTCTAGGCCAGTAGTCAACAAAATACTTTGCAGTCAGTCTAATTAATCTTTCATTTTCTTTTTGCTATCCTTCCTTGTGTTTATTGTGTGTGTGTGTTTTCTGAACTATAAAGCATATACATAGTCACGATAGTTGGAAAATTTAATACTCTCAAGGAAGAAAAAAGTTTCCTTGTGAATCCATTACCCAAAGAGAACCATTGTTAGCATCTTGGCTGGTACTTTTCCCTGAGAATTTTTCCCAGGCAAACATACATAATTTTTAAATTCCTTTTGGTTTTGTTTGCTTTTAGAGACAGGGTCTCACTTTGTGGCCCAGGCTGGACATAGCTCACTGTAGCCTCAAACCCCTGAGCTCAAGAGATCCTCCTACTTCAGCCTTCCAGGTAGCTAGGAATACAGGCACGTGCCACCATGCCTGGCTACTTTTTTTTATTTTTTGTAGAGATGGGGTCTCACCATATTGCCCAGGCTGATCTCAAACTCCTGGGCTCAAGCGAGCCTCCCACTTTGGCTTCCCAAAATGCTGGGATTGCAGGCATGAACCACCATGCCCAGCCTCATACTTTTAAACTGCTTATGATGAAAAATTTTATACACACACGAGAGAATCACTGAGTCCTTACATATTCACAGTCTAGATTCACAGAGTATCAAGATTTTGCCACCATGGCTTCACCTATCCCTTTTTTCTTTCTCCCTTTCTCTTTCCTCTTTTGAAATATCAACTAAGCTACTTTTAAGAGGAAAAGATGACTCTTGATATTCTGAGGACTATGGAAAGCAAGTATTTGCCTGCCAATTTCACATATTCTCACTTATCCTTTATTAGGAAGCAAAAAGTATGGTTTTACACTTCATATTGTATTGTACTTTGGGAATAAGCTGCCTTAAAGCTCAAGTCTATTGCATGCTAGATGGGTATTGATTTTTCCTCTTAAATCAATGTTTCCCTAGGGCATAGTTTTATTTATTCATAAAGCTAAGATGATGTCTGACAGGAGTTACAGCAGTGTAAATCTGTGGTGCAGGCACAATAAGAAGAGCTTTTGTAACACTCAAAAATCCATGTTCTGATGCTAGAGGGTATCCTCATAAGCCTGAAAAAGTGCATTTGCGATGCTTGCAAGTGTAAAAGGAACATTTCAGCATATCGTTAAGTTTTACTCCTCTGTTTTCTATGCTACTTTGCAAATGGACCTAAATACATTGTGACTGAAGCCAAGCCATGATTGTGTCTGATGCACAACGGGTTATTGGAACAGCAGGCTGGATAGAATCAAAGCTTCAGCCACAATCTCTTGTTGACACCAAATGTCAGCTTGCTCCGGAAGGATGTAGTGGCCCTGTTGATCTGTCCCCTGTAATTTTGCTCCCTGGCCCAAAGGATGGGCACTTCTGCCCAAGGGGCAGTTAACATGAGAATGTTCACTTTGGGATACTTCATTCACTTTGGAATAACCCTATGTACTTGTTGGTGTGTTATAGTACATGTAACAGCTCTCTGTGTAGCTAGGCCATGTAAGTCAAGTGTAATCCTAAAAGTGTACTCATTTTGTTGATATATATATATGACATATGATATATATATGATATATATAAACATATATATACACACATACACACACATGCATATATATACATATATATATAAAATACATAGTCTATTCTGTTTTAAAAGTGTTTATGATATTAAAATTATTGTTAGACTTTTTTAACTTAAAGAAAATATGCCCTGACTTTTCCCTCAACATTAACTGATTTTTTTCCCTATGGTTGAAAAATGCTTCTAATGGGTAGAATGGCACCATTTGGAATTTTAAATATCCAGTTTTTTATTAGCAGTCTGATCTTAGCACAGTAGAACTGGCTGGAGAGTCAGGTGACGTAAAAGCTAGTTTCATTATCCACTCTTGGCTGCTTTGTGACCTATGGCGAGTTTCTGAACTTCTTTGGGACATTTTGTTTATATTGTTGTTTTTTTCCCCTAATTTAAACAGCAGTGAGTTTGTGAGAAATTGGCAGATTTCACTTCTTGATTTCCATAGACTTCCATACATCAGGACTCTTCCGTTTGAAAGTAACTAGTTGATATTTAAAAAAAGAAGAAGAAGAAAAGGAAGTGAAAAGAGAAAAAAAAGAATGCAGAAGTGAGGATTATTTCTTCATGAAGAATAAGGTTTGTTCCAGTTTTAAAAGCCTGTGACTTCTCTGTGAAAACATTGCAGATGATTAGCTCAGCTACCAGGAGCCACACAGTTTTCTTAGAAATTGTGCCATTGAGGACACCAAGGGGGCCAGGGAGGACACAGCTCCAGTTAGAGGCTGGGGCCTTGAGCGCCTCCCCCCAAGAGCAGCTGGTGCTCTGCCAGGTCTGTGGCTCCCAGGATGCCCAGATCCCTTGCCAGAGGTTTGGGAGAAGCCTTAAAGGTGCTGTCTCTTCGGATCTCTGCTGTTTCCTCTCCACTGATAGCTACATTGGGAGCCTCTTCAGAGGAGGCTTCTAGGAATTAGAAGGGAAAGCATATAAATGCCATTCACTACAGTACCTGTTCACTGCTGGTCACAGTTGTTCTCCTTTGCCTCATCAGCCTCAGGCATGGAGATAACCTGGTGGCATGTCAGTGTCTTCGAGTTTTTCCCATTAAGCTCCAAGAGCATTGATTGCTATTCACTTCATGAATGGATGTCTTGAGAAGATCGTAAGAACTACTTTTGAAGGACCGAGGCTGCCGTCTCTGCTTCAGTAGAAACCCGAGGTGCCTGACATGAAAAGCACACTAGAGGACCTATTTGAAGAAGAGAGAGTTAGCTGTTTGGAATCTAACCGTTTATGTTAAGGTCTGTGTGTTAGGTTTTCTAGTTAGCTTTAGTCAAGTCCTTCAAGGTCTTTTTTTACATTCTTCCAATATAATCTGCTTTATATTCTTTAATAGTATGTTTTTGCTCTTTTAGCATTAATTAATTATGCACTCCTATAGGAAGCTGATTAGGAAGTCATCCTCCTTGACCCTGTGTTTGGTTCCTTTAGAGCAGGGGTTTTCAGCCTTTGCAGGAACCAGGCCACACAGCAGGAGGTGAGTGGTGGGCCAGCCTCCTGTCAGATCAATGGTGGCATTAGATTCTCACAGAAGCATGGACTCTATAGTGAACTGCACATGTGAGGGATCTAGGTTGTGCACTCATGATGATCTTAGTGGAACAGTTTCATCCCGAAAACATCCCCACTCCCCCTGCCTGTGGAAAAATTGTCTTCCATGAAACCGGTCCCTGGTGCCAGAATGGTTGGGGACCACTGCTTTAGAGGTCCTCTTGGCTCCCCAAGTCAACCCCGGTGTGGAAGCTAAAGTAATTCTATCTTGTAAGCTAATCTACCATGTTGACTTCTTATTAACAGTTCCAGGAATGCTCTGAGATCTCCAGTTTGTCTTTTGCTCCTTGTGTAAGAGCATATACCTACCATAAATCCTGCCCTTAGAGCAGATCAACCTTGACATACTGGTACTTACTATAAATCCTGCCCTTAGATCAAATTCCTCCTCATTTCCTCTGGAGCATGTGTACCCCTTCCCTGGGTATATAATCCTTGGGTCTGGGGGTCTAATGACGAGGAGATCTGCTTGTCATGTGGCTACCCAAGACCATGCCCCTGTCCGTAAGTTCCCCAATAAAATCACCCTGTAATGACAAGAGGGACTTGTCTGCCTCCTTCTTTGGTTTTTTGACTCCTTCTGTGTTTGGGGGTTGCTTTGCCTATATGACCTTTTCGTGAAACACCTGGTCATTAATGGAGTGATACTTTCACAGCCAGACACCTGTCACATCCAAATTACTAACATAAGGTGATTTTGAATGCTGGATTTCTAGGATCAACCACAGGTTCTAGTACTTAAAAAAAAACTTTAAAAAATGTTTTTTAGAGACTCCCACTCCGTCTTATGAAAGCTCCATCCTCACCAGTGGAGAAAGAATTTCCCTGTTGGGTCTTTGTGTCTTGCAGGTGGCCAGAGGTGCTCACTGAGGCCTCTCCTGTTCAGTCGCAGAGAGCTCCAGACCAGTCTCTTGAGCAAGGTTTAATGAAGCTGTGGCTGCCTTCCATATTCCTTTTTCATGTCATGAAAAAAGATACTTCTTTTGTGGGCCTGCCACTTTAGGAATAAAAACCCTCCCTCAACTGCTTAGTACCAATATTGCCCTAAGAAGGAAGTACCTGGCTCTCATGGCCTTATCTGAGCCTCGAATAGAGGAGACCCACGCAGGCTGGAATGGCCCTGCCCAGGCCCACTGGGAGAGATGACTCAGTTCCAAATAGGGCTTTCATTTTAGATATTTAAATTCCAAGTTTCTCATAGTTATTCATGACTAAGAAAAGGGGCAGCTCTGCACTATTCCTTCACTCACATATTTCCTTCCTTTCTCTTTTTTCATCATCTTCCCTTTCTCCCTTTATTTAGTGGATTTTTAAAATAAATAAAATGCTGTGTGGCATAGCACTTTGCCAAACAGGAAACTCTCATAATTTTGTAATATTTTCTAGAATAGATTTTAGACCAGCCATAGTGAAATTTAATTATGGTGCTAATGTGCTTCTGAAGATTCCTGATAAAAGACTTGTGCCCTTAATCCCATCGACTCAAGAGGCCGAGGTGGGAGGATCACCTGAGTCCTGGAGTTTGTGGCTGCAGTGAACTATGTACTCCAGCCTGGGCAAAGAAACCCCATCTCTTAAAACAAAACAAACAAAAAAAAAGATTTCTGTTGAGAGGATAAAGTTAACCCTGTCTATGGTGGCTTTAACTATGACAAATCAGCCAGCAGTAAATTAAATAAATAATTTTTTTTCTAGTGTTTCTTATAAGGGAAGAACCAAAAGATTGAGATTTATGTGAAAAATGAAAAATATCTGATAATGGGATAGCTGGAAAACTTAGAAAATTAGAAATGGGTTTGCGATTTCATTCATGTGATCCTTTGCCATTACCCATCTGATGCCCCATAGCCCAAAGGCATGCTGCCAATATGAATGTTTACATGTATTTTTTATAGCTGAATATATATAGTTTATAAAATGGATATATACCATTAAGATGTTGTTAGACAAGTATTAGGCCAAACAGGTTATGTTTGCAGAAAACAAGTGTGAATGCAAGGAGTTTAGTGTGTTCTTAAACTTCTGCTAACAAAAGAACTTCCATTTACTTTTACAGAGTTAAGTTTGCCTCCTGAGTATATGAGAATGTGGCATAGGCCACAGATAGCACCTCAGAATTGATGTCGACTGGTGACTATTGCGATGAGTGTGGGTGCTTTTATAGATAACTGAGGTGTTGTTAGCTGAAGTGTCAAGAGTGGCTGGATTGTAATTGTTGACTCATTTTAAATTGCTTTGTTTTATAATCTCTTAATATAATAAATATGTAGTATTTTAAAATATGCCTCAAAGACACCAAAAATGATGAAAACCACTGAATTACGAGACTAAACTGCTCCCTCCCATCCCTCCCATTTGCTGTCTATCATCCTTTTCCCATGAAAGATGGCTTTTATAGGTTGAAAGCATAGAGGATGGCTCCTTCTTGTCATTCAGATCTCCGCTTACGGGCTACCTTCTCAGAGAGGACTTCCCCAAGCATCCATGGCTCAGGAAACCCCATAAGACACTCTCACCTTTCCTTTTTTACGTTTTAAATGTTCCCTATCTGGTACTTTGGTGCTAGTCTTTTGTCAGTCTTCACCTACAAGGTGCTAAGACCCCATCTGTTTTGTTCACCCTGTGTCCTGAGTGCCTGGAGCTGTACCTGGCATTGAGTAGGCATTCTTTAGATGTTCCATATGCAGGCTTTTTCCTTTGGACCTACCCCTGTGCCTGACCTTGAGAGCATTTCATCATCATTGCCTAGAATCAGGCCCTTGTTTTGGAATCTGTGGTACTGTATTCTCTGAATTTCTGTCATTAACCAGCCTTTACTCCCTGGTTGCAGCATCTGATTAGTATGATGATAACACAACTACTGTATGTCAACATGATGAGCATTTGTGGCAAGTGAGTCCTATCAAATTTTCCAGCCACAAGAGAGCTTAAGAAAGGTTTTGAGAGAGAAATGTGTAGACATTTAAGTCTTTCCTATGCTGGTGTTAACCCTCAAGATCAATTGGCCAGAATGTTCTGCTCTGATGGTAGACCTGAGTAATAGCATGTTGTAGCTTCCTTTTTTAGTACTGTTATTTAATTTACCCCCGTGAGTAATGCTATAAGAAGGAAGGCTTTAAGAATACTTCACTTCTCATCCCCCGACTTCCAGCCCAGTAGCCTGAGTCTAATCTTGTTATGTCTGGGAATAGAGTTACTAGATTTTCTGCTAATGGCTGTATTTTACATGATAATAAATCCAGTCTTTTCTACAAAGTCTACTTAATTTATGCAAAACAGATATAATTTGGAATGTGTATGAATGAAGCTATTCTTTCAAGGGAGCAGAGAGGCTGCTGTAGAGCCTGTTAAATACAATTTTATGGGCCCTCATGTCAGGTTAACACAAGCAAATGTTGGTTCTGTGGTCATCAAAGGTAATGCTTATTGGATAGTTTCAGGTAAAACAAAAAACAGCTTTTGAATCTCAGAGCCTTTGCTACTTACTCCCTAATTTAAGCTCAACTTGTTTTCAACCATCTTTCACACTTTGAAGTAGTGACCTCTTATACATTAGTGGCCTCAAAGTATTAGTGAGACTCCTGCTCATTGATTTTCAATAATATAGAGAAGGTATTCCAAACTAGTTCTGGCCATTAACAGAGCAAAGGCAGTAAATTAAATTAGCAGGGGGATATATCAAAAGCCTTTTGTACATGCCATAAAGTCTCCAAAATCTAATCCCTGAGAGAAATTTATTTTGTTCTGGAAAGAATAGCTTTCTTCTATTCTAAAATACCTTTCATTTATAAAAGAATGGATTATTGCCTGTGAATGGAATAGCAGGAATTCTCAGTCCTTTAATTTTGCCATCAACTTGCTGTGGTTTATCTCAAAAAAATAATCAACCTGTAAGAAAAACATCCGTGGCTGCTCTGCTCTTTGACTTTTAGGTAGAGTTAATTGTATAGATTAATTTAAAAGTTAGGTGTACTAATTAATAGTTACACATTTCAGAAGTCCTTAGCTCAGGGTATTTATTGATTTTTGTCTCTTTTGAGTTTTATAAAAAAGCTAGATGCCTGAAAACACTGAATTGTTTTACAATGCTAAGTTAAGAATGAGTAACCCTGCCTTCTTACTAATGGACAAAATTTTGATTTTTTGATCTAATGCCAGTGGTCCAGTGCAGAAACACAAATATTTACTTGCTTAATTTGGATGGATAATCAGATTTTTTAATTATTTTCAGAGGCAGGGGGTTAAAAAAATACTTAGGCTTTTTTTTTTTAGATGGAGTCTCACTCTTTTTGCCCAGGCTGGAGTGCAGTATTGCAATCTCGGCGCACTGCAACCTCCGCCTCCTGGGTTCAAGCAATCTTCCTACCTCAGCCCCCCACAAGTAGCTGGGATTACAGGTGTGCACTCCCACACCCAGCTAATTTTTGCATTTTTAGTAGAGATGGGGTTTCACCATGTTGGCCAGGCTGGTCTCGAACTACTGACCTTAAGTAATTGGCCTCCCAAAGTGCTGGGATTACAGGCATGAGCCACAACACCCAGCCCCAAAATACGTAGGCTTTTAAAGCAAGATAAGTGTGCTTTAGGGAGACCTTTTTGCAGAGGCTGATTTAGCTATGGGGAGATAATAGACTCCTTCGAGAAGCTAATGAATATTCTAGACTGTCTGAAGAAAGACACATGCACAGAAAATTTGACATAATTGCAGGTAGTTTACAGACCCTCTGAAAGTTGGCCAAGATCCTGTTGGCACCTATCTATAGGACTCCAGGCAAACAAACCCTGACTTACTTCTTCCAAGCAGGAGGTATGTTTAATTTTGTGCTGTAAATACTGGTCTTTCAATTTCTGGTAGTAACATAACACCCCAGGCATATTTGAATTTTATAAAATGCTGTAATATTTTTATCTAAACAGAAACAACATTTACAGTTGGCCCTCTGTATCTCTGGGTTCCACATCCATGGATTCAACCAACCTCTAATTCAAAGCATTCAAAGAAAAAAAAAAAAAGAATGTTTGCCTCTGTACTGAATGTGTACAAACTTTATTTCTTGTTATTCTCTAAACAATGCAGTATATCAACTACTTACATAGCATTTACAATGTATTAAGTATTATAAGTAATCTGGACATGTTTTAAAGTACATGGGAGGATGTGTATAGTTTATATGCAAATACTATGCCTATATATATACTTAAGTATATATACTTAAGTGTCTGGGGATTTTGGTATCTGAGGGGGGTTCTGGAACCAGTCCCCCAGATACCAAGGAACAACTGTATTTAATCCTTTTGCAATGAAGTATATATTTAAGATGCTGACAATTATTATTAAAGAAATAGTTATATAGAACACTTATTGAGTTAAGAAGATCCATTTTATTTTTTGAGACAGGATCTTGCTCTGTTGCCCAGGTTGGAATGCAATGGTATAATCATACCTCAGTGCAGCCTCCAACTCCTAGGCTCAAAGAACCCTCCTGCCTTAGCCTCCCCAAGTAGCTGGGACTACAGGTGCATGCCACGATGCCTGGCTACTTTTTTATCTTTCGTAAAGACAGGGTCTTTCTATATTGCTCAGGCTGGTCACAAACTCCTGGCCTCAAGTGATCCTTTCACTTTGGCCTCCCAAAGCATTGTGATTACAGGCATGAGCCACCAGGCCTGGCCTGAATTTCTAACACCAGCTTTAAAAGATCTTGCTCTGGTGCCCAGGTTGGAGTGTAATGGTGTAATCATACCTCAGCGCAGCCTCCAACTCCTGGGCTCAAGCGATCCTCCTGCCTTAGCCTCCTACAGGCACACACCACCAGCTTTAAAAGGACCCCCAAATCAATTCTATTGTTAATTTTCAGTCTGTCTTTCCCCTAAGTGGGGATGTTAAGAAAGAAAATAGTATCAGTTTTTATTACCACTTGCCTGGCATTTTTTAATTTGTTTTTCCCAAGTATTCCTAGTAAATTTTGCTTTATTCTCCTTTATGTACACACATTGAAACCTGCAGAAGGATGGTTTCTTTTCTTTGTGCTGCTGTTGTTCAAAACTGCTATAAGAATCTACAGGTCCCTTTTTGGGTCCATGGTAGATTATGGTTTAACACTCATTTAATCTTAGCAGGAACTAAGATTAGGATTGGGGAAAAATGAACAAAGAAATCTCTCACCAAACAATTCCTATATATGCACCAATGTCCAGCTCAAATCTCCCTTCCTCTGCAAAAAGTTCCCTAATCCCTTCCATGTCACATCTCTTGGCAAGTTTTTGATACCTCCCTTAAGGCAGTATTTACTGTTATCAGTAAATACTCCCTTCTGCTAGACAAGGAGTTTAACTAATGGAACTGGAGTTATTTTTGCTTTTGTTATTGATATGTAAAACAATGGCTACCAAAGGATTTATATATATGGTGGAAAGAAGTACAAGAAAAGTCATTAACTTGAAAAAGGGATTTACGTTATAAGTAAAAGACTGGACTTTGATATTCTAGTACATTTTACCAGTGATACTATTTTTCCAAACATTTCTCAAAAATTTAATAATCACATGAAACATACTCAGTTATTTTTTTTATTATACTTTAAGTCCTAGGGTACATGTGCACAACGTGCAGGTTTGTTACATATGTATACATGTGCCATGTTGGTGTGCTGCACCGATTAACTCGTCATTTGCATTAGGTATATCTCCTAATGCTATCCCTCCCCCCTCCCCCGACCCCACGACAGGCCCCTGTGTGTGATGTTCCCCTTCCTGTGTCCATGTGTTCTCATTGTTCAATTCCCACCTATGAGAACATGTGGTGTTTGGTTTTTTGTCCTTGTGGTAGTTTGCTGTGAATGATGGTTTTCAGCTTCATCCATGTCCCTATGAAGGACATGAACTCATCCTTTTTTATGGCTGCATAGTATTCCGTGGTGTATATGTGCCACATTTTCTTAATCCAGTCTATCATTGATGGATATTTGGGTTGGTTCCAAGTCTTTGCTAGTGCGAATAGTGCCACAATGAACATACGTGTGCATGTGTCTTTATAACAGCATGATTTATAGTCCTTTGAGTATATGCCCAGTAGTGGGATGGCTGGGTCAAATGGTATTTCTAGTTCTAGACCCTTGAGGAATCGCCACACTGTCTTCCACAATGGTTGAACTAGTTTACAGTCCCACCAACAGTGTAAAAGTGTTCCTATTTCTTCACATCCTCTCCAGCACCTGTTGTTTCCTGACTTTTTAATGATTGCCATTCTAACTGTTGTGAGATGGTATCTCATTGTGGTTTTGATTTGCATTTCTCCGATGGCCAGTGATGATGAGCACTTTTTCATGTGTCTGTTGGCTGCATAAATGTCTTCTTTTGAGAAGTGTCTGTTCATATCCTTTGCCCACTTTTTGATGGGGTTGTTTGTTTTTTTCTTGTAAATTTCTTTGAGTTCTTTGTAGATTCTGGATGTTAGCCCTTTGTCAGAGGAGTAGGTTGCAAATTTTTTTCCCATTCTGTAGGTTGCCTGTTCACTGTGATGGTAGTTTCTTTTGCTCTGCAGAAGCTCTTTAGTTTAATTAGATCCCATTTGTCAATTTTGGCTTTTGTTGCCATTGCTTTTGGTGTTTTAGACATGAAGTCCTTGCCCGTGCCTATGTCCTGAATGATATTGCCTAGGTTTTCTTCCAGGGTTTTTATGGTTTTAGGTCTAACATTTAAGTCTTAAATCCATCTTGAATTAATTTTTATATAAGGTGTAAGAAAGGGATCCAGTTTCAGCTTTCTACATATGGCTAGCCAGTTTTCCCAGCACCATTTATTAAATAGGGAATCCTTTCCCCATTTCTTGTTTTTGTCAGGTTTGTCAAAGATCAGATGGTTGTAGATGTGTGGTATTATTTCTGAGGGCTCCGTTCTGTTCCATTGGTCTATATCTCTGTTTTGGTACCAGTACCATGCTGTTTTGGTTACTGTAGCCTCGTAGTATAGTTTGAAGTCAGGTAGCGTGATGCCTCCAGCTTTGTTCTTTTGGCTTAGGATTGTCTTGGCAATGTGGGCTCTTTTTTGGTTCCATGTGAACTTTAAAGTAGTTTTTTCCAATTCTATGAAGAAAGCCCTTTGACAAAATTCAACAGCCCTTCATGCTAAAAACTCTCAACAAATTAGGTATTGATGGGACATATTTCAAAATAATAAGAGCTATTTATGACAAACCCACAGCCAATATCATACTGAATGGGCAAAAACTAGAAGCATTCCCTTTGAAAACTGGCACAAGACAGGGATGCCCTCTCTCACCACTCCTATTCAACATAGTGTTGGAAGTTCTGGCCAGGGCAATCAGGCAGAAGAAAGAAATAAAGGGTATTCAGTTAGGAAAAGAGGAAGTCAAATTGTCCCTGTTTGCAGATGACATGATTGTATATCTAGAAAACCCCACCATCTCAGCCCAAAATCTCCTTTAGCTGATAAGCAATTTCAGCAAAGTCTCAGGATACAAAATCAATGTGCAAAAATCACAAGCATTCTTATACACCAATAACAGACAAACAGAGAGCCAAATCATGAGTGAACTCCCATTCACAATTGCTTCAAAGAGAATAAAATACCTAGGAATCCAACTTACAAGGGATGTGAAGGACCTCTTCAAGGAGAACTACAAACCACTGCTCAACGAAATAAAAGAGGACACAAACAAATGGAAGAACATTCCATGCTCATGGATAGGAAGAATCAATATCGTGAGAATGGCCATACTGCCCAAGGTAACTTATAGATTCAATGCCATCCCCATCAAGCTACCAGTGACTTTCTTCCCAGAAACATACTCAGTTATTAAATGTATTTAACTATCAGTTATTGCTAAGATGGAATTAAAGTCAGTTCTTAATTTTTCAAAAAAAAATGAACCCCAGGATGAATTCATTCATTTCATTCATTTACCAAACTGAATTCTCCAAATGTTTATTTTATACCCTGAAATCAGTTCCTCTTCCTGAATTTCCTATCCCAGTTAATGGCACTGCCATATGGGCAACATAGTGAGACCATGTCTCTGTAAAAAAAAATTAAAAATTAGCCAGGCATGGTGGTACATTCCTGTAGTCCCAGCTATTTGGGAGGCTGAGGCGGGAGGATCGCTTGAGCCCAAGAGTTGTAGGCTGCAGTGAACTATCATTGCACTGCCTCACTCCAGAGCAAGACCCTGTGTCAACAAAAAAAAAAAAAAAGAAAAAAAAAGAAATTAATTCAGTGATGAGTTAGTGTCTTGGACAGGACTGACCTTGGCTTAGTCATTGTATCCTGAATCTATTGATGTGCCTCAAGGTTATAATAATTATAATGGCCACATTGGGTTCTTTCTACCCACCAAGGGCAGTGATAAAAGTTTCCCCCTTCTCCCATCCAGTCTTCATCATGAGCTTTTGAAATGTAGGTATGATTGAGAGTGAGGAGTATAGGGCCGACTCCTTGGGCTGGAATCAGACCTCTTTCACCACTTACCAGCTGTGTCACTTAGACATGTTTTCCGGCCCCCTGTACCTTAGTATACTCATCTATAAAACAGATAATAGTATCTCATTCTGAGGATTGATAGGAATATTAATATACTCTTTTTTTTTTCTTTTTTGAGACGGAGTCTCGCTCTGTTGCCCAGGCTGGAGTGCAGTGGCGCACCTTGGCTCACTGCAAGCTCCATCTCCCAGGTTCACACCACTCTCTTGCCTCAGCCTCCCGAGTAGCTGGGACTACAGGCGCCTGCCACCACGCCTGGCTAATTTTTAAAATATTTTTAGTAGAGAGGGGGTTTCACCGTATTAGCCAGGATGGTCTCTATCTCCTGACCTCGTGATCCGCCCGCCTTGGACTCCCAAAGTGCTGGGATTACAGGAAAATATTGATATACTCTTGAACCCTGTGCCTCGTGTTAGCTGTTAGAGTCATTATCCTCATTTTGCAGTCAAGGCATCTGAGCCTCAGAGGTTAAATAACCTGCCCCATTTCTCACACAGTCAGTATAAATCAGAGCCAACGTTTTGGAACCATCTGTCTGACTGCAAGGCCTTGTATATGGGATATATCCTTATTGAACAGAATGGGAATTCACAATTACATGTTTTCAAATTTCTTAGCATAGAAATTTGCCTTACGTACATATGTTCTTCCTGGGTGATCTTGTCCATTCCAAGGGCTTCATTTGCCATCTAATTTAGGGTTGGCAAACTATGACCTGCAAGCTGAATACATTCTGGCACCTATTTTTGTAAATAAAGTTTTATTGGAACACAGGCACACTCGTCCTTTAGCTACTGTTGATGGCTGCTTTCGTGCAATAGTGTCAGAGGTGAGTAGATGTGAGAGATCCTATGGCCTGCAAAGCCTAAAATGTTTACTCTCTGGCCCTTTACAGAAAGCATTCGCATACCCTGATCTTGCTCACTACTTTCAACCTTTCTCATAAGATCTTGATTCCTAAATTTAGCCACCCACCAAATTTCTTCATGCCCCATATCTACCTTAAAATTAACATTTTCCAACCTGATTTCTTCAAATGTCCATTTCCCACCCTGAAATCAGTTCCTCTTCCTGACTTTCCTATCCCAGTTAATGACACCACCATATGCCCAAGGTGTATCTCCCCTTTTTATTGCTCATGCCTGATGTCTTCAAAAGGGCTGTTCATTGATTATCCTAAATACATACACTTTTTGAAGACAGTAACCTAGGCTTTTAAGTAACCAATGCTGATCATTCTAGTATTCTCAGTCCCCATGTGCGATTAGACCAGAAATTCCTTTGACAGTCTGTCAGAAGTTGCTTTAAGGTATATTCAGTGAGAAATAACTATGGTCTGTCTCTGTCAAGTAAGCCATGGAAATATGAATCCATTTCTCGACTTTAGATACTGTTTCACAAGTAAGAATTAAAGAATGCTAGAAAGTCAGAATATTGTAAAATGTGTAGCCATTACTCAAATATATGGAAAAGAACACAGGTTTATGACTTATTGAGTTGTCACTTCAAAGTTATTCGTCATTAATGTTTTAAAATTAAATCTCTATTCTTTATTCAGGGCCTCATTGGCTGGCAGGGTAAGAAGTTAAAATTCTAACATCAGATTATCATTTTTTCTTGTTCATCCAAATAATATATTCAGATAATACATTCATGTTCATTCTTATCAATATCACTTGAATATTATTCCAAAGCTTATGATATTATTAACTCTGCATTCTCTTTTATGAATTTACAATTACAATTATGCTATAATAACTGATGAAGAGCACAGAAGAGCATTGTAAAAATAAATAAACTTTGAAATACGAAAGGATTAGTGGGGATAATAAATATCCGCTCATTGTCTTATCATCTTTGATCTTGGCATTTGTTCTATCCAGCAAATATTTTCATAGTACTTTAATTTCAGTTTCTTTATCTGAAAAATTATGCAGGAGCAGCCTTTGTTTTCCAAGAACAACAGAGATGTTTATAGCATTTAAGTCAAAAGCAGAGATAATAAATTAATTCTAATCCTCTGAGCAAAGACATTAGCTTTTGTGTAGCACAGGGATTTGGGTTTGTTCACACAAAATAATCCCAAGAATAATAGTTCCCGGTGCTCACAATTGATCTTAAAGATTAATATATTTCTGTGGTTAATGATTATGTAATATATTAATAAGCTTCTCCAAATACTTCCTGAAATTTTAATTATCTGTAGACTTTTAAAGCTATATTTTGATCAGACATGTAAAGAAGCAGTGTAGCTCAATCACTGTCAAATTAAGGATGATTTTACATTCTGCTTTAGAGAAAAATGCCACCCACCATCAGTCTGCAAAATAGCTGAAATACTTAGAAGAAAAAAAGTAAGTAGTTAAGGATGTCTCAATGCCGTTTTTGTCAACTAGCCTCATGCAGTGGTGGGGGCTACTGAACTTACAATTTCACTCTGCCTTCTGCTGGGAGTGCAGGTGCCCTTGGCTGGCCTCCCACCTAAGCTAGAGGTGGCACTTAAAGTCTCGACACAGAGTATCACATAAAAATCACTTTCAAGTCTTTAAATAGGTTTTAGCTATGAAAATGAAAATTTGGAAACTACTTTCTTCAACAATGAGGACGTGACTAAGGATATAAAAATATTTAATAGTTTATAGTCTTTTTTTTTTTTTTTTGAGATGGAGTCTCGCTCTGTCGCCCGGGCTGGAGTGCAGTGGCATGATATCGGCTCACCGCAAGCTCCGCCTCCCGGGTTCACGCCATTCTCCTGCCTCAGCCTCCCGAGTAGCTGGGACTACAGGCGCCCACCACCACGCCCGGCTAATTTTTTGTATTTTTAGTAGAGACGGGGTTTCACCGTGTTAGCCAGGACGGTCTCGATCTCCTGACCTCGTGATCCGCCCACCTCAGCCTCCCAAAGTGCTGGGATTACAGGTGTGAGCCACCGCGCCCGGCCAATAGTTTATAGTCTTTAAAATGATTTATGCAGGCTGTTTTGAAACATAGAAATGCATTTTTTACGTAACTGAAAATGGCACATGACACTGTATTTGCTGATGGCAACTTGCTAAATATTTACATAAAATCAAAGATCAAAGGAAACATCAGAGTACAATAGAGTTTAATGTTCATTGTTTTCTCTGTTTTCTATAAAGTTGTTTAACTTTACAAAAATTGTTATGACCTGTTTGTCTTAAGAATGTAAAAACCCTCCTTTTCTCATCATTCTAATGAGAAAGGATGTTCAGTCGTCCTAATGACTGAATTTTTGGAATGAAGTCTTTTTATAAATTAGGTCTCTTCTGATGTTTTTCTTTTTCTGGGTTGCCAAAATCTTATATATGTGCAATAAGCCAAAAAAGGTGGGAAGATGAACAGAAGATTTAGATTTCTAATTAATCGAACACAAATAGAGAAATACCTAAGTAGATGTGCCATTCTATAGAAATTTATGTGACAGTTTGGGGCTGATGGTTTCAAAAATCTTAAGTCGTTTTTAAAGGGCACCTGCCTGTGATTCATATAAATTAGGACTTCTCTGTTCTCATTTTTCTATTTCCTCTTATCACATCTAACAGGGACACTAATCCAGTAGTGCTCATTTTACATAAGAGCAGAGCCTTCAGGCTTAACTTGGGCATGTGATAGAGCTGGCATCACGTCATCCAGCCCAGCACTCAGTATCAGAGACAGCTTACAGATGGATGGAGAAAAACCCACTGCATAAGAAATAATTCTGCATTCATTAAGAGGCATATATATGTATAAGCTTTATCTCAAGAAAAGTAAAATGTAAGACAAACGTAAAGTCACCATCCTGTAGAGAAAGAGAGTGATAGAAGAATATGGGCAACTCAAATTCACTTTGGCCACCTTCTCTACTTGTTCAATTCTGTAAGACTGATGATTCTGGGAGGCTGAAGGCAGTGAGTTTGTGTTTCCTTTGGAATGAGCACATGTTCTACTGGCTTCTGCCAGCTCATGCAGCAGGAATGTGAGGATGCGATTGCGGAGTTGACTCACCAGCTGATGGACTCAAGCACCTACTTCTCTCCTTTCATTGCCTCAGTGGGTTTCTCTACATTATCTCACTGGGTTTACTTGTCTTTCTGTTTTCCTATCTGGAAGGAATCCAAATGCCTTAAATCCAAATGTATTTACCGCACATGAATTAACTTATAGACAAATACAGATAGAAAGGACTGTGAGTACCATTTTTTTTTTATTTCAGGACTAAGCTTTGGTCTCTCCCATGTCTTATGGCATTTTATGACAGCTACACTTATGAAGGGGTAACTTTATACTAAAATTGTGGCTTGAGAACTGCAACATGGTGCTGGAACCTCAGATCTCTGTGATTTTAGATGCGTAAAACTCAAAACTGAATTTCAAAGAGGGTCTTCTCCAGCCACCTTCTTACCACTCTTCCTGTGAATGTTTAAATCTAAGTTTGCTTTATTAGATAAATTCTGACATTTGGGTATATGAATGAGGTAGACTAATTTATGTGATTAAATTCTCATTCATTTAATAAGAGGATTAAATGCTTCATTGCAAAATGCTGAAGGATATTTTTAATTTACAGTCTCAATTTTAATTGCAACACTATCATTCTGTTTTGAGCATCGAGGAATAGCAATGAAACGTGTTTAAGTTATAAAGTAATGATTATGTTGAATTAATTTTAAGGCAGTTTTCCCTAGTTTTGTTTTTATAGGAAAAATATTTACAAGTTAATTTTTGTTTTTATCCATATATAAAATGAAAATAGTACATTAAACATGCCATCCTGTGTCAAATGGGGCAGACTCGGGGAGAGACCAGGAGAGCAGGGAGGGACCTTCTCCATCCCCAGTCCCAGCGTGGGGTTTGTTGTATGGTAGGTACTCAGTAAATATTTACTGAATCTCCAAATGTATGATTAACTACTGGGAGTCAGCAGTCTAGACTGGAGTACCAGCCCTGTTAGTCCTCAGTAATATCACTGAACCTCTCAGTCTCAGTTTCCCCATTTGTAAAGCAGGCATGGCAATGTTTCCTGTCGTTTTAATGGAAGACTGTGAGAATTAAAGGGAAAACGTGGCACATTTTAGAAAACTGGAAAATGGTGATATAAGGAATCCTTTCTAGCATTATTATTTTGCTATGTGCTGCTTATTAGTGCCCAGTGTTTGTTAGTATTAGCATCCAGTTAGCATTCAACGAATGCATATTTAAAATAAGCTAATGCACTCACAGTAAAATTGAGGACACATTAGCAATTTATCATACATTATTTGACTTAGCATTTTTTAAACCCTATATTTATTTAGGTATAATTGTAATTCCTTTATGTGCTTAGTTTACTTTTGCATTTTCATAGGTGGACATTGAAAAACATATATAGACAACTAAATCATTATTTTTCTGCAGCATTGTACATTAATAGCTTTTTGTGTACATGTGAATAGGAGTTGGCAAAAGAATGTAGCACATAATATAAAGGTTTAAGATGTAAGTAAATGAGAAGCTGGCTTATTGCTGTCACTTCTTTGGAAATTAGATTAGGGCATATATCACATTAAATTCACTTTTAGATATGTTGTGAAGCTAATGACAGGGCTTTGTTGAAGTGAGGGTTTGTGGGTTTTGATGAAGAAAATCTATCGGTATATGCCTTATCTTTTATTCTCTCTTCTTGCTCAATGTGTAATTAGGTTTGCTCTGCAGGATCACAGTATAGAGCATATATTAATTTTATATTCACCCTGCCTGTAATGATTGTATGCTAGCACTTCTAAGTGACACCAAAAATGCATTAATAAAGTCATAATCGTTAGCCAGAATCACAAGTATTGTAGTCCTAAATTTTGCTTTATTTTCTCTGTATGTCCTTAATTGATGATGTATTAATGATTGAACCCATTTGAGTTTATTTGTACTGTATATTATATATTGCAGTGAAACACTGGGCCGCAAAGACTTATGAAATATAAGACAAAACTTTGTCCAGGCAGGGAGATGGGACACAATCTCACAACAGCTTTTAAGATCATCTAATAAATGTATGTACATTTATATATACGAATGATGCTAGCGTCGTTGATGTAAATCATAATAATGACAACCACCCTGAATTTCCCAAGTTCTGAGAAAAACTGAAAGATAAGATAAAATCATTGTCAGATAAGGCTCAAACATCACCCTTATTATCTGTAAAGGCCAGGCTGCAGGGCATGGTTTATTTGTTCTCCTAATATGGAACCCAGGAATTAAGCACAGGTCACAGCGGCTGGGGCAGGCCTCTCTGGGCCCAGAGAATCAACTCAAATTATTTGCTGGAGGATCAGAGGAGAATTCATATTCATGGATGGTAGCCCTACTCCCTGCAGAGAGAAGGCAAGAGCTGAGTCCAGGAGATGCTTCCCCAAATTGCCCATTAGACATGTATGTCACTCAACCTCCCCTTGGGTAGAGTAAATGAAGAGATGGAAAGAGAGGTATTATATGCTAGAAATGTGTAGGGAAAAAAGCATTCTCCCCCAATATAAGACAGGTAATATAATATTTGATGTCAAGTGAACTGGGCAGAATCTAAGAGCAGAAGGAAAAGAACAAGCCTTGCTAAAAAGGACAGTCAGGACTTAGAGCTAAGTGGTCAGGGGAGAAGGGGGAAGAACATTCCAGTCATGAATGGTATCAGCAAAGGCACAAGCAGGGATGAGGAGTTTGTGTTGGAAAGAAGTCAAGGCTGGTGAATCAGGTTACAGAGGGCTGGAAAGTTCTAACCACAGGAACTAGGGAGTTCCTTACCCAAGGAGCTTTCGGAAATGGTGCATTTGAGTACTTCCTTGTGAACATGTGTAGGAGAGGTTTACTTTTTTCTTTATCCTAGAACACTGAACTCTAACAATGGTTTTCATATATTTGCATGATTCTCTCTATAGTTTATCTTGGCTAATTACATTTAACTATGGGCTCTCCAATTATATGTTGAACTCAATGACTAATCATCAGATTTCGATAGCAAAGAGCCTATAATTTCCTGAGTGTATGACCTATGTAAGGATATGTTGCAGAGAGAAGCTGTTTCCTTTACCATAGTAAAAATTTGTTTGTGGTTACATTAGAAGCTACCTCTAAAAGACATTTAGCTCTGAGATAGTTTTTAAAATTGAAGTTTGTAGTGTGTGTCCATCTGAGTGGACCCTATGGAATCCTGCTTACCAGGTCATGCCCAGATGCATGAGACAAGAGCCTTTTGATTTTAAAGGCTTCTGTTTCTGTTTAAGTGATTATTGTATACATTCCTCCAAAATAAAGACTTTTCTCAAAAGAAGACATACATGCAGTCAACAAACATATGAAAAAAAGCTCAAAATCACTGATCATTAGAGAAATGCAAATCAAAACCACAATGAGATACCATCTCACATCAGTCAGAATGGCTGTTATTAAAAAGTCAAAAAACAGATGCTGGCGAAGTTATAGAGAAAAAGGAATGCTTTTCCACTGTTGGTGGGATGGTAAATTAGTTCAACCATTGTAGAAGACAATGTGTTGATCCCTCAAAGACCTAGAGGCAGAAATACATTTAACCCAGCAACCCCATTACTGGGTATATACCCAAAGAAAAGTAAATTGTTCTATTATAAAAATACATGCACACATATGTTCATTGCGGTACTATTCGCAATAGCAAAGACATGGAATCAACCTAAATGCCCATCAGTGATAGACTGGGTACAGAAAATATGGTACATATGCACCATAGAATACTGTGCAGCCATAAAAATGAATGAAAACATGTCTTTTGCAGGGACAGGGATGGAGCAGGAAACCATTACCCTCAGGAAACTAATACAGGAAGAAAAAACCAAATACCAAGTGTTCTCATTTATAAGTGTGAGCTGAATAATAAGAACACATGGATACATGGGGGGAACAGCCTATACTGGGACCTGCCGGAGGGTTGGGGGGTAGGAGGAGGGAGAGCATCACGAAGAATAACTAATGGATGCTGGGCTTAATACCTAGGTGATGGTATGATCTGTGCAGCAAGCCACCATGGCACACGTTTACCTGTGTAATAAACCTGCACATCCTGCACATGTATCCCTGAACTTAAAATAAAAATTGGAAATTTAAAAAAAAGACCTTAGAAACGGGGCTTCCAAGAGTGGTCACAATCAATTACAGGATTACTACATAGATTTTCTTATTCCGTGCATTAAATTATGTTTGCCCAAAAACAATGTTACTAAAAAGAAAAACATTTTAATATGAAACTTTGCTATAGGTCTGTCCTGTACCCATAAAGCAATTGTTAACTCTTTGCTGAATGCTTTGGGTATCAAATGGTGATAAGAGAAGGGGGAAAGGGCACATCAGCTGCCTTTCCTATCATTGAGGAGTTTGAAATTTCACTGGGGAGATGTGACAAGTATTCACATCATAGGTGGTAAAAACTAAACAGTTTATGGATAAACACCAGGATGCCTGCTTTTAGTCATCCAATGCTTCATTTATTCAGAAGGCTTGCTAAACAGTTTGCAAAGCATTAGAGATGCATTCTTTTGCCTGATACACTGTCAAATATTACTGCCTTGCACAGAGGTCATTGGATTCACTCTGGAACTGATATCCTCTCCAAGACCAAAAGCTTGGTAAGTTTTTAGGATTCTCTTCTTGGCTGTCATTTTATCATCTGTAAAATGAGGGCTTTGGAACCAAATGAATGTCTTAGTTCCTTCCCGGCTCTAATATTTACCGACTTAAGAGTATCCCTGATGACACAGAGAAAAAGAGGAGAGAATCAGGATAATGTAAGACAAAAGGAAAGTTGTGAGGTCGAGTTATGCTGTTACACGCCCAATGCTGAAGCAATAGGATGGTTCAGAGTAAATGGGCCTGACATGAGAGATCCTTATCTGTCAAGTTTTCTTTCAGATACTATAAACATTACAGGCTGCAGTATTTTTCTTTTTTATTAATGCAGAAGGTCTATTTTATTTTGTCTGTGTGGATGTTTGCTTATGAAAGAATTGGCTTGTTTTAACAGAAATCCTTTTAGTTTGGGATGGGTTGAATGAACCACTCTTTTTTAAAGAAACAACTTATTGAGATATAGTATCTTTCACATACTGTACAATTCACCTATTTAAAGTATACAGTTCAGTGGCTTTCAGTATATCCAGCTGTGTAACCATCACCACAATCAATTTTAGAACATTCTCATAACTCCAGAAGGAAACCCCTCACCCCTAGGCTGTCACCCCACCTCCAATTTCCCCATCTCACCCTCCTTCCAGCTCTAGGCAACTACTGATCTACTTTCTGTCTCTAGTGAGCTGCTCTTTAATGAAGGAGACAGTCAGTGGACATCAGAGACTAAGCACCATAGTGCAGCTTTATCCAGACACATCTATTTAATGGTTGGAGCTGTTAGAGTTTGCAGTAGCTGATGGCAAAATCTAGTTTCTAAGTGATATTGACCAGAAGAATGAATGTCATCAAAAATAACAACCTGAAAATAGCCACAAATTCAGTGCTTAGGAGAGTACTCTTCAGCCATTATCAGTGGAGTGCTTCAGTCACTTGCAGTCAGCCTGACATACTCTACCTCATTACATGAGACATGTTTAACAAAATAAAAAATCATGATACATTTCTTATAGTTGTTATATTTTTATGGCACTGGTGTATGGTTCACCCAGCGAAATCCCACTTTGGACATTCTGTGTGTGGTGACTTTGCTAGGAGATGTTGAATGGCTCTGCTTTCAAGGAGCAGCATAGGAGTGGATGATAGGTATGCATAAACAAGCAAGTGCAAAATAGCAGCAAAATACTCCAGGTGCAGCATAGGGGGCACTTACAAGGACAGCCAGTTATGCCCGGGGAGACTGGTGGGGAGGGGGGTGCCAGAAACAGCTCATGGAGAAGGTGGAGCTGCAGATAAGCAATGGAACACTAGTCATGCTTAGGGAATGTGAGAAGCAAATTTAGGTAGAGGGACCAGTGTGTTCAAATGCACTGACATAGGAAACATCCTAGAGCCTTTGGATGTGAGCAGATAAGACAGTAGGGTGGTTACAGGAGAGGTTGTGAGGAGGATTCTGAGGCTGTGCATCAGTGTGTGAAAGGGGCTATGTGAGATCTCTAAGGAGTTGGACTTGACCCACTGTTTTAATTTCTTGTGGCTGCTGTAACAAAGCAAGCAAATTGGGTGGCTTAGAACAGTAGAAATGTATTCTCTCCCAGTTCTGGATGCCAAAAGTCCAAAATCAAGATGTCAACAGGACCATGTTCCCTCTGAAGCCTGCAGGGGATGGATGTTTCCTTGCTTCTTCCTGCATCTGGTAGCCTCAGGCATTCCTTGGCTTGTGGCAGCAAAATTCCAGCCTTTGCCTATGGCTTCAGATGGCATTTCCCCTGTGTCTCTTCACATCTGCTTCCCTCTAGGCACATCTGTTTCTGTATCCAAATTTCCACCTTTTATGTAAGGACATCAATCCTAATGGGTTAGGGCTTACCCTAATGACCTCATTTTAACTTGATTACCTCTGTAAAGACCCTATTTCCAAATGAAGTCACGTTCTGAGGTACTGGGAGTTAGGACTTTAACATTTTTAGGGGACAAAATTCAACCCATTACTGCCCCCAGGCATTCAGATGTTACTGCAGGGAAGTCAAGTGTTAATATTTGCATTTTAGAAAGTCACTTGGAGAGTTGTGTGGAGGATGAATGCAAAAGGGGCAAGAGTAGTTGGGAACCTCTTGGCCTTGACCGTTCAAGAAGCCTTGTGGGCTGTTTACTTTATCCTTCACACTCCAGATTCTTCAAGTTTAAAAAGAAGAAGAAAAAGAAATCTGCACATCCACAGCAAAACTAGAAAGTCAGGGAGAACTACCATCAGTGGAGAAGGATATTTAAGAATTCCCAGAAGGTACTAAAAGAAATGAATTGATTGGTAGTGAAATCCAGAAGAACAAAGGATTATATTCCCTTTTACCATTACATACTGTATATTAATAAAACTTTGGTTTTAGGTCAGTAAGGAGCAGGAGAATAAAATGAAAATGTGCATGCCCTTTCACTCAGCAACTCCATGTCTAGGAATCCTATCTATACTCACTCATGTGCTGAGATATATATGCAGGACTAATCATTGTAATGTCATTTGTAATTGAGGAAAACCAAAAATAATCTAAATATCCGTTGGCACAGAATGCCCAATTATAGTATAACCACACCATTCATTGAATGTTCTATAGTTACTCAAAGGAATGAGATAACCCTATATGTACTGACATGGAACATTCTCTAACACACAGTAAATGAACACAATGAAACTGTTGAACAGTGACTAGTATAGGGTACTATATATGTAACAAAGAAAGAAAGACTCTTTCGATTTTTGTATCTTTCCAGACCTTTTTAAAGTATTGTACTGAACTCTAACAGTGCTTACCTGTGGGATTAGGGAATATAGTGAAAAGGAATATTCTTTTTTAAAACATAATACTCTATATCCTGTGTGTTCTGTGAACTTTTTCAGTAAGCATGCAGTATACCAAAACTGGACATTTACTAAAACATTTAAGGAGACAGAATCCATGAGACTTGAGACTTCACCAGTGGGCGAATGTGGTGAACAGTGGGGTGGTAAAGAGGGGAAAGTAGAGGAGGGGTGGAAGGGATGGGATAGGGATAGCATGAATTCAAAACACTCAGAAGCAAAAGGGCAACATTTTAAAGGGAACTATTAAAAAATAAAAAAGACAGAAAGTATGTATTTTATTGTAAAAGGGGTCTAGGAGTGTTAGTTTGAGAAATAGGAGGATTTATGCATCTTCAACTATGATTGGTGGAGCCCATCAGCATAAGAATGGAGAAACAGTGCCGTGAGATGAGAGCCAGTTGCAGAAATTAATGTCATTCCCAGAATCTCTTCTGCTAAAGAGTGTATACAGCCACCAAAACAGCCACCAATGACTTATCCCTAGTGATCCACAAATTACATACAAAGTAACACCTCAGGGATAGGTACTTATCTCTGAAATGGGAGGGAAAAGTCTTTACCCCTTCTCTTCATTAACACCTTTACTTGTTCCTGTCTGTGTTTTCCCATCTCCGCTTGACTCTCCTGTTCCTCCTTCCCTTCCTCACCCCCCTTTCTCTTTTACACACACATACACCTACCCACCCCGTGATACAAATCTACTAGCCTGAACAAAAAGTTAAAGAAAGGGAACTCATAGAAGAAAATGACGTCCAAATCAGATAAGCACCTCCAAATGATAAAGAGGAAAAAGATTTTCTGCCAAAATTATCATGTGAAAATTGTCATGGCCTACTTATTTTATCAGAAAAAAAGTGTGTTAAAGGTAATGTTAACATAGCAGAAAGCTTGAAAAACAAGTGACAACCATATTTCCAAATCAGCTTTTATATGCCTAGTGTTTTGCAGTTAGTGATCAAATGCTTTCACAGCATTATCTCGTTTGAGCCTCACACTGACCCTTTGAGGTAATGCTTCCATGTCTTTATGGAAGGGGACACTGAGTCCCAGAAATGGGCAAGAGCCTTGACTGGTGAGGCATAGACTCTGTTTTCTATGACACTCTGATGCCTGCATGGCCTCAGCAGAGTATAGTTGGTACCCCATGGATTTGTCTCTCGAGCTAAACCTTTCAGACTTCATCTTCCCAAATCTTGTTCTGTCACCTGCCTTAATCTTGAAGAATCACAGAAGTTAGCAAAGTATACTAATCTATGTCATTTATTTATAAAGCAGAGTGGTCATTTGAACAACAAGAAGTTTGGTAGATAAAGGGGATAAGATTGCACCCTTTGGGGGACCACCAACAATAGCTTACAAAGTAAAAATGCAGAATTTAATTTCAGAGATAGTGTTACTTCCTCATTCATGGTACTACTTGTGGATATTATGGTGAGCCGTGAGCAATGGAGAAAGAGCCAAAGAAATGAGATTTTGATCCCAGCCAGACTCTGAGGTATTTCCTGGTACCTGGCCTACAAATATTGGCAATAGTTGTTCATAAGAAGAATTAGCTATTAATTATTTCACTAATTCGTAGCATGCAATCCTGAGGTTCTCCATCTGAAGGGGAGAAAATGGAGAAATTATTACTAAATGTACTACCTAAAAGAGGTAGAAGTATAACCAAGAAGTCATTCAGTGATATGTTTACTTTTTAAAAGTTTCCAGACATAACACTGCACAACTGCAGCTTTCCTCCGCAAAGTCATCAAAGAGCTAAAATGTACAAATGGGAATAGGGATATAAAGTGGAACTGAAGATAAATGGAGAGCCACAGCAGCCCCCGCAATACTTCCCTGGTGTTGGTTCCTCCTGGGACCATAATCTGGGCTGACATCTTCTCTCCTTCCAGCATCTCTTTCAAATAACATGAAGATCTGGTAAATGGCCAGTCAAGCCTCTGGCTGCTCATTCTGGTAGGTCTGAGGTTAGTTTGGCTATAATATATCTTTCTTATTTTGTCCCTCTATTGTGGTTTTGTATAGATTTTCTTGCCTGTACTACTTCTTAACTAAAGGATAGTTACCATGGCAACACCTGTTGATGACAGACAAAAAAAAAAATGTGATTCCACAGGGTGGAGGCTGCTCCTATATTTCTTGCTCCTCGCTCTCACAGTTAAGATTCAAGGGGTGTTTTTGTTTCTCCTTCTTTCTTCTTCTGTGGGTGACACTAGTTTTCTCCATTTTGGCAGATCGATGTGGAAACTGCTGTCTGCTGCTTCAGTTTTCCATGCAAAGATGCGGCCATGTTACCCTCGCGAGCATTTGTTGTCATGATTTTTACCAACTGTAATAGACATCGTGCTTTTGTACAAGGGAGTTTACAATCTTTCACGTCTGTTTTTTCCTTCTCCTTTCCTCTCTTTTTCCTTCTTCTCTTTCCTCTTCTACCCTTATTTGATCAACCAGGTGAGCCCATATTCCTTCTTTGACTAGATAGCCAAAGGTCTGCAGTAGTAAAGTCCAAATTTCACATCTCATTTAAAATGCCATTAGTCTGGATATCAAAACAATTAATAAAGTAAAACATGGGGTATACATAATACCAATTTGTTCTATAAACAAATCAGTTTGAAAGAAATATATTCTAGATAGTAAATAAATGGAAGAGCCTTAAAAAATAATAATGTACTGAAGAACAGTCGTATATGATAACTGGTTAATCTCTTCTTATACATATGTAGCTATATCATAAATATTCCACATTTAAGCAAGCATTTTGATATGCCTCATCGGGACATGGCATTGCAGAAGAATCTTTGGATGAGGGTTTTTGTTGTTTTTTTTTAAGGCACCAGTTCTAACACCAAATCACCTGATTAGGGGAAGAAGCACAGGTAGCGTAGGTGAAATGGCTAAGCCACCACAATGGAGGTGGAGGTGAAGGTAATGAAAAGTGGCCTGGGTTATGTTTGTGGCTCAGACCTCAGATAGCCGTGTGATTACAGCCAGGGCTCAGTTTCCTTGCCACTAAATTTAGAGACTGAACAGAAATATCATGGAGTTTGTTTCTAATTCTAAAGTATATTAATATAACTCTGAAATATACATAAGTACTAAACAATAGAACAGAAACATCATTATACACTAAGGGCTGAAAAAATGTACATAGAGAAACAGGGTGGACTCATAAGCATGAATTTTGAGTGACTTTTCAAAGACATGAATTAACCAAGAGGGGAGTCTAAGAAAATAAGTGATGTAGCATATCAGTCTTAAGATACTGTGTCCCAGTAAAGCAAAAAAATTCCCTAGGAATTTTGGTTGATATAAATTCTTACAGAGCTCTTTAAAATTTTTCCTCACAATTAAAATAATTATTGAAAGCTGTTTCATTAAGTATGCTGCATATTTTTTGGTCATTCATCTCTCAAGCTATCACTGGAAAAAATACAATTGAAAATGCAGATTCCCTCTTTGAAATTGTATAATGAATTGCGTGAACCTACCTGTTATTTTGATGTTCATTTGAAGTTATATAATTAAGAAATAACTCCATATAGCAGATGGATTGATGTGTAAACCTCTTGATATGAGGTATGTAAAGTAATGAGAATTACCTTCCTTACCCTAATCTCTGTGTCTTTAAGTCAGGACTGGAATATTAGGTAACTTGACCATCTTTTCATGCACTGACCCTGTATTCTAGGGCTGCCATAACAAAGTTCCATGAACTGAGTGGTTTAAACATCCAGAATTGATTGTCTCACCATTCTGGAGGCTGCAAGTCTGAGATCCCAGCGTCGGCAGGGCCGTGTTCCCTCTGATGGCTCTAGGCAAGGATCTGTTCCAGGTCTGTCTCTTAGTTGCTTGCAGTTCCTTGCCTTATGGCAGCATACCTTCAGGCTTCACATGAGATTCTCCCTGTGTGGGTGTCCCTGTGTCCAAATCCCCCCATTTTATAAATATACCAATCACATTATATGGGGGCCCATCCTACTCTAGTGTGACCTCATCTTAACTACTTATGGTATATCTGTGATATGCTATTTCCAAGTAAGGTCACATTCTGCAGTCCTGGAGGTTAGGACTTAGAGACATGAATTTTGGGGGACATAAATCAAACCTAACAGGCTCAGAAAAGCGTCACATAGGCACATGCACACACACACACAGAGTATAAGATTCTCTAATTGTGGCCACCCTGTGAACATGGACTCTTATTAGAGTCCATCATGATACTTGTAGTTCTTCTAAACACCATATTTTACCAATCATACTGTAGCTAACATTTACTGGGCACTTAACTATTGCAAAACTCTTGTTAGGGTGTTTAAACATACATTAGTTCATGTGTCATTTCCCTTCAAGTGAATCTCCTTGACTATCTCTGTGATAGTGAGCATTACATCTCACTGAATGTCTCAGAATTTCTCTAAAGTTCCATGTAGATCATTTAGTAGTTACTTTCCTTCAGAGAAACTAAATGTCATACATATGTTAGCATCTCTTAAAACCACCCTAAGTCATGCGAGAGTGTACACACGGGCACATTATCAATGGCAGAGTTCTGTTGTGGTATCTGCAAGCAGCATTGAAAGTCTAAGATTGAAGTGGTCAAATGTGTGTGTGTTCTCTCTCATAACACACACACATACATATATATGTACTCATTACATATATAGAGTGTGAAGGAGCAAGGAAGACACTTCAAACTACTTTATCCCATATGGTCCATCTGTAAAATGCCAACCTACCAACCCCCAGTTCACACACGGCCCTGCATACCCCTCTGAAACTCAGGCATTTTACGGACAACAATCTTTCAAAATGTGGAAGCTGCCAGGCGAATAACCAGAGCTTAAATGTCTCTCTCTTGACCCCACAGGCAGAGCCATTGCCTCAGGTCAACACAAACAGCCCAGCCAGTTTTGCAGAACCCCAAGAACGGAGGCCAGGGTCCTTTCTGTGGCTGGGAAGTTACCCCGTGGCTGGGACTTTTCATAGCAGAGGAACTTCACAGCAGATTTTTGTGAATGTTTGGCATCTCAAACACATACCTGGGCAGACTTCAAGTTAGTTACTGACCCCACAACTTTCTCGGCTTCCTGGGGAAAGGGAAGTCTTTCTTGCCTGCCCCTCCCCGCCGACATGCATACCCATTCACACAACTTCTGCTGGGGCAGCAACCCTCCAACCCCATAACCCCTTGAGTGATCCCCAGATTAGATAACTTAGAAGTCAGAGAACTGTTTCTCATCAGGAAATGCCTGAGGCAGACCTGAGGCTTTGTGAGAGACAACCCGGTGTTCCAGGTGGCTACCCAGTTAGCTGCCCATGATGCACAATGGCAGGATAGGGCATGTGCATTAGGCCAAGACAATCAAAGCTCTATAAATGACAGCTAAAGTCCCAGTCCAAAAGAAAGTTCCTAAATGTGCAGAGTGGAAAGGACTGGAATAATATTTACTTTTTGTTCATTGTATTCATAAGCAAGGAAATAACATTGAGAGGTGAATAAAGAAAATGAACAAATGACTGAATGAATATCCTCTGTAGTTGTGCTGGCTATTATCTCATGCTTATTTACATTGCCTAAAAGAAGATGTTTTAAATTCTGTATTTTACTATCAATTTATAAGCTAATAATTAGAGGAGTCAATTTATATGTCTTCTATTCACTAAAGCAACATTTAAGTACTGAATCTAATCTTACTTTGTATTCAGATGCCTGAGAAGCATGCTATAGAGCTTCTCTTAAACACATCGTGCTGCACATTATAAACTATTCTATTCTGTGCCAACAAGAAAGATTTCTTTTCCTGTTTTGAACACTTCGGTCATTTGATTACTTCTCTGCTGATATTGAAACTGCAAGGAATTCATATCCAAGCCACACTTGGGATGGATGCATACGGATAAGGCTTATACTAAATTATGGCATTTTAAGCCTCTTTCCAGGTAGCATGCTTAGAAATAGAAGATTTTTGCTAGTAAAATGTCATTTTAAAAAAATCAATGTATGTATTATAACTGTATCTGTCTTACCTGAGTCCTGTATGTTGTAGATAGTATAAGGATACATCGTTAAGGATTTTTATCTTCAGCTTCCTAGAATTCAAGAAAATTATGGTCCTCTTGGAAAGGAGATTACAGAGTTTTCATTAAACCACACCACTGAAGAGGATTTGCAGAAAGAACTATTTTTCCGGTGTCATACTTATAATCTTTTTGATGCCTAAAGAAATCTGATTATTATTATATTTTGCCTTCATCTTATCTTCACAGTGGCCTCTTTTGGCAGCTCTGTGAACTACTCTTTCTTGCTGCTTCCATTTTTTCTGTACTCAACGAAAAAAAAATAAAACCCAGAAAACCCTCTTTTAATGGACTGCTGCTTTGCATACATCAGGGATTTCAGCTGTTCGAGTGTGTGAAAAATGAAACAGGAGACATCAGATGGCATGAAGACTAGAACTGTTAACACAGTAAATACCAGAAAGGCTGAAAGTGTGAGCCAAAGCAGCTGGGGAGTGGAAAAAACGAGAGGCACAGCTGGGAGAAGCAGCAAGAAAAAGCAGCCCCAGGAAACATGAGGGAGCTTAGCAGGGGGAGAAGAGCGGCTGATGAAAACAAGAATCCGAGGATAAGGGAGGCAGAAGCGTTGTTAGTTATGTTTTTCCAATATTGCACAGTGCATCATAGCCCATATGCATTGTCTTTGGCTACCTCTTTAATTGCTGTGTCATTGAGCATATTTAATACAGTTTTCTTGCATGATTACTATGGACTGAATATTGAAATATCAATGAAATATCTGTACTTTGAGGTTGATCTCTGTTATATTGATAATGTACTAAACCTGTCAGGGAATTCAGACAGGTTAATGAGAAATATCATGCATTAGTTTAAGGATACATTTTTTTTTCTACCAAAAGTATATCAAATTGCTAACATTTAGTATTTGGACAAATAAGGAATGTGTGTAATTAGCTGGGTTAATAACTGGTTTGGTAGGCATATCCAGAGAGCACTGATTAATAAATTGCTCTCTTCCTGAAGAGAGGTTTTTGGTATTTTAACTTTATCCAGTCTTAGTCCACATTAGGCCTCACATGAGTAAAACTGTATAAATGCATGCCCCAAAGTTGGGAGAGATAGCAGATGTAAAAACTGATGGAAACAGAATTAGGACCATCTTGACATTTAACACAGTGACCCAAATCTAAGAAGCAGAAATGTCACAGGGATCAGTATAAACACCCTGCTCCCCCAGTTAAATTGCAAAGGAACAGTAAGGAGAGATGAAGCTTAGCAGCATCATATTTCACAGAAATTTAGATTTTAGTCAAATATAAATGTATATACACATGTGTTAATATGTGTTTATAACTGTGTATATATGCATGTATATATATGTTAATACATATATACACATGTGTATATATGTGTGTATGTGTGTCAGGGTAGCTGTTAAAAAGGCTTCTGTGATCTTTGGCCTTCTAAATAATGTGGGTGGACAGAAATAAGAGACCTGTTCCACTCTTCACTGATGAAGTGCTTCTTCACCTGGAGAATTGCCTTTGAGCTTGATCTTTTAGAAGAGAACATCCAGAAAATGACAGTGCCAGCCCCCAGTACATCTCCTCCTGCCTTCCTTGTTCCCTCACTATTTGTTCCTCTTGCATGTGCCATCGTTGCCCTCCCCAAATCTGAATTTGTTCTGACTAAAGCAGAAAACACTTTAAATGTTTAAACCTACCCCACAGTCCACTGGAGCACATCACTAATTATACTCTCTCTGTGCCTCGCCCACAGTAGTATCTTGCCCAATGCCAGCTGTGTTTGTTTGCTGAATCTCCCATGTTGAGATGTTATTGCCCCAGTGAACACTAGGATGACTATGTCACATTCCAGCGATGTTATTGTCATGCAGATGTAGGCTCTGGTATCCTAAGATGATTCTCAGGCTCCCATAATCCTTACTCCTTGGCCTTCCAAGTTTCAGCTGTTTCTGTGTCTGTGTAACCAAGCGTCTGGGACTGAAGATCCTCTTTGGGTCTCATAGTCTGTGTTGGTCTTGCCAGGTGATCTTCTTGAGAACTGTGGCTCTTACTCTGAGTAGCTGCTCAGTGGCTAGATTCTGTTGCTGTGACTAGACCTCCAGGATGGTAATGGACGACCCTCCTGACTTCACCAACCTATTTACTCTTTGCTGATAGCTTTGCCTCCCTGCGATAGCTGGGCCCCAAAAATCCCCACCCACCGCCACCACCGACACCCAAATAAGGGTTATTTCCTAAATCAGGTCGATGTTGCCTTGTTCCTTGGAGGTTGTGCTTGGTTGTTGGGCTCCCCTCCCAGGTTGGGCTTTGTAGCTGCAGCAGGCTCTTCTACTCTGCTCTTGTGAGCAGACCTGGCCAGGGACCCGCTCCCTTCTCCTGGCAGCCTTTGTGTTCTTTTGAGTTATGGCAGGTGGTACATGAAATCGTATTCTTTGGAATAGAGAAGGAAAGCTCAAGAGCAGGGGAAGAGGAACTTCTTTAAATAGGTGTCTTCCAGTATCTGAAGGGTTGCCATGTCAGGGAACTATTGGACTTGCTCTGCATGGCCCTAGACCTTAAAACCACGACTCAAACAAGGTTGAAGCCACTAAGCCTCTGGAGCACAGAAGAACCTTTCTTACTCCTAGCTCAAATTTAACAACACTTCTCAGAGACAGAAAGGGATTCCTTGGGATGGAGGAAGCCCTTTATTGTGGCAGGGAATTCAGCATAGGTAGATTAGCAGGTCTAAGTTTTGTTTATTGGTTTATTTCCATTGCAACATAGATAAAGTATTGTATTTACTGGAATGATGTTTGCATGTGGGAAATATTGCTGCAGCAGTATGCCAGTCATGAGCAGCCGGTAATCCTACTCTCTTCTCTGTCTTCAGGGACTGTGAGTGAGAGAGGTTTTATTATAGCAACATCCTTGAGCCTACTCTGATTTTTTTAAAATGAATTCACTCAATCAGTGAATAAATATTGAGCAATTACTATATTCCAAGCACTGTGATTCATTCCATGCTCAGTACGTTGAACTGTTCTATTTAACCAAGTCCTTTTGACATGGCAGTTATCGATGAGATGTCACAGACATTGTAGAAAGGATTCAAGTATCAAGTGGGGTTGATTTATGGATGACCTTTAAGTTTCTTTTAAATTTGAGAATCTGTAATTGAGTTTCATGATTCTGGTCTCATACTGAGTAGTTATCTTGCCTCCAGGTACAGTTTTTAAAAGTCAGACATGAATTTGGAGTAGATTGCTGAAGTCTATTCTCCTCAATCCCTGTATTTGTCTACCCAGATAGCAGGGAGATACACTCTCAACATCATTACTCCTTCCCCAGAAGAGACTGTTAGGATATAACCTCGAGAAAACACTCCTTTCCTTAGACCCTCCTCAGCACTGCCAGCGGGGGCTCAGCCCAGGCCATCTGTCAGGTGCCCATCTCATCCCTCAGGGTTTCAGTGTCCCAGAATGGAGCTCTGTTTCAGTTCTGCTGGGTGGCTTTAGCCAGAACAAGAGTTCAGGTTAGTTTGGTAAAAACACATCCTGAACTGGAGTTCACTTGCTTGGGCCTTCTTATGAATGTCATCATTAGTATTAAGAAGTCACCAACCGTCCTCATGAAAACTGTCAGAGAGCCAGATGTAACAGAAACTGCTGGGCGTGGCATTCCATGGACAGGATATGTGGGTTTCAGGGAGAGGTCATGTTTGACTAAATCGTCAGTATCAGAAGTCCTAAAATTCCATTCGGTGGAAAAAGAAATCAATATTGAAGGTATGGGATTTCTGTTTGATTGGGTCAATAATCATTTGCAGTGATTAACCTTATTATCTCTATACCCTGATAACCTAATTATCTCTATCACCTTTGGAAATAATCAGCAAGATGAAAGGAGACCTGAAGAAGTGTTTGGTCTATCAGAATTATACTCAAGTTGTCCCAGTCAGGGCATGATAGTTTGCAATGGAGCTAGGTTATCTGCTTAGTGTAACAACTCCCATGATTCCAGCTAAAATTGTTTTGGGGTTTGCCATTTTTTTTTAAGACTGATCTGAAAAATGACTGATGCTTACTTATAACATCCAAATCCTTGGAATATTATTTTTCATAAGAGCTTTATTTAGATGCAATTCACATACCATACAAGTCATCCATTTAAAGTGCAACCATCAATTTTAGGACATTTTCATCACCCCTTCTCCCCTAGCCCTAAGGAACACAAATCTACTTTCTATCTCTATGTATTTGCCTATTTTGGACATTTCTTATAAACAGGATCATATAATATTTTTTTGTGACTGGTTTCTTTCACTTAGCATGTTTTCAAGGTTCATCCATGTTGTAACATGTACCAGTATTTTATTCTATTTTATGGCTGAATACTATTCTTCTGTATGGATATACCACATTTTGTATATACCCATTCACCAGTTGAGGGGCATTGTTTCTACTTCTTTGGGTATTACAAGTAATGCTTCTGTGAATATCTATGTGCAAGTTTTTGTGTGGACGTATAGTTTCATTTCTTTTGCTATATACCTGGGAGTGGAATTGCTGGGTCACATGGTAACTCTCTGTTTAACATTCTGAGGAACTAACAGACTGTTTCAAAGCAGCTGCGTTATTTTACATTCCCATCAGCAGGGCATGGGGTTCTGATATCTCTACATCCTCTTAACACTTGTTATTAGCTTAGACGTGTTTATTATGGCCAAGAGCAAATCACTAGGAAGGTATGAAGTGGTATCTCATTGTGGTTGATTTGCACTTTGTTGATGGCTACTTATGTTGTGATGTTGAGCATCTTTTCATGTGTTTATTGATTATTTGTGTATCTTTTTTGGAGAAGTGTCTCTTCAGATCCTTTGCCCATTTTTGGTTGGGTTGTCTTTTTATTATTGAGTTATAAGAGTTATTTATATATTCCATATATAAGTCCCTTATCACATACGATTTGCATATATTTTCTCCCATTCTTTGGGTTGTCTTTTCATTCTCTTAATATTGTCCTTTAAATTACAAATATTTTTATTTTAATGAAATCTAGTTTATCTGCTTTTTCTCTAGTTGGCTTGTGCTTTTGGGGTCACATGCCTCTGCCAAATCTGAGCTCATGAAGATTTAGCCCTTTGGTTTTTTTTCTAATAGTTTTGTAGTTTACGCTTTTACATTTAGGTATTTGATCCATTTTGCATTAACTTTTTCTGCGGTCTGAGTTAAGGATCCAACTTTATTCTTTTATATATGGCTGTCTAGTTGTTCCAGAACCATTTGTTGAAAAAGCCTGTTCTTTCCCCGTTGAATAGTCTTGGCACCCTTGCCAAAAACTCAACTGGCCATATAATTGAAGGAATATAAATATATGGGTTTATTCCTGGATGCTAAAGTATTGATCTGTATGTCTATCCTTATGACTGCACCACAGTGTCTTGATGACCTTGTTTCGTTGGAATATTTTTAAGTCGCAAAATGTATATTTTGAAAATTCAAAACTGTGCACCATTTTTATATTATTAAATTAACTGTCAAATCTTGTCTCCAGTTTTCAAGTCAGGATCTTACTCATATCTGGTGATAGAGAAAGCACATCCAAACATTATTTTTAATACACATTAATAGAATTTGACATTTTTTAAAAAATTGTTAGTTCTTTAAATTTTACCTTTTAATTGCAGCAATTTGATTTAGATAATTAAATCTTGCTCATATTTCTGGCTAATTCAGGAGAATTCCCTGGATTGACCATGATGACAAGAAAAAGTGGAGAGGTTTATGGTTGGAATCCACATCTAAATATATCTGCATGGCAGGGGTTCAGAAGGAGGCTTGACTTGAAGTCTAATAAAAGAGTGGAACGATGGCTTGGGAACTCAGTTGTCTATCAAGCCCTGCACCCAGCGAAGCTCTGTCTCCTAGTTGATGAGATTGACAGCAGAAAGACCTGGAGTCGGCTTAGAAGAAGACAGCCCATGATTGTGTGTCTTGTTCTGATCTTTTTAAACTTATTAAAAGAAAATAATAATGTAGCTAAATGCAGTGGCAAACAAAAGACAGCAGTTTCTCACTTTCTAACTGTCAGGGAAACAATAGATATACCTCAAGATAATATAAATATTCTGCTGACTCTGCTATCAGAGAAAGCAACACACAGTCTAAGATGATAATATGTGGTTCTAACAAAAGAACATCAGTAGATGCAAATCTAGAAGGCTCACGTTCCACTCCGTTTGTTATGTCAGAAATCAGGAATTATGCCTCAGTTGGTTAAAATGATTGAGAGGTTCTGAATCTTAGTCAACAGCCAAGATATTCTCCTTAGAGCATAAACACAGCCGTTCTTTCATCCGTTTGTTCGTTCGTTCATTCATTCATTCCGTCCCTCTCCCCTCCTCCCTTTCTTACTGCACTTGTCATGGTGTCTTATGTAAAGTGAGTGTTCAATATGGGAGAGACTTATTTGAGGATGGGAAGAGAACTAGAGAGGAAGGGGGCAGGAGGAAGGGCTAGGCACCAAAAACAGCAGAACAACAGGTAGGATTGGGGAGCTGTTGAATCAGGAGGGAGAGCGAGGGAAGTCGCCCATGTAGCCTCTCTTTTCTGAACATCTTCCCCATTTCCACAGCAGAATGCGTGAAGGGACAACTCGGGGCTAGATCTGCATGTCGTCCAGGTGACACTGTTCACGCTGCACCAAAGTCTCCTTCTAATAAGAAATTTTCAGAACTGAATCACAGCTTACCTTACCAAAAAGTATAAATGCTCTTTTCAAATAAATCACTTGTTTTATTTCAAATTCAGAAAACAGTTATTTGAATTTTAGTATCACTGTAGTAACACAGAGGTTTACTTGGCATAAACTAGGAAAAATATAGAAAGAGCAAGTAAATTGATTTGTATTTGATTAGACACTTACGTGGCTTTTTTATTAAAAATTTTTGGGTGGATGGGGAGATAGGAAGTTTTCTTTATTGAAATTTTTTTATTTAATTATTACTGTCTATAGTTGTGCCTCTACATTTCAGTTTGCTTTGTTCAGGAAGGAATATAAGAATATAAATCTCAGTGTTTGGCATAAGTACACTAGCATTTTTACAGTGAACTGAACAAGTATCTTTCACAGTGTATATCCATCTGCCTTTTTTTCTAACTTTCCTTCTCTTTGGCTATAGGCCAAGAAAGAAGAGAGAACTCTCACCACAACATTTCAAAGGGAATACATTGCCAGAACTTGGAATACTCTACTGGACAAACATTTCCTCCAAGGTAAATATTACCATTGTACCAATAAAGGGACACATCACTAGAATTTTTGAATGGCAGTGGTACAGCACAAAGGTTTAATTGTTTAGTCTCATACAGACCTAGAGTGACATAAGAGAAAGAGAGAGAGGGAGAGAGAGAGAAGAAAGCAGTGCTGTTGGGGTATCCTGCAGCCTCTTCTAAATGTGTTACCAGGAGAATGCCATCAGAATCTGGGAGCTCACTGAGCTGTACGAAAAATGTGTGGGAAATGAGGAGGAAAGAAGAGGCTGGCCTTTTTTCTTCGTGTTACAGATACTCGTGAACACAAAAGCCAGCGGGGTTCGATTATGAAAATAACATTTCATCCTTTATGAGGAAAAAAATGAGTAGTTTCCTTTAGAGGTTAAAATAAAATATATGCTGTATTCATGTCACAAGAGGGAAAAGCCTGAATCATAATATTTTACACCAACTGAGACAAGTATGAAAGATTTTAAGGAACTCCATGTTCTTCTATGAAAATACCTGCTAAGTAAGCCTTTAGTAAGCCTTTCATTGGTTTGTGAGGAATGCTTCATGAAGTTCTTGTTTTGGAAATCATATCTTTAATGCCTCTTGTGGGGAGGGGTGTGTGTGTGTGTGTGTGTGTGTGAGAGAGAGAGAGAGAGAGACCAAAGAAGGATCTGTCAGCATGATACTATAGGTTTCAGAGGAGTAACTCTAGGCGCTTTCTTTGTGAATCATGAGCTTAGTGGGAATAAAGGCTTAACAGAAGCAGCTGAATTCATAGTCAGCTTTGGCATTCATGAATTAGCTGCCAATGTTTTAGCACAAATTGCTGTGTCATTTCTATGAAGTTCCCCTGTCGCTGCTCAGTCTGTAGCTAAAAGCTGTCTTGTTTTATCTGATGAAACACCTCCTTCCTTATAAAGATATTTGTGTACCCGCACACAGAAATGCAAAAACATATGATCCCCCTTAAAAGAAAATAAACTTGTCAACTTTCTCTGTTTAGAAGTTAATATGATATGGTTGATACTACCTAGCCCTTAGTGTTCTGGAAGGCAGTTTCAGATTGGCCAGGGGAGAGTCCTGTTTTCCTCCTCGGTCCTCATCCTGGTTATTCTCTTCTGAAGGGCTTGGGGTGAGGGAAATGTAGGCTGTACATTAGAGGAGAATTTTGTGATACTATTCATTCTCTGTTCTGACAGAGAGGACATTGTTTGTTCACTGTAATAGGCTTGGCAGGAATCTGTGCTGTGCGTACAGAATGGGAAAATAGCAGAGCAGTGGGAAATCTCAAAATTCTAAGCAGCAGATCAGCTTAGAGATTTTGCAAAAATCTATTTTAATAGCTTCTCATTACTGTAGACGTAAGTCATAATTTGGAGAAACAGTTTTCCTTTCAGTGATAATTTTCTTCACATTGCATTATGCCTGTGTTACATGAAAAAAGTCTTTAAGATGCAGTATGCCTATCCAAGTACTGTAGTAACAAGAATTAAAATCATGAAAGTTTAGAAATACTTGATGAACACACTAGACCTGCTTTGATATTGCCCTTTGTACGTCAGCATTCACATTGGTACAAATGAAAATTAGCCTATGTACGTCATCTGGTGGTTCACAGAAGCAAGTGTATGCTGCCAAAGATAAGAGAAAAAAGACGCATTTAAAGATGTGCATTGAGGTAAGAGATGCACTGCTAGTGAGAGGGAGCCATGCTCCAAATGTTCAGAACTTTAAAGGCAACAACTGTAAAAGCAAAGGCTCAAAGCAGCATGCAAACCGTGAACTGGAAACTGAGCTGGCTGTGACTGAGGCCTGGCATTTCTGCTTCTTGAGGCTATGTGTTCCCACTTCTCCCTGAGCACAGAGACTGCACAATATGATGGGCCCTGATAGCCCCAGGTGTCTGGGGACCTTGTGTGTGTGCATGTGTGCCAGGCTGCTGTGTTCACAGACAGTGTGAGCTAGAGAGTGGGAGAGCCTGCCCCACACCCAGCAGCCCCAACAGCAGCTGTGGGGGACCCTCGTCTTTAGGCTTAAAGAGAAATTTCTCATGGCTGCCCAATCTTGGCCTATATTCTTTTTTTTTTTTTTTTTTTTTTTGAGACGGAGTCCTGCTCTGTCGCCCAGGCTGGAGTGCAGTGGCGTGATCTCAGCTCACTGCAAGCTCCGCCTCCCATGTTCACGCCATTCTCCTGCCTCAGCCTGCCGAGTAGCTGGGACTACAGGCATCCGCCACCACGCCCAGCTAATTTTTTGTATTTTTAATAGAGACAGGGTTTCACCATGTTAGCCAGGATGGTCTCGATCTCCTGACTTCGTGATCCGCCTGCCTCGGCCTCCCAAAGTGCTGGGATTACAGGCATGAGCCACCGCGCCCGGCCTCTTGGCCTATATTCTTAAGAACAGCTCCCTGGATATTTTTATAAAAACTACATAATATAAATTATGAGACTTTTAAAATTCTATCCGTAGTAGTGTCAGTATACAGTAGAGCATTGGATTATTGCAAATCCCTTTTTATGTAGCCTGTGTAAGGGTTAATCTTATGTAACAAAAGCAGGTCCTTTACTCCACCACTTGTGACATGATTCACACGTATTATCTGCTTTGTTGTTTTTAAGTTTCTCAGTCTTTTAAAATGTATTTGTTAGACAATCTTTTTGATGATGCATTTGTTCGTCTTTTTAAAAATGTATAGAAATTGGCCAGCTGTGGTGGCTCATGCCTAAATTTCCAGCATTTTGGGAGGCCGAGGTGGGCAGATTGCTTGAGTCCAGGAGTTCGAGACCAGCCTGGGCAACATGGCAAAACCCTGTCTCCACAAAAATTAACCAAGCATGGTGGTGCATGCCTGTAGTCCCAGCTACCTGGGAGGCTGAAGTGGGAGGATCTCTTGATCCTGGGAGGCAGAGGCTGCAGTGAGCTGAGATCATACCACTCCACTCCAGTCTGAGTGACAGAGCAAGACCCTGTCTCAAAAAAAAAAGTATAGAAATATATTTATATGATGATATTTTGAAGTACATCACAAAGATAGCAAGAAAAAACCACCAAGGCTTGAATAAACTCCCTTTATTCTTTCCATTTGGTACATTTTTTTGGTCTGTTTTTCAAGCAGTTTTTATTTTATTGTTTTTCACAGCTGAGTTAAGGATTACTGAGGGACGTGAGGTTGAGGCAGGGCCAGGTTCTCCTGCTCCCTCCAGGGACTCCTTGGAGGTGCTGCCTGCAGCAGCAGAACTGGCAGGTCCCTGGAAGACACCTTCGTGTGCAGGGTAATTGCTGGCCCATCTGTGACTCAGCAGCCATGCCTCCTATCCTGCCTGCTTGTTCCTTTCCTGCGGAATTTCCGGTAACCACTGAGACCTGATCTTTAGCACACACCAGTGACAGCTGGGTCTCCATACCCTGTGACCACAGTTCGCCAGAAAGCTGGGAGAGCCTGCAGGCAGCTAAGTTAGTGTGGGCACCAGCCTCATGTGTGTCATCATCGTGGCTCGGGGGAGGATGCCCTAAAGCAAGGCGTGCAAGGGCCTTGTTTCACCAATGCTATGTGTCACCATCTAGTATGAAAGAAAATGTTTATCGGTCGAGGGAAATTGGAGTAAACACTTACTGACACTCTTTTATTTTGGGGTTTTTTTGTTTTGTTTTTCTGAGACAGGGCCTTGCTCTGTTGCCCAGGCTAGAGTACAACGGTGCTATCTGCGCTCACTGAAACCTCTGCTTCCCAGGTTCAAGCGATTCTCGTGCCTCAGCCTCCTGAGTAGCTGGGACTATAGGTGAATGATACTATTTTATTTAACAAACACTCATATTGTACCTACAGCGAGGCAAGCACTGGTCTAAGCACTTTGCAAGTATTAAACTTTAATCTGCCTGATCACCCTATTACTATTATTAACATTCCTGTTTTACCAAAGAGGAAACTAAAGCTCAGAGAGGGTAAGTGACTTGCCAAGGAAGGGTAGAAACAGCATTGGCATCTACTCCAGGGTCTAGGCATTAGGGCTCCATGCGTCTAAACACGGGTGTCTCCTGGACCATAGCAGAGCTTGCTTAACTGTCAGGCCCCTTTAGGGTCTGTAAACACACACACTGCCCCCACAGAGGTACACACACCATGTTATGTTGTCATTTTTGGAACTCTATCCCCATTGACTGATGGCATTTGCTGCAGTGGAGGAAGAATTTGTCATCCCTGTCCTTCTAGAATTCAAAGTGGGTGCGGACTAATCCCTGTTACATGGTAAACAGGATTCCAGGCACCTCCTCCTGTGGCTGTCAGGGTGAACTGCATCCTGTGACATGCCTGCAGAGGAACGCCCGAGCAGCATGTAGAGAAAGGACCAGGGTACTGCCCTGCCCCTCCTTTACAGCTTCTTCACTGGTGGGTCCTGGGCCCTTTGACATACCATGGCCCTGGGCACGGTGGTGTAGCACGACCTGCCAGTGTGGAGAGCAGCCGCTCTCCAGGATGGACATTTGACAATTCCTCCCTCCCCACTGCCATGGGGATTTAGACAGTTGCTCCTGGAGGCCTTGTCTTAACACAGAACTTCCCAAAGTGGAATCTGAGGAGTTTGATGGGTGCAGCTCTCTCTCATTTGGGCGCCCCCAAAAGAGAAAACAAACAAAGGTTTATTCATGGTTGGATATGTTTGGGAGACATGGGTTCAGCAAAATTAAATTGATTTACTTATTGCAGGATTTCTCAGAATTTTCTTGTGACTCTCCAAAGCAACATGTAGAATGCAGAATGTCCTACATTTTATATTTTCTCAGGTGGGTGAAAATGTCTGTCAACATCATTTGGTCAGTGTTGTCTTAAGGAGAGGTAAAAAAAAAAAAGAAATCCACCGTCATAGGAGGCAAACAGATATTGAGGGAAAATCAATAAGCTACATTTGGGGTCTCTAAATTCCAGTCCCTTTTTAAACTGATAGCTATTGGGACCTTAGAGCCTGAAATTTCTCATTTGTAAAATATGGAGGATAGAACTGAATTATCCCTAAGCTTTTTTCATCCTTATAAGCTGGTGACTGTTTTGTTCCAGAAGAGTTTTAAGAATAAGATACAATACACAACACATCAAATGAAAAATTGGTGAGGGTAAAATGAGGCACAGAGAATGTAAGGTAGAAAAGATGGAAGAAGGAGGGAAGTTATTATGCAAAATACATTCTGTGAAATCCTTCATGGTTAATATGATAGAACCAAATTTGGTTCTATGCTTTCTAAGGAACAGTTTGAAAAGGGAACTATGACCACAGCTTTGTAATTAACAGACTCCTAAACTAAAAACAAACATTTTCCTAAAAGAAACAACTGTTCCCAGTTTGAACAAATTTTTCCCATGGCTTTTAACTCTGTGGTATGGCCCTTTAGTCTTTTAGGTAGAAATTTCAGCTCTGTGGTGGGATGGCACCAAGATTTGGAACCTCAGTAGATACACTTCATAGGTCTTGTGGATACATACATTTAATATACATCATCCTCATTTACGGAACCATTACATGTTGTAGCCCAGCCCAACTTGCGTATATGTGGAGGTGTTTGGGTCTTGACTCTGGACTCCGGAGTATTCTCTCCATCCTGGAGGGGCCGTGTGCCAGGAGCCCGGGGGTGTCAGCCGCTCTCCAGATGGCCTCCTTTGTGCATCCTCACATCAGTTCTGGGTGCACCCTTCTCCTTCCTGCATCTCTAACTTAGCATTGGCCGAGCCTGGATCGGGGTTTCCAACAGCCTTTTCACAAAATCACAGCGATGCAAAGCTGTCCCAGGGGTTTTGTGTTGTTCAGGGTGGTAAAGGTTCAAACCTAGGTTCTATTTTTTAAGTAATTATTAATAAATAAAATGATAGCTTAAATACGTTTTAGAAAATAATACTGCTTCAGGACCTCTTAATGTAAGTGAAGCTATTAGTGCCAGTCAGATGAGTGAACATGCTTATGACTCACATAAACACTGCAAGCCCCCATGGGGGCTTTAATTAGTTTTTATAATTAGTCATTTACTGTTACTTTATACATAGAATGGATAACTGATTACAGACAGTAAGCAGAAGAAGCAACTGATGTTGTGACGATTATCATTTGCAGTCATCTGGTCAAAATTCTTACAGACTTTTCATGGTGTAGATAATGTTTTATTTCCTAAACTGGGTGTGTATTTCCTAAACCTGTGTTTATTGCATTATTCTTTTAATCTTAAATATCTTAATGTATTTGTGGAGTTTTATATTAGTCTATTAGGACATTTATATGGTATAAAATTCAATGTTGATAAAAGAAAAAGTAATGATAATCATATGTAATTTGACCTTGATTTATTAGAAATAAATATCACTCATACCCTCTGTCTTTCCCTCTCTCTCCCTTTTTTTCTCTCTCTTTCTCTCTCTCTCTCTCCTTACATTGTTCCTGATAAGCTGACAACAGAGTCAAATGAAACACAAATATATATATATATACTGCAGAGAAATGCATACAAACAGCAGCCTAAAGCTTTATCTTGTCTCATTATTTTATAATTAAACACAAAAATTATTGCAGGTTGATTATTTTTGTCCAAAATGCAAGATTACCAAATATTCATGAATGAAAACTTTTATCTCTTTATCTATCATGACATATTAATTGTAGCTTGAAATTTATATAATTGGTCCCAAAACCAAGTATATGCCCATTTGTCATTTCAAAAATTTGTCATTTCAAAAATTTCAAAAACAAGTCATGCATTTCATTACATGATGAATTTAAAGTAGACTAAGTAGCACATCACTGTTAAATAAGAAAAAAGTCAAACTAGAATTAGTAAAATTTGTATTTAAATGAACTTGTTAATGTAACCTTTAATAATAATTAACTTAAAATCAAGTAATTTTACTTAAGGCACTTCTTATGTGCCATAAAATTTTAAAATAATTAAAATATCTTCCATGGAGGTTTGCAAAAGTTTATGCAAGTCAAAAAACATGAAATCTTTAAAGAAGCCAGGAAAAGATATTAAAATAATTATTTGTATCCAATTTAAAGAGAACCTTGCTGTTCTTGAGTAGATTACTGGTAATTGGATAATATGAGGTCTGGTCAGTTGCAGAAGGGAGATTAAAGGCCAATGGGGTAGTCAGCTGATTTGAAGAACATGTTATAAAGCAGTTCTTGCTGTGCTTTGCCCTGTCCACATCATAGAAAAATCTCCTATAATTTCCTGTCCCAGCTCTCAGTGAAAATCAGGGATCACCTCTTCAAATGAATACTAATCTTAAATATGTTAAACAAATCCCTATACTGTTTTTTATGTTCTCTTTTTATTGAAGATATACATAGATATTCATACTATTTTGAAATGCCAATTATAAATTAGTACAATTTTCCCAATAATATATGGGCATTATTGTGAAATGAAATACCTTTTACCTTTAATATATGGATTTATGGACACTATTGTGCCCATATATTATTTAGAAAAAATATAGTAAGTAAATTTTACATCTACTATTACATCCAAATGTGGCTAACAATTCAGAATGACTTAGATAAGCATCGTTATTTTCCAGCAATATTGACATTGCTTGGCTGTTCCAATTGTTAATTTTAAAACCCAACTGTTATCAGACTAACTATGATTTAATAAAACTTTGGTAAATGTCTAAAGGAGCCTTTCAGTAAATATGATCTAAGGAAAAAGAAATATACAGAAATGAAATAACTTTTACATTTGATTAATTGAAGTAAGTTGCAACATTTTTCTGAATTGCAGTTAGCTTTCATTTTCAGACTTTGGAAGAACAAGTCATTTGTACCAGGAAGTACATGGTAAAGAACTATGTTTGGCAACTTAGAGAACATTTTTAGCATTTGAATTTCCCTATTTATAGTACAGCATCAGGCATAGTAAAATGTTTGGCATTTCTATAAGGGATGCAAATGCCTTAACATTCACTGTTGTGATCTAACAATTCATTTCAGAGTAAGATGAATCAGTCTTGTTTGGAAAATGTTTTACACAAATACTGGCAAGGAAACTATCACTGCATTTCTGTGGATTTTAAAATGCAGACTCCTCTAAAGTAAATGGTGACAAATTGCACAATGTTTTTTCTTTCTTCTGCGTTACCATGCTTCTATGTGAACTGACTTTTATTACTTTAAATTCTCACACTACTCTACTACATTCCTTGCTTTTTAGATTTTGTTAATCCATGCTGGAATCAGAAACTCTGTTTCCAGGTCCTTCTAAATGTCGAATTCTTTTTAACCTAACCTTCCTTTAATCCACAATGTTTTCCTCATAATTGAAACCACAGATTACTTCATTAACATCTGCCCTTTTCTTTTACATTAGAGAACGTGAGAATTGTAATTTGTAGGATTTTGCCCTTAATTTGCTACATAGAAAAGAAATACTTGTATTCTCCCTCTTTCTCTCTCTCTATCACACACACACACAAACACAGAGGCACACACACACACACACACACATGCACACACACACACACTTGAAGTAATGAAAAATGAGCAGACTAAATGTAATGCAGCATCCTAGATGGGATCCTGGAACCAAAAATAAAAGGACATAGGGTGCAAACTAAGGAAATCCAAATAATAATAATAATGTACCGATATTGGTCCATTAATTGTAACACATGTACCATGCTGACGTAAGTTGTTAATAATAGACTAGAAAAAATACAGCAAATTCATTTATAACTAACGTATTAAAAACCATAGTTGACTTCAGCCTGTTTTGTGATAAGAAGAATTGAAGTATACAAAGTGATAATGATATCTCCTGTTGTCAATGTCTTCTACTGAACATAGTCATCTATAGCAAAGGCTGGCAAAATCCAAGTATTTGGCAAAAGCTGGAGACCAAATCCAGCCCTGCCATCTGTTTCTGTAGGGCTTGAACACACTTCTGCTGTTATCTTCCAGATGCCCCTAGCGGGGCAAGAGGATGCAGGCTCAGATGATCTGGGCTCCATTCCCAGCCATTTGGTGTTGTGGGCATTGTTTGACTTATTTAACCTTTCTGGATGTCATTTTTCGTATCTGTGAAGTCAGAGGGTCGAACCAGGTTTTTCAGAACCTGTGGCGTGGAGAATTCTGACTCTGAATGTGTGTTGGAGGTCCATTTGTGATTACAGCATAGAGTTTATTAAGGATGAAATTTTGGCATTAAAGCAATTTGCATGCATTATATATGCAATATATAGCTTAAAACATAAGATTACCCATCATTTTCGGCACTTTTGAACTCTACCAAAAAGGAATTAAATAATCACAAAAAGGAACCCTATTGCCACGTGTATTAGTCTGTTCTCATGCTGCTAATAAAGACATACACAAGACTGGGTAATTTATAAAGGAAAGAGGTTTAATGGAATCACAGTTCCACATGGCTGGGAGGCCTCATAATCATGGTAGAAGGCAAAGAAGAAGCAAAGGCACGTCTTACATGGCGGCAGGCAAGAGAGAGCTTGTGCAGGGGAACTCCCATTTATAAAACCATCAGATCTCACGAGACCCATTCACCATTATGAGAACAACATGGGAAAGTCCCGCCCCCATGATTCAATCTCTTCCCACCAGGTCCACAACATGTAGGAATCATGGGAGCTACAATTTAAGATGAGATTTGGGTGGGGACATAGCCAAACCATATCATTCTACCCCTGGCCCCTCCCAAATCTCATGTCCTCACATTTCAAAACCAATCATGCCTTCCTAACAATCCCCCAAAGTCTTAACTCATTTCAGCATCACCTCAAAAGTCCACAGTCCTAAGTATCATCTGAGACAAGGCAAATCCCTTCCATCTATGAGCCTGTAAAATCAAAAACAAGTTAGTTATTTCCCAGATATAATGGGGGTACAGGCATTGGGTAAATACATCCATTCCAGATGGGAGAAATTGGCCAAAACAAAGGGGTTACAGGGCCCATGCAAGTCCAAAATTCAATAGGGCAGTCATTAAACCTTAAAATGACCTTTGACTCCATGTCTCACATCCAGGGCATGCTGATATAAGAGGTGGGCTCCCATGGCCTTGGGCGGCTCCACCCCTATGGCTTTTCAGGGTACATCCCCACTCCTGGCTGCTTTCACAGGCTGGTGTTGAGTGTCTGTGACTTTTTCAGGTGCACAGGGCAAGCTGTCAGTGGATCTACCATTCCAGGGTCTGGAGGACAGTGGCCCTCTTCTCATGGCTGTACTAGGCAGTGCCCCAGTGGGAACTCTGTGTAGGGGTATCAACTCCACATTTTCTTTCCACACTGCTCTAGCAGAGGTTGTCCATCAGCTTGCCACTCCTGCAGCAAACTTCTGCCTAGACATCCAGGCATTTCTGTACATCCTCTGAAATCTAGGTGGAGATTCCCAAACTTCAATTCTTGACTTTTGTACACCCATAGGCCCAACACCATGTGTAAGCCACCAATGCTTGGGGCTTGCACCCTCTGAAGCAAGGGCCTGAGCTGTATGTTGGCCCCTTTTAGCCATGGCTGGAACTGAAGCGGCTGGGATGCAGGGCGCCATGTCCCGGGGCTGCACAGAACAGGGGGGCCCTGGCCCACTAAACCATTTTTCCTTCTAGGCCTCCAGGCCTGTGATGGGAGGGGCTGCTGTGAAGGTCTCTGACATGCCCTGGAGACATTTTCACCATTGTCTTGGTGATTAACATTTGGTTCCTCATTACTTAGGCAAATTTCTGCAGCTGGCTTGAATTTCTCCCAGAAAATGGGTTTTTCTTTTTAATTGCATCATCAGGCTGCAAATTTTCCAAACTTTTATTCTCTGCTTCCTCTTGAATGCTTTGCTGCTTAGAAATTTCTTCAACCAGATATCCTAAATCATTTGTCTCAAATTCAAAGTTCCACAGACCTCTAGGGCAAGGGCACAATGCTGCCAGTCTCTTTGCATAGCAAGAGTGATCTTTACTCCAGTTCCCAACAAGTTTGCCATTTCCATCTGAGACCACTTTAGCAGGGACTTTATTGTCCATATCACTATCAGCATTTTTATCAAAGCCATTCAATAAGTGTCTAGGAAGTTCCAAACTTTGCCACATTTTCTTATCTTCTTCTGAGCCCTCCAAACTATTCCGACCTCTGCCTGTTACCCAGTTCCAAAGTCAGTTCCACATTTTCAGGTATCTTTATAGCAGCACCCCACTCCTGGTCCCAATTTACTGTATTAGTCTGTTCTCACACTGCTAATAAAGACATGCACCAGACTGGGTAATTTATAAGGGAAAGAGGTTTAATGGAATCACAGTTACCCATGGCTTGGGAGGCCTCACAATCATGGTGTAAGGCAAAGAAGAAGCAAAGGCCTGTCTCACATGGCAGCAGGCAAGAGAGCATGTGCCAGGGGAACTCCCATTTATAAAAACATCAGATCTCATGAGACCCATTCACCATCATGAGAACAGCATGGGAAAGACCTGCCCCTATGATTCAATCACCTCCCATTGGGTCCCTCCCACAACATGTGGGAATAATGGGAACTACAATTCAAGATGAGATTTAGGTGGGGACACAGCCAAACCATATTGCCATGTGAGTCACTTATGTACTAGGAAAGCAAGACCAGTTGTTTTGAAATACCCATGTTGAATCTGAGCTCAAAATCATATTAAAATATTAAATTGTGCCTTAATTTGTGATAAAGTATTACTATCCAAATGATAATGTACACTTTGAGAAAGAAAGATTTTAGGCTAATGTACTTTAAGATTGTACACTTAAATGCAATTTAGCTTGAATTTGTTATTCAATATAGTCAATAATGTTATGTGGTATTTAATTTAGGCCAATAAAGTTTTGAATACCTAATTATGTTAAGGCCTTTAAGACAGTTGAGACCTTGCCAAATGTTCATATTATGCTTGTCGAGTTAATTATCAGGAAGTTACTTATCTGATCATTGTTTCTTAATTTCTATTGAGCCAGTCATTGTCCTTTATAAGAAATTATTTTCCAGCTGTAGTATTTCAGTGCTGGGTTTTGATTATAGACATATAAAAAGGGTTTATTTAGGACTGCCTTTAAAATTAAATCTGATCATAATTATTTGACTAGTAGAGGCACTCTAGGAAAAGGTTGAGTAGTGGCTGTCCACTTTGGCTACTCAGTAAAATTACCCAAGGGGCTGTTTAAATTCCCATGTGCAGGTATACCCTCAAACTAATTAAGTCTATCTCTGGAGGTATTTTTTTAAAGCTCCCAAGGTCCTTTGAATATGCAGCCAAAGTTGAGAAATACAGGCCTTGAGAACAAGCAAGGAAAGCCTCCTGGGGAGGTCTTTCTGTAGTGGAATGCTCCTGCTCTTTGTAATTGGGTAGCTTGAGTAGCTGTGAAGTTCTTTAAAGAAGATTATTTTCAAAAAGAAAGAAACTTACCAATATCTGGAGAGGGGCAGAAAGCACGTGTTGCTTGCCCTAAGTCTCCATCCTACAAATACCAGGAGAGTTTGTCCTGATTTTGAAAGGATTTAGGAGGTAACATCCTGCTTTTGTCAACGCATGGTGTTTGCTTTGACTTTTGTTTGGCATCTTATTTCACCTACAAGATCAGTGGGAGCTAAAATTTATTGAGCGCACCTGCTAAGTATCAGGTCCTGTGCTATAAACATCACTCTGTCTCACAGCCAGGAAAGATAGAATTATTCACTTAGAAATAAAAAGTCAGAGTTCTGTTTTGTTAGAGAAATCTTAGTGTAATTGCATAAATATTTAGTGATTTCTTTATTCATCTGGTGACCTTTGTTGAATACATATGCTATTCCAAAAATAAGTTTAAACATGCCCAAAGAATACAAAGGATCTGTATTCATTATCTGTTGCTTCATAACAACCTTAGTGGCTTTAGATGAACATGTATTTAGCTCTTGATTCTGTGATTGATAGTTTAGGCTGGGCTCAGCTGGGCAATCCTCTCGTCTTGGCCAGGTTCACTCATGCAACAATGGTCAGCTGTGGTTCAGCTTTGCTGATCTTGGTGGGGCTCTCTCACTTTTCTGGGAGCTTTAACTGAGACAAGCTGGCTGACCAAGCTCTGTTCCTTTGGCCTCTCAGTCATCAGCAGGGTCAACCTAGATTTGTTGGAATATGGAGTTAGGGTTTCCTAGAGAATGCCTAAGTATCCACGGCACCTTAGGCCTGGTGTGAGAATGGGCACACCATCACTTCTGCCACATTTCCTGGCCAAAGCAAGTCACAAGCCCAGTCTAGACACAAGGAGTGGGGAAAGAGATTTCATTTCTTGATGGAAGGTACTAAAAAGTCACATTTTAAAGGGCAAGGAGAAAGGAAACAGTGAGCAATTAATGGTTATTTTTTGCAATCAACCACAGGTAGAAAACTTCAGTTCTATCTTGGGACATTAGAGGGTGTTCCTGAGAAATGGTAACATTTGAGCAGGTTTCAAGGGTAGAAAATATATTTCAGGTGAGGCAATAGCATAAGGAGAACTGTCAAATTGTGCTTTCATTAGTGAAAAACAAAATGGAGGTAGTAAGTTCCCTAAACGTAGAAAATATGTCTAGCCGACAACTGAGCATGTGGAAGGCACTCAGCATGTACTTTCTCATTTACATCAAAGGGCAGTGAAGTGACTAAGAGTGTAGGCCCTTAAAGCAGGTATAATAACCTGATAGCCTTACCATTTACCAGCTAGTTTGCCTTGAACAAATTACTGTGCCTCTTTAGTACCATGAGGACAATAATACCTCCTATAGCATTTGCTGCATAACAAACCACTCCATGACTTAACGGCTTAAAAACAACAGCCATTTACTCAGCAGCTCATTCTACAGTTTTATAGTTTGGGCCATCTTAGGTTGGAGGTTCTTCTGGTCTCAGTTGGGCTCATGCCTGTGTCTTTGGTCAGCTTGCAGTCAGCTAGATGTCTCTGCTTCTGAGGATTGGCTGGCTACTGGGGGAACAATAAGGACAACTGGATGACCACCTTCTCATCATCCAGCAGGCTAGTGTGGGCTTATTCACATAGAGGATCAGCAGAATTCCAGAGTGAGAGTAGAATCATTCAAAGCATGTGGGCTGGGTTCAACATTGACACACCATTGCTTCCAATGAGCTCCATGAGCTAAAGGGAGTCACAAATCAGCCCACCATTAAGAGTAGAGAAACAGACAGCATTTCTTGCTGGAAGGAGCTCCAAAGTCACGTTGCAAGAAGTGAGGATACAGGGAGGGGAAGACTTGTGACCATCTAGGGAATCTTCTATACCTACCTATAGCTCACAACAATCCTGTGAAGAAAAAGTTAAATATAACTTGATTTTTCTAGGTGAGGCTCCAACCTAAAAAGTACCAGGCTAATCATAGATGTTCAATACATGGAAAGTATTAACTTTTTCCTATGAAAATTAGAAATCAGATTTTAAGCCAAATTCTTTAATTGCTTACTTTTATAGAATATCAGATGAACCTCCAAGTGCTTCTTACAAAGGTTAAACATTATACATTCTTTCCCTGTTGCAGAAATATAATGTAAGTGGGTAAAGCTCACTGCCTCTGAGTGCATGTGTATCTTGGCCTGACAGTCTGGCAGCTGCAATGTGTAGAATATGCTTATTCAACATAAAGGGTCAACTCAGGAAAAGAACCAGAGACGGTCAAGTACAATGTTTCAGTTCCCAAAATATTCAAGGCCTTTTATAATGGGTAAGAACTCATTTCAAAACCTATACAAAGAACAAAAACCTTAATAAATTGTTATTGATTTCTTTTACTGTTATGAGTATTTTCATAAAACCAGCTAAGCCTCATATAGTTCTAGATTGATCCACACATTGCTTTTGGATCCCATAAATTGCATTCAATGGAGATTTATTTATCTGGCAGCTAAAATACCTCTAATCAGTGATGTGAACTGGATCAAAAAATACCTATACTCTTTGAAATAAATAGAACATCAAAGGGTATTCAAGAATGTGTAGTGCAGAAATATGGCAAATGTGCATTGAGGGTGGTGCCAGCTTTTTTATAATTATGGAACTTCTAAGTCCTTAAATGATAGAGATCAGATGGTTCTTGCGCTCTGCCTCCTGACTTCAGCCTGCTTTACCCAACCCACCACCTCCAAAAGCTCCAAAGCCCACAAAAGGGCCCTCTATCCGCCCGATTGCACCTCATTCCCAAACACTGAATGTCCACTGTACTGCTTGTTCCTCTTAAGATTTTAGAAAGTCTTAGTGGTGGAGTGATTAAGAACTGTGGCTCTGATCCTCATGTCTCTCACTTTCTTCCTCTCTGAGTGACAGGGGAAGCTTCTGAAGCTACAAGCCTCCTTCCTTATTTCCTTAATAATGGTCGTACAAAGACATGTTTACGTGGCCATTCCATCACATTTAGAGTCATTTGCTGTTAACAACAACAGAAATATTGAATCCCCAACGATTTATGTCATTAGAAAAGAAAAACAAATATAAATTAATTAACATTTTCAAGACATCCCAACACAGGTTTGCTGATGGTGTTGCTTTGGCTTTCAAAGCCTGCTAGTCCCCATCTTGCTCTGCAGCACTGGAGTATGGGTCACTTTCTGGAAAGGCTTCAGTGCCTTTGCTACAGAGTAAATAGTTTGTTTTGAACTCTCAGTTTGTTTTTAAAGTAATGTTTTATGGGCCATGTAATGAAGTACCTAACATAGTGCTAAGCACATAGTAATAAGTATTTGTAGACCTGATATGTCTATCTTTGCATGCCTGAGAATGATTTCCGGTTTATAAAATTTGTGTTGGCAAGGAAAGCAGTTTTTGTTGCTACTGATAAGCCATCTGGGGCTTGATATTCTAAATTTGATGACTCTATTTACACATAATATCTTTTAGGGGGATTCCATATTTTTTACGTTTGTTTGCCAAACTAGAAGTTATGTACAAAGTTGTAAGCCCAAAATCTGAGAATTTTACCCTGGCAAACCCTACAAATATTTTAAATTACCGCAATGATTTTTTAGTAAATAAAATGTCAATGCAAATATGTGGAACTAGATTTCAGAGATCTCAGAGATCCCTGAACATTCTATGGTTCTTTATACTGGCACTGTAGAGAATTTATATTATATTGAACATTTTATATTAAGCATATGTCTTGAGGCCAGGTGCAGTGGCTCACGCCTGTAATCCCAGAACTTTGGGAGGCTGAGGCGGGCGAATCACTTGAGGTCAGGAGTTTGAGACCAGCCTGGCCAACATGGTGAAACCCTGTCTCTACAAAAAATACAAAAATTAGCCAGGCATGGTGGCAGACACCTATAATCCCAGCTACTCCAGAGGCTGAGGCAGGAGAATCGCTTGAGCCCGGAAGGCAGAGCCTGCAGTGAGCCGAGATCACGCCACTGCACTCCAGCCTGGGTGACAAAGCAAGACTCTGTCTCAAAAACAAAGGGCAAGGGGAACTTGATGTTGAGTTGGATATGGGAGGAAACAGAGAGGGTGGTAAACAGGGAGGACCTGGGATTTGACCTTGGCCAACTAGCTGAAGGTGGCACCATTTCCAGAGAGAGGGGCCCTGGAGGATGACCCCAGGGGCAGGGTACAATGGAGAGTATAGCCTTGCGCACACTGAGGCCGAGGGCCTGGGGGACACCCAGGCAGAGAAGCCCAGGTGCAGCTGGATATGGGATGGCAGCTCTGAAAAGAGGCTTGGGCCAGAGATACAGATCTGGGATCATGGCAACCTGATGGGAAATGAAGGCATGGTTTTGGATGATGTGTCCAGGAAGATAATATGCAGCAAAATCAGGAAAAGAACCCAAGACCATACCTTAAACAACTATGGTATTTCATAGCTAGGGAGAGGAGCCAATATCCTGGGGTGTTTTCTCAAATGTGTGGTTACCATAATTTGGCATCATCCTTTGACCCATACCTCTGCCTTTTAAGTTGGCATATGGATGATAATGATTCTGGATAGTTATACAGTGTCTGAAATTTGGTCTGATATTTTCTCACAGAAACTTATACACAAACCTCTGTCTTGTGGATGTGAGTTGACGGACATGGGTAGGCAAAATTCTTGCTTGCTATTTGATGATTTAAGTGACAGAAGTGAAAAAAAATTTTTTAAATTCTGGTATGTAGACTTAGAGGCTTGATCAATGCGAGTTTGCATTATCGTTAGACTTTCTAGCTAGTGCCCAGGGTTTCCTTTTGCATCACACAATACAATGTCTGGTTGTGCCTCTTTTCCTGACATTAAAATTCATCAGTGGATTCAGAAGAACCTGCTTATTTTAAAAACTCAATGTATATATAATATATTCAAATGGACAGCTGGTATCTGATTATTTCTTTATTTTAGTTACAGCTGTGTTAAATTCAATTATAAATTATAAATCATAATAGAAGAATCAGCTGCTTTGAATGCAGGAAGATGCAGATTCTTCTTTAAGTATGTTTTTGAATAAAATAAGATTATGTTAAACCAGCCAGGGAAGCAGCAAAAGGAGTTAATATTTACTGGGTGCCTACTCTGGGCAAGGGCACTGAACTGTGCATGTTGCACAAGATACAAATGTAGCTGATTTTGGTAGGGGTTTCAAATATACTTTTCTATGCTGAATGGCAATCTGAAATACTGAAGATACTGAATGGAGCTGACATGCAAACATAGGCACATGTTTGGAAGGCTGGCAGAGTGTGTTATCAATATGGCTTAAAGTGCTAGTCTAGACCAAACAGAAGTGCCTCAAAATAGTGGTAGTGCCCAACTGTCATTCCATATGTCAGTAGGATTTGTCCTGAAGATATTGCAGCTGACTTCTTGGCCAGTACTCTCAGTATCATGTGGTAATAATGGAAGGATAAGATTACTAACAAAAGATCCCAGGCTATAATGAGTCCACTAACATTAAATGGATGCTTTCTGCAATGTACCTCCCATCTCAAGCTGACATGTATGGAAATGAACAATTGCAAGAGACCCAAAAACTTTACCATGGCAGACTGAGGACCCTATGCCAAATAAACATGGTGTTACTCCCGATAAAGTGATCTAAAGAAACCTCAACAGACGATTGGAAGTACAGTTTCAGACATTAATGTCTAGCTGCCTTCTGCTGGAAATTGAAAGGAACAACTAAGATTGCAAAATGTGCAAATGGAGAAGCCCTCTCTACCAGAAGCTTGGAGCCAGCCAGAGGTCAGCAAAGCACAGGCTGCAAAACGCCTTCTCTGCAAAAGTAGCTGGCACTGTGAATCTAATTAAAATCCCAACATGTGCATATTGCATGAGGGACTATAGCTTAAAATGAAATTGCAACTGTACACATTCATTATCTATTAGCCATCAGTAGTTACAACCTTAAAGAATACAGGATTGTATTTGGTACTATTCTTAGTAAGACTGCAAAGATATGCATTTATTCACTCCATCAATATTTACTAAGCACCTGCTCTGCTGTAAGTGCATGTATTAGTCCGTTTTCATGCTGCTGATAAAGACATACCTGAGACTGGTCACTTATAAAAAAAAAAGTTTAATGGACTCACAGTTCCATGTGGCTGGAGAGTCCTCACGATCATGGAGGAAGGTGAAAGGTATGTCTTACATGGCGGCAGGCAAGAGAAAATGAGAACCAAACAAAAGGAGTTCCCCTTATAAAACCATCAGATCTTGTGAGACTTACTCACTACCATGAGAACAGTATGGGGGAAACCACTCCCATGATTCAGTTATCTCCCGCCAGGTCTCTCCCGTAACATGTGGCAATAATGGGAGCTACAATTCAAGATGACATTTGGGTGGGGACACAGCCAAACCATATCAGTGCCTTAGTTATAGCTGCAAAGACAAACATAGAGTTTGTGCTCATGAAGGTTCTATTCTAGAGGTTGTACATACAACAATAAACACAAAGGCCAATAAATAATATGCTTTCAGATAAGGATAACAGGAAAAGACAGCAGGGTAATGAGATGAAGGCTGAGTGTAGTGGAGTGGACGGGAGAGTTTCAGAATGGTTGGTCATAGAATGCTTTTCTGAGAACACGATCTTTAAGCAAGACTGAAAAAATAAGGAGGAACCAGCTGTATGATGACCTGAAGGATGTTCATTCCAGAAAACAAACAGCTAGTATAAAAGCTCCAGGTGAGGGGAAGCTTGACATGGTCAAGGGCTAGAAAGAAAAAGCACATGAGAAGTCATGGTCAAGGAGACCAAGGAACCAGCTGAGGCTGGAATGGTTGGGTCCACCTGCCCCATGAGAACCCTTCAATGAATGTTGGTCAAACTGAGCTGAACAAAGTGTACTGTGTCCGTTTAAACAATGAAGGTCAATAGAAAAGCTAAAATAGCCTAAATCATAAAGAAAAGTTATTGTCATAATAATGTGTTGATTTATTGTACATTCTTTCTAAGAATTATGGATCATTTTGCAAGTGGATAGAGAAATGTATTTTGGATCAGCTTTGACATACGCTTAAAAACAGTGGTATGTTACCCTCAAACAAGTAACAGGCCAAGAGATTTTATATATTTCTTGTTGAAATTTTTATATTTGAAAATGCTTAAAAATAATGCTATTTTAATTTCTATAATAAATTACAATAGCCATATAACTTTTGAGGGATGCAGAGAAAACTACATAGAAATAATGTAGCAAACAAGCAAAAAAAAGTGTGGCTCAAAATCCCTATCTTCTAAATCTGAGTCTTTATGTTGTGTGAGCTCAGATACCACCCTCTGGAATAGATTCAAAACATGATCTGTTTTGGCCTGGGCTTTAAGGATATACATGTGAGAAACTTTGGTTTATGTGAATTGCAGCATAGACTCGTTATGTGGGAAGAGGAACAATGAGCTGTATCTGTTTTATATTGCCACATCCTGATTATGACATGTTCCAATACTACAAGAGAAATAAGATGGAATAGCATCTGCTAGTTAAGAGTTTAGAAATATGAATGAATAGTCTAGCTCAGTGATTCTCAGCCCCAAACATATATTCAGATACCCTGGGGACACCTTCACAAATATCAATGTCAAGGCCCCATTCCTGATCTATTAAGCCAACTTTGAGAGTTAGACCTCGGCATTAGTGTATTGTAAAAAGTTTGGCCTGGGCACAGTGGCTCACACCTGTGATCCCAGCACTTTCGGAGGCCAAGGTAGGAGGATCACTTGAGGCCAGGAGTTCAAGCCCAGCCTGGGCAACATAGCTAAATTCCATCTCAACAATACATAAATAAAAATTAACCAGATGTGGTGGTACATGCCTGTAGTCCTAGTTACTTAAGAGGCCTAGGTGGGAGGATCTCTTGAGCCCAGGAGTTCAAGGTTTCAGTGAGCTATGATCACACCACTGTACTCCAGCAAGGGTGACAGAGACCTTGTCTTAAAAAAAAAGTTGGCAATGGATAGCCAGGGTTGAAAACCACTGGTCTAATTTAATAGGTCGCCATAGTCTTTAGGATACCGTTGGTTTGATTTTCAGCATCTTAGTCTCTATATCTCATATCTTATCATCTGGGTAATACTTCATTATTTTTTTTAGAGATCAGAGCTTATGGTCCCTAAGGTTAGTTTGATGGGAAAGTCTTTTCCTTTCTGACTTCCTTTTTCCTTTTATTCTTTGCTCTTTTGAAAATGTATTTTCCTTCTAAAGCATAATCTGGAGATTGAGAACTTTTAAAATCTATAAAGGAATAGTCCATGGTAATTAAACTTCAAGTTTCATGTATCCATTATTCAGAAATTAATATCTGCTTCTAAAAATATTGAAGTTGTTATAATAAAGACACATAAGGTTTTTTAAAACATATGAAATAAAAAACTTGTAATTGGCATTGGTGTAGGCAGAGGAAAGAAAGAGCTAGACGAAGATAATTGCTATAATTAAAGATAATTACAGCTTTGAGCATCCAGCCAGCCATGTGAGGGGAAAAGAAGAAAGGAAATATGATTTTTGTATGTGTAGTTTATCTTTTATACAAAAAGGCAAACTACTTCACCAGGACAGAAAACCTTCTTCTGAGAAGTAAAATCTCTAGGAGTTTATCACACAGACACATAAAGCTTTATGTACCACACAGTAGAACAATGTCATTTAATAGTTTTATGAGAAATTCAGATAAATCAAGATAATTTCTTATATTAATATTTTATAAAAGCTACTTTTATGACATTACTTCATCAGTAGGTTCAGCTGCTACCTCATAGAGTCCTGAGCTCATGTCAGTAGGACTGTGCCAGCTGCAGTCCTGGAGGATGTTGGTATTCCAGTGAGCTGTGGCAGAGCATGTCCTTCAGTTCATCTGAAAGCCATACGAAGTCACAGATGAGAGGAAGTGGAGCAGAACACCACTCTGTTAGGAAACGTGAGATTGGAATTTGATCTGTCAGGTTCACCTTACCCTTTTAAATTCTTACAGTAGTAGTATTATATATACTACTATATTATATATATTATATATTAGTATATAATATGTAGTATTATATATATTATATGTAGTATTATACTTTGGGAGAGTATTAATAGTTTGAGAACTATACTGTAGTCATACATCTTGGTGTCTTAGATGGATCCTGGCTACAGAATCAAAAACGTATGATAGATAAGTGGCTACTGCAGAACACCTTACATTGTTCTTAATTATGTTCTTCGTAAAGGGAAGCAGAGTGTTACCAGTGACTACTAGTGAGCCAGTTGCCCCTAAAGTTTGTTTATTCCTGAAACACTATAACATGGCAATTTATTAAGTATAATGAAGTAGAATTTTGAAGAGTTTGGAGAAAGGTCTAAAATATGTGATGTGAAAAAGACTGAATTATTCTTGTTTATGGGATAATAGCATATTGTTTTACAATTTGTGTCTAGAAATCACGTAACTGTTAGAAATAATTGCTTACAAAAAGAACTAGAATGAAACCACATAGCTTATATTATTTAATCCGATGGACAAAATGATACATACTAACTTCTTTTCCCAATAGCAATTACTAGATGTCAGTGGCTACCTTGATTTTCCTAGATGAGTTTTCTTTTTGTCCTAAAAACACATCTTCTTGTCCTGTTTTGTAAATATATTTTTCTTGAAGTTTTCCTGTAATAGATGCATGAGAAATAAGCACACAGTGATTCCCCCGGACCAGATTCCACTGTTATATTTCTCACAGTAAGCATTGGCAGGGCCACTGCCACGGCTATTTAGTGCAAACCTCATGCCTCTAGGAGGTGCCACTCACAGAAATATAGTCTATGCTCTTAGTACAGCCAGACCTCCTCAAAGCCTCAGTGGCAGAGAAGTGTGAACTCACATTCCTGACTCCATGTGTCATTCTTCAAGCTCCCGTGTTTTATTTTTTAAGTTCTTTTTTTTTTTTTTTTTTTTTTTTGAGACAGAGTCTTGCTCTGTCACCCAGGCTGGGATGCAGTGGCACGATCTCAGCTCACTGCAACCTCCACCTTCTGGCTTCAAACAATTCTCCTGCCCCAGCCTCCTGAATAGCTGGGATTACACGTGCCCGCCACCACACCCGTCTACTATTTTTTTTTTTTTTTTTTGTATTTTTGTATTTTTAGTAGAGACGGGGTTTCACCGTGTTGGCCAGGCTGGTCTCGAACCCCTGACCTCAGGTAATCCACACACCTCAGCCTCCCAAAGTGCTGGGATTATAGGCGTGAGCCACCATGCCTGGCCTATTTTTTAAGTTCTTAATAGAACCTTGTACTCCATGAGATCCATGTTTCTTTTATGATAAATTAACTTAAAATCAAATAACTTCCACATTTCTAGAAGATGTTGTTGGCACCTTTTTCCCGCACTTCCCACAACATGTCTCTAATATATGCCTGTCCCTACCTGCAAACCTTGCCGCTGTATCATAGGCTACTCTCTCTCTCTCTGCCTCTCTGTTGAATGCCTTTAAAATACCCTTTCCAGAAAAAGAGTGAAAACGTAGCATAGAGAAGTGAAGGGGGCAGGGCTGTCAGAGCCATACTGTGATATTTGTTCTCATTGTACAACCTGAAGACTTTCCTTGGTCTCTACTTTCCAAAGAAAATGGAAATTGGGGGTAGAGTGACCATGTTGACTGCCTTACATACAAAGGGCTTTGAACTCAGCACAGGGAAAGGCTCTCTTTAAAATGTTAGCTTAATGAATCCATATTCTAAGGCCTCTCCAAAAAAGTTCTTAATACTGTGGCATACAATGTGAGTTCCACATATGATCCTTCAACTTGAAAACCTCTGTGACACTCAAAATGTAAAACTCTTCACATTATACTCCAAGACTTTTCATAAACACAGCCTTAACCCATAACTTCCATTTTATTCATGATTTCCAAATAGAAAAAAAAAATGGAAAATCTCGAGGAAGACAGTGTGATTTTAAAGATGTTCAGAATTGCATTCTTTTTGGTGCATGAGGTCTTGTAATCCCATTGGCTCCATGGCTTTCTAAGGAGGGTCAGTTTTCTGAGTTCTCCCTGTGGACTTCTGGAGTTTCACTGCCTCTGCCCCTGGGGACCCGCTATGAGATTAGATTTTTACTTTCACACTATGAACCAGGAACACAGTGAGGCTTGTCTACAGAACCAGTGAGATGGAAAGGGACCAGGAAGAGGTGGCACTTCAGTGCCCACACAGAGAGAGAAGGGATAGAGAACAGATTCAGGATTGGGCAGTGCAGGACTCACAAGCACGAGACCTGTGTCCTTCAAAGGGTTTTCTAGTGAATTACCTACTTGGGAATCACTTAGGATGCAAGATAAAAATATAGATTCTTGGCCAGGCATGGTGGCTCATGCCTGTAATCCCAGCACTTTGGGAGGCTGAGGCAGGCAGATCACTTGAGGTCAGGAGTTTGAGACCAGCCTGGCCAACATGATGAAACCCCATCTGTACTAAAGATACAAATATTAGCCAGGCATGGTGGCACATGCCTGTAGTCCCAGGTACTTGGGAGGCTAAGGTGGGAGAATTGCTTGAACCTGGGTGGCAGAGGTTGCTGTGAGTCGAGATCGCGCCACTGCACTCCAGCCTGGGCGACAGAGCAAGACTCCGTCTCAAAAAATAATTAAAATTTAAATTTAAAAATTAAAATATAGATTCTTGGGCCCCTCTCCAACTCTATTATATCTGGGCCTCAGCCCTTTAACAAATTGCCCCATGTGTTACAAGGCAGGACTGGGAGAACGTCAGGGAGTGAGGGATTCTGGAGGGCATCTTTGCCTGGGAAGGACGGCAAGTGAAGCCTATGAGGCTGACAGATGGAGGGGCAGGTGTGCTGAACGGACCTGCAGGACACGCGCTCTGATACAGATGGAGGCTGGGTATTCCATAGGGCCACAATCACACTTATCACTTCAGTTGACAGAACACGCACTTGCTCAGAAATGTTCTGTCCCATTGTTGTGTCTCTACTAGAGACCCTCCAGTTTTCTCCATATTGCCTTTTGTATCGGGTCCAAGGTCTTTTTGGCTCTCCAAGGTATTAGCAGCCTTTGAAATGAACAAGAACCTCTTCCAAAGAGCATGACTGATTCTGATCACTGAGTTCCACATTCAGCCATGTCAGACTGAAAGAACAAGATCTGCACGAGTGTTACTATTCTGTTGTACTGATTTCCCCCACCTGTGTTGACTTAATTTTAACTTCCCTAAATTGGAGAATGGAGGAGAGGGAGATCAATGTATTGGAGTATATAAATACATACATACATACATACATATATATGCCATTCTCTCAGAATTCCCCCTGGATTAAGGCCAGCCACAGGCAAAGAGGTGAAGCAGAAAACAATTACCTGGAAAGCCCCCTAAGTCTATTCCCCCATGTCCTGTCTCTCTCAGATGCACAAGGCCCCTGCGTCCTGGCCTCAGCCCTCTCATCCTTCTCCTTCCCCTCTTTTCCTCACCAGGTGACTTGGTCTGTTGCCAGTCATTTATGTTCTGTGTGATTTTGAATGCATGTGTCACCTCTTGCATGAATATTTTCTGTTTTAAGCTTTCACTTTAACTGTAAAGTGAAATCAGTTTTCTTCCATTCAGAAAGTGGGGGAGGTAGGCTCTATACAGCACCTTCCTGGTCCCTGGGATCCAGCCCATCCTCAGAGGCCGGCTGGCCCTGGCTGTGGTCAAGTGCATGCGTGGGAGGGAGTCCTTTCCACCGTGTGAACATGCAAAGGCTGTCTTTGGAATCCACCAGACACATTGGGGACAGTTCTCAGCTTGAAACAACATCAGTCCAAGGGCATTGCAGCTGCATCAATGCCATGGAGCCTCTGCTGCCAGGCTAAACAGAATCAAGCAGCAATTATTGTGATTAAATGTTGTTTCTAGTGCAACATGGTAGAAGTGAAAGAACTTGTGGCTTTTTTGTTCTGATTGCACAAGCTTGGAGTTCAACAATAAATGGCTTTTCATTTGTGGTCAAAATACAGCTCTGTATTAGGAACTTAATCCTAAACAGGTTTTTACCTCTTGCAAAGTTTATAGTGGTCCAATATTGTTTCATATTCATGGTGTGATTAGAAGATGAAATTGTGCCTGGCACATAGTAGGTATTTATCAATTATGTGTTTAATGAATGACAGAGTGTCAGCAAGTAGAAAATATCATGCGAGGTATTGGTCAAGAAACCAGTGAAACCAACCCGAGTTGCAGACTGCCTGTAGTAAGAGAAACAGAGAAGCTTTCCAGAATCTCTTATCACATATGGAACCTCCTCAAGCTTATCAAGTCCTGAGATTAGAAATTAAATGGATCCATTTCCAACTTGCTTTTTGTGTAAGATTTTCAATATTTTGGGTATATGCCTTTAATCAGCCTCGGAAGCTTTCAGGAGAAGTGTTTTCTTTCTGCGTTACCTGTCCGTGCACCATCTGTGTGTTTTGGTTCTGTCTTCGCATTTTGTTGAAAGGCTACTCTAAATTTGAATTGTAAATATGTAAATATGCCAAGTACATGTTAATGAAAAAATAACGAGACTTGTAAGTCAGCCCTGCAGCCGGTGTACCATGGTGATGTTGCCAGAGTGCAAATGGTGTTTTGGAAGGGCTGTCGGGAGTGATTCCCGGCACTGCATGCTGACTAAAAAGGCCGTCCATGGCTTCTCTTCCTGACATCCACCTAACTGCTGTGGCCTCATCAGGTTTGCCTCTGAATTACTAAGACTGTGCTTTCTGGGAGTTGAAACTATTGATCACATTAAGAATTTAAGATTCTTGCTGGAGCAACATTCTCCTTTGTGTGGAAAGTCCTGAATTTTTATCTTAGACTTTAGGAATCACTGGCAACTTATAAAATGATAGAAACTAAGGGTTCAAAAGAACCCTTAGCTTCTTTTGAAATGACCACATTTTTCAGAAGGGGAAACTGAGGCATGGGGCGGCTTGGACTCGCTTCAGGCCACACAGCAATTCAGTGGAAAAGAATGGAGCAGAACCTGGTCTGTACTTCTACGTAGCAGCAATGTACCCGATCACTGCCATTTTACCAGACTCTGGAGTGGGAAAGAGCTGCCTTATATTCAAGTTCCTTTAAGGGAATCAAGAAGGCTCCTAGGAAACAAAAGCTCTGACTTTATCATCCCATAATCTTTGAGTAAACTGAAGGCTAGGTTCCAGCTCCAGGGATCCGGCTGTATAACCTTCAGCATCTGTACTAGTGCTACTTCAAATGTAGTTCACAGACTGGCAGCCTGGATGTCACCTGGAAGCCAGTTAGAAATGCAGACTCTTGAGCCCCGCTCCAGACTTGCCAAATCAGAATCTGTAACAAGATCCCAGATCACCATATATACATCTAGCAGCTCTTCTAGAACAGTGCTTCTCAAACTTCAGAGTGCGTCACGATCACCTGCAGGGCTTGTTAATACAGAGGTTGCCGGGCCCCGCCACCCCCGAGTGTCTGAGTCATAAGTCTGGGGGAAGGTTCAGAATTCTGCATTTCAACAAGTTCCCAGGTGCTGCTAACTGGGACCACCCTTGGGGAAGTTCCATTCTACAAGAACCATGACCCTGTCCCTTCCTCTACAAGGGGCCTAGGAGTCACACCCCTTGAGTCATCTGCCTTCCCTGCCCTCTCCAGGCAGAAAGCTGTGAGGATAAGCTCTGGACATATATTTTTAAATACAAGTTCTGACTTTCTCTAATCAAGCTAGTCTCTCTTGAAACATTTCCCCAGCCCTAAGTAATTCACAATAACACCAGTAAATAACTTGGAGGGATGTGTGTTTTGAGGATTTTGGTTCTATTTTTATGAATCAAGAAATATTTTGCCTGGCTATTAATATTTTTAAAACTTCATAAAGATAGCCATTATTTAAGTACTGCGTAATGATTTCAGCCACATTTTTGCCATTGCTGGGTACAATATTAGCACTGTTAAGCCAGCAGTCCTTACGATGGCAGTACATCTAATGGTGTGGGAGAGACCACAGGACGCGTTCTCTAATTTGGCACTAGCTCACAGTGAACTGGTGTTACAAACTCCTCTGTTGACATTCCTTTGACATATGAAATGACCATCTGCTCTTAAATTCTACTTCTCCAGTCTTGAGGGTTTACTTTTCCCAGATCAAGCATCTTTTACTGTGCAGTCCCAGTGAGGTAGTAGCTGTCTGCCGAAAGGGGGCATTTGTAGTTAGCCCAGGCTAAACAAGTGCTAAAAGGAAGTGGATCTTTTCAATATCATGAGCCACGAGTAGGAAATTTGATTGAGAGGCATTTGTGTCAAGTGGTACATTTTTGAACCTCTTGGCAAAGAAACTGAAGTTTATTTTTTTTTAAGTCTTTTATTATGAAAAAAAAAAAGGTGGCTGAATTACTGCCCTCAGAAGCCAAATAAAAACAGTGCAAAGCAATGCTTAACAGAGCGTGACTGCAAATAGTGCTGGTCTCAGTAAACTGGCCTGCCTGTAGACACCACATCCATCACAGCAAAGCTGGTGGGATGTTTGTAAAGCCCTCCAGATACCTTGGAAGGAGGTTTATGATTAATGCATGGCTGGGAGTAAGCAGTGGGTGTACCAGATGGGAGTGAACATTCTTCTCTCTGGCCCTAAAACAAGTCCTGATAGAGTGAAGTTAAGATTGCCAGGGAGATGGGTGTGGCTCTCACATCCTCACCTGTCTGCTGCTGTCCCAGACAGGCCAGACGCCTGGAGGTTGTGAATACCTGGGGCTGAGAGCATGCTGGGCAGTGTGTTAGAAGAGGAAGTGCTGGGGACAGAGCCTGTAGCTGCATGACCCTAAATAAGGCACTGAACTTTGAGCCTCAGTTTCCTCATCCATAGAATCGATTCAATAACATCTACCGCAAAGGGTCATGAGGACGAAATAAAATAACCCACAGTAAAGTAGCTGGCAGACACACAGTCTGTGCTCACTTCCATTTTTCGGTGCTTTTTATGTCAAGCCTATGAGTCAAAACTGGTATGTAGCGAGCCTCTTGGGGGCCCTGGAGGGAACTTGGGTAAAGCCACAGTAATGGATTATATGCAAGCAGGAGCACCATGGAGACCAACCTACCCTGGCCAGGTGGTCGGGCAAGCAGGCTTTTGTAGGTTCCTTGTGCCCCCATCAAGTTTCAGCATCACTTGAGAGGACAGAGCAAAAGGGTTTCTTCCAACTCTTACCACCTTTGAAGATCTGACCAATATGCACTTCCTCTTGCCTCCTTTTCTTCCTCTTAACTATTAATTCATCCAATAAATATTAAGTGCCTACTGGGTGCCACACACTACGGCTACAGTTATGAACCAGATAGGTCAGTTTGAAGTTCCTCCCTCCTGGGGCTTAGCCCAGCAGAGGAGACACTTGAATTGCTTCATAATTTCAATTTTGAGTAAGGAAGGAAAAAACTTGTAAAAGATGGGCCTCAGCCACACCTGAGAGGTGGGAGGGTTTTGGCATCAGGAAAGCTGCCCCAAGGAAGTGAGACTCATAGGATGCTTAGATTTGTCAGATGAAAAATGTTGGAAAGAGAGCCAACAATGTTTAAGGCTCCTTTTTCCTTTAGAAATGGAAGGTCCAGCCCCCTTGAGGCTTGTGTGAGGAACCTAGGAGCTGGAGAAGGTGTGAAATTGTCATTGCAGAGAGGGGTCAGAAGAACACTAAGCTTGGGGACATGGTGAGATTACTGGAGTTGACAGGCCTGCTGCGGGGGATGAAGACACTGATATTACGGTGCTGTGACTTTTCTCAGGAGATGTTCAGCTGCTTCAGTGACAATACAGAGAAGCCAGATGGCTGTGTTCATTCCAGAGTGAAGGATTTGCCTTAAGGCCAGGTGCGGTGGCTCATGCCTATAATCCCAGCATTTTGGGAGGCCTAGGCTGGCAGATCACTTGAGATCAGGAGTTCAAGACCAGCCTGGCCAACGTGGTGAAACCCCATCTCTACTAAAATTACAAAAAAATTACCAGGCGTGGTGGCACATACCTGTAGTCCCAGCTACTCAGGAGGCTGAGGCAGGGAATCACTTAAACCCAGGAGTCCTTACAATCGATTCAGTAACATCTACCTTAAAGGGTCATGAGCCGAGATCACGCCACTGCACTCCAGCCTGGGCGACAGAGGAAGATGCTGTCTCAAAAAAAAAGGATTTGCCTTAAGACACTCTTAGCTTATTTTTTAATTGTTTGCTTAGTGCGCTCATCCCTATTACTCTCCTTCCCTTCCTTGTGGTATAAATTATGAATTAAACTTGCATTTTGAGAATCTGCTTGAGAATCTACTCACCATTCTTCCTACAGAAACATGTATTCAATAAAAATTCCTGACTGGCTCCTATTTCCCAGGTCATAGAGGTGCTAGGAATATGGTGGGAAGTGAGGTGGAGACATCCCTGCCCTCAAGGAAATTAGATTGGATGAGCCAACATGCAAGGCAGGAAGAAATAGAACCTAAAGCCCAAAATACACACTGTCTGAAACATTCCATGAAGCCTTCTTGTGCAAAGTGAATCCCCACTACCCGTGCTCCTTATGCAGTCAGTGTAGAACGTACCGCATTAGCCCAAATAGAAGCGCATCTCAGGGTTCTGTCAGAGTGCATGTGATACGTACTTCTAGAAAGACCATGCCCTTGCACTCTGCCTCCCTCCCTCTCTCGTGTCTCTCTCTGTCTCTCTCTCTTCACCATTAAAAATGAACCTTGAGAATTGGCTTCCAAGTCAGAATTTGGGGGAAACCAACCTTAGAAGTGATTCCTTACCCATCAAATTCACTTGCCTTTTGGCTTGTCTGGGGCAAAAGTGTTTATAAACAATAAACTATATTATTTCTGTGATGTAAGTTTAATGTATTATTGAAGACAAGTGACAGCCCCACATACCCCTCCACCAAAAGGGTCAGCTTTCCTGTTTTCTGTGCAGATCGATAGGTTTGGTGTGTACAAAAAGTGACCAGGTTATGCTGACAGACAGCCATGAGGATTTATAACTTGCTTTTAGGATGAGTGCCGGTCTCTCTCCCATGAGCAGTGAGTCCTGATAGCAGGGTCACTGTGGTCTGGTGATGTTAAGGCATTCCAGGTTTCTTTCATCTACACTCATTCTTAAACTGCTGCAGAAAGAGATGTCAAGATATCACTGGGTGGGGACATTAGAAAAGGATTCAGGAATCTATAAACAAGAAAAGCTTACCTTCCACCACCCTCTGTGCTTTGGGTGTGTTCTGCCCCTGACTCAGTGCAGGATCAGAATAGGGCGATCTTGATAACAATCATGTGTAGGCAAAAGCCTTTGTACCTTAGCAGGATGGAATAGTAAATATCTGGGTAGGTGATTCCCCATGTGTTTCCAACAGACACTCATCCGTGCAGAGTTCAGTGTGGCAGGCTTTTCTGTAGCACAGTCCCTGTAACCTGAACGGAAGACTACCTGAATTTGCACACTTTAGCTTAAAACTCTTTCTGGGGCTTGAGGATTCTGTTCAGAGTTTATTTCATCTTAGCCTGTGCAGCTGTCAGTGTGCTCACAGGACCAGGGAACCCACCAAAGAATCTGCTTCCTCCGCCATCATTAAATCTGGTTAATTTAGAGCCCACAAAGTGTCATTTTACCACATGGTTCCCACGCCTGGTAATGACCAGGAAGGAAGAATTCCCACTGGGATTGGGCCCTTGACCATATTTCATCCAACAGTGAGGGGTCATGAGTGGAGGTGGTTTCTATCATGTTTAATTATGTGTCAACTGCAACAGCTGTAAAAAGGTAATGACTATCATTACTGACCTAGACCTGCTTCAAAAGAACTCTAAAGTGTCTGTTTCCATATCTAATCTCACTGGCCATCCCATCTCTACCAAATTATTATTTATAGAATTTGCTATGATCAGAGAACCTACCTGTTAAGGATGTTTGGCCAAAGAAATAAATAGCTGCCATTTGGTCTGCACCTTTCATTAATTTGTGTGGTTTTTTTTTTCTCCTGTTGGAATTGATTTTGGTGGCTGATAGTGCAGGCTAATGAAGACAATTCAAATGCCAAGCATAAGGCACCAACAATAATTGAGCAGCTTTCCTTAAAGAAAGTGCTGCATAGGGCTGAGAACAGAATTATGCTGCCACCTTGTGGTTAAAAGTGACACCTGCTGGCCGGTCATGGTGGTTCACGCCTGTAATCCCAGCACTTTGGGAGGCCGAGGCAGGTGGATCACCAAGTCAAGAGGTGGAGACCATCCTGGCCAACATGGTGAAACCCCGTCTCTACTAAAAATACAAAAATTAGCTGGGCATGGTGGCGCGCGCCTGAAGTCCCAGCTACTCAGGAGGCCGAGGCAGGAGAATTGCTTGAACCCAGGAAGCGAAGGTTGCAGTGAGCTGAGATAGCACCACTGCACTCCAGCCTAGCGACAGAGCGAGACTTTGTCTCAAAAAAAAAAAAAAAAAAAAGGACACCTGCTGTTAAATTTAAAGGCCAGTGGTTTTTCTAGTGATTAAATCACTTATGCATTAAAACAAATTAGTGGATATAAAAGGGTAAGAGAGTATGGACCTTTTAGTCCAAAATAATTAATGAGATAAATCTTTGAAAGAATCCCCAATGAAAGTCCTTTAACCATAAGCACTGACCTTTCTCAAGGCTAAACAACAAGTTCTCACAGTAGTTCGAAATTATACAAAATTGGGGTGGAGATTGAGGTAGTACCACTGAGTCTTTTACAGCAATACTATATGCTTGTATTATATTACAGTCTCCAGCCATGACTTTACATCAATGCAGCCAATAATGAAGCCTATTTTATAGCAAACAGAATTAATGTACAACTATTAATCTAAATCTGTGATCACATTAATATTACCATCTTCTGTGGCTCATCTTAGTACAGCATTCAGGTGCCAAAATTAAGTGTTAGTAGAGTTAACAATTAAAATAAATGGTCCTTCTTTGCCCTGTGTTGAATAACTCAAAGAATATTTACACATGTGGTCTGATAAGAGAAATTTTTTAAACTTTGAAGAAATAGGCTGGGTGTGGTGGCTCATGCCTGTAACTCCAGCACTTTGGGAGGCCGAGGTGGGAGGAGTTCAATACCGGCCTGGCAACATAGCAAGACCTCATCTCTACTGAAAATCAAAAAAGTTATCCTGGTATGGTGGCGCATGCCTGTGTTCCCAGCTACTCAAGAGGCAGCGGTGGGAGCATTGCTTGATTCCAGGAGGTCGAGGCTGCAGTAATCACAGCACTGCACTCCAGCCTAGGTGACAGAGCAAGACCCTGTCTCAAAAAAAAGAAGAAATAATATTCTATGTAATATTATATAGTTGAATGCAAGTTTATTGAGTCAAGTAAGAACAGGATTCGGAGAAATAGACTTAAATGTCTTCATGAAAAAAACATAGGGGATGCTCCTCCAAATGGCTCAGATATTTCTGCTGGAAGAGATCATCCCTGATAGTCAAGACATAACTTACTTGATATTGAATCAGCCTAAAATAAGATGGTCCTTGTGGACCATAACCATGTCACAGGACAGCACTGCCTTGGGTGGCACAGTGTAGAGTCTGGAAATGCCATGATTGTCACAGGACAGCACTGCCTTGGGTGGCACAGTGTAGAGTCTGGAAATGCCATGATTGCCACAGGGACCTTCCTGTTCAGGGTAGCTTTTACTATCCATACACTATGCCTCCTATCCGCTTACTGTCTCCCCCATCACTCATCCTAAGAAAAGCCTCGCTGGCCATCTGAAAGGGTACTGATTTCCCTCCACCTTCCCCTCACTCAAAAGAACAGAACGAGGACCCCCAAGCACTGCATTTAAGGGCAGTTAAACCGACACATGAGGGTCCAGCCTAGGGGCAGAGCACTGGGCCCTCTGCATGAGGCCTCTACCCTCAGCTGCTCCAAGAAGGTGAAACACAAAGTGATCCATGTACATCTGCACACATGGGGAGGGGCCATCCCCATGCACAGGGGAGGAGCCGGTCCACCGACACACATTTACCAGGAAGTCCATCTAGACCTGTGAGCAGGAGGGTGAGCGGGAGGCAGTCTTGGCTCAGTTGTAGATGAGCTGCCAAAATTTAAGGAGATAGCCAGAGAAGGCATGGGCAGCAGAATTTTGGAAACAAACATCCAGAAAAAAGAGAGAGAGACCAGGAGAGAAGGGTAGCAGTGCACAGATCTTCTCCAAAATGGGAACCGTCCACCAAGGACGTCTGCTGTAAGGATCAAAGATTATGTTAGTCTAGATCCCCTCAGCCACCACTCCTCCCACCTCCCCACCACCAACACTCACACACTCTGCCAGGCCCCTAAAGAAGAGTAGGTGGCAGTTGCTGGTGCAGCCACTCAACCCGCCAGCACTGCCCACGACCACGGGGACTGGTGTCCCACAGTCCTCCTGCAGAGCAGCACTTAGAGGGTCCAAGAGGAGAAAGCTGCCCCCGCAACTGGGGCCTTTGTCCCTGAGGACTGCAGTGCATCTGACTCAGAAACGTGCACCTGATGATGATCATTCTGTTCGCTGTGAGAATTTTGTCCACAGTAAGAACTTGGGAAAAAGTCTTTCAGTGGCTTTATAGACAATTCTAATTGAAGGGGAGTGAGCCAGGAGTTTCAACACATTTTCTCTTGGTTCCATCCTTTATTCCACAGCTTGTAATAATCCCCTTTCATCCTCTTTCTCCCTGCACTGTACTAATAGGCTGGGCATCCCACATCTCTCATCATATTCTACTGACCTCCTTCTATTAGGAGAGAGGAGAGAGAGAAGAGAAACATGTACAGAAAGGAGAGAGTTGTTGGCGATTCCACACTAGGTTTCATGAATGGATATCTGGCTTTTGAATAACTCACACAGCAAACTCTTTTTAAGAACATGGCATTTTATAAATGGGCATCAATTAATCTGTTGTATGAATGAATGAAGAACAAACAGATGCCTGCACAGGAGATAGATACCTTTTGTCTGTGATTCCTAAAATGTTGTATGCTTTGGACCTGTGTATAAAAATGTATTTTATATATTTTCATTGGTCATCATGATTTAGCTGCTTGCTTGAATGTATTTTAAAACCTATTGTGGTGCCAATTTGTAGTCTCAGTTTAAAGTGAATTATTCTTTGCATCAACAAATCACAGAAGTGGTGGTTATTTTCATTTGTTTATAGCTGTCTGGGGGCAAACATGCAAAGTAATTTGACTTGTTATTACTGTACGCCTGTCGTGTTTACAGGCACAATATACATACAATCAAACATAGGAAGAAAGAAGTTCTGTATTACGCAGGGAGTCCTGCATTTATATAATTATAGAGCCTTAGAAGACGTTCATGTTGATTCAAAGATTGAGGAAAACAACTTCATCTCTCAGAACTCTCTCTGCATACATTGTAGGTAAAAGTCTCTTTTTCTTCAGCTTTTTAATATTCTTTAACTTTGAATATTCAAATAAATGTGACAGTGTTTCACCTGGAGATGATTTGGTCCAATTGAACCACATTTGCCAAAATGGCTTTTATTCTCCCCGTTTTAGGAGGCACCCTGGTTTGCTGCGAAGCCACCCCTGCCGTCTTGATGTCTGTGCTCAGGGATGGCTGAAAACAGTCACAGCTTTATCACTGAAGCAAACGAAAATGTAAATACTTTTTCAAAGAAGATATTGCACTATTATCAAAAAACCAAAGTATTTGCTTATTCATGACACTTGAGACCAACTTAAAGGCTATTTCTTTTCATTTAGAATGTTCTAGAATTGAGCAAAGCAAATATTCTTTAAACAAGGCCTCTGTGATGACAGATCATTTGATATACGACTCCATTTTTAAAATATCTGTAGCTCTTAAAATATTTCACACAAGGAATCTGACCATTTCTGTTTCGAAGTATTGGGACAGGGTGCAGTGACCCTGTGAGTCCCAGCATCCCCACAGTGACAACGAGCTTTCCTTGATGGACACAGAGCACAGGCTTTGGAGTCTGAGACAGCTGGACTCATCCCTCCCTGCCACTTAGCTCCTGTGACACTCAGGGGAAGTCACCGCTCTGCTGGGATTTAGCTTCCATCTCTGTAAAAGGGGGATTAACAGTGCCTCCTACACAGGGTGGTGACAGCAATTAAATGAGGAAAGCATTTAGCAGAATCCCTGGTACATACCAGGTACGGAAATGTACTAGGTAGAGCTCTTATGCTTCTCTTGCAATTGTTTATAAATAGGTCTTATTTATTCCCAGGGATGTATTCTTAGCACATACTTCATTCATTCATTTGAAAATGCATTTATTGGGTACTCACAGCAGGGTAGTGTAAACATACTCAGAATACATAACATACTCAGAATAAATAAATGCAGGTGAATATAAAGACATTCTATTTCATTAGTTACATTGACCTTAAACCTTCTCAGACAACAGTGGGTGAGGGAGATGAGAGATGGCAGTGGGTAGGGAGATGAGAGATGGCAGTGGATTAGGGAGATTAGAGATGGCAGTGGGTTAGGGAGATGAGAGATGGCAGTGGGGGGCAGGGGCAGGTGATGAGTTGCATTTTTGCAAAAGCTATATAAGAATTGTTATATACTGTTCTGATTTTTTTTAATGAACCTAAATGAGCATGGATTTATTTGCTATGGAGTACTTGAAATCTTTATTTGAAGACATTAAGAATCCATCCAGGCCAGGTGCAGTGGCACACTGTAATCCCAGCACTTTGGGAGGCTGAGGCAGGAGGATTACTTGAGCCCAGGAGTCCAAGACCAGTGTAGGCAATATGGTGAGACTTCGTCTCTACAAAAAATAAAAATATTAGCCAGGAATGGTGGCGCATGCCTGTAGTCCCAGCAGTGGGGGGCAGGGGGGTGGTTCAGGAGAGGATTGCTTGAGCCCAGGGAGGTCAAGGCTGCAGTGATCCATGATTGCGCCCCTGTACTCTGGGCAACAGAGCAAGACCCTGGTTGAAGAAAAAAAAAAAAAAAAAAGAACAAGAAGAATCCACCCCCAAACATATCAAGATAAGACATCCATTGCTTCAAACACTGGGCCAGGCAGCTGTATGTTCCCGCTTTCGTTTTCAGGTAAGAAAAATGAAGACCTAGACCATGGAGGGGACTTGCCCAGAGTCCAATTTCAAGTCCAGTCCGGGGCTCTCCTCAGCATCCAGCACACGCTTCCCTGACTTTGCGCAAAGGTCTTGCTCCTGACAGGGACCGAATTACAGATTCTGCCACTTTACCCGAGAATTACTCTCCAAACGCACTGGTCTCTTTGCAGGACACAGCTCTCTGCCTCCATGTCACCACCTTTGAAGGACTGACTGATTCCCTCGGCTGGTGCCAGTGCCTGCTCCTGCCATGGGGCCCGCGGGGAGCCTGCTGGGCAGCGGACAGATGCAGATCACCCTGTGGGGAAGTCTGGCTGCTGTCGCCATTTTCTTCGTCATCACCTTCCTCATCTTCCTGTGCTCTAGTTGTGACAGGTGAGAACCAGAGTGTATATACCTGTGCCTTAAACTAATACATCCCCTGTACCCAGAAGAGTTTCTGTGGAAAGCCTGTTAGGAATGGAATCCCGCCACAGAGCCGTCCCAGAAACTTGTGCATTAGCTTTAACTCTCTTCTCTCTGCTGCAGAGCGTCTCGGGACATTCTTTATTCACTGAAGGAAAACCCATATTTGGTTTTGCTAGGGAGCAACTAGAAGAGCCCTTATATTTTAAACTTCCCAGAATGAAAGTCTTGCTGTTCTTTCGATCACACCCTTGTCAAAATGGATTTTGTCTTTTTTCATGTGCGGGCATTTTGAAATCTTGTGTGATGCGCATCTTTTTGCCACCACCCTGCGGAAGTCACAGAATGTTTGCTGCTACGTGATTTCGGAGGGATTGTTTATGATTAAAAATGTGTAGTGTAGACCTTCAGTTTCTCAAGAAACAGATTATTTTCCAAGGAGAGGAACATGCTGTATATGAAATAATCATCAGTGTCCTTTTTTTAGAGTTATACTTCTCTCTCTCCTCTGTCTCATATAAAATGTCAGTACCCCCAACAAGAGAAATCTTTGCTCAGAGAGAAGTTCTTTCTAACCAGAAGTGATGTTTCAGGACATTCTGGAACTGTTACAAAGCACATAACCTTCTGATAGGCTAGATGCCACCAGAGGCCCATGCAGACCAGCTGACCGTCAGCCAGCCCTGTCCAAACTCTCCCTCCACCATGGAAGCAACTCCAGGAGCGTCACTTAAAATTCTGAAATAGCTTCCTACCCTAAAATCTGTCAGGAGGAGAAAAGCCAAGACCCTCTGAACCCAGCTAGCCTCCTAATCCCTGCCCAGCCTGGACCCAGACCTCTGTGGCTGGGACAGAGTCTGAATGATTGGGAAGATGAACAAAGAGGCCGCAGGGCCGGGGCTTCCCGGGGCCTGGACGGCCTGCTTCTGTAGTTACTCATGTTCCCACTAGGTGTCACCCTTGTTTTATAGAGAACGTGGATGGGCGGCGTATTCTCTACAACTGATGGCTTTCTTTAGACTGTCCCGAGTAAAAACAAATTCTATTTTTACTTGACAGACTTTCCCATAGACTGGAAGTACATATGACTCACCCTGAGAGCATGTACCCTTCCTGGCGTGCCAAAAATCTGTATTTTCTCCATCCCACTGCAGTGTGTGACTTTGCAGAGACTCAGATAATTGTCTTCATTTTCTCAAAAAAAAAAAAAAAAAGGTATAACTTACTCTGCTAGTTTAGGTATAAACAATTTCTACGCAGGCCCAGGCCTCGGTCCTCTCCTTGTGAACTTGTATGTTTTTTCCCGGAAGAAGGGGTGCCAGGGGAGGTGGACAGTCCCTAGTTGAGGCTTGAACTCCTCTTCCCCAGCACCTGCAAACGGGCCATCAAATCACTGTCTGATTTTGTCTTTGTTGACAAAATAAACATGGTTCTTAAAACGAGAGATTTAAAAGCTGATAAGAATTGGGATAGGAAAGGGTAGTGTGCGCTTGATTTTAAGGGGGCACATTTGACATTACAACATTTCACTTTTCATTTCAGGGAAAAGAAGCCGCGACAGCATAGTGGGGACCATGAGAACCTGATGAACGTGGTGAGCCTGCGCGTGTCGTCTGCCTGTCTGTCCGTGCGTGCTCCAGAACATCAGCTACTTATCTAAGTGTGCTCCCATGTGCTCACAGCCTGAGTAGAACCCACGGGGAGAGCTAAGCCTAAGTTAAACGGTGGCTTCTGAAATGGATGCAGTAGTGCTGCTGCCGGAATGATCCTTAAATGGCTCCAACCTACTGCAGGGATGGGACTTTTTTGCCTCTATTAATTTGCTAGTGCTGTCATAACAAAGGACCGCAAACAGGGTGGCTTAAATAACAAGTTTGTTTCTCAGTTCTAGAGGCCAGAAATCCAAAAATCAAGGTGTTGGCAGGATTGGTTGCTTCTGAGGGAAAGTCTGTTCTAGGCCTCTCCTGGGGCTTCTGGTGGTTTGCAGCCAAACTTTGGGTGTGACTTGGTTTGTACAGGCATCACCCCAAATTCTGCCTTCATCTTCCTATGGTGACCTCTGTGTTTCACATCACCTCCCATCTATGTATGGCTGGCTGTGTCCAAGTTTCCCCATTTTATAAAGACACCAGACATATTGGACTAGTGCCCACCCTACTGTAGCACGACCTCATATTAACTAGCTTCGTCTGCAATGACCCTATTTCCAAATGAGACCATATTCTCAGGTGCTGGGGGTTAGGACTTGGACATGAATTTTGGAGAGACACAGTTCAACCCATAACAACAGGTCATTAAGCTGGAGGGAGCTTGGGACCCACAACACCCTAGGTATATAACCTAGCCTTGCTGGCGTTTTCCCAGCCCTCAGTATCTTACAGGGTCCTGATGATCCTGAGGCCCTCAGGGATCCACCCTGGCGAGGAACAGCCTGAGAGTGTCCAGGTCCTTCCTTGTCCTCTCTGACCCAGGCCCGTGCTTTTGAATGGCTGAGCAGTCCCAGCCGCTGGGGAGGGGGCCCATCGTCACATTAGCAAGGCAGAGTTCAGAATCTGCCCTGAGTCCTGTGGCAGTGCTAAGACAGAAGATGCTTCTTGTTCAGGACATCATTTCTCAAGGTCAAGCAAAAACTGGTTGGGAGGAGAGGGTGCAAACAAGGAAGCATGGATGAGCCAAGGTCTGGCGTAAAACCCGCAGCCAGCAGACGTTTGCAGAGATGACCAGGGGCATCTCCAGTCTAGGCTTCCTGACCTGCCAATTCTCAGGACTCCTCTGGCCCAAGCAGGCAGGAAGTTGTCAGGACTCCCCGTTCCTCCTGGGACCCCCAGGATTTTCCTTCCCTCCCCTCTGCATCCACATGCCCACCTCACCCTTCGCAGCTTTCCTGGGCCCTCATCACCACTCCTCCCTTTACTCTGTTTCTCGCCCTGTTCCCATCCCTGGTTGTCCACATTGTCGCCACTTCTCATCTGTTCCCAGCGCCCCTGCTCTGCCTGGTGATTGCTGCTGTGGTGGCCTCAGCAGGGAGGGTGGGAGGGATGGAGGGAACGCCCCACTGTCGCTTCTCCCCATGCAGACTCCAGGCCCCTGCCTTTCGTCACTCCACCATTCTCCTGGTGCCAGTTGGGTGGTGAGGTGGGGCTGGGGAAGGGCTCCCACCGCCATTCCTCACTTCCTTCTAGAGCAGGGGTTCTTCTGCAGTGTGGCCTGGACCTCCACCCACAGCAGCAGCAGCACCTGGGAGCTCCTTAGAAATGCGAATTTTCCTGGGGGTGAGGCCCAGTAAAAGGCTCGCAAGCACCCCAGGTGATCCAGTTGTATGCTCGAGTGTGAGAGCCACTGGCCTAGAGCTTGGGTTCCCGCTGTTCTACTCAAGGTCAGCAGCAGCCCTGGGCGAGATAGGAAGAGAGTGGCAGGTGGATAAAAGGAAAAAGCTGGCTTCCATCCCCTGCCTTCTTCCTCATCCACCATATAATTCATTATTGCCCCAACCCATAGCCTCATTTATATGGATGTGAATGTCTGTGAGAGAGCGCGAGCACACACAGGAACGCATGCTTACCCGGACACTGGCACCCATGTACACACGCTCGCCCACCCAGCTCTCCTTAAGAGCTTTTCAGCTCCTAGATCTTATACAACTTGCGGATTCTTCATCTCATAGAAGCAAAGATTAGGAATAGTAGTTAGAGTCTAGATTATGGTAACTTCAGCTGTGATCGATTATGCTGTTATGGGCCCACCTGGGAGTCTTCCTTCCCCACACCCATGCCTGCCCATTTATAACATCATTTCTGGGATATTAGCACCTGCATTGCAAGTTCCTGGCAACCTAACACAGTGACCCATCTCACTGGGGGCTCATCAGACGTGAATGAGCTGCATTGGATGGAAACAGCTGACTTCCAATACACTTTTGGATCATTGCACAGCATGAACTATCTGCTGTGTATTACTGGCTTCCAATCAAGAGTCAGAGAATTTGTGAGGCCAACTAGCAAAGGTTTGTGTGCTGTTTACATCACAACTTTCCTTGTAGAATCCTGGAGCATGAGATAGCCTCTTGGAACGTGCAGGCTGTGAGAAGAACAGGGAGCAAATCACATTTGCAGTGATTTGGGCTGCAACCTGAGACAAGTTGGGTATTTAAAGAAATACATGAACACCAACTTGCTTTCTGACTACTCTTAGCTATAGCTGAGCCAGGCATATTGTTCTAGGTAGCATCTACACATTCTATCCCTGCAGAAAACCAACTATTGATGCCATTCTTCCCTCCAAATGTCCTAAGTTTATTTGTAAGAATAAGAAAGATTTGCAGAGCTGGGCACAGTGGCTCACGCCTGTAATCCCAGCACTTTGGGAGGCTGGGGTGGGCATATCGCTTGAGGCCAGGAGTTCGAGACCAGCCTGAGCAACATAGCAAGATCCCATCTCTTATGGGAGCAGCCAGACATAGTGGTGCATACCTGTAGTCCCACCGATTCCAGAGGCTGAGGCAGGAGGATCTCTTGGGCCCAGGAGTTTGAGACTTCAGTGAGCTATAATCATGCTACTGCACTCCAGCCTGGGCAACAAGGTGAGACCTCATCTTAAAAAATAAATAAATAAATAAATAAAAAGTTTGCAGAGCTAATTTTCAGCATATTATTGTTTCTGTGAACCTAGCAGCCAGAGGCTTTGCTGGTTCTAAAATAGTTTCAGAAATCAATAGCCTTATCTATCTCTGACCAGATTTAAGTCTGTTCCCTTCACATGACAAAGGGTGATGCCTTTCCACGTTTCTCATAGCATGGCACACCTTTACCAATAATGATTTACAGCACCTGTGTTGTAAGGATGAGGCTGCTGTGGTCTTTTTCAACCAGTTCCCTTCCTGCCTTGAGCTAAGGGAATTGATATCTCACAACCTGCCTATAGCCCTGTGTAGGTCACCAGGCAGGAAGCTCTGCACATGGCTTTGGAAGATTCCCAGTGCCCCTAAGATTCTGGGACAACAGTGTCTAATAGAACTTTCTGCAGTGCTGGAAGTGTTCTGTATCTCCTATTGGATATGGTATCCACTGGCCACATGTGGCTATTGAGCGCTTGAAATGTGACTAGTCAACAAGGAACTCAATTTAGTGTATTTTATTTTACTTAATTTAAATCTAAAAACAGTAGCTCCCCTTAATCTGTAGTTTTGATTTCTGCAGTTTCAGTTACCCACAGTCAACCACAATCCAAAAATAGGTGAGAACCATACAAGATATTTTGAGAGAAAGGAAGAGCACATTCACATAACTTTCATTATATTATATTGTTTTATTGTCAGTGGTTATTGTTAAATTACTGTACTTATAAATTAAACATCATCATAGGTATAACATATATGGATAGGAAAAGACATAGTCTATATAGGGTTCAGTACTACTCATGGTTTTAGGCATCCACTGGGGGTCTTGAAATGTACCCTCTGTAGATAAGGGGGGACTATTATAGGAGATTCTGTTTTCTGTTTCTGCTGTTTTAATTTTTTGAAAAAGCCATGGATCTTCTCCTCTGCTCTGCAGTCCAGATTCTTAGCAATGTGATGCATTTGTTTTTGTTTTTGTTTTTGTTTTCAGCCTTCAGACAAGGAGATGTTCAGCCGTTCAGTTACTAGCCTGGCAACAGATGCTCCTGCCAGCAGTGAGCAGAATGGGGCACTCACCAATGGGGACAGTAAGTTCTGCAAAAACACCAGCTTTCCACACAGGCCTCATCACCTCTGGAAGTCCTAGGTTTCAAAATACATAGCTCAAAAAGTAGGAAATGTGTTATTGCTCAGTTTTAGTATTCCTAGCAGTTTTAGCAGAACCCCTCATTTGGATGAATACTGCTACTTATTAATCCACTTCTGTGTGCCAGGCATTGTTCTAAGACTGGTACATGTACTAATTCATTTGCTCTTTTAGTACATTTTAGTACATTTACATGTACTAATTCATTTACCCCACGAGATTACTGTTATTAATAATAACACTACTCTGTAAGATAGGTATTATTACTCCTCACAATTTAAAGGTGACAAAACTGGGCACATTGCTGCTGTAACAATATTACCACAAACCTCATGCCTTAAAATAACAATTTATTGACTTGCAATTCTGAGGTCAGGAGTCTGAAATGGGTCTCACTGGGCTAAAATCAGGGCATCCGTAGGCCTGTGGTCCTTCCTGAAGCCTCAAGGAGAATCCATTGGCCTCTCCCTCATTCTTCACATCCCTCTCTGACCCTCCCCCCTCCCTATTCACTTATAGGGACCCTTGTGATTACACTGGGCCCACCTGGATAATCCAGGCTTCCCTCTCATCCGGGAGTCATCTAATTAACAGCCTTAATTCCACCTGTAGCCCTAATCCCTCCATACCCTCCACAAAACATTACACATTCACAAGTTCCAGGAATTAGGAGACAGACATTTTTCAGGGTCGTTCTGCCTTCCACAGAGATGTTGCTAATTTGCCTGATATCATATAGTCAGCGGGCTAAGGATCTGTAGTTGGAACCAGGCAGTCTGATCCCTGGGCACGCACTCAGTCACTCTGCATAACCTCTGCATCATGCATTGTGTACTCTTGCTGATGGAAGGAGCAGCTAGGTTTCCTTCATGCTTTAGAGTTTACACCATGCTTTTACCTGAGGTAAGAGGGCGTCCTGTTACCCCTGTTTACTGATGAGGAAACTGTGGGGTAATCAGGACACCAGTGCCTGTTCTCTGTCTACCATGATGTAGACAACTAGAACCAGAGAGCAAAAGTTCACCCCCTCCGTGATGATCAGGGATTTAGAACACACAGGGGTGTTGGTAAGTTCAGAAGGATTGGGGGATCCGTTGTCATTTTTTCACATACCCCTTGGAAACACTATTTCTAATTCCCCCAGAGTGAGACACTAATGGAATAACTTGCTTACTTTGTGTCTGCATCCTAAGGGCAGGGCTTTCTGTTTCATTGAATGATGTGTCTGCAGCACCCTGCACCATCCCTGGTGCATGGCAGGCACTCACAACACGGTTGACAAAGGGACGACTGAACAGCTTCACACAATAGCATATCTGTGGCTGGCCAAGAATTTCACATTTGGTTTTTTTCTAATTTGAGGTAGGAATGTTGGTGGCGGGATGAGATGGAAGCAAGGTATGAGGTGCCAGTCCCTTTGTGCTAATGGCTGACGGGTGCATGTTTGCCCTGTAGTTTCTATTATGTCTGCCAAACAAAAGTCACCTGTGTGAAAGGGGGTGGCTACCAATAATTCCCTCCACACAGGCAGGGGTCAGTGGTGCTGGGGACTGTGGTCACTGCACATGCTGCCTTTCTGGTGTCCAGCCTCCCATAGTTCAGCGGCATCAAACTGGTCATCTTCTGGTCACATTGGACAATCTGCCTACAAGAGTCTCTCATTGGAGTGACATTAAGGAAAGTAATTGTGAACTACACTTAGAGCCAAGATAACTTATTAAATCTTGTATTGGGAAAGATATAATGAACAGCTTTATTTTAAACTGTGATTGAAGTAGGATACCAACTGATGGTCATAACAACTATAATTTGTGCCTGAGACTTAAATAAAAAGCACGCATCTTGATTTAACCTAACTTTATATTACCTGATTCTCGGTAATAATTATTGAAAGACTTGCCTTTCTCCGCTTTTAATGTGTGTGCTGCTTTAGTTCTTTCAGAGGACAGTACTCTGACCTGCATGCAGCATTACGAGGAAGTCCAGACATCGGCCTCGGATCTGCTGGATTCCCAGGACAGCACAGGGAAACCAAAATGTCATCAGAGTCGGGAGCTGCCCAGAATCCCTCCCGAGAGCGCAGTGGATACCATGCTCACGGCGAGAAGTGTGGACGGGGACCAGGGGCTGGGGATGGAAGGGCCCTATGAAGTGCTCAAGGACAGCTCCTCCCAAGAAAACATGGTGGAGGACTGCTTGTATGAAACTGTGAAAGAGATCAAGGAGGTGGCTGCAGCTGCACACCTGGAGAAAGGCCACAGTGGCAAGGCAAAATCTACTTCTGCCTCGAAAGAGCTCCCAGGGCCCCAGACTGAAGGCAAAGCTGAGTTTGCTGAATATGCCTCGGTGGACAGAAACAAAAAATGTCGTCAAAGTGTTAATGTAGAGAGTATCCTTGGAAATTCATGTGATCCAGAAGAGGAGGCCCCACCACCTGTCCCTGTTAAGCTTCTGGACGAGAATGAAAACCTTCAGGAGAAGGAAGGGGGAGAGGCGGAAGAGAGTGCCACAGACACGACCAGTGAAACTAACAAGGTGGGCACTGGCGTTTTTGTTTTGTCTTTGTGGGTTCCTGTTCTGGTTAGGAATCTAGCTGGCCCTGGAGTTGTTCTGGGAAATATCTGCAAACACTTTCCAGTTTGTTGAATGATGAGAGCTGTTTTCATGTAAGCTGTGTTTGGCTTTTTCCCCCTCCAAGTAATAAAATACCAAAAACTTGTATTTATCAAATATTTCTCTCAGCACCTTACTTGGATATTTTCACATTTTTTCCATCATGTCTAATTAGGGCCAAATCTTGTTTGCTTCATTTTGATGTCCACAAATTAAATACAGAAACTGGACACTTTGCCCACACATTTTACCCATTCTGCTTGTTGGCTGCCTCAGCAGCATGGTGACCTTTCCCCTTCCAGGATCCCCAAAAATCAGCATGCATAGCAACAGGTACCATGGGAACCAACTCACAGGTGCCCCTGGTTATATCTGATTGTACAAACCTTCATATAAATCAGTAGGAGATCTTATTTTGTGACCCTTTCTAAACTATAGCCTATACTTCCTAAATTTAGATATTCAACAAAGCTGTAAAATGCATTAGCAATCCACACCTTCTGCATGTGTCTGATAACTTGATATCTGAGCCACGATGAAGTTCACATCCCTGGTTGTTAAAATCTCTTTGGGATTTAACTAGGCCCATCTACTTCAGGCAACTAATAATTAATTTCTGTTTTCTACACAGAAAAAGAGGAAGGTTCTCTCTTCTATTCAGTTTTAGTAGGAAGGACAAGTAGCAGGTTAGCCAGTCACTAGTAGCCTTAAAAACCTTCCGTAGTTCATGGCCAGAGGTGAACCCTCACTCTGTTTGTATAAATTAGACCAAGAAAATCATTCTTTGTGCTGTTCTCTGAATGCATTTCAACTTTTCATATTATCCATGAAATCAGCTGTTGAGAGCACCAATAAAAGGGTTTATGAACATGTTCATAAAATATAAAAATGCAGTCCAATTTTTTGCCCTTCATAGAACCAAAGACCATAAACCTGATGTAAAGTTCATGCTGCCTAAACCAGACAAAGCTTTTTACTTACAAGCATTAGAAAGATAAGACGTTGAGTTGTCTAACCATTGCTAGTAAACAGTTCTCCAGATTTCACGTTAAAAACTGGAAATAATCATCTGGAAATAAAATTATCCTTCCACAATATAGTAAAAATGAGTAATCCATCATCTTTATATAAACAACCCTAATTTTAAGTGAGTTGAGGGTTTGAAGTATTTAATATTCATTCATTTATTTAACAAAAGATCTTAATAAGCACCTGCTGTGTGCCACACAGTCTTCTAGTCCTGGAAACAAAACATGTACATGAACAAAATCCCTGCCCTGTGGAACTTACATCTTAGTGGGAAGAGACAGACATAAAGTTTAAAGTTTATAAGAGAAAAAAATAGAACCGAATAAGGGGAACTGAGAAAACAGGTGGGGAGTACAGTTTTGGATAGAGTGGTCAGGGTCTGCCCAGCTATGAAGGTGACGTTTGAGTTAAAGGATCCAAGGGGGTGAGGTTTGTGCTTTTGTGGAAAGAGCACGTGAAGCAGAGGGGATGCCCAGTGTGAGGCCCCTGAAGCTAGAGCTTGCAACTGGCTTTTTAAGGGAAGAGGAGGGGACTGCTGTGGGTGGAGAGGGAAGAGCAAGGACAGCAGTGAGGAGAAAGAGAACCAGAGCTCGATCCTGGATGGCCTTGGCTTATAGTCTGAACACTAATAATGTCACTAGAGTCCCGAGCAGCAGAATGGCACAACCTAGCCTATGTTTTCAAAGGATCCCTCTGACTCCAGTTTTGAAATAAAGGGTAGAAGTGAGGAGAACAATTGGGTAGTGACTCTAATAAACCAGATTAGAAATGGCGGTGGCCTGGATCAGGGAAGAGGCAGCAGAGGTGATGAGAAAAGCTAAGCCAGAGCCAAGAGATTTGCGGATGGATCCTACGCTTAGTGAGATAAAGAAGAGGCAGTGATGAGTACGAGGCTGGGCCCAACATGTGGGAAAGATTGAATTGCCATTAACTGAAATGAAGAGGATACAGGCAGAGCAGGTTTTGGGGGGAGAACCAGCAGTCAGTGTTGGGTACGTTCAACTTGAGATACCGATTGGACTTCCAAGTAGAGCTTATCAGATGGTAGCTGGATTGATGAGCCGGGTAAAGAGGAAAGGCCAGGGCTGGATTTGCTGATGTGGGAGTCATCCACAGAATGTGGTTTTAAAAGTCATGAGATTGGGTGAGGTCACAGGATAGGTGAGTGTAAATAGAGCCTGGAAGAGCTCCAAGAATAGAGATCTGGAAAAGGAACCAGCAGAAGAGACCAAAGTAGGAAACAAAAACAGGAAAGTTGTGGAGTCCTGGAAGGCAGTGAAGAACGTGTCCAGGAAGGAAGGAGTGGCGGGCCGCTCTGCCAAATGCAGCGGGTAGGTCAGGGAAGGCGAGTCTCATTGGTGCCCTTGACAAGAGCAGTCTCTGTGGAATGGTAGAGGCAGAAACATGACTGAAATGGATTAGAAAGAGAATAGGAAGAGAAAAATTGTTCGGTTGACTTTTTAGACCACTCTTTAAAAGATTTTGCTATAAAGAAGTGAGACAGGCTGGGCGCAGTGACTCATGCCTGTAATCGTAACACTTTGGGAGGCCGAGGTGGGTGGATCACTTGAAACCAGGTGTTTGAAACCAGCCTGGGCAATGTAGCAGCACCCCGTCTCTACAAAAAATACAAAAATTAACTGGGCATGGTGGTATGCACCTGTAGTCCCAGCTACTTGGGAGGCTGAGGTGGGACAATGGCTTGAGCCTGGGAGGTCAAGGCTGCAGTGAGCCAAGATCACGCCACTGCATCCCAGCCTGAATGGCAGAGTGAGACGCTGTCAAAAAAAAAAAAAAAAAAAAAAAGGAAGTGAGATAATGAGTAGGTAGAATTTCGGAGTAGGACTAGGTTTGTTTTGGTTTTAGAATGAGAGAAACAACAGCATGTTTGCATGTGGCTGGGAATGATCCCACACTGGGAGAATTCCTGGCTCAGTATTCACACATAGGTATGTGGAGACAGGGTCTAGTGTGTAGGAAGGAGGGGATCACCTGAAGGAGGAACATGGAAAATCCATTTGACAGGGAGGAAAGAAAATAGATTAACGCAGAGGCTGAGGGTGGGGCTAAGAGTTGATACAAATTTCTTCTGATTCCTTCAGTTTTCTTAGCCAACTAGGAAGCAAGATCATCTGCTCAGAGTGAAGATAGGTGAGGAGGTGTTGGAAGTCTGGGGAGAAGAGGAGAAGATGCAAAGTAGACTGTGAGTTGAGCAGAGACTGAGTATACTGGGGAAGCATCGGATGATACGGAGCGGCTTTAAGGGCTCACTAGAGGGTTGAGTTCACGTATGATTGGCAGTTGACTATGGAGCTTAAGCTTAGTAAAGCAGTACAGGACACCAAGGAGAAGGGCAGACTTTGAAAGCATGAATGGGTCCCAATGGTGTTGAAGGAGCATTGGAACTGGGTTACAGAAGGAGTGAGCTTTGACAACGAGCGCTGGTCTGAAAGGGGTTGCAAGGACTTGGGCTGGTGGAGAGGCTGTGGTTTAGAAAGGCCTGGGGTGCAGCCATGAGGGTGCTGAGGCCGGGGGTGGACATGGAGAGGGGACACAGATAGAGCATAAAATCAGTGGGGGAAGGGAAAGTCAAGGAACTGAAGGGCGGGATTTAGAAGGGTACACGTTTGTTGAGGTCACCAAAAATTAAGACAAGGGATGTGTTAGAGAATCAGTAAACCAAGAGCCAAAATCCTTCAGAAATCAGGCAGGGGGCAAGACACAAAATGTGAGTCAGTTTCTCCATTAGCTTTGAAGTTTCCAAATGACTTAAGGATCTTTCTGATGACGCCAGCAAACTGTAGAAGTATAAAATTCAGGCATTTGATAAAGAAACACCATGTTTTTAAATATTAATCCTCCATGGATGATCAATCCTTCAGTGACAATTAGGAATTGAAACAGTAGTCTAAATAATTATTTTGGCTTCTTTGTACCTACAGATGCAAATACAAAATTAGAGGAAATTTCTCTAAGGATAATACTACTAGATATCCCCGAACATCATACATGTGGTAATAGATTGCATAAGTGTTTCTCTTCCCATAATTTCTTCGTGGTTCCATAAAAATCATTTGAAAACGTTGCTAGACAGATTATGAGGAAACATGTGCAAAAGAAAGGTTAGATTGTTAACGCTGAATTACTTTCCTTGGCTTGTGTTTGTTCTGACAGAGATTTAGCTCATTGTCATACAAGTCTCGGGAAGAAGACCCCACTCTCACAGAAGAAGAGGTAAGTTTTGTTTCTTTTTAAAAAGGGAAAACTGTAGTAAAGAATAGACCTTCCCCCCTTGAATAAATGCACTGTAATGTTACCCTTTGAAAGAGCTGAAATATTCTCCTATGCCTATGTTTGGAGATGAAGACTTGGGATGCTGGTTTTATAATGGCTTGGAGAGACTGACGGGCAGGCCAGACAAGAAGGATGGCAGGACAAGTAGTCAGCTCAGGAAAAGAAACTGAGCAGGAAAGCAGGGTCAGGAAAAATAGAGAGGGCAGGGGAGAAGAGTGAGAAGAGAAAAATTCCAGCGTGGGAGCAGTCAGCAGTCAGGAAGACCACATCAGAAGGAAATGAATCATGGGTTGGAAAATTCAGGAAATTAGAACAGGTGAGTGTAGGGAATTTGCTCCAGCCTGGGAGACAGAAAGAGGAAGTCTCCGTGGGGAAATTTGGATGCTGAGAGCAGATTAACTTCAGTAAGTACAGTTCCAGGCAGGAGCTAGGGTCAGACATAGCAGCCAACAAGAGCAGATCGCATATTCCCAAGCACCAGGGTGCAAAATTCACGAGTTAGATTTTCAATGAAGCATTAAAATTGTTAAAGCCAGTATTATACATATAATATGAAATATGTGTATATATACATATTTCATATGTATATATATAAATGTTGAGCTATGCTCAGAGAGCTAAACACCTTAATTGATCTAGCTGTATATAGCTTCTATCTGGAATTCCTAGCAGAGTAAATTGTGTACATGTACAAGAGCAAAGTACATATGCAGGTACATCACTTCCTATAGGACTCTGAGTAAAGCATTAGAATATGGACATAGACACCCACGTTGAATGTTCAAAGAGCAAAAATGCTTTCCCTAGGTGATATTGCCCACCCTCGTCCATGTTTCTACCTCCAGAATGGACCTGCCATCTGTCTATCTGGTTGCACAGACCAAAACCTAGGGGTCATCTCGATACTTCCTTTTCCTCACTGTCCTCCAACACAGTCAATTGCCAAGACCCATCAGTTGCACCTCCAAACTGTTTTCTTTGTGTACCCACCTCCCTCAAGCCCACTGCGGCCGCCCCTCCCTAGGCCAGAGCAGTCCCCTCCTGCTGATCCCTGGCAGCTCCTTGGCCTCCCTCCACTCTGTTTTCTACTCTGCAGCCAAAGTGATCCCATCTGGGACAAGAAGGTAAAATATATAGGAGTTCTGGGAATTAAAGACTATGTAAAATTTTAAATTGCTCCTTATCTTACATTTGTTTGTATTTTTTGAAACAGGACCTAGTTATACTGATGAATTTTTAACATGACAGAACTATGACTCACAGACATTCATTTTAGGACAAAGAGGAAAAATAAATATGAAAGTTTTTTTTGTATTTATGTAATTTAATGTTAAACAGTCCAGACTGAAGCTGAGATCTGAGCTTTAAGTTCTATTACCCCAATTTAACAGAATGTTATGGAAAGGATTGATTAGAAAAAGAAGAGAAATGGGGAAAAGGAAGAGAGTAACTTATGGGAATATAGCAACAATTTACAGACTGAGGAATAATGATGAAAGTTTTAAAGAGAAAAATTGAGAAGCTAAATAGCAAGGGGGCTGGAAGAGAAACCTGTATACAAAATAAAAATAATAGTCATAATGGTCATAGAAAACAGTCAAAAGGAATATGAGAAGACTCAAGAAGCTTTTATAAAAGTTGAAATGTACAGTGAGACCCTCTGCACACTAGGTTCATTCCCAGAGTCAATATTAAATTGCAAGTTAATGAATGAGGACAAAGGCCAAGAAGACCAAGTACTCTTACAAAGAGTGAGGGGCATTAATTACAAAGACCAGGGGGAAGAAAGCTGAGGAGAGAAGCTAACGGTGGTGAGGGGCTGACTCTCATTGTTACAATCTAGGTCAAGGTACATTTGTCCTCCTTGATGTTACCAGGTGATGAATACGCTGGTATGCCGTCTCCCCTCACCATTGTCATCCATTGTTTACCTTTTTATAATCTGTCCACATATAATTTTTGGCTTGGACCACCATTTAGATAATACATTCTGTGTTTGCACTTCCTTATAAACAGCAGTGAATTTTTTTTATTAAATTCAAAGAAATTATAATTCTTGTATTCTGAGAGCAGTTTTTTCATTAAAACCTCTAAGGTGAGAATGTTAATCATTTCATATTCATTAGGATAGTCAGATCAACATAGTAAGAGTTTTCCAAAGACTGTTTTTCTGAACTGTAAACCCTTGGATTGTCAAGGCCTCACCAAACTGAGCCAGCCACCAGCCTGTAATGAAAAGTTCTCATGCAAATGACCAGTTAGCATGTGGCAGGCCTGTCTTAAGAAGCTTTTGAGACATAAGAAGGCCTGTCTTAAGACAGGCCTGTCTTAAGAAGCTGGAAACTTCACCTGCAGTATGTGAGAAAAGTGGAAGCAGGAAAATGTCCCTCAGCCCTTGGGAAGCCAGGCATCTGTGAGGAAGCATGTTCATGTATTTCCTGGGTATTTGAATGAATCAAATCACTGTGATAAAAATAAACACAGGTAATGAAGGGTATTTTTACTTATTTCCAACCGTGATTTTTCACAATAAAATAATACTCCCCAAAAGTCTCCTAATTAGTATATTTAATCTTCACAATGAATGAAATCCCTGTTGATATCGGAGGTGATACAGGATTTATTAGTGAGACTGTGGGGGTGTGCTTGGAAAGCCACTGGCTCTTAATAGTATCCTGTAAGTTGTCATTTCTGACTTGGCTGGTTGCAAGCGAGAATGAGTTTTCCCACTGAAGAAAACTAGACCTGGACTGTCAATGTCTGTTTAACCAGTAATACGCAACTAAGTCAAGAAATAATGGACAGGAATACCCTTTCAGATATATGTGTACCACCAACGAGAATCCAGCAACGGGTGTTGGAGACCACTGTGATGCAGGAAGCATGGAGTAGTCTAATTCAGAGTTCTTATACTTTACTGGCCATCAGAATCAGCACCGGTTGCTGGGCCCCAGCCCCGAGGTTCTGATTTGGTGGTTCTGGGATGAGGCCTGAGAACTTGCCTTTCTGACAAATTCCCAGATCCTGTTGCTGCTGGTTTACAGCCCACACTTTGAGAATCACCGGTCTACTATGTGTTTTCTGTCCTTTTTTGTAAAGCAGTGGAGCCCCTTTTCAGGCAAAATATCATTCTGATAAAGAAATGAAATAAAACACATGCTGTGGTCAGGTCCCCGGGGCCTTCAGGAGCTTCCCACTCCACCTCTCCTCAAATTCCTCGGCAGACCCAAGAGAACTGGGTTTTCACGGAATTAAGGGAATATGACTGATCTAGTTAACATAGTTGAAGATAGTGTGTGTAATTATTCTCTAGTAATGTGCTCCATAATTAGTACAGATAAGAAAGAACAAATCTTTAAGGAGTACACACACAGAAACCCAGGAGTGCTCAGTATGTAGCTTGTCACTAAAAAGAGGGAGGGGGAAGTCACAGCTGGAAGTTTATTCAACTCTCCCTTTGTCTCCTAGATCTCAGCTATGTACTCATCAGTAAATAAACCTGGACAGTTAGTGAATAAATCGGGGCAGTCGCTTACAGTTCCGGAGTCCACCTACACCTCCATTCAAGGGGACCCACAGAGGTCACCCTCCTCCTGTAATGATCTCTATGCTACTGTTAAAGACTTCGAAAAAACTCCAAACAGCACACTTCCACCAGCAGGGAGGCCCAGCGAGGAGCCAGAGCCTGATTATGAAGCGATACAGACTCTCAACAGAGAGGAAGAAAAGGCCACCCTGGGGACCAATGGCCACCACGGTCTCGTCCCAAAGGAGAACGACTACGAGAGCATAAGTGACTTGCAGCAAGGCAGAGATATTACCAGGCTCTAGCAACCCAGAAGACAACCCTGGGTAGCCTGTGATCAGTGTCTGGAGACGTTTCTTCTGTGGAAGAGAAGAAGTGACACAAACCTATACTTCATATGCTGCTTTAGTCACCTGAAGATGGTTGGAGAGGCCCTGTCGACTGTTCTCCCAGTTGTTCAGTTTCTGAGACAGAGAGGTACGGACTAGGCTGCACCTGAGTGTGCCCCTGCCTGCCAGATGGACAGGTACACCCAAGCACATCTCCCTGCTGCACCCTCACCACCCACAAAAGATCCCAGCTGTCAGTGGTCTCATCTCATTAGTGAGGAAAGCCAAGCTGTATGGAAAAGCTGCACTCACCAAGGACCACAATGCCCCCGGCCTAAAGTACTGCCATTCAGAAAAGCAGGTTTTTCTTCCTCTCTTTCCTTTTCTCTGTCTGCTACTGACTTTAAGGCTTTTTCCCCCTTGAAATGTCCAGATTCCTGTGGTTCATCCCAAGGAAATTTTCACACAAAGCTTGGCCTTTGCCCTCAATATAGGTGTTTTAGGATGGTGACAAACCATGGCTGCTGCTTTCTGCCCAGCTCGCCAGTCCTCCCCAAAGAGTTGCGCATCAGCACCTGGGGATCTGGACCCTGCGGGTGAAGGGATGGGGAGGGACGTCCCTGGAGTCTCTTCTGTCTTTGTTCCTTCTTATTTTGGCATTCGATATCAGCAGCCTCTCCCCAAAGTACTTGAAGTCAGTTTTAGATGCTTTATTTTATTTTTCTAGTCAAAAACGTGTTTCCCCCAGTGTTTGAAAACTCGTCCGAATCTTTTCAGTATTTTCCATGAGTATTGTGGTACTTCTAGACTTGTTTAAGCCCAGAACTCATTCCTTCAAAACAGAGAGCCTTAATCTTTATGTTGGGACACAGACCACATATTTGGACGGCAGCCATGCATCCATCGCTGAAGGGCTGTGGACATGAATGTGTATTTCCCATGGTCTCCGCTGCCCACACCAACAGTGTGGCATCTCATAAGTTAACTGCTACCCTAAGGTAATCTAAGATTAAAATGTAAACATTTATTTTTGTTATGTAAGTTTATAAGATGTTTTATGTTCAATGCCTAATTTCTCAAAAGTGCCAGAAAAAAATGTATATTAGCTATTTTGATTTTATGTACAATGATTTATACTCTCCTTTTGAAAAGATACCATAAAGCACATAAGCTAGATCACTACAAGGAGCTGTTATCTTTTTTCTAATCAAGTGTTTAAAACACTGATGGTTTTTAAAGACTCACCTTTTTAAATGGTACTTGGAGCTCCTGATTCAAATTACCTAGACCCCCTAGAGAAATAAATGGAATATACATAAATAATCATTTTCAGTGGTTTATGGTGGGCAATATTGCAATATTTGAAATGGTAAAAATGGAAAGAAGAACAAAATATGATGAGAGGTGGCTGTGAATTATAAACCTCATAAAAGTGTCATAATTCCATTAAGGTTTAATTATATTTTTTCAGAAAACAGTGATGAATTCTGTAGTCCAGTGCTTGCCAATGCAAATTGCCTATTGGAATCTTCTTCCTATATTTTACAAACATCAGTGGCTGAAATAGCTCAGAGTAAGAGCTCAGCCTGGTTTGAATTTAATCATCTCTTTAGATCTTATAAGGCCAGCATTAGGAAACTTGTTCACTTTTCATTTTCAAAGGAGCCTAGTTGAAGTGCTATTATGAGTGTGGGCTATGGAAAGACAGCTTTTCCTACACTGATAAAGAAAAAAAATGAGGAAATTATTTCATCCCCTTGTGACATCTGTGACTTTTTGGATTTAATAATCTTGCTGTTTTTCCTCTTTATGACAAAGAATATAATTGGGAGGATGAAGTGTCTTAAAAATTGTAGAGACCAGCTCACTGGAATGTTTTTCCATCCCTGTATTCATGGCTTGACTTTGTGACTGCTCTACACTGCATGTCTGACATTGCAGAGTGAGCTATGTTGAGGTAAACTGGTTGGTTGTCATTATTTTGCAATCAGCCTGGTCTCTCCCATGAAGATGTCGTGTGCATAAGCACAATCATCACTGATTAGAAGATCACAGCAGAATACCCTTGGATTAGAGAGAAGTTCGTACCTTGCATTTCTCTGAATTCTAGTCTCTCATAAGCACTGCTTTGCTGGATGATTTTCACTGCTTTGTGTTAATGACTTTGAGCGATCTCTCACATGATGGGGTTCTTTAGTACATGGTAACAGCCATGTCATCTTACACACCTAGCATTGTGAATGCTGTAGTGACATCCTTTATAGGCACCTTACAGCTCAAAACTTTTGTTTCATTTCATGCCTTACTTATCAAAAAGGCAGGAAAGTAGGTATGATCTCTAAAGTAAAAAAAAAAAAAAAAAAAAAACTTTTTATAGAAAGCTCATAAATAATCATGTCATTTTGCAATTTTGTTACCAAAATTTCCCCCAAGAGTTTTCAAATATTAGTTCTGCAATGTGGCTATGAAATATGCACTGAAATATACCTTTTAATTTGAGAACCAGTGGTTAGAATAAGCTGTGATATAAAGTATTTTCAGTGTACTTTTAAAGGAACTATAAGGCCCTCCAGCATAAACGCTAAAAGAATAGATGGTAGCACAGGCCATGAGGGCTGGGGGAGAGAAGCAGAGTGAACCTTAGAAAGATGGCTCAGCTATTTGGAGCACTGGATATTTTACTGAAGTTATTTACTGAGGCACCATCACTGTTTTGACTGTACAGTATAGTTTTTCATAAATTTCATCACATTTACTTTGTTCAGAATCTGGGCTTGAATCTTTGAGTTGGACAAAAGCCTATGGTTTCTTTTAAAAAGTTTCATCTTGAGCTAATGCTACAGTTTAAATAAAATGTATGAAAGGTAGTTATCAAAAACAATTTGTATATTTAAAATTCTATTTTGACATCCATTTTTTACAGCGAATTATAGCAGGTTATGTGAAATTTAAAAATAAATTTTAGGAAATTTTTTTATCTTGTAAGTAAGAATTATAAATCTATCTCAGTTAAAAGTAGGATCTTTGTTTTTATTCAGATATTTTGAAAGTTTAGAAGCATTTTGTATGCTACTTTGGTATTTCTTAAGTATAGTCAGCAGGAAAGGGTAACCTGTTTTATGCAAAATTTTTTTAATTTGTCAAATGTTTTTAGTGTGTCTACTTTCTGAAATAGTCTCAATATCCTGTCTGTATCCTAGGCAGATAACTACACAAGAACAAAACGCTATATAGAAAAGAAAATATTTGAGGAAATCTTAAATTCCATAAGAAAGTAATTCTTGCAAGAATGTTGGCTACATATTTTTTTTTCTGTCCTGAATAAATTACATCATTAGGTCTGTTGAAGCTTTTGAAGCTACCACTATTCTTTCTGGGATAAAGGCTAATTACTGATTTATCTGCCCTCAAAATCCCAGAGTTAATTCTAATTGAGTACTAAATTAACAGTAAGTAGTTAACACAGAGAACTAAAATTTAACCGCATTATATCACTGTATATATTTCTCATGATTTTTGCTAATTAGAGCATTTACTTAACCAGTAATAAACTACACACACACACACACACACACACACGTATACGTGTGTGTGTGTATATACTTGGCTCTGACACAACTCTGGTGCTTAATTAGGATATGTTCTATTATGTATTTTGAATGTTTATCCTGCTAGTGTGATGAACTTTTGTTGGAAAAGCAGAATTAGAAGGAACAGTTTTTCAATCAGTTTCATTTGGTAATTACAGGAAAACCTTGAGTTGCTCTAATTTAATTTTTCCAATTAATACATTTAGACTTTAAATTGCATCCGTAATTCTCTTGGCTGAAAAACAGTGGTATTTTAAGACAGTTTTGTTATACATGTGACTTACTTTTGACTCAGCCTGAGAGGAGGAAATGTAAAGAGATAAGAGATTTGGCCCAAAGCAGCAAGAGACTAGTAACCTTGAGCCAGGACGAAGCCAAGACAACGTGACTCCCAAGTAGCAGGAGCAGAGGTCGGTCACCTGTGGCATTCTGTTTCATTCCCTTTTAAAATTATGAGACTTTATAGGCAGTGTAAAACATCAGCAGGCAGCGATGTGATAGGATGTGCGAAAAAGCTGGTCTGATACCATGGCTATAATTACAGAGCTTTAGTTCAATTAGGATTTTGTAAATGAGCAAATGACCTTTTTTTCCAGTGCCCCTTGTAATAGTTAATATGAGTCCATGCAATCTTGTGATGCCATTCTCCTGAAGGTGTTGATTTCTGGTACCCAGCCAGCTTAGCTTTGGCTGCTGGAAGCACAGTAGGTACTGATGATTACTTCCTGGAAATCTTGACAGGCTTATTGTACTGTGTAATGGGGAAAAGTTAAAGTATAATGTTTGGTGTTAATAAATGACTGATGTGAAAATAGGAACATGTGTCTTTAATATCAAATATGGCTTTATTTGCAGTGAAATCTAAATTCCTTATTCTACAGTAGTATTTTCTTGCCCTGTGTTGTATATTTTCCTAAATACATTTTTCCTGACAGTGGCTTTAGGCCAGTTGAACACACTTAGACTGAAAGTGTTTAACTTAAAGAGATCAGTCCAGAAACCATGATAAATTAGAATCTTTATCTGGAATTACCAAATTAAAATTTAAAATCATGGTCCAGAAGAGAACAAACATTCATGGTTTTTTTTATCCTACTGCTCATTTTTAGGTCTGTGTTTACATCTAGTCTCTACTATTTGTGAAGTATGTCATTATTTTTTTCAAGTTCTTCTTTGACTTAACTGAAAAATAATATTCCAAATTCTTAATGTAACATGAAAAGAGAAATACAATTTTTGCTTAAAAGACATTTTTTAAAAAGCGTTCAATTCAGTAATCATTTCTGTTAATACAGGAAGTTTTTTTGGCTTGCCAGTTATATACTGTGGGTATTTTTTAAAATGTGCTACCCTTGGGTTGTCTCATATCACCTTGCGTAATCATGTATTACAAAGGTTGATAATTGTCATTTCTCAGATGTCTGTATGTTACATTGGCAGCAGTAAAATGTTTTAATGTTGTTACCTTTTAAATAATTGTGTTGTATTAACATGCCTCATATTTTCTGGGGAAACTTGAAATATATCTAAACAAAAAAGGTCTGTTATAAATAGGAATTGGCATTTCATTGTTAATGTTTTTTCCTCATAAAAATAGTTACACCAAAAGTGACATATTGTCTATTACATGGGCCCAATCAGTATTAAAGTACTCCCCTTACTCAAAAATATTAAAAAATAATTCATGACACTTAGTAGCATTTTCATTGATTGTTTCAAAAGATCTTCATAATGGTCAAATTGTCCAATTCACAAAAGAGTGAGAAAGTTGTTTTCAGTACTGGGAATTTTTAAACCTTAGTTTTAAGACCAAAAATATCTCTTATTAGCTTGAACATTTTGTGATTACTTTTCCCTCCCCGGATCTAGTCCTTTTAAGGAGTAAGTCTAAAGAATGAGGCCATGAAGTCACTATTTCCTCCCACCTCAGTTTGTCTCCTGGTACTTAGCTGGCCTATCGCTTTGTGTGGCAATACCCCTGGGTCGCTTCCCCACTCAGCCTTCTGTATCTGCTGTTCACAGGACATGCCATTATGTCTTTCCAGTACGGATCACAGTGCTGCCATATCACAGACCCTGCCAGCCGGCACAGAACCATGCCTCGTCACAGCTCTGCCCAACTCACAGGCTGCCAAGATGAGGCCACAGGTCCACCTAGGGCGGCAGATGCTGGTGCTATTTGTCACGACTTTTGCCAAAACATGTACACTGTTGCTCACATCTTTCGTAAGAATGGTTGACACTAAGGGGCCATGGAAAAGCACTTTTAAAAAATTATGTGGTGGAATCAAACTCACAGAGGCAGAAATGTTAGTGCCGTGCTCTAACCAAGTAAGCTTAGTGTTCCCCACAGTGATCTGTATCTGGCCTGAGTCTCCTCAAGCAGCAACCCCCACTGTCCAGCATGTGGAAGGTAGATCCTTATGACAACACCAGACCCATAGTTACCAGGAAAGAAAAAGGAAGCTGAGTGTTGTGAAGGGGAAGAAATCCTTTTTATAAGAAGTAATCATTTTTAGGCCGGGTGCAGTGGCTCATGCCTGTAATCCCAGCACTTTGGGAGGCTGAGACAGGTGGATCACTTGAGGTCAGGAGTTTGAGACCTGCCTGGCCAACATGATGAAACCCTGTCTCTACTAAAAATGCAAAAAAAATTAGCCAGGCATGGTGGCATGTGCCTGTAGTCCCAACTACTCAGGAGGCTGAGGCAGGAGAATCACTTGAACCTGGGAGGCAGAGGTTGCAATGAGCTGAGATCGCAACACTGCACTCCAGCCTGGGCGACAGAGCAAGACTCCATCTCAAAAACAAAAACAAAAAAAAAACCTTTTTAAAGTAAATTGAGTGTAAAATGTTTTCACCATGAAGCCATTGCACCCTCTCCCCCAGGAAACAGTGCCTAAGGATGATGTCAAGTTACAGCCAGTTTGCTCTGATCCCCCAGGACCTAAGAAAACTGTGAGTGCTTCAGCATGCAAAGGTAGAGCTACCAGATAAGGAGAATAACTTGGCCATTTATAGCAAACTGCCTGACTTTGGAGTGAGAAACCAAGCACCTTCTAGGTCCTAGGATAGGTGAATTGGAGGTGCAGCTGCTGAAGTTCCCATTTTCTACATACTTCAGGAGCCAGGGTGTTTCATTTGGTTTTGTAAAACTTTGCTGTAAGTCATCACAGTTAATTCTTTGAATGGACATTTTAGAGTGTAACTTTTTTTCAAAATTAGCAGAACAGATATCTCTGCTCATTCTCTTTATACATTTAGTTTTTTAAAGTTCCCCTAGTATACCTGTTAGGCACTCTAAATAGGACACAGTTAAAGCTAAAAGAAGGACCAGTTGCTCCCTAGAGCCTACAGTTCAGAACTATCTTGTTGTCATGTCCTGGTTTGGTTTGGTTTGTTTTTAACTCAACAAGTTGGAAACCATGAGTTTAAAGCAAACTATTTCCTTTTCTTAAGCTTAAAGAGAATTTTTTTTTTAATCTTTAGCTCCTCATTTAGGTAGTGAAGGCTTCCCTGAAAGACAGCAGTGCCCTTCTCTGGAAGAAGAGGCTGGGACCAAAAGCCTGAGTCTATGGGTTGAGGATTTTGAGCATTCCTTTGACAAGCTTCTATGTATTTTTAATATAAGACTCATAAATGAACCTGATGTGGTGTTCATGACCCATCCCTTAAGCATGCTTGCTTTTTTTAACTTTACTTTTTGAGTATAGTACTTGTCTTGTTTTTCCTGGAGCCATGCTAGGATTTAATTCCTATGTGCCACTACCCGCCCATGTCCTGGAAGATGGCCATGCCTGCAGCAATGCTCATGTCTTGAGGAGAAGCAATGTGAAAAGCATCAGGAAAGCTGAACCTTACGTTCAAGTCAGCAAACATTTGTGAGCATTCTAGTATGCTTGCGACCTTGACACTTTTTAAAAATTATCTTTTTATTTGCTTCGAGTATCAACCGTATAGTTGACTCTAGTGGGGCGAAGGGAGCAGAGATGAGAGCAAAATTCAGACTTGCTGCCCCTGTGTGTCTCAGTTCTCATGTCTCTCTGAGAAATGTGTTGGCCCAATTCCCTATCTGCCACTCTGAGTCTCTTGAGTAAATGTGTGTAAATGAGAAAAATTATCTCAAAGATTTAACTTATTATTTAGATATTTTCTTCTTTTTAAACTCAGGAATAAACCTGGTTTGTAGATAATATAATATGGCTACTAGAGCTATAATTGAGTAGGTGACTAGAAGCATTTTTTCAAATATATTTCTTGTAAAGACATCTACTTTGTTTTAACTAGGAAAAGAAACTCCTCATATTAAAATAAACATTTCCATAAGCACTTTCTAGAAGAGTGTAGCATCCATCTACCATCCATCCCAGAATGTTTGTATCTTGCTCATAGTATTTCAAAAATTTTTATGGGTGAAAAAAATGCACTTTTTTATTTATTGGAAAAGTGTAGAGTTATTGAATTAAATTCTCAAGTGGGACAATTTAGTGTAAAGGGAAACATGGGTTTTGGAGACAAGAGCACAGGGCTGTGGTCCCTGTTCCAGCATTGACTTTACTATGTGACCTCGAGCAAATGATTTAACTTCTCTGTGCCTCAGTTTCTCCATATACAAAATGGGGATAATGATACTAACCATTGCCTACCTCATAGAGATGTTATGGGGACAAACGAAATAATAGAGATAAGCACGAATGCTTTCAACTCTTCGGAAGAAAGGTGCTATATAAATTGAAGTTGTGTTTTTAATGATCCAATTATTAATTATGTTTAGGGTTTAAATAACAATACTGTTAGTCATGTTAAGAATAAGTTTTGTTTTGATGCATATTTCCACTTCTCTTCTGTGGCCAGATCTTGATCATTCAACCAGTAATGGTACCTGAGGAACTGAAATGGGTATTTGTTTTCGTATGTTTCTGCCAGTAGTATTTCAATTGAATATCCAGAAAAGACTGGAGTTTAACTTGTAATATCTTATAGTTTACATGTAATAAAACTTATTCAAGCTATATATAAAAGTATGATTACATGTAAATAGCAGGTATGTTGTAATTAAAGGCACTTATCAAATTGTCTTTGTTCTTTTTTAATTGTAATAAAAGTCAGTTTTACATAAAGGCTTGTTAAAATTTATTTGGTATTTGAAAAGGTCAAGAATGGCTAATTTATGTACCTTTCATACATTACCAGGGTTTTGGGATTCCAGCAGTCAACTCACCACCATAACAGGAAAGATAATGTTCCTGGTAATCAGACCAAAGTGTGTAGAGGTTAGCATCAAAAACTTTGCAGAAAAGGACCCGAGTTTGAATCCCGGCTCCATCATGACTTTGAGGAAGCTGTTAGACTTCTTTGTGCCCTCCTTTTCACATTAGGAAATGGGGGATTATAGTATAGAACCTGCTAATGGGGTTGTCCTGGGGATTAAATGAGATATTAAGCATGGTACCTGGCAAGGTGCTAAGTGCTCTGTGCATGGTAAGAGACCATCTTCACAAAAGGGCTGGGAAATTTTTGATGGCATTTACCCACACTTGCCAAGCACTCCTATGAAGATGTGCAACCTGAGAGCAAATAATTCCCCAGGCCAAGAGGAAAATCCATCTGCTTGTTGTGTGAAGGGGATGCAGCCCCAGCAGGATGTCTCAGAGCAAATGACTTTAACCACCATCTGACCTGGCTGCCCCCTTCCTAGTCACTTAAGACTGGCCTTGGGGCCAAAAGGCGAAGCAGTGAGAGTTTTCTTTGGCATGCTCCTGTCTTATTTTTGTCTGTGCCCTGTAACTACAGGACACCCCAAACCCCCAGATTGCCTCTTTAACACCCACCACAACCCAGCCTCCCTTTCTGAGATTTTTCTCTGCTTTCTCCTTCTGTTCCACCCCATCTGCACCATTATAAATACTCACCCTGTTCCATATTTCTCCAGGGACTAGCCCGCTTATTTCTACCCAACTAACTGTTCCTGTACAGTGAGTGAATATCCCTCCTACTCCGAGGACTGTTTACAGTTGTTTAAGGAGCTTGCTGCCTATCACAGTCTTGAGCAAAACCACCCTTCACTCTCATGGGCACGGCAAACTCCTGAGAGACTGCTGGGAGTATTTGGGCATAGAAGAGAGGACAGAGGCTCCCGCAGATCACACGCCACATCAGCAAATGCCTGCTGAGCCCTCACAGAGGCCGTGCCTGCTGCTCCCTGTCAAAGGGTCTCATCTTGCCTGGTTGCTTCCTTGCATGTGATGTAATGATAGCAACCTAGAGGCAGATGTGCGTAAGGGCCTGGCCATCTTGGTTTCAAACTCTGGCTTCATTTCTCACCACACGGGCAGAACTTTCCTTTCCCAGAGTATTAATCACAACTCCATTCTGTGTGTGGAGGCTCAGCGCTAAGAAATGTTTGTTCTGAGTCTTTGGAACACAGATCCTGGTTTCCCACCTGGGCTGTCTGGGGAAATGGAAGCTCCAGAGCTCAGCAGTTTCGAAGGTTCCCTGTCACCTGTAGAATGGAGCACTCGCCTCTTCTGTCAGAGGTGGGTGTACTGCCGATTCTAGGACGTAGACATTTACCAAGTGCTCATTAAGAGGACTGGAGAATTCTGATACCCTAGTTAAGGTGAGCCAAACAGTCCAGACTTTATCATTTTTTTTTTAAATGTTTCTCCTTGGGTCCATCTTTCTACCTCTGTGAATACAATCTGCAATACGATTTTTTTCAGTTTTGAAGAGTTATCCAGGACCTTACTGTACTTTTGAGGTCGCCATTTTGAATGTTTGCTCCCATCCTAGATGATTCTTAAAATCTCAAGGCTGGACCTCGGCACTCCAAAGCCAGCTGTCTCCCAGGCATCACATCTGTTTCCACAATGTCTCCCTCGGTATGTCCCAATGTAAATGTGGTTGTTCTGGAGTGGAATCATCTTTCCGAGCTGCCTTGTTTGCTCTTCAGGGCACATTAACTTTGAAATATTCCCCGTAGCATACACTACAATTTCCTGCACACAGCAAGCACTAAATAAATGTTTGGTTTGATTTGAATTCTCCTACCTTTCTATCATCCATAATCTTACAAGCCTGTCTTGAACTAGTGCCTACGAATCTTAGGATTTCATACTTGAACTCTTCCCCCACCGAAAGCTTCTCTGTGACTGTGAATTTCTGAAGAGATGCCAGGGTAACAAGATAGGGATATCCTCCAAGTCAAACCAGCCCAAAAAGCAGTGGCACGGGGAAGAAGGCAGACATCTGACATGCAGATAAACAGCACCACAATCTGGCAGAGTGTCTTCTAAAACAGACACGTCATTCAAAGCAACAGCTTTAAATGTTTAGGCCCAAAGGAAAAAAAATTAATCATCGCAACATCAAAGTAGAAAAGCAAAGTTAACAGGAAAACAAAACAAGCCACAGGAAAACCAAATATTGATTCATTCCATAAATATTTGCTGAGTATTTACTATGTGCCAGGAGCTGAAACAGGGTGAGAGAGAAGAGACAGAACTCCTGCCTCATTGGAGCTCACATTCTAATGGCCTTAGTGCCTACCTTTAAATGTTTGACATACACGTTTAAATTCTCAGGGTATTCAGCATCTCAATGTCTCCACTGATTGTACCAAGTCTCTGGAGATCCACTTTACAGAGAGGCCTCCAGAAAGGCCTCTATGAGCAGGTTACATTTAATGTGAGACTGAAATAATAAGCCAGTGAAAGAAATTCCAGGCATGGTGCACAGCCAACGCCAGGGCTCCAAGCCAGGAAAACCTTGATCTTCTCACACAAGCACACATAAATCAATAACGGGCCAGCTTGCCAGGCCTCCGGCATGTCTCCTTCTCCACCATTCCTGCCCTTGTCCAGCCAGTCCCCATCCTAAGTCACTCTGTAGCACCTCAAATCAACCTTCCGTACTGTTGCCAGTATTATCCATCTAGAAAGCAAGCCTGTTTGGATCAGGAGAAAAGTACAGACTAATCACTAATTATTATCTACTATTTCCCGGGCACTGTTCTAGATGTTGGGGATACAGCAATAAATAAAACAGCTAATGGTTTCTGTTCCAATGAAGCTTACATTCTAGCAGGGGAAGAAAAATAATTAATCAAACCAAATTTCAGATCCGAAATGTGATGAGTAAAACAAAATGGAATAAAGTTAATGAAATGATGATAAAATAGAGACTGCCTTGGTTTGTTAGGGCAGGAAGAATGATACCTTTTCTACTGGGTGGTCAGGGAAGGCCTGAATGACTTGGGGCATCAGTATAAAACTTGGGGAGAAAAACATTCCAAGAAGAGAAAATAGCAAGTGCAAAGGCCCCAGGGAGGAAAAGACACTGGTATGTTCCTGGACCACAAAAGAAGGCAGGGTATCTGAACCACAGATAGAGTCACAAAAAAGGGAAATATGAGAGAGAGGCAGGGTCCAGATTCCACAGAGCAGAGTAGATCAAATCAAGAATTATACTGTGATAGCCCAGGCACAGTAGCTCATGCCTGTAATCCCAGCAGTTTGGGAGGCTGAGACGGCCGGATCACTTGATGTCAGGAGTTTGAGACCAGCCTGGCCAACATGGCAAAACCCCGTCTCTACCAAAAGTACAAAAATTAGCCAGCGTGGTGGTGCACGCCTGTAGTCCCAGCTACTGTGGAGGCTGAGGCCGGAGAATGGCTTGAACCCAGGAGGCAGAGGTTGCAGTGAGCCGAGATCACGCCACTGTACTCCAGCCTGGGTGACACAGCAAGACTCCATCTCAAAAAAAAAAAAAAAGAAAAAAAAAAGAATTGTACTGTGATATTAGGAGCAAATAGAGGCCACTGAAAGATTTTAAACAGAAGTTTGGCAAAAATTGGTTTTCCATATGAAACATAACATAATACTTGAGGCCAGGAGTTTCAGACCAGCTTGGGCAACACAGTGAGACACTGTGTACAAAAATCATTTTTAAAAAATTAGCTGGGCATGGTGGCACACACCTGTAATCCCAGCTACTTGGGAGGCTGAGGTAGAAGAATCACTTGAGCCCAGGAAGTTGAGGCTGCAATGAGCTATGATTCTGTCACCGCACTCCAGCCTGGAGAACAGAGCAAGACCCTGTCTCAAAACAAAACACATACGAAAAGAAAATAACAAAAAAGAACATAAAATTGAATTCCCAACTTACACCATAAATGAAAATAAACTTCAGATGGACGAAAGAGAGAATAATAAGAAACAAACATACTAGCTACAATAATATAAGCTTACTATTTATGAGTTACCATTCTACAGGCATCTCACTGTATTAGCTCATTTAATCTTCAAAACAACTTTAATGAGTTAAATAATTATTCTCATGGTAATCAATGATATCACACTGAAGCATAGAATAGTTAACAAATTTGTCCAGATTTTAGTGGCAAAGATGAGATTTGAACTCAGGTAATTTTATTTCCAAGCCTGAGTTCTTAAAATTCTGCTGTGGGAGATATTTATTATGGCTTTATTATGTATGGTTTAGAACTGAAATATGCAATGCACAAAAGCACAAATCATAGAGGAAAACACTGATCTGTTTGACTCCATAAATTTATAAAATGTCTTTATAAAGGTTTAAGTGTATGCATCAGTGTAAGAAGCAACATATCTAAGGACAGCAATATCTATTTTGTTTACTTCCATATTCTCATTTACCTACAAGTGTGCCTGCCCATAATAGGGCCTCATTAATATATGTTGAAGGGATGGATGGTGGATAAACAGATAGATGAATAGCATGTAGGTTTACTCACAGCCAACCTACCAGGCATTGTACTGATGACACAAAGGTGGATCAGACAGACCCCCCCCGCCAACCCCTCTGGAACTCACAGCCTTGTAGGCGATGCAGGCAACATTTGTACATATGATGGCAAGGAGTTAAGGGGCTTGCATCCGAGGCACTTGAAGTTCGCAAGGGGGGATGCTGAGATCAGAGGCTGGGAGATCAGTTCAGATGGGCCAATGAAGGCTTGACCAGGGCAGAGGAAATGGGGAGAAAAAATGCTAATTTTAGACATCAGTAGGTGGTGTAACAAAGGGATCTGGCTACTCATAAGATGTACAGAATTAGGGGCATAGAGATGAAAAGACAACTCTTGGGTCTCTGGATAGAAGATGATGATATTAATGAACTACAGATATAGAAGGAGAAGGTTGAAGAGAGGTAGGCAGTGATTTCAGATTGGACTCAGAATGTACATCTTTCCATTTCTACAACTAGTTATAGAATATTTACCTATTTTCAATTGATTTCATAACTATTCAATAATATTGCTTTGAGCTTCTTGGTAAAAAATATTTTGCAATATCATGATGGCAGTGTTCAAGCAAACTAAATATGGCCTGAGAAGGACTCTGTACTCTATATTTGAGTCCTTGTGGATGAACTGTAACTTAGCCTAATAGTCAGACAAAATTGAAAACCCAGCTTAGTAGTATGCACCTGTTACAATGGCTGAGCGCTGGCCAATCCCAGCTGCCATACTTCAACCACTCATAGACTGCTGAATGTTCAAACTGCGTTCAAAGAAGGCAAACGCCGAGCTGTAACTAATTTCACTGTTTCTGTACCTCATTTCTGATTCCTGTACGCCATTTTACCTTTTTTGTCTATAAATGTGTTCTGACCATGAGGCACCCCTGGAGTTTCTGTGAATCTGCTGTGATTCTGGGGGCTGCCCGATTCACGAATCGTTCATTGCTCAATTAAACTCTTTTAAATTTAATTCAGCTGAAGTTTTTCTTTTATCAGGGGAATGTAAACTCCCCAATTATAATAAGTTGAAAAACTATGGAGTTCCCACTGAAACATAATTAATCAGATATGGGTTTACCTGAAACCCATAGTTATCTTCCATTAACCCCACCCCCAATGAATAAATGTTATGTGATAATCATATGCACTACTGAATGAAAGAATCTCTGATCATTTAAATGAAGACTAGCTGAGTAATTGAATAGAGGCTCAACAAAGTAGAGAGCTGGCAAGCAGTTAAAGGGAAGAAAGAATGGACAGAAATAAACTGTATCAGCCCAGTACCATCTAATTAATTTTTTTTTTTTTTTTGAGACAGGGGCACTCTGTCGCCCAGGCTGGAGTACAGTGACACGATCTCAGCTTATTGCAACCTCCACCCCCCCAGGCTCAAGTGATCCTCCCACCTCAGCCTCCCAAGTCGCTGGGACTACAGGGCATGCCACCACACCCGGCTATTCTGTACGTTTAGTTGAGACGGGATCTCACCTTGTTGCCCAGGCTGGTCTCGAACTCCTGAGCTCAAGCAATCTGCCTGCCTCAGCCTCCCAAAGTGCTGGGATTACAGGCGTGAGCCACTGTGCCTGGCCTCCAATTAACATTTTTTTAAATTGAGGTAAAAATAATTTTCCCACAAAAAACACAAAACACCTTTCCTACTCTCACTCCTCTTATTAATTACTAGGAAGCTTTTTAAAAATGAAAAGTTTTTAGTTCTGAGATTGCTGTTGTCAACCACAGTTACTGTTAGTGTTATTTTTCTACATGGTTTTCAGTCTGCTGGTGCTTCTCTCTCACTTCGTTCTGTTTCATAACTAGTTGGATCCAGTGACCCTGAATTGTCCTCTGTCTTTCTCTTGCATACATCTTGTTATATGCAGAAGGATAAAACTAACAGATTCAGTGTTTCCTTGGGAAAATGTTAAATATTCATATCCCTTGACACCAGTGGTCTCCCACTGGGTCCTAACATAAAGCAACCGTGTGTACTCCGGCCCTGCCTTTACTGTGCCCCCTAAACAAAATGCCCCTCTCTCCCTCTAATTAGTGAGCGGGAGTCCTTGCCTTTGCAATGCCCCATGTGCTCAAGACTCTCATTTTCATCTAAGGTCACGCTCTGTTTTGAAATGTAAACAAAACTAGCTCCTGTACAAGGTGAGGTTAGAGGTTGTCGGAGATTGTCCCTCGATTTCGGTGGAATGCCAGGAGCATTGGACAGGGGCTGAGTGCTCTTGGTCCTTGCTAAACCATCCAACTCACTTTCTTCTTAGCTCCGGCAGCTGTTCTCTTTCCTCTTCTACGATAACCCATACTGCACCTTTTAAATTTCCCTCAAAATCACAAAGCATGCATGATGGTAACAGATGTTGCTGAAGATAAAAGTGAGAACAAAATAAGTCAGCATCTCAGTTGAACCGCTGGCCCCCACCCCCAAAGCTCTTCCTCAGCAGCACTCTTGCCTCCCAACCTTCCTGTTTGCATATGCTGTGCAATTCCATTCTCCACTCCCTGCTGGGCTCAAGAACTTCTATCACATATTCAAAGACTGATTAATGGGCTCAGATACAAGAAAATCATCAACTCTGCATATCCCTCTTTGCAGCAAATATAAACAGGCAACAGCTTTCAAGTTTCGCTTCTGTTCTTTTCCACACAACAGCCAGTGTTGAGTTGTATGTCTAGGTCTACAAAGTAGCCACATCAAAGTAAGTCATTTAACCAACCCATTGAAACTGGATCTTTGTTTGTTTGCTAAGAAAGAAGAAAGAAAGGGAGAAAGAAAAGAAGAAAAAAAGAAAGGAAGAGAGAAGGAAGGAAGGAAGGGAGGGAGCTAAAAAAGGAGAGAGAGAAGAAAGAAAGAGAAAAAGATAGAAAAAGAAGAAAGAAAGCAGAAAAGAAGAAAGAGAAGAAAAGAAATAAAAGAGAAAAAAGGAAGGAAGGAAGGAAGAAGGAAGAAAGAAAGAAAAAAGAGGGAAAGGGAAAAGGAGAGGAGGGCAGGACAGGGCAGGGCAAGGCAGGGCAGGGAAGGGAAGGGAGAGAGAAAGAGACTACAGGTTTCACCACGTGGCCCTAGTAGTAAGTGTCTTTCTAAATTCTGTTATGTACAGAAACGTCTCTATGTTCCTCCGCCTGCCTAGTTCTCCCACTTTACCCCATCCTCAACACACAGCCGACTGAGCCCTGGGTTCCATTCAATCTTTCATTCATTCACCAAATAATTGCTAAGTGTTTTATGTACCAGGCACTTTGGGCTCATCTACTTCATCTGTCTCATTTTACAGATGAGGACACTTGGCCGGGCATGGTGGCTCACGCCTGTAATCCCAGCACTATGGGAGGCCGAGGCGGGCGGATCACGAGGTCAGGAGATCGAGACCATCCTGGCTAACACGGTGAAACCCCGTCTCTACTAAAAATACAAAAAAATTAGCCGGGCATTGTGGCGGGCGCCTGTAGTCCCGGCTACTCGGGAGGCTGAGGCAGGAGAATGGCGTGAACCCGGGAGGCGGAGCTTGCAGTGAGCCGAGATTGTGCCACTGCGGTCCGCAGTCCGGCCTGGGCGACAGAGCGAGACTCCGTCTCAAAAAAAAAAAAAAAAAAAAAAAAAAGAAGGAGCCATCGGAGTGGCAGTGTGGGGAATGGGATGTCCACGGGCTTTGGGGTCAAAGACCAGAATTCAGATCCCAACAGCACCATGTATTCACCATTTAACCTGCATCAGTTACACTGGCCACTCTGTCTGCCTCAGTCTACTCATTCGTGAAAATGGGACAATACTCATCTAAAGGGTTACACGGAATAGCATATATGAAAGGCCGTATGCATACACACGCACACACACACGCCCACACGTACATGCGCACACATCACACATGCACGCACACGCACATATGCGCACACATACGCACATACATGCACACGCACGCACACACACACGCACACTTGCGCACTTGACATTGACTCCTCCCTATGGAAACACAACCTGCTCACCTGCACCAACAGTGGTGGCAGCTGCGGGTCCCTGGGGGGTTCTCTGTTAACTTCTATGTTTGGCTCAGGTTCCCAACAACTACCTGCCTCATTGCACCTCTCTTGTTGGCACCCACAGGGCCTGAGAGCGCATACAAAGTCAGATGCCACACTGGACACTTCCTGCCTGGCGTAAGTTGCTTTGTTTCACTTGAAAAGACGTCTTTAGTTGTCTAATCCACACTGTGTTTTGGCTGAAGTACAGGCTCTAATTCAGCTGTAGAAAGTAGCTGAATTCTAATTTAGCAATAGAGAGGTGAGAAAATGAGCCCCCTTCTCCTAGGGATTTTAGGCAGGAACATAGTGGTGAGTGTTTTCACACTTTTGAACCTATCCACCAGGAACTGGAGGAATTAAAGTTTCACCATTTCTGGGCACTTGGTTCATTTAGAAATATTTGAAAAATAAACTGTTGGAGTACAAAAATAAAGTATTCCCTCCTCAATATGGAACCACTCCTCTGATTTACGGTGTATGCATTTTAGATTAAACGATGCTGGTATTGATAGCAAAGAATGCATCTGTGTCTTCAGTAAGATGGAGCTTTCTGAGAGTCACTAGGAGAGTCTTACTAACAGCTGTAGAAAGCCAAGAAGGGGCTTGAAACTTTCTTAGTGCTAAGTAAAGACCAGCTCTAGATATACTGGTCACCTGGTAAGCATCCAATAAATACCTATTGAGTGACTGGAAATGGCATGGCCACATTTCACCATTTTCATTCCAATGACATAAACAGTCATGATCCTGCCACAAGATGACTGTTCAAACACCTGAATTAATGATTCTTATCTCTATTGCTTAGACCACTACTTCCTAACCTGTGCATTAACTACTACCTGATTCTCTCCCCAGCCCACTAGTGCCCCTCTCCCCTGACAGTAACTCTCTGCAGGGCCCAGAGGTGACAGAGGCAGAGTCTAGGCTCTCCTTCTGCTTATCCCACATCTGCCTCTCTTGCTGCCACCCCTGCTTGGTACTTCAAGCCCCTCCTTGCAGCGAGTGAAAGCACAGGAAAAGAGGATGAAAAGAAAAGAAGTAAAAACACCTTTAACCTAGCTATCCGGTCCTTCTGTCATGAATGGCATCCAAATGCTGGCTCTTTGAAGTGGAGAAGCAGTGGGACCTTCAGAGACAGCCAAAGGGGGACATTTGTGCTGCACCAGCAGTGACCTCTCATCCAGGCTCAATTCCTGCCCCTGGTGCTACTGCCCTTGGTGACCACAACAGTTTTGCCCTGCCTGGGTGACGGGCTGAGTTCTTTCAGGACAAAGATCTTAGGTGCGGGCTGGATCTCCAGGGCTGAGTTCTTTCCAGACAGAGATCTTGGGTGCCTGTGGGCATTCCAGTGTCCCTGCCCCACCAAGCATGGGAAGCGTAGCCACTGCCTCTCCCCTCATTGGCTATCCCAGATGTCTCCCCTAGCCTCCCAGCTTTTACTTCCCAAGGCCAGACTCAGGCACTGATCTGTATAAGAAACATCAGTTCCTTCTAAGAACTCTCACTGTCCCCACCCTACACCCCAGCCCTACTCCCCAGGACTATGCTGAGATGGGTGTCAGAATCTGCGGCTCAGCTTCCAGACAGGTAGGGAAAGAACACAGGCCCTGGCCCTGACAATATGTTGAATGAATACGAAAAGTGAAACACCAAGAAACACCAACATTTAAGAGACAGAACAAGGAAGAGAAAACCACAGAGAGACGGAAAAGACACATCAGAAGAAGAGATAATTACTCAGAAGATGATGCCACAAATGTCACAGGAGCAGAAAATTTGAAAAGGAGTTTACCAAGGGCAGCAGACAATGTGGAGAGGGGGAATAGAATCAGGATGAAATGGAGAATTAGAAGGATAGTGTGGGTGTTAGAAAGATCAATTTCAGTAAAGCTGTAGTGTGGAGGCCAGAAGGCATTAGACAGAAGAAATATTCAGAGAAGTGAAAGTGCAGCTATTCCTTTAAGAAGTCTGGCAGCAAGGGGAGAAATATGGGAAGAGAAGGATAAAAGAGCAAGATCAAGGAACAGATTATTGGTGAAATGTTGCATCTCAATTCATTTATTCATTAATGATCCTTTTTAGCATTAGGAAGTCCTTAGCATACTTGTAGGTCTAGGGAAATGAACAAGAGGAGAAGATCAGGAAAATAAGAGTAGCCAACTGGCAGAGCAAGTGTTCTGAGTAGACAGGGCTGGATGGATCTGGGGAAGAGGTGGAGAGATTTCCTGGGATGGGAGGGTGTGAAGGTTTAACTTCATGAGTCAACTTGACTGGACCAAGGGATGCCCAGCTAGCTGGAAAAACATTATTTCTGCCTGCATCTACAAAGGTGTTTTTAGATGAGATTGGCATTTGAATTGGTGGGCTGAGTAAAGCAGATGGCCCTCCGCAGTGTGGCTGGGCATCACGCAAGTTGTTAAGGGCCTGAATAGAACGAAAAGCAGAGGAAGGCTAAGTTTGCTCTTTGCCTGACTTCTGAGCTGTGACATCCATCTCCCTCCACCCTCAGTGTTCCCAGTTCTCCCCGGACTAAAATCTTCATCTTCCACTCTCCAGCTCTCAGGCCTTTGAACTACACCACTGGCTTTCTTGGGTCCTCAGCTTGCAGACTGTGGAAAATCTGCTGATTGTGAAACTTCTCAGCCTCCATAATCATGTGAGCCAATACCTTCTAATAAATCTCTTTTTATCTATATCCAATTGGTTCTGTTTCTCTAGAGAATTCCTGGCTACTATATAAGGGAACTAGCTTCCCCTGAGCAGGAATGAAAAGAAGAACAATGAATGCAGATAAGGACAATCTGGATACAGTGGGGACTTTCATCATCAGTTCCACTTCACCAACTCACTGATTAAATGGTGCTCTACTCTGCCTCCTTCTTCTAGAACATCCTGAAGGATGCCCTTGGCATTCTGTGTGGTCAACTGGACATTCGCTAGAACCCATGCATTTCCGCTTCCCCAGTTCTACATTGACAAAAACTCTGTTGTGGTGTTTTTTTTTCCACAAGCTTGTTTATGCCTATGCATTTCTTTTTTTTATTTGTAATTATTCATTTTTTATTAACAAATAAGATTCCATTATATGGTTAGTCAACATTTTATTTATCCATTCATCAGTTGAAAGGCACATGGATTGTTTCCATTCTTTGGCTATCATGAATAATGCTGCTTTGAACATTTGTATATAGTTTTTGTGTGGGAGTGTGTTTTCACTTCCCTTTAATATATAAGTAGAAGTGAAATTCATGGATCATATGTTGAACATTTTGAGAAGGTGAAAAATCTGTTTTTTAAAGAACCTGTAATCTTTTACATTCCCACCAATAAGGCATGAGTATTCTAATTTCTCTACATGGACCACACAAGTTATTATGTGCTTTTGAATACAATCATGCTAGTGGATATGAAGCTATTTTTCTTTTTTCTTTTTTTTTTAATTTTATTATTATTATACTTTAAGTTTTAGGGTATATGTGCACAACGTGCAGGTTTGTTACATATGTATACATGTGCCATGTTGGTGTGCTGCACCCATTAACTCATCATTTAGCATTAGGTATATCTCCTAATGCTATCCCTCCCCCCTCCCCTACCCCACAACAGTCCCCGGTGTGTGATGTTCCCCTTCCTGTGTCCATGTGTTCTCATTGTTCAATTCCCACCTATGAGTGAGAACATGCGGTGTTTGGTTTTTTTGTCCTTGCGATAGTTTGCTGAGAATGATGGTTTCCAGCTTCATCCATGTCCCTACAAAGGACATGAACTCATCATTTTTTATGGCTGCATAGTATTCCATGGTGTATATGTGCCACATTTTCTTAATCCAGTCTATCATTGTTGGACATTTGGGTTGGTTCCAAGTTAAAAACCTTGAAAAAAGTATGCCTATGCATTTCTTATCGGAATTACAAATTTTAATTAAATATTATATAAAACAATAGAATGCATGTATGAAAAGAGTTGCCTTTTCTTAAAAACAAAATTGCTTTATAAAGTCTATCAAGTGTGGCTCACTAAAAATGTCATTAGTGTAGGTGTGGGTGGGACAACTACAACACATTATAGAGGGTGTTCTGCAATCATATTTCTTCAAAAAGTACTTTTCAGTTTTTCCTCCACTTTCAAGAATCCCAAGCTAGACTCATGGACAATGAGTTATGTGTGATTTGTGGGAATATCACAACGGGAACCCAATCAGCTAACCCACCCTCAAAAGAAGGTAGCCCAGCCAAGCACAGTGGCTCACACCTATAATCCCAGTGCTTTGGGAGGCCGAGGCAGGAGGATCACTTAGGCTCAGGAGTTTGAGACCAGCCTGGGCAACACAGTGAGACCTTTTCTCTACTAAAATTCAAAAAAGTTAGCCAAGTGTGGTGGCGCACACCTGTAGTCCCAGCTACTTGGGGGACTGAGGTAGAAGGATCACTTGTGCCCAGGAAGTTGAGGCTGCAGTGAGCTCAGATTATGCCACTGCATTCCAGCCTGGGTGACAAAGCGAGACCCTGTCTCAAAAAAGAAAAGTGGTTCTATATAGCAAAAGAATGTCAACTGACTGTACATTCTTTTTATTATTATTATTATTATTATTATTATTATTATTATTATTATTATACTTTAAGTTCTGGGATACATGTGCAGAACGTGCAGGTTTGTTACATAGGTATACATGTGCCATGGTGGTTTGCTGCACCCATCAATCTGTCACCTACATCAGGTATTTCTCCTAATGCTCTCCCTCCCCTTTCCCCCACCCCCTGACAGGCCCCAGTGTGTGATGTTCCCCTTCCTGTGTCCATGTGTTCTCATTGTTCAACTCCCACTTATGAGTGAAAACATGCGGTGTTTGGTTTTCTGATCCTGTGTTAGTTTGCTGAGAATGATGGTTTCCAGCTTCATCCATGTCCCTGCAAAGGACATGAACTCATTCTTTTTTGTGGCTGCATAGTATTCCATGGTATATATGTGCCACATTTTCTTTATCCAGTTTATCATTGATGGGCATTTGCGTTGGTTTCAAGTCTTTGCTATTGTGAATAGTGCTTCAATAAACATACATGTGCATGTGTCTTTATAGTAGAATGATTTATAATCCTTTGGGTATATACCCAGTAATGAGATTGCTGGGTCAAATGGCATTTCTGGTTCTAGATTCTTGAGGAATCGCCACACTGTCTTCCACAATGGTTGAACTAGTTTATACTCCCACCAACAGTGTAAAAGCGTTCCTATTTCTCCACATCCTCTCCAGCATCTATTGTTTCCTGACTTTTTAATGATTGCCATTCTAACTGGCGTGAAGTGGTATCTCACTGTGGTTTTGATTTGCATTTATCTAATGACCAGTGATGATGAGCATTTTTCATGTTTGTTGGCTGCATAAATGTCTTCTTTTGAGAAGTGTCTGCACAGTGGCTCATGCCTGTAATCCCAGCACTTTAGGAGGCCGAGGCGGGTGGATCACGAGGTCGGGAGATCGAGACCATCCTGGCTAACATGGTGAAACCACGTCTCTACTAAAAATACAAAAAATTAGCCGGGTGTGGTAGTGGGCGCCTGTTAGTCCCAGCTACTCAGGAGGCTGAGGCAGTGGCGCGAACCCGGGAGCCGGAGCTTGCAGTGAGCAGAGATCACACCACTGCACTCCAGCCTGGGTGACAGAGCGAGACTCTGTCTAAAAAAAAAAAAAAAAGAGAGAGAAGTGTCTGTTCATATCCTTTGCCCACTTTTTAATGGAGTTTTTTTTTTTTTTCTTGTAGATTTGTTTAAGCTCCTTGTATATTCTGGATATTAGCCCTTTGTCAGATGGATAGATTGCAAAAATTTCCTCGATTCTGTAGGTTGCCTGTTCACTCTGACGGTAGTTTCTTTTGCTGTGCAGAAGCTCTTTAGTTTAATTAGATCCCATTTGTCAATTTTTTTGTTGCAATTGCTTTTGGTGTTTTAGACATGAAGTCCTTGCCCATGCCTATGTCCTGAATGGTATTGCCTAGGTTTTCTTCTAGGGTTTTTATGGTTTTAGGTCTGATGTTTAAGTCTTTAATCCATCTTGAGTTAATTTTTGTATAAGGTGTAAGGAAGGGGTCCAATTTCAGTTTTCTGCCTATGGCTAGCCAGTTTTCCCAGCACCATTTATTAAATATGGAATCCTTTCTCCATTGTTTGTTTTTGTCAGGTTTGTCAAAGATCAGATGGTTGTAGATGTGTGGCGTTATTTCTGAGGCCTCTGTTCTGTTCTATTGGTCCACTGAGTTAGACCACTTTGCTACCTGGCTTCAGCCCCCTTTCAAGGGGAGTGAATGGTTCTGTCTCACCAGCTTTCCAGGCACCACTGGGATATGAAAAGAAACTCCTACAGCTAGCTCAGTGTCTGCCCAAACGGCCGCCCAGTTTTGTGCTTGAAACCCAGTGCCTTGGTGGTGTAGGCACCTGAGGGAATCTCCTGGTCTACGGGTTGTGAAAACTATGGGAAAAGTGTGGTATCTGGGCCGAATAGCACAGTCTCTCATGGCACAGCCCCTCACAGCTTCCCTTGGCTAAAGGAGGGAGTTCCCTGACCCCTTGCACTTCCTGGGTGAGGTGACACCCCACCTTCCTTTGCTCACCCTCCATGGGCTGCACCCACTGTCTAATCAGTCCCAATGAGAGGAACCAGGTACCTCAGTTGGAAATGCAGAAATCACCCACCTTCTGCGTTGGTCTCACTGGGAGCTGTAGACCAGACCTATTCCTACTCAGCCATCTTGCCCAGGAATCACATTCTTTATGTTTTAAGATAATACATTTAATGCACTATGAATTATTTTTAATGATTGTTTATTTTAACCAACTTTTTCAATTTGTGAAAATTATTCTATCAGTTAATAAAGCTTCTATTACAGATGGATCACTAGTCAGTGAAGTGAAATATTCAGCTGACCACTGTTCTCTTTGAAGGGGAAAATAAGATTATCCATTGAAAATGGAAGATCATGGTAAAAGCCATGAAGAGAGAGAAGAGCAATGAAAATTTCAAAGTGCTGGTAAAGGAAACAGAAAGGAAATTGAGCACTCATAGCTAATAATAATCACAGTTCACCTGTATTAAACTCCTACTGTATGCCAAGCATTGTACATATTATCTCTAACCTTTAACAAACAAAAAGGAAAAATGGCTACAGCAATTTTATTATCTCTTCTTATAGATCTGCACTGTTCAGTAAGGTAGCCATTAGCCACATATGAACACTGAGTACTTAAAATGTGGCAAATCTGAATTAAAATGTTCTATAAGTGGGCCAGGCACAGTGGCTCATGCCTGTAATCCCAGCACTTTGGGAGGCTGAGGTGAGCAGATCACCTGAGGTTAGGAGTTCAAGAGCAGCCCGGCCAGCATGACGAAACCCGGTCTCTACTAAAAATACAAAACAACTAGCCAAGCGTGGTGGTGTGTGCCTGTAGTCCCAGCTACTTGGGAGGCTGAGGCAGGAGAATTGCTTGAACCCGGGAGGTGGAGGTTGCAGTGAGCCAAGGTCACGCCACTGCACTCCAGCATGGGCGACAGAGCAAGACTCCATTTCAAAAAAAGAAAAAATATATTTTATAAGTATAAAATACATACTATATTTCAAAGATTTAGTATTAGACAAAAGAATGTAAAATATCTCAGTATTTCTGTATTGATTGCATGATTTTTGAAATTACTTTGTTAAATATATTATTAAAATTAATGTCACCTGTTTCTTTTTATGTGTTTAAATATGGTACTAGAAAATGTAAAACCTCACATGATGCTTTCATTGTGCTTTATTGGACAGTGCCATTGGAGCTTGGAGATATTAACTGAGATTTGAAACAAGTCTGCCCAATGCCAAAGCCAGTGCTGTTACTCAACACAGTGCTGCTTCTGAGGACAGGCACGAGGATGGCAGAGAGATGCTCAGAATTCAGATGGAATGAGAAACCTGAAATTGAAGATGTGTCAGGCTACAGAAAGATGCAAGTGTCTGTAGCAGAGGAGCCCAGGAGCGATAAAGGAGGAAGCTGATTGTTGTTTCAAACCATGGTCGGGGGTGGACAGGTTGGGTCCTGTATAGTTTCTGGAATGTTTCTTGTTAGAAAGACACCTCTCTGCCTGTATTAGTCATGGTCTAATTTGGAATATCATCTCAGTATTTTTAAAAGTAGAGTTTAATGCAGGGACTTGGTTACCCAGGTGATGGAATTTGCTGAGAAGCTAGATGGGATAGCGAGGTGCTTCGGTGATTATCCACACTGGAGAAGGCACTACTGTCTTCAGGTTAGAAAGAAAAAGGGGAGAGATGGAATTACCAGAGCCCAGAGACTGGGCACCTGGTGGAAGCTAGAACCCTGGCAGGAATGTTGGGGGCAGAGGGACACTTGAGCCACCACAGAAGAGTCACAGCAGTAGCAAAGTATGAGGCCCAAAGCCTGGAGAGACAGAGAGAAACACTAGCTCCTGCCGCCCTCCTGGCCTCCAGTCTCTGCCAGTGTCTCCCATGGTCCCAAGCCCATCAGAAGACAGCAAACAATGGCACCTGGAAATGCAGGCTCCCTCCTCACCCCCAATTTGCCACCCATAGCAGAGCAGGGAAAGGTTTCAGAATGGATCTGAAGGCAATGTGGCCAAAAGTGAACACAGCCTCCAACCCTTCTCTCCTGAACAGCTGCTACCCATAAATGGCTAAAAAGGCACAGACATGTCTCATATTTGGCTTGCTGGCAACACCACGCTTCATGAGTGACCATTTTGTGAATGCTCATCCTTTGTCTTTCTTGGCACAATAAGATGTCCAATGGGAAACAGAGGAAGTTGCTTTTCATTTCAGATATTCTGCCTCCCCACTTCAGGCTTCAAGGAATCTTCATCTATCATAAGACAATGATGAGAGAGTTATTGTATAAATTCCACTTACTAAATGCTGCTGCTGCTTTTTACCCCCAAATCCTTGGCTTTGGGTATTTCTGCAGCATTACAACAATTCATCCGAAGCCATTGCTCGGTCAAAACAAACACACAAACAAACACACATTACAATAATTCGGAAAAAGTGGTTGTTCTATCTGCTTCTGTGCAACCAGCATCTTAGGGACAACCATAGAACTGGAGCTCTCCACTCTGGCCCCCTGGCTCCTCTCCTCCTGGCAAGCCTGTGCTTGTTCCAGTCTCTCTGCCAAACAGAGAGACACACACAGGGTGACCCCTTAAAATCCAGACATTTTCTTCCCAAGTGGCTGGATTTCATCTGTTTTCTCACTCTGGATCAATATGATGGGGGAATTTAGCACTAATTAATATCCTTTTCTATCTCTGGTCCTATTAACAGTAAACAGACCCTTCCAGAGAACAAAGCAGTCAATTTAGCTAATCTCTGCCATTGAGCACTGACTAGGAGAATTACTACATAGCAAGGACAGTACTGAACCAGCTAAGCGTCATGGGCTGTGTGGTCAAACATCACTGTCACAAATGCATCCATCTCCCAAAGCAATCATCTCTATGGGCTATTAGCCACCCCCTGTCCATCTGCCTGCACAACCTTGGCTGAGAAGCAGTCATAAGCTATGTCTGCAACACAAAGACCAGTTAGAAATTGGCTGGAAAAATTCCACCTAATCTGCCTTGGGGTGGGGGTTACCATTTACAGTGTGATGTGATATCAGAATGGCAATCTCAAAAGAATCAAAGTGACTCTTTAAATCTCATTCCCTGACTCATCCTGGTAATTAAGATCCTACTTTAATCACCAGTCTAGATGGATGTGACATATCTCCCTTATAGTAAGTTAACAAATGAAAAGATAGCCAAGAGGAGGCCAAAGGACCAGGGAGAAAAACAAAAATAGGAAGACGTTTGTTATTTTCTGGCCATCTGGCAACCAACCATCCCACTCCCACATCCACACACTTTTTCAAATCTGTTCTCCCTTGTAGGAGATTTCGTATTGTGAATAGTGAGCCAGATAGGAGGCAAAGCTGAGGTGGATGGATGCTTCCTCTCTAGCTAATGAGGTGGACATGTACCAATCAGATGTTTGCTCTGGGGGCTTTGACTCTCCAGCTGGTTACACAAAAATGGAGGAAACAACGTGATCCCAGATTCTCTGCAGATGCTGGGGCTAAACAATGTCCTGGATGTTTCCGCAGCACCCCTTGTCCATGCAGTTAGCTCTGAGGCTCTGTGCTTCTTTGCTTCCAGACAGTCCTCCCTGTCCACACAGCCTCCCAGACCATCAGCAGCCTCAAGACCCTCCCAAGGCAGAGTCAGTGTATTAGTCTGTTTTCACGCTGCTGATAAAGACATACCCCAAACTGGTCAATTTACAAAAGAAAGAGGTTTAATTGGACTTTCAGTTCCACATGGCTGGGGCAGCCTCACAATCATGGTAGAAGGCATGGAGGATCAAGTCACATCTTATGTGGATGGCAGCAGGCAGAGAGGGCTTGTGCAGGAAAATTCCCCTTTCTAAAACTATCAGACCTCATGAGACTCATTCGCTATCATGAGAACAGCACGGGAAAGACCTGGCCCCATGATTCAATCATCTCCCACCGGGTCCCTCCCACAACACATGGGAATTATGGGAGCTACAAGATGAGATTTGGGTGGGGACACAGAGCCAAACCATATCAGTCAGTTTCTGCTGCATGCCACCAAAAGTCCTGATAGACATGGTAAGAATCCACCTCTCAGTCCATTCTTCCCATCCACGAGGGTAAAAAGAAGTGAAGCTAAAGCCTGCTATATTTCCTGTGAAAACACTCTGAGAATTTCATGGAGTCTCCAGCTCTTGGGATTCACAGAATTGTTTGTATTTCACATATCCATCCATTTTTCTTTAGTCTTTTGTAGTTCAGTAAATGAAAGCACTTGGCTTTAGCAGTAGCTCTGTTTTTATGTTTGCAAAGGTCTTTTTCATTATTTGTGAATTTATCTCCAAGCCACAATCTAGGTAAGATGGAAACAATTCTCCTCTTCTGTTCATAGAGTCAGAGATGTTAGTAAGGAGAAAACTTTAGAGGCAATCTAGTCCAACATCCTTATTTTACAAACTAAGAAAACATTTCTTCTTGGGAAAAGTAAGGAAACTGTATATGAAGAGTTAACCTTTGTTCCAAAGTTAATCATGACTTTAGGATTTAAAAACAATTTCTTTTTCTCCACACTATGAGGTATGTCTCAAACTTAATTAGATTAAACTTTTCTAAGAACCCTAGGGTTAAGTTACCTAAAGTATATGCATACAGACACATGTCATTTTTCACTTAATTGCTGAAACAGTCTCTTAACTGGGCTTTTCACTTAAAATCTCTGTAAGATACCCCCAGCTCCATTCTGCCCTAGCCTACCCAACCCACCACCAGCCCAATCTCCACACAACCATAACAGCAATTACTCTAAATGCAAATCTGATCATATTGCTCCTCTGCTTACATTCAGTATTAGCTGCCCTTCTGTAATAGGCAGAATAATTGCCCCCCAAAGATGTCCACATCCTAATCCCCAGAACCTGTGACTATATATAATCTTGGATGTAAAGAGAGAATGAAGATTGCAGATGAAATTAAAATTGCTAATCAGCTGACCTTGAGATGAGGATGTGATTCAGGATTATCCAGGTGGACTCAATTTAATCACATTTCTACTTTTCTTAAAGGTAGAAAACAGAAGCACAAGTCAGAGGGAAATTTAAAGACATTATGGTGCTGCTTTGCAGATGGAGGAAGGGGTGACAAGCCCAGAATGTAGGTGGCCTCTAGAAGATGGAAAAAGCAAGGAAATGGAGTCTCCCCTAGATGTTGAAGAAAGGAATGCAGCCTTGTTGACACTGATTTTAGCCTAGTGATAGCTGTTTTGGATTTTTGACCTTCAGAACTATAAGATGATAAATTTGTGTTCAGCCAAGTTGTTACAGCAGCAATAGGAAGCTGTTACATCATCACACACGAGGCCTTTGTATTAGTCCATTTTCACGCTACTGATAAAGACATACCTGAGACTGAGAAGAAAAAGAAGTTTACTTGGACTTACAGTTCCACATGGCTGGGGAGGCCTCAGAATCATGGCAGGAGGTGAAAGGCACTTACACATGGTGGCAGCAAGAGAAAATGAGGAAGAAGGAAAAGCAGAAACCCCTGATAAACCCATCAGATCTTGTGAGACTTATTCACTATCTTGAGAACAGCACAGGAAAGACCAGCCCCCATGATTCAATTACCCTCCCCCTGGGTCCCTCCCACAACACGTGGGAATTTTGGGAGATACAATTCAAGTTGAGATTTGAATGGAGACACAGCCAAACCATATCATTCCACTCCTGACCCCTCCAAATCTCATGTCCTCACATTTCAAAACCAACCACGCCTTCACAACAGTCCCCCAAAGTCTTAGCTCATTTCAGCATTAACTCAAAAGTCCACAGTCCAAAGTCTCATCTGAGATAAGGCAAATCCCTTCCACCTATGAACATGTAAAATCAAAAGCAAGTTAGTTACTTCCTAGAAACAACGGGGGTACAGGCACTGTGTAAATATAGGCATTCCAAATGGGAGAAATTGGGCAAAATAAAGGTGTTAGAGGGCTCATGCAAGTCTGAAATCCAGCAGGGCAATCACATCTTAAAGCTCCAAAATGACCTCCTTTGACTCCAAGTTCTCACATCCAGGTCATGCTGATGCAAGAGGTGGGTTCCCATGGTCTTGGGCAGCTCCATCCCTGTGGCTTTGCAGGTACAGCCTCTCTCCTGGCTGCTTTCACAGGCTGGCATTGAGTATCTGTGGCTTTTCCAGGCACACAGTGAAAGCTGTCAGTGGATCCACCATTCTAGGGTCTGGAGGATGGTGGCCCTCTTCTCACAGTTCCACTAGCAAGGCCCCAGTAGGGACACTGTGTGAGGTCTCTAACCCCACATTTCCCTTCCACACTGCCCTAGCAGAGGCTGTCCATGAGGGCCCCACCCCTGCAGCAAACTTTTTCCTGGGCATCCAGGCATTTCCATACATCTTCTGAAATCTAGGCAGAGGTTCCCAAACCTCAATTCTTGACTTCTGTGTACCCACAGGCTCAACACCATGTGGAAGCTACCAAGGCTTGGGGCTTCCACCCTCTGAAGCCACAGCCCGAGCTGTACGTTGGCCCCTTTCAGCCATGGCTGGAGCAGCTGGGACACAGGTCACCAAATCCCTAAGCTGCACACAGCACAGGGACCCTGGGCCTAGCCCATGAAACCACTTTTTCCTCCTGGGCTTCCAGGCCTGTGATGGGGGTGGCTGCCATGAAGGTCTCTGACATGGCTGGGAGACATTTTCCCCATGGTCTTGAGGATTAACAATAGGCTCCTTGCTACTTACGCAAATTTCTACAGCTAGCTTGAATTGCTCCTCAAAAAAATGGGTGTTTCTTCTCTACTCCATTATCAGGCGGCAAATTTTCTGAATTGTTATTCTCTGTTTCCCTTTTAAAATGGAATGCTTTTAACAGTTCCCAAGTCACCTTTTGAATGCTTTTCTGCTTAGAAATTTCTTCCACCATATACCCTAAATCATCTCTCTCAAGTTCAAAGTTCCACAAATCTCTAGGACAGAGACAAAATGCCACCAATCTCTTTCCTAAAACATAACAAGAGTCGCCTTTGCCCCAGTTTCCAACAGGTTCTTCATCTCCATCTGAGATCACCTCAACCTGGATTTTATTGTCCAAATTGCTATCAGCATTTTGGGCAAAGCCATTCAACAAGACTCTAGGAAGTTCCAAACTTTCCCACATTTTCCTGTCTTCTTCTGAGTTCTCGAAACTGTTCCAGCCTCTGCCTGTTACCCAGTTCCAAAGTTGCTTCCACATTTTCGGTTATCTTTTCATCCACACCCCACTCCTGGTACCAATTTACTGTATTAGTCTGTTTTCATGTTGCTAATAAAGACATATCTGAGACAGGGAAGAAAAAGAGGTTCAAGTGGACTTACAGTTCCACACAGCTGGGGACATCTCAGCATCATGGTGGGAAGCAAAAGGCACTTCTTACATTAAGGCAGCAAGAGAAAATGAGGAAGAAGCAAAAGCAGAAACTCCTGATAAACCCATCAGATCTCGTGAGACTTATTCACTATCATGAGACTAGCACAGGAAAGACCAGCCCCCATGATTCCATTACCTCCCCCTGGGTCCCTCCCACAACATGTGGGAATTCTAGGAGATACAATTCAAGTTGAGATTTGAATGGGGACACAACCAAACCATATCAGCCTTCAATAATGAAACTTTGCTTACAGTTCCAGCCTCATCTGCCTCCACTCCTCCCCTTCCATCCCACACTGGAGGGTAGCTCCCCCAGGCCACTACATATACTACTGTTCCTCTGCCAGGAATGCCTGCCCCAGTTTCTCACCTAGTGCTGTGGTTTGAATATGGTTTGTCCCCAGAAAAACTCATGTTGAAACTTGATACCCAGTGTGGTGGTTTTAGGAGGCAGGGCCTAGTAGGAGATGTTTGGGTTCTTGTGGCAGATTCCTCGTGATACCTCAGCAGTAAGTGAGTTCTCACTCTCACAGGAATAAATTAGTTCCTATGAGAGCCAGTTGTTAAAAAGAGTCAGGCCTGTAATCCCAGCACTTTGGGAGGCTGAGGTGGGATGATTGCCTGAGACCAGGAGTCTGAGACCAGCATAGGCAACAAAGCAAGACCCCAATCTACACACACACTATATATATGTATGTATTTTCCAGGAACAGTGACAGTGCACCTGTAGTCCTAGCTACTGTGGAGGCTGAGGCAGGAGGCTCCCTTGAGCTCAGGAGTTGGAGGCTGCAGTAAGAGGTATTATTGTGCCACCATACTCTAGCCTGAGTTCAGAGCAAGACCTTGTCTCTGAGAAAAAAAAAAAGTGTTCTGGCTTCCTTCATTTTGCTCTCTCTTCTTCTCTCACCATGTGATTTCTTGCACAACCCACTCTGCCTCCATTTTCTGCTATAAGTGGAAGCAGCATGGCAGCATGGAAGACCAGATGCAGCTGCCCAATCTTGAACTTCCCAGCCTGCAGAAACATGAGCTAAATAAACCTATCTTCTTTATAAATTACCAGCCTCAGGCATTCTGTTATATCAATGCTAAATGGACTATGACATCTAAGTAATTCCTACTCAAGTCTCACATCGCCACTGGGAGCTCTCCCTGGTTCCCCAGGATAGGTTCACTCACTGCATGGTACCATGTGCTTACCTTTGTATGAGCACTTATCATGCTGTATGCTAATGTGATTATTTTCTCCTCCCCCAATGAAACTGTCAAATCAGACCCAAGTCCTAGTGCAACACATGGTTGAACAAATGACTTAGCATATAAATTCCATGAAGATAGATATTTTTGTCTATTTTATTTGCTGCCGATCCCCAGTATCCAGAACAATGCTTGGCACATACTAGGCTCTCAATAAGTAATTGTTGAATTAATGAGTGAAGAAATTAATGAACGAACAAAAAAATCCAGGCATAGTCTTGGACATGAAGAGGGAGCAAGGAGGTTCCCTACACAGTCCTCTCTGAGCAGCTCTTTCCCAAGCACATGGAAAACGAACCAGCAAATCTAAGGTTGTATGTTTGTGGAAGTGCCTTAAATCTTACACCGATGAACCCTCTCCAAAAGTGCAAATATGCACATTCCCAACACTGCTATAAAGATAGGAAGTGAGATAAGAAGAGGCAGCCTGTGTTGCCACATGTGGATTCCAGATGTTAGTTGGACTAGCTTGGCCCATAAGTGATAGATGAGGTCAGTTTGACCCTTTTCCATAGCCTGCAGAGATTCAAAATCTAGCAAAAAAATGTTTTATTCTCATGGTCACTGCTGGCTCTGCCTTATGGTTTTTCAACCATGATACTTAATTATTCAAAACACAAACCAAAAAATCCAGCTCTTTGTATTGTTTTAGTATAATAGACTTTAAGTACTTGTGGGATGTGAGGGAGGGAGGCTTGCAGAGTGTGGGAGGGAAAGGGAGAGCGGGGGATGGGATTTTTAACAGCTACTTGATGAGTTTTTAGTCCTGCCATGTCTTACATTTTCATTAAATTTCATTTAATTTTTGTTAAGTTCTGTGTGTATGTGTGTGTGTCTGTCACACACACACACACACACGTATAGAAAAAATGAAATTCCCGTTTGTCTTTTTAGTTCACTGTCACCTTTTATCCCAAGTGGCTTACGAAGGATAATCTACCTTAAAAGGTTTTAGTAAAATAGCTCTTTTAGAACCTTTTACTATGACCTGGCATTCTTATGCAAATATAAAAATTATTTAAGTAAAAATTAAAAAGAACCTTGACTGCAGATAAGGATCTTGCCTCTTATTGGTATCTGCATTTCAAAAATGCATATTCTTGAACTAAACTTGGCCCATCTGCTGGCTTTTCAGAATGAGGACTTTCCCAGATAGCTTATTGACTTCATCTGCTCCCAGCCCCTGCTTAGTCTGCCTGGTGCCTCCAGATGTGCTCAGGTGCCCTCATCCTGAACATCACAGCCTCCTTTTTGCCTTAGACCTCAATTACAAACATATAAACCGATATGTTTCAACCAATACACTTTGTAATTCATTTCAAACAAACCAAACCACATAAGTAATAAGTAAATTTAGCAAGATTGCAAAATGCTAGGTCAATATACAAAATCAAGTGTATTGCTGTATATGACCAATAAAAATTTGAAAAATAAACTTGTAGGAAAAGTCATTTATGAAAGCATAAAAATACAAAATATTTAGGAATACATTTAACAAAATACGTATGAGACATATAAGCCAAACACTATAAAATGCTGATGAGAGAAGACCCAAATAAAATTAAGAGATATATAATGTTCATGAATCAAAATCACTAAGATATAAGCTCTCCACAAATTGATTTATAGCCCTAATGCAATCCTCATCAAAATCCCAGAAGGATGGTTTTGTGTAGGAATTAACAAGCTGATTCTAAAATTCATACCCTAAATCAAAGAATCTCAAATAGCCAAATCATTTTATATATTTAAAAAAGTATAAAACTGATTTTACACTCCTGGATTTCAAAACTTACTGTAAAGCTACATAATCAAGAAGATATGGCATTAGTGAAAGGATAGACTTACAGATCAATAGTACGCAACAGAAACAGAGACACATGTACAGAGTCAACTGACTTTTGACAAAGACACCAAGATAATCGAATAGAGAAAGGATTTTCAACAACTGATGCTGAGACAACTAGATTCTTATGGGGAAAAAATGAATATTAACCTTTATCTTAAACTAAACACAATTAACTCAGAATAGATCATAGACCCAAATGTAAAATCTAAAACTATAAAATTTTTAAAGCCAGAGAAAATGTATAAGGTCTTAGAGTAAGTTAAAGTGAACACATGTGTCAGAATTCATTGAACCTTACTTTTAAATTAGGTACAGTTTATTTTACATGAATTGCACTTCAATACAGTCGACCAAAAGAGAAAAAATATGCATTTGGTGCTTAAATGAATTATTTAAATGAATAATTTTCCATTATCTTTTTTGCTCTTTCCTTCTGCTTTAGCCACATTTGCCTTCATTCTAGTCTCCACCTCAAAGCCTTTGGTCTTGCTGTTCCTGTGCCTGGAATGTTCTACTGACACCCACCACAGGCCTGGTTACTTCTCATCATTCAGGCTTTGGTTCAGATGGGATCTCCACAGAGAGGACTTTCCTGCTGTCTTAGATAGTCCATGCCATGTTCACATCTGTCTCCTGCCTCCACCAGTCAAGCTCTATCCTGTTTCTCTGTTTGTTTTATTAATAAAATAAGAATTGTTGACAATAAGAGTACATTGGTTTATTGAGTTTATATATCCACCACTGGAATGTGAACTATGCAAGGGCAGGAACTGTCTCTTCACCACTCAATCTCTAGCACTTAGAACAATGCTTGGCACAAAATAGGAATTTATAATTTTTTTAAGATAAATGAATAAATGGATATTATCCACACATTTTACCAGTATTAAGTTTTCCTTGTTCCTTATTAATTTCCAATCAATGAGATTGTTACTGCACCTGCTATTCATATTTATAGATTTCCTTTGGGTCACCAGTGACTTGCTTTCTCATACAAAGTACATCATTTTAATCTTAGTTTGGGAAGCTTCTATGTAAGTATTAGACATCCTTATTTCCCTGCATAAATAGCCAAGTTGGAATCAAATTATTCTTTGTGCCCTAATACAAATGCATGAAGGGGAGAATTCTCTGAGACCTTTAAAAAATTCAAGATGACAACTGTGTCTAGTTTCTGTTTACTCTGGCATTAAAACCTTCCAAGATTTCCAAGCATCTGTAAACAGGGTCAGCCTTCCTTTCCCAAAACCCAGAGTGTTCTTGACTCTAGTTGTGCTTCTCTAACGTCCCCCCACTACAATTTCTACCACTCCTGAAGGTGAAAATCAAACTGTTCTATTGGATTGAGATTTATTTACATTTCCTTTGCATTTCCTTTTGGGAGAAGGAGGCCATTCCTAATGGAATAGTAGAGTTCTAGTCCTACCGCTGTATTAATCCCAGTAGTATCTGAAGTTATGCAAAACAATATGAAATTTGTCTCAAAGTACATATGATTTTGAATAAACTTGTTTCACCAGGAGAGAAAACTTAAATATAAAGTGAGTTTGGATCATGCTGCAATTGTAAGAGAAAGACGAATATTTTGGGACCAAACTTCCTTAGGTAGAACTTATCATCTTATATGAGCTCTAAGCCATATTCCAAGCTGGTAACTGAGAAGAGACAGACAAATAGAAAATAAAGATTTATGCTGGCCGGGTGCAGTGGCTCACACCTGTAATCCCAGCACTTTGGGAGGCCAAGGGGGCTGGATTCCTTGAGGTCAGGATGTTCAAGACCAGCCTAGCCTGGCCAAAATGGTGAAACCCCTATTAAAAAAAAAAAAAAATTAGCCAGGCGTGGCAGCACGTGCCTGTAATCCCAGCTACTTGGAAGGCTAAGGCAGGAGAATAGCTTGGACCTGGGAGGCGGAAGTTACAGTGAGCTGAGATTACGCCACTGCACTCCAGCCTCACGGACAGAGTGAGACTCCTTCCAAATATATATATATATTTCATTTTGTTTTAAAGAAATCCAGTGACAGAAAGAAATCCTGGAAAAGCTGCAGGAGCATCAAAAGGCAGGTCAAATTTTAAAATATTTGAAAGCACGCTAAGGGTTGCCAACTGAGAACTTTAACCCCAGAAAAAGCAAAAACAAGTTTTTTTTCTGAGTGAAATATAAAGGTAATATTATTTTTTCTAGGAAGAATAGTGAGGCTGTCAAGGTGTCTTCTGATCTGAACTTACAGGTGAGTTCTGAATTGTCTGAAGAAGCCAGAAAGAAAAAACTTAGGTAGTCAATATTCAAATAAAATAAGAGAGGGGTGGATTCTGGTGTACGCATTTATAATTGCTTCCACTGGAGTGAAGTCATTTCATAATTCTGATTGAAGAGATGTTTTATGCTAGACCTAGTCATCTTTCATTCATTTTTTGGTCCCACAACGTGATGTATACTAGACTGTATACTGTCTAGGATCTGCAGAAAATAACAAGTAAAAAGACTTTGCTCTCTAGGAAAAAATCTTCAGAGGCGAAACCCATGAATCACTGGGTAGTAGCAGAATTTATAAACACATGAGCAATACAGAAGCTAGAGGAAGAAAGGGATGCCCTATTTCATCACATGGGAATAAAATGACTCTTACACACTCAAGTAACCATCAGAATTTTCAGGAAATTATTCCTAAAAGGAAAATTATGGTGTTTTACCGGAAGGATAAATGGATGCTGGACATACAAAACTAATGGTTTTCACTAGAGTCACAAGCCACCTCCCCAGCCACTGAGCTGTGCTCATCTTACTGGAACCTCACTTCCATCCAATGGCTGCCCACTCTGAGAATTGACATTGATATTTCGGTGCCTCTCAGGCAAAGCAACAATGGGTCTCAACTCTTTCTATCTATGACGCCCTCTATAATATTAGGATTTATGGCAGTATTCTCAAAAGGATGAAAAATTCAAAATAACATTCAATGAGTTAGCAATAATGACAACATAGTCATTATTAAAGTTTAGTCATCTCTCACAGTGTTATAAAGCAATCCTCTATTTACAGGGTCAGAAGTGTTTAGAAGCCTAACCACACCACCTTTTCTATTCCTGAGGGACATGTTTGTGTGTTTAAGGAAACATTTGATCTGTGGCTCTCTTCTTCTGCCTCCTGCTTGCAGATAACTAAATCCTTTTGTATATTGTTTCTTGCTCAATGAGCATTTATGCTGTGAAAATTTATTGTCACACCATATATGCCCATTAGTAGCAAAATTCATAGCAAATTAGTAGTGAAAAATTAGTACTAGCAGAAGCCCACACTACACCTTGACCATAGTTGACAGCAAAACCACGTAAACCATCTCTGATCCAAAGCCCAATGTAACATTTTCCAAACCGTTCTCTCCTGCAGGATGTCAATATGTGTGCTATGTTATATGAGAGAAAGGGGGTTATTATCAGTCCAATGTGTTTGAGAAATACTGTGTTGGACAAAGTTAAACTAATTTCTATTCTGTAAGCCTCTAATATGCCAATGTGCATACACATCTCCAAGAGGGAGATATAATTATCAGTGTTTACCAAAGTTATTTGACCATGAAATCCTTTGACTTACAAAAATATTTTAGGACCAATGTACCATGAAATATACTTTGGCCTCCTCACTCTTCCCAATTCCTATGCTGCCGTGATGCTCGGTCCTCCAGCCAAATCTCTCTCTTCCTTCCTCTTCCCCGTCTGTTTCCCCACCTTAGTGATACTGCCTGCCTGCATCCCATACCGTAACCACAATAAGCTCACCATTCCCTAAATCATCCAAGTACGTTTTTTAAAACTCAGCTTGAAATATGTTGCACTTATATTTCTGCCTTGGGAACTTTCCTAGCTCCCCTGGAAAAAAAAATTAATCACTCCCTCCTCTGTACTTCCTCTGCAATTAAAGTGTGTACTTATTTTTACAATTACATTTTGTTATAATTTTTATTCGCAAGTCTTTTTCTCTACTGTTTTTGTAGCTAGTCATAGGCAGAAAATAAATTATTTATGTCTGTATTCTCAGTGTCTAGCATAGGTCTGGCTATAACAGAAGCAGAAAACCTATTGAATTTAATTCAGTTGAGCCAACTGTGCAAATGTCCATCTGCAAAAAATAATAATCTACAGCATTGCATTAATATTCAGCATGCTTCATATGGGTGTGTTCAATATAACGTAATATTTGGTTTATTGACTCATTCATTCCTTCAAAAATTATTATTCGGTGAACATAAGCTTTGTGCAAGATATTCTGGAAGCATGCAAAGTTTACTCAAACATAGTTACAATCTGAAAGCTTTGGGCAAGTCAGAAAAGGTGACATCATCCTTGACAGTGACCTTACCTAGTTGCTCATATTCAAACTATCAACAAGGATCACCCACCTTAAGTATTTCTCAACTCTGACCCTTGTCCATCACCACTGCAACCTTCCTACTCTGAGGAACCAGCCTCTATCAACCTGACGACTGCAAAAGCCTGGTTTCCCCACAACCATTCCACACCCATCCAATCCCTACCCCACACAGCAGCAGAGTGATCTTTTCCAAATGCCAATCTGAGTTTGTCATGTCACTGTTTAAATCCCTTCAATGGTTCCCCCATTGCTTTTAGCATAAAGACCAAAATCCTTAAAATAGCTGCAAGATCTTACATGATCTGTCCCCTAAAAATGGCCAATTTCATCTTGCAGCATTTGCCATATCCCAGCAAAACTGACCTTTCTTTTTTTTTTTTTCCATCCTTTGAATCTGTGTTTATTCTCCCTGGAATGATCTTCCTTCTCACTTCATGCTTAGGTAACTCCTTTTTAAACTTTAGAAAAAAACTCAAGCACTACTTTTTTAAGAAAGAACCCCCTGACCCCCCACCTCCAGTCTAGGTCAGGGTTTTTTGTGAATTTGCCTTCAAAAGAAACGTGTTTCTTTCACAGCAGATAATTCAATTTGTAATTATACACTTATATTACATAATTAATATCTGTCTCCTCCACTAAATTGCAAGTTTCATAAGAGCACAGCTTTTTTTTGTTGTGCTTGTCATCCTACACTTAACATCTAACACAAATAATATGTATAACAATATAAATAATATAACAGAAATAAATAGGTGCCGGCCAAGGCAGGCGGATCACGAGGTCAAGGGATCGAGACTATCCTGGCCAACATGGTGAATCCCCCTCTCAATTAAAAATACAAAAATTAGCTGGCCGTGGTGGCACACACCTGTAATCCCAGCTACTGGGGAGGCTGAGGCAGGAGAATCACTTGAACCCAGGAGGCGGAGGTTGCAGTGAGCTGAGATCATGCCACTGCACTCCAGCCTGGCGACAGAATGAGACTATCTCAAAAAAATGAAAAATAAATAAATAAATAAGTTCCATAGAAAAGCTCATTAAACTGTTAGCTGAGATTGTAAGAGGGAGAGGTTACATTTAGCTGGAGAAACTGGGAGAGGCTCTAAAGCAGTGGAAGTCAACCTGGCTGCATCTTGGAGCCACCTGGGAACCTCAGAAGATACTGACGCAGGTTCCTTAGAAAATTAAACATAGAATTACCATATGATCTGCCAATTCCACTTTTGGCGTATATACACAAAAGAATTGAAAACAGGGACTCAAACAGTTATTTGTAAACCCATCTTTATAGCAACGTTATTCACAATAGCTAACGGGTGGGGGAAAAAGCAAGTGTTCATGAACAAATTAATAGATAAGCAAATGTGGTCTAAACATACAATGGGATAATATTGAGCCTCAAGAAGGAAGGGAATTCTGATACATGTTGTAACATGGGTGAACCTTGAAAACATCGCAGTAAGAGAAATAAGTCACGAAAGGACAAATATGATAGAATTCCACTGTTATGAGGTACCTAGGATAGTCGAATTCTCAAATAGAGACAGAATGTAAAACAGTGGTTACCAGGGGTTGGGGCGAAGAGGGGGAGTTGGGGAGGTGTTGTTTAATGGGTAGAAAGTTTATGTTTGGGATGATTAAAAGTTCTAGATATAGATGGTAACGATGTTTGCACAACATGTGAATGTATTTCATGCCACTGTACTCTAAAAATGGTTAAATTGGCAAACTTTATGTTATCTATATAATTTAACATCATTTAAAAGATCCTAATGCCCAGGTCCAACCTCTGATTGAAGGTTCTGATTGAATTGCGCTGGTGTAACGCTTGGACATTGGGATTTTTTTTTAATTGCTCAGGTGATTTATTGTGTAACCAAGGGTGAGAAACACTGGTTTAGTGAAAAAAAAATTTGTAAGTTAAACACTTAAAGGTGGTAGCCTCGTTCAAGGAAGGGAATAACATAAGGTGAGGAGACAAGAACATATGTATTATTTATGAGGAAGAGTAAATAGCTCAGTTTCACTTAAAAAGAGTCTGTGAAGGAGAATTCGGTTCCAGCTCTGAAGAGTTTAGAATTCTGGGCAAAGATGTCTGAACTCTTGATTCCACACTCCCCAAGGAGCCAATGAAGGCTTTTGAGAGAGGGAATAAAATAATCAAAATTATAGTTTACAACAGAAATGAAATTAGTATATCAAAGAGACATCTGCACTCCCATGTTTATTGCAGCATGATTCACAATAGCCGAGATATGGAATCAACCTAAATGTCCACCAGTGGATGAATGCAGAAAGAAAATGTGGTACAGATACCTAATGGAATGTTCTTCAGTGATTCAAAGGAATGAAATCCTATCATTTGCGACAATATGGATGAAACTAGAGGACATTAAGTCAAAGAAACCAGGCACAGAAGGACATACACTGCCTAATTTCACTCACATGTGAAACCTAAAAAAGTTGCTTTCATAAAAGTACATAGTAGAATCGTGGCTACCAGAGGCTGGGGAAAGTAGGGAGGGAAGGATGGGGAGAAGCTGGTCAATGGGTACATGTTACAGTTAGGAGGAATACGTTAAGGTATGCTATTACATAATAGGGTGATATAGTTAACAATAATGTACATTTCAAAATATCTAGAAGAGCGAATTTTGAATGCTCTCACCACAAAGAAATGATGAGTGTTTGAGATGATAGATATGCCAATTACCCTGATTTGGTCATTACACATGTATACATGTATTACAACACCACACCATACCCCATAAATATGTACAATTATTATGTGTCAATTAAAAATAAACTAAAGCTTTTTAAAAATGATGGTTTAAGAATAATGGCCTGAGGGAAGTTTATAAAATAGCCTAAAAGGAGAAGAGAGGTGGAGATCCCCTGGAGGATTTATAAGGAACCAAGTAAGAGGTCATGAAAACCTGATGTGGGTCCAGCAGAGAGAATAGAGAGGAAGGAAGTGAAGCGAGAGGTTATGGGGGTTGAATCAATGACACTCAGCAAATCAGTCATACGTTTGACTGGCAAAGGCAGATCCATGCCTCTTTCATGTAAGAAACAGTGAAAGAAAAAAGGAGGAAGTCCTCCCAGATCACTCGGTTAATTAACTGGAATTAACATAAACCTTCATGCCACAACCTTCCTTTTCAAAGCATTATTAACATATCAGCAGTAACTAGTTGTAAAGCTCCCTGGAATCTGCTTAGCCCAGTTAGACAGACACTATTCTTAGCCTAAGTCACGGTATCATGTGTGCCAAAATATTGCAAAACCAGAGCTTAAACTGGAATAGGGTGGGAATAGCACAAGTCACCAGCAGCTTCATTATGTTTCAGAACAGTCACAGGAGAAGGTGATAGGAGGGGGCCCCTTTGGTGGGAAGAGCCAAAATCTCACACTCTGTCATGACAAAACTCAACATTCCTGGGGGAGCCCCCAGACGGCAAGTCCTCCAGCTACATTCCCATGTGATTTCTCCTCACTTTCCATTATGAGAAATGTGTGACCATCAGCTAAGGACTTACAGGACTGGTTTCTTCACTCTGAAAACTGCACCTCTAGATTCATAGACCCACCCTTACTCTGTCCCCTACAATCCAATTGATGTACATGAGCACACTGTTGAAAATGTGTGAAGAAATTCTGTAGCCCAATTTATGAATAACTAGTGAAATCACAAGTAAAGTGACACATTTTTCAGTAAGCACCTAAAATCTGTTCTGCACTCCTACAGGCATCCCTCCTTTAAGGTACCTGTGCACATCTATCTAAGCTCTGACCTCCAGTTGGACAGGGGTCCCTCCTCACCCTCCATTGCTCCCACTTCTTGAGTCAGACTTAACTTCTCTGCTAACCCCCTTCACCCCTAGAGAAATAGAATCTTTCCTTGGCTAGGAACCCAGGCAAAATTGCTTTGACTTCTGGTTATGGTTGCTATCCTAGCATCTCTATCCACAAAAAACTGATATTCCCAAATATCAATTATTCCAGGTAGAGGTTCTTAATCCATACTTGTTTCCCCAGCAGGGACATTTCCATCATTATCTCCTGGGGACCTTTCGCCCCTTTCAGCCCAGCTTGGCTTTCCCATTTTCTTTTTACCTCCTCTCCTTCCTCCTCTTTCACAGGCTGTTCTAATCAGCCATTCCCTTACCCTCTTCACTCTGATTAATTAAACTCATCTTCATTATATTTCAGAAATGGAAAATAAGATTTCTTTTACATGTCAAATTTCATTGCATGCTGTTGCTGTGGTCCTAAGATGAGAAAGATGCTGAGGCTAAATTTGTGCTCGACCAGAAAAAATATTATGACAGATGAGTGATGTCTGCTACAGGTGGAGATGGGTAGGTGACAGCATATGTATTCAATAGTGGCATGATTTTCCCACCATCTTAGGGCCAGACACTTTGGACAGGTATTACAGGACTACTTTGTCTTGCCCTGCCCCATTCTAGGCTGGGATCGCCCCTAAATCTACAAAAGCTTATCTGGAATAGGTGTGCTTGTGTTAGTTACCATGAGCAGTATGTGGTAAATAAACTGTTTCCAGAAAGGGAATATTAACAACAGAATGGAATTTATGCCTGTGGCACACAATGAGGGTCTCTGTATTAGTCAGGGTTCTCTAAAGGGACAGAACTAATAGGATAGATGTATATATGAAGGGGAGTTTATTAAGCAGTATTGACTTACGTGATCACAAAATGAAGTCCCACAATAGACCATAGGCAAGGTGAGGTGCAAGGAAGCCAATCTGAGTCCCAAAACCTCAAAAGTAAGGAAGCCTACAGTGCAGCCTTTAGTCTATGGCTGAAGGCCCAAGAGCCCCTGGCAAACCACTGGTGTAAGCCCAAGAGCCCAAAGGCTAAAGAACTTGAAGTCCGATGTTCGAGGGCAGGAAGCATCCAGCACGGGAGAAAGATGAAGGTCAGAAGACTCACCCAGTCTAGTCCTTCCATGTTCTTCTGCCTGTTTTATTCTAGCTACACTGGCAGCTGACTAGATGGTGCCTACCCAGATTGCAGGTGGGTCTGCCTCTCCCAGTCCACTGACTCAAAGGTTAATCTCCTTTGCTAACACCTCCACCGACACACCCAGGAACAATAATTTGCATCCTTCAATCCAATCAAGTTGATAGTCAATATTAATCATCATAGTCTCCATGCTGTAAAATGTCCCCTTTCCTTTCTGATTCTGCAGCAGTAGAAGCTCACCCTGGCTGGGATAGGTGCCAAACAGTCAGTGATGAAGGAGAGATGGCTATGAAAACTGGAGCCGAAGCTGGTGAGCCCAGGGTAGTTTGCCAGAAAATGAGGTCCAAGGGGCATGTATAGGTAAGGAGGATCTGAGATGAATGTGAGGAATTTGGAATTAGGAAATGAAGCCAAGGTTTTCAAGAACACAAGAGATAATAGGGTTTTAGAGACAGAATAACTAGGTGACTCTTCCATTTCAAGAGGCAAGGGCTGTAAACATCTCTTTTGCCTTTATTTGAGTGGACACCTAGCAAGTAGAGTCTACAATAAACTTCTCTTCCCAGTAAGCCAGGATACAACCCATTATCAGATGGGTATCTGGCTGCCTAGCTTCTGTTCTCAGGAGTGCCAACGACTCTCTCTAGCTTCCTTTCACTCATCACAGTGTAACAGGGTTCCAGAGCTGGGCCTCACTGCTCAGGCCCAGGAAGTTCAGATCTGCCTGAGCATGGTCAAGGGACCAGCAGGGACCTGCTGCCCTGATCATTGCTCATTAAAGCCCAGGGGGTTTCACGGGAGCATCTCATAGGGTCAGCTGGTGCGGAGATCTATTTGGAAAGTCTAAGCCCCTTGAGCTGCTGGTCAAATAAAGGCCATTGTTCATAGGGAAGGAAGATTGGGAAGGAAATTATGAAGGGAAAGGGTGGAGGGATAGAGGTACAAGAAGTACAAGCTTGGTGTGAGGTCAACAGTTGAGAGCGGAAGGAAAAGGCTCTCAAGGGTATCCCGGGGAAGGAGGAGTCAGGTATGTTTCCTGCTCAGCCCCTTCGGGTTTTGTGCCAAAGTCTAAGGAAGCAGAGCCATGATGAAAAGCAAGGCCCTTAAAAACCAATGAACAAGCAAAAGCTCTGCTTTTAAAGAGAAAAGAGTGCAAACCAGCCCGACCCTGTGGCCTTCACAATAGAGAAAAATGGACATGGAAAATGTTTGTTCCCACTTCCTACAAGGTCTGAGGTACAAAGTATGAGAGGAAAAGGATACAACAGCAGAGGTGACTCCACTGGCTCAGTGGGGCCCACTCACAAGTGGGAGAGGACCCAGGGCAGCGGGGAGCCCCGTGGGAACTCCTGGGAAAGGCTGGGGCACAGAGCGAGTGGAAGAAGAGGGTGTTCACAAATACCAAGTCATCCTCAGCTATCATGGCCACAGGAAGTGAAGCCATGGTTTCAGAAGTGCTGCACAGAGGGACTAAACTACAGGTGGCTTTAGTGTGACCTTACTGCATTCCCACCTTTGTGTGAGAAATCTGAATGACATCTAAATCTAGAGGTCTTAACTCAGGCAGTGGCTTTCATACTACATTCTGAGAGGCTTTGGGGTTTCATGGGTGGTCCACAGTGAGACATACCAGTTGCAGACATGTAAGGGCTGGCCTAGGACCTCCCAACTCTATCTCTTAAAAATAATTATATTTACCTTTTTTTGTATGACAGCTCCTCATTTTTTCCTCTTAGAATGCTCGCTCCTGGAATTCTGGCTCCCAGAATCCAGCCACCATGCTGTGACAGACTCAAGCCACATGGAGAGGTCACCTATAAGCGCTCTGGTCAACAGCCCCGCTGATCTTCTAACCAACAATGGCACATTCCTTGCCTGTTGGTTGGAATGAGCTATTGCAGCCTAATCAAGCACCCCCCTCCCCAGATGCTGCACTTCCAGCCACATCGGGTGGAGCAGAATGGCCCAGTGCAATGGCCAGCAACACACATAGCTGTGAGAGACCTCAACATTGCAAAAATAGGGTCATGAGGTTAGCAAGATGGCCAAGAAGGAAGCTACAGGCTCTTGCCCATGGAAACATTATGCATGCAATGATATAGGAACCAAAGTAGCTTTGTGGGAATTATAGAAACCAGTTAAGGATCTGCAGCAACCAAGAGAATTCCTAACCAAGAAGAAGTCACACTCTAAACAGTAGAAAATTTTGTGGTGTTTTCACTTGCCCTTGCCCCATCCCCTCCCCAGTGCAACAAAATCAGGAGGAAGCCAGCCAACTCCCAGTGCCTCCCTCGGGATGGAAGGGGAAAATGTAGAGCTTGTTAGTAACCCAAGCATTGATGGGGGCAGTGGCATAGTTTGGACATAGTTTGGAGGCTGCTGAAAGCAGTGGTAGACTCCACAGAGCGTGAGAGCTGCAGGAGATCAGGCAACAAAAGAAAAAATAGATAAATTGGACTTCATTAAAATTTAAAACTTTTATGCTTCAAAGGTCACCATCAAGTAAGTGAAAAGACAATCTTCAGAACTGGAGACATTATTTTTAAATGACATATCTGATAAGGGACTTATGGAAAGACAATATAAAGAACTCTTACAACTCAATAATAAGGAAGTAACCCAGTTTAAAATGAGTAAAAAATCAAACACACATTTGGACAAAGAAGATATAAAAATGGCTAATGAACACACGAAAAGGTCCTCAACATCATTAGCCAGGGAAATGCAAATCAAAACTACATGAGATATAGCAGAGAAAGACTCTACATTAAAAACAACAACAACAACTATGCCAGCTACCTCTTCACAAACACTAGGATGTCTCTATTCAGAAAAACAGATGGCTGGGCACAGCGGCTCATGCCTGTAATCCCAACACTTTGTGAGGCCCAGGCAGGAGGATCACTTGAGGCCAGGAATTAAAGACCAGTCTGACCAACATGCTAAAACCCCGTCTCTACTAAAAATACAAAAATTAGCCAGGTGTGGGGGTGTACCTGTAGTCCCAGCTGCTCAGGAGGCTGAGGTAAGAAAATCATTTGAACCTGGGAGGCAGAAGTTACAGTGAGCCGAGATCGCACCACTGCACTCCAGCCTGAGTGACAGAATGAGACCCTGTCTCAAAAAAGAACAACAAACAGATAATGTGGAGAAATTGGAAGCTTCATACACTGCGAGTGAGGATGTGAGGTGGTGCAGCCACTTTAGAACACACTCTGTCAGTTCCTCAAAGAGTTAAACATAGAGTTACCGTATCACCCAGCGGCACTACTCGTAGGTATCAACCCAAAAGAAATGAAAACATAGGACCACACCAAAACTTGTACATGAATGTTCGCATTAGTATTACTCATAATAGCCAAAAAGTGGAAACAACTCAAATGTCCATTAACTAATGAATAAATAAACAAAATATGGTATATCAATAAAGTGAAATGTTATTCAGCAATAAAAAGGAATGAAGCAGTGGAAAGTGCTACAATAGAGATGAACCCTGGAACATTATGCTAAATGGAAGAGGCCAGTCACAAAGGACCATATATTACATTATTCCATTTATATAAAATGTCCAAAATAGTCAATTATGGTTACAAAGGACAACCTACTGTATCCTCATGGTGGTGAAGCCATTCTGTATTTTGACTTTGGTGGTAAATATGCCAGCCTACACAGGCAATAAAAATTGCATAGTGCTAAATACAAACACACACATGCACAGACATAGACACACACATAAGCCCAAGTAAAATGGAGAAAATCTGAGTAAGATTTGTATCAATGTCAATATGCTAGTCTTAATGTCGTATTACAGTTTTACAAGATGTTATCATTGAGGGAAATTGACAAAGGATACACAGAATTTCTCTGTATTACTTTTTACAACCACATGTGAATCTAAATTATCTCAAAATAAAAAGTTTGATTAATAATAAATAAAATAATACAATAAAATAACTTTTTGACCAAAAAAAAAAAAAACCACTGAGCAGAAGAAAATAAAAAAAAAAAGGGATTATAGTATGCAGAAGACACAAAGCCTAACCTAGCTAACACTTTTTTTTTTTTTTTTGAGGTGGAGTCTTACTCCCGTCATGCAGGCTGGAGTGCAGTGGCATGATCTCGGCTCACTGCAACCTCTACCTCCCAGGTCAAGCGATTCTCCTTCCTCAGCCTCCCAAGTCGGTGGGATTACAGGCACGCACCACCACACCTGGCTAATTTTTGTATATTTAATAGAGATGGGGTTTCATCATGTTGGCCAGGTTGGTCTTGAACTCCTGACCTCAGGTGATCCACCTACCTCGGCCTCCCAAGGTGCTAGGATTACAGGTGTGAGCCAACACACCCGCCCCTAAAAATTTAACTTAAGCCAATAGAAGCATATTAATCACACTCATTTCTTGCTAGAGTAAATTGGAATAAAAATATCAAATCAGTAAGGCAACAAGAAAATGAGATTTTAAAAAGAATTTCTTATAAAATACAACATTATAGAGCTAATATAAAATTAAAACAATAAAAACTGGTGAATATTAAATTACTGACAATATCGCAAATAAAAAAATTAAATAGGAGACAATATATGTGGTAGATAAACATAATCCAATATAAGAAGAATTGATGTATCTGAATTGAAAAACCACAAAATAGAAGATATATTCAAAGATATAAGAGAATTATCTGAATTTTAAGATATCACTGAAACTGCAGATAAAATTGAACCATGTTCCAGGAACATTCCAATTCAGTTAATATCAAAGTTTACCCTATGTACAGTATTGAACTTGAAGAAAATCTTCAGGCACCTGCCAGGCAAGATAAATTACCTAGAAGGAAGAAAATCAAGTTGGTTTCAGACTTGCTGCAACATCATTCACTGCCAAAAAATAATAAAGCACTGAAATCAGGCTTACTCACTATAAAAATATGGCTCTGTGTACATCTTACTCCAGACAAGTATAGGCAATAGAAACAATAAAGCAGAAGACTGAAGCTGTAAATTTGTGTCATGGCAATATAACAAAGAAAGGAATGTGAGAAAAATTTAATGAGCTCATTTTCTGAAACTGCAGGTAGTATGAAATTAATAATGAAATATGATCAGTAGTTTAGGGGATACAATACAGATATTATCAATCAGCAATTACTTTTGTGTCCAGAATTTTACTGCAACCCTCCACACCCCTATAGCTATGTCTCACTTTATGGAGAGAAGTTCAATGCTCAGTGAGGTTAACTTGCTCTGAATCACACAGGTAGGCCCACAATTTGAACTCCGTTCTACCTAACTCAAGGCCGATTCTTACTTAACAAAACCATGTAATCTTATGTCTAGATGGTGAAATTATACATGGTTTCAATTTTCTTGTTTTCGCTTATTTTTTTTCTGAAGTTTCAACAATAACATATGCTGCTTTTGCTATTTTTTTAAAAAGTAGGAATCTTTAAAGATTCACACAAAGGTTATTTTTCATAGGAGCAATATATAATCTCTAATCTTTGGAATTTTAACTTTCATGATGCCAGGATAGTGGTTGAAACTGGTTGGTCATTTTTCTCACCTTTTTACTCTTTTTTTGTGGGGATGCGGCAAGGGGGAAGTAGGTTAAATACAAAATAAATTCAGAAATAATAACCACAAATTCAGAAATTAAACTGGCTGGGTTTTACTAGTCTAGACTGACACAGTCTGTTTTCTGGAAATCTGCCTAAGCCTTCTGTCTTTTTTTTTTTTTTAACTGTTTGAATAACACACACACATACACACACTGCCACTGCTTCCACTTGGCACAGTGAGGCTGTATGGATTGAGGCAATAGAGAGATTCAGGGCTCACCCTGATCCAGGGTAAATGCCACAGGGGCAGGCAAAAGTCTTCCCGCATAGAATACATCCATCACAAGCCTGGTCAGAAATAAGCCTCCTCTGGAAGGAGACAAGATGCAGACGTGCGATGACAGACTCAACTGGGCATGTTCAAATCTCTCACCAGAAAAACAGCCTCTGTCTGTCAAGTTCCTTGAACTTTTGAGTTACTGGCTGGGGTGCCAAGCAAAGGGCTCAGCCAAATCCTGAGCAGAACTCCTTTCCTCTCCAAAGAGCCAGTAAGGAATCAACGATGAAGAACTTGCCAATTTTCTGTCACTTGGAGAGTTTCCAAGCTTAGGATCCTGTTCAGAGGACCAAAGTCCAAGAGGCTTGAGTAAAAAGAGCAAACAGAACTCTCTTAACTCTTACAAAATATCACTAAAATATGTCGGAAATGCCGTGAGGAAATTACATACTTTTAATTTGTCAGGTCAGCAAAAGCGGGTGGTTAGTAGAGAAACAATCTTGTGAGCTGGCAATTTGTTTTTCCCTCCCTCCTTATGTGTATTTGTGTGGGGTAAGTCATTTTAAATAATTTCCTCTGACTTGGAAGTTTGGAAACATAATGGAATTCAAAACACAGTGGTTTTTTTTTTTTTTTTTTCTTGGTGGTTGTTGTTCCTCAGAAGTCAGTGAGGGAGGAGAGAGTGGGAGGTGGAGAGATTTAATGTCCCAAACTGATTTAAAAACTGACGTTTAAGAAAATTTCCCTCCCACATAAATAGGATTTTTCATGGTATAGGGCTGTTTGTGGTTCTCTCTCAATGCTCCAGATTTTAAAGCGGTACTCTTTAAGTAACCTCTCTGACCATGTAAATAATGAGACAACAGCAAGAAATCATCTTTGAAAAAGTGATGATTTTACCAGAACAGAGGCTCAAATAATCTCATTGTAATATTTTGAAAGATTGAAAGAAATAAGCTTTATTTACTTTCTTAGACTGAAAAAAAAATCAATTTTTGAAAACAAGAAAAAATAACTGAATGCTTAATAACCAGAGAGCCCTTTGTAACTTTGGTCATGGTGAATAGATTAAATGAACTCTCACCTCATTTGTAAGCAGAACTTAAACTTCTTCTCTCACCTGTTGGGGGGAAGGAGAAAGTGGCTGGTGAAATGAATGCCCCTGGAGTTAGTTTTCCTAAATCAATGGTCCTTGAGATCTTTCCTTAACTTTCAAGCTGCCCTGGACATTCTCTGCTTCCACAGCTGTGATAAGTTACAACTCATTTGTGTGCGTGCGTGCGTGCGTGCGTGTGTGTGTAGAAAGAGGAACTTCTATGAAAGAAACAGTTTGTTTCTGTTGTTTCAAAAAACAGAGTTTTGTTGGTTTGGAGAGATAAGCTCCATCTAATACAAATACAGAGAAAGATGGCGCTGCTGCTAAAACAAACCCTTTAAGCATCTCAGGGTAAATCACAGAAAGCACATTTCCAATGTCCCACTGGAGAGTTTTGCTTCTTAGAGCTATGGCTTCTCATCCGTGTTTCTTTGAATCAATGGTCTTTGCATCATTTGGATCGCTTTCTCAGAACAAAGGGACAAGTTATACCAGGGGGCAGTCAAGTCTCTACTTTTATTTATGAGACCCAAATACATGCTGATCTCCTGTGGTCTCATCTCTATGTTTAAAGAGTACCAGTCCAGCTGCCAAATAGGAATTAAAGAGGATTCGAATCTATACTTCCCTCTCCCTCACGGGTTCTAATCAAGAGCCCTCAAAGCCTCTACCTCCTTCTCTGCCAATTCTCCCCCAACCCATAAGTCTCCGGCAATCCCCAAGAGCCTCTAACTTGTAAAATCCAAAATTCCCTCTTCCAATACAGCCCACATGGCTTCTCTCTGCTTAGTCCCCTGGCCTACCTTCTCTCCCCTTTTTGCGATATAGATCACCATTGCCACTCTAAGCCATTAGCCCCATTCACTCACTTCCTTTCCACCAACCTTTCCATTTCTCTGGCCTACCCTCTTCCATTCTCCCAATTCTGCCTAATAAACTGCCCAGGAACCCAACTGGCAAGGACTCTCATTTAGTAGTTGGAGACCGAGTTGCAGAAGAAAATGTATGGATGAGGCAAGGGCTTGGAATAGAGGAAGCTGGACGCCTTCACCTGTAAACAATTCCACCCACCACACCTGCAAGACAGAAATACAGCTTGTAAACACAGCTGATAACTATTTTCCCCCAGCTTCTAGAGCACCTATCAGGGTTTCTTTAGCCCTAGCCTGCTGCAAATCTGCATCTTATTTCCCTTTTCTAAGGGAGCATTTGCTAGAAAGGAGCTTCTAAGCACCAAGCCTAGGCAAGGAGCAAGGAAGTAGATAGCTGTGAGCTGCAAGGGTCTGTAGCAGCTCATATCTTATTCCCTGTCTCTTCTCCCTTCTATGTTTTGACTCCAAGAATTACAGCTTTTTCCTGTGTGCAATCCATAGACGTCATATCTAGCCTATCATGGCCAGAATATTGGCAGGTGAAGGAGGGTTGAGGGTGACATGAAAATGAGGAGTGTCCCACAGAGCCATTGTGGGTTGCACTACTAGCTATCGGCCCATTATTCTTTCTCTCTGGAAAGTGCTTATCGAGACTACTCTAGAATCAGAGCTGCCGCCAGACAAGGTGGGACTGAATATTACAGCCTCCTCTCCTGAAATCTGTTGTATTGCCCAACAAAAATGTCCATCCACCCTGACTACTCTTTTTAATTGCACCCAGGAATGTTAAAAAAAAAAAAAAAAAAAAAAAAAGAGGAAGGCTCTTGGTGTGAACTCTCTCTCTCAAACTGAAGCTTGGATTACTTCATAAGTTAAAGCTTGAAAAGTCATGCATGCTGTACTAAATTCATTGAATTTCTTCTTACCACAGAACATCAACCTACCATTGACTTCAGGCTGGTTTTGTGTACACTAGTCCATTGCTTAGAATTTTATAAAAAGGTTGCTGTATCTCCCTCTAACTTACTATACACATGTATACACGTTTTCCTTCCACACCACCTCTTCGATGTCCACTACACAATTCCTGCACTCATCCCTCATGTTCTTACCACCCAGGCCTCAGCTTACTTCTTTCCCAGTCCGTCCCTTCAATCCTGACTTTTCTGATCCTCTATCTTCTCCTAGCCTTTATCCCTGCCATTGACCATCATTGACAACAATGATTTGGTGCTTACTATGTAATTTAAGACTTTACCCTATGAGGTATGTGTTACCGTGATCCCTTTTTTTAAATTGTGGCAAAATACACATAACATAAAACTTACTATGTTAACCATTTTTAAAGTGCACGATTCAGTGGCACTTAGTGCATTCACAATATTGCGCAGCTGGGTGTGGTGATTCACGCCCATAATCCCAGCACTTTGGGGAGCTGAGAAGGGAGGATCACTTGAGCCCAGGAGTTTGAGATCAGCCTGGGCAACATAGGGAGACCTCCATCTCTACAAAAAATAAAAAATTAGCTGGGCATGATGGCATGTGCCTGTGGTCCCAACTACTAGGGAGGCTGAGATGAGAGGATGGCTTGCGCCTGGAGGTCAAGGCTGCATGCAGTAAGCTGTAATCATGCCACTACTCCAGACTGGGCAACAGAGCAAGATCCTGTCTTGAAAAACAAAAACACACACACACTTACAATATTGTGCAAGCATCACCACTATCCAGCTCCAGAACATTTTTATCACCACCGCCCCCCCCCCCCACCCCCGGAAAAAACCCTATACCCACTGACACCTACTGACCTCCCACCAGCCACTGGCAATCACTAATCGGCTTTCTATCTCTACCAGTTTTCCTACTTTTGCCGTTTCTTATAAATTCAATTATATAATGTGATTAAATATCGTATGATTTTTGTGTCTGGCTTCTTTCACGTAGCACAATGCTTTCGAGGTTCATCCATGTTGTAACAATGTACAGTATTGCATTCCCTTTTATGGCTGAATAATACTCCAGTGTAAGGATATACTGCATTTTCTTTATTCATTCACAAGTTGATAGATATTTGGGTTGCTTCCACCTTTTAACTATTATAAATAGTGCTGCTTTAAACATTCACATACAAGTTTTCATTTGAACACCTGTTTGCAATTCTTTTGGATATACCCATAAAAGTGATATTACTGGGTCATATTTTAATTCTATATTTAGCTTTTTTTTTTTCCTTTTGAGACAGAGTCTCACTCTCTCACCCAGGCTGGACTGCAGTGGCGCAATCTCGGCTCACTGCGACCTCTGCCTCCTAGGTTCAAGTGATTCTCCTGCCTCAGCTTCCTGCGTAGCTGGGATTACAGGCGCATGCCACCCACCTGGCTAATTTTTGTATTTTTAGTAGAGATAGGGTTTCACCATGTTGGCCAGGCTGGTCTCGAACTCCTGAACTCAGGTGATCCACCCACCTTGGCTTCCCAAAGTGCTGGGATTACAGGCATGAGCCATCGCGCCAGCCTTTATATTTAACTTTTGAGGAACTGCCAAACCTTTCCACAGAGGCTGCATCATCTTACATTCTCACCAGCAATGTATGAGGGTTCCAATTTCTTCACATTCTTGCCAATGCTAGTTATTTTCTCCCCTTTTTTTATAGCCGTCCTAGTGGGTGTGAAGTGGTAGTTCACTGTTCTGTGGTTTGTATTTCCCTGGTGGCTAATGATAAATGCTTGTGCATCTTTCCATGTGCTTTCTGGCTATTTGTATATCTTCTTTGGAGGAATATCTATACAAGTTCTTTGCCATTTTTTAAGAGGTAGGGTATTGCTCTGTTGCCCAGGCTGGAGTGCAGTGGTGCGATCATAGCTCACTGCAGCCTCAACCTCTTGGACTTAAGCCATCCTCCCACCTCAGCCACCCTAGAGTAGCAGGCGCATAGCAGTTCCTCAAAAGCTAAATACAGAGGCTGGGCGTGATGGCTCACGCCTGTAATCCCAATACTTTGGGAGGCCGAGGCGGGTGGATCACCTGAGGTCAGGAGTTCGAGACCAGCCTGACTAACATGGCGAAGCTCCATCTCTACTAAAAATACAAAAATTAGCTGGGCGTGGTGACATGTGCCTGTGATCCCAGCTACTCAGGAGGCTGAGGCAGGAGAATCACTTGAACCCAGTAGGCAGAGGTTGCAGTGAGCCAAGATTGTACCACTGCACTCCAGCCTAGGTGACAGAGTGAGACTCTGTCTCAAAAAAATAAAAGCTAAATATAGAATTAAAATATGATCCAGTAAACCTGGGATTACAGGCACATGCCACTGCACCCAGCTGATTTTTTAATTTTTTGGAGAGATGGGGTCTTACTATATTGCCCAGGCTGGTCTCGAACTCTTGGCCTCCAGCAATCCGCTCACCTTGACCTTCCAAAGTGCTGGGATTACAGGCATAAGCCATTGTACCCAGCTCCTTTGCCAATTTTTAAAATTGAATTGTTTGGTTTTCTATAAACAAAATCTAAGTTTTTAAGAAAAAAATAAAGGTGCAGAGTTCAGGCCACACAGCAAGCAGACAGCAAGCTGAGATTTGAACCCAGGTAGTCTGGCTCTGCTCCTGTTAGCTCCTGCACTAGAACTCCTCATTGTACAAACCCCTACTGCCTGAAAATGTAGACCTAAAAAGAGGACTACATTGGTGTCCATTCATCTCAAAATGTCTGTCTGTGAGGACTGCTTCTCAGTGTTTTAAAAATCGCCACTATGCCTGTAATCCCAGCACTTTGGGAGGCCAAGGTGGGTGGATCACGAAGTCAAGAGATCGAGACCATCCTGGCCAACACTGTGAAACCCCATCTCCACTAAAAATACAAAATTTAGTGGTGGCACATACCTGTAGTCCCATCTACTCAGGAAGCTGAGACAGGAGAATTGCTTGAACTTGGGAGGCAGAGGTTGCAGTGAGCCAAGATCGCGCCACTGCACTCCAGCCTGGCGAAAGAGTGAGACTCCGTCTCAAAAAAAAAAAAAAATTCACCATTACAAATTACAAATTATTCTTTTGGGTTAGGCCAGGCATCTCCTTGATGGAAGGGAGGAAAATGAGATTTACCAAGTCCTTATCACTGCTCTACGGATTTTCATAGATGCTACAATTTTTCATTTCACTCCTATAGCAACCTGTTATTATTACTGTTAGACTGGAGATGAAATGAAGACAGAAAAGTTAACTTTCATGTCCAACCTTGAAAGGCAGCAATCTGAACCAGCACCCCTAGCTATATGATGTATAGATGCTCTGTTCAAAATGCAGATGCTGCTGAAAATCCTGGACTATTTTACTTCTGAGTGAATTGGCCAAGGCCACACATAATCAACCACTTGCTCTGGAGTCAGACTCCTGGTTTCAGACTGAAGCTTCTCATTAGTGATGTGGCCTAGGCAAATTTATTTAACTTCTAAGATTTAGTGTTCCCATTTATAAAACATATGAATACTACGTGAGGCTTCCATGTAAAGACCTTAATAGAGCCTAAATTTAAGAGATGAAGATGACAATGATGACCACAAGGAGGAATGACGGTTCCTAGAGGTACCCTTTGCTTACCCCATGTTACTGCTAAAACCTGTACCTCCTCTGTGCAGGGCACAAAAACATGCAGCTCAGTTCACTTGGAGAAATAACACCAGTAGTTTCCAAGGAGTGTTAGCATTCTTTGAAAATAAAGATCAAAACAGGCAATCTAGTGTCTATGGTTGAAGAAAACCAGTCTCTGACCTCATTCCTAAATATGAGTAAAATGAGAAATCAGGCCCTGATTCAAGTCAGCAAATTTTATAAGAAAATAAAGTGAACGGCTGCAGGTTGGGAGATTAAGCTGAACCATCTTCTACAGAAGAGTTCCCAGCTTTTCATCCCAACTACCCCTCCTGGAGAATGGCTGAGCTGACACAGTATGTGGACTTGCTGGCTTGTTTGTTTGCTTTTTTGTTTGTTTGATCATCACATTTTACACTTCCAAACCAGGGTTTCCTGTGTGGCACTGATTTTCAGGTATACTGGTGTGCACAGGAAAAAAAAAGGCGGGGGGAGGCCAGGAGTGGTAGCTCATGGTTGTATACCCAGCACTTTGGGAGGGTGAGGCAGTAGGATTGCTTGAGCCCAGAAGTTTGAGACCAGCCTGGATAACATAGGGAGACCCCATATCTACAAAAAATAAAAATAAAAAAATTAGCCTGGCATGGTAGCACATACCTGTAGTCCTGGTTACTCAGAGGGCTGAGGTGGGAGAATTTCTTGAGTTTGGGAGGTTGAGGCTGCAGTGAGCCATGACTGTGCCACCACACTCCAGCCTGGGTGACAAGAGTGAGACCCTGTCTCAAAAAAAAAAAAAGAAAAGAAACGAAAAAAGGGGGCTGCAATTGTTAACTTGGCAACCAGAGAGCTGAGTCCATGAAATTTCTTAAGGCTCGCTGGGTCTCCATTTCCCTTAGCTATAAAATGAGTGATCCAATAGATTCCTCACAGAGCTAATGATTTATGATTCTTATTGGTTAAGGACTACTTTGTGGCTTTCTAGAAATATAAATCGACATACTACATTGTATTTTGATGGCTCTTGAAAGTAGGCAGTGAGGGGTGGACATGAGTCAAGCCAGGGCAGAAGAAGTTTGGCATTTGTAGGTGAAGACTAATATACTCAAAATCCTGCCCTAATTTTGGAAGAAAATGCTACAAAATGGTAATTTATTTACTTATAATAGACAGCCAGATTGTCTAGCTATAATAGACAGCCAGATTAGCCTAGTTTGGGAATGTGTTAGCTGTTTAGGTTGTGGCTATGGTTGCTGAGGAAAAAAAGGTCTAAAATGCTTTGGGGGAATCTAATTTGAAAGAAATAAATGGATTACATTTTCCTAATTTAGCAGCCAGTTAACTGTGACTCATCCTCCTCTCTCCGCTCATGTGATCAGGATAGTAAATACGATATTGACAAGAAAATCTAGCCGTCACGTCAGCAGATGCCAGCCCTCCTCAGACTGAAACCACAGTGAAAATGTGCTTGTTTCCTGTTTTCTTCGCATAACCAAATTGCAGGGACTGTGCCAGAGTGTCTATTATTGTGTCCTACGTGAAAAGGGGCTGATTGCTAATTTCTAACTTATGAACTGCAAATATTATGGGGAACACTCATGCCTTCTATTTCCTGCTTTTACACAGGCCTGAGTCAAAATGAATAGAGATAAGTAATAGATGCTTATCCTCCTCCAATTCCTGAGACAATCTGCTCACGTTCTTGAAAATCTCCTCTTTCAAGATTCCTTGTAGCAGCAAGAATATTGAGAAAAATAAGCACAAGTGCATAGCCCAGCTCTGCCTCTTACTATCTGTGTGACTTTCAGGAAGTTACTGACCCTCTTGTTGTCTAGTTTCCTCATATAAAATGAAGAGAAAAATATATTTCTTTCATCACTGTTTAAGCCAAATGGTAATATTTTTAAGGCATTGTAAGCATTGTTATCTGTTGGGTAAATAGTCAAGAGATGGTAACTACTGGCATCACAGCTAACATTCACTGGGATGAGTTGTAACAGGGACAGCAATACAGACATGTGCCCACCAACATAAGGGACAGAAATAAAAAGATAGATACTCACATAGTGAAAAACCACCCCGCTCCAGGCAAGGTGACAAGCAGAGTCTTTTGTTGACTCAAAGGGAAAATGTGGAGTCATTTACTGTGTTTTGAACAAATGGACTCCTTGAGATGTTGATGTTGCTGCATGTGATCAATGAGTTGTAATGTTACACAGGCACCAGGAATACATCTGTCTGTGTTTGGTCCAATATTGAAGCACACCAGGGAGCCTCTCGTAGCATGCTGGTGTGATAGTTAAGCTCTTTGCATTATTTGTCTAATGAGAAAAAGAATGGGTTGTGGAGTTGCAATTTCCAAGAAGCACAAATAGTAAAATTGGAGAAACCTCTCCTCTCTTCCCTTTTCCTTCCTCTCATCTTCATCTCAGCAAACCAAAAATATTTTTCCTGATAGCCTGTTATAAAGCTTGACTTCTGGATACTAATGATTTATGTTCGATCTCAAGAGTTTGAAAACTTCAAGAATCGTCTGATATAATCGTGATCTGAGAGATCAAAATAGATGCCCCTTTATCAACTAAGATGGACTCTGTGGTTAGGGGAATGAAAGTTACCTTTGAGCCAAGGGTTCAGGCCTGGCTGGCATGGTAACTTCCTAAATTCCTACAGCTACAAGAAAAAATTCATACTCTTGCTAAACTTCCTAACAATAGGAGCTATCAGGCAAAGTGTCAGAGCCTTCCTAACTCTGATTTACAACCCAGGTCACTGTAACTCTGATTGGACAGAGGACCAGTCTTACAAACATTCTTTCTTGATAAGCAACTGCAGACCTCAAGCCAATTTCAGCCAGCTTAATAGAGACTGCACACAAACTGTCTGTGTCCTATAGTTCACCTTTTGCTGTAAAGATCCAAATTCCACCTCATTTTAATGCTGAAACCCCACCTCAAAGTGAACGTGGGATGTATATTACATGTATGTTTACCCATCGCACATGCGCTCAACTTCCTTCATAAATATGTATAACTTTATCCCCAAACCTCCTCAATGTGTAGGACTCTATTGCATGATGCTGGACCTGAGAGACATAAAACCCAACTGCCCTTTCCCTCTTTGAAGAGAGAGCACCTTTGCTCCATGCTGAAGACTATCTCTTCACAGTTTGCAAACTGATACCGCCAATAAAGCTCTCCTTTCTACTATTTAGCAATTCTAGGGATCTTTTGGAAGGCAAAATGCAAATACCACTGGAAGAGGTAACACCCAAATCACAGTGTGAAAGGAACTTTATAAAGAAAATCTAATGCAATGCTTTTATTTTTCCAACTTCAATAATAAACCCAAAAGGGCTGAGTAATTTGATTAAAGCTACACGATGAGACGGTGCCAGAGATGGAAGAAGATTCTAATTTTTCTGGTACCCAGTCAAATATTATTTCTTCTGCCCATTCAGAACCATCAGCACCTATGAATATCCTTGGGGAAGAAGAGCAAGATTAGCCATACCACTAGTTTTCAAACTTGGCTTGGACCAGAGATGCTGTTCTCTTATTAGGCACACATATTGTTCCTACAAGACTTTATTTCAAGAGTATTCTGTGATTTAAGATACATGGTTTCATGGCATTCTTGTACAGCCATGAAGATGCCCTGGTCATCAGTCTTTGTGGAAGAAAATAGAATGTGTTGCAACAAAAGGTGGAGAAAAAAATCCAGGCTTCTCAGCTCTGGAGAGGGCAAGCTTAAAAGTTACCATGATGAGAGAGGCCTGCACAGTGAAAGCAGCCTAAGACCCTTGGAAGTTTGGGAGCAGAGGAGAAGCTAAGAGGGAGGGGAATGAGAGACCAAAGGGCCACAAAGATGTTTTTGGCCACATTTACATTGTAAATTTGAGTGTATTTCAGTCTGGATTCTGAATAGTTTGCAACAGAAGTGCACCCTGACTATTTTACATAAAAGGTAAGTGATTGTAAGTATGTCAGGAGCTCAGAGAATCAGCTTCAGGCTTGGAACCCGCAGGCATTAGGGGCAATGTGAGAGCCAGCCCTCAGGACCCACAGCAGGAGTAGGCAGCATTTCTACCCATCTCTAACATCTTTGTGTTGCTTACTTGTGATTCACAGTCCCAGAGGGGAGCACCGACTGGCCAAACAAGGTCACACGCTCACTTCCTGGAGGGGCAGCTTCCCTAGTCAGAGGCAACTATTACCCTCTGCCAAGATAACATTTGGGGGCAAGAGCAATTCTCCAAAAGGAAATAGGTGCCCTGGGCTATGGAGTTTGGATATGGGACAGATGAAAAGCGAAAAGCAGCTGATAGGGACTCTGCCCCCGAGTCTAAGTGAGATTTAAAGCATAGAATATTTGTAGAAAATTGATAAGGTGACCCCACCAAAGGAGTCTCCTTGGAGAGCTCATTAGGAGGAGAGAAAGATCCAGGCTCAATGAGATCTACCAGGGAACAAAGGCACCTCTCAGTCAGTGGACAGGAGGAGGATTCTGGATACAGAATGGGGTTTGTCATGTGGCGTTGAGCCCTGGCCTGGTCCCCATGCACTGGTAGTTGAATCTCATGGACAGTAGAGGGACTGTAAGTAACAAGTGAAAGAGCTTTTTTACATTTTAAAGAACACTGAGACAGCTGTAGACATTAGGGCACCAGGGCACACAGAGCACTGCTGAGGTTAAGATGGGTGTGAGTCCTTCTTCCTCTTGTGCCACAGACCACTGTATGATACACCTTCCTCTGGCAGAGGGGCTGACAGAGCACGAACAGCTCGCAGCAGGAGGAGATGTGTGGGAGCCCACGTGATCCACCCTCAGGGACTAAGACTCTACTTATGAAGGGAGAAACACAAGCCATTGATTTCTAATTATTATCATCCGTGTGACCTCATTAGAATCCTCAGTCTGATGAGGAAAAATTCAATCCACTCTCTAAAGCAAACCCTAAAAAGGGGTGAAAAGGGCAGACTGGCTGGAATATTCAGGACTCCCCTTTCTTACTCGATGAGTAATCCTGGGCAAGTTACAGAATGCCTTTGAGGTTCAGTTTCCTTGATTGTTAAACGGAAACCCTAATTCCATGGGTGATTGTGAAAAGTAAATGGGATGAGAGGTCAAACCCAGCCTAAGCATGTGGTAGTAGTACTCAATACATGGAAGATACATACCTGAATAATAGTCACCATAAAATGCTCATGATTCATTGGATGCTTCCTCTGCATATACACAGTGTAGTTCTAGCTCTGCAATCAGACACCCTGAGTTCAAATCCTGAACCTTCTCCTTAGTCGCTAGCTTTCTGAGTTCTCAGGGTCCACTTCTCTGGTATTACTCTCCTCATGAGATTGTTGAGAAGATTAGCTGAGATAAAGGATGTAAAACACAGAACAATGCCTGTCACGTGTTAGGCTCTTAAGAAATGTGAGCTCTTATTGTTGCTATTATTATCCTCAGTACACTCCTCCCAGTATTTGCCCAATTGGGTTAAAGTAACAAGGAGTGACTGAAGATGCTGACACCAGGGAGGAGTGCGAGGGAAGGGGGAGACAAAAGGAGCTGGGGGAGAGGGATAAGAGAAGAACTTTCCATGTTGATATTTGATCATGGAAGATGGGCTCCCAAGTCACAGTCATGCACCTGTTTTGGTTCCAGCACTTTCTACCTAGAAGAGCTCTATTAATGTGATTTTTTTCTAAATATGACTGATCTTAGGAGGAAAATATTTACTTAGTACTCTCTAAGTGTGAGGACTGCTCAATGAATATTATACTAGATATTCAGGCAGGACTTAAGGAAGGAGAGCCTGATTTTGGGAAATGTGATTCCAGTGCAATGATTAGTTAATGGATTAGAAGTGTGTAGTGCTCAAGGAAAGCTATTTGCCTACTCGAGATACCCCCAAAGTACCTGGCACTGAGCAAAAATCTTGAGAGAGATATATGAGGAAGAAAAACCCCAAAATATGAAAGGGCAAAGAAGCTTACAAATTGCAAGATTACCAAACCCGACCACTTGCATATTTTCAGGCTCTTAGGTAATAAGTGAAGGAGGCATTTCGAATTAGACAAGTTAAAGAAGAGGAGAAAAAGGTTCCAGACAAAAGTTCCAGACAAAGGTAAAATTACTAAACGTATAACAAATTCAAAATGGAGAACACACAAAAAAACATGTCATTTAGGAATACTTGGGTGTCTGTTGTCTTGAACATCTTTGAGATCAGTGAAACAGAGAGATTCAAGGAGACAGCACGGCTCAAAATCAACACATCTCCATGAGCAGACTGATATTCAAAGAGGAATGGAGCAGAAGTCTTTGTTAATCATAATAAAGAATTTGCTGTATTCAAATGAAATAACAGCAAAGTGGAAGTATGCCAGGGCAATACCAGTTTTCCAAGCAGGAATAAAGAGAACACTAGGAAATTACAGAGCCTTCATCTCAATGTCTGTAATTTGCAAAATAATGGAAACAATAGCAGGGTAAGTTTGCCAAATGCATTTACAAACGAGTATCATTCCCTTTAATCAAGCTAGTGATAACCAACAAGGCTAGATAGAGGATTGAGGGTCTATGGATCTTTTTTACTTGATGGGACTATGACACAATTAATAATTACATGTGACTTATTTTGATGTAATGTCCAGATAATTTTACATAGAAGTTACCTCTAATGTGTCTATTATGGAAGAAAGTAAAATAAAAAGTAAAGAAAGAAAAAAGTACTATGTGCTGTCTCCATTATATGGGCTGTGCTACTATATATTCCTTTTTGCTTAAAATCCAACAGTGGCATAGCACTAAAAGGGTATTTAAGAAATCAAATAAACTATGCTCCTAGGATTGGATCAAAAGCACTTAAGACATATGTATTCCACAGGGCAGGCTGTTCTCTGTAGTCTCTCGGAGCCCATCAGCGTGTTTAGCTACTCTTCCATAGAACGTCCTTCCTTATTGAAACTTGGCTGCAATTTAAGCCCATTTCCCATTGTCTAGTCTTTGGTGAAGACATTAAACAGCCAGCCAGCATCCTCCTAATACTGGAAAACCTGCATTCAGTCACCGCTGGCAGAGTCCACAGATTAAAGGATTTTACTATACTCATTTTGCATGGATTTTATATTAATTTATCTAATTTGAATACTTACCCCATGAGCACAAGGTGCTCTGAGCTTTGAGGAATTAGACGATCTGGTTCAAAGTGTGTCAGAACTGGGTTTAATGGTGTGAGAATGGTCAGGACTTCTAGACCTCTGGACTGCTGATAGGCATCTCTGCTAATTTATGATTTCTCAAATCATTTTCCATGCCCAGTTAGTTCCACTTTGCAAGTTTCATTCCTTCCATGTCCATAGCAGATGTCAAAACCAGTGCCTGCCCTTCATTGTTTCTCTCCTTTCTTGATCCTTCACCTTGGAAAATGGCTTTCTTCATACCTGGGCAATTGAGGTCATTGGACTTAAAATTCCTAAGTTTTCTTTTCACACACACACAAACCTTTTTACATCTATTTCCTTTCTTACAATTTCAGATGGAGATGTGCTCTTCCTGTTGTTGCAGATTAATGTCTCCAACCCTGGTCCAGAATCCATCCCTTTCCATCTCTTCACCTCTTCAGCTTTCCTTTCCACAGGCTGCTTCTCAATGGATAAACACGTTCAAGACTCTAACTTCTAAAACCATCCCCCCAAACTCAGTGTCCCCTTCTAGCTACTCACCTTTCTCTCTGCATGGCTTCAAAGACAATTTTCTTAATGGAACAACCTCTACTCGTAACTCAGCTTCTTCACTTCCAACCCTGTAACTGGCCTCTCTTTCCTGACAATGCAGGTAAAGTTACCCTGGTAAAGATTTGCTACAATTTCCTAACTGCCAAATCCTTATATAGCCTCTTTTTAGTCACTCTGTAGCAACCAATACTTCAGACTACTTTCTCTTTGAAACTCTCCTCTCAGAAAAGGGAATGCTTATACACTGTTGGTGGGAGTATAAGTTAGTCCAACCATTGTGGAAAGCAGTGTGGCAATTCCTCAAAGAGCTAAAAACAGAACTGCCATTCGACCCAGCAATCCCATTACTGTGTATATACCCATTGGGTATATAACCATTCTGCAATAAAGACACATGCACACAAGTGTTCACTGCAGCTCTATTCACTATAGCAAAAACATGGAATCAACCTAAATGCCCATCAATGACAGATTGGATAAAGAAAATGTAATACATGTACACCATGGAATACTATGCAGCCATAAAAAATAATAAGATCATGTCTTTTGTGGGAACATGGATGGAGCTGGAGGCCATTATTTTTAGCAAGCTAACACAGGAACAGAAAACCAGATACTGTATGTTCTCGCTTATAAGGGGGAGTTAAATGATGAGAACTCATGGACACAAAGAGGAAACACTGGGGCCTACTTGAGGATGGAGGGCAGGAGGAGGAAGAAGATCAGAAAAAAATAACTATTGGGTACTAAATCTAGTACCTGGGTGACAAAATTGAAAGACTTTCCCCGCGGCCTGGAAGCTGGGCAGAGGGTGAATAACTCCTCCCTTCTCAGGCCCAGTCTCAAGGCTCAAGACCACTTGCACCAGCAGCATGCATCAGCAAGATAGCAGAAGCAGGAAGAGAGCTGGCCGGAAGACACATACCCTCTGAAGACCAAGAGAGAGGCCGTCCGGGTACTGCGTCGCAGTTACATCAGATTGAGACACTTCCTGTTTACAGGAGACTATAAAGCCCCTGCCCCGACACCTTTTGGTGCTGATGCCATTTTAGGCCTCAGCCCGTCTGCACCCAGGCACTCATTAAAATAGTGTGTTGCTTCACGCCGTCTTGTGTTGTCTGTTGTCGCGCTCTCGGGGTTCAAACCCACACAAAAGCCTTGTATCATACTATCTCCCTTTTGCCCTTGTGAGACGCTGCACAACACCAAAGGCACCCTCTTTTCATAGTCCCTTTGAATCATGTATGGCCAAACTTTTGTCTTGGGGCCTCCACCCTTACCCGACTCTGAGCCACTCCGGAATTACCTCCCCTCCTTAGTCCAGACACAGTCTTTCATTTGTGAAGCAGGAAATGAAGCCATGCCCCAACCCCCTCTCCCCCGTCAACATCTCCTTGTCCTCTCAACATAACTGTCTTGCAGGCACAGACGTGTTTATCTGCCAACTCGACCCTCACAAAAACCTACAACCAAAGTGGACAGGCCCCTACACTGTGATACTCAGCAAGCCAACTGCAGCGAGAGTCCAAGGACTCCCCCACTGGATCCATCACACCAGGCTCAAGCTCACCCCCAAGGCTACTCCTTCCTCCAAAACTTTAACAGCGGGCAACACCCTCAGAGTCCCTGTATATAATAACCTAAACAACAACAACAACAACAAAAGATCCTTAAAGGTAGGAGGAAGCCAAAGATGGCAACAGGACAAATGGCCTCCGCCAGAGATCATCAAATATTACAGTCCTGCCACTTGGGCTGAGGATGGTTCATGGGGTTATCGCACTCCCATATATATGCTAAATAGAATAATTAGACTACAGGCAGTTCTAGAGATAATCACTAACCAAACCGCCTCAGCCCTGGAAATGCTCGTGCAACAACAAAACCAAATGAGTACGGCAATTTATCAAAACAGGCTACCACTAGACTACTTATTAGCAGAAGGTGGGGTCTGTGGTAAGTTTAATATCTCCAATTGTTGTCTTCACATAGACGATAACAGAAAAGCAGTACTAGAAATCCCTTCAAACATCAGAAAAGTATCCCATGTTCCAGCCCAAACCTGGAAGGGATGGGACCCAATAAAGCTTCTAGGAGGGTGGTTCTCTAATTTAGGAGGATTTAAAACGCTGGTAGGAACAGTAATCTTCATCATTGGGTTCCTCCTATTTCTCCCCCCTGTATTATCCCACTAATAATCAAAGCTATTAAAAGTCTTGTTGAAACTAGAGTTAACCACCAGACAATCCAGACGATGCTCCTGCTGCAACGACACGATGAATACCAACCCGTCTCTCAAGAATACCCCCAAAATTAAGTTTTTCTTTGTTTCCAAGGTGCGCACGCCAGTCCCCATGTCACACTTGAAGTAGTCATTGAGAAAGTTGTCCCTTTTCCCTTTTTCAATAACCAAATAGGCAGGAATGAAAGACTTTCCCCAGGGCCTGGAAGCTGGGCAGGGGTTGAATAACTCCTCCCTGCCTCAGGCTCAGTCCCAAGGCACAAGGCCATTTGCACCAGCAGCGTGCGTCAGCAAGATAGCAGAAGCAGGAAGAGAGCTGGCTGGAAGACACATACCCCCTGAAGACCTAGAGGGAGGCCGTCCGGGTACCGCATAGCAGTTACACTAGACTGAGACACTTCCCGTTTACACGAGACTATAAAGCCCCTGCCCCATCCTCATTTGGGGCTGACGCCATTTTAGACCTCAGCCCGTCTGCACCCAGGCGCTCATTAAAACAGTGTGTTGCTCCACACTGCCTCGCATTGTCTGTTGGCACGCTCTCGGGGTTCGAACCAATACAAGAGCCTTGCAAAAATAATCTGTACAACAAACCTCTGTGACACAAGTTTACCTATATAACAAACCTGCACATGTACCCCTGAACCTAAAATAAAAGTTAAAAAAAAAAAATCTCTCCTCTCAGTTTTGAAATCCTCACATTCTCCTGGCTTGTAGGTCTTTTCCATCTGTAATCACTTTAATGATCCTAAGGGAGTGAATTCTGTCTTGGCTTCTCCTGTCTTCTTTGCTTAGGAGATTTCCATCTCTCCCTTCATTCTGACACCTAAATTCCAGAAGATTTCATATTTACATTTCTGCCCTGCTTTCTCCGCCTGCTCAATACATGTATACCCAACTTTTTTCTGAAACATCTCCACTTAAATGCTCAACTACCTCCAATTCAAATGATCTGATCTACCTCTCTCTTCTCCTTCTCACTATCCCTCTGCTGTCTGTATTTTCTCTCAATTGGTGGTATCATCATCTACCCAGCTTTCCTGAGGCAGAAACCTGAGATTAATTCTGGACTTTTTCCTACTCTTCACATGACACATCCAGCCAGTCACTGATACCCTCAAATTCTTTCCTAAGCCTTTCTCATGTGTCGCCTCTCCACTTCATCCGCATGCCATGGCCCTCCTTGTCTCATGTCTGGATTACTGTGATAGCTTTCTGACTGCTCTCTCTGCTCTATCCTGGCCTTCCCTTCATCAGTCATCCATGTCCTGGTGGAGTGCTTGCTAAAACCAAAATTGAATCATGAGTCTCTCCTCGCAGCCCTTTGGCATCTGCGTTAAGTCCTAATCAGGGTACAAAAAGCCCCTCACAATCTTACCATTGCTGCCTTCTCCACTTTCTCAGGCACTCACCTCCATCATCCTCCTTTTACCCTCCAGCAACATCATTCTAAACATGCCATTCAGTTTCATCACTATGTGACTTTGTGCCCCAATTCCACTGCCTGAAATGCCTTTCAAAGCCCAGAGTAGGTGTCACCTCTTCCACGAAGACTTCCCAGTGACGGGGTGGGGATGATGGATAATCACTCCCTTCTTTTTCCTGCCTGTGAATCATTCATATACTTAGACTCTTGGCTTATCACTCTGTACTGTTAATATTTGCTGATATATCTGTCTCTCTCTTGGACTCTGAACTCCTTGGGGGTAGAGTGCAGGCATTTATCATTGTATTCCCTTACACTGTGCCTGTAATATGGCAAATGAATTGAGTTAAATTGAACTAAAGACAAGAAATATTCTGCATAGTGTCCAAGGCTGTGGAGGCCTGTTGGTTAACCTACCTGCCTTCTGCATAGGATATGAGCAATTTAAGGTATGCAACTGTTTTTGTTTCTCCAGCACCTATCACAGTGCCTTGTACATAGGAGGCACACAAGTAAATACTTTGGCCAAATAAATGTGTCCTGTCTTAGGGTAATGGACTGCCCCCACCCCGTGGCTGTTTTAAAAGTCTGTGGTTTGGTCACTACATAAGAACATGTAGATCGATAATTTCATATCGGTAAAAAAACATGGCCAGGCGCAGTGGCTCACACCTGTAATCCCAGCACTTTGGGAGGCTGAGGTGGGCGGATCACCTAAGGTCAGGAGTTCGAGGCCAGCCTGACCAACTTGGAGAAACTCCGTCTCTACTAAAAACACAAAATTAGCTGGCCTTGGTGGTGCATGCCTGTAATCTCAGCTACTCGGGATGCTGAGGTAGGAGAGCAGCTTGAACCCGGGAGGCGGAGGTTGCAGTGAGCCGAGATCATGCCATTGCACTCCAGCCTGGGCAACAAGAGCGAAACTCTGTCTCAAAAAACAAACAAAAAACATATGGGGAGTCTAGCCAGCCCCCTTCTCTGGAACTCTAGCAGTGAGTGACCAAATCTACATGGGATGCTCTCGCATCTTCTTCCCCCCAAGTTGTGAGTCCCAGTTGATTTGGCAAGGAATAAACAAGGGTAGGACATGTGTAGGTGGGCACTAAGGTCCTGAGGAGTCTTCTCTGGGCCTCTGAACTGGAAGATCAGGTAAGCTCTAATCAGGGGTGGCAGAGAGAGCAAAGAGTAATGCAGGCATTCGAAAGAGAGAGAAAGAACAGGGCGGGCAGGGAGAGAGACAAAAAGAAGGACAGGGTGAAGAAGAAGGAGGAAGAGAGAGAAACAGGAGACAGAGAAGAGATGGGGGACAGAGAAAGAGAGAAAAAATTATGGAGAAAGAGAGGCTCTCTGGGGCCAGATTCCAGGCTTTCCTGAGACATAGCTGTGCTTTCAGACTTCAGGTTTCATGACCTACCCTGTGTCCCGCTGAAGAATTCCCTCCTACTTTGGCTCCTATCTATAGAGCAGTCAGAGTGGTTTTTTAAAAAGTAAAATCTGGTAATGACCATACTGGTCACCTTTTAGTCTCTCCAACCTGCCATGTCTCGTGGCTACAGGACCTTGGCGTGTGATGTCTCCTTCACCTAGAAGAGCGGTACCCACCAGCACTCCAGCTCCAACAGCTCTCTTGTAACACACAGTGGTAACTTCACAATTACTGATATGATCCATTCATTGTCTGTCTGCTCAAAAATGTCTTCTTTGTAGTTACCAGCAATGTCGCTCAAATGCTTAGCACAGTGCCAAACACACAGCATACATATAATGGTTTGTTGAAGGAAGAAAGAAATACAATATTAAAGGTGCTGATTATGTCGTGGTTTGAGACTGCCTTGGCTCATCTTATTATTTTAGTTCTCCCATCAGTAATTTGTTCTTTTGGGTTAATGAGCATCTCCTGCTCCAGGCATGTCATTATTCTCATCCAAGGCTGGGTCTAGCCCTCCTGGTGGTCTCTGTGGTACTCAGAACACTGGGTACAACAGGCTTTGGGACATGAGGAGAAAGATGGGAAGGGGAGAGGCACCAAACCAAGCCTTCTGGAAAGAAAGAAAGAAAAGAGGAAGGAAGGAAGGGAGGGAGGGAGGGAGGGAGGGAGGGATTAGGGAGGGAGAAAACTATAAAACACTATAATAAATTTACAATTACATAATTAAATAAGCACATGCTTCCCCAAGGAAATTTAAATCCCCTTTCCATCGGCATGCCAAAAAAGCGGTGATTTCCTTCTCTTCCTGCCTCACACAGAAATAGAGTGTGACTTGTTTTATTCATGGTCTTCTTGGAATTCTAGCCCAACAAAGCATCTACTCCCTTCTCCTAGTCCACCAGCGGGTCCCTGGAAGAGCAGAGCCTGCTGCTTCTGCGAAGCCCTCATATTGCTCCATCTGAAAGTGAGAAAGAATAAGGAAGAGGGGAAAACAAGGTGTACTTTCCATGCCTTCCTTTAATTTGGCTCTATGAATTGGCTCAGCATACCTGAGTCCCCATCTCCCTGTCCCTCACAAAACGAGATTTGTGACTTTTGGGGAATTTTTGCCAAAGTAGTAAAAATTCTTACATTACTAAATCTCTTTTCATCTCAGTACAAAAAGATAGTATGTCCAAAGAAAACACTAAAATACCCAAGTGCCTCCCACTGGGATCAAAGAATTTCCCATATTCCCAGGAAGATCTTTAAATTCTCTCCCCTGTTAGTCTTCAAGCTCTTTACTCCCAGGAAGAACCACTTTCTCTCCTTACCCTGAACCAAAACCCTTCAGCTTTATCTGTTTACTACCTCTCTGCTTCAGAAAGTTTTCCTTTGATTAACTTTACACAGTTGTAACGACGACGATGATGATGATGATGATGATGTAATCCACTCTACTGTCTAGGTCATCAGTGCTCATTTAATTGGTTTGCAGCTTACTACTTGATATTTATTTATAATATTAATATTCCTAATTGTGTTCATGCGCTAGTTTCTTTATTCAGTGCCTAAAGTCCTTAAGGAAAAGAATATTTAATTCAATTTTATTCAAAAAGTATTTCCTCCACTGTATGAGTCCCTGGCACATGGGTAAGTGCCTACTGAGTACAGAAAATATAGCAACTGCTGAGGAAAACATTTTTAAAATAGATGTGACACCATCTCTGCCTTGGATATGTTTATAGCTCTTTAGGAAATAAATCAAAAACATATATATGTTTTATATAGATTCATATATATTCATAAATTCATATATATGCATATGTTCCTATATATGATTTTATATATTCATACATATTCATATATATACATATATTCATATATATGTGTTTAAGTCCATTTTCTGTTGCTATAACAGAATATCACAGATTTGGTAATTTACAAAGAAAAGAGATTTATTTGGCTCATGATTCTGGAGGCTGGGAAGTCCAAGGGCATGGTGCTGGCATCTGCTTGGCCATCTGGTGAGGGCCCTCTTGCTGTGTCATAACATGGCAGAAGGGCATCACATGGCAAGGAAGAAAGAGGGCAAAAGTGTGCAAGACAGAGAGTAAACAGGGTCCAAACTTATTCTTTTATCTTTATCCCTTTATCACTCCCCAAGGTAACCAACCCACTTCTGCAATAATGGCATTAATCTCATTCATGAGAACAAAGCCCTCATGGCCTAATCATCTTTAAAGACCCCATGTCTCAGTACTGTTACAATGGCAACTAAGTTTCCAACACATGAACATGTGTCCTTTTGTAGGACACCTAGCAATATGTTTTTTAATATACTCATATACAACCACAGAAATAGTTCAGATTATTTTAGTTGATTTGCAGACATATACATTAATGTATAAGATACAAAAATATCTGTACGAATGACTACAATGTAAAGTGTAAGGACTGTAGAGGGAGTTGGGAAACCTTCCCAGAGGCCACACTTGAGCTAGACATAGGCAGATAAAGAATTTTCCAAGAAGAAGAGGAGATATTTCATACTAAATGACAGAAGAACTGTACAAAAGATACCAGGAGACATAAAATACTTGAAGTTCTGGGGAAGGGGAGGAGTTAGGCATTATTGATGTGGGGATGCACATCAGGGAAGGAAAGCTATGAGATGGGTCTAGACAGACGGGACGGGATGTGTTTGTTTTTAATCCTACAGGCAATGAGAGCCTTGGAAGGCTTCCCAGCAGAGGTAAGAAGAGAGAGAGAATATGCATTTCAGCAAGATCTTCCCAGGTAGCAGTTGGAGGGTGATTGGAAGTAGTGTTTTGTGAAATTGTAGAGCAGTCGGATGATTGCCAGAGTCTAGGTGGCCAATAATAACCTGAATGAAGGTGGTGGCGATGGGAGAAGTGGGAAGAGAAGGGAGGTACATCTCAGAGGAGGCTTGAGGACTGGTGGGATACGGCAGGGAATTGTAAGGAGGAGTTGAGAGGGGGCCTTCCTGAAGCAGTGCACAGCCTGCTTGGTGACAGAATTCCTTAATCTAGTAGCACCTTGGGTAGCTGAGTTTCTGTACCTAGTAATGCGAGGGTGGCATCCCAGTTTTGTGGGACCTGAAGCAATCAATCTGAGAGCCCTCTTAGAAAAAAAATACAAAATAGGTACAAAAGTGAATATACATTAGAGTAAGAGAAGAAATCACAACAAATTACAAACAATGAAAAGCTGAAAAATAATACAAATATTGGAAATGTTGTAATTTTATGATAACTTTATTAACTAACTGCCTGACATATCTGTAAAATATACTTTCCCTACATCTTTTCTCTGTATACTTTTTGTAAATTGAGATAAAAGTCATATAATACAAAGTCCACCATTTCAAAATGTACAGTTCCATGGTTCCATGGTTTTTATGTCATGCAACTACTATTTAATTGCAAAACATTTCCATCATCCTAAAAGAAATTCTGTCCCTATCAGCTGTCAGTCCCACTTCTCCCCTCCCCCATTCCCTGTAACTACTAATCTATTTTCTATTTCTATGGATTTGCCTGTTCTGGACATTTCATATAAATGGTATCATGTAATATGTGTCCCTTTGTGTCTGGCTTTTTTCACTCAGCATGTTTTCAAGGTTCATTTATGTTGTCACTTGTAACAGTACTTTATCCTTTATAGAAAACATTTGATGTGAAATTCACATAATATAAAAGTATTCATTTAAAGTGAACAATTCATTTAGTATGCTCTCAATGTTGTGCAACCACCACCTCTATCAAGTTCCAGAACATCCTTATCACCCCAAAAGGAAACCCAATACCTATTAAGCAGTTATTCTCAATGTCTTCCTTCCCAGCACCTGGTAACCACCAATCTACTCTCTATTTCTATGGATTTACCTAGTCTAGATATTTCACACCAATTGAATCATACAAGATGTTACCTTCTGTGTTACTCTTCACTTTGTGTAATGTTTTTGAGGTTCATACACATTGTAGCATGTATTGGTACCTCAGTGCTTTTTATGGCTAAATAATATTCCATTGTATGAATATACCACACTTTGTTTATCCATTCATCTGTTGATGGACATTTGGGGTTTTTCTGCCCTTTGACTATTATGAACAGTGCTACTGTGAACATGTGTGTACACATAGATTTTTGGAGTACCTGATTTCAATCATTTGGTGTATATGTCTAGGAGAGGAATTGTTGGGTCATATGATAATTTAATGTTTAATTTTTGAGGAATTGCCAAACTGTTTTCAAAAGCAGCTACACCACTTTATATTTTTATGTGAATGTACAAGATTTCCAATGTCCCCAAATCCTACCAACACTTGTTTTCCTTTTTTTTTTTTTTCATTATTAGGTGTGAAGTGTCATCTCATGTCATTTTGATTTACATTTTCCTAAAACTAATAAGGAAGGGCATCTTTATATGTACTGGTTTGCCACTTGTGTGTGTGTGTATATACATGTGTATATGTATATTTGAGAAATAGCCTTTCAATCCTTTGCCCATCTTTAAATTGAAGTACTTGCCTTTTTGTTATTGGGTTGTAAGAGAGCTTTATGTATATTGGATATTAAACCCTTATCAGGTATATTATTTGCAAATATTTTCTCCCATTATGTAGGTTATTTCTTTAATTTCTCGATAGTGTCCTTTGACACTATCAAGTCTTCTGTTTCCTTACTGATCTTCTGTCTGTTTGCTCTATCCATTATTGAAAATTGGATATAGAAATCTCCTACAGTTATCATTGAATTGGCTATTTCTTCCTTCAGTTATGTTAGTTTTTGTTTTGGTGTTTTGGGGCTCTATTTTTAGGTGTATGCAGGTTTATAATTGTTATATCTTCTTGAGGGACTGAGCCTTTTATTATTATATGGTGTCTTCTTTGTCTCTAGTAGCATTTTTGCACTAAAATCTATTTTGTCTGATACTAATGTAGCTACTCCAGCTCTCTTTTGGTTATGTTTTGTATGAAATATCTTTTTCAGTCTTTTGTTTTCAACAAATTTGTGTCTCTAAATCTAAAATGAGTCTCTTATAGACATCATAGAGTTGGATCATGTTTTTTCATATATCTTACCAATCTCTGCTTAATTCTTCCTTAATTCCTCCATTACTGCCTTCTTTTATGTTAAGTAGGTATTTTCTACTGTGCCATTTAAATTCCTTTGTCATTTCTTTTACTATATTTTGAGTTATTTTCCTAGTGGCTGCCCTGGCAATTATAATTAATCTCTTAATTTATAACAATTTAGCTAAGATTAATACCAACTTAATTTCAGTATACCAAATCTTTGTTTCTCCATAGCCCCATTCTCCCCACCCACCCCCATGCTATGCTGTTATTGTTACAAATTGTATTCATATACATTGTGTGTCTATCAACATAGATTTATAAACATTGCTTTATACAGTTAAATCAGAATAGGGTGAAAAAAGTGTTACAAAAAAATTAAACATATTTTATATTTCCTTATATAGTTATCTTTACCAGAGATCTCTATTTCTTCATATGGCTTTTAGTTACCATCTAGTGGTCTTTTATTTCAGCCAGAAATACTTTCTTTAGCACTTGTTGGAAGGTCAGTCTATTAGCAACAAACAGTTTTTGTTCATCTGGGAATGTCTTCATTTATTTTTATTTTTGAAGGATACTTTTGCCAGATACAGAATTCTTCACTGACTTTTTCTTACTTTGAGTCCTTTGAATACATCATTCCAGTGTCTTCTAACCTCCGGGATTTTTAATGAGATATCAGTAATTAATCTTATTGAGGATTCCTTCTTGAATCTTATAGAGTTGAGTTGTTTTCCACTTGCTGTTTTCAAGGTTCTTTGTCTTTGTCTTCGGTTATGGTGTATCTCTCTATGGATCTTCTTAGTTTATCCCACTTACAGTTCATTTAGCTTCTTGGACGTATAGATAACATTTTTCATCAAATTTTAGTTTCCTGCCATTATTTTTAAAAATACTCTCTCTCTCTCTCTTTCTCTCTCTCCTCCCCTCTCCTCTCCTTCCAGGACTACCATTATGTGTATGACAATATCTCACAGGTCTCTAAGGTTTCTATTAATTTTTTGCTTTATTCATTTTTCTTTTGTTCCTCAGAGTGGATAATCTCAATTGATCTATCTTCAAGTTGCTGATTCTTCTCTGCTACCTGTTTAAATCTATGATTGGAATCATGTTTAAATCTCGATGGGATAGTCCCCTAGTGATTTTTTTTTTTATTTCAGTTACTGTACTTTTGAGTGCCAGAATGTCTATTTGGTTATCTTAAAAATAAAATTTCTATCTTTTTATTTATTTATTCATTCATTCATTCATTCATTCATTCGTTTATTAGACAGAGTCTCACTCTGTCACCCAGGTTGGGGTGTAGTGGCATGACTTCAGCTTACTGCAGCCTCAATCTCCCAGGCTTAAGCAATCCTCCCACCTCAGTCTCCCAAGTAGCTGGGACTACAGGCTCGCACCGTCACACCCAGCTATTTTTTCTATTTTTAGCTTCATGATGTTGCCCAGGCTGATATCGAACTCCTCAGATCAAGCAATCTGCCCACCTCGGCCTCCTAAAGTGCTGGGATTATAGGCATGTGCCACCACACCTGGCTTTTTAATTAGTATTTTTACTTGGTTACACATTATTCTGATACTTTTAGTTCTTCAGATATTGTTTCCTTTAGCTTTTTAAACATATTTCAGGTAACTAATTTAAAGTGTATTCTAGTAAGTCCAATGCCTAGGCCTCCTCAGAGATAGTTTCTATTAATTTTTTTCCTGTGTTTGAGCCATACATTTTTTGTTTCTTTGTATAGCTCATAATTTTTTTGTTGCAACCTGGATGTTTTGAGTATTATGTGGAAACTCTGGAAAATAAATTCTCTCCTCTCCCCAGGGTTTATTGTTGCTGCTGTTCATTTCATTTTCATTTGTTTGTTGAATGATTTTTATAAACTAATTCTGTAAAGTCTGTATTCTTTGTCATGTTTGACCATAGAAGTCTCTGTTCTGTTAGAACAATAATTGGACGGAGATTTCCTCAATGCCTGAGACCAAAAATATTACAGTGTTTGCTTAGAGACTCTGTGTGTTGGGGCCTGCCTTTAATGCTTAGCCAGGCAGTTTACAATTCTGCCTTAGCCTTCACTTCCTTCTTGTGCAAAGCTTCAAGGTCATCCAGAAGTCAGAGCTTAGGGTCTTGATAGGTTTTTCCTGGGCAGGCATGGCTTCTAGATTCCCAGGAATATGCATGTACTTTTCAAAGCCTTCATGAACATAACATTTCCCAGCCTTTTCTTCCTAACTTTTTGGTTTATAGCAACTATTTATCACCTCAGGCAGCAGACACTAAAACATTTGCCTGTAAATGCTTTTGACAAATGCTCCCACTACCCCCACATAGCTTTTGGACTGGGTGAGTTCCAGGTCAAGTGAAATAAAGACAAGCCTTTTGAGCAGTCTTCCATGGAGCCTTCACATATGTTTTTAAAGGGAAAATAATTACAATTCTTTTTAAATGAGTTTTATTCTAATAGTCACTCCAATACCAGGAATGCCGGCTATTCCTTTTACAGGCATCTCTGAGCTGGGTGTGAGGTGTGGTCCAAGAGAAAGTTAAAATGCCACAAAGCTTACTGAGATTCAGTGCTTTCCTTGAATAAACACTGCCTGGTGGCTGCAAGCCTCTAGTTAATTTCCAGAGTTGAAAAAAGTTGCTTCTGATCATTTTTGCCAGTTTTTTTATTTGCTTTTATGGAGGGGTAAAATATTAGAGTGCCTTACTCCACCATTTTCACTGAAATCACTCCTCTCTGTATTCTTTCTTATTGCCTCTTGCTATGACAACAATTTTGTAATATAATTTTTCATTGAAAAAGTAGAAAGATAATCCAATTTTTCCTTTATCATGGTTGACCACTTTTTTTTTTTTTTGAGAAGGAATCTTGCTCTGTCACCTAGGCTGGAGTGCAGTGGCGCAATCTCGGCTCATTGCCAGCTCCGCCTCTCGGGTTCATGCCATTCTCCTGCCTCAGCCTCCTGAGTAGCTGGGACTACAGGCGCCTGCCACCATGCCCAGCTAATTTTGTATTTTTAGTAGAGATGGGGTTTCACCGTGTTAGCCAGGATGGTCTCAATCTCCAGACCTTGTGATCCACCCACGTCGGCCTCCCAAAGTGCTGGGATTACAGGTGTGAGCCACCGTGCCCAGCCGACCACATTTTTTTGAAAAAATTATGAATAGTTTAGAAAAATTCCTTACAGTTGGTGAGCAATCTCACTTTTACAACTCCTCAAGTTTCCTGCTCAGGCAAGGCTTCTTGCTCAAGCAAGACTTCAGAAAACTCCAGCTCTTTGATCATAGTTGGCATGGCACTGGCAACGAATACCCTGGCAGCTAGTAAGCATTGGCCAGGCTCTTGCACCTCTTCCTCTTCCCCATATTCTGCCCTTGCTGGTCTGGTCCTGGGGTTAGGGAGCAAGATGCCTAGAAACATGGTCCTAATGGACCCTGCACAGGGTGCAGAGCAGCCTCAGTTTCAGATACTCTTCCAGGGATAAAAGATAGGGTCCAAGTGCTCCCTGGCAGCTGCCAAACGCAAGTTATCACAGCGGGGCAGACAAATATGAAGGTATTGCTGGCAGTCTGCCAACCCCACTCACAATCCTGGGACCACTGGCAGGGTATAGACAAAATATGAATATAATATCATATAGACAAATACTATAGACAAAATGAATATAAAACCAACCTAAATGCCCATCAGTTGATGACTGGATAAACAAAACGTGCTATGTCCATACCATGTATTTTTATTTGGCAATAAAAATAAATAAAGCTCTGATACATGCTGCAACATGGGTGAACCTTGAAAACATCATGTTATGTGAAAGAAACCAGTCACAGAAAACCGTGTATTATATGACTCCACTTATATGAAATGTCCATGAAGGGAAGAGGTGGCTAACGCTTGTAATCCCAGCACTTTGGGAGGCCAAGGTGGGCAGACTGCCTGAGCCCAGGAGTTTGAGACTAGTGTAGGGCCACGTGGGGAAGCCCTGTCTCTACTAAAATTACAAAAAATTAGCTGGGCATGGTCGCGCATGCCTGTAGTCCCAGTTACTTAGGAGGCTGAGGTTGGGGGATCACTTGAGCCCATGAAGTCAAGGCTGTCGTGAGCCGTGATCATGCCACTTTACTCCAGCCTGGGTAACAGAGCAAGACTCTGTTTCAAAAAAAGAAAGAAAGAAAAACAAAAACATGTCCAGAATGGGCAAATCTATAGAGACGGAAAGTAAATTAGAGATTGTCTGGTTTTCAGGGGTTTAGGGGCAGGAATGAGAAGACATTGCTAATGGGTCCACAGTTTTTTTGTGGGGGTTTACAGTAATGAAAATCTACTAACAACTCTGTGAATATACTGTAAAAAGAACACTGAATTGCAGAGCTTAAAAGGGGACATCCTATGTTATTTGTATTACATCTCAATAAAGCAGTTAAAAAGTAGAAATATAGCGGGGCCCCCTCCTTGGGGAGTACTCCTGCCTTCATCACATATGAGAGCTGCTGCTGCTGCTTCTCTCTGCAGGGCAGCACTCAGCCTAGGACAGGACCCCTACAAGGGAGGAGCCCTGAAGCTTGAGTGACATTAGCTCCTTAGACACCTGCCTTTGGATTTGTGCCAAGCATTCTTCTTTTCTTTCATCCTTTCTTTTCTCTTTTTTGTTTTGGTTGTTTACTTCAGGGTGCCAAAACTTTTTTTTAAGTCATGTTGATATGGTTTGGCTGTGTCCCCACCCAAATCTCATCTTGAATTGTAGCTCCCAGAATTCCCATGTGTCATGGGAGGCACCCGGTGGGAGGTAACTGAATCATGGGGGTGGGTTTTTCCCATGCTGTTCTCATGATAGTGAATAAGTCTCATGAGATCTTATAGCTTTATAAAGGGGAGGTCCCCTGCACATTCTCTCCTATCTGCCACCACGTAAGACATGTCTTTTGCCTTCCATCATGATTGTGAGGCTTCCCCAGCCATGTGGAACTGTGAATCCATTAACCCTCTTTTTCTTTATAAATTCCCCAGTCTCGGGTATGTCTTTATCAGCAGCGTGAAGACGGACTAATAGACATGTTGACAGACATATACTCAGTTAACATTCCTATCTTTACTGGGTGAGAACAAGCTCACAAGTTAACATTAAGGGAGGTGGGTGGAAGGTGACCAGGGTGATAAAAGGGAGGAGTCACATTTCAGAAATGTATTGATATAGGAGCAAAAATATATTGACACATGAGTTCCTCAATTTAAAACAACTGAAATCAACAAAACCAATCTTTTCTTTTTTTCCCCTTTCACTATAAACCCTAAGACTGACAGTGACATTGGGGGCAGCTGCCAGAATATCAGTCCGCCTCCAAAGCAACAGATGTTACAGATACCTTTGCAATCACATCTAAGGGATGCCTCAGCTCGTGGAACTCCACGCCAATCACACTCTGTAGTTTAGAACATGCTCATTTGAATATGCACAGAGATAGAAAGTAAATTAGAGGTTGTTTTGGGTTTCAGAGGATAGAGGCAGGAATGAGAAGAGACTGCTAATGTGTCCACAGTTTTTTTGTGGGGGGTGACAGAAAAGAAAAATCTTTTCCTGATTTTTCCATTGTCATTTCCAGAACTGTGCCATAACTCTCTTCACACAACTTTACTTTGATTGACTTTTGGTTGAGTCATGGGAATTTATGGCACTAGAATAATCTGACAATTTTGGTGAGTTCACATCTCGAAATGGGGATAATAGTCTCTTTCCAGTTCTGTCATCACTATTACTACTATTATTATTATTACTATTATTATTTTGAGACAGAGTCTCACTCTGTCACCCAGGCTGGAGTGCAGTGGCTCGATCTTAGCTCACTGCAACTGCCACCTCCCGCTTCAAGTAATTCTCCTGCCTCAGCCTCCCAAGTAGCTAGGATTACAGGCGTCTGCCACTGTGCCCGGCTAATTTTCGTATTTTTAGTGGAGACAGGGGTTCACCATCTTGCCCAGACTGGTCTTGAACTCCTGACCTCGGGATCCACCCATCTCAGCCTCCCAAAGTGCTGGGATTACAGGCGTGAGCCACAGCACCCAGCCTACCATTATTTATTAAGAGATTATTGTCCGCATGATCCCAGGGTTTGGCAAGCCATGAAGGCCTGTTCTTGTCAAGGGGCTTACCCACCTCAAAAAATATTGTGCTTTGGCAAAACCTACAGGCTGATTGATCCTTAAATCTGCTTTGGCTTCATTCTGGGCACACAGTTGGACTATATTTCCCAGTCTGCCTTACAGGCTGGGGTGGTCATTTAAGCGAGGCCAGTAGAACATGGGCAGAAATGGTGTGCATCATCCCGAAGTCTGTTCCCCATGGGAGCCACTCTGCTTGTCTCCCCTTCCAGCTGGCTGGAATGGAAATGACTCCTAGGACAACCTGAAGGAAAAAGGGCTGGGTCTCATACCACCATCAGAATTCCCACATGGCACTGTTAAAAGAACAGAACTTTTATTGCATTAGACACTGATGTTTGGAGGTTTCTCTGGACCTGGGGATACCCTAACTAGTATAAATGTCTTTTAAATGAGCCTAACCATACCAAAATTTTTGCTCTGTAACAAACTACCCCAAAACTCAGTGATTTCAAACAACACACTTCTCTTAGCTCACATTTTCTGTGGGTCTACAATTCAGGCATAGCTTACCTGGGTGTCTCTGGTTCACAAAGCTGCAATCAAGGTGTCAGCCAGGGCTGCAGTCATCTCTAGGCTGGGACTGGTGGAGAATCCACTTCTCAGCTCCCTCCCGTGGTTGTTGGCAGCATTTAGTTCTTTGATGGTTTTTGGTCTGAGGGCCTCAGATCCTTGCTGGCTGTTGGCTAAAGACATCAGTTCCTTGCCAGCAGGGCCACTCCACAGGGCGGCTGATGACATGGCAGCTGGCTTCCCTGAGAGCAAACAAGTGAGAGAGCCAAAGAAGATATTCCAGATGGAGCTGGAGTCTCTTTGTAACCTAATCTTGGAGGTGACATCCCATCACTTTGGGCACGTTCTATTGCTAAAAACAAATTGCTAGTTGTAGCCCATGCTCAAAAGGAGGGAATCCTACTCAGGGGCATAAATACCAGGAGGTGGGGACTATTGTGGGCCATCTTTGACGCTGCCCACCACACTATGCAATTTTTTTTCCTGAAGATTTGTGGACACCTTTTAAAATGCTCTAAAGCTGTGTTGCCCAATATGGGAACCATTAGTCACATGTGACTATTTAAATCCAATTGAATCAAAAATTCAATTTCTCAGTCACACCAGGCACATTTCAAGTCCTCAATAACCACATGTGCCTAGTGGTTCCCATATTAGTACAGATATAGAACACGTCCATAACTGCAGAAAGTTCTATTATTGCAAAAACAAAACAAAACAAACTCTCTTTAAAAAGCTGGATTCCCCCAGAATTGTGAAGCAACAAACAGGGCTTCTGGGACACCTAGACTGTGTTTCTGCATTCATTTCCACCCATTTTGTTCATTTGTCTCCTTTCAGGAACTCAGTTGTAACTAGTCTCCTTCCTGAAAACCTACTGTCAAAAGAAAAATAATTAAACAAATTCACACTAAGATGTAAATGACTATCTTTTAACCTCATCATTTCAAAGGTACTTCCATTCTAACCAGACTAAATCTGAATAAATAAATTCTCAGTTGTGGCACTTTGGATATCAACTCTACTGATTTGGAGGAGGACTTTCAAGTCTTCTGAATGCTTTGAAACTCAAAGACTCTGACATGAGAACACTCACCCCATCTATCTGACTTTTGAATTTTGGTTTTCACATGAATTTTTCCATAGTAGGGAGTAACCTGGGTCTGGATGTGTTCTAATTTAGCATCATATGTGCAAACATCAAACAAATAATATAGCAGACTCCATCTCTATGTACTCATAACGGGGGACCACCATATCGGGAGAACTACATTATGACATCTTAACACCTAGTTTTTCCTCTTGGATTCATCATTTAACTTGTTTCAACCAGAAGGTTGCCTTTCAGCTGCAGAGGGAAAACAGAAGTTCTTTGACAGAGGAGACAAAAAGCGCTGGAAATGACTCGTTGGTGTTTTTCCACCTGAGCAAGCAGGCCCCCTTACTAGATCCTGGTGCACAGTATTCACCTTCGCGGCTCGACAAGGATCTTTGCTGGTACAAATATAATTTGCCACATTGTCTCCATGTGATCGTTTGGAAGCTGAGGGAGCTGTCTCTAATGACAGGTCACAAACATCCGCGACGCGGGCTCCTTTATGCCTGCTCGGCTGGGCTGGGCGCTGGCAGCCTTGCCACTCAGGCGCTTGTTTTTGTTATGGAACAAAAGCCTCACTCCCAGCTGTGGCGCCAAAATCTCGTTGCACTGTTCGAGTAACTGACAGCTCCGGAGCTAGGCGTAGGGGAGGCCTGGATGGGCTCCTCCAATAGCAGCCGCCTCTTTCTGCGAACCCCCGCGTGTTTACAGGCAGCCGGCTGCCGGCGGGAAGGAGGCGAGGACGAAAACCAGGACGTGGAGTTCGCTCGGAGTGGGCGTGCGCCCTTGCAGAAAAGTGAAAGCCTACTGGGGCCCGCCGCCCAGGAGGAATCCGCATTGTAACCCCGAGCCTGCGGCTGAGATGCTGTGAATTTATTTGGTTCACCCCATCAGCCTGCAAGAAATTCCCCTGACAAGTTCCTCATGGTTTCGTGTGTCCAGTCTTTGTGATTACAGGGCGATGATGTAGCACAGAATGTGTCCACTTCACTCAGAGGGACTGATAGATAGAAAACCATTTAAATCCCCAGTCCCCTACTAGGTGCTCTGGAATGACACGAAGGTGAGAGAAACGGAAGGAGGAGATCACTTATGTTAGAGATGTTCATCACTTCTTGCAAACCTTCAAAGCAAAAAGTCATGACCATCATCATTAAAGAAGGCTTATTAAACATCGTGTTGTGTGTGCTGCTGTTGTGTATTGAACCGTGAAACTAAAAAGAGCTTGTCCATGCCTTGAGTGGCTAATAGATTCACATAGCAAAGAAAGTTCCCAAGTTATACTAGATAAAATGAGTATGCTAAATGTCTATCCTTTGCATACCAGGATAAATAAAATAGATTCATGCCTGGTCAGTGAATACTAGGAGCCTCTAGCTTTGGGGAAAATTAAATGACTTTGAGGTTGTGGTTTCTGAGTTGGAGGCCACAGCGCTCAGAGCTCTGGAGTTCACGGCTGAGCGCCTTTGCTGTTCCGCACATGTTGGTCGTGTGATTTTGAAGACAGCCAACTTCTCTAGGCCTGGCTTTCTCATCAATGAGGTGGAGATAATACATCCAGACTTGCTGTGAGGATGCAATGGGATGACTTACGTAAAGTGCCTGACACTTAAGCACACAACAAACAAATGTAATTTGACGCCAGTATCTGACAGAGAATTTTCCAGATATGATAGGCCACTTTCTTCAGCATAAAGAGAAAGCATTTAGGGAAGTATACCTAGCACATGGTGAGCACCCAATAGTGTTGATGCTGCACTGCTGAGCATATCAGGTAAATCCTGGCTTTGCCAGTTGCCAGTTATGTTTCTTGATTCTCTGTGCCTTGATTTTCTCATCTATAAAAATGGATATAATAATAGTACCTACCCCATAGGACATCAGAGGATCAAACAAGATAACTCATGTAAAGAAACCAGCAGCTGGCAGCACTCAGTAAGTGTCATCTAGTACTATTATTGCTTTCACATCTGATGGATGATTGTTCTAGGAATTATGACTTGGTGATAGACTATATTCTCCTCAGTATAATTTAAAGACAGGAGGAAAATGAAGTTTTCCCTAGGAGCATTCCTCATCTTCCCTTCCATGCCACTCTTCCCCTTAGATTTGGGTTCTGTCCTCTTCTCTGGGCTCCCACAATCTTTTCACTGAAAACCCGGGACTCTGCATTCTGACATCCACCAGTCTTGTCCTCTCTGCAGCAATTCTTTTTTGAACTTTGAATTCTGAGATTATTTTAGAGTCACATGCAGTTGTAAGAAATAACAGAGATTATGTGTACATAGTTTTGTCCAATGTACCCAGTTTTCCCCAACGGTAACATCTTGAATAACTGCAGTAGAATATCCTAACTAGGATATTGACAATACAATCCACCTTGTTCAGATTTCACAAGTTTTACAGTTGTGTGTGTGTGTGTGTGTGTGTGTATTTAATTCTGTGTGTATTTACAGTGCAGTAGTGTGTGTGTATTTAATTCTGTTTAATTCTATCACACATGTAGATTCATCGAATCTACATGTGTGATAGAATTAAACAGAATTAAAATACAGAACAGTTCCAACACAAGGGTCCCTTGTCTGACATGCTTTGTACCCCAGATGTTCACTGATTACACTACCGCCATTTACCCATAAAATTCCTTTCTCCTGATTTCAAAGACTTGTTAAGAGCTTGATTAACCCATCACAAATAGCTAAGGTATTGAACATTGTAAATGTAAATAAGGTAAATGTTGAATGGGTCATACCCCCCCCAAGATAATTGTATTCTTAGAGAGAGCTTTAATGATTTTACTCTGAGGAATGAGCAGTAGAAGACTATCAGGAAACAAGATAAAATAAAATGGGGCTCAGAATTATCACTCAATTTTAAATGTGCATGAAAAAACGGGGGTGGAAAAGAAACATGGAAGCCTGAAAGGGCTCCAGGCTGATTCATCTAAGTGGAAGTCTAACACACACACACACCCCTTCAAAGTGAGAAAGGTTTCAGAAACTTCTCCCTTCACCCAGCCATAACCCATTGAAATACATAAGAAATCTCACTGCTGCAGGTGAAGAACTAGATCTCAGTCCCGCTCCCTTCGAACAACACAGGGCAGAAGTTAAACAATCAGTCATTGCCCAGGCTTGCAATTGCTGTCAAAAGAGTCCTATTTGATTGGGGTGAACCACAACCTTTTAGTACTGATGATGCTGACATAATCTTAAGGTGCAGAAAGCACTGGCTTAAAGCCTGGCAGGGGATGAGGATAAAAGGCATTCCTTTTACAAATTTTGACATCATTAGAATGCACAATGCTCCACAAACACTTTTCCTTCTACGACTTTGTGCAAAACCTGAGAAGTACAGCGCAAAATCCTGGGAGTGGAGGAATGGAAGCCTTGGTCCTCAAGTGCTTCATATCACAAGGTTGTCCTAGTGAGGAGTAGATCTGGGGCACAAGTCCTATGGCTTTCTGTGGTGCTACTGGCAAATGAAAAAAGGGTCGAGGGATTGGGAAGAGAAAATGTGAAGAAGTGGCATTGCCAGAGGTGACTCAGTTGTTTCTTATGTTCTAAAAGTGTGGTACCTGGACCAGTTGTTTCTTATGTTCTAAAAGTGTGGTACCTGGACCAGCAGCCACAGCAGCACCTTGCAACTTGTTAGGATGCAAATTTTCCAACCCCAACCCACATTTTTTAAATCAGAAACTTTGAGGCTGTGTGCCATTAATCTGTATTTTAACAAACTCTCCAAGTGATTCTGATGCGTGGTGAAATTTGAGAACCACTAGAGATCTTCCAACAGAAAGATTCACAAAAAAGTTTCTTGGCCCACTAGAATGGTTAACCATTCTTATGGGGATATAGATGGAATAGTCAAGTACTACTTTAAATTCAGGAAAGAAATGTTTAAGCAACTATAAATGCTAAGCACTATTTTAGGGACAGAGGGATGAACAAGACAGACAATATCTCAATGTCATAGAGCTGCTGGTAATAAGTGCTCAAAAGAAAAAAAGAATCAGGTTTGAAGTGCAATTTTAGCAGGGTGGTGAGGAAAGGCCTTTTTAAGGACATATTTGAGCAGATGCCTGAATGAAGCTCAGGAGCCAGCAGGTCGTGGTAAGTCTGGAAGCAGGGTGTTCTGGCAGACAGGACTAGAAGTGTGACAGCCTGATATGAACATGAGTTTAGTGTAATGAAGGAAGACAGAAGGCAATGTGGATAGGTAGGAGGGAAAGGAGAGCAGGTTACTGAGAGGTGGGATGGAGATAGTAATATAATTATAGGGTCTTCTGGGCCTCAGAAGGAAAATTTGGATATCTTCTCAGTGTGATGGGATACTATCAGAGGCTCTTGGACAGGGGAGGGGCATACTTTATTTTTTGTATATTTTACACAATTTGGCTGCTATGTGGAGGTCTGCCTGTAGGAGGACAAAAGTGAAACAATAAGACTAGTTAGGAGGTAGTCCAGGTTAGGGATGATAAGTGCTAGATAAATATCATAGTGGTGGAGGTGGTGGGATTGGTTGGATTTAGGATGTATTTTGAAGATAAATCTGGGATGTGGGAGAAAAAGAGAGGTCGAGAATGACTTCTAAGTTTTTATCTTAAACTAACAGGTAAATTGCAGTGCCACTTATTAAAGTGAGCAAAACTGGGGAAGAAACAAGTTTGAAAAGAAAACCAAGAATTTATTTCAGTCCTGTTAAGTTTGAGATGCCTAATAGACATCCAACTATTGTGTTGGATATCAAATATATGAGTCTGCCACTCAACAGGTAGACTGAATTGAACTTATTACCTTATAGTGTGTGTGACTAGGTTAGAAAAATACTATTCATTAAATGTTACAGGTAAATATTTTTTAAAAAGCATCTTATAAAATAATACTTTGCTTTTTGCCATTCTCACACTCCTTGAATCTATTTTATTAAAACTTTTCACACGAGTCTTTTACATCAGGTCTCTGCCATCACTAGAACCACTTTCCCAAACTTTAACAGTTCTGCAAACCACGTCATATTCACCTCCAGATAAGCTGTTTGACATGCAGCACTTTTGGGGCCTGTATATGATGTTGCCTCTGGATACTTTATCCTAACCACAAAAAAATCAATCTCCTGCTTGTGGTCTACAAGTCAAAATCACACACCATCTTGCTTTATAAGGTGGTATATAGATTTCTCATTTCCAGCAACATCCATCAGTGGTGATTCCGGGAAAATGGCCAAATCTAAGTTAAATTTCTTTGACTCTTGGTTTTACTGAATGCATCAAATGGCCTCTGGAAAAATTTTGAACTAACATTGACTGAGACTGCTTCAGGCTAATGTGCCTCCTTCGAGCAATACTTCGTTGTACAAAATTGAGTATTTGAGTGGGCACCCTTGTAAAATTGGAGATGCCATGAGGGACAAATATAAGACATAAGACATCTGTCTCTTTCTTGAAGGATCCTTTTATAATATAAAAACATCATATAGGCCAGGCATGGTGGCTCATGCCTGTAACCCCCCAGCATTTTGGGAGGCCAAAGGCAGGTGGACTGCTTTGAGCTCAAGAGTTTGACACCGGCCTAGACAAGATGGCAAAACCCAATCTCTAAAAAAAAAAAAAAAAATACAATAATTAGCCAGGCATGGTGGTGCACACCTGTAGTCCCAGCTACTTGGGAGGCTGAGGTCAGAGGCTGGCTTGAGCCTGGGATGCTGAGGTTGCAGTGAGCCAAGATCCCACCACTGCACTCCAGCCTGGGTGATAGAGCCAGACCTTGTCTCAAAAAGAAAAAAAACATATACTCCAGCATAAATGTATAAAAGCTAAACATCACTGAGGCAGAATACCCTTGGGCCCTGAAACCCATGCCCACCTTCTGCAAGGGGGAAGAGCTGAGGTTCTTGGGAAAGAATCTTCAGATAGTCATTCTGGTGTATTCTGGCATGAGTTCACCATGAGCACAGCTAAGATCACATAACACAGGGGTGCAGAGAGAGAGGGTTGGTGTTGCTGGTCTGGGTGCATGGGTGTGCCTTTAGGCACAGTGATCTGAGTGGAGAAATGAGGGTGTCAAGTGTTTTTAACCTGAGTGTTCACATTTCTCTGTGCCACCAAAATCATGGTTTCTGGGTTAAGAAGAAGAGAGAATGTGACAATAGAGGAGCTTCTCCGTAGACCACCTAACATGGGCTTAACTTCCCTCTCTCAGGACTGTTGATTCACATGTGACATGGGGTGATGTCAATGCTGCGGCCATTGCAGAATTCTTCCATCACAGCAGCCTAGCCTAAGCCCTACACAAAGAGTCATGCTCAAAAGTAGGACTACGTGGTCTTTGGATTGAAAATGTCAAAAATAACTGTGGGTTGTTTTTTTTTTAATTAGACGCACCCTGGCCTTGTAAAGAATATGTTCCTGCCCCCAGAGTGGAGATCCTAAACTCTTTGTTGTCTCTGTGCCTTTGTTCCTGAGGCCACCTCTCCCTGGAATGTCTCTTTCTGCCACCTCATCATCTGGTAGATCCCCACTCATTCAGCTCCGGCAGGACTTCATCCAACAAGCTTTCCTTGACCCACTGTGGCCGTCTGGCTCTCTCCTCCATGATCCCCAAATTCCCTTGCAGATCCGGATCATGCCTTTACCAGAGGGATCATAATAATGTGTTCATGCATCTGTATCTTCTGTTAGACTGGGAGCTCCTAAGCATAGGAACTGAGCAACAGTCGGGGCATTTCAGGGTCCACCAAAGAACTTAGGACATATAGTAGACACTCAATAACCTTTCCTGAGGGCTGACCTTCAGAGCTGCATTTTGTTTTGTTTTGCATTATAATTTTCCATTTCTGTCTCAAGTGCAGTCCGTGAGAAGGGACAGCAGATCCAGCCACCTATATGGTATCATTTGAAAGGTGTCGGGCAGGGTTCTCAGCCTCCAAAATCTGATATCTCTCCTGTCATCTGAATCAAACCTGAAATTACTCCACTAAAAGTTACCCTCTCATTTAGGTCCTCAAGAATCACTGGCTATCTACAAATACCAATGAGGAGAATAAGTCCCTAAGTTCAATGCTGCTTAATATGCATAGGAGCCACCTGGGGATCTTATTAAACTCCTGATTTGGATGTGAGGGAGAGGACAGAGATTCTGCATTTCTAATAAGCTCCCAAATGATGCTGATGCTGCATGATGGCAGACCACACTTTGGGTAGCAATGGTCTGGCAGTCAATCTCAACTTTAGCTTTCATTAGAATCACTTGGAGGGTCTCTTCAACCAGATGGCTGAGTCCCACTCCCAGGTTTTCTCATTCAGTTGGCCTGGGGTGTGGCCTGAGGTTTTGCATTTCTTGCAGGTTTTCAGGGGCTGCAGCAGCTGCTGCTGGTCCATGGACCATACTTTGAGAACCACAGTTTATAGCCACTGAGTTCACTTTCTTCACTCCTGAGAGACACTGGAGACTATCACACAGTCCTGCAGCAGAAACACCATTTGTGGGAGCCAATTTCAGCTGCTCTTTCATCAAGCCATGACTTGGCTGTCACCTGTATCTGCTCCATCTCTCATTCTACTTGGGGCCACTGCCAATTTCTCATCTTCAAAACTTCTTTCTCTTTATCTTATTTCCTTTGCTCCTTCCTTTAATAATACATTTTAAAAAAATAAAAATCTGAAATGTCCATTCGCTACTTCCTCGATTCCCAGCAATTTAAAAAATCCACAGCAATCTGGCTTTCATTCTCTTGTTAGCATCACCAACTCGTTACCAAATTCTGTGGCAATTTTCAGTCCCCATCTACAATCTCAAGGCACATTCAGTTACTTTGGCAAACATCGCTGTAGGCTCATCATTCCTACACAGACAGGGTCCAAGCAGGAAAACATAAAAAGTGTTTAAAAATACAAGAAACTTCATCCCCACTGGTGATGGAAGAGCTGAGAAAATAGACGGGTTATTGAGACAGGAATCAGTAAGGACAGGAACCTGCTACACTTTTAGGCTACAGGGACAAAAAGAGGTGGGGCTATCACAGCCAGTGGCTTCTTGACCTGTGGAAACAGGGAGAGCTGGAGTCTTGGAGGATATAAGCCCAGTGGGAGGACAGCCCTACAGCAGAGAGATGGGGAGAAATTCCCTGGCTCCTGCTTAACCCTCTCCAGTTTCCTACCTATGCCCCTGAGAAAGGAGCCAGGAGAAACGGCCTACAGAGGAGGGCTACCAGTGACAGATAGCAGAGCGGGGGAAGGGCAAGGAATGGCCCTGATGTCAAATAGGCTGAGGACCAGCCCAGCCCCTTCACCAATACCCTCTCCAGATCTCTTTTTTTTCTTTTCTTCTCCTTTTTTTTGGGGGGGTGGGGGGGTGGGGACAGAGTCTCACTCTTTCACCCAGGCTGGAATGCAGTGGTACGATCTCAGCTCACTGCAACCTCCACCTCCCAGGTTCAAGCGATTTTCCTGCCTCAGCCTCCTGAGTAGCTAGGACTACAGGTGTGTACCCCCACACCTGGCTAATTTTTTGTATTTTGAGTAGAGACGGGGGGTTCACCCTGTTGGCCAGGCTGGTCTGGAACTCCTGACCTTAAGCAATCTGCCTGCCTTGGCTTCCCAAAGTGCTGGGATTACAGGCATGAGCCACCGCCCCCGGCCCCCAGATCTATCTCTTAAACATCAAACAACTATCACGCAACTTCACCTGGATGTCTGTGGGCATCTGAAACTTGATATTTCCTAAATGGTGCTATGTCCCCCACCAAGCCTGCTCCCCAACCTCAGTGACTAGCACTAAGATCACCTAGTCCCTGTAGTTCAAAACAGACAATTGTCCCTGGTTCCTTCTTTTCTTGTTCTGCCCACATCCTGTTGGTCACCAGGTTTGGTTGATTTCTGCTTTGGAAATATTTCTCAAATCCACCCTCACCTCAATTTATCCTCTGTGGTAGCTTTACTTCAGACCCTCTTCATTTCCCCTGGACTAAAGCAGGTCCCCCTGACTCTATGACTATTCCCTTCAGGTCTCCCTTCTATGCTGCTGCCATAATACCTTCCTAACATACACATTGAACCACATACCTCACTTGCTCAAAACTTCAGAGTTTTTCCAACAAGATCCTAAAGGAGAGTCTGAAGAAATGAAGTGGAGGACACCCTAAGACACACAGCTTTGCCTCAAGTATATTGTACCCACCATTCCCACTGTTATATGAAAAAGCTGGAGACAAGGCCCACTTCCTAGACATGCAGCCTGTACTGTCACCCAGGGCCTCTTGCTTGGAAGAGCCCATGCTTGGTTTAACGCCCTTCTGTCTCCGTCTTGAAATTCATGATAATTTTGAACAAGGAGTCCTGCATATTTATTTTATCCTGGGCTCTGCAAATTATGTAGCCTGGCCAGGAATATCTACAGGCCTAAAAAAACACAAGCTGAATGCTATTCTGAAAGATGGCAGCTCATACACTTAGGGTGACATTGGATTTTAGATTCTAGAAGATATAAATACCCTGGGTAGGGGATCACTGATTATTTGCAAGGTATGTAAAAGGGATACAGAGATCATTAGGAGAAACAAGCTGAACATGAATTGAGAATAAGATAAAGGCATTTAATGCTGATGAGAAAATGGTATCACTTATAGTAGAATAACGCAGAAGTAATGTTGGAAAAAACCTTGTGAAACAACATAGGTAAAATGATTATGGTGTGGTGGCTGGAACTCTGTATTGAAAACCTATTGGAAAAGATTTGGAAACAAATATTAAGGATCATTATTTTTATATCCAAGATCATCACTAGCTATTTCCTCTCTGCACTGAAAACTGAATAAGGGAAAGTGGCAACTCAGGATAAATAGACGAAAACCTTTTTGTGTATGTGTGGATTTTTATATATAACATAATAAATTAGCGAAGACCCAAGACTATTCTTGTGTTTTTCTTGCTGGTCACTCTTCTTCTCCCTTCCTCTTTCTTCTTCTTCCTTTCCTGTTTCTCTTTATTTTTCTTCTCCTCACTCCTCTTAAGTTCTGGAAAGCAGCAAGGAGAAACAGTATTTATTTTGAAATAAAGGTTTTGATTGAAATTCCAGCTTCGGCCAAGCCAGCTTTGCCTGCTGTGTGGCAATAGGAAGCAAGATATCAGGTGGCAGGATGGCCGTGACTAGATAAATATATGGAGCCACTGGGGGCATGAGGATAATGGGGTTTATATGGAGGAGGTGGTGGGACAAGCAGCTCCACCATAGCTTTTATAGGAATGCGACAAAAATGTTGCAAGTAACCTCTGCATCCACAGTCAAAGAAATGGAAGGTAATCAAGGCTGCTCCACCCACTGCCTTCCCCAGCCCTCCTTCTTTCTTGCACATTGTCGACCGGAAGGACAGTCTTTATATCTACAATGGTTTAAGGAAAATTCTTTATCCTGGCAAGTATGGTAAGTACCGAGGAATTTTTACACTTCTTACAAAATTCTGTCTCACTCTCAATTTTTTCATATTAACAGGCATAACAACAAAAAGAAATTTATGACTAGCTTTTAAGAAATCCCAGTGGCATTTATATCAGCATATGCTGATGTCTCATTCTATTTTATGGCTTTCAAGACTCCCATGATAGGTTGCTGGGGTTAATTTAGGTACTTCTTCCCCTGGAAGAGCTTGAGATAAAATAACAAACATAGAAACTAAAATGGTGTAGATAAAAATAGCACTGGAGGCAAAGGGGATAGATTAGGAGCTTTTGACATCTGTCATCAAACCTCGAAATACCCTAATTGGAAACCTGATGAAGGTAATAAATGAGAGTTGTTAAAAATAAGCTCAAATTCAAAACATTTAATTTTTAAAATTAGGTAGATAGATGAGAAAAAAACATAGTTATGGTAGTTTCGATTTGCAGCAAAGAATCCTGGGTGTGATTTTTCTTTTTTAAATTTTCTCAGTCAGATCTACCTAAAAATGGATCTGGAAAGTAGAAAATGACCCTTGGAAGGTTTGAGCCTTCATCATCCAACATGATAGCCACTAGTCACATGTGGCTATTCATACTTTAATTAAAAGTAAATAAAATTAAAACTTCTATTCCTTATTTGCAGCAGCCACATTGCAAGTGCTCCATAGCTGCATGTGGCTGGTGGCTGCTGTTACTGAACAGCACAGATATAGACCATTTCCATCACTGCAGAATGTTCTAGCAGGTGAGCCATTTGTATGCTCACATTTATATTAATGTTAAATACATTAAAATGGCTAGGTTTAGTATTTTGGAAAACATTGCTTATTAGAGGTATTATGCTAATTATTATTTGATCCTTAAAATATTTCTTTCTTTTTTTTTTTTTTTTTTTTGAGAGGGTGTCTCACTCTGTCACCCAGGTTGGAGTGCAGTGGCGTGATCTCAGCTGACTGAAACCTGTCTCCCAGGCTAAAGCAATTCTCCCACTTCAGCCTCCTGAGTAGCTGGGACCATAGGTGTGCACTGCCATGCCTGGCTAATTTTTTTTTTTTTTTTTTTTTTTTGTAGAGACAGGGTTTCATTATGTTGCCCAGTCTGGTCTTGAACTCCTGAGTTCAGGTGATCAACATGCCTCGGCCTCCCAAAGTGCTGGAGTTACAGGCATGAGCCACCACACCTGGCCATTAAGCCTAGAAATATTTCTATTAGGATGAAGGATTAATTAAGGGTTATTAATTAAAATACAGAAAGAAAGGCATGTAAGCAATAACTAAGTAAATGAGAATCAAATCTGCAAACTAAACTTTAAAAATTCTTCCCAGCAATAGCACATCACTGTAGTAAAAAGAAATTATGATGTGACATAAGCAAGTAAAAAAATAGTAGTCGTTGAAATGAAGACTTGCTGCAGGTCAATTTATAAAAGGAAATCAAAATTGAAGGAAAATGATAATGGATGAAGTCTAGCAGAGGTCATTAGTACAAACATTGGTGGAAAACAGGAATAATTTGTAAATAAGTTCAATGAAGAAAGGAAAAGAAAGGCCCATATGTAAATCTAAAGAATTAGCAAGAAAATGTGAAGAAATTGAACAACAAAGCTAGAGAAGTATTTGCAGAAAATATGGCAATAGGGTTTTTAATGCCAAGGGCTCACACAAGTGGATATGAAAAACTCTGATTCTATCAGGGTTATGGGCAAAGGATAAGAAAATAATGTGCAGAAGGGGAAGTAAAACTTGAACACATGGGAAACTATTTTTCTTCATTAATGATCAAAGACATAAATTAAAACAAAATGAAATTTCATGAAACATTTGTCAAAGTGGCAAGGGAGAGAATGATAGAAAAAGACATGATTAAAGTAAGAGAGCATGCAGGACGCCAGCCACTTTCTTGTGGTTTTCAGAGTGCACATTGCAGCAAACTCTTTCGTAAAGCCGTCTAGTCAAACGTATCAAGAAAATGTGCATGCTATTTGACCAACTGATTCTACTTCTGGCACTGATCCTAAGGAAAGAATCCAAAAGGTATATAATACTTTCTGTACAAAGGTTGGCGGCACTATATTACATAGCAAGATGTGGTGAAATCATTGCACAGCTTGACACAATATTCTGTAGTAAGAATTTTGCTATGAAGAGTTTTTACTCTTTATTTTTAAATTAACTGTAATATTTGAATACACTTTTTTTAATTGTTATTATTTTTGAGACAGAGTCTCGGTCTGTTGCCCAGGCTGGACTGCACTGGCGCTATCTCAGCTCACTGCAACCTCCACCACCCAGGTTTAAGTGATTCTCCTGCCTCAGCCTCCCGAATAGCTGGGATTACAGGTGCCCACCACCATGCCCGGCTAATTTTTGTATTTTTAGTAGAGATGGGATTTTGCCTTGTTGGCCAGGCTGGTCTTGAACTCCTGACCTCAGGTGATCTGCCCACCTCGGCCTCCCAAAGTGCTGGGATTACAGGCATGAGCCACTGCGCCCTGCCTATTCTTTTTAACAAGGCAAAAAAATAGGGAAAGTGGGAGACTTCCTTTGTCTCCTCCCTGAAGCCTGTTCACCTCCCCAGAGGTTAGCAGGTATCCTACGGAGGCTTCCCCATATCCATCTGAAATCACACTATGTATTTTTTTTTACGCTATGTATTAATAGATGTATATAGTATATTTTGTAGGGTGTTTTAAATACAAATGAGATTATGTTGTAAAAAAGTATTTTATAGCTTGTTCTTTTCACTTAAAAATACATGAGTCCTTTCCTCCTTTCTCTTTTAGCACACAGTGACTTCCCTCACTCTTTGTAGTGGCTGCATAGTGGTTTGTACATCGTCAAAGACTTCTTTTTAAATCATTCTCATTTTGATGAATATTTATGCGGTTTTCAATATTTTGGTATTAAAACCAGTGCTGTAATAAGTATCCTCTCTGTATTCCTTTGTGCCACTAGGCACAGTGTTCCTCTAGGATGAATAACTAGAAATGGAATTGCTGGTTTCAACTGGCAACTGCATTGCACACACTGAAATAGTAAATATGTGTTACATAAAAAAGAAAGCAAAGCTACCATTTAACACTCACTAAAACAAAACCTAAGTCTTTGAGAAGCATGACAGATACTGCAGCAGAATACAGCCATGTCATGGATACATATAACAGCATACTCATACTCTCAGTAACCCTGAATAGTATCAAAGCTTTAGAATTTCTACAAGCCTGGTAAGCAAATATTATATCTAAGTGTTTTAGTAACACTGAATTATTTGCATTTTGCTGCATATTAATTCTTGATTTTATGTTGATAATATTTTCTATCTTTCACTTACTTTAAAACTTTTTAATGGTGTCTTTTGTGAAAAAGTCTACAAGTTTTTTGTGATCATATATCACCTTTTGGCTATGGCCCTGACTTGGTATCAAGTTTAAAATGGCTATCATTCCCTAGAGGTTATAAAAATATTCATGCATATATTCTGTTAATATTTTTATGATTCATTTTTACCCTACTAGCTCCATAAACATCTACAAGTTATATACCACCATGTGCAAAAGAAAATCTCTCATTATAAAATTAGGTGGAAAAATAATGTGAGACAAAAAGGATGATGCATAGAAAAGAAATGAAAATAAATATACCAAAAACAATTACAGGGGTTATCTTTGGGTAGGGAGGTTAGATGTGACTTTTATCCCTTCTACAAATTTGTATGTTTCAGATTTGTGATAGTATTGATTATATTTATAACATATGGTGGCCTTTCATGTTCTTTTTCTGCTCAATACAGTAATCATTCTTTTTCTCTTGAACTACATGGTTTGGTGCAGGCCATCCATCACAGCCATCCACCCTTGGCCACAAGTGTCCGCTCATGATTCGGACTGGGCCATCCAGAAATCATTCACTGGGATTTTTCCAGCTGATGCACATAGCAAAGACTTCCTCTGCACCTGTTCACAAGGTGGACAAGTGTGTGGCCAGAGCTGCCTGTGGATCTGGCTCTAGTCGGCCAGATAATGAAATAAGTTTCACACACACTCTGAGAGAGAGAGAGAAAGAAGGAGAGAGACAGAAGAGACAGACAGAGACAGAGACAGAGACAGAAAGACAGAGGACCACACATCACTTAAAGCCCCACATCTAATTTTCCCAAGCTCAGGTTCATGTGTGGTTGGATTACCCAAGCTGATAAATTCCTCTTCTGCCCTGTTTTTTTTCTTTAGTGTGAGTAGGATTGCAGTTACTGACACCAGAAGGGTCTTGCATGAAAAAAGCTGTAAGAAAAGGAAGATGGAGAGAAAAGCCTCAGAGATATGAAAATATCATTAGTAGGAAATAATTACACATCTTAGATTGAACAATTATCAGTTTGTGGAAAGGGAGGTTAATACAAATAATAAAACATAGAAACTACTTGGTTCATGGCTGTTAGGCATCTTATTACTGAAGAAATAACTAGCAAAATAAGAAGGTAACAAGAAAATGCATAATTTTATAATTTCTGTATTCCCAACGAAGCAGGGAAGGCTCATGAAATTAAGGGTGATGTTGTTAGGAACAGAGATGGCAGTCCTAAGATACAGACAGCACCTAGAATTGGCTTAAAAGAGACACCCAGTCCCAGCACATTGAGAAGCTGAGGTGGGTGAATCACTTGAGCCCAGAAGTTCAAGACCAGCCTGTACATAGTGAAACCCTGCTTCTACTAAAAATACAAACAAATAAACCCCCAAAAACTAGCTGAGCGTGGTGTTGCATGCCTGTGGTCCCAGCTACTCTGGAGGCTGAGGTGGGAGGACAGCTTCAGCCCAGGAGGTAGAGGTTGCAGTGATCTGTGATTGAGCCACTGCACTCCAGCCTGGGCAACAGAGCGAGACCCCATCTCAAAAAAAAAAAAAATTGACATGCATTTCTTAACATACACACTAGACTCCATTTGTGGATTTTAATAATGGGTATTTGGCTTAATCTTAAAACAGACTTCAAGTTGACATTTTATATCATGGAACTTGAGAGTTAAAATGAGAGAGCTCCTTGGGGAGCACAACTCATTCATATTAGAGTTGTGAACTCTGCAGAGATCAGGGGACTTAACTAGTGTTCCATGGCTAATAATCCCCACAGTATGATTCAACTCAAATCTCTGGAATCTCAATCCAGCGTTCTATTTATTGCCTCTCAAGTGCCAATATGAGATGACTAAACTGATCAGGAAACAACAAAGACAAAATTGCACCTACTGAAATAGTAAATATGTGTTACATAAATAAGAAGGCAATGCTATCATTTTAACACTCACTAAAAAAAAAACCTAAGTCTTTGAGAGGTATTGTAAGGAACTAGTATTTTGAAAGTACTGTGTGTTTTGAAAGAGAGTTTAAGTTAATTGCTCATGGAAGAAACATTTATCTGGGTGGAGATTATGCTTGACTTAGACAGGCTTTCAGCCTGAAGGTTGTAATAGATGAGTTATTCTCTTAACCTTAATCTATTTTTCATACGGTGGGATGACAGTCATCAAATGAAATCATTTTTAAGTTTCCCAGAACTGTGGAAAAACTAAGCTAATCTTACTTTCATAAGCTTTTTAAAGGGCAAAATTTTACTTTTACTTTTAAAATAATTTTTAAAAGGAGCTACTAATCTCAACAAATCCAACTATTAAAGTTTCACAGGGACAAAAAAGAACTACCACCAGTGGGTACAAATTTGTTATATGTTTTGTTCTGGCTATGGTTACACCTCTTGATTTTGGAAACATGATTATTTTGCTGAATCTTAAATTTTAAAAAAACACTGAACATAATGTCAAATTGAGCCTGATTTTCTTCCTTCCTTCCTTCCTTCCTTCCTTCCTTCCTTCCTTCCTTCCTTCCTTCCTTCCTTTCTTTCTCTTTCTTTCTGATACATGTAAAAAAAATGTTTTAGTTATCTTTAGGGCTCAGAACTCAAAGGTTTAAGAATCACTGGAGATCTGAAGAAACCAGACAGGAGCCAGCCAGCTACTATGTGTTTAGGGAGTGATGCTCACTCCAAAGCCTACTCTCGTTCTTCCGCAGCAGTGCTTCTCAAACTTTGACCAAAGCACGCGGACAGTAGGGGAGAATGGATTCTATCTGCAGGAAGAAGACAGAGTCCAGGGCTGCGAGTTTTCATTCAAAGTTCACACTAAACTTCACACTATTCTTATGTCTGTTTTAATATAAAGAAATACGCTTTGAAATGCACATTTCTTTATACTAAACCTCCAGCACCTTCTACCCCTCCTTTTATTTTTCCCTTACTTTTTCATGTAGACACTTAATGCCTCCACAAAATCATATTGTTCACTTATCTTCTTTGATTATTGTCTGCTTCCTCCCCGAGGGAGGGTTATTTTGTTCGCTGCTGCACGCCAGCACCAAGAACAAGACCTGGCACTTGTCAGGACTCAACAAATCCATGCAGAATGAACGATGAAATGTTTTAGATGAGGATGTGTTCAATCCAACTGTTCTGGAGGGGCTCCTTCTTTATCCCATGGCTCAGAGGCACATTTCCTCATTCTGAGTGGCAAGCGCTCCCAGTTTTGGAAGAAAAAAATGTGTTACACTTAGGGAATGTGGGGGAAAGAAGCAGCAATGACTCTTCCCCACTTGCTTGGCATCACAAGATACTTTTTGACTTCTGAGCCCATGTCATGCATGTAGTGTGTCATGTGCCCACATCATGAGATCTTTTCTTGATTCCTGATGAGTTAATTTGATTTTATTCCCACTAAGTGTCCTCTGATTTAATGAGGGTGGTCTTCAGTGGCCTGCACTTGCCTAGACAATGCTGCTCTCCCTGCCTGAACAGATCCTTCTCATCCCTCAAAGCCCAGCTTGGGTGAAACCTCTTTTTTGACATTAGCCTTCATTTAATGGTTTGAAAGCCAAGGCCAGGTCTTTTTTTTTTTTTTTTTTTTTTTTTTTTCCCATTCAGAGGCAGCCTTTCCAGCAATGTGGGGCCAGGGAATGGATGTCTATGAAGTCTATTGAAGTGGCCTAAGAGAAACAATAAGCTGATTTCAAAGCATATACAGCAATTTTAAAAGAATGTACAATAGTGTATCATCTTTCACTAAGTCACAAATGCCAATCACCAATTCATTTAACTCTGTATTTCCTCTAGGTTCTCAGGAAAACATTTACTTTCTTTCATCTATAGCAATTTTAGGCACAAAAAGCTACATGCTTGGCCTGACCATGGTCCTCCGATGACAAGTTGTTGGTCTTTAAAAGCACATTTTGCTAGTTACTGACATTACTGAGCTTACTTAAAAGAGAGCTACCTTGTTATTCTCTGAGAGTATCCCAAGCCACCTTGTTTACCTACCATTACAATGTTTAGTATGATAAGCCCGCATATAAACCCTAGCTTGTCCCAGGCACTCTTGTAAGCTGATTGCATTTATTCACTCATTACTCTGCAAAACAACTTTACTACTATGATCCCCATTTCACAGATGAGGAAACAGGCACAGAAAGAGGATGAGTAAAAGTAAAGCTGGTAAGTTCCAGAGTCAGGATTCGGACCTAGGTGCTCCTGAGACCATGTGCCTAACTACTAGCCAGCTTGCCTCACACCTTTGTCCTCCTCCACCTCCTCCATACCTGTCTGCCCACCCCTTGCCCCGATCTTTCCTTTTCATGGCCAGAGAAAGATCCTGCTGCCTCACTCTAAAATCATCTCCCAAATCAACGAAGCTAAATTTCTTCCAATTGGGATGAAACCACCTTAATGTTCTTTCTTAATTCTTTGCACACTCTAGCTGATACTGATTATTCACTTATTGGCTAGCCCCTGCTATTCCATGCTTTGATCAGACACACCCATCTCTTAATGTTCTGTTTTCTTCTCTCTGAATTCCTGAACAGAATATTTACAAATATAAAGTCCAACAAGAAAATGGTGTGATCTAAATGGGGTTTCGGAAACATAAATCTGGTGGTGGCATCTGAGGAGGGAAAGGGAGGGTGTGTGGGTGAGAAAATGGGTGTGTAGAACTGTTAGAAACTTCCACTTTTGAAGTCACAAAATGCTGTAAGAGCTTTGGGAATGGAAAGGAAGGGGTGGATTCAAAATGCATTTTAGAAAGAACAATGGGTTGGACTTGTGGGCAATTGCCTCTAGGGATAAGGTAGAGAAGGGAGTTAAAATGATACCGCTATTTTGGGCTCAAATGATTATAATGAGAGTTTCATCACCTGAAATAGGTACATCAGGAAGCTAATCTGATTCAGGGAGAACAAAAAGTTCATTTTAGAATCTTTGTCATCATCCCTGTTCAACAGTTGGAAGCCACCATAAGTGAGCATTTAATGAGCCCCATTCAAGTGTCTAACAGAGCATATGATGTTAAATGTCCAACAATAATTAACTGAAGGTGAATACACCTTTTATTCTGGCCCCACGGAGGTGCCTACCAGGGTATTTGATGCGTAAGATCCTCCCCAGCCCTCCTCTACAGGGATGGAATTGGGGGTATGATTTGAATGTAAGAAATACGACTTAAGGCCGGGCACGGTGGCTCACACCTGTAATCCCAGCACTTTGGGAGGCCAAGGCAGGCAAATCATCTGAGGTCAGGAGTTTGAGACCAGCCTGGCCAACATGGTGAAACCCTGTCTCTACGAAAAATACAAAATTAGCATGGCATGGTGGAGCGCGCCTTTAATCCCAGGTACTCAGGAGGCTGAGGCAGGAGAATCGCTTGAACCCAGGTGGCGGAGGTTACAGTGAGCCCAGACCATGACATTGCACTCCAGCCTTGGCAACAAGAGCGAAACTCCATCTGAAAAATAAAGAAATATATATAAATAAAAATTAAAATAAATAAAAGAAGAAATACCACTTACTACATAGCCTAACCCCACGCAATAGCAAATATATTTTCTTTATCACACCTAAAAATCGTCAGAAAATGGCAAAATTAGTCATGTTATGTGCTTGATTTCCAGATTTGGTCTTACTTCATATTAATTTCTTAAGTAACCAACTCAAACGATCTTGAACTCCCACCCATTTGTTTCTTCAAAGTCCTGAACAATGCCAGAAGAGAGTCTACAGATCAGACAGTGCAAACAGAAAGCTTCTTGGAATTCAGCCATTAAAATCAGGCACTCAAGGTAGAATAGCAGGAGTAAAAGCTGAAAGACCTACACACTCAGCACAGAGCCAAGGCAGCTCAATCGCAGGGCCTAGAGTGGTGCGTTCAAAGAGTGTGAGATTGGTAGACAATCGCTCATGAAACAGTGTTTCGAAAATCTAAGCGACTCTGATGATTCATATTAGGAATTCATCCCAAACCTCAGATTGGTACACCTTCCTTGATTTCACACAAGCTCAGGAGTAGCTGCCATGCACATCAGTGTCCATTAAAATGACTTGTAGCAAATCTCTACGTTCAAAGTCTAACTTTGACAGACAACCTTACTTCCAGCGAAGTCTACTCCCCTCCCTCCGGAGGGAAGAATGGGCTGCGGTTAAGCGTTTGCCCTGGTGTCAGGGCCAACTGCTTCGAAGCGCCAGACTTTCGGAGACTGTGGGTAAGAGAAAAAAAAAATCCAGTCCGGGTTTTGTCTGAGCGGGGGGACCGGAGGGTTGTGAGGAATGGCTCGCGAAGAGGGGGGCGGTGGTGGAAAACATACAACACAAACAGCTCGCGCCGAGGCACGGCAGCGGTAGGCCCGGAGCGCGCGGGCGCAGCCGGCCGGGAGAGGCGCGCGCGGGCTCGGCCGCCGGCCGCATGGAGCGCAGCGCGGCCCGCGGCTCCCGGGCGGCGGCGGCGGCGGCGGAGGCGGCAGCGCGCCGCTCGCTCACACCCACCCCCGCCCGCGGCCGCCGCGCCGCCCCGCCGTAGCCGCCGGCCGCCGGCGTCCCCGCCGGCCGGTCCAGCGAAGGCGGCGCCCGCGCCTCTGCAGCCAGTGGCAGCCGCGGGTCCTGGCCGGCGGCTCCTGCAGCCCCTTGCGGCCGCGAGTCCCCGGCCCTGCGGCCACCGGCGGAGGCAGAGGAGGAAGAGGAGGTGACAAACTCTCCGGCCCCGCGCCGCGGCCCGCAACCCCGCGCTCAGGCATGCAGGCGCGGCGTCTAGCCAAGCGCTCCAGCCTGGGCAGCCGCCGGGGGGGCGCCGCGCTGCAGCCTGCCGGGCCGGCGCCCGCGCCCGCCAAGGAAGCCGCCCTACCCGGGCTCCCGCCCCCTGTCCCGGGCCCGGCCCCGGCGCCCGCCCCGGAGAGCTGGAGGCCGCCGCTGCCGCCGCCGCCGCGCAGCGCCGGGACCGGCCCCCCTCGGGCCACCGGGGCCGCCGCCGCCGCCTCGTCGCCGGTGCTGCTGCTTCTAGGGGAGGAAGACGAGGACGAGGAGGGCGGGAGCAGGCGGCGGAGGGGGCTCGGGCGTGTGGAGGAGAAGCCCCGAGGGGGCGCGGAGGAGGAGGATGACGACGAGGAAGAGGAGGACGAGGAGGTGGTCGTCGAGGTGGTGGACGGCGACGAAGACGACGAGGACGGCGAGGAGCGTTTCGTGCCCCTCGGACCCGGCCACGCAGTCCCCAGGGGCCCGGCCCGGGGCGCGTTGAAGGTGCGTGTTGGGCGCGGTGGCGCGCGTGGGACCCGCCAGCCCGGGGAGGGGGACGGGCCCGGGCCCCGGGGCAAGGCGCCTGGCCGAGGACGGTCAGCGGCGCCGGGGAGAGACCCGGCCAGGAGGGGTGTGTCAGGCGGCGCGGGCGGCCGCGCGGGGCAGCGCGAGGAACTGTTGATTTGCCTGCGCCTTGGGCCCCTGCGTCTCTCCCAGGCGGCGGCTCCCGCTTTCCTCAAAGGCCGTGTCGGGTTTGTTGTTTGGTGTGGGTGCCGGGAAAGGGCGCTTCTCCCCAGTGAGGTGGGGAACTTGGGTGATGGGACCACGGAGGCGCCGGTTCGTGCCCGGTGGGGACGGGTGAGGCAGGGGAGAGTGAGATTTTATTCTCCCCCAAGGAAGGAGTGTCCCCTTCTCCTTATTTTGAGGGCTATTCAAGCTTATTGAAACCAGAAAGCGGTGTTTCTTGTCAATCTCTCAGCCCCTTCTTCCAACCAAGAACAATTGTCGATGAGTTTCCATCACAGGCGCTTGTGAGAGAACCGGTAAACCCAGTACAGCAAAATCCAAGCCCTTGGTTTCCACATGCATTTTGCTAGCAGTTTTTGGCATTGACCCTCGCCCTCCCGTGTTTCCACTCGACATCATTTAGCGTTTGAGGTTTTTTTCCCTCCTCAAAATTGCAAATGAGAAAAAAAGAGGAAACCAGGAAAAGGGGGTGGGGGGTAGCATTTAAATTGGATGTGAGTTTCTGCTGAGAATTCTAGCGAAGTCCCCTGTACACTGAAGCGCCGAGAGATTTTTCCGTTTGTGTATCTTCAGGAGATAAGGGGTTTATTATTACACAACTGACTGGTTGGGCTTTCAGGCATGCTATTGGACAAAGCAAACCACGTTGAGATTCATGCACGGTGTATGTTGCTAAGAAGTTTTGAGGGCAGCAAGTGGTAAGCAATGGAGTGAGTGATTTTTCTCAAGAGTGGTTCCTAAAATCAGCTGAATAACATTTTACCAGAGTTTTCAGAAGGTATTGGTATTTCAGGAAGAAAAAAAACTCATGAACAGCTGAGCTTAATAGTTAGAGACCACTAAAAAAAGCTTTGGGGGCTCACCAAAAAAAGCTCCTCAAAGCTTGAAGTTGCATTTCCAAAGAAATGTTGAACATCGGCAATTAGAATAGCCCCAGAGTAGATGTGGGCAGAAATTTATTTCCTAGACCACCCTGGAAGTACCAGCTCTGGGAGTGAGAAATTTTCAGCAAGTAGTTATTTGGGATGATAGTTTTTGACAGCTGCTTGTTGAAATCCAAACCGTGACCACATTCATTACCATGGTCTGTTGAAAAGCCTGCATTGTATGGCTACAAGATATAGCTGGGTTTGAAATGAAGTCACATGGTGTCAGTGACATTGAATATCAAGAGTAGTGACTCCTTAGCATTTTTGTCCAGAAATACTGAAAGTGTGTCCTGTGGTTTGAATAGTGATTGCACAATTTGTGATAGAAACAATAATAATTTATGCTCTGTGATGAAAACAAGCTTAATATAGGGAAAAAATCAAATCCGTAAAAACAGAATAATGAGTGTGATAATTCACTTGATCAGTAAAGGTTTTTCACATCTTCAAGTAAATTTCCTTTAAATTCTTTCAAAATGGGCTTCATTTTATAACACTCTCATTTGCCCACAACTTCAGAAATTTACACAGAATGTTGGAGTCATTTGAGGTTTATCTTTTAAATTACTCTTTTAAAGACACTGTATCTGAAGAGATTTTCTAATGGAATATCACTAGATAATTTTATTATAATGCATATACGAATGTTAACCTCTTACATATATTCATGCATTCATTTATTCAACAAATATTTATTGAACACCTATTATGTGCTAGCAGCTATTCTAGAACATAGCAGTGGACACCTTCCTGATGCTCACATCTAGTGAGAGGCATCATAGCAACAATCAAATACATAGATGCAGATGTACATGCATAAGCAAGAATAACACTTCAGATTGTGGTGTGTCCTGTGAAGAAAATCATGATATCTTAGAGTTTCAAAGGAAGAAGAGAAAGCTACTGTGGGTGAGATCTCTCTGAGGAGGGAACATTTGACCTGAGATATGAGACATTTCGCATGGGAAGAGCTTTCCAGGCAGAGGGAGTAGCAGTTGCAAGTCTTGAGGTGGAAAGGAGAAAAGGGTGAGTGTGGCTGGAACTTGGTAGGTATGAGATATGTCAAGGAGGCTGGGAGGTGCCTGCAAAGAGAGCCTGGTGGGCCCTTTAAAAGGATAGTGAAATCTTTGAAAAGTTTTAAGCAATAAAGTCTTACAAGGTAATTTGTAGTTTTCAAAAGATCCATGCTGTGTGGAGGACAGTAGTAGAGGCAGGGAGGCCAGTTGGGTGGCTGTCACTACACAGACCAAGGGAGGGAGAGGGCAGCTTGGAGTTAGAGATTGGCAGGAGATGGCAAATTCAGAATCTATTGTGAGGATCAACCTACAAGAACTTGTGGATGGGTTGGTTGATGGGTAATGAAGGAAAGGGAGGAATCCAGGATGAGACCATGATGTAAATGTTGGTTGAAGGTACCATTTACTAAGATTAGGAAAACCGAGAGAACAAAAATCAGGTTTTCTGTTTTGTGCATGTGAATTCTGAGATGACTATTGGACAACCAGGTGGAGGGTGTGGTTAGGCAGATGGTGGTGAGATGGGGAGTGGATAGGAGAGGTCAGGGATAGTGGGAGGAATTTGAGCGACATCAGTATGTTAATGTCATGTAAAGCCTGGGGGCTTTAAGGGAGTGCAGGGGGCCAAGAGAGGAGAGCCTGGGGCCTGATTCTGGGGCACAGCACTATTTAAGTTTGGGTGTAAATGGAGAAGCCAGCAAACACTATTGAGAAGCAGCAGCCAAATAAGTAGAAGGAAAACTAGAAAATCTAAAGTCCAATAAGCCAAGAGAAGAAATAGTTCCAAAAAGTGGGTGGGGAGTAATGAACTGTATTGAATGCTGCTGAGATATAGAATAAGAAAGAGAGAGAGAGATGTTCATTTGGATTAGATAAGATGGAACTTACTAGTGTCCTTGACAAGAGAAGTTTGAGTGATGTGCTTGGAGTAGGCTGAGCAGCCGATGAGAGGTGTGGACAGAGGGACACAGGAAAAACTCTTTTGACAAGTTTTTTGGAAAGGAGAACAAAGAGGAGGAGGAATAGCTGGAAGGCCTATGGCCTAGGTTTTTTTAAAAGATGGGATACAGTAGACCCTAGTGTTATGACTAAAGCATCATGGGAATTATGTGGAAGAGGGGTTATTAGTTTTCTATTGTAGTGTAGTGTAACAAATTACTACAAATTTTTTTTTGCTTTAAAACAGTTCTTAGAGTTTCTGTGGGTTAGGAGTCTAGGCTCAGCTTAACTAGGTTTTCTGTGAAGAGTCTCACAAGGCTGCAATCAGGGTGCTACATGGGTTGAGTTCTCATCTGAAGGCTTGACCAGGGAATAATTAACTTGTAAGCTTACATAGATTGTTGGCAGAATTCATTCCCTTGCATCTGTAGGACTGAGGGTCCTAGCTTCTTGCTGGTTATCAGTTGGAAGTTGTTCTCAGCTTGTAGAGCTCTTCTCCCCCTCCCCTTCCCTACTTACTGCTGTTTTTTGTCACATGGGACTCCTTAGCTTGGCCTCTTACTTCATCAAGCCAGCAAGGAGAATCTTAGAGCCTGCCTGCCAGCAAGATGGAGCCTTGCATAATGCAATGTAGTCAGGAGGAATAGGCCAGAAACTTGGCCATATTCTGTTGGTTAGAAGTAAGTCACAGGTTCCACCCACAACCTAAGGAGAGGGAATTTTACAAGGTTATAAACACCAGGTGGTGAGGATCATTGAGGGGTCATTTAGGGAGGAACCAAAGATGTAGAGAAAAGAAAAAACTACAGGAGGAAAGTCCTTGGAAAGCCTTAGGGAGGGAACCTGAAACCCAAGTAAAGGGCTGGCCTTTGGGAACCTTCCTCCATTAGATTGGAGAGAAGATGGAGAATATGAGTCCAGATGTGGGTATATTTTCTATATTGGGTGATGATCAGATGACAGTAGTTTTCTGATGGCTTCTGTTTTCTCCATGTAGCAGAAAGGAAGGTCATCAGCTGAGGGTGAGGGAGATTTGAAGTAAGAGCTGAAGGCATTGAGAGCAAATGTACTAGGGAGATGAATAGAGTTGCCAGACAGTATCAAGGACGCAACTGAGGTTTGTGATTCCACATTTATAGTTCAAGTAGTCTGTCTGGGTATGTGATTTTCCCAACTTTATTCCATGGCCTCATGCATAGAGTAATATAATAAAAATAATCCCAGCTAAATTTATTGAGTGCTTACCAGGGCCAGCACAAATCCAAGTGCATAGTCTCATTTAAATTTCATTACATATCCTCGAGTCAGGCATTATTGTTATCAACTTCATTCTACAGAAGGGATGAGCGACTTATTTAAAGATAAAAAGCTGTTAGGCATCAGAGCAGGGGTTTGAACCCTGCACAGTCAAACCCCAGAGGTGGCACCCACATGCATTACACTACGTTGCCTCTTGTAGAGAAAGTGGAGGACTGGATTGAGCAGAGGTGGGGTTTAGCCTGATGAGTGAGCAATAGAAAGAAAGAGATGGAATTATTGTTGAGAGAGTTGGCAAGTGTATGATGATAGACTGAGTGACATAAGAAGAGTGAGGGCAGGAGGGAGTGAGGGAAGGCAGAAAAATCATGTGTCAGTGGGTTGGAGAAAACAAAGGGTAAGCCAAAAAAATCAATAAAAGAATGGGAATGAAATCCACGACAGTTTGGGTTCCGCAGTAATATTAATTCAAACAAATATTTGTTGGGTATTTGTGAGACAGGAACTTTACTAAATGCTTTATATGAAGGAGGATCTTACAAAAATTTATGACTTGGGAATCAGTATAGCTCCCATTCGCCATCTGATGATGCTGACTGGAGGTGAAATATCACACTCCAGTATGTGGCCACAAGTGGGGAGCATGGGCTCACATCCATAGCCTGTGCCTTTAATCACTGAACTGGCATCTTTCTATATGTATTGGGATTCATGTGCCCATTTATTTCCAGGAAGATTTGAGAGGGCTGAGGAAACAGAGATAGATGCTACTAAGTAGCTGAGATTTGTTGCTTGATTACTCTAATGGATACTAATGTGGGCTTTAAATGAGATAAGAGAAACTTTGTATTACATGGTTTTCAATTTCTGATCAAAAGAAGCTTAAGCATTTATCTGCAGTGGTAACAGTCCTGAACACACAAACCCCTCCCTACTCCCCTGCCTACCACCAACTAACCCCTGGGCGCCTGTATAAGGAACATTACCAAAAAACCAGAAAAGAAACAAACACACAAACAGACGAAAAACAAAGGCACTGTCAAACATAAGAAGGATACAATAAATTGTTACTCAGTGAAGGGAAAACAGTAGCGAGGCTGAGATAACAAGCACAGGGCTGTGCTCTGCAATCCTGTGCAACAGTTTAGGGATAAGAACACAAGAATCTAGAGGGTTTGATAATTTGCTAGTGTAATAGACTTATGAAAAGCTTGGACACAAAAGACTGCTAGAAGCCTACCAAGATTTTAACTATTGAAAAACTGCTGAAGAAAGGCTTTTAAATGAGATAATATATGTTAAAGTTCCCACTTCCAGTGCTCAGTAAATATTAATTGAATGGAATCTGCTTCCTCTGTGCCAGTTCTTCAGGGATGGTTAACACGTCTATTAGACTATCTCTTGAATATCAGATGACTTTAAGAAGCCTTTGGCAGGAACTGTGCAGCAAACACTGAATTCCAATTTGCTAACAAGTATGTGTCTTGCAAATGGTCTGTGTTGGCTCGAGCAAAAGGCATATGCTTAAGATACCAGACAAAGTTGTCATTCATTGAATCGTGGACTGCTGGAGTTGGAAGGCAAACAGATATTATCTAGTAATCCAGTACTTTCATTTGACCACCGAGGGCACTGACTATGCAGGGTGGTATGCCTGGTCCATCTGGGGCTGCTAGCAAGTTTGCTGCTGCCATGATTTGTGCCCTGGTCTGCCAACCCCAATTTATTGTCCTCAGTTCTGGGTTGGTTTCTTATGCTCAGGAATGATCTACAGCTCACTCCCTTAGAGTTGTGGGTTGAAAATCCACAATTTTCTGAAGTGGTCTACTACTTACTGCTTATCAACTTCTATTTTTGGAATACTTGTCTTTTGTAAAGTACCTCAGCTAGAGGTGGACTTAACATGTGGCTGTGGTGTGATGGATGGAACCCTCTGAATCCTGCCTGGGCCAACCCCCGCTCCCTGTGAGCTTTCCAAGGGACACGTATACACAGAGGATAACAGATGAGAAAAGAGCCCCATTTCACTGGGAAGTGAGTGCCCATAGTCCCTGGTGTGGTGCTGATAGTAAACTTGCCTAGAAGATGTCATTACCAGTCAACTGTTAGAGCCTCTTCTCCTTCACCAGCATTTTACTACTGGTTGACCATGGAGGGCCCCATAACACAAGCATTAGAGAAAAGAAGAGAAAAAGCAAGAAGTCAAGCCCTACCCTGAATCTGCTTACCCCCTGCCTCCTAGTAGGGAGGAGCCAAGCCAGGCCTGGTGCACCTGTAATCCTAGCTACTTGGAAGCTTTAAGCCCAGGAGTTCAAGGCCAACCTGGGCAACATAGTGATACCCCATCTAACACAGCCTGAGAGAGCCACAGCCCTATGTGAGTTTGACCTTCTAAAATTAGTAAATCTGTCCCAGTTAGATTAATGTATCCCCCCCCCAACCCCGCAAGAGGGGCTTAGAGGAGTAAGGGAGCCTTTCCCTCCCCATGTCATTGTATAATATCCAAACTTCTGATGTTCCTGAAACAATCAGCCTTGTTACAATGACTTGATATGTTTGCAGAAGTCAAGCAAACTTGACTTTTAGTTGCCCTGTGCCATCTTATCTTAAGGTAAATACATGATTTCCCTTAGACTTTCTGAAATATTTGTGAATACTTCAAGACCCTCATAACCAGCCAAATCTATGTTGTTGAAATAAGGATGATTTTCTTTGGGTGTGAGGTCCATGTTTTGGTCATTCCCTCTGTTAGGAGATATTTATTGAGCCCCACTGTTTACCAGGTTCCTGCTGTACACACAGGATACAACAGTAAATAGGCCTTCTTCCGCTTTCAGGGAGCCCACATTCTAACACATTCCTGCCAAGTTGTCTGTAAAGAGGTATGAAGTCGCTTTTCCTCTTTATCCCTAATGAGATCAAGATTAGATCTGCCCAAAGCCTTTTCTTAGCTACCACAATTTGAGATGTAATTCTGAAATATACCTTTAAAACAACTGTAACCAAGTGATCCATATGAAGAAGATTCTGTGGTTTGGCCAGGAGGTGATTCCTGAATAGCTGGTTAAAAGATGAGTTTAGATCACTGAATTTGGCAAATAACTCCAGTTGCTCTTATTTACTAGATGAAATGGAACAGAATATAAGTCTGATATATGTGTTCATAGAATTAGAATGATTAAAGTCTTATACTTCATGGAAGATACAGTTTTGGAAAAATCTAGAGTTACAATTTATATGTAGGAAACAAGCTTGACTCTAGAGTTTTCAAGGAGAGTCTGTAATGTTCAGACTCTCCTTGAAAGTCAGAACTTTGCAGTAACACACAAGGAGGGTTCGTTCATGTTGCAGAACACCATGGAGCCTTGAGGAGCAAAGAAGTAGTAGAGTGCTGCCTGGGCACTGCTCCATGGAGGTCTCCGTGCCATACCTGATGGTCACCAGTGACAACGTTTGCTTTACATATGTTCTTGTCATAATGGAAGGTTAAATGAAAGTCATATCTCCTCGATTCAGACTAATTGTACGTGGCTAGTTGAAGTAAGTGAATGTCAAAAGTGCTCCAACATTTTAAATTAAACCCAGTGTTTTAAAAGGTTGTATACCCTGAAATACCATCTGATAAAACCTGCAGAAAGGATAATTTTAGTTCATAAATGTGACCCTCATTGTTGGCGCATCAGTGAGATGGGAGAGAACAGGCTGAGTCAAAGGAGATGATCCTCCCAGCTGCCCCCACCCAACTGTTACTTCTCTGTAGATCAAGAAGTGATGTGGCACAGGCTCTGGGTTCAGATTCTAGCTTCTCCACTCACTTGTTGCATGGCTACATCAAGTTACTTACTGTCTCTACGCTTTCATGTTATCTTCAAAATTGGGATAATATGATTCCATCAGTGGCTATCGTTTTTTTAATATGGCCCAGAGACCTCCTGAAATTAGACATGGGTGGCAATTTATTTTGTTTTGGGATTCAGAAAGGAAACATTTGTAAAACTGTGCTCAAGGATCAAAAATCCTGCAGTTATTTTGACTGTTACAACCTCCTTATTAATGCTACCAAGGCATTTCAGAGAGTTGCTTCCTGAAGTGACTCCATTCATCTGAGCTCTGTGGTGTTCCGTCATAATATGTGGTGAGCTTTAATCTTCCCTTTCAGCTCAGGAAGCTGTGAGTCATTTATCTACTTGTGCAAAGAGGACAGAGACATCCTATCTCTTATGTTCATCAGTTTGTTCAGATCTATAGTGGTTGTATTGGAGAAACCTGGCTGTTATCCAAAAGGGTAGGTTGGAAGAGGCTTACCACACACATTGAATATATTTCTTAAAGCTGCTATGGAAATAAAGTGATGTCACCTTCTACCTCTAATTTGCATGTGGCTGGAATCTCTGAGGCATGGGTTTGCCCTTCCCACCCTCCTGTGCGTTGGTGTCTCAGACTTGTAATCTTGCTTGGTGAAGAAGTCATTCTTTGTTTTTTTGGGTAGATGGAAATGGGTGGCCCAAAGTGTACCTCTAAACTCATATCTGCTTGCTCCCACTGTTAGGGAGATGTCTAGACACGGAGAAAAGGGCTTGGTAATTAATTGACTTTGGGAAATTCCACTTAAAAGTAGAGATACAATTTTTTTTATTTTATAAAATATTTCAAACAAAGAGGAAATTGGAAGAGTAATATAACACACACATGTATATGTAAAAGTTACTGACTATATATGCCAAGGGCCATTTTGAGTTTCTAAGAGGGTGAATATAGATTGTGATATTTACATATTTGTTGGACTTTTTTCTAGAGCATCTTTCCTTTGGGATACATTTTGGGAAATATTGGTTTATAATTTATTTTCTTGGTGGGAAAGACATGGATAAGTATCTTATACCTTGAGATAAATAACTAAAACTGCATAATTAAAGAAATAAGTTGTCAAGTGAATTTCACAAGCACAAGGGAGAGTTAAAGTGTTGTAGTGGGTCATATAAGCTTTGACATATTTTTCCTCATAAAGCTGATAACTCTTCAGTATTGAGTTTCTAAAAAAGGAAGTATTTCCTGTGGTAAATTTTCACTTGTGTATCTGTGAATACCATTATTGTGTGTGAAACTTAAAAACTGGTAGAGAACACTACCTTTCTCAATAAATCAGTACCCACGATGGGTCTAGTGTGGAAGACAGGAGGGTGTGGGAAGTGTTGTTGTAACAGAATTTAAAAGTGCCAAGGGAGAAGAAATTCACAAGGTGTTTATATCCAGGAAAGTGTATTTAATAATGTTTTTTACATTCTCTAAGAAAAAAAGATTGAAAATATCAGGAGAGTCTCAATGAAAAGAACATACAAAAAGAACATACCAGGATTCTAGGACTGATACATTTTCTGTCAACGCTATTGCTATTACAAGTAAAGGGATTAAGCACTTGTGAATGTTGATACCATGTATAATAACTCTAATTGGATATTGTTCAACGTTTATTTCCATATTACCCAATATTTAGTGCATTGTAACTAATAGAAGGCCCTCATAGCCAACCTTACTTGATCTTCTTGATAACCTTGAGAGGTGGATATTATTATCCCCATTTTATAGATGTGTAAAATAAGCCTCAGAGAAGAATAGAAGTTTCTGTTGAAAAATATATATGAAGAATTTTATACCAAATGACAGATATTTGTCAAACATTTCAGAAAACATTTGGAGACCGGCAGAGTTTTTTAAATAATTGAAATAATTGGAATTGGTACCTAAGCAGCAAAGGAAATTTAAGGAGAAAGAATATTTTGAAGTAAATTATAAATTAAAACAATGTGAAATACAGTTTTCATAGGTTGTCATAAATGCTTTCATGTAGTTTGTGCATGCTTTGCAACTCAGCTGCAAGTGCTTACAGAAACTAATTTTTTATTTTTAACAATTTTTTGCAAGTTTTTGAAAATGTTTTGATTGTCAGGTTCATAGACTTCTAACTCAAAACTAATGTAACAAAATATTAGAAAAAGTGGAAATATTAGAAAGGGGATCTTAGAATTTATAAAAATAAATATCTGAAGAGTACCTATTTGAAAAAATGTAGTCTTGTTTTATCATATATTAGTTACAGTAAAAATTATCAGAAAAGGGGGGGAAATGGACAACTGAGCCTATGTAAACACTGAACAAACACTGTAGCTTAGTGTGGGAAAGAGGAGGTGACAGTGGGAAAGGGGGGGCATTTGAAGGGTTGACATGACCCAAGGTAGAGTTTATAGAAAGACAGCAAGGTCTCTATTTGCATATCTTATGACATGAGTGGCTGGTGGGTGTTCAAGAGGCTCTGAAAGTGTGCTTTTAGCCATCTGCTGAGTGACAACAATTCTTTTAGCTCCTTATTCTTTTTTTTTTTTTTTTTTTTTTTTTTTGAGACGGAGTCTCACTCTGTTGCCCAGGCTGGAGTACACTGGTGTGATCTCGGCTCACTGCAACCTCCGCCTCCTGGGTTCAGGCAGTTCTTGTGCCTCAGCCTCCCAAGTAGCTGGGATTACAGGCATGTGCCACCGTATTTGACTAATTTTTTTTTTTTTTTTTTGGTAGAGACAAGTTTTCATCATGTTGACCAGGCTGGTCTCGAACTCTCGCCCTCAGGTGATCTGCCTGCCTTGGCCTCCCAAAGTGCTGGAGTGCTGGGATTACAGATGTGAGCCACTGTGCCAAGTCCTTTTTGCTCTTTATTCTGATTCAAAAAAGATATCTAAAAGAGATCTCCATTCAAATAGGTCTTCCTCTCAGCTCCCTGTATTGATTTTTGTCACTTGAATTTTTCTTGCACTCTAGCACAAGGTTGTTTGGAAAAATTATCTTTATTTTTAAAACTATAATAGAAATGATATAGTTTTCATTGTTTGTAAACTATGCCTAGCTTTATGTGTTAAACTGAGATACCTCAAAGATCTTGGTTAAATTCATTTACAAGTTAATGGTTTGATGTTTGAAAAAGTCATTTTTTCTACAAAAAAGTAGCCAGATGTGGTGGCGGGTGCCTGTAATCCCAGCTCCTCGGGAGGCTGAGACAGGAGAATTGCTTGAACCCGGGAGGCAGAGGTTGCAGTGAGCCAAGATCGCACCACTGCACTCCAGCCTGGGCGACAAGAGTAAAACTCTATCTCAAAAAAAAAAAAAAAAAAAAAAAAAAAAAGGTTATTTTTTTCTATCTTGTTCAACCACATGGCTATTTTATTGAACTTTAGTAAACTTTGTGGATAGTGGTGTATTACTGAGATGGGATTGTATGGAGAAGGAGAAGATTCAGATTGAAAGGAGAATCAAAAGCTCTGTCTTAAACATGTTAAGTTTGACATACCTGTTAGACCTCCAAATGGAGACGTCAGGTAGGCTGGAATTCAGTGGAGAAGATGGAGCTGGAGATGGAAATTCAAAAGACATGGGCCACTAGATGATATTTAAGTGATGGGATTGAGGGAGCATACCAAGGGGTACAGCAGGTAGAGAAGGGAAGGTGACTGGGACTGAGCTCTGGAGCACTTCAAATGCAGTGCTACATTTCTCTGTCTGTCTCTGTCTCTTAACAGTTTTATTGTATTTAATTCACATACCGTATAACTCTTAAAGTGTACAATTGAGTGTTCTTTAGTATATTCACAGAGTTGTGCAGCCATCATCACAATCTAATTTTGGAACACTTGTGTCACCCCTGAAAGATACCCCGTACCCATTAGCATGCAACCACAGTTGCTTTGGCTTTCCATTGCCAATAACACTTTATTCATTCATTGCATTTTTCAGGAAAAAAAAGAAGTGGAGGAAAGGAGAGGGTTAATGTGTTAGAAAACACTGGGGGAAGTAAGGGAAAGGAAGAATCCAGTACAGCAAAATCAAATATCCAATAAATATACTCCAGTGGTGGGGTCATCAAAGCTCAAGGGGGTTGTCTTCTGCAGTTCAGAAATAAGGGGAAATAAAAGACAAAGACAAGTTCTCATTTTCTTTCCTCACTCTTTCTTTTTGTAAACTCAAGATAAAGCTTTGGTTTCTAGCAGTGAACAGAGTTGAATTACATTCAATCTGCATGCTACTAGACAGTCTTGTGGCTACTTTGACATTGGTCTTTTGCATCAGCAGAAGAGTCCCTGAGTGAATTTGATGGACATTCTTCTTTCATTTCTTTGTCACCCACTTCAAGTTTCTAAGTGGAAGACTTCCTGCCCCCCCACCACCCATCTCTCATTTCTGTCTACTCTAGGATTTGAGAGCAGTAAACAGACCTGGTCCATACAAATCCAGCAGTAAAAGTGTTTGACATAAACACAATAAGGAATGGACTTCAATCATTGGGGTATGGATTGGAAATGAAAGCTACAGAGCTCCTAATTTATTCATAATTGTATGCAAGTCTTTTATAATTTGGAGTTGCCCCAAGAATTCAGTATGTACATGCATCTTGTCGTTTTGGTTAAAGGTAGGAGAGGAGTCAAGTTTTTGGGACAGAAGATCTTGTCTAACATAGGAAATAAGGGAAGGAGCATAATGAGAGAGTGGGTAAAGATGTCCACCTTGTGGAAAGGGTCACACAGGCTTACAAATCAGATCCTTTGTGTGGTGCATAATCTTTTGACAAAAATATTTGGTATTTTTTCCATACAAAATGTTGGTAAACAATACCCTAAAACAACAGGAGAAAGACCAACACATTATAGTTAGACAAACTAGACCATGTAGCAGTCACTAAACCAGCAACTTGTGAAGTTCTACAAGGCTCAGACATATCTAAAAGCTAGAAGGGGTTGATTTTGGAAAGACTGGACTCACAGTCAGGCACACATCACCCAGTGTGTTCTATTCCACTTGCCCCATTTCAACACAGACACAGCGGTCAATGAGGTAGGTACACACTGATTTCATATGTTGTCCATCAAATTTTCCTTTCTCTGTTAGCTCCCTAGGCTCTGTTATCACTACTGCAGCAGAAGATGCTGGCCCTGCACCACAAAGAAGCTCTTGTTTACAGTTTTATCTGAAAGCCACACAGAAGTACAGAGGTTTGAAAGGTTAAGGTTCCAGTGTGTGTGCTTCAAACATACATCCCCAGCAGCATGGGATGAAAACAGAGGTTTCGTTCTTACAATCTTGTTTGCCCCACACTGTCTTGGGATTTTTGCACGAGTGTGTGCACGTGTAGGGTAGCCTTAGCCTCATCCAGTGAAGGATGACTCTTGTGTGAAAAGTGAGCCAATGACCTAGGATTAAAGGTTTGGTTCAGAAACTCTTAAATACATGTATATAAATGCAAGCCTCATTCTCACTGTTTTCATTCTGGTCCTTTCACCAACCCTGACCTCTTCTAATCTCTCTGTGTCGCTTTTCTGTTCAGGCTCATTTCCAATCATCCAGTAGAAGGAGGCACAGTCAAAGTCATTCTGTGGAGTGAAAGTCTGCTTGTCATACAGACCTGGAGTCGCTGCTGACTTATCCCCGAGATTGCTCATGTCCTTGAGAACACGGTGTAAAAATAAGGGTCTCTCAGGTTAATGTATTGAGAAATACAAAAGCAAAATATTTGTATTAAGAAACATAAAGAATTCACACAACAGCATCATTCATACGTGGCTAGTGTTGTTGGCATCCTGGTGGGAGCCATCATTCAGGTTAAGGCTAAGCAAATAAAATCATCATAGACCAGCATGGCATGGGAGTGAACCCCAGGGGAGCAAGCCTGCAGCTGTTACTCCAACACTTGCTTTCCCACTATCACAACACATTGCTTAGGATAGTTCCTAGCACCCTGTACCAATAGTGGCCATATTAGAGACAAGACAGGGATAACCCTTTCCTACCCCTGGTAGATTAACTTCAACACAAAGTAGTGGCTTTTTGAGTCTAGCAGTCTGGTCTCATGTTTCATCTTTTTACTTTAGCATAGAATATATATCTTGTCTTAGAACCTAAAACCTATGATCAGAGATGAAGAAGGATATCCCACAATGCTAAGAGTCAATTTATCAAGAAGACATAAAAATCCTAAATATTTATATATCTCATAGGAAAGCTTCAAAATATATGAAGCAAAAGCCCAAAGAGTCAAGAAGAGAAATAGACAAATTCACAATTATCATTGAATATCTTTGTTACATTCAATTATTGATGGAATTGGTAACAAAAAGTAAGATTATAGAATATTTGAATAACACCACCAAACAGCTTAATCTAGTTAATACTTGTAGAATGCTATACTGGGCAATTTTAAAATAGGCATTTCTTTCAGTTTTACAATGAATATGAATGTACACTATATACTGGGGGCACACCAAGTCTCAGTAAATTCCAAAGAATTGAAATCATATCATGTAGAGGATATCCTTTGACCACAATGGAATAAAATTAGAAATCAATAATAAAAATTTAACTAGAAAATTCACGAATATTTAAAAATCAATCACTGTATTTCTTTTGTTGTTGTTGTTTTGTTTGTTTTTTGTTTTTTTTTTGAGACAGAATCTCGCTGTGTTGCCCAGGCTAGAGTGCAGTGGCACGGCCTCAGCCTCCCGAACAGCTGGGATTACAGGTGTGCACTACCACGCTTGGCTAATTTTTGTATTTTTGGTAGAGATGGGGGTTTCACCATGTTGGTCAGGCTGGTCTTGAACTCCTGACCTCAAGTGATTTGCATGCCTCAGCCTCCCAAAGTGCTGGGATTACAGGCATGAGCCACCGTGCCCAGCTCCATCAATATTCTTCTAAATAAACCATTGAATAAAGAAGAAGTCACAAGTGATTAGTAAAATAGTTTAACTGATTGAAAAGGAAAATGCATCATCAAAGTTTATGGAAGTTTACATCAGTGCTTAGAGGGAAATGTATAGCCTTTAATCAGTGATCTTCCATCCAAAGGTGTTAGAAAAAGAAGAGGAAGGAAATAAAAAGACAAACAGTAGAGAAAATCTGTGAAACCAAAAGCTGATTCTTTTAGAAGGTCAATAAAATTGATAAACTCCTAGCAATACTGATTTTTTTTAAAAAGAGAAAGCACAGATTGCCAGTTCAGGAATGAAAGAAAGGACGTTACTATAGATCTTATAGATTTTAAAAGGAAAATTCAGACATATTACTTTTCTGTGACTAAAGGATTTTTGCCTGTAAATTTGAAAACTTGGATGAAATGGGAAAATTCCTTGAAGAACTCAAGTTAACAAAACTGACCACATGAAGTAATAGGATATCTGAATAACCTACCATCTGTTAAAGAAATATCCCATGATTTGAGGGGAAAAAAATAAAAATAAAAGAAATGGAATTTATAATTAAGAACCTTTGTACATAGAAAACTCCTGATGAGAATGGCTTTACCAGTGAAATCTATAAAATACTTAAGGAAGATATAATACCAATCTTACAAAAATCTTTACAAAAAAGAAGTAAGATGGTATCCTTCCAATAAATTTTATGAGACCAGCATAGCCTTGACATTAAAACCATGCAATGACATTACAAATAACATTGCAAACTTTCATGTACATAGGCAAAAACACTTAAGAAAATATTAGCAAATCAAATCTAGTGATATAAAATGTATGATACATTATGATCAAAGTCATTTCTTCTCCTAGGAATGTAAAGTGTAAATACTAAAAATCAAATGGTGTAATTCACTGTATTAGTAGATTACTGTATTAATAGATTGAAAGGGTAACACCATATGATTATCTCAATAGATGCATAAACAAGCATTTGACAAAGTTCAATACTCATTCATGATTTAAAAACTCAATAAATTGGATGGAAATTCCCCAAACTGATAAAGTATATGTATAGGAATCCTATAATTAACCTCACATTTAATAGCAAAAGGTAATTTCCTCTACCAATATCAGGAATAAGGCAAGGATGTCTGCCCTGTTTTATTCAATATCATCTTGGAGGTTTAAGCCAGTGTGATAAGGCAAGAAAAATAAGTGAAAGGCATAAATATTAGGAAAAAAGAAAATATCGCTGTTTCTATTTGCAGATGACATGCAGAGAAATCCTAAGGAATCAACAAAACTGCTAAAATGAGATTTCAAATATCGTTTACAGTAGCATCAAAAACTAAACAGGGATAAAATTAATGAAAAATGTACAAAAAAGGTATGTGAAATCTGTAAAACATTGATGAGAGAGAGCAAAGACCTAAATAAATGAATTGATATACTATGTTCATTTAGAAACTTAATATGGTTAAGATGTCAGTTCTCCAGAAATTGATTAAAAGATTCAGCACAATCCCAATTAAAATCTCAGCAAGATTTTTAGTAAGAAATTGACAAGCTAATCTCAAATGTATATGGAAATGCAAAATAACTACAATAATCTAAACAATTTTGAAAAGCAAGACCAAAATTGGAAGACTTAATCTACTTGATTTCAGAACTTACTATACAGTGAGAGTAGTCCTAACAGTGTGCTACTGATGCTACAAGATAGACAGATGGATTTGTGTAATAACCCCAAAATAGACCCAACAGAAATGGTTTGACAAAGGCACCAAAGAAGTTAAAAATTTTTTCAACTAACAGTCCTGGAAAGACTATTCATCTGGAAGGAAGAAAAACAAAAAACAAACAAACCCTCAATTACCTCTACCTTGCACCATACACAAAAAAATTATTTAAAAATGGATCATAGATATAAATGTAAAAGCTAAAACTTACAGAGCTTCTTGAAGAAACAGGAGAATATCTTTGTAACTTTGGGATAGGCAAGGATTAATTTAATAAAATTAAATTAATTTTTAAATTTCAAATAGTTTTAAGTTTTAGTTTTTAGGTCATCATTTTAGCATTTTCCTTTAAACAAACAAAAAAAATCAAGTCAATTGAAAGGCAGATACAAGTTATTCTTCTGAAGTAATTGCAGTGTTTATCAAGAATTGAACAGGGTCCGGGCACGGTGGCTCATAGCTATAATCCTGGCACTTTGGGAGGCTGAGGCAGGAGGATTGCTTGAAGCCAGGAGTCCAAGACCAGCCCCGGCAACCAAGCAAGACCCTTTCTCTACAAAAAATACAAAGAATTGGCTGAGCACAGCAGCATGTGCCTATAGTCCCAGCTACTCAACAGGCTGAGGTGTGAGGATCACTTGACACTAGGAGTTTAAGGCTTCAGTGAGCTATGATCACGCAACTGCACTCCAGCCCAGGTGACAAAGTGAGACCCTGTCTCAAAAGAACTGAACAGGCATTAGATGTAACTCTGACCTCTGACCAAATGAGAGAGCATTTCTTTGAAGCAAATAGACAATAAAAACACAAAACTGGTATTTTCAGAGACCAAGTGAATGCAGTTTGTTTCACTATAGTCTTCGTTACCTTAGGAGGTTGAACTTCTCTGCTATGATCATTATTTTATTTTTTATTTTTTTATTTGTGTAAATGTATGGGGGTACAATTGTAGTTTTGTTACATCCATAGATTGTATAGTGGTGAAGTCAGAACTTTTAAGTTAGTTATCCATCACTTAAATAACGTACATTGTATCCATTAAGTAATCTCTCATCATCCACCTCTTACCCCATTACCCTTCCCTGTTACTGTTGTGTATCATTCCATACTCTACGTCCATGTGTACACATTATTTAGCTCTCACTTATAAGTGAGAACATGTGATATTTGTCTTTCTGTATCTGACCTGTTTCACTTATGATAATGACCCCCATGTCACTGCAAGAAACAGGATCTCATTCTTTTTTATGGCTGAATGGTATTCCACTGTGTATATGTATCACATTTTCTTTATCCAGTCATTCATGGATGGGCATTTAGGTTGATTCCATATCTTAAGCAAAGATTTTTTAGACAAGAACCGGATAACAATATTTCTAAATGAAAAGAAATTGATAATTACACTTTTATCAAAATTAAACACTTTTACTCATCAAAAGACACAAGAACATATATCAATAATCAAATAAATTTCCTCTGCTATCACTTTTATCTTGGGATATCAAAACATTGTATCCATGTAGTGCTTACTTTGTACCAGACACTTTGCTGGGTACAGACGATATACTATTGAACAAGAAAGGCGTGGTTCTTTTGGAACATTCAATTTAGTGAGGAAATAGTCAAACATGATAACTTAATTGTACATTTTTAAATAACTTAAAGACTGTATGGATTGTTTGTAACTCAAAGGAGTAAATGCTTTAGGGCATGGATACCCCATTCTACATGATGTGCTTATTTCACATTGCATGCCTGTATCAAAATATCTCATGTACCCCATAAATATATACACCTACTGTGTACCCACAGAAATTTAAAAACTTTAAAAAAATTAAAAATAATAGTCAAACAAATAAGTAATTACAATATGAAATGACAACTGCAAGGGTAGTGAAAGTACAGAATGCATATTACAGTTTTCATTTGACAAATGTAGAAAGCTGGCAGTAGTTAATAATTTGCTAACTTGCAAAACCAGTCTAAGCTCCAATTTGCTGACTCCTGCTCCCACCCCTCTTTTTTGTTTCTGTTGTTCTAAGCAAAGGGAGTAGAATTTTAAACTAAGCTTAGTGGCTAGGTTCAGGTAGAAACTTATATTCTGATTTTAGTTTATATAAAGAGAAATGGATTTGTAGCTACTTAAAGAAATCCCATCTTAATGTTGCTATCTTACAAGTCTTTTAGAAAAGTAGTTTTTCAGACTATGTCACAGTTAGGCAAGTTCCTCTAATTATATTCTTTTGCAGTACAGTGCCCAGTGAGTTGGAAAGGAGATCCAAGCTCAAGCAGTCCCTCTAATCTTTGCCTTGCTGAGTATTTTTGGTGTGTCTTTTTTTAAAAAGTTGATAAAATTGACAGGAAGGCACTGAGGGGAAATGGAGAAAAATATAGAACTGGAACATATCACTAGAGAGAGAAGCTTTACTTTTAAGGGTTAACATGTAATGGAAATGAATGCTTTTGTCCTTTTTTATCCTTGGACATCATGACAGCAAAGCATTGATTATGTCTTGTGTTTTTACAGTGCCTTAACGCTGTTTACCATCATTTCATACACAATATCTTGTGTATTTCCTATAATCCTCACAGTCATTATTATTTCAATTCAGTCACGAGGCAGTGGTGGCCAGAGAGGGTAAATGAGTAGTTCAAGATGACTTTAATAAATAACTTTGCATCCTTTCTTTCTAATTTTGTACCTGTCTTTATCTTATCTGCAAAGTATTAGTAGATTTTTGTGTTGATATCTTCCTTTATGACTTATTCTTGCTTTGGTCTTTTGTTTACTCCCGTTAACCTCGTGACACACCTCTTGTTTCCCAGTGACTTCCAGGCCATCAGCATTGCCCTTCCTTCCCCAGAAAACACCCATTGCTTCTCATTTTCTCCATCATCATTAGTGGTACCAGTACTCAATAAAAATACTTGTTTAGGAGTAAGCGCTTGATAAATGTTTCAATGAATAGAAGATGAAAGAACAAGCATGTCATTATACAGACACTCTCTGATGATTTTCCTGTCACCTTTCTTCCTGTGTTTCATCTATTACCAAGTTCTGTTTGTTCTTTCTACTGTTTTTTTCTTTTCCAATAATAACTTTCTTGATTTCTATAGTTTCGTTGTCTTTTTTTTAATTTTTTTTTCCTCCATTGCTTCCTCATTTAAGTCTGTTTTCCACAGAACTGCTAAAATAATCTTGGGTTTTATGTAACTTTTTCTTATTATAGAAGCAATACTTGTAGAACATTTTAAAGTCCTGGAAAGAAAAAAGAAGGAACTAATAATCATCTGGAATTTAACTCATTTTTCATAGATTGTTGTTTTTAAAGATGGTATCTTGCTCTGTAGCCCAGGCTGGAGTGCAGTGGTGCAAACGTGGCTCACTGCACCCTTGACCTCCTGGGCCCAAGCGGCCCTCCCACCACCTCAACCTCCCAGGTAGTGGGATTACAGGAACACACCACCATGCCTGGCTAATTTTTGTCTTTGTTTTACAGAGGGAGTCGTTCTGTGTTGCCTAGGCTGGTATCGAACTCCTGGGCTCAAGTGATCCTCCTGCCTCAGCTTCCCAACGTGTTGGGGTTATAGGTGTGAGCCAATGCGCCTTTCACAGATTCTTTCTGTGTATGTCCTAGCAGACCACAAGAGTGATGTCATTTATAGAGCGATCCCTCATCTAGCAAACTATTATTGGTGACCTACCTTAAAACAAAGCAAGCAACCTAACAGTGCTTGAGTGGCCAAAATAGATGTAAAAATACAGCTCATATACTTGCTTAATTTACATCAGAAAATATTATTTAATGGTATGGTATGCAAAACACCATGCTAGGCACTTTGGGGGGCTAAAACATAAATATTATTATTTCTTTCTAGGAGTTCTGAATTCAGTGAGAAACATAAATCTATTGCCCCACTCACTCCTACTTAAGATGCAGTCCTAGCAAATGTGATTATGTGTTTTTTCGATGCACAACAAATGAAAACTTGGGAATTAGTAGGAAGAGGGCAATCCTCTACTACCAGACAATGTCCTACGAGCAGCAAGCGTGAAACTGTTATTAAAACACTGTACAAGTGGGCATGTAAAATAAGAAATTATAACATTCGGAGTCTGTGTAAGGTGGTAGCAAGTAGCTTCTGAGGACATATTACTCTGTGTTATAATTTAATTACAACATTTCCACAATGATGACTTTGTGCCATCAAGAAAAGTTCATTCTGTTCAATAGGCAAGAAAGCAACTAATGCATTTTAGAGAAATTGGCAACAGAAATTATTAAAGTTTATCAGTCAAAAGGGGTAGAAACTTCTTTTATTAAAAATTGATTCATGTGGCATGTATATACTAATATTGATGGGATTACTGTACTATTATTTTTATCATAAGTATGAAAATGTGGAAGCACATCCCCAAAATATTTCATTCATTCCCAATAGTTATCTTAGGGTTCTTGTCAGGAAAGCCCAGTATTGCATTCCTGCCCTTCCTTTTCAGTGCAGATTTTAAAGGTCCAAGAGATGATATTCTATCCTTAATGTGCAAAGTATGTTGAACATTTAACATAGAGTGTGTTTTTCAAGGGGTCCCTACTGGCTGGGGGCACTGGATTCCTTTCTTAGCTGTTGATCTGTGAGTGGGATTACCCTCTAGATTCACTTACCAGAAAAGTTCGTTCCACCCTTTGTATGGCTAAAGGAACACAGACTTTTTTTTCCTCAGTCCTTACTCTCTAAATGGGAGTCCCGAGAGGTCATGCCTGGATGAGCTGGAAAAAAGAAAAATGATGTCTAGTCTTTTTTGTTGTCTCATGCCTTTTCCTTAAACCATGAGAATAGATGTGTCCTTATTTTTCAAAAACTGCAGTCAGGAACCACATAACAATGTTTCGGCCAGTAATGGACTGGGTGTACAAAGCTGGTCTCATAAGATTATAACACTTTATTTCTTTTTTTAAATTTTATTATTATTATACTTTAAGTTTTAGGGTACATGTGCACAACGTGCAGGTTTGTTACATATGTATACATGTGCCATGTTGGTGTGCTGCACCCATTAACTCGTCATTTAGCATTAGGTGTATCTCCTAATGCTATCCCTCCGCCCTCCCCCCACCCCACAACAGTCCCCAGCGTGTGATGTTCCCCTTCCTGTGTCCATGTGTTCTCATTGTTCAATTCCCACCTATGAGTGAGAACATGTGGTGTTTGGTTTTTTGTCCTTGCGATAGTTTGCTGAGAATGTGATAGTTTCCAGTTTCATCCATGTCCCTACAAAGGACATGAACTCATCATTTTTTTATGGCTGCATAGTATTCCATGGTGTATATGTGCCACATTTTCTTAATCCAGTCTATTGTTGTTGGACATTTAGGTTGGTTCCAAGTCTTTGCTATTGTGAATAGTGCTGCTATAAACATACATTTGCATGTGTCTTTATAGCAGCATGATTTATAATCCTTTGGGTATATACGCAGTAATGGGATGGCTGGGTCAAATGGTATTTCTAGTTCTAGTTCCCTGAGGAATCGCCACAAACACTGTATTTCTTACCACTGTGTTACCATTGTCTACAGTATTCAAAGCAGTAACGTGCGTACAAGTTTGTAGCTTAGGAGCAATGGGCTATACCATATAGCCTAGGTGTGTAGTAAGCCCTACCTTCTAGTCTTGTGTGAGTATACTCTATCATCACAAAACAAAATTGTCTAATTATTTATTTCTCAGAAGGTATCCCCATTGTTAAGCAATGTGCAACTGTGATAGCCCAGCCCAGAAGGCTGATGGCTAGGATGGTCAGGAATCAAGCCTGCTCAGTTTGTCACCTGCTTCATGTTAGGCAATTTCCCATGGTTCCCAGGTGAGGTGTTTCAGTCAAGCAAGGGAAACAAACACATATGCATGTATTTGCAGTATAGCCTTATGAGTTCTGTAGTAATGAGCTCAAAAGTGTTCTGGGAACATAAAAAGGGAAAGGTCACTACTTAGGGGAGTCTGTAAAGGCTTTGGAGTAAATGATATTAGAGCTAAGTTTAAAGACTGAAAGAGAGATTATAAAGTGGAGAATGAGATGAATGGCATTCTGGGCAAAAAGCAAAATAAAACAACAAAAAGCATATAGTGAGTGCACAGACCAAGAAACAGGAAGGAGGGTGAAAGGATGGGATGATGGCTGGGGTGGAGCCTGGTGTTAGTGCCAGAACCCCATCAGCCTTGTGTCTGCCAGCAACACTCCATGCCAGTGTCATGCCGTCATATCAGATGCATTTCACTTTTATATGGAAGTTTTTTTGGGGGGAAATTAAGTACTTTTTATCTCATGCATGTATTATGAATGAGATTTTAAAATGGAGTTCATATAAGAAAAGAAGAAGCTGCAGAAAGATTATGATAGTCGATTCATTCTGAAAAAAAATGAACAGTTACATTTCTATATTACAGAAAAATAACGGACAAAAAAAGACAAGTTTCTGGTGAATTTAATTCCATACCAAGCATGTAACATAAAACAAATAATGGGTAATTTTTAAAATGAACCATAATATAAAATGACTTTTAGGAGTGAATTTCTATCCAGTACATGTAGGAAAAGTAAATATAAATAAAAGTACAAACCCAGCAACATTATAATAAATTTGTGTGAAATCCTAAAAAGTTACCATTACATATGAATACAATAAAATATTTTAGAAAAACTGATAGAAAGCATAACAAAACAAGTTTAATGGAATCTCAGTGTTATGCACATAGTGCAGTAAAAGCAAATATTTTATTGACAGCAACAGAAAAAGTTGAATTCCAGTAAAAACACATTTCAGCAAATATTTAAGCTATATAAGTGTAAAAAACTAGCCCCTAATGTAAAAAGCTATTCCCAAATGTAAAAAACTATCATAAAACCTTTCATCTTCATCCTCAGATCTTAAAACCTCATCATCTTCAGAGCCAGGTAAACAGAGCCTGAAAATCCATCACCCTTGCCAGAATCCAAATGATATTCTTTCTTACTGGAACTCACTCTCTTGCAAATTGAGTCAGCCTGATGTATAGAAAGAACACCACTTTCCAATCCTTTTACAGTGTTTGGTTGCCAAGTTTATACTATTAAGCTAGAACTGAGTATTATAGCAATGCCTTTGTCACCTTTGAGCCATGGATTGCAGTGGTAATAAATTTAAATCTAGAGTCTGTGGGAAATAAATTCCACCTCTGATGGGATAGATTTGTTGTGTGTGGTTTATTTCTGTGAAGAAAAGGACCTGTACTTTCTGGGATGTTTTCTGTTGCTGTGCTTGCCGTGAGGAGGGTGGGGAAAGGTAACATAGTAGGATCTGGTAATCATTAGCCATCCATTTCCCTTGGTGGTCAACCTACCACCCATAATATGGTATCCTAAGCATAGATGATATTTGGGGATAAGTCTGTGCATCTGGATAAGAGGTCCCTTTCTTACAGGTATTCTGTAATAAATGAGGTTTATTTGCCTTGGATTTGTTGAGATGTTGCAGTAGAATTTGGTGAGAAACAAGTCTATGCATTTTTCACTGAGTTCTTATTATATTTAAGATAGAATCGTGTGATACCTAACTTTACTACTCACCTCTTCCCTTAATATTTATTCCATGTATCCTCCACTAGATTTTTAGCTGCTTAAAGGTATCTATCTTTTTAATCCCTCAGTATGAGATGGAACAGTAGTGATGGCTTATTTTAATATTTTATTTTAAGGAGTGTGGCATAGTGGAAAATTCAGAGGCCTGAGTCTTATTTTTTAACTAGCTCTTAACTAATAGTATAATCTCAAGCAAGTTCTTTTACTGCTTGTGCCTTTATTGATTTACCTGTAAAAGGGGGTAATTTGAATACATATCTATCTCTTTTTTTTTTAACCTTTTCTTTTAGTTTTTAAAACTTTTTTTTTGAGACAGGGTCTCACTCCATCACCCAGGCTGGAGTGCAGTGGTGAGTAGCTGGGACTACTGACACACACTACCATGCCTAGCTGATTTTTTGTAAAGATGGGGTTTCACCATGTTGGTCAGGTTGGTCTCGAACTCCTGGGCTGAAGGGATCCACCCACCTTGGCCCCCCAAAGTGCTGGGATTACAGGCATGAACCACCTCACCCAGTCTAGGTTTTAAAACTTTAAAAGATAATTATAAATTCACCTGCAATTGTAAGAAATAATACAGAAGGATCCTGTTCATCCTTCACCTGTTTCTTTCAATGGTAACATCTTGTGTAACCATAATATATCACCACCAGGAAATCGACATTGATACAGCCCACTGACTTTATTTAGATTTTACCAGTTTCATGTGAACATGTGTATGCATGTGTGCGATATTATCATGTGTGGAGTCATGTGACCCCCATCATTGTAGACACAGAACTTTTCGCCACATGGATCCCTCATGTTGCCCTTATATAGCCACAGCCTCTCCTTGCCTCTCCGCCGTTCCTAACCCCTGGGATAACTAATCTGTTTTCCATTTCTATGATTTTGTCATTTTGAGAATGTTATATACATGGAATTGCACAGTGAGTAAACCCTTTGAGATTGGCTGTTTTCATGCCCCATAATTCCTTTGAGATTCATCCAGCTATCAGTACCTCATTCCTTTTGATTACTGTGAATATCCACAGTTTACCTTTTCACCCATTGAAGGACATGTGGGTTGGGGATATTATGAATAAAGCTGTGATGAACATTCATGTATACATTTTTGTATAAACTTGTTTTCATTTCTCTTGGATAAACACCTAAAAGTACAATTGCTTTCTGTATCTTATGGTAAGTGCATGTTTAGTTTTATAAGAAAATGTCACAGTGCTTTCCATAGTGGCTGTACCATTTTGCATTTGTACCAACAATGTATTTTGAATTAATTTTTGTAGAACATGTGAGGTTTCGGCTGAAGTTCATGTTTTTTGCCTATGGAGGTTCAATGCTTCAGACTGTTTGTTAAAACACTCTTTCCTCCATTGAATTGCCTTTCTACCTTTGACAGAAATCAGTTGGAGATATTTGTGTGGGTCTATTTCTAGGTCCTCTGTTCTGTTTCATTGATGTGCTCTGCTGGTACCATACCATCTTGAGTTATGGTAGCTGTATAATAAGCCATAACTTAGGGATGGGTGACTTTTCTTATTTTATTCATTTTTATCAAAATTGTTTTAGTTTTTCTAGGTCCTGTGCCTTTCCATATGCATTTTAGAACAAGCATGTCTGTGTCTACAAAAATATTGCTGGAATTTTGATAGAAATTACATCCAACCTATAAATAAATTTAGGAGAATTGACATTTTTACTATGTTGACTCTTGAGCCATTACCACAATATGTCCCCCAATTTATATAGGTCTTCCTTGATTTATTTCACCAACAATTTGTAATTTTCAGGATGTAGATCCTGAATATGTCTTTGTTAGATTTGTATCTAAATACTTCTCTTTTTTGAGGGGTGACTGTAAGTGGTACTATGTTTTATTTTATTTTATATTTTATTTTATTTTATTTTTAAGATGGAGTCTCACTCTGTCACTCAGACTGGAGTACAGTGGCTCAGTCTCAGCTCACTGCAACCTCTGTTTCCCAGGTTCAAGTGATTCTCCTGCCTCAGCCACCCGAGTAGCTGGGATTACAGACATGCGTCACCACACCTGGCTAATTTTTGTATTTTTAGTAGAGACAGGGTTTCGCCACGTTGGCCAGGCTGGTCTTGAACTCCTGACCTTGGGTGATCTGCCTGCCTCAGCCTCCCAAAATGCTGAGATTACAGGCGTGAGCCACTGTGCCCAACCTGGTACTGTGTTTTAAACTTCAGTCTCCACACATTTATTGTAAGTATATAGAAATGTGACTGTTTTTTGTATGTTGATCTTGTATCCTGCAATCTTGCTGAGCTGGGTATCTTTAGGAGTTCCTTAGGAGTTTGAAATTCTACAACAATATTGACTAATTATTCTTTGTCTCTAATGATGTTGAAATGAGTAAAAATTGAGTTAAATTTTTCTGGAGAAGTTTTAAGTCCAACCTAAAGAAGAACTTATTAACCAAAAACATGACCACTTCAACAGTCTGCCTAGAAAATACCTCCTTCTTTGAGAGCTTTGACAATGTTAAAATTAACTGATTGACTTATTTTGCTTTCCATGGAAGACTGTTGCTTGACTTTAAAGAGTCCTTCCCCATTAAACCTCAAAGATCTCCTGGTCATTTTTAAATGAACTGGTAATAGTATCCTCAAAGTAGAAGAATTAACGTGTGTGTGTGTGTGTGTGTGTGTGTGTATGAAATCTCTGTATTTAAAAAGCTGGGTTACTCAATAAGTCTGGAATGTCTTTTAGTTCTTACCCTCTAAGATAAAATATCAATTATGTCTTAAGGTTATCTGCTTAGGAAATGAATAGTTGCTGCTGGAAACCACATGTAAGATTTACTCAAGAGCAACTACTAAAAAATATCAGTGAAGGTGTGCAAGTCATTAGTCAATGAATTGAATACATCAGTGATATGGCCTGCATTACTTAGGTGGAGAGGCAAATCTCTACAAAATCAAAAAACTGGTTTAATCAGGCATGATTCTTGAGCAGCATTCCCTCATAAAAATCCAAGATAGTTGAGTGATTCGTTCTTCAAAATCTTGAATGTTATACACAATACTCAGCAGCATAGAAAATAAAGCGATTCTTTAAAGAGTATAAAAATATACTCTTTATTTAATATTACTAGGAATTAATAGTGTCAGATAGTTTTTAGTATGGCAGAGGAGATAGGCCCATCCATTTTACTTTAGCAATTTTTATTAAAATCTTCTGAAGTATATGCTTCCCTGTCCCTTGATGATAATAAACAGTGGTGAATTAGGAATATCAGACACCAACCTGTGTTTTAATACAGGGACTCTTGCATCGCTCAAGCCATTAACATCTGGATCAAATGGCCCTAGATTGCCGTAATTTTGCAGATATTTTGTGTTCTTCCTCTGTTTGGGGGTATTTGGGTGTGCCTCTTGTGCTTCAGAATCATACTTTATTAGCAAGTCTAAATTCATGGTTCTGCGGATAGCTTCTTACTGTTTTACTACCAGTAAAGTCCACAATCTTTAAGACTGATAATTTCTTCGTCATTGCTGAAAGACCTTCCAAATCCTCAACAATTGCAGAAATTTACATGTTGACATGTAGAGTATTTCTGTCCTTAACAGAGGGATGCAGAATACTGGAGCATGCTAACTCTTTTTGATCTGATTTAAGCCAGGAAAATAGTGGAAGAAAGGTGAGTAGCACAAGTTGGATCAGCACTACTTTTATCAAATGTTGAAACTTCCTAAATGTAGCCAAGACTGTTCTTATCACCAGAGTCAGCTTCCAGTGTGAGGAAATCAAAGTGCAAGTGCAGGAAATTATCTGTATTGGATTTGGCATTGGCATTGAACCCAGCCCAACTGACCACTCAGTGTTTGCAAGGACCTCTAGGGGAGTCAGAATCAGTATAAGAGTGAGGAAGGGCATGGCCTACATGCTATAATATTTTTGTTCTATGTATATTACTTTTTGATGTTCCTGAAAGGCTAAAAATTTGTGGAGGGGAGCAGAAATGTATAATAAAGAAATAGAATAGAATAGTTCTGTAACTTCCATTCAGATCACTTCATGGTAAGCACCTCAAGTACTCAGACTTTCTTGAAATCAAAATCAGGAAATATTCCAGGCTGGGTGCAGTGACTCATGCCTGTAATACCAGCACTTTGGGAGGCCGAGGTGGGAGGATTGCTTGAGCCCATGAGTTCAAGACTGGCCTGGGCAACACAGCGAAACCCTGTCTCAATAAATAAATAAATAAATAAATAAATAAATAAAAAGAGAAGAAAAAAAATTCAAGCTTCTCATTCAAAAAGATTTTTTAAACTATAACTTTTGATTGTCTCTACATAAAATTTTAATAGCATGTTTAATTTGGAGGTAGATTTCTAAAATTTAAAAACTATTTTCATTCCAAGATGAAATGAAATAAGAAAAATAGCTTTTGGTTCCTGCCTTCAAATCTTTAAACACCTAGTTGGATTCCTGACTTCCAGAGTGTAATGGTAAAGCCACCTGCTCCGCCCTATCTGGTTGTTGTGGTAGGGAAGCACTATAGACGGAATGTTTGTGTCCTTCAAGAATTCATATGTTGAAACCTAATCTCCAGTGTGATGGTATTAGGAGGTAGGACCTTTGGGAGGTGATTAGGTCATGAGGGTGAAACTCTCATGAATGGGGTTCGTGTGCTTAAAAGAAGAGGCCAGAGAGCTAGGTAGCCCTCTTTCCACCATCTGAGGCCATAGCGAGAAGATGGCTGTCTGTGAACCACAGGAATCAGGTTTTTACCAGACACCCAATCTGCTGGTGCCTTGATCTTGTACTTCCCAGCCTTTAGAACTGTGAGAAACAAATTTCTGTTTATAAGCCACCCAGTCTGATATTCTGTTGTAGTGGTCTGAGCTGACAAAGACATTTCCTCAGAATTGCTTTCCCAGACCTCTGATTTTTCTCCTCTCTTGTGTGCCCATAGTCTGCATGAGCCTATCAGAGCACTTGTTGAGGTTTTCATATTATACTTGTGTGATTCTTTTATTTGTGCCCCTTCTTTCCACTGCATTGTAAGCTCCATGAACATAGACTTTTAGTGACACACACATATACATGTGTGTATGTGTATATATATATATATATATACACATATATATACACATATATATACATACACATATATATATATTTCACTGTTCTCCCTTGTGCTTACAATATGTAGCAAAAATATTTGTTGAATTCATGATGACTTTTCAAGCGAATGCTCTTTTCAAAGGTCTACTAAAATATATTTGTTCCTTATTATCTCTGGGGAAAAAAGGAGACTGGTGTATGTGTGGGCTGGAATAAATATTCAAGCTTTACAATTTTTATCTTCTTTGAAGTCTTTCATACAACCTCCTTTATGAAGAGTGCCATGAAAATGATCTTTAAATAAGAAAATTAAGAGGTGTTTTAGTTGGGAATTAATGTATTAGCATATACTTTAAAATTGTGTGTTACACAGAGATACAGAAGGTGTTTATATAGTGTCTATCACTTGTCTGCTGTTTCCCTGGAAGAATGTACATGTTTCTGGCTGTAAACAACTTATTTGCCTTTTGAAGCTAGAGTGTAAATTGTGGCTTTTGCATATTTTACCTTCTTGTTGTGGAATATCCTTCAGATGCTAACACATGAACAAGAGACTTCAACTTTTAAAAAACAGAATGTGTGACCTTTGGCATTCATAAACACATAGTAATAATTTGCCCTGTATATGGTCTTATGATAAGTACTGTTTGGCTGCCAGCCAAGTCTCATTTCTTGTGCTAGGGCTGTCAGGGCCACATGGTTGTATTTGTAAGGAGAATATAAGTGTAAGAAGTCTGTAAAACTATATATAAAGTCCCACCGTCTACAGATTCTGTCTTTCAAAGTACTAAATTAAATGACATCTTCTTAGAAAATACAAATGAATAATAAATTTCTTGCATTTACAAAATTGTTCATTGAATCAGTCCATAGGCCAAATATATGAGAAATATTGGTGGAAAATAATATCTTCTACATCGTTAGCAGTGGTACAGAGCTGTAGGTACATTTTAGCTAATGTAGAGTTGTCTTTTGACTCACCTCTTGAGTTGAAGATGAAAGCAGGATGTTAGCAGGGAAATGGTATCTGGCTTGCAGGCTTGTCCCCTGTGAAGAAGATCCAAGCATGGATCCCTTTGGTTTAAGAAAGATTGCTGCTGTTGCTGAACAAGCTCAGGGACATAGAATAAGGCAAAGAATGGTGTGCCATTGCTGAACACTTCCTCTTCCAGCTTCTCATCCATCTTCCACTGTGGTTCTGATTTCCTGTGCTTTCTTGAGTGTGGTTTGAGCTAAGGAAGTATAATAGGATGATATGGATGTCAGAGACACTGATGGCTCCCCATTGGGCTTACTCCAAACAGAAGCTTTTAAAAGAGTGAGAATGGGTTTCATTCTCTCTTCCTGGTTTGATCACTATTTCTATTTTCTTATGACCCACTGCCGACTGAAGGCTCACAGAGGCCTTACCTGTCTCTCACTGCTGCTGGTGGCCCATACTGTTCTGTTTAAGCAAAGCCCTGTTCTCTCCCAATATTACTTCTTTTTTCTCTGTGTGTGCGATCCCTTTTACACAGGGGGCCCATGTCAGATTGCTAGAATGCTTCATTCTTCATTAACCATCACATTGGATATTAATCAGTCTTGCAGACTAATTCTCAGTAAAGGTATTACCAGAAATACAGTTCATTGCATATTTATCAGTTACTTTACTAGGTATTTCCATTTGTTCCTTTTAGCTAACCTGTCCTCCCTATCTTATAGATGAGGACTCGGGGTGGACCTTGAAGTGCAGAGAGGTTAAAAACTTCTCCAGATCAACCTAGTAAGGGGCAGGGCTGGGATTTGATTCCAGCTTTATACAGTTTTGCAGCAAACAAAGACTCTTTTCCTGGGATATTTATAGTTTAGCCAGGAATACTGGGTTAGTGATATGAATATGATTTAGGCCAGGCACAGTAGCTCATGCCTGTGATCCTAACACTTTGGGAGGCAGAGGCAAGAGGATCATTTGAGCCCAGGAGCTCAAGACCAACCTGGGCGACAAAGGGAGACCCAATCGCTAGAAAAAATGAAAAAATTAAAAAACTAAACAAGGAGTGGTGGCATGTGCCTGTCATTCCAGGTATTTGAGAGGTTGAGGCAGGACGATCTTGAGCCCAGGAGTTTGAGGCTGCCGTGAGCTATGATCATGCCACTGCATTCCAGCCTGGGCAACAGAGCGAGACCCTTTCTCTAGAAAAAGAAGAAGAAAAAGAAAAGAGACTTAAACCTATTGATAGAATTTCTGGCATTGTTCCTAGTCATTTGATATGTATCTCTGCTAGGGATCTCTCTGGCACCTTGAGTTCATGCCAGAGGGGTAGCTATCTACTTAAATGATATGTTTAAAAATTTAATATTTATAACTAAGAACAAGTCTATTAGCAGTGATATTTTTATATGACATATTAAAGTTACAACATCTTTCTCATTTGATTCTCTCAATAACACGTGGATTCTTACAAGTTAAGAGTGAAAGTGAGAAGTTATTGCAGTAGTCTAAGTGAAAAATGATGATAGCAATAGAAATAGAGAGAAGTACACAGATTGAAAAATATGTGTTGGGGGTAGCAGACAGAGGAGGCTGCAAAGGGAAAAAAAAAGAAATGCAGAAACATATGGTGGTGTGGCAGATACTGTAGCTTGGCTCATTTAATACCTCTGCCGTGTATTATTTTCCTGTGCTGCTGTGGCCTAAATTTCCTAGAATGCCCTGTAGCTAGAATTCTGTGTGTGACTTGGTTTCTTCCAAGACTGTGCATCCATATGATGCGTGTGACAAGAAGCACAAGGAAGACAGTGAGGTCGTTGCCATGTGCAGAAGAGATTTGGCAAACACAGTGGCAAAGGTTCCTGGTGCTACCCAGGCATCTGTGGTGGAAGTTCTAGCTTTCAGACCCTTTGTGGTGGGAGGCAGTGCGGGGTATTCTTGCTAGCTCAGACTTGTGATGTGGTTGGACTTCTCTCCTGGCTATGTGCAGTTGTCTTGTTGATCATCCCAGCCTGATTCTCCAGGCTTCTAGGAGATTGAGGAACTATCAATAATCCTCTTTATGTTTAAGCCAGCTAGGGAAGTCTGCTGTCTGCAGATAGAAATTGGGAATGGTACAGCTACTATAAAGCTGAGAAAATATGATGCTTCAAGGGAGCTAATTGTGTTTAGTACTGTTTAAAAATGGAAATTGAAAAGTGTTTATTAAACTTAGTGATAGGCTCATTTGTGACCCTGGAGAAAGCATGGTTTTTTGGTTTGGTTTTGTTGTTGTTTTGATGGAAGTGGAAATCAGTTACAATAAATAGAAGAGTACATAGGAGGTAGGGAAGTAAAGACAGCCTGGGAAGACGACTCTATTGATAACTTGACTGACGGGGAATAGAGCAGAGGAGCAATAGTTGAGCAGGATCAGGGGATTTTCTCGTATTGGAGTGAAATAATATGTATGAAGCAATTTTTAATGAAGTGTCTTATACTTCGTAAGGGCTTAGTAACTGGAACTGTTATTATTATGATTGTTACTACTATTATTGTTGTCATTTTGTCCTCTGTATACTTTAGAGCGGGGGTGTCCAATCTTTTGGCTTCCCTGGGCCACATTGGAAAAAGAATTGTCTTGGGCCACACATAAAATACACTAACATTGACGATAGCTGATGAGCTAAAATAAAAACACACGCGCACACACACACACACGCACACAATTTCATGTTTTAAGAAAGTTTATGAATTTGTGTTGGCCACAGTCAAAGCCATCCTGGACCTCATGCGGCCCGCAGGCCATGGGTTGGACAAGCTTGCTTTAGAGTATTGTGAGTATGGGGTAGCAATCTCTTCTGTCTCCTGATTTTACAGATCTTTTTTTCAGCTCTTGCAGGCTGGCCTCATTGCCATATTATCTTTACTTAATTACATTAATTCAATAAACATTTATGAAGCACCCAGTATGTGCCAGGTAAAAATATAGCAGGTGCCTGGGATTCAAAACTGAGCAAAACTTGCTCTCTGCCTCTAAATAGTTTCTGAAGCACTAGGGGAGAGAGATGGTTAAAGCATAAATAAATGCTTTATCTCAAGTCATGCTTCTAACAGACGAGCAGAACCACCAGGAGATGTGTGTGTGTCTGTTGTATTTATGTATTCATTTACTCTCTCTCTCTCTCTCTCATTATGGCTGGCTTAGCAGCCCAGAGCCCACAGGCAGGAAGACAGGCAGGAAGGATCAGGAGCAGGCTGGAACCCCTCAAGCATGTCTTTTTATCTTAAGGTCCCCCTACAGTCATCTATCAGGGGTTAACGCAATTCTTCTTTTGAGCCATCTCCCTTCTTATGAAAGCCTCAGTGTTGAAGCAGGAAGCGTTTCTCCCTTATAGTCATTTCTATCTACTCTCTTATATACCAGTAAGACCTGTATTATAAAGAATTACGTTTATGATAAGCAGATATGCAAATTTATTCTAATATGTATTGCCTAATTTCTTGAATACACTCTAGCTGCATTTATTAACATATTTTATTTAGTCATCTGTGCAGCTAGTAAAAATAATTGGCTATCTGTGAATTAGCACAATACAAGTTAAAATGTGAGTTCATTAGTTTTCAACTTGAGTTTTTAATTTCACCTGCTGTTTACTGCCCAAAGGAATGATAAATTGTATTTTAAATGAAATGTATTTGAAGGAAGAACCTTCAGCAATCAATATTCTTTTTTACTTAAAATCTGCTTCTAATCTGCTCTGAAACTTTAAAGATGTTGTGTTAGACTGTGGCAACCACTGATGAATTTGAAAAGTTGTGTTTCTAGTTCTTATTGCCAAAGGAATTAGAGGCGTTAGGTTAGTTAGTCCAGTTATTTTTATTGAAAGAAGTTGAAACCAGCTCATATATCTTAAAAAAGAAAGGTAAAATGCAGTGAGTGGGGTGGGAATTTCAATTATGAAAAAGGATATCAAGACTTTAAAGCCCAGAGACAGCCGAAGCCAGGCCTCTGGGCCGGAACTCTGCAAACTCAGCCTGGAGCTCTGTGGGAAGAGGCAGCTCCCACTACTGCTGGTCTGTCCCAGGACTCTCCTGCCCTCTGTTTCTGTTTCTCTCCAGGGTCCGCTCTCCTCCTCCTCCTCTTCCTTCTCCTTCTCCGCCACCACTGGGGTCTGCTCCCCTCTTCCTCCTCCACTCTGCCTCCTGTTCCTTTCCCCTTTCTCCTCCAGGGTCTGCTCCCTGCCGCTGCCTCCATTGCCACCTCGGGTGGCCTCCTCCTCCTCCTCCTCCTCCTCCAGTGTCTGCTCCCCTCTTCCTCCTCCTCCAGTGTCTGCTCCCCTCCTCCTCCTCCTCCTCCAGGTTCTGCTTCTTTCCTCCTCCTCCCCCTCCCTAACTCTTCCTCCTCCTCCAGGGTCTGCTCTCTTCCTCCTCTTCCCCCTCCTCCCCCCTTTTCCTCCTCCTCCTTGCCCTTGCTCTTTCCTGGTTTCCTCTGCTTTCTTGTGTGCATGTGGCCTGGCCTGCTCACCCTCACTGCCTCAGTCTGTGCTTCTTCATCACCACCAGCCAGCACCACTAACTGACATCAGTTTCTAGGTCTCTCAGATCAGATTCCTGAAAGAAAGGATTCAGTTGGCCCTGTTTCTGCCCAGAGAAATTGTGTAATATATATTTTTTGAGAACTGATTTGGCCTTTTATTTATACATATCAGAAGTATATTCTCCAACTTGCCTAAAGGTTCTGTTCTAACTGCGTTTTTGAAATGTGTGGTTTAGTCAGAGAAACTATGTCTTAAAGTTTCTGTTGATTCCCAGGCCAGCTGCAATGAACTATTTAACCCATGAAGAAGATGAGCTCCGGCATACTGCTTCTGTTCCCACGAATCTCTCTCTTGCTGTGTGTTTGTGCCTGGGATTTGAGCCAGGGAGGATGGGGAGCTCAGAGTAGAGTCTAAGATGAGAGTGGGCTCTGGGGAGATGAGGGTCGGCTCTAGTAGGGGGTATGGAAAAGTTGGTGATCTTTAGAGCAACCCTTCTGTTGATGTATGATAGGTTTAGGGTAGGGTTCAGGTGAGGAGAGTGTGGGACCCCTTGGCAGAAACTCCAGTGGGGAAAAGTCAAAGATAGATGTTCTGTTCTGTGTCCAGGGTCCCCGGCTCTGGCTGTGGCAGTGGCAGTCAGGGGGCCCTGTGTGGCCATCATAGCTATTAGAATGGGCAGACCATCAGTAGTCCAGCTATTCTTCAGTAGAACAGCTGCTTGGCCTCCTTCGAAAAGAAATAACTGGGTGGGGCTCAAATTCCATCTGCATAAAATAGTCACCATAAACTAAATGTGGAAGAAGTAAAGTTGGTGTTTATTATCATGATTGTTCTTGACTATAAATGTTAAAACTCATTGGGGGAGTAGGGGGCTGGATTTCCTGTGATCCATAGAAAGGAAGAAGTGTTTCGGGCATACCTGGGGACCAGGCAGCTCGATGGTCTGCCCCTAACAATTCACCTTGGAGGATGGAATAGTCATTTCCCAGGATTTTGAAATTTATGTAACTTTAACCATGTCTTGCTTCTGAAAATTTGCCTTTTAATCTCTCTACAAGTCTATCCTGTATTAACCTCGTGGTATTTGCAGAAGGAAGTTTCAAAGTCCCATAATTTAAAAATAAAATAAACCCAATTTTCTCCATAAATTTTATTATAAAATAAGGCTTGTATTCCTGGAGGCAAAGTCCTCCATGCACTAAAGTTGAATACTTTGATAAGGAAAGAATTGAGATGCTGACCATTCTGTGCTTATATTAAACCTATTTCTTCCCCCCAAATTACTATTTCCCCCAGTTTACTATTTCCTTCTCAGTAGCTTAGGAAAGTGCTTTTAGCCTGAGGGATTCTGTGATCCCACACTTTTGCAGCCCTAGGAACTTGGCATCTATCCTCCTTAGACTTTTATGAGTAGGTCCCACCATATAACATGCATCTGCACCTGAAACTCCATTTATGTAATAATGCTACAAGAGTGCCCATGCTGTTTCAGATGCTCTTCTAGCTCCTGGAGATACATCAGTATCCAAAGCAAAAAAAAAAATGCCTGTTATCTTCATGGAGCGAATATTCTGGTGGAGCAGCTTGGACAATAAGCATAATAAATAATTATGCAGTTTGTAAGAAAATAATAAGTCCTGCAGAATGATAGAACTATAGTGCTGTAGAAAGATAATTCTGTTTAGTTTAGTTTTGTTTTTTTGAGATAGGTTCTCACTCTGTCGCCCAGGCTGGAGTGCAGTGGTGTGATCTTAGCTCATTGCAGCCTCAACTTCCTAGGCTAAAGTAAGTCATCCTCCTACCTCAGCCTCCCGAGTAGCTGGGACTAAAGGCACGTACCACCATGCCTGTAGTCCCAGCTAATTTTTTAATTTTTTGTAGAGACGGGGGGTTGCCAGGTTTCCCAGGCTGGTCTTGACTCTTGAGCTCAAGTGATCCACCTGCCTCAGCCTCCCAAAGTGCTGGGATTACAGGCATGAGCTACCACACCTGGCTAGAATGATAATTCTGTAGCTGATATAGAATAGAATATGGGGAATGAGGAGGGAGAGGGGAACATTGCAATTTTAAATTGAGTGGTCAGGGTTGGCTTCACTGAGAAAGACATTTGAACAAAGACTGAAAAGGGTGAGGAAGCAAGCAATGTGGGTATCTGAAGGAAGAACCCTGCAGGAAGATGAGGAAGCCAGTAAAAAGGCCTGGATGCAGGGGTATGCCTGGCATGTTCAAGGCCAGCAAGGCTGGGGGTAGCTGTGAGAGTGAAGAGAGGAAGTAGGAGAGGGAGCAAATCGGATAGAGGCGGACCAGATCCTATGCGACTTTGGAGGCAAGGACTTTGGCTTTTGTTCTGAATAAATGGGGAGCCATTGGAGGGTTCTCAGCCAAGGAGGGGCATGATCTGACCCTGATTTTTAAGGGATAAGTCTGGCTACCATTAGGAGGAACTGGGGTTCATGGGAGGCGGTGCAGGAGTGGAAACAGGGCTCCGGGGAGGGAGACTATTGTACAGATCCAGGTAAGAGACAGTGGTGGCTTAACCAGGATGGTAACTGGAGGCTGTAAGAAGTGATTGGATTTTAGATATATTCTGAAGATAAAATTCATAGGATTTCTACATGGATTGGGTGTGAATGGGTGAGTTGAACTTTGAATTATATAAAACAAATAAAATATCTAAGTAACTAATGTGATATTTGAAATTCTGTATCCTGAAGTTAAGTTCAATAAGATTAACCCACACTGATAATGGATTTTCCCTCTGTCCTGTGAAAGAGTCACTATGCCAAACGGAAAAAATTAAGCTGAAAGCTGAGTCATGCAAGAAACTGCTTTTCCTTTTGTTCCTTAGCATATAGCTACAGATAAAGATTAAATATCTCCACATGTAGCTACTCTATGTTCACCCTATCTTGTGTGAAGTGCTGATTTACTGAGCTCAAGATGAATATGTAACTGACTCGTCCCCTCCCTGCTCCTTCTCTCTTGCAGCATGTGGATTACCTACCCTCCTTCTCTCCCCTCCAGCCTACTTTCCCCCTTTAAATATTGAAGCTCTCAAGATCATCTTTGGAGAAAGGCACAGGTCACAGACTGTTCCTGTGGTGTCATGTTGTTTTCTTCAAGACAAGTTCTTAACCTTGGCAAGATAAACTTCTAAATTGATTGAGACGTGTCTCATGCATTTTGGTTTACAGTCCTTACCATATGGTTGGGAAAAATATACAAGTGAATTTAGCTGAGGTTAAATTTAGTATTGGACTTTACAGAAATGAATGTTTCTATCCAAGCCTTTTCAGAAAGGATTTAAAAAAAAATACCCAAGTTGTGTGTCTCCCTTGCATAATGTAAATAAAAGGCTTGAAACTTTAGCCAAGCAGTCTTCCACTACCAACTTTTCCAATAACTTTCCATCCTAAGTGTGCTGCTGACTAATCTTCCATGCAGCACGCCAAGTCTTGCTTTGTTGAATATTAAATTGTCGACATATTAAAGTTAAAACTTGCTGTAGTACACTATTTACAATAGCAAAGACTTGGAACCAACCCAAATGTCCATCAATGATAGGCTGGATAAAGAAAATGTGGCACATATACACCATGGAATACTATGCAGCCATAAAAAAGAATGAGTTCATGTCCTTTGCAGGGACATGGATGAAGCTGGAAACCATCATCCTCAGCAAACTAACACAGGAACAGAAAACCAAACACCACATGTTCTCACTCATGAGTGGGAGTTCAACAGTGAGAACACATGGACACAGGGAGGGGAACATCACACACCGGGGCCTGTCAGGGCAGGTGGTGGCAAGGGGAGGGAGAGCATTATGACAAATACCTAATACATGCAGGGCTTAAAACCTAGATGACGGGCGGATAGGTACAGCAAACCACCATGGCACACGTATATCTATGTAACGAACCTGCATGTTCTGCACATGTATCCCAGAACTTAAAGTAAAAAACAAAAACAAACAAACAAAAACTTGCTGTCGTAAACCCAGCATTAACAACACTGATTCCTGAGATAGTGTAGTTGTGTGGTTTGGACATATGATGCCAAAACATAACGCAGGGCTTCAACTCTGTCATGCTGAATTTTACTTCTTACTCCATCATTGAAGCTGCCCTCACAGGGTTAACAAGAATTTTGGACAGAAATACTGTAATTAAGCATTAATTTGGGTTTCCTTTGACTCACTTTTTTTTGTAACTGAAAGTCATGGAACACTAGATACTGACCATTTGCATCCCCACTGTACCTGTAGATAGGATTTCTCTTTTGTTATTATTTTTTTGAGTCAGGGTCTCGCTCGGCCACCCCAGCTGGAGTGCAGTGGCACAATCACGGCTCACTGCAGCCTTGACTTCCTGGGCTCTAGTGATCCTCCCACCCCAGCCTCCCGAGTAGCTGGGACCACAGGCATATACCACCGTGCCCAGCTAGTAGGATTTCTGACATTAGAATCATAAGGCTTTTGCTCAAGATAGATAGGACCTCTGACATTAGAATCATAGGCTTCCAGTTAAGAACTGCTTAAACAGATCTTGAATTCCAGTAGAACAGCTGATGTCAACAATCTCCACACTTTGGCCCATTCCAAAACCCCTAAAAACCCTATTCCCAAACTCCTCTGGCAGACAGATTTGAGGTTTCCTCCCATCTCCTTGTTTGGCAGCCCTATGATTAAACCAGTGCAACCTGGTGTCTCGGCATATTGATTTACCATGTACATAGGGCAACAGACCTATTGTGGTTACATCACCACTACCACCAAACCAGTCTGATTTTCATCAGCCACTTCCTCTGTCTTGGTATAGAAAAATAATGTATGTACTTAAGGAAAAAGCAGTCAACAAACTTCATTGGTTTCAGAGGGCTAAGGGAATAATATAATCAATGGGCTAGTAATTGGAAGCAATTGTTTTTAAAGTAGTTCTATTATAGCCATTCATTAGGACTATAGATTTGCCGTCCAACATATTTTTCTGTGTACCTAGCATGAAATTTGAAGAATGTAATTTAAAATAAGGAGTAGAGTTCTGTTGACTGTTTTTGGGTGTCATTTTTTATCAGTTTATTCTAAGGTTCTGGTCTTTCTTTGAACATGATCCTTAGCAGTAATTTTTTTCTCTTTTTTTTGAGACGGAGTCTTGCTCTGTCGCCAGGCTGGAGTGCAGTGGCACAATCTTGGCTTACTGCAACCTCCACCTCCCAGGTTCAAGCGATTCTCCTGCCTCAGCCTCATGAGTAGCTGGGACTACACGTGCACACCACCACGCCCAGCTAATTTGTTTTCGTATTTTTAGTAGAGACGGGGTTTCACCATGTTAGCCAGGATGGCCTTGACCTCTTGACCTCGTGATCCACCCGCCTTGACCTCCCAAAGTGCTGAGACTACAGGCATGAGCCACCGCGCCTGGCCAGCAGTAATATTTTAAATTAATTGAGAGAATCAAATGTTTTTATTATTAATATCAGTTTTGCTTATCTTTTTGTAACATATTTTAAATCTATTGGGTCTGATTTGCACTCCACACAGTGGTTGATGTGTCATTGTCATCAGTCACCAAATAGTAATGTGTCTTATTATGTGTTATGAAAGCAAGTTCTTTAAATCCTGATGTGGAGGGGAATAATCTGAAATAGAAAAAATTTTATAAACTTTTTCAGGTGTGATTTTATGGTTTCCTGGTGAGTGGAAGGGCCTTAAAGAGTTGCTCAGCCAAGTGGTCCTCTTATTAGCCTCCTATTGTTTGCTAAGAGTGATTTTTGCTGTGGCCTAAATTTCATGCCTTTTTTTTTTCTTTAGAATTTCTAAACTACTTTTTTACTATCCAGAAAGCCCCAGAAAGCAAATGGGTTGTTTTCAGATTATTCCTGGAAATGTTGTTAATCTCCGGAGCCAACTCCTCAAATCTGATTTGGTTGAGATGAGTAACTGAGGACAGTTTCCAAGAGTTGAGTGTTGACACATGCTTTTTAGCATTTCATTACTGTAAATCTGTAAGAAAAGTGTGAGGATTAAGGTGGCCCAGAGTGTACTTGAGTGTAGGCAGAAGGAAGGATTGATCAAATAAGTGGGCTGAAGTCAGAGACATTCTCTTTTCTGATGCGCCGTTATGATCTTCCTGTGGAAACCAGATGTTTTTGTATCAAGAAGAAATGATGAGCTTCAGTCCCTGTCTTAGGAAGTTGCATCGAATTTACAAAGGATACCATTTAGAGAAATTCAGGACATAAATAGATACTGTTAACTTCTTGTTAAAAAAAAAATGGCAATTTCCCCAAGTATATCATATTTATATATACACTGTTTATCTTCTTCTAGGAAAACAAAAGCTGTTCATTGGAATGAAAATTCTGAGTTTTATTTGTCCGTTAACTCAGTAATTGGTGGTATTCTCATATAATTGAACATTGAAGCTTTGTTCCCTTGCAAGAAATTATATGGGATAATGTGTATGTCTGTGATACACTATATGAAGAGCTTCTGTGTTGGGTAGGGAGAAAGAATTTGATGGTAGCTATTGTAGTACAATATGACTACAAAGTGCTGATGAGCAATAGAAGTTATAGTGTTCGGAAAGCAAGTTCTTTAAATCAATCCTAATGTGGGGGAAATTAATCTGAACATCAGCATCAGCTCTTCCCTGCCACTTAGGTCTCTCTCCTACAGGAAGCTGTCAGTTTCTTACCTATGTTGTGTTCTCTTCCTGGTCCTTACAAGGAATCCTATAGCTGTGAGAAGCCCTCCCTTCTTTGGTAGATCCCCATTTACCCCAAAAGGTGAGCATCTTCATTTGTTAGTGCTGTGCATACTGATTCTTCTTTCTCTTGCCCTTACCAGCTTTAATGCTGCTGTTGATTTCTGTCCTTCTAACCAGATGTTTTTGTTCTTTCTGGCTGTCTTCTATCATTGAACACTTTTCCTGCTTAGGACCTATAGCATAGAGTGATTTTTCAGATTGTCTCAAGTTTTCCATTAACAAGAATATCAGCTCATATTTATGAATCACATAATTGATACCAGCTTCAAAGAAGCAGCAAGCTAATTTAGACTAGACCTTGCAGATCACCAGGAACAGTTTTGTCACCAGGGCATTGTACAAATTGGGAAAAAAAATAAAAGCACCCTATTTGGACAGATGAAGTATAAAAAGTTGCTCTCCAGGTGCATGGATCAGAAAAATGTCCCTCATCCAAAGTAAGGAAGCCTCGGGATGTGGCTTGAATGGGGACTGAATTTTAGCCTCATTTGACCAGTGTTTAGGGTTTAATACACAACTGCTTGCAGCAGCTTGGGTTGCCATGCCATCTCTGTTTTATTTTGTTTTCTTTGGTTTTGTTTTTAAGATCCATAGACTTGGTGGCTATCTCTTTGCATCACAATTTCCAAATTTTTGTTTCTAGGGGTTCTTAGAAATACACCCTCTAGGCCGGGTGCAGTGGCTCACGCTTGTATTCCCAGCACTTTGGGAGGCTGAGGTGGGCAGATCACGAGGTCAGGAGTTCAAGACCAACCTGGCCAACACAGTGAAACCTTGTCTGTACTATAAATACAAAAAAGCTGGGTGTGGTGGCAGGTGCCTGTAATCCCAGCTACTTGGGAGGCTGAGGCAGGAGAATTGCTTGAACCTGGGAGGCAGAGGGTGCAGTGAGTTGAGATTGTGCCACTGCACTCCAGCCTGGTTGACAGAGCGAGACTCCATCTGAAAAAAAAAAAAAAAAAAAAAAGAAAGAAACACACCCTCTATATCAATAGTTACTCTGGTTTCCCTCCTTCCTTAGTTACTCTGGTTTCCTTCCTTCCTTCCTTCCGTCCATCCTTCCATCCTTCCTTCCTCAGCTCTATTGTGGTATAATTTAAATGCCACAACATTCCTCCCATTGTAAGATACAATTCAATAATTTTAAGTAAACTTACTACTCATACAGATATCACTACAGTCTAGTCCTAGGACATTTCCATCACCCCAAAAAGTTCTCTCATGCCCATTTGCAGTTAGTTCCTGCTCCCACCCCAGCCCCAGGAAATCACTGATCTGCTTTCTATCTCTGTAGATTTGCCTTTTCTGGAAATCTCATATGAATGGAATTATATTTTCCTTTTGCTTCTTTCTTCTGTTAAGCTAATGTAGGTTCCAGTCAGTGCTCATTTGCAATAACTGGATGAGCCTTGTCACCTTCTACTGCTGCTGCCAGTCCTTGCTTATCCCTTCCTTTCCATTCTGCCTCAGTGTACAAACATACTCTTTTACCTCCTGTCTTAAAATTCTCTCTCGTCCATCATCCCCTCCAGCCACCACCCTATTTCTCTGGGCCATTTCCGAGCCCAGCTTCTTAAGACTCGACGTTATATATGCTTTCTACTCTCTCCTCTCCTGTGAGCTCTCATTTTTTGTTTTTTTTGTGTGTCTTAAATATAATAATTGATATGAATAAAAGACATTAAAAAGAACATGTGATACATATATACATGCTTTAAAGCATAGTGATATAATGAGTATCTACATCTGCCATCTGCCCCTTCCGCTAGCATTACAAATGGTGGAACCCATGATTCATAGTGTCCAAAATATTTTACTTATCTTTACAGTTATTTTGGTCCTTTTTGATCATTTTAATTCTACTTTTAAATAAGAAGTCTGGGCTAAATTTTCTTTAAAATCCGTTACATTGCTAAATTTCTCTGATTACTATTGAGAGATTAATTTTTTTACTTAGAAAGTATTATAGAAGATTTATAGCTTGCTTTGTTGTATATTACTATATTTTATTATGAAGCCTTGGCTAAGAGCATGCATGACATACAGTTATAACAGTATTTCTATAGGAAATGTATTCTATTTGCATTAATTTGCTTCAGGTTTTTTTTTCCTAAATTTTTGAAGCTAAAAGCTAGACTTCCTGTAATGTTGTTTCCTTCCTTTAAACTTTGGATAGAATTCATTTAATCAATCCATTTGGCCCCAAGGGAGGCATGGATGTCAATTTTTGTTTCAACTTAATACTGTGAAGACTTAAATATTTAATTAACGTAATACTTGACACTTAGAAGCAATTTATAATCATCAAAACTAGGCCTTTGTTTTCTTTTTTTATCCCTGTTGTTTAGAGTTTTCTTGTTGTAACATAGGTTAGGAATGGACTGGTGGAGAAGTGAAAAACTCTCCCCTCTCCCCCCACCTCCAGGCAGAGAGAGTTACGCAGTGCATTGACTAGTGATGGATGTTTAACATACTTGTCCTTACATCTGTTGATTTTCTAAACACATTTTTATCATTTATTTCATTTGTGGAAGTCTGAAATATTTTATGTCTTTCTATTGCATATTGATGTCATTAAAACAGTGAACACTTAAAAACAGACACTAGATTTTCTTTTATCTTTATTTGATTTCATTAATACAGTCTAAGAAATATTGTGAGTTTTTAATGAGTTACAAGTAAACCAAAGTGGGTGACAATCTTCCTGTGGAGCTGGGTATATGTCTGACAGGAAAACTATGGGAAGAGAATCTTCTTTTCTTCCTGGTAGGAGAGGCCAAGATGAGAATGGAGCTCTGTGTAGTGCTCTATGTGTCATAGGAAAGATCCATGCCAGCCAAGTGGATTCCAAGGCCCAAGTCATCCCTGGACTCTGGAAAGTCTCATGTTGGGGCAGATGCAGTGACTTCAGCATGCATGTATTTCAGTTTTCCTTTAGTCTGAGAATTTCTAGTCGTTAATACCTTCCTTTACCAGTCTCTGCTATTATCAAACACACATATTCTCCTTGTATTCTGAAAATGATTTATGCTTATGGCCTTAGATTCTATAAATCTAAATCTATTTGATTAAAGCCTTTGTGCTTTTTCTCCTACCGAAAATTAAAAAGAAACAAGCATGTATTCTATTTAAATGGGAGAGTGAAGATTTACTGACTTCACAGATGACCCCACTGGAGGAAATGGATTGTATCACAGGCCCATGAAATGTCTCATGATTGTGCATATTTTGAAATACACCCCACTGATTAGTGAGGCTCCAGATTACCAGATAGACTCATCTTTGTACAATAGGACTTTAACTGGTTTTCTCCAGTCCTCATTTACAGTACCAATTACCTTACAGAAACCTTTCTTTAGCTTCAGTCTCCTTTTTCAGTTTCACAAAGTCTGAAGTAACAAGATTCAGTTCATTAAGGTTTAATTTTATATTTGTCTCCCACCATAATCATCATTACATTTTGTTACAAGTGATAGGAAAAATTATTCTGACTTCTTTATCATAGGGCCTTAGAAGGGATTTTGTTAAAATCTTAACTGCTGAGTAGATTGTAAAAATTTTCTCCCATTCTGTAGGTTGCCTGTTCACTCTGATGGTAGTTTCTTTTGCTCTGCAGAAGCTCTTTAGTTTAGTTAGATCCCATTTGTCAATTATGGCTTTTGTTGCCAAAATTTTCTTGCTTTTGGTGTTTTAGTCATGAAGTCCTTGCCCATGCCTATGTCCTGAATCGTATTGCCTAGGTTTTCTTCTAGGGTTTTTATGGTTTTAGGTCTAACATTGAAGTCTTTAATCCATCTTGAAATAATTTTTGTATAAGGTGTAAGGAAGGGATCCAGTTTCAGCTTTCTACATATGGCTAGCCAGTTTTCCCAGCACCATTTACTAAATAGGGAATCCTTTCCCCATTTCTTGCTTTTGTCAGTTTTGTCAAAGATCAGATGGTTGTAGATGTGTGGTATTATTTCTGAGGGCTCTGTTCTGTTCCATTGGTCTATATCTCTGTTTTGGTACCAGCACCATGCTGTTCTGGTTACTGTAGCCTTGTAGTATAGTTTGAAGTCAGGTAGCGTGATGCCTCCAGCCTTGTTCTTTTGGCTTAGGATTGACTTGGCAATGTGGGCTCTTTTTTGGTTCCATATGAACTTTAAAGTAGTTTTTTTCCAATTCTGTGAAGAAAGTCTTGGTAGCTTGATAGGGATGGCATTGAATCTATAAATTACCTTGGGCAGTATGGCCATTTTCATGATATTGATTCTTCCTATCCATGAGCATGGAATATTCTTCCATTTGTTTGTGTCCTCTTCTATTTTGTTGAGCAGTGGTTTGTAACTCTCCTTGAAGAGGTCCTTCACATCCCTTGTAAGTTGGATTCCTAGATATTTTATTCTCTTTGAAGTAATTGTGAATGGGAATTCACTCATGATTTGGCTGTTTGTCTGTTATTGGTGTATAGGAATGCTTGTGATTTTTGCACATTGATTTTGTATCCTGACACTTTCCTGAAGTTGCTTATCAGCTTAAGGAGATTTTGGGCTGAGATGATGGGGTTTTCTAAATATACAATGATGTCATCTGCAAACAGGGACAATTTGGCTTCCTCTTTTCCTAATTGAATGCCCTTTATTTCTTTCTTCTGCCTGATTGCCCTGGCCAGAACTTCCAACACTGTGTTGAATAGGAGTGGAGAGAGAGGGCATCCATGTCTTGTGCCAGTTTGCAAAGGGAATGCTTCCAGTTTTTGCCCACTCAGTATGATATTCGCTGTGGGTTTGTCATAAATAGCTCTTATTATTTTGAGATATGTCCCATCAATACCTAATTTATTGAGAGTTTTTAGCATGAAGGGTTGTTGAATTTTGTTAAAGGCCTTTTCTGCATCTATTGAGATAATCATGTGGTTTTTTTCTTTGGTTCTGTTTATATGATGGATTACATTTATTGATTTGTGTATGTTGAACCAGCCTTGCATCCCAGGGATGAAGCCAACTTGCTTGTGGTGGATAAGCTTTGTGATATGCTGCTGGATTCGGTTTGCCAGTATTTTACTGAGGATTTTTGCATTGATGTTCATCAGGGATATTGGTCTAAAATTCTCCTTTTTTGTTGTGTCTCTGCCCGGCTTTGGTATCAGGATGATGCTGGCCTCATAAAATGAGTTAGGGAGGATTCCCTCTTTTTCTATTGATTGGAATAGTTTCAGAAGGAATGGTACCAGCTCCTCTTTGTACCTCTGGTAGAATTCGCCTGTGAATCCGTCTGTTCCTGGACTTTTTTTGGTTTGTAGGCTATTATTGCGTCAATTTCAGAGCCTGTTATTGGTCTATTCAGGGATTCAACTTCTTCCTGGTTTAGTCTTGGGAGGGTATATGTGTCCAGTTATTTATCCATTTCTTCTAGATTTTCTAGTTTATTTGCATAGAGGTGTTTATAGTATTCTCTGATGGTAGTTTGTATTTCTGTGGGATCGGTGGTGATATCTCCTTTATGATTTTTTATTGTGTCTATTTGATTCTTCTCTCTTTTCTTCTTTGTTAGTCTTGCTAGTGGTCTATCAATTTTGTTGATCTTTTCAAAAAACCACCTCCTGGATTCATTGATTTTTTTGAAGGGTTTTTTGTGTCTCTATTTCTTTCAGTTCTGCTCTGATCTTAGTTATTTCTTGCCTTCTGCTAGCTTTTGGATGTGTTTGCTCTTGCTTCTCTAGTTCTTTTAATTGTGATGTTAGGGTGTCAATTTTAGATCTTTCCTTCTTTCTCTTGTTGGCATTTAGTGCAATAAATTTCCCTCCAGACACTGCTTTAAATGTGTCCCAGAGGTTCTTGTATGTGGTGTCTTTGTTCTCATTGGTTTCAAAGAACATCTTTATTTCTCCCTTCATTTCGTGATGTACCCAGTAGTCATTCAGGAGCAGGGTGTTCAGTTTCCATGTAGTTGAGTGGTTTTGAGTGAGTTTCTTAATCCTGAGTTCTAGTTTGATTGCACTGTGGTCTGAGAGACAGTTTGTTATAATTTCTGTTCTTTTACATTTGCTGAGGAGTGCTTTACTTCCAACTATGTGGTCAATTTCGGAATAAGTGCAGTGTGGTGCTGAGAAGAGTGTATATTCTGTTGATTTGGGGTGGAGAGTTCTGTAGATGTCTATTAGGTCTGCTTGGTGCAGAGCTGAGTTCAATTCCTGAATATCCTTGTTAACTTTCTGTCTTGTTGATCTGTCTAACATTGACAGTGGGGTGTTAAAGTCTCCCATTATTATTGTGTGGGAGTCTAAGTCTCTTTGTAAGTCTCTAAGGACTTGCTTTATGAATCTGGGTGCTCCTGTATTGGGTATATAAATATTTAGGATAGTTAGCTCTTCTTGTTGAATTGATCCCTTTACCATTATGTAATGGCCTTCCTTGTCTCTTTTGTTCTTTGTTGGTTTAAAGTCTGTTTTATCAGAGACTAGGATTGCAACCCCTGCTTTTTTTTTGTTTTCCATTTGCTTGGTAGATCTTCCTCCATCCCTTTATTTTGAGCCTATGTGTGTCTCTGCACGTGAGATGGGTCTCCTGAATACAGCACACTGATGGATCTTGACTCTTTATCCAATTTGCCAGTCTGTGTCCTTTAATTGGAGCATTTAGCCCATTTACATTAAAGGTTAATATTGTTATGTGTGAATTTGATCCTGTCATTATGATGTTAGCTGGTTATTTTGCTCATTAGTTGATGCGGTTTCTTCCTAGCCTCGATGGTCTTTACAATTTGGCATGTTTTTGCAGTGGCTGGTACCAGTTGTTCCTTTCCATGTTTAGTGCTTCCTTCAGGAGCTCTTTTAGGGCAGGCCTGGTGGTGACAAAATCTCTCAGCATTTGTTTGTTTGTAAAGGATTTTATTTCCCCTTCACTTATGAAGCTTAGTTTGGCTGAATATGAAATTCTGGGTTGAAAATTCTTTTCTTTAACAATGTTGGATATTGGCTCCCACTCTCTTCTGGCTTTTAGAGTTTCTGCCGAGAGATACACTGTTAGTCTGATGGGCTTCCCTTTGTGGGTAACCCAACTTTTCTCTCTGGCTGCCCTTAACATTTTTTCCTTCATTTCAGCTTTGGTGAATCTGACAATTATGTGTCTTGGAGTTGCTCTTCTCAAGGAGTATCTTTGTGGCGTTCTCTGTATTTCTTGAATTTGAATGTTGGCCTGCCTTGCTAGGTTGGGGAAGTTCTGGATAATATCCTGCAGTGTGTTTTCCAACTTGGTTCCATTCTCCCCGTCATTTTCGGGTACACCAGTCAGACATAGATTTGGTCTTTTCACATAGTCCCATATTTCTTGGAGGCTTTGTTTGTTTCTTTTTACTCTTTTTTCTCTAAACTTCTCTTCTCACTTCATTTCATTCATTTGAGCTTCAATCACTGATACCCTTTTTTCCACTTGATCAAATCGGCTACTGAAGCTTGTGCATGCGTCACGTAGTTCTCGTGCCATGGTTTTCAGCTCCATCAGGTCATTTAAGGTCTTCTTTACACTGTTTATTCTAGTTAGCCGTTCGTCTAATCTTTTTTCAAGGTTTTTAGCTTCTTTGCAATGGGTTCGAACATCCTCCTTTAGCTCGGAGAAGTTTGTTACTACCAATCATCTGAAGCCTTCTCTCAACTCGTTAAAGTCATTCTCCATCCAGCTTTGTTCTGTTGCTGGCGAGGAGGTGCATTTCTTTGGAGGAGAAGAGGTGCTCTGATTTTTAGAATTTTCAGCTTTTCTGCTCTGGTTTCTCCCCACCTTTGTGGTTTTTATCTACCTTTGGTCTTTGATGATGGTGACGTACAGATGGGGTTTTGGTGTGGATGTCCTTTCTGTTTGTTAGTTTTCCTTCTAACAGTCAGGACTCTCAGCTGCAGGTCTGTTGGAGTTTGCTGGAGGTCCACTTCAGACCCTGTTTGCCTGGGTATCACCAGCGGAGGCTGCAGAACAGCAAATATTACAGAATGGCAAATGTTGCTGCCTGATCCTTCCTCTGGAAGCTTCGTCTCAGAGGGGCACCCAGCTGTATGAGGTTTCAGTCAGCCCCTACTGGGAGGTACCTCCCAGTTAGGCTACTCGGTGGTCAGGGACCCACTTAAGGAGGCAGACTGTACGTTTGCAGATCTCACACTCCGTGCTGGGAGCACCACTACTCTCTTCAAAGCTGTCAGACAGGGACGTGTAAGTCTGCAGAAGTTGCTGCTGCCTTTTGTTCAGCTGTGCCCTACCCCCAGAGGTGGAGTCTACAGAGGCAGGCAGGCTTCCTTGAGCTGCAGTGGGCTCCACCAGGTTCGAGCTTCCCAGCCGTTGTGCTTACCTACTCAAGCCTCAGCAGTGGCTGATGCCCCTCCCCCAGCCTTGCTGCCGCCTTGCAGTTTGATCTCAGACTGCTGTCCTTGCAGTGAGCAAGACTTCGTGGGTGTGGGACCCTCCGAGCCAGGCACGGGATATAGTCTCCTGGTGTGCTGTTTGCTAAGGCCATTGGAAAAGCGCAGTGTTAGGGTGAGAGTGTCCTGATTTTCCAGGTACCATCTGTCACGGCTTCCCTTGGCTAGGAAAGGGAATTCCCTGACCCTTTGCACTTCCCGGATGAGGCGATGCCCCACCCTGCTCTGTGGGCTGCACTCACTGTGTGACAAGCCCCATTGAGATGAACCTGGTACCTCAGTTGGCAATGCAGAAATCCCCTGTCTTCTGCATCACTCAGGCTGGGAGCTGTAGACTGGAGCTGTTCCTATATTTGGCCATTTTGGAACTTCCATCCTGACAATGGGCTAATATCCAGAATCTACAAAGATCTTAAACAAATTTACAAGAAAACATCAAACAACCCCATCAAAAAGTAGGCAAAGGATATGAACAGACACTTCTCAAAAGAAGACATTTGTGCAGCCAACAGACACATGAAAAAATGCTCATCATCACTGGTCATCAGAGAAATGCAAATCGAAACCACAATGAGATACCATCTCACACCAGTTAGAATGGCAATCATTAAAAAGTCAGGAAACAACAGGTGCTGGAGAGGATGTGGAGAAATAGGAACACTTTTACACTGTTGGTGGGACTGTAAACTAGTTCAACCATTGTGGAAGTCAGTGTGGCGATTCCTCAGGGATCTAGAACTAGAAATACCATATGACCCAGCCATCCCATTACTGGGTATATACCCAAAGGATTATAAATCATGCTGCTATAAAGACACATGCACACATATGTTTATTTTGGCATGATTCACAATAGCAAAGAGTTGGAACCAACCCAAATGTCCCATCAATGATAGACTGGATTAAGAAACTGTGGCACATATACACCATGGAATACTATGCAGCCATAAAAAAGGATGAGTTCATCACATGTTCTCACTCATAGGTGCGAATTAAACAATGAGAACACTTGGACACAGGGTGGGGAACATCATACACCGGGGCCTGTCATGGGTTGGGGGCGGGGGGGAAGGGATAGCATTAGGAGATATACCTAATGTAAATGATGAGTTAACGGGTGCAGCACACCAACATGGCACATGTATACATATGTAACAAACCTGCACGTTGTGCACATTTACCCTAGAACTTAAAGTATAATTAAAAAATTAAAATAAATTAATAAAAAAATCTTAACTGTTGGGGATGAAGGATAAGAAATAATTCTTCATGAACTACAGAGTGTGGTTAAGACCAGTATTATTAGCCAAAAAGAAAGTTAGATTTTATACATTAGCTCTCTTCTATTAAACATGATAATCAGACTGAAATATTGAAGAGTTTACTTGAATTTTCTTAGTTGTGGGGGATAAAACAATGATGTTTTACATTTTAAAAAATTAGAGGTATTACACTTTTCAAATCTTTGTTTTTGTATACCTGGGAGGCATTTTTTTGTGTGTTTGTGATGTTTCTTATTTGCATTATTACAGATGCATTGATTGTATATTATTTTGTGAAGTTATTTTATTTCTATGTTGCATTTTTCTTATTAAAATTATACAATCTTTCAGATGAACAGGAAGGACAGTGTCTGTAATCTCTCCTCACCGCCATCTGCAGTAGTCGTACAAAGGTGATGTTTTATGTGAGTAAGAATTTCTGTGTTTCATTTCACAGGTGGGGAGCATTAAGCGGGAAATGACCTTCACATTTCAGTCAGAGGACTTAAAACGTGACTGTGGTAAAAAAATGTCTCATCAACACGTGTTTTCCTTGGCCATGGAGGAAGATGTGAAAACAGCAGACACCAAAAAAGCCAGCCGGATCCTTGACCATGAAAAAGAAAACACTCGCTCCATCTGTCTCCTTGAGCAAAAAAGAAAAGTTGTTTCCTCCAACATTGATGTTCCTCCAGCAAGGTAAGGGAACATTAAATCTCACATGTGTCTGCCCCAGGAAGTTGGTGGAGAGCATGCATAATCTCTGCCAGTGTACAGACTCTCTTCAGTATATAGACATATGAAAGGTTTTCTGCCAAGAAATTTTTTCTATTGCTTGTGTGAAATAGAGCAGGTGGCCTTACTCTTCATAACTGACTTTGAGGCTGCTGTAGTTGGAACTATTGTAGCTCTAGAAAAGAAATGTTTTATTCAATTTTAATAAATGAATAATAAAGAGCAAAGGAATAAATGCAAAAAATTAGGATGAAACATCATATAGAGGACTGAGCATACATTAAGTAGGACTGTAGCCACTTCAAAGCAAGTGTACACAGATCTTTGGTCAGAGGTTGGTAAACTATGGCTGCAGGCCAAATTCAGCCCCTGATCTGTTTTTCTGTGGCCTGTAACATAAGAATGGTTTTACTTTTTTTTTTTTTCCAAATAGAGATAGGGTCTGGTTCTGTCGCTCAAGCTGGAGTGCAGTGACGCAAAGGTAGCTCACTGCGGCCTTGAACTTCTGGGCACAAGCAGTCCTCCTGCCTCAGGCTCTAGAGTAGCTGGCTGGGACTACAGGCATATGCAGCCATGCCCAGCTAATTATTTTTATTTTTTGTAGAGATGGTGTCTCACTGTGTTACCCAGGCAGGTCTCAAACTCCTGAGCTCAAGCGATTCTCCCACCTTCAGCCTCCCAAAGTCCTGAGATTACAGGCATGAGTTACTGTGCCTGGCCTGCCTTTTTAACGGCTTAAAAGAAATGAAGAATAGGCGACACAGAGCACAGGTGGTCTGTAAAGTCTAAAATATGTAAAAGAAAAAAAAAGAAAAAAGTTGGTGATGCCTGGTTTATATCTTGATAATCTTTGTATGATAGATCTACTTTAAAACTCAACCAAGAGGGTTTATCTGAAATATCAAAAAGCCTTTGTCTTTCTAAAAACAAGTAAAAAAAAAGGCCTTTGTCACATTATAATTTTATTTAAACCACACCCAATAGCACTGAACCAAAGGACAATATTCTGGCAGAATGACAGTGGCAGTGGTGGCACATACATATTAGACCTTTTACTTTCTTGCATATCATTTGTCTCACCTAGAAAACAAGCTCCACGTCAGCAGGGATTTTAGATTACTCTGTTCATGCTTTATCCCTAGCCCTGGAACAGTGCTTAATTATGTTCTGGGGACTCATGAATATTTGTCAGATGAAAAAAAGAAAGAAAATGCTGTAGCATGAGAGATTGCTTATTTGTAATATGGGTGCCACATTTTGTTGCCAAAAATCATTTATAATGGAACTTAGAGCTTATAGCAATTGTTTGAGAAGTCCTGCATTTGTCCAAGTGGTTTCTAACAGTTAACCAGGAAAACAGTACCTTTGGAAGAGGAATAAATGTGCCTTTCCTGCCTGTTCACGTTTTGTAATTAACGTTTCATTTCTTTCTATATTAAATCAAAAGTATCTTCTCTAGAAAATTATTATTTTCTCCCATTGCCAGATTTGTCAGACTTTCTAAAATTATAGGCCTCTTAGTTTTCTTTAACCTTTAATTGAAAATTTTCACGTATTCATTACTTCTGTTTAACTACTTGGAATTATTTGCTTTTCTAATGTTTTTCGTATAAATACATGTTAAGTTATTTAGGATTATTTCCTTCTACTGTGGCATGGTTGTGAAACATTTTATCATACCCTGACCCTCATAGGCATCTCAATTTGTATTTGTTGTTTGGTTGTCTCATAGGAAACTGACATGTTAACAATTTGAAATGTGAAGAACTGTGCTTTTTTTTTTTTTTCCTAAGTCTGTAGGGCAAAAGTTAGACTTCTAGTGTCAGTTTAATACCAACTTGCAATTCTATAGGACTTATTCTACATAAAATTTCCATTAGACCATTGTATATGTTAAAAGACCTGGAATTAATCATTTTAAATTGCCATAGGTTGTTTTAAGTATACCTTTATTCTTTAATTCCACCTCACTTGGAGCACTTGCTGGGGAAAATAATGAAAAGAGGAAGAAGAAAGATGTTTTCTGCCTTTTCTGACTCTGGTATGTAGGATATTTTCCACCTTTTATGGTTCACTGAATGTACTTAAAAGTACATGATCCCACGCCAGTGTTATTGTGAGGTTCTTAAACAGTGTGGGAAAGTTAATTAGGTTTTAAATCCATTAATGCACAGCAAAAATCCCCCAATGACAAGATATAATTTAGATGTATTAATCTATTATGGGAAATACTACTTAAGGCTTCATTGTTTGGGGTATCTACTAATATACTTGTTTTCATTGCTATAGTAGGAATTTAATCATCATAAATACAGTGTGCCAGCAGTTGGTGAGATAAGTTGCTTTTAAAAAAAATGATGATGAGGGAATCAAGCATTGTGGATTATAATGATCAAACTCTCAAACTCTATTTCCATTTACTGCTACCAAGTTTAATAAATGTCGGACTTCCCACTGTCACCTAAGTATATCAATATTTTGTTTTAAAGAAACTTCTTTACCTGATACAGTAGGAAGATGTAGGATTTTCCTTTTGTTTACTAAGAAGAAATATATCTGTTGACAGGTATAAATAATGAACTTTGAGTAAATCTAGAGTATAGTGAAATTTATCAATACAAGGAAATCTATATACAATTGGCCCTGTGTATCCATGGGTTCTGCACCTGTGGGTTCAACCAACCACTGACTGAAAATATCTGGAAAAAAATTGTCTATACCAAACATGTACAGATACATTTTCTTGTCTTTATTTCCTAAACAATACAGTATAACAACTATTTACATAGTGTTTACATTGTATTAGATATTATAAGTAATCCAGAGCTGCTTTAAAGTATACCAGAGGATGTGCTAGGTTATATTTAAATACTATGGCATTTTATATAAGAGACTTGAGCATCTGCTGATTTTGTGTCTATAGGGAGGCCTGGAACCAACCCCCATGGGTACTGAGGAATATCTGTATCCATATCTTATAAAATATATAATAAATGTTTAAAAATATATATATGATATTTTGGCCAAAAAGCAGGATAATCATTTTAGGCCCATAGAATGCAGAGTTCTTCAATCATTTAAAATCAGTTCCCTGTAACGTTTCTCACTTTATCTTTTGCTTATTCTCATTAAAGCTAAGATTTTTGTTGAACTTTACTTTCTCTGGTTTGTAAAATGAAACTCAAAGTTTATTTTCTGAGGTTTATATAATAAAAGCAATACATGTATTTCAATCGCTTATTTCATGTAACTAGAGAGATCTGGGAACCCCTTCCCACCTTACTCTCTACCTCACTGTAGTTTCAGATCTCCTGCCTCCATTCAACAGGTTTTTCTTGAGTACCTGCTACAAACCCAGTACTCAGTAAAAATGATGAGTGAGGTGCCAGCCTTCCTGGAGGTTACGGTGGAATGAGAGGGACAGACACATATGTAGCTAATTTTAAATAACAGTTCCTGATTTGCTCCCTTCCCATTAGGACTGGGGGTAAATTTGTAATTAAAGGAAAATCTTTTAGTTTTAAGGAAGTTATTAATTTGAAACATCTATTTAAAAGCCCAATTTTTTTATTGATATCTTTTTCAAGATAGGGACAATTGAAATAGAGAAGGAAGAGCTCAGTATCAATACAAACTCCCTGTTTGTTTACCCAATATTTGAGAACCAATTTTAAAGTTGCTAGTTTCAGAAAAATATAAATTTAAGTAAGTTATTAATCCAGATGTGTTAGGCTGGGTCATTGGAGAAGCAAATGCCAAGACAGGATTAAACATGCAAACGTTTTAGTAAGAGAAACACCTGAGAGAGAAATGGGACAGGAGGGGCAAGGACAGGAGGGAGATGCATGTCAGTTTAGGGTGCTAGTCTGAGCGCAGTGATGGAGAGAGGGCAGGAAAGTTGGAGGGAAGTGTCCCAGGTAGCTGGGCAAGGCCCTCAGGAGTCCTGCATTGGTAATCCTGCTGTACTCCATCATTTGCTGGGAGCAGCATGTGGGAGCTGTGGCCTTGGCGCAAATGCAGCAGATGGTTTCAGCGGCCAGCAGCTGGGCCCTTCCTTGGTCAGTTAGCTCCCTGTTATTGGAGATCTGTAAGGTGCGTACTCATGGTTGCCTTCCTCCCACCCCACAATATTGTACTTTATATATTAAAAGTGCCCTAGGCTGTGCGGGCTTGAGACAGGGGCCAGTCTCCCTGCCCTTTGAGTTACCAGTGCAGACTACCTGGAATCTTCATTGTTTAAGAGGGCCCTAAGCTTCCTGTGAAAAAATGGCAACTGATTGTTTGGCCCTAGGATCCTAAAATTAATTCTTTAATTAATTAATTGAGTCATGAGAGGACAGAATACAAACTACCTCTCTTCTGAGTTTCTTGGGGTTGGTAGGAACAATCTTTACTGTAGGAGAGTCTGCTTACCCCTGGGATATTGCTTGATTGATTTCAAGGGAAAAGCACTACTTTCTTTTTTGAGCGTGATTTGGAGTAAGTGCATTATAGAGTTGGGTACCCAAAGTATTCTTCAAATTATTCAACTTTCCTCAGGAGAGATAACTACACAGAAAGAGAGGGCAAGAGTATGTGAGAGCACATGAGCAAGCACTGTTTCTCTTTAGAATTAAAGATTTATCATTAACAGAAAGAAAATTAATTCCTAGCTTTTAGGATCATTGGAGAGCAGTAATTGGGTTGGGGGTAACAAGTACTAAAAGTGTCGATGCTAATTGTTGGGATAGCAATCACTCAAGGGCTGATCTCTCTCTGAGAGAGATGAAAATACTAGTTTCATTGATCCCTATGGAGAGTTGAGGAAAATAGGCTTCAAGAGTTTAAGGACAGGAAAAGAGAGCATGTTTGAAAGGTTCATCCATGTGATAGCATGTGTCAGTACTTCATTCATTTGCCAAAATATTTTATTTCATAGACATACCACATTTTGTTTATCCACTCATCAGTTAATAGACATTCGAGTTTGGAAAAGAAGGCTGGCCAGATCATGTTGAGCTATACTGATTGTGTGAAGGATGTTTAAATTCCATTTTTATGTCACTGAGAAGGATTTTGTGGAAGAGAATATGGTTTCATTCATCTCAGTGGAAGATCACTTTAGGTGTTATGTGTAGAATGGATCAGAGGAGGACAAGAATCGACAAAGGAAGACCAATCAGGAAGCCACCACATTAGTACAGGAAAGAAATTATGGTAGTTTAGACAAGAGTGACAGTTGAGATCAAGAGAAGTGTACAGACCAGACCTTGAGGTAGAAGTGAGGCTTCTTGGTTGTAAGAACAGACAGTGACTCTGGCTGATTTAACAAAGAGTGAAATTTTTTGAAAGACCATCAAGGTAGCTCACAGAGTTGCTGGGAAGGCTGGGGAACCAGGTCAGAAAATGGACAGGAGGGTGAACAGCTAGAAACATAGTTATGTTCATTCACTCTACAGAACCAGTGCTTGCAACTGGGCTTTTTGGCTTCTAAAGTGAGAGACATCTGTGCTAGGAAGTTCTCCAGACACAGAAGCAAATTCAGCCATGAGGCTTCCAAAAAATTGACAAATGTCTATTATCATTAGATTTCTTAACTTCCATTTTGCAAATGAGTAAACAGATTCAGAAAGTTAAGTGACTCACCCAGAAACACATATTTCACCAATGACAGACCTAAGACTGGGATAGGTTTCTGATCTCAAGTGAATTTTTGTTCCTTATCATCACCATTTGTGTTTATTGGAGACCATTAACTTATTGTCATTTACAAATGTAATGCTCAAAATATATTGATAAGTCAATTATTACTTATTGTCCAGCCTCTAAAATAATTCAACAGTTAAGCATTGTTAGATAACCTAGATCATTAGAGCCTGACATTTGTTATTCTGTTTTTGCCAGACATCATGGTTTTGAAGGTACTGATGCTTAAATTCGTTGGATTTCACCCAAACATCAATTACAATTTGATTATGCAAAGTAGTAACTGTCTTCTAATTATAACTCTAAAGCTAGAGAAATGTATTAGCAAACCAGTTATAACAAAGAAAAAAGGAAAATTTGGCCAGAAGTATTCTTAGACCTAACAGCAGTTTATTAGAATAGTACAGATTGTTAGTTTGTGGTTGGAAGAAAACAAACCATATGGTACTATTTGTTTTTCAGGGTTTTAAAATACAGTGATGTCATATTTATCACTTGCTGAATAAAATGAAATCATCTTCTCCTTATAGCGTGCCATTCTGGGAATTATATAGTTTAAAAGAACTTCAGAAACACATTGACCTTTGAGTTCAAAGTTAGGAAATGATCTGAGCTACAAGCAAAATCCTATAAATACGATGGGAAACTGTGAACTAATTTGGCTCCCATTTTCAATGGTAGTGTCTACATTTTCTCCTTTCTTTTATGTACTTTAGACAGTTTATCGGAAAGTCGCCCATGTCAAATTTGTAATTAAGTGAGATAAGACAAAAATGGTATCTTTTATTTTTGAATCTCTAGAAGCCTAGCAGTTCCTGGAACAAATGTTTAATGTTTAAATGTGTTAAAAACTTTTCAGGTCACAAACTCTGTAACCAGTATGAGACTACTGAAAAAAAGAAAAAAGGTCACTTTACCATTTTAAAATATTTCTTTTTAAAAAATAGAGCATTGAAATTTTAGAACATTTCTTTTTAAAAAATAGATTTTGAGGGGAATATAAATGTACTCACTCATGTTAGAGAAATACTGGTACTGTATAATTGGTGGACTCCCCTTAAGAACTGAAGCAATACCCATAAAGTAGCTATAAAGAACATCTTTTCCAAGAAACTTTTATCCATTTATCTCTTCCCATCATTTCAGTAATTCAGGGCAGCAAATAACTGTTGTCTCTGGTTTCTTGCTACAGTCTATTTGCTACACATTTGCCAAAATGTTCTTTCTAAAACTCAAGTATAGTCATGGAGATGGGGGATGCAGACAGGGAAATGGTAGGAACCAGTATAATTGACATTATGACTTAATGCAGCACATTGTGCCATCAGTACACAGTCAAGCCCCATCTTGCTGAGGATTTAGATTCTCACATCAACACACAAATCAAATACAGACAAAATTGTTCTTTTTAATGTCCTCCGTTACCTGTAAGAACAGAACTCAGTTTGAAAGACTTGGGATCTGAAACCACTTGAAAAAGAAGCAATTCTGTCTCCCTTCTTACTCTGGGGCAAAATTTCATTGAATGGAACGGTGGAATGGTAGGTTTTTGTTTGTTGTTTTTAAAAATAGCCCTCTCTTCCTGCCAAGTGCCTGTAGATGAATTTCTGTAATCTAAATGCACATATGCTGCCACTTCACTCTCCTAATGTTCTATAAAAATGGGAAGGAAGGTAGTAAGGTAAGATGAGAACTTTTTCCAGCAGTTCTCTTTCTTGTACTAACCCTAGTAACATTGATGTTATCTCAATTTTCTTTTCTTTTCTTTTTTTTTGAGACAGAGTCTTGCTCTATTGCCCAGGCTGGAGTGCAGTGGCACCATCTCTGCTCACTGCAAGCTCTGCCTTCTGGGTTCACGCCATTCTTCTGCTTCAGCCTCCTGAGTAGCTGGGACTACAGGCGCCCACCACCACGCCTGGCTAATTTTTTTGTATTTTTAGTAGAGACGGGGTTTCACCGTGTTAAGACAGCATGGTCTCGATCTCCTGACCTCATGATCTGCCCGCCTCGGCCTCCCAAAGTGCTGGGATTACAGGCATGAGCCACCGCGCCCGGCCTCTCAATTTTCTTAATTATAGCTTAGGCAAGCTTGTTTTATGACACAAATTTGGCCCATGTAGTATGTGTGTGTATGTATGTGTGTGTTTTAAAGAGAATTTAGTACTCTTCTTCTTTTGGTTGATGTTAAAAATGACATTCAAAATTCATAATTTTTTGTGTACTATAAGTTCTTTATTATAAGCACACATTAGTGCTAGATTATAATGTGTCACCTGTTTAGAATGGCATTGTGAATTTAGAATTCTGATCATAAATATGAATTTTTAAAATAATAATTTATGTCACTGCCATTAATGAAGGTTATGCTCTCTGTATCAACAAAGCTTGGGCATTTTCAAGTATCACTTCCAAAGAGTCCTTGGATAATTAGTAAATGTCCTTCTTTGTAAATCATCATTGGCAGCAAAATGGAGAAAAGTTAAAACTGAAACTTCAGGTGGACCGGTAGCACTGTCGTACAAGGTGGACCATTGGCTTTGTTGCACAGATTGGATATATGAGAATGTTCTAAAATGTTTAGGAGTACCATTATACCACTTTTGTGATGCCCGTGCCGTAGGTTGCCTCTGCAGAATTGGTTTACATTTAGATGTGATGCAGCATCTTTTTTCCTCCCTATATCCACTCAAAATGTAAATAATCAAGAAATAGAAATAATGAGATTCTTAAAACTCTTCATCTCCCCTTGTCATTATAGATTCTGTACTCTGCTTTTATTATAGAAAGGCAAGTAATAACCAAGATATTGGTCATTTGTTTATCTAAAAAGGATAACATTCAAGCAAAACTGTCCAATAGAAATTTAATGTGAACTATATCTATAGTATAAAAATTTATGGTATAATAGCTACATTAAAAATAGGAAAAAGAGACAGTGATTGAGGTACATTGAACTCCATAGAGACAGTGCCAGAGAAAATGAGAGCCAGAAGGGCACTGGGTGACTCTTGCCTTGCTGAGGAAAAATAACTAAACAGGAGCAAAGGAGATCCTAAGAAGCCTAGAGGCAAAATCCTAAGACGCCAAGAGGCAAAAAGTCATTGTATGCATTCTTTGCGCAAACTTGTTGGGAGAAAAGGAAGCAGCGCCCAGATGCTCCCATCAACTTCTCAGAGTTTTCTAAGAGACATGCACCCAGGAGACCTCTTTCGACCTTTCTTCTGTTCCGTTCTAAGTTTCACCCTAAAATCAAAGTAGAACATGCTGGCCTATCCATTGATGATGTTGCGAAAAAACTGGGAGAGATGTGGTATGACACTGCTGCAGATGACAAGCAGCCTTAAGAAAAGAAGGCTGCAAAGCTGCAGAAAAAATACCCAAAGAATATTGCTGCATTTCAAACTAAAAGGAAAGCCTGATGCTTTCAAAAAAGGGAGTCATCAAGGCCAAAAAAAAGCAAGAAAATAAAGAGGAGGAAGATAAAGAGGAGGAGGAGGAAGATGAAGAAGACAATTATGATGGATAAATTGGTTCTATTGCAGTTTTTTTCTTGTCTATAAAGCAGCTGTCCCCGGCCTTTTTGGCACCAGGGACCAGTTTCATGGCAGACAGTTTTTCCATGGTGGGTGGGGTATGGTTTCAGGATGATTCAAGTGCATTACATTTATCATTTGATTATTATAAGGAGTGTGCAAACTAGACACCTCACATGCGCAGTTCACAATAGGGTTCACGTGCCTTTGAGAATCTAATGCCACCACTGATCTGACAGGAGGCAGAACTCAGGTGGTAATGCTTACTTGCCCACTGCAGCTCACCTTCTGCTTTGCAGCCCAGTTCCTAACAGGCCATAGACTCTTGGGTTGGGGGTGACTGAGGACCCCTGCTATAAAGCATTAAGCCCCTTGTACACAATTCACTCCTTTTAAAGAAAAAAATTGAAATGTAAGGCTGCGTAAGATTTGTTTTTAAACTGTACAGTGCCTTTTTTTGTATAGTTAACACACTACCACATATGTCTTTAGATAGCCCTGTCCTAGTGGTATTTTCGATAGCCACTAACTGTGCCTGGTACAGTATGAGGGTTATAAATTGGCATGGAAATTTAAAGCAGGTTCTTTTTGGTGCACAGCACAAATGAGTTATATATGGGGATGGTAGTTATTTCATCTTCAGTTATCTCTGCTGCAGGTTATATGAAATAATTGTTTTGTCAACTGAATACCATTCTAGTCACCAAAAAAAAAGGTATAGCTCTTTTGTTGACATTCTGAATGCTTCTAAGTAAATACAATTTTTATTAAAAAATAGGAAAAAGAAACAGGCAAAAATAATTTTAATAACTCATATTATTTAACCCAATGTATCTTAAATATCATTATTTGAACATATGTCAATATAAAAAGTCATTAATGAGACACTTTCCATTCTTTTTTTTTGCATGCTCAATCTTAAAAATCTGCTGTATATTTTATAGCACATCTCAGTTTGGACAAGGCACATTTCAAGTGATCTATAGCCACACATGGCTAGTGATGACTGTATTGAACAGTGCAGCTTTAGAATAAAGCATAAGTTAATTTTGCATTTCAGTCCAACATCTCATTTATCCCAAAGGCAGTGGTTGGTCTCTTGCTCTCCCTCTTTTCCTACTCTAACACACAGGAAGAAAATGCCTCACTCACACTGCTAGGGGTGGAACATAGCTTTCTATGGCAGTGTTTGTTGAGGGTTGGGGTGGCGGGGAGGAGCATCCACGGTAAGGAGGGAAGCGTTTCATCAACTGTGGGCCAGGCAGTATTTAGCTGGACTAGTTGGAACTAAATAGATTAGTTAGAAATCTGCAGCATGATTCCTGTATGTCCCCTGAAGGGAAATGACTCCCAGTTGTGCATAACTGATGTTTAGTACAATTATAATTATTGTGAAGATGTTTAAATTCCATCTAAATCAAAGGAAGGTTAAATGGGTATTACCACAGTTCTGGTCCTTTAAAAACAAAGCAGGCTTCATTTCCAGAGTTTGAGAGAGCCTCTTTAGTTGTTACCAGATACTCTGACATTCCTCATGGTAGCTACTATTAGAGCAGTTCAAACATACCAAGTAAACATACTGTAGGCTTGGACCACAGTTATCACACTGAATGCATTTGTTCATACTTTTTTAATATTGTTAAAAAAAAGCTCATTAATACATACTGCTTATAAACTAGGAAGTGCAACAAATATGTCAAATATGTATTTTAAAGACTTCTAAGTACAAAGGATTTATTTTGTTACTTGCTTAAACTGTTATTGATTCTCCTTTTAAATGTTAACCTTTTTTCTCTCTCCTATAAATAGAGTTCTGGGTGGAGAAATGATAAGGGATAAAGCTGGAGAGTCAGGCTTAACTTGGAATACTTTTAGAATTTGATTTTTATCTGTTAGGTGATGGAGAGCTGTTCAGGTGATACCGTAAGATTGGCATTTCAAAAATGTCACCTGGTACCCTGTGGGCATGAGGAGCTAGGGAGTGTATACAAGTGTTGACACTGAAAGCAGAAAGAATAATTAAGAGGCAGATGTAGAAATCTGAAAGAAGTAATTGTGAAACCTTTGGCCAGTACAAAAGCAACAGAGAAGAGGGCTGTGTTCAAGAGGCCATGGTGAGGATAAAGCTGGTAGGGAGCATAGTAAGGATGAAGGGTACTCAGGATGGTGTCACAAATGCTGGCTTGGGCAGCTGCATGGAAAAAATGGTTGGTGATGCCAATAAAAAAAATAAGAATTCAGGAGTAATACAAAAGAAAGTAGATATGAGTGGAGGGAAATCAGAAGTTTGTTCTAAGACATCTTGAATTTAAGATCCCTTTAACAAAGACCTGCATACTTTGAGCAAAAATCAAATGAACAATAAATATATTTGTAAAGAATGGTATGTAGACTTAGTCAAACCATAGTCGTGTTGTAAATAAATGTACTAGAAGTGCTTGCTATTTTATCGTATTTTGTTTTAATATATGTAACTACTTCTCTACATCTTGATTTTCATACACTGGCATTTCTCAAGGCGAGCTTTGCTTGTACAGCTTAATTCCTAAATGATGAAAAGCTTTTGTTGCTCTCTCCTGCTAAGGGTTTGTTTTGGCTGGATTTGGCAAACACTCACTTCTTCAAGGAAGCTCACGAACTCTGCTTTCTTAACCCCCAAAATAGTATTCATCTCATAATAGATTTGCGTAACGTTGCTGCCCTTTTCTAAGAGTAACATCTTACAAGGTCATCTGCTATTTTTGCATCCAATTTGCTATCACATATTTTTTTAAAGTGAAGTGTGGCTTTTGTCTGCAGGATGTGAGAGTTTTGTTTTGTTTTTGAAATGAAGTCTCACTCACTTTTGTTGCCCAGGCTGGAGTGCAGTGGCACGATCTCAGCTTACTTCAACCTCCACTTCCCAGGTTCAAGCGATTCTCCTGCTTCAGCCTCCTGAGTAGCTGGGACTGCAGGTGTATGCCACCACGCCTGGCTAACTTTTGTGTTTGTAGTAGGACAGGGTTTCACCGTGTTGGCCAAGTTGGTCTAGAACTCCTGACCTCAAGTGATCTGCCCACGTTGGCCTCCCAAAGTGCTGGGATTACAGATGTCAGGCACCGCACCCAGCTGGATGCAAGGTTTTATCAAATCTTTGTAGAAACTGTATTTTTGTTCTTCGGGATTGATTATTCCAGGATAACCCTAATCGTTAATGACACTTGGATGTGATTAGACTTTACCAAATTCATCAAAGGCTACTGAATAAAACAGAAAACTATCTTGAACACTGGTGACTGTGAACTGTTTTTGGAGGAACTGTTCTTTCTAACCACAGTTGATAAATACATTATGTGGTTTTCAAAATATCACCTCAATTATTTGCACATGCAATGTAATTTTGCAAATACTAAGCAGGTAGCTAGTCTTAATGATTGTATCAAACGATCACGTTGAAAGTGCCAGACAGCTGCACCACATTTGTAAGGAGGGACCATGAGGAGCATAGAATTGTAGCCTCTGTTGGGCTTCTTAACCATAATAGAATGCATCACCTCCCATTAAAGCTATATTTAAGAATTGTGTTCTCCTTCATGTTTATTTTTCCGGACTAACAAGTTTCTCTTTTGACTCATTCCTAACAAACAGTGTAGTCATATTTTCCACATATCCACAAATAAAGTTACAACTTGAAAATTAACATTTGGAGTTGATGTTGCTACAAACCTAAAAAGAGATGCACTTTGTGATTCACCACCAATGTGTTAAGCCTCAAATCCATCTTCACATTCAATTAATAACTCCCTTTCTTTGTAGGCAATTTAAACAAAGTATAGTAAGATCTACAACTGAAAAAAACAATCTTTCTACCTTCAGTTGCAGATAATTTGGGGAGGAATATAATTTCAAAGAACAAGAGAGTTCTTGGAAAGTGTGTTTCCACATCGGAGGTAAAATAGTTTAGTAAGTCAAACTGGTAGTTAGGAGGGAGGAATTGTGGAGTTCTGCTGCTCCTTGATCTTAAGGAAGTCTTTGGACTTACCCCATGTGTGCACAGGCCAGGAACCTCCTGTACCTCTGACACACAGGAACTAGCCTTGTAGCCAAAGAGTTTCCTTTCTCCCCACACTGTTTGTCCGAAGCTGGTGGAATAACCTGTTTCTCTTTTAGAGTAGATAAGATCAGGCTGAATAGAGAAAACCAAGAATGTTTGGGATTTCACTGCCTCCTTCAAAACTAGAAAGATGCTTAACAGTCTGCTAAGGTTAAAACGAGGTAAAAGCCCATTTTGTTTTAAAAATATTTAACCTATGTTTAACAAGTGTTCATTTGTGATATTACTTATTAAATTGTTAATACTTTTATAACTGCAGTAACAGATTATAAAAAGGCAGGTCATTTTCTCTCAGTGGATCAGACAATAGTATACTACATATACATATACAAATATGAATATAAATATATACATTTACATTTTTATACTTTTTTAAATGCAAACAAAAGAAATAGATTAAGCAGAGCTGACATATTCATAAGCTAAACGAGCGCATATATTGAACACTTTTTTTCTGTAAATATTGGTTCACTGTTAACTTTTTTTTGGGGGGGGTCAATTAGAAATGTTTATTGGGTACCCACTTAGAAGTAATAGTTGTGGTATGCTGTCCCAAGGCTTATGTTCTAAAGAATTCAGTAAGCTTTTTTTCCTCATTATTTAAAAACACCTTTTCACTGGGTAAGAATCTGATGAAATGGCTTCTTAGCCATTAGCATTGGCTGGGGGCTTCCTGCCTCACACAATGGCAGACTCTACTCAGCAGTGACAAGCAGCAGCCCCTGGACCCGCCTGCATGTGGCACCCAGAGGCAGGTTTATCTCCTACCCTCTGGGCAAGCAAGAGACCAGTAAGGAACAGGCTTCCATAGCTTGTTATTGATGTGCATGATGTTTCAGGGTTCAGAATTGTCTATATTGAGTCACTCCTTCTATTGCCATCCTTGTAAATAAAGGAAGACATTATTACAATGGAATTATGGTGCTGTATTCCCTATGGAATCATACCCAGCTGAGCTGAGTGAGTCTGATATTGGCTTTCTTTGATCTCAAAAATGAAACCACACTAGTTTGCAAGGTTGCTCCTGCATATGTAGCAAAACAGTAGACTTTCTGCTTTGGTCATTCCAGCAGTGTGTGGGAAAACCATGCAAAAATGAAAAGTCATTTCTTTGTGTATATATGGTATCAGCTGGAGGACAGTATGGCCCTATATTGCAGTTGTCACAGTTAAAAGTGACCCAGTGGCTGAGGCCTTTGCCATGAAGGATGCTGCTCTGTTTGGTGTCAGCCTTTTCTTTAACCAGTCCTAGTCAGAATCAGGCAGAATTCCCTGCATTTGCAAGGCTGTGTCTGTGGCATGGCACAGCTCCCACTCTTGGTTGTGGTATTTTGTATCCATGTTGTTGAAGCTCCATTTGGTCCTGTTCAGAAGAGTGAGCCTTCATGGAAAAAAGGAACCTTTTTCCAAGAAGAGAAATTAAAAACTGAGTTATTCTGAGCCTGTAGCAGAAACTCTGATGTTCAAATATGTTTGTTGCTTCTTCATTTCCCAGACTCTGAGTAATATAATTACATGAATTCGGATTGTCCACATAAAGAAAAAAACACAAACCTTTTCATCTTCTGTCTACCTAGGCTGGAAATGAAATGGGATATTTAGTCCAGATAATAGCTGTAAAACATACCAGGCATCCCATTGTATATGTTGTGAGCAGTGTTGACTGTGATGGTCATTACGTGATGCCAAGGTCAGGTTTTAGATCTCACGGAGCAAAAAGAATTTTGAGCATCTTGAACATCATCTGCTCCATCCCCCTTATTTGAAAGATGGGAAAATTGGTTTTTTAAAAAAATTAAGACTTTGGGTTTGAATAATGGACTTAATACATTTTCAAAGCTGATTTTTCAAACTTTACCACATTTTCATTTATGAGGCAGCACTTAAGATTCATCATGCACGACTTTCTGTGCTGATGTGCTAATAGTCTTCCTTCTTGTTTGAGAAGAAGAGATGCTACTTTCTGCTCCATCCTATGAAACACACCACCTGCTTCACCAAGCTGGAATGTGGTATTTTTCCACTGAGGAGTACGCTTGTTTTTGCAGGCAGAACACAGCAGTGCTGTTTGAAGACACTGATGATGGCAAAGGATCAAAGGTGGGAGGCGATGGCAGGTGGCAGCTTAGGGAGAGATCAATGCAACCAGTGTGGTGCATTGCTGTCTGCAGACGTACAGGAGCCAAGTGAGAATCCTAGGGTGAGGGAGGACAATTAAAAATCAAAGTCAGGCATATTTTCATGTAAATCTGACCATGCTAGGAAATAACAGGGCACTTTTACCATAATCAGAATTATGATCAATCTTGGAAAATGTGATGCTTAATTTGATAGGTAGAACACCAAACCATTTATCTTTGTTTCTTATTCCTGTGCCTTTTGGACACTAAAAGCAAATGAACAAATTTTGTTAAAATTCATGAGAAAGAAAAAAAGTAAAAATCCTACAGTGAAAAAAAGATATCTAGTTTTGTATGTTCATTCCTTGACTTTCAGGGACTTTCTACATTTCTCTTAGGTAAGTGAAATTATTCCCAAGTAATGTTTCCTGTTATCTAAGAAAAGATGTTAGCTCAAGGCTGGGTCCCCCATAATTCCAGAATTGATAAGGCAGTTGATGGCTATAGTGACTTGTCACCAAAGACCCTGGAATTGAGTAGGTATGGATTCCAGGTTGTGTGCTTGGGAATATGATGCAGTATCTTACCAAAAAACAGGAATTTTCTTGCTCCAGTTTGTTCTCCATGTTCCCCAGAGCTACAGCATCACAAGCTAGAAGTGCTAGGGAAAAGCAGGGGATGACTACTTAAAAGGCAATAATAATTTTGTTAAGTGACGAGATGGGTCCCCAAGCTTGAAACTTGCACAACAGTCAACTAATTGGCCTGTTGATGAAAGGTAAGGTTTTATGTACCTAGTCCTTGCCTACTTCAGGGGTAAGATATTTAATTTTTACAGTTTGATAATGACATTTATAGTTACATTTGAGTAGCATTCTAAAAGGAAGAGTAATAAACCCTAGTAGTCACTACCATTTGTCTGCAATGATGATTAGAAATAAGGAATTAATAGAAAAATCAAGTAGTATACCACAGGTCCCTCACCCCACCAATCTATGATGAAATTTTCAGCCAGATGAACAGCTTTGCATTTTTGGTGTTAAAATGGCTTTTTTTTTCTTCAACTTCTATTTTAAGTTCAGGGGTACATGTGCAGGATGTACAAGTTTGTTACAGAGGTAAACATGTGCCATGGTGGTTTGCTGCACAGATCATACCATCACCTAGATATTAAGCCCAGTATCCATTAACTATTCTTCCTGATGCTCTTCCTCCTCCCACCTCCCACTCTGACAGGCCCCAATGTGTGTTTTTCCCCACCATGTGTCCATGTGTTCTCATCCTTCAGCTCCCACTTATAAGTGAGAACACGATGTGGTGTCTGGTTTTCTGTTCCTGCATTAGTTTGCTGAGGATAATGGCTTCCACCTCCATCCATGTCCCTGCAAAGGACATAATCTCATTCATTTTCATGGCTGCATAGTATTCCATGGTATATATGTATCACATTTTCTTTATTCAGTCTATAATTGATGGGCATTTAGGTTGATTTCACGTCTTTGCTATTGTGAATAGTGCTTCAGTGAACATATGCATGCATGTGTCTTTATAATAGAATAACTTATATTCCCTTGAGTATATACCCAGTAATGGGATTGCTGGGTTAAATGGTATGTCTGCTTCTAGGTCTGTGAGGAATTGCCATACTGTCTTCCACCATGGTTTAACTAATTTACACTCCCAACAGTGTAAAAGCATTCCTTTTTCTCTGCAACCTCACCAGCATCTATTGTTCTTTAACTTTTTAATAGCCATTCTGAATGGTGTAAGATGGTATCTCATTATGGATTTGATTTGCATTTCTCTAATGATCAGTGATGTTGAGGTTTTTTTTCATATGTTTGTTGGCCACATGGATGTCTTCTTTTGAGAGGTGTCTTTTCATGTTCTTTCCCCACTTTTTAATGGATTTTTTTGTTTCTTCTAAATTTACTTGAGCTCCTTGTAAACTGGATATTAGACCTTTGTCAGATGGATAGATGGCAAAAAATTTTCTCCTATTCTGTAGGTTGTGTGTTCACTCTGATGATAGTTTCTTTTGCTGTACAGAAGCTCTTTAGTTTAATTAGATCCCATTTGTCAATTTTTGCTTGTGTTCTGATTGCTTTTGGTGTTTTCGCCATGAAGTCTTTGCCTGTGCCTATGTCCTGAATGTTATTGCCTAGATTTTCTTCTAGTGATTTTGTAATTTTGGCTTTACATTTAAGTCTTTAATCCATCTTGAATTAATTTTTGTATATGGTGTAAGGAAGGGGTCCAGTTTTAATATTCTGCATATGGCTAGCCAGTTCTCCCAGCACCATTTATTAAATAGGAAATTCTTTCCCCATTGCTTGTTTTTGTCAAGTATGTCAAAGATCAGATGGTTGTAGGTGTGCAGTCTTATTCCTGAGTTCTCTATTCTGTTCCACTGGTCTATGTATCTGTTCTTGTACCAGTACCATGCTGTTTTGGTTACTGTAGCCTTGAGGTATAGTTTGAAGATGGGTAGTGTAATGCCTCCAGCTTTGTTCATTTTACTTAGGACTGTCTTGGCTATTTGGGCTTTTTTAATCCATATGAAATTTAAAATAGTTTTTTCTAATTCTGTGAAGAATGTCAATGGTAGTTTAAAGGGAACAGGATTGAATCTAGAAATTACTCTGGGCAGTATGACCATTTTAATGATACGGATTCTTCCTATCCATGAGCATGGAATGTTTTTCCATTTGTTTAGTGTCCTCTGATGCTTTGAGCAGTAGTTTGTATTTCTCCTTGAAGAGTTCTCACTTCCCTTGTTAGCTGTATTCCTAGGTATTTTATTTTTTTGTAGCAATTGTGAATGAGAGTTCATTCATGATTTGGCTCTCTGCTTACCTGTTGTTACTATATAGGAATGCTAGTGATTTTTGCACGTTGATTTTTTTTTATCTTGAGACTTTGCTGAAGTTGCTTATTGGCTTGAGAAGCTTTTGGGCTGAGACGATGGGATTTTCTAGATATAGGATCTTGTCATCTGTAAACAAAGATAATTTGACTTCCTCTCTTCCTATTTGAATACCTTTATTTCATTCTTTTGCCTGATTGCCCTGGTCATAACTTCCAATACCGTGTTGAACAGGAGTAATGAGAGGGGGCATACTTGTCTTGTGTTGGTTTTCAAGGGGATGCTTCCAGCTTTTGCCCATTCAGTATGATATTGGCTGTGGGTTTGTCATATATGGCTCGTATTATTTTGAGGTATGTTCCTTCAGTATCTAGTTTATTGAGAGTTTTTAACATGAAGTGATCTTGAATTTTATCAAAGGCCTTTTCTGCATCTATTGAGATAATTTTGTGTTTTTTGTCTTTAGTTTTGTTTATGTGATGAATCACATTTATTGGTTTGTGTATGTCGAACCGACCTTGCATCCTGCAGATGCAGCCAACTTGATTGTGGTGGATAAGCTTTCTGTTGTGCTGCTGGATTCCGTTTGCCAGTATTTTATTGAGGATCTTTGCATTGATGTTCATCAAGAATATTGGCTTGAAGTTTTGTTTTTGTTTTTGTTGTATCTCTGCCAGGTTTTGATATCAGGATGATGCTGGCCTCATAGAATGAGTTAGGGAGGAGTCCCTCCTTTTCAGTTTTTTGGAATAGTTTCAGTAGAAATAGTACCAGCTCTTCTTTGTACCTCTGGTAGAATTCATCTGTGAAACCGTCTGGTCCTGGGCTTTTTTTTTTTTTTTTTTTGGTTGGTAGGCGTTTATTACTGCCTCAATTTCAGAATTGTTATTGGTCTATTCAGGGATTCTGTTTCTTCCTGGTTCCATCTTGGGAGGGTGTATATGTCCAGGAATTTATCCATTTCTTTTAGATTTTCTAGTTTATGTGCATAGAGGTGTTTATGGTCTTCTCTGATGGTTGTTTATGTTTCTGTGGGGTCAGTGTTGATATCCCTGTTATCATTTCTGATTGTGTTTATTTGATTTGTCTCTATTTTCTTCTTTATTAGTCTGGCCTGGCCATCTATCCATTTTATTAGTTTTTTCAAAAAACCAGCTCCTGGATTCATTAATTTTTTAAGGAGTTTTTAATATCTCTATCTCCTTCAGTTCAACTCTGATCTTGGTTATTTCTTGTCTTCTGCTAGCGTTGGGGTTTGTTTGCTCTTGGTTCTCTAGTTCTTTTAGTTGCGACTTAGTTCTTTTAGGTTATTAATTTGAGACCTTTCTAGCTTTTTGATGTGGGCATTTAGTGCTATAAATTTCCCCCTTAACACTGCTTTAGCTACGTCCCAGAGATTCTGATGTGTTGTCTCTTTGTTCTCATTAGTTTCAAAGAACTTCTTGATTTCTGCCTTAATTTCATTATTTAACTAACAGTTATTCATGAACAGGTTGTTCAATTTCCATGTAGTTGTGTGATTTTGAGTGAGTTTCTTAATCTTGAGTTCTAATTTGATTGTGCTGTGGTCTGAGAGACTGGTATGATATCATTTCTTTTCCATTTGCTGTAGAGTGTTTTTACTTCTGATTATGTGATCAGTTTTAGAGTAAGTGCCTTGTGGTCATGAGAAGAATGTATATTTTGTTGTTTTGTAGTGGAGAGTTTTGTATATATCTATCAGGAACACTTGATCCAGAGCTGAGTTCAAGTCCTGAATATCTTTGTTAATTTCTGTCTTGATGATCTGTCTAATATTGTCAGTGGGGTGTTAAAGTCTCTCACTATTATTTTGTGGGAGTCTAAGTCTCTTTGTAGGTCTCTAAGAACTTGCTTTATGAATCTGGGTTCTCCTGTATTGGGTGCATATATATTTAGGATAGTTACCTCTTCATGTTGAATCCGAATGCTTTACCATTACCATTATGGAATGCCCTTCTTTGTCTTTTTTGAGCTTTGTTGGTTTAAAGTGTGTTTTGTCAGGAACTAGGATTGCAACACCTGCTTTTTTCTGTGTTCCATTTGCTTGGTACATTTTCCTCCATCCCTTTATTTTGAGCCTATGTGTGTCTTTGGCCTTGAGATGGGTCTCTTGAACACAGCATACTGATGGGTCTTGGCTCCTTATCTAGCTTGCCATTCTGTGTCTTTTAATTGGGGTATTTAGCCCATTTAAGTGTAAGGTTAGTATTGTTATGTATTAATTTGATCCTATCATCATGATGCTAGCTGGTTGTTTTGCAGACCTGTTTATGTGGTTGCTTCATAGTGCCACTGATCTGTGTACTTCAGTGTGTTTTTGTAGTGGCTGGTAACAGTTTTTCCTCTTCATATTTAGTGCTTCCCTCAGAAGCTCTTGCAAGGCAGGCCTGGTGGTGATGAATTCCCTCAGCATTTGCTTGTCTGAAAAGGATCTTATTTCTCCTTTGCTTATGAAGTTTAATTTGGCCGGATGTGACATTCTGGGTTGAAAATTTTTTCTTTAAGAATTTTGGGTATTGGCCCTCAAGTTCTTCTGGCTTGTACGGTTTCTGCTGAGAGGTCCACTGTTAGTCTGATGGGCTTCCCTTTGTAGGTGACCTGGCCTGACTGTCCTTAACATTTTTTCTTTGATTTCGACCTTTGAAAATCTGATGATTTTGTGTCTTGGGGTTAATCTTCTCATGGATTATCTTACTGGGGTTCTCTGCATTTCCTGAATTTGAATGTTGGCCTGTCTTTCTAAGTTGGGCAAGTTCTCCTGGATGATATCCTGAAGTATGTTTTCCAACTTGGTTCCATTCTCCCCATCTCTTTCAGATACCTGAATCAGTCATAGGTTCAGTCTCCTTACATAATCCCATATTTCTCAGAGGTTTTGTTTATTCTTTTTCGTTATTTTTTCTCTGTTCTTGTCTGCCTGTCTTATTTCAGAAAGATCATCTTCAAGCTCTGATATTCTTTCCTCTGCTTGGTCTATTCTGCTCTTGATACTTATGATTGCATTGTGAAGTTCTCATGTTGTTTTCTTCAGCTCCATCAGACTGGTTATGTTCCTCTCTAAACTAGCTATTCTGGCTATCAGCTCCTGTATTGTTTTTTTTATGACTCTTAGCTTCTTTGCATTGGGTTAGACATGCTCCTTTAGCTCGGTGAAGTTTGTTGTTATTACCTGCTTTCTGAAGCCTACTTCTGTCAATTCAGCCATCTCAGCCTCAGCCCAGTTCTTTGCCTTTGCTGGAGAGGTGTTGCAGTCATTTGGAGGAGAAAAGGCAGTCTGGCTTTTTGAGTTTTCAGCGTTTTTGCATTGATTCTTTCTCATCATTGTGGGCGTCTCTACCTTTGATCTTTGAGGTTGCTGACCTTAAAATGGGGTTTTTGTGGGGTCTTTTTTGTTGATGTCATTGTCATTGTTGTTTTCTGTTTGTTTTTCTTTTAACAGTCAAGCCACTGTCCTGTAGGATTACTGTGGTTTGCTGGGGGTCTGCTCCAAACCCTAGCTGCCTCAGTTTTTCCTGTACCTGGAGGTACCACCAGTGGCTATTTTGGGCACTTGTATCAGTCAAACTCTTAAAATCCCTTCTACCTGGACAATGAAGAAACATCAGGATGCATCATTAAGTATTGGCTAGACTCAAGGGAAATAAGCCTTTACTTCAGAGTTCAGGTCTAAAAATTAAAAGAGAAATTCAATTCAATTATAAAACAATTTATGACTTAATACTTCAGCATATTGCAAAATAAATATTGCATAATTATTCCTTGTAACTTTTTATATGTATTATTGTCTAGCATCCTACAATTTGAAATATTAACAGTAATTTCCAGTTCCTATGGTTTGAATGTTTGTTCATTTCAAAATTCATGTTGAAACTTAATCCCCAAGATGGCAGTTTTGAGAAGTGAGGCCTTTAAGAGGTGAATGGTTAATTCTATTTATGGATCAATGGATTAATGGGTTAATGAATTAACAGTTTATCACAGGAGTGGGACTGATGGCTTTATAAGGAGAGGAAGACAGACCTGATCTAGCACACTCAGACTCTTTTGCCATGTCATGCCATGAGCCACTTTGGGACTCTGTAAAGAGTTCCCACCAGCAAGAAAGCCCTCACCAGATACGGCCCCTAAACCTTGGACTTCTCAGCCTCCATAACTGTAAGAAATAAATTCCTTTTCTTTATAAATTATTCAGTTTCAGGTATTCTGTTTTAAGCAACAGAAAATGGTCTAAGACAGAAAAAGGTACTGAGAGAGGGGTGTTGCTGATATCAAATTCCTGAAAATATGGAAGCAGCTTTGGAACTGAGTAATGAGCAGAGGCTTGGAAGAATTTCGAGGAGCAGGCTAGACAAAGCCTAGATTCTGGTGAAGGCTTAGAAGACAAGAAGACTAGGGTAAGTTTGGATCTTCTTAGAGACTGGGTAAGTGATCATGACCAGAATTCTGATAGAAATATGGACACCAGGGCCGGGCATCGTGGCTCACGCCTATAATCCCAGCACTTTGGGAGGCCGAGATGGGCAGATCACCTGAGGTTGAGAGTTCGAGACCAGCCTGACCAACATGGAGAAACCCTGTCTCTACTAAAAATACAAAATTAGCTGGGCGTGGTGGCTAGTGCCTGTAATCCTAGCTACTTGGGAGGCTGAGGCACGAGAATCACTTGAACCTGGGAGGCGGAGGTTGCGGTGAGCTAAGATTGTGCCATGGTACTCCAGCCTGGGCAACAAGAGCAGAACTCCATCTCAAAAAAAAAAAAAATATGGACACTAAAGGCCATTACAATGAGGTTTCAGATGGAACTGAGAAACAAGGTATTGGAAACATGTGTAAAGGCCCTTCTTGTTATAAACTGACAACTTGGCTGCATTGTGTCCATGTCTAAGGATATTATGGAATGTAGAACTTAATACACCTACTGTATATCCACAAAAATTAAAAATTTTAAAAATTAAAATGAAAAAAAGAGCAAAAAAAGATCCATGAATTAGGATATCTGGCAGAAGAAATGTTGAAGCAGTAAAACATTCAGGCTGCTGCATGGCTACCTTTAACCACTTACATTAAGCTGTGAGAGGGAAAAATTGACTTAAAATGGAATTTATAATCAAGAAAGAAGCAAAGCAGAAGGATTTGGAAAACTCTTAGCCTGGCCATGTAAAGAGTGAAAAAACATGTTCAGGAGAACGTGCTTTTTTTTTCAGTGACCTTTACTGAGGAGATCAGTACAGAGAGAAGGGATGATTAAGAGACTAGAAGAAAGACCCTGAAGACATTTTAGATATCTTTGAAGCTGCCTCTCCCATCATGGGCCCCAGAGGCCTAGGAGGGCAAAATAGTTTTGCCAGACAAATCCAGGAAACCCTCCGTGGGCTTCCTGCCCAGGGTCCTTGCAGGTCTCTGCTCCCTGCATTCTAGCCTCATCACTCCTTGACCACCCCAGCTGTGATTCAAGTGGCACCAGGTATGGCTCAACCTGCCACTCTGAAAGGTACAAGCTGTAACAACCTTGGAGGCATACATATGATGTTAATTGTGCAGGCCCACAGAATGCAAGAGATATGGAGGCACAGCAGCTTTCACCTAGATTTCAAAGAATGTGTCAAGCAGCTTGTGGACTCAGGCAGAAGACTTTTTGCAGGGGCGGAGCCACTGCAGAGAGCCCCTACTAGGGCAATGCCAAGCAGAAATATGGGCTCCATCTTGCCATAGAGTTCCTACCAGGGCATTGCCTAGTGGAGCTGTGAGAGCAGGGCCAACACCAAGACCCCAGAACTATAAAGCTACCTGTGTGCAGTGCCAGCATGGGCTGAACCCAGGAATGCCATGGGGGCAGAGCTGCCCAAGGCCTTAGAGCCCCAACCCTCATACCAGTATACATAGGACACTGGACGTGGAGTCAAGGGAGATTATTCTCCAGCTTTATGATTTAATGTTTACCCTCTTGGGCTTCAGACTAGCTTGGGGCCTGTTACCACTATCTTTTGGGCTATTCCCTCCTTTGCTTGCTTGCTTGCTTCCTTCCTTCCTCCCTCCCTCCCTCCCTCCCTCCCTTTCCTTCTCTCCCTCCCTCCCTTCTTTTCCTTTTCCCTTCCCTTTCTCTTTCCCTTTCCCTTTCTCTTTCCCTTTCCATTTCCCTCTCTCTTTCTCTCTTTCATTTCTCTTTTCTTTCTTTTTTCTTTTCTTTTCTTTCTTTTCTTTCACAGTGTTCATCCAGGCTGATCTCAAACTCCTGGGCTCAGGCTATCCTTTTGCCTTGGCCTTCCAGTGTGCTGGGATTACAAGCATGAGCCACCACACCCAGTCTTCTTCCTTTTCAAATGGGAATGTCCACTCTATGCCTGTCCTGCCATTGTATCTTGGAAGTAGATAACTTATTTTGATTTCACAGATGAGACTTTGGACTTTTGAGTTGATCCTGGAACCAGTGAGGACTTTGGAGCTATGGGGAGGGAATGAATACATTTGTTTGTGAGAAAAGAGTTTATTTGCGGGGAGGGCATGGGCAGAATTCTATGGTTTGAATGTTTGTTCCCTCATGTTGAAGCTTAATTTCCAATGTGGTGGTATTGAGAGGTGGGAAGATGATAGAGATCTCTTTAAGAGATGATAGTGTCATGAGGGCTCTGCCCTCAGGAATGGGTTAACCTATTAGTGGATTAATGGGTTAATGAGTTATCACAAGAGTGAGACTGCTGGCTTTATAAGGTGAGGAAGAGAGACCTGAGCTTACACACTCAGGCCCCTCAACACGTGATTCCCTGTGCTGCCTTACGACTCTGCAGAGAGTTCCCACCAGCAATAAGGCTGTCACCAGATGTGGCTCTTCAACCTTAGACTTCTCAGCCTCTACAACTGTAAGAAATAAACCCCTTTTGAAAAAATGAATTACCCAGTTTCAAGTATTCTGTTATAAGCAACAGAATATGGACTAAGACACCCGGTTTCATTTGGTTTCTAGCTAAAGGTCAGTTTTTCCAAGAAGCAAATAGCTATGTTTCTCCATTTAAAGGGCACAAATTTTGGAGCAGTGAAAATCAGTTGTTTTCAATAAGTGATTAGTATCATCAGCACCACCAAGCCCCATTCTACCCACAAGAGGCATTTGGAAATGTCTAAGGGCTAATTTTAGTTCCACAAAGTAGTCCTGCACAATGTGTAATTTCCTACTACAAATGCCAGTGCACCCTCATTGAGAAACGTTGGTTGATTTCATATTTATCATAAAATGGTGGAATAACAGTTGAACATAATTTCATTGTTATATTAGCTACAG